>NC_000002.12:132489618-134989618 GCF_000001405.40 Homo sapiens | reverse complement strand
TGCATAGGTACTGCTTAGCATTGTAAAAGGAGTTTATTGACCTAAAAAATTGTAATGGCTGTTACTAGGCAGATGGTTAAGCACTGGATGAATCTGCCTTTATGTCCTAAGTCATTTTTGAGAAATGAGGAAAATCATCTAGACAGTAAAACTGGGGTCTACACTACATCTCATCTACTTTTAATGCCTAAGTTTCTAGAGTCAGGTTCCATTTCCTTCCTTCTTACACACAGGTGGCAATAGAATGAAAATTAAACATACATTTCTCAATTACTACCCATGACCCATGCCTATAAATATTGTGATATAAATAGGTATTGAATCTGTATACACAGGAAAAGACCACAATGAAAAGAAGCATAAAGTTAAGGAGTTTATAGCTTACTGCCCGCAAAGTTTAATATTATACATTGGGTTACACTGACCTCTACAGGATGATAATAAAAACTAGCTTAGTTTGAAACTAGAGGAGGGCAAAGGAGAAAGGAAAAACTAGCTTAGTTTGAAACTAGAGGGCAAAGGAGAAAGGAAAGCCATCCATTTGCCTGTCATCCACAAAAATGAAATTTTGTACATTTCATTCACAAACTAATTCAGCAAAACGATGGTGAGTAGTTGTGTTTCGGATATGAATTCTGAGTTAGTCAATAACTGGTAATTTTTGAGGTATTTTAACAGCAATTTTAAACTGTTTTCAGTGGGATTTCAAAAATCTTAAATCAATTCTATGGAAAGTAAAAAGAAAAAAGAAGAGAAATAAAATGCTTCTTATCTTAAATTTTTACCATTTACATTATAGGGCCTTCATTTAAAAATATATAACCATGAATATTTACATCTATAATAATCCTGGTTTTAAAACGTGTTGTTTTAAATTGGTTCTAAAAAAAATATTGGGAATGAGGTTTTAATTTTAAAAATTGTGATCTTTCCAGGCATAGTGGCTCATGCCTGTAATTCCAGCATTTTGGGAGGCAGAAGTGGGAGGATTGCTTGAGGCCAGGAGTTTGAGACCAGCCTGGGCAACATAGAGAGACCTTGTCTCTACTAAAATTTAAACATTAGCCGAGCATAGTGGCACATGCCTGCAGTCCCAGCTACTTGGGAGGCTGAGGTGGGAGGATCGCTTGAGCCCAGGAAGTCAAGGCTGCAATGAGCTGTGATTATGCCACTGCACCCCAGCCTGGGTGACAGAGCGAGATCTTGTCTCAAGAAGAAAAAAAAGAATTGTGATTTCCAGGATAGCTTTGAACTTTAAAAGCCTTCCTTAAGAGGATATTATAATCTCTTTAGACTACTTTAAACGAGTTAGCGTGATATTTATATATGTTTCTGCATTCACAGCTTTTTCTGTCTTCCTTTTAGTTCCTTCTGCCACCACTGTCACTCTTGCCCACGCGATCTGGTGTCCTTACTATCCCCCAAAATCACAAGTTTCCAAAAGAAAAAGAAAGAAACATTCCAAGTCTCACATCTTTTGTGCCTAAGCTCTCAGTGTCTGTTCGTCAATCTGATGAGCTCAGCCCATCAAACGAGCCTCCGGGAGCCCTAGTTAAGTCGTTGATGGATCCGACTCTCAGGTCTTCTGATGGCTTCATTTGGTCAAGAAACATGTGCTCTTTTCCTAAGACTAACCATCACAGGCAATGCCTGGAGAAGGAGGAAAACTGGAAATCCAAGGAAATAGAAGAATGTAACAAAATTGAAATCACTCACTTTGAAAAAGGGCAGTCTTTGGTGTCTTTTGAGAATTTGAAGGAAGGCAATATTCCTGCAGTTAGGGAAGAGGATATTGACTGCCATGGTAGTAAAACGCGAAAACCTGAAGAAGAGAACTCTCAATATCTTTCATCAAGAAAGAATGAGAGTTCAGTAGCCAAAAACTATGAACAAGATCCAGAAATAGTATGTACCATTCCAAGCAAGTTCCAAGAAACCCAGCATTCAGAAATAACTCCAAGCCAGGATGAAGAGATGAGAAATAATAAAGCTGCTTCAAAAAGAGTTTCATTACATAAAAATGAAGCAATGGAACCAAACAATATTTTAGAAGAGTGTACTGTACTTAAAAGCTTATCCAGTGTAGTCTTTGATGACCCCATTGATAAACTCCCAGAAGGTTGTAGCAGCATGGAGACAAACATAAAAATATCAATAGCAGAAAGAGCCAAACCAGAAATGAGTAGGATGGTGCCTCTTATCCACATCACCTTCCCTGTGGATGGAAGCCCCAAGGAACCAGTGATAGCCAAACCAAGCCTCCAAACAAGAAAGGGAACCATTCATAACAACCATAGTGTCAACATACCTGTACACCAAGAAAATGACAAGCATAAGATGAATTCCCATAGGAGTAAGTTGGATTCAAAGACCAAGACAAGTAAGAAGACACCTCAGAATTTTGTGATTTCTACTGAAGGTCCCATTAAGCCTACCATGCATAAAACCAGCATAAAAACACAAATTTTCCCGGCTTTGGGACTTGTGGACCCCAGGCCTTGGCAATTGCCCAGGTTTCAAAAGAAAATGCCACAGATAGCAAAGAAGCAATCAACTCACCGGACTCAGAAACCTAAAAAGCAATCATTTCCTTGCATCTGTAAAAATCCAGGAACACAGAAGTCATGTGTTCCTCTCTCTGTTCAACCGACAGAGCCAAGACTAAATTACCTAGATCTTAAGTATAGTGATATGTTCAAAGAAATCAATTCAACTGCTAATGGACCTGGAATCTATGAAATGTTTGGGACCCCTGTTTATTGTCATGTGCGAGAGACTGAAAGGGATGAAAACACGTATTACCGTGAGATATGTTCGGCTCCATCAGGCAGACGTATCACCAATAAATGTCGATCTTCACACAGTGAGAGGAAGAGCAATATCAGAACAAGACTTTCTCAGAAAAAAACACATATGAAATGCCCAAAGACTTCATTTGGCATTAAACAAGAGCACAAAGTCTTAATTTCTAAAGAAAAGAGTTCCAAGGCTGTACATAGCAACCTACATGACATTGAAAATGGTGATGGTATTTCAGAACCAGACTGGCAGATAAAGTCTTCAGGAAATGAGTTTCTATCTTCCAAAGATGAAATTCATCCCATGAACTTGGCTCAGACACCTGAGCAGTCCATGAAACAGAATGAATTCCCTCCTGTCTCAGATTTATCCATTGTTGAAGAAGTTTCTATGGAAGAGTCTACTGGTGATAGAGACATTTCTAACAATCAAATACTCACCACAAGCCTCAG
The DNA here is from genome assembly GCF_000001405.40 of Homo sapiens. Taxonomy (NCBI): domain Eukaryota; kingdom Metazoa; phylum Chordata; class Mammalia; order Primates; family Hominidae; genus Homo; species Homo sapiens. The sequence continues at coordinate 134,986,367 of NC_000002.12, read as the reverse complement.
AGATCTGCAAGAACTTGAAGAGCTACATCACCAGATCCCATTTATCCCTTCAGAAGACAGCTGGGCAGTGCCCAGTGAGAAGAATTCTAACAAGTATGTACAGCAAGAAAAGCAGAATACAGCATCTCTTAGTAAAGTAAATGCCAGCCGAATTTTAACTAATGATCTAGAGTTTGATAGTGTTTCAGATCACTCTAAAACACTTACAAATTTCTCTTTCCAAGCAAAACAAGAAAGTGCATCTTCCCAGACATATCAATATTGGGTACATTATTTGGATCATGATAGTTTAGCAAATAAGTCAATCACATATCAAATGTTTGGAAAAACCTTAAGTGGCACAAATTCAATTTCCCAAGAAATTATGGACTCTGTAAATAATGAAGAATTGACAGATGAACTATTAGGTTGTCTAGCTGCAGAATTATTAGCTCTTGATGAGAAAGATAACAACTCTTGCCAAAAAATGGCAAATGAAACAGATCCTGAAAACCTAAATCTTGTCCTCAGATGGAGAGGAAGTACCCCAAAAGAAATGGGCAGAGAGACAACAAAAGTCAAAATACAGGTTGGTATAATTAGAATCCAAGATTCATTGGGGTGGGAAGGACCTCAGAGACAATCTGGTTCAAACCCCTTATTTTCAAATGAGGAATTATAAACCCTAAACAATTAAATAGTTTTTTCAAGGTCTCACTGTTTGATCACAAGGTTGGAAATCAGGTCCTCTGACCCCCAGGCTAAGATGTTTTCATTATATTGACTCCCTTCTGGAATTTAGCTAGCTTGACATTGCAATGAAATCAGTTTGGTTAAATTAATTTAGCAAAACCATTCAAATAGGTCAGTATTTTATTCAATGATGACATTTTCAATCAACAGCATATCATTTCCAACTATCAGCAGATACATAATTATAGGCAAGACATTGCTCTAGGTATGTGAGATAGAAAGAAATGAACATGGCTCCAGAAGTGGCTCACCATTTTGTTCATAGGAAGACATGAAATGTACATTTCTCAGAGCCCCTACACCTGAGCATTTGCTCTCAGATGATTCACTACTTTAATGCAAAATTATTATTGATGCCTACTGTGCTTCTGGCAGTGGGCCAAGAACTAGGAGCATAGTGCTGTACAAGACTCGGCCATTGCTCTCATGGAAGTGTAAGCAAAAATCCTGAAATAAGATTTTTAAAAATTTTGTTTGGCATGAGAGTTGGCATGGAGTGGGGAAGAAGATCAACACATAGTCGGGTTTTCTTTGTTATCGTTTTCACTAAAGTACACAAGCCTCCCAAACTGAAATTTTAAAGACAGAAACAGTAGGTAAACTGAAATATTATTTATTGAACACTAACTCAGGTCATACTGCACTATATCCACACTATATCAGGATCAGGAATAATTTTTTTTTGAGATGGAGTCTTGCTCTATTGCCCAGGCTGGAGCGCAGTGCTGCGATCTCGGCTTGCTGCAAACTCCACCTCCTGGGTTAAAGCGATTCTCCTGCCTCAGCCTCCCAAGTAGCTGGGATTACAGGCACTCACCACCACGCCTGGATAATTTTTGTATTTTTAGTAGAGACGGGATTTCACCATCTTGGCCAGGCTGGTCTTGGAACTCCTGACCTCGCGATCCACCTTCCTCGGCCTCCCAAAGTGCTGGGATTACAGGCGTGAGCCACGGCGCCCAGCCAGGAATAATTATTTTAAATAATTATTGGTCAGAAGAACATACAAGGTAAATAATTATCCCATAGCTTCCTGGACTGTTTGCTAGAGATACTAGTCTGACTTACTGCAAGTCTGGCTTGTGGATGGTAAACTGGCTTCCTGTTTTGGTTACTGTAGATAATGGGTTGATTTCCTGGGTTGGTTGCTGCACATTGTAGGTCAGAGTTCTATTTTTATATATGATCTGGCCATTGTTGGTTTGTATATTATCTCTCAGTACATATGTGTATGTATATATATGATATATATGTGTGCATGATATATATTTATGTTTATGTGTGTGTACATTTGTGTGAACACATATGTGAATATGTGTGTATGAGTTTGTGTGTCTCTATGTGTGTGTCCAGCTCTGTGTATGTTTCTCTTTCTGAACTTGTCTGTGTTTAGGAGCAAGCTGACCACGATAATGGGAATTTTGAGGAGAGAGTTGAGGTTAGGGGGCTGAGGAGATGGCACACACTAACATATTCTGTCATGATAGGGACCTTGTGAAAGATAATTCTCAAAAGACAGTGGTTAGTAGCTGCAGGCCTATGTGGGGCCTGAGATGAACAGGACTAAGATCTCCTCCTATAAAATATGCAGAGCAAGATGTGGTTTTAAAATGTGTATAATTAACAAGGCTGAAGTTCACAACTAAGATACACTATGTGGTCATTTGGGGGAATGATGTGTCTCTAGAAGTTACCTGTAAGAGTGGCCACAGACAGGAACATTTGAAAAGAAGACTTTACTCTCACCCCTTTCTCTCCATCCCAGTGACTTGGTTTAATGGTCATCTTTCCTTTTGTCTCATTCTTCCAGAGGCATAGTAGTGGGCTCAGGATATATGACAGGGAGGAGAAATTTCTCATCTCAAATGAAAAGAAGATATTTTCTGAAAATAGTTTAAAGTCTGAAGAACCTATCCTATGGACCAAGGGTGAGATTCTTGGAAAGGGAGCCTACGGCACAGTAAGTTAAACTGGAAACTTGAAATCAGCACTCCCCACCCCCCCACAGTCCCTCCCTCCACCCCTCCCACTCCCCCAGTCATCCTCCCTGCTTCCTCTGGCAAGCACTCTTTTACTTAGAACTCTTTCAGTTGGAAGTAACAGAAAATCCAACCACTGAGGGAAAGGACAGTTACTGCTTTATCCGACTGAAAGGTCTGGAATAGGTCTGGCTCTGGGTCCAGGAGGCTTCAGGGATCAGACAATGTCATCAGGATCTGGTCTCTCTCTCTCTTTGCCTGGCTTTTTCTCAGGCACATATAGTGACTCAATGGCCACTGCATTTCTAACCTCTCATCCTCCCAGGTTCAAGTCCAATGGGAAAGAAATATCTTCCTTCAACAGCTGAATATGTTACTGGAAGTTTGGAGAATCATTACTAGATGGCAAAAACAAAAGATGTTCCTTCCATTTTGTGAACTGCATAAGAGATCTTGGGGGGTGGGCGATGAAGAGAGGTGGGTACAAACATACAGTCAGATAGAAGAAATAAGTTCTAGTGTTTGATAACACAGTAGGGTGACTATAGTTAACAACAATATATTGTGTATTTCCAATTAGCTAGAAGATTGAAATGCCCCCAACACAAAGAAAATGACAAATGTTTGAGGTGATGGATGTCCTAAACACACTGTCTTGATCATTACACATTCTATGCATGTATTAATATATCAGATGTGCCTCTTAAATATGTACAAACATTATATATCTAAACCCTAGCACTTTAGATAGTTATTTACATAGACGAGTAAAGAAAAGGCTGGCCCCCAAATAAGACTTGTGCTGTCTCCAGATGGGGACATTTCAGAAATCAGTGAGAAGACAGGAAGACACAAAACCACTGAGATTACATCACAATGGTGATTTCCAGGGCCTGTCTCCTTCTCACTCCAGAGAGCTTGGGAGCTGAACCAGCTCTATTTTACATATTATCAGGAGCTTTTCCAAACCACCATCTCATGTAGTCATCATAGAAATCTGGGAGGCAGGCCAGGTGTGGTGGCTTTCACCTGTAATCCCAGAACTTTGGGAGGCCGAGGCGGGTGGATCACTTGAGGTCAGGAGTTCGAGACTAGACTGGCCATATGGTAAAACCCCGTCTCTACTAAAAATACAAAAATTAGCCAGGTGTGGTGGCACAGACCTGTAATCCCAGCTACTCAGGAGGCTGAGGCATGAGAATTGCTTGAACCCCGGGGCAGAGGTTGCAGTGAGCCCAGATCACACCACTGCACTCCAGCCTGGGCGACAGAGCGAGACCCTGTCTCCAAAAAAAAAAAAAAAAGAAAAAAATCTGTGAGGCAGCCTGGGCAACATAGAGAGACCTCGTCTCCACAAAAATACTTTAAAAATTAGCCTAGTGTGGTGGTACATGCCTGTAGTCCCAGCTACTCAGGACACTGAGGCAGGAGGATCGCTTGAGCCCAGGAATTTGAGGCTGCAGTGAGATATGATCAGGGCCACTGCACTCCAGCCTGGGTGACAGAGAGAGACTCTGTCTCCAAAAAAAAAAAAAAAAAAAAAGAAAGAAAAAGGTAGCACGGTGGCTCTACAAAAAGTACACACACACAATTAGCCAGGTGTGGTGGCACACACCTGTGATCCTAGCTACGAGCTGCTCAGGAGGCTGAGGTAGGAGGATTGCTTGAACCCAGGAGGTTGAGCCTGCAATGAGCTGTGATTGTGCCAATGCACTCCAGCCTGGGCAACAGAGTGAGACCCTGTCTAAAAACAAACAAAAAAAAAAAAAAAAAAAAGAAAAGAAATCTCTGAGGCAAGTATTGTTACCTCAGTTTTACAGATGAGAAAAACTGAAGTCAAAAGATTACACATTTATCCCAAGTTATATAGCTGGGGAAAGATGAAGCCAGGATTCTAGCCAATTCAAGCCACTTGACTTTAAGCCAATATGACATCCATCCACCATGTTTCTCATACCCATCTTGGCTCCACTGAAACACTGAATTTGCTTAAACACTTTGCATTTAGGAAGGGAGGTATCAACTTAGAGAAAGACAAGGGTTTAGAAAGAGAAGGGAAAGTCAAGTGTCACCTGAGGCATTTTGTGAATAAGTTATGTCATTAATTTAATAACAAGGTATTATTGATTTGCTTCTAGGTATACTGTGGTCTCACTAGTCAAGGACAGCTAATAGCTGTAAAACAGGTGGCTTTGGATACCTCTAATAAATTAGCTGCTGAAAAGGAATACCGGAAACTACAGGAAGAAGTAGATTTGCTCAAAGCACTGAAACATGTCAACATTGTGGCCTATTTGGGGACATGCTTGCAAGAGAACACTGTGAGCATTTTCATGGAGTTTGTTCCTGGTGGCTCAATCTCTAGTATTATAAACCGTTTTGGGCCATTGCCTGAGATGGTGTTCTGTAAATATACGAAACAAATACTTCAAGGTGTTGCTTATCTCCATGAGAACTGTGTGGTACATCGCGATATCAAAGGAAATAATGTTATGCTCATGCCAACTGGAATAATAAAGCTGATTGACTTTGGCTGTGCCAGGCGTTTGGCCTGGGCAGGTTTAAATGGCACCCACAGTGACATGCTTAAGTCCATGCATGGGACTCCATATTGGATGGCCCCAGAAGTCATCAATGAGTCTGGCTATGGACGGAAATCAGATATCTGGAGCATTGGTTGTACTGTGTTTGAGATGGCTACAGGGAAGCCTCCACTGGCTTCCATGGACAGGATGGCCGCCATGTTTTACATCGGAGCACACCGAGGGCTGATGCCTCCTTTACCAGACCACTTCTCAGAAAATGCAGCAGACTTTGTGCGCATGTGCCTGACCAGGTAAGAAACTGAAAGCAAGAGGAGGAAGATAAATGCCCGGAGATTCCAAGTGGCAGACATTTCCCTTTCAATTTATGGCCCATTAAAAGCTCTGTTTTGGTTATGAAGTCAAGTAGACAGTGATTTTGTGCCGAAAGTAATCATAATCAGTCATATTGGGTAATTGTGTTCATTGTTGTATCAGGGTATAGGAGGCAATGCTTCAAGTAGAAAGTGCCTCAATTAAATGTCTTATCAAGTTCTGTCAATACTTGCCCAAATCAATGGGTTTGCAAAATTTGTTAAAGATCTACTTATTTACCAATGAGACATCTTCCTAGGAACTGGCTAGGGTGAAATGACATCATCTTGCATTTAAAGTGAGGGGAAACATTTTGAGCCAAAGAAACAAATTGGAGATTTCAAGCGTCAAGTGGGGGAGTATTTGGTGAATCGGAAAAGCCTTAGAAAATTGCCTGTTTTCCCCTTCCTTATCTTCTCTCCTATCTATGGAATTAAATTGTGGGTAAAATGTTAGAACTGTAACTGTAATGTAATGGAAATTAACTAGTGCTGTGATTTTCAAATTTTTAGCCAGGTACTCTGCTCATAGAAATCTTAAATCAAAGAATAAAATAAAAGCAGACAGATGGCTCTAGTTAAAGTGTGTATCCATGGGGCGGGGAAGAGTTAAGGAGTAGGGCTGTGGGTGCTGGAGCCCACTCTAGGATACTGCACAGCAGCCCCAAACCCACCTACCTAGCAAGGCTCAACTTTAATTGGAGGACAAGAAAGGCCTGAGACTCAAAGTCAATTTCCTGTCTTTCAAGTAAGTTTGCCTTCTTATCCCTAGATGAAAAACTCCAGTGTCCCATCTTTTAGCAAGCACATATGGCAACCCCCAACTCCCAGGGGGTTCATTTTGCCTTTCTGAATAAATCTTAGAATCTACAGGTCTCCCTCTCTGCCAATGAATGTGCCTCTCTTTCAGTCTCTGTCTCTCTCTCCCAGCACATGTGTATCAGCCTGTCCTGGCTGATTTCAGGATGATTACATGGGCCAGGGCAGGAATGCCACTCCAGGGGTACAGTTTTTGGCATTGCTAGATGCAGAGAACCCTTAGGTTTCCAGCGTGGATTTTGTGGACAGAGCCCCAGTCACTGAGCTGCCCACCCTCTCCAAAAAAAAAAAAAAAAAAAACCGCATAAATGTGTTGGAAAATCGTATAGACAAGTACTAGTTTGATATTGGTGTTAACTGTTAAAACTATTGTAGTTGCTTTGTTCCGAATTTAACAATTACCTATATTATTGACTCACAGCTAGAAACCACTTGTTATTCTCATTTTCTTTCAAGTTGTGATTACACACACACACACACACACACACACACACACACGAAGCACTTTAAAGAGAAAGGGTGGAATCTTCTTTTATGGCTCTCCTTTTGAACCGTTGCTTCATAAACTAAGCAATATACAATTCACACCACTAATAAAAATTAACAGGGTTATTGTGAAGGTTAAGTGAAATGGTGCATGTAAATTGCTTAGCAGAGTGTGGGGCACAAAATTAGGAGTTTACAGTTAATAATCATTAGGAAGAATATTAACATACCTTACCTAATTAGAGTCATATACAAGTATATAATTACCTCCTAAAATTCTATGGCAAAGACCCTGAGGACCCTAGCATCTCACCTGATATCAATAACAATACTCCTTGGAGATAGGGATATTCAGAAAATAAAGGGCGAGGCACTCTTAAAGATTCAGAAATAGAGATAATCAGGCATAGACTAGGGAAAGTCTAAAGAAAACAGAAATGAACTTGGGGAAGCTGAGAGAAATAAGCATGGAGGGGGTACTCCTATTGACAGATCAAGTTCTGGGAAGTCAGGCCAAGGAGTTTAGCTTTGTTGCAATAGGCAGTGAGGAGCAGGGGGCTGCAAAAGATTTGGGGTAGAAAAGGCCATAAAGAAAAGGGTCTTTGGGAAGGCAGGTCAGATGGCAATGTATTGAAGGGCCTGGGATGGATGTCGCTTGAGACTAGAAAGCTCTGCAGAAATCCAGAGCTTGGATGCTGATGGTGGTAGAAGCAGTGGGATTGTAAAGGATTCCAGAAAATTTCAGAGAAAAGGTGAATCAAGACTTGGTAATGGAGCAGAATGATAGGATTTCACATTTTTGACTCTGGATAATGGGAGAAATCACAGTTGTGAGAGAAGAACAGGGAGGCAGCTAAACCCTTCCCACCTCCTGTAAGGAGACATTTGAAGCTATGGAATTGCAGCTCAGGAAAGCAATTAAGATTGGAAGGACACATTTAAAAATAATTATAACAGCCAGGTGCAGTGGCTCATGCCTGTAATCCCAGCACTTAGGAAGGCCGAGGTGGGGGGATCACTTAAGCCCAGGAGTTCAAGATGGAGACCAACCTGGGCCACATGAAGAAACCCCATCTTTACAAAAAAATACAAAAATTAGCCAGGCATGGTGGTGTGTGCCCGTAGTCCCAGCTACTCAGGAGGCTGAGGTGAGAGGATGAGAGGATCGCTTGACCCCGGAAGTTGATGCTGCAGTGGGCTGAGATGGCACCACTGCACTCCAGCCTAAGGGACAGAGTGAGACTCTGTCTCAAAAAAAAAAAAAAATCATTATAAGGTTGATTGCTACAGTCATAACAAAATTATAGGGCTGAGGAAAATATTTTGAAAATGCTCACAATGGAAGCTAACAGAAATGCATGGCATCAAGTCTAGCACATAACTGGAGAAGGGAAGGGAGGAAGGGAAGGGAGTTGCCCCAAGGTGTAAGAAGAAACAAGAGGACAGAGTGTCCCTAAGTCTAAGCAGAGGTAGTTTCAGGTAGGAGGGAGTAGTGAATGTTTCAAGCGCTACAGAAATGACAAACAGCTCATTAAATCTGGTTAATTTCAAGAGGGCAATTTCTATAGAGGAATGGGCCAAATGGTTAAGAATACAGGGGGGAAGTCACCGAGCTTAGCCTTGTTAGAGACATTTGGCAGAGACATTTAAAATGGGATGGGCCAGGCGCAGTGGTCCACGCTTGTAATCCCAGCACTTTGGGAGGCTGAGGCAGAATAACTGATTGAGCGCAGGAGTTTGAGATCAGCCTGGGCAACATAGGGAGACCCTGTTTCTACAAAAAATTTAAAAATTAGCCGGGCGCGGTGGCTCACGCCAGTAATCCCAGCACTTTGGGAGGCCGAGGCGGGCGGATCACGAGGTCAGGAGATCAAGACCATCCTAGCTAACATGGTGAAACCCTGTCTCCACTAAAAATACAAAAAATTAGCTGGGTGTGGTGGCAGGCACCTGTAGTCCCAGCTACTCGGGAGGCTGAGCCAGGAAAATGGTGTGAACCTGGGAGGCAGAGCTTGCAGTGAGCCGAGATTGCTCCACTGCACTCCAGCCTGGGTGACAGAGCGAGACTTCATCTCAAAAAAAAAAAAAAAAAAAAAAAATTTAAAAATTAGCAAGTCATGGTTGTGTACACCTGTAGTCCCAGTGACTCAGAAGGCTGAGGTGGGAGGATCACTTGAGCCTGGAAGGTTGAGACCACAGTGAACCGTGATCATGCCACTGCACTCCAGCTTTGGCAACAGAATGAGACCCTGTCTCAAAAAAAAAAAAAAGTGGGTGGGGGAGCGGTGGTAGCTAGAAATGGTATCCAGTTCAAGGAAAGGATTTTAAAGGAGAGAGATTTCTGCATATTTTAAAGGCCGGAGAAAGGGCCTCCAGATAGTGAAAGAATTTTTTTTTTTTTTTTTTTTCCGAGACGGAGTCTTGCTTTGTTACCCAGGCTGGAATGCGGTGGTGTGACCTTGGCTCACTGCAACCTCCGTCCATGGGTTCAAGCAATTCTCCTGTCTCAGCCTCCCAAGTAGATGGGACTACAGGCGCCTGCCACTGTGGCCAGCTGATGTTTTTGTTTTTTTAGTAGAGACGGGGTTTCACCATGTTGGCCAGGCTGGTCTCGAACTCCTGACCTCGTGATCCACCCACCTTAGCCTCCCAAAGTGCTGAGATTACAGGTGTGAGCCACTGTGCCTTGCTGTATTTTTTTTTTTTTTACTTTTGAAATGACACAAAATATAATACTTTTATACAAAATACTTTTAAGAGTATTTATTTCCATTTTCACCTGGAAAATGATCTGGTGGCCATTGTGCTTTCAAAATTATTAAAAGAGGAGGGGCTTCAAGATGGCTGACTAGAGACATCTGGCACTTACTTCCTCCACAAAGAACTAAAATAGCAAGTAGATAAGCACATTTCAAATATAGCATCTGAGAGAGAACACTGGATTTCAACAGAGAAGTTACAGGAAACACCTGAGACATGGAAGAAAAGGAAAGGAAGACAGTCAGTTTGGTTGAGATTGGCCGAGAGCCCAGAGAGCCTCCCTAGTGTGGGGAAAGGGTGAGAGATCCTCAGTGGTCCACATTCTCACAGTGAACTCCTGCAATCCTAGCCATGGGAGAACCCTTTAGTCCTTGCAGACACTGAGACTAGAATATGGAGCTGCCTGGAAACCATGTGACAGCATTGCTCCGGAGAGGGAGCTCACACCTGAGTCCTAAGCAGCTACAGCATGGCACCATTTTGAGAGTCCAGCCCCCACCAGACTCCATCCCGCCCTGGGGTCCAACAGCCCCTGCAACTCCATATCCTTGGAACCCTACTTACATCTTCTTGTGTTTACCTGGAGGGCTGCAGCAGTGTGATGCCAGTTGTACCCAGTGGAGTGGCCAGATCCCCAGCATTGTAGCACACATGGTGTCCTGCACCCCAGAAACAACAGTGCAGCGCACCAGGGAGGCTGCTCCTGGGACAAAGGGAGCCAAAGCATGTGCTCCCCAGTGCCTAAGAACTGCCTACCTGAGGTGGCTATTACAGATAGCAACCCCACCCTTTCTAGCAGCAGGGCTGCCACACACATGCTCTGAGGACAGACTCTGCTGCTGTCCACTGCAGCTTCTGCTTAGGCTGAAGTGTGTGCCACTGGCAGTGACCCCACCCGCTTCAGCAACAGGGTTGCAGCACATTTGCATGTGCCCTGAGGACTGGCTTTCTTGGCTGCAGCTGCTGCCACCACCAGAAGCCAAACCATGAGCTCCCTGGAACCTGAGAGCCACCTGCCTGAAGCTGCTGCCACTGACGGCAACTCTGCTTCCACCAGTAGCAGGGCTATAGCACACTTGCACATGCCCTAATGACAGGCTCCCCTTGCCCACCACCACCGGAGCTGCAGCCACCCAATCATCATGCCAGGGCCCTGGGGATCACCCCACCCTGCCCACTACTGCTGACCCCTGCGTGTACCACTGGAGGGCCTGAGGAAAGGTCAACCAAGCCTGGCCCAGCAGCCCTGCCGGTGTCTGAGCACATTGCCTGGGGCCTGGGGATTCTCTGCCCTATCACTGCTGGTATCTGTACATTCCTCATGAGGACCTGAGGACCGGCCCATCCAGCCCATTGCAGCCACTATTAACACCAGTGCCTGCTGCTATGGAGCCCAAGCATTATCCCAGTACCACTATTGCCATTGCCCATGCCATGCATGCTGCCCAGGAGTCTAAGGACCTATCCACCCACCCAGCACACCACTGCCACTACCAGGACCTGAGCAAGCCTTGGAGGCCCAAGAATTGGCTCATTTGAACCCACTAACACTAGTGCCCATGTATGTCACCCAGGGGCCCAAGGATGGGCATGCTTGACACACCACTGCTACCACTCAGGCTAAAGGACTGGCCCACCTGGCATACCAATCCCCAGCAAAACCTCACCACAGACTCCACTAACAATCACAGACTTAGCCGCTGAGGAAATCACAGACACCACTGGCGCTGTTTACAGCTGAAGAAATTATACTAAGACCACACTACTGCATACACCCAGGATCAAAGCTAAAGCATCCTACCCAATCAACACCATAGATACATCTTCAGGAAAGAGTCTTCCCTTATGAAAGCCAATCCAAAAATTTAAAAGAAGTGACTGTTATACCACATGTGCCAATTCATTCAAGAGCTTCGACAATAGACTACATCAAGCAGGAGAAAGAATCTCAGGACTTGAATACAGATCTTTTGAAATAACCCATTCAGACAAAAATAAAGAAAAAAAAGAGTGAACAAAGCCTACATGACATGTAGGAAACTATAAATTGGCCAGATATACAATTTTGATTGTTCCAGAAGGTGAAGAGAAGACCAAAGGTATAGAAAATCTATTTAAAGACAGAATAGTTGAAACTTTCCCAGGTCTAGCAAGAGATTTAAACATCCAGATACAGGAAGCTAAGAGATCCACAAATAGATACAACCTAGAAAGGTCTTCTCCAGGGTACATTGTAGTCAAACTGTCAAAAGTCAAAGACAAAGAGAAAATTCTAAGAACAGCAAAAGAAAAACATCTAGTAATGTATAAAAGAACCCCCATCAGACTAACAGTGGATTTATCAGCAGAAATCTTACAGGCCAGGAGAGAATGAGATAATATATTAAAAGTTTTAGGCCAGGCATAGTGGCTCGCACCTGTAATCCCAGCACTTTGGAAGGCTGAAGTGGGTGGATCACCTAAAGTCGGGAGTTTGAGACCAGCCTGACCAACATGGAGAAAATCCATCTCTACTAAAAATACAAAATTGCCCAGGTGTGGTGGTACATGCCTGTAATCCCAGCTACTCTGGAGGCTGAGACAGGAGAATTGCTTGAACCTGGGAGGTGGAGGGTGCAGTGAGCCGAGATTGTGCCTTTGCACTCTAGCCTGGGCAACAACAGCAAAACTCCATCTCAAAAAAACAAACAAACAAAAAAAAAAGTTTTGAAAGGCATAAAAACAAAACAAAACTGTCAGCCAAGAATGCTATACTCAGCAAAGTTATCCTTCAAAAATGGAGAAAGTCTTTCACAGACATGCAAAAACTGAGAGACTTCATCACCATTAGTGGCCCTACAAGAAATGCTTAAGAAAGTCCTACACCTGGAAGTGAAAGGTCATATCTATCATCATGAAAACATATGAAAGTGTAAAACTCACAGGTAGAGGAAACCACACAAAAGAGGTAGAGAAAGGACTCAAACGTTAACACTACAGAAAACCACCAAACCACAATGATAAATAACAAGAGAGAAAGAAAGAAAGAAACAAACAAACAAACAAACAAACCAACCAGAAAACAATCAACAAAATGACAGGAATAAGAACATAAATGGATTAAAATTTCCAATTAAAATGGCTGAATAGATTTTTAAAAAGTGACCCAAAAATATACTGCTTTCAAGAAACTCACTTTACCTGTAAAGACACATATAGACTGAAAGTGAAAGGATGGAAAAAGATAGTTCATGCAAATAGAAACCAATAGAGAGCATGAGTAGCTATATTCATATCAGATAAAACACACTTTATGTCAAAAACAGTAAAAAGAGACAAAGTCACTATATAATGATAAAGAGAAAAATTCAGCCAGAGGATGTAACAGTTCTGATGCACCCTGCACCAGAGCACCCAGGTATATGAAGCAAATATTATTAGATCTGAAGAGAGAGATAAACTCTAATACAATCATAGATGGGGACTTTAACACCCCACTCTCAACATTAAGCAGATCATCTAAACAAAACATCAATAGAGAAACCTGGATTTAAATTGCACTTTAAACCAAACAGACACAACAGATACCTACAGAATATTTTCTCCAACAATGGCAGAATAAATGTTCCCATTAAAACATGGAACATTTTCCAGGATAGGCCATACATTAGGCTGCAAAACAAGTTTCAACAAATTTTTAAAAATCAAAATCATACCAAGTATTCTTTCAGCCACAATGGAATAAAACTAGAAATCAATAACAAGAGGAACTTTGGAAACTGTATAAATACATGGAAACTAAACAACATGTTCCTGAATGGCTACTGGGGCAAGAAAGAAATTAAGAAGAAAATTAAAAAATTTCTCAAAACAAATGAAAATCAAAACACAACATACCCAAATCTATGTGACATAGTAAAAGCAGTGCTAAGAGGGAGGTTTATAGCAATAAAAGCCTACATCAAAAATGTATGAAGATTGGCTGGGCATGGTGGCTTACACCTGTAATCCCAACACTGTGGGAGGCCAAGGTGGGAGGATCACTTGAAGCCAAGAGTTCAAGACCAGCCTGGGTAGCAATGTGAGACCTTGTCTCAAAAAGAAAAAAAAAAAATTAGCTAGCTAGGTCACTTGGTAGGCTAGGGTGGGAGGATTGCTTGAACCCAAGAGTTCGAGACTGCAGTAAGCCATGATTGCACCATTGCATTCCAGATGGGGTGACCTTTTAAAAAAGTATAAAAATTTAAATAAATAATCAAGGAAACAGAAGAAAAAGGGAACAAACCAAACCCCAAATTAGTAGAAAAAAAGAAATAAAGATCAGATTATGTTAAGTGAAATAAACCAGGATCAGAAAGACAAACATTGCATGTCCTCACTTATTTGTGGGATCTAAAAATAAAAACAATTAAATTCATTAACATAGAGAGTAGAAGGATGGTTACCAGAGGCTGGGAATGATAGTAGGAGGATAGGAGTAGGGCAGATAGGGATGGTTAATGGATTAAAAAAAAAATAGAAAGCTTGAATAAGACCTACCATTTGATAGAACATCAGGGAGACAATAGTCATTAATAACTTAATTGTACATTTTAAAATAATTAAAAGAGTGTAATTAGATTGTTTGTAACACAAAGGATAAATGCTTGAGAGGATGGATACCCCATTCTCCATGATGTAATTATTTGACATTGCATGCCTGTATCAAAACATCTCATGTACCCCATAAATATATACACCATGTACCTACAAAAATTAAAAATAAAAAAATATAAAAATCAATAGAAAAGTAATAAAGGTCAGAGTAGCATTAAATGAAATACAGAAAAAAATACAAAGGATCAGTGAAATGAGAAGTTGGTTAAAAAAAAAATAAAATCAATAAACTGCTAGCTAGACTAACCAAGAAAAAAAAGAGAGATGACTGAAATAAAAATCAGAAACAAAAAAGGAGACATAACAACTAATACCACAGAAATGAAAAAACCCACCAGAGAACATTATGAACAAATATAAGCTAACAAAATGGAAAACCTAGAGGAAATGGATAAATTCCTGGACACATACAAGACTGAGTCAGGAAGAAATAGAGAACCTGAACAGACCAATAATGAGCAATAAGATTGAATCAGTAATAAAATATCTCCTAACAAAGAAAAGCCCAGGACTGGATGGCTTCACTGCCATATTCTACCAAACTCATAAAGAAGAACTAACACCAGTTATCCTCCAACTATTCCAAAAAATTGAGAAGGAAGGAATTCTCCCTAACTCATTCAATGAAGCCAGCATTACCCTGATACCAAAACCAGACAAGGATGCGAAAACCACAAAAAAAGAAAACTATAGGCCAGTATCCTTGATGAACACAGATACAAAATTCCTGAACAAAATACTAGCAAACCTAACCCAACAGCACATCAAAAAGATAATACACCATAATCAAGTGAGTTTTATACTAGTGATGCAAGGATGGTTTAACATGCACAAATCAATAAACATGATACATCACATTAACAGAATGAAGGACAAAAACAATATGACCATCTCAATAGAAACAGAAAAGACATTTTCTAAAATCCAACATCCCTTTGTGATAAAAACTATCAACAAACTAGGCATAGAAAGAACATACCTCAATATAATAGGCCATATATGACAAACCCACAGCTAACATCATACAGAATGGGGAAAAGGTGAAAGCCTTTCTTCTTAGAACTGGAACAAGAGAAGGATGCCAACTTTCACCGCTCCTATTCAACATAGTATTGGAAGTTCTAGCCAGAGTGATTAGGCAAGAGAAAGAATAAAAGGCATTCAGGCTGGGCGCAGTGGCTCATGCCTGTAATCCCAGCACTTTGTGGGGCTAAGGCAGGCAGATCATGAGGTCAGAAAATCGAGACCATCCTGGCTAACACAGTGAAACCCCATCTCTACTAAAAATACAAAAAATTAGCCAGGTGTGGTGGCGGGCACCTGTAGTCCCAGCTACTCAGGAGGCTGAGGCAGGAGAATGGCATGAACCCGGGAGGTGGAGCTTGCAGTGAGCTGAGATCGCACCACTGCACTCCAGCCTGGGCGACAGAGTGAGACTCCATCTAAAAAAAAAAAAAAAAAAAAAGGCATTCAAACTGGAAAAGAGAAAGCCAAACAGTGCCTCTTTGCAGATGACGTGATCTTATATCTAGAAAAACCTAAAGACTCCACCAAAAAACTCTTAGATCGATTCAGTAAAGATTCAGTAAAGTTGCAGGATACAAAATTAACATACGAAAATTTGTTGTGTTTCTATATACCAACAATGAAGTAGCTGAAAAAGAAATCAAGAAGGCAATCCCATTTAAAATGGCTACAAAAATAAAATAAAATACCTGGGAACAAATGTAACCAAGGAGGTGAAAGACCTCTACAAGGAAAACTACAAAACATTGATGAAAAAAATTGAAGACACAAACAAATGCTCATGGGTCACAAGAATCAATATTGTTAAAGTGGTCATACTAACCAAAGTTATTTATGGATTCAATGCAAAAATACCAATGTAATTTTTCACAGAAATATATACAAAACAATCCTAAAATTTGTGTGGAACCAAAAAGGAGCTCAAAGAGCCAAAGCAATACTAAACAAAAAGAACAAAGCTGGAGGCATCACACTATGTCACTTCAAAATATACAGAAAATATATACAAAATATATTACAAGGCTACAGTAACCAAACAGCATGGTATTGGTGTAAAAATAGACACATAAACCAATAGAACAGAGTAGAGAACCCAGAAATAAGTCCCCATATGTAAACCAACTTATTTTTGACAAAGGGACCAAGAACATATACTGGGGAATTGACACCCTCTTCAATATATGGTGCATATTCATATGCAGATGAACGAAGTTAGACCCCTATCTCACCATATACAAAAATCAACTCAAAATTGATTAAATACCTAAACATAAGACTCAAAACTATAAAATTACTAGAAGAAAACATAGGGAAACACTCCAGGTTATTGGTCTGTGCAGAAGCTCTTTAATATATAGTTCCATTTGTCTATTTTTGGTTTTGTCACCTGTGCTTTTAAGGTAAAGGAAAGCACAGTGTGAAGAGACGACCTGTTGAATGGGAGAAAATATTTGCAAAATGTTCATCCAACAAGAAACATATCTCAAAAGAAGACACAAATAGCCCACAGGTATATGAAGAAATGCTCAACATCACTAATCAACAAGGAAATGCAAATTAAAACCACCAAGAGATACCTACCATCTTATCCCAGTTAAAATGACTACTATTAAAAACACACAAAAGCTCTCCCTCTCCCTTTCCCTCTCCCTCTCGTCTCCCTCTCCCCACGGTCTCCCTCTCCCTCTCTTTCCACGGTCTCCCTCTGATGCCGAGCTGAAGCTGGACTGTACTGCTGCCATCTCGGCTCACTGCAACCTCCCTGCCTGATTCTCCTGCCTCAGCCTGCCGAGTGCCTGCGATTACAGGCACGCGCCGCCACACCTGACTGGTTTTCGTATTTTTTTTTGGTGGAGACGGGGTTTCGCTGTGTTGGCTGGGCCGGTCTCCAGCTCCTAACCGCGAGTGATCCGCCAGCCTCAGCCTCCCAAGGTGCCGGGATTGCAGACGGAGTCTCGTTCACTCAGTGCTCAATGGTGCCCAGGCTGGAGTGCAGCGGCGTGATCCCGGTTCGCTACAACCTCCACCTCCCAGCAGCCTGCCTTGGCCTCCCAAAATGCCCAGATTGCAGCCTCTGCCCGGCCGCCACCCCTTCTGGGAAGTGAGGAGCGTCTCTGCCTGGCCGCCCATCGTCTGGGATGTGAGGAGCCCCTCTGCCTGGCTGCCCAGTCTGGAAAGTGAGGAGCGTCTCTGCCCAGCCGCCATCCCATCTAGGAAGTGAGGAGCGCCTCTTCCCAGCCGCCATCACATCTAGGAGGTGAGGAGCGTCTCTGCCCGGCCGCCCATCGTCTGAGATGTGGGGACCGCCTCTGCCCTGCCGCCCCATCTGGGATGTAAGGAGCGCCTCTGCCCGGCCGCGACCCCGTCTGGGAGGTGAGGAGCGTCTCTGCCCGGCCGCCCCGTCTGAGAAGTGAGGAGACCCTCTGCCTGGCAACCGCCCCGTCTGAGAAGTGAGGAGCCCCTCCGCCCGGCAGCCACCCCGTCTGGGAAGTGAGGAGCGTCTCCGCCCGGCAGCCACCCCGTCCGGGAGGGAGGTGGGGGGTCAGCCCCCCGCCCGGCCAGCCACCCCATCCGGGAGGTGAGGGGCGCCTCTGCCCGGCCGCCCCTACTGGGATGTGAGGAGCCCCTCTGCCCGGCCACCACCCCGTCTGGGAGGTGTACCCAACAGCTCATTGAGAACGGGCCATGATGACAATGGCGGTTTTGTGGAATAGAAACGGGGGAAAGGTGGGGAAAAGACTGAGAAATCGGATGGTTGCCGTGTCTGTGTAGAAAGAAGTATACATGGGAGACTTTTCATTTTGTTCTGTACTAAGAAAAATTCTTCTGCCTTGGGATGCTGTTGATCTGTGACCTTACCCCCAACCCTGTGCTCTCTGAAACATGTGCTGTGTCCACTCAGGGTTAAATGGATTAGGGGCGGTGCAAGATGTGCTTTGTTGAACAGATGCTTGAAGGCAGCATGCTCGTTGGGAGTCATCACCATTCCCTAATCTCAAGTACCCAGGGACACAAACACTGCGGAAGGCCGCAGGGTCCTCTGCCTAGGAAAACCAGAGACCTTTGTTCACTTGTTTATCTGCTGACCTTCCCTCCACTATTGTCCTATGACCCTGCCAAATCCCCCTCTGCGAGAAACACCCAAGAATGATCAATAAAAAATAAAAAAAAAAAAAAGAAAGAAAGAAGACACAGAGACAAAGTATGGAGAAACAACAGTGGGCCTAGGGGACCGGCGCTCAGCATACCAAGGATCTGAACAGGCACAGGCCCCTGAGTTCCCTCAGTTTTTATTGATTATTATTTTTATTATTTTAGCAAAAAGGAATGTAGTAGGAGGGCAAGGTGATAATAAGGAGAAAGTCAGCAACGAACATGTGAGCAATACAATCTAAGTCATAAGGAAGTTCAAGGGAAGGTACTATGACTGGACGTGTCTCTAAGCAAGATTTATGTTTCTCTCCACCCAAACATCTCAGTGGAGTAAAGAATAACAAGGCAGCATTGCTGCAAACATGTCTCACCTCCCACCATAGGGCGGTTTTTCTCCCATCTCAGAACTGAACAAATGTACAATCAGGTTTTATACCGATACATTCAGTTCCCACGGGCAGGCAGGATGCAGCGGCCTTCCTCTCTCTCAACTGCAAGAGGATTTCCTCTTTGACTAATCCACCTCAGCCAGACCCTTTACTGGTGTCGGGCTCGGGGACGCTCAGGTCTTTCTCATCCCATGAGGCCACTTTTCAGACTATCACATGGGGAGAAACTTTGGACAATACGGCGCTTTCAAGGGCAGAGCTCCCTGAGGCTTTCCACAGTGTATGTTGCCCCTGATTTATTGAGACTGGGGAGTGGCGATGACTTTTACCAAGTATACTGCTTGGAAACATCTTGTTAGCAAGGCGCATCCTGCACAGCCCTAGATCCCTTAAACCTTGATTTCATACAACACATGCTTTTGTGAGCTTCAGGTTGGGTCAAAGTGGTTTGTTCAAAGTGACTGGGGCAAAGCTACAGATTAACAACATCTCAGCAAAGAAATTGTTGAAAGTACAGGCCTTTTTCAAAATGGAGTCTCTTATGTCTTTCCTTTCTACATAGACACAGTAAGAGTCTGATTGCTCTTTCTTTAGCCTACACTCACTGAACTGCCCTTCCCCTCCGCTGGGCCATGACCATGGAGAACAGGTCCACTGTCCTCCCTGCGTGGTGCACCATGGAGGCTCAGACTCCGTCCTCGAGGCTGGCAAGAAGACAGGGTAAGACATGAGCCTCCTGATACAGGAGATGTCTGTGGAGCCCACAGGACTGCAACCTCACACTGCAGGGCTGGAGGCACAGACTGACTATTTACTATTCTGTGGCCTGGGGGGCTCAAGGCACAGAGCTCCTCATTAGCCAAAGTCACCCAAGTTCCCAACCTCTAAGGATTTCCTCATAATAATGCAAGAAGAAGAAAAGTGAGTGCCCGTAGAAGCTTTGGGGCTCTTCCTCTAATCAGGAGAAAGCTGGTGTGTATTCTTCACTTCTTTCTTTTCTTTTTAAACATCCAACTGCTTTAATTTTCATCTTTTATTATGGGAAAATATATCACTTATAAATATTAAAAAAAACCCACAAAAATAACAGATGCTGGCAAGAATGTGTAGATAAGGAAACTCACGTACTGTTGGGTGTGAATGTAAATTAATACAGCCATTATGGAAAACAGTATGGAGATTTCTCAAAAAAACCCCAAAAAACTAAAAATAGAACTACCTGCCGTGTGATCCAGCAATCCTCCTACTGAGTATTTATCCAAAGGAAAGAAAATCATTATCTCTAAGGGATACCTGCATCCTCATGCTTATTGCAGCACTATTCACAATAACAAAGGTATGGATCCACCTAAGTGTCCCTCAACAGATGAATAGATAAAGAAAACTTAGTATATATGCACAACAGAATGCTACTCAGCCATAAAAAAAATGAAGTCTTATCATTTTCAGCAACAGAGATGGATCTGGAGTTCTTTATCTTAAGTAAAATAAGCCAGGCCCAGCAAGACAAATACCACGTTCTCTCTTATGTGGGAGCTACGAAAGTAGATCTCATGGAAGTAGAGAGTAGAATGATAGTTATCAGAGGCTGGGAAGGGTGTGTATGTGGTGGGGCAGGGAGGATAAAAAGAGGTTGGTTAATGGGTACATAATTAGATAGAAGGAGTAAGTTCTAATGTTTGATAACAGAGCAGGGTGACTGTAATTAACAACAATGTATTCTGTATTTCAAATAGCTAGAAGAGAGGACTTGAAGTGTTCCTGACACATAGAAATGACAAATACTCATTATATATCAATAAAGAAAGTGGTTGCACAATGTAGCGGGTAGGGGAAGTTACCTGGTTGTTAAAGCCTTAATAAATATTTATGTATCTGAAAAAAAAATCAAAAGATGGCCAATTTAACCAAAAGAATGCCTCTGGAATAGGCCATTGCAGCTAATCATTGACTATTTCATTAGCTCATTGGTTCATTAACTGGCTCATTGACTGATACCTTTCTAAAATCTTTTGAATTTCTTGAAGAAAAAAACTATGCCACAATAGTACTGAACAACTGTCTCCCTCTATCTTACGTTAATCCAGGAGTGCCCAAAACGGGATTATTTCAATTAATCACCAAAGCATATTTGAATATCTATTTTAAAAGGTTTTCAATTCTGGATTTTAATGCTTCTGAATTTTAAAAGTAAATGTAAGTGTGAATTTTACCATACGTAAATTAGACTCCAAACAAATTGCACAAAAGTACAATGGGAAAGTAGGGCCTAGTTTTCAATCACAATAGCTACCACTTTTCAAACAAGTACCATGCTATTGTTTAAAAGTTGTATATATATTATTTAATTCTCCCAATGAGTTAGGTATTATTGTTATCTCCATCTTACTGATGAAGAGAGTTTTAGTCACTTAGCTTAAGGTCACACAGCTAAAAATTGGAGACTGGACTCAACCCAAGTCTGTTTGACTATCAGAAGTTGTATTTCCGTCTTTAAAAGTTCACATTTAAGTAGATCTACATTGGCAGTCTCATTACTGAGTGCTGCTGCTTCTAATGTGTTTTTCCCTTCTTAGGGACCAGCATGAGCGACCTTCTGCTCTCCAGCTCCTGAAGCACTCCTTCTTGGAGAGAAGTCACTGAATATACATCAAGACTTTCTTCCCAGTTCCACTGCAGATGCTCCCTTGCTTAATTGTGGGGAATGATGGCTAAGGGATCTTTGTTTCCCCACTGAAAATTCAGTCTAACCCAGTTTAAGCAGATCCTATGGAGTCATTAACTGAAAGTTGCAGTTACATATTAGCCTCCTCAAGTGTCAGACATTATTACTCATAGTATCAGAAAACATGTTCTTAATAACAACAAAAAACTATTTCAGTGTTTACAGTTTTGATTGTCCAGGAACTACATTCTCTATTGTTTTATATGACATTTCTTTTTATTTTTGGCCTGTCCTGTCAATTTTAATGTTGTTAGTTTAAAATAAATTGTAAAAACAACTTATATTTTCTTGCTTGGTGAGTAAAGATGCTTACTTAATTCGTCCAAAGCAGAGCAGAGGAAGGCAGGAAGGTAAGTTAAAGAGATTCTAGATTCTGTACTTTGGCAGCAATCTTAGCCTAAAAGATTCTAGGAGGCTCAAGGCCTAATAGGGAGGAGGTGAGGGCCTCGGCATTTCATTATCAGAGGGCCCCCAAACTCCTCAGATGTCTCTGAGAAATTGTGCTAGTTAAGGCGGCATCATAAACCTTGGGCTCTTTTCTCTGTAATTTATTTGTAGTGATTTGAAGTTTTTAATCTATTTGCAGTGAATCAGGTCATTTCCATATGCAGAACTAGCTAAGTCTAAATCAGCTGGTAGGACAAAAGCTAGGTCTGGTAAGGGAAGGATGATTTTTCCACAGACCTTTGCTCATTTCATTTGAATAGTTACCTCTGCTGAGGTCATCCTTCAAATACTGCCATTCCCAGAACATTAGTAGACCTCACAAAAGTGAGCATGGATGAGTTAGTAGTATTACAAGCCATTTTAAGTTGGTGGATTAAGCAATATTTTTTTTAGACTGAGTCTTACTCTACTGCCCAGGCTGGAGTGCAGTTGCGTTATCTTGGCTCACTGCAACAACCTCCGCCTGCTGGGTTCAAGTGATTCTTTTGCCTCAGCCTCCCAAGTAGCTGGGATTACAGTTGCCCACCACCACGCCCAGCTAATTTTTGTATTTTTTGTGGAAATGGGGTTTCACCATGTTGGCCGAGATGGAGTTTCACTGTGTTGGCCAGGCTGTCTTGAACTCCAGACCTCAAGTGATCCACCTGCCTTGGCCTCCCAAAGTGCTGGGATTACAGGCGTGAGCCATCGTGCCCAGCCAGGATTAAGCATTTTTTATAAGGTTTCCATTGCTGTTGATCTCACTCATCCACTAAACTTCGCACCTATTGTTCTTTTTTTTTATTATTATTATTTGAGATGGAGTCTCACTCTGTTGCCCAGGCTGGAGTGCAGTGGCGTGATCTTGGCTCACCGCAACCTCTGCCACCTGGGTTCAAGCAATTTTCCTGTCTCAGCCTGCCAAGTAGCTGAGATTACTGGGACCTGCCACTGTGCCTGGCTAATTTGTGTAGTTTTAGTAGAGATGGGGTTTCACCATCTTGGCCAGGCTGGTCTTGAACTCCTGACCTCATGATCCACCCGCCTTGGCCTCCCAAAGTGTTGGGATTACAGGCGTGAGCCATCGCGCCCAGCCAGCACCTATTGCTCTAAGCTATAGCCACAGATATTTTTATTGGCTGCCGTCATTTCAAGCTGGTACAACTAAAAATTAACTTTAGGAGTATTCTAATACTGGTATCAGGATTTGTCAAAACAAAGCTGGTTTAGTTTTTATGAAATAAATGTGAAATGCTGTCCAGGTGAGGTAAAAACAGATTTTACTCTGGACATGTAACATTAGATGAGTCTTTGTGGGTATAACTTTTCTCAAATTTTTTTTTCATATTTAAGAAATTAAGGGAAGAATATGTCCTTTATTTTACTTACTTGTATCTCAACATGACCAGAAACAACATAATTTTGAAAGGTTAGGGCTTATTCCTTTTCCATTTTGGAGGGATCTTCAGCATTCTTTCAAATCTGAATATTATATTGGATTTTAAAGCAACTATTTACAATCAAGCCTGTTAAACCCTATGGGGAAAGGGCAAAGAGTAAGACCTGTTAATACTGTGTATAGAGATCACCGTAATGGACACAAGAAGTTGGTGTTAACAAGTTTATTCCTATTCTACTGAAATATAAGGGTACTGAAGACAATTTTGGAATATTGAACAGAAACTTCAAAAAGCTGAAGTTTTGGCCAGGCAGGGTGGCTCACCCCTGTAATCCCAGCACTTTGGGAGGCCGAGGCAGGTGGATCACTTGAGGTCAGGAGTTGGGAGACCAGCCTGGCCAACATGCTGAAACCCCATCTCTACTAAAAATACAAAAAATTAGCTGGGCATGGTGGCGTGTGCCTGTAATCCCAATTACTTGGGAGGCTGAGGCAGGAGAATCGCTTGAACCTGGAAGGAAGAGGTTGCAGTGAGCCGAGATCACACTACTGCACTCCAGCCTGGGCAACAAAAGCGAAACTCCATCTCAAAAAAAAAAAAAAAAAAAAAGCTGAAGTTTTCAATAGGCAAGCCTTGGTCCTCAAAGCTTCTGTGTTTTTGTTATTCACTGTGTTTAAGACATGAACAATTGTTTGGAATTACACTCTTCATTATCACTGCCCATATGTGTGCTCTCTTCCTTTTGAAGAGGGTCTGAAAGGAGGTTGGGAGTGGAGGTAGGTTGGGGCTGGGATGGCTAGCATTCACTGAGCTTTTAGCAGAAAAAGGCACATCATTTCATTCTAGCTGCTGATTGGGATGGTAGTATCGTCCTCCCTTTATTATTTTGAGTACTTTAATGGTGTGAAAAGCTTTTCATTGTTCACCTAGCAGTAATACCGTCCTCCCTTCCATGAGCATCACCCTTTTCCCAAGGCACAACCGCTGAGTTTTCAATCACATTGAAAACTCATCTTATTATGTACTAAATTCCTGTATGCTCTGGGCCCAAGCTCAACCAAAGACATTTTAACCCCCAAGTTCTAAAAAGTAGATCTACAGCATCTCCTTAACTTTAACCTACTTTAGTCGTACACTGTGTAATGAGTAGCTCCAAGATAATAACCCACTTAATCTGCTCAAGGAGCAGCCAAAAGCTGCATACCATCACCTACCAGGCCGTCTTTCTTCTTCATACGAGCTGCACTTACAAGTATTAATTCAGTTTAAAGCAGCTATTTAAATGCAGAAACTTGCATTTTAAAAATCTTTCCAGGTGATTCTGCCAATTAAAAAATCTCTGGTGTAAGCAGCCTCTCTCTCTACTGGTAATAAAGTTTAAAAAAAAGTTTGTATATGCCATTACACTGTCAAGTTTATAGAGGATAGTGCTTTCTCCTATTGACAGGACATCACGACATTATGAAAATCCATGGCTGAATTCATCCATAAAGCAGTCACTAACAGGCTGACGTGAAAGACTATAGAAAACTGGCCTCCTCAACTGTGTCTGAACATTTGAAAGGTCTAAGTAAGCCTCTTAATTTCATGGCAATATAATAAAAATATTTTGTCAGTGAGGCCCTACATTGTTTTGGGAGGTGGTATTGAGGGGAAGGAATAGGCAGGCCATATGCTACAGCTAAAATAAAAACATACAATTTATTATATTGAAAAGTGCAGGGGGCAGGGGTGAAGGAATAAACAATGGACTTAGATGAGTTTGGTTAGATGGAATTACTCACTTTGTAAAGTTAAAACCCATCCAATTTATTATGTTAATAGAACAAGCCCTTACTGGTGTCAGCACCAGTGAGACAAATCTCTTAACTGTGATACAAAAAATATTTATGTTACATTTAGGCTGAAAATGTTTTATTTTTAATTAAAAAAAAATTTTTTTTTTTTTGAGATGGAGTCTTGCTCTGTCGCCTAGGCTGGAGTGCAGTGGCGCTATCTCGGCTCACTGCAACCTCTGCCTCCCAGGCTCAAGCGATTCTCTCCTGCCTCAGCCTCCTGAGTAGCTGGGACTACAGGCGCGCACCACAACGCCCAGCTAATTTTTTTGTATTTTTTAGTAGAGACAGGGTTTCGCCATGTTGGTCAGGCTGTTCTCGAACTCCTCACCTCAGGTGACCCGCCCACCTTGGCCTCAAACTCCCAAAGTGCTGGGATTACAGGCATAAGCCACCGTACCCGGCCTGAAAATCTATTTTAAAAGAAGCGACTTTTCTATCCTAATTCTACTTTATCAAAGTTATTGCAATTAGCTTTCATTTTCTTTCAAGTGGAAGGTGCAGGGAAATTGCTGGTAAGGAGAGGGAAGCTGGCGAGCAGCCTTATTAAAGAACAGCTTATGCTTAAATATTTTTGAAGGGGCCGGGCATGGTGGCTCACACCTGTAATCCTAGCACTTTTGCAGGCCAAGGTGGGCGGATTGCTTGAGCCTAGGAGTTTGAAACCACCCTGGGCAACGTATCAAAACCCCGTTCTACCAAACACAAGAACAACAACAAAACAAAACAAAACAAAACAAACAAAAAAACCACAAAAAAACCCCCCAAAATTAGCCGGGCATGGTGGCACATGCCTGTAGTCCCAGCTACTCAGGAGGCTGAGGTTGGATGATCGCTTGAGCCTGGGAGGCGGAGGCTATAGTAAGCCAAAAATCACACCACTGTACTGTACTCTAGCTTGGCTGACAGTGAGAACTTGTCTCAAAAAATAAAAAATTTTAAATGGGTACTGCAACTATTCTTTGTGCTTTTTATGGGAGTGATGCAAGAGGTTAGACAAGAAAATCTTAAAACAGAAATTAGAATGAACAACTTAAGAGAATTCTGGACACAGCGGGCATGCAGTATTTAATATGTTCCAGTTACACACCTGGATTGGCCTTCATCATTCCAATATCCCACATCTACCCCTCAATTAGGATTCTCTTTAATGCTATTCTATCTAGCCTTCCTTGACCATCCAAGCCTTACACAACTCTATGATGAACAGGTACTACTACTAACACTTTGTAGGGAAGAAAAAGCATGAGATCAAGTAATTCACCCAATGCCATTCTGTTATTAAATGGTAGGGCTGAGACTAGAGCATGGACCATTTGATCCCAGAGCCTGCACTCCTGAATGATACATGAAATTACTTGGATAAAGGGTCAATTATACTAGAGATCTCACATTTTCCAGGGACTGAAAGTTACTTCTGTTTTTGTTGTTGTTAAGGAATCTTGCTCTGTCGCCCAGGCTGGAGTGCAGTGGTGCGATCTCGGGCTCTCTGCAACCTCTGCCTCCTGGGTTCAAGCGATTCTCTTGCCTCAGCCTCCCGAGTAGCTGGGATTACAGGCATGCACCACCACACCCGGCTAATTTTTGTATTTTTAGTAGAGACAGGGTTTCACCATGTTGACCAGGGTTGTGTTGAACTCCTGACCTCAGGTTATCCGCCTGCCTTGGCCTCCCAAAGTGCTGGGATTACAGGCATGAGCCACTGCGCCCCACCTCAAAGTTACTTCTGATTCACATTAACTTAAGACATGTTAGAGCCTTGGATTTATGTTGTCAATAAACATTTTATTAGTTCCTTGTATGGATAAGAAGCTTAAAGTCAATGACTAATTCATGCCATATACACATATTCCTGTTTTAGATTTTCTATTAGCAAACATCCTGTTCAATTGTTGTTGGGAGTTTTGAGTACATTCAGAAAATGAAACCCCACAATCACTGTTTACAACAAATGAGTATGTATTTTTCCTAATAAAATGAAGCTGCTTGAAAAAAACATACCTTAAAATTAAGAATGTACTCATCACTTAATAAGAATGTACTCATTATTAAACAATAGGCAAATCAAACAAACTACTAAAGTGGCAATGCTCGGGATTTTGAGTTTCCGCCCCAAACTTGAAAATAAAGTAGACAGCCCTCAAACTTTGAGATAAATGGATTCCACAGTGAAGTTAAGTTGCCTATACGAGAACAGAATTACTCCTAGCCATTCAATCTTCGATGGATCTTATCAACCTACTTAATCAATCTGTCAGGCAGAATAGGTAACAGTAAATTATAAAGAAGGTGCCACAGAGGTAAAAACTGGCTGTGCCCAAATTGACACTGCAGAGCAGAAAATTAATGTATGATATTAGGTCTAAAACATTTTGAGCTTTTCAGTCCCACTGGCAAAATGTATTACAAAAATAGATGCTCCAGGGAAACTAACAAAAGCAACCTTTTGATTTCGGCTTCCATGTATGTCAGCTTACAGCAATTAGGTTGCTCACTGATTTCTGATATTAACGTATCAGAATGTGATTCTCAAATTAGTATCATAGCTTGGTACCCAAGGTCAGAGAATGTGCTGCTTTTCCAATGCAAAAATCCCTATCTAAATAAGTCCATCTTAGGGCACATGAGATTAGCACCTATTGTCCTGTCAACTCATTTAGTTTAAGTGTGAGATTTGTTGATCCCTCATCTGGGTAAAGGTAGTCAGTGAATCCTACTGTCTCCCTTCAAGACAGCCTCTGAGGCAGTAATCAGGTTAGAAATACTGAATCCATGATTCTTCCTAACAAGAGCCTCCAAATATTCTCAGCAAAGACATCCTAAATTTAAGCAGATATGCTTTTCATTTGGATAAAATTGGAAATGGTGTAATACCTTGAGAGAATGGTTTTCCTAAGACGTTACCATGTTAAAAAAGTCCCCATGTCTATAGAAAATGCAAAACCCTGAAATATCTAATCAACTAACTGTACTCATGAAATGCATAATATTCATGCAGATATAAGCAGTGGTTTATTTCTAAGGTTGCTTAACGAATACAAGTCAGCAATTTAAGTTCTCAAATAGAAAAGAAAATGTGCTTGAAACCTTTTAAGGCAATGGTATTTTGTACTAACAAAAACATTTCATATTGGTTCTCTGAAATAGCCCTCAAGTAGTCATTTCTAGTTCAAAGAGGATAGGCCAAAAAAATTAGGTATTCTATTAATTATTAATACAATCTGTTGCTACAAAGCAATATACGCAGCCACTCATGACATTCAAGAAACCATACATCATGTTAGAAATTTCTTTTAGATGACTCTGAATAAGAACTTTAACCAGAAGGAATCTGAACACACGGAGGAAGACCAAGGTGCACATTTAACTGCTTTCAAAGATAAACCTAGGGCTGACAACAGGACTTTTTTGGTATTTACATACCTGCAATTAGGAAACTGTGAGGTTTTACCACTACCGGATACTGCCGCCCGTTAAGTAGGCCTCTAAGAATGTTTCAGTGAACAAACCACCCTTTGCTTTGGTTCTGAAAATACCTATTTTGAAATAGCTAAGGCAAATATTCAGAGGGACACAGCTCAATATTGGAAAACTGAATGGAAGAGGTAGAAATAAAGCCTTTCTTTGCAATGTGCTTCTGTGTAAAGGTAACAAATCAGTGATCTAGGGAAAACACAACTTAAAAATGACTCACTCTTTTATAGGATGTTTAAAGATAATGCTTTTTAATATTTCAAATATTTTTTTAAATCTCATCAAAAATGTTATCACCTTAACAGTACTTTGCACATGTGGAATTTCATACCTAAATTTGATACTATTTTGGTTTATTTATGGCTACTTACAAGAGTCACAGTAATAATGTCCACTCATCAGAGTCTTTCTTTGGTAGAGCCTAATGGGACCAGACAGATGAACTGTTATGCAAATGAGATGGATAAAGCAAATTCATGATAGTATGAATTATAAGGGTTTTTGTTTAATGGAAATACAACTTAAAAAGGATTTCCATATTTATCCCCATCATTATTTTGGAAGCTTAATACCCTGTTCAGGGGTTGAAGAGTTTGAATAGCTCACACAATCCTGTAAAAATGACAACTGGCTGCCCTTTAATAAATAAAGTCATTGTAAAGAATTACATTTACAGAGTGAAAAGTGAATACATAGCATTTCAAATTCAATTTTGGAAGTACTAATAAGTACTGACCCATAACAATATACACTAGCTATCTTTTTAACTGTCCATCATTAGCACCAATGAAGATTCAATAAAATTACCTTTATTCACACATCTCAAAACAATTCTGCAAATTCTTAGTGAAGTTTAACTATAGTCACAGACCTTAAATATTCACATTGTTTTCTATGTCTACTGAAAATAAGTTCACTACTTTTCTGGATATTCTTTACAAAATCTTATTAAAATTCCTGGTATTATCACCCCCAATTATACAGTAGCACAACCACCTTATGTAGTTTTTACATGATAGCTCTGTAGAGGTTTCACATCTAAATTACCAAGAAAGCCCTTCCCTCCCTCATCTTGCACTCAGCTTAATTCTATACTAGTCCTTGGATTATGTACCACTGTAAAAGTATAACTGTATCAAAATTACCATGTTTATGGATACAATATTATGCCATACAGAGCAACAAAGTTACATATAATGACAAAGATTACTGAAGTTATGCAAGACCAGAACAAATGTTAGGACATGCTACCTAGGCACAGTCCCTACAAAGAGGCTCCTAAGTACCCCAAGTTCAAATAACATTGACAAAATAATGAACAATTATCTTTAAAAATTATAAAGCTACTGGCAAATTAGGTAATTGCTAAATAAAGGTAGAGCATGAGATTAAACTCTAATATTTACAACTGCAACATACTTAATTACAATTGTGCACGTATCAGTGGCTTTGTAACAAAAATACAGAGAAAAAATTAAGTTTTCAGTTCAACAAGAGGTCGAATCCAATCAATCTCAAATATACTCAACAACTCAAAAGATTTACCACAGAATAAATTCAAGATTAGCTGATAAACAAGAGCCATATTACTGGTGTTTAAGACAAAATCTAAACAAGTTAAAATCTAATGCTTGATCAGAAGTCAGATGACTGTGCAAACTTTACCTCAACAGAAATATACTGAGATGTGCAAACAAATGTAAAACCTCCACTACTGGTTTGCCTGGGAGGCTGACCTTTTCTTTCTTACAGAGCTTCCTGATAACCATAAACTATAAATACAGGTACAATGCACAGTCAGTAATCTTTTCTTTTTTATTTATTGTTAGAATATAAAAGAATTGAGAGCATAGGTTTAATTTCATTTTTATAAGGAAGACTACATTTACCTGAAAAAGAAATATGGCATCACACACAAACACGCTTCAGGGAAGGAGTATATTTAAGAATATGGTGTCATTCTGAATGCTAAAGGAAAAGTGATCCCTGTTTACTATTAAAATATGTAGTGTAAAATTCTTTAAAGGAAACAACTCACTAAATCTCTACTAGGTAAGTTATTGTGAATTTAGTTTTCAAATCACAGTAATCCACATAACCATTATTAACAGCTCTGTTTCATAGAACTGCAACAAGCCAACAAACATTTAAATGCACTTCACATCAAGAGTATGTAAACTTTATTTTTTCCTCTTCAAGCCTTCAGAAAGTTAGGGGCTATTTCAGCAGCCAATCTGGTCAGAACCTCTGAAGGCAAAATTTCAGTGCCTCACAGTGTATATGACCATCTGTTGCACTGCACACATCTGGTAGTGAAGTGTCCCCTATCAGTGGCTTCCAGTAAGGCCTAGAGTTTAAGGTTAACATAAAAAAGTGCCACCTTTGTTTTAGATTAGTGATGGACTCTGACAAGATAAAATAAAGTTATTCTGTATATTGTTATACTTACAAGCAGCTCCAATCCTGAGTATTTACGGTAATATCTAAACATACAAAAATGTATGTACATTTTTCTCCACTTTCTTGTAAACAGTTGTCAGTATACTGTTTTATCCCTTTATCATTGAAACATGCAAATCATACATACAAGTATAAATACACAAAAGAAAACAATTTACACTCATTCAAAAGCCAAGCAACAAAAAATAGCTACAGTATTCAAATCATAAATAATGAATGCTTGAGGCATCTTATATTCCTAGAAGCAGCCAGCCATTCATCCTAATGTTCTTAGCTGCAATTGTAGAAATACTGAGTTTTGCACCTTCCATGCTTTTACAGTATTTATAACACTATCATATGTGGAGATAAAGACTTGTTTACTATAATCTCTTCTTTTCAGAATGAAGAATAAAGCAGCACTTACAAATATTGAAGCAGTGGCAGCAACAGCAGGGGTTACCACTGCTAGATCAGAAGGAATTTTTCCATTCTAACAATTTTTAAATTAAAAAAGTAAAGGAAAAATTGACCTAAACAAATTATTACATGTTCATTCCTTGGGCACTTAACAGTGAGTCCAGCATGTCGAATGTGTCTTTGTAGTCCATATGCTGGCTGCTTGTACTGTACTCGTGATTGGCATCAGGACCGTTGGTCTCCACTGGCTTCTTGTCCAGTTTCACGAGGGTGCTGAGATGTCCGTAGCCCACCTGGTATGTGACAGGGGGAGGAGGGGGTAAGGGATGGTTAAAAACAGAGTTGTGAGAGGATATATACTGCTTAACAGAGGAGGAAGAACTAGATGAACTACCTGAACTTTTGGAACTTTTGCTCATTTTGGAGTGGTGGTTGTGAGATGCATCATTGACATGCAGCCTCTTCCTTGAAGAGCTGGAGCTAGAGGAAATGCCATCACTGCTCAGGCCAACAGGACTCCTCAGAACAGTGGGTGGTATTCCGTCGGCACTGTGTTTACTGCCACCGCTGCTGCTGCCACTATGCGAGTGGGAATGCTTGTGGCTGCTGGTGTGGTGGCGGCTTGAAGGATGCTCCTTGTGCTTCTCCTTATGGTCTCTGCTAATATGTGGGCTTGAATGTTTGCTCTTCCCACTGCCTTCATCAGAAGAGCTGTGTCTTTCTGAAGAAGAAACTTTTATTTTCATTTTCAGTTCTTCTTTACTGGCGCTTTTATCAGTGGGTGGTATTGGAATCCGTAATTTCAGTGACCCACTCTTTTCCTTTTTGTCTGCCATGTATTTTTCAGTATTTGCGATAGGTATTTTCATTTTAATGGGAGAAGTAACAGAACTGCTGCTGGCTGCCTGTGACTGCCCTTGTTTGTGCTGCTGTTCTACCTGGGCAGCTATATAATGATCCCTTACATCGAGATCAAGAGTTTCTAGTTTACGCTTTTCTCTATATTTATCTAAAGACATTTTCTGAGGAATTATTCCTGGAGTAGTGGAAATTGGCCCATGGTGTTTACTGCTCCCTGCTTTATGAGTATATTCTTGCTTAACAGAAGAATGATCTGAAATTTTGTCAGGTCTGTGATGTAATCCTGAATGCAGTGATATAGAAGGTCCCTGCTGGAAGTTGATGTTGTACTGGCTACCAGACAAAGATGTCTCCTGTTTCTGTGAATATAGCTGTTCTGTCCTTGCTGAGTCTTGATGTTGAGGCCATTCCTGGTGTGATGATAAACCGTATGAAGTACTTGGCATTCCTGTTGCTAGCATTGACAAATTATCAGATGTATGGCTGTCTTGAACAGAAATATTTCCTGAATTTAGAGGTACTGGCGCAGGGAATGCTGATGTAGATGGTTTCTGAAAACTTGGGTTTGTAGGCACACCAGTGACACTATCTACTAAAATGGAATTCTGGACCAAAGATGAACCAAGAAGTGGTGTCTCTGATACCTGTCCATCTACTTTTGGTTTCCTAGCTGCCTGATTAGCCTATTAAAATAAAACACAGAAGAAGCAGTGATATAGCAAAATAATTTAATGCAAATTTCTTGTCTTATAAAAGTTATATATTAAAAACATTATATATTAAACATATGGAAATAAAATGACCTGGGGTTCAAGATTTTATGTTGTCAGTAAATAAATGCCTTAGAGGCATAAAAGGCTATAAAAAATTGAAAACACCCATTTTAGAATCAGATACAAGTTAAATCCTAGCCCAGCACTTCAGAAAGTAATTTAACTTGTCTAGGCTTCAGTTTCCCCATTTGTAAAATGAAGAGGATACTTTTGTCATAATCACTGCAAAAAATTTTTTAAAAGTATAATGTACTTTAGCAAAGTCCACTGGACTCAGTAGTTGAATATGTGAGTATATGTAACTTGAGATACGTTGAATTATTCAGGAATACTGCAAAGATTATTTAACCACAAAAATTCAAACTGGTTAGCTATGTAAATGTTACATAAAAGACTGAAATTCTGTTAAACCCTGTCAATTCTCTTACCCTCCAGTTTCGAATCTTCTTCAACCTATTAGGCGTTTTCTCCAATATTTGTAGAAACTCATGTGTTAGCTCTAAAAATAAAATTTAAATTTGAAACTTAGAAGGTGCCTTTAGGATTTAAATTTCTCTTAAGTGGGCAGTATTAAAAAGGAATGCTAGGAGTTCATCTACTTCACTTTTACCCTCCTATTAAATCCTCAGCATACACAGAAGTACACACAACTCTCAACCGGCATTTTCAAAGCTGAATCCTTTTGTAACGATTACTTTCCCTCTTGATTTTACTTGCTTAATTAGAATCTCTAGAAAA
Organism: Homo sapiens; assembly: GCF_000001405.40. Taxonomy (NCBI): domain Eukaryota; kingdom Metazoa; phylum Chordata; class Mammalia; order Primates; family Hominidae; genus Homo; species Homo sapiens. The sequence goes on along the minus strand of NC_000002.12, from coordinate 134,952,401 downwards.
TCTAGTAGCATTAAAAATAATCACCCCCCCAATAAAAAAAAAATCTTCATTAGGCAAACACCACAATAATTTTTGTCACAGACAAGATCTATCAAAAGATTCTTTAAAATTAGTGGACAAAAGTTTGAGGAAAAACGTTATTTGTATAATCCCAACGTATCTTCCCCATGAAATGTATTAATTACAAAGAGAAAAAAAATAGTGACTTTAAAGTGCAGAAACCACTTTAAGGATACCACTGTAACCAAGTGATCACGGTTGTCATGACCAGTTATAAGACGTATCAACATACTGTACCCCTTGATATGATGCACCAAGCAAGACCCAATTTACTTCTATGGTATTCTTGCTCAAAATGGATAACTTCGACATAATAATGAGAAATCATCAGACAAACCCCAACTAAGGAACACTGTATAAAATGACCATTATTCTCCTAAGTGTCAGTGTTATGAAAGACAAGGAAAGATTGGAGAACTGTCACAGACTGGAGAAGACTTGAAGGGACATGTCAACTAAATGGAACATGGGATCCTAGAATAGGGAAAAATATGGAATACTGAATAACATCTGTGGTTTAGTTAACAGTATTGTACCAATGTTAACTTCCTAGTTTTGATAATCATATATTGTTATGTAAGATGTTAGTACCAGGAGAAGCTAAAGGGTATACAGGGAACTATGCAATATTTTGCATTTCTTTCTTTCTTTTTTTTGTTAAATAACAGAGACAGGGTCTCGCTATGTTGACCAGGCTGGTCTCAAACTCCTGGCCTCAAGTGATCCTCCTATCTTGGCCTCCCAAAGTGCTGGAATTACAGGTGTGAGCCACCACACCCAGACTTTTTTTTTAAAGGGGAAAATTCCTCCAAATATACTTCCTAGCTATCAACACTATTAATATATTAGCAAACTATCTTCATTGTAAATTTCTACCAACTTTCTTAAAATTCTGATTACAATCAAATGACCCACTTTTCCAAAGTAGTGTGGTTTTGATGAACTAATAATGTCATTAATAGTTACTAGCCACTCTCAAATATTCATCAGTCAAATACATCAGAATATTATATAATATTAATAATGCCAATTCCACCTCAATACTGGGGGAACCTCTATTAATAGAGACTACAGGTTCATTTTGTAATAGCAAGCTTTTTTGTAAACTATTCTAAGCCAATGTTAAGATCGACACTTCAGACAAGCTATAATTTAACCATTAATCTTTCAAGATGTAATTTCCTTGACAATGTCATGACTAGTCCCTGCTAAAGTCTCATGAGCTTTTTCATCCAGTTTGGATGAAAAAAACCCTAATGCCCAGACCTTTACTTCCTCATTTGAAAAAAAAAGAAAAAAAAAAAGACTATTTTTCTACTTTTGGGTCCAACATTAACAAAACTGTTTTGACTCAATTTCTGTTAACAACTTGGTTGTAAAACATTAAATACACTTCAAGTTCTGGTCCAAAATCTCGTACACAAAATGTAAGCTTTGTTTTTCTTAAGTATCCTACTGTATTAAATTTTATAGCAGAACAACAAAAGAATCTGTTAAATAATCCATTAACATAATTAATTAGCTATATGCACAAAAATCACAGTATGTGCCTAAAATAGAGGCCCTTCTCTCTCAAAGCTACTGTCTAAGCCAATGTTCTTTTCTGGAACACAATCATTAAGTGAATTATTTCAGTAAGTAATAAGAATAGTAGTATCACTTCACTCTACAATTCAGATAAATCTTCATGTCTTTTTTTTTCCCCCCAGACAGGGTTTCCTCTGTTGCCCAGGCTGGAGAGCAGTAGCATTATCACAGCTCACTACAACCTTGACGTCTCAGGCTCAGGTGATCCTCCCACCTTAGCCTCCACAGTAGTTGGGTCTATAGGAGTGCGCCACCATGCCCGGTTTGTGTGTATTTTTAGTAGAAACGTGGTTTTGCCATGTTGCTCAGGCTGGGCTCAAACTCCTGTGCTCAAGATATGTGAGTGACTGCACCCGGCCACACCTTCATGTCTTTAATTTTGAATTGCCTTTTTGTGACTGACACAGAAAAAAAAGCTGCTGCAAAACATGGTGAAAGTCTTAACATATCAGTTCTCCAAGATTCCTATTCAATTGCTCTCCAAATTAACAAACTTTACTTTTCAGAATGGAAATGAGGTAGCTCCTCCTGTGTCAAAAAACCCCACATAAACCACAACCTAACCTCTGACCTAAAGACAGGATAAAAGGCAGATTACTTTTCTGTGATCTTTTTACTTCAGCACCAGGTATATAAACTATTTTTATTACGATTATGCCTACTGGCTGGGTGTGGTGGTTCACGCCTGTAATCCTAACACTTTGAGGCCAAGGTGGGTGGATCATGAGGTCAGGAGTTCAAGACCAGCCTGGCCAACATGGTGAAAACCCTATCTCTACTAAAAATACAAAAATTAGCCAGGCGTGGTGGCAGGCACCTGTAATCCCAGCTACTCAGGAGGCTGAGGCAGAGAACTGCTTGAACCCGGGAGGCGGAGGGTGCAGCGAGCCGAGATTGCGCCACCGCACTCTATAGCCTGGGCGACTGAGACTCTGTCCCCCACCCCCCCCCCGAAAAAAAAATTTTGCCTACCTAATCTTAATCTAGTGACTATTAAACTAAAACAATGACCTAGATAACCTGATTTTTCAAGCTATAGAACAGATAAGCCCTCACTGAGTTTTAGATGTCATTTCAACTCATTGAAGACTTCCTTTCCTCTGGATAAACTCTGAAAAAGCCTCTAACAATTTAAGAAAAACATTATAATCATGCAGCAATAATACAGCATGAGATATATATTCTGGGATAATTTTTTCCAGGTGGAAAACAAAATAGAAAAGGATGAAACAAAGAAGCATATTTCACAAATAAGAACAGGCAAACTATGGATAATTGGCCAAATATGGCTGGCCACCTATTTTTGTCAACAAAAGTTTTACTGGAACACAGTCACACCCAATCAGTTACAAATTGCCTATGGCTGCTTTCTGGCTGCAATGGTATAGTTGTATAGTTGCAACAGAGACCTTATAGTTCACAAACTCTAAAATAGTGTTACTCTTTGCAGACCCCTATCTTAAAGAAACATCAGGTGGGGCACAGAGGCTCAAACCTGTAATCCCAGCCCTTTGGGAGGCTAAGACAGGTGGACTGCAAAACCCCATCTCTACTAAAAATACAAAACTTAGCTGGGCGTGGTGGCATGCGCCTATGGTCCCAGCTCCTCAGGAGGCTGAGGCAGGAGAATCGCTTGAACCTGGGAGGCAGAGGTTGCAGTGAGCCCAGGTTGCACCACTGCGCTCCAGCTTGGGGGGCAGAGTGAGTATCTGTCTCAAAAAACAAAACAACACAAAACAAGGCCAGGCACAGTGGCTCAAGCCTGTAATCCCAGCACTTTGGGAGGACAAGGTGGGCAGATCATCTGAGGTGAGGAGTTTGAGACCAGCCTGGCCAACATGGTGAAACCCCATCTCTACTAAAAACACAAAAACTAGTTGGGTGTGGTGGCTCGTGCCTGCAGTCCCAGCGACTTGGGAGGCTGAGGCAGGAGAATTGCTTGAACTCGGGAGGTGGAGGTTGCGGTGAGCCAAGATTGCACCACTGCACTCCAGCCTTGGCGACAGAGTGAGACTGACTCAAAAAAAAAAAAAAGTGTTATCTATTTTCTTGCTGAAATCTACAGTACGTGGTTAAAATGCCCTAATCCCAAGAATCTCCCATTTCTGGCCGGCTTCTTTTACTTCTCAACCAGAGGAATTTCTCATCAAAACATCCCCAAAATTCCACGTTCCTAATTAACAGAACACACACCCACAATTTCTCCTTGTGTATTCATATTTAACAATGTAAGGCAACAATGGTAATACAGAGCAAGAAACACAATCCCCTGAAAATCCCTTTCGTTTACTGCTTCACAGTTAACACTCAACTTTCAGTATACACATTTAAAACTCAACAGAATTAGTATACTTTAAATCACTATTCTTATCTTGTCAGCTTATGGAATTCTAAACCTTACTTATTTATTTTTTAAGTCCTGAAAAAGCTTTAGATATTTGGTGGTAGTTAATATATACCCAGGCTGGAGTAGAGCAGTGCCTTCAAGGCTTACCGCAGCCCTGACTTCCCGTGCTCAAGTGATCATCCCGCCTCAGCCTCCCAAGTAGCTGAGACTATAGGCACGCACCACCACACCCAGTCAATTTTTAACTTTTTTTTTGTAGAGACAGGGTCTATGTTGCCCAGCCTGGTCTTGAACTCCTGGGCTCAAGTGATCCTCCTGCCTCAGCCTCCTACAGTGCTGGGATTACAGGTATGAGCACAGCTTCCAGACTCTATTTTTTTTTCTTTAGGCTGATGAATTGTTGTTTTCATTCTGTTCATCTGATAGTGTACTGACACTTTCTATTGTCAATTCAGACAACTGCCAACTTAGATAATTCCAAACTTAAAAATTTATTTTCTCTACTTACCATCTAATAATTCTAGAGTAACTGTAGGATCCACATATTCCCACCAATGCTTTCCATCAGTTGATACAGGGATCTCCCAATTGGACCATTTGCAAGCCAAATGAATGCATACACATGCTATCACTGTTGGTTTGTACTGAAGACAGAAGGTTGTAAGATGCAGACTGTTGCAGAGCAGGTTTGAAAATGGAGAGCCATAAAAATTCAAGTATGTAAAACAAAGAAAAACATTTACCAGTAAGATTAGAGCAAAATTTAAACTCTATCTTTAAGTCTAGAGTATAAAACCTTATTTTATTAAATTAAAAGCTAAGTTATAAAATTCTAGTACTAAAAAATCTACATAAAATGAACATTTCCCCTCACTCACTCCCGAGTATATTACTAATATATTAATATTTAAAATTTTGTTTTTACATCTAAAATTGAAGTATTTTATAAAAGGAGAGGAGGATAGTATATTTGCAATAATCACTATATAGATAACACTGTAAATTTTTTGTGGTATTTTTCTTTTGTAATGTCATGGTAAATATGTAAATGGAAAGATAAAAACTATTTGTAAAATTGACAAAGTAATTTCAATCTCACAATAATCAGGGATTATCCCAACTGAAGTGGCTTAATAGGCATTTGCTTTCTTTAGTGAAGCAGAGAATTAAACACGTATCTATGTAAATCTATGCCTTGTTTTTCAGCAAAGCCACAAAGGAAACTTACCTTTTGCCAAACAGCTTCAAGGCTCAATGTTATTAAATACTGCAAAAATACTACCTTTCTCCTTCCACTATATGCCAAATATGGGGCATGAAATATGTGTCACAGCTAGCCTTTTCTAATCAAAGTTCCAAATTTAAGTCTTTTTATGTTGCTGTTCAGAATTACTGGGGATAGAGGTTAAATACCAACAACAGATATTTGAGAAAATATAGCAGTATTTGCCAATGTGAAATTGTAAATAAAACTTATCAGTGTCACAAGAAATTAGGGACCATACAAAGCTGGTTTGGTCCCTTCTCCCCAATGATCCACTCAAAAAGACAAATTTAAATCATTAATAAATCTAGAACAGAATTATATATTAAAGGCTCCTTAAGACTATTCTTCCAGTTCAGTTTCAATGATGGAAATGTTATCTGTTCAGCCATAAACACATACCATTTTTTACTCTATATAAACTGAAAAGGAAGGTTTTTTTGTTTAAAAAAAAAAAAAAAGGAAAAATTGTGTTTATGCAAATCCAGGCATGGATAGGACTTGACTACTTTTAACTTGCTACTAGTGGGTATTATCTGAAAAAAAATTTCAAATTACATAAATTTTATTTATTAAAAAAACTTTAATGAGTATTTTAAAGTTAAGACTGGATCAACGTGAAATTTTAAAAATTGTCATTTAACTATAATTGTAAACTGGAAATAGCTTTATACTTACCAAGTTGCTCGAATTTCTACGTTAAGTTTAGCTCTTTGTAATCTTTAGCTGCTATTCAGGCTACCAATTTTAGACTTATGCACTCACAAATCGAGAATATGTCATCAGAAAGCACCACTACACTTCACATTGTGCATTTAACCCCTCTGTGCCCAAAGTCCCTTGTACAATACACCGCAAAGCAAACAGGAAGGTACCACCACAGTAGATGGTCCAGTCTCCTGTCGCAACAAGGGTAAGAGACACATTGAGGGGGCCCTGCATTAAAGGAAGCTATAGTGTGCTACAACAGTGCAACAAAGAGGGTCAGGATAACAACCTGTTGGTAGCCATGAAATAGGATGTCTGTGCCAAATCCTTGCTTGCTGTAAGAAAAAAAAAAAAACGAAGACAATACTATCAGCCTTAACGTGCTACAATCAAAAAGTTCTCAACACAACAAAAACTTCAAAGATTTGTACACAAAAAGTAAATTTTACTTACTACTTACAAATATCACAAGAGCGCCATCATTTTCTATACTACTGAAAATCTTCAACAACATTCACTCAAATGTTTCTTGCTATCCCCCAAAGATCTGAGAAACAAGCCGATTTGCTTTTAGCTAGCCAGTTACAAGGGCTAAACTTGTTACTAAGTTAAGCATCTAGTCAGCTAAAAGTTGCAATAAAGCATTCTCCTGGATTTAAAAAAAAAAGAAGAAGAAGAAGAAAAGATTTTGAAGTCTAATACAAAATACAAAGAGTTGCCTGCCAGACTTAATCCTCAGTCATATTTAAGTTGGCTTAAATACTTCCATCAAAAACAAAACAAAACAAACCCCCACCCCACAAAACACAGAGCACAAACTGCTCAGTTTTTCATCATGCTATTAAGCATCAACAGAGAATAAACCTAGAAACAGCATACGGGTACAGATACAGGAGGCTCCACTGTATTTTAGTTCAAATTACAGAATCTAATTAAAGACTAACTTAGGAAAGATACAGGTATTCTAGGGAGGATCAGAATGCTTCAACACTGATACCCAACAGAAAGGCAATTTTTAATTAGCTTAAGACACTGAAAAGTTTTCCCTCCCCTTATTCTGCCTCTTAGTCTTCCCAACAGGGATGCTCTTGTTATAGTTTCCCTTTTTCCCAATTACATCCACAAGCACTGACATATCTTTCCCCTCTGCTCACCTAGGATCAGTTTATCTCAACTCCACCCCTCTAACCGTCCTCAAATTTCTTTCCCCCTCCCCTATTTTTTATTCATGGCACCTGTAATCCCTGCTGCCCCATGTGGATCATCAACATAAAGGTTTTACAAAAGGGATTGGGGTTTAGCAGAGTTGTGCTAAGGAAGAGTGTCAAAGCATCAGATGTCTTGGAGGCAGTGTGACTTTCCTGGTGGGGAGGGAAGGAGAAATCACAGAAGTGAAGGTCCCTGTAAAATGACATTAGCCAATTCTGCAGCAAAGTAGCATAATACCAACTTTCTCATCTCCAGAGGGGAGAAAAAGACTTCACAGAAATCAAATTTATTTTCCCCTCCCCCTCCGAATAAAAATACGTAGAGAAGGAAAAAATAATAATTAAAAAATGCCATTAGCAGTTTTCACCTAGGCATGTATCTAAATTCAGTGATCCAGAAACAGTCACTGTGCAACAGAGAATAGAGGGGAAATGCTGTTAGCTAAAAGTTGTAAAAGAGCAAAGAAAACAAAAAGACACTAAAACATGAAACAGTACTTTTAAAATGGAGTGAGATATATTCTAGTTACCTGAAATGTTAGTCAGACAAAATGACATTAAACATATATATGGTTTGTACTCAAAGAATCAGTCACATTTTAACATTAACAACAACAAATAATCTGGTCTAAATATTTGTTTTGGATGACATATCAAATTTGTAGTTTTTGTAAATGTTTTAAAAGTTACTATTTCATTTTTCAAGTAAACTGACTTCATGTCTCTAGAATTTTTAGTTGTAGGAGAACTTGTACAAAAAATATTAATCTCTGATAAAGAATTTAAAGTTGACTCAAATTTCACAACAGTAACCTGAAAATCCAATTTCCTAAGTTAATATTCACAAGTAATATTTTTAAACATATACTAGTACTTCCTTCAACTAATGTTTCTTCAATAGGCTCTTAATTTAAAGCAAATTATATGGCTACAATGCTTACAAAGTTTAGCTTAACCTTTTTCAAGTTCTTAGAAAAAACTAACCCTTTTTCCTTAATTCAACAACTACAACTAGTTATGCATATAATTCTATGCTATACTGTAATATTCAGATGAAAATGTGCTATAAAACACGCTGATATAACCATGAAGAACAGGAACCACAGTTAAATATGTTCTAGCTTACAAATGATAACGTGTGCTACTACAAAAAAATACAAATTAGATTTTCAGATGTCTACTTCCTAATGACACTATCAGACAGTTTTTAAAAAATTGTAGCCACTAACATAATAAATCACTAGGTATAAAATGAATTCAATTTAGAATGAATAAAATGTGAGAATACTTAGGTAAATACTAAAAACAAAAGATTTTCAAAAGTCGTACTCATTTTGTTTAGGATAAATCTAAAAAAACTTGGTAGTAAATGAATGAAACTGCAAAATTCTATTTTCAAAAAGGAAGTAACAGAAAATGGCACATTACAAGTCCCAAGTGGTTGCTATGAATACATTAACACTTGAAATGGAAACAGGAAAGTGGAAGTAAGAAGCAGAACAACATGCAACTGTGTAAAAAATATTTCTAGGGATACAACAGATATATAGGATTCATTTAGGAGTAGAAAATGCTGTATCAGATACTACCAGATACTTTACAAGCAGTAAAGCAATATTTTTAAAAAGTACTCCTGTTTATAAACAAGACGCTTAACAGGCACATCACAAACTAAATGTATTATGCTCTATAATTATTTCTCCGTTACAAAAAGGAAACCACTTTTAGTAATGTCAAAGACCCTCGAAAAATACATTAAATCAATTTTAGATTGCCCAAATGAATATGGGCAAAACACTCCCCCCACAAAAATAACTTTTTTTTTTGAGATAGGGTCTCACTCTTGCTGCCCAAGGTAGAGTGCAGGGGCATGATCTGGGCTCACTGCAACCTCCAACTACTGGGCTCAAGCCATCCTCCCACCTTGGCCTCCTGAATAGTTGAGACTACATGCGTGTACCACCACAACCAGCTAATTTTTGTGTTTTTTGTAGAGATGGGGTTTCACCATGTTGCCCAGGCTGGTCTCGAACTCCTGAGCTCAAGCGATCAGCCTGCCTTGGCCTCCCAAAATGCTGGGATTACAGGTGGGAGCCACCGTACTGACAAATCTTTTAACAAAGGCAATTTTTATCTGAAAGGTCTGAGGTTGGCCTCAAAATTCTTCAACTGTTATCACTTTTCAAAAAGTCAAAGTTTGACACAAACCCAAAATTAATATTATTTTCTGAACCTATGCACTATTGGCCCACACTTGACTGAAATGGGACTAGCAAAGCTCAATGGGGGATGGATAGAGTCCTAATACTTGGAAGCCCTCCGGAGTTTTAGTGAAATGAGATTCTTACCTATGTTTAAAGGAAGCTAACATACCAGGTAGAATCACAAATAGAAGTAGATGTAGAACACTAAAAAGTAATGCTTAAAAAATGACATTTCTCCCTAATTTTAATGAAACCTAACAAAAGGCTAGAAAAACAAAATAGCACCCAAATCAATTACAGATAATAAAAAGCATTAATACTTATCTTAAAAGTTTCAAGGATCACCTACCTCTTACTAACTGGGTACATTTCACCACATCTGTGTGTGGGTGTTCAATGGTGATCTCAAAACCTGAAATGATAAGCACTTTTTTTTCCAATCTCTTACCACTACAGTACTTGCCTGAGAAATGCCATAAACGTATAATATATTCTTCATTATTAAGAAAAATCCAAAGTTATAAGTTTCTCATCACTGACATTCTCATTACTTTTCCAATGACAAGATATAATTTTTCAAATACAATGTCTCAATTATGAAAATAAAGTTAAAAGACCAAGGGTAAATTTATTCAAAATTCTGAATTATAAATGATTCGGGATTATCTTAAAAACAAATTAAATTCCTGGCAAATACAACTGTTAAGCTGGTCCCACAATTTAAGGACGGAATTCAACTACGTAATATCTTTCTTAATATTCCAAAGCTTTCTTTCAGAAGACATGAAAAGTGCAGTTTTCATAAACATAACTGTTGGGCCACAGTGGTAGAAACGAGCTTTTAAATGATACGGCACTCTAGATCAAAGGGTTTCAACCAGTTACCTTATAACCATACTTCATTAATAATCAAAATCATATGACAAACCATAGAGGTCTCATGACTGCTTAAACTACTGTTTCTAATACCAAAGATGAAATGTTTAAAAGCTATCAACGTGCAATCAACCCTTAGGTGTGGCAGGGTTTCTGTTTTTATTAAAAGTGAAGATCACATTTGGTTGTCTTCAGAAGCAGTAAGTAAATAAAATCCTAACAAATGGGTAATCTAGATTTATAAAGTTGTTGTGTGGTCTATATATAGTTCTACTGTAATTAAATATGCAGAATACTTTAAAGCCATAGAGGCATATCTTCTAAATTCTAATGTTCCCCTTAAAATAACACTTTTCATTCTCTGTGCTTAAGAATATGTCATAAACAATATGGATATTACATTACGATTTTATATAACAACTAAATATTTTATAATGATTTATGATTTTTCATTTTCAATTTTTTACTTAAATGAAATTTATATAATTTTGTATAGTAAAACAATAACATGCTAAATCATTGGATTTGGAAGAAATAAGACCCTCACTTTTTTGGTATCTTTTTATTTTATAGAAACTTCAAATAATTTACAGCTGACCTCTGAACAACGCAGGGCCTAGGGGTGCCGATCCCCATGCAGTCGAAAATCCAAGTACTCCCCTAAGACTTAACTATCGTTGATCAGAACCTGCTTACCGCTGAAGCCTTACTGGTAACATAAACAGTTAATCAACACATATTTTGTATATGTATCATATACTGTATTTTTACAACACAGTAAGCTAAAGAAACTATTAAGAAAATCATAAGGAAGAGAAAATGTATTTACTAGTATTAAGTGGAAGTGGATCATCATAAAGGTCTCCATACAGAGTAGGCTGAGGAAGAGGGGTTGGTCTTACTGTCTCAGGTTGGAAGACACAAAAGAGGAGGCAGGAGAGGCAGGCAACACCTGGTGTAACTTTACAGAAATACACCACAATTTCTGTCTTTCGCTGGCATTAAATTCTCTGGCTTTAGATCCTTCACCTTCCCTTTGCTTTAAGCTTCTCTCCAATCATATTAGAGTCCATAGGTATGCCTTTCTTACAGCAATCCTGCATTCACATAAAAGCTTCATTTTCAATATGAGATAAAGTGCAAGGTTTTTGTGCCTGCTGGTATAGCTGCAGCGATGACTTCACAAATGTCTTTTTCTTCTTTCACACTGAACCTTACACTGGATTCATTTATCTTGAAATGGGCAACTGTAGCTACAGACCTCAATCTACAGTACATATCAAACAATTCAACTTTTTTTTGTAACATCACAACTTTCATCTGCTTCTTGGGAGCACTTCTGGCATCACTAGAGGCACTTTGTATGGGTCCCATGGTATTAATCCAAGTTTCCAGTATCGCACTAAATACGGTAAAAATATGCCAGAACCTCTTTTACCGCAATATGTAATTTACTGGAGAGACAAACTGTTCAGAGATGACAGGTGTCACACAGCATTTTACGTGGATACTCATAACATGTGAGCTCACTGCAATAGCAACAGGAGGTGGCTACAAAATTATCACAGCAGTACAGTTACGTATTATTAAAATTAATTTTATGTACCTTTACATTTGTTTATTTACATTTTCTCTTAACTGCGAATAGAGCCACATATTGTCTGTTTGTGTGCCTAACTTTTTAAAATTTTTATCTTTTAAAAATAGATTTATGTATATTTTATGGCAGTAAATGATAAAATAGACTAATATCTATATATAGTTTATGCATTCATGACATATCCAATTTTTTCAATATTTCTAGGCTACAGCTCACCTACAAGTTTTTTCAAATTGTTGCAAATTCCCAATTTTCCAATATTATTTATTGAAAAAAATCCATGTAGACCCATGGAGTTCAAACCCGTGCTGTTTGAGGGTCAACTGCATATGTATTTCACACAAACTAGTTTTGTAACGAAGAGTCTGTCACAATGGGAAATTGTGACTGATTTATCGCACTTCTATTCAACATCTGGGAATGGAGTAATGAAATTAAAAAAATGACAAATTCACGATATGACTCAGATACTATTCCACCTCTACAGAATGGAGGTACAACAGGTAAAGGAACTTTTGCCCAAGTTTACAAAGCAAGTCAGAGGCCTACAGATTTTAACTTGGATCTCCCCAAAGCCCATGTTCTTCCTACCACATCCTAGTAGGTTCTTCCAGAACTAACATATGACTTTAGATAAGCCATCACTTTCTTAGGCCTCAATTTCAGTAAATTGAGTAAGGTGAATGGTGACAGTAAATGAACTTGCATACAAAGATATAACCTTTAGAAAAGGATGACCAACATTTAAATAATTACTATGTCACATTAAAAATCATATGATAGGCCGGGCGTGGTGACGCACACCTGTAATCCCAGCACTTTGGGAGGCCAAAGTGGGCAGATTCCCTGAGCTCAGGAGTTCATGTCCAGCCTGGGCAACACGGTGAAACCCCGTCTCTACTAAATTACAAAAAAATAACCAGGTGTGGCAGTATGCACCTGTAGTCCCAGCTACTCGGGAGGCTGAGGCAGGAGAATTGCTTGAACCCAGGAGGCAGAGGTTGCAGTGAGCCGAGATGGCACCACTGCACTCCAGCCTGGGCGACAGAGCGAGACTCCGTCTTAAAAATAAATAAATAAATAAATAAATAAAATAAAAAAGGTGATATACTCATAAAATACTGACTGGCAGCTCGAGGAGAATAAGGATTGCTGTGTAGGTTTGTATACATCATAATCATATAAAACAACCCTAAAGGACCATTTTACTCTCCAGTGCAAATCCAGAGTGAAGCACAGTACTTCAACTACCTGAAAACCTAAGAAATCATACTGAAGGGTACGTTTACCATTCAATTTAATTATGCCAAATGAAATTAAATTCTAGAAAAGTAATTTCCTTATAACCAGGCAACCTTATTCTGTCTAAAACCTGTTTTAAAATAACTTTCTTCAATAATACAATTATTTCAGAAATCTTTTCACTTATTTAGAATGCTTTAGTGAAATACACACAAAAAGCCATTATCTGATGTAAGTACGTACCTAGAGTTTGTAGCATTATGGTTTCAAGTATAACCAGTTCTTGAGTCTGTTGAAGGTAAGCCTGTCAGATAAAAATATTATCAAATTGATTAAAATAAAAATAACATTACTAGACTGCATGACTGTTACATCTTGTGAGAATTACAGGTTGATTACAAAAGAACCACAGTAGTTTGAAAATATGGAGAAAATAAACTGAGGGTGACAGAGAAAGCCTGTATTCTGTGGCAAGCCTAAACTGAATTACTTTCTGTAACAGGAAACAAACACCAGAAAACAAAAACCTAACCAATATGAAAGAGGGTAAGTTAATTGAAATAAGGAGATGTGCACAGTCTGTAAAGTGAAACAACCTAGGCACTGGTGCTTCAAGAGATATTAAAGACAGGAAGCACCAAGTCAATTAAAAACATCCAACTCAAACCTGCCTTTAACCCAAACCTGGCTTACAAACTCACTCTAGGACATTTCATGTGGTAATTCCTCAAAAGTCACAGTAAGTCACTGAGTAAATTTTAGAATTAACTTCCCTGCCACCTTAGAAATGACCAAACATACCAAAATAATGTATCTCATACCCACGGGGACATAAATACCAGAGAACCTCCTTATTCAATTTCAAGAAATTATCCCTCTATTACAGTTACTCTGGAAATAAAGGATATGAAAAATTACTGCTGTCCTATTCTGAAATCATGACAATTGACCAAAGTGATAAGGAAATACTATATTACTGATATGAATATACCTATATTCATTTTTGTAAGGACATATTTCTAAAGCCAGAGAGTAAAAGTACCTTTTATTTTATTTATGCTCTACTTTGAAAGGTCATTGAGCTGATTTTTAAAACAGTCAATTTCTATTATTTAAACAGTACCCCAAGAAATAGTTCTGAATTTGTACAGTTAATATAAACTGTAGGAATTATCTTTAAATAATGACAACCTATTATTTAATGGCTACATTAACAGTTTACTCCCTTAAAGCCAACATTATGATAAAACTTGCCATTAATAAAATCAGATATAGTTCCATTGAAGCTTAAATTAATCGGGACTTTGAATTAATATAATCTGTTAGTCATTCAATGGGTAAAGGTTCCTGATTAAGTAACTCAGGATGCTAGAAAAAAAAATTTTTTTTTTGAGACGGTGTTTCACTCTTGTTGCCTAGGCTAGAGTGCAATGGCACGATCTCAGCTCACCGCAACCTCTGCCTCCTGGGTTCAAGCGATTCTCCTGCCTCAGCCTCCCAAGTAGCTGGGATCACAGGCATGTGCCACCATGCCTGGCTAATTTTGTATTTTTAGTAGAGATGGGGTTTCTCCATATGATCAGGCTGGTCTCAAACTCCCGACCTCAGGTGATCCGCCTGCCTCGGCCTCCCAAAGTGCTGGGATTACAGGCATGAGCCACTGTGCCTGGCCGAAAATTTTTAAAGGGCCATAATTCTAACTTCCTTATTTCTCCTTATTTCTTAAGATGTCAGAAAAATTTAAAACAGTTCTTTCAAATAAGGTCTATTACAATGTTGATGATAAAGTTGTCTGGAAAGGAACATTACTCTAGGAAAATTAAAATACTAAAAAAATGCTGCTCATGAAAGCAAAATAAAATGCAGCTTTATGTATCAGAGAGATAAGCAGTAGTACATGCATTAAAAAAGGAACAATACTTTAAAAAGACTACTCATCTAGGGGTAAATTCAGAAGATTTTCTGTTCCTTCATCTGTTGACAATTTAAGGAGTTATTTATATTCTGGTCTCAAATACAGCTTCCAGCGGAGGTGATAGGACTTACCCTCTACATATATCATAACTCTGAACAACAAAATATGAAACAAAAGTATCTTTGAATCAACAAAGCACCTGGAATCAAAGCCTTCTATAATTCAGAATGACATCCAAATTCATGAACATACATTATATGTTTTTCTGCCAGACTGCTTCCTGGCATTGCATTCCTAAGAGGTAATAAAACAAGCAGCATTTGGAAGGCACCACTAATTGAACTGTGTATTTTTGTTAGGCCTACATTATGAAAAAGTTTCAAATTTACAAAGAAAAATAAAAAACCCAGTATTTACATACATCACATTTAGTATCCAGCAGTGGCTCTAGAGGATGAAGACAAGCATGTGCTACTTTGATAACATGTTCAAGTTTTCGAGCCTGTTCTTCCACTTTTGCAGCCAAAAATAATGCAGTAGACGATATTATCTGCAGAAAAGATAAAACTCTGGTCATTTAAGAACAAATACATTTCAAAAAACCCTCTATTTTCTTTTCTTTTCTGTTTTTTTTTTGAGGTGGAGTTTCGCTCCTGTTGCCCAGGCTGGAGTGCAGTGGTGTGATCTCGGCTCACTGAAAGCTCCACCTCCCAGGTTCAAGCGATTCTCCTGCCTCAGCCTCCCTGAGAAGGTGGGATTACAGGCATGCACCACCACACTGGCTAATTTTTGTATTTTTAGTAAAGACAGGGTTTCACCATGTTGGCCAGGCTGGTCTCGAACTCTTGAGCTCAGGTGATCCATCTGCCTCGGCCTCCCAAAGTGCTGGGATTACAGGCATAAGCCCCTGTACCCAGCCCAAACCTTCTATTTTTTAAGGGGGGGCGGGTGTGCAAGGAAGGAATGCAATATTAATAGTATGAACTGTGAGTTGGGCTATGACAAGATTGATGTAATAGTTTTAATAAAGTTATTCATTAAATAGAACTAATCTATAAATCTGTTTTACTCGTTTTGCACATAGAACAAAGGGGAAAAGGGAAAAGACATACTAAGTAAGTTGACTGAACATACTAAAAATGCTAAAGAGAAAGTTTAAATAATATTAATTTGCACATTGTGGAGGCAAAGAAGAAAATAAGCAAAAAGATGATGCTATACCTGAAAAAAAAAAAAAAAGATGAAAAGCGGATCAAGTATACCCACTATACTCCTTTTCTAGGCACAGAGTCACCATTTTCTAATACTCTTTTAAAAAATCAAGCAATGATTCATTGTGTGGCTATAACTACCACACAAGATAGTGAAGATACCTTCACTATCTTGTTGAAGGAACAGAAAAACCACCTAGAGGGCAAAGTAAGGAGGATTCTGAACATAAAACTGTTACTTAATTATCTCTATTACTTAACTATAGCAATAATGAAAGCAGCTACACCACCAGGGTATAAGCATGTAATATAAACCAATATAGTAGAAACTTTGCCAATCAGAGATCCATAAATTAGCAATTTTTTTTTTTTAGCTTAGTAAATTAGGTCCTTGGGACAGAAATATAAGAACACAAGCACTACAAAGATACTAAGACAGAGAAACATGAAGTTTGAATATGTACCCCAAAAGTTAATAATAAATCAAGTAACTGTGGACTTAGAAAATAGGCATAAAATAAACTCAAATAATGTTTTAAGATTACATTCAAGAAATTTCCCATGGGAAGACAATTTCTAAATGTCAAGATTTGAGTACCCATTTTTCAAGAGATGAACATTTGAGCCTCACTATGTCTTGCAGGGGGCGTCAACAATTACCGTACAGAAACAATGCCAAACTGGAGGTGAAGAAAATTTCTGACAGAGGGACAGTGGATCCTTTCAGTATGAGATCTTTTAAAATGTAATATGAAACTTAATCACTGGAATTAGGATCTGAAAAGGACCTTTCTAGTCCAACTGCATTTGCAGATGTGTAAATGAAGTAAAAATGACTTTAAGAAGTTTTCCTTCTGGTAAATCTTTATAACAGATGTAAAATAGAGTTTGGCTCCCAAGAACTAGAAATAATGTTAACTTAAAATGAGTGAATAATTTTAATTTGCACTTTCAACTTATTTCTTCCTTTTAAAATTACAACAAGGAAAGGATTAGAAAAATTGAGAATGCTCAAAAGAGTAATTTAGTCTGGAAGTAGCTTGAACACAGAACAGAGTTCTTTATTTGTGTTCCTAGGATTTAGCACTATGTGGCTGTTGTTCAATTTGTTGAATGAATATGTATAATATATAGTGGCACTAATATTAAATTCAAAGTATTCCAAATGCCACTATAAAAATCTGAGAGCTGATGCCCACATAAGACATTCAAGAAAATGAAGACACTCTCAGTTTCCCACAATCTCTCATTTATTGTCATTATTCATGTCTAACAGGGGAATGGTTAATCAAGCCTTCAAATGCTAAAACTATTTGTCAGAGTGAAGCAATAGAGGCTCAGGTCAAAAGTCAAATTAGACCGAATTTAGTACTTAAACTTCCTTCCTGTCAGATGATCCAGAATTTCTCTTACTTGCCTGAAAGACACTGATCAAGAAATACTTTCCAGCTAAACACTAATTCCCAACACTCTTCCAAAGTTCCTGGTGAAATCCACTAATTCCATTCACATTTCCTTCTCTATAACCTGCAAATATTTTCCTCCATCAAGGCTGTAAAAACAAAACAAAACACCTTTTTAGATAAATATTTTGTGAGTATCCATGTGAGGCTTTAATTTCAAGGATGATTAAGGAAGGTGATCAAACTAGGTACTACTGCTTTTTGTATGGAAGGTGATTTTGTTGTGAGGCTTAAAAGAATTCCAAATGTTTTGGGTAACAGAAATATTACTAGTTGGTCCAAAGCTTTTAAAGGTGAGCATACTTTTGAAGCCAACAAACATTCACTGGCACATGCAAGCTTGGTTCAAGCCAAATAATTCACACTAGTATTGGAGGAGTACAGCTGGTTTGGTTCAAGTAATCAAACAATTACAAACTGAGATTCAGTTCACTGAGGACAGGGACCATGCACTATTTATTTTTGTATTTTGGACCTAGTTTAATAAACGTTCTCAAATTAAAGGGAAAAAAGTAAAAGGAAGTTGATGCGAATAGTGTTTAGAATTGTTTGAACTCTGAATAGTGTCATGAGTTTGTTACTCTAGCAGATATATAACTATTTCAAGGAAATGTAACATTCTCAAAATGAGACAAATAGATATTTGTGGAATTTCTCTATAGAAATATATCATACAAATCATGGAGACGGGGAGGTAGAGATGACAGAGCCAGCCATAGCCATGCTGCCTCAAGTGGAATCTTGGCTCTGTGATCTGACTAGCCTAGACAATTTACTTATTCTCTTTGTGGCTCAGTTTCTGCATCTGTAAAATGGGAGAAATATTAATAGTACCTGCTTGTAAAGTTGTGTGAGGATTAAATGAACCAATATACACAGGACTTAGAATAGTGCTCCCTAGTAATATGACTCAAATATTATTATTATGTTGAAAAATTTTTAAAATTGTGCATGTTAATGTTGATTTTAAATTTAAAAAACAATTTAACAAGTGTATTTTTTAAATTCCCTTCTCTCTTGCTCACCTTCTTCCTTTCACAGGTAAACTTAATTCTTGGAGGGTCCTGCTGCAGTCTAAGCAAGCATATCCAAACACTGAATTTATGATATTTGACATTACTTCAGTGATTTACATCCATATTCCTTTCACTCCTTCTCTTTTTTATTCCTTTTTGTTTCCATTCCTACTTCTTGATCTGACTCCCTTCCTTCTCCATTTTTTCTCCTCCTGCCCACTCCTGGCTGCTGTCTCCCCTCTCTGCTCCTGATACCCTTACTGCTGATATTCTTCACTCTCCGCTGCTGGCTTCAACCTTGATAGCGGAGGCAAGGTCAGGCTGAGTTAACAAAAAGTCTGGGTAATTTCTAAGTCACCCAAGATGGCTGTATTCAGTTTCAATGAATCATTCTAGTCCTTATTCTCTTAATATTAATAATTAATCCTGTGCAAACACTTTGTGGGTGTATTTGTATTTAAGAACTAGCCAAAGCTATCTGATTACTCTTCAACATTAAATCTCCCAATCCAGGAAAACCCCAACAGAAGCAAAGAAAAGGATTCCAAGTTTGCTTTTCACTTACTATTACCAACAGGTTCATTCTAACCTGTTCTTGTGTTTCATCTTTAGGTTCTATAGGCTAGTGATGCCATTTCTCCCATTGCCCTAAACACCCCCCTATCCAATCCCTGACTAACACTAGGATAACTATTTTCAGTGCCTTGAAACGGACTTCATTAATAAATATTCAGCAAGCTCTAGTCAGACTATTACAGCTCAGAAATTGGAACTTTCTTGCTAAGGCTATAGTTCAGGAGAAGGGATAGTTGTATAACCTTACTACAGGCTTATAGAAAGAAGGTCTTAGAATAAGAAAAGGAAAGTAGAGGAAAGACAAGAGAGGTAACAAACTGACAAAGGAAGTGGAATAAGTCAAAATGCCCATTTGTTAATTGGCATTTGCCAAGTGTGAGCCTATCAAACCAAAATTCCAGCACATTGTTAAAAAGTGGTTTAAATCCTTAATTTTGCTGCACTAGAAACACCAGCACTAAGGAATTGCAGAAAATGTTATTAACCCAGTGTGGCATTTTAGTTTTCTTACTCAAATAATTATGTGAGTGAAAGACTGACATGAAAGCAAATTTATATTAAAAAATTAAAAAAAATCTTCAAGCTGGATGTTAAGATACCTAATTACATTTAAAAGAAAGCTGGGTTAATAACGGCCCCAAAATATCAGTATTCAATATTGCTGAAAAGCAGTACTGATTAAGAGAATAAGGCTTGACTTCCATAGAGTAACTACATTATACTTAAACAATATACTGAAAATGGTTAACATAACCGGCATTTAAAAAATTATTTAGTGGGGAGTACCTGAGCATTATGAATGTTTCTAAAAAAGAAAAAATATCAGCCGAGCGTGGTGGCTCATGCCTGTAATCCCAGCACTTCGGGATGCCAAGACGGGCGGATCACCTGAGGTCAGGAGTTTGAGACCAACAGGTCAGGAGTTCAAGATTAACACATGGTGAAACCCCGTCTCTACTAAAATACAAAAAAATTAGCCAGGTATGGTGGCACACACCTGTAATCCTAACCACTTGGGAGGCTGAGGCAGGGGAATCGCTTGAACCTGGGAGGCGGAGGTTGCAGCGAGCACCACTGCACTCCAGGCTGGGTGACAGAGTGAGACTGTCTGAAAAAAAACAAAAAAGAAAAAATGAAAAAAACCAACTTATAAAGTATACTTAGTATTTCATAGTTAAGGCTCTATCTACTCTCTCTTATATAGACACAGCTCCTAACAGCCTACAATAAATACTAAAAAATACCACTCTAAGTCCCAGCTACCTGGGAGGCTGAGGTGGGAGGACTGCTTGAGTCCATGGGTTTGAGGCTAGCCTGAGCAACAGAGTGAGATCCCTTCTCTTAAAAAACCAAAAGGACAAAAAATGACTTGTATTGTGAAACAAGAACATTAACATTGCACAGGAATTCAAATATACTACATAAATGTTACAAAAGGCCACTTTCCTTCGAACAGATTATCACGAAGATGGCAGTACTCCCCAAATTTATCTACAGATTCAATGTCATCCCTATAAAAATCCCAGCTTCTTTTGTAGAAACTGATGAGCTTGATCCTAAAATTCACATGGAAATACAAGGGACTAAGAATAGCCAAAACAATCTTGAAAAAGCACAAAGTTGGAAGACTCATATTTCCTAAATTCAAAAGTTATTACAAAGCTACAGTAATCAAGACTATGTGGTCTGCATAAGGGGATGGAATAGAATCCAGAGTCCAGAAATAAATGCTTACATTTATGATCCATTGATTTTCACTAACAATCCCAAGAAAATTCAGTGGGAGAAAGAACTCTTTTCAGCAAATGGTGCTGGGACAACTGTATATTCAAATACCAAAAAAAAAAAAAAAAAAAAAAAAAGATCCGGGCATGGTGGCTTATGCCTGTAATCCTAGCACTTTGGGAGGCCAAGGCAGGCAAATCACGAGGTCAGGAGATCGAGACCATCCTGGCTAACACGGTGAAACCCCGTCTCTACTAAAAATACAAAAAATCAGCCGGGCGTGGCGGCAGGCACCTGTAGTCCCAGCTACTTGGGAGGCTGAGACAGGAGAATGGCGTGAACTTGGGAGGTGGAGCACGCAGTGAGCCCAGATGGCGCCACTGCACTCCAGCCTGAGGGACAGAGTGAGATGTCTCAAAAAAAAAAAAAATTCAAATCCTTATTTACATCATACATAAAAACTAACTCTAAAGGAATCACAGACCTAAATGTAAGAGCTAAATCTATAAAACTCTTGGAAGAAAAGACAAATAAATCTTTATGACTCTAGTTTAGGTAAAGGTTTCTTAGATATGCTATCAAGAACACAAGTTACAGAAGAAAAATATTAATAAACTGGATGCTTGTGCTGCAAATACCACCAAGAACATAAAAATGACAATGCATAGAATAGGGGATATCATTTCACACTGTTAGGATGGCTACGATAAAAAAAAGACGAGAAAAGTGATGATATTGCAACCCTCACACATTTTGAGAACACAAAATGGTATGGCTACTTTGGAAAACAGTTCGGCAGTTCCTCAAAATGTTTCTTAAAAGCTATCCAAAAAGATTATTGGAGTCTAAAGTTACCATACCAATCCAGCAATTCCACTCTCATGTAACTCTCACCCGTAAGAAATGAAAACATATGTTCACATAAAAACTTGTACATGAATGTTCATAGCAGCATTATTCATAATAGCCAGTGGAATGGCTGTTAAGTGTAATCAACCCAAATGTCCATCAGCTGATAAATGGATAAATAAAAAGAGGTACAGCCACATGACGAATAGAATATTAATTACTCTGCAGTAAAAAGGAATGAAGTACTAACACATTCTACACCATGAACGGACCTTGAAAACATGCTTCGTGAAAGACCATATATACATGATTCCATTTATATGAAATGTCCAGAATGGGCAAATCTATGGAGACAGAAAATAATTTAGGGGTTGCCCAGGGTTGGGAAGGGGAGTGGGACTGGTGAACTGCTGCTTACAGCAACCAGGTTTCTTTTTGGGGTGATAAAAATATTCTAAACTGAGATTGTGGTGATAGTTGTACAACTTCGTGTGAGCCACTGAATTATGCATTCTAAATAGGTGGATTTTACGGTATATGAATTGTATCTCTCTCTCTCTCTTTTTTTTTTAAGGAGCTAACGTTAAAGACATCTATTTAGGCCAGGCGGGGTGGCTCATGCCTGTAATCCCAGCACTTTGGGAGGCCAAGCCAGGCGGATCACTTGAAGTCAGGAGTTCGAGACCAGGCTGGCCAACATGGTAAAACCCTGCCATTACTAAAAATACAAAAATTAGCCAGGCATGGTGGTGCATGCCTGTAATCCCAGCTACTCAGGGAGGGTGAGGCAGGAGAATCACTTGAACCCAGGAGGTGGAGGCTGGAGCGAGCTGAGATTGCACCACTGCACTCCAGCCTGGGTAACACAGCAAGATTCCGTCTCAAAAAAAAAAAAAAGGCATCTATTTATTAGTTCTCTCTCTCTCTCTCTCTCTCTGTTTTTGAGACAGGGTCTTGCTCTGTCACCTAGGCTGGAGTGCAGTGGCGTGAACGTGGCTCACTGCAGCCTCAACCTCCTGGGCTCAAGCGATTTTCCTGCCTCAGCCTCCCAAGTAGCTGGGACTACAGGCGCACACCAAGATGCCGGGCTAATTTTTTTTTAAATTAATTTTTGTAGAGACAGGGTCTCGCCAAGTTGCCCAGGCTGGTCTTGAAGTCCTGGTTTCAATCCTCCCACCTCTGTCTCCCAAAGTGCTGGGATTACAGGTGTGAGCCACCATGCCTGGCCAGATCTCCATAGATGTAGTGTGCATGCACTAACAAAAGAAATTTCAAGGAAACCGAAAGCCTAATCATAACGTAACAAATACTAATAAACAATATGCATCTTAACCATGTGTAACTTTATCACACATTTGTTAATTTAAAAGTAGAATCAGGTTTTGTTTTGAGAATATCAATTTCTTAAACAGCAAATAACTTTTTGGCATTTACATTATGCAATTATATTATTTTTTAAAAAGCAATTGTTTCATAAAATTATTAATTTGTTTGGGTAACAAAAATAATTTTAACAGATATTTAAGTCTACATAAAGTGAACCATATCAACTCAAACAGTTACTCACACTAGGCATTCAAAACCCCAATCATGGAGCTATAGCAACACAAAGTAACTGAAATATCTACCTTGGGGTGGGGGTGTGGAAATACCTGGTATCCTCTCTGAATCCTTGCATCATTTAAAGATTACCCCCAAACCCTCAGAATTTTCTCTTCCTGCCCTCTCAGGTATTTCTTTTTAAGCATGGAACTATATAAAGTTTCATTATCTTCCGATTTTTGGCCACAGAAGAAACATCTTTCCCATTTTTTTTTTTCAACTTCTAAATGAACCCTCAGTTTAAGATTAGTGTGAAAGTGCACATTTGCCTTTGGAAGGAATTACTATAGTGTGAATGGCCAATAGTAATTCTATTTGCTGGTGGATACAAATGACTATAGCCCACACCGTCACTGTCAAATAGAAATATAGGCTGGGCACGGTGGCTCATGCCTGTAATCCCAGTACTTTGGGAGGCTGAGGCGGGCGGATCACCTGAGGTCGGGAGTTCTAGACCAGCCTGACCAACATGGAGAAAACCTGGCTCTACTAAAAATACAAAATTAGCCGGGAGTGTTGGTGCATGCCTGTAATCCCAGCTACTTGGGAGGCTGAGGCAAGAGAATTGCTTGAACCTGGGAGGCAGAGGCGGTGGTGAGCCGAGATCGCGCCATTGCACTCCAGCCTGGGCAACAAGAATGAAACTCCGTCTCAGAAAAAAAAAAAAAAAAAAAGAAATACAATGTGAGGCCGGGCATGGTGGCTCATGCTGTAATCCCAGCACTGTGGGAGGCCAATGCAGGTGGATTACCTGAGGTCAGGAGTTCGAGACTAGCCTCACCAATATGGTGAAACCCCGTCTCTACTAAAATTAGCCAGGTGTGGTGGCACATGCCTATAATCCCAGCTACTTGAGAGGCTGAGGCAGGAGAATTGCTTGAACTGCATATTGTCACTAAGCACAAGCCTTAACTTCACTTTTAACTTTTAATAACAAATAGGTGAACTTCTACAGTTCTCATCCATTTCTTTTCTGTATCAGCTCCAAATAATTTAGAGAAAAATTCACGTTACATGTATTTCCTTATGTATAGCCATATAAAGAGTATGTAATATGTCACTAACAATCAGAGCCTTAGCTTATTTAGGGGTAAAATATTAGGTTAACACCAGAAAATGTAGAGTGGTAAGGAGATTCCATCATTTCCCCTAATCCCTAGAACATGTGTAAATATGTACTCCCTAGAATGTATATGTATGTTTATAATAAAATGCAGTTATCTAATTGGATTTTCACTTAAAAAATTACCTTAACCAATTTTAGCTATTAATACTAAAAACAAAACTCCTGTTCTGCAATGGCCTTGAAAATCAGTTTATAAACTATATAAAATCTGTCTGATTTTATACTGAGACATTTGCATGCCTTGGCCAATGCAAACACTCAATGCACATTTGTTAATATATTAACCTATTCTACTCTATACACCTAAGTTTAGAATTTGTTATGGTTTGAAAGCGCCTTGGATCTTGCAGGACTGGGTTCACTCTCTTGCACTCCTGCCATGCGATGACTCAACAAAAAGGATGAGCCAGGACCACAGAGAAGCATATAAATTACCAAGGCTAAAATATACATGTATCTGTGTGTGCAGAGAAAAGGTATGAGTTATTTCACAATCATTTAATTTTGCAAAAAAAAATTTTAAGCCGCTTCAGGAATACTTCATAAGACTTCTATAATAATACAGAGTCACTGAAGTCAGTATCCCTGTAATTAGGCAGATAAGAGCAGCATGTTTCAAAATAACATTTAAAGCTTTCTGGGGAAGTTCTAGAGTAGCTTTCAGAATTAATTTGAGAAAATCAATCAAAAATATCATATATTCTTTGTAATGCCTATTAATAAATGAACTCTCCCACAGCTTCCTTATTTAACAGAAACTTCAAGTGATTTATTCTTTTTAAAAAATCAACTTCATCTTACACTCATTTCCAGTGGGACCACAATAGGCTGTCATTTAAATGTACTTATAAATACTTCTGGAAAGATGAAGTCCCACTGGAAATGAGTGTATCATCTTCTGAATGAAGGTAAACTTTTAGTGATTTACCTGAAGAATTCTGAGTTGATGGCTGCAGAGGGGATACTTAAATCCCCACAGAAAAACAGAGCAACAAGATAGCAAAACCAAAACCCCATGGATAGCTACAACCAAATCACATGACAAGCCATTCCTAGGGAATTCCTAACACATACGAATGAGGAAAAAACAGGCTACTATGTCAACATACACAGCACAGTGCAACAAGATGCAAAGGAATGGGGCATGTGCTGGACTTGATATAAGAAGAACCTCAAAGAGCCAAAAGACATTCACTGGAAATCATGGCAGGCCAATGTGAGAAGAGCAGCTAGCACTGGGAGTTTTGCCAGTCCAATAAGTAGATGGATGCAAGAGACCTACAGTAAGGATTAAAAGACCGAAGCTAACTTCTACGAACTTTTGAAATTGATCTTCCAAGGTTCTCTTCCAAGACTCCAGTTTGAAGAGAAACCATTGGGAGGAAAAGCACAATCAGCAAGATAGGAAGAAGGGAAAAGAGAAACTAAAAATGTGGAGGGGAAGAGGGCCAGAAACTCCCAGAAAGTAAGCTGCTACACTTCTGAACATTACACAAAATAACAGAAAAGGGAGCTCTGTGAAATTATTAAAGCACTCTGAAGGTACATCACCTTTTTAAAGTTCAGGAAAGCTAATATCTCACAAAAATGAGTAACCGAAGAGTATTCAGTTCACACAAAGACTGTAAGAAAAGACTAGAAGAGTGGTGCTTAAAGTGACAAATCACACTGGAAAGAGCTGCTTTAGGCTGAGTGTTGGGAGGCTGAGGCAGGAGGACTGCTTGAGTCCAGGGGTTTAAGAACGGCCTGGGCAACATGGTGAGACCCCTGTCTCTACAAAAAATTAAAAAAATTAACTGTGTGGTGGCATGTGCCTGTAATTCCAGCTACTTGGGAGGCTAAGGTGGGGGAATCACTTGAACCCAGGAGGTTGATGCTGCAGTGAGCCATGATTGTGCCACTGCACTCCAGCCCGGGTGTCAGAGGGAGACCTAGTCTCAAAAAAAAAAAAAAAAAAAAAAAAGGCAGCTATCCAAGTTTCCAATATTATTGGAATCTAGAGTTACCATATGATCCAGCAATTCTACTCCTGGGTATAAGCCCAAGAGAAACCAAAAACACAAGTCTACACAAAAACTTGTACACAAATGTTCTTAAGAGCACTATTCATATTAGCCAAAAAGTGGCTAACAATCCAAATGCCCACCAACTGATGAACATATATATATAATGTGGTCTAGCCATACAGTGGAATAATGGGTAGTACAGCAAGAAAAGTAAACAACCTACTGAATAAATACAACAACATAGATGAGCCTTGAAAACACGGTAAGTGAAAGAAGTCAGTCACAAAGGACAACATACTGTAGGATTCCATTAATGAAATGTCTATTAATAGGCTGGGGGAAAAATAGGGAGAAATGACTGCGGGGTTGGGGGTTTCTTTTTGGTGTAGTGAAGACTTCTAAAAATTGATGCACACCTCTGTGAATATTCTTAAAAAAACCCACAAACCCCACGGAATCATACTTTCAATGGGTGAAATGTACAATATGTGAATTATATCACAAAAAGGGCAAAAATCCAGTAATTATCCTATATGATACGTGCCACTGGGTGTCCATATGAGATGAATCAAGAATTCCAATACAAAAATACCAATTTGTAAGAAAGAAATGACAGAATTAGAGTATCACCAATGAATGAAAGGACCCAGGCATTGAATATCAGCAGCCACTAACACTACAAAGAGAGACAACCAGACTTTAGACCTTCTGACCAAAGAACATTAACACCATCTATAGCCTTGCCTAAGGGATCTAACAGGAGTCTGATTAAGTTTCTGGATCTAATCATCAATTTTTCCAGGAATGCAAGAAAAAAGGAACACAGTAAACTGCACCATGAGTATACAATCAGCAAAATTCAGACAGTTGGAAACTCTACAGGTCACACACTCTAGGGTCCTTCAACAGCTACAACTTAGTTGACATAAAAAGATGGAGGGGAAACATGCATACTGAGAGACTTCAAAGACTTACCAAATTTTTAATAATGAGCAAGGTCTATGGTATTTGGGAATGCAGAGTTGGGTGCTAAAACTATAAAGAAAGTGATTAGAGTAAGAATACTGGGGCCGGGCGAGGTGGCTAACGCCTGTAATCCCAGCACTTTGGGAGGTCGAGGTGGGGGGAATCACGAGGTCAGGAGTTTGAGACCAGCCAGACCAACATGGTGAAAACCCGTCTCTACTAAAAATACAAAAATTAGCTGGGCATGGTGGTGCATGCCTGTAATCCCAGCTACCCAGGAGGCTAAGGCAGGAGATTCACTTGAACTCAGGAGGCGGAGGTTGCAGCGAGCCGAGATTGCACCACTGCACTCCAGCCTGGGCGACAAGACCAGACTCCTATCTCAAAAAAATAAAAAAGAATACTGGTTACTTTTGGAGGGAGGGGATCGACACTGAGTTGAGCACGTGGAGACATTCCGGGGTAGTTGGCAAAGTTCTATTTCTTGACTTGGTTGGTGATTACAAGGTTGTTTTATAATAATCCACTATACATTTGTTTGGTGGTTTTATATATTTTACAATTAAAAAGAAAACACTCATCTCATATATGTACAGTTACACTACAGCACTATAAACTCCCAAATAGATGGAATACAACTGGATGTGAATAAGATTCAAAGGTAAGATCAGAGAGATAAATTCACAAATGGAAAAGAGAGTTATCTGGGGAATGCTTTATGAAAGAGTAGCAACTTCAGCTGAGTCTTAAAACCTGACAGAGCACAGTCACATGAAAGCAAAGAGAAAGCACCCTAAGGAAAAACAGTGATACACAATGCATAAATGCTAACACTGATGTATAGTTGAAAAAGAGGAATTTGGGACTTATAAAGAGGACCTCATTGGATTTAGTGCAATGAGGCGGGCAAATAAAAATCTGAGGTTTTTTCATTGTTTACTTTATAAATCTTACAAATCACTGGCATAAATTGCTACTGTGCTCTACTTCTGAAATATACTAGAACAGGAAAAAGTGAGAACTACAGTTTGGGATTAAGCAAAGGACTTGGGTTCAAATCCCAGCCACGTAATAGTTTTAATTTCGGACAAGTCACTTGGTAACTGCGTCTGCTTCCTTAGGAGAATACTTTACCTGAGAAAACAAGACAAATATAAAGTGCCTGGCATAGTGAGATCTTAATAAAATTTCAACCAGGTAATTTATAGTTTAAAAGGAATTTAAAAATCATCTAGGCTAATCGTCTCAAATTTACAGGTTAGTACCTACTACATTGAAGAGCACAGATACACAAAACTTGCGCTATGCAGAAAGTTCTACTGGACAGCACTGCAGTATTTCCAAGTAATGCTAATGGATCTTGGGCATAAGATTATTGTTGGATTAATTATTGCTTTATTAAACTAAAAGGCAGAAAGAGAAGTAAGCTATAAACACCTGCTTAGACTTCACAATGAAACATATGCTGATTTGACTTCTGTAAAACATGACCAGAGTATAACAATGAATTGAAATGAACAGGAGAAAAAGCAAAATTTATTTATTTTTATTATTATTATTATTGTTTTTTGAGATAGAGTCTCGTTCTGTTGCCCAGGTTGGAGTGCAGTGATGTGATCTCGGCTCACTGCAACCTCCACCTCTCAGGTTCAAGTGATTCTCCTGCCTCAGCCTCCCCAGTAGCTGGGATTACAGGCACGTGCCACCACACCCAGCTAATTTTTATATTTTTAGTAGAGATGGGGTTTCATCATATTGGCCAGGCTGGTCTTGAACTCCTGACCTCAAGGGATCCGCCCACTTCAGCATCCCAAAGTGCCGGGATTACAGGCATTAGCTACCATGCCAGGCCCTACAATAGCTTTAAATCTTGCATATTATACATGGAGTTCTGATTGCTAGAGCTCAAGAAAGAGGCAATGGAAGTAAGAGAAGATGGAAAAGATCAAATAAATTGGAGATGTGCTATGAGAACAGACCATGACCAACAAAAATACTTAGAAAAGGGTGTGCTCTTTACAACCTAATCTTAAGAGACCTGGAACTGGTATAAGAAAAAAAATGCATCACAAAAGACCAAATTAGGAGTTTGTAAGAGAAGCTGGGTCAATATCTACTTAAGTGTGACTTGGGGGGTGGGTGCTTTCCCTCAGTATATACCTTGGCATCACTTTTGGCTCCAGGGCTTTTACACTTTACTAAATTTATTTTTGAGCTTGATCCAGCAAGGCCATTCTTTATTAATTCCAATTACATGAACCTCATTGCATCTAGTGAACAAAGTGTAGATTTATCTAATTAGGCTACATATAAAAGTCATTTACTGCTGACAGCTATTCAACTCTGAGTAACTGACAAAAGAACTCAATGATAAGAGACCATTTCTGGGTCACCAAAACATGCTGATACTGATTTTATTCTTAAATATTAATACAGCAGCACATTACTTTTGGGGGTTTTAAAACTTTTAATATGTCAATGTGGGAAAATACAATTAAGTCACCTGAACATTTAAAAATATTTTCACACAGTTAATGGATGTTATTAATATTTACTATAAGACTAGATATAGTTTGTCACTAGCATCTTAACTTATTTAAGCTTGTTATTTCATAGGGTTTAATTTGCTGAACGGTGTTCAGTTTACTCTGGTGAAGATTCACGCTTTTTAAAGTTTACCATGACATTTCAGTATATAGAAAAAAATTTCCCACTGGTGTGGAATAATACAAATTTAAAAGCGACTCACATTCAATTTCAGACCACCCCCTTTGCCCTAAAAGAACAGGGGGGAAGAAAGATAAAAGTGAGGCGGTGCAATTGATGCAAGTGCACTGACACAAATATAAAAACCACTTTTGATATTATAATAGCAAAGGTAAAAAAAGACAACAGATATGAAGGGTATAATAATATTTCTCAAAACAGAAATGAACAGATTTCAATTATTACTGACTCTACGTAAAAATGCTGAAGTTTACCTTCATACACAATAAGACATTAAAGAAGGTAATAAAAAATTAATACCTTGGCCTTTTTATTGAAGGAAAACATTTAAGTAAAATAGTGAAAGCTAGAATGCAAATGACAATCTAAAGTTGTGAATTCTGGCTTTAAGCAGGGTATTTGTTGTAAAGCACGCCAACCACGCCATAAAGACAAATTATAAGGAGGGCTCAAAACAAAGAAGTGAAGATGGCCGGGCACGGTGGTTCGTGCCTGTAATCCCAGCACTTTGGGAGGCCGAGGCGGACGGATCACCTGAGGTCAGGAGCTCAAGACCGGCCTGGCCAACATGGTGAAACCCCCTCTCTACTAAAAATACAAAAATTAGCCGGGAGTGGTGGCACACACCTGTAGTCCCAGCTACTCAGGAGGCTGAGGCAGGTGAATAGCTTGAACCAGGGAGGCAGAGGTTGTGGTGAGCTGTGACAGCGCCACTGTACTCCAGCTTGGGTGACAGAGTGAGACTCTGTCTCAAAAAAATAAAAAAAAAATTAATAAATAAAAGAAGTGAAGACTTGTGGCTAGATCATTTATTGGAAGTACAAAAGTATGCCTGATTCGGCAAATGGGACATCTGTAGCCATATAAAGAATAGTCAGAACTATTTTGATTTGTAATTTCTACCATTATTATCCAGGGTTACGTAAGGAATGCCAAATTTATATTAACATTCATTAGTTCACTACTGCCTTTGGAGACAATTTATAATGAATTCCCTTAATCTAAATGTTATCACCAATGGCTTCCTTTCTCTTCCATAACACTATCACTGACCTAAATGTTATGCACAAGAAATAACTAGGAAACTAGAAGCAACAGAGCAAGAATTATGCAGATTTAAAAAAGAAATAGAAGAAGTCTTCAAGAGATCAAAATGTATATTAAAATACTTGTGGTCCAAGATAAACCTGTATGCCAAACTGATAAATGAAATAGGATCCGAAGAGATTAAGGTAGGACTCAATCTAAACCATGAAGCCTTTCCTTCCATTTCAAAAATAATATTCTGAGGATCTTTCCTAGGATTGTTTTCTTAGCAAATAAGTCCTAATGACTATCCACAAATAGCAGAAAGTCTTCTTTGGTCCATTTTTCTACACATACCTTTCAGAATAATATTCTAAAAATAACTATGATAAAAAGTAACAAATAAAGACAGAATTAAAGCAGAGTTAAACATTTCTAAACAATATGCAATTTTCTTTAACACACACAACACAGTATGCGTGTTACTCAACATACACCAAACTCGTATCTTTCATAAATGAAATTAACATTTCAACAAAATGCCATTACTCTATTTGTCAAGGTTTACAGGTTATATACCTTAATATTCAGGTGTAAATTTTACTAATAATACATAAACATACTCCTGACGTACTATATCTGAAGCAAGAGTGGACGTTTGAATCACCCAAAATTTTAGGAGACAACTGATGCTAACGTGATAAACAGAAACGTTGACATCTTAAGAAATTACTAGGTTAGCAAATGAAGAAATGAATTATTTCTACTAAATAGCTCTTTCAAAAGAATGTCATAATTAATTTAATCTCAATTGACAGTCTTTTAAACAATGAGTCCAACATAATTAAGATGTATCACAGAACGACCAGGCTTGCCCAATTCCACTGTACATCACTACTGAAATTATTCAAATGTTAAGTATAGAATTTAAATGAAGAAAACCTATGTAATAACTCTGTAAAGAAATAAATGTTTTTCTTTTTTAGCTTAAAAGGCCTGGCAGAGCTTAACAGTGCCTTGCAGTTTAATTCATCATAAATTTTAAAAACACAAAAACACCGCATCTGAAGCAAAATATTTATCACGTGATATACGTTTACCGTTAATTCAGAACACTAAATCCAACAACGCAATGACCAACTTTTTTTCTGCGTATCGATTTACCCTCAAATTTGCGGACAGTAAAAACAGACAACTAGTACTTACATTTTTGTTGAATTTGGTGAAAGAATGGTGCATATAAAACCTGTGCATATAAACAATCGCAGTGTTTATTGTAAGCTGAGAGCTGGAACGTAATATTTAGGAAATATCTGACAAAAGCAAGATCTCATTCCCAGAACAATTTTGATGGAAAATTCCCAGGTTCTTTTCCAATACCTCCCATTCAAATCCAAACCCCAAACTGGAAATAAAGAAATAAATGCCCGCGGGGGGTGGGGCGGCAGGAAGAGAATAGGCTTGACGCCAAATAAATGGGAATAAGAACTGCTGATCTTTTCACTCTAACAGCGCTGAGGGCCCTGGAACTATTTATCAATGGCTACGACTAACTAAACTCAAAATGAAACAGTTGAAACGCGCGCGCACACACCCATACAAAACCACGCCAAGAACATAAAGAACTCCAGTACGCTCCCAAGGTAGAAGAGAGCCGCCATCAAGCCGGCGACGAGAGCCGGGAAAGGCTGCGGCAAACACTTAGGCCTTTCAGCATCGCTAACCCTCCTACCTCTCAAACCCTTCGGGGTCAGGGACAAGTCCAGGGAGCCGCCCCTTTTCTGCAATAATCCCTAAAATTCCTCTTTCGCCTGAGCCACACTCCCAACCCCCGCCGCCACCACCACGCGCTGCCCCAAACAGATTACACAACGCAGGCTCCTGGCCCGCATTCCTGGGGTCCTATCTCCTCCTCCCTTCCTCTGCTGACCCCTCGCGACTGCCCGAGCCGGAACATTACTTCCCTGACCGCGGCGCCGAGGCCCAGCGAAGGCCGAGGCCGGCGGCGCCATGTTCGCGGGGCACCAGGCCCGGCGACCGGGCAAGGGAAACAGGGCGTGAGCGGCGGCGAACAGAAAAGGATACACATTGAGACGCTGTCCCATCTCCTGGATGAGGTTGGCCGCCTGCTGGCGGCACGAGAGCTCTTTATCCGCCTCCACTCCGCAGCGGCGGCTCGGCGTGTTCTCCAGCTGTTCCCGAGTAAAGAACCAGCGAGAAGAAGCTCCACGGCCCGACGCCATGACACTTCCTCCTCCGCCCGCTCCTTCATTCACCCCCCGCCCCTCCTGGCTCGCGGACTCCCCGCCAAGGCGCGCGACCCCGCCCCACTCCGCTCGCCGTAGACCACGCACCACCCTTTTTCACCACCGCCTCCGCCCTTGCGCATGCGCGGGGCCCGCTCTACCGACTCGCCCTAGTCTTTTGCTTTCTTTTTCTGCCCTCGGCCTCGCTCTTGCGCACGGGACCACAATGCTCCGCGCCGCTTGTCATTGGGAGGCGCCGAAGGTGGAGAGGTCGGCTCGGAAGGAAAAGGTCGGCGCAGCGCATGCCGGGTCTAGGGTTGGCGGGGCGAAGGGGTGGGGAGGGAAGGGGCGGGGAGGGGAGGGGAGGGGAAAGTGGGAGAGGGTGGACTCTGGCCGGTGTGAAGAGAGGCGGTCGGGCGGCTGCGCTGTGGGGGCCTGGGCGTGTACTTCGGAGGCCCGTCGGGCGCTTCCTTTAGACGGGAGGTCTAGCGGCCCTTTAAAAAGAGAAAAATAACCTTCACTGTCGCAGCCTCACGCCACTACTTCCATTTTCCTTTTGGGCGGGTCCGCGCAGTCTCGTAGGCGTGCGACTCCGGCCTCCGCCACCAACAGTCTCCGCCTAGCGCGCGGCTCTGGCGTTGAGCTGGCGGGGAAAGAGTGCACAGGAAGTCACGCTCCATGGCTGTCCGCACCTGAGTGCTTTTTTCACCCTACATTATCTTGTTTAAATCCCAGACCACTTGGTTTATTTTTATTTTTTCAAATTACTTGGCAAACGCTATCCAACTAGCAACGAGAAATTGAATTTCTAAATGAGGTGTTGAATCTAGACGGGGCGTGTTTTCAGGCTGCGCTGTGGTTTCTGCGAGACAAGGTTGGGGAGAATCAGATAGTGCAGGAGGAACTGAGTTAAAATTTTATCTTTAGGATTTGATGTGGGAACATCCCACATACCTGTTGATTAACTCCTGTATTTCTTCCTGTAAGAAAATGCCACTGAGCTTCACTCGGAGTTTGTGTTGTGAATAGGGTTTCTAAGTTTAAAGTCTTAACTATTTGGAGGCCGGGCACGGTGGCTCACGCCTGTAATCTCAGCACTTGGGGAGGTCCAGTGGGCCGATCACTTGAGGTCAGGAGTTCGAGGGCAAGGGCAACATGGCGATACCCCGTCTCTACCAAAAATACAAAAATTAGCCAGGTTTGGTGGCGCGCCTGTAGTCCCAGCTACTCCCGAGGCTGAAGTGGGAGGATGGCTTGAGCCCAGGAGGTGGAGGCTGCGGTGAGCTAGATCTCGCTGCTGCACCCCAGCTTGGGCGATAGTGCAAGACCTTGTCTCGAAAATAAAAAATAAAGTAATATCTATTTGCCAAAGACCATGGAGGCAAGTGATTGTTATGGGGCTCCCACGCTCAGCATACTGCATTGCACAAGAATATTGATTATAGTAGGCAGTTTTTGTAACAGTTGCTATTTCATACTCACTTCCCTTGCTTTACGTTTTATGTTGCTTACAATTTCTGGAATAGATTGATTTAAAGCAACATTTTAAAAGTGCAAACCCTTGGCCAGGTGCAGTGTTTCCCGGCTGTAATCCCAGCACTTTGGGAGGCCAAAGTGTTCTAGACCAGCCTGGGCAACATAATGAGACCCCACCTCTACAAAAGTTTTTTAAAAAATTAGCTGGATGTGGTGGCGTCTGTAGTCCTAGCTCCTTGGGAGTATCGCTTCAACCTGAGAGGTGAGGTTGCACCCCAGCCTGGGTGACAGAGTGAGATCCTGTCACACACACACACAAATAAAAGAAGTGCCCATCCTCAACATCCATTCATGATAAAAACTCAGCAAACTGGGAATAAAGGAGAACTTCCTCAACTTGATAAAGAGCATCTACAAAAATTCTGCAGCTAACAATAGATTGTTTCTGTTGTGAGAAACTACATTCTTTCCACCTAAAGTCTGACACAAGGCAAGCATGTCCCCTCTCACCAGTCTTTTCAACGTGGTACTGGGTGTTCTAGCTAACAAGAAAAGTAAATTAAAAGTATATACATATTGGGAAGGAAGACATAAAACTTCTTCTGTAAAATTTTAGGATATAAGGTTGAATACAAAAGTCAGTTTTCCTATACACCAGCAATGAACAATTGGAATTTATAATTTAAAAATGCCATTTACAATAGTACCGTCTCCCAAAGTAATACAGGTTGAGTATCACGTATCTGAAATGCTTGAGACCAGATGTGTTTTGGATTTCAGGTTTTTTTAGGTTTTGAAATATTTGAATTATAAACTTAGCCATTGAGCATCCTAATCCAAAAATTCTAAATCTGAAATGCGCCAATGAACATTTCCTTTGAATGTCATGTGGGGGCTTGAAGTTTTGGGTTTTGGAGTGTTTCTGATTCTCAGATTTAGGGATACTCAACCTGTACTTAGATATGGATCTAGGCAGGGCGCAGTGGTTCACACCTATACTCCCAGCACTTTGGGAGGCCAAGGTGGGAGATTGCTTGAGGCCAGGAGTTCAATACCAGCCTGGCCAACATGGGGAAACCTTGTCTCTACTAAAAATACAAAAATTAGCTGGGTGCGGTAGTGCATGCCTGTAATCCCAGCTTCTTGGGAGGCTGGGACACGAGAATTGCTTGGACCCAGGAGGCAGAGGTTGCAGTGAGCCGAGATCACTCCACTGCACTCCAGCCTGGGTGATAGAGCAAGATTCTATCTCCAAAAAAAAAAAAAAAGATATGGATCTGAAATATGTACAGGATCTATATGCAGAAAACTATAATAAAACTCTAATGGAAAACAAAAAAAGATTAAATAACAGAAAGCTATTCTGAGTTCATAGATTAGAAGAATCAATTTAGATGTCAATTCTTCCCAGGTTGATCTACAAATTCAGTGCAATCCCAACCAAAATTTCAGCAAGTGATTTTGCACATATTGACAAATTGATTCTAAAACTTCTATGTAAAGGCAAAAAACCCAGAATAACCAACACAATACCAAAGAAGTTGCACTGACATTACCTAACATCAAGCTACAGTAATCAAGACGGTGTGGTATTTGAGAAAGAATAGACACATAGATCAATGGAACAGAATAGAGAGCCCACCCATAAATGGTCAACTGACCTTTGACAAAGGAACAAAGGCAAGTCAATGGAGCAATAATAGTCTTTTTAACAAATGGCGCTAGAACAACCGGAAAGCCACATTAAAAAAAAAAAATCTACATGCAGACCTTATACCTTCCACAAAATTTAACTCAAAGTGGGCTGCAGACCTAAATGTAAAATGCAAAACTGTAAAACTTCTGGAAGATAACATAGGAAAAAATATAGTTGACCTTGTGTTTGGCAATGAGGTTTTAGATGCAACACCAAAAGTACAATCCATGAAAGAAAAAACTGGTAAGTTGGACTTCATTAAAATTAAAAACCTCTGGCCAGGCGCAGTGACTCATGCCTGTAATCCCAGCACTTTGGAAGGCTGAGGCGGGCAGATCACCTGAGGTCAAGATTTGGAGACCAGCCTGGCCAACATGGTGAAACCTTGTCTCTACTAAAAATACAAAAAAAGTTAGCTGGGCATGGTGGCGCATGCCTGTAGTCCCAGCTACTTGGGGTGGCTGAGGTAGGAGAATCGCTTGAACCCAGGAGGTGGAGGTTGCAGTGAGCCAAGATCGTGTCACTGCACTCCAGCCTGGGCGACAGAGGGAGACTCCGTCTCAAAAAAAAAAAAAAAAAAAAAAATTAGCTGGACATGGTGGCAGGCGCCTATAATCCCAGCTACTCAGGAGACTGAGATAGGAGAATTGCTTGAACCCGGGAGGCGGAGGTTGCAGTGAGCCGAGATCGTGCCACTGCACTCCAGCCTGGGCAACAAAGAGTGAAACTCCATCTCAAAACTTAAAATTAAAAAAATTAAAACCTCCGTTCTGTGAAAGACACTGTTAAGAGAATGAAATACAAGGAAGAAATATTTGCAAAACATACGTCTGATAAAGAACTCTTAAGATGGCCGAACTGCTAAATTTACTAAACATTTGAAGGAGAACTAACACCAATACTACACAAACCATTCTGAAATAGAGGAAGAGAGAGTACTTCGAAACTCATTCTACAAGGCCAGTATTACCCTGATTCTAAAACCAAAGACACATTGAAAAAAGAAAACTACAGGCCAATATCTCTGATGAATGTTGATGCAAAAATCCTCAATAAAATATCGGCAAACTGAATTCAACAATACATTAGAGAGAGCATTCATCATGATCAAAGGGGATTTATCCCTAGGATGCAAGGATGGTTGCAAATAAATCAGCTTGATACATCATATCAACAGAATGAAGACTGGAAACCATACCATTTCAATTGATGCCGAAAAAGTATTTGATAGAATTTGACATCCCTTCATGATAAAAGCCGTAAAAAAACGGGATAGAAGGAGCTTACCTCAACATAATAAAAGCCATATATGACAGTCCCACAACTAGTATCATACTGAATAGGAAAAAAACAAAGCTTTTCCTCTAAGATCTGGAACTCAACAAGGATGCCCATTGTCACCACTGTTATTCAACCTAGTACTGGAAGTCCTAGCTAAAGCAGACGAGAGAAAGGTATAAAGGGCATCCAAATTGGAAAGGAAGAAGTCAAATTATCCTTGTTTGTAGATGATATGATCTTATATTTGGAAAAACCTGAAGACTCCAAAGGAAAACTATTAGAACTGATCAACAAATTCAGTAAAGTTGCAGGATACAAAATCAACACACAAAAATCAGTAACATTCCTATATGCCAACAGTGAACAATGTGAAAAAGAAATTGAAAAGTAATCCCATTTACAATATCTACACATAAAATTAGGTACCTAGGAATTAACCAAAGAAGCAAAATATCTCTATAATGAAAACTATAAAACACTGATGAAAGAAATTGAAGATGACACAAAAAATGGAAAACATTCCATGTTCATGAGTTGGAAGAATCAATATTGTTAAAATGTCCGTATTACCCAAAGCAATCTACAAATTCAGTGCAATCCCTTTCAAAACATCAATGACATTCTACACAGAAATAGAAAAAACAATCCTATAA
Source organism: Homo sapiens (assembly GCF_000001405.40). Classification (NCBI taxonomy): domain Eukaryota; kingdom Metazoa; phylum Chordata; class Mammalia; order Primates; family Hominidae; genus Homo; species Homo sapiens. The sequence goes on along the minus strand of NC_000002.12, from coordinate 134,913,745 downwards.
TTTATATGGAGTAGCAGAAGACCCAGAATAGCCAAAACTATCCTAAGCAAAAAGAACAATCCTGGAAGAATCACATTACCTGACTTAAAATTATACTACAGAGCTTTCAGCACCAAAACAGCATGGTACTCACATAAAAACAGATACATAGACCAACAGAACAGAATAGAGAACCCAGAAACAAATCCACACACCTACAGTGAACTCATTTGTAACAAATGTGCCAAGAACATACACTAGGGAAAAGACAGTCTCTTCAATAAATGATGCTGGGAAAACTGGATGTCAGTATGCAAAAGAATGAAATTAGGCCTTTATCTCTTGTCCTATAAAAAAATAAAAATGGATTAAAGACTTTAAGACCTTAAACTATGAAACTACTACAAGAAAACATTGGGGAAAATCTCCAGGACATTGGTCTGGCCAAAAATTTCTGAGCAATACCCAACAAGCACAGGCAACCAAAGCGAAAATGGACAAATAGGATCACATCAAGTTAAAAAGTTTCTGCACAGCAAAGGATACAATCAACAAAGGGAAGAGGGCTGGGCAGGGTGGCTCATGCCTGTAATCCCAGCACTTTGGGAGGCCGAGGCGGGCGGATCACGCGGTCAGGAGATCAAGACCGTCCTGGTGAACACGGTGAAACCCCATCTCTACTAAAAATACAAAAGAATTAGCTGGGCGTGGTGGCGGGTGCCTGTAGTCCCAGCCACTCGGGAGGCTGAGGCAGGAGAATAGCATGAACCGGGGGGGCAGAGCTTGCAGTGAGCAGAGATCACGCTACTGCACTGCAGCCTGGGCGACAGAGCAAGACTGTGTCTCAAACAAACAAACAGACAAAGGGAAGAGACGGCCCACAGAATGAGAGAAAATATTTGCAAACTACCCATCTAACGATGTATTAATAACCAGAATCTATAAGGTGCTCAAACAACTCTGTAGGAAATAAAATCTAATAACTTGATTTTAAAATGGGTAAAAGATTTGGATAGACATTTCTCAAAAGAAGACATACAAATGGCAGACAGGCATATGGAAAGGTTCTCAGTATCATGGATCATCAGAGAAATGCAAATCAAAAGTATAGTGAGATCATCTCACCCCAGTTAAAATGGCTTTTATCCAAAAAACAGGCTATGACACATACTGGTGAGGATGTGGAGAAAAGGGAACTCTTTGTACACTGTTGGTGGGAATATAAATTAGTACAACCACTATGAACAACAGTTTAGAGGTTCCTCAAAAAACTAGATCTACCATGTGATCCAGGAATCCCCCTGCTAGGTATATACCCAAAAGAAAGGAAATCAGTATATCAAAGAGATATCTGCACTTGCATATTTGTGGTAGCACTGTTTACAATAGCTGAGATTTGGAATGTAAGTGTCCATCAACAGATGAATGGATAAAGAAACTGGTACATATACACAAGAAGTACTATTCAGCCATAAAAAAGAATGAGATCCTGTTATTTGCAACAACATGGATGGAACCAGAGGTCATTATGTAAAGTGAAATAAGCCAGGCACAGAAAGACAAAGATTGCATATTCTCACTTATTTGTGGGATCTAAGAATCAAAACAATTGAATTCATGGACATAGTAGAAGGATGGTTACCCGAGGCTGAGAAGGGTGGGCGGAGGGACTTGTGGGGATATGGGGATGGTTGATGGGTACAAAAAAAGAAAGTATGAATGAGACCTATTTGATAGCACAACAGGGTGAATATAATCAAGCATATCTTAATTATACATTTTAAAATGACTTTAAAAATGTAATTGGATTGTTTATAACTCAAAGGATAAATGCTTGAGGGGATGGAGATCCCATTCTCCCCGAAGTGTTTATTTCACATCATTGCATGCCTGTATCAAAATATCTCACATACCCCGTAAATTATATATACCTACTGTGTTCCCACAGAACTTTTTAAAAGATTAGATGGCAAATGAAAAAAAAAAAGAATTCTTAAAGCTCAGCAATAAGAAAATAAACAACCCAATTAAAAAATGGGCAAAAGATCTAAACCGATACCTCACAAAGAAGGTATATAGATGGCAAATAGGCATATGAAAAGATGCTGAACAAATATATAATGGTGCCAGAGGCGTTTGAACCAGAGTGACTCCATCATGAGTAGGGGCTGGGTAAAATAAGGCTGATACCTACTGGGCTGCATTCCCAGGAGGTTAGACATTCTAAGTCACAGGATGAGATAGGAGATCAGCACAAGGTACAGGTCATAAAGACCTTGCTGATAAAACAGTCTGTGGTAAAGAAGCCAGCTAAAACCCACCAAAACCAAGATGGCGATAAAAGTGACCTCTGGGCATCCTCACTGCTCATTATTTGCTAATTATAATATATTAGCATGCTAAATGACACTCCCACTGGCACCATGGCAGTTCACAAATGCCATGGCAACGTCATGGTCTAAAAAAGGGGATATGGTCTAAAAAAAGGGGAGACATGAATAATACACCTCCTGTTTAGCATATAATCAAGAAATAACCATACAAATAGGCAACCAGCAGCCCTCTGGGCTGCTCTGCCTGTGGAATAGACATTCTTTATTCCTTTACTTTCTTAGTAAACTTGCTTTCACTTTATAGATTTACCTCAAATTCTTTCTTGAGTGAGATCCAAGAACCTTCTCTTGGGGTCTGGATTGGGACCCCTTTCCAGTGACAAGGGTATTCTTGGCAACAGTTCATAATTGCAAAAGATTGGAAACAGGAATGTCCATGTGTTGAGGACTGGATGATTATGTACATCTATGTAATCTGTAATTTTCATTCATAGGATCCACCCATTAAAAAGAAAGAGGCAGTTTATACGTGGAATGACCACCAAGTTATTAAGTACCCTGCAAGGTATTTAAAAGGTACCAGAAAGGGCAAATTCTACTGTTTGCTTAAAATGAAAAAGGAATATATACATGTAAATACTTGTATAATCATAGACTGTGTTTGCAAGAATACACACACACAAAACAGATAAAATTGGTTCCTTCTGGGGTGTAGACTGGGAGACATAGGTTGAATTTGATCTGTTTGAACTTTTACATATGCTTGTGTTGACTTTTTAAAAATAAACTTTAATGTTTTTAGGTTGTGAGCAGTTTTTTATTTTCAGAAATGGAAACTTCAATTTACCTTTTTTCAATTTTGATTGGGAAAAATCTTCATAATGGTCTCTTTAAGTTAAACAAATTTAAAGCTGGTATTTGTCTTGGTATGTTAATCTAAAGTGATTACCTTGAATACAGATTTAAGCTTTTTGGTCAGGGAATATGAATTAGGCTGAGCCAGTACTGGCTTTCTTTTTAGGGGATATAGGAGAAGGTACTGTACAACGGAAAGAGAAAGATGCTTGGATGGCTATGAGTGGTTGTTTCTCCTTTGGAATCTGGTGGTGTTGGGAGTGTTTTAAAAAGGTTGTTTTTGGAGAAGTGCTTGCAGTAGATAAGGAAGGAGAGAAAACACTGAAAAGGTGATTTTCCTGAGTGACTTTTCTAGATTCTGGGTTGTGAGCAGATTCACTGTGTAAGCAATATTGTTCCAGGGCCAGGCAATCAAATATGGTACTGAGGAGATTATTCTCTTTACCTTTGCTTAGAACCCTGTGCTGCTAATGGCATCTGAGAAGAATGTCTGCTGTCACCAAATTACACCCCTGGTATGGACATTGCCAGATTGGTTTGTGAATATATATAAGGCATTTGTTACGGGCTGAATTGTGTCCCAAAAGTCCTAACCCCAAGTAGCTCAGAATGTGACTATATTTGGATGCAGGTTCTTTTAAGTGGGAATTAAGTTAAAATGAGATCATTAGGGTGGGCCCTAATCCAGTATGACTGGTGTCCTAGAAGAAGAGTCAGTCATGATGTAGACATGTACAGAGGAAAGACCATATGAAGACACAGGGAGAAGACACCCATCTATTAGCCAAGGAGAAGGGCTTACTAGGCGGGTGAGCCAAGAAGAAAGGCTCACGAGGATAGTGAAGACTCAAGTCATTGTAGATAGTCACAAATTTGTGAGGCCTTGCCATTTGGATTACACTCAGAACTGCATGAATTCCTAACATACTCGGTGAAGATTGATTTCCGGTTCCTTTCTTTGCTCATTTTAGGAGGAAGACCTGTTTACTTATTTTTATTTTACTATTTATTTATCCAGTGAATGCTAGTAGAGATGTTACTGTGTGCTAGGAAATTCAAACTGCATAAGTCTGCACACTCGACTTTCCCTTTTGTGTGTCTCAAAGGCATTAATAATCAATATTTCCCCAAACTAAACTCATAATCCTGTCTTTCCAACCTGGTCTTCTCTCTGTGCCTCTTGTAGTAAAATGGCACTACTTCCAGTTATGCAAGTCCGAAACTTAGGGGTCATCTTTGGTATCTGTAATCCTTATCTCCCGTATCTAACCCATCACCAAAGCCTTTCTGTTGACCCTTATTATCTCTGGAGTCTATTACGTATGTTTCTCCACCAGCAACACTACCACCATCTTGGCCCAAGCTATTTCACTTAAGCTCCCCTGCAAGCTGTTGTCATCCTGCAGCCTGCCAGAGGAATCTTTTCAAAATTGAATTCTATCCCACAGGAGCAGGATTAAAAAAAATCAGCTCTAATTAATGCCATCCCCTACTTAAAAACCTTCTCATTGCTTTTCTTTGTTGTTGTTGTTATTATTTGTTTGTTTTCTTTTGGTATTGTTTTTTGACTTAAAACAAGAGAAATTTATTATCTCTCAATTCTAAAGGCCAGAAGTCTAAAATCAATGTGTTGGCAGGGACTATGGTTTGAATGATTGTCCTCTCCCAAACTCATGTTGAAATTTAATCCCCAATGTGGCAGTATTGAGAGGTGATTGGGTCATGAGGGCAGAGCCCTCATGAATGGATTAATAGGTTAATGGATTAATGGGTTATCATGGTAATGGAACTGGTCGGCTTTATAAGAAGAGGAAGAGACTGGAGCTAGCACGTTCAGCTCCCTTGCCATATGATGCCCTGTACTATCTTGGGATTCTGCAGAGTCCCCACCAGTAAGAAGGCCCTCACCAGATGTGGCCCCTCAACCTGGGACTTCTCAGCCTCTGTAACTCTAAGAAGTAATTACTGTTTCAGGTATCCTGCTATGAGCAATGAAAACTGGACTAAAACAGCAGGGCTGTGCTCCCTCTGAAGACTATTGGGGAGAATCTGTTTCTAGGCTCTTCAGCTTTTGGTGACTCTAGGCCTTTCTTGGCTTGTGACCGTAAGACTCCAATCCATGCTTCTTTGCTTCCAACTCTTGTTGTTTTTTTTTTAATTTTTAATTTTTGTGGGTGCATAGTAGTGTGGGGTACATGAGATATTTTGATACAGGTATGCAATGCTTATTAATCACATCTTGGTAAATTGGGTATCCATCCCCCTCATGCGTTTATCCTTTGTGTCACAGACAACTCAATTATATACTTTTAGTTATTTTTAAATGTATAATTAAATTATTATTGACTATAATAGTCACCTATTGTGCTATCACATATGAGGTCTTATTCATTTTTTCTAACTACTTTTGGTACCCATGAGCCATCCCCATTCCCCAATTATCCACTCCAGTCTCTAGTAATCATCCTTTTACTCTTTATGTCTGTAAATTCAATTATTTTAATTTTTGCTCCCACAAATAAGTGAGAACATGCAAAGTTTGTCTTTCTGTGCCTGGCTTATTTCACTTAACATAATGACCTCCAGTTCCATCGTTGTTGCAAATGACAGGATCTCATCCTTTTTTATGGCTGAATAGTACTCCATTGTATATATGTACCACAGTTTGTTTAATCATTCATCTGTTGGTGAATACTTAGGTTGCTTCCAAACCTTGGCTATTGTGAACACAGCTGCAACAAATATGAGAGTGCAGATATCCTTTTGATATACTGTCTTCCTTTCTTTTGGGTATGTACCCAGCAGTGGGATTACTAGATCACATGGTAGCTCTATTTTTAGTTTTTTGAGGAACCTCCAAACTGTTGTCCATAGTGGTTGTACTAATTTACATTCCCACCAACAATGGACAAGAGTTCCCTTTTCTCCACATCCTTGCCAGCATTTGTTATTGGTTGTCTTTTGGAAAAATGCCATTTTTACTGGGGTGAGATGATATCTGACTATAGTTTTGATTTGCATTTCTCTGATGAGCCATGATACTGAGGACATTTTCATATGCCTGTCTACCATTTGTATGTCTTCTTTTGAGAAATGTCTATTCAAATCTTTTGCCCATTTCAAAATCAGATTATTAAATTTTTTTCTTGTAGAGTTGTTTGAGCACGTTATAGATTCTGGTTCTTAATCCCTTGTCAGATGGGTAGTTTGCAAATGTTTTCTCCCATTTGTGAGTTCTCACAGCTTTTCAACATATAAAATTCCTCAACTGACTTATGGCCTCACATGAGCTTGTCACTTTTTACCAAGAATGTCTTCCTTTGTCATCTTCAGCCACAGTGGTTTTCTTTCTTGCTGTGTTCTCTCCTGCCTGTTCCGTGGTGAGCAGGTCTGTGCAAACCCACCCCCAAGGTGAGAGGCTGAAGAAAGAGGCTGACAAATTCAGTTTCTCAGAAAGAAATATTTAATAGGCTCTTACAAACAGAAGTGATATCTGGGATAACCATGCAATGGTGGGTCCCTGCATTCACTGTCCAGAAAGTATCCTTTGTATGGCAAGCTGATTACATCTCAGACTTTCTTGCTGAAACTCGTGACTACTGGGGAGGTTAGATAAGCATCTTTATGCAGGGCTATGTATGCTACAGGCATTGCTTAAAGACCTTGCTGCAGAACACCTTGGTATGCTGTGGTCAAACATCAGTTATCATGGCGAGTCTCCTTCCAGATGGAGTCACTCTTGCCATACAATGGCTGTTTTCCTACACAGACACAAGGCTTCATTTATCCTGTTTCTCCTGCCTGGAATACTCTTCCCTTCCCTTTTTACCTTTTAGCTGTTGTTTGCTTTCAGATCCTAGCTCAAGCAAAACTTTTTTCTGAAAAATCTTTCTCCGACTCTGACTAGGACAAATCCTTTATAATAAGCTTTCTACATACTATGTGCCTTTCCTTCTTAGCTCCTGTTGTGGTAGCAATTTTCTATTGATTTGTTGCTTACTTGATACATGTCTCCCTAACTAGATTATAAGCACAACTGAGGGCAGGAACCATGATTGCTTTTTTCATACTCTCAGAATCTAGCATGGTTCTTGGCCCATCATAAGTCCTGAATAAATTTTGTTGAATGCATGAGTGAATGAAGACTTAGGTCATCCCTCAAGAAAGTCCAGTCTAGAAGGCAGATAGGAATCACAACTCAAAATGAGAGGTGTGCTCTGTTAGAGATAGCAGTACATTTTTTTTTTTGTTTTCGGTTTTTTGAAGGGGGAGTTACTGAGCGATGAAATCCCAAAGCCTAGAAACCAGCACTTTAGGTCCTGAGGAATTTTAACAGAGAAAGTAATATAATCAAATACATACTTTGGACATTTTTATCTGGCACCAAGGTAGAAGATGGGTTGTACCAGACTAAGCCAAGGGGCAGGGGTACAAATAAGGGATTATTTCAATATCCTGCTGAGAGATGAAGACCTGAATTTAGTTGGAAGCCATATGGAGGAAAGAACAGATAAGAAATAAAAGATATAAAATGAGTTGAATCTTTTGGATTTAATGGTGTATTGATACGGGTGAAGGAGAAGGATTAGGTGACTGGGTGATGCCATTCATCAGGTTGGGACTGTAAGAAGTGGAATTAAATTTTGGGATAAAGGGATTGAGTTATATCTGAGGCATATGGTTCTATTGAATACCGTAGTATTGTAGCTTTGATTTTGTGTGTGTGTGTGTATGCCTAATGCTGTTAGGACTTCTTGAAACATTGTCTGCTCTTGACTCCTGAGTATATTTTCCTGGTTTTCCTCCTACCTCACTGGCTACTCTTCTGTGCACAAAGCTGGTGCCTTCATCTAACTTTTTTTTTTTTTTTTTTGAGACAGAGTCTCGCTCTGTCACCCAGGCTGGAGTGCAGTGGCACGATCTCGGCTCACTGCAACCTCCGCCTCACGGGTTCAAGTGATTCTCCTGCCTCAGCTTCCCGATTAGCTGGGATTACAGGCACGTGCCACCATGCCCGGGCTAATTTTTGTATAGCCTTCATCTAACTTCTAAGTGTTAGTGAATCCCAGGAAATAGGCCTAGGGTCTTTTGCGTCTCTACTCTACTTTTTCACCAGGTGATTTCATCCAGTCTCATTTCTTTAAATACCTTTTATACACTGGTGATTTTTCCCTAGCCTCTCTCTTGAACTCTCCAGACTAGAACACTCAAGTGCTTACTTGACATTCCTACTTAAATGTCTAAGAGGCATCTGAAATATAACAAGTCCAACTACAGAACTGTTGATTCTCTTTCCTCTCAAGACTGTTTCTCCCATAGTCTTCCTCATTATGGTATATGGTAATAAATCTACCCAGCTGTTCAAGTGAAAAGCCTGGGAATCAAAGCACCTATGTTTAAAGTATGGATGCATTTAACACCATTAACTACTATTAATCATCTCAAACCTTAAATGTCACCAGGAGTATGTGCCCAGGAAAGTCCTAGTTAGAAAACCCTCTTTACACCCAGATTAAAGAGGAATTCTCGCATCTTTTCTTCTAGTACCTGCATAGTTTAATATTTTAGAGTTAAATCTTTGATCCAATCAGAGTTGTAGTTTATCCATATGTATGATTTGGGAAATGAATCAAATTTTATTGCAGTATTATTTATAATTACAAAACATTAGGAATTATTTAAATGTCCAAATATAGGAGACTGATTGACAAAAGCATGGTGTGCACATGTGTACACACACTTCACATTCACATGCCCAGGAGTCAGCCTTGATTTCTTTCCTCCCCTTCCTCCCTCTTCCTCACATTTAGTCCATCATTAAATGCTGTTGGTTCTGCCTACAAACATATCTCATGATCCCCATTCTTGTATTTATGCCTGAGTCACCATCATTTCTTGCCTAGCCTCCAACTTCCTTTCTTGACTCCCTTTAATAGGTCTCTACAAAGCTGTTAATGTATATGGGTTTCTTTTTTCTTTTTTTCCTCCTCTCCTCTCCTCTCTTTTTTCTGAGACAGGGTCTCACTCTGTCACCCAGGCTGGAGTGCAGTGGCATGATCCTAGCTCACTGCAGCCTCGAACTCCTGGGCTTAAGCCATCCTCCCATCCCAGCCTCCTGAGTAGCTGAGATTATAGGAATGAGCCACCACACCCAGCTAATTAAAAAAAAATTTTTTTTTGTAGAGATTGCTGTGTTGCCCAGGCTGGTCTCAGTCTCCTGGCTTCAAGTGATCCTCCTGCCTCAGCCTCTCAAAGTGTTGGGATTACTGTTGCAAGCCACTGCACCCTTCTATTTTTTGTTTGTTTGTTTTAAAAGAATAACATAAGTCCGAGCATGTCACAGACCTATTAAAAAGTCTCCAGTGGTTTCCTATGAAACAAGATAAAAATCTTGGGCAGGCGTGGTGGCTCATGCCTGTAATCCCAGCACTTTGAGAGGCTGAGGCGGGAGGATCACGAGGTCAGGAGATTGAGACCATCCTGGCCAACAGGGTGAAACCCCGACTCTATTAAAAAAAAAAATTAGCTGGACCTGGTGGCGCGTGCCTGTAATCCTAGCTACTCAGGAGGCTGAGGCAGAAGAATCACTTGAACCAGGGAGTCAGAGGTTGCAGTGAGCCGAGATTGCGCCACTGCATTCCAGCCTGGCGACAGGGTAAGATTCTGTCTCAAAAAAAAAAATTATCTGGACCTGGTGGCACGTGCCTGTAATCCTAGCTACTCAGGAGGCTGAGGCAGGAGAATCACTTGAACCAGGGAGTCGGAGGTTGCAGTGAGCCGAGATCGCGCCACTGCATTCCAGCCTGGTGACGGTACGATTCTGCCTCAAACAACAACAACAACAACAACAACAACAACAACAAAAACTCAACCCTTGACCATGATCTACTGATCTAGCCAACTTTTTGGCTTCCTCTCCTGTCTCCCTTCCTTGCTCACAAACTTGTCACGAGGTTTCTTGCCTCAGAACCTTTGCATTTTCTTCACTGTTCTATCATTCAAATCTCAGTTGAAAGTCCTCTTTAAAGAGGCCTTCTCTGACTCTACAATTTAACGTTTTACCCCCCCATCTTTCTCCTAGTCACTACCACATTTTCGTTTTAATTTCTTCATAGTGTTTATCAGTATAAGAAAAATTTCCTTCCTTCTTTCCTCCTTCTGTTCCTCCTTTTATTCCTCTTTTTCTTCTTCCTTACCTTATTTATGTTTCTCACTCTTCAGATTGTAGGTTTTGTCAGAAAAGGAATTTTATCTTTTTTGTTTACATCTATACCCCCAGTGCCTGGAGCATTCCTATAGTCCTGGCACATAGAAAACATGTGAATATGAATATATCCATTCACTCTGCATGTGTATGTGTGTGTATGATATTGAATAAAGTGATTGGGTTACTTTTTATAATAAAACAATCATTAAATGCTGTATTCAGAGTGCTCAAATATAGAATATTTGAAAAGGTATGGACTTTATCCCCAAAGATTGGGGAAGGAAAAAATAACATATGGTTCATGTTGTTGCTTTGTTCAACTTTGTTTTCCTTTTTGGGCAGATTGGAGCAATAAGCAGATGGTGGGTGAGTAAAATCCTAGAAAGAAATGGTGGGGGGTGGGGTGAGAAGGAGGTGGGGCAATGAACTATATAAAGTGAAAATAATGGCGTGAGCATAGTGAAGTAAGAATTAGATCTCATCTTTATTCTGGAGAGGGGTCAGCACAAATTACATGTCAATACTCAACTCTTGATTTTCTAGATGAATGGAAGGGAAAATAATGAATGAATCCATGCTTGATTTTGGAATTCAGCCAGAGGCAGATGAACCATAGATTTCATCACCCATCCCAGGACCAAGTTCCTTTTCAGCAGCCCAAGTGGGACCATAAATGAAATGGGTAAAACAAGGCTACCCTGGTATTGCCCTATTAACTTTCCACAGTTAGCTTCATACATTCTGCTCGGTATTTTAAAATCAAAAGAGCTTCTGGTAGGAGTAAATTTATAGACAAAAACTTTTAAAATGGATGTCTCATTCAGTCTGAAACCACAGCTGTGTTCCCATAGTTTTGCCTTCCTGTTTCCCATCCTCTAACCCTAAAAATTCCTTATTCATCTCCTGGACTCTCATGTTCCACCCTCTGTGAAGATCTGCTCCACAGTTTTAGACCAAAGTGAATTCCGCTTAACGAAACTTCTTTGACACTCAAAGTTGATAGCTTAGTAATTATTCCATGAACATCTCTTACCTCCTTAATTGGTCTGGAAGCTCCCTGAGGTTATGGATATCCTATATTCATGTTATTTATTTTGTGGAGGCTAAAGCATTCCCAGCCCAGTTCTGGGCTAATGGTAGGTGTTAAAGGCAGATGGAACAGGTTATTTGAGTCCAATTCACATATCTTTGTTCAAAATGGACAACCTACCTAAGTCTTCTAGGATGAATCTTTCTCCATATAAATCATTAATGACATTTTATTTTGTATTTCTCCAGATTAATTAAAAGAGCACTGGGAAAATCATTTTTTATTTGCACATGAAATAATGTACTGCTTTTCAGAATGAAAACACTTACAAATCATTTTTATTATGAATAATTTAGGATATTTGGGACATTCATTTCTGAGTAAAATAGTTCAAAATAGGATTTTGTTGATACCTGTTGATACATATTTAGAAACAAAAATGAGATATCCTTTTGAAAGTTTGCCTTTGTAGTAAATTCAGTCATTCAAATTGTTTTCTCTCAAGACCCAAAAATGCCAGGGCATTGCCGGCTTTGAGTTTATTCTGAAAAGAAAAGAAAATATTTTAAAGCATTATTGGTTGTTTTTTAAGTACTTTTAAGTACTACATTGATCAGGTTTAAAAAAATCAGCTCCCCAATATGAGAGAAAAATACTAGCAGGTTATACAGTGAATCTCTTACCAAAATCCTCTTGACCTATGTTTTGCCCCGCTGTTTGAAATCTAAATCTGAAACTTGATTGTAGGGGGAGAGAAGAGACTTATAAAGGGGAGAGCCCTCCTTAGGAGGTGCCCTTGTTTGGAAACTGGACCCTCTAACAGCTTGGATCTTAAGGACCATTTGGGGGCAAATACAGAGAAAAGGTACAGTTAGGTCTGTGGGACAAGAGGGCTGCAAAAGGTGCTCAAAAGTCATCTAGCCATCCCCCAGCTGCTAGACATATGTGTTGTTGTTTTCACATGGCCCTAAATAAAAGTTAAGCTTTTTCAGAGCAAGAGAAGTGATATAAATGAAGGGTCTCAGATGAGGGTACAAATCCGTACATCTTAAAATTTTCACATAAGAAATGGACTCCCCAGCTATAAACTATATCAACTCTGCTGAAAGAAGAGATTTAAGAAGTAACTTTGTGATACCCTAACTGATTTGTTTATCCAGCTTGCAAAGGACAGGTATGTAGCTGAGGATGGAAGAAATATATGGGGTTGTGTGACATCCATACCATTAATGTGTCCTTCTATATTATGACCACTTCAGGGTTCTTACACAGCCTTGAAAAGTGGGTGATTTGAGGCAGGACCTCTTACTCAGGGTTCTTCCCCAATACATACTTAGGCCATCCTCCTCTAGAGGAAGATTTCAGAAGTGACTATTGCTGCTAGGAGGAACCATGTACTTTACCTTTTAAGATAGCTTAGTACCATGTATCCTTTGAGGGAGGTACCCTTCAGAGTGTTGGATGGAGATCTGATCCTGGAGTCAAGGGATTTGGGATCGCATCCATACACTATAACCCACCAGTTATATTGCCTTTGGCAAGTCACTCAACTCCCAAGTCTTGTTTTCTTTCTCCACATCTTCATGGTAGAATGCATCTGCCTATATACAGCAGTCCCCCCTTATCTATGAAGGATACATTCCAAGACCCTCTGTGGATGCTATATAGAATCCTATATATACTGTGCACAAATTACTTTTCCTTTCTTCACAGTTACACAGATAGAAGATGCATTCTTACAAAGTAAGATCTTAGCAACCTCAACATATAATTTTTCTTTCTTTCCTTATTAAGTTGAGAACTTTCACCTTTTCACTTAAAGGAAGCACTTTACAGCTTCTCTTGGGCATATCTGAATTGCCAGCATTACTACTCTTGTGCTTTGGGGCCATTATTAAGTAAAATAAGGTGAGTTGAGCACAAGCATGGCAATATGGCGACAGTCCATCTGATCACCAAGATGATACTAAGTGACTAATGGGGAGGGAGTGGATACAGCATGGAGACCCTGGGCAAAGGGATGATTCACATCTTGGGCTGGAGAGAGCAGGACAGTGTAAGCTTACACCATGCTACTCAGAATGGCATGTAATTTAAAACTTATGAATTATTTCTGGAATTTTCCATTTAATATTTTTGGACTGTGGTTGACTGGGGTAAGAGAAACTGTAGAAGGCAAAACTGAGGATAAGGGGGGACTGCTATACCTTCCAATGTACTTATCAAATGGATTTATTTATTTTATTTTAAATTTCTTTAGTGGTATTTACCTTCGCATGGTTCAAAATTCAAAATGTCTAAAATAGATACTTCATTCCTAGTGCCTTTTTCTTCCCAGAGTTTGATCAGTTTCTTGTTTATGTTCCAGAGATATTTTATGTTTATACTCCATAAGCAAATACTTATATTCAGGCATATAAAGATTCTTTTTCACAAAAGAGGTATTGGATCTACAAATGGAAGTATACTATACAAATTGTTTTATACCTTGCTTTTTAAAATTTAATGTATCTTGGAAATTGATTTCTAATTTATTTATGGTGGCATAATTTCCATTGTGTGGATATATTATGATTTATTTAACTATTCCCCTAAAGATTGTTTTCAGTATTACAGCGTTACAATGAGTACCCTTGTACAGAATATCATTGTGAATTTGTGTTAGTATAAAGCCTTTATGCAAGATTACAGAAAAAACTTGAAAGTGATAAGCACATAAGAATAAACAATAAAAGGCATGTAATAATAATTACTATTATTCCATTAAGTTTTTAATCAGGATATGTGGGTCATCTGGTTTCTGTTTAATTTTGGTTAATAGAAAGTTTTTCATTTTCAACCTTTGTTGTTTAAAAAAAAAGATAAAAAATGCCTTTATGACAGCTTCCTACTTTAGGAAGGAAGTGGGTAAATATTTAACAATATTTAGTAGGTAATATTTAACAGTTCAAGACTTTTAGTGCCAAAAGGGACACTTTGTGTATAAAATAGTCTAAGGTTTCCCAGTTAATAACTTGTAACTAGTATACTGAAGAATGAATTTTTCTTGGCATCTGTTAATGTACTTTAAGCCTATTGAGAAGATTTGATGAACAATATCTTTAATAGTTAAGGCAGGGAGAGTTCAAGGTAACTTTTGGATTCTAGTTTAGAAGAAAGCCAAGAATTATGCAAAAGGATTACAACTAAAAGTTTTGTAAGATTTATTAAGAGTTTATATATTCTCATATTGTTATTTTTGGCCATCCCTGACTCCTGGGAGTGATGGGCAGTGAAGGTCTTAGGAAGAACTTATTTTTTTGGAGGATGGGGGTGTGGAAGGAGTGGCAAAGGAGAGGGAAACTGAAGACACTGCATCTCATTTTAAACTCATCTTGGTTTAGGAGTCTAAGGGGTAGACTAGGTAATGGTAGCATTATAGCACATATTAGTATCATTTACCTGCCTTAAAAGTCAAACGCCGGGAAAAAAAATAAAGTCTAGTTACTTAAAGGATCTGATTCCTTGGATCCTTTTAATCAAGACTTTAGTTTCATCATCTAAATAACTAGAGTTATTACAACTTTTGAGATTGGTAGATTTGTAACAGAAGTAATATAGAAAAAATTTAGACATTTTTCCTATGATCTATCTAACATGCAGGCATATTTTATTGTCATATCCTTCTATACAACTTTCTTTCTTGGGTTTATGAATTTAGTTGTACTAGGCTGACTTTCAGCTTTGTCATTTTTTTTGTCCTTTAATAGTTTAGCTATTTATGGAGATAGAGTAATAGTTTTAGGGAATTCAGTGTAATGGTTCCTCTGTTCTTTGTTTTTATATATCAAAGTGCTCTGAAACCAAACCCAATTAGAGCAGGAAAAGTCAGTAAGAAAGCCGTGAAGTAAAAGACATTATACCTTTGTTTCTTCATCAAATTCTTCCATGGACTCTATTAGTTTCCCAGGTTCCAGCTCACCTAGTGGAAAGGGGTAATCGGTTCCCAAAATGACTTTATCCTAAAAAACAAAATATATATTTCTCTGTTGTTTTGTAAAACATGAAAGAGCCTCCTGTAAACAATTGTTTACTTATTACAAACATTCCTGTCATAAAAATAACACATTTTTTCCTGATTAATAGAAACATAAAACTTGTCTAAAATTTTAAAAAGATTTAATGGTTCAAATTTTATTCTGACTTTTTTTTTCCAGCAGGTGTCACTATTAGGTCTCTTTGTTGCAAATCAACCCCATTCTCTCTCTTTTTAAATAACTGAAATATAGAATACTGAAATATAAGAAATTGATATTTATTTACTAAAATATATATATTCAGATGAAATTAAGGGATTCTGTCTTTCTTAGAATGATACATTGCAATTGATTCCACAGTTTTTCAAAACATACTATTAACAGAGTAGGAAAGGAAACATAAAAAACAAATAACTCGATAAAAAGTAAAAAAAAAAAAACAAAAACAAAAACAAAAAATAGAAAAAGAAAATCCCCTATCTCTGGATCAGTTCCTATAAACAATTCCTATAAACTGGATCATAAGTTTTTGAACAGTATAGCTTTGAATTTCCATTTGACACTTTATACAATAAAATACGTAGGCTTGTCAATCTACAAATATATTAAGCACTGTGTCAGACAATGTGCTAGAATTTAGATGTACCCTTGTCAACAAAACAGACATGGTTCCTTTTCTGAAGGAACTCATAATCAAGTGAGAAAGATATTATGTCAATAATGGCAATTTATCAAAGTAAAATAAAATAAAAATTCAAACCAGAAATTTTACTTCTCAAAATGTATTCCACTCATACACTTGTGCTGGAAAGATATACAAAGAAATAAATTGCAACATTATTTGGAACAGCAAAAGACTGGCCAATTAAATTACAGAATATCTCCAAATAGAAAAGAATAAAGAATACTTACATATGCTGAAATGGAATAATCTCCAAGTTACAGTGTAAAGAAGAATGATCTTGAAGTTATAAAGAGAAATAAAGAGTCTAGAACAATGTGTCTGCTATGCTTTGATTTCTGTTTTCAATAAGGTACCTATAGACCCACAAATATATGTTTGTATATATACAGTCTATTTCAGGAATGGTATCTAAGAAACAAATAACATTAATTTCCTCCATGGAGTAGGACTAGGGCTTGGGGGTCAGAATATCCCCTTTTCTTTTTTTTTTGAGATATAATTCACATACCATAAAATTCACCCCCTTTAAAGTGTATAATTCAATGGGTTTTAGTATATTCATAAGTTTGTGTAATCATTTCCACTAATTATAGAATGTTTAAAAAAATTTTTTTCATCTTATATAACCACAGATTTTTGTCACCTCCAAAATAAACCCTGTACCCATTAGCAGTGACTCCCCATTCTTTTCTCCCTCCAGCCCTTGGAAAACACTAGTTTACCCTCTGTGTCTCCAGAATTGCCTGGTTGGTACATTTCACATAAATGGAATCACATAATATGTAGCCTTCTTTCATTTAGTTTAATGTTTTCAAGGTTCACCCATGTTATTGCTTGAATCAATACGTACCTAAGAGTGGAAGTGCTGGCGCATATGGTGAGTCCATGTTTAACATTTTGAGAAACTATTTTCTACCATGGCTGCAGCTTTCTACATTCCCACCAGCATGTATGAGGGTTCCAGTTTCTCCAGATCCTCGCCAACATTGGTTATTCATCTTTTTGATTATGGCCATCTCAGTAGGTATGAGGTGGTATCTCACTGTAGTTTTTATTTGTATTTCTCTAATAAGTAATTATGTTGAACATCTTTTCATGTGCTTATTGGCTATTTGTATCTCTTCCTTGGAGAAATGTCTACTAAGATCCCTTGTGTACATTCATGTCCATTTTGTTATCTTTTTATCATTGAGCTATAAGAGATCTTTGTGTGTTCTGAATACTAGAGCCTTATAGATACATGATTTGCAAATATTTTCTCCATTCGGTGAGTTGTCTTTTTTACTTCCTTGGTATTGTCTTTTGAAGCACAAAAGTTTTAAATTTTGATGAAGTCTTCTTCATCTATTATTTTCTTTGGATGCTTGTACTTTTGGTGCCATAGCAAAGAAACTATTGCCTAACCCAAAGTCACAAAGATTTACACCTATGGTTTCTTCTAAGAGTTTGTGGTTTTAGTTCTTCAATTTAAGTCTTTGATCCATTTTGAGTTAATTTGCATGGTGTAAAGAAGGAGTCCAACTTTATTTATTTTTTTTACATGTGGATATCTACTCTTATCTCACTATCATATGTTGAAAAGACTATTCTTTATCACACTGAATTGTATTGGCACCCTTGTTGAAAGTCAGTTGATCTTTATGTCTGTCTTTAGGCTAGTCCCATAGAGTCTTGATTACTGTAGTTGTGTAGAAAGTTTTGAAGTTGGGAATGTGACTGTGCCAATTTTGTTTTTTCTAGATTGTTTGGCTATTCTGGATCCCTTGCATTTTCTTTTTTGAGACGGAGTTTCACTCTTGTCACCCAGGCTGAAGTGTAATGGTGCGATCCTGGCTAACTGCAACCTCTGCCTCCCGGATTCAGGCAATTCTCCTGCCTCAGCCTCCCAAGTAGCTGAAATTACAGGCACACGCCATCACACCCAGCTAATTTTTGTATTTTTAGTAGAGACAGGGTTTTGCCATGTTGGCCAGGCTGGTCTCAAACTCCTGATCTCAGGTGATCCACCCACCTTGGCCTCCCAAAGTGCTGGGATTACAGGTGTGAGCCACTGCACCTGGCCCCCTTGCGTTTTCATATGAATTTTTGGATCAGCTTATCAATTTTTGCCAAAAAAAAAAGACATCTGGAATTTTGATAGCAATTGCATTGGATCTGTAGATCAATTTGGGGGGTATTGCCAGTTAGCAACATTAAGTTTTTGAATCAATGAACATGGAATGTCTTTTCATTTAGGTCTTCTTTAATTTTCTTCAACAATGTTTTGTAACATATATATATATTATATATGTTATATATATATTATATATATAACATATATATATTTTTTTTCTTTTTTGAGATGCAGTCTCACTCTGTTGCCCAGGCTGGAGTGCAGTGGCACAGTCTCAGCTCACTGCAACCTCCACCTCCTGGTAAGCTATTCTCCTACCTTAGCCTCCCTAGTAGCTGGGATTACAGGTGCATGCCACCACACTCGGCTAATTTTTTTGTATTTTTAGTAGGGATGTGGTTTCACTGTGTTAGCCAGGATGGTCTTGATCTCCTGACCTTATGATCCACCCGCCTTGGCCTGCCAAAGTGCTTGGATTACAGCAGGGTATATATTTTGTGCCTTTTTTGGCTATATTTTTCACAAATGTTTTTCTTGCTGATGCTATTATAAATGGAATTGTGTCCTCAATTTCATTTATGGATTATTCATTGCTAACAAATAGAAATACAATTAATTTTTTATTTATCTTGTACTCTCTAAGCTTGCTGAATCTATTAGCCCTAATAGTTTCTTTGTGGATTCTTTAGGATTTTCTAGATACAAAGCCGTCTCAATTGCAAGTAGAGAAAATTTTTTTCCTTCTCTTCCAATCTAGATGCTTTTTCTTTGTTTTTCTTGCCTAATTGCCTTGACTAGAGCCTCCAGTACAATGTTGAATAGAAGTGATGAGAATAGAGCCTTTCAGTCTTTCACTATTAAGTGTGATGTTAGTTGTGGGTTTTTCATGATGCTTTTTATTAGGTTGAGGATGTTCCCTTCCACTCCTTGTTTATTGAGCTCTTTTATATTTTTTGAAGCATTGGTGAAGAATTTGTTTTAATTCTTTTTTACATTTTTCATAGAATTCACCAGCGAAGACATCTGGTCATCAGCTTTTCTTTGTGGGAAGATTGAAAATTATTAATTCAGTATCTTAATATAGACCTGTTTGAACTTTCTATTTCTTCTTCAGCCAGTTTTGTTAGTCTTTCTAGGAATTTCATAAATCATTTAGGTTATTTCATTTGTTGTCATATAGTTGCTCAAATTTTTACTTATAATTCTTTTTATTTCTGTAAGTTCTGTAGTACTGCCGTCCTATTTCATTTGTGATTTTAGTATTAGTAATTTGAATCTTTTTTCTTTATTTTTGTTGGTCAGTCTAGCTAAAGGTTTGCCGATTTTGTTGATTTTTTCAAAGAACCAAATTTTGGTTTCACTGATTTTCCCTATTGTTTTTCTATAATCTATTTCTTTTATATCTGCTCTAATATTTATATATATTTTTCTGCTTGCTTGGGATTTAGTTTACTCTGCATTTTCTAGCTCTCAAGGCCAAGTCCTAGGCCACCGAATTAAGGTCTTTCTTCTTTTTTAATATAGGCATTTACAGCTATAAATTTTTCACTAAGTACTACTTCTAGCTGCATCCATAAGTTTTAGAATGTTGTGTTTTTGTATTCTATTCATGTCTAATGTTTTCTAATTTTCCTTGTGACTTCTTCTGTCTAGTGTCCTTCCATTTTAGCCTAAAGAACTCCCTTTGGCATTTCTTGTATGGCAGGTCTACTAATGATGAATTAGCTCAGTTTGTTTCATCTAGAAATGTCTTAATTTCTCCTTCATTCTTAAAGGATAGTTTTGCTTGAAATAGAGTTCTCACATTACAGGGTTACAGTATTTTTTCTTCTTTCTTTTAGTACTTTAAATTTGTCTTCCACTGCCTTCTGGCCTCCGTGGTTTATGAGGAGGGCTAAGGATAGAATCATAGGAATCATCAACATGGTGGGTGGAGTGATTGCAGAAATGGAGGACAGGGGGAAAATGCCTACAAAAGAGGCAGAGAGAGACAGGGAGGTGGAAAGAGAACTAGAAAGAAGTACTATCTAAAAAAATATGTAGCCAGCACAGTGGTTCAAACCTGTAATCTCAGCACTTTAGGAGGGCGAGGCAGGAGGATCACTTGAGCTCAGGAGTTCAAGACCAGCCTTGGCAACATAGTGAGACCTTAATAAAACAAATTAGCTTGGTGTGGTGGCACACACCTGTAGTCCTAGCTACTTGGGAGGCTGAGGTGGAAGGATTGCATGAGCCTGGGAGATGGAGGCTGCAGTGAGCTATGATTATCCAGCCTGAGTGAAAGAGCGAGGCCCTGTCTCAAAAAAAAAAAAAAAAAATGCAGTGTGATATATTGGAAGAAAAGGTATTTAATAAGTAATGATTCACAAGAGACAAGAGGAAGACAAAGATAAGGACTGGATAGTGTCTGTTGGATTTGGCAGCTTTATTAAATGCAGTTTCAGTGAGTGATAAAGAAAAAATCAAATGCATTCAATCAAAAGTAAATGGGTGGTGAAAAATGCAAATCTAAGTGTTAACTACTTACTTCTTCTCTGTCATTGTCACTCTATTTGTGCTGCTTGGGCAGTCAGTCTCATCCTAAGCTTCAAGCTCTGGTATGTGACTGCCTGCTGGACAGCCACACTTGGCTGCTTCACAGGCAATTAAAACTCAGCATGTTATGCTAATATTGAAGTTGTCATCTAAGTATTTACTCAACATCATGTTCATTTCTATTCTGTCACTCTCATTCTTGCTTTTGCTCTCTTGGCCTCTCCCCCACCTTGATCCACCTTCATTCTGGATATCTGCTGCTTGCTCTTCCAGATCAACTTTCCATCCTTCTTCACTCCTACTTGTCCCCTGGAGACTGACTTGTATGAAGTATACAATGGACTCCCTTGACCCTAGGCTTCCAGATGGATTTAGTTAATGAGCAACACAGGCAGGAGATTGTAGAATGAAAGGAAAGTACTTAATTACCTAGCGCCTTCCATGGAGTCATCTAGCCTCCAACTAGAAGTCTCAGCTCCTGTCCACAGGGATTTATTTATTTATTTATTTATTTATTTATTTATTTATTTTTTCCACAGCAATAGAAACCTAAGACTTCAGCACAGGCCCTTTTTACAGAGCCTCTCTAGCTTCAAGTTTTGGCCTGGAATAGTAATGGAGCTTTTCACAACTTTGTCAATAATCCCTTTATTAATTTCCCTTTACTAGTTTAGTTTTCCCAATTCATGTATGTCATCTTATTTTCTGCTGGAGCCCTAAATGAGTTACACTGTTTTCCAGTTATACCCGATTTTTTAAAAAAAAAATACATGTAAGGGGTACAAGTGCAGTTTTGTTATATGGAGATATTGCATAATGGTGAAGTCTGGGCTTTTAGTGTAACCATCACCTGAATGATGTACATAGCACTCAGTAAGTAATTTCTCATCCTCACCTCCATCCACCCTCCCACCCTTCCAAGTCCCCAGTATCTATTTTTCCATACTTCATGTCTGTGTGTACACATTATTTAGCTCCCACTTGTAAGTAAGAACATGTGGTATTTGACTTTCTGTTTCTGAGTTATTTCACTTAAGATAATAGCCTCCAGTTCCATCCATGTTGCTACAAAAGACATGATTTCATACTTTTTATGGCTGAATATTATTCCATTGTGCATATATATGACAGTTTCTTTATCCAGTCATTTACTGATGGACACTTAGATTAATTCCATTTCTTTGCTATTGTGATAGTGCTGTTATAAACATACAAGTGTAGGTATCTTTTTGCTATTATGATTTCTTTTCCTTTGGGTAGATGCCCAGTAGTGGGATTCTGAATTGAATTGTAGTTCTATTTTTAGTTCTTTGTGAAATTTCAATACTGTTTTCCATAAAGGTTGTACTAATTTACATTCCCACCAACAGTGTATAAGCATTTTCTTTGCATTTCCTCACCAATATGTTATTTTTGACTTTTTAATAATAGCCATTCAGATTGGCATGTGATGATATCTCATTGTAGTTTTAATTTGCATTTCTCAGATGATCAGTGATATTAAACATTTTTTCACATATTTGTTGGCCATTTGTATGTCTTCTTTTGAAGTGTGTCTATTCATGAGCTTTGACAAAGTTGACAAAAACATACACTGGGGAAAGGACACCTTTTTCAATAAATGAGAAAATTGGATTGCCACATACAAAAGAATGAACTCGGACCCCTATCTCTTACCATATATAAAAATCAACTGAAGATGGGTTAAAAATTTAAATGCAACACCTGAAAATATAAAAATACTAGGAGAAAACTTAGGGAAAACTCTCCTGGGCGTTGGTCTAGGCAAATAATTCATGACTAAGACCTCAAAAGCACAAGCAACAAAAACAAAAATAGACAAATGGAACTTAATTCACTAAATAGCTTCTGCACAGCAAAAGAAATAATTACCAGAGTGAAAAGACAACCTGCAGTATGGGAGAAAATATTTGAAAACCGTATACCTGACACAGGGTATTAATATCTATAATTTATAAGGAGCTCAAAGAACTCAGCAAAAAACACCACACAAATAACCCCATTAAAAATTGAGCAAAGAACATGAATAGTTATACAGATATGTTATGGTTTCCTGACTAGTCTGAACTCCTATTTTTTATTCACTAACTGATTAATGAATGTGGTGGAATTTTTTTTTATTTTGGCAGAATTTCAAACTGACAGAAATGTTGCAAGAAAATTCAGGAACCTTCCATGTAATCTTCACCCAGATTTAACAATTGTTTATACTTTGCCATCTTTGCTTTATCATTTTCTCATAGATATTTATGTATATATACACACTTCTTTGAGCTATATGTCAGTTGGAGATGTCATGGCTCCTTACTCCTAAATAAATTAGTGTTTATTTCCTAAAAAAAGGGATACTTTTTATATGACCACAGTATACTTCTCAAAATCAGGAAATTTAACATTGATAACAGTGTTATTTCGTTATCCATAGTTCATATTCAAATTTTGTCAATTGCCCCCATAATGTGATTTATAGCTAATTATTTTTCTTAGTCGAAGATCTAATTGATGATCACATATTAAATTTAGTTGTTATGTCTCTGAAGTTTCCCTTAATTTGGATCAGTTGGCCTTTTTTGTCACTCTTCATCTGGGATATTTTTGAAGATTGTAGATTAGTTATTTTATAGAATGTCCTCAGTTTGTGTTTGTCTGATGTTTCCTCGTGATTGTGTACAAATTACGCATTTGGGATAGGAATACTACCGAAGTGATATTGAGTCTTATTCAGTGCATTATATCAGGGCATATCATGTCGGTTTGTCTTAGTATTGGTAATTTTGATTATTTAGTTAAGTTGGTGTTTGCTGGGTTTCTCTAATGTGAAATCACCATTTTTTTCTCTTCATGATTAATAAGCAATTTGTGGGGAGCCACTTTGAGATCATTTAAATATCTTGTCCTTTTCCAACTTTCATCCACTGGTATTATCATTCAGTAATAATTTTCTAACTATTGTTATTTCTATATTCATTATAAAGAAGAGATTTCTTCATATATACAAACACATTAACTTATGTAAATTAAATATATATGTTCACCTATTTATTAATATATTCATTCTTTTTATTTATATCATTTTGGACTCATGGACTTAATTTTATCCAATTGGTTATAATTCATTATTATCACTGTTTATTTTGATAGCCAGATCATCTCAGGTTTGCTCAATGTGAATCACCTCTTCAGGTTGACTCCTGTATCCTTATGCTATTTCCCCACCATTCTTTGAGTACAGTTACCCTCAAGACCAAAGTCTTCAGATGCTCAAATCCTATATATAAAATGATGTAGTATTTGCATATAACCTATGCACATCTTCCTGCATACTTTAAATCATCCTTTACTTATATTACCTAATACAATGTTGCTATGTAAACAATTGTTATACTGTATTATTCTTTATATTTGTATTTGTTATTCTGTTATTTTATTTTATCTTTAAAACTATTTTTGACCTGTTGGACAATTCAGTTGGTTGAATCTGTGGATGTGGAACCTGTGAATACAGAGGGCTGACCGTACTTCCTTACTTTCAGGTACAAAATGTTCTAGCTCACTTTATACTTTCTCTGTCTTGGAAACAGCCTTTTCTCCAAGCAGACTAGCTTCCTTTGATGGAAAATGGTAACTAGAAACCAAGATCTGGGCGCTGTAAGTGATAACTGCTACTGATGTGGAAATACCTGCCTCACACACACATATCTATATTTCCATATCTTTCTATATTAAAAACCATGTATTATACCAATATATCCATTTCCAATCCAAACACTGCAGGGTACCTTCTCATCTTCTTCCTACTCTTCAGATTTCTAATTACCTTATCCAACAGTGAGACACCTGCCATTTTACTCATGTTGTTTCTTCATTTGCATGAGCCTAGAATGCACATGAAGTATTTTCAGAATTGTTAACCCACACCACTGCAAAAAGCAAATCTACTAGCTAGCATTCAATGTCTTTTTTAAAAGTAATAGTTACATAGAGTAAAACACAAATTCTTGAGTGATGAATTTGCTGATTTTTGACAAAGAATACACTGGCATTGCCCACATCCCTATCAAAATACAGCACATTTTCATCACCCCACAAAGCTCCCTCATGCTCCTTCTTGGTCATTCTCTCCTCTCAGTTCTCCCACTAAAGGTAATAACTTGTCTTTTTTTTTCACCGTAGACTAGTTTTGCCTCTTCAAGAACTTCATATGAATGGAGTCATACAGTATACACTCTCTGGGATCCAGCTTCATTCATTCAGCCTTTTGTAAGAGTTATCTATGTTGTAGTGTGTATCAGCAAATTATTTTTTTCTTTTCTGTTTTGTTGTTGTTTTTTGCTGAGTAGTATTCCATTTTGTCAGATATATGGTAATTTGTTTATCCATGCTTCTGTGGATGGACATTTAACACTTTTTCCAGTTTTTGGCTATTTGGAATAAAGCTGCCAAGAACTTTTTTATACAAGCTGTATTTTTGTGTGTGGATATGTATTTTCAGTTCTCTTAGGTAAATACCTAGGAGTAAAACTGTTGGGTGATAGGATAGGAGTATATTCTACTAACAATGTGTGAAAATTCTGGTTGTTTTACATCCTTGCTCATAGTTGAGTTCTCAGTCTTTTTTGTTTTTGGCTATTCAGTGGATGTGCAGTGTTTTCTCATCATAGTTTAAATTGCATTTTTCTGATGAACTAATGATGTTGAGCACCTTTAAATATGTTTATTGGCTAATTGTTACCTTCTTTTTGGGAGTGGCCATTTAAGCCTTTTGCCCACTTTTAAATAGGATTGTTGGACTTTTCATCATGAGTTTTAGTAGTTCTTTATAAATTTTGGATATAAGTCCTTTGTCATATATATGCTTTATGAACATTTCCTATCATTCTGTGGCTTACTTATTCATGTTGCTAATGTTGTCTTAGGATGAGCTAAAGTGTTTAATGTGATGAAGTCTAATTTGTCAAATTCTTCTTTATGGTTTTATTGCTTTCTGCATCTTGTCCAAGAAATTTTTGCCTGCTTCCAGGTTGAAGAGATATTCTTCTATATTTTCTTCTTGAAGCTTTACTGTTTTAGCTTTTTTGTTTAGTTGTATAATCTTGCTCAAATTAAGTTTTGTGTATGGCTGGTATGAGATAGGGTCAGGGTTCATTTCCCCCCCATATGATGGATTCTTGCTTCAGCACCATTTGTGAAAAGGCTTTCCTTTCCCCATGTAATTGCTTTCGTGTCTCTGTCAAGAATTAATTGACCGTATAAGGATGAATATATTTCTGGGCTGCACACGGCAGCTCATGACTAATCCCAGCACTTTGGGAGGCCAAGGTGGGAGGATAACTTGAAGCCAGGAATTCAAGACCAGCCTGGGCAACATGGTGAAACCCCATCTCTACCCAAAATACAAAAATTAGCCAGGTATGGTGGTGCATGCCTGTAATCCCAGCTACTTGGGAGGCTGAGGCAGGAGAATCACTTGAACCTGGGAGGCACAGGTTGCAGTGAGCCGAGATCGTGCCACTGCACTCCATCCTGGGTGACAGAGTGAGACCCTGTCTCAGAAAGAAAGAAAGAAAAAGAATGGATATATATCTGGATTCTTTAGTTTATTCCATTAATCTATTTGTCTTTCCTTATGCCAATATCACACTATCTTGATTGCTGTTGTTCTGTAGTAACCCTTGAGGTCAGTTAATGCAAGTTTTTAACTTATTTTTCTTTTTCAAGATTATTTTGGCTCTTCTAGTCCTTTGTATATCTGTATACATTTTAGATTTTTAGATTTAGCTTGGATTACATTGACTCTATAGATCAATGTGAGGAGAATTGATATCTTAACATCGTAGAGTTCTCTGATCCATAAACATGATAGAACTTTCCATTTATTTAGATTTTTAAAAATTGCTCTTAGCAATATTTTATAGTTTTCAGTGTAGAGGTCTTACACATCATTTCAGTTTATTTCTGAGTATTTTTTTAAAACACTATTATAAATTGAATTGTTTAAAAGTTTAATTTATAATTGCTTGCTGCTAGTATATAAAAATACAACTGATTTTTAAAATATTGCCGTTATGTCCTGCAATCTTGCTAAAGCCACTTATTAGTTCCAGTAACTGCTTTGTAGGGTCCTTAAAAATTTATTACATAAACAATTATGTCATGTCATCTGCCAAAGAGACTATTTACTTCTTTGTATGTATGCCTTTTTACTTTTTCTTGTTTTCTTGTACTGGGTAGGATTGCCAGTGCATTGTTGATTGGAAGGCGTGAGGGTGGACATGTTTGCCTCTCTCCCCATCTTAGGGAGGTGTTTAATATTTCACCATTATGTATGGGGATAGCTATGATTTTTTTTATGACAATCTCTATCAGATTGAGGAAGTTCTTTTCTATTCTTAGTTGCTGAGTTTTGTTTTATTAAAAATCATGGGCCGGGCGCAGTGGCTCACGCCTGTAATCCCAGCACTTTTGGGAGGCTGAGGCGGGCAGATCACGAGGTCAGGAGATCGAGATCATCCTGGCTAACGCGGTGAAACGCCGTCTCTACTAAAAATACAAAAAATTAGCCGGGCGTGTTGGCGGGCACCTGTAGTCCCAGCTACTCGAGAGGCTGAGGCAGGAGAATGGCGTGAACCCGGGAGGCGGAGCTTGTAGTGAGCCAAGATGGCGCCACTGCACGTCAGCCTGGGCGGCAGAGCGAGACTCTGCCAAAAAAAAAAAAAAAAAAAAAATAATAATAATAATGAATGGGTAATGAATTTTGCCAAGTACTTTTTATTCATCTATAAAATGATCATACTATTTATTTCATGAATATGGTGAATTACACTGATTTTCAAAAGTTAAGGCCATCCTATTCCTGGAATTCCAGTCTCATCCACTTCAGTCAATACTAAATAGTGGAGAAAATGGTCTTTTAAAAATACAAATTTGATCATGGCATATCTCTGCTTAAACCCTGTCAATAGTTTTCCATTGCCTAGAAGGTAAAGCATGGCATAAGCAGCCCCCAATAAATGTGAGAAATAAAGGGGTCCCGAACCTTTGTGGGGGCAGAACTTTGTGGTCTGATGTGACTAGCTGCTTTTCCTCGGGAAATAATTCTTTTCCTGATAAAATACTTGAGCAATTTTCTAATAGAGTAATGAGCTTAAAAGACCCTCTCGGGAAACCCACTCGACTGATTATTACTCTTGAAACTGGTTTAAGACCTTTAACCAATAAGGCAAAGAGGCTGTCATCCTTAACTGGATATTATTTTCCTTCTTTAAAAAATCTAGTTTAATAATTTATCTGCTGATTTTTTTCTCTATAAAATGTGTTTGTAAGAAGGATTCTTTGAATTGGACTTTTGAGCATGTTTCTTATTTTGATACAAGTTTAGAATAAAACTCTGATACATGTTCATAATCAATATGACAGCTACTTTAACAAATGTGTGTGTGTTGAAGGAATGCATGCTTGAATATATGAAAGATGAAGTCTGACTAACTAGACCTGAAAAAAAATCACATATCTAACATATGTTTTATATATATTTATATATTATATATATTTACATATATATTTTATATATAAATATATATATTTACATATATATTATATATAATATATATGTAAATATATATTATATATAAATATATATTTACATATATATTTATATATATATATTTAAATATATATATAAATATAATATATAATATATATATTTATATATATATTATATATAAATATATATTTACATATGTATTATATATAAATATATATATGTATATATTTTTTGAGACAAAGTCTCACTCCATCACCCAGGCTGGAGTGCGGTGGCATGATCTCCGCTCACTGCAACTTCTGCCTCCGAGGCTCAAGTGATCCTCTCACCTCATCCTCCCAAGTAGCTGGGACTACAGGTGTGCACCACCATGCCTGGCTAATTTTTGAATTTTCCGTAGAGACAGGGTTTCACCATGTTGGCCAGGCTGGTCTCAAACTCCTGAGCTCAAGTGATCCACCCACCTCAACCTCCCAAAGTGCTAGGATTACTGGCTTGAGCCACTGTGCCTGGCCTAGGCCTGAAATATTAAATATATTTTAAATACTGTAAATTTGAGCTATTTGAGGATAAATGACACTTTGATTTCTACCCCCAAAAAAGATTTTCCTAGGTTTTATAAATACATTTATATGAAATAATATGGGAAAGTATATAATACAGTTTAGAGGAAGGCCATGGTAGACTAACAAGTCTTATTTTTAGATTTCTGTACTCATTGCTGTATGAAACCAAACAAATACACCTGCTGATAATAGTCCTAAAGTCCCAAAGTTATGTCTACTTACATCTGTGGCAACAGCTGATCTCATTCTGAATTGTCTGCTTGGTATTCACTGGAAGTTCATTTGTCCTTATTTCTAAACTCCTCTTGCTAAAGCTGTTTACAATTCCAAAACACAACATAATATTTAAAAGTCCCTTGCTTTCACTACATTTGTCAACTACATTAACATGAAAATGAAGTCTAGAAATTAATTTTGCCTTCTAGTCTGGAATTCTTCCATTTCCAGTATTATGGCCTTCTTGGATATAAATATATTTTAAGAAGGGGTATATTCCATTTTAATATGGAGAAAGCAAATAATTCTGAAGCAGAAATGAAAATCACCCTTCTGCAATTTGTCCTTCTGGTTAAGACACTTCCCTGCTTTCCTTCCTAACTTGATTTTGGATGCCCATTGCAGAACATCACACTCAGAGTTTGGCAATGTTGAATTATTATTTAGTAACTATTGTTCACAACTCCTCCCTGTAGGAGGTTAATTATCTACTTGTAATTATGTACAAGTAGATAATTGTATGTACTTGTATTTGGCTTGTGAATTTTTCATTTTTCATACCTGTTATCTGTCTGTACATCTCATTGAAACTTCTGGTAAATCTTTGACCATTTCTGACTTGTCAGTAATTTCGCAAGAGAGAAAGCGATAGGCATACAAAATTGGAAATGAAATTTTTATTGAGTTTCTTGTTCAGAGGGAGAAGAGATAGTAGCAAGAAAAAATGGGAGGGAAGAGATTCTTCAAGAGTATATGATCCTGTAGGATGAAGGTCACATACTCTATTGAGTAATGCCAGTCTCCTGTTGATTGATGCCTAATAAATACTTGGGTTAAAATACTTTTTTGGCTGGGTGTAGTGACTCACACCTGTAATTGTAGCACTCTGGGAGGCTGAGGTGGGGGGGATCACTTTCAGCCAGAAGCAACCTATGTTGACCAGTCTGGGCAACATGGTGAGACCTTGTCTCTACAAAATCAAAAATTTAGCCAGCCATGGTACCTGTGTCCCAGCTCCTCAGGAGGCTGTGGTGGGAGGATCACTTGAGTCCAGGAGTTCAAGGCTGCAGTGAGCTATGATCGCACCATTGTACCCCAGCCTGGGCGACAGAGTGAAACCTTGTCTCTAAAAAAATGACTTTTTCTATTGCTAGTTCTATCACCTGTTATTTCATAACTGCAAATTGATTATGTTTTAAATGAATTACATGAGGAATCCTGGGTTAAGGAGTCATATGATATGGCCTTGGATGACTGTTGATTCCATTTCCATTAACCTTAGCTCCTTGGGATACCCAAAGCTGTCCTCACATCTTAGGTTCCCAAATAACATATCTGATCTTGGCCTCCCAAAAGCTGAAATTTCTTCTGTTTTTTTTTTGTCTGTGATC
Organism: Homo sapiens; assembly: GCF_000001405.40. NCBI lineage: Eukaryota > Metazoa > Chordata > Mammalia > Primates > Hominidae > Homo > Homo sapiens. Next base: position 134,883,255 of record NC_000002.12, on the reverse strand, counting down.
CCAGATCCTATTCCCTTGGTATCCGTCATAATCATGCACCAGTTTTTAAAGATATCTGTGCTAATGTAGCATTTGACAACATCTCCATTTTAGTAGGGCATTTCTAAAGACTGTATTAAACCCCAAGGAATAATTCTAATGATGGACATTTTAGGTACCATGGCTGCCTCATCTGGAATCCTGGAATTCTACCTTCTGGACAGGTGCTGGCTTTCCTTATTAGGCAGTAAAGCAGTGGATATCAACACTTTGCTCCAACATACATTTCCCTCTCCAAAGCCAGCAGCTGCACACATCTCCCTATGAGGTCAAGGACTTACTGAGCTGATAATAATAGTGATTAATATTCCTGTCAGGGAAAAGAAATAAACTTCTCACCTGCTGGGATGCATGAACTTTTTCACATTTTTAGGGAGTTCTGCAAACACAAAGATGTGGCTTACAAAATGGTTCTAATTGTGGGAGAAAGTTTCATTTTTTCTTCTGGAAAAGGAACACTTAATTATCTTCCCATTAGCATATCTCATTAGTAGCATTTGCAGTAAATACAGCATACTCTGTTATAACATAACTTAATCCAAAAATTCTAGCATACCAGAGATTTAGTTTGTTCCCTGAGACATAATTTCCCAGAGAAAGAGCCTGGTTTAATTCAATCAATGCAAAGTAAAATTAGCTTTATATTCCCAAGATCATTATACAATTCAGTTAAACAAACATTAACTTAACACCTACTATTTGTAAAGTGCTGGAGTAGGTAATGAAAATCTCTTGACATTTATACAGTCCTTTGGCATAGTATTATGTTAACTCGTCACACCAACTCTGCCTGGTTATCATCCCCATTTTAGAGTTGTAGAAGCTGAGGCTGAGAAGGGTAAGTGACTTGATATTTGGTCACCACCTAACTAGTAGTAGAGCCAGGACTTGAACTCTCTCGCTTACCACAACTTCTTGAGAAGACAGAAAGGAAGGTTACAGGCTTCAAAAAAGTATTTTTACTCTATTGAGGATTCCAGTACACAGGAAAATATCTTGTAACCAAAATACTTGGAAGCCTAAGTATTCAAACAAATTTAAATGTCAAGTTAGGTGGGAATTAGGCAGGTACCCTCCCCCACCTTTTTTTGTTTGTTTTGAGACCAAGTCTCACTGTACCTCTCAGGCTGGAGCGCAGTGGTGCAATTTTGGCTCACTGCAATCTCCACCTCCCAGGTTCAAGTGATTCTCATGCCTCAGCCTCCCGAGTAGCTGAGATTACAGGTGCCCGTCACCACGCCTGGCTACTTTCTGTATTTTTAGTAGAGATGGGGTTTCACCATGTTGGCTAGGTTGGTCTCAAACTCCTGACCTCAAGTGATCCAACCACCTCAGCCTCCCAAAGTGCTGGGATTACAGGCGTAATCCAGCTAATTTTTTTTTGTATTTTTAGTAGAGACAGGGTTTCACCATGTTGGGCAGGCTGGTCTTGAACTCCTGACCTCAAGTGATCCTCCCATCTCGGCCTCCGAAAGTGTTGGGATTATGCGCAGCCTGAGAAATTCTTTGTTTTAAGCCATGTTGGAAATATTTCTAATACGTATGGTATGGTCTGCTGCCTACAATAGCTGTGGGTATATTCAAATCTTTCTTTAATGATAAATCACTTTTCAGTGCTTTTGGATCACCCTTGCCCTTCAGAACCCCTTGAATAGAGTAGTCCTGAATATGAAAGATGTAGAGGTACAGAAGGGGGATGGTGAAGTTTTATCCATTGGGCCTGAATGATGTCCAGCTTAGGTTCATCTTCTTACTCACAGATCAAATGCCCAAGACAAGATCATATCTCTGCTTATTGTTGTAAAAACTGACAGTGTTGCTCCTAAAAGTGAACCGTTTCTTTTACTACAAAATAAAAATACTTTCTATTTTACAGAACAAGAATTTCGAGATTCTCCATTAAAAATAAAGAAAAGGGCCAGGTGCAGTGGCACATGCCTGTAATCCCGGAACTTTGGGAGGCTGAGGCAGGCAGATCACCTGAGGTCAGGAGTTTGAGACCAGCCTGGCCAACATGGCGAAACCATGTCTCTACTAAAAATGCAAAAATTAGCCAGGTGTTCTGGCTCATGCCTGTAATCCCAGCTACTCAGGAGGCTGAGAGGCACAAGAATTGCTTGAATCGGGAGGCAGAGGATGCGGTGAGCTGAGATCATGCCACTGCACTCCAGCCTGGGTGACAGAGTGAGACTTTGTCTCTAAATAAATAAAGAAAGTGAATAACATATGAATAGATATTTTGGTTGGGGTGGCGGAAAGTCTAACTTGCAGAAACAGGCCCGTTAAAAAAAATTGAGGTGAAATTCACATAACACAAAATTAACTGTTTAAAATGTACACTTCATCGGCATAGAGCACATTCACAGTGCTGTGCAATTATTACCTCTGTCTTGCCCTAACAACTCCAAGAGTCAGGCACTAAAACATTGTACATGCTCAAAAAGTATAGACACATGAGGAAAGCATTTAATATGAAAGACCGAGACTTTAAAAAACAGACAAAAAAGCCACCTGGAGGAAGACTTGCAGGGATAATCAAACTTCCTAAAATTCTTACTATATTCAGAGAGATAAGAAAAGGTATTGCATCCACCCAACAAGGACAGGATATTAAAAAAAATTCAGAGAACAAGAAAAATAATAAGCTTTTGGAAATTAAGAGACCAACTAAATAGAAGCCTTTTTAAATAAAGTTGAAAAAAATCTCCCAGAAAGTAAAACGAAAGTTCAAAGAGGTGGTATGTAAGACAGAAAACAAAAATAGGTTCTACTTTAGAACAATAGGAATTCTAGAGAGAAAAAGCAGAGGGAAGGAAATCATTAACACATAATTTAAGAAAATTTACAGAATGAAAGGATCCACCAAATGACTAGGGTAATGGGTGAAAATAGACCTATATCAAGTAGTATCATTGTGAAATTTCAGGACAAAAAGAAATCCTTAGACTCTTTGAAGTTGTGGTAAGGAGAAGAGAGAAGCAGGTTTTACACAAATTTCAAAAATTAGGATGTCATTGCATTACCCAACAGCACCTCTAAAAGCTGGAACACAATGGAACAATGACTTTAAAATTCTGAGGGAAAGAAACGACTTCCAAGCTAGAATTGTTACCTAGCCAAACAATTAGGTCATTGCGAAGGATGAATACAGACATTTTTAGATAAACAAGGTTTTGAAAAGTTCATCCTCCATACTTCCTTCTCTGAAAGTTATTGAAGGATGTTGTCCACCAAGATGAAGGAGTAAAACCAAGAAATGGGAAAATCATGAGATTCAGCAAACAAGGAATCCAATGAGAGAGATTGAGAATATCCTCATGAAGAGAGATTTCAGGATGACAGATGTGCAGCAGGTTTAAATAGCAACTCAGTCCCAATTAGAGCATCAGAAGGCTCCTGAAGATATTTCTTTAAGAACACAGAATTAATGGACTAGTGTTAGTCTATGCGTCTGAATGTACTGAGAGGAAAGTTACAAAACTGGTGGAGAGTTTAGGGTTAAGTTTGTGTAAGTAGCATGTAAATAAAATAAAACAAGGAAGGAAAGAAAGAAGAAATTGGTGGTCTGCAGTCATCTTATTGAACCTCAAGAGAAACCCTGAGCCAGAATTGCCAAGCCAGAGGGTTCCTGAATTCCTGACCCAGAGAAAATGAATGAGATAGTAAATATGCATTCTTGTTTTAAACCACTGGGTTTTAGGTTAATTTGTGATGCAGCAGCATGTAACGAATACAGAGTTTGGTTCCTGGAAATTTGGTGCTACCATAACAAAAACCTGAAAATGTGGGAGTGGCTTTGGAACTGATTAGTAGGAGGAAGTAGGAAGGACTTTGAGAATAATAAAAGACCAAAGGTCCTTGTAAAGACTCTTATTAGAAGCCCAATGGCCTGTGAGAAGGTTGCAGTAAAGGCTTAAAGGAGAATGGGGAAAATGTGATTGGAAACTAGAAGAAGGGTGATCCTTGCTATGGTGGTGGCAAAAATTTAGCAATGCTGTCAACTACAACAGGGGTCCCCAACCCCTGAGCCATGGACTGGTACTATGGGGATTGTTGGGTTTGAATATTTCCAGCCTCTCCTATAGCAAATGATGCTAAAGTTAAGATACGGATTTCTGGCAAAAACTAAATCCAGGGCATAATCAGAAAAATAGAGTCTAAAAATTAAGCCAAGATGTGACTATAATGTCTTTGTTATAACCTCAAAAGATTTAGGAAGTGCCTCAAAAAGCCATTCAGTCAAACAAAAAGGGCTTCTCAGAAGCTTAAGGCTGTTGTCTCTCAGCCACCTTAGCAGAAACCCAAAGGTAGAGAAGGGCTTTTCTCAGAGATTTGTGGCTAAGTCTTTTGCCTAATGATGTGAAACTTAATAAGATTCATGAAAGACTCATTTGGTTTTTAAAGGAATTGTATTAGAAGCACCACCAGCTTGGACTGAAAGGAACAGATATAAAAAAGGAAAGTAAACCTTTGGACTATAAAACATGTACAGGCATTAAGCAGTCTGTACAAACTGCTCAGCCACAAACACAGGCTTTTATGGAAAAGGAAAGATGACTGAGAATGTAGAAGCAACAGCTATGTTGAATTGGCCTGGCACAGTGGCTCACACCTGTAATCCCAGCACTTTGGGAGGCTGAGGTGGGTGGATCACTTGAGTCCAGGAGGTCGAGACCAGCCTGGGCAACATGGCAAAACCCTGTCTCTACAAAATATACAAAAATTAGCCAGCTGTGGTGGCATGCATCTGTGATCCCAGCTACTTAGGGGACTGAGGCTGGAGGATCCCTTGAGTCTGGGGAGTGGAGGTTGCAGTGAGCTGAGATGGTGCCGCTGCACTCCAGCCAGGATGACAGAGCAAAACCCTGTCTCAAAAACAAAACAAAACGAAAAGAATGTTTTTGTTGAATGGTTTCTATGCTTTGAGTTCTAATAAAGGAACTACCAATATGTGCCTGATGGATTTCAGACTTGCTAGTGGCTAGTGACCTCCTCTGAAGCTCTTGTTTTCCCCTTTTGGAATGGAAAGGATAGCAAGTATCCTATGCTTGTCTCGCCATTTTATATTGAGTGTGTGAGGAACAAAGGAACTTGTCTGTTCAGTTCACAGTTCTTCAGATTTGGAGAAAGTATACATGAGGAGCCTCATACACCAGTTCATCTAAGCAACAAAATCCTAGACTTTAAAGTGATGCTATAAATGGATGAGACTTTTGGGGCAGTCTTGGTAGGGGTGAGGGTGTTTTGCATTTAGGAGGAATATAAATAATTTGTGGCCAGAGAGTGGAATGAGGTAGTTTTAAAATATGCCTTCAAATCCTTTGATAAGCCTCCCTTCAAAAGGTGGGATCTAATTCTACTCCCCTTGAATGTGAGCTAGATTAAATGACGTGCTTCTAATGAATAAAATGTGATGGAATTAATACTATATGACTTCTGACTCTAGGTCATAAAAAGGATAGCTTCTCTCTGGTGTGTGTTCAATCTCTCTCTATCTTTTTCTCTTTTCCCCCCCCTCTTCTTCCCTCCCTCCCTCCTGTCTTGATTACCATCTCTCCCCATTTCTCTCTCAGATCACTCACTCTTGGGGGCATCCAGCAGCCATGTTGTGAGGACACTCAAGCAGCTGTGAAGAGGTGCACCTGGAGAGGAACTGAGGCCTCCCACCAAAACCAAGCACTGACATGCCACTCATGGGTAAAATCCACCTTGAATGTAAATCCTTTAGCCCCAGCCAAGCTTTTAGATAACTACAGCCCTGACTGACACCTTGCCTGTCTCACCTCTTGAGAGATTTTGGGTCAGTTAAGCTATTTCTAAATTCCTAACATATAGAGGCCATGAGAGATAATAAATGTTTATTATTGTTTATGTGGCTTGTTTTAAGCCACTAAGTTTTGGGGTAATTACAGTCATGCATCACATAATGATGTTTTGGTCAATGACAGACTGTGTATGTGATGGTGGTCCCATAAAATTATAATGGAGCTGAAAAGTTTCTATTGCTTAGTGATATTATAGCCATCATAATGTGATGCATTATTACTACTATTATTATGTGCAATGCATTACTCAAGTGTTTGTGGTGATGCTGGTGTAAACAAACCTATCTCTTCCAGTCTTATTAAAAGTACAGCACAGATAGACTGGGCGCAGTGGCTCATGCCTGTAATCACAGCACTTAGGGAGGCCAAGGTGGGTGGATCACCTGAAGTCAGGAGTTTGAGACCAGCCTGGCTAACATCGTGAAACCCATCTCTACTAAAAATACACTGGGTGTGGTGGTGCATTCCTGTAATCCCAGCTACTTGGGAGGTTGAAACACAAGAATCGCTTGAACCCAGGAGGTGGAGGCTGCAGTGAGCTGAGATCATGCCACTGCATTCCAGCCTGAGTGATAGAGTGAGACTGTCTTAAAGAAAAAAAAGTATAGCACAGATAATGATGTACAGTATGTAAGACTTGGTAATGATATAAATGACGATGTCACTGGCTTATGTATTTACTATGTTATCCTTTTTATCATTATTTTGGAGTGTGTTCCTTCTACTTATTAAAAAAAATTAACTGTAAAACAGCCTGAGGCAAGTCCTGTAAGAGGTATTCCAGAAGAAGGCATTGTCGTAGGAGATGACAGCTCCAGCTGTGTTATTGACCCCGAAGACCTTCCAGTGGGACAAGATGTGGAGGTGAAAGACAGTGACGATGATCCTTACCCTGTGTAGGCCTAGGCTAATGTGTATACTTGAGTCTTAGTTTTTAACAAAAAGGTTTAAAAAGCAAAAAAAAATTCTCTTTAATATAAGAGAGATTATCAGGATATAAAGAGAAAATATTTCTGTACAGCTGTATAGTGTGTTCTTATTTTAAGCTAAGTGTTATTAAGAGTCAAAAAGTTTAAAAAATTTTAAAAAGTAAAAAAGTTACAGTAAGCTAAATTTAATTTATTATTGAAGAAAGAAAATTTTTAAAAAATTTAGTGTAGCTTAAGTGTAGGGTGTTTATGAAATCTACAGTAATATAAAGCAGTATCTTAGGCCTTCACATTCACTCACTATTCACTTACTGACTCACCCAGAGCAACTTCCAGTCCTGCAAGCTCCATTCATGGTAAGTGCCCTATACATTTTTCATCTTTTACATCTTATTTTTACTGTACCCTTTTTATGTTTAGATATGTTTCGCTACACAAATATGTATCATTGGGTTACAACTGCCTACAGTATTCAGTACAGTAACATGTACAGGTTTGTAGCCTAGGAGCATCAGGCTATATACCATATAGTTTAGGTGTGTAGTAGGCTGTACCATAAAAGTTTGTGTAAGGGCACTGTGATGTTCGCACAACCACAACATTGCCTAATGATGCATTTCTCAGAACATATCTCCACTGTTAAGTGATGCATGACTGTAATTATGCAGCGGTAGGTTACCAATGGATCTAGCCAGAATTATGATATACTCATAATGAGCGTATGACCGACCTCTCAAAAATCTATCCACTTAAATAGTGAAGTGTATTTTCTGTGATCATGTTAATATAGGGAGGCAATATAGTTTTCCATTTTTTTGTATTTCTCACAGTGTTAGACTGATAATCTATAACCTGCATTCTTTGTATCCGTCTTTAAAAATCAAAGCAAAGAATTTAAAAGCAAAAGAATTTTAGAGGTGGAAGGAAGCCAAGAGATTATGCAACCAAGAGATTATGCCATTTAAATACTTTCTGACCAAATAGCACAGGGTTTTAGAAATAGCAGGTGCTCAATAATGGTTTTGGTTTTTTATATATGACATGTATCTGTGTATTCTTAAGATGTTATTTAAAATTTATATTTATCAAAGTAAAGTTTATACATAAACAATCAAATATTACTAAAATATCTTTATTATCAAAAGCAGCTCTTTTTTAAAAACACTTTTTGGGTCAGTTATGGTGACTCATGCCTGTAATCCCAGCACTTTGGGAGGTTGAGGCAGGCAGATTGCTGAAGTCCAGGACCTGCTGGGCAACATGGCAAAACCCTGTCTCTACAAAAAATAAAAAAAAGAGTTGGGTGTGGTGGTGTGTACCTGTAGTCCTAGCTACTTGGGAGGCTGAGGTGGGAGGATGGCTTGAGCCTGGGAGGTGGAGGTTGCAGTGAGCTGTGATCACGCCACTGCGCTCCAGCCTGGGTAACAGAGTGAAACCCTGACTCACTTTCCCAACTGTTATCCCCTAAGGCAGCCACTTTTACCATTTTAGCATGCATCGTTTGATAATTACCTTTATATTCCCAGATAATAAGCTTATACTATTGTTTCTTAGTTTACTAACTTTAGAGAGTATTTACTGATTTCCCATTATGATCATTGAGAATTTCTTTCTTACTCTATTTTCTTAATAGAATTATGATTTTCATTTAAACCAGTACTAATATTTACCCTATTATGACTACAAATATTGCTCACTGCTGAGTCAAGTAATATACAGTGATTATCTGCCCTCATGTAGATTTTTTGTTTTCTTGGAGTTGATTATTTCCTTTTCTTTCATTAGCTTAATTTTCTATGTATATCCTGCATTTGTTCCTAATGCATCAACAGATCTGTTAAATGTCTGGCAATAATTGTTTCCAACTCTCAGACAGATCAAATAATTCATCAGTTCCATTATTTTCTTTCTAGAGACCTCCCTCCACGGCATTTTGTCCTCTTGCTCAAATCTGGCCAGGTTGCTCTCTAGCCCAGATGTCTAGCTAGGACTTTCCTTAGCCATTCTGATATGGGGATTGTTTTTAAAAGCGAATTTGCTAATGTGAATATGACTAGAATGAAGAAGTATTAATATTTTAAAAAGAATCCTAAATTATTAATATATACCGCTTCTATGTCCTGGATTCACCTGCCTGTGAGATCACATAAAATAAGGTCACATTTGCTTTTGATGCCCAAATTATTATAGCTCAAGCTTTCACAGTTTGAATGTAAGATCTCAGCATCAAGAAGTTTGTAAAGTACCTGCTGAGTTTTTCTGGAGGTCCCTAATAGGAATATATTCACACGTGCTCACCAACTAGTCCATCCACTGGTTAACATGAAGCATTTGCCATATTTTTCCTCTTCTGCTCCTGTCCCCTGGCCAATGTGTATTGCACTGGGTGCTCGCTGAAGGTGCTGATAGTATCCCTTAGAAAATGGGCTTTGGATTTGGCAATGGTGTTTTCTCCTGGTGTTTTCAATTTCCAAGAATACTAGTAAGGAGGTACTAGGCTTGATGGGATGTAATAAGAACAGCCCTTCCCCCAATTCCACATGATTTTCCCTCTTCCTTTCCTCCATTGCTCAATGTCCAGAGCCCACAAAGTCTCTTTCAGTTTCTGCCCTGTGAAGTCTTCTGCTTACATGCCTTCTCATCACTCTCCATCCAAACCAAAAACAATCAACAGTCACAACCAATTGCTAACCATCCATGTTTGCAGGGGTGACACAAAAGCTAAACAACTCAGAGGCACAGCTCAACCACATAATTGATTACCAAGCTAAAATGCTTAATATTTATATTCTGGTTATTTTCTCAAGCCAGAGAAACAGTCAGCATTAATATGAGATAAAGTGTCCATTCTGGAGATAAACCACTACTTGCAACTTTCAAATGATGGGCCTCTTTTTGCTCGACATGATTTTTTTAAACCTTAGAGTCTAAACTCAAGTACCATATTGCAAATTTTTAAATATGTCTATATACTTTTAACCCCAAAGATTTTTCCCTTGGGAAAATGTGGAAATCTTCTATAGATATCTGTTAATAAGATGGAATTGAAATACAAAATATTTTAGACTTTTCACTATGGCCTTTTCCCTAGAAATTCTTGAACTTGCTGAGTTAGCATTTTTAAAGAATACTTAAAGGGTGGGTGTGCCACCAACAGAGAGATTGGCGAGGAGACTACATCAGAGGAAAGACTTTTTCTTGTGCGCTTTAAAGTACCACTATGCTGGTGTTTTAATTAAATGAGAGAATCAAAAGCCATATTATTCCAGGAAGAAATCTCAGGGCATGATACACAAGACCCTTCATCATCTTCCCCTGACTCCCTGTCCAGCGCAATTTCCCAACTATGCATTTTCCACACTTTCAATGTTCCAGTTTTCTCCATGTAGTGGATGAGGACAGTTGTATTCACAATTTACCCAACTAGTGAAAGGTAGAGCCAGGATTTTAACCCAGGTCAATTTGACTTTGAAACTTGTGCCCCTTTCCTGCTTACTACATTGCCATGTGTCATTTTGGGTGCATATAGGGATGTCGCTAAGGAAGAGGAGCTGATCTGGGGGAATACCCAGCCATGTAGATGATCTGGGATTTCTCTGGCATATATAATAGTTTCTTAGTGTTATGTACTCTGTGTGGAGGGAGACCCTGGAGAGAATCCCCTGTGTGAGCAAACCTAATCCCAAACCTCACTGTCTCTCTCCTTTCATCTAATACCTTTCTTCCATCCCTTTTTTGGAGAGAGGCCAAAGGAGAGAGAATGGGTTGCTGATGCAGCATTCTGCTCCCCATAAGCCATCCAAGTGGCAGACTGGGCTTACCTTTCCTATGACATCTGTTAACAGCTTGAGGGACAGAGGATCATGAACCAAAGCATCTGTGTAAAAGGAACCAAGGTATTTCTTCGGGTTCATGGGGTTGTCCTGGGCACACAGATCTGGGCGCATGCTGAATCCATGGGAGATTCTTCCCACTGTGAAGGGGAAGGCACCACCTGCAAGTAAAACCCATTACTGAGGGGCTAGTGTTGATTGTAAAGGATTCCTTTAGTCTTGATGTTATATGCAAGAAGTTACTGTAGGCCAGCTGATTAACAGTAATTACAGAGGACCTATTGTGTTCTGAATGCTGGGAGATGATGGAAGAAATGGCATTAACTCATCTAGAAATTCAGATTTGAGAAATTCATCTTAAAGAGAGAAGACAGGCCAGGCACAATGGCTCACACCTATAATCCTAGCACTTTGGGAGGCCAAGGATGGCAGATCATGAGGTCTGGAGATCGAGACCATCCTGGCTAACACAGTGAAACCCCACCTCTACTAAAAATACAAAAAAATTAGTTGGGTGTGGTGGCACATTCCTGTAGCCATGGCTACTCAGGAGGCTGAGACAGGAGAATCGCTTGAACCTGGGAGGTGGAGGGTGCAGTGAGCCGAGATTGCACCACTGCACTCCAGCCTGTGTGACAGGGTGAGACTCTGTCTCAAAAAAAAAAAAAAGAGTGAAGGCAAGTGTGTAAAGATATGTAATCAAAGTTTTCAAATATAGTGTGATTATAATAGCAAAATATTGAGACAACCTATCAGTCGGGGGCTATCTGAGTCATGATGGCATATCCATGAAATATAAGGCCATACATGACACCATAAAAAATGATGAAGCTCTGTATTTGTTGACCTGGAAAGATGTCTTCTCTATGCTGTTGAGGAGGAAAGGCATGTTAGCGAGTAACATGTGTAGTTTGATTGTGTGTGTGTGTGTGTGTGTGTGTGTGTGTCTGTCTGTTGAAGGGTCACAAATTCAACTACCTATGGGGACCAGGCAGACAATGTAAAAGAATGAAATAGGCCTATTTGTAAACAATGAAGAATAGTGGGGACTATTGTAGACTGGAGAGCTCATGATCTAACTAGAGGGATTTAAATAAAAAAAACAGAAAAAAAAAAAACAATGACAAAACTAAACTTGCCTACAAAAGTAGAATTTGGTTCCTAAACCATCATGTGACTAGAATGATGGCTGGAAGGATGTTACGAACTGAATTCCTTCAAAACTCATATGCTGAAGCCCTAATGCCAAATGTGACTGTGCTTGGAGAAAGGACCTTTAAGGAGATAATTAAGGTTACATGAGGTCATAAGGTGGGGCCTTAATCCAACAGGACTGGTGTACTGATGTCCTTGTAAGAAAAGGAGGAGAAACCAAAGGCCATGTGAGGAAGGTGGCCATGTGCAAGCTAGGAAGAGAGCCCTCACTAGAAACCAACCCTGCCAGCACCTTGATCTTGGACTTCTAGCCTCCAGGACTGTGAGAAAATAAATTTCTGTTTTCTTACAGTCACCCCATCTGTGGGATTTTGTTGTGACAGCCTGAGCTGACTAATAAAGATAGGGTCTTACCACCATGTGCGAAACACACTTTCAGTTTGGGAAACTTCTCAAATACTCCACCCATGATCATGGAGCAAATGGCTATGGTGGTCTCTGCTGGCATTCCTGAAAGAGGAAATAGTCACAAGGTTCAGGGATGATCACCCCACCAAGAAGAATTCAGTGATGTTAGTGGCTGGGGAATTGTCAGTGCAAAGAAACTTGAGGCCCTTGTACCCTGGCATAGTTTGGCTGTATTATATAGGACATTACTTTGGCAAGGAGAACCACGTGAAACTTCCTACTTGCCACTTGAAGGGAGAGTCATCTAATGGCTAGAGAGATTGAGGAGCCAGAGGACTTGGTTTTTGCCCTAATTCCCCCGACTTCAGTTTGGGATGCAGTGGGACAGATGGAGTGTGCCAAGTCCAAGCTGGACCCTAGCTCCTCCAGTTTTCTGCCTCCTGGCCTCTGGCAAGTTATCTAATGGCTCTGAGCCCACATTTCATCTGTAAGATGACGTCTGTGTTGCCCATTTTGCAAGACTGTTGTGGAGCCTTGCAAATAATGATGTCGGCCAAGTTCCCGGACAGAACTTCACAATGGAGGTGCTCAACAAAAATATTAGCTGTCTCTCTCTCAATTTCCTCATCTGTAAAATGGTGAGTTCCTGCCAGTGAGTTGTTTTGAGGATTGGCAGACAGCACCTGGCATTTAGTAAGGGCTCACTAAATATTAACTATCATTATGGTCATTCCTGCAAAATCTTTGCTGCCTCTGGTAGCTGAGATTGAAAATAACTGGATTAAAATGAATTATTTCAAGTGCTTTGTGCTCCTAGGAGAAGCAGCTGGTCCATGTCTAATGCCTTCATCCCTGAGGAGCCAGTCCAAGCTACATTGCCATTGACTGCTTTTCAGACCATGACTCAGAAATCTGACCGCTCCACAGCTGTGCCCTGCACCTTCTGGGGAAGCCTGACTCTGTAGGCTGCGGAGCTAGGCTTCACAGGATGCTCATTCTGCCCGGGGCTGGTCACTGCTTCACAGGCAGAGACGCCCCTGGCACCCAGCTGCCTGGGAATTCTGGAAGCATGATGGATTTGTACCCATCTGGAAGCAGTTTGTGGGTAGAGCTTCCTGAAGGCAGAGAGATGGATGGCATCACTTTCTTCTAGTTCTGTGACTCTACTTTCCCATAATTACTTGAACCATAACCCCACAATCCATTCTCCATATAGCAGTCAGAGTTACGTTCATAATGTGAATTGGATCATGACACTTCTCTGCTGGGAATCCTCCAATCCACTAATGACCACCTTTGCATCCAGAATAAAATTCCAAAATTAGCCTGTTTTCTTGTGATATATATATATATATATATACTTGTTTATAATCTCTTTCCTCTAACCAGAATATAAGCTCCATGAAGGCAGAGGTTTTGTTTGTGTCTATATCCTCAGTGCCTCGGACAGGGCCTGGCATGCTAGAAGGAATCAATGTATTTGTGTTGCATAAATGGATGATGAAATGACTCTATATGCAGATGCTCTCCTGTTGCAATATAAATAAGTTTGTGGGCTGGGTGCGGTGGTTCACTCCTGTAATCCCAGCACTTTGGGAGGCCAAGGTGGGCAGATCACTTGAGGTCAGGAGTTTGAGAACAGCCTGGCCAACATGGTGAAACCCTGTCTCTACTAAAAATATAAAAATTAGCTGTGCGTGGTGGCGTGCACTTGTAATCCCAGCTACTTGGGAGGCTGAGGCAGGAGAATCACTTGAACCCGGGAGGCAGAGGTTGCAGTGAGGTGAGATCACACCACTGCACTCCAGCCTGGGCAACAGAGTGAGACTCGGTCTCTAAATAAATAAATAAATAAATAAATGAGCTTGTGGGACTTATCAGAGTTTTGTGAATAAGGGTGACATTTTTCTTTGAAGCTTGATGGCACTGGGCATCTTGGGTTATCTCATCCTATTAATTATTGCCCAAGAATTTGGTAGGGGATGAGTAGGAAGCCTCCTTACTAAATACTTTGGTTTCCAACAGCAATCACAGGAATATATAAAACATGAGCAGAAAGAGGCCTTTGGAGAAATCTGGACCAGCATTCTCATTTTACGGATGAGGGACCACGGCCCATGGAGGTAAAGTGATTTACTACAGGCAATACAGTGAAATAGAGACTAAATTGAAACTAAAATCCCGGTTTTTGACTTCCAATATATTGCCCCATTTAATTCTTCATGGTGATTGCCATTTCGATTACTTAATAATTACTAATTGTACTAGTTGGGCTGAGGAGAGAAAGAACAATGGTCCCCTTAAAGAAAATCCAGGCCGGGTGCAGTGGCTCACACCTGTAATCCCAGCACTTTGGGAGGCTGAGGTGGGTGGATCACTTGAGGCCAAGAATTTGAGAGCAGCCTGGCCAACATGGTGAAACCCTGTTTCTACTGAAAATACAAAGATTAGCTGGACGTGGCATTGTACCCCTGTAATCCCAGCTATTTGGGAGGCTGAGGCAGGAGAATTGTTTGAACCTGGGAGGTGGAGTTTTCAGTGAGCTGAGATTGCACCACTGTACTCCAGTCTGGGCGACAGAGTGAGACCTTGTCTCAAAAAAAAAAAAAAAAAAAGAAAAAAATATCCAGCACTTTTCATTTGGGGACCAAGTTTTCATTGGGTTTGTAGATGAGCTGTATTTTTCACCTATAGCTCCAGAATTTTACATCTGTTCTCTATCTCTTCTTACCACAACTGATGATGAGAGATTGGATAGAGCAAATGGAGCTTTCTCCTCTACCCTTTCGTGGAACTATGGATAGTGCAGGAGGCAAAGGGCAGAAGAGAGGAGCAGATAACAGGCAAATTGCAAGCCTGGGTCATCTTTTATATAAGATTTCAGATCTTTGGGTGGTGGAAGTTGACCTTCTACCTTTAATTCTAGGGTTCTCATTTGTATGAGCTGATGCTATTATCATCGTCTAAAAAATTTACTAGACAGGTATGGTTACATTTTTTGAAGCCTCTTTGGGAGTCTGTGTAGCAAGACTGGCTTTGGAGTCAGATATATCTGTGTAAATTACATTTTCATGTATTAACTGTGTGACCTGGACACCTTACCTAAAAATTCCAAGCCTCAGTTTCTCCATCTGTAAAATGATCATTATAATGTCAAACTCATAGATTAAATATATGATTTATTTATGATGGTATTGGATATGTTTAAAATTAAATGAGGTTATATATATATATATAGCATTAATCCAAGTAAGAGCTCAGTAAGTGATAGCTGCTATTACTCATAATCCTGTTAATTATTCATACTTTCCCTATTTGACATAATAGGTTTCCATAGATGATTGGAAAAACCCAAGAGTTGGTCCTCTGTTCCAGACCCCACACAGACACAAACCTACAAGCCAAGGGAGCCAGTATTTGGCCATTCGTCCATCCATCTGCATGTCCCAGGGATGCACGAACAGGGAACACTTCAGCCTTTCGGCTGCCTTCAAAGAAGCAATGAGAGAGAGAGAGAGGGTTACTTTGATGAGTGAGCAGATACCAGGTACTGTTTTGGGGAAACTGCTTTTCTCTGAGTCTATATTGGTCTGCACAAATAAACTAAAATGCTTTTTAAGTTGTTTTATGATCTATATAGAAGAGATATTGACAAACTTCTCCTGCTTAGAAAATAAAAGGGACACTTGGAATTAACAAAGGGGGTTGGTAGATTTACCATTGAGGTTGATGAACTTAATATATCATCTGGTAAAACAAGCGTCAGGAAATATCCATCATTCAAATGTTTTGGCTGACAGCAAAATGCTCAAGGACTAATCCCACAGCTGAAATGTAGGGGAAAATTTCCCCTACATTTGGCTCCTTCTGGCTCCTACTTGGTCTACACTTTTGGAAGGACTGCTGAGATTGTATCCTTGGAGTCAGGGCGAGAGTGCCCCCTCCTTTTCCCCACTTGGAAACCAGAGTTTGTGGAAAGTGAAGAAGTGATGTGCTGGAGCCAGAGGCTCAGTGCTGGGCTGGGGCTGGCTGGCCTGACCCAAGCCACCTGGTTACTCAGAGCCCAGCACTGGGTGGAATCCCTGGGGTCTACAGGCATTCACCCATCCCCAGAAGCCCAGATGAGTCTCTGAACAGTTGGCTGTGAGTGAGATGACCTCAGAAATGGAAGAGGTCAGTGCCTTAGCCAGACAGGCACTGACATGAATGTCATAGGCATGCTCCAGGGCCTTCTGAGAAATGGAAATACCATCTGGATGGAATGACCTTTATGCAACAAAAAGTTTAATTAAAAGAAGTCTCCTCAACAGGCATTGAATATTAGTGCTCGTCAAGATTCAAAAGAGATTTCCCTTAGAATAATTCCTCACCACATATATTGAGGTTCTGGAGTGATTCATCCTACCCTCATACATAAATGTTTGTGCTAACCAGGCTGATGCAATGTGACTTGTGTACATAAGCATTTTTAAAATGGAAAAGCAATTCTGGGACAACAAGGGATTCTGGAAGTGTCAGGAAAAGGGTAAGTTGAAGAAAGGACTTTTAATTCAACAGGTCTTGGGTAGCAGAAGAGATATAAGCCTTTTAAAGAGAGAGAAGCTAATTGGTTTCTGATAATAGGTGCCTGTTGGAAAGAAAATATTGACCTCTTGGGATGGTTTGGGTTTGGCAAAGGTGCATGGTCATGGTATCTCAGTGGGATTTGACTCCTCATTTGGATACAAGTTTATTCTATGTGCCTCTGGTGGTTCTTTTCTTTTTAAAATTTTTCCTTTTTATTTTTTTGTTAACTTTTATGTTAAGGGTACATGTGCAGGTTGGTTATATAGGTAAATTGCATGTCACAGGGGCTTGGCATACAGATTATTTTATCACCCAGGTAATAACCATTGTACCCAATAGGTAGATTTTTGATCCTCACCCTCCTCCCACCCTCATTTCTGTTCAGTTCAAATTAACATATTGTTGATCTCCTTCTATATGTGGGGTTTGTAGAGAATAGAAAAAGAAGTTATACTCTCACAATTATAATTAACATTGACTGAGAACTTATTATGTGCCCAAGCTGTTATAAGAATTTTATAATTATTAACTAGTTTAATTTTTTGTGAGATGCGCACTTTTACTACCCTCATTTTATGGAGAAGAAAACTAAGGCAGATAGAAGCTAACTTACTTAGGCCTTGTGGCTGATAGATGGTGGAGCTGGGCAGTTGGCACTACCATTCAGTCTGCCTTATACCAATAACGAAGTTGTTTTTGCAACTGAAAACTGACCTGAGCATGTATGATTGGGTTTACTCACTAAAAAGGGAGGTCTAGGAGATAAAGGGGACAGTTAGACCTTTGGAGTACCAGGATCACCTTGAGATGACAAAGCCAACCTGGCTCATGATAATTCATTTCAGCACATTATTGACGCAAACTAGAGAGCAGAGAGGCAGGCAAACCTTGCTAACCAAACAAATATGCTGCCACCCCCAGGACATCATAAGTCACCTGGGGACAGGATGTGCTCCTGAATCCCTTCAGAGACTGGATGTCCTCAAAACAGCCCAGTTAGAAGGATTGATGGGTCGAGCTAGTCACACAAATGAAAATATCCATGTGGACCTCAACCGGCTGCTGTTGCTTCCTAAGTCCCTTAGTAATTCATAAACCCAAATCCAATGAATGCTAAAATGACTTGCAGCTGAAGTCTCGATCACACTGTGCTGAAACAACTTGGATGCATAAGTAAATAAATCCTCTTTCAAAGCTCATTAAAGTTTCTAGAAAACATTCACTGCATCAGCTAAACCACTGCAGCCAGTAAGCTTCAGGGAGTTCAGTATATTGAGGAACATTAAATCTTTCAAGTCATTAGAAGGCAATTTAACAGGCAATCTCCTGACTGGTGGGCAGTCGCCATAGATACAAACATGGAAAATTTTTTGCCTGTAGTTAGACCTCAGTAAATACTAAATGAGTAAATGATCAGTAGTCACAGTGCCTGGTGAGTCCACAAACATCTATTTAAGTCATTATTAAAGATTTTGCATTTATAATGAAAATAATAGAAAGCAATATTATTATAATTCTAGGAGGGAAATAAAAAATTAAAAAATGCAATTGAGTAAAGAATTATGCATCATGAATCCTGGTACTGAGATGAGAAGGTTTGGTTATAGAAAGAGTTGAAAGTGGAGGAGGAAGAAGAAGACTGATGGAGATGACTGTGGAACTATGGACACTTGAAGTTGGATATTTCAGAAATGAATGGCACTGAATTTTTGAACATACATTTTACCATGAGATATTTTAAGTATAGAAAGTATAAACAATAACACAATGAGCATCCCTATACCCACCACCTAGTTTCATCAAATGTTAACATTTTCATGGTATTATTTTTTATTAGGTATTTTAAAGTACATTTCCAAAATATATGACTTAAAAATATCTTAATTACAGATTGGTTAAATAAATCAAAGCATAGCCATATATTGGAATATTCTGCAGTTATTTAAAAATCGTGCATTAAAAGAATTTTCACTTATGTTGGAAATTTTTAATTAGCATACAAAATCACATGTGTAACAGAATTTCAGGTTCATTAAAATATAGATATATGTATATCAAGAAAGTAACTATGTATGGTAACAGTGGCTACTCATCTTTGGGAGGCTGGATTATGGGTAATGTTTGTTATCATCTTTATACTTTTCTGTATTTTCGATAATTTCTTCCAAATTATTTCATAATTTTGAAAAATGTTTAGTATTTTTTTTCCAAAGCAGATTTTTTTTTTTTTTTGAGATGGAGTCTTGCTCTCTTACCCAGACTAGAGTGCAGTGGCACAGTCTTGGCTCACTGCAACCTGTCTCCTGGGTTGAAGATACTCTCATGCCTCAGCCTCCCAAGTAGCTGGGATTACAGGGGTGTGGCACTACGCCTGGCTAATTTTTTTGTATTTTTAGTAGAGATGGGGTTTTGCTATGTTGGTCAGGCTGGCCTCGAACTTCTGGCCTCAAGTGATCCGCCCACCTGGGCCTCCCGAAGTGCTGGGATTACAGGTGTGAGCTGCTGCACCTGGCCAAAATATATATATATATTTGTATGTCATTAACACGATTCTTTTGCACAGTGGCTGTAAAGAGGGTATTTTGTCTTCCAAGTGAAAGATTAAAAGGAGGGCAAGGGGGATGGAAAGAAAAGAGATTTCACTGTTAACTCAGTGCTGGCCTAGGAACCCTTCCACCAGTTCCTCTTTGGAATGGCCCACTCCTTTGCGGGGGCTATTTCCACACCTTCTACCTACATCAAACAAGTCGTGGACACCGCTCTCCCCTCCCAGTGGGGTGACGCTTCACCTCCTCCCTGCCAGCACCCAGCGGTGCCCCCGGCCCAGGCACTGGGCGGCTGGCGTTGGCTGAGCAGCCCCGCTACTCACCGCATAGACAGGAAAGAGCTCCTGCGCGTTCAGGTCCCACTCGTTGACGTGGGTGCCAATTTGGACCCCGGGAAAGCCCAGCTCTTTCACACAGCGCTCCATCTCCTTGACCGCCAGCTCAGGGGCCTGCATGGGCAACGTCCCCAGACCCACGAACCTCCTGGGGTAGCTCACAACGGTGCTGGCAAGGTCGTTGTTTAAAAGCTGGCACAGGTTTAAAGTGTCCTCAGGTTTGGCCTGGTGGAGACAGGAAAGGGAAAACCGCATTGTTGAAAACCTACTTCTTTTAGACATTCACTCTGAACAGTGCCTCCTCATGGCTATAATATTTGTCATTTTCAGTGGCTTTACCACATCAGAAAACAGAGGCACAGATTGGGAAAGGTGCTGGCCACAGACAACCGAGAAGCCAATCTTTGTAAAGCAAAGAAAACTGCAGGTATATTGCTGATTCATTGGAAAAATTGAGGCCAGAATCAGAAGGGAAGAACACAATTACTGGCATGGTATCCCAACACTAGAGATGGAATGAGCATGGGCCACTGCCAACTGCAGAAAGATCTTAATGCCCCCCTACCTCCCAGGAGGTCGGGCCTGGCCAAGGGCCCCAGGCCACCATCAAGGCACCTCCTTGTCATGCCCCATTGAGGGCCGCCAGGCTGGCTCACTGACTTGTCCTGCCCCTGCCTGTCCTCCTCTCTGTCCTTCTTGTTGGCTGTGACATTCAGGGCTGTCCTTGGCAAAATGCTGAGGCAGTTGAAGTTTACTGTTGGTTTTCCTAATGCTCCCTTCTTCACTGTTTACTTTCCTCTGTCACCCCACTGCCCACTGCCAGGAATCTGGTCCTCTCCTGCAGCCTCAGTTGTCTAATCAGAGTGGTAGCCAATCTGATAAATTCAGGCATTTTGAGGTCTCAGGGCACTTTTAAGTAGTGAATGCAATCGCAGGAACAGGCAAAGACTGAGTCACTCACTAATACTGGATTTATGAACACAGATCACGGAAGTATGTATGAACAGGTGATATTTCCACTGCTCCTTAAATCACGAGAGTGAGTATCTGCTTGGATGAGCAGGGACTAGCACATTCCCGGCTACGTACAAAAATTTTCCTCCACAGGCTGGAAATCATGCCTGAAACTTTTAGTGCTTGAGATTTATTCACTTGGGAAAGGGCATCCCACTTCAGGATTACCCTTCTGAATTGTGTTTTTCCCTTGGAGAGGTGATATATTAGGTCATGATTATTATTCCTACCTCAAAATCATTCTCGTCTCAGAAGATATTAGCTTGTCAGTTCCCCGGCAAGGCATTGCAGGAATGAGTCACCAGACAGGTAAGTTCTGGTGGAGATTAAGGCTGGTCTAGTACCACTGTACAGTGAAACTATAATGCAAGTCACATAGCAACATGTGACTACTGGCTACCGTACTGGAGCAAAGACATGGCTAAGAAGACAGGCCTGAGAGGGGACCCTGCTGATCGCTAAAGGGGAGGACAGTTGTTGGGGGCAGTTAGTGGTACTGGTGTCCAAACTTGAGGCATCTGTTCACTTTTTGGGAGCTCAACACGAACCTTCAACACCAAGGAGATGGCTTGAGGTTTCACACTCACCCAGTAGCTAAACATGACAGGAACTGTGGAAAGGGCTTGCACTGTTACTCCTAGACATGGACACAAAGAAGGGCAAAGCTGGTGAGAAGAATAGGCTGGGCACTCCTTCCTTTCCCAAGGCCAAGCGGCAGCAAGCCTCCACCCTAAACTCCTCCTGCTCTCCCTCCCTGCGTCCCTCTCAGTCCTCTCCCTGGACCCCCCTCAGCCCCCAGCCCCAGATTCTAGGGAAGTAAGTAAAGATTGGACACAAATGAGATCATTCAAGGAAAACTAACTGACCCCATTTCCAAAGAGTTATTTCTGCCCTCCTTCCTGTGAAATTTTATTTAAGCAAGACTTTTTCAGGCTTTCTGTCTTAGGTTATGCACAACAGAGCATGTCTCTCAGCCACCTTCCCTGCCCCTTTAATTCAGCTCCTAAGTGATCCTAGAAGGAGTCCCATGATCTGAAATACCCAGAATGGGACCCTGAGTTTGACTCCAGCATCCAGGATGCCAAGAATCTTTTGTCTTCAAGAGGGTCTACTTCCTAGGGTTGTTGTAGGGATTAAATGAGTTAATACATGTTAGGTTCTTAGAATAGTGCCTGGCACAAAGTAAATACTCAATGAGGGTTGGTCATGACTGTTCTCTCAGGGACAGCCAAGGAATGCAACACACAACAAAAACCAAAGTTGACACACACACTTCGTTTACCGTGCAGCCGTAAGTAGTGGTTTCTGACACCAGTCATTCAAGTCTCATGCTCACTAGTTTTCTCCTTGAAAAGGCAGGTCCTTGCTGCAGCTTCACATTTACTACAAAACCTTGCTCTTTGCTGTAGGTCAGGGAAGCATGTTCTTTCTCCAGCTCTCCTCCCACTCCAATATACTTTTAGAACAGAGGGATATATGCTATATTCTGTGGAGTACTCTACAGAGGTGCTGCAGGTTTTCTGCAAAGTTCAATTTAAATGCCACTTAAATATATTTTTAATTAAAAAATTTTTTTAGAGACAGGGTCTTGCTCCACCACTAGGCTGGAGTGTAGTGGTGCAATCACAGCTCACTGCAGCCTCAAACTCCTGGGCTCAGGTGATCCTCCCACCTCAGCCTCCTGAGTAGCTGGGATCACAGGTGCATGCCACCACACCTAGATAATTTTTTTTTTTTTTTTTTTTTTTTGTGGAGACAGGGTCTCACTGTGTTTCCCAGACTGATCCTGAACTCCTGGGCTCAAGGGATCCTCCTGACGTGGCCTCCTAACATGCTGGGATTATAGGCATGAACTACCACACCTGGCTCTATTTTTAATTGTTAAAAAATATATAAAGCAAAACCTGGACAAAGGTATCTACAACAAATTCCAACATGCTGGAGACCACCTACTCACTTTAGGCTGACCGTTTGATTCCTTTTTTGCAGACCTTGGAATAAAATGTCTCCTGCCATCTCTTTGTATATTTGAACTTCTTACAATTTGTCTTTGATTAGGAAGGTGGTAGTGCTAAACTGCTCTTTTATTTGTGTGTTTGAATTGTTTCTTTTCTGGTTGAAATCTTCCACCAATGTAAACACTTAGTTCTGACAATGTCAGTGGTGGTCAGTTCCCCATCACAGCCCATGGACACAGCCCACATGTGTCTGGAAGGCTCAGGCATTTTCTTGGAGCATGTTCTCCTCAGGTGGCACAGTCAACCAGGCAGTCACAGGTGAAGCATAATGTGGCCATCATGTCATACTTTAGATAGACTTGGAAATTTCATTTTGTTTTGTTTTGAGACAGAGTCTCACTTTGTTGCCCAGGCTGGAGTGCGGTGGTGCAATGTCGGCTCACTGCAAACTCCGCCTCCTGGGTTCAAGCGATTCTTGTGCCTTTGTCTCCTGAGCATCTGGGATTACAGGCACGCGCCAGCATGCCTGGCTAATTTTTGTATGTTTAGTAGAAATAGGGTTTTGCCATGTTGGCCAGGCTGGTCTCAAACTCCTGACCTCAGGTGATCCACCTGCCTTGGCCTCCCAAACTGTTACTGTGCCTTTTCTGAAATTCTTTTAAATTGTGAGGACTTGTTTGATTTTTAGATATAAGGTAAAAAGTGCAAGATGTTCTTATAGCTTTTTAGCAATTCAGCTTTGAAACGAACACTTCCTAATTCTCTTCTTTCAAATTTCTGGATTGATTTTATTGTAGTGTATTCTGAGATTACACAATTAACTATTTTTAACTGCTTCCATTTCCAACCCTGATG
The DNA here is from genome assembly GCF_000001405.40 of Homo sapiens. Classification (NCBI taxonomy): domain Eukaryota; kingdom Metazoa; phylum Chordata; class Mammalia; order Primates; family Hominidae; genus Homo; species Homo sapiens. Next base: position 134,859,792 of record NC_000002.12, on the reverse strand, counting down.
TGTCAGTGGGAATGTTCTGTGTATGATGCACCGAGACAAACTACAGAAAGAAATTGGATCTTAAGTGTTATTAAGCAGGCAATTGTCATTCTTAGTTTTGTGATTTCCAGTTTTTACTATTTTAATTGATTTTATAATAAGTAAATACTATACATTTGAACTAATTTTTAAAAATAATAAAATGCCATTTTTATCTTTTTCATGATATAGCATTCTATTTTAAAACAGGGTATAACTCATATGAAACATTTTGAATCCACACTCTAAAAGCATTGTAGTGGAAGGCCCTGTCCCTCCCACAGTGAAGCTGGAACAGCCTGTCCTGGCAGAGAAAAGGGGGTCAGAAGTTACCATCACATAAAGTTGTCAGCAAACTTTAAGGGCAGACATTGCTTTTACATCAGATGCTAACATTGGTAGCACTTCTCATCGTACCTTTTTGGTCCATTTCTCTAATACGAACTTCTGGATCCCAGCAATTCTCTCGCACCACTCTGAAGACTTTCCCATCTTTCAACAACTTTGCTTCTCCCTGGGGCAGAAAACCCACATTACTAAAATGCAACCTAAGACCACTTGGACTAATCTTTCCTCATGTGCTTTAGAACGTATTTCTTCCCTAATATTTGAAAAGATTTTTACTTAATCCTTGTGGAAGTAGAAATCAGTAATTTAACAAAAATCAGCTTTCTTTCCTCATGCTTTTCTTTGGCCTAGAGTTGAAGGGGTGTGCTCTGTGGGCGTCAATGGCTGGACACAGAGATAGCAAGGTTGAGGTTATGTTTCTCTGGGCTGCCTGACTGAGAATGGCTGATCACCTTGCTGATCTGAACCCCTGGCTACTAGATACAAGAGGATGGCCCAGCGTCTGGAAAATGGTAGTTCTATAACATTTAGAATTGAAAAGAACCTTTGAGATAGACCACCTAGTCCAACCCTCTCATTTTATGGAGAAGCAATATATGGATAATGGCAGTGTATGATTTGTCAAACAGAGCAGGGCCCACTAGTGTCAATACCTGTGGGAGGAGGTGGGCAAAGAAGTCAGTCTGGTAGCAAGCACAAAATTTGGTACTGAGCTACTTCTTCCACCAGGCATCATGCTTGCCTGGGTACACAGCAATAATTTTTATACATTTTAAATGACAAATAAAAATTGCATATATTTATGCTGTACAACATTATCTTTTGATATATGTGTGCATTGTGGAATGGCTAAATCAAGCTAATTAAAATGTCCATTACTTCACATACTTATTTTTTTTGAGGTGATGACACTTAAAATCTATTCTTTTAGCAATTTTCAAGTATACAATACATTTTTATTAACTATAGTCACCATATTGTGCAATAGATATGAACTTATTCCTCCTGTCTAACTGAAATTTCATATCCTCTGACCTTCTCAATCTCTCCCCACCCCTTCAGCCTGTGGTAACCACCATTTTTCTTGATGCTTCTGTGAGTTAGACTTTTTTAGATTCTACATATAAGTACAGTATTTGTCTTTTTATGTCTGGCTTATTTCACTTAACATAATATCCTTCAGTGTTATTCATGTTGTTGTAAATGATAGAATTTCCTTTTTATAAAGGCTGAATAGTATTCCATTATGTATATATGCCACATTTTCTTTATCCATTCATCCACTGATGGACACTTAGATTGATTCCATATCTTGGCTATTTTGAATGATGCTACATTGAACATGGGAATGCAGATATTTCTTCAACATACTGGTTTCATTTCCTCTGCATATATAGCCAGAAGTAGAATTGCTGGATCATATAGTAGTTCTATTTTTACTTTTTCTCAGGAAAACATATGATCATATCAATAGATACAGACAAATTTCTACATCCTTTTATGACTTTAAAAAACCTCAATAAATTAGGTATAGAAGGAATAAAGCTGTGGGATTGCCATACATGAACTTTATTGTTGATCAACACAATAAAGTCTATGTATGGCAATCCCACAGCTAACATCATACTTGATGGTGAAAATGATGAAAAGTTGAAAACTTTTTCTCTAAGATCAGGAACATGACAAGGGGGCTCATTTTGCCACTTCTCAACATCATAAAGGAAGTTCTAGCCAGAGCAATGAAGCAAGAAAAAGAAACAAAAGTCACCTAAATCAGAATGAAAGAAGTTAAATTGTTTTTGTTTGCAGACAACATGGTTTTATACATAGAAAACCCTAAATATTCCACCAAAAAACTGTTAAACTAATAAATTGGGTAACGTTGCAGAATACAAAATTGATATATAAAAGCCCATAGCATTTCTGTATGTTAACAATCTGCAAAAGATATCAGGCAATCCCATTATTTATTTATTTATTTCTCGAGATAGAGTCTTGTTCTGTTGCCCAGACTGGAGTGGAGTGCAGTGGTATGATCTCGGCTCACTGCAGCCTCTGCCTCCCAGGTTCAAGCAATTCTCCTGCCTTTGCCTCCCAAGTAGCTGGGATTACAGACATGCGCCACCACGCCCGGCTAATTTTTGTGTTTTTAGTAGAGACGGGGTTTCACCATGTTGGCCAGGCTGGTCTTGAACTTCTGACCTCATGATCCACCGGCCTCAGCCTCCCAAAGTGCTGGGATTACAGGCATAAGCCACTGCTCCCAGCATTAGGCAATCCCATTTAAAATAGTATTTAAAAATACTTAGGAATGAATCTAACCAAAAAGGTGAAAGATCTGAAAACTATAATACATTGATGAAAAAATTAAAGAAGACACAGACGAATGGAAAAACATCCCATGTTCGTGGATTGAAAAATTGATATTGTTTAAATGTCCATACTACCTAAAACAATCTATAGATTTAATAAAATGCCCCCCAAAATTCCAATGACATTTTTACAGAAATAGAAAAAAAAACCATACATTTCATGTAAACCACAAAAGATCTCAAATAGTCAAAGCAATTTGGAGCAAACAGAACAAAGCTGGAGGAACTAAAAACCTTTTGCACAGTAAAGGAAACGATCAACAGAGTAGAGAGACAGTTTATGGAACAGGAGAAAATATTTGTGAACCATATATCTGATAAGGAGTTACCATCCAAACTATATAAGGAACTCAAAGAACTCAATGGCAAGAAAACAAATAACTGGGTGAAAAAAGGGGCAAAGGACCTGAAAAGACATTTCTCAGAATAGATATACAAATGGCCAATAGGTATAAGAAAAAATGTTCAACTTCACTAATCATTGAGAAATGAGATATCATCTCATACTTGTTAGGATGGCTGTTATCAAAAAGACAAAAGATAATGTGTTGATAAGGATGCGGAGAAAAAGGAACCCTTGTATGCTCTTATTTGGTAACTGGTACAGCCATTATGGAATACACAACTTTTTAATACTCAGAGCAGGGGACCAAACTAAATGGTTGTGCAGAACATGGCAGTGGCATCTACGTTGGGCCTCCAGTTTGTGATTCCTAAAGAAAAGGGGAAGAACTAGGGTAGGCCCTGGAAATAAAATTGCCTGAATTCAAATTCTTGTTCTGCCACTTACTATGTGGTCTTGAGCAAGTTAAACAATATCTTCAAGCTTCAGTTTGTTTATCTTTAAAATAGGGATGATAATGACTTACCTTAAAAAATTAATGTGACTTACATTAAAGGGATCATGTCAGCATGAAATAAGATAATCCATATAAAGCGCTTAGTGGAGTATCTGACACATAAGTGTTATTATGGTTATTTGTTATTAATGTTGTATAACTAGGGGCTAGACAGTGTTCCTCTGCTTTGAGGGCACACCACCTTTGGTGGTGCTTCAGGGCCTCAAGGTTACCTTTGGGCCCCATAGAATGTCCAAGTGGGTGTGCAATGATCAAAGGCTTTGAGCTCTGCTTGGTGGAGTCCTCTGCTCTCCTCCTCCTCCTCTTGGCTTGATCATGAATTGCATCCAAGGCTTCATCCTTCTACTCCATAGACAAGACATCCTTCTACTCCATCTCCTGCATGAAGAAGTCTGGATGCTTTTCACCTTTAAGTGCTGTAGCCTGTTCATTTTGCACATATATGAGGAAGACTTCAGATCCACATTTTATTTCTCAGGGATGGGGAACAGGTCAGTGAGCAAGTTGACTTGTGTAATTGTGACAGGTGTCCACACACTAGCAGAGCTGGGTCTCTGACATCAGGACACCAAGATTGATGTGCTTCAGCTCTGATCCTCCGTTGACCATGCCAGCATCTGAACCACTTCCTAGGTTGGGGAATCTCCTGCAGCAGTCGTGGTGGAGGCAGGGCCTAGCCTTCTTCTGCAGAAGGCCAAATACTTGCTCTCCCTGCCCCAAGCTTGGCCAATCAATGCTTGGTTTTGCATTACGTGATGCAAAAAAACAGGAAGAGTTGAATTTATTCTGCCAGTGATTCCAGCAGTGGCCATGTACAGTGGCTATTGGCAGTGGTGCTGGGGGCAGTATCCAGCTGGGGCAGCAGCCTCCTTGCCAGGCTGTTCCTGTGGTGTTGCCTTGGCTGTGGCTTCAATCATGGGAATTCCCTGAGTTTCTGCAAGTTTTCTGAGCTTGATTCCACAGATACTTTGTAGTTCTTGAGGGGCTTAAAATATTTCAACAAATTTCTTTTCTTCTTACACTAATGATTGTTGGTTTCTGTTGCCTGCAACCAAGAGTCCTGACTGATAATGATTGCACAAATAGGATATAGGAACACATGTCTTTTCATTTGGTGAAGAAGGGAGAGGAGAGGGGTGATGGTGAAAAAAAAAAGTTGAGAAACAAACTTTGATTTGGCAAATTGGAGGATTTATTTATTTTTGCTCCTTGCTGGGAAAGCTTAATCACTATAAAATACCCAGTATAGCAGAGTGCCAAAGAGCACAGTCTTTGCATTCAGACAGCTCTGGGTTTAAATCTCATTAAATTACTTAGTAGCAGCACTGACTGGTGAAGTTACGGGCCCTCTGAGTTTAAGCCTCACTTTTTCTGTCTGTAAAATGTGGATCATTATACTTGTCATGCTTGTGGCCATCCAACATCCTTGGAACACATCCTATGTGTGAAGTAACGTTCACAATTATAAATTCTGCTTTCTTGAGGTAGAATCCAAAATATGCTTTCCCAGTCTCCCTTGTAATGGGGCATTAGCATGTGCTCTGGGCTTTGCCAATTATATGCACCCACCTGTGCATATAACTTTGACCTGGAAGTGAGCAATGTGAGGAAGTAGGGACTATGCAGAGTCCACCTGTAGACAGGGGTGTTGTCTAAGATGTTGAACATGACTGGAGCAGCAGAGGCAAAGCTTCTAGTCTCCAGCCTTGGCAGCATTAGCATGAGCATCCTGTCCATGACTGGGAGTGGCAACACTTGCATCCTTGTTGGAGCAGCTCACCAGGTGAATGTGGGCATTGATCATGTTAGCACAGCCCTCAGAGCTTGATCTCTGGCCCTCACAGGAACTCTGGGAGCTGTTTTTCTAATTAAACTAACTAGAGTGAATTCTGTTGTTTGCAATTAAGAACACTGAGTGATAAAGAAGATTCAATCATAGAATGTAAAGAACTTAGCACCAGGCCAGAGAGCATGCTCAATAAATAACAGCCAGATTTTACCATGTATTATCAACTGCAAGGGAGGAAATTGGGTTTCTGTGGGAGATGCCTGAGTAAGTTTTGATTTCAAACAAAGCAGAGTATCTTAAAGCTGCAATAGATTATTTAGTTCAGCCCTTGCATTTTACCAATAAGTCCATGAGGTGCAGTGACTTGTCCAAGGCCATATGCTTAGCTGGTATAGAGCTGTGGTTTATGAAGCCATTTTCCATCTCACAAGGCTAATATTTGGTGATGGGTGTCTATGTAGTAGGCTAAAGTTAATTACTATAATTTCCTAAAGAGTTTGATCTTTTAGGGGCTGGGAGTGCCTCTCATTACATGGCAGGAGAAGCAGACTCACCAAACTTCACTTTTTCACATCCTTCATGCTAGATCCATGGTAAGAAAAATGAACGGTAGCAAGTCGGTAGAACTCTTTCTGAGTAAAAATCACTGCAGAGCAGCTGTGCCCGTATAATAAGCCCCCAGTTCTCATTGGTTTTTTTTTTCCAGCTGGAATTTTGAGAGCTGACAGCCATTGTAAGGAATCAATCCCTGATCTCTGTCGCTTTACATTCAGGCAAGGCTGTGGATGTGTCTGTCAGCACTTGCTGCTGGAGGAGGAAACAGGGATTTCTTGGGTCCTGGTTTTTAACACTGACCTCAGCATTAACCAAGATCTTAAACTAAACTAATAACCAAGTAATGGGAGCAAGCTGCTTTAATTTAGACAACCAGAGCCCAATCCCATTTTTTCCTAAACTCTCAAAAGAAAATCAAGTTTTTTTTTTTTAAACAATTCCTCCATGCAACTATTACTATCCAGATAACACACTTTAAATACACCTCTTATATTTTTAAAGCCAGAACTTCATCTTGGAGTCTGATTCCTAGGGAACCTAACCTGTGAACTTCTGACTTTTAAGTTCTAATTCTAATACTATCCCCAAACAAGCCCAAATATGGCTGGTATTTCAAATATCTGATACTGCATGTATCATCAGAAATGTATTTTCTTGTCTTTCCTTTTTTTTTTTTTTTTTTTAGATTGAGATGGAGTCTCGCTCTGTTCCCCAGGCTGGAGTGTAGTGGTGCGATCTCGGCTCACTGCAATCTCCGCCTCCTGGGTTCAAGTGATTCTCCCACCTCGGCCTCCTGAGTTGCTGGGATTACAGGCGCGTGCCACCACACCTGGCTAATTTTTGTATTTTTAGTAGAGACGGGGTTTCACCATGATGGCCAGGCTGGTCTCAAACTCCTGACCTCAAGTAATCTGCCCTCCTCAGCCTCCCAAAGTGCTGGGATTAGGCGTGAGGCACCATGCCCAGCCAGAAATGTATTTTTAAACTCAGTCTTTCACCATCAGATTTCCATTCTCCTCCCCATCCCCCTAGTGCCCACTCGAGCAATCCCTCCAGACCACACCAGCTGCCATGCTGGTTGGGCTCGAGGTGCAGAGTTGGCAGAAATGGCCCAGACCTTGTCATCAGGAAGCAACCTCTGTAGTCACTGCAGCTCCCACATTCCCAGGTTCTGAAGGACAGCTCCCCCGGGAGGCCCTACTTCAACCAACCCAAACTCGATTTGCTCAGCCTGTTTTTCTTCTTGGTCCCTGGCCTGCTTTTCCTTCTGGGTTGGCGGCTTCTATCCTTCAAGCCTACGTTACTTTGCTTATTGCCTGGAGACTACATCATTTTTTTGCTTCCCTCTGCCTGATAGGCCACCATCCAATTCACTTCCTAATACCATTGATTCTCTATCCAGAATATTGCCTACGATGGCTGGTCCACTTCTCTCCACCTCCACTGCTCATTGTTCCACACCCTCATCCTCTCTCCCTGAATGATTTCTCAGCCTCCAGCCCCATCTCCCTGCTTCCATTCTGACTCCCTTTCAACCTAGTCTCCACAAAGTGGTCAGAGTAAACTTACAAATCCCCATCTCAGATCTTGCCACTGCCCCACTTAAAACTCTTGAATGGATTCCCGTTTCCCTGAAGGTGAAATCCAGACTCCTTAACCTGGCCTGTAAGACCCCGCATGATCTAAGTAACCCCTGCCTACCTCTGTTACTTCCTCATGTTTATACCTTTATAAATAGTCTCTTTATGAACTCTTTTCAAAGTAGTCTAATTTAAGTGTGCCGTTTGTTTTCTATTTGGAACCCGATTCATCCAGCTTTAAACACCATACGTATAACACACTAATAATACTCTGTTATTTCCAAAGGTGCATTCCTATTTCAGTAAAACCATAGGAGAAGTAAATACCCACCAAACTGTTAATAGGAATTAATTTTGAGAAGATGTACAAATGACCAACAGACATGAAAAAATGCTCCACATCACTGATCATCAGAGAAATGCAAATCAAAACCACAATGAGATACCATCTCACAACAATCAGAATGGCCATTATTAAAAAGTCAGAAAATAACAGATGCTGGTGAGGCTGCAGAGAAAAGGGATTGTGGCCAGGCATGGTGGCTCACGCCTGTAATCCCAGCACTTTGGGAGGCCAAGGCGGGTGGATAACCCGAGGTTAGGAGTTTGAGACAATTCTGGCCAACATGGTGAAACCCCGTCTCTACTAAAAATACAAAAATTAGCCGGATATGGTGCCAGTTGCCTGTAGTTCCAGCTACTCAGGAGCCTGAGGCAGGAGAATGGCTTGAACCCAGTAGGCGGAGGTGCAGTGAGTCGAGATCACACCACTGCACTCCAGCCTGGGAGACAGAGTGAGACTCCTAAAAAAAAAAAGAAAAGGGAATGCTTCTACACTGTTGGTAGGAATGTAAATTAGTGGAGTATCTGACTGTGGAAAGCAGTTCAGAGATTTCTCAAAGAACTTAAAACAAAATTGCCATTCAACCTAGTGATCCTATTACTGGGTATATATCCAGAGGAAAATAAATTGTCCTACCAAAAAGACACATGCACCTGTATGTTCATTACAGCACTATTCACAATGGCAAAGACATGGTATCAACCTAGGTGCCCATAACGATGAACTGGATAAAGAAAATATAATATTCCATGGATATTCCATATACACCATAGAATACCATGCAGCCATAAAAAATAATGAAGTCATATCCTTGCAGCAACACAGATGCACCTGGAGGCCATTATCCTAATCAAATTAACACAGGAACAGAAAACCAAACACTGCATGTTCTCACTTAGAAATGGAAGCCAAACATTGGGTTTACATGGATATAAGGATGGCAACAGTAGACACTGGGGACTACCAGAGGGGGCCAGGAGGGAGGAGACAAGGCCTGAGAAACTGATTGTTTCCAGTGGTTACTATGCTCACTAACTGGGTGGCGGGTTCAATCATACCCCTAAACCTCAGCGTCACTTGATACACCCAGGTAACAAACCTGCACCTGTATCCTCTGAGCTTAAAATAAAAGTTGAAATTATTTTAAAGAAAGGAAGAACTTTTGAGAACAGGGAGTGCTGGTCCAAGAAAATTGTAGCTTTATCTCTAATGGCTTGAATCTAAAAAGGAGCATTTAGTCAAATATTACTTATATAATAATAATAATAAATTATTCTTAAAAACATTTGAAGGTATTGGACAAGATAAATGGCTTTCAGCCAGTTTTGGCTGTGACCCCACATTAAGAAATCTATTTTTTGGCCAAGCCTGTTGGCTCACGCCTATAATCCTAGCACTCTGGGGGGACGAAGCAGGTGGATCACTTGAGGTCAGGAGTTAGAGACCAGCCTGACCGACATGGTGAAACCCTGTGTCTACTAAAAATACAAAATTAGCTGGGTGTGGTGGCACACACCTGTAATCACAGCTACTTGGGAGGCTGAGGCAGGAGAATCGCTTGAACCTGGGAGATGGAGGTTGCAGTGAGCTGAGATGGTGCCATTGCACTCCATCCTGGGCAACAAGAGCGAAACTCCATCTCAGAAAAAAAAAAAAAAGAAATCTATTTTTCATTGTCATTCAGAATACCCATATATATCTATTTGTACAGACACAAACTGAGAAAGAAGATTCATGAAACAATATTTACTCTTGCCATAAGCAGTGCATTCTACTATTTTGTTTTGCAATCTTTTTCATTTTTTAAGGGGGTTAGTACTTCGACATATGAATTTGGGGGGCGGGGGATACAAATACAGTTGATAACAGTGAGGAGTCCGACAGAATTATGTGTGTAAAAATGCTGAAAGTGTGATGTAAATGTTCACGTGTGTGTGTGTGTGTGTGTGTGTGTGTGTGTGTGTTCCCAAGGCCCTGGGATGAACTCAGTGTGTGTTTCTAGGTGCTGTTGACCTATGGCTTTGAAACGGGCCTGTGTCTACCCTCCTGGGTTGGAGGCTTTAAAATGCTCCCAGGTGTCTTTGCCATCAGGGCACAATTCTGCTCCCACCCCATGCAGATCCTGGCAGGTTGTCATACAAACCAAGGACTGGCCTGCTACTTACACTTTTATAAATATTCAATCAAAAGACAAATAATGTTTTTCACTTCTGAGCAAGGCTTTGCCATGACAAATGACTACCCCTCAATTTGTTTGGGGAACACTGAAAAACCAAGAGTTAAGAAGAGAAATGGAGCAAACCAGAGAAATGTTTTGGAAAGAACTTTGAGAGAACAGGTATCTCCAGGGTAAGTCAATCCTGGGGGCAGAACACATTTCTTCACTAAAGGAACATAGGAGAGTAAGAATTATTTTCAAATCCCAAATCCTGGATTTTCTCATTGCTCCCAGCCTATTTTGCATAATTGTATACATTTGCATGTTGTTTACATTTGCATATTGTTTTCTATGGACTCAAATCCCTGACAACTGTAATTATGAAAAATACAGACTGGGTATGTTTTGGTTTGCTTTGTTTTGTTTTTGAGAGAGAGGGAGTGTGTTACTCTTTTGTCCTATTTGATTACCATTGTATCAGATTTTGCTGGAAATAAGTCAGTAGATGTGACTGGAAAATATTTCCTTTTTGTTTTATTTTGGAGATTTGGCTACTAAGTTTATGAAATTTCTTGATATTAAAACAAAATGAAATGAAGGCCATTCAAATCCACTATTGAAGGACAAACTGAAGACAGGGACATGGAGTAAGAAAGAAAAAAAAAAATCACAGCTGCCTGTCCCTGCAGCTGGGGCTTCCTAGCTGCTTTGCCGTCAGCTCCATTTATATCATGTTTTCCCTCGGAGAGACTTGAGGCCAGCTTAGAGCATCAGATCCTGGTCTAGGAACTAGCATTTTGAATGGGAGAAGTGAAGCACAGTGTTTGAATTGGCACTTAGTGGACACACAAGAAGGTGAGGATGGGCTGCCTCAGAGACAGTGATGTTTAAAATTCTTGAAAACCTAAGCAGTACCATTCAGGACATAGGCATGGGCAAAGACTTCATGACTAAAACACCGGAAGCAATGGCAACAAAAGCCAAAATTGACAAATGCTAAAGAGCTTCTGCATAGCAAAATAAACTATCATCAGAGTGAACAGCAACCCACAGAATGGGAGGAAGCTTTTGCAATCTATCCATCTGACAAAGGGCTAATATCCAGAATCTATAAGGAACTTAAACAAATTTACAAGAAAAAAAACAACCCCATCAAAAAGTGGGCGAAGGATATGAACAGACACTTCTCAAAAGAAGACATTTATGTGCCCAACAAACATGCAAAAAAGCTCATCATCACTGGTCATTAGAGAAATGCAAATCAAAACCACAATGAGATACCATCTCATGCCAGTTAGAATGGCTATCATTAAAAAGTCAGGAAACAACAGATGCTGGAGAGGATGTGGAGAAATAGGAATGCTTTTATACTGTTGGTGGGGGTGTAAGTTAGTTCAACCATTGTAGAAGACAGTGTGGCGATTCCTCAAGGATCTAGAACCAGAAATACCATTTGACCCAGCAATCTCATCACTGGGTATATACCCAAAGGATTATAAATCATTCTACTATAAAGACACATGCACACGTATGTTTACTGCAGCACTATTCACAATAGCAAAGACTTGGAACCAACCCAAATGCCCATCGATGATAGACTGGATAAAGAAAATGTGGCTGGCTGGGTGCAATGGCTCACGCCTGTAATCCCAGCACTTTGGAAGGCCAAGGCGAGCAGATCACCTGAGGTTGGGAGTTCAAGACCTGCCTGACCAACATGGAGAAACCCTGTCTCTACTAAAAATACAAAATTAGCTGGGCATGGTGGCACATGCCTGTAATTCCAGCTACTCAGGAGCCTGAGGCAGGAGAATCACTTGAACCCGGGAGGCAGAGGTTGCGGTGAGCCAGGATTGTGCCATTGCACTCCAGCCTGTGTGACAAGAGCGAAACTCCATCTCAAAAAAAAAAAAAGAAAAAGAAGAAAAGAAAATGTGGCATATATATACCATGGAATACTATACAGCCATAAAAAAGGATGAGTTCATGTCCTTTGCAGGGACATGGATGAAGCTGGAAACCATCATTCCCAGCAACTAACACAGGAACAGAAAACCAAACACTGCATGTTCTCACTCATAAGTGGGAGTTGAACAATGAGAACACATGGACACAGGGAGGGAAACATCACACACCATGGCCTGTCGGGGGATGGGGGTCTAGGGGACGGATAGCATTAGGAGAAATACCTAATGTAGATGACGAGTTGATGGGTGCAGTGAACCACCATGGCACTTGTATACCTATGTAACAAATCTGCACATTCTGCACATGGATCCCAGAACTTAAAGTATATATATCTATCTCTATCTCTATCTATATCTATCTATCTATCTATCTATCTATCTATCTATCTATCTATCTATCTATCTGTATCCCCAAAAAACTCTTTAGTGGTTCCCCACTGTCTTCAGGATCAAGTTCAAAGACCTAAGCTCATTTTGGGGCCTAAACCCCTAAATCCTTCATGGCCCTGTCTGATGAGGTTTCTGGCTTCCTCTCCATCTTTTTGCCTCTTTTTCACTCTCCCTACTCTTGTCTGCCTCTATGTGTTCTCCACAGAGCAACCAAAGTGGTCTTTTAAAGCCATTAAGACCCTCCGAAGAATTTGCATTGTTTTGAGAATGCAATCCAGACTCTTTAGCGTGCCCTGCAAGTCCCCATGTGGCTGGGCCTCTGCCTACCTTGCCAGCCCATTTCCTACTATCTCCCCCTTTCACTGCATTTCAGCCACATTGCCCTCCTTTCTGTTCCTTGAACACATCAACTCTTTACCACTTGGTGGCCTTTGCAACTGCTGTTCCCCCACTTGGAAAAGTGTTCCCTTCTCATCCTCGAAGCCTTTGCCAGGTCACAGACCAGCCAGCCTCTTGCTCTCTATCACATCGCTGCTTTATATTCCATTCTCTGAATTGATCATGTTGACTTGTGACCCCTGGAATCTGAGCACTATCAGAGCAGGGACTATGTCTATCTTGTTCACCAGCATATTCTCAGTGTCTAGGTTGGTGGGCCTGACACAAAACAAGTTTCAATAAAAAGTAGTGAGTCAGTGAATGAATGTGTGAGAGCCAGTGGTTCTCAAACTTGAATGTGCTACTTTGGGAGGCTGAAGTGGGAGGACCACTTGAGGCCAGGAGTTCGAGGTCAGCCTGGACAACATAGTGAGACCCCCTGTCTAAAAAATAAAATAAAATAATGATCTGGGCATGGTGGTGTGTACCTGTAGTCTCAGCTACTTGGGAAGCTGAGGTGGGAGGATCACTTAAACCTGAGAGTTGGAGGCTGCAAGTGAGCTGTGATTGCATCACTGCACTCCAGCTGGGCAATAGAGCGAGACTTTGTCCTTAAAAAAATTAATAATTAAAAAACCCTTGACAGTGCATCAGAATCACCAGGAGGCTTGTTAAAACAGGTTGCTTGCCCTACCTCTAGAGTTCTGATTTGGTAGGACTGGGGTAGGGCCTGAAAATTTGCATTTCTCCCAAGTTCCCAGGTGATGGTGAAACTGGTTGTGGGACCACAGTTTGAGAAATGCTGGTAGCTGAGTGCTTGAATTCTGAGCTTACATATGTTTAATATTTCATGCCTTTGTTCCCTTTCTTCTTTTCCTAGAACATGGTTTCCTTATTCCCTGGGCAAGCCTCCCTGCCTGCTTTAAGATGTGGGATGGGCATCATTTCCTCCAGAAGGCCTTCTCTGATCCTTGGTGCCCAAATCTCTGCCCCTTAGCACCTGATGTAAAGGGAGTCCTAACCTTTCCATGCTGCATTGGGTTAACTCTGCACATTAACTAGATTTCCAGACCACAAGTCCTCCAGAGCCTGCATTAGTCATGTCTGCATGCCAGCTGGAAGCTCAAGAATATTCCCTCTGAACTCGGAGAGGACATATGATGCCTCTGAAAATGAAGTCAGACCCATGCCCTGGGCAGATCTAGACTCCCAGCTCACTCTTGGGGCTCGTTATTTCTAGAGGGCTTTGCCCACAGCCTTCTTCTTTTTGCTTTTTCCTCTTACCAAACTCAACCCTTAATAACACTGTCTTCTCCCCTTTGTCTCCAGTGTTCAATTTTTCCAGCTTGTGCTCAAACCTAACTGTCCCATTTATTTGGTCAGCTTTAATATACTGTAATAACCTGTAGAGAGCACTAGGTCACTTCCTCCAGGCAGAGCAATAAATGCTAAAACTGGTTGGTGGGGGTGGGGAGAGGGGAGAGAGAGAGAGAGAGAGAGAGAGAGAGAGAGAGAGAGAGAGAGACCTTTTAATGTGTTCTCAAATTCCAATTTTATCTTCCTAAATACTACTCTTTGAAGTCACCTCCATTTTTCCCAATTATTCTGAGAAATCTCAGTGCTGTTCCCTTGTCTACAACAAAGCTAATACATGGGCAGAAGAGTGGGGTTCCCTGGAGGCCCAGCCTGCAGTGAGGTATCCCATGGCTCAGCTCTCCCTGAGTGCTACTGATGTTCATACTTTGGAAGAAACTCACCTTGCTGTGGTGTTGGAGCTGCACCCAGCCTCCGTAGCCAAACCTCTGCAGTGGGGAGAAGCACAGTTAGAGTCAAAGAGCAAAGACCAGGCTGCAATCAAGGGGCATGCTAAGTGCAGAAGATCCTGAGCTCCACCTTTCAAGCATTGCCTTCCCATTTCCCCCATACCCATGTATCGCCTATTTAGTATTTACAATTAAATTCACTTACATTTTTCCTTCAATATATTTATACAAGAAGAAAATACTGTTATCTCAGCAGTGCTGGTTTTATCTTTTCCCCTAATGCAGCTTGAATTTTTAAAATAAAGATTAACATGAAAAAATATTGTTCATGTGCCACCTAAAATCATTTCACAGGCTACCAGGAGTACATAGCTCCTAAGGACCACTCTTTAGGAAATACACTGCTTTTCAAACTGTGGGTTGCAATCCATGAGTAGATTGTGATATCAGTTTAGTGGATAGGGACTCAAACATTTTAAAACAGGAAATCATGTATGTAGCAGATGCTGTTGGTGTCCCGCTCATATCCCTTTGCTTTCACACTTCTGTGCATGCCAGCCCACCTCCATCAGCCAGCGCCTGCATTTCACTGGCTGAGGGCTTTCTCCTGGAACCTGCTTTGATCAAGCCATCCTAGTAGGTCAGAAGTACTAAGAAATTAGCCCCCTGCATCCCCTTGGCCCAACGCCCTTAACAGATAATTGAGGGAGTTGTATATAAATACACTGAACACACCGTACCCCACCCCTCGGTCAGGATAACACAGAGATGAGGCACACATTTTGCTCTGGAATACAAACCTTTCACTGGCTGCCCTGTTTTCCCTGTCTCACTTCCTCACTCTACTGGTGTTTCCTGGGATCACCTCCAAAGCAAACTACTTGCATCTGAATCCTTGTCTCAGGGTCTGCTTCTTGGAAAACATAAGAGAGTAAAGGAATGGAAAGGAATAGAATAAATTAGAATGTCTCCCGTGTATTAAGTAATGGTTTCATAACATTTTTCTTCCCATTTAATGTATATAAATGTTTGTACTGAGTCATAATGTAAAATAGATTTCCGCCTGGGGATCATGCATAAAAACTGTGGAAAGCCACCGCCTGAAAACATAGGTAAGTATGACTCAAATAACTATTGACTTTATCATATCATATCATACTGCATCATATCATTATTCCTTCTTCACGCTTTCATGGAGTCCCATCTATGACAAGCCTTACTAGGGCAGAGAAAATAAAAGTGAAGGTTAGTTCCAGCCCATGTGGAGCAGAGTCTTGGGAGGTTAAGGCTGGGGTAGGCAAGGAATTGAAGGGCCACATCATTGCGTGTGAGACGCACTGTGACTGTGATGCACAGGTGCTCTGGGGGCCTTGGCGAGGGAGCTGACCTAACACCTTGGGCTGCGGTATTGGGAGGGAGGTTGAAAAGGTAGTCCTGGGGTCAGATTGCAGAGGATCTTCTAGTGTTCAGGATTTCCACGCTTCCTGCATGGCTCTCACAGTGTGGTGTCAGAGGGAAGGAATGGAGGCAGGAGATAGCTACATGAGGGAGCTCCTTAATGGCTCTGAGTTGGTCAGCGGTGATGGGTCAACGAGTAAAGCAAACTGAACATCAACTCAACCTCTCACTTGTGGCTGGATGAGGCCAGGGTACAGCAGTTGGTTCTCATGCTGTGGTGCAGGGAAGTTGTCTGTAGGGAGTCAGGTCTTGGTGGACTCCTTTCCTAGCTCCCTTCACCACTAGACTGAGGGGAAGGTCTGGGCCTGGGCCATGGTGCAGCATAGAGGTGTTTGTGTCTCTGTCTGTGCCTGGGGTCTGCCTCAACAGCTTCTTAAGGTTTGGATTAATTCTATACCAGTCTTATTCCACCCAGGTATAAGGTCTGTTCTTGAGTCCTAGCCCCAAATTATCATATTACCTTTAGAAATCTATCTTCTGTTTCTTCCCCAGTGACATCAGCAGAACCGGTTTTGCAGGCTGGGCAGGCAAGGGAGCTCAGTTTCTCCTCTCTGCATCCAGCCTCTCCTTTGCTTGTGCCCTCAACCCCTGCTCTCACCCTTCATGCATTCAATGCCCTGGTACTTTTTCCTTCTTTTCCCCTGGAAAAAGCTGCCAAGAGAGGTGTGTTGGGGGAGGAATGGAATATGACCTTAATCAGTTACACTTTAGAGTGAACTTAAGACTATGTGCTCTTAAATTAGAAATTTGCCATTGAATTTTTATCCTTAATGTAGAAGAAAAGGTTTTATTTCCCTCTTTCTCTACTGCCTGCTTTCTCCCGCTTCTTCCTCACTCTCTTTCTTTGTTACTTTCTTGTAATTCTGTAAGGAACTGTAACCCATATGTTAGCAGGTAGAGAAGTATTCCATCTGGGGAAGGATAGGGAGGTAGGAAAGGCAGAGCAGAGGGATCCTCCCACATGCGACAAGTCACTTACAAGGCACTTGACTTTGTTGGTGTGAAATGTCTCCAAGTCACTGTATCCTTATGTGTGTTAATGAAATGAGGCTAAGAGGAGTGGTGGGGACATAAGTTTTCAGGGGAATTAGCTGAGATAGTGCATATAAAGCTGCTGACACCAGGCCTGGCCAGTGGACAAGGCTTCATTCATGCTAACAATGATGCTGATGGTGACGGTGGTGATGATGGGGGCACTAATTGCCATGGTGGAGGGAGTGAGGTGGTGGTAGTGGTGTGGCTGAAGTAGTGAGTATGGTGGCAATGGTGGTACCCGTGATGGCTGATGGTGATGGTGCTAGCAGTGACAGCCATGGTGATAGTAGCAGTGGGGATGGTGGTAGGGGTGGCAGTTGTGGCGACAGTCTTATTCCAACCCCAAATAGAATACCCTGGGGTCAGAACTAAGGAGAGCCATGAAGAAAAGAGCCTTTTGTCCCTCTGTGTCCCTCCCTCCCTTTCCTGGAAAGTATAAAGTGCCAATTTACCTCACAGGCCCCTTGCAAAGACTCAACTTATTTAGGGCAACTTTATTCTTCTCCAGGTCTGTGCTTGATGTAGCCCCGCAGTTCTCATCCTAGGTTGAGCCGAGCCTGGAGTCTAAAATTTATGACCCTGGGAGTGGTTTTGGTCTGAGCATATGCCGGGAAGCATCTACAATCTGAAAGTGTTTGACTGACAATAACCAGTGTCTCACAGCATTTATGAGCATGCCAAATAAACAATTGAAAACATTCAAGGAAATTCAGTTTTATATACAAGAGATATGTTTCTGAAATGGGCATGTATGAATCAAAGTGGATGAACTGAATGACATTGTTAATGTCTTGAAGACATCACACCTCCATGAGGTGAATAATGAGCCTCCTGGGTGATGAAACCAGATATTTATCTCCTCAGAAGGATTTTCTAAAAATCAAATGATGTCTAGGATTTTGTCTTCTAAAGCCTTATATCGATGAAGTGCAATTGCTAACAAAAGAAGGTGTAAGTATATGATTTTCAAATTGAAGGTCAGAATTTTTTGCTCCATTTATAATTAGAAGAATCTTTGCAAGCCCTACTATTGGGCAGACAGTAGGTTGTCAGTAAGGCCTTGCTGGAGGAAAAAGCTGAAACTGTATCATCCTCATTGTTGCTGTGAATAATCCATTGCAGATCAACCTGAAACATCTTTCACCACTGTTTCTTGGGCCCCACCTCCTGTTTGTGACAGCAGAGAGTGTGGGTCCTCATTCATCAGAAACAATTTGATCAAGTATCCCTGAATCCATTGTCTTTATACGTCAGATATGTTTTTTTTTCAAGAACCCTACTTGTAACTCTGACTAAAATTATTATTAGCAAGCGAAAATGAAAAGATTTCTCAAATCCCCGTCCATTATCATCATTAATTAAACATCACTTCAGGCGTGTTGATTCTGCTTTTCTGTCTCTTCATTGTGCAAGAAGGTCAAGGTTATTCCAGCAGCAGTACTCTCTTGGGCCAGTTTTCTCAAGATGGGTGTGGTGGTGGGGAGGCTCTTGAGGGACCACGGTGGCCTCTCATAGCTCTGGGATTCTAGGTTCATTTCTGAGTCTCAAGCATCTCATCTGTCAAGTGAATAATATAAATCTTATCTGCATATTTCACAAGGTTTATGTAAATTATTTCTCCCTCTGTCTCTCCCTGGAAGTACGAAGTGTTATGACTATAATGATGGAAATGATGTAGATGGTGATGATGAAGTGTATCAGCTGTCTGCTTGCAGCATATGAGACTACTACATAAGAAGAAACCTGGTTTGGAATGAAAAACCAAACATCATATGTTCTCACTCATAAGTGGTAGCTAAGTTATGAGGATGCAAAGGCATAAGAATGACACGATGGACTTTGGGGACTCGGGGAAAGGGTGGGAAGCAGATGAGGGATAAAAGACTAAAATTGGGTGCAGTGTATACTGCTTGGGTGATGGGTGCACCAAAATCTCACAAATCACCACTAAAGAACTTACTCATGTAACCAAACACCACCTGTTCCCCAATAGCCTATGGAAATAAAAATAAATACATAAAAATAAAAAAAGAAGAAGAAACCTGGTTTATTGGGACAAAATTCCTCTCCCTCTTTAAAGCAATAGCTGGTGATAGAAAGGAGAGGGAGTTTGGAAGCTGGGAAGTCCAAGATCTGGTGAGAACCCGCTTCCTGGTTCTAAGATGGTGCCTTCTTGCTGTGCCCTCACGTGGCAGAAGGGGCGAACAAGCTTCCTTGGGCTTACTTTATAAGGGCACTAATCTCATACATGAGGGCTCTGCTCTCATTACCTAATCACCTCCAGAAGGCTGCATCTCCTAATACCATTGCCTTGTGGATGAGGGTTTCACCTGAATTTTGGGGGGGACATACACATTCAGACTGTAGCTCTCTCTAAGCCTCAAAATCCTGTCTGCACAAGGAGGTGTATGCCCTGGAGCTTGGAGCCCTGCTTGGAGGGTCGATCATGCTAGCTAGCTTTCTCAGTGGGATAGTACAGGGGGGCGTTGTCCTCTAGAGACCACCGTGGTGGTTTCCAAAGCATTTCATGTGGATATTCTTTCATACTCAAATAGAGAAAAAAGCTGTAACAGAGGAATTAGTGGTTTTTTTTTTTTTTTTTTTTTTTTTTGCTAGGTATAGTTTATGGCTATTTTAAAATACCAAATACTAAAATTTGGATTTTTCTAAAACTCTCAGATTAGGGAGTATAATCTATTGCTTCCATTACCTGTATCACAAGTTAGTCAATGTGTTCATTGCATCATTCATCAGGCAAATACTCATAAATGAGGGGTAGAAAGTGGTGGGCGCCATAAGATGTAAGAAACTGCATGCAGCTTCTAAACAAGGCAGATGCACTCCCACAAAGTAACTGGTGCATTCCCTTCATGAAATCATTAACATTGTGAAGTGGTTTACACTTCAGTAAACTATGATGAGGACAACAGCACTCAGAACAGCATGTTCCTGTGTAAACATGTAGAGTCCTTTTAGGAAGAGCAGGTTGAGAGGTTTATCTTTTATCGTTAGCTGTGCATAGGATAGGCTTTCAAAGATTTTGTTTTTCAATCCACAGTTTCTACCACCCCTCTTACCTAAGATACCAATGGACAAAGAAATACTTAAGATAAACATTCTTCAATGAGACAACTATGAGAAGAAAATAGTTTCATCTATTTGCACAATGAACCACATTTAATTCAAGTTTGGGTTAATTCATTTTCCCTCACTTGGGATAAAAAAGTTGAAACATTATCGGTGGTGTGAAAGTACTGGCAGAATGCTGAAGATTGGGTAAAACCTGATATTAAGCCTGAACAAACCTCTAGCCAATTTTACATTTCTTTCATGTTCCTCACCTTCCTCTTTTTATATTCATTCAAAAGTTCTTAATGACAAAAGGAAATTTCCATCTTTAGAGAAACACAAAGAATACTCTCTTAGGAGATGTCACTGTGCAAAAGCTTCATGTCATTTATTCTCGGGTTTTTTGATGTACCTACTTCCTAGTTCTTCAGGACAAAGATTTATAGAATAAAGAACATCAAACAGTAAAGGTTTCAGGCAGTGTCCTAAAATAGACTAAAAAAATTCACAAAGCTATCTCTTGGTGCTTCTAAAACTTATTTTAAACATTTTGGAAAGGAGATATATTTTAGAAGTCCTTGAAACCGATCACATTCCATTTTTAATGGTCTTCTACTTAAAATTGTAACTTTAAATTCTGTAGTTGGCATGTATCTTCCCAGCAGCTGAATATGTGATTTTTGAAAAGGTAAATCTGCCTTATTTAAATTGTCCAGATATTTTAAAGAATGGTTCATTTGAGGGAAAAAAGGGTTTCTGAGAAAGCACTTATTTCTTTAATCCAATGTTATTTCAAAATAAATATAAAAGTCATTTTTAAAAGCTAGAAAATCAGAACTACCAAATGATTTAACCCCCTCGCCCCCCACCAAAGCAGATAAACTAGACATCTAATTCCACAAAGAAGAGAAAGGCATTGAGAAACCCTGGAGAAGTTTCAGAAATAATTCAGCAAATTAATTACCATTACCTTTTTTAGATCTGGCCATTCTTTTGGTAGAATATGACTATGGATGTCAATTTTCATCTCCACAGGATCAGAGAAGCATGCAAGGAAAGAAGTTTTGATATCAAGAGACCTTTGTGAAAACTGTGGAGTTAATTGATTTACTTAGTCCCTTTACAGCAACCTTCAGGCAGCAGTCAGTAGGCCTGCCCAACCCAGTCTAGGTCCATTAGAACTGCTTTATTAAAGTTCAAAGTTCTGTTTATTTGTTAACCAAGCTTTGGTTAACCAAGCTTTATTTGTTAATCAAGCTTTGGGTCAACACAGTTTGGTAGTCAGGACTCTTGGCACAAAACTTAAAAAAACAAAAACAAAAACAAAAACAAAAAAACAACTGTACTCAACTGTATGAGGTCAAAAGCACAGCAGGATGCTTTGACTTACAGCAGGTCAAAAATTGACTGATTTTTCATTTTAAATATTTTAACTTAGTTGTACATAGTTAATAATTAAATAGTTTGTAGTTAAAAATAAAACCATGCAGAGGGCTTTTACAGAAAAAGGATAGATCCCTGACTCACCTTTTCTTACTTTTCCTTGCACTATTCAGAAGCAGCCAGTTTTTATGATTTTGCTTTTTGTTCAGTTAGTTACTCCCATATCTTTAAATAATATTTAACAGTTGTCTTGTTCATGAAAATTTAACGTGTTGAAAAGTTATGGGGAGGTTTCACATTTTAAATCACAGAAAGAGTCCACTCTTCATATATGTTTTTTCCTCCAGTGCCTTTGTCTTGGACTCATTCATTCATGCATTTTTTTCCTTTTTTTTTTGTTTTTTAATTTGAGATGCGGTCTCACTATATTGCCCAGGCTGGTATGGAATTCCTGGGCTCAAGCAATCCACCCACCTTTGCCTCCCAAAGTGCTGGGATTACAGGCGAGAGCCACTGCACCCAGCTTCATTCATGCATTTAACAAACATTTATGGAGAACTGCTATATGCTGACGATGTAAGGTTGACTGAGAGAAAGATGATACATATCCTAAAGTGTAGGGAAAAGAAGATAGTAGCCATTTCCATTTAGCATTATCAGAGCAGTCAGGGAGGGCTTCCAATATAGCAGAAAGTGGGGCTTATATGGTCATGCCTCTAAAGAGAGCCTGGAACAAAACAGCCCTTGATTGTTCTGTGTTTACCCTTTCCTCTTCCTGAACAGCTTAAAATGTTCAAGGGACCCCAGGTCCCCTGGCAAACCCTTAAACCTGCCTTGGTTGCTGCCTTCAGCTCAGACTCCACAACACATAAATTGAGTAGTCAAAAAGCTTCCTTCTGTAATTCAGCTAGATTCTGGATAAATTATAACAGACAGCTTGAAAGAAAATAAAGGAAATCCTTGAAATCCATTTTTTTAGAAGTTCAGTGAGCTAAAACTGAATGAGTAAGCCTTAAACTAACATGGAGGCACTTGCTAATACTGAGTAAGTAAGTGCAAGCATTTTTAGAGCACTCCCAATGGGCCAGGCACTGGTCCATGAATTTTAATAAAGTCGGTTCACTTATTACTCATAACATTCCTGTGGGGGAAGAACTAGGACCAATATTCATTTTATAGAAGAGGAAACTGAAGCACGGAGAAGTACCTTGTTCATGGTTACACAATAGTGTGTGGGAGAACTGGAATTAGAATCCAGAAAATGTGGCTTCAGACTCCTAGAGATTTCAGGGTTAATATCCCACAAGGGAATGGGAGATAATAATATGGGCTTGTACAAAACTGAAATGCCCTCATTACACTAAAAGTCTTGAAGGATCTAGACCCTCAGGGAAAAAGTAGTCTAGGAAAAAAATCCATTGGCCAAAAAGAGGGAGTCTGTAATGAAACCTGTCTTCACTATGAGGGGAAAAAAAGAGAAGAAATAACAATTTTCTCTGAGAATTTCTTTGAGAATTACTATTCAAGGTCACCCACTAAGATTTTAGTTAAAGTACCACTCACCTACTTCCTCCCACCCTGTCTTAGTCAATTTAGTGTTGCTTTAATAGAATACCTGAGTCTGGATAATTTATAAAGAAAAGAAACTCATTTGGCTCACAGTTCTGCTGGCTGGAAAGTCCAAGAACATTGCACCAGGAGCTGTTTGGCTTCTGGTGAGGGCCACATGCTGAGGTACAACATGGTAGAAAAGCAGAAAGGTATGCAGATGTGTGCAAAGAGGGACAGGACAAAGGAGGCTAATGAGTTTTATAACAACCCACTCTTGGAAGAACTAATCTATTTCTATGAGAATTAATCCAACCTCAAGAACTAAACCAGGCTTGTGAAAAACCCATCTTAACAGCCTAATCACCTCTTAAAAACACCACCTCCCAATGCTGCTACATTGGCAATTATATGTTAACATGTTTTGGTAGGGAGAAATTACATCCAAACCCTAGTACTACTTTTGACCAGAAAAAGGAAATGTAAATCCTCCCTGAAGAAAAACATCCCAATTCTGTCTCCTCAGTATTGCCACAGATTAAGCACCCCCAACAAAGTATTGTCTCACAATAAAAAAATTCTACACACATGAGGAAAAAAGTCACTATGAGCAGGAGTCCACAGATATAATAAATAATAGATTTAAACCTCCAAGAATGTTTACCAAGTTTGAAAATGAGCAAAATGAGACTTTAAAAATGAAATCAAAATAATTTTAATTTAAAAACTCAGTGGAGAGGTTAAACAGATGTAGCTAAAAATAGAATTAATGAAGTGGAAGAGAGACTTTCACACAGAGATGAGAGAATTAAGCATATGTAAGGCACAAAACACACAGGTTAGAACAAGAAAGTTTAAATAGAGTCCAACTGGATTGCTAAAATAGAGGAGTCAGAAGTTGGAGAAGAGATATTCCAAGAGATAGTAGCTGAGAATTTTCTAGACCTAGTGAGCCAACAGATCCAGGAATCAAAACCTGTATCAAGAAGAACTGACAAAAATTCATTTGTAGAAACCTTGTAGTGAAAACTACAGAACATCAAAATAAGATCCTTTGAGCTGTTAGAGAGAAAGAAAGAGAATGCCTCCAAAACTCAGGAATTAGACTGACAGCATACTTCCTAGAGCAATAATGAGATCCATAGGACAATAGGATAATATATTCAAAAGGCTGAGAGATGCTAACTGTGAACTTAGAATTGTACACCATGTAAAATTTTAACAATGAAGGAAGAGTAAAGACATTTTCAGATAAAAACTGAATTTGCTATCAACAGAGCCTCACTGAAGAAATTTTTAATGACGTACTCCCAAAAGAAAAAAGTGACTCCAGAAAGATGGTCTGAAATACAAGATTGAATGGGTAACAAACAAACTGGTAATCTTATAAGTAAACCTAACTATATTAAGCACTACTACTACTACTACTACTACTACTACCACTACTACTACTACTACTACTGCCTGTTTTAAGGAGTTAAGACATAGCAAAATGTTATCCAACCACATCTTTGGCATGCCATTCCAACAGTGAATCTCCTAACTCTATCATCTTTTGCAATCTGGATAAACTGAGAGTTTCTTAAATCATTAAGTCCTGGTTCCTTTTAGTTTAACATTTTATCAATCTGTCTTTTCCTTTTGCATGTACTATAAACAAGAAGAAACCAGGATGCATCTTTAATACTTTGCTTGGAAATCTCAGCCAAATATCCAGTTTTATCACTTACAAGTTCTGATTTCCACACAACTGTAGGGAACATAATTGAGCTAAGTTTTCTGTCACTATATAACAAGGATTCACTTTCCTCCACTTTCTAACATGTTCTCATTTCCTTCTGAGCCGTCACCACACTGCCTGCCTGCCTGCCTGCCTTCCTTCTTTCCTTCCTTCCTTCCTTCCTTCCTTCCTTCCTTCCTTCCTTCCCTCCCTCCCTCCCTCCCTCCCTCCCTCCCTCCCTCCCTCCCTCCTTCCTTCCTTCCTTCCTTCCTTCCTTCCTTCCCTCCCTCCCCTCTCTTTCTCTCTCTCTCTCTCTTTCTTTCTTTATTCTGAGATGGAGTTTCGCTCTTGTTGCCCAGGCTGTAGTGCAATGGCATGATCTCAGCTCACCGCAACCTCTGCCTCTGGCCTTAAAATGATTGTCCTGCCTCAGCCTCCCGAGTAGCTGGGATTACAGGCATGCACCACCACACCTGGCTAATTTTTGTATTTTTAGTAGAGATGGGGTTTCTCTATGTTGGTCAGGCTGGTCTTGAACTCCTGAACTTAGGTGATCCGCCTGCCTTGGCCTCCCAAAGTGCTGGGATTACAGGTGTGAGCCACTGCACCTGGCCCACATTGCCTTTAATATCCATGTTTCTGCCAATGGTATGTTTAGGATGATTAAGGTGTTCTCCAAGACAATATAGGTTCTCTCTACCAGGCTCCTCACTCCTTTGAGCCCTCACTGGCAGAATCTTTAACATCCATATTTCTACTAACAGTATCTTCAAGGCAATCTAGGATTTTCAGTATTATTTCACCCTCTGCCTAATGTCCAATTCCAAAGCTGCTTTCACATCTTTATGTATTTATTACAGCGGTACTCCACTTTCAGGTACCAAACTCTGTATTAGCTTCGAATTGCTGTTGTAACAAATTACTGCAAACTTAATGGCTTAAAACACATGAATTTATTCTCTCATAGATCTAGAGGTAAGAAGTCTAACATGGGTCAGCAGGGGTATTTTTTGCTGGAGCCTCTGCAAAAGAATGTTTCCTTGCCTTTCTATCTTCTGGAGACTATCTGCATCCCTGGCTCCTGCCCCCGAAACCCATCTTCAAAGACATTGGCATCCTCTAGTCCTCTCTGCTTCTATCATCACCTTGCCTTTTTAAAATTCTAACTCTCCTGCCTCCTTCTTATAAAGGCCCATGTAACTACACAGGACCTACCTAGATAACCCAGGATAATCCTTACTTAATTACATTTTTAAAGCCCTTTTTACCATGTAAAGTAACATATTCACAGGTTCTGGGGACTATGGTGTGGACATCTTTGAGCAGGTAGAGGGGGACACTTTCAGCTGTCCCTAATTAGGCATTGTAAAATTTCCAGAGTAACTACTAAAAGAATACAAATAGAATATGTAACTTAAAAGCCAGTGAAGTGGAAAATGGAATAAGAAAAAAATTAATTCAAAAGAAGGCAATAAAAGAGAAAAAAAACCCATAAATAGTAGGGCAAATAGAAAGCACAAAACAAAATGGCAGAAATAACAAAATCCAGCTATAAGGAACACATTTAAACTATAAGAGTATACAAAGTTTGAAAGTAAAAATATTACAAGAAATTAAAAGTAGCGAATTCTAACCAAAAGATAGCTATGATAGGTTTTTTTGTTTTTTTGTTTGTTTTTATTGTTTATTGAGATGGAGTCTCCCTCTGTTACCCAGGCTGGAGTGCAGTGGCATGATCTCTGCTCACTGTAACCTCCACCTCCTGGGTTCAGGTGATTATCCTGCCTCAGCCTTCCGAGTACCTGGGATTACAGGCATGTGCCACCATGCCTGACCAATTTTTATATTTTTTTAGTAGAAATGGGGTTTCACCATGTTGGCCAGGCTGGTCTTGAACTCCTGACCTCAAGTGATCTGTCTGCCTCAGCCTCCCAAAGTGCTGGAATTACAGGCGTGAGCCACCGTGCCCGGCCGCTATGATAGTTTTTTATCATAACATTTTATGGTAGCAGGAACATATGTCAGATAAACAAGACTAAAAAATGTAAAGCATTATTGAGACAAAAGAGGACCACTATATAATATATAGAGGACCACTATCAATATAATATGTAGAAAGGACCACAAAATAATATATAGAGGACCAGTATAAATAATATAGAGGACCACTATAATAAAAACTAAAATAAGTAATAATTCTAAATTTGTTACAAATTTGCCTCAAAATATGTAATGCACAAATACACACACACACACACACACACACACAGACATACATCACTTAACAACAGGGATATGTTCTAAGAAATGCCTCATTAAGTGATTTTTGTCATTGTGCAGAAATCACAGAGTACACTTATACAACCTAGATGGTACAGCCTACTACACACCTAGGCTAGATGGCATAATATTGCTTCTAGGCTACAAATCTGGACAGCATGTTACTGTACTGAATGCTGTAGGCAATTGTAACACAATGGAAAGTATTTGTGTATCTAAACATAGAAAAGGTACCGTAAATACACAATATTAAAATCTTATTGGACTTCTTTTGTATTTTTTTGTAGTTTCTGCATTTTTTTGTATATGTAGTCCATTGCTGACCAGAATGTCCTTATGTGACACATGACTGTATATATGTATATATATATTTGACAAATTTTCTAACATATGTCTTTCAATTATTGGTAAGTCAATCAAATAAAAATTATCTACAAGGAATGGCAGCAGAGTGTCCCAATGCTGGAGAACCACCAAAGAACCTCAAAAGCATTCCACAAGAAAAGGAGAGTGCTTTTTAAGCTCCAGCCTGGCCCACAGGGCTCTGAGCCATCTTACCAGAGAGTCAGTCAAGTAACAACTTTTCTGTAGCCCTCACATGTCCTCCCTCTCCCTGCTTTGACCCTGCTAGAGAAAGAGATCAAGCTTAGAGTGGGGAAATGCCAGTTAGGGAAGGAAAAGAAAGATTCATATGCTCATTTTCAGGGAGAGAAGCCTTACCTTCCCATAAGGATTGAAGAGATTCCTAATATATTATACTGGGCATTTTTACTTTCTGAACAGAGACTTGGCTTTCAATTTAAAGCAGCCTAAAAGTGAGTAGAAATGTCTTGGATGATGGGTTGATCGGGTGCAGCAAACCACCATGGCACACATTTACCTATGTAACAAATCTGCTCATCCTGCACGTGTATCCTGGAACATAAATTATATTAAAAAAATGTCTTGGAGGCTACACAGGTTTTCATCCAGAGAGAGGAGAAAGACTACTTTCACTAAGCAGAATTAAAGGGAAAGTGCGAGATTTAAAAAATCGTGTGTATGACTACCTTTAATGTATGTTCAATGTACCTGTAACAGAAGAAGAGAGGATTGCTTTTAGTTTTGCTCATAAGGACAGACAAACTTTTGGGCTAAATGGGCAAGAGGTTAGATAGAGTTTTTGTGAGCAGATAACACTGTTTCCGTTCCCACTGTAACACTAAGAAAAGTGAAAACCAAAAGGAAAATTGTATAAGATCTCATCTGTACATTAAAAAATGGAATTGTTAATTAGATGAGCTTTATACTGCACATTCCTTTGTGGAAAAAGGCAAGAGATTCTTTTTTTTTTATTGTACTTTAAGTTTTAGGGTACATGTGCACATTGTGCAGGTTAGTTACATATGTATACATGTGCCATGCTGGTGCACTGCACCCACGAACTTGTCATCTAGCATTAGGTATATCTCCCAATGCTATCCCTCCCCCCTCCCCCCACACCACAACAGTCCCCAGAGTGTGATATTCCCCTTCCTGTGTCCATGTGATCTCATTGTTCACCTATGAGTGAGAATATGCAGTGTTTGGCTTTTTGTTCTTGCGATAGTTTACTGAGAATGATGTTTTCCAGTTTCATCCATGTCCCTACAAAGGACATGAACTCATTATTTTTTATGGCTGCATAGTATTCCATGGTGTATATGTGCCACATTTTCTTAATCCAGTCTATCATTGTTGGACATTTGGGTTGGTTCCAAGTCTTTGCTATTGTGAATAATGCTGCAATAAACATACGTGTGCATGTGTCTTTATAGCAGCATGATTTATAGTCCTTTGGGTATATACCCAGTAATGGGATGGCTGGGTCAAATGGTATTTCCAGTTCTAGATCCCTGAGGAATCGCCACACTGACTTCCACAATGGTTGAACTAGTTTACAGTCCCACCAACAGTGTAAAAGTGTTCCTATTTCTCCACATCCTCTCCAGCACCTGTTGTTTCCTGACTTTTTAATGATCGCCATTCTAACTGGTGTGAGATGGTATCTCATTGTGGTTTTGATTTGCATTTCTCTGATGGCCAGTGATGATGAGCATTTTTTCATGTGTTTTTTGGCTGCATAAATGTCTTCTTTTGAGAAGTGTCTGTTCATATCCTTCGCCCACGTTTTGATGGGGTTGTTTGTTTTTTTCTTGTAAATTTGTTTGAGTTCATTGTAGATTCTGGATATTAGCCCTTTGTCAGATGAGTAGGTTGCGAAAATTTTCTCCCATTTTGTAGGTTGCCTGTTCACTCTGATGGTAGTTTCTTTTGCTGTGCA
Source organism: Homo sapiens (assembly GCF_000001405.40). Classification (NCBI taxonomy): domain Eukaryota; kingdom Metazoa; phylum Chordata; class Mammalia; order Primates; family Hominidae; genus Homo; species Homo sapiens. The sequence goes on along the minus strand of NC_000002.12, from coordinate 134,830,476 downwards.
GAAGCTCTTTAGTTTAATTAGATCCCATTTGTCAATTTTGGCTTTTGTTGCCATTGCTTTTGGTGTTTTAGACATGAAGTCCTTGCCCATGCCTATGTCCTGAATGGTAATGCCTAGGTTTTCTTCTAGGGTTTTTATGGTTTTAGGTCTAATGTTTAAGTCTTTAATCCATCTTGAATTGATTTTGGTATAAGGTGTAAGGAAGGGATCCAGTTTCAGCTTTCTACATATGGCTAGCCAGTTTTCCCAGCACCATTTATTAAATAGGGAATCCTTTCCCCATTGCTTGTTTTTCTCAGGTTTGTCAAAGATCAGATAGTTGTAGATATGCGGCATTATTTCTGAGGGCTCTGTTCTGTTCCATTGATCTATATCTCTGTTTTGGTACCAGTACCATGCTGTTTTGGTTACTGCAGCCTTGTAGTATAGTTTGAAGTCAGGTAGTGTGATGCCTCCAGCTTTGTTCTTTTGGCTTAGGATTGACTTGGCAATGCGGGCTCTTTTTTGGTTCCATATGAACTTTAAAGTAGTTTTTTCCAATTCTGTGAAGAAAGGCATTGGTAGCTTGATGGGATGGCATTGAATCTGTAAATTACCTTGGGCAGTATGGCCATTTTCACGATATTGATTCTTCCTACCCATGAGCATGGAATGTTCTTCCATTTGTTTGTATCCTCTTTTATTTCCTTGAGCAGTGGTTTGTAGTTCTCCTTGAAGAGGTCCTTCACATCCCTTGTAAGTTGGATTCCTAGGTATTTTATTCTCTTTGAAGCAATTGTGAATGGGAGTTCACTCATGATTTGGCTCTCTGTCTGTTGCTGGTGTATAAGAATGCTTGTGATTTTTGTACATTGATTTTGTATCCTGAGACTTTGCTGAAGTTGCTTATCAGCTTAAGGAGATTTTGGGCTGAGATGATGGGGTTTTCTAGATATACAATCATGTCATCTGCAAACAGGGACAGTTTGACTTCCTCTTTTCCTAATTGAATACCCTTTATTTCCTTCTCCTGCCTAATTGCCCTGGCCAGAACTTCCAACACCATGTTGAATAGGAGTGGTGAGAGAGGGCATACCTGTCTTGTGCCAGTTTTCAAAGGGAATGCTTCCAGTTTTTGCCCATTCAGTATGATATTGGCTGTGGGTTTGTCATAGATAGCTCTTATTATTTTGAAATACGTCCCATCAATACCTAATTTATTGAGAGTTTTTAGCATGAAGGGCTGTTGAATTTTGTCAAAGGCTTTTTCTGCATCTATTGAGATAATCATGTGGTTTTTGTCTTTGGCTCTGTTTATATGCTGGATTACATTTATTGATTTGCGTATGTTGAACCAGCCTTGCATCCCAGGGATGAAGCCCACTTGACCATGGTGGATAAGCTTTTTGATGAGCTGCTGGATTCGGTTTGCCAGTATTTTATTGAGGATTTTTGCATCAATGTTCATCAAGGATATTGGTCTAAAATTCTCTTTTTTTGTTGTGTCTCTGCCTGGCTTTGGTATCAGAATGATGCTGGCCTCATAAAATGAGTTAGGGAGGATTCCCTCTTTTTCTATTGATTGGAATAGTTTCAGAAGGAATGGTACCAGTTCCTCCTTGTACCTCTGGTAGAATTCAGCTGTGAATCCATCTGGTCCTGGACTCTTTTTGGTTGGTAAGCTATTGATTATTGCCACAATTTCAGATCCTGTTATTGGTCAATTCAGAGATTCAACTTCTTCCTGGTTTAGTCTTGGGAGAGTGTATGTGTCGAGGAATTTATCCATTTCTTCTAGATTTTCTAGTTTATTTGCGTAGAGGTGTTTGTAGTATTCTCTGATGGTAGTTTGTATTTCTGTGGGATCGGTGGTGATATACCCTTTATCATTTTTTATTGCATCTATTAGATTCTTCTCTCTTTTTTTCTTTATTAGTCTTGCTAGTGGTCTATCAATTTTGTTGATCCTTTCAAAAAACCAGCTCCTGGATTCATTAATTTTTTGAAGGGTTTTTTTGTGTCTCTATTTCCTTCAGTTCTGCTCTGATTTTAGTTATTTCTTGCCTTCTGCTAGCTTTTGAATGTGTTTGCTCTTGCTTTTCTAGTTGTTTTAATTGTGATGTTAGGGTGTCAATTTTGGGTCTTTCCTGCTTTCTCTTGTGGGCATTTAGTGCTATAAATTTCCCTCTACACACTGCTTTGAATGCGTCCCAGAGATTCTGGTATGTTGTGTCTTTGTTCTCATTGGTTTCAAAGAACATCTTTATTTCTGCCTTCATTTCGTTATGTACCCAGTAGTCATTCGGGAGCAGGTTGTTCAGTTTCCATGTAGTTGAGCGGTTTTGAGTGAGATTCTTAATCCTGAGTTCTAGTTTGATTGCACTGTGGTCTGAGAGATAGTTTGTTATAATTTCTGTTCTTTTACATTTCCTGAGGAGAGCTTTACTTCCAAGTATGTGGCCAATTTTGGAATAGGTGTGGTGGTGGTGCTGAAAAAAATGTATATTCTGTTGATTTGGGGTGGAGCGTTCTGTAGATGTCTATTAGGTTCGCTTGGTGCAGAGCTGAGCTCAATTCCTGGGTATCCTTGTTGACTTTCTGTCTCGTTGATCTGTCTAATGTTGACAGTGGGGTGTTAAAGTCTCCCATTATTAATGTGTGGGAGTCTAAGTCTCTTTGTAGGTCACTCAGGACTTGCTTTATGAATCTTGGTGCTCCTGTATTGGGTGCATATATATTTAGGATAGTTAGCTCTTCTTGCTGAATTGATCCCTGTACCATTATGTAATGGCCTTCTTTGTCTCTTTTGATCTTTGTTGGTTTAAAGTCTGTTTTATCAGAGACTAGGATTGCAACCCCTGCCTTTTTTTGTTTTCCATTTGCTTGGTAGATCTTCCTCCATCCTTTTGTTTTGAGCCTATGTGTGTCTCTGCACGTGAGATGGGTTTCCTGAATACAGCACACTGATGGGTCTTGACTCTTTATCCAATTTGCCAGTTTGTGTCTTTTAATTGGAGCATTTAGTCCATTTACATTTAAAGTTAATATTGTTATGTGTGAATTTGATCCTGTCATTATGATGTTAGCTGGTTATTTTGCTCGTTAGTTGATGCAGTTTCTTCCTAGTCTTGATGGTCTTTACATTTTGGCATGATTTTGCAGCAGCTGGTACCGGTTGTTCCTTTCCATGTTTAGCGCTTCCTTCAGGAGCTCTTTTAGGGCAGGCCTGGTGGTGACAAAATCTCTCAGCATTTGCTTGTCTGTAAAGTATTTTATTTCTCCTTCACTTATGAAGCTTAGTTTGGCTGGATATGAAATTCTGGGTTGAAAATTCTTGTCTTTAGGAATGTTGAATATTGGCCCCCACTCTCTTCTGGCTTGTAGGGTTTCTGCCAAGAGATCCACTGTTGGTCTGATGGGCTTCCCTTTGTGGGTAACCTGACCTTTCTCTCTGGCTGCCCTTAACATTTTTTCCTTCATTTCAACTTTGGTGAATCTGACAATTATGTGTCTTGGAGTTGCTCTTCTCGAGGAGTATCTTTGTGGCGTTCTCTGTATTTCCTGAATCTGAACATTGGCCTGCCTTGCTAGATTGGGGAAGTTCTCCTGGATAATATCCTGCAGAGTGTTTTCCAACTTGGTTCCATTCTCCCCATCACTTTCAGGTACACCAATCAGACGTAGATTTGGTCTTTTCACATAGTCCCATATTTCTTGGAGGCTTTGCTCATTTCTTTTTATTCTTTTTTCTCTAAACTTCCCTTCTCACTTCATTTCATCTTCCATCACTGATACCCTTTCTTCCAGTTGATCGCATCGGCTCCTGAGGCTTCTGCATTCTTCATGTAGTTCTCGAGCCTTGGTTTTCAGCTCCATCAGCTCCTTTAAGCACTTCTCTGTATTGGTTATTCTAGTTATACATTCTTCTAAATTTTTTTCAAAGTTTTCAACTTCTTTGCCTTTGGTTTGAATGTCCTCCTGTAGCTCAGAGTAATTTGATTGTCTGAAGCCTTCTTCTCTCAGCTTGTCAAAGTCATTCTCCATCCAGCTTTGTTCCGTTGCTGGTGAGGAACTGCGTTCCTTTGGAGGAGGAGAGGCGCTCTGCTTTCTAGAGTTTCCAGTTTTTCTGTTCTGTTTTTTCCCCATCTTTTTGGTTTTATCTACTTTTGGTCTTTGATGATGGTGATGTACAGATGGGTTTTTGGTGTGGATGTCCTTTCTGTTTGTTAGTTTTTCTTCTAACAGACAGGACCCTCAGTTGCAGGTCTGTTGGAATACCCTGCCGTGTGAGGTGTCAGTGTGCCCCTGCTGGGGGGTGACTCCCAGTTAGGCTGCTCAGGGGTCAGGGGTCAGGGACCCACTTGAGGAGTCAGTCTGCCCGTTCTCAGATCTCCAGCTGCGTGCTGGGAGAACCACTGCTCTCTTCAAAGCTGTCAGACAGGGACATTTAAGTCTGCAGAGGTTACTGCTGTCTTTTTGTTTTTCTGTGCCCTGCCCCCAGAGGTGGAGCCTACAGAGGCAGGCAGGCCTCCTTGAGCTGTGGTGGGCTCCGCCTAGTTTGAGCTTCCAGGCTGCTTTGTTTACCTAAGCAAGCCTGGGCAATGGCGGGCGCCCCTCCCCCAGCCTCGCTGCAGCCTTGCAGTTTGATCTCAGACTGCTGTGCTAGCAATCAGCAAGACTCCGTGGGCATAGGACCCTCCAAGCCAGGTGCGGGATATAATCTCGTGGTGCGCCGTTTTTTAAGCCCGTTGGAAAAGCGCAGTATTCGGATGGGAGTGACCCGATTTTCCAGGTGCGTCCGTCACCCCTTTCTTTGACTCAGAAAGGGAACTCCCTGACCCCTTGCGCTTCCCGAGTGAGGCAATGCCTCGCCCTGCTTCGGCTCGTGCACGGTGCGTGCACCCACTGACCTGCGCCCACTGTCTGGCACTTCCTAGTGAGATGAACCCGGTACCTCAGATGGAAATGCAGAAATCACCCGTCTTCTGTGTCGCTCACGCTGGGAGCTGTAGACCGGAGCTGTTCCTATTCGGCCATCTTGGCTCCAAAAACCAAGAGATTCTTACATTATTCAGTAGTTGCACTGGATAAAAATAAAGAGGTTTAGACCATGTCTGAGAAGCTCCTTCCTCTTGGCCCTAATCTGATGACTGTGAATCAGTTCAGATACCAAGGTTTGACTTTTGACTCCACTGCTTATTAACTGGATAGCCTTGGGTAAGTTATTTAGTCTGTCCATAAAATTAGGATGATAATAGAACTGATTTTATAGAGTTGTAGTAAGCAATAACTTGAGTCATATAAAGCTATCAGCTCTGGATTATGCCTGGCACATAACCCAATTATTATTATTTTTTTGAGATGGAGTCTTGCTCTGTCGCCCAGGCTGGAGTGCAGTGGTGTGATCTCGGCTCACTGCAATCTCCACCTCCTGGTTTCAAGTGATTCTCCTGCCTCAGCCTCCTGAGAAGCTGAGATTACAGGTGTATGCCAGCACGCCTGGCTAATTTTTGTGTTTTTGGTAGACATGGGGTTTCATCATGTTGGTCAGGCTGGTCTCAAGCTCCTGACCTCAGGCGTTTGATCTGCCCACCTCAGCTTCCCAAAGTACTGGGATTACAGGCATGAGCCACCGCGCCTGGCCAATCCAATTATTTTTTAATCCGTCATATACAAAGACTGGCTTGAAGTCTGCTATCAGTTTAAGAGAACTTGCTTCCCCTTTCTTGGATTATGTTATATAAGAATCCTGGGTGATCCAGGAATATGGGGTTGGGGAATGCCCTCTGTGGTGGTCACCATGATTGTGTTTTCCCTTGGCCAGGTCTGTGTGATCCACTTGAATGTGGGAGCTCCACAGGTTGAACGGACCACTTCTGGAAGCTCCCATTCCAAAATGGGATTCCTTACCTTGACATCTGCTCCTCTTCTTGTGTTCTTTCTCTCAGTGGATGATACACTATCCAAGCCAAACTCCCCCATCTCTGCCTGTCTCTCTCTCTTCACAATCAATAGATCACCAAGTCTGTTTATTCTAATCCCATTGCATTATCATAACCCCTTTTTATAGCAACTCTGTTTCCTTGTCTCTAGTCTCACTTTCAGGCCCTCATCGTCTCACTCCAGGATTTTTAAATTAACTACTAATGGTCTCTGACTCTAGTCTTGGTCCACAGTGATTCATCTGGAAGATTCTCTTGGCCAGCATGTGATCTCTCTAAAATACAAAATGATCACATCTCCTTCCAGTGTAACACTTTTCATGGGTTCTCACTGCTAAGTCCAAGCATTTATGGGAAATAAGGCCTCCGAGGTACTTCTCTACCTCTCTTGTCTCTGTGCTTTGCCACTGTGCCCTATCCCTCAGGCACAGGAAGCACTTTGTGCCTAGCAAATGCAGTACATTCCCCCTTCTGTCTTTATTTATGGCTCCTTGGCCTCTGATGTCTAGAATGACCTTTGCCTGCCCTTCTTTCTGCCAAAGTTACTCCTGTCCGTTACTCAACATTTAGTTTAAACATCACCTCCTCTGTGAAGCCTCTCCTGACTACTACTGTCCCTAAATGGTAAAAGGGACCATATCCTCCTGGAAGAGTTAGTTGGAGGAGTGGGAGTACCAATGACCTTGACAAAGCAGTGAATAATTTCAATTTCATCTTAGAAGATACCAGAGTCCCTTTCTGCTGCCTTTTCCCAGTCCCTAGCTTTTGATACCCAGAGACCTCTTAGTCTCTTTCTCCTCCTTATAAATACTTGCTATGGGAAAGGAGCTGGTTTCAGTCTTTTGCACTTGAGTTTGAATTTGTCTATATCTGGGCATTGTTGAATTAAGTTTTTGAGTAAACACCATGGGGACAGGGGCCATGTTTATCTTGGATTACATTCTCAGTGAAAAGCAATTGAGTAGGTGCTTGCGATGGTTCATTTTGTGTCAACTTGGCCAGGTCACACAGCACCTAGATATTTTGTCAAACATTATTCGAGATGTTTCTCTGGGGGTTTTTAAGGTGGGATTAACATTTCAATCAATAGACTTTGAGTAAAAGTGTTTACCCTCCATAATGTGGATGAGCCTCATCCAGTCAGTTGAAGGCCTTTAACAATCATGTGAGCCAATTCCTTATAGTAAATCTCTCTCTCTGTCTCTCTCTCTCTCCTTATATTTATAAGTACACACACACACACACACACACACACACACACACACACACACACACACATTCCTATTGGTTGTGTGTCTCTAGGAAACTCTAATACAGTGCTTTATAAATGTTTGATACATTTTTGATGAACGAATTAATCATTAAGTAAATCGACATGAATATGTGGGTAAAATGTCCTTTCAGGAACATTTCTATCTAAGACTCAAGTGGAACTGCTATGTAAGAGATTTCAGCCCTTATTCAATATCATGGAGCAACAGGTGCCATTCCCCATGTTTCTTTGAACCCTCTGGCCCTTTCTATATTTAGTCAATTAAGTGATAAAGGGTAAAAACAGAAGCCAGCTCTTGGGTTTTGAGTTTTAAAAGCCTCACTTTCAGATGGGCATGGTGTCTCAAGCCTGTAATCCCAGCACTTTGGGAGGCCAAGGCAGGAAGATCTCTTGAGGCCAGGAGTTCGAGACCAGCCTGGCCAACATGGTGAAACCCCATCTCTACTGAAAATACAAAAATTAGCCAGACATGGTGGTGCACGCCTGCAATCCCAGCTACTCAGGTAGCTGAGGCAGGAGAATTGCTTGAACCTGGGAGGCGGAGGTTGCAGTGAGCCGAGATCATGCCACCACACTCCAGCCTGGGCGACAAAGCGAGACTGTCTCAAAAAAAGCACCTCACTTACAGTGGTCAGTGGGAAGACTTTGAGCCTTAGACTTGGGAGGAACTAGGGTTGAGACTAAATTTTCCCCTAAATAAAACCTTGTAGACCAGGTAGAGGGGAGTCAAAGAACAGAAGGGAATGTATGGATGCTATGAGTCCCTGAGGAGGGCCTCCCTGAACCCTGCCTTCCAGGGCCAGGCCTCAGGATGGGGTGGGGAAAGAAACCCCAGGTGAGCCAGGGGATTTTGACCTAGTAGTAGAGGGAATCTGGGTCAGCAAGAAAAAGTGTTGAATGTTGTATGTGGACAAAGAAGACTTTAGATAAGTGAGCAGAGTGTCCGACGCTCAGCAAGGCAAGACAGGTATAGAGTGGTCCTAAAAGAAGGGTGACAGTAGCTGAAAGTAGCCAGCCATGAAAGGGATTTGGGGTGAGGAGTGAGGGATGACCCAGTAGGCACCTGTGTGTGTTGATGATGGGAGGAAAATGTTTTTGCCGATCTAACCTAGACAGTGACCCAAACCAGGTACCACCTCTGACTGCTAATGCCGTGGGCTACAAAAGAGAGTAAGAGAGAGTCTAGGATAATGATTTAGAGCATGAACTCTGGCATAAACTTACAAATCTGTTTCTTTGGGTAAATTACTTAATTCTCTATGTATCAGTTTCTCCATATGTAAAATAGGACAATAATAGTAGAACCTGTCTTGGGCTGTTGTAAGGATTAAAGGAATTAAATCAGGGAAAGCATATGAAACAATGGTTAGTTAGTGGCATATAAGGGTTAGTCATTGTTTCTCATGTTATTATTGTCACATAAGCCTGCCACAATTTAAACAAAGCCTCAAGGAAAATGTGTGGGTAAAAGAAACCCTGAAATAACTGAGACTATGTTTCTGCCATCTGATGACATGGATTTGTATTAAAAAATGAGGGGTATTATAGAAAAGTAGAAAAAATTACATTTTGCACATATTTGTAAAATGACACACCTGAAGTTTTTGCAAGCGAATTAGGAATTTCAGATCTCATTATATAGACAGGCAGTTTTTCTTTGGAAGGTTGGGATTGATAATCCCACTGGTATATAGGCCATATTATCAAGGGAGGTGAGCTGCTCAAGGACCCATGGAGTGATGGGGACCAGGGGACAGGTGAGGGTTAGCTCAGGGGGACAGGGAGTGAGGATCAGAGTATAGGTGAAGGGTTAGCTTTGGAGAGGAGGGATCATCTCTCCTTTTGAGGGTGAAGGAAAAGATGGAACTATATAAGGGGGCCATGATGTGTTAACCTGAAAGCAATCACCAATCAAGAGTCGTCAGTACCTATGGTCTTTCCAAGGTAGCAAGTGAAGTCATCCACTGAGACAGAGTTGGAGATTTACAAAGCAAGGAATAGCTTTAAAATGGCACTTGAGTTGCTTGCTAGGTGATGAACAGCATTAGGGCACCATTGTAGCTGGACTTTAAGAATGTTTAACGGACAACCACTTGGAAACATACAAAGAAATTTTTTTTTTTTAAATCTGGAAGAAAATGCAGCCAAATGTATACTGTGGTTCTATTAGAGTAGTAAAATTATGAACGAGTTTTTGTGTCCCTGTTTTCCAAATATTTTATAATAAAGTTACTACACTCTGATCATTTGAAAGATTTATAAAAGCATATTTAAAAACAATTTGTCTTGGGAGGGTGTGTGTGTCGAGGAATTTATCCATTTCTTCTAGATTTTCTAGTTTATTTGCATAGAGGTGTTTGTAGTATTCTCTGATGGTAGTTTGTATTTCTGTGGGATCGGTGGTGATATCCCGTTTATCATTTTTTATTGCGTCTATTTGATTCTTCTCTCTTTTCTTCTTTATTAGTCTTGCTAGAGGTCTATCAATTTTGTTGATCCTTTCAAAAAACCAGCTCCTGGATTCATTAATTTTTTGAAGGGTTTTTTGTGTCTCTATTTCCTTCAGTTCTGCTCTGATTTTAGTTATATCTTGCCTTCTGCTAGCTTTTGAATGTGTTTGCTCTTGCTTTTCTAGTTCTTTTAATTGTGATGTTAGGGTGTCAATTTTGGATCTTTCCTGCTTTCCCTTGTGTGCATTTAGTGCTATAAATTTCCCTCTACACATTGCTTTGAATGTGTCCCAGAGATTCTGGTATGTCTTTGTTCTCGTCGGTTTCAAAGAACATGCACACGTAAGTTTATTGTGGCACTATTCACAATAGCAAAGACTTGGAACCAACCCAAATGTCCAACAATGATAGACTGGATTAAGAAAATGTGGCACATATACACCATGGAATACTATGCAGCTATAAAAAATGATGAGTTCATGTCCTTTGTAGGGACATGGATGAAATTGGAAATCATCATTCTCAGTAAACCATCACAAGGACAAAAAACCAAACACCGCATATTCTCACTCATAGGTGGGAATTGAACAATGAGAACACATGGACACAGGAAGGGGAACATCACACTCTGGGGACTGTTGTGGGGTGGGGGGAGGGGGGAGGGATAGCATTAGGAGATATACCTAATGCTAAATGACGAGTTAATGGGTGCAGCACACCAGCATGGCACATGTATACATATGTAACTAACCTGCACAATGTGCACATGTACCCTAAAACTTAAAGTATAATAATAATAATAAAAAGAATTTGTGATGTTTCACATTGTCACTGTTCTCAAAAGTCATCATCACTAATGCCATCCTTGACCATGAAACACAATGGTTTATCTTCTCTGAGCTGTTTTAGTCATAATCCAATGTTCTCATCCCATTCTGATAACCTAGACATACCTGTTTGCTCAAATAATTGAGTCAGTAATCCTACAGCCCTCCACATTCTACTCTAGTTGCCTCCTGAACTCTTTTAAATCAATTGCAGGAACCAAAAATTGAGATTCAATCCAGGATCCCCTCTGATTGTGTTAGCTTTGCCAGATCAGAGTAACCTAATAAGGCTCTGCAATTGTGGAAAGAGCTAGCTATGCCTACTGGCATCCAGGAAAAATGACTGGCTCACCTTAAATCAGATTTATGAGTGCCAACCTAAAAGCTAGTGGTGCACTTGAATTTTATTCATCTTTTTTCCACCATGACTTTGAATCAGGAAGCAGCTTTCCTCTGACTAAGCCTCTTCATTCCCTACTGCCGTAATCGATGACTAATTCAGAAATGAGGTGGTAGACATTTACATGATGGGAGATTATGTGCTAGTCATTCATAATGACAATGCTAGGGTTGTCAATCATGGCATACTGTTACAAAGCTATGGAGGGGAGAGGCAGAAATAAAGGAATGGGAAATTAACCATCTGATGTGTGTTTTAAAAAGAATGAACATCACTCTAGACTTATTCAGAACTCTGGTGACAGAAAATAACTCTTTTTCTTGTAAGGTTGAGGGTGGGTTGGGCAAAACCAGAGGTTCTCAATCTTAAATACCAAATGGCAATCACTTGAGAGAACTTTATCCACCTCTCCCCTTCATCCCTTTCTTCCCCTCCCACAGTTGCCAGAAATGCCTAAATTTGAATTTTAGATGAATAATGGATAATATTTTCAGTATAAGGTGTGTCTCAAATATTGCTTGAGATGTACTTATGCTTAAAAAATAATTCATTATTTATTTATTTATTTTATTTTTTTGAGATGGAGTCTCACTCTGTCACTCAAGCTGGAATGCAGTGGCATGATCTCAGCTCACTGCAACCTCTGCCACCCGGGTTCAAGCAATTCTCCCACCTCACCTTCCCGAGTAGCCGGGATTACAGGTGCATGCCGCCATGTTTGGCTAATTTTTGTATTTTTAGTAGAGACGGGGTTTCACCATGTTGGCCAGGCTGGTCTGGAACTCCTGACCTCAGATAATCTGCCCCCACTTGGCCTCTTAAAGTGCTGGGACTACAGGCCTGAGCCACCGTGCCCGGCCAAAAAATAACTCATTACTTATCTGAAATTCAAATTTAATTACAGTTCTGTATTTCTACCTACTAAATCTGGCATGTACACACCCCAAACCACATTCAGAATTAACAGGTGTGAAAGTTGTCAGAAGCAAAATGGAGTCGCTTGTGTCAAACTCTAACAAAAAAATAAACAAAGCTGGGATTCTGAGAAGGGAGGGCCCTCAGTGCGCAAATGCCTGTGATAAGAACTGTTACAAAGACTCTCAGAAGGGCTCTTACGCACATATACCTGTAACAAGAACTTTAGTCAAGGACTTCTCAAATTGCAGCTTGCTACCTGAGTCACAAGGACGTATTGTGACTCAGCTTGCTACTGAGTCACAGCTAGCTGGACGTATGGAACACTTGCCTGACACTGTCTCCATAATGAATTGGCATCAACTCCTGTGATAAGCCCCTGTAACCAGTGTTCTTTCTGACCCAAAACAAATTATGTGTAATTTTCCCTTTTCCCTTTAAAAGCTTCCCTTTTGCCTTAATCTCTTTGGACATGTCTACAGTCCCTGTAGCCCATATGTCCTGGATTTGCAAATCCCCTGCAGGGTTCTTGATGTTATTTAGGGAGACACAGGTCTGGTAGTTTTTTTTTAAGTTCCTCAGGTGACTCTAATGTGCACCAAGATTCTGAAAGACTGGGCTAAACTTTAGAAGATGTCCTTTGCAGCTGGGTGCAGTGGATCACATCTGTAATCCCAGATGTGGATTTGGGAGGCTGAGGCCAGAGGACCGCTTAAGGGCAGGAATTCCAGACCAGCCTTGGGCAACATAGCGAGGTCCCCTCCCTACAAAATATTTAAAAAGTAGCTGGGCATGGTGGTGCACACCTGTATTCCCAGCTACTTGGGAGGCTGAGGCAAGGAGACTGCTTGAGCCTAGGAGTTTGAGGCTGCAGTGAGCTATGATTGCACGATTGCACTCCAGACTGGGTGACAGAGTGAGACCCTGTCTCAAATATATATATACACATATATATACACACATATATATATATTATTTATGTGTGTGTACATATACATATATATATGGTGTCCTTTGTAGGTTCAGGTTGGCAAAGGGCAAACTAAAAACAGCAAAGAGAAGGCTGGGAAAACAGCCATGGGATGAGTACACCCATTCCAACTCCTTTATTTACTTATTTATTTATTTGAGACGGAGTCTCACTGTCACCCAGGCTTCAGTGCAGTGACGCGATCTCGGCTCACTGCAACCTCTGCCTCCCGTGTTCAAGCGATTCTCCTGCCTCAGCCTCCCAAGTAGCTGAGATTATAGGCATGTGCCACCACATCCGGATAATTTTTGTATTTTTAGTAGAGACAGAGTTTCATTCACCATATTGGCCGGGCTGGTCTCAGATTCCTGGCCTCATGTAATCTGCCTGCCTCGGCCTCCTAAAGTGCTGAGATTACAGGTGTGAGCCACTGTGCCCGGCCCCAACTCCTTTTTTTTAAATAGAATTTTATAATTATATTAAACATTTATGTAAAAGATGTTTCATCTTTCAAGAAAGTTTCCCCTATTTCCCTATCTTTTCTATCTTCTTCAGAGCAATAAATTATATTACTATTGCATGGACAAACTGCTCCATTGTGTTGGACAGTAATTCTATCTTTGTGTTTGACATCATTATCACCTCCAAAACTGCAGTCTGACCGCACTGTTTCATGGTAAAATTGTACCCCACTCAAATGAGAAGAGTCCAAAGAAATTAGAGCAGTCATCAAATTCATATGAATGAATAATAGACAACTAAAGATTTTATGAGACTGACGTGATACCTACTGCGCTCAGGAGGCACCTGACAACCAAAGATTTTAAAGTACTGATTTAGAAACAGTGTCTAAATCACAAGCCTTCCATTTGTCATATTGTTAAAATGGCAGATACAGAAATGAAAGCTATATTAATGAAAACTGAATTCAGAAATGAGGTCATTAAATACAACTAACTACATTTTAAATATACCTACCATGTATTTCCTGATTTGTAAAAGGTAAATATCTAAACTACCTTTCCTGAATTCAAGTCTCAGAGAAAGAGGTCAGAGACAATTAAAAAGAAGGTGATTCATATTACCAGGTCCATTTTTAAAATGATGAGGTCCTTTGGAAAAATCGCCTCAGTTTTTCTTCTTATCAGAGATTTTTGTTGGTCCTTTTGTTGGTAATCCATTTATGTCTAAACCTTTACAGTCTACTTGGCCTTTATTTTTATCATTGGCTTCTTATACAGCTTTTCTAGGCCATATATGACTAACAGAAAGAGAAATCAGAGGGTACATGTATGACTCCAGGAATTTTTTGTAGATCCAGGAGTGAGTTGAAATGACAGTACAAGGAATGCATACCACTGTCCCAGGCTTGAGCTCCTAAACAAGATATCACTTTGGAAGACCTCTAGACTTCAAATCAGCTGGCTTTTCCCAAGCAACAACCCTCCCTTGATATATAATACTTTGCTGCAATCATGAAGCCGAGATCACCTTCAACTCCTTTAAGGTCATCTATTTTGTTATCCTATATTCTATATTTGCTATAACTTATTGAAGAGAACACTCTTGGTACCTGCTGCACCCACAGCCCCTCTTGAAACTGCCAACCTCTGGCCCCTGCTGAGTGGACACTTCCAGGTGGTTATGCAGGCATGCCTGGCCGTGTTGTTTATCAGTGACCCTCCTTGCCTCTTCCAAACTGTGGCTACTGGGCCTGGGGCTGACTGAACCTAAGGGAAGCACATCACCCAGGATGGTCAGTTTAATGTTTGTACAATGATTTATGAGATGATATGGTAACAAGAGCTCTGCCCAGGCAGGGTGATGATGATTAAATTAGGCCAGACAGGTTCTCTCTTTGTGTATTTTATTTCTGGATACAGTGCATCAGGTGATCAGTAATAGAAGAGGAATCAGTTGGGTCAGTTGCTCTTAAAATTTAGAGGGCATTAGAATGATTTACAGAGCTCACTAAGACACAGATTGCTGGACTACATCTCAGAGTTTCTTATTTATTTGTTTATTTTAGTGGAGCAATCATAGCTCACTCTAACCTTGACCTCCTGGGTTCAAGCGATCCTTCTGCCTCAGCCTCCTAAGTAGCTGGAACTACAGGCATGCGCCACCATTCCTGGCTAACTTTTTTACTTTTATTTTTTGTACAGAAAGGGTCTCGCTATGTTGCCCAGGATGGTCTTAATCACTCCTAGGCTCAGGTGATCCTCTCACCTCAACCTCTCAAAGTGCTGGGATTATAGGTGTGAGCCACCACACCCAGCTATCATCCCAGAGTTTCTGATTCAATAGACCTTGACTGGAACCCAATAATTTACATTTCTAATAAATTTTCAGGTGATACTGTTGCTACTTATTTTGATCTAGGGACCACACTTTGGGAATTACTGGGTTAGTTTATGTTGCAGTGACAAGCTCCAAATCTCAGTGATTTAACAAAAGCTTATTTTTTGTTCATGCCATGTGTCTATCATGCACTGGCTGCGTGTTCTGGTCCACAATGGTGATTTCCTCACTCTGGGACCCAGCTGTATGGAGCAGCCACTATCTTGAGCATTCTGGGCACTGAGGCAGAGGGAAAGGAGAGATGTGGTCAAGGACACCCTGGCTCTTAAAGCTTCCCCCTGGAAGTGACATATGTCACTTTTACTCAATTTCCTTGGTCAAAGGAAATCATGTAGCCATGCACAGCTTCTCGTGGAGCAGGTAAATACACTCTTACCATTTGGTTAGAAGGGGAGAGGGCCAGAGGATTTGGGAACTGCTCTAATGACCATACAGAAAGAAGCTGAAACTAAAACTGGAACACAGAAGAAAACAGCATGCAGAGGCCATGAGATAATAGGAAGCATGAATTGAGCAAAATTCTTGTTGGCTGTTTGGCAGTGGCAGGAGTAATAGAAGATGAGGTGCAGATGAAGAGGATCATATAAAGTAGCTGTGTGAATATGTGTGGGTGTGGCAGGGGGCATTGACCAGGCTGTGCTGCTCAGGATTCAGAAGATGCTGCTGAAGCTGCTTTTGGTACTGGACCACATCAAAGGTTGTTGGCATTATATTCTGGTCCACATGGGATGCATTAATATGCCTGTTCCATGCTCCTATGAGAGTCCCAAGATCCTTATTTCCACAGACAGCTGGAAGCTCATGAAGGCTTCACCTATGAGGTCTCATCACATTACCAAATCACCACTGACAGAGGCTACCCCAACATTTAAATGTAATTTCTAAGAAACTCCAACTTGTATTTCTTAAACACCATTTAGGGGACACATAGACCAAAATAAAACATCTTAAAATTTCTTTAAATACATTTTTTTCCCCACATACAACCTCATATTCCCAATTCTTCCCCAGCCCCAGCCTTTGGATTTTTAGTTTTTATCCTCCTTTCCCTTTTCTCCCAGTTTTGCAGTTTTAAATCCCAAAAGTCTGACTTAGAAACATGGGGGTAGGAACTGGACTGAGCAGGCCCAGTCAGAATCCTCTTTGGTGGGCAGGGAGAGGGGACTGTCTGGGGATACACCTAGGTTAACAATGTGACCCATCGTGGCCTTACAGCAAACCCCTGTTACTTTAGGTACCTGAGAGGCACTGAGTTCCTTGTAATCGACAGAGCACAAACAACCCAGAAATGGACTTTCATGGCATGAGGGAATTAATTCTAAGGCAAAAAGTGCGTATGTGCGCCCATGTGTGCATGTGTGTGGCTTAAATATTCTGACATAAACAATAAAAAGGAAAATGGTGAATTTCCATCATTGCTCAACTGCCGGTCATTTACATTTGAGCTCACATGTGTCTAAAGCATCACCACTGTGTTGAATCTAATCTAGTTGCTTTCCTCCACTATTTGCCTGTTTTACATGTGAGTTCATCCTGATTCTTTCTCTTCACTACGTTCTTTGGTTCACTAAGTGATTGACTGAGCTTGAACTCTGCATTTTACTCATCTCCTGGATCCCTTTTGTGTATACTTCTGGGGGCAGGTAGTGTTTCTTTTGGACTTGAAAAAGAAATATTCCTTCTCTGCACCCCATGCTTAGCAGACAGATACTGACTCTGGCTCTCTTCTGGCCTCAGACCCTCCCACTAGGGCAGGGGAGTCCCAGAGGCCAAGAAGACGTGACCACTTGTAACCATCTCTCTCACCATTTAGACCATGGCCCTAGAATTCCCAGTGGCTCTGAGTCTGCTTCCAGGTTCTATGTGGGTCTCTTGGTCCATCCTCCCAAGGACGGAATGTGCCACTGAACACATACTCCTAGGACCAAAGAGTGGCCAAGGAGTGGCTGTTTGTGGGTGTGTAGATGGAGCCTGGACATGTGGACTGGGATTTTGTAGTAGACTATAAATTGTCCAGTGGGTATTGCTATCTGGGAACTAAAATTACCAACACAAACATTTGAGTGTTTTTTCTGATATAAATCTAAAGCTTAGCTTTTATTTCTCTGTTGTAGTTTAGATATGGTCCTTTTAGTGTACATGAGAGTTGCAAATTATTTTGTGGTATATAAAACAGAACAGTTGTAGTACGTATAACTGCCAAAAGCTAAGGTCGTATTACATTAAATTTTTTTAATACTTTAAGTTCTGGGATACATGTGCAGAACATGCAGGCTTGTTACACAGGTATATATGTGCCATGGTGGTTTGCTGCACCCATCAACCTGTCATCTACATTAGGTATATATTCTAATGCTATCCCTACCCTTGACCCCCACCCCCCAACAGGCCTCAGTTTGTGACGTTCCCCTCCCTGTGCCCATATGTTCTCATTGAGAACACTTATGAGTGACAACATGTGGTGTTTGGTTTTCTGTTCCTGTGTTAGTTTGCTGAGAATGATGGTTTCCAGCTTCATCTATGTCCCTGCAAAAGATGTGAACTCATTCATTTTTATAGCTGCATAGTATTCCATGGTGTATACAAGCCACATTTTCTTTATCCAGTCTAACATTGATGAGCATTTGGGTTTTTTTTTTTTTCCGAGACAGGGTCTCACTCTGTCGCCCAGGCTGGAGTGCAGTGGTGCATCTTGGCTCACCGTAACCTCTGCCTTGTGGGTTCAAGTGATTCTCCTGCCTCAGCCTCCCTAGTAATTGGAATTACAGGTGCCTACCACTGCTCTGGGCTAATTTATATATTTTTAGTAGAGATTGGGTTTCACCATGTTGGCCAGGCTGGTCTCAAACTCCTAACCTCAGGTGATCTGCCCGCCTTGGCCTCCTAAAGTACTGGGATTACAGGCATGAGCCACCACACCCAGCCTCGACTGGGATTTTGAAGCCTATTTTGGCATGGAGGGAAACTGGAGATGGGAAGAAAAGCCACATAGTTCATGAGCCAGGGGCCAGAGATCTCAACAATATCATGTTTGGGCTCAGAGCTTTTAGGAACCCAAGAATTTTAATTTCACTCTTAGCATTCCACATAGTTCTGAAGGTATATTTGTTAAGTTAGGTGGATAGAATATATTTTATTTGAAAGCTTGAGATATAACTTCTAAATATTCACAAATATGGTACATGGATCTCCAATTATATTATTGCCCCAGACCTTGTAGATGTTAGGGTCCAGCCTGGAGGGCAGGTGGAGAACTCAAGAGGCTTGGATCTGGATCCTAGATGGGAAAGTAAGGAAGAACCTGCCAATTTCATTTTATGGTGCAAACACTAATGAGACTGCTTGTACTATGTCATTTTATAGATTTTTAAAAAACAATGGTTTGTCCCCAAATTAAGTTTCCAAAGCTGCACAGAAGAGCATAGCAAAAATAGAATAAATGCTCATATTTCACTTAGCCAGCTTGGCTCCCATTTTAGTCAGTAAACAATGTGTATGTGATATGCTATGTTGTAAAAAAAATTTTTTTTTTGAGACAGGGTCTCACTCTGTCACCCAGTGCAGTGGTGTGATCTCAGGTCACTGCAGCCTCTATCTCTCAGGCTCAAACCATCCTCCCACCTCAGCATCCCAAGTAGCTGGTACTACAGGCACATGACACCACAACCAGCTAATTTTGTTGATTTTTTGTAGAGATGAGGTCTCACTATTGAGAGGTGAAGCCAGCTGGGCTTCTGGGTCAGGTGGGGACTTGGAGAACTTTTCTGTCTAGCTAAAGGATTGTAAACACACAAATCAGCACTCTGTGTCTAGCTAAAGATTTGTAAATGCACCAATCAGCACTCTGTAAAAATGGACCAATCAGCACTCTGTAAAAATGGACCAATCAGCAGGACGTGGGTGGGGCCAAATAAGGGAATAAAAGCTGGCCACCTGAGTCAGCAGCAGCAACCCACTCGGGTCCCCTTCCATGCTGTGGAAGCTTTGTTCTTTTGCTCTTCACAATAAATCTCGCTGCTGCTCACTCTTTGGGTCCGCACTACCTTTATGAGCTGTAACACTCATTGCAAAGATCTGCAGCTTCCCTCCTGAAGCCAGCAAGACCATGAACCCACCAGGAGGAACAAACAACTCCAGATGCAACACCTTTAAGAGCTGTAACACTCACTGCGAAGGTCTGCAGCTTCACTCCTGAAGTCAGCAAGACCACAAACCCACCAGAAGGAAGAAACTCCAGATGCATCTGAACATCTGAAGGAACAAACTCCGGACACACCATCTTTAAGAACTGTAACACACACCACGAGGGTCCACGGCTTCATTCTTGAAGTCAGCAAGACCAAGAACCCACCAGAAGGAACAAATTCCAGACACATTTTGGCACCCAATGTGGGGCACATTTTGGTGACCACAAAGGAACCATCGACTATCACCAAGTGGTGAGTACTGTCGGACCCCTTTCACTTGCTATTCTGTCCTATTTTTCCTTAGAATTTGGGGGCTAAATACCAGGCACCTGTCGGCCAGTTAAAAGCGACTAGTGCAGCCACGAGACTAAAGACATGGGTATCAGGCTTTCTGGGAAAGGGCTCTCTAACAACCCCCGACTCTTTGGAGTTGGGAGCATCAGTTTGCCTGGAACCAGCTTCCGCTTTTCCTGTACTTCTGGGCTGAGACGAGGGTCGACAGAGAGGAAAGCCATTCAGCTCTGGGGTCCTGACAACAAGTTGGTTGACCCTGCAGCCATGAACAGAACTCTCAAAGTCATGTCGCCCAAGCGAGACTCGTCTATCCATCCTGTCTATCCTGACCCTTGCCTCTTGGGTCCTAATACGTGTCAGGCAAACTTCCTCTTGCCTCTCTTCTCTGAGGCTAGTCCCGCTTCTAAAAACCACTCCCTGTCTCTGGTGCTTTTCTAGTTTCTCCTGTAAGAATGATTTCTAGTGTAAACTCCAGGACTCTGTTACCTTCTTTAGGTACCTGGGCCCACCAATCAGAAAGACATAATTTTTGCCCAAAGCCCCATTGTAGGGGGGCTATCTGGAATTTTAGGATCCCTCCTCAGACAAGCAGGCCTAACAAAAGCTATTCCTGAAGCTAGGATATGGGAAGCCTCAGAAATTGTAACCTTCCTATTCATATAAGTAAAGACAAAAGGCGTCACTCTTCCAACTCTGGAGATCCCTCCCCTCCCTCAGGGTATGGCCCTCCACTTCATTTTTGGGGCATAACATCTTTATAGGACAGGGGTAAAGTCCCAATACTAACAGGAGAATGCTCAAGACTCTAACAAGTTTTTGAGAATGTGTCGTTAAGGGCCACTAAATCCGATTTTTCTTGGTCTTCTTTGTGGTCTAAGAGGACAGAAAAGGTGCAGGTTTTTGAGAATGCTTCGGTAAGGACCACTAAATCCGACATTCCTTGGTCCTCCTTGTGGTCTAGGAGGAAAACTAGTGTTTCTGCTGCTGCATCAGTGAGCACAACTATTCCGATCAGCAGGGCCCAGGGACCGTTGTGGGTTCTTGGGCAAGAGGTGTTTCTGCTGCTGCATTGGTGAGCGCAACTATTCCAATCAGCAGGTTCCAGGGACCGTTGCAGATTCTTGGGCAGGGGGAGAAACAAACCAAAACTGCAGGCAGTTTTGTCTTTCAGATGGGAAACACTCAGGCATCAATAAGCTCACCTTGAAATGCATCCTAAGCCGTTGGGACCAATTTGACCCACAAACCCTGAAAAAGAGGTGGCTCATTTTTTTCTGCACTATGGCTTGGACCCAGTATGCTCTCTCTTATGGGGAAAAATGGCCACCTAAGGGAAGTATAAATTACAATACTATCCTGCAGCTTGACCTTTTCTGTAAGAGGGAAGGCAAATGGAGTGAAATACCTTATGTCCAAGCTTTCTTTTCATTGAAGGAGAATACACAACTATGCAAAGGTTGCAATCTGCATCCCACAGGAGGACCTTTCAGCTTACCCCCATATCCTAGCCTCCCTATAGCTCTCCTTCCTATTAATGGTAAGCCTTCTCTAATCTCCCCCGCCCAGAAGGAAATAAGCAAAGAAATCTCCAAAGGACCACAAAAAAATGTGGGCTATCGGTTATATCCCCTTTAAGCTGTAGGGAGAGGGGAATTTGGCCAAAACCGGGTACATGTCCCCTTCTCCCTCTCTGATTTAAAACAGATCAAGGCAGACCTGGGGAAGTTTTCAGATGATCCTGATAGGTACATAGATGTCCTACAGGGTCAAGGGCAAACCTTCAATCTCACTTGGAGAGATGTCATGCTATTGTTAGATCAAACCCTGGCCTTTAATGAAAAGAATGTGGCTTTAGCTGCAGCCCAAGAGTTTGGAGATACCTGGTATCTTAGTCAAGTAGATGATAGAATGACAGCCGAAGAAAGGGACAGATTCCCTACTGGTCAGCAAACTGTTCCCAGTATGGATCCCCACTGGGACCTCAACTCAGATCATGGGGACTGGAGTTGTAAACATCTGTTGACCTGTGTTCTAGAAGGACCAAGGAGAATTAGGAAAAAGCCCATGAATTATTCAATGATGTCCACCATAACTCAGGGAAAGGAAGAAAATCCTTCTGCCCTCCTCGAGCGGCTATGGGAGGCCTTAAGAAAATATACTCCCCTGTCACCTGACTCACTCAAGGGTCAATTGATCCTAAAAGATAAGTTTATTCCCCAATCAGCTGCAGATATCAGGAGAAAGCTCCAAAAGCGAGCCCTGGGCCCTGAACAAAATCTGGAGGCATTATTAAACCTGGCAACTTCAGTGTCCTATAATAGGGACCAAGAAGAACAGGCCTAAAAGGAAAAGTGAGATCAGAGAAAGGCCACAGCCTTAGTCATGGCCCTCAGACAAACAAACCTTGGTGGTTCAGAGAGGACAAAAAATGGAGCAGGCCAATCACCTGGTAGGGCTTGTTACCAGTGTGGTTTACAAGGACACTTTAAAAAAGATTGTCCTATGAGAAACAAGCTGCCCCCTCACCCATGTCCACTATGCCAAGGCAATCACTGGAAGGCATACTGCCCCAGAGGACAAAGGTTCTCTGGGCCAGAAGCCCCCAACCAGATGATCCAACAACAGGACTGAGGGAACCCAGGGCAAGTGCCAGCTCATGTCATCACTCTCACTGAGCCCTGGGTATGTATAACTATTGAGGGCCAGGAAATTGACTTCCTCCTGGACACTGGCATGGCTTTCTCAGTGTTAATCTCCTGTCCTGGACAGCTGTCCTCAAGGTCCATTACCATCTGAGGAATCCTGGGACAGCCTGTAACCAGGTATTTCTCCCACCTCCTTAGTTGTAATTAGGAGACTTTGCTCTTTTCACCTGCCTTTCTTGTTATGCCTGAAAGTCCCACACCTTTATTAGGGAGGGATATATTAGCCAAAGCTGGAGATATTATCTATGTGAATATGGGGAACAAGTTACCCATTTGTTGTCCCCTACTTGAGGAGGGAATCAATGCTGAGTCTGGGCATTGGAAGGACAATTTGGAAGGGCAAAAAATGCCTGCCCAGTCGAAATCAGGCTAAAGGATCTCACCACTTTTCCTAATCAAAGGCAATATCCCTTAAGGCCTGGAGCTCATAAAGGATTACAGGATATTGTTAAACATTTAACAAGGCTTAGTAAGGAAATGCAGCAGTTCCTGCCACACCCCAATTCTAGGAGTACAGAAACCAAACTGTCAGTGGAGACTAGTGCAAGATCTTAGACTCATCAATGAGGCAGTAATTCCTCTATATCCAGTTTACCCAACCCCTGTACTCTGCTCTCTCAAATAGCAGAGGAGGCAAAATGGTTCACTGTTCTGGACCTCAGGGATGTCTTCTTCTGTATTCACCTGCACTCTGACTCCCAGTTTCTCTTTGTCTTTGAGGATCCCACAGACCACATGTCCCAACTTACGTGGACAGTCTTGCCCCAAGGGCTTAGGGATAGCCCTCACCTGTTTGGTCAGGCCCTGGCCCAAGATCTAGGCCACTTCTGAAGTCCAGGCACTCTGGTCCTTCAGTATGTGGATGATTTACTTTTGGCTACCAGTTCGGCAGCCTCGTGCCAGCAGGCTACTCTAGATCTCTTGAACTTTCTAGCTAATCAAGAGTACAAGGCGCCTAGGTCGAAAGCCCAGCTTTGCCTACAGCAGGTCAACTATCTAGGCCTGATCTTAGCCAGAGGAACCAGGGCCCTCAGCAAGGAATGAATACAGCCTATACTGGCTTATCCTCACCCTAAGACATTAAAACAGTTGTAGGGGTTCCTTGGAATCACTGGCTTTTGCCGACTATGGATCCCTAGATACAGCGAGAAAGCCAGGCCCCTATATACCCTAATCAAGGAGAACCAGAGGGCAAATAATCATCTAGTAGAATGGGAGCCAGGGGCAGAAACAGCCTTCAAAACCTTAAAGAAGGCCCTAGTACAAGCTCCAGCTTTAAGCTTTCTCACAGGACAAAACTTCTCTTTATACATCACAGAGAGAGCAGGGATAGCTCTTGGAGTCCTTACTCAGACTCTTGGGACAACCCCACAACCAGTGGCATACCTAAGTAAGGAAATTGATGTAGTATCAAAAGGCTGGCCTCACTGTTTAAGGGTAGTTTGCGGCAGTGACTGTCTTAGTGTCAGAGGCTATCAAAATAATGCAAGGAAAGGATCTCACTGTCTGGACTACTCATGATGTAAATGGCACACTAGGTGCCAAAGGAAGTTTATGGCTATCAGACAACCACCTACTTAGATTCCAGGTGCTACTCTTTGAGGGACTGGTGCTTCAAATATGTACCTGCATGGCCCTCAACCCTGCCACTTTTCTCCCAGAGGACGGGGAACCAATCGAGCATGACTGCCAACAAATTATAGTTCAGACTTATGCCACCTGAGATGATCTCTTAGAAGTCCCCTTAGCTAATTCTGACCTTAACCTATAAACCGATGGAAGTTCATTTGTGGAGAATGGGATATGAAGGGCAGGTTATGCCATAGTTAGTGATATAACTGTATTTGAAAGTAAGCCTCTTCCCCCAGGGACCAGCACCCAGTTAGTAGAACTAGTGGCACTTACCTGAGCCTTAGAACTGGGAAAAGGAAAAAGAATAAGTGTGTATACAGATAGCAAGTGTGCTTATCTAATCCTACGTGCCCATGCTGCAATATGGAAAGAAAGGGAGTTCCTAACCTCTGGGGGAACCCTCATTAAATATCACAAAGAAACCATGGAATTACTGCACGCAGTGCAAAAACTCAAGGAGGTGGCAGTCTTACACTGCTGAAGCCATCAAAAGGGGAAGGAGAGGGGAGAACAGCAGCATAAGCAGCTGGCAGAGGCAGCAGAAAGGAAAGAGAGAGACAGGAAGTCAGAGAAAGAGAGAGAGAGGAAGAAACAGAGACAAAGAGAAGAAGGAAAGAGAGGAAGAGACAAAGAAGAAGTCAGAGAGAAAGAGAGAGATAGAAGTAGTAAAGAAAAAACAGTGTACCCTATTCCTTTAAAAGCCAGGGTAAATTTAAAACCCATAATTGATAATTGAAGGTCTTATATGTAGCCCTATAACACTCCAACACCACCTTGTTGTCAGTGTAAACAAGGGCATAGCTCAAAAACACTGAGGCCACTGACAACCCATAGCCTTCCTATCAAAAATCCTTAACCCAGCAGGTTTCCTAACAGAGGATCTAAGTCTTAATTAATTACCATACAAAGATCTGACCAGATCTAGGAGGAGCTCCCTTCAGGACAGGACGATAGATGGTTCCTCCCGGGAGATTAAGGAAAAAAGACACAATGGGTATTCAGTAAATGATAAGGAAGCTCTTGTAGAAGCAGAGTTAGGAAAATTGCCCAATAATTGGTCTGCTCAAATGTGCGAGCCAAACCTTAACGTACTTACAGAATCAGGAAGGAGCCATCTATACCAATTCTAAGTTAATATAGACTGAATGAGGTCTTATTAATAGCAAAGAATAATTGAAATCCCAAACTTACAAGGTTTTCAACAAAAGTAAAGTTTGCTAAAAGTTAACAGTGTAAACATATATTATCCTAACTTCCAGTCTTGTGGAAATCAGACCCTATCAGTACCCCTCAAAGCTCAAGTCCATCAGCACAGAGACATACAACTAATACCCCTACTTATAGGGTTAGGAATGGCTACTGCCACAGGAACTGGAATAGCCAATTTATCTACTTCATTATCCTACTACCACACACTCTCAAAGGATTTCTCAGACAGTTTGCAAGAAATAATGAAATCTATCCTTACTCTACAATCCCAAATAGACTCTTTGGCAGCAGTGACTCTCCAAAACTGCCAAGGCCTAGACCTTCTCACTGCTGAGAAAGGAAGACTCTACACCTTCTTAGGGGAAGAGTGTTGTTTTTACACTAATCAGTCAGGGATAGTACAAGATGCCACCTGGCATTTACAGGAAAAGGCTTCTGAAATCAGACAACGCCTTTCAAACTCTTATACCAACCTCTGGAGTTGGGCAACATGGCTTCTCCCCTTTCTAGGTCCCGTGGCAACCATCTTGCTGTTACTCGCCTTCGCGCCCTGTATTTTTAACCTCCTTGTCAAATTTGTTTCCTCTAGGATTGAGGCCATCAAGCTACAGATGATTTTACAAATGGAACTCCAAATGAGCTCAACTAACAACTTCTACCAAGGACCCCTGGACTGACTCACTGGCCCTTTCACTGGCCTGAAGAGTTCCCCTCTGGAGGACACTACAACTGCAGGGCCCCTTCTTTGCTCCTATTCAGCAGGAAGTAGCTAGAGTGGTCATCGCCCAATTCCCAACAGCTGTTGGGGTGTCCTGTTTAGAGGGGGTACTGAGAGGTGAAGCCAGCTGGGCTTCTGGGTCGGGTGGGGACTTGGAGAACTTTTCTATCTAGCTAAAGGATTGTAAATACACCAATCAGCTCTCTGTGTCTAGCTAAAGGTTTGTAAATGCACCAATTAGCACTCTGTAGAAACGCAACAGTCAGTGCTCTGTGTCTAGCTAAAGGTTTGTAAATGCACCAATCAGCACTCTGTAAAAATGCACCAATCAGTGCTCTGTGTCTAGCTGAAAGATTTGTAAATGCACCAATCAGCAATCTGTAAAAACGCACCAATCAGCACTCTGTGCCTTGCTAAAGATTTGTAAATGCACCAATCAGCACTCTGTAAAAACAGACCAATCAGTGCTCTGTAAAACGGACCAATCAGCAGGATGTGGGCGGGGCCAAATAAGGGAATAAAAACTAGCCACCTGAGCCAGCAGCAGCAACCCACTTGGATCCCCTTCCACGCTGTGGAAGCTTTGTTCTTTTGCTCTTCACAATAAATCTTGCTGCTGCTCATTCTTTGGGTCTGCACTACCTTTATGAGCTGTAACACTCACTGGGAAGGTCTACAGCTTCCCTCCTGAAGCCAGCGAGACCACAAACCCACCAGGAGGAAAGAACAACTCCAGACGCGCCACCTTTATGAGCTGTAACACTCACCACGAAGGTCTGTGGCTTCACTCCTGAAGCCAGCAAGACCACGAACCCACTGGGAGGAATGAACACCTCCAGATGCACCACATTTATGAGCTGTAACACTCACCCCGAAGGTCTGCAGCTTCACTCCTGAAGCCAGCGAGACCAGGAACCCACCAGGAGGAATGAACAACTCCAGATGTGCTGCCTTTATGAGCTGTAACACTCACCACGAAGGTGTGCAGCTTCACTCCTGAAGCCAGTGAGACCACGAACCCACCAAGAGGAACAAACAACTCCAGATGTGCTGCGTTTAGGAGCTGTAACGCTCACTGCGAGGGTCCGTGGCTTCATTCTTGAAGTCAGCGAGACCAAGAACCACTGGAAGGAAAAAATTCTGGATGTTGCCCCAGCTGATCTTGAACTCCTGGGCTCAAGCAATTCTCCCACCTTAGCCTCCCAAAGTGCTGGGATTACAGGAGTGAGCCACTGTGACCAACCTTGGTATGTTGTAACATTAAGAGCCCTATGCTAGAAGTCGAAGTGGTTTCTAGGCACTGAACCTGGTGGCCAAGAGCACAGGCTTTAGAGTCAGAGAGAACTATGCTAGAATGCCAACTCCTCTGCTTACATGCTGAGTGACTACAGGGAAGTCACTCAATCTTTCTGAGCTTCAGTTTCTTCATCTATAAATGGAGAATAATGACACCTACCTCATAGGGTTATAGTAAGGACTCAATGAGAAAGACCTGACAATGTCTGGCACATAACATGTGTTCAATATGGGGTAGCTGCTGCCACTACTGCTGTTTGTACTCTTGCTGCTACTGTTATAATTAATTATGCAACCTTAGACCAGTAAGTTACTTAAATTCATTCATTCATTCATTTAGTTAAAAAATCAGATATGAAAAGATGAACGTTGAAAAATGTACCTCTCCCACCCCATTTACCTCATTCCACACAGCCTTGTCTTCCATAGGTAACTACTTTTTTAAGTTTTTGATGTATCCCTTCAGTATTTCTTTAAGTATAAGAAAATATGAATGTATATTCTTATTTTCTCCTTTTCATACACCAAAGGTAGCACATTATATAAACTACTCTGTACTGTGCTTTTTTTCACTTAACAGTATATTTTGGAGATCTTTCCTTATCAGTCTGTAGAGAGCTTCCTCATTCTTCTTCACAGCTGTATGCTATTCCACTGTAAAGTTCACTTCACTATTGCTCTAGAGATAAACAAATGTATTGTTTACAATATTTTTCTCTAATGAACAAGACTGCTGTGAATGATTTTGAACATGTGCCATTTAATGCAAAGCAGGCATATCTGTAGGATGAGGGTAAGTGGAGTAAATGCGTTGGTAATTTTTTTTTTTTTTTTTAGACAGAGTCTCACTCTGTCACCCAGGCTGGAGTGCAGTGGTGTGATTTCGACTCACTGCAACCTCCACCTCCCGGGTTCAAGCGATTCAAGCGTTTGGTTCGGCTCTTTAGTCTCTGTCTATGCCTGATACCACTTGGTCACTAAGTAGATCCTCCATATATATAAAACTTTTGGGCCAGGCGAGGTGGCTTATGCCTATAATCCCAGCACTTTGGGAGGCCGAGGTGGGTGGATCACGACATCAAGATATCGAGACCATCTTGGCTAACGTGGTGAAACCCTTCTCTACTAAAAATACAAAAATTAGCTGGTCGTGGTGGCGCGTGCCTGCAGTCCCAGCTACTTGGGAGCCTGAGGCAGGATAATTGCTTGAACCCGGGAGGCGGAGGTTGCAGTGAGCCGAGATCATGCCACTGCACTCCAGCCTAAGCGAGACTCCGTCTCAAAAAAAAAAAAAGTTTTGATATATGAAGGAATGAATGAAATTATTAGGAAACATATAAAGCATTATGTTGAAAAACCATTTTTTAAAAGGGGATTTGTATCCCAATCATCTCAGACAGAAGATATGACAACTGTGAACTCTTGAGCCATTATTTTGCCAACTTTTAAGATTCAGTAATACAATCTGTTCTTATTCAAAACATGTGCGTTAGGCTAGGCACGGCGGCTCAGACCTGTAATCCCAGCACTTTGGGAGGCTGAAGCGGAAGGATTGCTTGGACCCAGGAGTTTGAGACCAGCCTGGGTAATAGAGTGAGACCTTGTCTCTACAAACAATTTTTTAAAAAATTTAGCCTGGGCCATGCACGGTGGCTCATACCTGTAATCCCAGCACTTTGGGAGGCCAAGGTGGGCAGATCACGAGGTCAGGAGATCGAGACGCCTGGCTAACACATGGCGAAACCCTTTCTCTACTAAAAAAAAAATACAAAAAAATTAGCTGGGCATGGTGGCGGGTGCCTGTAGTCCCAGCTACTCGCAAGGCTGAGGCAGGAGAATGGGGAGGCGGAGCTTGTAGTGATCCAAGATTGCGCCACTGCATACTCCAGCCTGGGCGACAGAGTGAGACTCCATATTAAAAAAAAAAAAAATTTGCGTGGCGTGGTGATGTGGACCTGTAGTTCCAGCTACTCAAAAGGCTGAGGCAAGAGGATCGCCTGAGCGTGGGAGATCAAGGCTGCAGTGAGCCATGACTGTGCCACTGCACTCCAGCCTGGGTGACAGGGCAAGACCCTGTCTTCAAAAAAAAAGCACATATATATATATATATGCTTTATATCTCAATGTAGAAAATGCATCTGCCCATGTCTAAGGAAAAAGATTTTCAATTTTTTCAATTTCAAATTAACATGTAATATAGTCTGTCCCACTTTTCCCAGCTCATGTCACTGAGTTACATGTCCGTGGACCAAGAAACAGCCTGGAATAAAGCTAAGAATTCACAAGCAGGGAAGAATTCTGTTTCTATGCATCAAAAGAAAGCAACTGTTGTAGGAGAAATCAGAGGTGAATACAACAAATGAAGAAATATTTATTCAAGAGAATTTATTAAATCTCATAATTTTGAGAGTTTGTGGCACTTGAACCACAATCTTCTCTCTCTCTCCCTCTTCCCATCTCAGACCAATGACAGAAAAAGAGCTAGGAGAAACAGCCACATGTTCTTATTTATCTGTGTACTGAGGTCTTCACCATTTCTTCACTTTTAGTGATGAAAAGCCCACTTTTCATCATTAAAATGTGGGTCGTGATAGTACAGAATTGACATAAAGAGCTGTAAAAAGGAAAAAATATTGTAGACCAATTATGTCAAGTAGAGTTTATTTGAGCAAAGAAAAATTATGCAAAAGAAAACAAAAAACGATTCTCAAATCTGGGGGGATTCACAACCCCCCAGAACCAAACAGATTCAGAGGACTCCCACCAACAGAATGATATGTCAGCATTTATAGAAAAGTGAGGTATAGGACTGGAGGAAGAGGGAAAAAGAAAAGAAAAGAAAAAGTGAGGTATAAAGGCAACTTAATTGGTTATAGCTTAACTGGTTAATTGGTTACAGAGCCTCCTGCAATTAACTAAAGCTCAGCTACTGGGATCAACTTCTACATTGGTTTGGTCTGTTGGGCCCAGTACAAGAGCCTAGTCCAAGTCAATGACTTTCTAAAAAAATTTATTTTAGAGAATAATTTTTTAAAATTTTATTCAGATGAAATGATACAACACTTGTAAAGTACTTAGCATAGTGCCTGAATAAATGCTAGCTACTGTTCTTATTATTGTCAGTCACTCGTATCACCACAGGGTGATGTCATAGGGTCAAACCCAAGATGAGATCATCAGTAACTACCGCATCTCTAACATCTCAATGGCAATCTTCCGGCTTGGACCATTGCCCCCATCCTTCCATTGGGCATACCACTTTCTCACTATCCATTACTCTCAGCTCCTTCCTTCTCAACTTAGATTCCTAAGTGCATACTATATGCCTCCCTTTTAAACATTCTTGACTTCCATAGTCCAATCTGTCCTTGTATCTGCCTGGCAGAATCCCAGCCTTGGTTAAAACCCAACTGCTTGCCTACTCAGTACCTGAGCAGTTGGCGGTAACTGGAGAAAATCATACAACACTAAACCGTGATTTGCTTTTTCCACTGTGCTGACATTTACTCTTATAGTGTAAAAGCAATGGTGGGTAAAACTGCTGAGGCCTTATTAAAAGGAATCAAGCCAACACCACTGAACTGCACCAGCAGTGATTGTATTTTCACCATTATGCACTTGCAGTTAAAAGAAAAAGCCAGTTTCACTTAAGAATGTCCTTAATGAAGCAGTACAAATTATTAATTGTATTAAATCTAAACCCTTGATTACATATATTTTAAATATTATGCAATATTTGGAAAATATTCCAGTGGAAAAATGGGACTGTCTGCATAAAAAATTGCTGCTGCATATTGAAGGATGCATATCTTGAGTAAAATACTTGTGCGATTGAGTTATGAGCTGAGCTAGCCACCTTTTTCATGAAATAACATTTTTACTTAAAAGAATGTCTGGTGGACAAACTATGGTTATTAGTTTTGTGTAATTGACATAGTTTCTTGAAAATTAGCAAAGTTTGACTTTAAGGAATGCAGTCAATTTTTTTTGTCAATGATAACATTTGAGGTTTCAAGCAAAAATTAGAATTTTGGAGAACATGCATGATCCCCTATGGGCTCAACAACTTTCTGATACTTAAAGACTTTTTTCATGTGATCGATAGTGCTATTAATGAATGTAACTTTAAAAAAATTATATAATATTTATAATTATATATACAACATTATGTAATATTGCCCACTGAAAACTTATTCCTTCTCAGCTTTGATGTGGCACTGTCAGTAGTCATCTGGTCAGTGTTCCAGCTCTGAAAACCAAAGACAGTGATCCAAGGATGGCAGGCCTGACAAAATCAAAGTCAACATCCCATCAAGTTTATACTCTCCTTTTTGCAAACAGTCTTCATTTGATCCCTTTTCTTTCCTGTGTTTGTTGGGGAGTTAGTATCAAATAAAATATATTTTATTTTATAATATATTTTATTGTAAATGTATTTAAATGAAATATATTTTATTTTATTATAAAATATTTGGAGCTCAGAGAACTAATATTTTTCAGGTGACCAATGCATGATGTTCCAAAATAATTAACAATGCAAGATAGACCACTGGGTTTTAAAGTAACAGAATAGAAAGAATTAATGTGGTTTCAGATTCCGCATTGCAACTAACTTTTAAGAAACTGCTACTTGTCAAGTTTTGGTATAGAATCAAAGGAGAATATCCACAATTATCTGAGAGTGCTATTATAATAGTTCTCCCTTTTCCAACTGTATGTCAATGTGAGCCAAGATAATCTTCATATCCTTCAACCAAAACAACATATCACAACAGCTTGAGTGCAGAAGCAAATGTGAGAATCCAGCAGTCTTCAACTAAGTCAGATATTAAGGAGATTTGAAAAACTGGAAGACACTACCACACTTCTCTCCTTTTTTTTTTTTTGGCTTTGGAGAATATGGTTATTTTTCATAAAAAGTTATGCTATGATTAAGTAGGGTTATTGTTTTTAGGTGAATTAATAAACATGTTTTAAAAATTTTTCAGTTTTAATTTCTAATGTGGTAAAGATTCATAGATTTAGCCTACATAAACGAAAACTCTTCAGTGTCCTCAATTTTTAAGTATGTAAAAAGGTGCTGAAGCCATAGTTTGAGAACCACTGCTATAATGCAAGATATATAATATAACCCTGACCTAGAAAGTCTGGGCAGAGTCAGAGCAAGGAAGAGTCGTTTTAGTGAAGGTCTATTTCATTATTGGTGGGCAGCATTTTACAAATAAATACATTTAAATACTGTGTAGTTGACTGTGTTGTAACTGAATAATCAATTTAAGTAGAAACCAGCAGGCAAGTAATTGTCTAAATATTCTTGTACTCATCATCCTTTGATTATATCATCCCCTTGAGAAAAAAGAAATTGGAAATATAATAAGGCCAAACCTGCTTTATTTAATAAGGTCTATGCCCAGCCTCCAACTCCAGATCAGCCAGTGAGAATGTCATACCAGGGTTCAGGGGCTGAGTAGGGTCTGTTCCAATTAGAGTGGAATTGTTGACTTCTTCAGAAAAGGAAGCAGTGGGATCAATGGCTATTTAGCTGCGGTAGCAGCCTGGAATCGCTTAGTGCCTGATGTCCAAGCTGGGTATCAAGGTCTTTACATACTTTTGACAGACTGAACCTCTAAATGCTGCCCATTATTGGTATCAGTGTGCCGTTGCCCACTGCAAACTGATTCCTTCTCAGCTTTGATGTGGCACTGTCAGTGGTCATCTGGTCAACGTGCCAGCTCTGAAAACCAAAGACAGTGATCCAAGGATGGCAGACCTGACAAAATCAAAGTCAATATTCCATCAAGTTTATACTCTCCTGTTTGCAAACAGTCTTCATGTGATCCCCTTTCTTTCCTGTGTTTTTTGGGGAGTTAGTATCAAATGTCAGTTTCAAACCATGACAGTTCTGGTCTTCAATAATTTATATTCCCTAAGTGTAATCAATGTTCCTGACTTTCTATGAAAGTCATACCATATCACCCCATTTCTATTCCCTAAGGCTTCTTTCATTTTCCTGCATGAGTTTGTTTTCACATCCAGTTTTACCGACCCCAAGTCAAATCCTTTGTTGAAAATGTCTCTGGGTGCTTTGCTAAGGTCAGCATGTGACAAAGAAATACGTATGAGTCTCACTAATGTCTGCCCATAAGCCGCCTTGATGAGGCCTCAAGACCAGGTGATGTGGTGGTTGCCTGAGGGTGCTGATCTGCTAGCCTCTGCGGCTGGAAGAACAAAGTAAAAAATAATTCATATTTCTGGTTTCTATTCTGGCGGTGAATTTTGCTTTGTTCTTATCTGGGATTTGGAGATTTTAAACCTCTCTATACTCAAGCGTCGATTTCTCTGGATCCAGGAGGACCCTTAGAAATCTATTCCAACACCACCATTTGCTGCTGAGGCCATTAAAGGCAAAGAAGAGAAGTGACTTGAGAGGTCAGGGTCAGGCAGTGCCCAAGCTGGGATGCCTCCTCTCTCTCCTTTCCCCTGCCTTGCAACTGCAGGAGTCTCAAAGGCCTAGGTCCAGTATCTGTCTGTAGGTCCTAGATTTGAGGCATTTAGCTCTAGCCTGGTGCCCTACAGCCATGGTGTGATGGATATTTGTGGTTTTTTCCTTCCTAGGATTTCTTCCTCTTTTCCTGACAGCATCCACTCCCCTTTCCCCCTCTCTCAGTCCACGTGGCTTCAGCTGGGCAAACCCCATCTCCTGATTCCAGTCTGGACAGTGGCCAAGATGATTGGTAGAGGGATGAACATGTGACCCAAACTTGGCCAATCAGACCCAGCTTCAGGCTGTTTGCTGTTGCTGTGAAGAAATATGGTGTCCATTTAGTAAGATATAAAATTGAAGGTGTTCTTGGTCGTTTTGCCACTACTTGGAAAGAGACTGACTGAGAAGCAAATCAACCCTGAGGAAAGCAAAGCTGAGAAGGAGAGACTGAGGGAGAAACAGACAGAGAAACAGAGAGAGGGGGAAAAGAGAGGGGCAGGGGGAGAAGGAGCAGGGAGCGGGGTTCCTGGTGAGACCCTTTGAGCACCCGAATCCAGCTACGTTTCAAGCAAGATTTACCCGTGGATTTTTTTGTGATATGAGCTAATACATTTTTTGTCTTAAGCCAATTTGAGTTGATTTGCTGAAACTTGGTCTCCTTGGTTTGCTAAAATTGTGCTTGCTGCCTAGAGTTTGGAGCTCCAGGATGGCCCTGTTCAGGTACATTATAGAAAAGTGCTAGTTGCTGGGGCAATTTGGTTTCTCATCCTACTGGAGCCTGTTGGTGAGTTGTCTGTGCTTGAAGCTGCTCTTGCCCTCTGAGCGGCCTAAGCCCCTGAGCTATGGGTGATCTGGGTTGCCTCTGAGTCCTCATTTGATTTCGGGACTCACTTGTAGAGACTGGAAGAGGATGACTCACTGTTCACTGGCCTTTGGTAGATTTTCTCCAATGAGGAGGCCTGACTTGCTTCTTTTCTGTCTTAGGTTTTAGGTTTCTATTTGTATTAGCATCTCTTATCACTAGAGGAATAAAAATAATGAACTCGGCCAGGAACGGTGGCTCAAGCCTTTAATCCCAGGACTTTGGGAGGCTGAGGCAGGCGGATCATGAGATCAAGAGATCAAGACCATCCTGGCCAAAATGGTGAAACCCCATCTCTACTAAAAATACAAAAATAGCTGGGTATGGTGGCACGTGCCTGTCCTTCCAGCTACTAGGGAGGCTGAGGCAGGAGAATCGCTTGGACCCTGGAGGTGGAGGTTGCAGTGAGCTGAGATAGCGCCACTGCACTCCAGCCTGGGTGACAGAGTGAGACTCCTTCTCAAAAAAAAAGGAACTCTCATGCCAGTGAATTAAAAGGAGCTAGGAATAGTGAGCATACTCACAGAAATGACGTTATATGCATAATATGAGGTGTGTAATATAACAGATCATATAATCATACTGAGAGAATGCTGACCCATGCACAATATAAATTAACACATTTTATTTTCTGTATTCATGAAAGGTCCTGGCAGAAACTGATGGCACATTCAAACTAGAAAATTTGAGAGACCTGAATGAAGGGACTAATTACAAACTTGTGGGCAGGGTGGAGGGAAGCTGTTGGGTAAGTGCAGTGCCCCAGGGCGGGAAACATTGAGGTGCAGTTACCTCTCTGAGGCCTGAATGCACAAGGGAAGAAAGAGGTTCCAGAACCAAGACTGTGAGAGTTGTGTGGCTCTGCAGCCCACAGGGAGAGAGCCAGGAAGAAATACTCTGTCAGAAGTGGATTTATCCTGAAGCTCTTGAAACTGAAGCCTGAAGTTCCCCCACTCACATGGGCCCCTGGAGTGCCAATTGCTGTTGGGATGTAAAACATGTTCTGTGTGGGGAAGCAAAATCCATCAACAATTGAAAGTATTTCTCACTTCCGGGCATAGTGGTTCACGCCTGTAATCGCAGCACTTTGGGAGGCTGAGGCAGGAGGATTGCCTGAGCCCAGGAGTTTGAGACCAGCCTGGGTAACAAGTGAGACTCCATCTCTAAAAATAAAATAAATAAAATAAAATAATAATAAAATAAAATAAAATAAAATAAAATAAAATAAAATAAAAATTTCTCTGTAAGCATTTTTGATAAGTTGTCTGAAGAGACCTCAAATTAAAGTGACGGGAATCTGCAAGGCTCTACTGCTTTGTTCTGATTTCTCTTCTCATTCTAAATAAATATTCATCTTTCTGTCTCCTTATGTCTTAGTATTTTTCTTAGAGAGTATCTCAAAAATTGTGTAAGCTTTTGGGCTCCACAAAACCTGGATTTGCCTCAATCTCACTCCCTCCCAGCCTCTGTTGGAACAGAGAGAAACTTAGATGAAAATGTACAATCTCTGTCCTCGTGGGGCTTAGCATCTAGTGAAGGAAATAGGTGGGTAAACAGTAGTAGCCTCTCCATGGCTTTCTACGTCTCATATCACCCCATGTAAGCATTATACATCGTGGTTCTTATTGTATTGCCTTGTCACTGTCTGGGTTCGTCTTTTTCTCTTCTCAGAAATCCAGGAGCTTCTCAGGTGCAGGAAGTGAATCTCTCACACCAAGCAAAGAGTAAGAGAAGAATACATGAATGTATGCATGAATGAATGAATGAATGGATGGAGTAGATGAAGGAGTTGGATGAAGGCTGTAACTGATCACTATAGGAGGTACAGTCAGAGTATAAGGAAGGTGCTGTTAAGTATTTCATCTTTATGGTATTCTATTTTACTTTAGATTCATGGGCATGGGATTTAAAAAGTTCTAGAAGTATATAGAACATGCATGCTGCCTTTGTCAAATAGAAAAGAAAAAGAACACAAAAGAAAACTTATACCGCTCATACCTATAATCCCAGCACTTTGGGAAGCCCAGGTGGGTGGATGTCTTGAGCCCAGGAGTTCGAAACCAGCCTGGGCAACATGGCAAAACCCCATCTCTACAAAAAATACAAAAATTAGCTAGGTGTAGTGGTGCACAACTGTAATCACACCTACTCAAGATCCCGGGATGTCGGGGCTGCAGTGAGCATGATCACACCACTGCACTCCAGCCTGAGCAATGGAGTGAGACCCTCCCTGTCTCAAAAAAATTACACATTATATAAACCTTACCTGGGAAGTTTTTTTTTTTAAATGCTGATGCCTGGGCCTTGCTTTAGGACTACTCAGTCAGAATTTCTATAGTTGAGACTGGACTTCCAAATTTTTAAAAAGCCATAAATAATTCTGATGTTCACCCTTCGTTAAAAATCACTAGATTTAAACTATGTAATAATTCCATATACCAAGAATGATATTGCACCACGTATCTATCTGTTGTTTTTGCCATCTCTTCTCCTTTTTCTAGTATTAATACTCTGGCTTTCCTTTGAGGGGTCTCCTACCTCACTCTCAGTTGATGTGGTTTGGGTCAGGGTGACCTTATGTCCTCAGACCTCCTCAACCACTCTGCTACCCCATCTGGCTCCAGAGATGGAGCTGAGACCCAGTTCTGGCCCATCTTATGTCCCATCCGTCTGGCCACAAAGATTGGCTCAGAGATAGGCACAAGATGTCAGTTAGTCCAGGAGCCCCCAGCTGGAAATCCTTGTGGGATATTTTGGGAAAGAGAAGTCCTCTTTCCACTGGGATGGCCAGATGATAGGAGGTCAGTCTGGGGCTGTGAGAGTGCCTGTTGGAGTGTGAAGACAACAGAGAAAAACAGATCCAAGTAATGGGGTGACAGGGAAAGTCCTGGAGACTGTCTTTAGGCCCTCAGAGCCAGCTGTTTGAAAACAACTCAACTTGGAACCATGTGACGCCTTTACTTGAGTAGTCACTTGCAACCAGAACAGTCCTAACAATTTTTATTAAGTTCTTTTTTTTGTAAATTTGATTAAAGTTTTCAATAAAAACAAGTTGGAGTAATTCTTATAGTGATAAGAGCTAACATTTATTGAGCACCTACTATGTGCCAGGCACTGTTCTGAGAGCTTAACATACTCACTCATGCAATCCCCACAGTAACCTACAAGTGAGTACATGCCTATTTTACAGATAGAGAAACTGAGGCACTTAGTGAGCCCCACTTCCATCAACTCTGTGTTCATCATGCTTCCTGCTCTTGGGTCAGGGAAATATTACAAAGACCTTGCCTGCGATTTGAGAAGCCACCATTTAAGTGAGTGATTGTACTTTTATGGGTTCAAAGTGTATTGCTGCTTCGAGAAGTGTCTCACTTTAGCCTTGAGAGGATAAGACAGAATGATGGTTACTACCATGCAGGATCACAGAGGAAAATTGGTGGTAGGCTGGTATCACACGAGGAGGTCTTTTTGTGCAGAAGAAAGGTTAGAAGGGTTCTTTTCTTTCTGCAAGATTAATTACATAATTAAGCATGGCACACTACTCTCAGAAATTTAGACTCCTGCAGAAGGAAGATGGATGAGGAAATAACAGCACGTTGCCATGGCAGAGGAGATGGGGAGTTGGCTCCTGTGCTATCTCCTGGCAACCATTTGACAAGGAGCCGCACTTGACTTTGAATTACAGGCAAAGAAGCTGCCACTCGGGGATCATCTGTAAGGGAACTTTTATCAAGCTTACCTTGGTGCCTTGAGAGAAGCCCAGATACATTAATATAAAATAAATACAATTTCAGGTGCCTCTCAGTGGGCCATTTCCTCAGTCTGACTAGTCATGAAAGCCATGGAGGCTTTGCTTATGGAGAACCTTCTGCTTCAATTTTCTGAAAGCAGCGTGCCCTATGCCAAGGAGGATTCGCTCTTGTTTGCAAATGCCTTCACCCCAGGGACCAAACTACGGGGGTGGTGGAATCTGGGATACCTCCTAGAATAGAGTTGCCAAAAATCTTACCCTTGTCCAATAAAAGGAGCAAACCCCTCATTTGGAAAGAGGAGCACTGTGTGTGGTGAGTAGGGCAACCAATTCATCTGGCTTACTTGGGACTTTTCCAGTCTTAGCACTGAAAGTCCAAGTGCCAGGAAACCTCTCAGTCCTACACAACCAGGAATGGTTTGCCAAGACCGTCCCTCTATTCAAAGGGAAAGTCCCACATCCCAGGCATCCTACTCTGTTTGGGCTGCGAAAACAAAATACCATAGACTGGGTGGTTTAAGCAACAGACATTTATTTTTCACAGTTCTGGAGGCTGGAAGTCCGAGCTCAGGCTGCCTGCTTCATCAGGTTCTGGTGAGGGCTCTCTTCCCAGATTGCAGATGGCTGCTTTCTTGCTGTGTCTTACATAGTGGAGAGAGAGACAGAGACAGAGAGAAGGAAAGAGAGAGTGAGAGAGAAAGCTCTCTGGTCTCTTCTTATAAAAGCACTAAAATCCCATCATGAAGACTCCAAACTCATGATCTCATCTAAATTGAAATACCTCCCAAAGTGTTGGGACCTCAACATATGAGTTTTGGGGGCACATATTCAGTGTCCCCAAACTGGTACAGTTGGTCATCTGTGGATGACCCACCTTCCCCAATGGTCATCTTTCATAATGCTTTTTAGAAATGGAGAATGTACTCTTTGAGCATACAGATATGTTTATTTTCTCTTTTGAATTTCCCATAGGCTAAGCCCACTGTGACTAAATCTCAAAGGGGCAATTATCTGCTTGCATAGAAACGAAGTATCCTGTCCACCTTACAAACACAGTCTCAAGCACACCACAAGCTTCACCTGCTCTAAGTTCTTCTTGGCCAGGAGTGGTGGCTCACGCCTGTAATCTTAGCACTTTGAGAAGCCAAGGCAGGAGGATTGCTTGAGGCCAGGAGTTCAAGGCCATCCTGGGAAACACAGCAGAACCCCGTCTCTATTTATTCTAAAAAATTTAAAAAAAACCAACACTTTTTTTTTTTTAAAAGTTCTTGATCCTTTCACCTCTCCTTGAGCAGGGTCTGTGTTCTCTTTTCAAGGGCCAAGCACACAGTAGGTGCTCAATAAATAACCAAGCAAGTAAAATTTTCTCTAATTGCATATGTCTTCAAAGTTCCTTAGTTGGTTGTGTAGCTTTCACAGTCTTGTGATGGTCAGTGGTATCTTCTCAACTCAGAGGCCAACATGTGCGTGCCTGTTCTCTGACAATAACTCATAGTTCTTGGTGAGGATGGCTTTAGCAATACCCTTTCCAGCCACTAGTCTTTGCCAGGGCATGGCAATTCCAAGCTGACTAAAGCCTCTGGGCCAGTTTTTGACTTTCTGACCCATGGAATAAAGATACCATAGAACAGGAGTTCTCAACCTTGGCTGCACATTGGAATCATTTAGGAGCTTTAAAAAAATAAGTAAATAACCAGCTCCTACCACAACCAACGTATGGGGCCCGAATGCCATCATTTTGAAAAGCTTCTTAGGTTTTTCCTATGAGCAACCAAGGTTGAAAACCATTGGCCTAAAGGATCTTTAAGGACGAGGATAAACTATAGGAAGGAATTATTCTGGGAAAGCTTATCTGTTCTAAGACTAAAATTCACAGATACCAGCAGTGCTTGAGTCAAAAAAGTCTCGTTTTCTGTTTTTAAAATATACTGTACTTATTTTTAATTATGGAAATTATGCACAAATTACCTTCGTAAGGCTTCAAATGATTTAGAAGTTTGAAGCCTTTGTAGGTAGGTTAAAAAGGCAAAAATTCCTTCTTACCCACACTGCAGTGGTAACTCTCTTGTTGGGATGGGGTATATCCATTCAGATCTTTCCATTGCTGTTATATTTGAATATGTTTGTATAAAAATATATTTTTCATAAATGCAATTATGCTTTTTATATTCTTCTCAATTTTTTTTCTCCATAATGACTCCATCTTCTAGATATTTCCAAGCTACCCTATCTCTATCTACTTCATTCATTTTCATTGCTGCCTGGTGTTTGTAAGATGAATGTGTCATAGTTGATATCACCATTCCCTTGTTTGTTTCCAGAGATTTGCTGTAACAAACACTGCTGCCCTCAACATCAGATTAACACTGTTTTGTGCCACACTCAAGCAGATTTGCTAGAATAGAAACCTAGTGGAGGTTTGCTGCATGCATATTTAAAAAATTGATAGCAGCAGCTAAATTGCCTCTCAAAAGACCATGGATTTACATTCTTACCAACAGCCCTCAGTGAACCCTGCCCCTGCCCCCACCCCTCTGGGGGCCTTTGCACATGCCATGCTATTACCTCTACTGGGATTCTTCTCCCTTCCTCATCTTTCAGATCTCAGTTCAAGCCCTGCTTTCTCACCCCCTTGCAGGATCATCCTCCTGTGTCCTAAGCTGTTAGGACATCAAGCGCTTGTCCTTCAGAGTGTTTAGTGTGTATATTTACTTTAATGTGGGGATTGTTTGGTTCATATCTGGCTCTTTGTGCTGTTTTAACTCTCTCCGTGGCCCTCCCCCAGGCCCATTCCTCACCCTTCCCTGTCCCCAGAGGCTGACCCTGGACTCCCTCGCCACCTGGCTTCCCATTGGGTTTAGCCACAGGAAGCACCGGCAGGTGATCTGGAGGGCTGTGACTGATACATCCTCCCATTCTAGAAGGCATTGCAGAATGTAAGTGATGTTATTATAGGGATTACTGTAAATTTCATTTAATACACACACTTCAGTACTTCATGATGAGTCCCAGTGACAGTCCATTATACCTTAGAAGCCCCACAACAGAGAAGTTTGAGAACTAGGATAAGGTTATCAAATAGAAACTCCCAAACTGACAGCCAAATGAGGGGCTTTTAGATACAGATGATTCTTCTTATAATTGGCAGTTAGATTCTATATAGTAGCAGCAAACACTGAATTTGCAAATCTTGAACAATTGCTCCTAAGAGAAATACAGGGCTAAATTCCTATAGCTTCTGGTCACAACGTTTTTGTCAGCCAATAAATCTATAACCTTGTTTTGTGTGTATTTCTGTTTAAAGACATCTTATTTAATATACAGTGCTGGCTTGCTAATGTTGAACTCATGGCCAACAGCAGTGCAACTCACGCCTGAACAAAGCTTATTTAACACATGTTATTTACCCTATAGGGCACATCACAGCCTTTTTGTGCTTAGGAACCCAAGGCAACACTTCAGCACGACACTTGGAGGCCATTTTCAACAGCAAAATCACAGACAAAAACTCCACCAAAACATGACAAATGTGGCAGTAAATAGGTAGCAGAAAGGACACTTATTTACAGTATGGCAGCTGAAACAGGAAGGCAGAGTGTGGCTAGTTTGACCTCAGCGGGGAACAGGTGGGTGGTGAGCTTCCAATTTTTGCTGCTTATGCATGCCTGCAAATGACCCACAAACACAGGCAAGTATTCATTTGGAGGCTACAAATACATTTTAGCAAGTAGGTGAATGCACAGATACAGAATCTGCAGACAATGAGGATAGTTGGTATTTTGTTTGACCAGCATGGTGATGCAAAGAAAAAAAGAAATGGAATGGGAATGATTGGGAATGAGGGATGCCTTCTGGAGCTGGCCACAGTTCCCACCACTCCCATTTGTTTCCTGTGGACTGCCTCACACATTTACTTTCCCTATCCGGACAGTGGAGGCGTGAGTCTGGGGCACCTGGAGGGGGTTGCCAGAGGTAAATTGCCCCTTCTGTCAGAGGGCAGGTCTGAGAAACCATTCACTGTTACCTCCATCCCAGTGAAGTAGGGGAATGAGCATCCAGGGAAGTGGACGTAGAGCATGAGAAAATCAGGGAAAACAGTGCAGCCTGCAGAGGGGAGGGCAGAGGTGTGCTATTGGCTGTCCTGGTGGGGTTGGGTGTGACTCAGGCCTCTCAAGGAGTCCAAGCCCACGGCGCACTTTGGAGGCACTGCCTGACTTCTGCCTCCCACATTCCCAGCTGCTCCCTCCAGGTAGACAGTGAAGGTGGGGCCTGGGCCAGCTGACCCTCTCACTCTGCCCTAAGGACATTCCCCTGCAGTTTCAGATGAGTGGCCTCACCTGAGCCAGCAGAACTAGGGGGAAGGCCATGGGTCAGATAAGTTCCCATCATCTATTCACAGACAATGAGGTCTGAGTTTTCCAGGGACCTGAAACGTGTCTGTTGAGCGCACAAGTTGAAATTTCTAGCCATGGGAGGGAAATCTTTTTGATCAATTTTTTTTCCTTTATTTCCAGGTAAAATGATACTAAACATAAAATAGCATAGCATCACTCTGTCACCCAGGCTGGAGTCTCGCTCGTTCACCCAGGCTGGAGTGCAGTGGTGTTATTTTAGCTCACTACTACCTCCATCTCCTGGGTTCAAGCTATTCTCCTGCATCAGCCTCCCGAGTAGCTGAGACTACTGGTGTGTGCCACCACACCTGGCTAACTTTTGTATTTTTAGTAGAGGCGGGGGTTTCATCATGTTGGCCAGGCTGGTCTTGAACTCCTGGCCTCAAGTAGTCCACCCACCTCAGCCTTGCAAAGTGCTGGGATTACAGGTGTGAGCCACCGCGCCCAGCTGTAGCATCACTCTTAACACAGTACCTTTTTGAACTAGCATGATTTCCTCAGGGCCTGAAGACTCCTACACTGAATGCCTCCTGCTATTTTCCTTTTATTTGTTGGATTTTTGTATGTTTTAGCTGATCAGTAATCCCTGTTTCCTGCTATCAATGTTCTGATGAAGTCCAGAAAAATGGCAGAGACAGACTTAGCAAAGTAGGCCTGAGCTATTTAAGTCTACAAAAGCAGGAAATATTGTTTGGAAGCTCCAGAGTGCTCAGCAGGTGTGCTTGCTGACTGAGTTCCAGGGAGGTCTGCCAGGATAACTCTTTAGTATTGCCCCTTGGCCTAGTCTATGCTGTGCCCTGGTCAGGACTTTCGACGCTAAGATGAAAAGCTATACTCCTTCAACTTTCTCCTGCTTCTGGTCTCCCAGTGACAAACCCACTGCCTTTTGCCACACTGTGGTCTTTATATTCTGATTGACAATCTTCACATGCACAGCTCCTGGCCAGCATGGGCTTTGGGGCCCCTCTCTCTTCACTGCTCACTTACTGTCTGATGCAGTTGTTGAAGCTGGTGCTGCTGGCCAGAGATGGTGAACCGTAGCCCAGAACTAAGTGTATCATTCAGAGAGGGACCAAGAAGGTGGAAAGAAAACTCAATGGGCAGGAGATACAGGGGTGGCAGAGCTTTCTCCTGAGAGGCTAGAGAAAGAAGACAGCAGGAAAGCAACTCTCTTAGTCTGTTTGGGCTACCATTAAAAATACCATAGGCCAGATGGCCTATAAACAACAAGAATTTGTTTCTCACAGTTCTGGAGACTGGGAAGTCCAAGATCAAGGCAGATTCTGTGCGTGGTGAGGGTCCACTTCCTGGTTCTTAGATGACACTTCTCGCTTTGTGTTCACACTGAGGAAGGGGCAAGCTTGCTCTCTGGAGTCTCTTTTAAAAGGGCACTAATCTCATTCATGAGGGTTTTGCTGTCATGACCTAATCACCTCCCAAAAGCCCCACCTCCTAATACCAGCATCTTGAGGGTTAGGATTTTAACATATAAATTTTAGGGGGACATAAATATTCAGCCTATTCCAGTAAACTCAGACTGCCTGAACCATCAGAAGCAGTTTCTGGAACTCTTAATGAGGAACTATTTCCAGGAAAGTAAATTGTCTAGCAATTTCACAACCAGTAAAACAAAGACAAATTTTTCTTGCCTAGAACTAATGTTGAAATTCTGCCACGCATCAGCATCCTACTACAAGCAAACTCCTCGTGGATTAAAAGTGTCCTCCCTACCTCTGGGGATGACACCAGTGGCCCTTAGACCTACTTACCCAGGCCAGAAGACAGGGACCCACACAGACATTGCCTTTCCCTTACTCCCCACAGCAGATCTGTCACCAAGTTCCACCACCGCAATCCCCCAGTATCACTGGCATCTTTCCGCCTCTACCACTGCCTTGTTTCAGATTCTGGTGTCCGACATTTCAAACCTTACACTGTCACCAGAGAGAAATTCCTAAAAAGCCAATGGGATCATGTGTGCCCTTGTTGGCACGTTGCCAACAAGACAAGCCTAATTTCATTAGCATGGCATG
Source organism: Homo sapiens (assembly GCF_000001405.40). Classification (NCBI taxonomy): domain Eukaryota; kingdom Metazoa; phylum Chordata; class Mammalia; order Primates; family Hominidae; genus Homo; species Homo sapiens. The sequence continues at coordinate 134,785,794 of NC_000002.12, read as the reverse complement.
TTCAGCTCTTCTTGATCTCACCTACAAAACACATGCCAGTAGTCAGCTAGTGACCCTTCACCAGACTCCCGGCTTGCCTGGGAGTGCCCACGCAGGTGTTAGAGCCAGAAAGACTTGGTTCTGTACCTCAGATTTGCCACCTACCAATGGTGTGACCCAGACAACTTACTTAACATTTCTGAGACTCAATTTTCTCATCTGTAAAATAGAGATAATAATATTTAGCTTCACTACTTACCAAACTGTTCATACTGGCTCCTTTTGGGAAATGCAGTCAGGGTCAGTGTGAAGAAGGGGCTTACATTTTATACAATTTTAAATTGTTGACTTCTTTCATAAGAATATGCATTGCTTTTTACCAATAGAAGTGTTCAAGGAATGAAAAAAGTCTGGTAGAGGTTGCATAGCATGGTGGTTAGACTCCGGAGCCAGGCTGCCTGGTTTAAATCCAGCTTGCCCACTTACTCGCTGTGAGACTGTGGGCAAGTTATTCAACCTTTCTGTGCCTGCTCTACTGATTTGTAAAACAGTGCTTAGCTAGTAGGGTTGTTGTGATGATTAAATATGTAACATACATGACATGTTTGGAATAGTGCCGGCTCATACATGCTGCATATGAGTTTGCCGTTACTAGTAATGTATGGTGAAACACAGCAAGTAAGTCATACCTGTCTGGTGTCCTCTGCCCTCCCCCGCAGATTTCATAGGGTTGCTATGAGGATTAAAAGGGGTCTATGCCAGTGGCAGCCGGCTCATGTTGAGCACATACTACCTGCTGAATAAATGCTAGTTCCCCTCCGTTTTGCTTTCCTTTCCTTTCCAGGCTCAGTTCAAGGACTTTTCCTTTGGAAAGGCTTTCCTGACCCCGAGGCTGTCTTGGCCACCCCTGCATTTTCCTATATTAGGACTCTTTGCACAAGGCAGCGCCATTGCTGGTTTACTTCTCTGTTCTGCACCAGACCCTAGGAACTTTGACGGTAAGGATGGTCTTAATTTAGCCTTGCATTTCTAGCGCTTGACACAGTACCTGGCAAACAGTAGGAGCTCAATCCATATTCTTTGTACTTTGCATGAAATAATATGACCTCCACCTTCAAGCAGTTTATAATGTATCTAGGATGAAATATGAACATTCAAGAGCTTAATCTCATAAAATGAAAAGACCTGTTTTTGACAATATCATGGCACTGGTGCTGAGGGTCCCCTGAGGCCTCGGGACAACCACTTCACCTCTCTGGGATGAAATTCCCTTAGCTGTAAAAGGGGAGTTCGGAACATACGTTCAGGCCACATGAAAATGCTTGGTCAACACACCGGTGCTTAAGTAGCAGACTTGGGGAGAACATCTATCCATTCTGGAGAAACTCAGAGAGGGAGAAATCTACTTTGGCCTCTGTGGTTCTGTAAATCTTTATGGAAGAGGTAGTATCTGAGTTGAGCTTTGAGAGGGTGGGCAGAGATTAGGGAAATGGGGAGGAAGGCAGACTATTTCAGGCAGGATAATTTCTTGAGAAGAAAAAGTTTAAAGGAAATGAAGAGACAGATGGGAAAGAATTTTTTTTTTTTTTTTTTACTTTTTTGTCCAAAAAGAGGAATTAAAAGAAAAGGCACATTGTCTTGTGAATACTGGCATTTTATTTCCTCTATTAGTTTTGAAGTAAAGGAAAGGAAGGGAAACACGAACTGGAGGCTATTTAAAACAAAACGGGCTGGCACAGTGACTCATGTCTGTAATTTCAGCACTTTGGGAGGCCAAGTTGAGAGGATTGCATGAGGCCAGGAGTTCAAAGTTACAGTGAGCTATGATTGTGTCCCTGCACTCCAGCCTGGGTGACAGAGAGAGACTCTGTCTTGCCTTTTTTTTTTTTTTTTTTTGAGACAGGTCTTGCTCTGTTGCCCAGGCTGAAGTGCTCCAGTGATCCTCCCATCTCAGCCTCCCGAGTAGCTGGGACTACAGGCATGTGCCACCATGCCCGGCTAATTTTTGTATTTTTTGTAGATACAGGGCTTGCCATGTTGCCCAGGCTAGTCTCAAACTCCTAGGCTCAAGCAATCTGCCTGTCTCAGCTTCTCAAAGTACTGAGATGACAGGCATGAGCCACAGCACCCAGCCAAAAAATTTTTTAAATTAAATTAAAAAAAAAAAAGCCAGGAACACAGAGGTCTGCTCAAACCTGGAGAAAACTGTGATTCTAAAATTTGATAAGACAGTAAAATTATTTTTTTTTAAAAAAAGCACACTAGAGTTTAAAACAAGCAAACAAAAACAGTAGGTGCAAAGATAATTAGCTAATAACCAAATGTTCTTATTGCTTTGGAATTTGACTTATTAAAATGAACTTTTATTTTCAAAATCCACGACTCAGTAAAAAGGTCTTTAAGAAATAAAACACTGACACTTAGTTGTTTTGTACTCAACTTGCAAGAACTGAAAGTGGCATAAAAAACATGTAAAAATTTACCTGTATTTTCTAAGTTTTCTACAATGTGGCATTACTCAAGTGATTTATAAAAGTTCTAAAATAAAAATAAAAGCTATTTACAATAACCTCTGAATTTTTTGAGCCCATATTCTCCCTCCTCTGGTTCACTTGCTTTCTATATGGCAATAGCCCAAAGTATAACAATACAAAGGAATCCTAATTGCAACTGCAGGTCCTCTAGCATCTGTTATGTATGTGCTTCTACCTTGCCTACATTTTTGTCATGCTGTAGAGTATGACAAAGATAACAGTAAACTTAAATACCATCTCTTCTTAGTTTAACCTTTAGCCAGTGCCAGTGCTGAGTGACAGGGATCTGTTATTAATGGATATTGTCCCCTAGTGGAAAATTGACAGGACCGTTCACATTTTGGACAGCTACTTGGCCACAGTGCAATTTTCAAACCACTCTGTTATGCAAGCGGGATGAAACTTCCCAGTTTCAAGCTGTTCTGTCAAACCTGGCTGTGGTAGACAGAACATTCTTTCCCACCCACCCCCAATCAAAGACGTCTGTGTCTTAATCCCCAGAACCTGTGAATATGTTACCATACATGGCCAAAAGGACTTTGCAGATGTCATTAAGTTAAGGACATTGAGATGGGCAGTTACCCTGGATTATCCAGGTGGGCCCAATGTAATCAGAAGGTGCCATCAAGAAAGAGGCAGGAAGGCCAGAGTGAGACAAGGAGATAGAACAGAAGCAGAGTGAGAGCTGAAAATGCTTTGATGCTGTCTCTGAAGATGGAGGAGGAGACCATGATCCAAGGAACACAGGCAGCTTCATAAAGCTAGAAAAAGCAAGGGAACAGATTCTCCCCTAGAGCCTCCGATAGGAACCCAGGATTGGTGACACCTTAATTTTAGCCCAGTGAGACCCATTTCAGAGTTCCAACCTCTAGCACTGTAAGATAGTAAGAGTGTGTTGTTCGAAGCCACCAGGCTACTGGTGATTAGTTACAGCGGCCATAGGAAACGAATAGACTAGTTTTTGAGAAAAGAGAAAGCCGCTATGGGGCACGCTGCCAGGAGACCTAAAACCCTGACCCTGGTGCTGTTGCTTTTGTGTTAATCACCCAGGAAGAACGTGAACCAAATCCTTGAAAGTCATGACACTGTGAAAATGCATTTACAGGAAGAGAAATTTTACTCTCTCTGGCCCAACAGAGAGCCAACCAAGGTGGCATCCTTGCAAAAGTAAATGATGACAGTTACCTGACTGATGAGAATACACCTAACTGTCCTAGGGAGGGGGATCTTTTTTTGAAATAAACACTTTTTTCCTTAGGCAATAGATATATGTTACATGTGCACTCTAGAAAATTAGAAAATATAGGAAAACAGAGAATAAAAATCACCCATAACTCCACCACTTGGGGAACCACTAATGCAGCATTTTTCTTCTAACCAGTTTTTGTAATTGTCAAGAGTATGTAGCATGAGCAATTTTGAATCATTTTTTTTACTTCATATTATATCATGAGCGTTTCCAACATCACTATAAATCCTCTGAAAATATTGCTTTTAATGATGACACAATACTCAACCATTTTCATCTTCTAAAATGGACTTAATGTTGCTGTTTTGAGCATTTAAGCTGTTTGGGATTTCCAGTATAATGAATAACAGTGTAGTGAATATTTTTGTGCAAAGCCTTTGCTGAATTTTGGATTATTTCCTTAAGGTAGATAACCAAAGATGAAATAAGTGGTTTAGAGGTGTGGCTAATTTCAAGGTCTATGAAACTTCTTGAAAAATTATTTTCCATTAGGTTTGTACTAGTTTTCTCTCCTACTAGCAATATGATGGGCTGGGAAATCTGCGTGTAGTAATCTTAGTGGCTCTCAAAGATATTTAACTGTAACTCACCCTAAAAAACACATTTTGTATCTTAACCAAACACACCCCCACACACTCATAAATGAACTGAAACAAAGCTTTCTCTTTGAACACATAATGCATTCCTCTGATGTTGTGTTTTCTTTTATCTCCTATTCTATTTTTTTAAATGCTAGCTTTAATTCATAAGTTGATTTCAAGGCCTATGAATAGGTCATGACCCAGTTTGAAAAAACACTGGTAAGATCCTGGGAGAGGACACAGTTGAGTGTAATTCACACATGCACCTAGGAGGATCACAGGAACTACCCCTTTTAAACATATCTCAAGACCCAAATTTCCTGCCACTTCAAGAAACATGCTCGTTTGATGAAATGATCATAGCACTAGATTAAAACAACATCTGCATTGAACAGCTGACCACCTTTTAAAATCTGAATTTAGCCCTGCCTCAAAGCCTAAATGTCATTCCCATTAGTTCTACATTTTTGGATGTTTGTTAATTCAAGAAATTCTCACAGGCACACATCTTGTGATTTCTATGCATTTAATAATGGAAGATGAAGTGGCAACGATGCAGAATTTTGAATTCTGTGAGATTTTGATGTAACTTCCACCTTTGGTCTTATCAACACTTTTGTGTGTCTGTGAGTTCTTCTACCTAGGCTTTAAAAAAGATTTAGACTTTCCAGCTAACATCTGGGAAAGGCAAATGAACAGCAGTGGGTTTTCAAAAATAGAGAAAAGGACATAGAAGAAAGAAAACAGGCTGGGCGCAGTGGCTAACACCTGTAATCCCAGCACTTTGGGAGGCCGAGGTGGGCAGATCACCTGAGGTCAAGAGTTTGAGACCAGCCTGGCCAACATGGTGAAACCCTGTCTCTACCAAAAAGTACAAACATTAGCCAGTGTGGTGGTGCAAACCTGTAGTTCTAACTACTAGGGAGGCTGGTGGAAGAATCACTTGAACCCAGGAGGCAGAGGTTGTAGTGAGCCAAGATCAAGATTGTGCCCCTGCATTCCAGCCTGGGTGACAGAGTGAGACCCTGTTCCAGAAATAAAAAAATTAGAAAAGAAACCATCTCTATTTTTAGATAGATGTCAGATTAATTTTCCGGATTCAGTGTAAGAGAAATCCCTTCTTCTGTTTAACACATGAAAATTTATTTTAAATCTAAATATATTAAATACAAACATAAGAAAATATATTAAATACATATCATAGGCCACCCAGCTCTAAATTTTATGAGAGAGCTGAGGGACAAACATTTCATGAAACATCATATTTTTGATTGGTATTCTTTTTTCTTTTTCTTTTTTTCACCTGGTAAATAGAGAATACTAGAAGAAAGACAACAATGTGAAACAGTTAGACATAAAAGATTATAAAAAAGTGCCTCAAAAATTAGATCACCTTTTATTTATGATACACTTTTCCTGCAGAGAATTCAAAGCACTTCACAGACATCTTCCTTATTCATTTCCACAGTCCTTTAGTGTAAGAAACAGGCAAAAGAAACTTATATCCATAGTACAGAGGTTTAGGAGAAAAGAAGTTTTGCAGCCCAAGGACCTGCCCAGATTCCAAAAGAAGATTGGACAAAAATAATTTTACACTTAAAAATTCTAAATGGTTATCTCACACGTGCCCTGTGCCTTCAACCACAGGGGACCCTCCGGAGTTTGAGGTTCTGAGAGCAGTGTTCATTCATTAAACACAGCACCAACTGTGTGGCCAGGCGCTATTTCAAGTGCTTTTCAAATATCAACTTATTTCACGTTCATGACAACCCTAGGAAGTGGGTACTATTATTTCCATTTTACTGACGAGGAGACTGAGGCACTGAGAAAAATGACTTGCTCAAGATCACGGCTAGTCAGTGGTGGGACTGAGACAAGAGAATAGGGTCTGGAGGCAGGGAAACTAAGGCCAATTCACGCTGACTTCCTAGAACTAAATCAAGAGGAAAATCCCAACTTTCCATGCCTAAGTAGCAAAAGGACCAGAGGCTACTCCCTTTGCAACCCCTACCACCCCACTTTTCTGCAGGCATATGGAAAATGGAAAGTACCTCTGATTGGTCACAACCAATCAGACTGATTGTGAGCCACTACTTCATTTGCATGGGGTAAACATCAAGTAGCCAATGGGAAACCTCTGGTGGGTATTTGGACCCCAGAAGATTCTATAACCGGCTCTTGAGCGTTTGAGGCCCTATGCTCGGGACCTGCTCTTACCCTGTGGAGTGTAATTTTGTTTTCAATAAATTTCTGCTTTTTTGCTTAATTCTTTCCTTGCTTTGTTTGTGCATTGTGAACAATTCTTTGTTCAGAATGCCAAGAACCTGGACACCATCCACTGGTAACAGAACTAGGGTCCGAAGACTCCAAGTCTGGTCCCTTGGGCTCAGTGATTATACTCTGTAATGATTATACTCTGTAAATGAATGCTCACCCTTTTCATTGGAAAGCCACCCTTCACTGGGATTTTTTGTTGTCTGCTACATCGGGCCATATTTTTTGACATGTTCGTTTCTGTCAGAGAAGGAATCCAAAAGCCTGTGTGTGTGTCTGTGTGTGTATATGAATACACGCATATATACTCACATACATATATGAAGCAGGATAGAAGTTTACACACTACAACTCACACACACACAAAGCCTGTAATTTTGTATTTACTCAGTGAGCCCGTCTTGCCCGTGTTGAGGAAAACACTTAAAATTTTATATTAAATTTAACTCAGTCTCCCAGTTTAAATCTGTGAATTGTGGGTAAATAGTGGATTTTTACCCTATTTACATTCTTTCTCAAGACTGTATCTTCCCCTCTCCTTGGGCACCTGGGTATAGGTGGCAGGTGGTGGGGCGGGGCGGGGTGGTGCCCTCTATGGGTTGCCCCTGCTGACCACTAGATGGCCCTTGTCCTACAGGGCCATCTCTAACCATGATGTTGAGGACAAATAGGTCCTGGCTGGAATTTTGGATGTCACCACAAAATATGAAGGTCCCTGCTACATCCTTCAGTCATAAGATCTTACGCTGTGGGGCCTCCTCTTTTTGGTGCCCAGGCTTTCTCTGGTCCACCAATTTTCTTAGTATTTCCACATCCCCTCCTGGAGCCCTGCATGCACCATGTAGACTGTGGTCCACTGGGACCACTAACTCCACTTGAATGAAGCTGCTCCACCACTTCCCTACAGCATCATTGCCTAGTGTGGGACTTCCTTTCCTCCAGCTTCCTCATGCATAGAACCCCCAGTGTTCTCAGGTTTCTTCAAACGTAAGAGTGGGCTCATTACACGTCTTCTGGAAGTTTCCACCCCCCAGGACAAGCCAAGGCATTTGCATTTGATCTTTTGCCCCCTTTCCTCTTCCCTTTTCAAATGTTCCCCCTTTATCCAAGTTCTTTCCTTCTCTATGATCGAAGCTTTTTTTCTTTTTATTTAAACAGAAGGTTTCAGAATTTAGAAAACACCCTTGTCATTCAACAAAGCCCAGCTTTCAAGATTATTGTCTTCACCATGGAATTCAAATATACTTGAAACTTAAAGCTGAGCTATGATTTCTTTGATCTCAGTGGTGTCTGCCTTCTCTCTGAAGCAAAGAAGGCCGCTGCTTCAACAGGTGGGAAGTTGCTCAGCAACATGATTTACTGGTAATGATAAATAGCATTCCTTGATTCAAGTACCAGTACTAGAGAACAATGAGCCTTCAACTTAAAAGTCTTAATTATATCGGCCGGGTGCAGTGGCTTATACCTGTAATCCCAGCACTCTGGGAGGCCGAGGCAGGTGGATCAAGAGGTCAGGAGTTTGAGACCAGCCTGGCCAATATGGTGAAACCTCATCTCTACCAAAAGATACAAAAGTTAGCCAGGCGTGGTGGCGTGTACCTGTAGTCCCAGCTACTCAGGAGGCTGAGGGAGGAGAATTGCTTGAACCCGGAAGGTGGAGGTTGTGGTGAGCAGAGATCGCGCCACCGCACTCCAGCCTGGGGGTGACAGAGTGAGACTCCGTCTCAAAAAAAAAAAACACCTTAATTATAGACTACTTATGGGAGTAGAATAATATTAGGGGTAAATATAAGTGAATGGGGTCTTTTTAAAAATCGCACAGTAGACCGCTGCCATGGCCTTGCCTCCCATCTTTCTTTTCTACTGCAGTCTGTCCTCGATGCCCTTTAACAAAATATTTTTGTAATAAGTTCCTTCTGTGTTTAAAATCTTTTGAATTCCTATCACCTTCAGTATTAAGTTCAATATTCTCTGTGATCTGGGCACTGCGTGGAGCTTCAGCTTTCTCTGATGCTACCCCAACCACTCTATCCTGCACCCTCCCCACCCAGTGCATCCTATGCCCCACCTGCCAAAGAGCTTAATTCCCTGCAGACTCCCCGGGGACCCCACAGTCACAACAGCAATCCCTCACACATGCTGCCATCCCACTTGAATGCCTTTCATTCTGCTCCTCCACCCTGGCCACTTGGCTAATCCTGCAAGACTCAGATCAAGTGATCACACCCTGGAAGATCGCCCCTCAAGCCTTGATGTATTGTGATGTGTCTGATCCAAGCAGCCTGATGACCCTTTATCCTAGTATTTAGCAAGCTGTGTTTTAATTGTCTATCTCTAAAGTATTTTGTGCAGTCCACATATCTTAAATACCATTATTTCACCAACGAGAATGCATATCTAACCATGAATCACATTAATCAACAAGTCGCCAATTTCATCATTCAACAGCAATTTCTGACATTTACTGTCCTAATTGGCAAAGCATTGATGGAAATGCGATCAGAAGCATGTGTTGTGGCCTTTCTGATGTAAAGCCAACTGATCACCCCTAGAACACATATGTTTGATTAAGACAACTGACATGCTCAGAGATGACATTTGAACCATCTAGCACATATGTCTAGCACACCTGGTCTATGATGAAATGTTTAAAGCAATTTATAGACATAGGGACATGCTCTTCGAGATGTCAAGAACATCTGTTCCGAAAGCTCTCTCCTGCTGTTGCCAAAGTCCCTACTTCCGGAATGGACTTCTAGAACAGCTTTGGGCTAAATATGAACATAGGTCTTCTTGACCTCTGTGACACACTTCGTTACCTGGCCTTGAAGCAATATTGCAATAAAGTGACCACCAGCCCTTATCGTACCTTTGTGCAGATTAGAAAAATGCCCCTTCCTCCAGGTGGATGCAGCCAGTGCCAGGCATTTCAATTAGCAGGGAACGAGCTGGATTTGCATGCCTACTCGCCCCCTTGGCCAGGTGGCTTTGTGTGGAGTGGAGAAAAGTCCCTGGCTGTCCATGTATAGATTCCCATAAAAACCCTCAGAAAAAGAACTCCTTTAACTTTTTCCTTCAGCTCCTTGTCTTTTGCAAGCAATCCTCCAAGTGCATCCTCCCCTTCACAGCACACACGTACATACACCCTAGTGAAATGTGAAAAGGCAACCACTCATCCCCACAGGAACAAACAATCATCCAGGCAAATGCTAGTCTCAGTTCGTAGACAGCCAAGAAAGATTGTGCTTCCTCTCTCTTGCTGTGCCCCTCATTTCCCCTGCTCCCTTGAAAAACAAAGTAGAAGCTTCAGAGAAAAACAATCTAGTCTTGTGACTATGTATATAATTAAAATACAGCATTAAAAATCGACTTCAAGTCGATGGGACCATGTATCACTTAGGATGCTTTTGGTGGGAACGAACAGAAAACCCATCTCAAAATGGCTACAACTATAGGGGAATGTATTATGTCACTGTATAGGAGAATGTATTATTTCACTCTATAGGGGAATGTATTGTCTCACTCAGCAAGAAGTCCTGAGGTAGAGCAGCTGCAGGGCCAATTAGTCCAGCAGCTCAAACAACATTCTCTAAAGCCCAGGTTCTTTTCACCTTTTCCCTTTGTTATCTTCACATATCAGCTTAGCTCACTCTCAGTTACGAAGTGGTTGCCCTTGTTCCTGGCTTCACATACAGACATGGGCGTGTCCAGCAGAATAATAGGAGCTTTTTGTTTAATGTGCTTTTTGGTTCCCCACTCCCCAGGGAACTAAAGATTTCCCTTCTAGTTCTTAGCCAGAACTCTGTTCCATGCCCACACCCAAATGAATCACCTCCAGGGAAATGGGATTGCCAGGCCTGGTTTAGGCACTGCCACCATTCACCCCTGGAGCTGGGATGAGGAAGGAGGGTTTTTGTCGGGGTGCTCAAGGAAGTGAGTCAAGTTCAGGGCGGCTGGAGGGAGCATACATCCCTCTGGATGCCCTGGCCTGTCATGCTGTGGTGAGGAGTTGGCCTTTATCCTGCCTGTCACATGGAGGCATTTAGTATCTGTTTGTAGAAATAATCTTGAAACTACAATCTTTAAGTAAAAATTGTCTTCCATTCACACACTGCTCTCCGCTGTGTCTCTTCTGAAGAAGCCTAAGTGGAAAAGGATAAGATCACTTATCTTGTGCTTTCGCGTTTCCTGTGGGGAGGACTCCCCCTTCGAAGTGTCAGGAGATTATCTGATGAAGCTGTTTATAAAAGCAGGGCTCAGGCACTCCTCTGGGACCCACATGCACGTTCTTCCACAGGCCACACCTGGGCCCAGCAATGGTTCTAATCCAAGAGGGCCTCATCGCATGGGGCTGGGACATCTGTGCCATCCCCAGGCCCCAGCAGGCCTTCCTCCTCATTAAATGTTTCTGTTGAGGCAGTTTTGGGAAGCATCTACCTTTTTCCCCAAAGAGAGTTACTCACATTTTCCCGAATTAAACTTCTCACCCCAGGTAATTTTTATTTTGAACCCTCTTTAGGCCCTGAATTGTGACTTTTAGTCTCTGAACTTCATATCAGGTTCTATTTTAGTAAGCACTGCAAATGTCAAGGTAATGACATGTGATTCCTTTTTGGGAACACTGTGGAAGATGCTAATGGAGAAGTGTGTCACCAGATGACCTCCTGAGGTCCCCAGAAGAAACATATATAGAGAGGGAATCCACTTCCACCGGACTGGCCTCTGTGAATAGGGAAGGGAAGTCATGTTTGCTGTGACTGTACTCTAGGCCAGGGGCTTTGCAGCCATTTAGTCTGCCTAAGAGACCTGACGTGGGCATTACCATTTCCATTGTTCAGACATGGAAACTGAGTCTGAAAGAAGTTAAAGAACTTGCTCAAGGGGGAATTTGAGCCCAAATGTGCTGCCTCTAAAATCCGTGCTTTTATCAATGCATCATGCTGGGCTCTGGCAGGAGTGAGTAAGGCTGAGTGTGCTGAATTCATTGTGATAAGAGGCGCTGACCTCCATGGAAAGGAAAACCCTGAGCCTGGGGCCCCTGGGGTCATGTCACACTTTCACTTTGTCCTGGCCAGAGCATGTGGGATGATGAGGCAGGAAAGTGGGAAAGGTGTGTGGCTGGGGAGGGTCGCAGCAGATCTTGCCCCACACCCCTCCTCCATTTGTGAATCAGTATTTAGAGCAGTTGCTCCCTGGGGACTTTCACTTTGGGCCTCACATTAAGGGGGAAAAAAAAGAGCAGGCTAAAGACAGGCAGGGCATGAGTTCTGAGCCTCGTGCCAGGTCAGAAACAGAAAGGTGACAGCTTCCCTCTGAATGAGATGTTCTGGGAGCCAAGAAGACAAAATGAATTCCTGAGATTTATTTTTTTCCCCATTTTGTCTGAAACAGTTTTCTGTTTCCACTGTGAAACCACTCCTGAATAACCTTCCCTGAACCTCACAGTTTGGATAAGGAAACAAATTTCCTGCTGCCACGGCAACAGCCTCTCACTTACCCAACTGCGGAGTGGGGGGAAGCCCAGGGCGGTAAGGTCTGTGATGCACCAGACAGTCACACCAGCGAAAGGCCCATTTACCGGTGTATTCACCAGGTGCCAGGGACCCACGTCAGAAACCCAGGCTCCCTTATCTGCTCAACAGATGGCAGAGCCACATGGCCACATGGCCCAGGGCAGGGCACTGAGAATTCTTATGCAAAACCAAGCCTCCTTGGGCAGGAAGCCTGCACTGGGGATAGTGATGGATGGTAATTCTCCACTCTTTCTCCCGGCCAGCCTCCCATTGGGGCTGCCTGTTTCCCTTCTCACATTCTTTTATAAAATAAAAAAGTCAAATCAACTCATACTTTTTGGGCAGGACACTGTGTGACATACAAAATATATACTGTACACTGGCGAGAGTCTGAAAGAAAATATGTCAAATGGTTAAGAGCAATTATTTGTGATTAATGAGATTATAAATAATTTTTATTTTTGATGTTTATTATGTTTTCTTAGAAAGTCTCTAAGTTGAACATGAAATACTTTCCTACTAAAAAAGGAAAACAGAAATTAATTCTTTTACAAACAGAACAAAACAAAAACTAACAAATACAGTCAGTTCTCTCCTCACGTCTTCAGTGTAGAAGGGCAAGTGTAAGTAGATCTGGGCCCAAGCTGTGGCTTCACCAACCCATGGCCCATTGTTCTGTCAGAGGCGTTTGAATCGCAGCACCTCTATCTTGAATAAGGGCTGGGTAAAATGAGACTGATACCTGCTGGGCTGCATTCCCAGGACGTTAGGCATTCTTAATCTCAGAATGAGCTAAGAGGTTGGTAGGTCTGGTATCACAAGATACAGGCTATAAAGCCCCTGCTGATAAAACTGGATGCAGTAAAGAAGCTGGCCAAAACCCACCAAATCCAAGATGGCCATGAAAGCAACGTCATCACTGCTCATTATACACTAATTATAATGCAGTAGCATGCTAAAAAACTCCCACCAGCGCCATGACAGTTTACGGATGCCATGGCAACGCCTGAAGTTACCTTATATAGTCTAAAAGAGGGAGGACCCTCAGTTGGGGAGGCAATCCCCACCCCTTTCCCAAAAAACTCATGAAAGATCCACCCCTTGCTTAGCATATACTCAAGAAATAGCCATAAAAATAGCCAACCAGCAACCCTCAGGGCTGCTCTATGGGGTAGCCTCTCTGTTGTTTCTTCTCTAATCCACCTGCTTTCACTTTACTCTATGGACTCACTCTGAGTTCTTTCTTGCAGGAGATCCAAGAACCATCTCTTGAGGGTCTGGATTGGGACCCCTTTCTGGTAGCAGTTCAGTCTCATGCTTTTCAGTGCCATTTCTCTGACTCCTGATTTTCATCTCCAATCAGACCGCTCCTCTGAACTCAAGATTTGGATTTATGGCTACCCATGTATCATCTCCACTTGGAAGCCTGATTCTCAAACTTAACATGTCCAAAACTAAATTCCTAATCTTTGTCTCCTGGCCCCCAGCCCCTCCCAAATCTGCTTCTTTTGAAGCTCTTCCGCTTCTCCAGTTGTAGCAGTGCCATCTTTCCAACTGCTCAGACCAAAACCCTTAGAGTCATCCCTGACTTATCACTTTCTCTCACATCCCACATCCAATCTGTCTATAAATCTGTCTGGCGTATATATCATATGCTGTCGTCTCATAAAATCAAATTACTTCTCTTCACCTCTGCTGCTACTACCATGAACCACACTATCACCTTCTAATACCTGGATTACCACAATCTTTAATCCACAATCACTGCCTGGTTTCCTCCCTTACATTTTAACAGGATTTTTGTAAGACAGATCTTGTTACACCTCTGCTCACATTCCTCCAGAAGCTTCAGTACATTCCACATGAAAAGCAGGCTTACAACGGCCTTGAAGACCCTGCACTGTGTGCCCACTCAGCTCTTTCTGGCCTTGTCTCCTACCATCTCCCTCCCCATCTCCAGCCACACACGTCATTTTCTGTGCTGCAGTGAACATTTCAGAATCACTCCAGCCTTGGAGCCATTGCATTTGCTGTTCCCTTTGCTGAGAATGCTCTTCCCCTAGATGTCTGCATAGCCACTTCTTTATCTCCCCTAGATCTTCACACCAGTGAATTAGATCTTCCCAGTGAAGGCTTTCTGGTTCTAAATTCCTCCACCCCAGTTCCAACACCCCTTCCCCCAATATCCTGCTATCTGTCTGTAGCAAGAGTCACGAGTCACCATCTAACAGTATTTATTTCATCCATGTGTGTTGTTTACTGTCTCCCTCCCCCTACTGGATGTGAATTGCCTGAGGCAGGGATTGTATGTCTTGTCGCTGCTGTATCTTCAGTCCCTGCTTCAGACTAGGCACCAGCACAGGAAAGGGGATACCAGTTGTTTGGGGCTGGGGGAGGTCCCCAAATACCAGTTGGACCTCGACCCCAGCTAGTGTCGAGGTTCTTGACGCCATCTCAAGAATGTGAATTCAAAGATGCATCAGAAAATAGTGAAAGTACAGGGATGGATTGCAAAGGGAAAAGTACACACTGAACACATGGGAGTGCAAGCATACTCAAGAGATACACGCGTGAGGGAGGTTGATCTGCTACCTTTATGGTTTTCTTTAACCAAGGGGTGGGATAGTCATGAAAATTCCTGGGAAAAGGTGGGGATTTCTCGGAACTGCCATGCCACCCATTTTTGCACCAAATATGAGTGTTCTCAAAACTGTCATGGTGCTGGTGGGTGTGTGATTTGTATGTTAATCAAGTACATTACCATGTTGGGTCCAGTCGATCCTAAACCAGCTTGGTCCACACCCTGTTTTTCAGGGTCTTAATCAGTTCCTAGCTTCTGCAGCTATTTTAACGGTTTCCTTTTGCTTGTCATGTGAAACTGCTGCCTGGAATTTTCTATTCTCCTATGACCGCCTTGTATTATTCCTGTTTTAAAGGCACTTGTGGTAGCCAGAGTAATAATCCCCCAAAATGTCTATGCCCTAATCCTGAAACTTGTGAATATGTTACCTTACATGGAAAAAGGGATTTTGCAGACATGATTAAAATAAGGGTTTTGAGATGAGGAGATTATCCTGGATTATGTGGGTAGATCCAACATAATCACAGTGGTTCTTATGAGAGGGAGGGCAGAAGGGTCAGAGTCAAAGGAGATGTGATGATGAAAGCAGGGTTGGAGAGATGTGATTGTTGAAAGGGGCTACGGACCAAGAAATGCGGGCAGGCTCTGGAAGCTGGAAAAGGCAAAGAGATGGGTTCTCCCTTAGAGCCTCCAGAAAGAATGCAGTCCTTCCATCCCATTTTAGACCTCCTAGAACAGTAAGAATAAACTTGTGTTGTTTTAAGCCACTGAATTGTGGCACTTTGTTACTGCAGCAATAGGAAACGAAAACAGCACTCAAAAGCATTCAACGAATGAATAGGCTGGGCTTCCATTCCCTTGTTTGTGAAATGGGAGGTTTGGACTCAGTTAATGATCTGTAATGTTGTATTTTCAACTACATTTTGTTTGCTTAACTGAAAACAGATGCAGGTAGTTGGCAAACAATTCACATAGTCTGAATAAGATGTATGATGAAAATAAATTTATCTTCTACCGCAGACTTACAGTCCTTGGTCTCTCTCTCCAGATGCAAGCACCATATACTTTCTTGGGCATGCTTTCGGAGACTGTATGAGCACAGATACAATTTCCCCCTTTGTCCACAAATGGCGGTATATTACACACCCTGTTTTGCATATTGCTTTTGTCATTAAAATATAATTTGAAAATTGTTCTGTATCATCATACATAAGAGGCAATCATTCTTTTCCATAACAGTGTAATGTTCCATTCTCTGGCATAGATGTACCTTGGTTTGTTTAACTAATTCCCTAGTGATAGACAGGTTATATCTAGTCTTTTGTTCTACAACTTTGACTATACATCTTTGCACACAGGTACTGTTCATCTGAAGGATGAGCTCTTAGAAATGGAATGCAGGGCCAAAGAGTAGATGCACATTTATTCTGATATTGCCAAACTCCCCTCCAAAGTGGATCATACCTACTCTTACCAACCGTGTAGGAGTCTGTTTGCTCATGGCCTTACTAAAACTTTGTTGTTAAATTTTTTATCTGTGTCAAGCTAATAGATGAAAAATGATATTATGTTGTTTTGTGTGAGGCTGATCATCTTTTAAGTGGTCATGAGCCATGTATGTTTATAGTTAGATTTCTGTGGATTTCTAGTCACGGTTGGTTATTTTTAAACATTGATTCCTTGACCTCTATTTAAAATTGATGTAGAAATACTCTATGTATTAGGGAAGTTAACCTCCTAATATTTATTATGCAAATATGTTTCCAGTCTGCAGTTCGTGTGTTTTAGGTATTTGTTGCCATGTAGAAAAAATTTTAATTTTATCAAGTCAAATGCATCAATAACTTCCTCTATGGTTTCTGGGCTTTGTGTATTCTTTAGAAAATCACTCTGCATTCTGTATTTTACATATTCTCAAATTCTGTTATACTTTATTCGAATACTTTTATAATTTCTTTTTTTAAAAAAGAAAACCAGGTGTATGGTTTTTTTTTTTAATTATTATACTTTAACTTCTAGGGTACATGTACACAACTGCAGGTTTGTTACATAGGTATACATGTGCCATGTTGGTTTGCTGCACCCATCAACTGGTCATTTACATTAGGTATTTCTCCTAATGCTATTCCTCCCCCCAACCCCCCACCCCACGACAGGCCCCGGTGTGTGATGTTCCCCACCCTGTGTCCATGTGTTCTCATTGTTCAACTCCCACCTATGAGTGAGAACATGCAGTGTTAGGTTTTCTGTCCTTGTGATAGTTTGCTTAGAATGATGGTTTCCAGCTGCATCTATGTCCCTGCAAAGGACGTGAATTCATCCTTTTTTATGGCTGCATAATATTCCATGGTGTATATGTGCCACATTTTCTTTATCCAGTCTATCATTGATGGGCATTTGGGCTGGTTCCAAGTCTTTGCTATTGTGAATAGTGCCGCAATAAACATACGTGTGCATGTGTCTTTATAGTAGCATGATTTATAATCTTTTGGGTATATACCCTGTATTGGGATCACTGGATCAAATGGTATTTCTAGTTCTAGATCCTTGAGGAATTGCCACAGTGTCTTCCACAATGGTTGAACTAATTTACCCTCCCATCAACAGTGTAAAAGCGTTCCTCATGATGAACAGTGGTTACCTCTAGGGGAAAGATTAGGACAGAAGAAACTGAACTTCAATACTCTACCTCATAAATTACAGAATTGCCAGAACTTTTTTTTACAATGAGCATGTATTATGTCTATAATAGAAACAGCATTTTAAGCCCATTTAAAAGGATATCAGGTATTGTAAGTATGTTATGTTACCATAAATTAATCTATAAATATAATGCTCTCCCAATGAAAATATAAATAGAGGCTTTTTGAGGGTAATATAACAAGCTGATTTTATTTTCATTAAATTAATTAATTAATTTTTTTTTTAGGGATGGCATTTCACTATTTTGCCTGGCTGGTCTTGAACTCCTGAGCTCAAGTGATCCACCCGCCTTGGTGGATCAAAGTGTGTTAGGATTACAGGTGTGAGCCACCATGCCCAGCCAACAAGCTGATTTCAAGTTAATATGAAAAAATAAACACAGTAGAATAATCAGGAATTTTGTGAAAAGGAAGAGAAATTAAAAGAGATAAACCCTAGCAGATACTAAAATTTACTGTTATGAGGTGTTCATCCTACAAGGTGCTTTCAATAAGCACATTTGTAATTATGCATACACATATATTTAACATGTGTATATTTTCTTTTTTAGACACAGGGTCCTTGCTTTGTCACCCAGACTGGAATGCAGTGGCTCACTGCCACCTCAAACTCCTGCACTCAAAGGATCGTCCCGCCTCAGCCTCCTGAGTAGCTGGGAATACAGGTATCTGCTACCGCACATGGCTAATTTTTTAATTTTCTTTTTTTGTAGAGACTGAGTCTTGCCATCTTGAACAGGGTCTTGAACTCCTAGGCTCAAGTGATCCTCCTGCCTTGGCCTCCCAAAGTCTTGGGATTACAAGTATGAGCCACCACACCCAGCCTATATTTTTTAATACAGCTATATCTAAGTTAATATCACACATACTGTATCTAACCCAATTTTTTCTTCAATTATACATCATATTAATACCTGGAGACCTACCTTATCCTTTTAAAGGTCACATGGTGGCCCACTGTGTGGGGAAATAAGAATGCCATAATTAATTTACCTATTCCCCCATAATGAATATTTTCATCATTTCCAGTTTTTCTTAAATACAAATGGTGCTGCAGTGAAGAGCTTCAAGATTATCTTTGCACTTTTGTGTAGGTATTTCAACCAGCCAGAATCCTAGAAACAGGACTGCTGGATCGAAGTCTAAGGGTCCTTTCAATGATTAAGTGTCGTGATGTAGAAACGACTTGTCAATCAAAGGGAGACTTGTCTCAGAGTGCTCCATTCTCTAAAGCCTTCTTCCCCAAGCACACGTGGTGGCTGCTGCCATTTGTGTGGAATTCAGAAACTCTGGGGGATGCTAAGTCCCACTACAAATGCTTACAGGTCCAGTGGCTGGCTGAGTGAATGGAATTAACAACAAACTCTGGAGGCACAGAGTCTTGGTCCCACCTGCAGGCTGGCACTGGAGGCTGACCAAGGCTTTCACCACATGTTAGGCAGGGAAGCTGGAGGAGATTCTCAGAGATGGGTGGTAAAAGGGAAGGGTGCTATTGGTCTGCTGACCTGTAACATGGAATACATTTTTCCATACAAAGGTTACAAATAGTAATAGTGGGAGTTGACATTGAAGTATTACTACAGCCATCAGCTCATGACGTCAGCGACTTTGAAGAATAAATAGACTTTGATGTGTTGCTGGTTGAAGAATCAAACCACTGTAAACAATAGTTCCGATAGGACAATGCTGTGTGAGTCCAGATAAGTCACTTAAAAATGAGTTTTCTAACCATATGTGAATTGGAGGCTGTGCGTGAAAGACACCCTTCCAGCCTTCACCATCTCCCCCGACTTCACTTCTCAGCCTCCCCTCCTTTCCCTTTGGATGGTCCCCAGGTCTCCCGGACCCAGGTCTATGATCCCTAGGACATTGCATGTAATTTAGTTACATTCTTTTACTTGTCTTTCTCCCTTTCCAAACCTTTTTCACATTCCTTAAGACCTTCACACAGTCCCAGCCCTGTCATAGTTGGATGGTTTCATCTCCCATATTACCAAAAAAAATTAACCCACTGGGCAAAAACTGCCCTAATTTCCTGCCTCCCACTTTACTCCTAATATATTCATCTATGTTCAATTTCAAAGGATGAGCACCCCAACTAAAGCCAAGCTATGTTCTAGATAGATCCCTGTCTATCTTCCTCTCACTGATGATCACTCCCTGCCTATGTGCAACTGGGCCACTGCATTGCACAACTGTAGGGGGTGCCATTCACAAGTAATACAGTGTAAATTATGCCACCTGGAGTTGGCAATGCACAGCATTGTCCTGAAAATAATACTTCTCTACCATCCCTTTCTCTCCAGTATATTATTAACAACAACAACAACAACAACAACAACAACAACAACAGCCATCTCCTTTCTTAACAGTCATTTTCTCTCCTTAAGAAGCCAACCTTCTTAAAAAAGTTACTTACACTTGTCTCCACGTCCTACCTCCCTTTGACTTTCCATTGTACAGTTCACTCATTCTTTCAATATATATTTATTAAATACCTATTATATGCCAGGTACCATCCTATATGCTCAGACTACTAAATAAATAAGGCCCTACACACTCACAGAGCTTACAGACTATTGAGAAAGAGAAACAGGGTTAATAACAAATTACATTTTTTTTTTTTTTTTTGAGACAGAGTCTCGCTCTGTCACCCAGGCTGGAGTGCAGTGGTGTGATCTCGGCTCACTGCAAGCTCCGCCTCCCTGGTTCATGTCATTCTCCTGCCTCAGCCTCCCAAGTAGCTAGGACTACAGGCACCCGCCACCATGCCCAGCTATTTTTTTGTATTTTTAGTAGAGACAGGGTTTCACCTTGTTAGCCAGGATGGTCTCGATCTCCTGACCTCGTGATCTGCGCACCTTGGCCTCCCAAAGTGCTGGGATTACAGGCGTGAGCCACCACGCTCTGCCTACATTTTTTTTTTTTCAGACAGAGTCTCACTCTGCCACCCAGGCTAGAGTGCAGTGACGTGATCTCAGCTCACTGCAAACACCGCCTCCTGGGTTCAAGGGATTCTCCTGCCTCAGTCTCCTGAGTAGCTGGGATTACAGGCATGTGCCACCATGCCCAGCTAATTTTTGTATTTTTAGTAGAGACGGGGTTTCACCATGTTGGCCAGGCTGGTCTCGAACTCCTGATCTCAGGTGATCTGCCTGCCTCAGCCTCCCAAAGTGCTGGGATTACAGGCATGAGGCATCACACCTAGCCACAAATCACATTTTAAAGGTACTTAATGTCAACTGAAAAATCATGAGATCCATAAATTTGGAAAGGGGAACTTTATTTCTTATAAAGGGCTACATCCTGCAGGCTGGCCATCCTGTGGGCTGGGAAGTGTAGCCTCCAGCAGAAACTAAAAGCAGGTACTTCAAGGGAGGGAAAGATGAGACAAGGATTTATGCTGAATAAGTTGGCCAAGTATGCATATGCAACAGGTTATAGGAGGAGCTATTAATATTCACAAAGAGAGGGATGCACACATGTGTTATAAGCTAACCAAACATGCCTGTTACATGCAACCCATGTTCACTTTGGGGCAGAGACATAACATTTAAATGTATTACAATTAAGCCCTGTGTGTCAAAGGGTAAAGCAGGGACATGAAGGCCCTCAGTGTGCGGCCTCTGTAAACTGGCCAGAACCAGTCCACCATCAGTGATCTCTTAACAGGAGAAAGTTGGCTGGGCATGGTGGCTTATACCTGTAATCCCAGCACTTTGGGAGGCTGAGGCTGGCAGATCGCTTGAGGCCAGGAATTTGAGGCCAGCCTGGACAACATGGTAAAACCCCGTCTCTACTAAAAATACAAAACTCAATCAGATGTAGTGGCACATGCCTATAATCCCAGCTACTCTGGAGGCTGAGGCATGAGAATTGCTTGAACCCGTGAGGCAGAGGTTGTAGTGAGCTGAGATCACACCATTGCATGCCAGCCTGGGTGACAGAGTGAGACTCTTGTCTAAAAACAAAGCAAAAAAAAAAAAAAAAAAAAAAAGAAAGTTACTGACTTCAGTCTCTTATCCAATCAAAGCTGTAGTTACAGCTTTTTGAACATGGGGCCAGTTAGTCAGCATCTGGTTGTCAGTGAGCTCCAATTGTTTCAACATTGCTTATCTCAAGGCCAGTGCTTGTTTAGCTGCTAGAGAAAAAGCAAAAAGCCTTGTAGCAGTTAGAATATAGTTTATTCTTTGGGATGTATGACTTAACCCTTGTCTGGCATGGCTTTAGGTTCTTGTTTATAATTTGGTATCTTATTGACACAAAAAGTCCATTCTGTCAGTCTTATGATCTCTATATTAACAATTGTTTCAAATAGAGATAGGTTTTATTTCCACATAAACGGAGGCAGCATATAAAAGCCTCCTGTGTAACAAGGAGGCTGATCTGCTATCCCTATTAAGTAATATATTTGCAAAATATACGAATCTGTATATTTGCAAAACATACAAATTTTGAAATACTACTATATTTCTTTGGACTGGCTAAGGGTAGGAGTTCTCACCCTACGCTAGGTCAATGGGGGAGACATCTGTAGATGACTGAAGCTTTTGGCATTCCTCAGATCTCTTTGCTTCAACAATTACAGGCCAGCCTGTTGGGGCATAGGGTTAGACCAGGAGTGGAGAGAGGAGAACACTCCAGTCACCCTCCCTGAGCCCTCTGTGTACAGTACAAGAATGAGTGGCTTGACTTCAGAGGCCTCCCAAATGAGAACATAATAATTTGGGGGAAGGATTTTCCTGTTGAGTTCTAACTCCAGAAAATAAGGCTGAGTGGAGTCAACCAAGCTCCAGACATAAGCACAGTGAAATGCAGAGTCATGAAGGCAGATGAGTGGGGAGGCTGAGTGGCTTCCTGTGAGTCTCATTGTTTATTATGATGCACTGGTGCCCCTGACTACCGTTTCCCAATGCTAGGGGATGGGGGTCCCTGGTTCCCACAGAGCTGACTTCAGGATGGTGCAGCCCAGGAGGGTGAGAAGAGCAGCTGTGTTCAGATCTATGCCCAGCAGCAGCTGCGGCTCGGGAGCCCTTGAATGCTTGTTCGACTGCAGCTGATTACAGAGTTGTAGAGTTGGAATTAAACTAGGGGTGGGACAGAGGCAAGAGCCTGGCCACTTTGGCTTTCCAGACAGACAGAGAGATAGACATGGTTTTGCAGTCTGGCAGTGCCACTTCCTAGCTGTGTGTCCTTAGGGAAGTTGCTCCTGTGTCAAGATGTTTTGGGTCCCATGTAACACGATTCTTGACTAGCCTGGCTTAATTTCTAAAGACATTTATGGTTCACTTAAGAAGCAGCCCAGAGCTAGGCAAGATGAGGTAGCTTTCAGTGGCTCAAGGACATCACCAAGGACCGAACTTTCTCATCCTTTTCTTCTTCCATCCTCAGGTACATCTCATCCCACACTGCCCCTTATGATTGCCATAAGACTGACAAAGACCCCAGCTTCACCTCCTCTCATGATAATATCCTAAGCATGAAGTAATAGGAGCAGTGGCATAATTGTCTCCTGCTCTTTTATTTCTTGTGGGGAGAAAAGACTTCCCCAGGAGCCTTCAACAGACTTTCCCTTCTGTCTGTCATGCCCACCTCTGTACCAAACATGGATAAAGTGGACTGTGGCTAGCAAAACTGGCTTGGCTAATCTTGTCTCACTGACTCACCAGGAGCTGGGCTCATTGCCATTCCCAGCAAAATCAGGTTCTGTTAGCAAGAAGGCACAGGAGAATGGCCTTAGGTAGGCACCAGCAGCATCTGTCACACTCAGCCTCCATAAGCATCCGCCATCTCATCCTTTCAAAGGGGGAATAATAGCACCTACCTCGTTGGTTGGCATGAGGAAGGAAATAACAGAAGCAGAGCACTTAGTACAGAGTAAGCACTCAGTACAAGTCCACTTCTATGAGTTAGAATCTAGACCTTTAGGACTAGCAGAGACCTCAGATATTAGCGGGTCAGACCTGAGATATTGCTTCAGTGGGTCACAAAGCAAATGGGCATTAAAGCCAGACCTGGGAAAGAAATGCCAGTGGCTTAGACACAGGTGGTGGAAAAAATTAGGCTAGGGATATATGACGACAGTACTTCTAACTGAATGTGCTGATGGATTGGGCATACAGGTGGGAAAGAGTAGAATCAAGGTGGACCCAGGGTTTTCATTTTTCTATTTTTTATTTTTTAAATTTGTTTATTATTATTATTTTTGAGACAGAGTCTCACTCTATTGCCCAGGCTGGAGTGCAGTGGTGTGATCTCGGCTCACTGCAACCTCCGCCTCCCGGGTTCGAGCGATTCTCATGCTCAGCCTCCTGAGTAGCTGGGATTACAGGTGCTCACCACCACGCCTGGCTAATTTTTGTATTTTTAGTAGAGACGGGGTTTTGCCATGTTGGCCAGGCTGGTCTTGAACGCCTGACCTCAGGTGATCCACCTGCCTCAGCCTCCCAAAGTGCTGGTATTACAGGTGTGAGCCACTGTGCCTGGGTGGACCCAGGGTTTTTAGATGGTGCCGTGTGCTGAGATGGGGGAGACACTTGTGGGGAAGGTAATTTGAAGTTTTCAGACATTCTTGTTGTCTTCAGATTCTGTGTTGTATAGGTTTAGGAATGATTTATACCATATAGGCATAATGGGCAATTTCTAAATACATAGAAAAATAAGATGTCTAGAGATTTCCACATAACTTAAAGTCCTACAAATTTCTCAGGATCCTATTAGCTAATGTTGACACCTGATCAATCCAAAAAGTCAAATTAATGTTTAAAAATAGTCTCTGCTTCCTGAAGTTAACATTCCCTCTATTTGACTCACTCCATCTGGGTGGCAGAAACAAAAGATGAAAAAACAAACCGTGATTGCCTTTCTGTGGATTCTGGAGGCTTCCAGGCAATGTCTTTAAGAGATATAACCCCTGCTCTCCATAAAGTGGTAGTTTTCCTTGATTTAGGAGACATCAAGGGCAGGATCTTGCATGCAACCCAGGGAGGCTGGTTTTGCTTATATGCTCGAGAACACACCTTCAAATACTGGTTCTTCATAGCCAGGCTAGATGTGGTCCTCCTTGGACTGAACAGATACACTCTCTGGTATTGACTGGGATACAGTGTACCCCACTCATCCTTGCCTTGGAGTGGTGGCCATGGGTGGGGATCATGGGAGCCAAGGAAAATGCAGATCAGAGAAAGAACTTTAAGAGTTTTTTCTCTCTCTCTTTTTTTTTTTTGAGATAGGGTCTTGCTCCGTGGCCGAGGCTGGAGTACAGTGGCACAATCACGGCTCACTGCAGCCTCGACTTCCTGGGCTCAGATGATTCTCCCACCTCAGCCTCCTGAGTAGCTGGGACTACAGGCATGTGCCACCATGCCTGACTAATTTTTGTATTTTTTGTAGAGACGGGGTTTCACCATGTTGCTCAGGCTGGTCTCAAACTCCTGGGCTCAAGCAGTCCTCCTGCCCTGGCTTCCCAAAGGCTGCCCCGGCTTCCCAAAGGCATGAGCCACTGCACCTGACCACTTTAAGTGTTCTTAATGATCACCTTACATCAGTGGTTCTCAGCCTCAGCTGCACAGTGGAATCACCTGCGTATCTTTCAATGCTACTGAGGCCTGACTACCACCCAGGGATTCTGATTCCAGAGGTCTGGGATGTGGCCAGGGCATCAGTAGTTTTAAAAATCTCCTCCCCAGTGATTCTAATGTTCAGCTAGGGTTAAGACTTTGTTCCACTGGTTTTGTTCCATGCTCCCTGTACAGATAAGCTAATTGTGTCCCTGAACTTGAAAAAGGCCACATGGCTAGTTAAGTGGGACATGAGGTTTCAAACTCAGGTTTCATAAATCAATGGTCTTAAGAAGAGGTGGATATAGTCAGAGAAAAAAGAGAGGAAGACCAATTAAAAGGGTTGGTGGGAACACTTGTGAATTCCATGAATTCTAAATAATTTCAGTGGTTCATGTCAGAATTGTGGTTACATCATTTTAAAACAGTCCCTGGTAGGAAGTCTGGCATGGAAACTCCAGACACCAGCCTAGGTAAAACTTTCTCCTCCAAAGTCGTGTCCTGTCTCTTGGGAGTGGTTCTCACCATCCTGGGCAAACAGAATTAAGTGAGAAAGAACACAGTGCACAGAGAAAGCTGGACATTCCCTGAAAGAACTTTAAAAAATGAATCCATTCTTTTATTATGAGTATTCCAATGAAAAAATTTTTAAATAAAATTCATACATAATAGATGTACTTATTTTTGAAGTACATGTGATAATTTAATACATTCATATAATGCGGGATGATCAAATCAGCATAATTGGGATAACCATCACCTTAAATATTTGTCTTTTGCTAGAAATATTCAAATCATTCTCTTCTGACTATTTTGAAATATACAATAATTATAAATTATAGTTCCCCTACTGATCTATCAAATGCCTGTTCTAATTTCTTCTATCAAACTGTGCATTTGTACCCATTAATCAACCTCTCTTTATCTCACCCTCCCGCCTCCTCTTCCCAGCCTCTGGTAACTACAAGTTTACTCTCTATCTTCATGAGATCCACTTTTTTAGCTCCCAAATATGAGTGGGCAACATGCAATATTTGTCTTTCTGTGCTTGGCTTATTGCACTTAACATAATGACCTCCAGTTCCATCCAGTTTGCTGCAAATGACAGGATTTCATTCTTTTTATATGGTTGAATAATATTCCATTGTGCATATATATCACCTTTCTCCCTCCCCTCCCCTCCCCTCCCCTCCCCTTTCTCTCTCCCTCTGTGTCTCTCCCTCTCTCTTCCTTCCTTCCCTCCCTTCCTTCCTTCCTTCCTCCTCCCCCTCCCCCTTCCTTCCTTCTGTTCTGTCCCTCTCCTTCCTTCCTTCCTTCCTTCCTTCCTTCCTTCCTTCCTTCTTTCTTTCTTTCTTTCTTTCTTTCTTTCTTTCTTTCTTTCTTTCTTTCTTTCTTTCTTTCTTTCTTTCTTCCTTTCTTCCTTTCTTCCTTTCTTCCTTTCTTCCTTTCTTTCTTTTTTCTTTCTTTCTTTCTTCCTTTTTTTCTTCTGAGGCAGAGTCTCACTCTGTTGCCCAGGCTGGAGACTTCGCCTCCCAGGTTTAAGCAATTCTCCCGCCTCAGCTTCCCGAGTAGCTGGGACTACAGGTGCCTGCCACCATGCCTGGCTAATTTTTGTATTTTTAGTACAGGTGGGGTTTCACCATGTTGGCCAGGCTGGTCTTGAAATCACATTTTCTTTAACCATTCATTTATTCATGGGCACTTAGATTGATTCTATGTCTTGGCTATTGTGACTATTCCTGCAGTAAACATGGGAGTGCAGGTATATCCAAAAGAATCCAATTGATTAATATATTGATTTCCTTTCTTTTGGATATATACCCAGTAGTACATTGATAGATCATATGCCAGTTCTATTTTTAGTTTTTTTTGAGGAAACTTCATACAGTTCCCGTAGTGGCTGTACTGATTTACATCCCTACCAACAGTGTACAGGGGTTCCCTTTTCTCCACATCCTCACCAACATCTGTTATTTCCTCTTTTTGATAAAAAGTCACTTTAACCAGGGTAAGATGATGCCTCATTGTGGTTTTGATTTGCATTTCTCTGATTATTAGTCATGTAGAACACCTTTTCATGTACCTTTTGGCCATTTGTATGTCTTCTTTTGAGAAATGTCTATTGAGATCTTTTACTCATTTTTAATCAGGTTATTTGTTTTTTTGCTGTTGAATAGTTTGAGCTCTTTCTATATTGTGGTTGTTAATCCCTTTCAGATGCATAGTTGGCAAATATTTTCTCCCATTTTATGAGTCATTTCTTCACTTTGTTGATTGTTTCCTTTGCTGTGCAGAAGCTGTTTAGCTTGATGTAAACCTATTTGTCTATTTTTGCTTTAGTTGCCTGTGCTTTTTAGGTCTTACACACACAAAAATCTGCCCAGACCAATGGAGTCGAGCATTTCCCCAAGTTTTCTTCTAGTAGTTTCATAGTTTTGAGTCTTGATTTAATTCTTTAATCCATTTTGATTTGATTTTTGTGTATGTTGAGAGATAGGAGTCTAGTTTCATTCTGCTGCAAATAGTTATCCATTTTTCCCAGCACCATTTATTGAAGAGACTTTCCCCATTGTATGTTCTTGGCTCCTTTGTTGAAAATGAGTTGGCTGTAAAAGAGTAGCTTTATATCTAGGTTTTCTATTATGTTCCATTTGTCTATGCATCTGTTTTGTTTTTGTTTTTGTTTTTTTGAAACAGAGTCTTGCACTGTCGCCCAGGCTAGAATGCAGTGGTGCAATCTCAGCTCACTGCAAACTCCACCTCCCAGGTTCAAACGTTTCTCCTGCCTCTGCCTCCTGAGTAGCTGGGATTACAGGCACCTGCCACCATGCCTAGCCTATATATCTGCTTTTATGCTAGTACTATGCTCATTTGGTTACTATAGCTTTGTAATATATTTTAAAGTCAGGTAGCATGATGCCTCAACTTTGCTCTTTTTACTCAGGATTGCTTTGGCTATGGGGGGTCTTTTGTGGTGCCATATACATTTTAGGATTGTTTTTTCTATTTCTGTGAAGAATGTCATTGGTATTTTGATAGGGATTGCATTAAATCTGCAAATTGGTTTAAGTAGTATTGTCATTTTAATGACATTAATTATTCCTATTCATGAGCATGGAATATCTTTCCTTTTTTTTGGTGTCCTCTTCAATTTCTTTCACCAGTGTTTTATAGTTTTCATTGTATAGATCTTTGATCTTTCACTTCTTTGGTTAAATTGATTCCTCGTAGCTATTGTAAATGGGATTGCTTTCTTGATTTCTTTTTCAGATTGTTCATTGTTGGCATATATAAATACTGCTGATTTTTTTTGCTGATTTTGTATCCAGCAAGTTTATTGAATTTATATATCAGTTCTAATGGTTTTTTGATGGAGTTTTGGTTTTCTTTAATTATAAGATCATGTTCATCTGTGAACAAGGCTAATTTGACTTTTTTTGTGATTTCAATACCCTTTCTTCCTTTTTTTTTTTTCTTTTTTTTTTTTTTTTTTTGAGACAAGATCTGGCACTATCCCCCAAGCTGCAGTGAAGTGACATGATCTTGGCTCACTACAAACTCTGCCTCCTGGGATCAAGCCATCCTTTTACCTCAGCCTCCTAAGTAGCTGAGACTACAGACACACATCACCATGCCTGGCTAATTTTGGTATTTTTTGTAGATATGGGGTTTTGCCACATTGATCAGGCTTGTCTTGAACTCATGAGCTCAAGCCATCTGCCCACCTTGGCCTCCCACAGTGCTGGGATTAAAGGCATGAGCCATCGTGCCTGGACTTTTTCTTTCTTTCTCTTGCTCATTGCTCTGGCCAGGATTTACAGTATTATGTTGAATAAAAATGGTGGAAGTGGGCATCCTTGTCTTCTTCTAGATCTTAGTGGAAAGGCTTTCAGTCTTTCCCTGTTCAGTATATTAGCTGTAAGCTTGTCATATATACGGCCTTCATCATGTTGAGGTATGTTTCTTCTATACTCAGTTGTTGAGGAATTTTGTCATAGAGGAATGTTGAGTTTTATTTAATGCTTTTTCAGTATCTATTGAAATGATCCTATGGTTTTTTTTTTTTTTTTTTTTTTGAAAAAGAGTCTCACAGTGTTGCCCAGGCTGGAGTGCAGTGACACAGTCTTGGCTCACTGCAACCTCTGCCTCCCAGGTTCGAGCGATTCTCCTGCCTCAGCCTCCCGAGTAGCTGGGACTACAGGTGCATGCCACCACGCCCAGCTAATTTTTGTATTTTTAGTAGAGATGGAGTTTCACAATGTTGACCAGGGAGGTCTCGATCTCTTGACTTCGTGATCCACCCACCTTGGCCTCTCAAAGTGCTGGGATTACAGGCGTGAGCCACCGGCTCCTGGCTGATCCTATGGTTTTTGTTCTTGGTTCTGTTAATGTGATATATCATGTTTATTAATTTGCAAATGTTGAAACATCCTTTCATGTCTAGGATGAATCCCATTTGATCATGGTGAATACTCTTTTTAATGTATTGTTGAATTTGGTTTACTAGTATTTTGTCAAGGGTTTTTCCAACTATATTATCATTGCCATTGGCCTGTAGTTTTCCTTTCTTGTTGTATCCTAATCTGGTTTTGGTATCAGGGTAATGCTGGACTTGTAATATGAGTTTGGAGGTAGTCCCTCTTCTTAAATTTTTTTGGAGTGTGAGTAGAATTGGTATTAGTTCTTTAAATGTTTGGCAGAATTCAGCAGTGAAGCTATCAGGTCCTGGACTTTTCTTTGATGGGAGACTTTATTATAGCTTCAATTTCTGATATAGTTTGAATATTTGTGCTCTCCAAATGTCATGTCAAAATTTGATCTCCAGTGTTGCAGGTGAGGCCTAGTGGAGATGTTTGAATGATGGGGGCAGATCCCTTATGAATGGCTTGGTGCTGTCTTCATAGTAACGAGTGAGTTCTGGGTCTATTATTTCCTAAGAAATCTGGTTGTTGAAAAGAGCCTAGCACCTCTTCCCCTCTCTCTCTTGCCCACTTCCCACCATTTGATCTCTACATGCCAACTTTCTGTCACCTTCTATCATGAGTGGAAGCATCCCGTGAGGCCCTCACCAGAAGCAGATGCTGGCATCATGCTTCTTGTATAGCCTGCAGAACAGTGAGCCAACTAAACCTCTTATTTTTTTTTTTAAATAAATTACCTAGCCTTATGTATTCCTTTACAGCAATGCAAAATGGACTAAGACAATCTCATTACTTGTTACTCATTTGTTGAGGTTTTCTCGTTCTCCATGGTTCATCTTGGTAGTTTGTATGTGTCCAGGAACTTATCCATTTCTTCTAGGTTTTCCAATTTGTTAGCATGTAGTTGTTCACAATAGTCTCTAATTATTCTTTGTATTTCTCAGTTGTTATGTCTCCTTTTTCATTTTTTATTTTATTTATTTGGGTCACTTTTTTTCCTTAGTCTAGCTAAAGGTTTGCCAATTTTATCTTTCTTAAAAAAGCACAACTTTTCATTTCATTGATCTGTATTGGGTTTTGTTTTTGTTTTTGTTTTTTGAGACAGGGTCTCACTCCCATTGCCCAAGCTGGAGTGCAGTGGTGCCATCTCAGCTCATTGCAGCCTCAACTTCCCAGGCTCAGGTGATTTCCTACCTCCTACCTGAGTAGCTGGGACTACAGGCATGTGCCACCATGCTCAGCTAATTTCTTGTGTTTTTAGTAGAGGCAGGGTTTTGCCATGTTGCCCAGGCTGGTTTTGAACTCCTGGGCTCAAGTGATCCACCTGCCTCAGCCTCAAAAGTGCTGGGATTACAGGGGTGAACTACTGTGCCTGGCCTGTATTGTTTTTTACATTTCCTTTTCATTTATTTGTGCTCTGATATTTATTACTTCTTTCCTCCTACTCATTTTGGATTTGGTTTGTCTGGGTTTTCCTGGTTCTTTGAGATGCCTCATTAGATCGTTCAGTCTTTCTACATTTTTGATATAGGTGTTCATTGCTACAAGCTTCCCTCTTACAACTGCTTTTGCTGTGTCCTATAGATTTTGGTATGTTGTATTTCCATTTGCATTTGTTTCAAGAAATCGTCAAATTTCCTTCTGAATTTCTTCATCAACCCATTGCTCATTCAGGAGCATGTTGTTTAATTTCCAGGTATTTGTGTATTTTCTGAGGCTCCTATTGCTACTGATTTTCGGTTTTATTTCACTGTGGTCAAAATACATACTTAATATGATTTCTACTTTTTTGAATTTGTTGAGACATGTTTTATGACATAAAATATAATCTATTCTGGAGAATCTTCCATGTACTTATTAAAAATGTGTATTTTATTGCAGTAAATGTCAATTAAGGCTATTTGGTCTAGTGTGTAGTGAAATCTAACATTTCTTTGTTGATTTTCTGTCTGGATGATCCGTCCATTACTGAGAGTGGGGTGTTGAAGTCCTCTGCTGTTATCGTATTGCAGTTTATCCCTCCTTTGGAACTCCTAATATTTGCTTTATATACTTGGGAGCTCTGGTGTTATTTGCATAGATACTTAAAATTATTATATCCTCTTGCTGAATTGATCATTTTATCATTATACCATGACCTTCTTTGTCCTTCTTACAGTCTTAGATTTGTAGTCCATTTTTTAATCTAAGTACAGTTATTCCTGCTCTTTTTTGGTTTCCAGTTGTACAGAATATCTTTTTCCAACCCTTCACTTTTATTCTATGTGTGTCTTTATAGGTGAAGTGGGTTTCTTGTAGACAATGTATAGTTGGGTCTTGTTTCTTTATTAATTCAGCCACTCTATGCCTTTCTATTGAAGAATTTAGTCCATTTACATTCATCGTTATTATTTATAAGTAATTACTACTGCCATTTTGTTGCTTGTTTTCTGGTTATTTTGTAGTTCCTCTCTTCTGTTTTTTCCGTTCTTACTGTCTTCCTTTGTGGGTAAGTGGTTTACTCTGGTAGTATGTTTTAATTTCTTGTTATTCATTTTTAGTGAATCTGTTGTAGATTTTCGCATTGTGGTTACCATGAAGCTTACAAAAAACATCTTATAGTTATAACGAGTTATTTTAAAGAGATTATATCTTCAATGGCAAAGAAAATAGAAACAAAGAAAAAAATGAAAAAAAAAAAACTGTACTTTAACTCTATCCCCTCCAAAATTTGACTTTGTCATCTCTAATTACATATTTTTATATTGCCTATCTCTTAACACATTGCTGTTGCTAAGAGCTTAACACGTTGCTGTTGCTAGTTTTAATAGTTTTGTCTTTGGGGCTCTATACTAGAGTTATGAGTGGATTACATATCCCAATTACGGTATTAGAGTATTCTGGGTTTGTCCATGTAGTTAATGTTACCAGTGGGTTTTATATGTTTAAGTACTTTCTTTTTGCATGTCAGAGTTTTGTTTTGTTTTGTTTTCACACTGAAGAACTCCCTTTAGCATTTCTTGTAAAACAGGTCAGGTGGTAGTAAATTCTCTCAGAATTTTGTTTGTCCAAGAAAGACTTGATCTCTCCTTCATTTTTGAAGAATATCTTTGCTTGACACAGTATGCTTGGATGAGTTTTTTTCTTTCAGCACTTCGAAAATGTCATGCCACTCCCTCCTGGCCTGTATGGTTTTTGTTGAGATGTCTGTTGCCAGATGAATTGGAGCTCCTTTGTATGTTATTTGCTTCTTATCTCTTGCTGCTTTTATCTTTTGAGAATTTGTCTTTACCCTTTGAGAGTTTGATTATTATATGACTTGGAATAGTCTTATTTTGGTCAAATCTGTTGTTCTCTTACTTTTCAGTATCTGGCTATTTGTCTCTTTCTCAAGTTTTAGAAACTTTTCTATTATTATTTATTTGAATATACTTTCTACCCCTTGCTCTTGTTCAACTTTTTCTTGAACATCAATGATTATTAGATTTGGTCTTTTGAGATAATTTTCTTTGTCTTGCAGGCAATCTTCATTCCTTTCATTCTTTTTTCTTTTTCTCCTCTGACTGCATATTTTCAAATAGGCTGTCTATGAGCTTACTGATTCTTTCCTCTGCTTGATCTATTATGTCATTGAGAGTCTCTAATGCAGGGAATGTATTTCTCAGTTCCAATATTTGATTTTTTTAAAATTTCAATCTCTTTGTTAAATTTCTCTGAGTAATTTATGAATTGCTTTTCTGTGTTATCTTAGAGATCACTGAGTTTCCTTAAAACTGCTATTTTAGGAGGAGGTTCCAAGATACCCAAATAGGAACAGCTCCAGTCTGCAGCTCCCAGCATGAGCAACACAGAAGACAGGTGATTTCTGCATTTCCAACTGAGGTACTGGGTTCATCTCACTGGGGCTTGTTAGACAGTGTTGCAGCCCATGGGGCAGGGCAGGGCATTGCCTCACCCGGGAAGTGCAAGGGGTCAGGGAATTCCCTTTCCTAGCAAAAGGAAGCCGTGACAGACAGTACTTGGAAAATTGGGACACTCCCACCCTAATACTGTGCTTTTCCAATGGCCTTAGCAAACGGCACACCAGGAGATGATATCCTGTGCCTGGCTCAGAGGGTCCCACGCCCACGGAGCCTTGCTCACTGCTAGCACAGCAGTCTCAGATCGAACTGCAAGGCAGCAGTGAGGCTGGGGGAGGGACATCCGCCATTGCTGAGACTTGAGTAGGTAAACAAAGTGGCTGGGAAGCTCAAACTGAGTGGAGCTCACCGTAGCTCAAGGAGGCCAGCCTACCTCTGTAGACACCACCTCTGGGGGCAGGGCATAGCTGAACAAAAGGCAGCAGAAACTTCTGCAGACTTAAACGTCCCTGTCTGACAGCTTTGAAGAGAGTAGTGGTTCTCCCAGCATGGAGTATGAGATCTGAGAACGGACAGACTGCCTCCTCAAGTGGGTCCCTGACCCCAGAGTAGCCTAACTGGGAGGCACCTCCCAGTAGGGGCCAACTGACACTTCATACAGCCAGGTGCTCCTCTGAGACAAAGCTTCCAGAGGAAGGATCAGGCAGCAACATTTGCCATTCTGCAGTATTTGCTGTTCTTCAGCCTCTGCTGGTGATACCCAGGCAAACAGCGTCTGGAGTGGACCTCCAGCAAACTCCAACAGACCTGCAGCTGAGGGTCCTGACTGTTAGAAGGAAAACTAACAAACAGAAAGGACATCCACACCAAAACCCCAACTGTACTTCGCCATAATCAAAGACCAAAGGTAGATAAAACCACAAAGATGGGAGAAACCAGAGCAGAAAAGCTGAAAATTCTAGAAATTAGAGCACCCCTTCTCCTCCAAAGGAATGCAGCTCCTCGCCAGCAACGGAACAAAGCTGGACAGAGAATGACTTTGACGAGTTTAGAGAAGAAGGCTTCAGACGATCAGTAATAACAAACTTCTCCGAGCTAAAGGAGGATGTTCGAACCCATCGCAAAGAAGCTAAAAACCTTGAAAAGAGATTAGATGAATGGCTAACTAAAATAAACAGTGTAGAGAAGTCCTTAAATGACCTGATGGAGCTGAAAACCAAGGCATGAGAACTATGTGATGCATGCACAAGTTTCAGTAGCGGATTTGATCAAGTGGAAGAAAGGGTATCAGTGATTGAAGATGAAATGAAAGAAATGAAGCGAGAAGTTTAGAGTAAAAAGAGTAGAAAGAAACTAACAAAGCCTCTAAGACATATGGGACTATGTGAAAAGACCAAATCTGTGTCTGATTGGTGTACCTGAAAGTGACGGGGAGAATGGAACTAAGTTGGAAAACACTCTTCAGGATATTATCCAGGAGAACTTCCTCAACCTAGCAAGGCAGGCCAACATTCAAATTCAGGAAATGCAGAGAACACCACAAAGATACTCCTCGAGAAGAGCAACTCCAAGACACATAATTGTCAGATTCACCAAAGCTGAAATGAAAGAAAAAAATGTTAAGGGCAGCCAGAGAGAAAGGTCGGGTTACCCACAATGGGAAGCCCATCAGACTAACAGCTGGTCGCTTGGCAGAAACTCTACAAGCCAGAAGAGAGTGGGGGCTAATATTCAACATTCTTTAAGAAAAGAATTTTCAACCCAGAATTTCATATCCAGCCAAACTAAGCTTCATAAGTGAAGGAGAAATGAAATCCTTTACAGACCAACAAATGCTGAGAGATTTTGTCACCACCAGGCCTGCCTTACAAGAGCTCCTGAAGGAAGCACTAAACATGGAAAGGAACAACCAGTACAAGCCACTGCAAAAACATGCCAAATTGTAAAGACCATCAATGCTAGGAAGAAATTGTATCAACTAATGAGCAAAATAACCAGCTAACATCATAATGACAGGATCAGATTCACACATAACAATATTAACCTTAAATGTAAATGGGCTAAATGCTCCAATTAAAAGACATGGACTGGCAAATTGAATAACAGTCAAGACTCATCAGTGTGCTGTATTCAGGAGACCGGTCTCATGTGCAGAGACACACATAGGCTCAAAATAAAGGGATAGAGGAAGATCTACCAAGCAAATGGGGAAAAAAAAAAAGCAGGGGTTGTAATCCTAGTCTCTGATAAAACAGACTTTAAACCAACAAAGATCAAAAGAGACAAAGAAGGCCATTACATAATGGTAAAGGGATCAATTCAACAAGAAGAGCTAACTGTCCTAAATATATACACACCCAATACAGGAGCACCCAGATTCATAAAGCAAGTCCTTAGAGACCTACAAAGAGACTTAGACGCCCACACAATAATAATGGGAGGCTATAACACCCCACTGTCAACATTAGACAGATCAATGAGACAGAAAGTTAACAAGGATATACAGGAATTGAACTCAGCTCTGCACCAAGTGGACCTAATAGACATCTACAGAACTCTCCACCCCAAATCAACAGAATATACATTTTTTTCAGCACCACACCACACCTATTCCAAAATTGACCACATAGTTGGAAGTAAAGCACTCCTCAGCAAATGTAAAAGAACAGAAATTATAACAAACTGTCTCTCAGACCACAGTGCAATCAAACTAGAATTCAGGATTAAGAAATTCACTCAAAACTGCTCAACTACATGGAAACTGAACAACCTGCTCCTAAATGACTGCTTGGTACATAACGAAATGAAGGCAGAAATTAAGATGTTCTTCGAAATAGATGAAAGCAAAGACACAACATACCAGAATCTCTGGGACACATTTAAAGCAGTGCGTAGAGGGAAATTTATAGCACTAAATGCCCACAAGAGAAAGCAGGAAAGATCTAAAATTGACACCCTAACATCACAATTAAAAGAACTAGAGAAGCAAGAGCAAACACATTCAAAAGCTGGCAGAAGGCAAGAAATAACTAAGATCAGAGCAGAACTGAAGGAGATAGAGACACAAAAAACCCTTAAAAAAATCAGTGAATCCAGGAGCTGGTTTTTTGAAAAGATCAACAAAATTGATAGACCACTAGCAAGATTAATAAAGAAGAAAAGAGAGTAGAATCAAAAGGACACAATAAAAAATGATAAAGGGGCTATCACCACCGATCCCACAGAAATACAAACTACCATCAGAGAATACTATAAACACCTCTATGCAAATAAACTCAAAAATCTAGAAGAAATGGATAAATTCCGTGACACCTACACCATTCCAAGACTAAACCAGGAAGAAGTTGAATCCTTGAACAGACCAATAATGGGTTCTGAAATTGAGGCAATAATTAATAGCCTACTAACCAAAAAAAGTCCAGGACCAGATGGATTCACAGCCAAATTCTACCAGAGGTACAAAGAGGAGCTGGTACCATTCCTTCTGAAACTATTCCAATTAATAGAAAAAGAGGGAATCCTCCCTAATTCATTTTATGAGGCCAACATCATCCTGATATCAAAGCCTGGCAGAGACACGACAAAAAAAGAGAATTTTAGACAATATCCCTGATGAACATTGATGCAAAAATCCTCAATAAAATACTGGCAAACCGAATCCAGCAGCACATCAAAAAGCTTATCCACCACGATCAAGTTGGCTTCATCCCTGGGATGCAAGGCTGGCTCAACATACACAAATCAATAAATGTAATCTGTCATATAAACAGAACCAAAGACAAAAACCACATGATTATCTCAGTAGATGCAGAAAAGGTCTTTGGCAAAATTCAACAACCCTTCATGCTAAAAACTCTCAATAAACTAGGTATTGATGGGATGTATCTCAAAATAGTAAGAGCTATTTATGACAAACCCACAGCCAATATCATACTGAATGGGCAAAAACTGGAAGCATTCCCTTTGAAAACTGGCACAAGACAGGGATGCCCTCTCTCACCACTCAACACTATTCAACATAGTGTTGGAAGTTCTGGCCAGGGCAATTAGGCAGGAGAAGGAAATAAAGGGCATTCAATTAGGAAAAGAGGAAGTCAAATTGTCCCTGTTTGCAGATGACATGATTGTATATCTAGAAAACCCCATCATCTCAGCCTAAAATCTCCTTAAGCTGATAGACAACTTCAGCAAAGTCTCAGGATACAAAATCAATGTGCAAAAATCACAAGCATTCCTATACACCAATAACAGACAGAGAGCGAAATCATGAGTGAACTCCCATTCACAATTGCTTCAAAGAGAATAAAATACCTAGGAATCCAGCTTAGAAGGGAAGTGAAGGACCTCTTCAAGGAGAACAACAAACCACTGCTCAATGAAATAAAAGAGGACACAAACAAATGGAAGAACATTCCATGCTCATGGATAGGAAGAATCAATATCGTGAAAATGGCCACACTGCCCAAGGTAATTTATAGATTCAATGCCATCCCCATCAAGCTACCAATGACTTTCTTCACAGAATTGGAAACAACTACTTTAAAGTTCATATGGAACTAAAAAAGAGCTCGCATTGCCAAGTCAATTCTAAGCCAAAAGAACAAAGCTGCAGGCATCATGCTACCTGACTTCAAACTATGCTACAAATCTACAGTAACCAAAACAGCGTGGTACTGGTACCAAAACGGAGATATAGACCAATGGAACAGAATAGAGCCTTTGGAAATAATACCACACATCTACAACCATCTGATCTTTGACAAACCTGACAAAAACAAGAAATGGGGAAAGGATTCCCTGTTTAATAAATGGTGCTGGGAAAACTGGCTAGCCATATGTAGAAAGGTGAAACTGGATCCCTTCCTTACGCCTTATACAAAAATTAATTCAAGATGGATTAAAGACTTAAATGTTAAACCTAAAACCATGAAAACCCTAGAAGGAAACCTAGGTAATACCATTCAGGTCATAGGCATGGGCAAGGAATTCGTGACTAAAACATCAAAAGCAATGGCAACAAAAGCCAAAATTGACAAATGGGATTGAATTAAACTAAAGAGCTTCTGCACAGCAAAAGAAACTACCATCACAGTGAACAGGAAACCTACAGAATGGGAGAAAATTTTTGCAGTCTACACATCTGACAAAGGGCTAATATCCAGAATCTACAAATAACTTAAACAAATTTACAACAAAAAATCAAACAACCCCACCAAAAAGCGGGCAAAGGAGATGAACAGACACTTCTCAAAAGAAGACATTTATGCAGCCAACAGACACATGAAAAAATGCTCATCATCATTGGCCATCAGAGAAATGGAAATCAAAACCACAATGAGATACCATCTCACACCAGTTAGAATGGTGATCATTAAAAAGTCAGGAAACAACAGGTACTGGAGAGGATGTGGAGAAATAGGAACGCTTTTACACTGTTGGTGGGACTGTAAACTAGTTCAACCATTGTGGAAGACAGTGTGGCGATTCCTCAAGGATCTAGAACTAGAAATACCATTTGACCCAGCCATCCCATTACTGGGCATATACTCAAAGGATTATAAATCATGCTGCTATAAAGACACATGCACACGTATGTTTATTGAGGCACTATTCACAATAGCAAAGACTTGGAACCAACCTAAATGTCCATCAGTGATAGACTGGATTAGGAAAATGTGGCACATATACACCATGGAATACTATGCAGCCATAAAAAAGGATGAGTTCGTGTCCTTTGTAGGGACATTGATGAAGCTGGAAACCATCATTCTCAGCAAACTATAGCAAGGACAGAAAACCAAACACCACATATTCTCACTCATAGGTGGGAATTGAACAATGAGAACACTTGGACACAGGGTGGGGAACATCACACACCGGGGCCTGTCGTGGGGTGGGGGGAGGTGGGAGGGATAGCATTAGGAGATATACCTAATGTAAATGATGAGTTAATGGGTGCAGCACACCAACATGGCACATGTATACATATGTAACAAACCTCCACGTTGTGCACATGTACCCCAGAACTTAAAGTATATTAAAACAAAATCTCAAAAAAAAAAAAAAAGAAAAAAACTGCTATTTTAAATTCTTGGTCAGAGAGTTCACATACCACCATTTCATTAGGGCGCTCATTTGCTTTGTTCGTTTGGGAAGGCATCATTCCCTGTTTGCTGTTCTTTCTCGTGGACATACATCTATGTCTTTATATTGAAGGATTAATTGTTTATTCCAGTCCTCTCTGGCTCATTTTGCTTCTTATTGTATATGTTTGCTTAGAGATTCTTTGCAATTTTCTTTCTTTCTTTTTCTCCCCTACTAGGTAACTGCTCTCTTTTTAGCGCTAGATGACACCTTAATTCCAGGTTTGCCTCAGTTCTGGTTAAACAATCAGAATGCCACCTGACCTGAGTCGGGGATGTCCCAAAGGGATTATCCCAGAAGTATGGGGAGGCTGACTAGGGGTTTGTGTCCCTGTGGAATGAATCTCCCACAGAGTGATTCTGTTGAAAAGCCACTTTGATTTGGCATCTCTTTTGGCCAAGTTACAGAGCAGTTTCCATGGCTAGGGATAGTGACCCTACTTCCCCTGTTTGTCTCTGGCTGTTCTCAGGGATATTTCTCCCACCAGGCATTCTTGATGCTTCCCATGGATGGAGGCAGGGATAATTCTCCTGCCAGAGAACTCAGGATAGCAGGGAAGCTGGTTGTCCACCTTCATCTCACTTTTTCCGCTGTAGAAACTGTGAGTTGTGGGGTGGAGAGGTTCCCTCATGCTGGGTGCTGGGCAGACTGCTGGGAAGGATGTGGCAGATTCTTAGCGAGAACAGTCTGTTTCTGCTCAGAAAATTTTCACTTCTCTGTGGCCCCAGGAACTGTCTCTTTTTCATATTTGAGTTCTGGGATATTGCTGGTGATAGTCTTATGCTGTATATTTGTTTTTGGTTTTCTGTGAAGTTCCGTTTTTGAACTACGGGAAAGACTTTTGATGTTGGCTTTCTTAGGGCCAAACCAATGTGAATGGGAACAGGATATCTATACTCTTGACACTAAAGATGAACATTAGACTATAGGAATTAATTTTTTAAAATCACACATTGTAACACTTTCAAAATAATGCATATAGCAAATTAATGTACAAATCTTGCTGTGCTTCTGAATTGCCTGAGGGAACTTTTTCTTTTTTAATGTGGATTATAGCAACAACCACTAGCAGTCCTGATTCAGTAGAAGCAGAGCCCAGGAATCTGTACTTACAGGAAGGGCCCTCCTGCCCCTCACCCAACATGCACACACATATACCTCCTCTTGCCTCCACCCACACATCAGCCAGGGCTCTCAGCTGTGGGTGATAATGAACCCTCAGAATTTAACCACAAAGCCTGTCTTTTCCAGGTCAAAATATAACCACAACTATCACCACCTCTATTCCCACAGTTCCTCTCTATCTTCTTTCCTCACTATGTGTTTCATTGTTAGCAAGTCTGGTCAACTTTACTAACACCAGAATCCCATCAGTTCTCACTATCCTCACTACCACCATGTTGGCTTAAGCCATCACCTTCACCTTAGATCACTACAACAGCTCCATTCCCCTACTAATTACCCCCAGTTTTCTAAACAGCTGTATTAAGGTATATGTTATCTTCATAAATTTCATCCATTGTAAGTGTACAAATCAATTGTTTTTAGTAAATTTGTAGAGTTGTACAACTTTCACCATAATCTAATTTGAGAACATTTCCATGTCTTCCAAACAGGGTTGACCCATTTTTGGTCAGTCCAGTGCCCACGCCCAGCCTAGGCAACCATTAAATCTTGTTTCTGACTGTATAGATTAGCCTTTTCTGGAATTTCACATACATGGAATAATACTATATGTGGTTGCTTATGTCTGATTTTTTTCACTTGGTAAAATGTTTTTGAGATTCATCCAGGTTGTAGCATGTATCAGTAGTTTGTTCCTTTTTTTGCTCAACAGTATTCCTTTGTATGGATACATCAAATTTTGATTATTCATTCACTAGTTGATGAAAAATTTTATTATTTCCAGTTTTGGGCTACTATGGATAATGCTTCTGTGAATTTTTGCATACAAGTCTTTGTGTGGACATATATTTTTATTACTTTTGAGTAAATATCTAGGAGTAGAATTGCTGAATCATATGATAAGTATATACTTAACTTTTTAAGAAACTGCCAAAATACTTTCCAGAGTGATGGTACTATATTATGTTCCCATCAGCAATGTATAAGGTTTCTCCACATCCTTGCCAATGCCTAATATTGTCAGTCTTTTTGACACTAGTAGTAGATGTGTGTTGTAGCATCTCATTTTGATTTTAATTTGCATTTCTCTAATGACTGATGATATTAAGCATCTTTTCATGTGCTTGTTAGCTATTGAACATCTAATTTTTGGTGAAATGGCCTATTCAAATTCCTTTCCCATTTAAAAATGGGATTGTTTATCTTATTACTGAATTTATTAGTTCTAGTAGTATGGGTTTTTGGGTTTTGTTTTGATGATAGATTCCTTGGGATTTTCTGCATACAGAATCATGTTATCTGTAAATAAAAACAGCTTTACTTCCTCCTTTCCAATCTAGATGTTTTGTTTTTTTGTTGCCTTATTGCAGTGATAAGATATTCTAATACCATGTTGAATAAAAATAATGAGAGGTGACACCTTTGCTTTACTACCAGTCTTAACAGTATTTCATATTAAATATGAAGTTAGCTGTAGGTTTTGCATAGATACCCTTTATCAGATTAAGGAAGTTCCTTTCTTTTCCTATTTTGCTGAGAGGTTTTGTCATGAATGGGAGTTGGATTTTTTCAAATGCATTATTTTCTAAAAAGTATTAACAGGTTTTATATTGGAATTAGATTGTCGGTGGAGCTGGAAGAGGAGAGTTCTGGAAGGCTGCAGCTGGAGGATCAGAGGAAAAGTCACTAATGATGTCAGCCTGAAACAAAGGAAAGGCTGGGCTCACAGGGAAGTCTGATCAGCTGCATGGGCTTGTGGAGAGCACTGTGATGCCACATCTGCCTGTCATGGCCTCACAGCCACAGTAGCTTTCATTTCATTTCATTTATTTATTTATTTTTGACATGGAGTCTCACTTTGTTGCAGACGCTGGAGTTCAGTGGCGTGATCTCAGCTCACTGCAACCTCCACCTCCCGAGTTCAAGCAATTCTCCTGCCTCAGCCTCCCAAGTAGCTGGGACTACAGGCACGCACCACCACACCTGTCTAATTTTTGTATTTTTAGTAGAGATGGGGTTTCGTCATACTGGCCAGGATGGTCTCGAACTCCTGACCTCAAGTGATCTGCCCGCCTCAGCCACCCAAAGTGCTGGGATTACAAGCATAAGCCATCCTGCCTGGCCCCATTTTTTTTTGAATTGTAAAATGCACATACCATGAAGTTTACCATCTTAACCATTTTTAAGTGTGCAGTTCAGTAGTGTTAAGTACACTCACATTATTGTGCTACCCTCATTACCATCCATCTCCAGAACTCTTTTCGTCTTGCAAAATTGAAACCCTATACCCATTAAACACTAATTCTCCATTCCTTTCTCCTGCTAGTGCCTGGCAACCACCATTCTACTTTCTATCTCTGAGTTTGTCTAGGTACCTCGTGTAAGGGGAATCATACAGTATTTGTCCTTTTGTGTCTGGCTTTTTTCACTTAGCATAATATCCTCTAGGTTCATTCATGTTGCAGCATATATCAGAATTTTCTTTCTTTTTAAGGCTGAATAATACTTCATTGTAGGTATATACTAAATTTTGTTTATCCATTCATCCTTTAA
Organism: Homo sapiens; assembly: GCF_000001405.40. Taxonomy (NCBI): domain Eukaryota; kingdom Metazoa; phylum Chordata; class Mammalia; order Primates; family Hominidae; genus Homo; species Homo sapiens. The sequence continues at coordinate 134,742,740 of NC_000002.12, read as the reverse complement.
GGGACATTTGGGTTACTTCCAACATTGGCCCATTGTGAATAATGCTGCTGTGAACATGGGTGTACAAATATCTGTTCAAGTCCCTGCTTTTGATTCATTTGGGCATATACCCAGATGTGGAATTGCTGAATCCTGTGGTAATTCCATTTTTAACTTCTTGAGGAACTGCCATATTGTTTTCCATAGCTACGCCATTTTACATTTCCATAGCAAGTGCATTTTGTGCATCTGTTGAAGTGCATATGAAAGGTTTGTCCTTTATTCTTTTTTTTTTTTTTTTTTTTTTTTTTTGAGATGGAGTCTCACTCTGTCGCCCAGGCTGGAGTGCAATGGTGCGATCTCGGCTCACTGCAACCTCCACTTCCTGGATTTAAGAAATTCTCCTGCCTCAGCCTCCCGAGTAGCTGGGATTACAGGCGCCCACCACTATGCCCGGCTAACTTTTGTAATTTCATTAGAGACAGGGTTTCACCGTGTTGGCCAGGCTGGTCTGGAACTCCTGACCTCAAGTGATCTGCCTGCCGCAGCCTCCCAGAGTGCTGGGATTACAAGCATAAACCACTGTGCCCGGCCTTCTTTATTCTATTAATATGTTGCAGTTCATTAATTGATTTTTAGATGTTACTAACCTCACATTCCTGGGATAAATTTCTTGATCATGGTACATAACACTTTTTACATGTTGCTGGATTCAGCTTTCTCACATTTTGTTGAGGATTTTTGTGCATATGTTCATAGGGTTATTATTCATTAGATTTTAGTCTTCTTTTCCTGCTGTATTTGGCTTTGTTGGTAGGATAATGCCAGCTTCATATGACAAATTGGGAAGTATTCCCACATGTTCAATTTTCTGAAAGATATATATGTGGGATGTTGTAACTGCTTCCTTAAATATTGGATGAAATTATCCAGGCAAACTTTTATTTATTTATTTATTTATTTATTTATTTAATTTTTTGAGACAGCATCTCTCTTGGTACCCAGGCTGGAGTGCAGTGGCGCAATCATAGCTCATTGCATCCTCAAACTCCTGGGCTCAAGCAATCCTCCTGCATCAGGTTCCTGTGTAGCTAATACTACAGGCACTGCGTACCACCTATCCTGGATAATTTTTTCCTTTTTATTTTTTTTGTAGAGATGAAGTCTTGCTGTGTTGCCCAGGCTGGTCTCTAATTTCTGGCCTCAAGCGATCCTCCTACCTCAAACTCCCAAAGTGCTAAGATTACAGGCATGAGCTATTGTGCCAGCTCCAGGTGACCTTTTAAAAGCCTGTTTCAGATTATATCTTTTTAGCTTAAAACCCTTCTGTTGCTTTCTATCCCATTTAGATTAAGAGCTAAACTCTTTACCTTGGTCTATGAAACTAAATGGTCTTTTCTGTCCACTCTTCCAAACTCATCTCTCCTCTGACCACTCCCCTTCCCCACCATACTCCAGCCACCCTGGCCTTTTGTGTGTCCCTTAAACATACTGAGCCTGTTCCCACTATGCCTAACTGTTTTACTTCAGGGCCTTTGCACTCCCTCTGAAACATACTTTCCCCAGGTGATTTCGCCAGTGATGCTGCTCATCTGGGTTTTTGTTTTCTTTTTGAGACGAAGTCTCACTCTGTTGCTCAAGCTGGAGTATAGTGGCATGATCTCAGCTCACTGCAGCCTCTGCCTCCTGGGTTCAAGCAATTCTCCTGCCTCAGCCTCCCGAGTAGCTGAGATTACAGGCATGTGCCACCATGCCTGGCTAGTTTTTGTGTTTTTAGTAGAGAAGAGTGTTTTAGTTTCACCATGTTGGCCATGGTTGGCCAGGCTGGTCTCGAACTCCTGACCTCAGGCGATCCGTCTGCCTTGGCCTCCCAAAGTGCTGGGATTACAGGCATGAGCCACCGTGCCTGGCCTCATCTGGGTTTTTGGATCTCAGCCTGAACCTCACCTCTTAGAGAGGCCTTTCTAAAGTAGAGGCCAGACTCAGGGATCTATTCCATCACTCTGTCTCATCGTCCTATTTTAATTCTCTATGTGACTATCGCATCCTGTAGGTTTTCGTGGTTCTATGTTAACTATCTCTCCTCGCTTGAATGTAAGCTTCTTATGCACAGGACCCTCATGTTTTTTTCTTGCCAATGTCTTCCCACCACCAAAATCAATGTTGTCACATGGTAGACAGTAAATACTGGTTGAAAAAATGAACATCAATAACCACAATAATAGTTGCTTTTTGGCAGCAGGTGCTGATTCAAATGGACTGATGTAAGACCAGGTACTGATTTAAGTGTTCACAAATACCATTTCATTTAGTTCTCTAAAATAATCCTAAATGCAAATATTATTTTCCCCCGTTAACTAAGAAGGAAATGAGGCTTAGGAGAGACTAAATAAGGTTCATGGCTACACCTTTATTAGGGTGCGGGGCAGGGCAGCCCCAACTAATCTATACCTCGACACACATCCTATCCTCTTTGATTACAGGCAGGAAAAGCTGATCCACCAAATTAAAGGTGGTGGCCTCGGGCTGACAAATCTCTGTGGAAGCCCAGGGTGAGGCCCCTTTGTTCTGAGCGGTGGCCTGTGTGAGCATTTGAGGAGGTGCTGTACAGCAAAGGCCCTATCCGTGGCACAGTCTTGATGAGTAACAGACAGACGTCTTTAGAGGCTTTGTTTTCACATCCTCTTTTTGAAAATGGATTTGCTTCCTTAAACACAGTTGGCTTCATCTTTTACATAATACACAGTCATATTACTGCCTTTCGTGAAGCCAGTGTCTTCTTGGCCTCCATGTGTGTCAGCTGAAGCTTTAGACTGTCTGACCACAGAAGCTGATGACCCACAGTCACTTGAATGCTTTCTTCTGTTCCAAGAACCGCACCTAGAGCACCATGGGGATGACCTCATGTCATCCTTGCAACAGCCCAGCTCTGGTTACCTAGCCCATTTTATGGATTAGAACCCTGAGGCTCAAGGGGGCTAAATTTGGCACCCCAAATCACATAACTAGTCCATGGCAGGGGTGGCACAGGATATGAACAAAGGACTGTGTACATTCCTACTGCCTATGTATGTCTGTGCAGCAGCCAGCCAAGAGGCATGTGTTATGTGATGCTTACTATTTATTACTTCTCTACAACAGGGATAAGATAATGATGATGACAATGATAACTCCCAGCCTTGTGATAGGACTTGAGCTTCATTATCTCACAATAGCCCCATAAGGGGTATAGTTGGGGCCCCCACCAGATACACTTTAATCTGCCAGGCACCACCCCGTAGCTGAGTGTTGGCTGCTCACAGGTTGCAGCTGCTTCCTTCTTCTGAATGCTCAGCTAAGGGGAGCCACCTTGCCTAGAAATGCCTGCTTTCCCCCTAGGGGTGGCCACAGACAATGAGTGACAGATATGGGGTGCAAAAGTCTGGTGCCTTGTCTCAAGGTTGCATAACTTTGTGGTGTTCTTCATGCTATGGTGGGATCAGGCTGAGGTGGGATCAGACTGAGAGGTTAAAATGCAGCTGAATCTACATTTTTCTTGGCTTCCTTTTTCTTTCTATCTTGCCACTCACATTCTCTTTCTGAGATCACTTGCACCAAGAATCTGTGTCTCAGGTCCTGCTTCTATAGAACTTCAGACAAGCCCTATGAATCCAGAACTATTGTCCATATTTTGCTGAGCGGGAGCGTGAAGCTGGAGGTGGCTGTCCCCACTTCATCTTGTCCTAGAGATGTGGCATGTCTCTGACCTCCTTAGCCGTGTTGGGAGTGTTCATCTGCAGTGCCCCTCTTTGAAACCACTGCCTCCCAAGGACCAGAGGTGCAATCTCATGGGCTGTGCTCCTCTGGGCCCACTCTTTTTTATCTTCATTCTTTCCCTGGCTTCTGTCTCATCCTGGTTGCCCATCACCCATCATGAACCATGGCCATGGGACACTCTCAGACAAGCTGGAGGCTGAGGTAACCATGAATTTGCCTTGCCCAGCATGATTTTCTTCCTGTGCCTTCTCCTGATAGTAATCCTGCCCTCCAGCTTTGCCCACAGTGTGGACACATGACCCAGGCTGAACCAGGGCACCATCCCTGGCTGGTTACAGAGATTGGCTCAGAAATGAGCACATTGCAGGAACATAAGTCCCTGGATGACCTTGGCCGACCCAGCTCTTCCCCTTCTTGCTTTTCATTCCTAGACAGAAACTACTGAAAATCCTGTAATAAGGAGGAAATGTCTGGAGCAATCCAGGCTACATTCTTATTCCTTCTAGAATAGGATGTTCTGCAGTGCTTGCATTCAGTGGTCCAAGTGGTACCCAGGGTATATAAACCCAGGATGGAGTGCTTTCAGAGTCCCTCAGCTAGAGTGTAATGTGAGGCATGCTTAGACTGCATCTGCCCTTGGCAGCATTCCTGAACCCTGGGGAACTGCTCATGGTGGACCCTGGGTTTCTGTTGATTTTTGCTGCTTAACTGTGAGTAACAAAGTTGCTTTTCATAAATTGTGCCAATGTTCTGTCTTCCCAGACTAGACCAAAAAATGCAAGTGGTGAGGGATTGGGGCTCCTTTTTTCTCCTTGCAACTGTCCTGATGGCGTGGGGACTGCTGCAGCAGCCAGGGCTGCTTTGAGCCCCAGAGTAAGAACCCTCGCAGAACTCTGGAAGCTGGGTTTGTGCAAAACCTCCTGCCAGACTTGAACTTTGCATACATTATCAAGCCAGGATAATTAGAGCCCTTCCTTGGGACTGTTTTATAGAAACTAAGGGAAAGGACAGCCTCCTGCCTCTCGAGTTTTTAGAAGGATTCAAATCTAGGGCTGTCAGCATTCATCTTTCCTGCCATGTGGGAAAGACCCTTCGGAGGTAATATACAGTATGCCGACATTCAGGAAGTGACAGCAGCAAGGCGTGGAGAGAGTAAACAGCAGTCTAACAACAGTGATGCAGTTCAGGGTCTGCCACACCTGGTGCACCCTGTCCTTCCTGCTGACACAAGCCAGCATAGGCTCTGTCATCGATTTCTGTCTGTTTCACCTTGAGATTATCCTGGCTTATCTGGGTGGCTTTATTTTAATCACAAAGATCCTTATAAGAAGAAAGCAGGGGAATCAGAGTCAGAGAGAAGAAGGCTAACTGGCAATAAAAACAGAGATTGGAGCAATTCAGCCAGGAGCCAAGGAGTGACGGCCACCTTTAGAAGCTGGAGGATGCAAGGAAACAAATTCTCTCCTGGAGTCTCCAGAGAAAATCAGCTTTGCTGACACCCCCATAAGATGATTTCAGCCCCATAAGACTCATTTCCAGCTTCTGACTCCCAGAATTGTAAGAGAATAAATTTGTGCCGTTTCAAGCCTCCAAGTCTGCAGTAATTTGTTACGGAGCAATAACAAATGAGCACACACCACTGCACCTCAAGTTTCTCACTTGTAAATTGGAAGTCTTGCCAAATTTAGCTGACCTGTGAGGCCTCATCTAACTCTCTTTTTCGTATTTGCATTCTATAATTATTCTCTTGGCTTTCTTTTGGGCTAGGCAGAATAAGTATCTATAGTATCTATCAGCTGGCTTTTTCAGACATTCAGAAATTGAGGAGCAGTGAGGTATAAGAAGGACACACAGCTCTGGCCAAGGCGAACCAGAACCCAGTCACTCATCTCTTCAGTTCTGTTAGATTACAAAGTCATAGAAGAGGTCTTTCTTGCTTATGTTTTGTTTGGATAAGAATAATTTGGGCCAATCCCAATGGCATTGGCATCATGAGATGACAACACAAGGTCAGACTAAGGGAGGACTTGAAAGTCAGAGTCAAGGTGATGAATAGCAGCCCTTCCCAACAGGCATTGAGTGTTAGAACCAATTATCAAGTTTATAAACAGCCACAAAGCTTCACAGTTTCCCAAGGTGGCACAGACACTTGCACACATGGGATTACTACTTTAGAATTAAAGTACTATGAGGACTTTTTCCCCCGACTTATTAAGGGGCCTTTTCATCTGAAGATCTTGATGTCCATTTCTGCCCAGTGAGAACTTAGAATTTTCAGTCTTCACCTGAGAAAAGAGGAAGAAAAACATCACAGAGGAGAAAGAGGAACAAAAATTTCCACCCTTATGTAAAGGTTCCTTAAACAACTGTGTTGAAACAGGGTCCTTAAACAACAGTAGTGAAAAGGACTACACTGAGTTATTTTAATAGGGTCATTGTTAATTCACTCTTTTTTCATTAAATCAGTAAATATTTTTCCACTTTATAAATGTCTGTCTACCTTATCCCAGGCACTGTTCTAAGCATTCGTGATACATTTTTGAATAAAAGTGGCAACCCCTCTCATCCACATGGGCCACACATTCTTAGGATGTCTGATGGAGCGTGGCATTACTGATTGTGAAAAGCTGATGGCTGTGGAATTAGAGGGCTTCCTCAGGTTCATTCCTGGGAGGTGAGTCACATTGTCAGCCTGTGTCTCCAGCAGCCATTCCTCCTTCCCCACTGTATTGCAAATATATTCTTAAATTTTCTGTATATTATGATGTTTTGACATCATCAAACATTAAACCCATTTTGGGTCCAGGGGAGACTGCCCCTCTGGGGCTAGCCAATTCCTAGAGATAACAAAAGGCCCAGCCTGGAGCGTGGTCTTTGTTTATTTATTTATTTATTTATTTATTTATTTTTTATGTTTGTTTGTTTCTCTTTTTGTTTTTTTTGAGAGAGGGTCTCATTTACTCTGTCGCCCAGACTGGAGTGCAGTGGTATGAACATGGCTTAATGCAGCCTTGACTTCCTGGGCTCAAGCCATCCTCCCACCTTAGCCTCCTGGGTAGCTGGGGTCACAGGCATGCACCACTACACCCAGCAAATTAAAAAAACATTGGGATAGAAACAGGGTTTCGCCTTGTTGCCCAGGCTGGTTTCAAACTCCTGGGATCAAGTGATTCTCCCACCTTGGCCTTCCAAAGTGCTGGGATTACCACACCTGGCCCTAGAGCATTTGATTAGCAAACTAACCAACCAGAGCCCTCCCTCATCTGACCCACACACCCCAGGAGACAATGTCTGTCTGCGTTCATCACTCCAGGGCCAGGTGCCAGGCAACCAGGGACCACCCCTGTAACCTAGAGCCCACTGAAATTCTTCAAACTAGCCAATCCTAAACTGTTCACCCTGCCCTACCTTGCTTTTTCCACAGAAACACCAAGGAAGGCTCTGGTCTAAACCTTGCCCTCACTCCTGTCTTCTGGCTCCTGACCACCCTGGTGTCTTCCCCTGTGGCCCTGCAAGGCATATCATGCTTCCTGTCTCTAGGACCTGTGAGTATAATAAACTTTGTTTTCCTGAGCCTCCCCTGTGTCCCCTGTTGTGCCCACACGGACTCATCCTCGCACAAAAGAACACAAAACAGCCACTCACCAAGCTCCTGTCTCTTTTAGTGGATGAGCACAGGGCCCAGCAGGAAAGGCTGGAGCTCATGGAGTCAGATTCTGTGATTCCAGTTTTGGCTCGGTCACCCCCTAGCTGTGGGACCTCAGGAAAGTCATTTTCAACCTCTCAGAGCCTCAGTTTTCTCAGCTGTAAGATGGAGGCGATAATGATGACTTTGTGTTGCTTCCATGAGGGTTAAAGAATGGAAAGTGCTGGGCCCAGAGTAGCTATGAGTCTCTCACCTGTTCTCGCCCCAATTATGGGCTGGACGAGCTCTGGTATAAACAGTTATTCTGGGATTGAAGTAGACATGGAACACGGAGGTAAGGAAACACCAGAACTGAGGGAGCCAAGCTCATTTGTAAATGGTAACCAGACAGCAGGCGCTGGGCAAGGGCATGGCAGGGAGAGGCCAGGTATCCACTTATTCATCCATTCAACAGACGTTCATCATGCCCTACTGTACACATGCTGGGCACTGTATTAAGACCCAGGGAGACTGAGAATAAGATGGGTACAGTCACGAGAAGGGGACCAATGGAAAGCAATACAATACAATCTGATACGTGCTCTGAAAGAGGGGTGCACTGGTGTGTTTTTGGAAAAGGAGGAGGGCCTATGTCCCACCTGGGCATGGGGAGAGTGTCAGGGAAGGTTTCACAGATCATGCAAGCACTAAATGGAAGGCATTAGCCAGGTGGAAGAGCATTCCAGGCAGGTGGGAAAACAAAGGGCAAGACTTAGTGACTTGGGGGAACCCAGGACATGAGTGTGGCTGGAGCTTAGGGGTCAAAAGGGAGAGAGAAAGGTGCAGAGGCCCTAAGAGGCCAGAACATGGGTGGCTTTTGATGTCAGGCTAGGGAACTTGTAAATATTAGCCTGTGATAATGAGGAGCTATTGGTGGCATTTTGGCAGGGAAAAGACACGACTAAGCTTGTGTTTTATTACTTTGACTGCATTGTGGAGAAGGAGTGGGGCAGAGGGAGCTGTTAGGGGAAGCAGAGCCAGCAGGAGGCTCTAGCTCAGTTCAGGTGAGAAACGATGACAGCTCTGGGAACATGGCAATGGGACTGGACTAGTGGTTCCCATTTGGCTGCATGTTGGAATTACCTGGACAAATTAAAAATAAAATACCCATGCCCCATTCCACAAAATCCAGCATCTGTTTATAATTAAAACTTTTAGCAAAATCAGACATACCTCAATGTAATAAAAGCCATCTATGACAAACCCACAGCCAACATAATACTGAATGGGAAAAAGTTGAAAGCATTCCCTCTGGGAACTGGAACAAGACAAGGATGCCCACTCTCACCATTCCTCTTCAACGTAGTACTGGAAGTCCTAGCCAGAGCAATCAGAAAAGAGAAAGAAATAAAGGCCATCCATATTGGTAAAGAGGAAGTCAAACAGTCACTGTTTGCTGATGATATAATCGTTTACCTTGAAAACCCTAAAGACTCCTCCAGAAAGCTTCTAGAACTGATAAAAGAATTCAGCAAAGCTTCTGGACACAAGATTAATGTACACAAATCAGTAGCTGTTCTATAAACCAACAGTGACCAAGCGGAGAATCAAATCAAGAACTCAGCTTTTTTATTACAAGAGCTGCAATAAATAAATAAATAAATAAATAAATAAATAAATAAAATAGTTAGAAATATACCTAACCAAGGTGAAAGACCTCTACAAGGAAAACTATGAAACACTGCTGAAAGAAATAATAGACGAAGCAAACAAATGGAAACATATTCCATGCTTATGGATAGGTAGAATCAATATTGTGAAAATGGCTATACTGCCAAAAGCAATCTACAAATTCAAGGCAATCAGCTTCAAAATACCACCATCATTCTTTGCAGAATTAGAAAGAACAATTCTAAAATTCATATGGAACCAAAAAAGAGCCCACATAGCCAAAGCAAGACTAAGCAAAAAGAACAAATCTGGAGGCATCACACTACCTGATTTCAAACTATACTATAAGACCATAGTCACCAAAACAGCATGGTACTGGTAAAAAATAGGCACATAGACCAATGGAACAAAATAGAGAACCCCGAAATAAACCCAAATACTTACAGCAAACTGATCTTTGACAAAGCAAACAAAAATATAAGGCAGGGAAAGAACACCCTTTTCAACAAGTGGTGCTGGGATAATTGGATAGCCACATGTAGGAGAAAGAAACTGGGTCCTCATCTCTCACCTTATTCAAAAATCAACTGAAGATGGATAAAGGGCTTAAATCTAAGACCCAAAACTTTAAAAATTGTGGAAGATAACATTGGAAAAACCCTTCTAGACATTGGCTTACTCAAGGATTTTATGACCAAGAACCCAAAAGCAAATAGCTGGGATTTATTTAAACTAAAGAGCTTTTGCATGGTAAAAGCAACAGTAAGCAGAGTAAACAGACAACCCACAGAGTGGGAAAAAGTCTTCACAGTCTATATATCTGACAAAAGAATAATATCCACTATCTACAACAAACTCAAACAAATCAGTAAGAATAAAACAAACAATCCCATCAAAAAGTGGGCTAAAGACATGAATAGACAATTTTCAAAAGAAGATATACAAATGGCCAACAAACATATGAAAAAATGCTCAACGTCACTAATGATCAGGGAAATGCAAATCAAAACCATAATGCGATACCAACTTACTCCTACAAGAATGGCCATAATCAAAACATTAAAAAAACAGTAGATGTTGGCATGGATGCGGTGATCAAGGAACACTTCTACACTGCTGGTGGGAATGTAAACTAGTACAGCCATTATGGAAAATAGTGTGGAGATTCCTTCAAGGACTAAAAATAGAACTACCATTTGATCCAGCAATCCCACTACTGGGTGTCTACCCAGAGGAAAATAAGTCATTATACGAAAAAGATACTTGCATATGCATGTTTATAGCGGTACAGTTCGCAATGGCAAAATCGTAGAACCAACCCAAGTGCCCATCAATCAATGAGTGGACAAAGAAACTGTGTTATACATACACGATGGAATACTACTCAGCCATAAAAAGGAATGAATTAATGGCATTCGCAGCAACCTGGATGAGATTGGAGACTATTATTCCAAGTGAAGTAACTCAGGAATGGAAAACCAAACATGGTATGTTCTCACTGATATGTGGGAGCTAAGCTATGAGGATGCAAAGGTGTAAGAATGATACAATGGACTTTGGGGGCTTGGGGGGAAGGGTGGGAGGGGGCGAGGGATAAAAGACAACAAATAGGGTGCAGTGTTTACTGCTCGGGTGATGGGTGCACCAAAATCGCACAAATCACAGCTAAAGAACTTACTCATGTAACCAAACACCACCTGTACCCCGATAACCTATGAGAAAAAAATACCCAAGCCCAAGCCCCATCCCAGACTAATTAACCCAGAATATCTAAGGTGGGCTTAGGCGTGGGTGTTCTAAAGAGCTCCCCAGGTGAATCTCATGTGCAGTCAAGGTGGCAGCCCACTGGGTTAGAGAAACAGGAAAGAGGACATATCTTCAGTGGTGTTTCTCAAAGTGTGGTCATATCCCTCAGAATTACCTGAGGGTATTTGTTAAAAGTGCAGGTTTCCCAGCCCCATCACTGAACTAGTGAGTCTGCATCTCTGGAGCTGTGGTCTGGGAGTCTGAATTCACAAAGCAGTGAGTCTTAAGCCCTGAAAGACTGGAAAACCATTCATCTGCAGGCACCAAATAAGGGAAGTAAGCACCAACTCTAAGTGGACTGGTGGGCAGAATCTGGGAGGAGTAGAACTGAAGGGACCACCCATCAGAGGTCAGGAAGACAAAGGGAAGAAGGGGCCTAGGAGCCACCCAGACAGCAACAGAACGTCAAGGAGGCTCCTTCTGGACCATTCAGGGGTTTCCATAGCACACTTGGGCTTGGGCACTGTATTAGTCTACTAGGGCTGCCATAGCAAAAACCACACACCAGGGGCTTTAACAATAGGAATTTGTTTTCCCTCAGTTCTGGATGCTGGAAGTCCAAGATCAAGGTGTCTACAGGATTGCTTCCTTCCAAGGCCATTCCCTTGGCTTGTTGGTGGCTGTTTCCTCCCTCTGTTTTCACATGGTCTTCCCTTTGTGGGTATCTGCATCCTCATCTCTTCTTATAAAGACATCAGTCATATTGGACTAGAGCCCACCCAGGTGATCTCGTTTCACCTTAATTGCCTCTTTAAAGGTCCTATCTCCAAATACAGTCACATTCTGATATACTGGGGGTTAGGGCTTTGTATTAGTCCATTCTCACACTGCTATAAAGAAATACCCAGGACTTGGTAGTTTATAAAGAGAAGAGATTTAATTGACACATCGTTCTGAAGACTGTACAGGAAGCATGACGGCATCTTCTTGGCTTCTGGGGAGGCCTCAGGAAACTTTCAATCATGGCAGAAGGCAAAGGGAAAGCACACATCACATGGCTGGAGCAGGAGCAAAAGAGAGGGGAGGGAGGTGTGACACATTTTTAAACAACCAAATCTCATGAGAACTAATCACAAAGGGAATGGTGCTAAACCATTCAAGAGAAATCCACCCCCATGATCCTATCACCTCCCTCCAGGCCCTACCTCCAACATTGAGTATTACCGTTTGACATGGGATTTGGGCAGGAACACAGGTCCAAATCATATCAGCTTCAACATATGAATTTTGTGGAGATACAATGCAGCCCATAACAGATATCTTGGAGCTGGAAAGGGAGATGGAGACATATGGGCCCTGACACCCACAAGAAAATAGATCAGATGAATAGAAGGTTTCCACTAAGGGCAGGTGAGAACACAGGCCTTCAGGAAGCCTCCGACAGGACGGAGCAGGCCGCTGGAGCACCTCCTTCAGGGACCCAGTTGATTCTCTGTCAGGAAGATAAGGAAAAGGGAAAGAAGTTATAATAAAAACTACAAGTAAAATATTACAGAAAAGAGTAAAGAAAGAATCATGTTTACAGTTGAATGCAATAGATAAGTTATTTCATGGAAAATTCTCCATATGAAATATTTTGTATTAAAGCTCTAGGTTGCCTCCAGGTGACATTCTAGCTAAGAGCTTGCATGTGTTTAAGTCGATCTGAGCTTGCAGGCAGGGGAATGGACTGGGCTTCCATGGATTTTGGTATCCGCGAGGGTCCTGAAACCAATCCCCCAATACCAAGGGATGACTGTATCTCTTCCAAAAATTACTTTACATTTTCTGTTTAAGATATTGTTCAGAATGAAATGGTCAATGTAGAATTTTTGCAGAAGAGATATTTAAAACAATCTAAATGTTCATCAGTTAGGGAAATAGTTAAATTAATTATTGTTCACTCATACAATGGAATATCTTGCACCTATAGAAGGTGAGGTAGATTTATATGTATATAAAGGTGCAGAATAGTGTGAGTTGCAGAATAGTGTGATTTATTATAGTTAAAAATTAACTGTGTGTGTGTATATATCTATATATACAAATATATATATATATATATATATATATATATATATATGCAAAAAATGGCCTCAAAGGATATTTACAGCAATGAATAATATGGTGGCCTTCCCAGTCTCCATTCCAACTATACTCCATCATGTAGTAGCCATTTATTTGATTTGGGTGGAACTGACCCCTCATCCTTCAGAGGTTGGTCCTATTCTTGGAATCAGTTAGGATAATCCCATCCTTTTTGCCACAGAGATTGATTCAGGAATGGGAACTGCTCCAATTATTACTTGACATTCCCCAGGCCTTAATGATTGGCTTGTAAGTAGGCATATAACCAAATTTGATCCAATCAGAATGAGGCCTAGGACTTTCACTCCACCGTTGTTGAGTTTCTCTCTCTTCCTTCTCTTTCTTTTCTTTCCCTCCCTACCCACTTCTCTCTGATAAAATATGTAGCCCTGTTGTCAGCTATGTTACAACCTGAAATAAGCCAGCCTCGGGATGCAGCTGATATCTTGGAAGCAGAGCAAGGAGATAGAAATGGAGTCTTTGATGACATAGTTGAGTGACTGAATTAAACAAATCCCAAAGCCTGCCCAAACTCTGGACTTTCAAGATCTCTTTACATTATCTGTTTAAAGTGTTCAAAATGAAATGGTCAATGTGGCATTGTTTGTAATAGCAAAACATTGGAAACAAATGTTCATTCACTCAGAAAATGATTAAGTAAATTATGAGAGGCAATACATTGTTTTACTGTATTGTCCACTTTGAATTGAGCTTTTCCTTAATGGTAGCATAGTTTGAACTGATAAATGCACCAAACTGTTACAAGTTTTTAACCTTGGGAATGGAGGTGGTGGAAGTCCGGGGTGGGCAGAGTGTTGATAGGGAAACTCTTTCACTTTCTACAGTTTTGTACTTCTGTTAAGTTTTAACTTTTTACAATGAGCATACGTTGCTTTCTTTTAGAATTAAAAACTTTTTAAAATAAATGGAGAGTAAAATATAGAAACTTTTCACAAAATAGTTTGTGCCAAAGCAAATTTGGAAATATTTTCATCTAGTCGTGGGAGGGGTGGGGTTAGTGCTTGGAGGGGGACAAAGGAGACACTTTAGGGGTACGGATCATATTCTGTTTATGGAAATATTTCTGTGTGTTCACTTGGTGAACATTTTTTGAGTGTAACCTTAAGATTTGTGTGCCCTCTTACATGTGCGTTAAACTTCAATAAAATGTTTACATAAAATATTGCAGGCTTTTAGAGAGGGGTTAAAACATGTGTCAGGTTTGAAATAATGTAATCTCAGCAGCATGTGCCACAATGTACATACGAGACGGGAAGGGAAGGTTGTCCGCCATCTTTAGGAGGATGGTAAAAGTTACATTTTTTTTTTCCTGAAATTTCCCCCATCTTAGCAGTTTCAAAGCTAGAACATGTTTCTCTTTATTTTTCTACTGATGGAGGGGGAAGGAAGGAGGCCTAGGAAGATGCAATCTCTGGGAACTGCCTCAGTGGCCGGATGTGAAGTCAGTCACAGATGACCTGGTCAGCTCAATTATCTAAGGCTTGAAGAGAGCAGCTAAGCATTTACTCATTTGTTCCTTCAACAACCTTTTCTTTTTTCTGGGCACTTAAACTCTGCCTGCATTCTGGTAGACGCCTGAAACACTAGGATGAATAAACTGTGTTCTTGCCTCAAGAAATTTCCCATCATGCAGAAAGAAACTGGTATATTAACAAAATTAGAGAAATACAGTGTTATAAGGGCTGCAATGGAAGTATGCATAGAGTATCAATAGAGAGAGGGAAAAATCGGAGCCCCTTAGTTGGTAGTTTTTCAGGACGCAATGATCTAAGGGGTGGCAAGAAGGTGGAATTATCAGAGGTTGGTCACCTGCCGCTTGTAAGGTGTGAGGAAGAGTGAAGTCAAGGGGAGGTATTTCTTGGATCCTGGCTTGAGATGATATGGTGGATGGTGCTGAAATTCTCCAATACATGGAGGTTGAAGATGCATAGATTTTGGGATTCTGCTTTTGGACATATTGAATTTGGGGAGTGGGCTTACTCAGCAGGAGATGTTCAAGGACAATTGGATTTGTGGGTCTAGGGCGAGAGGCCAGAGGGGTAGGAAGAAAATCATGGAGAGCAGATGCCGTAATTTTTTTTGATATGTGAGCAGAAGAAAATGAAACAATTTTTTGAGCGTACGTAACTCCCTTTTCCCATATCAGTTGCAGCTGACTTTGTTCTTTATTCTTTTTATTCCCCTACTCCTCCACATCTTTGACATTTCCCATGGAGCTGAGTGAGATGACTCATTAGTTCTGCATAGTCAGTAGCCCCTAGCAACCTCTGACCGGTTTCAGTACAAACTGTTTAGCCAAGGCAGACCTATTCCTCCCAATATATGTGGTCATTCCAGATAAAAATTTTTATAAATTTTTTATTGTAAAATAGTATTGTAAAAACACAGATACTAAAAATCACAGAAATCAAATGCATGGCTTAATAAATCATTATAAAGCAAGTACCACCCAAATCAAGAAATACAACTCTCCCAGCCACCCCAGAAGTTCCTTCAATATGCCCCATCCAAATTCTTTTCTTCCCCCACAATTAAGCATTAGTCAGAGAAAATTGTGGATTTGTACACTTAACAAAGTTTTAGCTTATTTTGTTGCAGAATCCTTTATGCCCACCATTGCCTTTTCCTGGGATGCCCTTCCACCCTTGTAAGTCAGTGTTAGAACCCACCCCCATTAAGCATTTCCAGATTATATGTGTCAAATACCTATTATGTGTAGTCAGTGTACTAAGGAATCCAAGAAAATGTGTCTTAGGACCTGCTCCCTCTCCTTACTGCATTACTACCTACTTATATTTTATTTGATTTTTCCCCCTTTTGTTAATTTTGTCCTGACATACTTCTCTTCCTGACTCTATTATAGATTCTTTCAAAGTAGAAACAAAACATACTGCTTGTGTTTTCCAGATCCTTGCCATTCAGAGGCTGGTCTGTACACCAGCAGCACTGGCATCACCAGGGAGCTTGTTAGAACTGCAGAAAATTGGACCCCACTCCAGACCTGAGGAATTAAAATCTGCATTTTACCAAGATTGCTAGGTGATTGTTGTGTACTTTCAAGTTAAGAAGCCTGTCCTTGAGCAGGGCTTTCTTGTGCTTTGCTGTACATTGGAATCACTTGGAGATCTTTCAGAAACAGTTAAGCCTGGGTCCCACCCCCAGAGATTCTGAGCAATTTGTCAGGGGTGGGTGGGCTTGAACATCAAGATTTTTAAAAGCATCCTGATAAGGTGACTAACTGTCTCAATTTCTCTGGGACTGAGATAATTTTCCAGGACATGGAACTTTCAGTGCTAAACCCAGGAATGTCTCGGGCCAACCAGGGTAAGTTTGTGGCCCTATCCCTAGTGATTGTAAAGTTGAGACCCACTGCTGATGAGAATGCACAGCAAAGGCTGGGAATGCAGAACTATGCCATTCTATTTCGACTGCAAGTCTCTTAAAGGGTGAAATGACATTTAAACATTCTTTTTGTATGCATATTTTCCAAATGAAGACTCTTAATAATGCTATAACCAACATGATATTTCTCCAAATGCTCTGTAGTCATACCTCAAGTTTATACTTTTTATTCCATGGTAAAGGGAGTTAATAAATTTAAGATTCACACTTCAGGCATGTGGACATACACATACTTCCCTCTTTCCAAGTGAAGATCTTAGAGCCCTTCCTATAAGTGCTGTTGGAGTTGACCTTGGCAGCCAGCTTAGATACTCCTGTACTGGACAGGTCCTCACTCAGCCCCAGCCCTAGAGTCCATGCCTGCAAGGGTGCCACACCCTAGGTCTTGGGTGTTGCTTATCTTTCTTCAAGACATGCAAAAGATGAATAATATGTTTATATTTGTTTTTCCAAAGTCCATACAAGAAGTGAAGTAAAGTAACTATATACCTTAACCTAAGTAACTATACACCTTAACCTGAAATCTCATGGAGCTGTATCAGGTGCAAAAGCCATGCTCTTGGCCATCTGCAGGTTCTTCCATAGAGGCTGTGCATGGTAGTAGATAAAAGCAGACCTCAGGAATGAGATTTGGTTTCCCTATCTTTACAACAGGGATGCTAATAATACCATATCTGATTTATAGACTAAGAGGACTATGTGATTTCTTATGTGAGTTTCGTTAGAACACTCATGACCCTTAGCAAGTGGCTCCACCAGAGATAACTGTGATGTTTATTCCCAGTGGAGGCTCTTATGTCTAACGTGTTTCCTTTGTCTTCTTGGTCTTTCTTCTCTTTCCTATGTATATTCCTGAAATTAGGGCTCTGGGGACATTTACTAAAAATGTTAAAAAATAAATAAGAACAAAAAAATACAGCACTCAATTTCTTATAGTCTTTCAGTTGTCAGGTTTTATGACCATGTGCTCTTACCCATATATGACTTTCTTTTATTTTTCTTTGTTTTTAATTTTATTTTAGGTTTGGGGGTACATGTGAAGGTTTTTTTACATAGGTAAACACATGTCACCAGGAATGTTGTACAGATTATTTCATCATCCAGGTATTAAGTGCAGTACCCAATAGTTATCTTTTCTGCAGCTGGGCATGGTGGCTCATGCCTGTAGTCCCAACACTTTGGGAGGCTGAGGTGGGCAGATCACTTGAGGTCAGGAGTTGAAGACCAGCCTGGATGACATGGTTGGCAGGGGCATGGTGATCCTCAGACGGCAGGTGGAGTGCTTGGGTAAAGGGTGGTAGCAGCTGTACTGAGGCCCTGCCACTGGAGAGGGTGGGGTCATCCTCAGTGGTCACAGCCTGGGCCAGAGGGTAGGAAAACCACATCTCTCTCATGCTCCAGTTCCAGTGGGGCTTGTTCCCCACCTCAGCAGTAGTAGCCTGTTCCTAGTTTATGCCCCTCCCTGGCTGTAGGAGCTCCCACCCAGCTGGCGACTAAGACCAAGCAGCAACTCACACCCTGCTTGCATCCCAGTCTTCTGTCCCAGTGGCACTCACTTCTTGGCACCAACAACGGCTGCCCACAGCTTGCTTGCTTTTTAGCTCTGGCTGTGCGACAACTTCCAGCTTGCTACCCAGTCCCAGCAGCAACAGAGTCTCTGTAATGCCTCAGTCTTGCCATTGCTGGGCTCCAGGACAGTATGCAGTCTGCCAAAGGCTAGGTCTGAAAATGGCACCTTGCCATAGCTGCTTAGGCTCAGAAAGGGTATGGGACCCAATGTGAGCTCCCTCCCTGGAGTGGTTCCATCCCATGATCTCCCAGCAGCTCCCTATGTTAGTGTCAGGAGTTGGGAGGGTTGAGGGACTCTCTTGTGGCAGGAATGCAGGATTCCATGGTGGGGATGTGGGCCTCTGGAAGTCACTCACCCTTTCCTTGCCTTGGGAAGTTACTCCTGCTCCCAGTTCATCCCCTCCAGGCAGGCTGTCTCTCTCCCTTCTTACCTGCTTTCTGGTGTTTCTTGTTACTTCTCTATTGAATCCCGACATTCTCTCTTGGATGGTGTATTCAAAGTATGACTGTCTATACACACTAAGTGGAAGAGGTGGGCATGAAATGCTTCTAATCAGCTGTCTTGAAGCCCTTCCTCAGCTTTCCTTTTTTACAACAGTTTTAGATTTGCATAAAGTTGAGAAGATTAGAAAGTTCCATGTACCTTGCACCCAGTGCCCTCATTACTAACATCTCACATGAGTGCACTTTTTTTTACAACTAATAATTGAGACCTTACTAACTGAAGTCCATACTTGATTCAGAATTCCTTGATTTTTACCTAATGTCTTTTTTTTGTTCCAGGATTTCTTCCACAATGCCATATTTCAGCTAGTGGTTGTGTCTCCTCAGGATCTTTTGGCTGTAATGGTCCAGTCTCCCTTTTTATACCAACTGTTTTGTTTGGTTATTTATTTATTTATTTATTTATTTATTTATTTATTTTTTGAGACAAAGTCTCGTTCTGTCACCCAGGCTGGAGTGCAGTGGCACAATCTTGGCTCACTGCAGCCTCTGCCTTCCAGGTTAAGCAATTCTCCTGCCTCAGCCTCCCGAGTAACTGGGATTACAGGTGTGCACCACCAGGCCTGGCTAATTTTTGTATTTTTGGTAAAGACAAGGTTTCACCATGTTGACCAGGCTGGTCTCAAACTCCTAGCCTCAGGTGATCCTTTTGCCTCGGCCTCCCAAAGTGCTGGGATTACAGGCGTGAGCCACTGTGCCTGGCCCCAACTGTTTTACATTATTCACTATTGTGATTATGAAATTAATTCATGGCTAATGCATATACACATAGTTGAAAAATCAATATAATGACCTAAATTATAATAGAGGAGGAATAAAATAAAGTAATACATAATTAATATTTAAATGCTCACTCAGAGCTACACCAGAGGTCACAAATAAGCAGTCAGATATTTGTACCTATTTATAATTTAAGAACAGAGAGTCAGGCACTCTGGAATATTTTTTACACTTTTTCTTTAAATTGCTGTTATTTTGAAACAGGAACTAAAGAAATATACACATATGAAATTACTGGGCTTGTGGGCATCATATATGTGTTGATTGCTGAAACAGATAACATGAATGGAACTGGCTTCTGTGTCCTGATTTTCCAAAGTGGTAAAAAGAGTACCATCCCTTCCTAGACTTATACAGTAGTTGCATTTCCAGAAATTCCTGTGTGTATTCACAAGATGCAAAAACATTTTGTGTTTATATGTAAAACAAAGTTAAAGTTCCACCGTAATTCGATGCACATTTCAACTGAAGCAAAGGTCAGGTCTGACAAATGAAAGCCATGTGGGACACAGACCAATCTCCTGCATCTGGGGCCACCCCCAACTAAATGTCAGTGGCCCCCTCCTCCCATCATTGTGATGACCAATGAAAGTACCTGCAAATTTCCAAAATGCCCCCTAGCGGGCAGTACCCCTGTGGATTATGGTGGTGGGCAGAGGTCGACAAGGCAGATCGGCCTTTGTTTGTTCATCTGTGAAATGAGGACAGTAGTAGCTGAATGAGGGAGACAATGCATGTAAAACACTTAGCTAGGTACCCGGCACATGGTATGTCCTCCAAAAATGTAAGCTAGTGTTATCTTCCAGTTAATCAGCAGAGATTGTTTGAGGGGACACTGTGTCCCCGATGCCCAGGTAGGTGTTTGTAAGGAATGCACATCAGGCAAGCACCACTATCCCTGCTCCACACATGAAATAAATGGTGAATTATTAATCAATTACAGTTTAGAAAAAGGAGCACCCAAAGGGGAGCTGGAGTCAGAGAAATCTTTCTGGAAAAGACAATAGTGGCTTGTTTAACCAGAGCAGCTGGAACATGATGGGAAATATATTTATTCCATGAATAACAAACAACTCCTAGATCCTTGCTTCTCAAAGTGTGGTCTTCAGATATGCAGCATCAGCAGCATCGGGAGGTTTGTTAGAAACAGCATCTCAGCCTGGTGGAAAACAAACAAAAAAAAGAAACTTTTAATCTGAGGAATGCAAGCCCCTTTACATTATCAGCCCCAGAGACTTACTGGAATGAAACAGCAGCAAGTGACAACCATTTGAGTGAAATAATGATCTCTAGAAGCCACTGACTATGTGGGCTCTAGACTAATTTATGCCAAATAGCCATAAAATGGCCATACACTGGACACCATAACTCCTACCCGACAGTTCAACAATCTATAGCCAAGTTATCTCTGCAAACCAATGAGGATTCCTGTCACACAACTTTATATCGGCCCTCTCTTTGTTCCCTTTGCCTTTAAAAACCTGCTTATAACAAAGGCTAATGGAGCACTCCTCAAGGCAACTTAGAAACGTCCTGGGTAGCTGTCCTCATTTGGGCTCAAGCAAATTCTTTCAATTATATTTTGTGCCTCAGCCTCTTCCTTTTAGGTTGACAGCCTCTATCCCAGACCAACTAAATTAGAATCAGCATTTTAAGAAGAATTGCGGATGTTCATTGCCACGCTCACCTTTGAGATGTGCTGGACTTACAGAACCAACTGAGGAACCAGAGGAAAGAATAATGATACCAGTTCCTTTGGTGAGAATCTGCTGCAGACCGTGTGTGTGTGTATGTGAAGGGCACAGAGCTAGATGGTCCATATTGTGGAGAGTAATCATAAAGGGTGGTTGCAGAATAATTGACATCAGAATGTGTGTTGGAGGCCGGGGGGCAAGAGGGGTTTAAAGGAAGGTTCCCAGCCAGATCCCAGATCTATTGAACCAGAATCTCAGAGAGCCAGGGAGGAATAATTTTTTTTTTTTGAGATGGAGTCTCGCTCTGTCGCCCAGGCTGGAGTGCAGTGGCATGATC
Source organism: Homo sapiens (assembly GCF_000001405.40). NCBI lineage: Eukaryota > Metazoa > Chordata > Mammalia > Primates > Hominidae > Homo > Homo sapiens. Next base: position 134,721,529 of record NC_000002.12, on the reverse strand, counting down.
TCAGCTCACTGCAAGCTCCGCCTCCTGGGTTCATGCCATTCTCCTGCCTCAGCCTCCTGAGTAGCCGGGACTACAGGCACCTGCCACCACGCCCGGCTAATTTTCTGTATTTTTAGTAGAGACGGGGTTTCACCATGTTAGCCAGGATGGTCTCGATCTCCTGACCTTGTGATCTGCCCACCTTGGCCTCCCAAAGTGCTGGGATTACAAGCGTGAGCCACCACGCCCAGCCAATTTTTTTTAAGCCCCCAGATGACTCTTAGAATGGGGAAGTGCCTTACAAAATACCCATGCCAAGGTCCCAGCCAAGAACGATCACGTTAAATATGATATCAGAATCTCTAGCAGTCGAAGCTTCGGTATTTTTGTTCTTAGACTCCCCAGGTGATACTTTGAGAGCCATTGACAGGGGGATTAAATGGGATAGACTGGAGGAAAAAAGTGGAGGAGATGACTCTGCAAATATATCTGAAGGATGTTCTACCTTAGAGGATAGAACCAGGATTAATGGGTAGAGATTTTCATTGTCTTTATCCAAGTAATCATAGCATTTTTCTTTTTCTTTGCAGCAGGAAGGGATCTTTGAAATGACGTAGTTCAACTCTTTCAATTTGTAGTTGAAGAAATTAGTGGTCAACAAGGTAAAGTAAGTTGGTCAAGGTCAACTCAGATCTTCTCATTCCAATCCAGCAACAACAATAATAACAGCAGCAACAAAATAAAGTAAGACCCCTCTCCCCATTTCTGGTGATATTTCCAGTGCACCACAAAGGCATTTAAATCCTACTCTCATTTCAATCACAAGCAAAGCAGACAAGAAAAAGGAAAAGGGTGACTCTTCAAGAAACGAGGAGGACTCCTTTAAATGAGGAATTGACATTTTGGAGTACCCGGATTAAATTCAGAGACTGAATCAATCTAAAGACGAAAGCCGGACTCTAGAGCTTGGATGTTGATACCATTGAAACGGTAGGGGCAGAAAAGGTGTGATACTTTCCTCCCCATCATAAGGGGCACGGCAAACATGCTTATAACAAAAGATAGGCTAATAAGAGAAAAGCGTAACAAATTTATTGAATCAAAGTTTTATGTGATACAGGAGCCTTCAGAAATGAAGATGCAAAGACTCAGGGAAAACTGCCTGTTTTTATGCTTAGATTCAGTGAAGAATGGACAGCCTTATAGAAATGTGATTGGACAAAGGGTGTGATCTAATGGTAATAGACTGAGGGTTGAACCCAGCGAGGCCTGTTCAGATTCTTCTTGGCCTCTCTGTGCAGCATGTATAGAGCAGGACCTCTTCTGGAATGAGGGTCTCAGGATCTACTATCAGACAAGGTAGGTCTGAGTATTTCTTCATGGCCAGCTCCTACACAGAAAGGCAGAGGACCAGGGAGGTTGGAGTACTATTTCTAGGTTGTATGACCACCGTAGGGAAGAGGAATTCTGGTTTCTGTGAACTGCTTAGTGGGGAGAAAGTCGGGGGGGAGACAGACTTTGTTTCTAAGGCGGCTTCAGAGGCCTGTTTAGTTTTTTAGTTCAAACTTAGCATACCAAAGTGCCATACGTTGGGGTATACTTTTCTGAGCCTCAACAAATCCAAGCTGAATTTATTAAACAGCAGGTCCTCTTTTGCTCCTCTCTGGGCATCAAGAGAGCTGGCGTGTGCCCTGCGGTGGACTCTCACTGGTGAGATCAGCCCCACCGCACAAAATGAATTAAGAGCTGCAGGGGTCAGAGTAGGGGAGACTTCTCGTAGAAGGGAGGCTTCCATGGATTTCTGAAGATCACACAAGACTTAGATGAGCAGGGGAGCGAACTGTATGGGACAAAGGCCCAGGAAGAGTCGAAATGGGGAAGCCTCGGAGTTCAAGCATCTTCTATAGCGCCCGCTGTCCTAAAGATACCCCATCCCTGGCTAAATGGGTGCTCCAGGGAGAAACTGGGAGGGGAGTTAAAGCTCCGAGAAGGACGGAGAGCGACGGGCTTGGGGACAGATGAACCCTTTTTCCCTGGATGAGCAGTGAGAATGGAGGCCCAGGCGAAGACCCTGTACAGCCTCTGAAGCCTGTGCAGCTCCAGAAGAGAAAGATGCCAAATTAGGGGCGCTGTCTGCTACCCACGCGCGGCCGCGGGCTTCGCGGACCCCAGAGGAATCCAGTGGGAGGGGTCCCCTCTGGGCACCATCCCGCGGCGCAGGTGGGGCGGGTCCCCGCTACGCCCTAGCCAAGCTCTGCCAGGGCCGCCTGTGGGTCCTCACGCTGGTTCCTCCCTCTCGTCCGCCTCGGTGCGCCGGCTCCCGCGCCCGGGCCTTGGGGCGGGTCCCTGCCGCCCGCACCTGCCCCCAGGGGCGGAGCGCGGCGGCAACAACGCGGCCCCAGCCTCCGCCACCGGCCGCGGAGCCGAGCGGCTCTCCGCTCGTCCCCGCCCCCGCCCGTGCACCTCCACTCCGCGGCGCCCGCCCGCCCTCCCTCCCTGTCCACGCGGCCAGTCCGTCCGCTCCTGCCCCCGCCAGAGCCGCGGCGCCTCGCACTTCTGACTCGAGTCCCCGCCGCGCTTGTCGTCGCCGCCGCCGGGATCCGCAGCCCCGCGCCATGGAGCCGGCCGCGGGCATCCAGCGCCGCAGCTCCCAGGGGCCCACCGTCCCGCCGCCGCCCCGGGGCCACGCGCCACCGGCTGCCGCCCCCGGCCCGGCCCCGCTGAGCTCCCCGGTGCGCGAGCCGCCCCAGCTGGAGGAGGAGCGGCAGGTGCGGATCAGCGAGAGCGGCCAGTTCAGCGACGGGCTGGAGGACCGAGGTGAGCGCGAGCTGCCCGACCCGGCCGGCGACCGGGGTGGCTGCTCGGGGCCCGCCTCTCCCCACTCGCGGGCCGCGCTGGGCGAGGCGCGGGGCTCGGAGCGCGCGGGGGCGCGGAGCCCCGACTTCCCGGCGAGAACGCCGCTAGCCGAGAGCGGCAGCCCCACCTTCTGCGGCCGGCACCGCCTCGGCTGCGGTTCCTTCCCTCGAAGCCCAGACCCCAGCTGCCTTCAGGCCGACCCCGCCTGGACTCGCGCCCTCCTCTCCGCCAGCTCCAGGCCCTCCGGCGCCCACGGGAAAAGTTTGCGGGAGGCATTTTTTGCGTTCGGAGTCGAGCGCTTCTGGGCCACTCCGGGCCCTACTCAGCTCGGAGGGACCCAGGCTCGTTGCATCCTCCTTTCCGTAGTCCCCTGCGGCTCCGCCGGCTGCCTGGGAGAACTTCCCTCTGCGGGTGTAGCCGCGAGATGTCCCTCGGCGGCCGCCCGGCTGCCCGCCCCGGCGAAGGGCGCAAGGAGGGGAGCGAGCCGGGACTCGGGCGGCCTCTGGTCTCGGGCAGTCCCCGATTCTAATCGCGGACGCGGGTCACAGTGGGTCCCTGCCCCGTCGTCTCATGATGGGGCAGAGGAATGGGACATTTGGATTTGGGCCACCAACCTCATCTGGATGGATGCCACTGAAACCTGATGTTTCCGGAGGGCGCGTCTGCAGACCCTTCAGAGCTCCCCTCCACTGACACTGGCCTGGAGGTCAGCACACTTGCCTCTGCTGGGAGACCACACTCTGCCTCCCACCGACTGCCGATGCCCCCTTGAGTCGCCAGTGTAGGACGGGAGAGACTCCCTGCTCGTTCCCGCGTCTCTCTTCTCCATCCCTTCCGCGTTTCCTTTGGGCTTGGATTCTTTGCAGAGGGAGCCCTGTTCTTGGCCGCGTCTGCACCTTTTCTACTTCTTGCTGAATCCGAATCCAAATTGTCCCCCTCAGAACGAATCTGTGGTTCTGCTAAAACCGTTTAGTGGCCAAAGAGGGATTCTTGCAGCCAGGCCCTTTAGGGGAAGCCGGCTCTTTTGCACCTCCACCCCCTTTTCTTGGAAGCCTTATTTTGTTGGCTATGGCGGGTTTATATATTTTAGACTTAGCAGGTTTCTGTCCTATTCTTAGTATCTCCTGTACATTTTTATTCCGGTTTAGTGTTCGGATGCACGATCTCTTTCTCCTTAGAAATTCTAAACTGTAGCATGTGAAATAAAATGACATGGAAACGGCAGTTCCCAGAGAATCCGCCTAGATGCTCAGCGAGAACTGGAGCTGCTCCAGTGGCAACGAATTCTGCACCTCTGTTGCAGTTTCTCCCCCTGTTCTCACATAACTAGATGCCATTTAAGAGGTGAGGACAGGGGACATCACGAGCATGGAACAAAACCTCTCACTTTTATTATAGGATGTGTTCATTACCTTTGCCCCTCTCCAGCTAATATCGTAGGATTTAAAAATTCCATATTGAAGAAAGACAGAAGCCTGGGTTGAGCTTATTTTTGTAGCATTGCAGGTCATCTCTAAGAGCTGGCCTGTTTCTCCCTACCCCACAAAATGATAGGAGGGAAGACAGTGCTAGGGTGAGTTCATATTTAGCATCATTTTGTAGTTCATGTTCAAGTGTAAAAAGCCCTTCTGAATTCATTCTTAAGGTTATTTTTCTCTGGTCAACGGAATTTCATTTTCCATTATATGATAGCATGAAAGCATTGACTGTTCGTAAACTGTCACTGTTTGAGAGCGTGGCATATCACACACAGCCTCTCTGTTAGGATGAACCCTATTCGCCAAAGAACCCGGTGCTGTGTGGCATTGAGAGCTGAACGTCAATGTGACATTCTTTTGTTTGACCTCTTCCTGATGGCAACCAGTATGTGGTGAATAAGTGATTTTTGTTAAGTAAACGAGAACGTTACCTGGGGAGGTTTACTGTAAGATTTTGTGTTTGTTGTTTCTGTTATTTTTTTTCTTATGGGGCTGCATTTTTCCAATATTGATTTTTATATCCTTTGGGAATGGGTTGAGTGCAGCTACCTCTTTCCTGCTGGTGAGAGGAATTGGGGAGGAGGAAGCCCCAGCACTTGCCTGCCGTGTGTCTCTGCATCCTGCCTGGCTTGCTTTCTTTCAGGCCTAAATACCTATAGGCTGTCTGTAGAGGGGTTGAGGGGTACCTCGGATCTGCACCTGTATTTGGCATTCTCTTTTGTCCTAACTCCCTTTGGAGCTATCAGGATGTGGTTCCAGACCACAGTTAACTCTCATCAAAGGTTTGCTTTAAAATCTAGTGTTTTGAGACTTTGGAGGCATTTGCGCCTTAGAAATGATGTGGGCTGGTTCTCAGAAACCTAGCTAGCTCAGAATGTCAGTAACTGCAGTGCCATCTGGTTGAACTTAAAGCTCAGGGAGCAAGAGCTCTGTGGCCTAAGACCTTTGGGGACTAAACACAAAAATTAGGCCAGGTTTATCTTAATCATTCTTCCCATCCCCTTTGAATACCTATTCTTCTCCCTACAAGTATTTTCCCATCATTCTGTCCGTAACCTTAGGGCCCAGCTTAGCCTTAGGTAATTATATGTGTCAGCATTTCCCAGTACTTCCCCATCTAACAAAATTTCCCTTTCTTCACAGAGTTCAAGCTTGACAAACTTAGGAGAAAGGAATTGGAACTAATGCATACTAGTGTAGAAATAACTGATGGCTTCAGCCTCTCCATATGTATTTGTACCTTTCCCCTCTCCAAAATAAATAAAGGATCAGTCTCTCATTAGTACTATGCTTAGTATTCCCAGGCCAAAATTGCAAATTATGAAATTTGAGTGAGTTTAGAAATTCAAATATGGGGGCCAGCTATGGGTAGGGAGGATCCAGCCCTGCCTGCAAATCCGAGGCCTGTCGTAGCTTCTCTAGGCTGTCCTGTCTCTTCAGCCTGGCTTTCTTCCAGCTTTAAAGCACAGCTTCCTGAAAACATTAGGAATTCTCACTACATCTTTGTAACTTGTGAGTGTGCCTGCATCCAACATGAGTGTGGAGGTACCTGTGTGTGGAACATTCACTAGGAACTGAGTCTTTATACATCATCATACTACACTTCCCCTTGAGGAGTGCAAAGTTTTCCATTCTTAGGATCGGCTATATTTTTAGAAAGGAAAATCAGCAGAAAATAAGCAAAAGTTGAATAGAAATGGGAAAGTCCTTCCATTTTTGGACAGTCTTCCCATTGTACTTATTCCATTTTATTTTTTAATTTTAAAAATATCACGGAGGAGGCACACACAGGCCCAGATCTGGGGAAGAAGTACTGGTCGTAATGCTGAGAAGTCCCAAGTGCCACCTTAGCGGGACAGTCCAGCTGTCCTGGGCTGTCATCTGAAACTCCTCCAGGGGGGTGCTGTTTCACTGGTGGGTGAAGCATGTAGATTGGTCCACATGTGTGGTCAGGACCAGTTATATTATTGAAACTAGCTGACTTTGGATGGAAAAATAAATGTTATGCGGCTGAAGAGAAAATGGGCATCATTGTCATTCCTCTTAGAAAATGAAATCTACTTCTCAAAGGAACCTTGTTTTTACCTCAGTGGATGACAATCTGGAGATTGTTGCTGTCAAAATACCTAGCAAACAAACTGCTTATTTGAGCCAGTACTTAAATGTTATAGCTTCACTTCTCCTGAAAATCAATTGGCCATGATGGAAGGAATATTTTTATATCATTTGGGAAAAGGGACATAAATTATTAAGGGTGCGTGGAATCTGCTCATTCTAGGATAGGGCTATAACTGGTGATTGTATAGTTGAAAACTGGAATAGTGTGGTTTTTGGCAGCTAAGGAAGATATAGACAAAGGGACATGCTATATTTTTATTTAAATTACTTGTACCTGGGCAGAATTTGACAAGAGAGAAGGTATTTATTTTTTCCCTCCAAGTCCACTCACAAAGGAAGGTTTGGGGAGATTTTTACAGAGAGAGGATGGTGATGGTGTTTATGCTCAACATTTGCATTTTCATCTCCCTTTTGATTCTGTGTAAGCCTGTGGGTTTCAATTATTTAAAAATCTCTAGGCTGTGAGCTGGGCTCACTCAGCAACCTTCTTGACATTCTGGCTTGTTTTGCTCAGGACTTGTTCAGCGATGCTCAATTCTGGGTTATAAATGGAACTGAGAAGTTTTAGCAGGGTCCTGGCTTTAACTTTTGATCAGGATGTGGTTTTTGGCAACTGGAGGCTTAGTGTGGTACCCAGTTGGATGAATGAGATGGTGTCTTTTATGTGATGCGTAGGTGTGATATGTCTCACACTGTGTGATATTTTACAAATTGGTACCTGAGCTTTCATTACCAATTTCTTCATTCTTTGGAGCTACTCTGATGAGGCTGCTCAACCTCTGAAAGTTGTATTGTGGGTTGTTTCACCAGAGATGGTGTAATAAGCTCCTGTTTATGTAAATGCATGGCTGAAAATGTGGTACTGTGTGCAACTAAGAGATGCTGTATATGATCTACAGTCAAAGGAGAAGGATAAACCTATAAATCAAGACATTCTGAAGACATTTTAGTCTTTGACCCCAGGCAGTTGTGGGCATTGCCTGGGAGTTGTTATGAATTTCTGTTGTTGTCAAGGACTCTCCATGTTGAAAGCATAGGAGATAAAAATAAAATTTGTCTTATACATGGCCTACCTGGGAAGCTACCTCTAGTTTTAGTAGGTTTGCCCCACTTTAATATTCTGAGAATTTTTTGACATGTGCTTGCTAAAAAGGATGTGTATACTATAGAGCAGAAAAAGGAGGGAAGGAAACGTGGCATATAATTTGGGCCTGGAGGCTCTTGCTGGATGTGGTTAAAGAGAAATGGTTCTTCTCCTGATTGTTGGGGGAGCAGTGAGGTCATTTGTAGACTGACTCCTTGCTTTGGGCAAAACCCAGTCCACCAGTTGGGACTGTGCTGGTGAATCAATGCTCACAGCTGAGGAGCCTGAAGGCCCAGCTGAATGTGGGTGGTTTGTGCTGTTTTCCTAACAGAAAGGTCTTGTGGGCAGGAACAGCATCTACCTGAGGCCAAGCAACATAACACAGGGGCAAAGGAATGGCCTGGTGTGGTATGTCAAGGAGTGGTGGGGTCTGTGGAGTTCTTCGAAAGAGGACAGCTGCTGTTACCCTGCAGAAATACACGGCCCATATTGTCAGAGCCTGTGATTTTTCAAGGGGTGCCAGAAAGCTTGATTTTCATGTGAAATCTAATTGTTAAAACACAGTGTGGGCCAAACAAAACACGTCTTGGCCCACGGGCTGTTAGTTTGCAATCTTTGGGTAAGAAATTGTAGCTCTCGCTGTGGGTTTCTTAGTAAGGAAATGTCTAACTTCCCTTTCTCCTTGTTTTTGTCAGGCTTACTAGAAAGCAGCACCCGCCTGAAACCTCACGAAGCCCAGAACTACAGGAAGAAGGCATTGTGGGTGTCCTGGTTCTCCATCATTGTCACCCTGGCCCTCGCGGTGGCTGCCTTTAGTGAGTATCAAGGGTCTCGTCGGCCAATATGTGCTGCTGTTGCCCGTTTTATTCTCTAATTCCTGTGGGATGTGCTTTTGCTTTTAGTTGACTATTATTGATGAGTAAATTTTTTTAGATTGTTGGATAGTCAGGGTACTGATAAATTAGTCAAAAGGCTTTCTTCTCTGCATAGGAAAGGGTGGTAAGAAGATGAGGTGGAGAGTGACTGCGAGCCTTGGCTCTCATCAGTATGCGGGCTTGCGGAAGTAGATGCTGGCTGCTAGCTGAATAGTGAAAATACTCTTGGTGGATGCCTTCAGCTTGGGCTGACATGTGACACATATATATCCTTAAGATTCTTATTTTCAGCCTAATGCAAGAAGATGGGTGCAATATTGCAGCGAGCCCTCTCCTTTTCCCTGATCATATCTGTGTAAGGCTTGGAGGAAAATCCTATGCACACTTTAGTGAAAGGAAAATGGGAGGGTCTTCTGTCAAGTTTTCAGTGGCCGTGGAAACAAAAACATGTATTACAATTAAGAAAAACTAAGGAAGTGGAACAGTTTCTGCCAGATAATCCTGTTTGGGGGTTAGGAAGGCTGATGGCATGTGTTTTCTGGACTAACATTTTGCAGCCTATGGAAATGTATGTGTGCTATTTATTCTTATGAATTGTGCAATGACTCACAAGCCTAAGCAGTGTCAGTTACAGCTCAACCTTGGTAGAAACCCGTGGTGTTTTGTTTTTTTTTTTGATGCGGGGGAAAGACTGCATTTTGTGACGAATTTATTACCTAACAGAAAGATCTATTTTCTCAGTGATAGGCATCACACAAGGTGTCTCCTGTGACAACCCTCAGATTAGGAGAAAAAAAGCACATGTCTGCTAGAAGACAAGCTATGTGTGTGTGTTGTTTAAAATTCTATTCTGCAAGGGTAGATCTGCTGCTGGAAGTTGGGGTTGGCTCCCAAGAGGGAATATTAAAATTTGACCAAATGCTCCCTGCAAAACTAGGCATATATTACTTGAAGCAATTTATATTGGAAACACTATACCACATCTTGGCTCTAAAACAGCCAAACATTTAGAAGTGGAGGGCAATGCATTCCAGAGTATAAACGTTTTTTACCGGTGAGCCAGAAATCTAATCAAGGGGAATTCTGATTCCTGAAAATAGCTACTCCTTCCCCTTGCCCCCACTTTTTTAATGCTGTAACAAGAATAACAAGCTGGATTGATGTCCCTAGGGGATAATTTGGTTGTGGTGGCTGGTGGAGGACTTTGGATCAGACACCATAATTTACATATGCAAAGAAAAAGGAAAGGAATGAAGGGAGGTGATTTACAAACAGAATAATAGTAACTCAGACGTGTCCATGTGCCTGATAAAGCTGTTTTGATTTGTCACGTGGATGTTTGAATGAGGACCTGAATGAGAAGAAATATTGGGCAAGTCTTTCTTCTAGGAGAGTAATATTACATTGGATGTTACTTAAGTCTCATAATAGACAAAAATTATGAGGAAATTTTGGTTTCACATGTTACACCTGATCAGTTGGGCTATCTTAAAAATGTTGTTCATTTCCTTTAATAAAGAAAGACAGTTGCATAGTGCATACAGAATTAGAATGTTGCTTTGTGAAAAGGGCTTCTCTTTCTTTTTCTTTTAAAAATGATTTTACACCTTCATTGCAGCAAGTATTTAATTTAAATCCTCTAACTTCTAGCCAATAAAATGTTGGTATTGGCATATAATATCATGATTTGTGTTATCTATAGTACATTCAATTTGTTCTCACATCACTTTCAGTTTGTTCTGGTTTAGTCAAACTAAAAAATGTAGAAGGTGAATTATATTTTCCTCCACTTTAACTATAGAGTAGCTTTAGTATTTGTGTGTGTGTGTATGTGTTTCATATTTTAAACCCTTGATATGGTCTGTGATTGTGTTGTTAGGGTTGCTGATTTTACTATTTAGTTTCCTAAATGTATTTCTAATATGCAGTATTTAAAATCTCTTCCAAAGCATCATTTATATGGCGCCAGACTTTTGTGAAATTATTTTCCTAGTTTTGAATGGAAATAAATAGAGATTAAGCAATATAAACTGACTTTCGAAGTTATGTTTAAATTAGTGTCTAAAGAAAAATGGAACATTTCAAAATGGCAATAAAGGTTTTTGTAAAGTGTCAAAAAACTCCCAGTCCTACTCTTCAAGGAAGGAGGTAGTTAACAGATGGATGAAACGCAATGCTCTGACTTCCTGCATCTCTGTCCAAACCAGTGAAATGGCCGAGTTGCATCAATTCGTATTTTTAAGAGGATTGCTATAGAATTACTATATATGATGCTTTGGTGTGGCGGGGAAGTTTTGGAGTGTGTGCCTGTGTGTGTTTGTGTTAGCAGGGGGTGTTAATCATGATGAAGAGAAAGCGACTGTATTTATGGACATGGCTTCTTGCTACTGTTGGATGGTGAAAAATTTGGGGCAGGAAGAGCATCCATCCTTGCATGGAATCAGTACTCAAGACTGTAATAAATGAACTGAGAGATTTTTTAACACTTTTTTTTTTTTTAGTTAGGTGGAAGGACAATATTTCTTGGAAAATGATAAATTCTACCTAAAGATTTACATACAAGGCTGAGATTTCATTTATTTTATAAACAATTACAATTTTGGGGGGCAGTTGGGTCATCCTATGGCCATTCTCTTGCTAAGGGAGTTGTCTTGGAGTTGCATCTCCTGGGGTCAGCTGGAGTTCCTGTCTTCACCTCCTCAGCTGCCATTTTCTATTTATTTAATCATAGTTACTGATTTTTAGCTGAGTATCTTCTGAAGAAATGCTGTTGGCTCTTTTGAGTTTGGAAATGAGGAGGGTGGATAGAAGTTGGGGGGCACACCTCTTTTCCTCAGTCAACTGGAAAGATTTGTATTTTTACCTGACATGTACATTGTAGGTTGTGAACCCAAAAGTCTCTGAGACAGGTCTCAATCAATTGAGAAAGTTTATTTTGCCAAGGTTAAGGACGCGCTTTTGACACAGTCTCAGGAGGTCTTAAAAACATGTGCCTAAGGTGGCTGGGGTGCAGCTTGCTCTTATACTCTTTAGGGAGACATAATATATCAATGAATATTTGTAAGATGTATATTGATTTGATCTGGAAAGCTGGGACAACTGGAAGTGGATGGCTTCCAGGTTATAGGTAGATTAAAAAATGTTCTGATTGGCAATTGGTTGAAAGACTTAAGTTATTATCTAAACACCTGGAATCAATAAAAATGAATCTCTGGATTCTGATGATAAGGGGTTATAGAGACCAAAGTTTTATCATGCAGATGAAGCCTCCAGGTAGCAGACTTCAGAGAGAACAGACTGCAAATGTTTCTTATCAGACTTTATGTCTGTGTTGATGCTAATGCTGGTCAGCTTTTCCTGAATTCCAGAAGGGAGGAGGGTACAGTGAGGCACCTCCAAGTCCCCTTTCCCATCACGGCTGGAAACAGCTTTTCAGGTTAACTTTGGAGTGCCCTTGGCTGAGAGGAGAGGGCCATTCAGATGACTGGGGAGCCTTAAAATTTTATTTGCGGTTTACAAGTTAAAGATTGTTACCCTTCATCTCCTATAAGCTTCCAGGTAATCAATATACCATGTCTTCTCAAGTTAGTAGTTTCTAAAAGACCTGATGATAAAACTAGCTTACGTCAGTATTACTGAGTTATTTGTTATAGATCACATATGTAATTATGGTTGGCATTCATATGTCTGGTATAGTTTGAAAAATTAGGTGGACTTTCAAAGTTTGTGCCTTGAGTATGCTTTGAAAGGGATGTGAACTATTTTTTAATGTGAACTATTTTTGATAATACTTGGTAATGTAGTGATTTTGGATCTGTTCAAATGCTGATATAAAACCAGATGGTAATACATCTTGAATATTTCAGAGAGAGCTCTAGTTTGGTTTTAAAATTCATTCTGTTTATAATCGGTAGGCAGCATGGAAAATGGCAATCCTGTTATGAACAAATGTGGAAAAAAAAGTCTGTTTTAATAATGAAGCTAGAAAGAGAACAGAAGTTCTGTTTCAAAACTCAGGGTTTTGACATCACTGATATCTTTGTTACAGTGATTTAGGAAAATGCATTCTGACTCTGTTTTTCAGGTTTGAGTGCAAGTTAATTTTTAGGCACTCAATACATGTTCTGTGGGAAATGAAGACATATTTGAAACATTCTCAGGGGAAAACCTTTCCTAAGATACACAGCTCCGTTAAAAAAGTACTCCAAACCCAGATCTTCTCAGAAAAAGCTCACTCAAAATTAGGTGCAGCTGGCTGGGAGCGATGGCTCATGCTTGTAATCCCAGCACTTTGGAGGCTGGGGTGGGTGGATCATGAAGTCAGGAGTTTGAGACCAGCCTGGCCAATATGGTGAAACCCTGTCTCTACTAAAAAATATACACAAATTAGCCAGGTGTGTTGGCGCGTGCCTGTAGTCTCTGCTACTTGGGAGGCTGAGGCAGGAGAATTGCTCGAATCCAGGAGACGGAGGTTGCAGTGAGCCAAGATCATGCCACTGCACTCCAGCCTGGGTGACAGAGCAAGACTCTGTCTCAAAAAATAAAAATAAAAATAAATAAATAAATAAAATTAAAAAATATATAAAAAATTAGGTGCAGCTGTAGATTTAAGAACTAGAAAAACACCTTGGAAAGAAGTGATTTTCTTTTTAGATGTGGAGATTTTAAAATAATTTATTTGATTTTAATGTAAACTCTTAACCCTTAAAAATGGTAAGATATGTGTTTTTATTCTTTTTCTTTCTAAATTATGAGACTAAGAGTTGAGAGATGGATAAAATGAAATTGCACGATTCTTCTGTAAACTCAGCAAAAAATGTTTGGGAACTTTCTTAGGTGTTCTCTCATCTGACAGACACATTGGGAGACAGAAAAGACATAAGACTCTTCAGATACTTTCTGGTGTGCTGAGTAACATGGAAATAGTTGCAGTGGCCTTAAAGGTCTGGCCTTGGCCAGGCATGGTGGCTCATGCCTATAATCCCAGCACTCTGGGAGGCCGAGGCAGGTGGATCATTTGAAGTCAGGAGTTTGAGACCAGCCTGGCCAACGTGGTGAGATCCTGTCTCTACTAAAAATACAAAAATTTGCCAAGTGTGGTGGTGCGTGCCTGTTATCCCAGCTACTTGGGAGGCTGAAGTAGGAGAATCGCCTGAACCAGGAGGCAGAGTTGCAGTGAGCTGAGATCGCACCATTGCACTCCAGCCTGGGAGACTATGTCTCAAAAAAAAAAAAAAAAAAAGTTCTGGTCTGCCCTGACTTTTGCCCCCCTTTTTTCAGACACCCCAAACTTCTTCTCCTCAGGACTGGAGCCCATGTCCTTTGGGCAACCCATCTCACGGATCTCACATGGCAGCCTCCTCATTGACAACTCCCCTCCCCAAAGAGGCCTCACCAACTGCAGGCGCCCATTCCCCCAGAGCAGTTTTATCCATGACACCGCCAATTTCCTTCATCACAGTTCTTCCCTTTGTGCCCCTCCTGCATGGATGAAGGCTGTGAAGCCCTTGCCTCTTCTGCCCATGTCCCTAAACTTGCCTGTTTCCCCTACCCCTGAAATACTTCCATGACCCAAAGCCTTAACCGTGCAGCTGACATTCTGCATGTGGAATGATCCTTTGCGTAGTTTGCTGGTCGTGTATTTATTTTACTGAAAAAAGCAGAATGTACACAAGATAAAAATTCCTGAGACCAAAGGTGCACAGTCCAAATCTCTGTCCCGTCCTAAAGTCTCTCTCTTCCGCTGGCAGCCTTTGTTACCAGTGTCTTAATTGTTCTTCAGGACATTTTCTGTGCATGTCCAGGCCCAGCTGTGGTGCCTGCCTACACTTCTGGCCGCTCCTCATGTCAGATGTGGCATCTAATCCTTGCTGGACTTTTCACAGCCCCGGGCCTCTTCGCAAGCTCCTGTGTCCACCTCCTTGTATGAGGTGGAACTATTGTGGAGAATCTGCAGGAATGTTTTCCTGCCTAGCGTCCGGCTGCCGCCACTGAAGCAGGCAATGGTGCAGGGGCCAGAGGATGTGGGCAGGAAGTTTGAAAGCCACATCCTGGCGGTGTTCTGAGGGATAAAGTGCTCCCTGTGGGTGTGCTTGGGAACGATAAACCCGGAGGCTGCTTCTGAGAGGTGGGGACCAGGAGGGAGGAACAGGCAGACCAGCGGTTTGGGAACCTTGCTCCGACAACTCTCCCTGCCTTTGCATTCTGTCTTCATACCCTGTGGCCACGTGATCAGGGATTCTGTGCCTGTCACCCTCTGTGCTGTGAGCTCAGACAGCACACGGAGTACGGACGCATATTTCAGACAGGCCCCTTTGGTTACCACGAGGTCCCTCATGATCTTGTCCCCTTCATCCTGGCTGGCCTCACCTCCTCCCATCCCCATGTACTGCAGCCCCCAGAGGCTCCTTGTGGGCCCTACAGGCTGTGTCCTGTTTCTTGCCCCAAACCCACGTACCTGCTCTTCCCTTAGTCTCAGATGCCTTTGGTTTCTGACCTCCATGCTTCTTTTTCTAGCGAAATTTTACTTATCCCTCAAGATCAAGATGAAAGATCACCTTTTCTGGGAAGCCTTCCAGGCTGATTGAAACACCTCCCTTCCCCCATAGCCCCACGGGAACCCATAGATCAGGAACTCGATGCACAATACTTGTATCATTGTGTTATTGCTTTCGGCACTCATGTGCACTCCTCCACACCAGGACCCGTCTTCTTCAGGCGGTGTTGTCAGCCGCTAACACAGTGGAAACTCAGACGCTGGTTGGACCGGAGTCAGTTTTGCCGCCTCCCTGCTTGGGCACTGTGGTTGCAGCAGGCTGAGGATGTACATTTGCAGGTAGAGATCCCAGACAAAGGAAACAAGGAGGGCGTCTTCAACTTTGTAAATGGTGGGGATGCAGGAGCTCATTCTCTCACCCCTCCTCCATGCTGCACTGCCCAGCATCCCCCTAACCCCCGATTGAAGCATCCAGGCTTCTATTGACAGGGACTTGCCTGAGGCTGTTAGGAGGACTCATCTTCCTGAGTCTCCGCTCACAGTGGGCTGCTGTTTCCAGCCAGGAGTGGGGGAGGGGTCTCAGCAGCTGCCTGCCTGCCCTGCCTCCCTTCTCAGTGCCTTCTTCACACAGCGTTTAATTGGAAGCGTGGCCAGGGTGCATTAGCACCCGGTGTCCCTGTCGCACAGCCGTGGCGGTGACACAGGGTAGCTGGGCGGCGAGCCCCAGGTGGGCTCATCTCATGCTCAGGGTCCCTCGTCCCTTCTTGCCTGGGTCCTTGCTGGCAGGGGCCCTTTGGGACATTTGTCAGGGTTTTTCCTCTTGCCTCTCAGTCTTTTTCCAGTCATATTTGTTAAGCAGCTGGGTGAGAAGGGGTTTTCTGGTCTGTGGATATCTCAGGGCTGTAATTTGGTCCTCTAGGAATTGCCTCTGTCAGGTGAATTTCTGCCGTAGCTCTTCTTGGACAAGACGTGACTTCTCAGTGCCTTGTGCTGTGGTTTGAGATGCAGAAATATTGAGACACAGAAGGAACAGAGGAAGCCGGGGTAGGAAGGGAACCCCTGCTCCTACCCCAGCAGGGGAAACTCTTGCTCCCTGTCCACCTTCTCCCATGCCTGACGGCCATGCCTCCTTCCCATTGGCGAATGTGGGAAGTCCAAGATCAATATGTCAGCAGGGTTGGTTTTCTTCTGAGGCCTCTCTCCTTGGCTCATAGATCGCCGTCTTCTCCCTGTGTCTTTGTGTGGTTGTCCCTCTGTGTGTGTCTGTGTCCTCATTTCCTCTTACTATGAGGACACCAGGCATATGGATTAGGGCCCACCTTAATGACCTCACTTGAACTTAATTACCTCTTTAAAGACCCCATCTCCAAATACAACTGCATTTTTGGGGTACTGGGGGTTAGGGCATCAACATTTGAATTTTTTTTTTTTTTTGAGATGGAGTCTTGCTCTGTCGCCCAGGCTGGAGTGCAGTGGTGCGATCACAGCTCACTGTAACCTCCATCTCCCAGGTTCAAGTGATTCTCCTGCCTCAGCCTCCCGAGTAGCTGGGATTACAGGCACATGCCACCATGCCTGGCTAGTTTTTGTATTTTTAGTAGAGCCGGGGTTTCGCCATGTTGGCCAGGCTGGTCTCGAACTCCTGACCTCAGGTGATCTGCCCCCACTCAGCCTCCCAAGGTACTGGGATTACAGGTGTGAGCCACCACACCCGGCCTCAACATTTGAATTTTGAGGACACACAGTTCAGTCAGTAACAAATGCTTTGGCCAGCACCAAGCAGATAGAGGAAACTAGTAACAAATTCCTTAAAAGGACTTTACCTTCAATGAAAGGGTGGACCAGAATAAATACCTCTAGCAGCCCAGAGATAATGAAGAGCTCATCTGTGTCAGAATAATTCTGTGTGGGCTGAGGAGGGGAAGAGCGTGGGGGAGCCTTCACTGGAATTCAGAACCATGAGACTGACCTCATGTACATTTGTGTTTGGAATTTTCGTAGGTCGATACCCTGGGGAATAGACTCGGAGACTCAGCTTCCCTCCAGGAGGTTTATTGGCAGTGGGGCGAGGGACTAAGGGAGACTCTCAGGAAGAACACCTGCAGGGAGCCAGGACTGGCAGAGGGGAGGTTGAACTGCAGTGTTGTTGCCTTAGAGGCTTGTCCCACACGGACCTGGAAGCTGAGATGGCTTCCAGGTGAAGCATGGGGACCAGACCAGTCTTTGGTGTGGGCTGCCGCAGGGACATGTACAACCACGGGGAGGCAGCGTCCTTCAGTGGAGGGGGATTCTGGGAAAGGGATGCAGCCATCAGCAGCCCTCATTCCTGGCAGCTGGGGAAATGAGTGCCCAGGTCCAGGAGGAGAATTTAGGAGACACACCAAGGCATCTGCTCTGGGAATGTATACCCTGCACTTAGCTTGGGGGCCCTCAAGCTGAGATAGTAACATGGACATGGTCCTAGGTTGGAAATACCCCTGGAGCACCTGAAAGAAGCAGGTGCAGAAGAACTTTGACCAAGGCCCAGTAGGTGTCCCATGGAGGCAGCCCCACCAAAGATGAGCTCACAATCCAATATTAGAAAGCTCCTGAGCAGGGGACCCACCATGATTGAGTGTCATACAGATAGCGTGATTAGACCTGAAATTCTAGGTGAGAGAAGTAGCTGACAAAATCCGTAAAATAAGTGTGTTTAATATGAGTAGAAAATAAAAAAGGAATCAAATATACAAATGCTGAAAAGAGCAGCTGGAGAATAACCAAATAAAGATATTTTCGATCTTTTTTTTTTTTTTTTACTTTCTAACATGGATGTAGTTATAAGAACGTTAAGAATGACAGCAGCCCCCATTCTCCATCCCTCTCTCTTATTTCCCCCTCATTCTCTCCCAGCAAGCTCTTCACCTCTTGTAGTTAGTTCCTGTATTTACTTGTGTAAATAACAGGGTTCCAATGCTAACTCTTAATTTGTTTTTCAAGTTTAGGCATTATTTGTTAACTTCCCCAAATGGAAGGAAATAATTTACTCTTTTATACTCCTGGCCCCACACAAGCAGACTGACTTCCTGCATTTCCATCCTTGTATTGTAGTTATGGTTTTCATTATTATGACTATGTAAATCCTCCTCCTAGAGCCATAGGGTGAAGTATGATGACTTCTTTCTTGTACAATTTTTTTTCTGGATTTCATATCTGTTTTGTTTATTCCTATGTTTACTTTTCTATGAATTTATTTCTTATTAACTTTCATTCAGCATTTCTTTTCTAACCTCAGCTTCTCTGTGATATTTTCAGATGCAGAGGTAATTCTATTGGTTTCTTCCTGAAGAAACCTCTCATGGAGCACCTGACCTCCTGTAACCGGTTCTGATTGCCCATTTCACCTGGTGCACAGCTGCATCCCAGACTCTTCCTTCCCCACTTTTTTTGGGATTTCCTTTATTTTTCTCTTCTGTTGGACCCCCTGTTTCCTGGATACCATGTTTTTCTCTTCTCTGGCTTACTCCCTTTTAGGGGGAACACATCTACTCCTAGCTCCCTAGGTAAGGTCACATGGGAGGTGTAGCTTTCAAACCATGTAAAGCCTGAAATGTCTTCAGTATATCCTGACACTGGATTGACAGCTGGATAGAAAATTCTCAGTAACAAATAATGTTCCCTTAGAGTTCTGTACACTTTGCTTCATTTTATTGTCATTTGTAGTGTGGCTATGAAAGTCCTAAGATCTTCTGAAACTTACACCTTTGCATGGGACCTGCTGTGGTGGGGGCTGTTTTATCCATACACACCCTACTTCCTATTTCTTTGTCTTTTTGTTCTACTTCCTGGGAAATTTAATCACCTTTATATTCCTACCTTTCTATTGAGCTTTTTCATTTCCATTATTAAGTTAAAAAAATTGTCTGAGTGTATTTCTTTAAAAAATTTTCCAGCTCTTGTTTTGTGGATCTTTTTTGAAAATTTTTTTTATTTTTAATTAATTAATTTATTTTTTATTTTTAGACAGGATCTCTCTCTGCCACCCAGGCTGGAGTGCAGTGGCACAATCACAGCTCACTGCAGCCTTGACCTTCCAGGCTTAGGTAATCCTCCCACTTCAGCCTCCCAAGTAGCTGGGACTACAGGGGCGTGCCACCATGCCCGGCTAATTTTGGAATTTTTTGTAGAGACACGGTTTCACCTTGTTGCCCAGGCTGGTCTTGAAGTCCTGGGCTCAAGCAGTCTTCCCACCTTAGCCTCCCAAAAGTGTTGGGATGACAGGTGTGAGCCACTGCTCCCCTGGTTGGATCTTTTTAATAGCGGTTATCTTTCTGAAAATATTTGTGATGGTTAAAAAATACTTTTCCATTTCTTGCATTGTCTTCCTCCAGGTGCTTCTTTCCCCTGTTGCTTTGGACTCATCATTCATGTTAGGGGAGGAATCCTATGAGTGTGGTCCTAGATAGTCTGTTCTTGTTAAAAATAGGTCATTAAAAGGCTGTTCTGAGCTCCGAGCATGTCGGCAGTGTTCACTGTAGGGTGACATGTTGGACTGTTTTGTTGGTGGATTCCAGTTTTAAACTTTCAGATCCTTCTTTTTGGGCTACCCAGGCTTCCCTGAGATGGTTACTCTGAGCCTCTGCTTTGAAGGTGAACTCCTGACTGCTTGAATTTTGGGAGCTGAGTTGGGGAAGAGGATGGAGATTTCAGCCTTCTGTTTGAAATTCTTTTTTTTTTTTTTTTTTTTTGAGACAGTTTTGGTCTTGTCTCCCAGCCTGGAGTGCAGTGGCGTGATCTCAGCTGTCTGCAACCTCCGCCTCCCGGGTTCAAGTGATTCTCCTGCCTCAGCCTCCCAAGGAGCTGGGATTACAGGCATGTGCCACCACGCTTGGCTAATTTTTATATTTTTAGTAGAGATGGGGTTTTACCGTGTTGGCCAGACTGGTCTCGAACTCCTGAACTCCTGACCTCAAGTAATCCGCCCACCTCAGCCTCCCAAAGTGCAGGGATTACAGGCATGAGCCACTGCGCCTGGCCTGAAACTCTTAGCCACTTTGAGTTTGGTTTCCCCATCTTTGGCTGAGTTTGGTATGCCTCAAAGAAGAGATTGTTGCACCTTCTCCAGAGAAAAATCCTCCAATAATCCAATAGGAGAGTTGGGGATGAGTGGGTATTGCCCTTCTGGGCAGAGCTGGGGAGGGATTCTGGAGAACTCTTTTTTACACAGGCTTTGAACAAACCTCCCTATTGCCAGTCTTCTCTTTATTATACTGTGCTACCAATTTCTGTTTTATTGGGTGTCCTGAGGTGTAAATTGGGTTGCCTTTTTGCTTTCACACTGCTGTGTTAGGAGTTTGCTTTCTGGAGTCTGTTAAATCAATTACCACTTGCCCATATGCTTTCTAGCTTCTAAAAATTGTTTTTGTTGCCTTTTCCATTTTCTTTTTTTTTAAATTCACTCTGATTTCTTTCTAATTTTTATGGTTTTACTTTTTTATATTTAACTTTTTAATTTGTTTTGAATTTACTTTGGAGTACCAAAACAACATGTTTAGTGTCTTTGTACATCGTCTGAGCTCCAGATCTGTGCTTCCAACTGCTGGTTAGACCATGTGGACCGTCTCTATGCCCCATGCATCTGCATTCATCTAGTTTTCTGGAGGGGTCTCTTCCATTTTTTTTTAAACTAATGGGTTTGTCTTTTTATTTTTTACTTTATTTATTTATTTATTTATTTATTTATTTATTTATTTATGTATTTTCGAGACAGAGTTTTGTTCTTGTCACCCAGGCTGGAGTGCAGTGTCACGGTCTCTCAGCTCACTGCAACCTCTGCCTCCTGGGTTCAAACAATTCTCCTGCCTCAGCCTCCCAAGTAGCTGAGATTACAGTCACCTGACACCACGCCCAGCTGATTTTTGTATTTTTAGTAGAGATGGGGTTTCACCATATTGGCCAGGCTAGTCTCGAACTCATGACCTCAGGTCATCCGCCCGCCTTAGCCTCCTAAAGTGCTGGAATTACAGGCATGAGCCACCGTGCCTGGCTGGATTCATCTTTTTAAAAACACCCCTCTGTTCTTAGTTTAGTGGGGTTTTTAGAGGAAGCAAAAGTACATGAGGAACCATCCTGCGATATTTCCCTGGAAGTGTCAGAAGAACAATTTGTAATGAAAAATATAGTATGTGAATCAGAAACCAATGAGGAATAACTAGAGAATCGAACTCTACATCAGAGGAGCTTATCCAGAATATGGAACAGGGATTCTCAAGTTCACGTTTACTAAAAAACATGGAGGATAGGATAAGCTCCAATACAAACAAGTAAGAATTCCAAAAGCAGAAAAGAGAGGAAATAGAAAATAGTCAGTGTTTTTAGAGGCATCTGAAACTGTTTTGGAGCTGATGGGAGGGATGGGGTACATACCTTTCAAATCATTAGATGGAGAAAAAGAATTAGGAAACTTCCCTTAATCAGTAGACAGCAGAAGTGAAATACATAATACAAATAGCATAGAAAGTGCAAAATAAAATGTAGAAACAAATCCAGATGTTTCAGAAATTATCAAAAGTGTAAATGAATTAAAGCTATCAGGTAAAAGTCAGAGATAGATTGCATTAAAAAAAAATCAAGCTGTATGCTGTTAATAGGAGACAAATTTAAAACGTAAGACCACAGAATTCCTTAAATGTAGGGATAGAAGAAGATGATCTGGCAAATAATAACAAGATAAAGTTGATGTAGCTATTTAATTAGTGAAAATAGATTTGAAAACAAAAAGCATTATTAGGCATAAAGGGTGTTACCATATAAACAAAAGTTCCAACCACCCAGAAGATAAAACATTTGTGAATTTGCATATACCAAACAACAAAACCCCAGAGCACTCAAACAAAAATTGATGGGATTATAGGTAGAAACAGACATATCATAATTACAGTGGTAGACTTTAATGCACCTCTTTTACTAGTTGATAGATAAAAAGAAAAAAAATTCATGAAAATATTGAAGATTTGACTTGTGGAATTCAGTGTTTTTCAAACACTTTTGACTGCCATCCATAACAGGGAATGCATATGTGATGTAGAATATATCAGAATATGTAAACTTATGTGGTTATATACTCTATGTCATCATATCTACAACATTTTTTTTTTTTTTGAGATTGAGCCTTGCTTTGTTGCCCAGGCTGGAGTGCAGTGGCACAGTCTTGGCTCACTGCAACCTCTGCCTCTTGGGTTCAAGCGATTCTCCTGCCTCAGCCTCCCAAATCGCTGGCACTACAGACGTGTACCACACGCCTGGCTAATTTTTTGTATTTTTAGTAGAGACAGTGTTTCACCATGTTGGCCAGCCTGGTCTCGAACTCCTGATCTCAAGTGATCTGCCCGCCTTGGCCTCCCAAAGTACTGGGATTACAGGCATGAGCCACCATGCCTGGCCACTCTACAACACTTTTGATTATAATACGCTACGTGATTTTTTGTACTAGAAAATAAAATAATTGCTGCTATTGAACTGTGCGCTATGCTAGTCATTCTGTGAGCTATTAATACTTGATTCCAGAGTTGTTAAAATGTGAAAAAAATTTCACTTTGATAATTTCTATCCTTTTTCATTTAAAAAAAGTGCTGGTCACATCCTACCAAATTCATTTTATGCCTTACTAGTGAGTTGTTACCCTTTAGTTTAAAGAATATTGATCCAGTGGCTCAATGTGGAGCCATGCATCCAATAAGGATGTTTGCACATTATGGAATATTTGTAAAAGGTGACTGCTTCCATCATATGCAAGCGAATTCTCATCACATTCCTAAGGATGTGCATTTTACAATGTTCTCTGACCACAGTGCAATAATAATTTGAAATCAAATATAGCTAAAATACCTGTACATATCATAATACATGTTGGGAAATTAAGCAACACATTTCTGAATAGTTCAAGGATAAAATTTATATTAAATATTAAACAATATTTAGAGCTTACAATGAGAAATTGAAAGTTGATAAACAAAACTGTCCAAAACAAGAAGATAAGAAACAGAAAAAAACTGTAAATGCAAGATAAATAGAAGAAAGGAAACAAAACTTTGAAGAATACAAATAAATGAAAGAGAAAAAGATATGAGAAATCAACAAAACTAAAAGCTGTTTATTTTAAGACTAATAAAATGGGCTTAACTCTGGTAAGATTGAATGAAAAAGAAAAGAAATGAGTGAAAGGTAATTAGAAGTGAAATGAGGAGTGTAATTAGTAATACGAGAAAATTTAGGAAATGAGACCATTATTTACAATTGTATGCCCATAAATTTGAAGACTTGGATGAAGTGCATAGTTTACTAGAATAACTTGCCATGAATGGTTTATGACCATTAAAGATGTTAATCCAAGACGGTAGTTCATGATCAGAGGTGATTTTGCACCCCCTCCCTTCCCTGGAGACATCCAGCAATGTCAAGAGACACTTCTGTTTGTCACAGTTGGGAATGGAGGTGCTACTGGTATCTACTGGGTGGAGGGCAAGAATGCTGTTAAACATCGTAGAGTACACAGGACAGCCCCTCACAGCAAAGAATTATCTGGCTCAAAATGTCAGTGGTGCCCATGGTTGAGAAACTCTGATCTAGGCCAGCAGTGGCTTTATGAGTGCTTTTATGAATGTTCAAGGATCAGATAATCCCAATCTCATGCACTCCATTCTACAGAAAAAGAAGGAAAGCTTCCTATATCATTTTGGGACTACTACTACTGTGATACCTAAATCAAAGGCAACAGAGAATTTATAGGTCAGTATCACTCATGAATATAGATACAAAAAGTCTTTAATAAGATATTTGCAAACTAAATCTCATTGTGTTTATATAAAAATAAATAAATAAATGAACATGCTCACCACATGTGTTTATTTTTGGAATCTAGGATGATATAATCAGAATGTTTATTATGTAATTTACCATGTTCATAAAAGGTCAGGAGTTCGAGACCAGCCTGGCCAACATGGCGAAACCCCGTCTCTACTAAAAATGTAAAAATTAGGTGGGCATGGTGGCAGGCACCTGTAATCCCAGCTACTTGGGAGGCTGAGGCAGGAGAATCACTTGAACCCGGGAGGCGGAGGTTGCAGTCAGCTGAGAGTGCACCACTGCACTCCAGCCTGGGTGACAAGAGTGAAACTCCATCTCAAAAAAAAAAAAAAAAAATTGAGAAGAAACCTATAGTATCTCTCAATACAAAAAGCATTTGGTAAAATTCAAGACAAGATAAAAACTTTTAGCAACCAGGCTGGGAATTGCTGATAAAGGTTATTTAACCTAAAATATTAATTGTAACTGGTAAATTAGGCAGACTCAGCCCATAAAAATCTAAAATGAAGATAAGGACGTCTGCTGTTACCACTTCTCCTTATTATTATACGTGATGTCCTACCCAGTATAGTAGGGCAAGCAAAAGAAAGAAAGGTACTGTATATGGATTGGGGAGGAAAAAAGTAACCATCATTGCTTGTGGATATTATAGTTTACATAGAGCTTTATAGATATTATAGTCAATATAGAGCTTTCCATAGCTCTACATAGAAAAGCTAAGGGAAGCCGGGCATGGTGGCTCACACCTGTAATCCCAGAACTTTGGGAGGTCAAGGTGGGCAGATCACCTGAGGTCAGGAATTCGAGACCAGCCTGGCCAACATGGCGAAATCCCCTCTCTACTAAAAATACAAAAATTACCTGGGCATGGTGGCGGGTGCCTGTAATCCCAGCTACTCGGGGGGCTGAGGAAGGAGAATCGCTTGAACCTGGGAGGTGGAGGTTGCAGTAAGCTGAGATCATGCCACTGCACTCTAGCCTGAGTGACAAGAGCAAAACAAAAGAAAAGCCAAGGGATTCTGCAGATACTATTAGAAGTAAGAAATTCCAACAAAGCTGCTGGGGATGGGTAGAAGTTTAATATACTAAAATCAAATGTATTCTTATATAATAGCAACACAGCAATACATTTTTAATTTTCATAATGATGTCATTTCTCATAGCAACAAACCAAAAGGAATAAATCTAATATAGGTATAATTCCTTCATGAAGAAAATTATAAAATGCTATTAAAATGATAAAATAAGATCTGAATAGAGAGAAATCTCATGTTCAGAGCTGGGAAGACAATCTAATAAGGATGTCATTTCTCCTTATATTAACCCTAATACATGCAATTTCACTAAGAATTCCAATAGGCTTTTTCCAGTGCAGTTGGTAAGCTCTGAAATGTTGATGGAGGAATAAAGGGCTAAGAATAGTCAAGATAATTTTCAAGAACAAGGTGCATATATATCTCAAAACTTCTAAAACTAGGGCAGTTGAGATTGTGATATTTTTAGGAACAAATAGACCAGGAAAGTTGAATAGGGAGTCCAGAAATAGTAACCACATATATGGAAATTGGATATGTGAGAGAGGTAGCATCACACATCAGGGAGGGAAATAATGATACCACCACAATTGGCTGTCTATATGGAAAAACTAAAATAAGTTTGTACCTCCCACATATACAAATATAAATTCCATGTGATTTAAGAAACTAAACCTGAAAAGAAAGAATTTAAACCTTTTTTTTTTTTTTTTTGAGACGGTGTCTTTCTCTTGTTGCCCAGGCTGGAGTGCAATGGCATGATCTCGACTTGCTGCAACCTCCGCCTCCTAGGTTCAAGAAATTCTCCTACCTCAGCCTCCTGATAGCTGGGATTACAGGCACCCACCACCACGCCTGGCTAATTTTTTGTATTTTTAGTAGAGACGGGGTTTCGCCATATTGGCCGGGCTGGTCTGGAACTCCTGACCTCAGGTGATCTGCCTGCCTTGGCTTCCCAATTACAGGCATGAGCTACCATGCCCAACCAAAACTTTTAAACAATAATATGAGACTCTCCATTTGACCTGGAAGTAAAAGAAAGGCTTTTGAATTTAAGACACAGAAAGCACAAACCATGAATAGAAACTTCAAAAAATTTAACTTCAAGCTGACTAAGAAGAACTTTGGGCACAGAAAACACTATATAAAACAACTGTATCTTGGTAATAGCTCTTCTGGGTTAACTTTTTTCAGGTAAAAGGTAGTTTCATGTCTTTCTAGTTCAAGAAAACTACAGTTTTTATAGTATTTGTTCTGTTCTGTTGCTTTGATTTAATTCCTTAGGGATTTATAATGTATGTGTATGTTGGCTCTTTTTTGCTTGTCATTTTTATCTAGTATTTTTTTCCACATCATTTTTATTTTTCATTTCTTTTTGATTAAAAATTTGCCCGGGCACGGTGGCTCACGCCTGTAATCCCAGCTACTGGGAGGCCGAGATGGGTGAATCACCTGAGGTCAGGGGTTCGAGACCAGCCTGGCCAACATGGTGAAACCCCATCTCTACTGGAAATACAAAAAATTAGCCAGGTGTGGTGATGGGCACCTGTAATCCCAGCTACTCAGGAGGCTGAGGCAGGAGAATTGCTTGAATCCGGGAGGCGGAGGTTGCAGTGAGCCGAGATTGAACCACTGCACTCTAGCCTGGGTGACAGAGCGAGACTCCGTCTCAAAAAAAATTTTTTTTTCCTCCTTTCCATCATTTAGTTCTCTAAAAGTATTAGCTTTGTTATTGGTTTTGCTATTTTAGTTTTTCTGATGTCTTTAAGGAGGAATTCAGGGAAATAAAAAAACTTTCACCACCAGTTTTTTTCTTTCCAGAAAACCGTGGAGTTTGTATTTCTTTTTACCTGGGTTCCTTTTACATTATGCTTTTATTTATCCCGGGAGATTTCTGGCATTCCAGTTAATTATACTTAGAGACATTGTAGTATTTTTAGATGTCAGTTGATCTTTGTTCATTTGATAAAGTACATTTTCAAAATGGAAACTTTCTGCTATATTTTTTAAAGAATAATGTGTGTATATAGTCATTTTGTGAGAGTTTGGATCTAATCCCAGGTTATTCTTCAGTGTGAATGAGGAGATATGGTATCAGAACTGAATAGATATTTATTACAGAGTAATTGATGTACCAGTCTCCTGAAAGGAGAAGCTTAAACTTTACATGTCCCATAAAGAGAGCATTCTTAGGGAATGAATTCTGCATTACAAAAGATGGCCATTTTTTTATCCAAAGCAAGGACAGATGTGATTTATTTCTGGTGAAATAAGTTCTTAGTGGTAAGTAAATCTCAGTACCTTTAAGTGATAAAGTCACCATGATAATGACACTAGTCCTTTAGTTCTCCAGTATGGGCAGTGCCATTCTTCCCAGATGCCATCATTAGAGATTCGTTACCCTCTTTAGGTCAATTCCAATAGTTCTTCAGCTTTTGTTTGAATACTTCTAGTACTGGGATTCTAATAACTTAGCGAGACCCAGTTTATGTTGCCCAGTCCCAATTTCAGAAAGCTTTTTAAATGGTTAATTGAATGGTTTACCTTTTTCTAACTCCTCTTTTATAGTCATTATTTTCTTAGCTAACACTTAGCAAGCACATAGTATGCTGGGCACTGTGCTAAGTGCTTCCCACAGATCACACTTCATTCTTGCAACATTGCCCTGAGGTAACATTATCATCCCCACTTTGTAGATGGGGATTTTAAGACTCAGAAAAGTTAGGGAGCTTTCCTAAGTTTCCAAGCTCATAAGAGATAGAGTATTCACACTCTGCCCTACTTGACTCAGAGCCTCTACTCTCAACCATGGGACCCATCTCCATTGTTCACAAGACAGATCTGCAGTGCGAGCTTATTGTGTTGTTTTGTCACCTCTTCCAAAGACTGAACATCCCCAGACTCTTCAGCTGTTCCTCATGTAGGAGGAAACCCACTCTCCTGGCCAACCTTGTCTGGACCTAAAGGTGTCCTGTTTAAAGCAGTGCCCAGAGGTGTCTTCTAAGTCATGTCATCAACAGAGAATATAGTAGACCTGCTATCTGACAGGTATGGAATTCACAGTAATTCCTACCAAAGCAGGTCAAGGTTGATTTGTTTTTAAAAGCTCCATCATGCTGTAGGCTCAGTTTCAGGTTTTTTTTTTTTTTTTTTTTTTGATGTAGTTTTTGCTCTTGTTGCCCAGGCTGGAGTGCAGTGTTGCAATCTTGGCTCACTGCAACCTCTGCCTCTTGGGCTCAAGCAATTCTCCTGCCTCAACCTCCTGAGTAGCCAGGATTACAGGCACATGCTTCCATGCCCGGCTAATTTTTTTCTATTTTTAGTAGAGATGGGGTTTCGCCATGTTGGCCAGGGTGGTCTCGAACTCCTGACCTCAGGTGATCCACCCGCCTTGGCCTGCCAAAGTGCTGGGATTACAGGCATGAGCCACCACGTCTGGAAAGGTTTCAGTTTTTGATCACCTACAATTGCTGGAGTTTTAAACCAATGTTAAAATTTATTTTTTTAAATGTCTTACTCTTCAAGCAGGGCCCATATCAGTATCTGCTAATACTCAAGGTTTCTGGATGAAGAGGGAGAGTAAAGAGTTCCAGAGCCTAGAGGGTGGGGAGGGCAGAATCTCTAAAAGAAATAAGGGATTAGAGACAAAGCAAGGGTTCTGTGGCACTGTGGAGGCTGAGGCACAGGGGGGTCCAGAGATGTCTTCAGTGTGAAGATGCTGGGTTATGGCCTGGCAGTACTTTGGGAAGGAGACAACTGATGATCAGTTGGAAACCTGCAACTGGAACGTGACTGAGGTGCTGGAAGAAAGATGGATTTGGGAGTGTTTTGCTTTAGGGCAATGACTGAGGCAATGTGGTGGATGGGTGAAGTAGCCTGGGATCATGAGGAGGAGAGAGGAACTGCTTTGGACTGAATTGTATTCCTCAAAATAAATATGTGAAGCTGTCACCCACAGTGTGATGGTATTTGGAGGGGGAGGCTTTGGGAGGTGGCTCAGTTTACACAAGGTCATGAGGATGATGAGGTGATGAGGGCAGGACTCTCGTGATGGGATTGTGCACTTATAAGAAGAGACACCAGAGGGCTTGCTTCTTCTCTGCCTCCACCCTCTGCACTGAGGAACGGCCGTGTGAGGACGCAGTGAGGAGGCAGCCATCTGGAACCCACGGGGAGCCCTCCCCAGACACCAACCCTCCCAGCCCCTGGATCTTGGACTTCCAGCCTCCAAAGCTGTGAGAAATAAATTCATGGTGTTGAAGTCCCCCAGCCTGTGGTATTTTGTTATGGCAGCCCAAGCAGACTAAGGAGGGGAAACGGCAAAGGACAGAATTTGGAGAATGACTTCTCTTGGGGTAGGAAGATGATAAGGAACTAGTGGAAGACATAGAGGTCAGAAAAGTTGAAGGGAATGTATTCATTTTCTCTGGCTGTTGTAACAAATGACTGCAAACTTGGTGGCTTCTAATAACAAGATCTATTTATTCTTTCACATTTCTGGAGACCAGAAGTCCAAAATCAGGATCGCTGGGCTGAAGTGAAGGGTCAGCAGGGCTGTGCTCCTGCAGAGGTGTAGGGAAGAATACTTTCTTTGTTTCTTCTGTTCTTGGTGGCTGCTGGCATTCCTTGGCTCATGGGCATATCACTCCAGTCTTTAAGGCTGGCATCTTCAAATCTCTCTCTACTTCTCCCTGTGTCAAATCTCCCTCCACCTGTCTCTTATGAGGACACTTGTGATGGCATTTAAGGCCCACCTGGATAACTCAGGGTCATCACTCCTGCTACGGTTCTGAAATTAATCACATCTGCAAAGATATCCACTGCAGCCCCTGCCTCAATCCTATTTGTTGCTTATTAAGGTAACGTGCACAGGTTCTAGGGATTAGGATGTGGAGCAAGGATTGTACAAGGATACAGAAAGGCAAATACAACACTTCAAGAAGGTGTGACCAGCGATGTTACATGCCAGCCAGGGTCAAGGCTGAGGAGACTGTTCATTGGAGTTGGTGTTTAGGATGTCACTTTGTGACTCTGCAGAGAACATTTTGTCAGAGTGGTAAACAAGGAAGCCAGGTTGCCAAGAGATGGGCATGAGCATTGGAGAAGGAAAGGGACTGTCAGCATAGTGCTGTCTATTGGAGAAGCCTGGCGGCACCTAGGGTTGTCTGACAAGGGTGTACGTGCGCATGTGTGCATGTCTGTATGAGCATGTGTATGTGTACATGCACGTGTGTGTGTATTTACAATAGAGTTGTTTGGAAATACAATGAATAACATTCATTTTCTCTTCCCAAGTTCAGAACCAGAGAGGAGTCAAACAGAGGGAAAGCAAAATATCAGCTTCATGGCTGAGAAACCCGGATTGGAGAATGGGGCTCTCAGTACAGCCACAAGGGCTTCTTGATGTTTGGTGCCTACGCTAGGCAGACTCAGTGACTTGACTGCTCCTCCAGGGACACGGGTCTACTTGTGGAATGACAGGTGCTGACTTGAGATCCCCTTTTCTGCAGAAGGCCAGCAGCAGAGAGATGAAGAGGGGGCTTTGCTACCCTTGTTCTTGGAACTCACCAGGCATTTTGATTTCTCCCCTGTTCTCCCCAAAGTCCTGCTCTGGGAGAGTTGGCTGCTCCCTGCTGAGGCCCTCACTGCTGTTTGTATGAACCACTGCCCTCCTATTTCCCCAGTGATTGGCAGAGTGCCTCCCCCACCCCTGACTACCATTCCCGCCAGCCACACTGTGAGCGCCTGGAGTGTGGGACCTGATCTCCTCCGTTTTGTCACCCACCCCTGGGGCACCGATTGCCTGGACCAGGTAGATGGGTAGTCAGGGTTTCTTGAATAAATGAATGAGGAAGTTGTCTCTCAAAGTCGTTATCCAGGGCCCTGTCTTTACTTTAGTAGTGTATTTCCGTTTCACTGATATTTGCATTTTGCTAGTATTAGGCTTTACACTGGTGGGAATGGCCACAACTGTGATTATACAAGGTCTAATTAGTCAGCCTTGAGAATAGCTGTGTAAAGAAAGCCAAAGTCATGAAGTTCTTAATTGTGTCAGAGGGAAGGATTGGGTTTTTTCATAGTTTGCTCAAGGCTCTGAAGAATTCAGTGGCTTTTCTTGTGGTAAATGAAATCCATCCTTCACCTTGATTTGTGACTTTTCTCCTTTATAAATTGCCGATATAGGCTGAGTGCGGTGGCTCATGCCTGTAATCCCAGCACTGGGAGGCTGAGGCTGGCGGATCACTTGAGGTCAGGAGTTCAAGACCAGCCTGGCTATCATGGTGAAACCCTGTCTCTACTAAAAATTAAAAAATTAGCCAGGTATGGTGGCACACACTTGTAATCCCAGCTACTCAGGAGGCTGAGGCAGGAGAATTGCTGGAACCCAGGAGGTGGAGGTTACAGTGAGCCAAGATCATGCCACTGCACTCCAGCCTGGGCAACAGAGTGAGACTCTGTCTCAAAAAAAAAAAAATTGCTGATGTAGGTAAAGTTTGATAACTTGATGGATATCCAGTGTATATAAATGCAAAGAGGCCGGGTACGGTGGCTCACCCCTGTAATCCCAGCACTTTGGGAGGCCGGGGCGGGTGGATCACTTGAGGTCAG
This sequence comes from Homo sapiens, assembly GCF_000001405.40. Classification (NCBI taxonomy): domain Eukaryota; kingdom Metazoa; phylum Chordata; class Mammalia; order Primates; family Hominidae; genus Homo; species Homo sapiens. The sequence goes on along the minus strand of NC_000002.12, from coordinate 134,690,156 downwards.
GAGTTGGAGACCAGCCTGGCCAACATGCCGAAACCTTGTCTCTACTAAAAATACAAAAATTAGCCAGGCATGGTGGTGCGTGCCTGTAGTCCCAGCTATTTCAGAGGCTGAGGCACGAGAGTTGCTTGAACCTAGGAGGTGGAAATTGCAGTGAGCCGAGATCACACCACTGCATTCCAGCTTGAGTGCCAGGGTGAGACTCTGCCTCCAAAAACAAACAAACAAACAAACAAACAAACAAACCGCAAAGGAGCAAGTTGACTTTTACTTTTGGGCTCTGCATGCCGTTCTTTGGAGAAACCACATTTTTGATGGGGACCTATATTTGCTTGGGTGTTTATTTGAAATAAAGTTAAAATGTGTAACTTTGTGGTACATTTGGCTGTTAAAATTTAGGAAGCCATAACATTTGGTCATAAAAGCACAAGCTATTAGTTTTTCTAACTGTATCTTTTCCTCTGAACTCATTCATGTGCACTAGGGAGAGATGAACTGTGAACGTTTCCCCCACCTCTCTCATCTTGTTTTCCTCAAGGAAGCCCCATCCCTGAAGCAGGCCTCCCTGGAAGTTTCTGGACCTCTGAGTTCCTTTGAGTGGCAGCAGGCCTCTCAGGAGTGGGCAGTTGGAGAGGATGTCACAGTGCTAGTCATTTGGGGAAGTGAGCTGAGTCCCTAGACCAGTGCTGTCCAATAGAAACAAAATATAATTCTAGTCACAAATGTGACTCTCATGTGTAATTAAAAATTGTCTCCAGGCATGGTGGCTCATGCCTGTAATCCCAGCAGTTCGGGAGGCCGAGGCAGGCAGATCACCTGAGGTCAGGAGATTGAGACCAACCTGACCAACATGGTGAAACCCCATCTCTACTAAAAATACAAACTTAGCCAGGCGTGGTGATGCATGCCTGTAATCCCAGCTACTTGGGAGGCTGAGATAGGAGAATCGCTTGAATCTGGAAGGCAGAGGTTGCCGTGAGCCAAGATCATGCCATTGCACTCCAGCCTGGGTGACAGAGCGAGACTCCATCTCAAAAAAAAAAAAAAAACAAAACAAAAAACTTAGGCACTCCATTAAACAAAGAAGTAAAAAGAAACATAAAATTAATTTTGCTGATATTTTTATTTATCCCAGTATATCCAAAATATTATACTTGGTAATAAAATATAAGAATTATTGAGATATTTTACATTCTATTTTTCATGTGAAATCTTTGGAATCCAGTGTGTGCTTTACACATGGAGTACATTTCAGTTTGGACTAGCCACTTAGCCACGTTTCATGTACTCAGTACCTACATGTGGCTAGTGGATACCATAGTTCCAAAGAGAGTGTGCGTGTGTGGTAGCAGGGAGGAGGGAGTGGGGCGGTGTGTCTGAGTCCTGAAAGGAAGATAATCTGTTGCTTAGTATTATAAGACATTAGAACAGGATTAATACTTTGATGAAGATTGAAGGTCATTTCTTCCATTGCTGCTCAATGTCTGTTGCAGGAAATATGTAGAGTGTCTATGAATGTCTCCAGTGGAGAAATAGTTACAGCTGAGGGATTTGGGTGGTGGGAGAACTAAAATTATTTCTCTTCCAAACTCCAAGTAATATATTACCTAATTACTCTTTCCTGTTTAGGAATATTTTGAAGATTAATATATTCCCCGGTAGAAGGACTGAGAGAATCTAGGAATTTGTATAAGGAGGAAATTTATAAGGACTAGAGAGATTATTTCTAATTTGTCATAGGTCGATTATTGACTTTTTATGTGTATTCGGTACACCCACCAAGGTGACATTCATTTTGATTTGTTTTCTGGCAGCCGACCTTTGAACCTCTTCATGAGTTTGGAGACACCCACCATTTGTGTCTTGGTGGGAGGGGAAGCAGGGCTCTGGGAGGCTGGAAGAAACTTATTTCTCAAGATGCTTGCAGCTCGGGCCGAGGCACATAACTGAAGCAGAACCAGTGAGAAGCTCCTGCTTGGGGTTGTGAGTCTGGCAGGAGTGTCTTTTGAGGTTCCTTCGCATTGGAGATGACAGCAGTGTCTGGTGCGCAGTGGGGAGCTTGCTGCGCAGCCAGAAGTCAGGTGCCTTGGTGTTGAGCGGCCGGTAGTGGCTTTGTTATTGGAGTGGTCTGGCCATGCTCTCTGCTGTGTTTCCAGTATCTGGCCTTCCTTGGTTCCTATGCCCTTCCTGAGCTTGTTTTGCCAGTCTTCCAGTCAGCTGAACTCAGAACTCTTCCCCATGTAAATCCCTTTTCTGTTTGTTAATTAGAGTTGGTGGGTGCTGTTGGCAACCAATAATTAAGCTCCTTAAGTTTGGGAATTGTCTTGATACTTTTATGTCATCCCATGGTGCCTTGCATAGAGTTAAACATTACATTATTGGTTGATAAGCTAGGTTCTGCCTTTTACCACACTGATGTCTTTTCTGATGAAAAAGTCCAGGGTATCTAAGTAGGGTGCTGGTCACAGTATGTGATTTATAATGAATTAACCTCCACTTGGAATAACTTTACTGAGCTGTTACCTGAATCATGCATTGCACAGTTGAATGGCATTTAAGAACGAGTTTTGCCACCTTCGCCATATTCACTTTGTCACAGCCACACTGCATCACTTTTAGAGAGGCCTCTGATGTTCAGCATTTTCATGACATTGTTGAAATTGTATATGCAGATGAATATACATTCATTGTGCATTGTTATTAAACTTATACATATTTTAACATTGATTTTGTTTATCAGCATAATATGTGCTCATGATTTAAGTGAAATAGTGCTAAAGTTGATCACAAAAAACAGATCCCTGTGGGTCCTTTTCCCTCTCTCCACCTCCCATGGCTACTTCTTACCCGAGAAGCAACTCTTCCCAACATTTTATCTGTGCTTTTTTTGTCAACCCCATTTCTAAAAGCCATCACGTTTTGGCATTTCTGTGGACCTATTTTAGCAAGTGGAGATTTTTACTCTCTTCCTTTCTGGGAGATGATTCTTCCTGGGTCTCACACATTTCTGGCCATCTTGCAAGTAGAGGTACTAACTCGCTTTCTTTCTGACTACTTTTTCAAGGATGTTTGTATAGTCTTGGATGATATAGTGTCTTCCGCCAGAGCAAAAGGCAGTTTGCTTATAGCTTTGGAAGATAGAGATGTTATGGGCTTATTGCCCATTGTGAAAAAATCAGCTTCCCTAAGCTTGGGTTCCTCTCCTGTAGTGTAACTCACTGTGTCTGCAATTTTCATCTGCACTTCTTTGGATGGCCAGGGGAATGGGGACTTAGGAAACCAAGGCAGAAATGCTGATTCTCTGGCTACTACTATTGCTGTGAGTAATAAATCGCCCTTTGTCTCTGACCCAAAAATCTCATGTCTTCTGCCAGCATTCATGAAACTGGCTGACTAACTTGTTACCTTGCAAGTAGGGTAAAATCTCTGATCCTTCACAGCTTTTCACTTCCACGCCTCCAAATTTCTTAGTATTACAATCTTTGGTTAAATTTGTATCAAATGTATTTATAATTTTTACTGCATAAAAATTGTATCATGATGAGCCGAGTAGCATGCTATGATTCTACCTCCTTTTTGGCCCCATAAGTCAATCACTGCCTTTGAAAAATTTTTAGTTGGTGAGTTTTCTTTTACTCTGGTCAAGTAGTCCCTTGCTTTTTGACAGCTCTATAATACAGAAAACACAACTCACGAGTCAGCTGTCATATAACCTAGCAGTTCTTTCTTTTGACTGGGGTTCTGCCCCTGGAAGCCACCACCATCCTGCTTTAATATGTACGGATTGCTTTTTAGGCTCTAGGCTGCATGGTTGAGCCCGGGGGCAGGCTTCGCAACCCATATTCATGGCCTCCTCTCCCTTCCTCCACCTGCTGTGGAGGTTGGATAAGCCGTTCACTTAAAAAGCTTTTACCTTTTCTTTTCCCCAGCCTTTCCTGCAGTCCAGGTGGCTATGGAAAACTTCTGGCAGGTGAAATGTGAGTAGAGGCTTATCAGGCTGGGGTGGGGAGGGCAGCTGGGTTCAGGGAAGGTTTGTCCTTTTTTGATAAAAGAGACAAGTGGACCCAGATGCCACTCCTTTCCTCCTGGCTGGACTCTGGGTATGACACCAGGACCTGTGGCAGCCATTTCTGTGACAGGACAGACAGGTATATGGCTGGCAGAGTCTTTAAATCAAGCTATAGCTGAAGATAGTCTTGTTCTAGACATTTGTTGGTGTGTGTGACATGAGTGAATACATTTCCTTTTTGCTTAGGCCATTCGGGGTTGGAATCTCCATTTCTTGTAATGAAAAAGTACAAGTGAATGCAAAACCTATTTGCTGTCCCTAAGTAGGTAATGGAGAGTGTAATCATACCCAAGAATCTATGAGGTGGTCATTTCAGAAAATGGGTTTAATGATGATTGTATGTTTTATTTTTGGACAGAGAATTCTTAGTTTTGGTGGTGTTTCTTCCATGTTCCCTTTGTAAGTTTTATAATGATTGCATAAAATGCTGATGGGGGCAAGTGGGAAAGCAGGAGCTGTGGTGACGGGTTCTCCAGATCTAATTAGGCTAACCTTGGACCTTACAGTGACTTTTCTTGAAAGTACCTTATTTTATAACTCAAATAGTAACATTATGCTAAATTATGCTTTATTACTCATAAATAATTCATGTCCATAATTTAGTATTCCTAGCATTCTGAATTGCTTCACTTAGCAAAGAGCAAAATTGCTCTCCCAAAACTGCTCATGATAAAAAGACTTCAAGTTACAGATCCAATTATTGGTTTGTTGTTTTCTACCTACTCACAGCTCTTTCTGGATTAGAAATTAATATGCTATTAGGATATTATGATGACTTATATAAAGCAAGAGAATTGTGAGTGGTGGGTTTATAGTGGAAATCTAGAGCAACTAAATGGGAATTTTAGAAACAGTTATTCTTAAGGGTCAGACATCTTTAAGATGCAATGAGTGGCTTCAGAAGCTGACTCAGCCAGGATCTTTAAACGTTAATACTGTTTGACCCTTGAGAGAAGACATATTCTGTCAATTACCTTGTCAACTCAGCACCCAAGGGAGGGTTTGGAGAAGTAGTTCCTTTTTAATCTTAGTATAACATCAGCAAGGTGTGGACATGAAGTTTGAGAGTTAGGTGGGAGAGGATGGACGTTCTTGGAGTGCCGTGTTTGTGTAGGCCATTCTCTTGGGAGCTAATTCATTCTGCTTTTTCTTTTTTTTTTTTTTTTTTGAGACAGGGTCTTGCTCTGTCTCCCAGGCTGGAGTGCCGTGGCACAATCTTGGCTCACTGCAACCTCCGCCTCCCGGGTTCAAGCAATTCTCGTGCCTCAGCCTCCCTAGTAGCTGGGACTACAGGTGCCCACCACCACACTGGCAAATTTTTGTATTTTTAGTAGAGATGGAGTTTCACCATGTTGGCCAGGATGGTCTCAATCTCCTGACCTCATGATCCACCTGCCTCGGCCTCCCAAAGTTCTGGTATTACAGGCATGAGCCACCTCGCCCGGCCTGCTTTTAAGGTATCTCTCTGTGTTCCCAAAACACTGAGGGTGTGGGGCTCCATCCTATTCTTGTGCCCTTTTATTTGATACCTCTGAAGTGCAGCCTCATTAGCTGATAGCTCAGACTCCGAGGTGCCCCTTGCTCATGGGGTTCCCTCAGAAGAAAACCTCTTCCCATTGTCCTTGGCCTTGGAGAAACCTTCAGCTCCTTCAAGGCACCACCTGAGCCTTCACTCATGCTCGCAGAATTATTAATAATTACCATCCCACAGCACTGCTGCCTGTGGTTTTAGCTGGGGCTCATTTTGCCTGTAGGTGGTAGTTGGGTACGTCTGTAACCTTCACTAGTGAAGCCTCTCGATGGTAAGGTTTATGCTTGATACATCTTTTCATTTACTCGCAGATAGAAGGTGCTCACTTCAACATTTGTTAAGAGAATCAGGGGAGTGGTATATATCATCAGGCAAAGACCAAGAGCTGTTTGTTTGTTCTGTGACCTTGAACAAGTCACTAAACCTTGTTATAGGTCTTGCTTTCCTCATCAGTAAAGCAAGATAATAGTACTTACTTCCAGGACATGGTGAGTATTGGTCCTAACACATGCAACTGCTTAGGTCATTTTAGCACAAATAAATGGCAGTGATTATCATTAGTCATTGCTGGTAAAATGCCCATTTTACTGCTTTGAATTGACCAGAAGTTAAACTGTACCCTTCAGAGGCCTCTATAAATTGAGGGCATATTATGTCCATAGTCACCAGTGCTAAAAGTGTTTGTTCTGTGTTTCCCCCAATGATGACCTTGGTGTTGACGTGTCAAGTTCAGGGAATTGCAGAAATGAGTCACTCTAGTTGCTATCATTGCCCTTTTGCCTGTTGCTGGCCATATTTGTTTTCATAGCAAAATCTGATAAACTTCTTCCTCCTTCCCTCCCAGCGTCTACTAAACACCTGCTATTGAGCCAGGGTCTGTGGTGGAGACAGAGGAATGAGTAAGGCCTGTCATTCAGCATGCCCAGTAATCAGCATGACTTATTATGGATTTAGTCAGCAGAGTTGCAGAACCACTAATAAGCAGAAATTTAGGTAATAGTGTCAAGTTATTCATGTTTTGTAATTGCCACCCCTGTTGTTTGCTCTATGATCAGAAAAGTTGTTCTGGTGGTTTATGGCTTCACAAATGAGTTTAGTTTAGGTTTCCATTTTCTTTTCTTTTTTTTTTTTTTAAATTAAAGACTTTTTTAGAGCAGTTTTAGGTTCACAGCAAATGTGAGAGGAAGGTACAGAGATATTCCATATACTCTGCCCCCATAAACACATAGCTTCCCCCCGTTATCAATAGATCCCACCAGAGTGGTGCATTTGTTACACTTGATGAACCTACACAGACACATCATTATCACCCAAAGTCCATTATTTACATTAGGGCTCACTCTTGGTGTTGTACATTCTGTGGGTTTGAACAAATGTACAATGACATGTATCCACCATTATAGTATCATGTAGAGTATCTTCACTCTCCTAAAAATCCCATCTTTCACCTATTCATCTTCTCCTCCCTTTAGGTAACCTGTTTCTATAGTTTTGTCTTTTCCAGAATGTCATACAGTTGAAATCATACAGTATGTAGCCTTTTCAGTTTGGCTTCTTTCTCTTTGCAATATGCGTTTACGGTTCCTCCGTGTCTTTTCCTGGCTTGATAGCTCATTTCCTTTTGGCACTGAGTAACATTCCATTGCCTGGATGTAGCAAAGTTTATCCACTCATCTACTGAAGGACATCTTGGTTGCTTCCAGGTTTTTGGCAAGTGTGAATAAAGCTGCTATAAACATCTGTGTGCAGGTTTTTGTATGGACATAAATTTTCAACTCTTTTGGGTAGATACCAAGGAGCACAATTTTTGGTAAGAGTGAGAAACTGCCAAACTGTCCTCCAAAGTGGCTGCACCATTTTGTATTCCCGGCAGTAATGAATGAGGGTTCCTGTCGCTCCACCTATTCATCAGTGTTTGGTGTTGACAGTATTCTGGATTTTGGTCATTCTAATAGGTGTGTTATGGTAGCTCGTTGTTTTAATTATATTTGTAAGTGTGAGAATGAAGAACTCTCCCAAGGCTCTTCACGCTCTTAGCCTGTGGTGCTGTAGACTTGGGCCTACTTTCTCATTAGTTTTCTTTCCGTATAAAGGGATGGCCCCTACTCACCTCAGTTTACTGAGGATGCTGCTGACACAAGAAATGGTCAGCAGACTGAGACACAGCTTTGACCCTGCAAAATAAGCTGAGCATGACCTGTGTGTGTTCTTGGCCTCTCCCCAAACAAGAAGAGAAGTTGCAGCTTTGTGAAGTGATAAGGGAAAGTGAATAAAAATGTATGAGAAAATCCCCCTCCCTCAGCCTTTCTCAACCTGGGTTCTGCAAGAGATGTAAGCTCTAATACCCTGAGAAGAGTGTTGTATGTGATGGATTAACCGCAGTCCCATGCATCAAGAATAGCAGTAGCCATGTACCATGCCTGGGAGAATTGAGAAAACTCACACCAGTCATTTTCTGTGCTCTGTAGGTCAGATGAGGCATCCCAATTGAGAAAGGCTGAAAGACTACGTAGGATCCTTTGGGTTAATTGAATGCAGATTCTGTATTTGTTTTCTTAGGCATCTCTTAATTGCGTGTTTGCTGTAGTAAGATTTCTGCTGTGTGTAATGTGTGTCCCCCTCCCCCAAGCCAATTGTTTTAGAAGTTTCCTTTGAATCTGGGTTCTAAATGTACATTTGTGAAAATATGCCTACTTCCAAGGTGCTTTGGGGTATGTGAAAACTAAATTGGCAGTAGGTGGGCATCAGGCTGTTTTGTTTCTTGAAGAAGGTGCTTGTTGGTGACCTGTTTATTTGTCCATTCCACACACCCTGATTGAAGTTGCCATGTGCTGGGAACCAGGGTCATCAGGAGGAATGCAGTGTGGGATGATTTGTAAACCAAGAGTATACTGTCTCCTGGAGGTGATGCTCTGCTAAAAGAAGGCATGATAACCTGTGTGACTTATAGAAGCTGAGTGGTAGGACTTACAGACGGAGGCTTCTATTCCTGTTTGCATGGGATGTAGGGGGTTGGGGCAGAAAGAGAGAGAAAGAGAAAGAGTGGGGGGTAGAGAGAAAGAGGTTTTGTGTGTGTACGCTGTGGGGCAAGAAGGCAGAGTTCTTCAAAGGCCTTTGCATCTGGGCAATTGCCAGTGGTTGGCTGAGCTTGACCGGGACACTGGAATGCGGTTTGTGTGGGAAGAGCTGTGAGGCTGAGCTGGAGAAGAGGGTAGGAGGCAGGTAATGCATAGCCAGCCTTCCCGGCATGGAACTGAGACTCTATCAGTACCCATCGGGGTCACCAAAGGAGGTCAGACTGGAGAGAGGCATGACCAGACGTGCCTGTCAGAGATGGCCACGGTGACCCTTTGCAGTGGGGTGCACTGCTGGGTGGCTGTGTTGGACATTTGGAGAAAGGAGAGGCTTCTATGAGCCGGCAGTATAAGTTGGATGGAGGGAAGAGGATGACTTGGGAAATGATGGGAACTATTAAGGCACCCTTGAATGACCCAAGAATCTCAGGCAGTTGATCCAAGTGGTTATAAAGATGGGTGGCGGCTCCATCCTGGATTATTGAATGTGTGCTATTGAACTACTTTTATTCCAATAGTTTCCAGAGGTTGAGAAGCTCATCTTTACGCTTACTGTGTGCCAGGCAAACTAAGCTCTTCATGTGCTTTTGTGTAATTCTCATGACAACTCCACAGAGAAATGGAGGTATGGAGAGGTTAGTAACTTGCCCACGATCACAGCTGACACGTGGCGAAGCTGGGCTTGAACCCCTCTCTGGCTCCAGTGCCACAGTCCAGCCTTTCTCAACATGTCCTCATTATAAACCCTGTCTGTCCCAAACTTTCTGAGACTCTGAGCAGGGATGGGGGCCGTCCCTACTCCTTTGACCTGGCCAGGGAGTGGGTAACTGCCCAACATACAAAGTAGCTGTCAGAAGAACTGAGAGAACCTTGCGCATTAATGTGGTCCATAATGAGCCCTTGGGGATATAACACTAGAGGAAAATTACAGGTTTTGATGATTTAGTTAATAAGAAAGTGAAAGATTTGTGAGAGGTGGACATTTAGTCAAGTTTGACCAGTAACTTTAAAGGTTCGTTTTTTTGTTTGTTTTTGAGACAGGGTCTAGCTCTGTAGCCCAGGTTGGAGTACAGTGGTGCGATCTCGCCTCACTACAGCCTCCATACAGAGCTTTTTTTTTTTATAGGTCTCATTTTTGTGTGTTAAATCCTTTCTTTGATTTTAGTCTTTTAATTTAATCCTTTTATCTATCCCTTGAGGGTAAATATTTATTTAAAATGAAAATTTCATGAAAATAGTAATTAATTATTTAGAAAACAATGAAAAATTCTCTTAAGACCTCATTTAAGATTTTTTGCTCCAAAACATTATGTAGAAAAACTTCTTTTCTCATGCAGCCATTTACGTAGTTAACAGGCTTCTGAACAGTCAGGGTCTTGCCTTAGCAGCCTGACTTTCTCAGCCATCATGCCACCTGGCCCAGAGCCATGGAAACTCAGGTTGCCTGTATTTTCTGAGCCTTCTGTATGCCTGGATTCCTTGGTATTTTTGTTGGAATTAGCACTTACAGAACAACTTAAAGTACGTTTATTCTGGCAGGTATAGGGTGGAGCCATTAGGGTTGCTGGGGAAGCCGGTGTGGTTAGAGAAGGAAGTCATGGCTGAGTATCTGGGCAGGGTGGGCGGGGACCTTGTGGGTGAGCTCATCACTTCCCCATAATTCAGCTGTGGGGTGGTGGTGGGAGCTGGCGACGAAGGTCTGGGATGTTTCTAGGCAGGGCACCTCTTACTAGCTTTGTTACCTTGTGTAAGATTGAGTATCTCTGCGTCTCTTTGGTCATTTGTAGAATGGGTTTAGTTATCCCTATCTTAAGTCCTTTCCAGGATTAGGTGTAAGAATCAAATAAAATGTCTTCGAAAGCTCCTGGGAAGCTCCTGAATGCATCTTACCTTTTTGCAAGCACTTACTTACAAAGTGCTCTTCCTTCCAACCCAGAGCACTGCGTCGCTCACTTCTATCACTCTGGTGAATTGTTCTAAGTGTAAATTCTCACAGGGGCCAGGCAGGTGTGAAAATGATTGAAGTGGGTGGCCTAGGCAAGGCCATGACATATATCTGTCACCTACTTGAAATGCCAGTCTTGTTTTCATGGAAGGAAATCTTTCCTGATCTTATGATGCATGATGTAACGTGCATGAGTTTGTCCTAGAGTCATGGAACAAACACATGAGGCCAGACATATATGTATAGTCATGTACACATATTCATGAACCGCAGGGCTGCTGTTCAGTGAGTGCGCCCCAGCATGGCTCCGCTGATTGTTAAAACACCACTTGGTAATCAGCCACTGCCCAAGCCCCTTACCTCCATCCTTGTGTCCCCCACCCCAGATCCTCTGGATGTCCCTATCAGCCAGCAGCTGAAAGGGCTGAGGCCTGGCCTGGTCTCTGGGACCTTCCCTAGGCCAGGGACAGACACTGTGCCTTATGCCTGACAGGGGCCAGAGCTCTGCTCGTTGTTAAATATGTTGATTGTCACCTCTGTGGACAAATCCATTATTTTCATACACATAGGTAGATATTGGAAGAGATTTTCTGCTTGGTGAAAGACTGACATTCAGCAGTTGAATTAATAGCTGTTCTCACATACAGGAGCCTCATTAAAGTGTAGCTTATCCACTTGAAGTTAGAACAAAATAGCTTTATAAAAATTCAAATTTTAAAGCAATGAAAAACCAATAACTTGAGATGATTAATTTATTCTGCAGACATTTATTGATCACCTGCTTTGTGCTTGGAAAAATAATACAAATGTGCCAGGGCTTGCTATTGCTTTTGGTACTTGCAGCCCAGTCGACCTGGGGAATGGGAAAGGACTCCCCAGGCTGACACAGCTTATGAGTAGCAGAGACGGGCCTTGAGCCCAGGTCTGAAGATTCCAGGGCCTCTGCTCTGACCTTCAGCCTCCCTCTCAGCGGATATGTGGAAGGAGAAGGTGGAGATGGCACAGTCCTTTCCTCATCCTGGTGGGAGGATTTATATGTAAACTGGGAAAGTCCCTACAATTGTATTTTATTTACAGAAAGACAAAAGCCTTTTCCTGTTTTTCTTTTCTGAGACCATTTGCAACCCTAAAGTCTGAAAAGGCAGCCAATGAGAATAACAGATTCACGTGTTTCCACGGGCTTGAGAATGAGACAGGGCGTACTGCCACTGCTTTGACCTTGAGGCTCAACAGCCATCTGCCTGGATTTACACAGTGAGATTGCTCCCTGTCCTGGCGCTCGCACCCCTCGGATGTAAAGCCTCGGAGTTCCTGCAGTCACTCTGTGGCTCCCTTTACCCGTGGGTGTTTGCAGCTGGACTCAGAAATGGAGCAGATGTGATAAAAACGACTTTAAATAGCCCAGTGCAGTCCAGGAAAATGGACGTTCTGGAGCAGAAGCAGCAGAATCAATTAGCTAGGGTCGATCTGCTTCCCTGAGACCGGAAAGAAACCAGGACAAAGAGTGCACTGCAGGTTGTGTTGGGCATTGCTGGCACGCCTTCGTTTTTTGTGCTTGGCTGCGGGTGGGCTTACTGGAACGTGGAGGGGTGTCTCCTGGCCAGAGTCTCTCCTTACTGTCAAACTGTATGTGGAGAACTCATGGCCTCATTAGGTCGGTCCTATGTATCCAATGACATTGGAAGAACTGCTGCCCATTTCATTAGGAACTGTTGACACAGGGGTACATTTATTTAAGAAGACAAAGATTACAGAGTTAATTACTACAAAATAATATTATAGAAGTAACACATCATTTTGGAAAAAATGGGAAATAATCCTCTACTCTTCTGTATCTCAGGGACAGCCATTTTAATATTTTTTGTTCATTCCTACAATCTTAATCCATTTTAAGAAACGTATAGCTATGGTCATATTATAGATAGAGTTTTTATACACTGCTGGTCTTGGGTGACTTTATTACAAAAAGACTTTTCAGAGACAGAAAGTACCTTCCCCCTGCTCCCCGCAAGAGGAATTTAACTTTTTTCTTTTGCTTATAAAAGCAATACATGGCTTGGCTTAAAAAAAATCCAACTATATTGAAAGCCAGTAGTTTCTTTATGATTCAAAAGGCCACTGCCACTTTTATTTTTGTCTTCTCCATGCCTTTTCGTGTGTGGATTGCATAAGCTTTTTTCTGTAGTCTTTCTCTTATAAGGAGTGGGATTTGGTTCTGAGGGAGGGGGTCTGGCAAGATCAGTTGCTGACACTTCAGAGACGCCTTTAAAAATAGCTCCATGTCGCAGGCCAGCGGGCCTCACTGCTCTGCAGCCTCCGTCCCAACGTGAGGGTCTGAAACCTCTTCAAAGCCATAATTCTCTGCACGCCAAAGCCACGAGGTCTGCGGAAGGAAGCGAGAAGAGCAGGGTCGCCGGAAGCTGACCTGCTTTGATTTGGAGCATCACAAGTTACACTCAGGGAGTGTGGACATTTTCATAGTGTTTTATCTCTCTCTCTCGGGTGGGCTGCATCTGGTTAAAATGTCTTCTGCAGAGAACTGTAGAAGAAAAGCTGCTGACAGAAAGCATCAGTACAGACTCTTGTATTTTTTTCCTGCCCTATTTATGGTGGTTTATCAGTTGGTTCTACAAGATAATCATGAGGGTAGTTAATTTTCTCATTTAGCACTGGCTCCTATGGTGCTTATCCATTAAGGTCTGTTCGTCTCAAATATTTTTATGTTTAGATGTATATGTATGATATTGTATGATATTGATTCCATTTATGTGAAGTCTTGATTCTATTTATGTGAAATATCCAGAATAGGTAAATGTATAGAGGCAGAAAGTAGACTAATGATCGCCTAGGACTGGGGCTGTTGAGGGACCGTGAGAGGTCACTTCCAAGGACTTCCAAGGACAAGAAGAATGTTTTGGGGCAGAGGAGTGATGAAAATGTTCTAAAATTAAGTCTGCTGATGGTTGTACAGTTCTGAATACACTAAAAACCATTGAATTGTACACTGGAAATCAGTGAATTGTATGGTTCATAAATTGTATATCAATAAAGATGTTAAAAAATATGAATATTTATATATATATCTATATCTACTGCAGTACTAAACAATGCAGCCAGTGTATCACCCATTGGAAGGGCATGTCCCTTAAAGAGAGAACAGACATGTAAGAAACAACACTTTACCCATAGGAATGAGTGGAGATTCAGGCCTCTGAAGATTATTTTTTATATTTCTGAGAAAGGATGGAGGGCTACTCAATAGTGCACTGGAGTGGGCTGGCTCACAAGAGCTGATGGTTACATTTTCAGTATTTTGCAAGCTAATTGACGTCAAGTTGGTAGCTTGAAATTGGCAATGGGGAGAGTGTATTTACACCATAGAAATTGGCAAATGCTGCAAGTCGGGGCCTTTTTTCCTCCCAGAGAGCCAGTGAAACATTGACCATCATGCCACTGGCCCCATTCTGTTGTACCTTATGTCGCAGGTCAGTTTTACTCCAGGCAATTGAATTAAGAGCTGAGCTTAGGAGAACTGTCTTGATGTGGGGTGGGGTGCTCAGGAGGGCTGACTGTGAAATCTGCTAGGCTCACATTCCCTCCACCAGGAAGCATCTGGCTAGCTAACATGTCTATTTAGGGTTGGGGTGCTGACCTGAAGGGCCTCCTGTTTTGGGGGAGTTATGCTCTGTGGATAGTCTGCTAATCATCAGTGATTGCTTTTGCATGGCCTTTCTGCTTTTGAGAAAGAAAAATTTGATTCCTAAATCCTGGGACCGGATTTGTTCATTAGTGCTGCTGTTTCACTGGAGGCTGCCCTGTTGGGAGCTCTGGATGAAATTTGCAACAGTAACTTGTGAAGCTAAGCAACAGAATCCACCTTACTTCTTATTCATCTTCTTTAATTTATTCAATCTGATTTAGGCTTAGATATCTAAAAGTCATTTTTTTTTCAGACAGGGAATATCTGAATTATTCATATCCTTCTCATATTATGAGCTGAGCATATCGGTCCCTTGAGAAATCATTGCCACATATCTTACTGCTGTTCCCGTGTGTTACTTTGTCAACATCTCTGAGTGAGATTAGTCATTAGATGGTCAGGCACACTGGAAATTGTGGAAATAATAAAGGTTTTGAAAAACCTCAGGCGATACAAGTGGCTAAAGTTTAAACCCAGATATAAATTCTCCTTATGCCTACATGGTTTAGATTTCTTTCACTTGTTGATTATTTTTTATTAAAAGGAAAAGTCACTGCATGATCTGAGTGTTTTATTATAGTTTACTAATATTTGGTGTGTATTTTTTCCTTCTGTAATGATCAAAATGAAATTTTAACAGGAAACTTTCCTGAGAATGGATCCTTCCCCAAAATGGAAACATTCATGTGTTTCTTTTCGATAATACATATTGTAAAATTCAATCAGTACATAAAAAGTAAAAGTGATGCTTAATCCTGTCAACCTGAATAAGAAACAGAGAGAGAGGCTCTCTAAATGAAAAAGATATTTACTCGGAAATGAGCTTTGCCATGGGAGTACACTTGCCATAGCAAATTATGTACGTATTCAGGGAGGTGAAGGAACACAAAGGTTTTTTAAAGGAACATGAAGAGGGTGACATAATTGTTTTGAGATAAGTAGCTTTGGCTACAAAGATCAATAACAAGGGTAGTGCCAGTCTGAGGTTGGATAGGCAGTTGCTGGGTAGATGTCCTTGCAGAGGTATTTTTAATGTAAGGTTGTGAGGGCCTTTGCGCAAGATTGTGGTTTTTGCAGTCGTTTGTGATCATTTTTGTTATTAGGCAGACAAGCATGAGAACCCTCTCTTCATGGCCTTCTTTGGCTCTATTTGTCAGGTTTTGTTTTTTTTTAAACATTAGTCGGCAAGGCGCAGTGGCTCACGCCTGTAATCCCAGCACTTTGGGAGGCCGACGGGGGCGGATCACGAAGTCAGGAGATTGAGACCAGCCTGGCCAACATGGTGAAACCCCTTCTCCACTAAAATACAAAAAATTAGCCAGATATGGTAGCGCGCGCGCGCGCGCGCGCGCGCCTGTAGTCCCAGCTACTTGGGAGGCTGAGGCAGGGGAATCTCTTGAACCCGGGAGGCGGGAGTTTCAGTGAGCTGAGATTGTGCTACTGCACTCCAGCCTGGTGACAGAGCGATACTCTGTCTCAAAAAAAAAAAAAAAAAAAAAATTAATGACTCTATTTTGATTTTGACAACGTTCACATCCTACCCTCCAGAGATGAGTGTGAGATACTTTTTATAAAGCTGGGCTGATACCTGTGATGTAATGTGTTAAGTGCAAAAGGCAGGTTAGAGAGCAGTGTGTATAGTATGATGTGATTTATGTACAGAAAGTATACTCTCAGATATGGGAGAATTTATACCCTTGACAAAAGTATGTGTTTGTTCACATAAATGAGGAATAGACCAATAGCCACTTTTTCCTTCTTGATAGCAGTGAGGTACTTCATTGTACATATGCACCATAATATATGGAACCAGTCTGCTATTTGTGGATGCTCAGGAGACAGTTTTAGAATTCTAAACAGTTATGGAATGAAAATGTACAACATTCTGATTCCGTATAGTAATTTGTATTAGTTTCTTATTGCTGCTGTGACAAATGACCACAAACTTAGTGGCTTAAAACCGCACAAAGTTATTATCTGACAGTTCTGAAGGACAGAAGTCCAAGATCAGCCTCAGTAGGCTAAAGTTAAGGTGTTGGCAGGACCGTGTTTTTCCATAGGCTTTGGGGAGAATCTGCTTTCTTGCCTTTCCAGTTTCTAGAGGCTGCCTGCATTCCTCAGCTCGTGGGCTCTCTCCACCCAGCAATTACATCACTCCAATTTCTGCTTCCATTGTCACATCTCCTTCTTCCACTCTCCTACCTTGCTGTTTCCCTTATAAGGTCCCTGTGATTATGTTGGGTCCACCTGGAAAATATGGGCTAATCTCGTCATCTCAGGATCCTTAGCTTAATCAAACCTGCAAAGTTCTTTTTGCCTTGTAAGGCAATATATTCACAGGATCTGGGGATTAGGTTGTGAACATCTTTGGGGAGCACTGTTTGGGGACCTAGCTGTAGGTCCTAGGGATACAAAAATGAACAGCACAGTTTTCTGCATTTCAAGGGGTTGTAGGCTTGAAGGGAGTGGGAACTCATGAAAGGATGTGCAGTGTTGGAAGATCTGCATTCATAGTGGCTGAGCCTCGGGTATAAGGTGGGAGGCAGCCAAAAATGAAAGTGGAGGGAAAATTGGAGCCATACCAACACGTGCCAATGCGAGCTCATGAAACGGGACTATATCTTGTGGATCAGGACTTCTTGTCCTGGGGTTAGTAGAAGGCTGCCAGGTGTTCCTCTACCACCTGGCCTTGTATGTAAAACTTTAGGCATGTGTGCATTTTTCTGTGGAGAGGGTCCATGATGATATTCATCAGATAACAATGGGGTTTATGAGCCAAAAGTTCAATGTTGCAGCTGTGGGTGATGGGATGCCTTTGGAGGACTTTAAATGACCTAATTAAAGTTGCGCCTTGGAAAACTAGCCATGAGTGGAACTTGCAGGTATAGGAGTAGAGGCAGGGACATCCTTAGGAAGCCCCCCAGTACTGGGCCAAAGATGATGGGCAGGGCAGGCAGTGGGAGCAGAGCATTGGGACTGAGTCCAGGGTAGATGGGGAGGTAGAATTGATGGAACTTGGATGATTTAATGGATGAGCAGGGCAAAGGGTAATTGGTGGCATTCTGGATGGATGAAGGCCCTGTTAGTGGACCAAGGGGATATAGATGGTGAGCAGGCTTAGGGGTTATTGTGGGTTGGGAGGGAGCTGATAAATTCAGCTTTAAGGCCAGGCACAGTGGCTTATGCCTATAATTTCAGCAATTTAGGAGGCTGAAGTGGGAGGATCGCTTTAGTCCAAGAGTCTGAGATCAGCCTGGGCAACAGAGTGATACACTGTCTCTACAAAAAAAAAATAAAATTAGCCAGGCAGGTGTGGCTGTGGTCCCAGCTACTGGGGAGGCTAAGGTGAGAGGATCACTTCAGTGAATCTTATTACTGCACTTTAGACTGGGCAACAGAGTGAGACCCTGTGTATGAGCTCACATAGGCACGTGTTGGTCTGCCTCCAATTTTCCCTCCACTCAAAGGCAGTAAATACATAAATTTGGTTTTGTACCTATGCATATCATAGAGCCTGTGGGACATTCAAATGGAGGTAAGTAGTATATAGTATGTGGTCATAGCCATTTCTAGAGTCCAGAGGTACAGAAATTCATGAACTTTCCATATTTTTATTCTTATTTAATGTCTCCACTCTGTTCTTCTTCAGTAAAGCTAAACCCTTAAAATGGGCAGGACTTAGGAGGTTTTGAGGCAGAAATAGCAACAGCTAATACACTTTTTGTTACTTTTATAATTTATAGGACACTTTTTATAATCCAAATACCATCTTATCATTGCATCAGTCTGATGAGGGGTGGTGGATGAACTGTCACTGACATGAGGGTGATGATAATAATGAATAATAATTATAGATAACATATATGAACATTCACCATGCCAGGCTAGGCTCTGAGCACTTTACATTTATTAGCTTAGTTCATCCTCACAGTAGCCCTATAAGAGTTGCTTTTATCATCCCATTTTACAGATGAGTCAGCCAAGTTCCAGAGAGGTTGAGAAGTTTGTCCTAAGTCACAGCTAGAGAGGGGTGGAGCTAGGATTTGGACTCAGATGGCTGGGTGTGGCTCTAAAGCCTGTGTCAAGCCCCTCAGGGGTGGGGCTGTGGCCCATATTCATGCTCGTCAACCCCAGTTCCTGTGTTCTTTCTATTCTGTGACCACTGTCTTTCCAGGGGGTGGGGAATGTGGAGGAGGTTAACAATGGCATTTCATAGCCAGTGGTGGGAAGAAAGGGATCCCAGAAGAGGGTGGTGGAGGTATTGTCAGCAAGGAGCAGAGAGCTGTGGCATCCCTGGGGGCTGCAGCACCATGCAGCAGCAGCCATGTGCAGAGGAGTTTGTTTCGGGCTTGAACCCAGGGAGGTCAGTGTTCCTGTAGAGCCAGGCTGGAGACAGAGTGGCCAGACATGGGAGAGGGAGGGCAGCGCCATGGTCATCTGTGGCTGGATCTGAAATGGTTTGGGGAGAAGTAGCAAGTGATCCTGGACTACAGGAGCCAGGAGTTGGGGAGGGGTGGGTCTCCTTGCTGCAGGGGTGTCTGTGCTCCTGAGAGTCAGCTTAGAATCTCAGGGCCTGCTGAACTGGCACCACTAGTAGTGAGGATTCTGCCACACGGCAGGACTCACAGCCTTTGGGAGCCTGAGAACTACGGGCCAGGTGCCAGTCTTTGCCTTATTTGCTCTTAGTCTTTGCTGAGGGCCAGCTCACTGCTGGTGAGGAAAGGAGAAGCAGTCCCCAGTCCCAATCACTGGGCTGCTGACACGGCTGGACAGGGACACAGACATCGTTCCCAGAGGGGGTCCTTTGAGAGCAACCTGGGGTGCAGAGGGCAAGCCTTCCACAGGGCAGGGATTGAGTTCCTAGAGTCCTGTGAAGACCCAGCAGCTGATAGGAAGAACGGGGCAGTGCTTGAAAGAAAAGACATGAGCCAGAATATCACAAGCTGACATTTTGTTTATGCAAGCACTTATGTGGTGTTGGTTTCAAAGTCCTTTAAAATCGGGGACTTTAATGTCAAGTAATTGGCTCTTTATGGAAAGGTTTCCAGTTACAAATGGGGAGCAGGTGATCTCAGATTCCAGCCAAACTCAGTTAAAAGGCCAAGTCTTTGGTTTTCTGAAATCGAAGCTCTGGGGTCCCATGACATGCCTTCTTTCCTCTTGCCTGAGCTCATTAATGCACCTTTCTGTGTCATTTGCTGCTGTTGCCCACAGCCATGGTATTCCAGCAGCTCTCAGTGAATTTGATGAACGTCACCAGTGCTGTTTTGCTTTTATGTATTGACAAGTGTGCCTGATTGTGGTTTTTCAGAAGCCTGCTCTGTAGGCGTGGCTGTTGTGGTAGAGGAAGGGTAGTATCAGGGCAAGATTGCTGGAGAGGGAGGGGAGAAGCCCAAATCTTGCCCAGCCCTGCCAGTGTTCCCCCACGTGGGGTCTGCCCTTTGGAAGCACAGGAGGCCATGCACTTCTAGCCATGGCGACTGCCCAACTCCTGTGTGAGATGCTGCGAGGTCTCCAGAGTGACCTTGAAAGAGGTATTGTGAAATTCTTAAGAGCTTGAAGTAAAAAATTAAACTCTTACTTTTTTTTTTAAAGGTGCCATTTACTCTACTAGGAAGTAGAGTTGTGAAATTAAACACTGACAAGATGTTCTAAACCTACCCTGGAGGAGGTAAATTGCTATTTTGAGAGAAGGAGCCACGTCTACTAAAGTTCCCATGTTTCAGTCACTGTGGCTGCACAGAAAATCATCCCAAAACACAGTGGCCTAAAACAGCAGTAATCGCTCTTTATTGCTTATGGTTTCGGTGGGGCAGGAGTTTGGGAGCCCCTCATCTGGGTGGTTCTGGCCCAGGGTCCCTCATGGGGTTACAGTTGGAGGGTTGCTGGGGCTAGGGTCATCTCACAGGCTTCTTCCTCACATGGTGCCTGGTCAGGGAACCCTTGAACAACCGGGGGCTGGAACAGATGGGGCTGTTTGTCCATCTCTCTTCTCGTAGTCTTTCCACCTCATCCCTCTAGCATGGTGGCCTTGCAGTTGCCAGACGTCTTCAGTGATGGCTCTGGGCTCTAAAGGCACATGTCCCAAGAGCCAACCAGGTGGAAGCCGATTTGCCTTGTGTGACCCAGCCTCAGGAGGTGTGCTGCATCACTTTTGCCACATTCTCTCTTGGTCAAAGAAGTTGCAGAGGTCTGCCCAGGTTCAAGGGAAGGGAAACCAGACCCACTGTCAGTGACGGAATGTCAGGGTCACACTGAGAGAGATGCACATGGAATGGGAACCACATTGGCATAGCCATCTTCAGAAAAACAATCTGCTGCGCCCCAGGATGGGGAACTTGGTTGGAATTAACTTGTTATAACTGATGAGCTTTGGAATGAGGGTGTTAGAGAATCTGTACTAGGGATCTGATTTGTGTCTTCCATCTGGAGATGATCAGAATTGAAAGCAAAAAGTAAAGGATGTAGAGGTAGCTGGGCTCTTGACTGTTGATTCTTCTTTTCTGTGTGATGAAGGATAGAACTAGGACTGGAGAGACTCGGTACCTTGTGACCGAGGAAGGGACCTCGTGCCCAAAGTAGGAGGGAATCTCCAGGGGAAACAGAAGCTCAGGAACACATGAGTGGGTATCAAGAGGGTTCGTATTTGCTGTGGTGAGGGACTTTGGTCCTTATAGTGCCAGCATATCCTGGTCGTGATCAAAGGACTTTTCATTGAGTCCCCATGGCCCCTCCTGTTCTTTGGAAGTGAGGGGGAGCAGCCCCAGGCTCTGCTCTCACAGATGCCTCTGCAGTGAGGATGTGGCCACGGGGCGCCCTGGCTTCTTGTTTGAGTCACTCCTTGGCGGTGGTCTCTTTCATGTAGCTCATGCTGGAGGCTGTGAGCCAGTGAGTCTCTCGGTGTGAGAGCTCCTTTAGGAAATGCTGTAGTTGTTCAGCAACTGAAGTGGAGAAATGACCGCACTGGGCAAGGTTTGGCCTTCCAAGTGTGAACACAGGCCCATCTTGCCTGCAAATATATATATACATGTATGCTTAGTCCCCTTCGTAGATTTTTTTTGTGTGTGTGTGACTCGGTTCTTAGAGGATCAGACATTTATTTAAGATATATTCAGTTAACTATGTGCTTACTATGTATTCACCCATGTTATGGGGTGGAGAGGAGAAAGGGCACCAGAAAACCCATTTTTCTTTTCTTTTCTTTTTTTTTTTTTTGAGACGGAGTTTCCCTCTTGTCACCCAGCCTGGAGTGCAATGGCACGGTCTCAGCTCACTGCAACCTCTGCCTCCTGCAGAAAACCCATTTTTTTACAATCTCTGTGTTCTCTAAGCCTAGTGGAAGAGGAAAAGAAATGGCAGTAAAGACCCCTAAAAGTGAGGACTGGCTCTCTGGGTTCAGGAACTTGAATTTGAGGTCTGAGTGTTTGGAAGAATGTTAATGCCCATCAATAAGCCAAGAGATGGGACTCTGTTGACCCCATTGCCACTGCCGTCCTTCCCCTTCCAGCCCCTCAACACCGGGTCTAGTGACCTTGGAGAGAGGGATATGTGGCCACTGATGAGCGCTGATGAGAACTGTGGGCTTGTTCCAGGACAGGTTTGTGTGCCAACTGGGGACACATGGTTATAAAGCAGTCTGATGGACAACTCTTTTGAGTTTCGGTTTTTCATTTTGTGTTCTTAGTAGTTTTCTTTCTCCTTTGAGTTGCTACTTTTGGACCATTTCTTTCTTTGGTTTGTAGGGTTTTGGTCCCTGGCCCCATCCAAGTCCCTCAGCCTTAGTATCTACAGATGCAGAAAGCGAGGCCCAGCAGGTCTTGCTGCCCTCGGCAGGGCTGGATCAGCAGATCCGATCTCCCAGCAGCTGGGCCAGTGCTTGACCTGTTGGAATGATCTCTATTCTTCCAACTGTGGTGTTCAAAAAGTTTGTTAGAATAAAATATTCTAAATGTCACTGAATGTGTCTAGGTGATATTGGTGGATTTAGACCATTGGGTTGCTTTTTCTTCCTATTTCAGGAGATGTAACGATTAACTGTGTGACTAATTAAACAAACAGCACACAAATACTCCAGCTCAATGAGTGTTCTTTAATAAGTCACTTTGGGAAAATCCATACAGTGTTATCCTTGCTTAAAACATAGTTTAAGCTTTTCTTTTGCAGATGCTTTTAGAAGCGGTTACATATATGAATTATTAATAGTTGAAACATAGGTTTGGTTGTCATAAGAGACCCCAGATAGTCATGGTTTAAACACATAGCCTGGGTGGAAGCAGTCCAGGGCTGCTGTAATGACACATGGCATCAGAAATGCTGTTTCCTTCCTTCTGCTCTGCTTTTTCTAGAATGTTGAGTGCGTTAACATGGAGAGAAGAGGTTTCCATATTCTACATCCCATGTCTGCCATGTCACATGCCAGTTAGGGTGAAGGGAGAAGGGGGAAGAGAAAGCTTGGCCTCTCTCTGTAAGGGAATCCCTTGGAAAACACAGTTTGCACTCAGATCCCATTGGCTAGAACTTCATCTCATGGCCATTTCTGGCTGCAAGGAAGGCTGCGAATAAGATTTTTATTCTCAATACCAGGTGCCCAGCTAAACGCTGTGGTTCTGTTACTACAGAAGAAAGAGGAAATATCACAGCCTAGCCAGCAGCCTCTGTCACAATGTTGGTTTTGATTATTCTCAGAAGGAGCACTTCACTGGGTGCACGTTTGATTTCGGAATCAAACTTGAGTCAAATCTGGTGAATAAGGATGTTCAAGCACTAGGTCACACTCATGCTGGGATGCACAAGGGGTAATCATGAGTGATGAGTAGATTTTTCTAGTGGGGCTCATCCACTGATTCTGGAAGCCACAGCATCACAGAGGGGCTTTGGCAGTGCAAGGAGTGAAGGCTTTGATGGAGAAGACGACATCCTCCCAGGACGATGTCTCTGAAGGGGAGCACTCAGATTATGCAACTTCTGGTGACAGTTTACATTTATCGAACGCCTGCTCTACGCTGGCCATCATTTATTATGTGGATTATCTCATTTAATCCACATAAAATCCATATGTGGTAGGCAGACACTATTACGATCTCCTTTTTATAGATGAGGAAACTGGAGTAAATTGCTGGAGATCTTAAAATGAGGAATTGGTGGAACTAGGTTTTGAATGTGGGAGTCCCTGCTCTTAGTCTTAAGTGAAAGTCTACACTCTGGATGGTGCAGCCTCAAAGGTTGCTTCCCCTACTCAGTTCCAGAAGAGGGATAGCCAGGCTTATTCTGCCCCCAGGCAGGAAGGTGGAGGATTCTGCTCTGGAGAAGTTCACACATCATGGCTGTGCTGAAGGTGGAGAAGGTGGAGAGCCGGAAGCGCTTTCAAGGCGGAGCAGGTGGCATAGGTGGAGGCAGAAACGTCAGCAGCTTCTGAGGAACTGGAAGTCCTCTAGTTAAGTTTGGAATAGATGGTCTGTGTGGGTGAGGGAGAGCCATGAGAAATTAGACCTCAGGGATGGGCAGGGGCCCAGTGTTGGAGTTTCTAGGCTGTGCCAGGGAGCTTGAGTTTTATTCTGTAGTGCAATTTGGGGGTTGGGGGAGGGTGGGAAAGGATTGGGGGAGATGAGATGAGAGGAAAGGCAGGCAGAAGTCGGCTGTTGTGAGCCCCATGGTGGAAGGTGGTGGTGGGTGGGATTTAGTCTGTGGGATTTAGTCTGATTAGCTGTATGTGCAGTGCAGTGTAGAGGATATGATTTTTTAAACTTCCTATGTATTTTTTTCTCATTACTATTCTGTCTGTTAATTTGCAGATGACAGTATCAGATCTCAGAGGGAGCTGCTTACTAATTTGGGTCAAGAAACACACATCATTAAGAAAGAGGCTTCTGTTGATCTGAGTGGGGCATATGCATTCAGCTACTTTAAAAGCAGTTTTCAGTCACAAAAATAATAACAGCTGCAGACGTTTGGTGAGAGCTTGCCACAAGCCAGGTGGAGCTTAGATGCAGTATCTTGTTTAATGCTCTTGAGAGTGCTTTGAGGCTGGTGGTGTTATACCTGAATTTCAGATGCAGATGCTGAGGTCCGGAGAGGCTGAGGAACTGGCTTAGCTGCAGGACCAGTAATCAGTAGAGGCAGGGTTGGAATTCAGCTCTGTAGTCCCTCTGCTGTGTGCTTTCCCACTGTATGAGTTAAAGTGAAGGGGGTGGTGGGTGTGCTGTGTACTCACCTAGTATTGCACTGTTCTGAATCATCATCAGAGTTTCCAGGGGACCATTCACACAGACCCTGATCCTCCAGGTGGCATTAGATATGGCCAGGGATAGATGTTGATATGGTTGGGCTGTGTCCCCACCCAAATCTCATCTTGAATTGTAGCTCCTGTAATCCCCAGGTGTCATGGGAGGGACCTGGTAGGAGGTAATTGAATCATGGAGGCATGTTTTCCCGTGCCGTTCTCATGATAGTGAATAAGTCTCATGAGATCTGATGGTTTTATAAGGGGCAGTTCACCTGCACATGCACTCTTGCCTGCCACTATGTAAGACATGCCTTTGCTCCTCCTTGACCTTCTGCCATGATTGTCAGGCCTCCCCAGCCTTGTGGAACTGTTGAGTCCATTAAACCTCTTTTTCTTTATAAATTACCCAGTCCTGGGTATGTCTTTATTAGCAGTGTGGGAACAGACTAATACAGATGTCTTGCAGTAGTTTGCAAAGTGTGGACCCCCAAACAACAATATAAGCATCACAAGCTGTTTGTCTTTCCTGTGGCTGTTGTTAGAAATTACCACAAATTTAGTGGCTTAAAACACCAATTTAGGCTGGGCATGGTGGTGCACTCCTGTAGTCCCAGCTCCTCAGGGGAGCTGAGGTGGGAGGATCGCTTGAGCCGGGGAATTCGTGAACCGAGACTGCACTACTGCACTCCAGCCTGGGTGACATAGCAAGACCCTGTCTCAAACAAAACAAAACAAAATAAAACAAAACAAAAAAAAACCCAACAATTTATTCTGTTACAGTTCTGGAGGGCTGAAGTCTGAGCCGAGTCTCACAGGGCTAAAATCAAGATGGCAGCAGGGTTTGTTCCTTCTGCAAGTTGCAGCAGCAGAGAATCCGCCATTCGTTGCCCCTTCCAGCTTCTGGTGGTGGCCTGTATCCCCCTGCTTGTGACCACACGACTGCAATCTCTGCTCCTTCCTGTCACGTTGCCTTCTCCTCTTCTGTCATCTAATCTTCCTCTGCCTCTCTCTCATAAAGACCCCTGAGATTATACTTCGGGTTTAGCAGATAATCCAGGATAATCTCCTTACCTCAAGTACCTTTACTGAATCACATCTGCAAAGTCCCTTTTCCCCTACAAGGTAATGTTTACAGATCCCAGGGATTAGGACCTATATATCTTTGGGGGCCATTATTCAGGCTTTCATACCCAAGAATTTATTAGAAATACAAAGTTTTAAACCCCACGCTAGACCTACAGAATCAGAGACCCTGGGGCTGGGGCCAGCATTCTGCGTCTTAACCAGTCCTCCGGGCGATTCTGATGGACCCTGAAGTTGACACTGAGCTCACACAGCTCAGCCTGTAAGTGGAAACTGTCCACTGAGCTAGGCGCTGGGAAGAGATTAGTCCAAGCCATGGACATTATAATCTCTCCACAATGATATGAAGTGGCAACAAGAAGCAGAGGTACTCGCTGTGAGGGAGCTTGCTTTTCCTGCTGTTGGTGAAAGCTGGTCTGAGACATTTAGACCTGGAATTTATGCAAGAGGAAAGGGACACATGATCTAGATGAAATGCTGTGACACAGATGGGAGGAGGAGAGGCATGGAACAAAAATGGGAGAGGTGACATTTGACTTGGGTCCTTTAGACAAGCCTGTGCCTATAGGGCTACTGAGGATCAGCAGGCTGGCCAGGTTGGGTGCTCACCTGCCAGAGAGGCCTCAAGGCATTGTGGAGACAGCTTCCTACTGTCAAGGCTTCAGTGGTAGCTTTTGGAGCATCTGAGAGGAAACAGGTGTGGTAAAAAGGGCAGGAGTCAGATGTGGAGGGTCCTGGCTTTGCCACCTGTTAGCTGGGCAGCCGGCGTGCTGCCTAACACACAGCATCTCCCTGTCCTCACCTGTTGGGTGGAGACAATGCCATCTTGCAGGGTTGGGAGAGGATGCAGGAAGATGAGGAAGGATGCAGGAGGATGCTTGCAGAGCATCTAGCATTCATGCCTGACATGGAACAAAATGAACACAGACCTGACAATGCTTCCACATGTGGCTGGAGCAGGACACTGCAGAAAGGGACCTGTGGTGCACACATTTAGAGCATGTGATCATGGCTCCTAGACATCTTTATCAAGACTCCTCCCAGAACCAAGTGCAGTACTCATCCAAACAGTCAGTCAGGGTCTTCTGCAAAGGGTTTATCATCTTTGATTTTTTTTGGAAGTAGCAAGACTTTGATGAGGCATTTTGCTCTGTGGCTCCTACTGAATTCTGTCCCGCATGTTTGCCTCACTTACCAGATCAAAGGCCTTGGGGTCCACCCAGCAGGCCTTGAAATATTAGGACAAACAGAAGATGTAAGTCACAGAAACCAGCCTGAGCTGCCTTAAGCAAAAATCAGTGTTTATCATAAGGAATCACAAGGCTTATTCCTATAGGAAGGGAACTCTGGCCATCATCTCCACCTATGTGCCTTTTTGCAGTTCTGTTTAATTCTATTTCTGTAGCAAAGTTTTTTTTGTTCTTCTGGCCACAGGGTGAAGTATGGTTGCCTATGATAGAGGGTTGATCACACAAAGAGACCTAACAGTCCTGCAGACCCAACTCAAGACTCCCACGCCAGAGAGTATGACTTGTCTGTGGAGGGGGCCTGATCCCAGCCATGCTTTTAGCTGTGGCTGGTGGGAACTGGTGGGGTGGGCATGGAGGATACCATCACACAAGGTGCCCACTGGAGTGTGCTTGGTTCCCAGAGAAACAGGGTTTTGTCAGCTGGGCAGGCAGCCTCAAGTCTGCCAGGCATGGTGCAGAGAAACCATGATTTGGTTATTAGGTACCCAGAGATATGAAAGCATGCTGGAAAGCTCCTGGCTGTTCCTCACTCTTTTGAAACCCATGATCTGATAAGTCCCAGGAGCACTGGTGGATTTCAGGTCAGCAATGTCAAGGGATGATAACAATTGCATAAGTCCCTCCCTCCCTTCTTTTCTTCCTTCCTAGGAGAAAGATAAAAGGAGAGAATAAGAATTGCTCATCTCCCGAATCCCAGAATGAAGCACTATGAACCTTTCAGTCATATTTACAGCTAGTCTTTTTTTTTCCTGTATACATATTTTGAAATTATATGAATAATTATCTTAAGAACAGAACATTGTAGGTGAGAAGTTAGTCTCATCTTTTTAACCAATACCCATTCTGGCTCTGCCTCCCCCATATCTGAAGGTACCCATGAGCTTGACACATATACTTGTCCTTATATTGTCTCTTTCCTTACATCTTTCTGTTTGAAGAGATCACTTTTTACCCAGTTCAAAACATCAGTTTTAAAGAAGGGGAAACTATGTAATATGATTGGACCTTGTTTCCAAGGGTGGCAATTGAATGAATGAAAAGTAATGAATCAGGCCAGGTGCAGTGGCTCACGCCTGTAATCCCAGCACTTTGGGAGGCTGAGGCGGGCGGATCACGAGGTCAGGAGATCGAGACCATCCTGGCTAACACGGTGAAACCCCGACTCTACTAAAAATACAAAAAATTAACCAGGTGTGGTGGCACGCGCCTGTAGTCCCAGCTACTCAGGAGGCTGAGGCAGGAGAATGGCATAAGTAAACCCGGGAGGTGGAGCTTACAGTGAGCCTAGATTGCGCCACTGCACTCCAGCCTGGGTGACAGAGCAAGACTCCATCTCAAAAAAAAAAAAAAAAAAAAGAAAGAAAATTAATGAATCCATGAAAACTTACTTGAAAGACTGTATCAAATCTTGTTATTTATTCCAAATTTTGACTCCATTAAAACTCCCCATTTTGAAATCACACAGTTCTCCAGAAAATATGCAGAACTAGGGCCTTTGGGTTCCTAATCTTGGATTGGCAAAGTGCCTTCTCAAGAATGTGTGTGAGCTCTACGTACATTTGCATAATGTGTAAATGGAAGAAAAAGGTTAAAATGATCTTTATTCTGCAGAATTTAAATGGACTATGTATTGTGAATGGCTGCTCTCAAGATCATCATAAGCCCCTTGAACTTAGCAAATTAGCAGGTGTCTACCTGAAAAATTAAGCAACCATAACGTTTAAAAGCCTTTGAATAGGGTTGCACGATCTTCATCTGGACTTGCTGTAAAGAAACACTTCGTAATGGTGCTGGGCTGTGGCGGGAAGCCATTGTTTTGAAACATGAATGTGGCTGCATTCCTTTCATTTGCCCATCGATATAAGTTCTCCTGCAAATAAATACCTGGTGAAAATTATGCATGTGTATGTGTGTCTGAGTTTGTTTCGTGTTGCTATAACAGAGTACTTGAGACTGGGTAACTTATAAAGAACAGAAATTTATTTGCTCCGTTGTGGTAGCTGGGAAGTGCAAGATCAAGGCACCAGCATCTGGCGAAGGACCTCTTGCTGCATACTCAAGTGACAGAAGGCATCACATGCCTTCTCTTTCACATCTCATGGGAGAGAGAGAGAGAGAGAGAGCAAGCAAGAGCTGTGTGTGTGTTTGTATGTGTGTGTGAGAGAGTACGTAAGCATGTGTGAGTGCAAGAGGGGGCCAAACTCATACTTTGATAAGGAACCCACTCCTGCAATAAGGACCCTAATCCTGCAGTGACAGCATCAATCCATTAATGAGGGCAGTGCCCCCATGACCGAAACGCCTCATAAAGGCCCCACCTCCCAACACCCTCTCATTGGAGATCAAGTCTTCAACACATGAACCATGGGGACACATTCAAACCATAGCAAAGTGAAACCTTTCCTCAGAGCTGCCTTTCATTTCTGAACTATCAGGAAATACTACTTCTGTCTCCTCCAACCCCTCTTTTAACTGAGCAATATACTGAGCTCTTCAGCAATGCCACGGGGCATGCACACTTAGACTGTGCAGCTAATGAGGATCCAATTGGGGTGTGTCTAATGGCCTGGTTTCTCTTGCTTCTCTCTGCCATGGACTGACTCCATGGTGGATGTCATGTGGCTGATTTCAGAAGCTGGCCATGGGTTACCAGTGGGCACATTTAGAAGATGAGGCAAATCTGTACCTCCTACAGGGGGACACCTTAAAGCATGCACTGCTGATTTTTGGATAAGGAAAGGAATTGTTTTTGTTCAAAAAAAGTTTCCTTTCAAAGTGATCTCTGAGCTTCTACCTATGACACTCTTGATTTACCTTTTTCTTATGCCTGTATCCAGTCCATTTGTGAGTTCTGTTAGTAATCATCCAAAATATGCCTCGAATCTGCCCCCTCTCCCTCTCTGCTGCTTTGGGCCTCTGTTATATCTTGCCTTCCTGATTGCAGAGGCCTCCTACATGCCCTGCATCCAGGGCCCTTCAAGCTGGCTTATGCTCCTTCTCATAACAGGCAGCATCATATTTTTTTAGTTAGAAATTAATCTTCCCACTCTCTTAAAAACCCTCTGGTGTTTCTCCATTGCACTTGAACAAAAATCTAAACTCTCCACCATGGCATCTGGGTGCTGAATGGTCTGCCCCCCACCTACCTCCCCACCTCATAGGAGCACTTGCTGACTTATTCCCCTCCAGCCATAGCTGCCTTCCATGATCCCCGCTCATGTCCAGATCTGGGCAAGGCTGGCTCCTTCCCTCATTCAGGTCAAATCACCCTGTTTCACTTTCTTCATGAACTAAATAAACATTGTATGAAGTAATTTTCTTGTCTTTGTTGACCTTTTTTTTTCCCTCAGAGATGGGGTCTTGCTCTGTTGCCCAGGCTGTAGTGCAGTATAGTGGTTGTAGCTCACTGCAGCCTCAAACTCCTGAGCTCAAGGGACCCTCCCTCTTCAGCCTCCTTGGGACTACAGGCTCACACCACCACCCCCAGCTGATTTTTAAATTTTTCGTAGAGATGGGGTTAATCTCTCTTTGTTGCCCAGGCTGGTCTCAGACTCCTGGCCTCAAGTGAGCTGTGCCTGGCCCTTTGTTGACTTTTAAAATATTTGTCTGCCTTCACTTGAATGTAAGCTCCCTGAGGACAGGGCAAGGACTTGTCTTTCTCTTTCATCATGGCATCTGCAGAGCCTAGAACAAACAGTAGGCACTTGGTGAATATGTGTGGAGTGGGGAAGCTAACGTGCCAGCAGGAGATGGTACATCCCAGTGAGGAGCAAGGAGGTCCCTGCCATCCACACTTGCTCATGAGGGGACCTGGGCAGTGGCACACCCAGAGCCACTGCAGTCATTCTGTGCCTTAGCCTGAGGGGCCCCTCTACGGTCTGTGCTAAGCATGGGGAAAGCAGGAAACCCTGAGTCTTCTTGGACTCTCAGACTTTAAACCCTGTTTTCCTAATTCTTTTTGAAGTACAGTTGTGTGCTGCATAATGATGTTTGGGTCCACTGCATACATGACAGTGGTCCTATAGATTAAAATGGAGCTGGAAAACTTCTCTTGCTTAGTGACATTGTAAGGTCGAATTGCAACACATTACCTTTCCTATGTTTAGATGTGTTTAGATACACAAATACCATTGTGTTACAGTTGCCTATAGTATTCAGTCTAGTAACATGCTGTAGGTTTGTAGCCTAGGAGCAGTAGGCCATACCACATAGTCTAGGTATGCAGTACGCTATCCCATCTAGGTCTGTGTAAGTACACTCGGCGATGTTTGCACAATGATAGAACCACCTCATGATGCGTTTCTCAGAATGTAGCCCTGTTGTTAAGAGACACATGACTGTATTTGAGTTCTTTTGCAAAGCAGATGCTTCATAAAAAATTATGTTTCAGGCTGGGTGCTGTGGCTTATGCCTGTAATTCCAGCACTTTGAGAGGCTGAGGAGGGCGGATCACGAGGTCAGGTGATCAAGACCATCCTGGCTAACACGGTGAAATCCCATGTCTACTAAAAATATACAAAATTAGCCAGGCATTGTGGCGGGCGCCTGTAGTCCCAGCTACTTAGGAGGCTGAGGCAGAAGAATGGCTTGAACCCGGGAGGCAGAGGTTGCAGTGAGCCAAGATTGTACCAATGCACTCCAGCCTGGGCGACAGAGTGAGACTCGGTCTCAAAAAATATATATATATATATTTCAGAGAAAAATAAGTGATGTTTATGTTACCTATTGTTTTGGAATATGCATTCCGCTTTTTCTCCATGAGTGTGACAACTGGGGCATAGGCTCTGCTTTGCTCATACCAATACTCAGAACAACACCAGGATCTGTCCTCCAAAAACTCATGAAAAATATTTAATTTTTCATATTATACATTGACCGCCTTTCTACGTAGTGCTGGTGGGAGAGTTTGTCATTTAAACAAAACCTCACAAAGGCCTTTCATGTCGCTTTTGTTCTCTAAAACAAGTAGAATCCTGAATTCAGAGCTAGGTTTTTGTGACCTTTGAGCTGTTAAATCGGAACAGTGAATGTTACTAAATTTTTCCTAGCTGCATTCTTTCTGCAAGTTCTGCTGCCTTTCGGGATGTTGCTTCATGTTCTCATAGGCTTTTGCCTATGCATAGTAGGAGGTTTCTGAAGTCTATAGGAATCCGCAAGTGGATCACTCTGACCAGCCTGACAATCAATAAAAGTAACAATAAAATAGTCGATACTCATTTCTTCCTGTTATGGCTATTTGTTTCTAAAGCAAATGTTTATTTATTTGTCTTTTTTTTCAACTTTTAAGTTCAGGGGGTATGTGTATCAGTTTGTTACATGGGTAAGTTGCATGTTGCTGAGGTTTAGTATACAAGTGATCCCATCACCCAGGTAATGAGCATAGTACCCAGTAGGTAGTTTTTCAGCCCTCACCTTCCTCCCGCCCACGCCCTCTAGTGGCCTCCAGTGTCTGTTGTTCCCATCTTTTTTATTTTTTATTTTTGAGATGGAGTTTCACTCTTGTTGCCTAGGCTGGAGTGCAATGGCGCGATCTTGGCTCACTGCAACCTCCGCCTCCCAGATATAGGCGATTCTCCTGTCTCAGCCTCCTAAGTAGCTCGGATTACAGGCATGCGCCACCACGCCCAACTAATTTTTTTGTATTTAGTAGAGATGGGGTTTCACCATGTTAGTCAGGCTGGTCATGAATTCCTGACCTCAGGTGATCCATCTGCCTCTGCCTCCCAAAGTGTTGGGATTACAGGCATGCGCCACCATGCCCAGCCTGTTGTTCCCATCTTTATGTTCATAAGTACTCAATGTTTAGCTCCCACTTATAAGTGAGAACATGTGGTGTTTGGTTTTCTGTTCCTGGGTTACTTTATTTAGAATAATGGTCTCTAGCTTTATGCATGTTGCTGTAAAGGAGGTGATTTTCTTCTTTTCTATGGCTGTGTGGTACTTCATGGTATATACACAACTTGCCAAGACTGAGTCAGGAAAAAATTGAAATCCTGAACAGACCAATATTGAGTTCTGAAATTGAATCAGTAATAAAAAACCTACCAACCAAAAAGAGCTCTGGACCAGATGGATTCACAGCTGAATTCTACCAGATGTACAAAGAAGAGCTTGTACCAATCCTACTAACTAAAAGTATTCCGAAAAATTGAGGAGGAAGGACTTCTCCCTAACTCATTCTGTGAAACCAGCATCACTGATATAAAATCTGGCAAAGACACAACAAAAAAAGTTCTTACAGGCCAATATCCCTTATTAACATAGATGCAAAAATCCTCAACAAAATACTAGGAAATTGAATCCAGCAGCACATCAAGAAGTTAATTCACCATGATCAAGTAGGCTTCATTCCTGGGATACAGGGCTGGTTCAAAACATGCAAATCAATAAATATGATTTACCACATAAGCAGAATTAAAAACAAAAACCATACGATCATCTCAGTAGACAAAGTAAAAGCGTTTTATAAAATTCAACATCCCTTCATGATAAAAACCCTCAACAAACAAGGCACTGAAGGGATATATCTCAAAATAATAAGAGCCATCTATGACATACCCACAGCCAAAGTCATACTGAGTGGGCAAAGGCTACAACCATTCCCCTTGAGAACTGGAACAAGACAAGGATGTCTAGTCTCACCACTCCTATTCAACATAGCATTCGATGACCTTGCCAGAGCAGTCAGTCAAGAGAAAGAAATAGAAGGCGGGGGGAGGAGCCAAGATGGCCGAATAGGAACAGCTCCGGTCTACAGCTCCCAGCGTGAGCGACGCAGAAGACGGGTGATTTCTGCATTTCCATCTGAGGTACCGGGTTTCTCTCACTAGGGAGTGCCAGACAGTGGGCGCAGGCCAGTGGGTGCGTGCACCGTGCGCGAGCCGAAGCAGGGCAAGGCATTGCCTCACCTGGGAAGCGCGAGGGGTCAGGGAGTTCCCTTTCCGAGTCAAAGAAAGGGGTGACGGACGCACCTGGAAAATCGGGTCACTCCCACCCGAATATTGCGCTTTTCAGACCGGCTTAAAAAGCGGCGAACCATGAGATTATATCCCACACCTGGCTCGGAGGGTCCTACGCCCACGGAGTCTCGCTGATTTCTAGTACAGCAGTCTGAGATCAAACTGCAAGGCGGCAGCGAGGCTGGGGGAGGGGCGCCCGTCATTGCCCAGGCTTGCTTAGGTAAACAAAGCAGCCAGGAAGCTCGAACTGGGTGGAGCCCACCACAGCTCAAGGAGGCCTGCCTGCCTCTGTAGGCTCCACCTCTGGGGGCAGGGCACAGACAAAGGAAAAGACAGCAGTAACCTCTGCAGACTTAAGTGTCCCTGTCTGACAGCTTTGAAGAGAGCAGTGGTTCTCCCAGCACACAGCTGGAGATCTGAGAACGGGCAGACTGCCTCCTCAAGTGGGTCCCTGACCCCTGACCCCCGAGCAGCCTAACTGGGAGGCACCCCCCAGCAGGGGCAGACTGACACCTCACACGGCAGGGTATTCCAACAGACCTGCAGCTGAGGGTCCTGTCTGTTAGAAGGAAAACTAACAAACAGAAAGGACATCCGCACCGAAAACCCATCTGTACATCACCATCATCAAAGACCAAAAGTAGATAAAACCACAAAGATGGGGAAAAAACAGAACAGAAAAACTGGAAACTCTAAAATGCAGAGCGCCTCTCCTCCTCCAAAGGAATGCAGTTCCTCACCAGCAACGGAACAAAGCTGGATGGAGAATGACTTTGACAAGCTGAGAGAAGAAGGCTTCAGACGATCAAATTACTCTGAGCTACGGGAGGACATTCAAACCAAAGGCAAAGAAGTTGAAAACTTTGAAAAAAATTTAGAAGAATGTATAACTAGAATAACCAATACAGAGAAGTGCTTAAAGGAGCTGATGGAGCTGAAAACCAAGGCTCGAGAACTACGTGAAGAATGCAGAAGCCTCAGGAGCTGATGCGATCAACTGGAAGAAAGGGTATCAGCAATGGAAGATGAAATGAATGAAATGAAGTGAGAAGGGAAGGTTAGAGAAAAAAGAATAAACAGAAATGAGCAAAGCCTCCAAGAAATATGGGACTATGTGAAAAGACCAAATCTACGTCTGATTGGTGTACCTGAAAGTGATGGTGAGAATGGAACCAAGTTGGAAAACACTCTGCAGGATATTATCCAGGAGAACTTCACCAATCTAGCAAGGCAGGCCAACGTTCAGATTCAGGAAATACAGAGAACGCCACAAAGATACTCCTCGAGAAGAGCAACTCCAAGACACATAATTGTCAGATTCACCAAAGTTGAAATGAAGGAAAAAATGTTAAGGGCAGCCAGAGAGAAAGGTCGGGTTACCCTCAAAGGGAAGCCCATCAGACTAACAGCGGATCTCTCGGCAGAAACCCTACAAGCCAGAAGAGAGTGGGGGCCAATATTCAACATTCTTAAAGAAAAGAATTTTCAACCCAGAATTTCATATCCAGCCAAACTAAGCTTCATAAGTGAAGGAGAAATAAAATACTTCACAGACAAGCAAATGCTGAGAGATTTTGTCACCACTAGGCCTGCCCTAAAAGAGCTCCTGAAGGAAGCGCTAAACATGGAAAGGAACAACCGGTACCAGCCGCTGCAAAATCATGCAAAAATGTAAAGACCATCGAGACTAGGAAGAAACTGCATCAACTAACGAGCAAAATCACCAGCTAACATCATAATGACAGGATCAAATTCACACATAACAATATTAACTTTAAATGTAAATGGACTAAATTCTCCAATTAAAAGACACAGACTGGCAAATTGGATAAAGAGTCAAGACCCATCAGTGTGCTGTATTCAGGAAACCCATCTCACGTGCAGAGACACACATAGGCTCAAAATAAAAGGATGGAGGAAGATCTACCAAGCAAATGGAAAACAAAAAAAGGCAGGGGTTGCAATCCTAGTCTCTGATAAAACAGACTTTAAACCAACAAAGATCAAAAGAGACAAAGAAGGCCATTACATAATGGTAAAGGGATCAATTCAACAAGAAGAGCTAACTATCCTAAATATATATGCACCCAATACAGGAGCAGCCAGATTTATAAAGCAAGTCCTGAGTGACCTACAAAGAGACTTAGACTCCCACACATTAATAATGGGAGACTTTAACACCCCACTGTCAACATTAGACAGATCAACGAGACAGAAAGTCAACAAGGATACCCAGGAATTGAACTCAGCTCTGCACCAAGTGGGCCTAATAGACAACTACAGAACTCTCCACCCCAAATCAACAGAATATACATTTTTTTCAGCACCACACCACACCTATTCCAAAATTGACCACATAGTTGGAAGTAAAGCTCTCCTCAGCAAATGTAAAAGAACAGAAATTATAACAAACTCTCTCTCAGACCACAGTGCAATCAAACTAGAACTCAGGATTAAGAATCTCACTCAAAGCTGCTCAACTACATGGAAACTGAACAACCTGCTCCTGAATGACTACTGGGTACGTAACGAAATGAAGGCAGAAATAAAGATGTTCTTTGAAACCAACGAGAACAAAGACACAACTTAACAGAATCTCTGGGACGCATTCAAAGCAGTGTGTAGAGGGAAATTTATAGCACTAAATGCCCACAAGAGAAAGCAGGAAAGATCCAAAATTGACACCCTAACATCACAATTAAAAGAACTAGAAAAGCAAGAGCAAACACATTCAAAAGCTAGCAGAAGGCAAGAAATAACTAAAATCAGAGCAGAACTGAAGGAAATAGAGACACAAAAAACCCTTCAAAAAATCAATGAATCCAGGAGCTGGTTTTTTGAAAGGATCAACAAAATTGATAGACCACTAGCAAGACTAATAAAGAAAAAAAGAGAGAAGAATCAAATAGACACAATAAAAAATGATAAAGGGGATATCACCACCGATCCCACAGAAATACAAACTACCATCAGAGAATACTACAAACACCTCTACGCAAATAAACTAGAAAATCTAGAAGAAATGGATAAATTCCTCGACACATACACTCTCCCAAGACTAAACCAGGAAGAAGTTGAATCTCTGAATAGACCAATAACAGGAGCTGAAATTGTGGCAATAATCGATAGTTTACCAACCAAAAAGAGTCCAGGACCAGATGGATTCACAGCTGAATTCTACCAGAGGTACAAGGAGGAACTGGTACCATTCCTTCTGAAACTATTCCAATCAATAGAAAAAGAGGGAATCCTCCCTAACTCATTTTATGAGGCCAGCATCATTCTGATACCAAAACCGGGCAGAGACACAACCAAAAAAGAGAGTTTTAGACCAATATCCTTGATGAACATTGATGCAAAAATCCTCAATAAAATACTGGCAAAACGAATCCAGCAGCACATCAAAAAGCTTATCCACCATGATCAAGTGGGCTTCATCCCTGGGATGCAAGGCTGGTTCAATATACGCAAATCAATAAATGTAATCCAGCATATAAACAGAGCCAAAGACAAAAACCACATGATTATCTCAATAGATGCAGAAAAAGCCTTTGACAAAATTCAACAGCCCTTCATGCTAAAAACTCTCAATAAATTAGGTATTGATGGGACGTATTTCAAAATAATAAGAGCTATCTATGACAAACCCACAGCCAATATCATACTGAATGGGCAAAAACTGGAAGCGTTCCCTTTGAAAACTGGCACAAGACAGGGATGCCCTCTCTCACCACTCCTATTCAACATAGTGTTGGAAGTTCTGGCCAGGGCAATGAGGCAGGAGAAGGAAATAAAGGGTATTCAATTAGGAAAAGAGGAAGTCAAATTGTCCCTGTTTGCAGATGACATGATTGTATATCTAGAAAACCCCATTGTCTCAGCCCAAAATCTCCTTAAGCTGATAAGCAACTTCAGCAAAGTCTCAGGATACAAAATCAATGTACAAAAATCACAAGCATTCTTATACACCAACAACAGACAAACAGAGAGCCAAATCATGAGTGAACTCCCATTCACAATTGCTTCAAAGAGAATAAAATACCTAGGAATCCAACTTACAAGGGATGTGAAGGACCTCTTCAAGGAGAACTACAAATCACTGCTCAAGGAAATAAAAGAGGATACAAACAAATGGAAGAACATTGCATGCTCATGGGTAGGAAGAATCAATATCGTGAAAATGGCCATACTGCCCAAGGTAATTTACAGATTCAATGCCATTCCCATAAAGCTACCAATGACTTTCCTCACAGAATTGGAAAAAACTACTCTAAAGTTCATATGGAACCAAAAAAGAGCCCGCATCACCAAGTCAATCCTAAGCCAAAAGAACAAAGCTGGAGGCATCACACTACCTGACTTCAAACTATACTACAAGGCTACAGTAACCAAAACAGCATGGTACTGGTACCAAAACAGAGATATAGATCAATGGAACAGAACAGAGCCCTCAGAAATAATGCCGCATATCTACAACTATCTGATCTTTGACAAACCTGAGGAAAACAAGCAATGGGGAAAGGATTCCCTATTTAATAAATGGTGCTGGGAAAACTGGCTAGCCATATGTAGAAAGCTGAAACTGGATCCCTTCCTTACACCTTATACAAAAATCAATTCAAGATGGATTAAAGATTTAAACGTTAGACCTAAAACCATAAAAACCCTAGAAGAAAACCTAGGCATTACCATTCAGGACATAGGCATGGGCAAGG
The DNA here is from genome assembly GCF_000001405.40 of Homo sapiens. NCBI lineage: Eukaryota > Metazoa > Chordata > Mammalia > Primates > Hominidae > Homo > Homo sapiens. The sequence goes on along the minus strand of NC_000002.12, from coordinate 134,651,611 downwards.
ACTTCATGTCCAAAACACCAAAAGCAATGGCAACAAAAGCCAAAACTGACAAATGGGATCTAATTAAACTAAAGAGCTTCTGCACAGCAAAAGAAACTACCATCAGAGTGAACAGGCAACCTACAAAATGGGAGAAAATTTTCGCAACCTACTCATCTGACAAAGGGCTAATATCCAGAATCTACAATGAACTCAAACAAATTTACAAGAAAAAAACAAACAACCCCATCAAAAAGTGGGCGAAGGACATGAACAGACACTTCTTAAAGGAAGACATTTATGCAGCCAAGAAACACATGAAAAAATGCTCATCATCACTGGCCATCAGAGAAATGCAAATCAAAACCACAATGAGATACCATCTCACACCAGTTAGAATGGCAATCATTAAAAAGTCAGGAAACAACAGGTGCTGGAGAGGATGTGGAGAAATAGGAACACTTTTACACTGTTGGTGGGACTGTAAACTAGTTCAACCATTGTGGAAGTCAGTGTGGCGATTCCTCAAGGATCTAGAACTAGAAATACCATTTGACCCAGCCATCCCATTACTGGGTATATACCCAAAGGACTATAAATCATGCTGCTATAAAGACACATGCACACGTATGTTTATTGCGGCATTATTCACAATAGCAAAGACTTGGAACCAACCCAAATGTCCAACAATGATAGACTGGATTAAGAAAATGTGGCACATATACACCATGGAATACAATGCAGCCATAAAAAATGATGAGTTCGTGTCCTTTGTAGGGACATGGATGAAATTGGAAATCATCATTCTCAGTAAACTATCACAAGAACAAAAAACCAAACACCGCATATTCTCACTCATAGGTGGGAATTGAACAATGAGATCACATGGACACAGGAAGGGGAATATCACACTCTGGGGACTGTGGTGGGGTGGGGGGAGGGGTGAGGGATAGCATTGGGAGATATACCTAATGCTAGATGACGAGTTAGTGGGTGCAGCGCACCAGCATGGCACATGTATACATACATATGTAACTAACCTGCACAATGTGCACATGTACCCTAAAACTTAAAGTATAATAAAAAAACAAAAAACAAAACAAACAAACAAACAAACAAACAAAAAAAAGAAATAGAAGGCATCCAAATAGGAGAAGAAGAAGTCAGATTCTCTGTCTTCATTGATGATATGATTCTATACAAATGTTTATTTAAAAATAAATCTTTCAAGTTTGATTTATATCATCACCTATAATCTTGCTGCTTCAACCTTATTATTTAAATTTTTTGCTTATTTAATTGAAGATACAATTGATTTTTTTAAGTAAAAAGTTATTTATGTTAAAAATATATATGATAGAGAAGGGTAAGAAGTTAAAAATTAAAGGTTCCGAGCTCCTTTTTATGTGTTAATGAGTTGAAATATGTACTTCCAGATGTTTTTATACACATACATATACATACTAAAGCATATATAATATAGTACAGTTTTTTTAAACACAAAAATGTGGTTGTACTGTGCGTATTGCCCTATACCTTCCATTTTTTCACTCAATTGTATATCATGGACATTTTTGCATGCCATAATATGCAGACCTACATCATTCTTTTTTTTTTTTTTTTTTTTTAAGACAGGGTCTCACTCTGTTGCCCAGGCTGGAGTGCAGTGGTGTGATCATGGCTCACTGCAACCTCAGTCTCTTGGCCTCAAGAGAACCCCCACTTCAGCCACCCAAGTAGCTGGGACTACAGGCCTGTGCTACCATGCCTGGCTAATTTTTTGTAGAGGCAAGTGTTCACTACATTGCCCAGGTTGGTCTCAAATTCCTGAGATCAAGCAGTACACCCGCTTCAGCCTCCCAAAATTCTGGAATACAGGCATGAGTCACCATGCTCAGCCTATATAGGCTGCATAATGTTCTATAGAGATACCTTATGTTATTTTACCGATTCCAACACTGATTGACACTTAAATGGTTTCAAAGTTTCGGTTATTAAAATATGCATCCATATTTTAATGTAATTTCACTGTACTTACAAGTTTAAAATCAGTGTAAGCATTTATCTATGTCTCTGTCTTATTATTTAAGATTGATATCTTTCAACCAAGAATGCACCTAAACATTACCAGATTGTTATGCTCTTAAATGTCTCTTTTTCTCTACTATAGAGAGTGCTTCAATGGGCTACATTGCACTATTGTTTGCAAAAGGGATTATAAACATTTCCAATGCATTAGCGCTTTGAGGGTGTATTGGTCACTGATATCAGTCATAGGCACTAGGACATGGGAGGGATGGAGGGGAGCATGATGATTCCTCAAGTTGTGTTTGATCATTAGTTGACATTGAACATTTCAAGTGTTTGTTTTTGTTTTGTGTAAACTGTGTGAGTCTGTTTTGCTCATTTATCTCTTGATGCCTTGATTTTTTAGTGAGTTTGATAATTTTATATATTATACGTATACTTTGTTGTATTTCATGTGAATATTTTCTTCAGCCTCTTTGCCTATTATTTTGTCGCACACACTTATTTACTTTGATGGACTCAAATGTGTTAAACTTTTTGATATGTCGCAGGTCTGAGAATTATGTCTCCAGTGTTCTGACATTCAGTTCTTTCTTCAATTTTATTTTCCCCCACTACAAATACATGGATATATAACGATTTCTTAGTAGTCAAAATGATTCTTCAGCACCAGGGAAGTTTTTAGCCGTGAGCCATCAGCTGTGGTAATACCCTGGGGAAGTATTTACTTCTGGTTGAAGCGAATCATTTACATCCCATATTAGCAAGGGCTAAATGGATATAAGAAATATTACAGTTTAATACTGTTGGCAGGAAGCAAGTTCTTAGCACCATGAATCATACTACCCATTTCAGAAAGCCTATTATAATTAGAAGCAACAACACTTACACAGATTGATGAGTTATCAGTCTGTGTGGAGTTATCGCTTCCTTTCACATCTTTGTGTATACAATTCAAATAGAAAAGTAAATACAACAATCTTTCGTTGTTGCCAGCTGGATGATGGTTCTTTTTCCATATCCTTAATATGTATCTTTCCTACTCATCAGGTAGTGATAGGGACAGGAGGTAGGGAAATTCTGGGCAGAAGAGGGTGGGTCCCCAGCAACCACCCCACCCTCAAGCCTGGAACTGTGGCCCACTGTGAGAGCATGCATTCCTGTTTTCCCGCTCGAATGTTCCCTTTTCCAAAACCACCCATGGCCTGCCCCACAGCCCCATCCTGTGCCCATAGAAACCCCAGGTTCCACACAGCAGAGAAGAGAAGAGAAGAGAAGAGAAGAGAAGAGAAGAGAAGAGGAGAAGCAGTGAGATGCCAGAGACTATGGTTGGACATTGAAGAGAAGCAGCTTGACTTCAGAGGGATAGCTTGATGGTATTGCTTCAGAGAGGAGTCCAACTGGGGATGGCCAGACTCTGGGGGAAGATTATCTTCCTGCTCCATCCCTTTTTCAGCTCTCCTTCCTGCTGAGAGCCACTTTCATCGCCAATAAAATCCCCCACATTTACCATCTCTGATTTGTTTGTGTGACCTCATTCCTCCTGGACGCTGGACAAGAATTCAGTTGCAGGTGCAAAAGGCTGTCACGCTGACCCTCCACTGAGCTGTTAACACTTAAGCCATCTGTGGACAGCACTGAAAGAGCACTGACTGTAACACACTTTCTGGGGCTTCAGGGGTCGTGGGCACCCTCCTAGATGCTGCCACGGGGCCACACAGAGTTTTGCTCCTGCCAGCATCCAAAAGCGCTTGCCCTGGCTCCTGCACCTACTCACCTGTGCTCCCCGCTCTGTGAGGGGTGGAACACAGTGGGACTGAATGAGTGGAGTCCGCCCCTGCTGGCAATGAAGCAGCCAGCTAGCTCTAGCACCCGTGCACTCCAGTTTCCACCTGTGAAGGAGTCAGGGAAAGTTTCCTGCTTCGGTAGGTTTTCCAAATGCTCAAAACTGGTGGTGGGTGATGTGGTTTTGATCTGTCAGCTGTTTTCTTAGTATCTGTGGTGTGTAGGGAATGTAAATCCCTCTATCAGTTTTGACCTAGTCTATAACCTCCACAATTTATATTGAGCCTTATTACTTAATGTACAGTGCGACAGATTGAGGGTCCAGATGCAAACCCCACTGTCCATGAGTGCTCAGGAATTGTTGAAGAAGATCCTCTGTCAGTGATTTCGGAGGTTGGTAGCACATTCCAAGGCCATTTGCTTCCAGGCGCTTTTGAGAGGTGAGGGATGCTGGGGGAAACTAAGAGTCTTCCTCTTTAAATTTTATAAAAAGGCTGAGACTATTTCTTTTGTGATTGCTTTCCTTTTTGCCATAAATGTTCCCTCTGTGTCAGTTTTCTTTTTAATGTTTACTAAATGTAGTTCCTAGACATTTTGACTAATGAACTGGAAGATAATAATCATATAAACTTAATTTGAGCTGGAAGCAATGTAGAGGATATTGGGACTCTTCCTTTTATAAATGAGGAAACTGAGGCATGCAGAGATTGAATGACTTGGCTAAGGCACACAGCTGATGATTGGCAGGTCTGGATTTCCCGAGCCTGTCTTCTTGTTACTTCTCAAGCTAGGACCTTGGCATATGGTGCCCTTTGTCAGTGTTGACAGTGTATTCTGAGAAACTGGAAGAAGGGACCCATATTGGGAATGAACTTTGGCTGACTTGCCTCTTATCAATTACACAACTCCAGGTGGATTCAGAGTGTGAGGATGAATAGTTTATGAATATGACTTATCCTGTGGTCTCCTGGAATTGTTTCTTGTATGCCTTCATCATGAATCCAACCACAGTGGGTTCACATCCCTGACCCCCTTGTTGTCCCAGGATTTGTATTTAGTTTAAAAACATGGAATGGCCCAGACATGGTGGCTCATGCCTATAATCCTAGCACTTTGGGAGGCTGAGGCAGGTGGATCACTTGAGGTCAGGAGTTCGAGATCAACCTGGCCAACATTATGAAACCCCATCTCTATTAATAATACAAAAATTAGCTGGGCATGGTGATGCACACCTGTAATCCCAGCTACGTGGGAGGCTGAGGCACAAGAATCACCTGAACCTGGGAGGTGGAGGTTGCAGTGAGCCAAGATTGTGCCACTGCAGTCTGAGTGACAGAGTGAAATTATGCCTCTAAATAAATAAATAAATAAATAAAAGCATAGAATGAGGGTTGAAGCTGAAAAGAAGCAAACCAACAACTAAAAAAGCCATCTAGGCCACATACAGTGGCTCATGCCTGTAATCCCAGCACTTTGGGAGGCTGAGGCGGGTGGATCACCTGAAGTCAGGAGTTTGAGACCAGCCTGGCCAACATGGTGAAACGCTGTCTCTACTAAAAATAGAAAAATTCGCCAGATGTGGTGGCGGGCACCTGTAATCCCAGCTACTTGGGAGGCTGAGGCGGAAAAATCCTTTGAACCTGGGAGGTGGAGGTTGCAGTAAGCTGAGATCGTACCATTGCACTCTAGCCTGGGTGACAGAGTGAGACTGTCTAAAAAAAAAAAAAAGCCATTCCGCAAGTTACACATTGAGACTATGTTTGCATGTTAATCCTCAGATACTGTAAGTGAATAAATGTCTTCTACAAGGAAATCATAATATTAAGAGTAAAGTTTATCTTTAAAAAAATTTTACTTTCTAACTTAGCATAGAGTAAAATCAACTTTGTTTTTTAGTGTATACAGTACCATGACTTTTAACAATTGTAAGATCATGTTAACTACCACCATAATCAGAATACAGCACAATTTCATTATCCCCCAAAAGTCACTTTATATATACCCCCAACACCTAAAGCCTGGCAACCACTGATCTGTTCTTGCCACTATAGTTTTGTCTTTTTGGGGATGTCATATAATGAAATTGTATAGTATATAACCTTTTGAGATTGTCTTCTTTAACTCAGCTTAATGCCTTTGAGATTCATCCAAATTGTGTATATCAATAGTTTGTTCCTGTTTATTTTTGCATAGCATTCCATTATATGGATATACCACAGTTTGTTTATTTGTTCTTTTATTGAGGGACGTTTCAGTTGGTTCCAGTTTTTGGCAGTTATGACTAGAGATGCCATAAATACTTGCATACAGGTTCTTGTGTTAACATAAGTTTTCTCTTTTTTGGACCAGATGTTGGCAAACTTTTTCTGTAAAGGGCCAGATAGTAAGTATCTTTGGCCTTGCTGACCATGTGGTCTCTGTTGCAGCTATTCCACTCCACTCTTATAGCACAAATGCAGCCATAAACAATACATCAATGAAAAGGACCTGGGCACAGTAGAGCTGCTGCTGGATTTGGCCTGAGGACATAGGTTGAACCCTGTTCAAGGGTAAATACTTAGGTGTAGGATTGCTGGGTCATATGGCAAGTGTATGTTTAAATTTATAAGAAATTGTCAAACTGTTTTTCAAGACTGGTTATACCATTTTGTATTCCTACCAGCGATGTATAAGAGTTCTGGTTCCTCTATATTCTTGTAAGCATTTGGTATAAGCAGCATTTTTAACTTATGCTATTCTAACAGGTATGCAGTAGTATCTCATGGTTTTAGTTTGCATTTCCCTAATGGGTAATGATGTCAAATACCTTTTCATGTGCTTGTTTGCCATTTGTATATCTTTTTTAGTAATGTGGCTTTTCAAGGCTTTTAACCGTTTTTCAAAATTGTGTTGTTTACTTACAGTTGAGTTTTGACAGTTTTTAATATAGTCTGAATCCATGACCTTTGGTGGATATGTGATTTGAAAATATTATCTCCCAGTGGTAGCTTGTTTTTTTCATTCTCTTTATAGCATCTTTTGCAGAAAAATATTTTTCATTTTGGTGAAGTCAGTTGATCAATTTTTTCTTTTATGGAGCATGCTTTTGGTGTCGTGTCTAAAAACTCTTTGCCTAACTTCAGATCCCAACGGATTTCTCCTATGTTTTTTCTAAAATTTTGATAGTTTTATGTTTTACACTTAGATTTATTATCTATTTTGAATTAATTTTTGATGTATGAGGTATAGGTTGCAACTAATTATGATGTGTATAGATTGCAACTTATTTTTTGCATATGAATGTTTGGTTGTTCTAACATCATTTGTTGAAGGGGCCACCTTTTTAAATTGAATCGCATTAGTATCTGTGAAAGGAATCATATGGCCATATTTCTGCGGGTGTTTTTGGACTCTGTTCTGAGCTACTTGTTTTTCTTTTGCTAATACCCCATGGTCTTAATTACCGTAGCTTTCTAGTAAGTCTTCAAATTGGGTAGTGTATTCCTTTAATATTTTTCTTTTTCAAAAACATCGTTTTAGTTGTTCTAGTTCCGTTGGCTTTCCCTAAGAATTTTAGAATCAACTCCTCTATATCTAGAAAAAAAATCTCTCTGGAATTCAATGGCCTTTTCTTAAATCTATAGATAAGTTTACAGACATGTACATCTTTACTGTGTTTAGTCTTTCAATTCTTGAATGCAGTATGTCTCTCCATTTATTTAGAACTTCTTTAACTTCTTTCATCAGTGTTTTGAAGTTTTCAGCATACTGTTACTGCACACATTTTATTAGATTTACCTGCATTTAATGTTTTGGAACTATTGTAAATGCTTTATAAAACTTATTGCCAATTATACATTGTCAATGTATAAAAATATGGCTGGTTTTAGTGTGTTTATCTTATACCCTGCATACTTGATAGTTTTACTTATTAGTCCTAGGAGTTTCCTTTTTTACTTTTTTGAAGATTCCTTGAGATTTTCTGTTTAGAAAATCATATCATCTGCAAATAAGGACAGTTTTATTTCTTCCTTTCCTATCTGTATGCCTTTTATTTCTTCTTACATTACTATACTGGCTTTTAGTGTCATGTTGAATAGGAATGGTGAGAGTGAACATTCTTATCAGCTCCCAGAAGTCTTCTATTTGTAGTTTCCTAAGAGTTGTTTTTTTTTTAACATGAATGAATACTGAATTTTGACAATTGTCAATTGATGTGATCAATATATTTTGCTGAATTCTTTTTATTAGTATTTTGTTGAGGATTTTTGCATCATATTCATGAAGAATATTGATCTGTAGTTTTCTCTTTTTATACTTTCTTTGGTTTTGGTATCAGGATAATGTTCACCTCATAAAATAATGTAAGAATTATTACCTCTTCTTATATTTTCCAGAAGACTTGGTGTGGAATTGGAGTTATTTCTTCTTTAAATGCTTGGTAGGATTTGCTAGTGAAACTACCTGGGCCTGGAGATTTGCTCTTCAGAGAAGGATTGTAAATTATGGATTATATTTCTATAACAGTTAGAGTACTATTCCATTTATCTCTTTCATTTTGAGTAAAGTTTGGTAGTTTAGGGAGGAATTGATCAATTTCATCTAAATTGAAAGATTCAGGTACATAAAGTTGTTGTTATATTACTTATTATTCTTTTAATGTCTGTGGGGTCTAGTGATGTCTCCTCTTTCAGTTCTGATATTGGTAATTTGTGTCTTCTCTCTTTTTGTGTCAGCATTGCTAGAGGTTTACGTATTTCTTTTTCAAATAATCAGCTTTTTGTTTCATTTATTTTGCCTTTGTAATGTTTTCAATTTCATTGGTTTCTGATCTCTTTATTATTTCTCTGCTTCTGCTTGCCATGCTTATTCTTTGTTCATCTCTTTTTTTGTAGGGTAGAAACTAAGATTATTGCTTTGATACCTACCTTCTTTAAAAAGATAAGCATTTAATGATCTAACGTCCTTTGAAGCACTGCTTTGTCTGTATCCCACAAATTTTAATATGCTCTATTTTCATTTTTGTTGCATTTGTAATATTTTCAAATTCTTTTTTGAAGTATCCTCTTTGAGTCTGGGATTATTTATACTTGTGTTGTTTGGTTTCTAAATGTTTAAAGATTTTCTTGTCATCTTTCCATTGTTGATTGCTAATTTAATCCCATTATAGTCAGAGGATATACTTCATGTTTTGTAAACCAGGCTATGGTTTATCCTAGTGAATGTTCCATGTGCACTTGAAACACATGTGTATTCTACTGTTATGGTGTATGGTATTGTGTAAATTTCAATTAGTTCCAGTTGGATACTGGTGTTGTTCCATTCTTCTACATCTTCGCTGATTTTCTTACTAGTTCTATCTGTTACTAAGAAAGTAGTATTGAAGTCTCCAACTGTAATTATGGATTGGTGGCCGTTCGCGGTGGCTCGTGCCTGTAATGCCAGGACTGTGGGAGGTCAAGGCGGGTGGATCACCTGAGGTTAGGAGTTCGAGACCAACCTGGCCGACATGATGAAATCCCATCTTTACTAAAAAATACAAAAATTTGCTGGGCATGATGGTGCATGCCTGTAATCCCAGCTTCTCAGGAGGCTGAGGCAGGAGAATTGCTTGAACCCGGGAGGTGGAGGTTGGTTACAGTGAACTGAGATCACACCACTGCACTCCAGCCTGGGCGACAGAGCAAGACTCCATTTCAGAAAAAAAAAAAATCGTGGATTGGTCTTAATAACCAATCTTTTTCCTTTTTCAGTTCTTTTTTCATGTGTTTTGAAGCTCTGCTGTTAGGTAAATATACATTTAGTATGTTGTGTTTTCTTGATGAATCGACCCTTCACCGTTATGTAATGTCTCTCTGTATCCTTGATAGTTGTTTTTGCTCTGAAATCTACTTTGTCTGATATTAATATATCTGCTCTAGCTTGTTTTTGATTCTTGTTGACATGGTATATCTTTTTACATTTGGCTTTTAACCTATTTATATAATTATATTTGAGGTGAGTAGTCTGTAGATAGCACATAATTGGCTTGTTTGAAAAATGCAATCCTTATAGCCTCTGTTTTTTAATTGGTGCATTTAGAGCATTCATATTTAATATAATTATTGATGTGCTTTTCTTTAGATATACCATTTAATTATCTATTTTTTGTTTCTTTGTCTTTTCCTGATCTTTTTGAATTATTTGAACGTGTTTTAGCGTTCCATTTTAATTTAATTATTGTGCTTTTGACTATGTCTTTGTATATAAATTTTTAGTGGCTCCTCTGCCAGATATATGTATTGCACATATTTTCTCCTTCCATCTGTTGCTTGACTTTTTATTTCCTTAACCATGTCTTTCTGAGCAGAAGTTAAAAGGTTAATTTCTCTGAATGGTATTGCTTTCTATGCTATTTTAAGAAATCTTTTTCTATGCTCAGTTCGCAAAGATATTTTCTTATGTTTCCTTCTAGAAGTTTTATAGTTTTAGCTTTTATGTTCATGCTCACAATCAATTTCTAGTTAGTATTTGTATATGGTGTGAGGTGGGAATCAGAGTCCATTTTTTCTTACAGTCGACTATTCAGTTATTCCACCACCACTTTTTAAAAAGATTTTCTTTTGGCTCTTGAAATACCTTGGCATCTTTGTTGAAAATCAATTGACCATATATGTGTGGGCCTGTTTCTGCATTTTATTTTGTGTGCCATTGTTTATTTGACTACCCTTATCTCAATTTTGATTACTACTGAAATTTTGTATTCATGGGCAATTTCCTTTTGTTTTTGTAGCTATGTATTATTTCCAACTGCATCTTCATCCATGTTCTCAAGAATGCTTTGAAACTTTCTTTTTGCTGTTTGTAGTATGTTTACACACATGCTTGCTCTTTGTCATAAACATGGACAGCTAAACATGGACAGCTTTATCTACAACTATTCTTTGTTTTAACAAAGTAAAGCAGATTTCTTCATGTTATCTTTTCTGTCTTAAATGAGACCTGTTTGCCTTCCTCTCTGAGCTGCAGTTTGAGGACATTGAGTATTATGTGTAAGTTTTCTATGATCTGAAGGTGCATGGTAGGTAAAGGGCTATGGGGATGGAGCTTGGCTGAGCGTGGGTGTAGTCTGTTTTGAGAGACCTGGGCTGTGCTTTCTCTTCTGAGATTTGGTTAAAGGTCTTAAACCAGGGTTTGTCCCCCTGGGGCGTGTCTTTTCCCGTGGGTTGGAGGCTAGTCTCAGGCTTGAAGCATTTCCCCGGTTCATAGAGAACTGCCCAAAGAACTGTTAACAGTTTTGATGGCCTCTGCTGAGATCTAGAGATACTGCAGTGATGGTTAAAACTCATCTGTACCAATGCCATTTTGCTTGAGTTTTCTAGGCTATTATCCATTTCCTCATCTTGCTTTTCATGAAATTGGAGTGTATTAGTGAGAATTTTCAGTATATTGTCATCTTCTGCAGGCTAGGCACCCTGCAAAAGCTATTTCTTTTCTTTTTTGGGATTGATGGGTAAAGTTTTATCTACTTCATTTTTCTTTTTTCTGGGGTTGGGCGTGAGGGGAGAAGGCTGTATTTTTCATCAGTTTGTTAGGAATTAATGAAGTGAGGAGGGACCCTGGTCCTTGTGCTCTGCCATCTTTAACACAGATGTCGCACAGCATGGCTCATCCCTTCCTTTTCTGCCTTTTATAATTTTATCTTCTGATTTTGTATTTCATATCCCATATTATTGACTTGAGTTTTAACCTTTTCCCAAGTACTGATTGCAGAACTGGTACTTTAAAAATTAGGACTTTGTTACCAGGAAATAGAAATGGCAGTAAAGAGAACCAAAGTCTTAGATAAACTATACTCTGGGGAAACTGGGGTTTATTTTTAAGGAAAATTGAATTGTAAGTGCTCATTGTGTCCAGGAAAGAAGTGAGTAAGAAGATAATTTAATATCTGAAAGAAGCGGCTTGCTGAATTTAATGCTATTACTGACCTGACAATAAAGGAATGAGCCAAAGAAGAAACATTAGAATCTTCCTTTCCTGGGAGACATGGGGCATATTCAGAAAAAATATTTTAATTTCATTGTCAACGGTGGTTTGAAAAGTATCTAATACGCTGGGCCTCGGAAAGAGTGGTATGTCATCTTTTGTGTTGTTGCTTGTTTCTGTGGCATTTTCTAGATCTTTATTTCTGATTTAGCAGACGGTTTGCTATAACTAGACAAAAGGGTCCTCCATGGATAAGGTTACACAAAAACAGCACATTTAGACGACAGCCTGTGTCAGTGACATTTTGCTGTGAGCCTCTTTGTTAGAAGCTTCTCTCACTGCAGAAACACCATTGGGGATTGGTGGGTCTCAGCATCTCCAGTGAAAGCAAAAGCTACCAGAAAATGGGAAATGGAACCAGAAACCACAAATAAAAGAGACCATGGCAGTACTACACAGTGGGCTAATTTTCAGATGGTCAGAATCTCTCAGCAGTCATGATGATGAGGCACTTGGGACCAGTTGTCCTGAGATTTTGCTATATATCAGTTATCTGCTTTGTCTCTTCTTCAATATTCTGCCTTCTTCACTTAAACCTTCTCTTCAGCTTACGAATGCCAAACAGTCTTCCTGTCCTGTGAAAAATCCACTCTGATTTTACTGCTCTCCTTCACTCCCGTGTTGATTCTGCTCAGTGTCAGCTCGGTGGAATGCAGCTCTAGTCTTACTTCCTTTGCTTCCTTTGGTGTTTTTTCAGGTTGTGTTGATAGATGACTGTGGGTCCAGGCGTCAGATCATCCCTTTCCTCCTTAAATGTTGGTGAACTGAGAGAGAAGTGGCACTTGGCGCTCTGTACCCCTCTCTCCCTGGGTGGCCTTGTCCCATTCCAGGCTTCAGCCATCACCTCTGTGGGTGGTGCCTAAAGGTCTGTTCCCATTCCTGTCCCTTCTGAGTTCCATGACACATTTTCAGCCACTGTTAAAAACATCTACCTGGTTGTCCCATAAACATTTCAAGGTCACCACATGCACCATGGAGCTCACCTTCATTCAATTCAGCATCTCCCGTGGTGAGGGTGTTGTTTTGGCACCCGTGTCCTCCTGACATCTCAGGCTTGGAAACGCTGTAGGAGCCTTTGGTTCTCCCCTCTCCTTTCCTCACTGTCCTACCCACTTGCTCTGCTCTCTGTTCCTGTCCCCATACCATCAGGCACTAACAATTAATTTTTCCCTCTGTGGTTTCTCCTGTATTGGTCCTAAATCCTTTTCCTTGTATTCTCTCCATTACCCCTGCCTTCATTCAGGTTCTCTTGCCAGCACATTGCTAGCGCCTCCTAAATGGTCTTTCTCCATCATCTCCTTCCTTTAATCCTCTTGACTCTTCTATCCAGATTTCCCACCATAACACAGATGTCTGTGATCCTGCCAGCCCCCTTTTCTTGACTTTCCTACTCATTCAGGAGCTTTCAATGATGCATGCCCTTTGATTGACGTCTTCCACTTCTACTAGGATTTATCTTGCAGATTTACGCAGATGTGCATGCAGAAAGTCTGACACACAGTTTGCTAACATGTTTGCTGTCATGTTTTGTAATGGCAAAAGGGGTAATAACCTCTATAACCATCAATAGGACACTGCTTAAATAAATTACGGTAGAGTAATATAATGCATAGAATATCCTGCGGCTATTAATAATAATGAGGTATGTGTCTATTTGCTGATACGGAACAAATTCCAAAGTACATTGGTAAATTTTTAAAAAGGTGAGAGGCAAAACAATGTATATATTAATACGTCTCTATTTGTGTTAAACAAACAGGATGAATATTCATCAAATATTTTTGGAAGATTACTTAACCCTGTTTTGTGCAGTTTACTTTTTTAAGCCATGCACATTAAGTCCCACTTCACATTGTTGATTGGTTCTTGGAAACTGACCTTACCAATTTTACCACAGGCTCATTGATATAAGCAAGAGCTGAGTTCCTAAAGGCATATTTCTTGTTACAAACTTCCAAATACATCATCAAACTTCCAAATAAAGACCCAAAACACTTCTAATATTTAACATTGAAATAAATGTGAGCTGCACATACATTTAAGAAAGTTTAAGAGAAAACAAGTAAGAGAATTATTTACCCAGTTTTTGGTGAATTGGTGAGTGATGGTGGTTGTGGTGGTGGTGGGTTCATTTAAGGAATAAGTGTTTGCAAAGCAAAAATCATCAGGAGCACCTCCTACCCCTAAGCAGCTCAAAAACAATCACAAGTAGGGTGGACTCACTGAGCACACTCAGCCTGCATCGGATATTGTTGTGAAATTGTATGATTATAGTAGACTTGATGAATTTTTATTTTACAATAATTTATGTTTATTCATTCATTTATTGATTCATTCATTTTTTCAACCCATTTATTCTAGTTCTAGGTTGAGAATGGCTGGAGCCCATCCTGGCAGCACAGGCTGCCAGGCGGGAACCAGCCCTGGATGGGATGCCATCTCATCTCAGGGCACACTCAGGCACACCCACACTCACTCATGTAGTATGAGTGGGGACCATGTAGACTTGGCAGTTCATCTCACATGCACAGCTTTGGGGTATGGGAGGGAACTGGAGTCTCCAGAGGAAACCCATGCAGCCGTGGGGAGAATGTGCCAACTCCACACAGACAGTGGCCCTGGTGGGGAATTGGATGATTTTTCTCATCAATGTTTTGTAATCGCCCAACAATTCACCTTGCCTGCTGCCTAGACAGAGCTAATTTGTCAAGACAGAGGAACTGCAATAGAGAAAGAGTAATTCAGTCCGAGCTAGCTGTGTGGGAGACTGGAGTTTTATTATTACTCAAATCAGTCTTTCCAAGCATTCAGGGATCAGAGTTTTTAAGGATAATGTGGTGGGTGGGGGGCCAGTGAGTCAGAAGTGCTGGTTGGTTGGGTTGGAGATGAAATCATAGGGAGTTTAAGCTGTCCTTTTGCCCTGAGTCAGTTCCTGTGTGGGGACCACAAGACCAGAGGAGCCAGTTTATTGATTTGGATGGTACCAGCTGATCCATCAAGTGCAGAATCTGCAAAATATATCAAGCACTGATCTTAGGTTTTATAATAGTAATATAATCCCCAGGAGCAATTTGGGAAGGGTCAGAATCTTGTAGCCTCCAGCTGCATGACTCCTAAATCATAATTTCTAATCTTCTGGCTAATTTGTTAGTGCTACAAAGGCAGTCTAGTCCCTAGGCAAGAAGGAGGTTTGTTTTGGGAAAGGGCTGTTATGGTCTTTGTTTTAAACTTTAAACTATAAACTAAGTTCATCCCAAAGTCAGTTCACCCTATGCCCAGGAAAGAACAAGGACAGCTTGGAGGTTAGAAGCAAGATGAAGTTGGTTAGGTCAAGTCTCTTTCACTGTCTCAGTTATAATTTTGCAATGGCGGTTTCGATGATAATTAAATGACATTGAACGAAAGATACTATATAGGAGCTGCTGTACATGTTTACGTTTTCCCTAAAGAAACCTTGGCAAGTAAATAAATTAACAAAACCTTGCAAGTAATTCTTGTGGACTGTAGAAACAAGTCTGGATTTCTGAAGCAGCCTTCCATTAAAGCACCTTTAGATTTGGTGCCTGTACCTGGTCTTTGCCAGCCAGCCTGAGCCCAGTGATGAAAGGCACAGACTTCTGATCACTGGTGTGGTGTGGTGGACACAGCCCTGACAATGCACTTAGTGCTAGACCAGGTCCTGGCAGACCCTTGGTCCACATGTCCTCGTGTTAGTGACTGGATTGCAGAGACAATTGAGAGTTCCATGGGGGAAGGGAAAGGAAGGGTGGCCAGGATGAGGGTAGCAGAGATGCATGAGGCAGGAGAGGAAGGGCCAGCTAGCAGCCATATACCTTCTGATATGGAGGGTTTGGGGGATTTTAACAACCAGCAGGACCATTCTGTTGTCTCCCCAATGAGTGTCAACCCCGAATGTTGTTCATGGGGTCTCTGCTTGCTGATTCGAGTATGTGTCCACACCCACACGGTCTTTTCCACTTGGAACACTCTTTTCCAATCCCCACTTTTGCCGATCTTGCCCCTGCTTCAAGGCTGGCTGAGATCCCCTGTTCATTTTTCCTTGCTCCTGGCTACAAGTACTCACCCTCTGCTCTCTGAAGCTGGAAGGCCTTTATCTGTGTCTGGGTTTCCGTATTTCTTTCTGCATGGGCTTATTGGTTTTTTCCTTGTCTTATCTCCCCTGGTAAAGACTTTAATGACATTCTGGTAAGACGGGAGTCATTTGTCTTTGTGTCTCCTCTATTCTAGTGAAGGCATTTTCCAGGACTCTAGCGGCATCGAATGCTTGTTCTGGTCCCTCTAGTATAATACTTGTTAGTCCAAGGATCTTAGAAGATTTTGTCACTCTGAGATACCTCAAATGGTAACTCAACTGATGATTGATGGAAGAGGGATAGAGAAGGATGAATTGCTATTCCTTTAGCAAACGAAGTAGGAGATATTTTAAGGGGGCAATTTTGGAGTTGGGTGGGAGTCTGAGGGGGTGGCTCAGGGATGCACAGAGCCAACAGATAGAAGAGCCGTCTACTGAGCATTGGGAACAAGTCCCTGTCACCAGGAAATAAGGTTGTAGTATTCCTGTTCTCCAGTCAACACAGAAATCTCAGCAAGGAGTCAGAGACTGTAATTGTCTCAATTTTCGATGTAGATGGATTTTCATAAATGTTTTTACTTAGATGTTTCTTTAACTTGCTTGTTATTTTCCATGAGACCTTTTCATATTTTTAAGCCAATCTCACTGTCTTTCCTCCTGTCCCCTTCTCCATCAACAGCAATGACACATTACACATGTGAACCCAGTTGGCACACTTGAGATTCTTCTGGCTGAGATTCTTTAAAATTTGGTTTCACTTGTTCAATGTATGTTTCTCATCTCTCTTTTATCCTTTTCTCTAAACTTAGCAACTATTCTAGAGTTAGGGATTGAAGAAAATTTGCCCTGCTTGGCATTATTCCATCTTTTATTGCAGAGGTTAGCAAACTATGGCCTATGGGCCAACCACTGCCTGTTTCTGTAAATAAAGTTTTATTGAGATTTGTTTACATAATTGCTGTGCAAGGGTAGATTTGAGTAGTTCTGACGAAGACTATATGCACCCAAAGCCTAAAATATCTACTGTCTGGCCCTTTTCAGAAAGAGTTGGTGGATCCCTGTCATATTGTGTTAAATTGTCATCCCACTTCTTCTCCCCCTCCACCTTAATCCTATTTTCTCCTTGGCTGGTTCCTCTATCATGTTCATGCCATGACATATCCAATCAGTCAGCCAAAAGCACTAGCTGGAGATGTGCAGCCCCATCCTTCTCACCTAGTCACTGCCTTGTGGTCCTCCAGTCTGGGTGAGGGTGGAGGAGGAGCTGGTCTTGAATTATTGTTCATGGTACCAGGCACTAAGTTAAGTGCTTTACATGCTCAACCTCTCTACAACTTACATGGAGAGAATGGAATTATCCTCATTTTATTGACAGAAATGAGGCACAGAGCAGCTTTGTAACTTGTCCCTTGTCTCATAATTGGCAGATGCCAAAGCCTGGCTGTGAACCGAGTCTGTCTGACTCCAGAGAGCAGCCCATTTCCTCCTCTGCTGTGCTACTGCCTCATCAAAACCAAGCCTAGCTTTGAGGCACACAGGCTTTTTTGTTCATGCCCCATCTGACTTGATCTTTCTGTCATACTTGAACTTTTGCTGCCTATGTTTGTCTTTTCTACTTCTTCTACCTAGAGAAAGAGAAATTCCTTAGAGACTTCATTTTCTCATCTTTCCTCTTACTTTTGCATCTTAAAACAGTCCTATTATATATATATATATATATATATATATATATATATATATATATATATATATATATGTATTTTTTTTTTGAGACAGTTTCACTATTGTGGCCCAGTGCAGTGGCATGATCTCTGCTCCCTGCAGCCTACACCTCCTGGGTTCAAGTGATTCTCCCACCTCAGCCTCCCGAGTAGCTAGGATTGCAGGCGCACACCACCACACCCAGTTAATTTTTGTATTTTTAGTAGAGACAAGGTTTTGCCATGTTGGCCAGTCTGGTCTCGAACTCCTGACCTCAAGTGATCCACCTGCCTCGGCCTCCCAAAGTGCTGGGATTACAGGTGTGAGCCACCACATGTGGCCTAAACCAGGCATATTTTAAGACTGTTCTTATTCACTCTTTTCTTCTATAGGGATCTAATCTATGGTTAGACCTTGAAGAGCCAGCTTTGTACAGAATCTGTAGTCTGCTTTTCTTTGTGAACTAAATTGTGGACCTGATCTTTTGCAAAAGCTCCCATCTTTCTAATTTTTTATGGAACTTGTATTAAGAGTCTGCATGACATTAAAAATTCCTATCCTTCCCTAGGATTAGTTCTTCCTCTCGCCTCAGGGTTTCTGCTCTTGGCAACATGATTCTGCCAGTCACTAAGATTTGGAAGATAATGATTACATTTCCTCCTATCCTCCTCCCTCACCTCCCAACCGCTCATGTCTCTGTCATCTCATGTATTTGTCCTGGCCTGTCCTAATCCTGCCACTCCAACCCCAGGCCAGCATTTGCAGTATCTTTTGCTTAGACCAATATAATAGCCTCTTTCTGTCTTTAGTGCTCTAGGCCAGGAATGACAGACTGCCTTGTGGTACTCTCTCCTTTTAACCAGATTGTGCCTCAGAAACCTTCTTCTATGGTCTGAATGTATCCCTCCAAAATTCATGTTGAAACCTAATCTCCTTTGTGTTGGTATTAAGAACGTAGGGCCTTGGCCTGGTGCAGTGGCTCACGCCTGTAATCCCAGCACTTTGGGAGGCCGAGGCAGGCGGATCACGAGGTCAGGAGATCGAGACCATCCCGGCTAACATGGTGAAACCTTGTCTCTACTAAAAATACAAAAAAAAAAAAAAAAAAAAAATTAGCTGGGTGTGGTGGCGGGTGCCTGTCGTCCCAGCTACTCCGGAGGCTGAGGCAGGAGAATGGCGTGAACCCGGGAGGCAAAGCTTGCAGTGAGCCGAGATCCCGCCATTGCCCTCCAGCCTGGGTGACAGAGCGAGACTCCATCTCAAAAAGAAAAAAAAAAAAAGAACATAGGGCCTTTTGGGGAGTGATAAAGACATGAGGCTTTGCCACCATGAATGGGGTCCATGCCCTTATAAAAGAGATTGAAGGCAGCGCCCCTCTCCTTCCACCCTTTGAGGACACAGCAACAAGGTGGCACCTGTGAAGCAAAGAGCAGGTCCTCATCAGACACCACATCTGCTGTACTTTGATCGGGGATGCCCCCCGCCTCCAGAATTGTGAATAAGACATTTCTATTATTTAAAAGTTACCCAGTCTAAGGTATTTTGTTATAGCAGCTTAAATGGACTAAGACACCTTCTTGACATAGTCAGTGATGGCACTGCAGTCCATCCCATGTCTGATTTATTTATTTTATGTAGTTATGGTTGAAATAATTTTCCTCATTTATATCACTTATCTGCTTGAAAGCCCAGTTGTTCCTACTGGTGAACAAATTACTAACCAGTGTCCAGAGAGGCACACAAAGCCTTCCCTTCTATGGCCTCTGGTTTTTCTTGCTAGCTCATTGCCTGCTCTGTGTTCCGTGAGTCCCAGGCAATTGGGTAAGTCACTGGTCCTAATCTGTGGTTCCTTGCTTCCCACCTTCATGGTATTATCACTTCTTTCTGGAATGCTTTTGCCATCTTGCAAAGCCCTTTTCAAGGGCTATTTCCTCCATGGTATCTCTGATTTCCAGACAAATGTGAATTTTGTCCCTTTTGAGCCTCCATATGACTTTGTTGGAAACTTTCTTGTGGAATTTAGCTCCTACATGTACCGTGGTGACTGATGAACTTGTCATACTGTCTCTTCATGGCACCACAAATACACTAAAGCAGGAAATCTTCTCTGCTTAAATAATGTTTAAGATGCCTAAGAAATGCTTAATAAATATTTGTTGAATTATTCTGAATGGAATTATAGGAGAAAAGTCATATGGTTGGCCATGAAATGTAACAGGCTTCTCATTCAGGTATTCCTAATATACTGTTGATCAAGTGGTGCTCAGTTCTTCAAAATATGCCTTTGGTAACATTTATTTTGAGCTAAAATATTATTGTCTTTAGCCAAGGCCCAGCACATACCAGCTCAGTATGATGGAACACGAAGAACCCAGAAATAGCTCCCATGGCATGTAATACCATCTTGGCCACTAACTCAGTGCTCTGGCATTGGATTTGACCCTTGGCCTTTCTGGGCTTTAGTTTTCTCATCTGTAAAGTGGGCCTGGATAAATACCCTTTCCAGTAGAGCAGCAGTACCCCCCAGGGGACGTCTGGCAATGTCTTGAAGTAGTCACTACTTCTTGGGGGTTAGTGTGCTACTAGGCCAAGAATGCTGCTAGACCTAATTGCACAGGAAGGCCCCCCAGCAAAGAATGTTCAAAAATGTCATTACAGTACAAAAACAAAACAGAACAAGAAAAAAAAGTCATTAGTGTGAGATTGAGGAACCCTAAAGTTGAGCTGAAAACTGAAGGTTTAGAAGCAACATAGCAAGAAATTAACAAGCTGTGCTTATCTAGGACCCTTCCCAACTGCCTGCGAATGTCGGAACTGCCATGTCCCCCTTGACATATTCTAGCCACCCCAGTCCAAGATCTGTAAACCTCATTTGAGCCTGCGTTTTCCTTTTTATTAGAAGCATTAGAAGGTCCTTCTGTACACCTGGAATGCCTTTAATTCATTCCTTTTAGGTTCTTGTTTGTACTTTGTTGCTGGTTTTCCCTTTTTAAACCAATTTTTTTTTTCCCTCAAGTGTTTGACACTTAGCTGAGTGAGGCTGTCAAAATGTTTTACTTCTCCATTAGCATAGCCTGTCTTAGCTCAGTATTGTGTGTGTGTTTGTGGTGGTTTTTTGTTTAATCTGCTGAGCCACAGATTAACAACCAGAACTCCCCCTCTGTCCCTCACACATCTCCCATACAAAACACAGATATTACAAAATCAGTTTCAAAAAGCATCCTAGACATTTTGCAGTGTGAAGAGGAACTGGAGGTGGTGTGCTTCTGATGGAAGGTTGCCATGGCAACTATGTGGCGATAACTCAACCTGGGTAGGGAGGGAGGGGCCCAGGGGAGAGGACCTGGCTGTCAGACCCCTGTTCAGCCCCTCAGCAACATCTGATTTCTCAGCACAGTCTTGGGATCAGCATTTGACTCTCCAAGAGTGCAGGGGATGTGCCTGTGTCAAGATGGCCGGGCCCATGTCTAGGCTGTTTGCTTAGGTCTTTCTTTCCCATTCTAGCATTGGGGGCTTTTCCCTCTCGCCCTGCTTGTCTTATTCTCTGCACAGCGCTGCATTGGATATGAGGGGCCTAATAAGGGAAATTCAGATATATGAAGACATCACTGATTTGAAAACGCTGGAAATAAAAGGAGTATTATTTAGAGTTTTTTTTTTTCTTTTTGGAAATAAGCTACAGCTTTGAAATAGGCTTATTGTGTGGCACTGGTACCAATGATCCCTTCCATTTCTGAGAAACCTACCCTGTCCTAGAGACTTATCATGTGTTGTCTCGTTGGGTTCTTGTGTATATTTTCATGTGTATAATTATTATTCCTATTGTACAGATGCAAAAAGTGAGGATCAGGGAGGTTAGGTGCTTGCCTAAGATCACACAGCTGGTAAGTGACAGGAATGAAGCCCAGATTGTTACTCAGTTAGGCACCGTGAACAGTCCTGACACATAGTAGGCACGTGGTGAGCATGTTGCATGAATGGATTCAATTGCTTCTGGTGAGGCCCTCAGAGGGCCTGTGGATACTGATATTGATATATAATTCATCATGTCCTCTAATTAAAAGAGCAGCTCATAGCTGCTTAGATGTAGCTGTTCCCATTAGTTTATATGTTTATTTGGAATACCTGACCAACACTGGTCAGTTTGTCCGTCAACTCTTTTCTTTACACACAGAGATGTCAGCTAGGAGCCAGCCCCCTTGAAATCACGAATTCTGAATTGATACTCTCTTTTATTAATGAGGCTATACTCTTATGTGAAACCTGTGCATATAACTGCAATTAACACACCAATGGAATTTTATTAGAAAACTTGATAGAGTGATAGTGAAGTTTATTTAGAAAAGTAAATATGCAAAAGTAGCCTAGAGTTTGGGCAGAGATTGGAGAGGGGGAAGTAGTATAATCAGAATTATCATGAAGTTTAAATTGAAGATACTAAATTAAAACAGAAAGGTACAAGGGCTGATCAGTGAAAGAAAATAGAAAAACCAGAAATAGTCCCCCCTTGTATCTATACAAACTTGCCATGTGATAAGGCAGATCTTCTAATCTACAAAAATTATATCATTAATATATTAATACTGTTACATGCTTGTTATATAGGAAGCACAGTATATCTGAAAGTTCAAAGTCAAGACCACATCTTTTCATCCTGTAATCTCACTTCTGAGAAGAAACGATTAATATATTTTTTGAGGTATATTACAAATACACCTACAGATATGCACACTTTTGAGAGAGAGGCAGCATAGTGCATTGCTTAAGAGTGCTGGCGCTGAGACAAGACAGTCTGGTTTCAAAACCTGCCTATATGATCTTGGATCCATTACTTAACCTGTCTGTGCCACAGTTTTCTTATCTTTAAAATAGTGGTGATAATAGTATTTACAGGGGTTTTGTGAGGATCAAATGAGGTAATACATGTAAAACACTTAGGTAAGACCTGGCGCATCATGAATGCTCAATCCAAGATAGCTTTTTAAGATGTAAGGTCATATTTTGCAACTAGCTGATCATCTAACAGTATATCGTAGGCATCTATGATGAGCATATGCTCATACACATATATTTGTTTTATTTCTTTCAATGGCTATACCCTGTGCCATGATATCAATTAAACAAAATTCCTCATTGATGGTGTGTTGGGGATCCCCAAGGCTACCCTCAGGCTTGAGGATTTGTTAGAAGGACCCACAAGACTCAGAAAAGCTGTTATACTCATGATTTATTACAATGAAATAATACAAATTAAAATCAGCAAAGGGAGACGGCACATGGCACATGGGGTGAGGTCAAGAGAAACCAGGTGCAAGCTCCCACTTGAACTCCCAGTTACGTCACATGGATGTCCTTAATCCTCCCAGCAATGATGTGTGACAACACATGCAAAGTGCTACTAGGCAGGCTCATCTGAGCCTTGGTATCTAGGATTTTATTGTGGTTCAGTTATGTAGGCAGAGAGTGCTTGTATGACTGGCTTCAGCTAATCACACTCCAGTCCCTCAGAACAAAACTAGGTGTCAATCATATATCCCATTGTTGGCATAAACTGGTGAAACCGGGACTGCATGGCCCATGGGCCCAGGCATATGAAAGTGCTCTTACCAGAGAGACTATTGCAAAGGCTCAGAGTTCATATCCTAGTCTCTGGCCAAGGGCCAGCCTTGAAAGGAGGCCTTTCTTTGGGATTGTGCAGGGTTTGAGCAATCCGGGTCTGCTGAAGTAACCTATCCTGCACAGATAGGCATGTAGGAGTTTTGTGTTATTTTGCTATTGTGAACAATACTTCAAGAAGTAGCTATATACATTTTGTCTTGTGAACTTCTCTGAGAGTTTCTATAGATAGATTCATGAAATTTAAATTGTTGACTCAAAGATTCTTATAGAATTCAACTTTGACAGTTTTTGTAATATTGTCCCCAAGAAGGTTGCTCTCACATTTCCATCAAGAAAATCAGAGTTGACATTTCCCCACATTTTTTCAATGATATATAATAAACCCGTTATCATTTCTAATCTGATTGAATGACAACTTATTAATTTAGTTTGCAATTCATTGTAATTAGATAGATTATACATTTTTATATGCAAACTGGCCATTTCTATTTCTTCTTAAATTGAAGAGCATCATTTCAAATTTGAAAAATAGAAGGATTTAATACACAGTATTGGGACAATTGGTTTCTTTGAAATTTCCATTGGTACAATAGATTTCTTTGAAAAAGTATATTGTATTCTATTTCTCCCCATATACACTAAAATACATTTCATAGGAATAACTTTTTCTGTAAAGGACCAGGCAGTACATATTTTAGTCACTGTGGGTTATATACTGTCTCTGTTGCGTATCCATACATCTTTTTTTCTTTCCCAAACAGCTTGTGGACCAAATAAAAATCTGTGGTAGGCCATAGTTAGCTAATTGTGTCTTTAAATTATTAAATGTAAAAAAATAAGCCATCTGTTTCTATGTGGTTGTTAACTAATTTTAGTATGAGAGTGTTTTGTATTAAATAAAACTCAAATATAAAAGTTTTCTATTATTATTTGCAATTCAGTGTTCTCTTACATCCCAGTTTAGGCTAGTAAGCAATAAAGGAAGTCAACATAAGGCAAGATATGTACCAAAGAGAAAAGCCTGGTAATTAAATATTTTTTATAAAGATTCAACTATTTAGTCCCAAACATCCATAAATAAAATGCAAAAAGAAAATGAGGCGCTTGATTTTTCTAAAGTACATATATAAGGGATGAAATTAAAAAGTTTAACACTCTTAAAGGCAGATATTTTTCAAATGCATAGGATGAAATGCCCTACTGTACCAGAGACACAGGAAAAAGACATGAGCAGACAATTTCAAAGGGAGGAATATAGGTTACCAATAAATATAATGTATAGTATACACATCACTGGAAAGAAAAGAAATACAAATTTAACATTAAGCTAGAATTTCCTATTGAATTGGCAATGCTTTTTAAAAAGTATAATATTCTGTGTTGGCAAGAGTGGCGTGAAATGGGCTCTCTTAAACGCTGCTGGCGAGCATGTAAGTAAAGTCTTTCCAGAAGGCAGTTTGGAAGCATTTCTCAAGAGGCTTAAACGTGTGCTCAGATTCTTAGATCTGAAAATAGCTGTAGGAATATTTAAATATTTACACAGTATAGTTTTCTATTTCAGCATTATTAATGATAGCAAAATATTTAGAAACAACCTAACAGAAGCAACAGGAGAATGTTTGACCTACCCATAAGCTGGAATACTAAGCATATATTAAAATTCATGTTTCTGAAGAATGTTTTATGAATACTTGTGATAGGCTGAATAATTCAACTTCTCATCACTACCCAATGATGTCCATGTCTTCATCCACAGAACTTGTGGATATATTGCCTTTCATGGCAAAAGGAACTTTGCAGGTGGGATCAAGTTAAGGATATTGAGATGGAGAGATTATGCTGGATTATCCGGATGGGCCCAACGCAACCACAATGCTCCTTTAAGAGAGTGGCAGGAGGGTCAAGGTCAGAAGAGGTGATATAATGACAGAGCAGAGGACAGAGCCATGTGGGGCTAACAGCCAAGGAATGTGGGTGGCCTTAAAAGCTGGAAAAGGAGGCTGGGCATGGTGGCTCACACCTGTAATCCCAGCACTTTGGGAGGCCGAGGCAGGCAGATCACATGAGGTCAGGAGTTCGAGACCAGCCTGGCCAACATGGTGAAACCCTGTCTCTACTAAAAATACAAAAATTAGCTGGGCGTGGTAGCACATGCCTATAATGCCAGTTACTCGGGAGGCTGAGGCAGGAGAATTGCTTGAACCCAGGGGGTGGAGGTTGCAGTGAGCCGAGATCATGCCACTGCACTCCAGCCTGAGCGACAGAGCGAGACTCTGTGTCAAAAAAAAAAAAAAAAAAAAAAAAAAAAGCTGGAAAAGTAGAGGAAACAGATTCTCCCCAGAGCCTCCAGGTGACATGTAGCCTTGCCAATGTCTTGATTTCCAGTGAGACGATTTCTGATGTCCAATTGTAAACTAATAATTCTGCTTTGTTTTCAGCCACTAAAATTTGTGGTCATTTGTTATAGCAGCAATGGGAAACCTGGACTCTGGGGCTAGCTTACACGCTGTAAGCGGGTTGGGGAGACAGGGTATCACAGTGGGACGGTTGGTGGGGTGAGGAGCTGCCCCTACAGCTGACTCTCTGATAAGCTGTTGACCCTGTCTGCCAAAAGGACAGATTTGCCAGATTGTAAACGCTTAGGCTTAATTTTGTCCTGTGTCGTAGTCCCTTTTGTACCTTTTATGTCACTATTCAGGAATAACATAGGCAATGCTGTATCTTTTCAATAGGTGATATTTTCAGCCAGTCAGGACCTATTTGGGTTTTGAGCTAAACTCAGAATCATCAAGGCCACATCTCATATAAAGGAAAAGAAGGAAGTCAGAATCACAGGTATCTCTGCTTCCAGCCTCCTGATATCCCCAAATGCCTGTTTGCCTATTGTGCTTCCGGACTCTGACTCAGAACTGCGTATGACTTGTTTTCACAAATCCGCTCCTCTCCCTGATGGAAAGCAATACATATGTGTGTGCATCACGGTTCCATTATGAAATGGCTCCATGTAGTTCTAGGCAGAAAAAAGGCCAGTGGCTGACTAGGTGGTGGGGTTAGGGGACATACTCTTTTGTTTAGTTTACTTTGGCAATCCATGTGTATTGACTTCTTAGAACAGAGCAGTGCTTTTTGTTTTAAAAGAAAGAGGAGAAATTTCTTTTTTTTGAGAGGCATTAGTTATTAAACCTTTTATTATAATTAATGGTAGTGGACACAAACTTTTTCTTTCTCTATTTTCTGTGCAGTATGTACATTCTCTCTTTCTCTCTCCCTTTCTCTGTAACTCAGATAAGCATGTACCCACATATACAGCATATGCACAGCAATATTTGCATCAATTAAGTAAATAAGTTCAAAGAGTTAATTTGTTAAAATGTAATATACTAGGCATTCAGCATACATACACTAAGTAACTACAGGTAGTATAAAAAGGGTTCATTGTGGACATTTTGAAGATAAATTTTTATTATTTTTAAATTTTTTATTTTTATTTTTTGAGACAGAGTCTCACTCTGTCACCCAGGCTGGAGTGCAATGGTGAGATCTCGGCCCCCAGCAACCTCCGCCTCCTTGGGTTCAAGTAATTCTCCTGCCTCAGCCTCCTGAGTAGCTAGGATTATAGGCTCATGCCACCATGCCTGGCTAATTTTTGTATTTTTAGTACAGACGGGGTTTCGCCATGTTCCCTAGGCTGGTCTTGAACTCCTGGCCTCAAGTGATCTGCCCACCTCAGCCTCCCAAAGTGCTGGGATTACAGGCGTGAGCCACTCCACCTAGCTGTTTTTAAATTTTTAAAATTTTTATTTTAAGTTCAGGGGTACATGTGCAGGTTTGTTCCATAGGTAAACTATGTCATGGGGGTTTGTTGTACAGAATATTTCATCACCCAGGTATTAAGCCTAGTACTCATTAGTTATTTTTCTTGATCCTCTCCCTCCTCCCACCCTCCATAGATCCCAGTGTGTGTCGTTCCCCTCTTCGTGTCCACGTGTTCTCATCCTTTAGCTCCCACTTATAAGAACATGCGGTATCTGGTTTTCTGTCCCTTTGTTAGTTTGCTAAGGATAATGGCCTCCTGTTCCATCCACGTCCCTGCAAAGGACATGATCTCGTGAAAGATGAGAAATTTCTATGTGCGTTTGATGCTTCTTTCTATGTAACTTTACTACCTGATCACAGTTTTCAGCAATGAGCATTCCTTCATATTAGCAGAACACAGATATTTATTTCTAGACCTGCCTTTATGTGCTGGCCCAGATTATAGAGCAGGGGCTGGTGATGCCTGGGAGGTCTGAGCATTCATGAAAATTATTATAGACCAGGGATTGCCTGCCATCTTCAACCAGTGACTTCCTTATTTTAACGTCTGGATAGTGATTAAGAAACTCCAGTTCTGGGGCGGAAGGTTTCTGTGGCTTCACTGGTGAGAACAAGTAGTCATCTTACTCATCAATGATCTTACATGGTCTTCTTAAATGGTTTTCTCTTTGTTGTAAAAGTATAGTGTGGAGTAATGCAAAGAGTACTAAATTCGGGGTCAGAGGCTAGAATTCTTACTATTAGGTTGTTGCTAACTGAACTTCTAAGATTTGTTTCACCTCTTTGGGCCCCATATACTTATATCCCTTTTTTCTTTTTAAGATGGAGTTTCACTCTTGTTTCCCAGGCTGGAGTGCAATGGCGCTATCTCGGCTCACCGTAACCTCTGCCTCCCGGGTTCAAGCTGTTCTCCTGCCTCAGCCCCCCGAGTAGCTGGGATTATAGGCACCTGCCATCATGCCAGGCTAATTTCATGTTTTTAATAGAGATGGAGTTTCTCCATGTTGGTCAGGCTGGTCTTGAACTCCCGACCTCATGTGATCTGCCCGCCTCAGCCTCTCAAAGTGCTGGGATTACAGGCGTGAGCCACTGCGGCCGGCAACTTATATCCCTTTTAGTAAAGTAGGGTGGTTTGGACATTGTGAACTTTCTGGTTTTTCCCGTGTCTAATATTCTAGCATTCTTAATAGAATCTAGTACTTGGGTGTGAGTGCTGCTCGAAAAAGTATAAATGGAAGTCTTAAGACTAACTCAAGTATAAGATTGGGTATGTAGACTCGGGTGAGTGGCTGCCATCAGAATTTGTCTGAGGTCTGCATTGTTATGCAAGAAAAATCCCCACATATATACAAAGCCAGTGTTGATGAGAAAATGATGTTTCTGTTCCTTTTCCCTTTTTTCTCCCCTCTATTTTCACCACCATCAGAAACCTTTAGAAGGGAGAGATAGAAAATAGCATGGGAGGGAAGACTTGGTGCTGTCCACTGAAAATCCTTAGGAAAATGATGGTGCTTGGGTCAGAGATGAGAGAATATTGTTTGCTTACTTGTGTGTTTTTGACACTTTCTGCTTTTGCCCTCCTCTTTTTTCCTGCTATCTTCCTATGGTAAGAAGTGGAGATTTTTGAAATCCCACCTCTACTGAAAATACAAAAAATTTAGCTGGGTGTGGTGGCGGACGCCTGTAATCCCAGCAACTCGGGAGGCTGAGGCAGGAGAATTGCTTGAACCCAGTAGGCGGAGGTTGCAGTGAGCCGAGATCGTGTCACTCCACTCCAGTCTGGGCAACAAGAGCAAAACTTCGTCTCAAAAAGAAAAAAAAGAAGTGGAGATTTTATTTAATATTAGCTAGGTGAATTCAATGAAAATATCCACAATGACCATTTAGCAAGCAGGCGGCTGGTAGTTGCTCAGGATTTGAGAAAACAACTTGACTTAATTGAAATCAGCAGACACTTTAATTTACATAGACCTGTCTGTGCTGCATTTGTAATTTTCTTAAGTAAGTGGAATTAGGAGAAGCCAGTATCACTTGCCCAGTGGAGAATAACCAGACCTCTTGTTGTCTTATGCACACTGAAGCCAAATGCTTCAGTATCACTCAGTTTCACCGCAATATGTTAGTGATGCAAAGACACGGCCTTTGCTGGAACTTAACAAAAATTCTTGGCATATTTCATTACAGCAAATTAGCATTCTTCCTGTACAGAAGTGAAGCCACTGACCCCCTGCCGTGGAGGCAATGGAGAGATGGGCAGCAAACATATTTGCTGAATTTATTCGAGCTATGATTTTTTAAAGTATAATTTATATATTATAAATTTGCCAGTTGTAGAATTTATAAACTTGTGTATCACCATTATTCCATTGTAAAACATTTCATCACCCCCAAAATCTCCCGGATGTCCACTTGTGTTCAGTCTCTATTCTCAACTTCGAGTAACCACAGATCTGCTTTCGGTTTCTGTAGAGTTTGCCTTTTATGGAAATTTCATATAAATCGAACCACGCAATACACAGTCTTTTGTGTTTTGCTTTTTTCAATTAGCATAATGAAATTTCAATGAGCATAATAAATTTCATTCATGTTGTGGAAAGTATCAGTAGCTTGTTCTTTTTAATTATTGAATAGTACTCCATTGTGCAGATATACCACATTGGGTTTAGTTTTTTTTTATTTTTTATTTTAATTTTTTTGAGATGGAGTCTCACTCTGTCGCCCTGGCTGGAGTACAGTGGCACCATCTCAGCTCACTGCAAGCTCCACCTCCCGGGTTCACACCATTCTCCTGCCTCAGCCTCCCGAGTAGCTGGGACTACAGGCGCCTGCCACCACGCCCGGCTAATTTTTTTGTATTTTTAGTAGAGACGGGGTTTCACTGTGTTAGCCAGGATGGTCTCGATCTCCTGACCTCGTAATTCGCCTGCCTCAGCCTCCCAAAGTGCTGGGATTACAGGGGTGAGCCACCACGCCCGGCCCACATTGGGTTTATTTATTTAGTTGATAGACTTTGGATTGCTTCCAGCTTTGGGGTGTTATGAGTGATGCTGCTATGAATATTTGCATACAAGGCTTTGCATGGATGTATAGTTTCATTTCTCTTGGATAAATACTTAGTAGTGGAATTTCTGGGTTAAAGGGTAAGTCTTACATTTAACCTTTTTAGAAACTGTCAAACTGGTTTCCAAAGTGGCTGTACCATTTTACACTCCCATCAGCATCGTATAAGCATTCCAGTTTTTCCATACCATGTGCTAACATTTGTTATTGTCTGTCTTTTGATTATAGCCATGCTAATGAGTATTGTAGTAGTATCTTGTTTTCATTTGTATTGCCCTAATGACTAATATTATTAAGCATCTCTTCATGTGCTTATTAGCCATGTGTGTTTTCTTCTTTGGTGAAATATATGCTCAAATCATTAGCCTGTTTTTAAAATTGAGCTGTTTTACTCCTTTTATTGAATGATACGAGGGATATATATTCTGGATGCAAGTAGTTTATCAGAAATATGATTTGCAATTATTTTTTCACAGTAAGTAGCTTGTCTTTTCATTTTCTTAAAGATATTTTTTGAAGCACAGAAAATTTTATTTTGACTATATTCGGTTATCAACTTTTTCCTTTGGGAATTGTGTTTTTGGTGTTGCGTCTAGGAAATCTTGGCCCTTAATCCAAGGTCATGATGATTTTCTCCTATGTTTTCCTTTATGAGTTTTGTAGTTTTAGCTCTTACATTTAGTGCTGTTACTCATTTTTCTCAGTTCTTGTATATTATATGAGGTAACGGTTTAAGTTCAATTTTCTTTCTTTGTATATGGGTATTCAGTTGTCCCAGCACCATATATTGAAAAGACCAAGCTTCCTCTGTATTGAATTGCATTCAACTTTATTAAAAATTAATTCACCATAAATGAAAGATTTTTCCTCCCTGCACTCTCAACTATATTTCATTTATACATATTTCTGTCTTTACAACCGTGCCACTTTTTGATTCCTGTAGTTTTATAGTGTTGAAATTAGGTAGTGTAGCCGGGTGTGGTGCCTCACCCCTGTAATCCCAGCACTTTGGGAGGCCAAGGCAGGTGGATCACCTGAGGTTGGGAGTTCAAGACCAGCCTGATCAACATGGAGAAACCCCATCTCTACTAAAAAAATACAAAATTAGCCGGGGTCATGGCGCATGCCTGTAATCCCAGCTACTTGGGAGGCTGAGGCAGGAGAAGCGCTTGAACCCGGGAGGTGGAGGTTGCAGTGAGCCGAGATCGCGCCATTGCACTCTAGCTTGGGCAACAAGAGTGAAACTCCATCTTAAAAAAAAAAAAAAAAGAAATTAGATAGTTTAGATCCTCCAACTTTGTTTTTCTTTCTAACAATTGTTTTTGGCTATTTTGGATACTTTGCATTTCCATATAAGTTTTAGGATCAGCCTGTCAGTTTCTATAAAAATAAATAAATAAGTAAACCTGCTGGGATTTAATAGTGTATGTATTACATCTATAGATCAGTTTGGGGATTATTGCCATGTTACTGGATGTAAAGAATTTCTCTTCTATTTAGATCTTTATTTTCAGTAATATTTATAGTTTCTAGTGTACGAGTCTTACACTTTATTAATTTTGCTTCTAAGTGTTTTATTCTTTTTGAAGCCATAGTGCATGGGATTGTTAATTTCATTTTTGGATTGTACATTGCTGGTATATAGAAATACAATTAATATTTGTATATTGATCTTGTGTCCTGCAACCCTACTAAACTTGTTTTTTACTTCAGTAGTTTTTTGTAGATTCCTTAGGATCATGATATCTGTAAAGATAGTTTTTCTCCCTTTTCAATCTGGGTGCCTTTAATTGCTTTTGCTTACCATATTACATTGGCTAGAACCTCTAGTGCAGTGTTGAATAGGTGTGGCAAGAGCATTTATCCTTGCTTAGTATCTGCTTTGGGGGAAACTAGTTTTTAACTGTTAGGTATTATTTAGCTGTAGGTTTCTCATAGATGCTCTTTACAAAGTGTGTGTTTCTTTTTTTCCCCATGAATTGGTATTGTCAAATACTCTTTCTGCATCTACTGATGAGACCATTTGGCTCTTATTCTTATTCTATTAATGTAGAGGCATATTACATTGAATTTTGGATGTTAAACCAACCTTGCATTACTGTGCTAAATCTCTTTTACTCGTCGTGTATAATCCTGTTTATATGTTGCTAGATTTGATTTGCTAATGTTTCATTAAGGAATATTGGATCTACATTCATAAAGGACATTGGTTTCACCTTTCTTGTGATGTCCGTCTAGCTTTGGTATTACGGTAATACTGGCCTCATAAAATTAGTTGGAAAGTGCTCCTTCGTCTTCTACTTTTTGAAAGAAATTGACTACTATTAGTGTTATTTCTTCTTTAAATGTTTGATAGATCTAATCAGTTGAGCCATCTGGGCTCAGATTTTTCTTTATGGATAAATTTTTCATTACAAATTCAGTTTTTTGCATATGTAGGGCTGTTATCATCATAGTTAAAAGTCTGTTTTGTTAATTTTAAAATAACCAACTCTTAGGTTTATTGATTTTTTAAAAATTGATTCTCTGCTTTCTATTTTTTCTTAATTTCAATTTCACTTACTATTCCATCCTGTTTACTTTGGGTTTAATGTGCTTTCCTTTAGTGATAGAAGCTTTGTCTTTTTTTCTTTTCTAATGTAAGCATTGAATGCTATAGATTTCCCTCTAAGCATGCTGTAGTAGCACCCTATACATTTTGTTATGTTGTGTTTTTGTTTTCATTCAACTTGATTGTGATTTTCTTCTTCAATCTGTGAGTTATTTAGAAATGTGTTGTTTAATTTCTAAATATTTGGTGATTTCCCAAGTGTCTTTCTGTTGTTGCTTTCTAATTGGATTTTTTTGTAGTTAGAAGAGACTTTGAATTAAGTATTTTAAATTTATTGAGACTTGTTTTGTGGTCTGTTCTGGAGAATGTTCCATATGCATCTGAAAATAATCTTGCTCTTGTTAGATGGAGTGTTCTTTAAATATTAGGTCATGATTGTTGATAATGTTATTCAATTTTTTATATCTTTACTGATTCTCATTCTATTAATTATTGAGAAAGGAAATCATAGTTTCTAAGTATTATTGTTGAATTATCTATTTTTCTTTTTAATTCTGTTAGTTTTGACTACATGTGTTTTGGAGATCTTTTGTTAGATGCATATGTATTTATTATATCTTCCTTATGTATTGACCCTTTTGAATTATGAAATATCCCTCTTTACCTCTAGTAATAGTCCTCATCTTAAAGTCTATTTTGTCTGATATTAAGATAGTCACTATAGGTCTCTTATGGTTACTGCTTGCATGGTAAATCTTTTTCCATCCTTTTACATGAAACCTAATTGTACATTTGAATTGCAAGTGTGTCTCTGGTAGATAGCATCTAGTTGGAGCTTGCCTTTTTTTTCATTATTTTTTCTGAGTCAGGGTCTCACTCTGTTACCCAGGCTGGACTGTAGTGATGTGATCATGGCTCACTGCAGCCTCAACTTCCTGGGCTCAAGTGATCCTCCCACATCAGCCTTCTAAGCAGCTAGGACCACAGATGCATGCCACTATGCCTGGCTAATGAAAAAAAATTTTTTGGTAGAGATGGGGTCTTACTATATTGCCCAGGCTGATCTTGAACTCCTAGGCTCAAGCCCCCCTCCCACCTTGGCCTCCCAAAGTGCTGGGATCATAGTGTGGGCCACTGTGCCTGGCTGAGGCCTGCTTTTTAAATCCAGTCTGACCATCTCTTCTTTTGATTGTGGTCCTTAGTTTATTTACATTTATTGTAATTATTGATATGATTGGTTTCACATTTATCATTTGCTATTTGTTTTCTATGTCTCATTTTTTTTGTTGTTCCCGTTTATTCTGTATTGCTTTGTATATTAATCAAATATTTTCTAGTATACCATTTTAATTCCTCTGATTTTTTTTTTTTTTTGAGATGGGGTCTCACTTTTTTGCCCAGGCTGGAGTGCAGTGGCACGATCTTGGCTCACTCCAACCTCTGTTGCCCGAGTTCAAGTGATTCTCCTGCCTCAGCCTCCTGAGTAGCTGGGATTACAGGTGCCCGCCACCACACTGGGCTAATTTTGTACTTTTTTAGTAGAGTACATGTTGGCCAGGCTGGTCTAAAATTCCTGACCTCAGGTAATCTGCCCGCCTCGGCCTCCGAAAGTGCTGGGATTACAGGCATGAACCAGTGCACCTGGCCAATTCCTCTGATTTTTAAACTCCACTTATTGAGTGTTTCTTGTGATTGCTCTAGGGATTATAATGTGCATTTTAGTGTATCATAATCTACTTTGCATTAATACTAACATAATCTGAGAAAAATATAGAAACTGCCTCAAATAGTTCCATTTGTTTCTTTTTTCATTGTATAATTGTCTTATATATTATACCTATATCTGTTACAAACCCCAAAATATTGTGCTTATATAACCTTATGCCATTTAAAGAAATTAAAAGAAGAAAAGAGAAAAATATATGTTCATACAGTCTTTTATTTTTGCCCGCATGATTACTATTTCCAGTACTCTTTATCTCTTGCTGTGCATTCATGTTACCATATGGAGTCATTTTCCTTAAGCTTCCCTTGGTATTTCTTGTAAAGCAAGTATGCTAACTACAAATTCTTTTAGTCTTCATTTGGCTGAGGATGTCCTTGTTTTGCCTTCATTTTAAAAACCATTTTATTTTGAAATATTTGTAAATTCATAAGAATTTGCAAAAAAGATATACAGGGAAGTCTTGTGTACTTTGGCCCAGTCTCCTCCAATGTTAACATCTTATATAACTATAGTACAATATCAAAACCAGGTAATTGACATTGGTACAATCCACAGAACTCATACAGATTTTACCAGTTATACAAAAGGGCTTCAAAGGGTTTGCGGAAAAATGGAATTAAAAAATAGAAATAAAAAGTGTAAGCTTTATTTCTCAACATGAGCTCCATCAAGTTCAAGACACTTTTTTAAGTGATGATACCAGCCACTTAGTCTATCCCTAAAGAACTGGGGGTTTTGGAAATGTAACCATATCAATGCAGTCTTCTTTACATTATTTACTGATGCAAATGGGTTCCCTTTAAAAACTTTTAAAGATTTTGAAACAAAAAGAAGTCAGGAGGAGGCAAATCAGTACTCAAAAGTGGATGCCTAAAGATCTCCCATTGGAACTCTTGCAAAATTGTCTTTGTTTGATGAGAAGAATGAGCCAGGAGAATTGCCATGGTGAAGAAGGGCTCTCTGGTGAAGCTTCCCCAGGTATTTTTCTGCTAAAGCTTTGGCTAACTTTCTCAAAATGCTCTCATAATAAGCAGATGTTGTCATTCTTTGGCCCTCCAGAAAGTCAGTAAGCAAAATACGTTGAGCATCTCAAAAAACTGTTGCCATGATCTTTGCTCTTGACCAGTCCACTTTTGCTTTGACTTGACCACTTCCATCTCTTGGTAGCCATTGCTTTACCTCCCGAATCATACTGGTAAAGCCACGTCTCATCTCTTTTTACAATTCTTCAAAGAAATGCTTCAGGATCTTGATCCCACTTGTTTAAAATTTCCACTGAAAGCTCTGCTCTTAGGCTGGGCATGGTGGCTCACGCCTGTAATTCCAACACTTGGGGAGGCCAAGGCAGGCAGATCACCTGATGTCAGGAGTTTGAGACCAGTCTGGCCAACATGGTGAAACCCCATCTCTACTAAAAATACAAGAATTAGCTGGGCATGGCAGCGGGCACCTGTAATCCCAGCTACTCAGGTGGCTGAGGCAGGAGAATCACTTGAACACAGGAAGTGGAGGTTGCAGTGAGCCGAGATTGCGCCACTGCACTATAGCTTGGGTGACAGAGCCAGATTCCATCTCAAAAAAAAAAAAAAAAAAAAAAAGCTCTGCTCTTGTTTGCAGCTGATCTGGCACAGATCAAGTGGAAAGGTTGCTCAACTTTAATTTTTCAGTTAGAATTATATAAGCTGAACTGATTGAGATGTCTATGGTGTTGGTTATTGTTTCTGCTGTTAATTTTCTGTCCTTTTCAGTTAGGGCACAAACAAGATTAACTACTTCTTTGCAAATTGATGTGGATGGTCTGCTGCTATGGGTTTCGTCTTCAACATTATCTCACCCCTTTTCAAAATGAGCTATCCACTTATAAACCGCTGATATTTTTGGAACATTGTCCACATAAACTATTTGTAAAGCATTAATGATTTCACCATTCTTCCACCTAGGCTTTACCATAAATTTGATGTTTGTTCTTGCTTCTATTTTAGCAGAATTCATGTTGCTCTGATAGGGGCTCTTTTCAAATTGATGTCTTATCCTTTTTAGTGCTTCAAACTACATCTTGTTTAGACATGTTATAACAAGTTAGTACATTTTGGTGCAAAAAACATTGAAATCCATCCATAGTTTTTTTCATAATCTTCCATGAGCTTTTTGAAGACCTTTAGTACATGCACTCACTTGTGTGTCTGTGTGTCTGTGTGTGTGTGTCTATGTTAATGTTTTTTTGCTCATCTTCTAATTAGATTAATTTTTAATGTTGAGTTTTGATCATTTCTTACGTATTCTAGGTATGCCTTTTGTCTGATATGTAGTTTGCAAATGCTTTCTCCCAGTTTGTAATTTGTCTTTTCATTTTTAAAGTCTTTTACAGAGAAAATGTGTTTTGTTTTTTTTTTTTAGATGAAGTCTCTCACTCTGTCGCACAGGCTGGAGTGCAGTGGTGTGATCTCAGTTCACTGCAACCTCCACCTCCCAGGTTCAAGTGATTCTCCTTCCTCAGCCTCCCAGGTAGCTGGGATTACAGGCATGTGGCACCAAGCCTGGCTAATTCTTGTATTTTTAGTAGAGATGGGGTTTCACCATGTTGGCCAGGCTGGTCTCAAACTCCTGACCTCAAGTGATCCACCCACTGCAGCCTCCCAACATGCTGGGATTATGGGCGTGAGCCACTGTGTCCCACTGAAAATGTTTTAATTTTGATAAGGTTCAATTTATCAATCTTTTACTGAGCATTCTTTTGTTCTCAAGTCTAAGAATTCTTGGCCTCACTGTAGATCCTTAATATTTTCACTTATGTTGTGAAAATATTAGAATATTAGAAAATATTAGAAAATTTTAGAAATATTAGAAAATTAGAAATATTAGAAAAATTAGAAAATATTAGAAAAACCTTTATAGTTTTAAGTTTTACATAAAAGTTCATGTTTCATTTTGATTTAATTTTATATAAAGTGTGAGGTTGTGGTTCCCTATTCTTTTTGCCCTTTGATATCTGATATCTCCATCATTGTATGTTGAAAAAACTGTCCCTTTGCCATTGAATTGCTTTTGCATCTTTGTCAGAAATAATTGAACATATTTTTATAGGTCTATTTCCAGTCTCTGTTTTGTTTCATTGACATATTTGTCTGTCTTCTTGCCAGTATTATATTGTGTTGATTACCATAGCTCTATAATAAGCCTTAACATTAGGAAAAGTGATTCATCCTACCTTTTTCTTCTTTCTCTGTTGTTTTGGCTATTGGGACATTTTCCTTTCATATAAAATTTAGAATAACCTGTCTATATCTACAAAAAAAACCTTACTGGGATTTTTACTAGAACTGAATTAGACCTATAAATAAATTTTGAAAAATTGACACCTTTACTGTGTTGAATCTTCCAAACCAAGAATGTGGTTTTTGTTATTTATTAGGGCTTTTTATTTATCAGACTCTTATAATTTTCAGCATATAGATCTCATAAGTGTTTTCTTAGATTTAGGCCTTATTTTATTTTCTTTAGAGTATTTATAAATGGTATTGCCTCTTTAAATTTCAGCTTCCATTTGCTTGTTGTTAGTTGCCTTCATTTTTGAAGGACAATTTTGCTGGATATAGAATTCTAGATGGACAATTTTGTTTTTGTTTTTTTTCTGTCAGCACCTTGAATATGTCATTCCACTGCTTTTGTATTTCCATTATAATGATAAATCCACCATTAATTGTACTGTTGTCCCACTATATGTGATGAACTATTTTTCTCTTGTTTTTCAAAATTTCCCACTGTTTTTGGCTTTCAGTATTTTGACTCTGATTTGTCTACAGTTACAGAACCCTTTCTATTGTGCTCCTTGAAGTTCAGTGATTTCCTTGGATTTCTAGATGAATTCTTTTCCTCAAATTTTGGAAGTTGTGAACCATTATTTCTCCAGTTTTGGGGGTATCTTTTACACATCTTTTGCTGGAACTCCTATTGCACATATGTTAATATACTTGATGTTGTCTCACAAGTCTCCAAACTTAATTTTCCTTTAGCTTTTTTCTTTCTCTTCTTTTGGCTGGAATATCTCAATTGACCAGTCTTCAAGTTTGCTGATTTTTTCTTTGGCAGCTCAGATCTGGTGTTAAGCACCTGCTGTAGAATTTTCATTTCAGTTATTATACTTTTCAACTCTAGTATTTTATCTGGTTCTTTTAAATAATTTATGTCTCTTTACTGATAGTCTCTATTTGCTTAGACATTGTTGTGATATTTTTAAAGACATGGTTTCCTTTAGTTCTTTGACACATTTATAAAAGCTGACTTAAAGTTTTTGTCTAGTAAGTCTAACATCTGGCTTCCTCTGAGACAGTTTTTATTAACTGCTGTCTCCCTGTGCATATGGGCCCAACTTTCTTATTTCTTCACATGTCATACTTTTTTGTTGAAGATCAGACATTTAAAATAATATAATGTGGCAACTCTGGAAATAAAATTATCTTGCCTCCCCAAGATTTGTTGTTGTTGCTGATTTGTTTTGGCTGCTAGTTCTTTTTTTAAATAACTTTCTAGGACGAATTCTGCAACATCTATATTTCCTATAGTGTGTGGTCTCTGAAGTTCTGCTCAGTTAGCTTAGTCGTCCACTAGTGATTAGTCAGAGATTTCCTTATATGCCTTTGACTAGTAAGTCTTCCATCCTTTGCCAAGGAGCTGTGTGTGTGTGTGTGTGTGTGTGTGTGTGTGTGTTGGGGCAAACCTTCATTAGTGTTCTGGCATTTTACAAACCTGCCTAGCCTTCACTTCTTGCTTTTGTGAGGGCTTAAAATCTGCTCTGGATGAGAGACTGGGGCTCTCCCAGGTCTTTCCTGAGCTTTCACACAGCCCTGCACGTGTGCAGTCTTCTGTCTTCCCAGAAAAAGTTTAGAGCTTTCCAAAGGCCCCTGTGGACATCTCATTTCCTAAATCTTCAAGTTTACAGGCAGCTCTTCTTATGCCTTGACTACTAGAGGCAGCTGTGATGTCAAACAACTACTGCTGAATGTTTTCAACAAGCACCCTGGAGATAGAGCTTTTCCTGCAGGGTGATCTCTAAGCCCAGTCAAATAAAGTTTGTATCTTGCAAATGGGGCTTTTTCAGGTGCTTGAGATAGGTCAAATAGTGGCAATACTTTGTGGATTGACTTTTCAGGGAGCTCCAAGTCCAGTCTGTCACCTGTGGTGGTGGCAAGGCTGTTGGTTTTTAGGTAGCCACCATATGCTGACCTCTGTGGAAGGTCCTGTTGGTTTTCCGGTGTTTCTTCCACTTCCCCTGTTGGGAGGAAGGGGATGGGAATGGATGCCAGTGTTTTCACGCAAACTCCTGGTTTCATTTACAGGCCTATCATTGTGGCTAGTGTTTGGTTACTTTCCTGCAAGTGACTGTCGTTTTTGCCTGTTTCCCCCAACATGGAGGCTCACCTCTTCACTGCCTGCTCTGGCCGTCGTTGAGAGGGCTGCAGGTGTTCCGGGTGGTTTCTCTCTCTGGACAGCCGTGGTATAAATGGAAAGCAAAGAGTCCACTGTACCAGGTCTCCTCCGGATTACAAGAAAATGTGTTAAATGGGTTGAGTCTAGCATCATTTTCAGGAAAATAATGCAATTCTTATGATTTTAGCCTATGTGTCCTTGTTCTTTTGCTCATCACTCTCTAAAATGTTGTTCCTTGTTATTGTCCCTACCCCTCCTCCCAGTGAACACCTCTGAATATGTCATGACTAGGTCAATTGTCTGCACTGTGGTGAGATCATACTTTCCAACATCCCTGTCCCCTAGTTAAATATGACACTCTTTAAGTGGCTTTGCTGTACTCCATAGAAATAGCTGTCAAAGCACATTTAACACTTCATTATATTTTTTGTTTGTTTGTTTAGATATTTGTCTCTTCCTTCTATCCTGTGATTCCCTTAAGGGTAGGGACTATATTTCCCTGTTTTACTAATTTTGCATCCCTAGCACTGTGCCTGAAAACTGAGTATCTATTCATTGTTGAATGAATGAGTGGGAAAATTAGGTGAGACCCAAGCTTGGAAAGTGATCTTTGCCATTTTGGGACAGCCTGGATTCTACTGGGGAGAAATCATAGCTTTAATGGAGAGATGTAGTAACTGACTTTTGGCTACATGATACATATTTTGGGTAATTGTTATTTAAATTTTATTTTTATTTGTTTGGTTTTTTTCCAAAATGCTTGAGTAAAAAACATCTGCTTTCAGTTATTTATATCTAATTTGTCAGCTGTGCATACACCATTCTATGTGCTAGTTGTGTGAAATAGTGCTGCTGACCCGTCTCTTCAAAAGACAGTTTGGGAGTGAGAATCATAGTCTCGGTATAGAAGCTCTTTGGATTTAATGATTTTGCCTAATCTGTAGCAATTAGCCCAAGCTCTGAGGCTCTACCCCCACACTCACATTCTCCCCTGGGTCCCCTCGTGCTGTGTTCTTCACCCTGGATGCTCAGAAAGATTCATCAGGGGAGCTTAAAAATATATATCCCTGGGCTCATCCCCAGACAAACTGTGTTCAAATTTCTGAAAGTGAGACCCAGGCATGGGTATCATTTGTACAGAAATCTCCAGGTGACTCAAACGTGCTACCAGGCTGAGACTCGAATCCCGTGTGCATTCCTGGAGGTCGGTTCTAAACCTGGATCCCATCGACTTATGACCTGTAGAATACCCTCTGGGCAGATGAATGAAAGCAGGGTTTCTCAAGGTGTGGTCCCAGATCATCAGCAGCAGCATCACTTGGGAATCCACCGGGACTGTATGTCCCCAGACCTCCCCCCAGACCACTAAATTGAAACTCAGGGGCTGGGCCCAGCAATCTATTTTAAGAAGCGCTGCAGCTGACTCGGATCACGCTGAGATTTGCAAACTGCTGAGTTCCAGGGAGAGCTTGGCCTTGGAGCTGGCCAGCAGGCACCTGGGTGGACTTCAGCTTTCCAGGGCACAGGCTGCAAGTGGCTGGCGGCCACAGTGGCTCTGAGAGAGCCCTCCATAGGTTCTGTCCCCTCTGTCCCAGCAGTGCAGAGGACTGGTTCTGCCTTCACTTAGGGGATGAGGGTCCATCCGGTCACCAGTGTTTACGGCCATCTCTTCTCCCTTCCTCAACCCTTGTCAGAAGAGGTGTCTGGATCTCCTTGTGCTTCCTAAGATTGGCCCTGTGGCCTGTTTACTCTCTCCCTCTTCCCCTTTCTGCTTCTGCCAGGGGTCTTGTTTGACCAGTCCCTTTTGCCTCACCCCACCCAGCAGCTTTGATTTTCTCTCTCTGCTTTCTCCTCCCCTTCCCCTGTAGGCCTCGTAAAACCTTTCCTCAGCCCTTCTGTGCCCTTTTCACCAGCACAGTTCTCGGGGTCTGTCCTCCTTTTCACCAGTACAGTTCTCGGGATCTGTCCTCCTTTTCACCAGTACAGTTCTCGGGATCTGTCCTCCTTTTCACCAGTACAGTTCTCGGGGTCTGTCCTCCTTTTCACCAGTACAGTTCTCGGGGTCTGTCCTCCTTTTCACCAGTACAGTTCTCGGGGTCTGTCCTCCTTTTCACCAGTACAGTTCTCGGGGTCTGTCCTCCTTTTCACCAGTACAGTTCTCGGGGTCTGTCCTCCTTTTCACCAGTACAGTTCTCGGGGTCTGTCCTCCTTTTCACCAGTACAGTTCTCGGGATCTGTCCTCCTTTTCACCAGTACAGTTCTCGGGGTCTGTCTTCCTTTTCACCAGTACAGTTCTCGGGGTCTGTCCTCCTTTTCACCAGTACAGTTCTCGGGGTCTGTCCTTTTCACCAGCACAGTTCTCGGGATCTGTCCTCCTTTTCACCAGTACAGTTCTCGGGGTCTGTCTTCCTTTTCACCAGTACAGTTCTCGGGGTCTGTCCTCCTTTTCACCAGTACAGTTCTCGGGGTCTGTCCTTTTCACCAGCACAGTTCTCGGGGTCTGTCCTCCTTTTCACCAGTACAGTTCTCGGGGTCTGTCCTTTTCACCAGCACAGTTCTCGGGGTCTGTCCTCCTTTTCACCAGTACAGTTCTCGGGGTCTGTCCTTTTCACCAGCACAGTTCTCGGGGTCTGTCCTTTTCACCAGCACAGTTCTCGGGGTCTGTCCTTTTCACCAGCACAGTTCTCGGGGTCTGTCCTTTTCACCAGCACAGTTCTCGGGGTCTGTCCTCCTTTTCACCAGTACAGTTCTCGGGGTCTGTCCTTTTCACCAGTACAGTTCTCGGGGTCTGTCCTTTTCACCAGCACAGTTCTCGGGGTCTGTCCTTTTCACCAGTACAGTTCTCGGGGTCTGTCCTCCTTTTCACCAGTACAGTTCTCGGGGTCTGTCCTTTTCACCAGCACAGTTCTCGGGGTCTGTCCTCCTTTTCACCAGTACAGTTCTCAGGGTCTGTCCTTTTCACCAGCACAGTTCTCGGGGTCTGTCCTTTTCACCAGCACAATTCTCGGGGTCTGTCCTTTTCACCAGCACAGTTCTCGGGGTCTGTCCTTTTCACCAGCACAGTTCTCGGGGTCTGTCCTCCTTTTCACCAGCACAGTTCTCGGGGTCTGTCCTTTTCACCAGCACAGTTCTCGGGGTCTGTCATCCTTTTCACCAGTACAGTTCTCGGGGTCTGTCCTTTTCACCAGCACAGTTCTCGGGGTCTGTCCTCCTTTTCACCAGTACAGTTCTCGGGGTCTGTCCTTTTCACCAGCACAGTTCTCGGGGTCTGTCCTTTTCACCAGCACAGTTCTCGGGGTCTGTCCTCCTTTTCACCAGCACAGTTCTCGGGGTCTGTCCTTTTCACCAGCACAGTTCTCGGGGTCTGTCCTTTTCACCAGCACAGTTCTCGGGGTCTGTCCTTTTCACCAGCACAGTTCTCGGGGTCTGTCCTTTTCACCAGCACAGTTCTCGGGGTCTGTCCTTTTCACCAGCACAGTTCTCGGGGTCTGTCCTTTTCACCAGCACAGTTCTCGGGGTCTGTCCTTTTCACCAGCACAGTTCTCGGGGTCTGTCCTTTTCACCAGCACAGTTCTCGGGGTCTGTCCTTTTCACCAGCACAGTTCTCGGGGTCTGTCCTTTTCACCAGCACAGTTCTCGGGGTCTGTCCTTTTCACCAGCACAGTTCTCGGGGTCTGTCCTTTTCACCAGCACAGTTCTCGGGGTCTGTCCTTTTCACCAGCACAGTTCTCGGGGTCTGTCCTTTTCACCAGCACAGTTCTCGGGGTCTGTCCTTTTCACCAGCACAGTTCTCGGGGTCTGTCCTTTTCACCAGCACAGTTCTCGGGGTCTGTCCTTTTCACCAGCACAGTTCTCGGGGTCTGTCCTTTTCACCAGCACAGTTCTCGGGGTCTGTCCTTTTCACCAGCACAGTTCTCGGGGTCTGTCCTTTTCACCAGTACAGTTCTCGGGGTCTGTCCTTTTCATCAGCACAGTTCTCGGGGTCTGTCCTTTTCACCAGCACAGTTCTCGGGGTCTGTCCTCCTTTTCACCAGTACAGTTCTCGGGGTCTGTCCTTTTCACCAGCACAGTTCTCGGGGTCTGTCCTCCTTTTCACCAGCACAGTTCTCGGGGTCTGTCCTCCTTTTCACCAGCACAGTTCTCGGGGTCTGTCCTTTTCACCAGCACAGTTCTCGGGGTCTGTCCTTTTCACCAGCACAGTTCTCGGGGTCTGTCCTTTTCACCAGCACAGTTCTCGGGGTCTGTCCTTTTCACCAGCACAGTTCTCGGGGTCTGTCCTTTTCACCAGCACAGTTCTCGGGGTCTGTCCTTTTCACCAGCACAGTTCTCGGGGTCTGTCCTTTTCACCAGCACAGTTCTCGGGGTCTGTCCTTTTCACCAGCACAGTTCTCGGGGTCTGTCCTTTTCATCAGCACAGTTCTCGGGGTCTGTCCTTTTCATCAGCACAGTTCTCGGGGTCTGTCCTCCTTTTCACCAGTACAGTTCTCGGGGTCTGTCCTTTTCACCAGCACAGTTCTCGGGGTCTGTCCTTTTCACCAGCACAGTTCTCGGGGTCTGTCCTTTTCACCAGCACAGTTCTCGGGGTCTGTCCTTTTCACCAGCACAGTTCTCGGGGTCTGTCCTTTTCACCAGCACAGTTCTCGGGGTCTGTCCTTTTCACCAGCACAGTTCTCGGGGTCTGTCCTCCTTTTCACCAGCACAGTTCTCGGGGTCTGTCCTTTTCACCAGCACAGTTCTCGGGGTCTGTCCTCCTTTTCACCAGCACAGTTCTCGGGGTCTGTCCTTTTCACCAGCACAGTTCTCGGGGTCTGTCCTTTTCACCAGCACAGTTCTCGGGGTCTGTCCTCCTTTTCACCAGTACAGTTCTCGGGGTCTGTCCTCCTTTTCACCAGCACAGTTCTCGGGGTCTGTCCTCATTGCTGCGCCACACCCGAGCCTGTTGCTACTTCACTGTTTTATTGAAACTGCTTTTCGCCAAACGAAAGTTTACCAAATCCAGAGATTCACTCACTGCCCCCATCAATCCTCATCTTCCCTGAATTCTTTGTGACATTCAGTGCTGTGGCCACCCTTTCCTGATGGACACTGTGTGCCGTTTGCTTGTTACTGACCCTCTTGATTTTCCCTGTCTTCCACTGGCCGGTTGCCACAGCCCTGTGCTCTGCCAGTTCATC
Organism: Homo sapiens; assembly: GCF_000001405.40. NCBI lineage: Eukaryota > Metazoa > Chordata > Mammalia > Primates > Hominidae > Homo > Homo sapiens. Next base: position 134,606,648 of record NC_000002.12, on the reverse strand, counting down.
TATAGGTGCTGGGGCGCGATGACACAGGAGGCACAGCCCCTGTCTTCGCGCAGCTCCTCTTCCCCAGCCCGACTCTTCCAGGGGGATGGAGGCGGGTAGAGGCAGGGAGCATGGCTCTGGAAACACCTTGGGCAGAGTGATTCTGCAGGGTGGGCCAGGAGAGACTCGAAGAGGAGGGGATTTTGAGTCAGGGTCTGAAGGATGCCCTTGACTTTGATTGTGGCGAGATGAAGGAAGAAAACATTCACTGTGAGCAGAGGGAGGAACATGGCATTTTCAGAGGGCAGAAGTATTTTTTTTTTTTTGAGACGGAGTTTTGCTCTTGTTGCCCAGGCTGGAGTGCAATGGTGCGGTCTTAGCTCACTGCAACCTCCACAGAGGGCAGAAGTCTTAATGCTAGAGCGTGGGATTCATGGGGGCAGGTGCTGGAAGTTGACCCTGGAGGGGGGTTTTGGTGTCAGAGAAAGACATTACGTGCTGTGTTTAGAAATTTGCAATTTACCTTGAGACCAGTGAATTCAAAAACACATATTTTAAGTTACCCATATAACTTTTACCAAAACTAACCCATTTTCAGTATATCCCCTTCTAAAACACAAACAACCTGCCACTGCCCCCCGCGTATACTCAATTGTTTAAAAGGAAAAGTGAATGTTCTTCCCAACCAAAATCACCCCCAGGGGGACTTCTGTTATCAATTTTGTATGTGTCCCAGATTTTTTTTGTGTGTATGTAATGTATATATAAATTTCTAACATGGCATCCTACTCTACAAAGTATTCTGTAACTTGCTGTTGTCACTTACACAATACATTGTTGTCATCTTTACCTTTCCATGTGTTTGGATCTGGCCTATTTTTTCTCAGACTCAATCAGTGTCACATCTTTTCTTTTCTTTTTTCTCCTCTCCTCTCCTCCCCTCCCCTCCCCTCCTCTTCCTTCCCTTGCCTTTCCTTTTTTTGAGATGGAAATTTCATTCTCATCACCCAGGCTGGAGTGCAATGGCGCGATCTCAGCTCACCTCCCGGGTTCCAGTGATTCTTCTGCCTCAGCCTCCTGAATAGCTGGGATTACAGGCGCCTGCCACCATGCCCAGTTAATTTTTGTATTTTTAGTAGAGACGGGGTTTCACCATGTTGGCCAGGCTGATGTGGAACTCCTGACCTCAGGTGATCCTCGTGCCTCAGCCTCCTAAAGTGCTGATATTACAGGCTACCCTGCCTGGCCCAAATATTTCTTTTAACTACTCCCATTGAGGGGCGCTGCTGTTGTTAACTTTTCTCTATTATTAGCAATATAGTAGCAAATATCCTGCACATGTTTCTTTGCTCTTTTGGGTTCAAGTGAACTTTTGTAACATGGAATACCACAGAAAAATTGCTAAGCCCAAGATTATGCTCAATCAGAAGGCCCCTGCAAGGTGGTTGAGCCAGCAGTGGATGAAGATTGTGGTTTTTTTTTTTTTTTTGCTGGAGACCAAGTCTCACTCTGTCGCCTAGGCTGGAGTGCAGTGGTGCGATCCCAGCTCACTGTAACCTCCGCTTCCCAGGTTCAAGCTATTCTCCTGCCTCAGCCTCCCAAGTAGTTCAGATTACAGATGCGCCACCATGCCCAGCTAATTTTGTATATTTAGTAGAGACAGGGTTTCACCATGTTGGCCAGACTGATCTCGAAATCCCGACCTCTGGTGATCTGCCTGCCTCAGCCTCCCAAAGTGCTGGGATTACAGGTGTGAGCCACCGCACCTGGCCAAGGATTGTGTTCTTAAAAACAAATCTTTGCCAAACTGATAGGTGAAACATTTAGATATGATAATAGGTATTCCTGTTATTAGTAAAGTTGAGAATATTTTACCATGTATATTGACCAATGATTTCTTCTGTGAAGTGTCTTGCATCTCATTTGCTAATTTTGAAAAATTGGGTTGCTTGCTTTCTTATTGATGTGTGGAGGTTTTAAAAATACTTTAGGTGTTACCCTTTTTATTTGAATGTAATCATTTAATTACATTTTCAATGACTGCTGCCTTGTAGGTGTGTTTCCAATTCCCATGGTTTTGCCCATCCCAGTCCCACCCCTCTTCTCCTCTCTCCAGAACTTCAGCTGTTACCAGTTTGGGAAATGACCTTTCAGACCCCTCCTTATCTCTTTACATGAACATTGGTACCTAGAGAAAATGTCTTGCTTTATTTTGAGGTTTTTTTTTTTTTTTCCAGTAAAAGCTAAGGTTATGGCTCAAGTTCTCAAACTTGGTTTTTCATGAACAGCTTATCTAGTTCATGTTTCTTTGTTCCACATGTAAACCTAACCATTGTCTTTCCCTGCTCTATTCCATTCTCTATGTGGTAACAGAATTTAGTCCGTCCCCCTCACAGATGGACATTCGGCATCCCCAGCTTTCCCTGTATTGTAAACAGTGCTGCAGCAGGCGTCCTTGGGCAGGCCTCCTTCCACACATCAATGCTTTTCATGGGAGGTTTCAGCAGGGGAGAGTTACTTAGGGTCAGATGTGTCTGTCAGAAGTTAATCTGACAGCGGAGTGAAGGAAAAGGAGTTACGTTGGAGCTAAACAACTTCACTCCTTTGATTGCAGTAGTCCAGGAGAAAGTGAAAATGAATCTCAGTGGATGCAGTGGGGATGGAGAGAGGGTACCTTTGAGAGGGGCTGCAGAGTGGGATAGACTGTCCAAGACTAACTGCAGTGTCCAAAAGTGGAAAGAAAGCTTCCTTCCTCGCTTCCTTCTCTCTCCCTTCCATACCCTCCCCTCCCTTCCCCTCCCTTCTGTTCCCTCCCCTCCCCTCCCCTTCCCCCACCCCCACCTTCCACCTTATATACACTCACCAGATGTGGGCAAAACAGTGCCAGCTATATCAATGTTCCTGTCATTGCTGGTCCAAGGAGAAGGAGAGGGTCCTTAGCCTGGGGGAGGTAGGTGCTAGAGGCTATAGCCTTCACCCTGCCAGGCAGGATACAACATGTACTGAGGTCTTGTGTGATATGTGTGTGCATGTGTGTGCGTGTGTGGTCTCAGTAACCTGTGGGTCTTGAGGAGCCGCCATATGGCTTTTTAATTTGTTTTTGTCAGGGAGGGACAGCAGTTCTACTAGTGGTGTTCAGAAGGTGCCACAGTAGTGGGTGTGTGTCTTGTTATCTCAACGTGCCCAGGACAGAGAGTCTGAAGACGCTTTCTTTGATGGGGCTTCTTTACTAGGGCATCAGGATTTTATCAGGTCTGTCCGCTTGCCATTTTAAATTACTTCCATAAAATTCCTCATTACCGTCAGTTCAAACATGGCCTTTGGGGCCAAATCCAAACTATTATAATAAAATCCCTTTGCATTTTAAAATAATGTTTATGGTTTTTGAACTTGAACTAATTTAGAGAAGAGCCTGGTAATAAAGGGAAAAAGCCTTATTAAGAAGTGTAGTCTGCCCAGGTCCTTGAGTGGATTTTGGGGTGATCTCTTCCAGCAGAAAGAGACAAGGTTGAGATGATTTAGTTGTGGCTATGGGGCTGGGAAAGAAGAGTCTAGAGTGACCCTGGATTTGTAATTCAGGTGGCTAGAAGGATGATGTTATTTCTGATCCACATGGGGCAGCATCTTTTGGAGGTGAGATCAGTCCTGTGTTGGACATACAGTTTTAACTTGACAGCGCCTATACCCCCAAAGGCAGATATGTCCAATAGGGAGTATAGCTGGGGAGCTAGGTGAGGACTGAGATACAGGTGGTAGACTCAGGAGTGTGTAAGTGGGAGCTGAAGCTTTGAGAGCCAATGGGATCCCCAGGGAGAAGGAGGGACGGGAGGAGACAAGAGTCCTCGGCGGTGGGACACTCCCTCTCAGGGACAGGCAGAAGACCCAGGAGGGCCTGGGGAAGAGAGCATTTCAAGGAGGAGAGGAGGGAATGATTTAGACATATCCAGTAAGATAAAGGTTAATTAGTGTCTCTTGTACTTGGAAATCAGGACATTTTCATTCTCCTTTTAAAGTGGTTTCAAAAGAGGAATGATCCCTCAGTGATGCTGGTTCTTTCCACTTTATCTCCTCTGTAGAGATGTTTACTGTGCTCGTCAGGGCAATTCAGGCTACCTGCTTTGACAGCAACCCTAGAAACCTGAGGGACTTCACACAGTTAAGTCAGAGTGTCTCACTCACACCACTTCCTAACTGGGGCTAGGCAGTCCTTCTTGGCAGCAATCCTCCAAGCGGTGACTTGGGAATCTCAGAGCCATTACCTTATGATGCCACCATCTTAAAGATGAGGTTGCTGCTGTGGCTGTAGGAAGGGGAAGATCATGGACAGGCATGCGGGAGGGTTTATGGTCAGGTCTGGAAGCAGTGTAATTAACCAGAACGATGTCACCTGATTGCAGCCTAATTGCACAGGAAAGCCAAGAATGGAAAATGGAATTGGTGCACATCTAATTGTCTCTGCCACACCACAAACTGCATCCCTCCAGCCCAAGATCTCTGTCCAGTTACAGGGTCTGCACCTCTAATTTCTCACCGGACATTTCAGACTCAGCTTGTTCAAATGAGACCTTAACCACGTTCATCCTCCATTTAAAGTAGAGATTGCTTTCAGCTGCAGGTGACATTTTAATTTTCTCCTTGAAGGACAAGTTTGGGAGTGGTCAGGGAGGAGCATTCCTACCTCCAAGCCTTTGTTCAAGCTGTTCCCTCTTCCTGGAATGCTCTTCCCCCAGGTATCTACTCATTGCCTTCATGTCTTTGCTACAATCTCACCTTTTAAGTGAGGCTTGCTTTGTCTACTCTGTTTAATACTGTAACCCCCACCCAGAATTCCTGATCCTCCTTACTCTATTTTTTTCATAGCTCTTACCACTTTTGGATGTACCATATGTTTATTTATTATGCGTATTGTTTGCCATCTCAGAAGAATGTTCCCAGGGTGGCGTTCTTTGTTTTTATTTCCCTGATGGTACTGATGTTGTGTCTTGAACACACAGTGCCGGCTGCATACAGCAAGCACTCCATAAGCATTTGTGAACTGGTTCTGAATTACTTAGACCAGAAAACCTTGGAACCCATTTAGGAGGCAGGCCGGGAAGGAACACAGCTGTGGTCCAGCCCTGCCGAATTGCCTTTGCAGTGGCATTGCATCTGTCTCCTGGAAGCTCATCATTTAGTTAGGACTGGCTGTTGGGTTGGTTTCCACCTCACTGGCTTCCGGGGCTCCGGCCTTGCCTTCTCCTGCTGCTCTTATTAACATGCTGCCAGATGGATCGCTGGCGATGTCGTTCCGATCCCACGATCGTTTCTTGTGTATTTGAGAGGGAGGGAAGGCTGGTGTTATTTTTCCCATGAAGTAGGTTTAGGTGACCGTGGCTGACTTATCCTTTAGCTAGAACAGATGAAGTGCTTAGGGCCTATGATGCTTTTGCATTACACTCAGGAAAATGTTTTAATTTCTTTTAAAATCAGAAGAAAAAAAGACCTTTTAGGTAAAAGAAGTTTTAATCTATATTGTTAATATATTCATCTTTCCTCCATTGCAGTTGTAAAATATAATTTTTAATAGTTAACTAGACAATAGATATACTTTATATATATAAAGTATATATTTTTACTGTGAAAGCATATATATACATGCGTGTGTGTGTATGTTTTTACTATGAAGGCAAAAGTGTCCAGGGCCCATGAAAGTCTTAACACAGCCCCAGTTTTGACTTGGCTGGGGCCACCCAGGATATGGTGGGCTGAGACCTAAAGTTGTCTTTGAGTTCATGGGGCAAATGTAGTGCCCTCTCTCATGGGTGAGGGAGCTGGGGCCCAGAGAGGCTGTACTTGGCTGAAAACCGCATGGCAACTGAGCTGCTGCAGTCATGGTTAGGACTTCTGAACCTCTGGCTAATGCTTTTGCCATGTGCTGGCCTCCTTTACCTGAGAAACCTGAAGAAGGAGCAACTTAGATGAGTAGAGAGTCTAAGGATCTCATTTGTTTTCATTATTCACAGGTGCTTTTTGATGCCCTATTCCCCCTAATGACCCCATCACCTCTTAAAGGCTCCACCTGTCAATTCTGCCACACTGGGGATTAAGTTTTAACTTGAGTTTTGGAGGGGACCAGCATTCGAACTATAGCATTAATAAACCAAGTCTTAAAGGGAATCAGGCTATTAGCTAAGTAGATAAAACTCTTAAAAGGGCTAAAACCTGCTTTACTGATTTTGTGTATGTGTGTGTGATTTAAGATAGAAATGGATCTGGAGGCAAGTGTTACGTAATAGGCCCTCAGGTATTAGATTCCCTTCCCTTCCTTTCACTAGACAAGATTTTTTATGCCATTGTTGGGTCATTATCCTGTTGGATCAGAGGCAAGTGAAGAATTGCACTACTAAACAATTAAGTCACATGACAACCACATTCACCTTCATTACCTGTGAGGATTAAGGAATCTTTCAAATTCCCTGTTTTGCTTATATAGACCTCATGTCACTGAGCCAGTGTCACAGTTGTATGTTATTTTCATTCATTTAGTTATGTAGTCATTCATTACAAAATATTGATTGATTGGCTTTTACGTGGTGGGCAGTTTTCTAGGGTCTGGGGATGCAGAAGGGAACAAAGCAGACAAACTCCTGCTCTCAAGGAACTTGCTTTATAATGGGAGCAACGCTGGAATTGATTAGGTAACACTTTCTATTATGAGGTTCTTGATGACTCTAGATGTGTGTAGGGTGTGTGTGTGTGTATATATGTGTGTAGGTAAACACATCTACACACAGAAATTGTCTTAGCCAGTGCTATTAGGACCAAGTGTTTTTTGTTAATGAAAAAGTAGAATAGGATGGGTGGGTGTGGTGGCTTATGCCTGTAATCTCAACACTCTGGGAGGCCAAGGTGGGTGGATTGCTTGAGCCCAGGAGTTCAAGACCAGCCCGGGCAACATGGCGAAATCCTGTCTCTCTTAAAAAAAAAAAAAAAAAAAGATAAAGTTGGGAACATAGCTATCTTCAGTGTTTGTTTTAAGTTTGTGTCTCGGGTCTTGCTCAGCTGGGCTGCTGTAACACATTACCATAGACTGGGTGGCTTAGAAACAACAGAACTTTGTTTCTCATAGTCCTGGAGACTGGAAGTCCTAGATGAGGGTGTACGATCAGGTTCTGCTGAGGGCCCTCCTCCGGGTGCAGACTGCCATCTTCTCATTGTATCCTCCCATGGTGGAAAGTGAGCATGAGAGACCTCTGGGCACTAATCCCATTCATTAGGGCCCCACCCTCATGACCTAATCACCTACCAAAGTCCTCACCTTCTAACACTATAGCCTTGGGGGTCAGGATTTCCACATATGAATTTTGGAGAGGCATAAACATTTAGTCCCTACTCTTTACATGTTTAAGGTTTACATGGCTACACCTAAAACGTGTAAACCCTTTCCTGGGCTTCCATGGCAGGAGCTATGAATTGAACTTCTTGTCATGAACCATATGCAGAGTGTGTAGCCTCCAATTCCAGTTTGCTTGGGGTTACAGCGGAGTCAACACCTACATACTTGCAAGGTCATCTGAGCCCAGAATTCTAATTTTTAATGATTTCTTTCTCCCAGTCTTTCATAATTATCTTGTCCACAGCTGGTGTGAAGTCCTTTTTTTTTTTTTTTTTTTTTTAACGGAATGGCTTCAGTGAGTCCTTTCAAAGCATTTAATCCAATCCATAGAAATGGCAATGCTTTCTTTTCTTTCTTTCTTTTTTTTTTTTTTTGAGATAGAGTCTCACTCTGTCACCCAGGCTGGAGTGTAGTGGCACTATCTAGGCTCACTGCAACCCCCCACCTCCCAGGTTCAAGCAATTATGCTGCCTCAGCCTCCCAAGAAGCTGGGACTTCAGGCATGAGCCACCATACCTGGATAATTTTTTGTATTTTTTTAGTAGAGACGGGGTTTCACCATGTTGGCCAGGCTGGTCTCGAACTCCTGAGCTCAAGTGATTCTCCGCCCACCTTGGCCTCCCAAAGTGCTGGGATTACAGGCATGAGCCACCACGCCCAGCCTGCAACGCTTTCTTTTTGCCCTCTTGTTTATCAGTTTGTGTCATATTTACACAGCAAAGCCTAGTGGCTAAAAGCACGAGCCACGGAGCAGGCTGCCTAGGTTCTTATCTGAGCTCTGCCACTAGCTGGCTTAAAGCAGAGCTGTGGCCTCTATTTTTTCATTGGTAAATTAAGGCCAATGATCATATATACCTCACACGATGGCTGTGAGAATTATATCAATTAATACAAATAAAGTTCTTAGAACAATGTATAGTACATAGTGCTAGCTACTATTATTACCATAAATATTTAGTGTTTGTAAGTGTATTAACAAATACAACTGACATAAGCAGGTTTGGAAGCAGGTGACACCATTTCTTGGCTAAAAGCTGGTGAAATGAAGGAAGGACCAAGTGAGTACCCCAAGACATAGTCTAGATCAGTCAGGGCATTTTACACAGGGGATGGACTGTCAGCTACTCTGGCACATAAGTAAGTGGAGGTCAGTTTAAAAATTTATGCTTTGTGAGCAGAACTGAAGGAGACAGACACACAAAAAACCCTTCAAAACATCAATGAATCCAGGAGCTGGTTTTTTGAAAATATCAACAAAATTGATAGACTGCTAGCAAGACTAATAAGGAAAGAGAGAAGAATCAAATAGACACAATAAAAAATGATAAAGGGGATATCACCACCGATCCCACAGAAATACAGACTACCATCAGAGAATACTATAAATACCTCAACGCAAATAAACTAGAAAATCTAGAAGAAATGGATAAACTCCTCGACACATACACCCTCCCAAGACTAAACCAGGAAGAAGTTGAATCTCTGAATTGACCAATAACAGGCTCTGAAATTGAGGCAATAATTAATAGCTTACCAACGAAAAAAAGTCCAGGACCAGACGGATTCACAGCCGAATTCTACCAGAGGTACAAAGAGGAGCTGGTACCATTCCTTCTGAAACTATTCCAATCAATAGAAAAAGAGGGAATCCTCCCTAACTCATTCTATGAGGCCAGCATCATCCTGATACCAAAGCCTGGCAGAGACACAACAAAAAATGAGAATTTTAGACCAATATCCCTGATGAATATCGATGCAAAAATCCTCAGTAAAATACTGACAAACCAAATCCAGCAGCACATCAAAAAGCTCATCCACCATGATCAAGTGGGCTTCATCCCTGGGATGCAAGGCAGGTTCAACATACGCAAATCAAAAAATGTAATCCAACATATAAACAGAACCAAAGACAAAAACCACATGATTATCTCAATAGATGCAGAAAAGGCCTTTGACAAAATTCAACAATGCTTCATGCTAAAAACTCTCAATAAATTAGGTATTGATAGGACGTATCTCAAAATAATAAGAGCTATCTATGACAAACCCACAGCCAATATCATGCTGAATGTGCAAAAACTGGAAGCATTCCCTTTGAAAACTGGCACAAGACAGGGATGCCCTCTCTCACCACTCCTATTCAACATAGTGTTGGAAGTTCTGGCCAGGGCAATCAGGCAGGAGAAAGAAATAAAGGGTATTCAATTAGGAAAAGAGGAAGTCAAATTGTCCCTGTTTGCAGATGACATGATTGTATATCTAGAAAACCCCGTCGTCTCAGCCCAAAATCTCCTTAAGCTGATAAGCAACTTCAGCAAAGTCTCAGGATACAAAATCAATGTGCAAAAATCACAAGTATTCTTATACACCAATAGCAGACAAACAGAGCCAAATCATGAGAGACAAATCCCATTCACAATTGCTTCAAAGAGAATAAAATACCTAGGAATCCAACTTACAAGGGATGTGAAGGACCTCTTCAAGGAGAACTACAAACCACTGCTCAACGAAATAAAAGAGGACACGAACAAATGGAAGAACATTCCATGCTCATGGATAGGAAGAATCAATATTGTGAAAATGGCCATACTGCCTAAGGTAATTTATAGATTCAATGCCATCCCCATCAAGCTACCAATGACTTTCTTCACAGAATTGGAAAAAACTACTCTAAAGTTCATATGGAACCAAAGAAGAGCTCGCATTGCCAAGTCAATCCTAAGCCAAAAGAACAAAGCTGGAGGCATCACGCTATCTGACTTCAAACTATACTACAAGGCTACAGTAACCAAAACAGCATGGTACTGGTACCAAAACAGAGATACAGACCAATGGAACAGAACAGAGCCCTCAGAAATAATACCACACATCTACAACTATCTGATCTTTGACAAACCTGACAAAAACAAGAAATGGGGAAAGGATTCCCTATTTAAAAAATGGTGCTGGGAAAACTGGCTAGCCATACTTAGAAAGCTGAAACTGGATCCCTTCCTTACACCTTATACAAAAATTAATTCAAAATGGATTAAAGACTTAAATGTTAGACCTAAAACCATAAAAACCCTAGAAGAAAACCTAGGCAATACCATTCAGGACATAGGCGTGGGCAAGGACTTCATGTCTAAAACACCAAAAGCAATGGCAACAAAAGCCAAAATTGACAAATGAGATCGAATTAAACTAAAGAGCTTCTGCGCAGCAAAAGAAACTACCATCAGAGTGAACCGGCAACCTACAGAATGGGAGAAGATTTTTGCAATCTACTTATCTGACAAAGGGCTAATATCCAGAATCTACAAAGAACTCAAACAAATTTATAAGAAAAAAACAACCCCATCAACAAGTGGGTGAAGAATATGAACTGACACTTCTCAAAAGAAGACATTTATGCAGCCAACAGACACATGAAAAAATGCTCATCATCACTGGCCATCAGAGAAATGCAAATCAAAACCACAATGAGTTACTATCTCACACCAGTTAGAATGGCAGTCATTAAAAAGTCAGGAAACAACAGGTGCTGGAGAGCATGTGGAGAAATAGGAACACTTTTACACTGTTGGTGGGACTGTAAACTAGTTCAACCATTGTGGAAGACAGTGTGGCGATTCCTCAAGGATCTAGAACTAGAAATACCATTTGACCCGGCCATCGAATTACTGGGTATATACCTAAAGCGTTATAAATCATGCTGCTATAAAGACACACGCACACATATGTTTATTGCAGCACTATTCACAATAGCAAAGACTTGGAACCAACCCAAATGTCCAAAAATGATAGACTGGATTAAGAAAATGTGGCACATATACACCATGGAATACTATGCAGCCATACAAAATGATGAGTTCATGTCCCTTGTAGGGAAATGGATGAAGCTGGAAACCATCATTCTCAGCAAACTATTGCAAGGACAAAAAAACCAAACACTGCATGCTCTCACTCATAGGTGGGAATTGAACAATGAGAACACTTGGACACAGGAAGGGGAACATCACACACCAGGGCCTGTTGTGGGGTTGGGGGGAGTGGGGAGGGATAGCATTAGGAGATATACCTAATGTAAATGAGGAGTTAATGGGTGCAGCACACCAACATGGCACATGTATACATATGTAACAAACCTGCAGGTTGTGCACATGTACCCTAGAACTTAAAGTGTAATAAAAAATATATATATAAATAAAAAATAAATAAAAATAAAAATAAAAATTTATGCTTTATGTATAATTGATCATACACTTGCACATAATCTCATTCAGAATATGCACCAAGCTGCCTGGAAATAGATTTTCCATCTTTTTTTGTTGTTGTTTTTCAGTAACCTATTACCTTGCTATATTGCTTCTGTGCCAAAACCTTTCCTTGTCATTCTTTTTTCTTCTGAGAGAGAGGAGAGAGAGAGAAGTAGAGAGAGAGAGAGAGAGAGAGAGAGAGAGACTCAAGGTCTCTTGAGTCCATGTAGCATATTATTGTACCTTGAAGTTTATATTCTGCAGATTCTGTGGGATTCAGAGAATTGGGCACCAAGCTTCCTTCTGAAGTTGGCAGATTTGCGTGTTTGATGAAATGATATTTACTTGCTGATCATCTAAAGCAGTAGATCGAAATGGACCTAAATGAACAAACTCAGCAAGCAGGCTTTCTGCCAATGGGCGTGCCTCCCTGATCTACAGTTCTGCCGCATCCTGGGCTCTCAGGGAACTGGAGAGTCGCTTTTTGTGCCACATATGTCTTTGTTTTTATCCCGCTGTGTGTGTGAGAGGGCACAGTGACAGGCAGCATATAAATAGCTAGCTCCTGTTTTTATTTTTAGTGGTAATGACATTTTTTTTTGAAATGGGATTTCTTATTTAATAAGTTATGGGATGTAATTACCACCTAGCAGAAGGCAGACTGCATCACACTCACTGGAAACTCACAGTAAAGTCCACATATAATGGAATAAAATAAGCCTGGTGATGACATAGAGAACCTTTAGATTGCATTAATGTTCAACATTTCCCACCCCCTCTCTCTGTCCCCGCTTCTCTCTTTCTCCCCCTTTCTCTCCCCCTGTCTCTCCTTCACTCTTTCCAGGCCCATCCTCCTTTCTGTTTTATAAACCAGAATGATGCAGATTACAAGTGTTTCTTGAGTAAGCCAGATACACACGTTTTCTGCTGCTGGGTAAGGTGGGGAAGTTCTGCCATCTTGTCTTTTCCGTTGTTCAAGAATTGTGCCTAGAACTGCCTTTTTGTTTCTTGTCTCTTCATTTAAGTAGTTGTCCACATCTTTTAAATTCTCCACCTGGAGAACCTGAAAATTTCATTAAAGGACCCTCCTGTTCCATCTGGCATGTTGGTTTCTATGCCTCCCCTGCAGGAATGCTCCAGGAAGGCTAGATGGGGGCTGAGCGGCCTTCATAGGGGTTAATCGCATTGCTACAAGGCAGCCGGCATCTTACTGAGTTAAACTTCTGCATGTAAAAAAAAAAAAAAAATTCCCAGAGTCAGTGTCGTAGTCTTCAATTTTTTATGAATCAAGCTTTTAGGCCATAGAAATGATTAACCCTGCAGTAGCACGTGTTCTGAACTGCCTGGGTGCAGACTGATCAGGAAGCAGTAACTAAGCCGTTTCAAGACTCGGCTTACCTTCCACCCCTCCTCTCCTCTGCCCCAACTCCCTACCTAGGCTGGACATTCTCCTCACCCTAGTCCACATCCTCCTGGCCCAGGAGAACATAGAAGGCTTTTCATCAGGGCACCTTCTTCGGCCATCTCCTCCAAATCAAACTGCAGACAGCAGCGGGGCATGTGCCTTTTTAAGTGTTGTCATGACAAGTCCTGCTTCCTTCCTGGCGCATGTTAATGGCAGAGGGAGAGGGGACTGACTGTCTCTTTGGCCTGCTCTTTTCTGCAGTCTCCTCAGGGTATGGTGTGGTGTTTTGTCTGGGGTCCATGTAGCTGTCAGGCTGTGCTCTACAGAAAGGGGCTTCCTAATGCAATCTTAAGTGAATGCAATTAGAATCACAGTGGAACTTTTAGGAAATTTGCATATTTTCCAAGAAGCTGACAGTGCCATCTCCCCCTTCCCTCCCTGTCTAAATCCTGCCCTCTCCTTTCCAGGCCAGCTCAAGTTCTGGTCCACCTCTGAAGCTAGGTCTTATCAGTTCACATGGATTTCTCTCATCTCAGAGCTCGTAGCATCTTAATCAGTACCACATAACCCAGGTATTGATCACTTACTATCCTGTCTTTTTAAAAATGCCTTATCTTGTATTCCCAATAAAACAGAAGCTCCTGGAGCCTGAGGCTGCTTAGGAAACTTTGGAAAAAAGCTGAGTAGAGCACTATGAGAATAGATGGTACTTGTGACATTGCTTTTCTAACTCTCTCATTTCCAAGGATATAGGGTTGGTCTATCTATCTATCTATCTATCTCTATATTAATATCTGTATCTCTATATACATGTGTATATATGCATACAGGGAGAGATAGTCTATCTATCTATATCTATATTAATATCTGTATCTCTATATACATGTGTATATATGCATACAGGGAGAGATAGTTATCTGTTATAAACCAAAACCAAAATAAAATCCTGAGCCCTCACAACCAACTGAACAACCCCCTCCCCAACCCCCTGGGCTAAGGGGACCCCAGAGAAATCTGAAAACAGACTTCCTGCCCATGATGAGAAGGGAGCACACGCCTTGTTATACCCCCTCCCTTTTGGAGCTTAGGCATAGCTGACCAGCATTAACATTAAAATAGAGATCCTAACACTGACAAAACAGATTCTTTGTGGCCATAAGATACTAAATTCCAACCTGACTCTGGTATAGTATCACTTGACAGATAGGCCCTGAAGGAAAAAAAATATTTTAACCCAAAATATATTTCCTTGACATATTTTGAAATGGCCTTGCAAAGCTATCTTTTGTGGGGAAATTTGCATCTGTAAAGAATATTAATGCAGCCAGGCTTTTCATGGATCTAGGAGAGATTCACTAAAAGTCTGATATCCTTAAAGGTCCAAAAGGAGACTTTTACTATCTATTCTCTCTGAAGGCTGCTACCAAAGGACATCATCTACATAACAAGAACCTTGGCTTCCACAACATCCCCACTTATCTTAACTCAAGTTTTAATTTTTACTGACTTCAAGTCTTCAGACAAACTTAACTTTTTAAACCAGTTGCCAATCCAAAAATCTTTGAATCCACTTATGGCCTGTAACACTCTCCTTCTCCCTCGCTGCCTGCTTCAAACTGTCCTGCCTTTCCAGGCTGAACCAATTCTTGGGACCTCTTGAGACTGTTCCCTGGGCCATGGTCACTCATAGTAGCTCAGAGTAAATCTCTTTACATATTTTACAGGTTGTTTTTTTTTTTTTTTAATCAACACTGTCTGTGTGTCTGAATGACTGCCTCATGTGCACATTCATAGGCTGTGATTGCTACAGGAAAACATAAGATTGTGTTGCTTCTGAGAGCTAAATGGGAGGTAGTAGCATATTTAAGTGATGGCATTTGACGGGTGGTTGGAGTCCCTGAATGTCAGTCTTGGAATGTGAGCTTTATTTGGTAGACACTGGGGAGCCAGGAACATTTGTAAATGGAACAGTGTTGTGATGCAAACCTGGCTTTGGGCAGATTTATCTGGAAGCATTGAGTGGGAACTGGGAGGAACAGATTTGGAGGTGTGACTGTCAGAGGCATTTGAACCAGAGCAACTCCATCTTTAATAGGGGCTGGGTAAAATGAGGCTGAAACCTACTGGGCTGCATTCCCAGATGGTTAGGTGTTCTAAGTCACAGGATGAGATAGGAGATCGGCACAAGATACAGGTCATAAAGACCTGGCTATTAAAACAGGTTGCAGTAAAGAAGCCAGCCAAATTTCACCCAACCAAGATGGTGACAAGAGTGACCTCTGGTTGTCCTCACTGCTACACTCCCACCAGCATCACTGTTACAGTCTTCCCAATGCACCACAATGCAGCAGTCTCTCATTGTGAGAGACTCACAACTGAGAGAATTAAGGAGCATGGACACAAAGGGTGAGGTTGGAATGAAAGTTTAATAAGTGAAAGAAGAAAGCTCTCTGCCACGGAGAGGGGAACTGGAAGAGGGTTGTCACTTTTACAGTTGAATGCAAAGGCTTTTATAAGAAATTGATGAGGGATGGGTGTCTCATTTGCATAAGGCACAGATTTCTGGTAGCTCTACCCCATCCTTCTAATGTACATGTAGGCCCTTAGCTTGAGTTACTCCATATTGCTTTGTTCCCCTTACTGCACATGTGTCAGGGAATGGAACTTTCCATTGCAGGCATGTCTGGGCAAGTCACCTGTGTAGCCTTTCTTATCTTTGCAGCTGTGGGCATGTCTTAGGCAAGGCCCTCTGTGTAAGTTCCCCCATCTGTGCCTGCAGGCTGTTCTTTTTTTGTTTGAAAGAATTCAACTGAGGACCTATCCTAACTGCCTGCCTGACAGGTTTCTTCCTTTCTCGTCTCTCACCATGACAGCTTACAAATGCCATGGAAATGTCAGGAGTTACCCTATATGGTCTAAAAAAGGGAGGCATGAATAATTCACCCCTTGTTTAGCATATAATTAGGAAATAACCATAAAAAGGGACTACCAGCAGCCCTCAGGGCTGTTCTGCCTATGGAATAGCCATTCTTTTATTCCTTTACTTTCTTAATAAACTTGCTTTCACTTTACTATATGGACTCATCCTGAATTCTTTCTTGCACAAGATCCAAGAACCCTCTCTTGGGGTCTGGATCTGGACCCCCTTTCTGGTAACATCTTTCTGGTGACCACAGAAGAAATAATACTGACCCAAAGGTTAACTTTGAGTAAGTGATGGGGTCAGTAACATGACTGGGGCAGCCACAGTAGCTCAGATGCTGAGTGACAGTGGTCAGGCTGAGCTGGGGTCTCTGAGAGTGGGAAGAAGGGTTAGGTAGAAGATTTCATGGAGGCAAGGCCAGGAGGAACACAGGGCTAGAGACAGACAAGCTGGTTTGGCCACCGACTGGCTTTGTGATCTAGGGCAAGTTACTTAACCTTTCTGTTTCTGTACTAGATCCTTGTCTGAAATTGGGGACCCTAACCTTAAATTTCATAGAATTAGCTTGGGTATACTTGTCAATGACTCTTATAGAAAAAAAAAAAAAGAATCAGTTGGGCTTGGGCCTGGAGGGTGGGAGAGGGCATGAAGGATGATGGGAATTTTATGAGTGACTGATGAATAAGAGCAAGTCTATTTATTAAAACTCAGATCATATAGCTGTTGTCATTAGTACTGTGGCTGTTGATTCCCTGTCTCACCCAGGTTTCTTGAGGACTGGGTGGGAGGAGTCTTATTGATGTTTGTATTACCAGTGTGCTGTTCACAATAGGCACTCAATGAGTGCTCAATGGGTCATTCTGTTACCAGAAAGGAGTCCCAATCCAGACCCCAAGAGAGGGTTCTTGGATCTCGTGCAAGAAAAGAATTCAGGGCGAGTCCATGAAGTGAAAGCAAGTTTATTTGGAAAGTAAAGGAATAAAGAATGGCTACTCCATTGGCAGAACAGCCCTGAGGGCTGCTGGTTGGCTATTTTTATGGTTATTTCTTGATTATTTGCTAAACAATGGGTGGACTATTCATGAGTTTTCCAGGCAAGGGGAGAGCAATTCCCAGAACTGAGGGTTCCTCCTCTTTTTAGACCTTATAGGGTAACTTCCTGACATTGCCATGGCATCTGTAAACTGTCATGGTGCTGGTGGGAGTGTCTTTTAGCATACTAAAACATTATAATTAGTGTATAATGAGCAGTGAGGACGACCAGAGGTCACTTTCATCGCCTTCTTGGTTTTGGTAGGTTCTGGCTGGCTTCTTTACTGCATCCTGTTTTATCAGCAAGGTCTTTGTGACCTATATCTTGTGCCAACCTCCCATCTCATCCAGTGACTAAGAATGCCTAACCTCCTGGGAATGCAGCCCAGTGGGTCTCAGCCTTATTTTTCCCAGCCCCTATTCAAGATGGAGTTGCTCTGGTTCAAATGCCTTTAACAATTCTTCTTTGAATTTTGACCTCTTTCTTGAACATTACCTTCTCTCATTCCCTTTTCAGTGCCTGGGTCCTGTGTATTCTACCTGTACCTCAGAGCTTACCTCAGTCCCTTCTTTCTGCTGCCTCTCACTTCTGGATGTCATGACCTTGTGCATGGACTATTGCAGTAGCCTCATAGTTATACTCTGCCTTTGACCTTTGTCTCTTCCTATTTATCTTTGGCATTGCTGGACAATAAACTTTTTGAGGGGTATCGCCTATTCCCTCTAATGTGAAATGTCCCCCATTTCCTACTAAAGAAAGCCCCTACTCCTTTGTTTGCTGCTCTTCATGAACTCTACACTTTGGTCTAACTGGTCCTCTTCCTCCCCACCGAATGGCCTCTTCCCCCCCCAACGTTTTGCCTGTTTACTTGCCATCCTTCCATGTAGCCCTTCTTGATTCTGACATGATCAAAGAATAAATGCTATGGCCCTTGTTCTCCTGTGAGAGGCAAACCTTTCATTGTGTACATTGCCTTACTGGAATGAGTTTGTAGGGGTCAGGGTCCATGCATACCTCCTATTAGTTTCCTCTTACCCCATCTAGCATTTGTTCTTTGTATAGAGCAGGCATCTAATAAATGTGTGAATGCAAGACTGTCCCTCTGGAGAGAGTCTCAAGGCACATGAGAGAGCATGTGCCTTGGTTAATGGCACATGCTGGTTCAGTGCCCTCTCCTTGTCCCCAGGGATGACCTTGTCTTCTCTCTTACTGCCCATGCCACTCCAGTTTCATCGGGTTTAGGAACTGCTGATTGGACCCCAAGGTGATAATTGTCTTTTCTGTTTGACTTTGCTTCTCTGTCATGAATGATGATGTGACAAGGTGTGATTGGCATAGCTTAGCAGTGGTGGACGATGGCTTTATTGCAGAATCATTCATCTCCTTCCCCTTTCCCTCCTTTCTTATTGTCTGACTCACTGTTTTCTTTTGGAGTTGCCAGAGAATGGTTAATTCCATTAACAACTTAGCAGCTTTCCAGGACTGTGGCCTGGCTGATTCTCCAGGATCTGCTCACAGCTCTACCAGGAGTGGGATTTTTGGAACGATACCAATAGTTCCCACATTCACGTGGTGAATTCTCTTGGTTCCAAAAATGCCAATTGTAGGACCACAGGGTAAGTAGACTTTGGCTTATGGAGATGTTACAAGTTGGGTAGGAACCTGGCTGATGTTGAAAGGACTCACATTTACATTTTCTCTGGCCTTCTGTAACATTTTCCTTCCCTTTGGATGTGGTGATTTATAGAGAGGTTGTAACTGCCTGGATTATTTTTCATACTACACAACAGGGAGCACTGTGAAGTTGCTTTCCTCCTAAAAGTAGATTAAATATAAACACTCTGCAGTAATTGGATTTGAAGTGCATCCCTTCTTGTTATTTGTTTGAATACCTTCTTGTCAGTGCCCAGGAGGATATCTCTGGAGCCTTCCAGGTTTTCCACATTGTGTGGATAAACTGCATCTTTGTTACCTACAAAAAGAATCCCATCAGCCAGAAGCCTTTGGATCTCTTTGGTTAAGGAACTGCTTTCTTATTGAGAGTCTTAGAGTCTTAGTTTTAGAACAGTTAGGAGACAGAGTTTCTTGATGCCCTGACTGTGTGATTGAACCACGTGTCTGGGTTCTCTTGTGTCTTCTTAGGCCTTTGACCTGGACGTGCAGGAAGACAGGCACAAAGGCTGGCCTTGGGGACTGAGGCCTGCTGCGTTCAGGTTTTCTGTGGATGGTGTTCTCAGCCTAGCTTCTCACACGGGGGTGATACTTTGTTTTTTTCTTTGTTTGTTTTGACAGAGTCCCGCTCTGTCACCCAGGCTGGAGTGCAATGGCGTATTTTGGCTCACTGCAACCTCTGCCTCCTAGGTTCAAGCAATTCTCCTGCCTCACACTCCCTAGTAGCCAGGATTACAGGCATGTGCCACCATACCTAGCTAATTTTTTGTATTTTTAGTAGAAGCGGGGCCTCACCATGTTGGCCAGGTTGGTCTCGAACTCCTGACCTCAGGTGATCCTCCCAACTCGGCCTCCCAAAGTGCTGGGATTACAGGCGTGAGCCACTATGCCCTGCCAAGGGGTGGTACTTTGGTTCAAAGTTGAGGGTAGACCTTTTATTTAAGCCATTTTTTTTTCAGGACTTTAAAGGCCATGGCTTCTCAGGACTCACAGATGAGATCTTAAGTCCAAGATTTACCCTAATTAGACCCCTGTTTCCCCTTCTCATTTTGCCCAGGTTTCATGGGAAAGGAAGTGTACTCTGTCTACAGCTTACTGGTGTGGAAAGGATAATAGGAGCCTTTGGGGTTTTTCTGGTGGATTGAATTAACAAATATAGGTGATGCTTGACTTAAGATGGCTTGCTCTAATAACCTCTGCCACTTGCTACATTTCTGTGGTTAATTACAGATGTCAATAACAGCCCACACTGGTGCTTCCTGCCGTCTCGTGACTGGGCCAGGAGTTCTGCTGCTGTTGCACCAATCCCACTGCAGCCCTGGCTGACGAGGCCTGGATTCTGTCAACAGCTCTGTCATGGGTTGAATTGTGTCCCTCCAAAATTCTCATGTTGAAGTCCTAACTCCCAGTATCTCAGAATGTGACTTCCTTTGGAAATAAGATTGTTGCAGATGTAATTAATGAGTTAAGATGAGGTCATGCTGGAGTATGGTGGGACCTAATGCAACATGACTAGCGTCCTTATGAAAAGGGGAAATGTGGACACAGATACGCACGCAAAGAGAATGCCACGTGAAAATGGAGGCAGTGATCAGCGTGATGCAGCAGAAGCCAAGGAATGCCAAAGTTTGCCAGCAAACCACCAGCAGCTAGAGAGAGGGCTGGGGCCAGTTTCCTCTGCAGCCTGTAGAAGGAACCAATGGTGCTCACACCTTGATTTTAGACTTCTAGCCTCTAGAACTCAGACAATAAAGTTCTCCTGGTTAAGCCACCTAGTTTGTGTTACTTTGTTTTGGCAGCCCTTGCCAACTAATACAAGCTTGGCCTGAGATTAAGGAATCACTAAAGAAAAGGAAATTGCCCTGGAAACAGCCATTTCTCCAACAGGTGCCATCCGAAGAATTTCAGTGTCATATATGTATCTTGACTCAACTGTAAAACATCTTAGAATTGATGACCCAAACTTTGAACACTGTTTTGTGGTCCTTAGAGCCTTGCTTGCTCTTCATTCCAGACTTTGTTGGGCTCTTCTTTCAAAAAGTCTTAAGTCCATGCACAAAAATCTTCCCTGGGAGGAACATATACTATAAGGCATTTATACTAAAATGTTGGCTTTTATATTTAATAAATATTTGAAGAAGCAACTGGTTCTTCACATGACTATTTGTTAATTAAATATTCCAATTTTGCTTTATGTTTATAAGAAATATTGATAATAACAGCTAACATTCATTGAGCATGGACTCTGTGCCAGGCACTCTTCCAGGTATTTTTTTTTTTTTTGAGACGGAGTCTCGCTCTGTCGCCCAGGCTGGAGTGCAGTGGCGCGATCTAGACTCACTGCAAGCTCCGCCTCCCGGGTTCACGCCATCCTCCTGCTTCAGCCTCCCTAGTAGCTGGGACTACAGGTGCCCGCCACCGCGCCCGGCTAATTTTTTGTATTTTTAGTAGAGACGGGGTTTCACTGTGTTAGCCAGGATGGTCTCTATCTCTTGACCTCGTAATCTGCCCGCCTCGGCCTCCCAAAGTGCTGGATTACAGGCGTGAGCCACCCCACTCGGCCATTCCAGGTATTTTTAATGTATTAACTCATTTGATTCTCACAACAACCCTCTAAGAGGAAATGGAGGAACAGAGAGATTAAATAACTTGCCTAAAGGTTTTACTAGATGGTTCTATTTGCAGCCATCACTTGAGAATCTATTAGGTCCAGAGTGTGAGGTAGCCAGACTCTGTGCCTGTAGTCCCATAGTCCCAGCTACTCAGGAGGCTGAGGTGGGAGGATCACTTGAGCCCAGGAGTTTGAATCTGGCTTGGACAACACAGTGAGACCCTGTCTCTAAAAAAGAAAAAAGAGGACGAGGTTGCCATCTCTTTCTGTCCCTGTTTCCAGGTGGGGTTGAAATGTGATGGTTAGATTTAATAAAGATCTCTACATGTGACATAGTTATAAGAGAATGAAATGTCTGCAGGCAGAGCTCACAGTTTAGGGGCCTCTCAAGTTCTATATGAAGAATACCCAGGCATCCATGAAGTGTCCTGTCCCTGAAGTGTCTGTGGAGTAGTTGGCAGGTCACTGGT
The DNA here is from genome assembly GCF_000001405.40 of Homo sapiens. Lineage (NCBI taxonomy): Eukaryota > Metazoa > Chordata > Mammalia > Primates > Hominidae > Homo > Homo sapiens. The sequence goes on along the minus strand of NC_000002.12, from coordinate 134,584,943 downwards.
GCTGGGTCTGGAGCTGGGCATTGGACTCTGCTGCTTACCAGCTCTTTGATTCTGGACAAGTCATTGCCTTTGGTGAGCCTCATGTTCCTTAGCTAGAAATGGAAATACTACTCTAAGTTTACATGCTAAGCTTAGTACCTGGCACATTGTGGATACTTTCACATTATAGATAATTTGAATGAACATTTGTGTCTGAATCCGGTAAAAGTTGCCACCCAGACTCTCTGGCCACCCAGACTCTCTTATTTCTTTAGCAAGAGTCTCGAGTCTTTATCACATGCCTTTGTACTTTTTTTTTTTTTTTTTTACTAGAAATTTCAGAGAGGTCTTCTAAAATGCAATGGTCAAGAAACTTACGTTTCTGGGTACTTTATCTTCCAAACAAACATTGAGGATTGTGCCTTGCCTGGAACTTAGTTAATGGGGAGGGGTTTTTCACCTGTGATTTTTCACATGGGTGACCATAGAGCAGGCATATAGGCCACCTGGCTATCCTACATAATGATCTCTGGACATTCATTCCATGACCTCTGCCTTGTAGGATCTTAGTGCACACATGCTTTTGTGGATGTTGCTTCAGACACCATGGCTGGGCAGTGAGTCTGTGGTTTTTGCTAGAGGCTGCTGCCCTTCCCTGATGCAGCCGTCTCTTGGCAGCGTGATCTGTTTATGTTCTTCATTTCAAGGTTTTTCATTGTTCCTTAGTTCTGCTGCTGGCAGCAGTTGAGAAATTATACTTGGATATCAATTAGGGCATCCAAAATATGACTTTATCCTGGAGCAGGGCAAGGAGAGCTTAGTGATGTGCTTGCTTTATCATTTAACCTTTACATCTGCCAAGCAATAGTCTGCATTTCCTGTGCAGAGATTTTGTAGCCCATCTATTCAGCACTACTAGGAGCCAGGTGCTGCTCTAGGCCCTGGAGATGGAGCAGTGAACAAATGGTCAGAAATTCCTGCCTCAGGGAGTGAGAAATAAAATACATATTAGATTGTGAGGGATGCTATGGAGAAAAATGAAGCCAGAAAGGGGATGGAGGAGGACAGGAATAGCAGTTATGCGTTCAATAATGTGGTCAGAAAAAGCCTCCCTGAGAAAGCTACAAAGATGGGAGGGATTGAGGGAGCAGAGAGCAAGCCATGGGCCTGAGAGCAGGGGGCATCTCATAGGGGGCAGGCAGACAGTGTGGCTGGAGCAGATGTAGGGGAGGGGAGGGGACCATGAGGTCACTGGGAGTGATGGTGCGTGAGTGCTAGGCTATGAAAGATCTGTTAGTGGTTTTACAGCATGGCTGACAGTAGCTGCATGGATGTGGTGAACCCCTTTTCCGAGAACTCCATTGCCTTCAGTTTCGTTATTGGCCCTTGAGTTCTTTCTCGATTGTAGATCAAACGGCCTCCCATTTCTAGGGGTCGTGGCCTTCTCCATGGGGTTTGAGTGAGAAGTGTCATGGTGCTGAACTTGGTTTTATTGCTTTTGTTTCTTCGAACTCTAGGAGCCTCTTCTTAGATTGCCGTCTGAAATTTTTATCACTGTAAGTGACAAATACAAAGCGCCCAGAAGGTAATAATGATGCGAACTATTTATTAGAAACTTACATGCCAGTAAGCACTTGCTGTGGGTCTAAATGTGTCCATGTGTCAGCTCTCTTGATACAGAGCAACTCCATTAGGTAGAACTCCCATTTTGTGGGGAAGGAAACCAAGGCACAAAGACATTAAATAAATTGTCCAATTTTATGTGGCTTGCCAGCGTGGGATGAGGATTCAAATCTGGGTAGCTGGATTCCAAAGTTGGTGCTGTGACTGCTGTGCTGAGAGGAGCTTTCTGGTGAAGCTCCACCGTTCTCTGTCCACAGGACTAAGCAGAAATGAAGTTCTTCTCATATTTTTTTAAAATCCAAATAATCATTGCACAGAGATGCCTGTTAAAATAGAGAAATATGTTTTAGTGCCATTTTTATAGGAAGAATGGTCCCAGAGTAGAGATCTCTTAGCATATATGTGGAGTGTGTTCAAGCCAGTGGATTCTTCTCTACTTTTGCAGGTAGAAGGGAATTTAGGCCCCTTGGACCCAGAAGCCATTTTTCTGCCCCCTACCTTTCCTCCTCTCAGGATGGAGGCGACCCCCAGCCCCCACATGAGATATCACCACTTCCTCTTCCTCACCTGCCAGTGACTCACTGTTGCCAAAACTAAAGCATCAGCTTGAGACATGATTATTTTTTTCTTCCTTGTTTCAGAGACAGCACTTATGATGACTGAGTGGCTGTATGCAAGTCATGAGAATCACATGGCAGGACCTAGCACCACCATGCACCAGCTTGGGCTTGGGTTTCTGATTAGTCTGAGTGAAGCTTTGACGTGAATTTTTGTCTTGTCAGACTCCAGTTAACTTCAACAGGGACGGCACTAGGTTCAAGAGTCCAGAGAAGAGACCCAGAGCCAGCAAATGAGATATGGGGTTTTATTTGTGAGAACTTACATGCAGGAACAGTCCAAAGGTGGCAGACTGGACAGGAGAACTGCAACCTCTTGCAAAAAGCGTGCGGTTTGTAGAGCACTTGCACTTAGCAGCGGCCCCCGCATGGCAGCTGTCATTTCTTAAGTTATTGCTATTAGGTGCACCTACCATACTGACCTTCCCCCACCTACAGGAGCTGGGAACATTCCTTATGCTCTTTGGGGGATTTGGGTTGCCTTTTTTGAAGTTGATGAGAAAACAATTTTGCAAAACTTACTCCCCTTCCCAGCCTTTGTCCTCTCTTTTAGTTCCTTTCTAATTAGGCATCTTCCCATAGCACATGGCGATCTTCTTGTCTTCCCTTTTTGACATGACTGTGGTTTCTAGGAAACTGAAAGTTTTAAACTCTTGCATACCTTGTGCTCTCTCATGGTTCTCTGCCGTGTGTGTGAACCCAAGCAGTGCTGGTTGCAGTGCTGTTGATACTTCTATGCGCACTCATGGTGACAAGGAAACCCTTCAGCTTTATGACACCGTTAGGAAGGACAAAGTCTTCAATATGTGTAGCCATATTTTGAACGATGGAATATTTAACATGGAGAATCAGTGGTTCAAGGGCAGGAGGGAGATGGAAGGGTAGTTGCCTTTTTGGTTCTGCTGCTTCTTGTAAAGTTGTGTTCTTTGGTCACTCTGGTATCATTATTGTACATGTGTATATGCATATGCTGACATGGGCAAGGGGAAAGTATGGGGAAACTAAAGGTAGGAGATCCTCCCCTCAAAATGAGCTGACTTGACTTTTGAACTTGTTTTCTCATCAACCTCATAAAATTCATCTCCCCCCCGCCCCCATAAAGAGCATGAAGAATGTTCCCAGCTCCTGTAAGTGGGGGAATTGCTGGTGGTTTGTTTGGGGGAAGGGCAGTGCAGCAATGCAGCCAGAGTGGGGTGGCAGCTGCTATTTTACATTTGGAAGGAAGTGGACCCAGTTCTGGAATGAACATAAATGTTGACATTCAATTTCTCTCACCAAAGTAAAGTGGAGAATTTTAGATATGTTCTGAAAGAGATAAGCATGATGTGTTGCTAAGGCTATTTGCATGTAGACACTTATGAAGAAGATGTGAAAATTGTTTCTGTGTTATGTATATTCTAGTTAATTAAAAAAAAATTAGTTGGCCTTTTAAGGGAAAGGAGCTTGTTGAGTTATTCATCAAGTAGCTACTTTGGGTGATAGAAGCTTGGTTTAAAAAAGAAAAAAAAGGAAGATCAAGGTTAACCAGAAATGGTGCCTCAGGAAGCAAATGTATATATTGGACTACAAATCCTTTTCCGTCGGATTTGCCCCATGTGTCTGTGACTCTCCCTTCAGTGCCCTCCTGCCCTGATTCTGTTGTTCTTGGCACCTGCGTCTGTGATGGTCAGGAAGTTTAGGTCTTCATTAGAGGGTCCAGGGACTGAATTGAGCCCCAGAGGTTATCTCATGAAGCCCCGCCTGGAGAGATTGGTTAGTCAAACCCAGAACCACCATCCACATCTTGCTCCTGTCCTAGGGCTGGTTTTTTTTGAGGCAGAGTCTCGCTCTGTCACCCAGGCTGGAGTGCAGTGGAGCCATCTTGGCTCACTGCAACCTCCACCTCTGGGGTTCAAGCGATTCTCCTGCCTCAGCCCCCTGAGTACATGGGATTACAGACATGCACCATCACTCTCGGCTAATTTTTGTATTTTTTGGTACAGATGGGGTTTCACCACGTTGGCCAGGCTGATCTTGAACTGCTGACCTCAAGTGATCCACCTGGCTCGGCCTCCCAAAGTGCTGGGATTCCAGGTGGCAGCCACTGCGCCCGGCCTCTAGGGTTGTTTGACTTATTTTTGCATTGATCTTGGGCTAATTCCAGATTAATTTCTTGTTGTCTCAAAGACTGACATCCTTTGCACAATAAATGAATGAATTTTATTCCGTATACACTTACTATAGTATATAGTATGTGGGGAAGCCAGTGAGCTCTTGAACAAGGATTTTATTTTACACTTCTTTTGCAAAAGGAACACTTTATAGCACCACATAGTATGTTCCATCAGCCTGCTTAATTGGGCTTGACAATTGGGCTTTGGTTCTTAAACAGTTTTGTAACCCTCCTAATTAAAATCCAGTGTATGCTGTTACGTCTCTTAAATTGATGGCTGTGACTCATGGGGTTGAGGTGGCCTAATTAATCTTCAGCCCTTAATGAATTCTAACTCTCTTCACCTTTGTTTCCCTCAGTACAAAAGTCATTGAGGTGCAGACATCTAGCATTTAATGTGCCGTGAAAATACATCGTCTCAATTTAAGAAAATTCCTTTATTACCACGTAATTGGACAGGTAAAATACTTCTGCTTTGTTTATTGAAGTGCTTGATGAAAGCCTGGGATTGAGATTTTTTTCTTAAGTCTCAAATCTTACTGAGTACTCTGGTTTGATAATTGAGCTTTGGTACCTAAGGTACTTTTTGTTTCTTGTCATCATTTTATTTTTTTAAAGACTAGGTCTCTCAGTCTGGTATCATGTGAGGTCCTTCATGCCCTGTATGAGAGAACAAATCATTACCATTAGCACGGGGGCCAAGTTTTCAGCACGAAATACCCATGCAGTAAATTGTTTACTATGTGACTGATATTTTACATAGATTTCTTTTAATTTTCACAACTTTGTGAGTATTTCACTTTTCAGATGAGATAACTGAGGTTTGGAAACATTAAACAATCTGCCCTGTCTTTATGGCTGGTGTAGAGCAGGACTGGATTCAAATCCCAGTATATCTCTTCCGAAGCCCTGTGGAACCAATTTAGTTTCCTACCCCTAGGAGAGCATTCACCCTGTTCATTAGCTCCTTTGTTAAGGGAGAAAACAGGAAAAAGAAAAAAAAGGATGGATTTGTTTAGGTGATGACAGCAAGAACATTCAGGACGTAGGTGAATCCAGAACTTTTAAATTCAGTGAGTCTGTTCATTTGGACAGTGAGTCTGTCCAAAAAGCTTCTCAGTGTTAGAAACTTCATATTTGTTTTTAAAAAATCATGGAAGAATCATCCTAAAACATTATGTCACTTACAGCTTTAGAGTTATACTTGTAGATGGATAGATTATGGTGATGTGATTTTTAAATCCATTTTATTTTGTAGCGTGAGAAAAACAAACGAACTTCGTGAAAGAATTCTGTGCCCCACACTATAAATGCTTTGATAAACTGGAAAGTTTACCAGTAATCCTTGCATCAAAAGTTCTAATGGGAATAGTTGCCCCTTTGTAGATATAAAAGTGTCTTCTTAGATTGAATTGAGGATTTGGGGGAAGCCATTCACATGACAGCCTGCTGTAAAAAATCAGGTGGGACATGATAGGTCCAACGCATCCTCCCACCCAGGAGGGCCTGACGCCATCCAGCCTGGGGTGCTGGAAACTTCACTTTTGAAGTTTCTCTCCTGCAGGAATAACTGAACCATCTACTTCCTTTTGTGATCGCTCTCTCCATTCAAATACTGGGTGCATCCAGGATGGAAGTTTGTAGCTCTGTGGTAGGGAATTTGGGGTGGAGGGAATCTAGTGAGATTGTTGGTGAATAGAGCAGTCTCTTTTTACCTCCCTTCTGAAAATGCAGTTAGGCTCCACTTGGAAAATTGTTGCTTTGTATGCACACACATGCACACACACTGCCTCTCACACACACATGCACACACACACACTCAAACCAGTTATTTATCTCTTAGGCCATGAGATTTTACATGATCTGAATTGCTGAGTCTAGGCCCTGTGTCAGATTACTGGACATGCAGAGAAGGGAATAATCACAGCTGCTTGTTAGTATTACTTTGGTTGTGCATAGTATTTTTCACACTAATTGTACTGTGGGGGAAAGGTTGTCCAATGCCTTTTGCTCTTCGTTATCCAATCTTTCCAAATGGCTGCATGCAACATTACACATACAGACGCTAACCACGATGGGAAATGCTTCTCTGTTCACGGGCATGACAAGCTGCAAATACAACTGGCTGACAGGAACATCACGCGTTACATTTCTGGTTCTAGAAAGGCGAGACCAGTGCAGTGGAGGCATTGACATACACAAAATATTCTGCTCTTCCCTTAGTTGGGTGTGTCTGGGTGCTTCTGTTTGGCTTTGGTGAGAGTAATCCTTTTGAAATGGGGCACATCCAGAACAGGAAATAGTGTGAGCAGAATCTGTAAGTGGACTTTTCTTTTTTGAGCAAAATCTTGTGCTTAAGACTTTTAATGAAAGCCTGCCAGAATACTGCACAGCTCCTCTAAAACTACCCTTTCTCTTCCTCTTATTTTTAAGTTATGGAACTAATATAACTGTATTATCAAAAATAGGAAAATTGGAGGGTTAAAAGGGTTCAACATTTCTTTTTTTATGATAGAAGTAGAGTCATTCCTCCGCACCCGAGAGGGGTTGGTTCCAGGACCTCCCCATACAAAAATTCCTGGATGCCCAAGAGCCTGATGTGAAATGGGATAGTATTTTGCATGTAACCTACACACATCCTCCCGTATACTTTAAATCACCTCTAGATGTACTTACAATACCTAATACAACGTGAATGCTATGTAAATAGTTGTTATGCTGTGTTTTTATTTGTATTATTGATTGTTGTATTTTTCCCCCCCACATGTTTTCGATCTATGGTTGATTGAATCCACAGATAAAGAACCCACAGAGAAGGGCTGACTGTAAATACCTGGTGGGCACGGAGGCTCCCAAGGGTGGGTGGGGAGGGCTGGGGAAATGCCTCCCAGCTGAGATAGGTGTGTCTGAAGTACCTGGGAACACCTGCGGAGACCTGCAGTGTGAAAAGGAGAGAGGCTGGTCCCTTTCCTGCCCCCTCTCTCCTGGCCCTGCACCTCTGGCTGTAGCCCCTCTGGACTAGCTTCTTTCTCAGTCAGCGCCTCGTGCAGGGCTCCAGCTTGCTCTGCGGATGGTCTCCTCCTCTCACTGCAGCCCTCAGCGAGGAACTGGCTTCTGACCCTTGTGTATTTCTGATGCCTCAGCGTCCCAGCTGTGCCTCCCCTAACCCTGAGAGTAAGTTACAATCTCTTCATTTTCGCCGTCTAAAGGGACTTCTGGTCCCTGCCGGGACCTTGGCTGATATAGGTGTTTCCTGAGGGAAGGAACAAGACCATATGAAGAGCCACGATGTGTGCTACAGAGAAAGAACACAGATTTGGGCTCTCAGAAGGTATCAAATTAGAGTCGACGGTGTCCATATCTTTATGCGTGTGCATGTCTACGTGTGTGTATATGACATTAAATGTCTATCAAAAAAGGCTCAAAACATGGCAGGTACCCTAATTAAGTTCAAGAAGAGTCTGTTGGGTGTCTGTTTTGTGCTGGTCTCAGCCTCATACTGGGGTAAGGTTGGAGCAGGAATTCACAGATAGGAATAAGATAGCTGCAGCTCCTGGAGCTTCCAGGCCAGAGGAATCGGAACATGGCAGACAATAGTTGGGATGGAATGTGATCATGCATAAAGGCGTTTATGAGGTTTAGAAAGAGTTGGCTCTGCAGCATCTCAGCAGTGAGTAGATATTAATGTCTGTGTTTAATAGTTCAGTTTAGGAGGTAAAAGGGTTGTTCCCCACCTCCCATCCTGAGATAGTGTTTTCCTTCTGGGAAAGGAAGGAACTCCTGTGCATCAGAGGAACTTAGGTGGACCTGTCTGCAAGGTGCCAAGTTTGTCCTTTCTTTTCAGGACTTGTAAATACTTGCAGATGCCTCAGATTTTAAGAAAGGTATGACCCCTGCTGGCCCTTAACCTTCAGCTTTGTAACAGAGACTCAGGAGAGGCCAGGCCATTATCTGTCTCTCCTCTTGGTTCCTTTTTGTGTGGGAGACCTTTCTCTCCTAAAAAGAAAATCTTGGCCTCTGAGAGGCATTCTGTGTGATTGGGAAGGAGTCCTGCTGGGCCATTTGTTCAAGGTTAAAATTCTTATTGCCACTTAATGGGTGGCCCTTTTATGTTAGGGGAGCTTAATTCTGTCAGCTAAAATTAGGTCTATATGAGATTAAACCATCAGCATTGGGGATACAGTTTTCCCCCAGGTGTGGCCATACCAGGCCCTTGTGGCATTTTTATTTTTCTGGTTTAGGGTTTGGTGAGAAATGCAACAGTCACAGGCTTGTCTCACGACTAAAACCACTTCGTAGAATTTCACAGGCAAGTCACAGTCCATAACCTAATTCTTAGCATCTTTCCTCCTAAGATCTCCAGGACTTTTCAGAATCCTCACGTCCCCTCAATTCTTCCTCTGTATCCCCTGGTCTCACACCACCCCGCTCCAGCTGACCAGTCAAATACCTTTTCCTCAGGAGTTATTCTTGGACACGTCTGTGGCCACCACCCTGAAAACCCTCCCTTGACCGCACAGCCCTGCACCTTCAAATCCTCATCTTACTGTGCCCATGGGTGTCATTTGTTTCTTTCACTGGCTCTCCCATCTTTGCCCAGTTTCTTAAGCACAGGTGTTCCCTAGGACCTTCTGCATCCTGGGCTCACCTCTGTGTGGTTGGGTCCCCAGGAGTCTCACTCTTCCTGGGGCCTGTCCTTTTTGGAGACCTGCCTCCCCGAGACATGCCTCGTTTTGACTTAGGATGTTCTCTCATAAATGCCACCTGCTCCCACGCACCTGCTGAAATCTGCCTAACTTAAATCAAACTAGGTTCATCTGTGCAGTCTTTTGTGTTCTCTCTCCATGAAACCAGATCCTGTTTAGGAATTGCACTCTCTTATGGTCCGGTTTGGTAGGGAGCTAAAGCTAAGGACCCTCATAGCTGCTTAGCTTTCTTCTACCTTCCTAGGGTGCTGGGCATTCACTCCGTGTGGCGAGTGACACATCTCATGAAAGCGTGACCCAGAGGGATGGCATGGAGCTAGGAAAAACAATGAGAACCCTGTGTGTGTGCCTCTCTCCTCTACCAAACTGTGACCTAAGAGGCAGAGATTGTTTTCAGCCACTTCTATACATACCGCAGGCCCCTAGCATTGAAGGCAAGTGTGAGTATGACATCAGGGTGTCTGACAGCTGAGGGGGCGATTCTCGGCCTGGCTCTTGGCTGACAGCAGCAGGAATGGTGGGCACTGGGGGTGGGGTAGGGGCCTGACCATGGTTCAGATGGCAGATGGATTTGCTTCCAGAATGGCTTAATCAGGGTCCATTCTGTAGATGAAAAATCAAGGCCAACCATCTTTATAAGTTTATTCCCAGCTCTCAGTACCTGTGGTTTGTGGTCACTTACTTCCTCTCGATTCTTCCCACTCAAGCTGTGTGGAAGAAGAACCCTACAGCGCCAAGAAGGTCATTGCGTTCCCTTCCTCCCTCTGGCCTCCCATTTTGCATGCTCAGGACCGCCACATGGTCCCCTTCCCCCACCCCCCCACAGAGCCCCACATGTCTGGGCTGGCCTTGCTTGGCAAATGGACCATGCCTTCTCTACCATACAGTTACAGCCCTGCTACACCACGGGGACCTTAGTGCATATTAGAAAAAGCCCTCTTCTCCTAATGTAGATGGAACCCCATGCCAAGGTGCTCAGTCCAGCAAGCCTAACGGCCTGGGTTTCAGCAGCCACTCTATCCCTCACCTGGGAGCCCTTAGGCAGCAAATCTCCTACACAGCTGCATCAAATCGAGCCATCTGGCAGTCTGCTCCTTCCTTGCAGCTGGGAAACATGAAAGCATGCTGGATCCTGTTAATGAGCTAACCGTCCCATTTGGTCTTCAGATAATTTCTTCATCCAGGTGGACGTTTTCTTGGTGCAAATTTGAGGAACACTGGAAGACCCCGACAAGTACTAAATAATTTTGGAAAAGATGACATTTGAACACATCTTCCTAGATTTTTTTTGTTTTGTTTTTGTTTTGAGACAGGGTTTCTCTCTTGTTGCCCAGGCTGGAGTGCAGTGGCGCGATCTTGGCTCACTGCAACCTGCACCTCCTGGGCTCAAGCGATTCTCCTGCCTTAGCCTTCCGAGTAGCTGGGACTACAGGTGCATGCCACCGTACCTGGCTAATTTTTGTGTTTTTTGTAGAGATGGGATTTTGCCATGTTGCCCAGGCTGGTCTCGAACTACTGGGCTCAGGCATCCTGCCTGGCTCAGCCTCCCAAAGTGCTGGGATTAGAGGCATGAGCCATTGTACATGGCTGTGTCTTCTAGATTTTGAATAGAGCCTATGTCCTAGCTCTTTTAATGCTTGGCTATTTTTCTTCTATAAGCACAATTTGCAAATCTTATTTTTATAGTATGCACCCGCTCTGTTGCCTAGATTATAAGGATGTGCTGCTACGGTGTTTGGTAGTATGAGTTTTCTTTCTTATTCCTAATTGCTATCTTGATTTCCCAGTGTTTTCACAGTGGTTTCTAAAATTTGGCTGTAAATTCTTAGAAACATAATTAAAAACACAAACTTCTGGGCAGTAGCCAGAGGCTCTGGAACACAGGCCACATAATAGCTGATGGCTGTCTGGGCAAGCTGTGTTCTGTGGGTCCCTCCGGAAGTTCACCCTGAGAGTTCTTTACTCCCTGGGTTCCTGGGCTCTAGAAATGGAGGCAGCATTGCTACTGCATCCCAAGCAGAATGGCCCAGTTGGAAACAAAAGGCATTTGAAGTGTTGCAGAATGCAAAGACACAAAGCCTAAAACAGTGAAATAAACTAAAATTCAGTCTAAAATTTATGGGAACTGGAATCCTGGTTAACTGTGTTTTTTAGTTCTGTTTTCTCATTTTTATTATATGTCATTGCACTTAACACTGAAACAGCACAGAACTCTCGGCATCACATCTGTCTCCACCCTCTCAAGAAATGTGAATTGGCCTGTATCTGCCTAGAAGGGAGTTTGTCAGCCTGGGTGCTATTGGTATTTGGGGCCCTGATTCTTTGCTGTGGGGCTGCCCTGTACCTTGTAGGCTGTTTAGCAGCATTCCTGGCCTCTACCTGTTAGAAGCCAGTGGTGATGACCTCTCTTCCAGCTGTGACAACCAACAATGTCTCACTGCCAAATACCCCCTGGCGGCTAAAAGTGCCCCCGGTTGAGAAACACTGGCTTATACCTTTCTGATACATTTAAATACTACTTTCTAGACTGAGCCCCTTCTATCCATCAGCTTTTATGATGTGACAGATATTTCAGGTTAGAATAGGGAAGCATTCTCAGCACTTGGGTTCTTCTAGTTGCTGGATGATGCACAATGAGAATCTGTTCTGGAGAGAAATGACTGCTCTTCTGTGTTCATGCCTTTCTGGCTCCTTTGTGCAGTGTGATAATAACATGTGGGGAAGACTGAATCTCTGTTTCCTTGGGCCATGTAAATAAGCCCCTTAATTTTCTTTCAGGCCAGTTGAGCCTGAAAGAATCACAGATTGCTCAGGAACTAGACAGGGTGTGGGAGATCCCTCGGTAGCCAGTCCAGCAGCTTTGGTTGTGGGGCAAGATGTCCCAGGCATGTTGATTCTTTCCAGATTCAACAGCGTGTTGTACTTCTGGGTAACTGCATATATTTAAAAGAGGATGCGTATAAATCACACCTAAATGTCATTTGAGATCGTTGCCACTGCAGCAATCATTTTTATTCTCTAATTTCAGGAATATTGCCTCTTTGCAGGGCTGTACAGGCCTCCTTGCAGAGGTCATGAAGTGGAGCTCATTTCAGATCATTAAGCGCTGAAGGGTTTATAATAAGCACACAGTCTTCCGAATTCTGAGAGTCTGGCTTGGTAGGACAGCAAGAGGCAGCAGGAAGGGCACGTGACATCAAGCCAAGTGGGGAGGATTCTGGCCCTGGCATTTAGACCTATTGATGATGGAGGCCCAGTCAAGTTGTTTCCTCTCTGAACCACAGTACTGCTTCTGTGAAATAAAGACGTTGAAATAGATAGACCATCTCTAAGGACTCCTCCAGCTTTAAATGAAGATGTATGATTTTAATTAAGGTGGTAATGAACTGGATATTTTCAGATATAATTAAATAGGATTGGAGAGGTATCTTTGTCTAAGAGGAGGGATAGTGGTAGAATATTAAAAATTATATTCCATCAGTGAAACTTTCAAGTGAGGGATGTAATTAATGTTGCCATGGCGAATTTGTGGACTGAGAACAGAGCTATTTTCACATCAATTTGCAGTCTCTGCTCTGAAGTGGACAGACTTTGGGAAACACAGGCATCTTTGGAAGATGTTGGGGGTGTGGCTGACGACATCTTCTCTCTGCAATCCTGGAGACCTGGGTGCTGGTTCTAGCTTTGCTGTGTGATTTTGTGCAAGGTGCTCCATGTCTCAGGGCTCAGTTCTCTTTTTCATGTGAGGAATTCAACTTTGGTCTTGTGTAGAGAAGGTTAATAGAGCTGTTTTGGGATTCCCTATCCTTAGAAAAGCCTGCTTGCAAGGTTGGCCCTTGGGTACTGTTTGGCAACATAGCTAGTAAGTAGTTCCCTATGTGAATATTAAACTTTCCATAAAGAAGTATGGCTCAGTGTGCCCAAACCATTTGTACAAACCATGTGGTTTATGCTGAATACCTGCTTTCCTTCCAGAAGTCTGGAATTCTGGTACATGCCAGGCAGTATATGACCTATGCAACAAGCCCCCAGTAAAATCCCTGGTCACCGAGTCTCTAACAGGCTTCCCTGGTACACAACACTTTGCACCTGTTGTCCCAACTTGATGCTAGAGGAATTAAATATGCCTTCTGTGACTCCACTGGGAGAGGACTCTGGGAAGCTTATGCCTAGTTTCCTCCAGACTTTGTTCCATGCACCTTTTCCTTCTGCCGATTTAGCTTTATATCCTTTTGCTGTCATAAATCTTAGCCATGGGTGTGACTATATGCTGAGTCCTGTGAGTCCCTCTTGTGAGTCACCAAAGCTAGGATTAGTCTTGGGGACCCCTAATATAGGTACTCTAAAGCTCTCTGAAAACGTATTTTGTAAGTAGAATGCTTTAGATTTTTTTTTTCGGAGTAAAAATTATTTCTGTATTTCAGGTGTTTGTTCCCCTTAAATTGGTAGTGAGAAAAATGTCATGGCAGAGGCAAGTGGGGATGAGCCAGCAGAAGCTCCCCTGTTCTGTGGTCAAACCATAGCCTTGTTGGCCATTAGATAAACGCTTTTGATTGTGAGAAACACAAGCAAGAAAGGGTCAATGGAAAGCGAGACAGTATATGGGCAATGCCATTTCAGCCATTATTCTGTTCACTGTGTATTTTCCATATTGGTGTGTCCTTCTGTGTTTTTGAATTAGATATAATTGGATTCTTAAGACTGAGGCTATCTATAATTTGAGGGGAACTTGTTGAAGAAATTCCTTGTGTGAATCGGTTCCTAATTTATCTTTGAGGTGATGCCAAGATGAGTGGGGTAGTACTATGAGCTTTAGCATCAAGCATTTTGATTAAAAGAGACATATGTATGTGGTAGCAGCTGAGAGCATCACAGTTACAAGCAATGGAAATCCTCATGTTAGTTTAAGCAAAATAAATGAGAACGCATTTCAGAATGTAACTGGCCAGATTTATGGGGTCGAATGATGTCAGAATCCTGTTTCACTTCCTCCATTCTCCTTTCTCTCTTCTCTCCTCTATGTCAGCTTCATTCTTGGGCTGGTTCTCTACACAAGTGGCCTTGAATTGACCCCAAAGGGTCCTAGCCCTTACAGTATCAGGGGAGGAAGACCTTTTCTGTCGCACCATTTATCTCAGTCTCTGAAAAAGGATTCTGATTGTCCTATCACTGTGTCCAGGGAATGGGACACTCTGCAGTTTGGTCACTTGCTTTCCTCTGACGCAGGATAGGATCATATTACTGTCAACTGCTCCACTAAAAAGGAACAGCCCCTCCTTAGAAAAAAAGAGGCTTTCTTTTATTAGAAGTAAGGAGGGCAGAATGAGCAAAAATGACTATGTTGTATATGTATATGTATATGTATATGTATATGTATATGTATATGTATATGTATATATATATGTAGTAGTACCCCCTTATCTGTGGGGGCTATGTTCCAAGGCCCCCAGTGGATGCCTGTAAGCTTGGATAGTGCTGAACCTGATTGTCACCTAATGGAATACATTTCTGTTCCTGCCTTGTACCCACAAATTAATGCCTTTTCCATCTTAACTAAGCACTTATCATGCACTGTGACACTTTTGCATTTTGAGATGCAACAACAAACCTAGCACAAGTTTCTTTTTTCCTTCTTCACAACTCCACAGATAGAAGATTCATTCTTACCGTAGATCTTAGCAACATCAGCATGTGATTTTTTTTTTCTTTCCTTATTAACAACTTTCACCTTTTCACTTAAAGGAAGCACTTTACAGCATACCTTTGACATACATGGATTGCCAGCATCAACTACTCTTGCCTTTGGGGCCACTATGAAGTAAATTAAGGATTCCTTGAACACAAGCACTGAGATACCATGATGGTTGACCTGATTACCCAGGGGCTAATAAGTGACCAACGGGCAGGGAGTGTCTATGGTGTGGATTTGCTGGACAAAAGGATAATTTATGTCTAGGGAATAATGGAGTGGGGTAGTGTGAGATTTTATCACACTACTCAGAACAGCTTGCAATTTAAAACATATGGATCATTTAGTTATTGAATTTTCTATTTAATATTTTCATACTATAGTCGACTGTGAGTAACAAACTGCAGACAGTAGAATCATGGACAAAGGGGACTACTGTATATGGATCCCAGGAAAAGGCTACATGGCTTCCATGAAGTTGAGTGTTGGTTGGAGGTAGTTGATGAATGTCTCTGAGAACCGTCTCTGAGTACTGAAACAGAATACGATCTTATTTTCTTGGTGGGTAATAATTATATTAGAGGTTCGATCTGGGCCAGGGACTGGGGATGTGACTATGGCTAGAATTCCAGTCCTAACTACAAGGATGAATGTGGCTAGGGGGTCTTCATTCATATGTGTTTCATTTATATGTGTTTTCCAAGTGTTCTTTTTAGCTAAATCTTTGCAGGTAAATCTTTGACATAACTCTCGCTCCTAATGGAAATGATAAAGAAGTCGTTCTGATTGAAATGATGTGGGGGTGGGATGAGGGGCCCACTGTGGTCCCTTAGGGCTTAAACCTACAGGGTCTAAGGAACTTGTTTTGAAAAACCCTAAGGGTGGTGGTCCAACCATGGCAGTGTTCAGTTCACTGCCCTGATACCTGGTTATGAGTTATTTATTAGCACTGAGTAGAAGTAAAGCTGATGCTGTCAGGGAAGAATTATTGTCATTGGATCAAGAAAAACTATGACTCCTATTTTTATTTTCTTTTGAAGCATCAACACTGATTCATTTTTGATTTATAGCTCAATATCACTGGGAAATTGTTCTGGTTCATGTAGAATGTCAAAAACACAGCTCTCCATCTATAAAATCCTATCAGAACTCAGTCCAGGCTATTTGTAACTGGTAACCAGCGTCACTGTGGGTCTTTGGCATAGTGATTTCATGGAGTGTCTGAATCTCACTTTTGAGAGTTGTTATCTTTCATGTTTGTTCTTGTGACAGATTCCCCAGACTTCTCCTGTGAAGTTGTGTTGATTGGTTGATGGATCTGATGATGTCTTTGTGGTCGTACTCTCCTTGCTTTAGAATGCTCACAGGGCTCATGGATAGCTAATACATTTGCTAATTCAGAAGCCAGACCTAAGATTTCTTTCCTTCATTCTTTTTTCTTTCTTTCTTTGTTTCTTTGTTTGTTTCTTTCTTTTTCTTTCTTTCCTTTTTTCTTTTCTTTCCTTCTTTCCTTCCTTCCTTCTTTTTTCTCCTTTTCTTTTTCTTCTTTCTTTTTTCTTTCTTTTCCTTCTTTCTTTCCTTTTTCTTTTCCTTCTTTTCTTTTTCTTTTCCTTCTTTTCTTTCTTTTTCTTTCTCTTTCTTTTCTTTCTTTCTTGACGGAGTCTCACTGTGTCACCCAGGCTGGAGTGCAGTGTGCTATCTCAGCTTACTGCAACCTCCACCTCCCGGGTTCAAGCAATCCTCCTGTCTCAGCCTCCCAAGTAGCTGGGATTACAGGCACCCACCACCATGTCTGGGTAATTTTTTTGTATTTTTAGTAGAGACAGGGTTTCACCATGTTGGCCAGGCTGGTTTCAAACTCCTGACCTCAAGTGACCTGCCTGCCTCTGCCTCCCTAAGTGCTGGGATCATAGGTGTGAGCCACCACGCCCTGCCTTCTTTCCTTTATTCTTGTTTCTCTATGTGGCCTGTATACTTACACTCAAAGTTAATGAAAGCTGGTGATGCCCTACTGGAACATGATAGATCTGGGGCACCCCACAATATATCAGTTACCACACACTTTCAAATAAAGGGAGTCATATTTGTTGAGTAAATTACCTTATTCTATTATAAATCTTACTTAAGTCTAGTTTTATTTTAAGTTAGAAGAATGCTAAGACTATGCAGTTGCTTGGGATATGATGGCAACCTTTAAAAAGGAGAAACACATAGGTTTTCAGCCCCTAACAGAGGAGACGATATAGCCAAGTGGACCTTTTTTAGCCACTGCAGAATGTGTTCTCTGACCTTTGTATCTGCCCAGGGCTTGTCCAAGAGAGTTACATCATTGCAAAGACTTGGATCTGTTCCTCCTCCTCTTGATTCCCCATTAACATCATCCACAACTAGGAAGGAAAGGTTTTGTTGCAAATGGAGAAAGGTGCTATCTTGGGGACTTAAATTTTGGAAAGTCTCTGACTCTTTATTATTATTATTTATTATTTGAGATGGAGTTTTGCTCTTGTTGCTTAGGCTAGAGTGCAATGGTGTGATCTAGGCTCACTGCAACCTCTGCCTCCTGGGTTCAAGCAATTCTCCTGCCTCAGCCTCCTGAGTAGCTGGGATTACAGGCTTGTGCCACCATACTCGGCTAATTTTGTATTTGTAGTAGAGATGGGGTTTCACCATGTTGGTCAGGCTGGTCTAGAACTCCTGACCTCAGGTGATCCTCCCGCCTCGGCCTCCCAAAGTGCTGGAATTACTGGTGTGAGTCACCACGCCCAGCTCCTGACTCTTTATTTTGTGAATATTGGCAAATCAGGATCTATTTGCTTTGTAACTGTATAAGTGGTGACTACACCTAGGTAGTTTAAAATATCTGTAACTTAAATCTCTCGCTGCACGAGCTCTTTTTGGCCAAATCCCATTTAAGTCAGTGATGGCAAGGAACCACATAATTACTGATTCTCAGTGGCTATGTGGAAAGTGGTTTGGCTGCTTTCTTTGGTTGTGGAGCATGAACCCCTATCTCCCGCCTCAGAAATACGTGCAGATATTATACATACACAGAGTAAGAAAACCGAAGCATATGGAGGGATGTACGGTGGAATGAGAGCTGCCTTTCAACCTTGTACTCCCAGTGCCCTTCTAATGAGGAAATCATCTGGAATTTCTTGTGTAGCTTCTCTGAAATTGTATCATAAAGAAAAATTTCTGTACACACCCATGCACACACAGAAGCTTTGATAATCTATTAATTACCTTGCTTTATTCTGTCACTACATTTTGCAGCGTTACACATCTATCTTTTTCAAGAGCTTAATGATATCTTATGGTATGCATGTGTGATTTATTAAACAACTCTCTTATTAATGGATGCCTAAGTGGTTAATATTTTGTTGTTATACATCTGTAATAAACACTCCTGTATGTATTCTTTCTGCATTTGTGCCAGTATAAATGTAGAATATATTTCTCAAAGTAGAACTTGTTGGATGCAAATAATGTATATCTTACATTTTGATAAACATCTCCAAGCTGCACCTCTAAGAGGTTTCCCCACTGACACCAAATGAGACATTTGTCCTCATGCCCTCACCAGCACTCAGAATTTGCAAAAAAAATTTTTTTTTTGAGATGGAGTCTCACCCTGCCACCCAGGCTGGAGTGCGGTGGCATGATCTTGGCTTACTGCAAGCTCCACCTCCCTGGTTCAAGCGATTCTCCTGCCTCAGCCTCCCAAGTAGCTGGTACTATAGGCACGTGCTACCACACCTGGCTAATTTTCGTGTTTTTTAGTAGAGACGGGGTTTCACCATATTGGCTGGGCTGGTCTCGAACTCCTGACCTTGTGATCCACCCACCTCAGGCTCCCAAAATGAGATTACAGGCGTGAGCAAAATCCTTTTATATCTGCCATTGTAAAAGGTAGAAATGGGACGGATCTTCATTTTCTTCTCGTTTTTTCAGTTTTGCTACCTTATGTTTATCAGTTATTTTAAATTCCTTTTCTAAAATTGCATGTTCATGTTGCTTTCTTGCCTTATCTTTTAGGCTCTTGGGCTTTTAAAAAATTTAGTGATTTGCAAGTATTCTTTTAAAAATTGAAGTATAATAGACATACAGAAGCATCATTGATGAAAATCCCATAGCTTAATGAAGTTTCACAAAGTGAACATAGCTGTGTAGCCACCACTCACACTCATCTTCCCACCTGAGAAGACCTGTTCATGCCCCGTCTTTGACACCGCTCCCTGCCCTGGAGGTGACCACCAGCCTGAATTCTACCACTGTGGATTTGCTTTGTCTATTTTTGAACTTTATACAAACCAAATCATACATAGATTATCCAATGAGTGCTTTTGTGTTTGCCTTTGCTGAGATGCATACGTGTAGTTGTGATTAGCTGTAATTCATGTATTGTCATTGTTGTATTTCACTGGATGAATATACCACCAGTTTATCCATTTCTACTATTGACCAATGTTTGTGCTGTTTCCAGTTTTGGCAATTAGGAATAACACTGCTGTGAACATTTTGTAAGCATCTTCAAGTATCCATATGTATGTATGGTTTTTTTTTTTTTCTGGAGACAGAGTCTTGCCCTCAGTCGCTCAGGCTGGAGTGCAGTGGCTCAGTCTTGGCTCACTGCAACCTCTGCCTCCCAGGTTGAAGTGATTCTCCTGCCTCAGCCTCCCGAGTAGCTGGGATTACAGGCTCCTGCCACCACGCCTGGCTAATTTTTGTATTTTCAGTAGAGACGAGGTTTCACCATGTTGGCCAGGCTGGTCTCGAACTCCTGACCTCAGGTGATCCACCTGCCTCGGCCTCCCAAAGTGCTGGGAGTACAGGCATGAGCCACTGCACCCAGCCATAAGTATGTATTTCCATTGAGTATATATCTAGGGATGGAATAGCTGGGTCATGGAGTAAGATCACTTTTGTTTTTGTTTTTGTTTTTGAGACAGTCTTGCTCTGTCACCCAGGCTGGAGTGCAGTGTTGTGATCTCAGATCACTACAACCTCTGCCTCCTGGGTTCAATCGATTCGTGTGCCTCAGCCACCTGACTAGCTGGGATTACAGGCACGCGCTACCACACCTGGCTAATTTTTGTACTTTTAGTAGAGATCAGGTTTCACTATGTTGCCCAGGCTGGTCTCAAACTCCTGGCCTCATGTGATCTGCCTGCCTCAGCCTCCCAAAGTGCTAGGATTACAGACATGAACCACCGCACCTGACCTGATCAGCTTTTATAGAGACGGGCAGCCAGTTTTTAAAAGTATTTGTACTGTTTTACACTTCCACCAGCAGTTCAAGAGTTCAGTTGTATTGCATCCTTACTAACGTTTGAAACTGTCAGCTTTTTTACTTTTTAGTCACACTTTGAGTATGTAGTGGCATCTGTGGTTTTAGTTTTATTGTCCCTGGTTACCAATAAGTAGAGTATATTTTCATATGTTTATTGGTCATTTGTGTATCATCTTTCATGAAGCTTGTTAAGTCTTTCACCCATTTTCCTATTGGGTTGATTTCTCTTTCTTAGTGATTTATAAGTCTATATGTTCTGGATATAAGTCCCCTGGTAGTTATGTTTTATAAATATCTTCTCAATAAACTCGATGGCTTGCTGTTTTGCTCTTTGAAGGAGGTCTTTAATGTAGTTCAGTTTACGAGTCCTTTCCCTTATGATGAATGCATTTATGTCTAGTTTAAAAAATCTTTACCTTTCCCCAAGATTATGAAACTCCATGCCAATATTCTATTTCAGACCTCTCCTATGTTAACCTTACACTTTTATATCTACAGCTCATCGACAGTTTTCTCTATATGGAGTAAGGTAGGGTCATAATTCAGTCATTTCATATGGATGTCCAACTGGCCCAGTACCATTTATTGAAAAGAACTTTCTTTCCCCCGTGTATTTTAGGGGTACTTTTGAAATATATAAATCAAGTAACCATATCTGTGTGGGTCTTCTTTTGTTCTGTGGTCTCTTTGTTTATCCTTGTGCTAATATCATTTTATTTACTGTAGCTTTGAAATCTTCGTATCTGGTAGTGACTGTCTTCCAGGTTTTTTTGGTTGTGGTTGTTAACGGTTGTCTTGGCTATTCTCCCTGCCCACCCTGCCACCGCCACTGCTGCCGCAGTGGAGTCTCGCTCTGTCACCCAGGCTGGAGTGTAGTGGCATGATCTCGGCTCACTGCAACCTCCGCCTCCGGGTTCAAGAGATTCTCCTGCCTCAGCCTCCCGAGTAGCTGGGACTACAGACACCCACCACCACGCCTAAGGTTTTTGTATTTTTAGTAGATACAGGGTTTCTCCATGTTGTCAGGTTGGTCTCGAACTCCTGACCTTAGGTGATCCACCTGCCTTGGCCTCCCAAAGTGCTGGGATTACAGGTGTGAGCCACCGTGCCTGGCCTGTCTTGGCTATTCCTGATTCTTTTCACTTTCCACATGAACTCTGGCTTCATCTTATCAATTCTGTCACCACCTGCTAGGATTTTAATTGGCCACAGTGAGGCTTCCAGTCCACAAACATGGTATGTTTCTTCATATATTTAATAGTTGTCTTTAATTTCTCCTAAAATATTTCATTGCTTTTCTAGGTAGAAGTCTTGCATATTTTTTTAGTTTCATTAGTTTTTTCCTAGGTATTTGATAATTTTGTTGTTTTGAATAGAGCCTTTTAAAAATTACATTTCCTTCGTTTGTGGCTAATATAGAAATAACTGGAATTTGTGTATTCACTTAATGTGTGGTGGCCTTGCTGAATTCACTTCTTAATTCTTTCTAGTTCCCCTATTCTGTCTGCCAGTTTGCCAGTGCCTCACTGCTCTAATAATTGTGACTTTGTGGAGAACCAGGCATGCAGGGAGCAGCAGGCAGCTTTAATTTGAGTACTTATTCTCGGGGCACCTGATCTCAGTGATCTACCTTGGGGAACATCTTCCTGCCTTGAATATAAGAGAAGACTGCCTGGCTGGCAGTGGAGCCTTGGCTCCTCTCGTTGATGGAATGGTGGTGTCTGATTCTTGTATCGGTGTCTGTCTGAGCACGCACTCCTTTGGTTCACGCCTTTGCTCTCTAGTGTGTAGAATATCAGGAAAGGGTCCAGGGGTGGATGCTGGAGCTCAGCTCCAAGCTTGCCATTGCATATAAGGGACAATCGTTTGGATTACTGATGACTGTGCCATCTAATTGTGGAAAAGTCTAAGCTCTGCCCAAGATTTGATTGAGACATATTATCAGCTGTCAGCATCTTCTCCTAGCATGGTCTAAATTTTAATGTATTTTGTAGATTCCCTTTATAACTTAGGTTATTGGGGGTTGGCCATTTTCTGGATCTTTGATCATTTTATTCTTTTTCTAGTTTTTTCATGTTTCTTGTTGCTTTGGGTTTTATGGAGCAGGGTGGTGAGGAGAGAGGACAAAAGGGCTGTATTCCACCATGTTTAACTTGTATTCTTTGAGTGATCACGTTAATCTTCAAATGACTTTGATTCAGATCAAATGAGTTGGTGTTTGTTCAGCATAGTTTCTTTAAGCCAAATCTCTGGACCCTTATTCAGTGTATTTTTCTTCTTCATAGTATGTTCTGTTCTTTAAAATGTTTCTTAAGCGACTTTTCAAACCAAAGAGGTTCAATGTGTTTGGAATCAGCAGTGCAGACCAAGGGCCATCTCAGTGGCCTGGCAAGGATGACCTTGGGTGACAATATCCATGCCTTTGCTAGCTCTTCTTGCCCGTAGTGTTAGCTTTTGGTTCTGGTCTGAATTGACTGTCACACATTAAATAAAAGCCAGAAATTATAATTGGGGGTTAGAGATTCTTCCAGTCTTGTTCAGTTTAACAAGGATTTTTTGAGCACTGACAATGCACTTGTGCTTGAGCACACAGACCCTGAGGATAGAGACAAATATGATACAACCCTTGACTTCACGCTTTTGTGTGCTGCTTGGGAGAAGGCAAGGAGCATTTCTGTGTTTTATAAAAGAAAGGCAGCTAGGGGCAGGGAGCTTTGGGGCCCAAAAAGACACCAAGCCAAAGTAAAAAGAATGGACTGAAAATGAGTTTACCTAGAAACAAGCTTCAAACTCCCAGCAACCTCACAGGTATTTAACATAGAAGACAAGAGAAGATAAAATGCGAAAGTTCTGTTCTATAAATTTTATCCCCATCTCTGTTTATCTAATGAATGCTTTACTTACTGGGCTAAAGGAGCTGCATTCTATGATTAAGGGAAACATAAGGCTTTAAAATGTATGTTTTATCAAATTGTTGGGCAAGCAACTGCTGTATCCCCAGCTCAGCAGAATAGTGTGGGACACATAGTAGGTGCTCAGTAAGCACTTGTTGGTTGAATGAAAGACTGATTAGTTGAGCGTGGCTACTCATGTTAGTCTGGCAGTGTGGGTTGCAGGACATGAATTGAGTGTGGTCTGAGGACACCTGACCAGGCCTGCCTCCCACAGGCTTACTTGATAGCTCTGCTGGCATTGTGGGCAACCCTGGCACAAGGAGGTGTAAGAGCAAGTGTTAGGAAAGTGTGAGTGACATTCAGCAAGAACCTTGCTGCTCACTTTGGGAGGCCAAGTCAGGCGGATCGCGAGGTCAGGAGATCGAGACCATCCTGGCTAACACGGTGAAACCCTGTCTCCACTAAAAAATACAAAAAAAATTAGCCGGGCGTGGTGGTGGGTGCCTGTAGTCCCAGCTACTCGGGAGGCTGAGGCTGGACCTCGGATCACGAGGTCAGTAGATCGAGACCATTCTGGCTAACACGGTGAAACCCTGTCTCCACTAAAAAAAAATACAAAAAAATTAGCCGGGTGTGGTGGTGGGTGCCTGTAGTCCCAGCTACTCGGGAGGCTGAGGCTGGAGAATGGCGTGAACCCAGAAGGCGGAGCTTGCAGTGAGCCAAGATGGCGTCACTGCGCTCCAGCCTGGGCGACAGAGCGAGACTCCGTCTCAACAACAACAAAAATAATAATAATAAAAGAACTTTGCTGCTACTTTTAGCTCTGGCGTGTGAGGTCTGTGTAGCAAATGTGCTAACAAGTTGAGGGGCTGTATACGCCATCGGAGACGGCGGAGACGGCCCATAAATGCTCATAAAAGTTGGTTAACTGTGCCTTCAGGGGATGTTCCTCCTGCTTATTCCCAGACTGAAGAAGCAGCACAGTGAAAGTGTGCTGTGGTGTTGAGGAAGTTTTGTCATTAAAAGCTGGGGTCTTTGTCTTTTTGTCTCTGAGCTGGTGACTCCTGTGTGTGAGACCTCTGAGAGCTTCTTGAAACCCAGGTCTCTCCCTGTTGAGTGGCAGGCATCCTGCCCATGTCCCAGGAATGCCGATCCCTGCTTTGGAACGGGGGTCATGTGCATTTCATGTTACGCAAACTGAAACAGAGCTAGTCTGGTGGTGTGTGGTAGCAGGAACAAGGGTGCCCTGGTCCATGCTAGAGACTTTCCTTGGGTTGTTTTTATTTGGATTTTTTTCCTGTTATACTATTCTGTGTTGGCTCTTGGCTTTCTGGGTCCGGGGCTATCCTTACTCTTTCCTTAATCCTAGATCTTTGCCATTTGCAAATGCTTCAAGCTGTCCCTAAAGCAGTGGTCCATTTAGAGGCTGGTTTCTCCATTGTGCCCCAGAAAGTGCCAGCTGCGGCTTCATTTGCTCAGGGAAGGGCTTCTGGGTAGCACGGCTGGGCCTCCCGGTGTTTTGAGCCCTTGGTCCTGTCTGCCTTCTCCCTGAAGGCTCTGTTTGCTGCATGCTGGAGCTAAGGGGAAGGTGTTAATGAATCCATCTGAAAGTTTTCCATGTTCTATGTGTTTAGGCACTGATCTTGGCATTCGGGATACATCAGGGAACAAACATTCAAAGCTTTTGCCTTTGTGGTGTATATATTCTAATAGGTGGGAGTAGGGTGGGGCAGATGAAACCTACATAAGTACATAAGATAATGTGGTAGATGAGATGTACTTCAGATAAAGAAAATTTAGAGGTGGGTGACAGAGAGCTCAGATTGGGAACGAGGGCAGGTTTCATCGTTAAATGCGGTGGCCAGGACAGCCCTAACCTGAAGGAGGGGAGGGAGCAGGCCAGGCTGATCCCTGGAGTAAGCTTGTTTCTGGCAGAATGAAGAGCCGTGGCCTGGCTGTGGGGAGGTCAGCGAGGAGCCCCATGTGGCTGGAGTGCAGTGAGCAGGTGTGGGCCGCAGAAGAGGAGATCAGAGAACAGAGGCTTCCTCCATCCTAAGGACCATGGCCTTTCCAGGGAGGCCAATGTGTACAAGTACCAGGGGCATGGAGGGATGAATGACAGTCGCTGCTTCCTGTTAGAAATTGGAGTGCAAGTGACCTTTCATTGCAAAGTGGCCCAGAACACTAGCAAAAGGCACTCCCTACCCCCATAGCAGCAGCTCGAGGGCAATATTTTCTAACCTCTTCAAGCCCATTTTTGTGGGTTTTATAGGTTATTGTGGGTGTGGGATTAGGGGCGGGGTTGTATAGTCCCTTTTTGTATGTAGCCACCCATTCGTCATGTGAGAGAGACCCATGATCATCCCTGAGGTCTTGGCAAGGGTTTGCCTGAGACAAACACTTGCTTTCCTAACAAACACTTGCTCTCCAGACAGGCAGAGCCCCGGAGGGTGGCAGGCCAGTGCCCATGGCCTACCTAAGGCTAATAATGGTTCTCAGGGTTGTCTGTAGAAGTCAAAGAGCTCTCAAATAATGGTTTTGGCTTTGAGAACCTGGCCATGGTACAGCTTTTTGTAATTTGCTGAGAGCCAGACCTTCCAGTAGAAAACATTGGGAACCACAGTCCATACAGCAAAATGAATATTTAGCAGGCACTTTGCTGGACATTGCTGGACATAGCAGGTTGCTCATGCCCTACATGTGAGGTCCAATACTCAAGCCTTACGGGGCCAACTAGATGCCACAGGGGCCAGGCAGGTGGAAGAGGTGAGTGAGGCAGGCTGGCTGTGATGTTGCAGGAGAGGTGTGTACCCCAGAGCACATGCCTCATCTGAACGTAGCATTGGCACCACTGGGAGAAAGGGACAGCCAAGGGTGGGCAGATTTCAGTGTTTTGAGAGAATCCAAAGATCCAGATTGGTGTTTTCATTATTATGTTTTCTTGTTAGGCAGCAGAGGAGGTGGAACTAAGAGGGGTCCAAATTTATGTATGTGTGTATGTATTGTGGATGATGGAAAGATGGTTCTCCATTTGAGTTAATTACATGGCTGGAGGTGAGGTTGTTGCCAGGCCCCTGTGTAATAGAGGCTGTCCAATTAAAGTAGGATTGATTTATTAACGAAACTTACAGTCACATAATTTTGCAACTTGGAGGTGTTACGGGGCCTGGGGGCATTGCTGAAGAGTGCTAAGGCTCAAGATAATTGTTGCATGACTTTGGAGAGAATGACAGATGGGTCCTCATTTTTGCTGCAAATCCTGCCAGCGATTGAAATGGCATTCTTTGTTTAAGGTTGTGGAGGGGCTGTCTGCACTGATCCTCTGTTGCCTTGCTGGCATCCTTACCTCTTTGTGCATTTCCAAGGTATTTTGTCTCTACTGTCCAGAACCCTCCCTCAAAGCCTGCTGCTGATTCAGCTGCACGATTTAGCTTTGCCCTAACAATGGGTTGCCTGGGTCCTGTCCATTTTCCAGCTGTCTTTCTATTTGAATTTGAATTTCCAGCTGATATGCTTTCTGGCCTGGTGTGTGACTTAGTTAAAGAAGGTCTGGTCTTTTAACCAGACTTGTATAAATATTTATTTTAGACTTCTGTTGTGTGTGTGCTTCTGGGAGAGTAGCTGTTATTACCCCTTTGACACGTAAATGAAAGTAGTGTGTGTGACACGCAGCATCCTGGGAGGCAGGAGGTCCCTCAGACTGCAAGTGACATTCTGCTCGTGCTCCACTTGCTGGCTTTCTTGGTCCACCACTGTACTTCCATGAACTTTTTGGGCCATTAACAAACCACTGATGTAGGTGATTTGACCTAGAAAGATGGATTCAGAAACTTAGATGTAATAAAGACACATATAGTCATATGCCGCCCTGTTAGAGCATTTGTGAACTCACAGTGCAGCCTAGTCCCAGATATGTATCACAGATCTGGTTTCTCTTGACTCCATTTTAGACCTTTGTTGATATTTTTGTGAGTTGGATATCTTTTTCCCCACATAGATTTCTTTTTCTGGTTTAAATGATATGGTGGTTGTAGAAAATGTAGAAAATAAATCTCAGGACCCCCAAATCCCTAATCTAAAGGGAAAAGTCAAGCTGGGGACAGTCTGGCAAACCTGCCTCACATTTTATTCCTAAATAAGATAGCTACAAAGATTGAGAAGCTACATACCTCCCTCACAATTTGCCCACAAAGAAATTCTTTGTGCACAAAAGACAGACTTTGAGTCCTCTCTCTGTTCACCTGAGACAGATGTATATCCAATTGCTTCCTCTGCCCTGTTGTTTCACCAAGCTGGGCAAAGGTGTAAGTGACTGTTCCTCTACCCTCCGCTCACACAGAAATTGTGTATTCTGTGAAAGGCTAATCAAAGACTTTAAAAAATACAACCATTTGTCTGTTACCTACCTGTGACCTGGAAGCCCCCTCCCCACCTTGAGTTGTCCTGCTTTCCGAACAGAACGAATATATATCTTACACATATTGATAGATGCCTCATGTCTCCCTAAAATGTATAAAACCAAGCTGTGCCTGGACCACTTTGGGCACATGCGGTCAGGACCTCCTGAGGCTGTGTCATGGGCATGTCTTTAACATTGGTAAAATACACTTTCTAAATTGATTGATCTCTGTCTCAGATACTTTTGGGTTCACAGTAGAAAGGAAAGAAACCCACTCAAATATTCCCACCCTTCAAAGATTAACCACTGTTAGCATTTGAGGGAATTTTTTTCTGGTTGTTTTCAATGCAGCCTGTAAAGCTAGTTGTAGCACATGCTTCATCTTGTGTCTTGCCCGAATTATCTCTCGTAACTCTCCTCCTGCTTCCTTTGGCTTTAGCCAGAATGGCCTCAGACATGCCAAGTGTTCCACCTCAGAGCGTTTTACTGACTCTTCTTCTCTGGAAGGTCCTTCCCCAGGTAACAGCATGGTTTACTCCCCCATCTCCTTAAGTCTTTGCTTAAATGTCCCCTTCTCAATGAAGCCTCTTCTGATCTTCCCATTCAGTTTGCACCTGTGCTGGCTAGAACTCCCCCTGTTCCAGACCCATCCTTTCCTGTGGCACCCAATGCAGAACCCAACATACAACCTATCTGTTTATTATCAATGCCATTGTTCTTTCTAATATGCTAATAGAAACATTAAACAGTATTAATTTTTCTAAAAAATATTTTGAGACAGGATCTCCCTCTGTTGCCTAGGCTGGCTTACGGTGGTGTGATCTTGGCTCATTGCAACCTCTACCTCCTGGGCTCAAGCAATCCTCCCACCTCAGCCTCCTGAGTAGCTGGGGCTACAGGTGTCTGCTACCACGCTCAGCTAATTTTAAAATTTTTTTGTAGAGATGAGGTCTCACTATATTGCCCAGTCTGGTCTCAAACTCCTGGCCTCAAGCGATGCTCCTGCCTTGGCCTCCCTAAGTGCTGGGATTATAGGTGTGAGCCACCACTGCAAGCCAGCAACAGTACTCTTTGCAAAGGCTTTAAAATATCTACCTATAGCCTATTCTTTGAATAAATCATACCTCAATCATCACCCTACTATGGAATATTTAGTTACCTCTAATGTTTTGCTGTTATAAATCACATGAACCTATTATGAACCTTTTGTACTTAAAGTGTTTTTCCATTTCTTACGCATTAAAATCTTGGGCATGGGATTACTGGGTCAACATACCTTGTATTAAGACTCATGTGGCTGGAAGTGATAGAAACTCAACTCACACTGGCTTAAGCAAATCAAAGGAAATTATTGGCTAATGTATTTGAGGAGTAGAGGGATAGATCAGGCAGGACTGATTTAAGAGGTTCAGTCTGTCTTCGGGAGTCTGATCTGTGTTTAATATCTACTTTCTTCTTGTGTTGGCTTCATTCTCAGGCAGTCTCCTCCCACTTATGTTCAAATCACTACCTGTAGCTCCTGTATTCAGCCTCCTATCTCTAAAATCCCCTCTAAGAAAGACATCCCCGTTCCAATATTTTCAGCAAAAAACTTGGCACAGGTTCTCATTGGCTCAAATTGAATTGTGCCATTTTTGAATCATTAACTCTGGACATGGGACAAGTTAATGGGATATACTAGCATGGGAATAGTGTCATCCCACCCAAATCACATAGTCTTGAGGGTAGGGCAGGTGCCATTCCCAGAGGAGAATCAGGATGCTCTTATGGGATGGGGACTGCATGCTGGGCTGGCCCCAAATGACACATCTTCATTTTACCTATGAACATTTTAGGGACTCTGTGTCTTAAAATAAATTAATAATAAAAGCCAGCAGAGAAAGAGATAGGAGCTCAGCTGCATCCTAAGCATGCATTTTTTTGGATGTGTAACTGCTGCCTAATCAGATAGCAATGTGTTTCTACTCTGACCACATGGGGCCAAGAGCAGCCTTCATAGGAGAGCTCCGCCCCACGGCTGCCTGGTCGCCCGTCTCTTTGTGGATGTGTTGCCAGTTTGCAACATAATTGTCCGAGTTCAGAACGGCCCTTGTTTCTTGTCCACTGTTTAATAAGCAGCTGTCTTGAAGGCATTGAGGCCTTTGTTGGCCCTGTGGTGGCTTTCCACTACACTCAGCCACATGTGCATGGAGCTCCAGGTGCCTCTACCATGTAATCTCTCCCTTATAATCATCCTGGCTCAGGCCTGCTGTTCTCCAAGCCAACCTCATTCTTAGCATGAGGGAAGTTGGAAACGTCCTGGTGAAAACCCCATGGAAGTTGGGGGGTGGGGTGCTGTGTAAACCATTCTGACCCTTCCATTGAGTTTGTTCTTTTCTCAAAATTGGGATGTGTCATGGTGAGTTATGAGACAAATAAAATGAAGTTACTACTTGACACTCTTCAGAAATTCCTGAAAGGCCATCTGAACTCTTTCATTCAGATCCTGTGCTAATGACTATTTGCTGTTATTTAGTAGCAAGAGTTGGGGAGTTGGCCACAAAAGGAAGCTGTCAGAGCTAAGGCTGTGTGGAGGGCCCTTCAGAGTAGTCTCAATTCCCCATGCAATTTTTGGCATTTCTCCCTTTCCATCTCATCAAGGAAATTAGACGGAGCCAATTTATAAGTAAATGATACATCTCTGTGAAGGACTCTGGGTTAACTTGGAGCCATCTCGCTCATATTTTCCTTGGTGCAGGTGGGATAGAGAATACTAATATTCCACTTGTGCTCTAGGTCATCCATTCTCTGGGAAGGTTTTATTCTCACAAGCGGATCGTTCCTGCATAATTTTGAGGGTATTGGAAATCATGGACACAACACTCCAATTGAGTCGGGGACACCCCACCCACCATTTAGTGGCCATCTCCTTTGTTTGAGTCCAGATTCCTGAGACAAGGTTCCTTGTCTTTCTCAATATAATCAAGTGAATGTCTACTTGAAATCTGTTTTGAAGCCATGGTTCACTGCTGGTGAGGCAGGTGCTCTTCTGCCATAGCGAGTCGGGGGAAGTGATTTTTCTAGCTGTGCCTTTTCCATGGTGCTCAGCCCTAGGAGCACAGGTGGAGACAGACTGGGAGCCCGGTGGCAGCATTTCTCTCTCTCTCTTTTTTTTTTTTTTTTTTTTTTTTTTGAGATGGGGTCTCGCTCTGTCACCAAGCTGGGGCAGTGGCGTGATCTCGGTTCACCGCAACCTCTGCCTCCCGGGTTCAAGTGATTCTCCTGCCTCAGCCTGCCGAGCAGCTGGGACTACAGGCACACGCCACCACGCCCGGCTTATTCTTTTTGCATTTTTAGTAGAGATGGGGTTTCTTCATGTTGGCCAGGATGGTCTCGATCTCTTGACCTCGTGATCCCCCCACCTTGGCCTCCCAAAGTGCTGAGATTACAGGTGTGAGCCACCATGCCTGGCTCTTCTTTTATCTGTTGTAGATCTGGAGCATCTGTGCAAGATGTTAGTTGGAATTAAAAGGTTTCCACTGCTGATAAAGAAGAAACCCACAAAAAGCACACAGCTAAGATATTCTAAAAACAGGTTGTAAAGGGAAAGAAAAGATATCCTCCTTGACTTATTTCTGTGAAATTTTGTTACGCTTAGTTAACAGTTATGGAGCACGTGCTGTGAGTCAAGCTGTGTTTTATAGGCCGCCTCGGTGCTTGCAGCAGTCCCGCCAGGGATCAGCTGCTTTTTTTGCACACGTCAGCATGGCTGGCATGGCTGGTGAGTTGATGTTCTCCAGGAAGGGCCAGTGCCCCTTTACAGCACCATACCTGTGTGTCCCATGAAAGCTCCAGCTGGTCACCATGCACAGCTGGCTCTGCCCTTCTCCCTGTGCCAGTAAGAGCAACAGCAGGGACTCCTGGAGCAGCTCATGTCAAAAACAACGGTGGTTAGGGATTTAATGGGTTGTATTCCACCTCACACAGTTTGAGGACCTGAATATGGCTGAGTTTCAGGAAGGGTCTGGAAACGCTCGGACACCAGTGGTTCACTCTCCCCAGCGCTGTGGCTTTCCCATGCTTGCCTTCCTGCTCCTCAGTCTTTATGGCAAACGGTGGCCGATGGCAACTCCAGCATTTACAAGTTGCTGTTCTAACCACATAGATTGACCAACTAGACTCTCTCTGTCTCAAGTCCTAAGTCACAGAAAATGAACTCTGTTTGGTTCACAGTGGATCAGGTGCCCTCCTTGTAACTGGAGGGCACAAGGCACAACACAGTTGTGTGGGGACTGTCCCTGGACCTTGTGGAGAGGACAAGGAGCAGGTCCTAGAGAAGGGATATTGTGATGAGCTGATGGAAGTCCATGTAGGCACTGGCCTCTGTGCCTCCCACCCACGCTTCTACTGCGCCACTGACCACTTGCAGAACGTAGGCCTGGGAACAAGCCACTGCCAGCTTTGCTGACTCTTAGTGTAGGGCTTTAGTCATGGTTGGAGGTGCATGTATGCTTGTTAAATATGGCTTTCTTCTGGAGATCTGCCTTTGTTATGTCAAATTGAGAAGTCTTTGAAGCTGTCATTGCTTTAGCACAAAACAGAATTAGGAAAAAGTGCTACCCAATTGACGTCCTCCAATTTAAAAATATGGATCAAGGCCGGGTGTGGTGGCTCACACCTGTAATCCCAGCACTTTGGGAGGCTGAGGCAGGTGGGTCACCTGAGATCAGGAGTTCGAAACTAGCCTGGCCAACATGGAAAAACCCTGTCTCTGCTAAAAATAAAAATTAGCTGGGTGTGGTGGCAGGTGCCTGTAGTCCCAACTACTTGGGAGGCTGAGGCAGGAGAATCACTTGAACCCGGGAGGCAGAGGTTGCAGTGAGCCGAGACAGCACCATTGCACTCCAGCCTGAGTGACACAGCAAGACTCTGTCTCAAAAAAAAAAAAAAAAAAAAAAAGGATCAAAATATGTCGTAATTAGAATTGTGGCATTGACATTTGTAGACATCTCTATTTGTAGACATCTGTTGTTTAAGATCATTTGTCACTCTTTTCTAAACAACTGTTACTGGTGTCTACATTGGATTTTAAACTCTGGTGCCCACAGATTTTTTTCATCTATCTTAGCAATGGTGTATGCCTTACTTAGCCACACCACCTTATTATGGGAACAGTTTGGGTGGTTGGAGTTTTACTTTGAAAGTTTGATATAGTTCCCAGTTGCTAAATTCTCAAAGTATCAGAAGTCATTTGATTGACAGCTGTTGAAGCAATTTTATTTGGAAATTGGCCCTCAGGTGCTTCAGAACACTGTGAGGGGAAGTTGTTGCAGGTGGAGTCTGGGAATCTTTTCAGTTCACTCTTCATTTTTAAAAATTCTTAGATTTTACAAGTACAGTTAATTTTTGGTTTTGTTCTCTTGGAACTTCCCCACTGATGTTTAAAAGGCCATGTAATGTATTAATATACTCAAAAATGAGAGAGGTTTTAAAATATTCTGAATAATATTTTCTTTCTTTTTAGCTGTCTCCGTTATGAGGTACAGCGCCTCTGCTTTTGGGTTTGCAGTAAGTAACCTGAAATGTACTTTCATCAAGTTTTGCACGTTTTTTCATAAGCCCATAAACCTCACCCTGAGCCCTCAAATGAGGGTGGTTAGTGTATGAGAGCTTAGCATGAGAAACATATTTTATGGAAACCCACTTCTATTAAAAAATGAAAATTTAACAGAATTAAGCGGCAATGAGGACTGTGTAATTCTCATGCACAGATTGGGGGGAACCACATTTCCCACAACGTGGTTGGGTGAGAGGATGTTTTGGGCATTTTAGCCCTTTTTTACCTTCCAGGTTGTATGTGGACCTGGCACGCACTGAAGCAAAGCATTTTCTGGTGTAGGCAGATGTGCTGCGAGTGAAGATCGGGGCTACTTGCGCTAGGATGAGTCAGTCTGTAGCCAGCTAGGGGTAACCTGGCTTCCCAGCTGGCCTCCTGATGGAAGCTAGTTGGAGAAAGTGGGTCTCTGCTTCACAGGCTAGGTCTGTTTAGAAATTGGGTGAAGTTTCCCCAGGCCCCTTGGAGAGGATGCTAGTGCTTGTGATTTTCCAGCTGAGAAGTGTGGTGTGGTGTAGTGACCCATAAAGAGAGCTCTTCTCAACCCCCGCCGCGTAGCTTTAGGGTTTCCTGTACCCAAGGGTCGGTATGCCTGTTCCCAGACCCACTTCTGCCCTTTGTTGTGAGAACTTGATATTGTAGGGACATTGCAGATTCTTTTCAGAATCTTATGAAAGATGTGGACCATCCAGGAAAAAGGCACACCACCACACACACACACACCCAGACATACCACATATACACACGTACACACACACATGCATACACACACACCCAGAAACACACAAACACACACCTACATTTTTCTCTGTCATTCTCTCTAGCTTGCTTGTGCATTCATGCTCTCTCATTCAAACAAAAGCATTGAATTTTATATGCAACTTTAAAGTGCTGGCAGACTTATTGCAGGTCCTGGTGACCCCCACCCCCAGCCCTGGACCCCAGATAGAATAGTCCCGTTGAGAGTCAAAAATAGAATTCTCACCCGAATCTCTTATCTGGGATGTGCAGGAAACTACTGCAATTATCTTGACTATCATGGGGAAACCAATTCCATGTGTTTCAGAACAGTGAACTCCCCCACCTTCCGCTCTATATCTCCAGAGTGCTGGGAGCCAGGGGCCCTGGGAGCAGAGCCCCCTACATGGCACACTGGGTGTCTGAGCTCCAGACGCCCCAGGCATGAGGGCAGTAAGTGGCTGCGTCGTAATGATGGGAGACCTCTTTGCTCAGAGTTTACTCATGCAGATGTTCTGAGTCACAGCACAGTTGTCCTGTGTCTTCACATTTGTGTGCTATTAACTGTGGAAAGCCTCTAATGCCATGTCTCCTTCTCCTAGTTTGATGCCATCCTGGACGTCCTGTCATCGGCGATTGTCCTGTGGCGTTACAGCAACGCGGCCGCTGTGCACTCTGCCCATAGGGAGTACATGTAAGTAGATTCTTGTCTTTCTCCAGGCTGAAGAACCCGTGCAGATGAAGGCCACGGAATGAGGCCCTCAACACAGCTTGCCCTGCAGCTTTTGTCCCAGTGATGAGAAGAAGGTCCCCAGGTTGCTTCTGAGAGTGACTAGTGCAATGCCAGCCATGTGGTAGGGTCCTCTTGGGATGGTCAGAGAGAGAGGATGTACCTTTATAATTTTCTCTGTTCTCAGATTTTGAGAATATGTGTTTGCTGGTCTATCCATCCGCTCATCCATCCATCCTGTTGCTTTTTCTTATCGGAATCTTTGTTCTCTTGGATTTTTATGCTGTTTTTCTTCTAAGTAAGATGAATTCTCCACTGTCATTTACAGAAGACATCTTAAGGGCATTCTAAATTATTCTATTTGCCTTCTGCCCCTCTCTGTATTAGGGGATGTTGCTTGCCCCGGTCTTCATATCCCATGGGTGAAGATTTTGACTTTGAAGGACTTAACGTTTGTGACTCTAAAACATATGTCTTTTCCAACTTCCATCTCTTTATATCATTTGTAAACCCCAGGGTAATAAGGACACAGGTTCCGTAATCAGATTTGTATCTCTGTGATTATGGAAGCCAGTAACTGCTCTGTGCCTCATTCCCTCGTCTGGAAAAGCAAGAAAAAGACAATTCCTCTTTCGTAGGATGATTGCAATGAGTACACACACACACACACACAAACACACACACATTTTTATGCATATACCTATACGCTAATATGTGTATGTATATGTGTGTGCATGCAGTTATATGTATATATGTGCATGTATACGTGTATGTGTGGGTATCAGGGCAACAGTTTTCTCTGTCTCTGCAGCTTTTGGACAGTTGAACACAAATGAGTAAATGCCCCTTTCTGTGGTTTGTAGTGGTATCCAGATGGAAAGTACTCTTGAGGCTGGGTGTGGTGGCTCACACCTGTAATTCCAGCACTTTGGGAGGCTGAGGCAGGTGGATCACTTGAGGCCAGGAGTTCAAGACCAGCCTGGCCAACATGGTGAAACCCCATCTCTACAAAAACAAAAATTAGCTGCGTGTGGTGCTGTGTGCCTGTAGCTCACCTACTCGGGAGGCTGAGGTGGGATAATTGCTTGAACCCAGGAGGTGGAGGCTGTAGTGAGCCGAGATTGTGCCACTGCAGTGCAGCCTGGGCAACAGAGCGAGACTTTGTCTCAAACAAGAAAGTACTCTTGAATGGGATGTTAGGCCATATTCCAACATACAAGTGTTGCAATACCTCTTTGAGGCCAAGTGATTCAGACAGTAACATATCTGAGATTGAATATGCCAGATGGAAAACTTTTAAAAGATGACACCATAACTGACTCACTAATGAGAGCAAATTTTAGTTCATGTCATTATTAGCTTTAGTGTACAAAAACTTACTTTAAATGTTAAATGTCTATTTTAATGGGCATTAGTTTTTTTTTTTTTTTAACAAATTAAGAATCAAACTTGTGATGTTACAGATGATATCATTTATGATAAAGTTAATTTTTAAAAGTGAATTTGTGGTTGAAAAAAACTAGAAAATAGTAGTAAACTGACTTTTAAAAATTTCAAATGATGGTTGAGCATCTCTACTCTGAAAATCCAAAATTTGAAATACTCCCAAATTCAAAGCTTTTTAAGCACCAACCTGATGTCACAAGTAGAAAATTCCTCACCTGACCTCATGTGACTGGTCACAGTCAAAACTTTGTTTCATGCACAAAATTACTTAAAATATTGTATAAGATTACCTTCAGGCTATGTGTACAAGGTGTATACGAAACATAAACGAATTTCATGTTTAGATTTGGGTTCCATCCCCAATATATCTCATTATGTATATGCAGCCATCCCAAAATCCAAAAAAAATCTGAAACCTGAAACCCTTCTGGTCCTAAGCATTTTGGATAAAGGATACTTAACCTGCCCTGTGATGATCAACCTTGACTTAATGCTGGTCTAGCCAAAGGAGCAACTAATGCACCCAACCCAAGCTGTTCTGGGTATTTGAGGAATTCAATAAGAAGCCTAGAGAGTATAATGTAGAGATATACTCGGATTTCAGGAGCTAGCCACTGTCGTGTCAGAAGAACATGTCATCTTTGGTTCTATAGCTGCACTGTCCAATATGGTTGCCACTAATGCAATATTTTAGCACTTGATATGTGGCTTGTCTGAACTGAGATGTGTTGTAAGTATAAAATACACACTAAATCCTAAAGACTTAATGAGAAAAAGTATTTATTAATAGTTAAAAAAATGTTCATTACATGTTGATATTAGAATATTTTTGATATATTGGTTAAACTTAAATTTTTTTTTTGCTTTAGCTTTTAAAAATGTCTTTTAGAAATTTAAAATTACATATGTGGCTTATATTATATTTGTATTGGCCAGTGCCCTCAAAGGAGAAAGTTTTTCCCTCTGCTTTTTCTTTCTTATTTTAGAGCTAATAATACATAATTTGATTTTCAGTTCCAGAAGGAATTGAATTCAGGGTTTTCCAATTTCATTATTCTAATTTGCTTTTTAATCTGATTTCCTTTCTGCTGAAATGAGTTTCGTACATGTTAGTCAGAAAGCCACGAATAATTGTGGCTTTTCTATAGCGTTGGGATCTGTGTGAACATTTGTTAGGTCTGGAGGTTTTCCAAGATCAAAATTGATGATGAGAAATGTCTTTGGTTTCACTGTTTTTAATAATCCCCCAAACAGGTTACTGTTTTTTAAAAGTATATATCATTGTCGAAAAGGCAAAAACTCACAGAGGAGTTGCTTTGATTAATTCCCAGGTAATTGTTCACGTGACAATGCCAATGCCAATGAATTCACTTGGAGATTCCTAACCTAGGGATTTAAGTGATACTCACAATCCTCTATATTGTTGGCTTTGGTTTAAAGTTTTAATCCCTGGCTTTACCCCATGTAAGTTTAAAATTAATGAAATCACTGCCAGCTGAGAAGCTGATATTTGCCTATTAATGAGCATAAATGAGTTATGAGGGGCACAGCTAGAAAAGCCATTGGTTTTCAGTTAGTTGCTGGAGAGTAATATTAGAGGAAATTGGAAAATATGCAACTGGCCCTTAGCTAATTCCCTTTATTTTTTTGAACTGGACCCAAAACCTTGGGATGAATCTTGAGCTTGAATTAGTCATGCAAAGCAACTGGAAACCTTCCTTAGCCTTGCCACCTGGTGACTGTGTATCCCTACTGTGGATATGATGGGGTATTTCATACTCAGGGAAAGAGAGTTTGGTTTCAGCACCACCAGAGCGTACCTAGCCCTGATAGTTTTTGTTTTGCATTTTAAAGATTTTTATTGTGAATTTTTATTTTTATTTTATTTTGTTAAAACGCATAACATAAAATGCATTAGCCTAAGTGTTTTTAAGTATACGGTTCAGTAGTGTTAAGCGTATCTCATGTTGTTGTGAAACAGACCTCCAGAACTTTTTTCATTCTGCAAAATTGAAATGCTACCCATTGAACAACTCCCCATTTTCCCCTGTCCCCTAGTCCCTAGCAATCACCATTGTACTTTCTGTTTCTATGAATTTGACTGCTTTAGATACTTCATATAAATGAAATTATACAGTATTTGTCTTTTTTGTGACTGGTTTATTTCAGTTAGCATAATGTCCTCAAGGATCCTCCATTTTTTTGTAGCATGTGACACAATTTTCTTCCTTTTAAAGGCTGAATAATCTTTTTTATTTATTTTATTTATTTTTTTGAGATGGAGCCTTGCTCTGTTGCCCAGGCTGGAGTGCGGTGGCATGATCTTGGCTCACTGCAACCTCAGCCTCCCAGGTTCAGGCAATTCTCCTACCTCAGCCTCCCAAGTAGCTGGGACTACAGGCATGCACCACCACACCTGGCTAATTTTTTTTTTTTTTTTTTTTGAGATGGAGCCTGGCTCTGTCACCCAGGCTGGAGTGCAGTGGCACAATCTTGGCTCACTGCAAGCTCCGCCTCCCGGGTTCATGCCATTCTCCTGCCTCAGCCTCCTGAGTAGCTGGGACTACAGGCGTCCGCCATGGGGCCCGGCTAATTTTTTTGTATTTTTAGTAGAGATGGAGTTTTGCCATGTTGGCCAGGCTGGTCTTGAACTCCTGGCCTCAGGGATCTGCCTGCCTTGACCTCTCAAAGTGCTGGTATTACAGGTGTGAGGCACCATGCCCTGCCTAAAGGCTGAATAATATTCTATTGTAAATATATGCCACATTTTGTTTATCCATTCATCCATCGATGGACATTTGGCTATTGTGAATAATGCTGCTATGAACATGAGTGTGCAAATATCTCTTTGAGACCCTGCTTCCAATTCTTTAGGATAAATGCCCAGAAGTGGGATTGCTGGATCCTATGGCAGTTCTCTTTTAAAATTTTTGAGGAACCTCTATACTGTTTTATATAGTTGTTACATCATTTTATAATTCTACCAACTAGTTTTTTTAAGTTCCAAATTTGGTTACTTTCCTGTGGTAGGAAATAAAGGTATGGAGAAGGTGGACCATCAGGTTTACTCATGGCCAGGATTTTCAACAGGTAATATAGAAGGAGGGGCAAGGGAAAGTTATGTTTACAAGCAAGGGGTTCTAAGAAGAGAGAATAAAGTAGCCAAGGAGAGGTGGAAGGATAATGGCAAAGCTAATGAATAATCACCATGGATTAGCAGTCTTGATTAGAAGATGAGAAGCCTTGATAGGTCAGTAATTGTTGGCGTGGGGTACTAATCTGAGAGTAGGCTGCTAAAAACCAAGATTCCATAGGCGTTTCATTT
The DNA here is from genome assembly GCF_000001405.40 of Homo sapiens. Lineage (NCBI taxonomy): Eukaryota > Metazoa > Chordata > Mammalia > Primates > Hominidae > Homo > Homo sapiens. The sequence continues at coordinate 134,545,762 of NC_000002.12, read as the reverse complement.
ATTGGCACAGATTTAGGGTAGAGTGAGTGGCTGAGGCAGGGTGGGGACAAAAGGTCAGGGACATGGGTGAGGCCAGGTGTTGGCAGTATGATCCATTTGAGATTTAAGTTACCAGGAATGTGTGTAGAATTTGGGGAGGAGGTGAAGGCCATGAAGCAGGTCATCATCAGTGAGTCGTCAGTGAGTGCAGGGAAGGGGCCAGGAGGTGAGGGGGCAGTGCCAGGAGGGAGGTGTGGTGGGTGCTTTAGTCTGATGGCAACTGGCAGTGTTGAGGGAGGAAGCTGGGGGCAGCCACCAGGAAGAAAGAGGCTTGGAGAATGTGGGATCAGAGAGGAAAAGCAGCCTCTACTGCAAAGGCAGGGAAAGCAGCTTCCTCAGAGAACAGCTACATTTTTATTAGGGCAAGAAAGGTAAAAGGAAGAGTCAGAAAAAGAGTTTGAGGATGTGGAGACTGGGAGGGTAGGATGAGAGTGTTTGGGAGAGAAGGGAGCCAGCCTCACAGTGGGTGACAGAGGAGCCTGGGGGTGCGGGTGGGGTTGGTGACACTGGTCTGGTGACAGTGGATTGCTATGCAGCCACTCTAAAGAATGAAGCACTATCTGTTTACTTAACGTCGTGACCTCCAAGCTGCATTAAGTGAAGAGAGCATGACACAAAATAGCATGTGTGGTTTTTTCTCATTTGTTTTAACAAAAGAGGTTTGCATCCACACACACTTGTGTAGGCATATAAAGGATACAAAGGAGACTGGCAGCAGGGTCGCCTCCCCTCCAGGAGGGGGCTGGGGACAGAGGAAGGAGGGGACACATTTTATGACAACCAGAGCTGTCCAACAGATGCTCAGCGGCGATGGCTGTGTTCTGTATCTGTGCTGTGCGATATGGTAGTCACTAGCCCCATGTGGTCATTGGGTACTTGGTATATGGATAGAGTCACTGAGGAACTGGATATTTATTTATTTATTTATTGAGACAGAGTCTCACTCTGTGGCCCAGGCTGGAGTGCAGTGGGATGATCTCAGCTCACTGCAACCTCTGCCTCCCCGGTTCAAGCAATTCTCCTGCCTCAGCCTCCCGAGCAGCTGGGATTACAGGCATGTGCCACTACACCCGGCTAATTTTTTGTATTTTTAGTAGAGACGGGGTTTCACCATGTTGGCCAGGCTGGTCTCAAACTCTTGACCCCAGGTGATCTGCCCACCTTGGCCTTCCAAAGTGTTGGGATTACAGGCACGAGCCACCACTGTGCCCAGCCAGAACTGGATTTTTAACTTGATTTAAAGAATTTAAATAGGCCCATGCAGCTAGTGGCTACTGTATTGGACAATGTCTCTTCAGTTGGGTCATTTTTAACTTGTTTTCAAAAAACAGATGAAAGTTCTTTAAAAATGAAGGTTGAGGAGATTTGGAAACGAGAAGAGTGGATACTGAGGAAAGGAAGGAGGTGCTGGAGATGGAGGGCGTGGGGAGAAATAAGTGTAGGAGGAACTTGGCAGGGCCGAATGACATGGAATTTCGTGTCTGTCCTGCCATTCTCTGCCCTGTGTACTGTGTAAGGCCCCAGGAAGAACAGCCTCCTGCCACCATCAGCTGCGAGGGCCATGGGATGCTTGCCACAGAAGGTCCAGCTTGACACTCACTGGGGGGTCTCTGACATTTTGCATATGATTGCAGTACAGGTGGGGCTGTGTGGAGGGTCCCCAGGCCCAGCTGTCTCCTGGGCTGTCAGTCAGCTTGCTGAGATGGAAGTGAAGGCAGGTGGGAGATGTTGTTCACCTGGACAGCCTTCTAATTCTACAACACAGCGTCACAATGCAGCCCGAGAGGTGGTTCTCCTGTTCCAATGTACCTCCCAATGGTGTTCTGCTCAGCAGCACATTGGGATGGGAATTGGAGGGCCCCACAGTGGATGTCCTGAGAGAGGCATAAGTCCTTTGTGTGTCTTCCCATGTGAAATAGACAGGCCCACCGGTTCTCACCCAGGCTGCTTGCTGTGCGTTCTTTTCCAATTTGCTGAGCCAAATGCATCGGCCTGAAAACCACCAGTCAACAGGATAGCTTGATAGCCTTTTGATGACTGACTCCACCAGCACCCTTGCTGCTTTTGGAAACAACTCCAGAAATTTAAAAAGAAAATTGAGTCAAGAAGTGATGGATAGGTAATTTGCTTTTGGTGCCTGAGCTGGACTGTGAAGGCAATGAGTTATACCAAGAACATATTAAAACAGTATCATGTCTCTCCCCGCTTCTTCCCGTAGGGTGTTTGATCTGGCCCTAAATCAGAGGCTCTGAGAAAGTGAATCCTATTTATTCCACACTTGTCTAGTGCTCTTAACTTGACAAAGCTCTTGAATGTGTTTTAACTCAAGAGCAGAACCTGAACTAGAAGAATAAATAACTTCAGAGATGCCCTCGATGGCTGATGAGAGTTAAGGCAGAAGGTGGAGCCATTTCAGCAGGATGGGAGCTCCTCTGCTTTGAGTAGTGTGAATTTAGACTCACCTGGAGGCAGAAGGGAGTGGCCCTCCACTGTCCTGACCAGGACAGATGAAACCAGGCACAACACAGACATGACACTACTGGGTTATGGTGCTGCAGGTAAGATGCACTAGAGGAAGGAGTGTAGGCTTGGTTCCTGTTATGGGCTAAATTGTGTCCCCGTAAAAGATATGTTGAAGTCCTTGTCCCCCAGTACGGAAGAATGTGACCTTATTTGGAAACAGGGTCTTTGCAGATGTAAACAAGTGAAGATCAGGTTATGTTTGATTAGGGTGGGACCTAATCCGATATTACTAGTGTCCTTATAAGAAGAGAAAGCAGAGACACAATCAGACATGGGGAGTAGACTCCCACGGGACAAGGAGGCAGAGATTGTAGTAATGCATCTACAGGCCAAAGAATGCCAAAGATTGCAGCAAAGACCAGAGGCTAGAAGAGGGAGCTTCCCTGTAAGTTTAATAGGGAGGGTGGCCCTGCAGACACCTTGATTTCGGACTTGTAGCCTCCAGAACTGTGGGACGATACATTTCTGTTGCTTAAGCCAGTGGTCCCCAACCCTTTTGGCACCAGCGACTGATTTCATGGAAGAAAATTTTTCCGCGGACTGGGGTTGGGTGGGGGATGGTTTGGGGATGATTCAAGCACATTACATTTATTGTACACTTTTAGGGTTTGTGCTCCTATGAGAATCTAATGCCATTGCCGATCTGACAGGAGGTGGAGCCCAGGCGGTAATGCGAGTGACGGGGCGTGGCTATAAATACAGATAAAGCAGGTGACAGTCTGTGGCCTGGGGATTGCGGACCCCTGGTTTAAGCCACTTGGTTTGTAGTGCTGTATTGTGGCAGCCGTACGAAGCTAATGTGGTCCTGAGAAGAGTCCTCCATCAGAGCTCCACTCTGCTGCTTACCTGCTCTGTGACTCCACGTGATTTATTCATCTTTCAGAACCCCAGTTTTCTCATCCATGAAAGGGAGGGAGGGTCACGACAGCTGCCAAGTGGCGTAATGGTGAAGATTAAACATGGCATTGAATAACTTACTTTCTATCCCTAAAATTTTGAAAATTGTTTTATTTGTCATCCTGGAAGAGTTTGAAATTGTCTACCTTCGCGTTTTGTTTTGCTTTTCAAGAACATGGAATAAAAGAATTTGTAATAAAATTGTAAGAAAACCCAGACATACACTTCAGCATATTTAGAAAGTTGCTTTTGACTTAGCAACAAGGGATAGTCATGTAGTGAGGGGATAAAAAGATTGTTTCTTGATGCCTCAATTTCATTCCCACCCCCGCCCATGGTCTGCAGTAAGAAAGGCGTGGGGCAAGGCAAAGTAATATATGTTTATTGTAAACAGTTGAGGTAATTCATAAAGGTGCAGAGAATACAGTGAAACTCACTTGTTATGGGGACTTCCAGGGATAACCGGAACTAACATTTTGATGTATGCTCCGTGTGTGTGTATGTGTGTGTGTGTGTGTGTGTGTGTGTGTGCACGTGTGTACACACACGTATATCCATTTAGCTTTTTTAAAACAGAGATGATCTACGTATAGTTTTTTTGAAAACTGTTTTTTCTGTATTTAACACCATAGTTTGAACATCTTTCCATGGATAAATAGAGGTTTGTTATTTTTTGATAGCTGTGCGGTATTCTATGTATGGGTTTAGCCTATTTTAGCAATTTTATGCTGAAGACATGGGTTATTTCCAATGCCTTAAGGTTAGAAAAAATCCAGAATAACTGTCCTTAAACATTTGTATTTTAATGCCTGTCTTGTTATTTCTTTAGGATAAATTACTAGAAGTCTGGGTCAAAGAAAATGCTTACATAATTTTGACGACCAGTGTCGAGCCGTGCTCCAAAAAGGTCATACTAATTTACCACTAGCAGGGGATGAAAATGTTTATTCTCCTTTGCCAGCACTAAGAGTTATAATTCTTTTTATCAGCAATGCTAATTCTCCATGTTAACATGCATTTCTTTAGTTAGCAGCCTAGCTGAACATATTCTCATATGCTTTGGGAGCATTTGCATTTCTTTTGGGAAATGGGTTGCCAGGATTTCAGATGGGAATGAAAAGCCTTTTATTTCCATCTTGGGACAGTTCCCAGACTGTGGAACCTAGGCAACTAAGGAAGCACAACTTAGTAATTGACCAGGTAGTTCCTGCTTTGCCTTCACCACTCATATTCTTTTTCTGCAATGCCATGGGTGTTTTTTGTTTAAAGATTTAATTACCTGCATTTAATTAATGTACTGGTCTATTGACTTGTCCATCTCCCTCACAAGCCTTTAAGCTCACCGAGGCAACAGTATTCCTTAACTGTCTTCTTTTTATCCCGAACCCCTAGACTCATGCTTGGCATGTAGTAGGTGCTCATAAAGAATTGCAGAAGGAAAGACTTAACTATGGAATTTCTTCATTTTATGTAAGGTTTGGATGACCCTTATTAAGATGATAGTAATAACCATGTACTGAGCACCTGATTTGTGTCATGTATTATGCTGGACTCTGTTAAGTAGAGGTATTATTTAACACCTGGTGGAGAAGGTAAAGTTTGTTCCTGAAGGCTCCTGGTTAGTGATGGATAGAACTGGAGTTTAAACAGGGGCCTTGCTTGCTCTGAAATTTGCTCATAACCACTATGCAATGCTATCTCTCCAAATGGTCATTTGCATGATTCAGTTTCACCAGTGTGACATTCCACCTTCCCTCTCCTTCCTCCTGGAAATGCATCTTCCTAGCAATTAGCTACAACCCAAAATTAACTAGAGGGAGAGAGAAAGTGGTTAGGGATCCACAAAAATGGAGAACTATAAAATTCTCCAACTTGAAATGCAGTCCTGGGCTTTGGTTCTAACTGCAAGGTGGGGAAATGGCTGGCTGTTGGCCAGACACAGATAAACTGCCTGGGCCACTGCAGGGCAGTCTAGGGGCCAGGTTGGTGTTCCCAGGAGCTAGTGTTCATTTCCTGGGTCCCCAGGCAGATGGCAGCCATGACAAGTAACTGGGCCGCAGCCCTGTGGCTTTGCCATCAAGGAGTCGTAACTGGCCTTTGTCTGCAGCTGTAGCCCGTCCTCTGGCACCTGCTGCCAGGAAGCATTTGCCAAAAGGAGAGTGTTCTATCCCTGGAGTGCCAGGGCCTAGCGCTATGGATGGGGCCCCTGTTTCACCCTGAGGATGGTTACCCTTGGACACTTGCACCTGGAAGTCATGGTGTTTGGCATCCTTCCATCTTCTGCTCCCTGCTGCCCTCGGTCAGCTGCTGCCTGTGCATGGAGGTGAGCGGGCTGAGTTCAGGAGCCCTCCTTGATGGTGAGATTTCAGGAAGACAGGCACGAGGGTGAGAGCCTTCTCCCTTTGTGGCCACCTTGGTCAGTGGGGATTTGGGCAAGCTCCTTCCCTTCTCAGATGTCCTGTGTTCAGAAGAAATCTCTGCGGGCTTGTTTTCCCCACAGCTGTCTTTGAAGTTTTAGGCTCAGAGCATGGCATGTTTTTTCTCATTTCTGTCTCCGGATTTTGTCCAGTGTGTTTGCTACTGGACATTGAAAATTCTATTTGATTTTGCATAGGTCCTGCCATTGACTACAAATCAATACCAAAGTGTTGATGTTAGGTTATGGCTCATGCTGACTTTCTCCTTAGACTTTTTAAATTTTCTGGAAAAATATTTTATAAGATACATATACAGTTTTTGTAATCATATCAAGCATACTTTTTCCCTTTAGTGGGGTACAGGGGGAAGCAAGCCAGTGTGAGAACAAAGACTAAAGCTCTCATTTCCTCTATGCTGGCATTGCTTTCCTGTGATCAGCCCACTGGGTGCTATTGTGCATACACCGTCAGCACCGCTGGGTGCGTTTACCTCCCTTATGAAGGACCCCACCACAGTGCATGTCGCCTTCCTCGGGTGTCCATGAAATTGCATCGAATGGAATTCTGGTGACTTTTTTTCTCCCCATCTCTTGCCTTTCTCTAAGTAGTTGCACCCTTTGAGCTTTCAGTCAGTGTGGGTTTTACCAGCATCTTTCTGTAGCATGATTCAGCTTGTTCCTATCACTAAATAGGAGGCATTTAAATAAATCCTTGAGTGGCTTATCATCGTTCCTACCCACTTTGTAAGATCGTTATAAGAAACACATGAGATAATAACATTGCTTGGTACAGTGTTTGACCTAAAGTAGGTACTCAATACATGGGGGTTATTTTTAGCAGGCTTTCCAGGCAAAACAGAGATAGGTGGTTTTTATAAAGTAGCTTTATTAAAATATAATCACATAGCATACTGTCACCCCATTAAAGAGTACGGTTCAATGGCTTTTAGTATAGTCAGTTGTGCCTCCATCACCACAGTCTATTTCAGAACATTTTCATTACCACAAAAAGTCCCAATCCCTGTAGCCTTCACCACCCAGCCCCTCCCAGGTCTCCTTCCCCATGCCCAGCCCCACGCAGCCACTGTCTATTTCCTGTCCTTAGAGATTTGCCTGTGTTGGACATTTCATACACATGGAATCAGGTACTCTTGGTCCTTTGTGGCCTAGCATATCTTTTCTTTCTTTCCTTAGTCACTCAGCATAGTGTCGTCAGCTTCACCCTCACTGTGGCGTGTGGTGTGGCAGTACTCCATTTCTATTGTGGCATCATGTTCCATTGTATGGATATGCCACAGTTAAGTGATCCATTCATCGGTTGATGGGCATTTGTGTTGTTTCCGCCTTGAGGCTATTATCAAGGATGCTGCTATGTCCCTCCATGTGCTAGTGTTTGTGGGGAAATATGTTCTCCTTTTTATTTCTTGGGTATAGAGCTAGGAGTGGAATTGCTATGTGTCATTGTTTGGGCTGCTGTAATGAAATATCATAGACTGGGTGGCTTATAAACAACAGACGTTTATATCTCACAGTACTGGAGCCTGGGAAGTCTGAGATGAAGACGGATTCAGTGTCTGGAGAGGGCCTGGTTCATAGGTGGCATTTTCCTGAGGTGTCCTCATATGGCCCAAGAGGCAAGGCAGCTCTCGGGCCTCTTTTATGAGGACACTAATCCCATTCATGAGGGCTCTGGCCCCGTGACCTAGTCACCTCCCAAAGGTCCCAGCTCCTAACACCATAGCCCTGGAGGTAATGGTTTTAACATATAAATTTTGGAAACATGTAGCCCCTGGCACTGGATTATATGGTAACTCAATGCTTAACATTTGAGGAATTGCCGAAACGTTTTCCAAAGTGGCAATGTCATTTTACATTCCCACCAGCAGAGTACGAAGGCTCCAACTTCTCATCCTTGCCAACTCTTGTTATCATCTGTCTTTTTGGTTCCAGCCATTCTAGTGGGTGTGAATGGTATCTCAGTGTGGTTTTGATTTGTACTTGAGTGTTATTAAAGTACTATTGAAGTAGTGGGTCATTGTTCTGGAGGAAACTTCCAGGAGGCCCTGCACCTCACTGACGTTTGTTCTACTGGCCTCTTTACCACTCTGCACAGTCTGGCTTGTGGGCTCATGGATTGAAGCTTGATTTTAATGGCACAAAGTCAGGGGACTCAGATGAATCAAGCTCAAATAACTGACATGCAAACATGGATAGGATAGCAGGTTATTAGTGGATGCAAAGATCTCCTTTAGAAGACCTTGTCTGGGTGTCTATTATGAACTGGGTGTTTATGTCTTCCCTGAAATTCATGTATTGAAGCCCTAATTCCCAGTGTGATGGTTTTAGGAGGTATGTGTGCTTTGGGAAGTAACTAGGGTTAGATGAGGTTATGAGGTTGGGGCCCCCATGATGGGATTAGTGCCATGATGAGAAGAGGGAGAGAGGCCAGCACTTGCTCCCCCTGCCTTGTAAGGACACAGTCTGTGAGCCAGGAGGAGGGCCCTCACCAGAATCTGACCGTGCTGGCACCCTGATCTCAGAACTTCAGCCTCCAGAACTGTGAGAAAGTCACTGTTGCTTAAGCTGCCCAGTCAGTCTGTGGTATTTTGCTGTAGCAGCCTGAGCTCTGACAGTGTCCATGTGGTTTCTTCCCTTTTTCTCCCGCAGGTAGACCCACATAGGGATCCTGGGCCTTGGGATAAGCAGGAATTAGGTGAATACAATATTTAGGGCCATCAGCCTCTGATTGCCTGATCTGTCAGTCTGGGTATTAGAGATGTGGTTTGGGTCTAAGTGAGACTACCTTTGAGACCAGAACAGTGGCCAAGGTTCTTTCCCTGTGGGCAACATATTTTGAAGTGATCTGCCCTATTTTCCCTTATAACTATCTTTTTTGTGTTTTCCTAGCAGACCAACCCCCTTCCTGATTAATAAGTCTTTTCTTTGGCTATGTTGATACTGTGATCATCTGCTGATAATTGAGGCTTTCTTTACTTTTTTAATTGCACATTTTCTAAGTGCCTGTAGGCCCTAGACCTAGAGCTATGGCTCTTACAGCCTGTCAGGGAACCGTGACCCAGGAGTCAAGGGGTTTTTGTATAGTTCCTTTTCTAATCTGACAGGTTTTTGACCTAAAAGTTTAACTCTGAAGATAGTTTTATTACTGACTTTCTTAGTATGCTTCGGGCACTGTACTAAGTATATTCTGTATTCTGTCTCATTTAATCCTTAGAACAATCCTATGAGATAGAGGTTTCGCTCTTCCAGTTTTATAGGTGGCAGATGGAGGTTTAGAGGCTCTCAGTGGTGGACAGAAGCCCAGAGCCATAGAGCTGGGATCCTGCTGGTGGGGTGAGGATTCATGCCCTGTGCCGCTAGCCTCCAGAGCCCGGGGCTGCCTTCACTTCAAGGCAGCAGCACACGTCCTGCTCAGGTGGGAGGCCCCAGGGAGTCTTCGCGTGCTATGTACTCAGGAGGAAAAAGGAGGAAGAGAACAGCTGTAAACAGCCCCAACCTCAGTCACTGCCACCGGGGTGTCTCACAGATTTCCAGCAAGCTGGACGGGGAGCCCAGAAGGGGTTTTTGGGCAGAGTCTCCTTTCGTTTTCCCTGCAGCCCAGAAGGAAGTTGTTTTCCCAATCTGAGAGGCAAAAAAAATGGTGTTTTAGGTTTGTTTTTGCTATACATAATGTAGTACCCTTTGCTTCCATTTCCTTATCTGTTAGGTTAAGGTTGAAACTTCTTATCTTACCTGCCTTAAGAAAAGGATTAAAAGACATTGCTGTGAGACTTGAAAAGTGCACGTATATACGCGTGCGCCCTCCGTCTAAATATATATACACACACAATGTAAAACATACAAACAAGGCTGGGCGCGGTGGCTCATGCCTATAATCCCAGCACTTTGGGAGGCTGAGGCGGGCAGATCACTGGAGGTCAAGAGTTCGAGATCAGCCTGGCCAACATGGCGAAACCCTGTCTCTACTAAAAATACAAAAATAAGCCAGGCGTCGTGGTGCACATCTGTAGTCCCAGCTACTCAGGCAACTGAGGCAAGATAATTGCTTGAACTGGGAGGTGGGGATTGCAGTGAGCCTAGATCGTGCCATTGCATTCCAACCTGGGCAACAGAGACTCGGCCTCAAAAAAAACAAACAAACAAAAAAAAAAACCATACAAATAAGTAAATGTATAAAATATTTATACATATAAAAGTAATATACATTAACATGAAATCTACCTTTTAAATTAAGTGTACAATACTGTATTGTTAACTATAGGCAGGTCTCCAGAACTTATTCGTCTCGTATAATTGAAACTTTATGCCCTTTGATCAGTAATTCCCATTTGCTACTCTCCCCTTAGATTCTTAAACACAAACCACTAGAGGGGGAAATCTCTGAAAGGACTTTAGTATTTGGACAGGAAGATTGCTCCAGGCTTACATGGAAGAGTTAATAAAAATCCTCTTTCCATAGCTTTCTTAGGGCGACAGAACAAGCAAATTGCTGTGTCTCTATTTGCTTTTGTGTTTGTTGCTACATGGGTGTTAGCACCCACCAAAATTTGTTCCTTGGCATTTTCAGCCAAGAAAGTGCTTGCTCTGTGTGTGTGTGTGTTTTCAGTGAGAAAAGCAATGTGCACGATGTGTCAGTGGCGTGGAAGTCACCTGTGAACAACCAAGACATGAATCTTGCCTGCTTTTAAAATCCAAGTTCAAATTCTCCTCCTCTTCCAAGGTGACTGAGGCTAAGATTATGGAAAAACCATGTTTCTATAGATGTAATTCTTCCAGAATATGAGGACATGTGTTAGAATCTGAAATTGAGTACTTTTCCAAAATAGTAGTGGTGTGAGGTGTCTGTTGACAAGTCTCTTCTGGGAAAGCAGATGGAAGTTTGGGAAATGAGACATTCAGGCCCCTGTATCTCAGTGCTCCCCTTACCCCGACTTTGAGCAAGGTACTTTGTTAGCTGCATCAAGACCAATCTGGCTCAATATCTCTTCTTCCTCAAGGATTCACTTGGCTGTTTGGGTTGACGACTCAGGACAGGTGGTCACAGAGAGACTCTTTACGGCCTTTTCTAAGTAGAATAAAGATTCATTTTTATTTTATTTTATTTTATTTTATTTTTGAGATGGAGTCTCACTGTGTCGCCCAGGTTAGAGTGCAGAGGTGCGATCTCGGTTCACTGCAACCTCCACTTCCCGGGTTCAAGCGATTCTCCTGCCTCAGCCTCCCAAGCAGCTGGGATTACAGGAGTGCGCCACCCCACCTGGCTAATTTTTTGGTATCTTTAGTAGAGACGGTGTTTCACCATGTTGGTCAGGCTGGTTTCAAACTCCTGACCTCAAGTGATCTGCCTGCCTTGGCCTCCCAAAGTGTTAGGATTACAGGCGTGAGCCACTGCACCTGGCCAAGGTTGATTTATAAATCAATCTTGAGGAACTTCCATGACAGGTTAGTGAATGTAAACTCCATTCTTGTTTGAAATTTCAGGTCAACATCTGCATCTGTGGAATGGTGGGGTGGTGGTTTGGTTTGTGGTTGGATAGCTGTTCTGTTGGTGTAGCCTACATTTTGTTTCCTATGTGAGAAGGTAGCATTTTTTTTAAAAAAGTCCAGTTTTATCAATCAGAGTCCTATCAGCTGCATTTCCTAAAACCTGTTTTATCAGAGTCCTATCAGCTGCATTTCCTAAAACCTGACCCTGATATTTACTCATTTAATGAGTAAAATATTCAGTTCAATTCAGCCCACCCTGAGCTGGCTGCTTTTTGAGGCACCAAACCAGCTCTCTGCTCTCCTGGACCTAAAGAAGGAGATGGGCAGGGAAGTGACTGCAGAGAGTAGGCAGAGCTGTGAAGGAAACAGAGCAGGGTGATGTGACAGCATGTGAGGAGGACCACTGTGAAGTTGGGGGCCAAGGAAGGTCACTGAGTAGGTGACACTTCAACCTTTGGTGAAACTTCAACAAAGGAGACTTGAGAAAAAGCATCCCTGGACAGAGGGATTGCTGCAAACAAAGGGCCTGAGGTGAGACCAGCGTGGTGTGTTTAAAAGTCAGAAAAAGAGGCTCCTGTGGTGGGACCCAATTAGTGAAGGGCAAAGGTGAGATGCAGCTGAGCCTCGGGAGCCTGGGGAGGAAGTTTTGATTATAGGAGCAGTAGGAGGCCACGGGTGCATTATTAAGCCTTGGGGTGATGTGATCTGCTTATATAATTAACCTTGGAGAGCTCAGATGGTTTATTACAAGAGAACCCTGACATTCTTGTGAATATGGAAGGCCCTGTGTTTCTTTAAAAATGAACATATTTTCATTCGTCTCATTGATTTGTAACAGTGGCACATATTTGTAGAACCAATATGTTTCAATTAATATGAATGTTAAAGTGAGTGTTTTCCTGTCCTCCATTCCTCATAAAAGATCATCACAGTGAACAGTTTGGTGCATGTGCTTCCAGAATACTTACTTTGCAAATAAAGTGTGATGCACACCCATATGCTTTACACGTGTGCACGTGCACACACACAAACACACAACTAGGTGTAATGAAAATAGGATCTTTCTGTTCATATTGTTCTGGATCCTGGTGCTTTCTCTTAACATAAAACCAAGGACATTAAAAAACTCCCTATATATGTAACCCATTCTTTTTAATGACCTCATGGAGTTCTTCTGTTGGCTATAGCATAATTTATTTAACAGTCTATTAGGAAATCTGAGTTGTTCCATTTCTTGCTCTTTTATGTTGTGATGACATTTATGGCTGGTGCATGAATCTGTGCACACCTCTTTGTTTATTTCTTTAGGCCCTGTGCTTGAGATGTGGGGTACTTTTTTCTTTAATAAGAAACAACTAAACTGAGTTTAAACGTCCATAGTGTGTCCTAGCCCAACACATATTCTGAATGAGAATGAAGGCTGGTTTGTTGGTAAGGGTGTGCATTATACCACAGACCTGTCACTCCCAAAGTATGGTGGGCTTGCAGTTTGCCACTGATCTGTAATTTTGATTGTTCATGGAGTGGCTGCTGTGATTGGAAACACTGCCAGCCACAAATGCATAGAACAATGAGGAACATATGTGGGGAATGGTAAGCTCACCTATTTGATATGCACATGAAGCCAGCAGTATTCCCCAAGCGGCCTTCACTGTGTGGGCACAGCTGCAGGTCTGTATTAGGTTGCTTTTCCCAATATCATGAGTAACTAAAGCCAGGGACAGGCTTACAAACAATAGACTACAGAAAGCTGGGTCTGCCCTTTGCATAATTAACCTGCAATTCTGCATTTCAAGAAATGTGATTGTTTGAGGCAGTAGCAAGCATGTTCAGGATAAAATACATGTTTCCTTATTATTGGATCCACATTCTGCAAATATCATATCCTATCAAAAGCAAAGGAGCTTAGGGAGGAGGATTTGGCTGATGAAAGGTCTTGGGAGAAAGAAATGATTCCAGAGTAATTTTTCCGCATCTGTTGTTATACCCAATCCCTAAGACAGTTCAAGAAGATAGGCTTTACTGAGATGTTTGGAAGGAATCTCACAGCACTTGGGGCTTGTTGTGTTATCTCGACAGGAGGCCTTGTGTGCAGATTTTGGAGAACAATTTCTTTACTCGTGGTGCATCCAGCTTTAATAGCTGGGCCAGCATTTAGGCGCAGATTGGTATCTCTGCCTAAATGGCTGACTCCCAGACACAGATGCGCTAGACTTTTCACTTCTGGCTTGTCAAGGATACAAGATTATGGTCTCGTGCTGAATGCACATACCTGAACTTTGTTTTGAAACCAACTGAGTCCATCCTACCTGTGATATTATGAAATACGTATTTGGTCATCTTCCCGGTTTCCTGGCATAACAACTCCTAAAATTCTTAGAATCTTCAAAATTGTGTCCTAGTGAATGCTAATGAGTTCACTGATGGCTGGCAGCTCCTGGGTAGCTTCAGGATGGGGTTGGTCACCTGAAAGACCAAGGCAGAATTTAGAGGGTCAGGACTTCCAGCCCCAGCCCCCAGCCTCTGGCAAGGAGAGAGGGACTGAAAGTTAAGTTGATGTGCCCAGTGGTTTAATCAATTATGCCTACACAAAGAAGCCTCCATAAAAACCCATAATGACAGGGTTCAAAAAGCTCCAGATACCTGAACACGTGGAGGGTGGTGCACCCCAGAGGGCATGGAAGCACTGTACCCCCTTCTCCTGTGCCTTGCTCCATGCATCCCTTCTTCTGTATCCTCTGTAATCCTTCATAATAAACCAGTCAATGTAAGTTAAGTGTATCCCTGAGTTCTGTGAGCCACTCTAGTAAAATAATTGAACCCAAAGAGAATGGGTCATGGGAACCCTAATTCCTAGCCAGTGGGTCAGAAGCACAGGTTAAAACACCCTGGGGCTTGGAGCTGGCCTTCGAAGTGGGGCAGTCTGGTGGGACTGAGCCCTCACCTTGTGGGATCTGACACCGTCACCGAGTGGGTAGTGTCAGAATTGAACTGGAGGACACCCAGCTGCTGTCTGCTGCAGAATTGCTTGCTTAGTGTGTGGGGAAAATCTCAATATGTTTTGGTGTTCAGCAGTCACAGAAGTCTGTCACGGTTGCTGTTGAGTGACAAGAGAAAAATATCTTGAGTTTGGTTTTCTCATACCCACACACCACCTCGCCTTCGTCGGCCTCTGTCCACTGCCTCTTTCTGCCCATTGCTAGCAAGGGAGGTAGGTACTGGCATGAAAAAATCCTTAGGGACACATTTAGGATGTTAGTCACAGTACATATTTCAGTGGCCTTTTAAAAGGGGGCAAAGTAAAACAAAACTGTTAGCCCCCTTACTCCCCACTCTGCATCAAAACCAGATTGATACAAGCTGATAGAAGTTGGAGCTCAGGCCAGAAAGAATCAAACCACAGTTGAGGAAATGTAGAAAAGGATATGTCAGTTTCTCCTTGAATCCTAAGCTTGATAATATTGGACTGGCTCATTTCAAAGGAAGGGTGTGTGTTGTGTGTGCGTGCGCTTGTCTGTGCACATGGGTATGTGTTGAGGAATTTTATTGTGGGCGAAAATATATTTGCACATTAGCTACTTTCCAGAAATAATTACTTTGATTTATTCTTCATCCAACCCCAGATGGAAGCCTAGGTTATTAAATTTAGTTCCAAAGAAGGCATATGTTACTGAGTTAAAGAAAAAGCCTTAACCTAGTCATTAGTTTTGTTTGTTTTTTCTTCTATAGAATAAAAATGGTTTGGGTAGATTTGTTGAGGAAGCCTTCTTTGAATTTCTCTGGGGCCCATTTTATATTGGGAAGTAGGCCTGGCACAGTGACTCATGCCTGTAACCCAAGCACTTTGGGAGGGCAAGGTGGGAGTATCACTTGAGCCTAGGAGTTTGAGACCAGTCTGGGCAACACAGTGAGACCCTGTCTCTACAAAAAATGAAATAAATTAGCTGGGCATGGTGTTGCACACCTGTAGTCCCAGGTACTCAGGAGGCTGAGGTAGAAGGATTGATTGAGGGTAGGAGGTTGATTGAGGTTACAGTGAACCTTAATCACACCACTGAACTCCAGCCTGGGCAACAGAGTGAGACCGTGTCTCAATGTATATATTAAACACACACATCAATCAAGGGGGCATTTTTTTTCTCTAACTGCCTTCTGGAGAGTAGAATCAGAGGGCATCCACAGTGAAAGATGGGTTGTTTCTGGGGCATTTCTAGCATGAACTTTTAGGGAGAAGGGCTTGAAGGAAGAGCAGATGCGTCCCCTTCCCCGGCCTCTACATATCTCTTGCTTCTGGTTCGAGAGTTAAATGGGGACATGGGCTTCCTACCTGTATGTCTAATTTTCCTGTGAAGGCCTGGACTGGCTGCAAGGTGGGAAGTGGCCTTGGCAGGCACTGATGCCAGCCCTTTCCTTCCAGCATAAGAATCCTCCCGACTGCATTCCTACCACAGCCCTGATGGTAGCCTTCCACGCCTCCAGCTTCTGCTTGGTTACTCGAAACTTTCCTTTTCATGGTTTTTGAAAACCAATTGTAAAAATACATATAGTCTAAATAACATTTCATGATTTTAAAATTAGTATGTACTCATTATTTAAAAACTGGACAATTTTTTTTTTTGAGGTAGGGTCTTGCTGTGTCGCCTAGGCTAGAGTACAATAGTGTGATCGCCGGGGAGATCTTGGCTCACTGCAGCCTCTGCCTCCTGGGTTCAAGTGATTCTCTTGCCTCAGCCTCCCAAGTAGCTGGGACTACAGGTGTGTACCACCATGCCCGGCCAATTTTTGTACTTTTTTTTGTAGAGATAGGGGTTTCTCCATGTTGGCCAGGCTGGCCTTGAACTCCTGACCTCAGATCATTCCACCTGCCTTGACCCCCCAAAGTGCTGAATTACAGATGTGAGCCACCATGCCTGACCAAAAACTGGACAATTTAATGTATGAAGAGTCACCCCTCATCCTACCACCCAGAGAATGGTTAGCTTTTGGAGATTTTTTTCTTTCCATTTCTTTTATGCATGTGCGCAGGTTTATATACATTTTGTTTTTGTTTTTGAGACAGAGCGAGACTCTGTCACCCAGGCTGGAGTATAGTGGCGTGATCTCAGCTCACTGCAACCTCTGCCTCATGGGCGCAAGTGATCCTCCTGTCTCAGCCTCCTGAGTAGCTGGGATTACAGACATGCACCACCAGGCGCAGCTAATTTTTTTATTTTTAGTAGAGACGGGGTTTCACCATGTTGGCCAGGCTGGTCTTGAACTCCTGGCCTCAAATAATCCACTGGCCTTGGCTTCCCAAATGCTGGGATTACAGGTGTGAGCCATAGCATCTGGCCGGGTTGGTACACATTTTTATAAAGCTGAGCTAATGGTACGTGTTCTGTTGTGCATCCTGCTTTTCCCCCCACTTTCTAAAGTGAGCATTTCTTTGTTATTGAAAATCTTGATGTACTTCCTTTTAAGTGTCAATGTTGCATCTTATTGATGCACCGTTATTAACCATTCACCTTAAATACCCAAGTATGGTTTTTCTTCTCCTATTATAACATAGCAGTGAAGGGCTTTATACAATCTTGTGTCTGATTATTTCCTTAGGAAGAATATTTCTTTAAATGCAATTTCTAATCAGAAGTGTGAGACATATTACTAAATTGTCCACTGAGATTGACACTTTGTATTCCAACCAGCACTGGCTGTTTTCATTTTTAAAAATGGACAATTGAAGAGGCAAAGTGGTATCATTACAACTTTTTTTCACTTTTCAAATGGCTTAAGAATTGACCCTAGAGATGTTACTCCAAATTGTTTGGCTGATCAAGATTTTCCAGAATGTTTGTCTAACCAGAGTTTAGTTCACCTCACCATACCCTAACTTTTCTATCTCATTCATAACAATGTTATAAGAAACTCTTATCAGATGCCTTGTTAAAATCAAAATGTATCATCTGAGGCATTCTCCTGGTTTACTAGGTTAGGGAAGCCATCTCTAAAGGAAATGGAGTTAGGCCAGTTAGATTTATTCCTGGTGAACCTAGGTGAGCTGAACAAAATGTTTTTCATTTTGGAATTGTTAGACTAAATCTGTTAAGTAAGCCATCTGATAATTGAAGTAAGCCTTTCATCGGTCTTGAATTTCTAAGATCTGCTTACAAACACCAAGACCCATTTCCCAACTTCTAGAATAGTTTCCTGTTTGCCCTGATTTTTTAAAAGGCTACTGGGAGTTTTTCCATAACAACATGGAATGATCTTTCACCATTTGGGATAATGTGATTTAGGATCTGGATGGTGTTAGAAGGACCAGGTGTTTCTTTTTCGTTCTGTCTTGTTGGACTTCTGTGTCCTCTTAATTAGTTTTATTTTCTGTTCCTTGCCCAGTTGACAGGCCAGAAGTGGTGCTATTCTGTCTTTTGTCTCATGTAAACATTGACCATTCTTCTTGGGTTGTAGTTAACCTGAGAATTTTGTTCTGAATGGCATTTGGAAATATTTTTTCCAAGACTTAGCCCATTTTGGACCTATATCTAACATACATGTTGGCGCTACTCTTTTGATTGTGTCTTTGGCTAATTATTTTCGTATGTTCCTCTTAAATATCACCTCATCAGAGGGCTTTCCATGCTGTTACAGTGATTTATTTATGGGCATCCCATCTCAATCCTGTCATTTTCCCAGCCCGTGTTTGTGGTTTCAGCCAGGACCGGAATGATTCCCAAGGCTAGGACAAGTCATTCCTATAGCCTTGCTCAGGATCCCGGGAGAGCGGGAAGTGGAGAGCCCTGTGGTGTTGGGCTCACTGTCACATACTTTTCTGGAAATTGTAAAGCCCTTAGACCTTCAATTTCCTGCCACAGCTGCTCTTCCCCTTCACTCCTCAACCCTCAGCGATAGCAGCGGGATTTGGGGATCTGGGGCTGTTTTTTTTGGCAAGTGTCTTTTGCACATGTTAAGGATTTGTTGTATTTTTTTCTGAAGGTTTTTCTTTTTCTTAAACTTCTAAAATTTCTTTATAATATACTTTCTAAGGTTTCCTCCCCTTCCTCCCTTCCTTCCTCTCTCTCTCTATAGTAAGTGTATATACACACAAGCATGCACATAAACACATATGCATGTATGTATAGATGCATACACGTATGTAAGCATGTACACTGTATAGATTTGCAGAGGGGTCAGGGCAAGTGAAAGGAGATGGAAGAGACATGATATAATCACCAAGAAGATGAGATTTTATCCTAGTTATAGCTAATAGTCATGACTGACAAATAGTCTGTTATCATGAAAAAGAAAATGAGAAATATGGGAGATTTCATTACCAGAATTAATTGATAACTCCCTAGAAAACTATTTGTGGTGAGGCATTTTTATAGGGTCTTAGTTGAGTGGTTACAGCTTAGACTAAATAATGGGAGACTTCATCTGTTTATCTGTCTTGAACAGCATATACTGAACCGTGCTGTTTTTTAGACATACTTAAGTTTTCATTATTAGGTTTTCTTAGTGAACACTTTTAGGGGGTTGGTAAAAGACAAGGCTTGGAGGATGAGCATTTACCATGTTCTTCTTAAAATATAATGGCCCAGTTAGGGCAAAAGCAGACATGGAACTTTTATGATGCTTTTCCAGTGGTTCTGTAAGAGGACCTGTCAGCCTGCACTGCATTGCCGGGCTATTTTCCCTGCTGGGTGTAAAGTAGCTTACACTCTGATTTTAGAAGTAGCTAATCTAGTTGGAGAGACTTTATTAATTACATAAAAGCTCAGTTTCACATAGTTGATTTGTCTAGCATAATTGTGGAGGAGATTTTAATTCAGCCCCTTCTTGAGAGACTTCTGATGTGGAAGCCTCATAAACTATATGCATAATGGCATATGCTTTATTGTTAAGTGTTCTTTTGGTGATAGGGTTTGTAGGTTTTTCTGTGAAACCTTCTCCGATTTATGGGGGTCTAGGGATAATTATTAGTGGTGCTGTAGGATGTGGAATTGTGTTGAATTTTGGTGGGGCTTCTGTGGGGTTAATAGTCTGAGAGACTTCTGATGTGGAACACTAGTTTACTTAAAATATTTTACTTAACCTTGGGTGGTTGTATAAGATTCTGTTGTCCTGCTAAATGTGTCCTGAAGTGTACGCTCCCTTTTCTTTTATTAAAAAGAAGGAAAAACTCCTTTTCTTCTCCCATCGATTTCCCAAGAGCAAGTGTGAAATGCGAAGGTAAAAGTGACCATGTGTTTGGACCTACTGTGTGCTGAGCAAATCTAGCTTTGCACTAGCTCTGAAAGGTCTAGTGCCCAGCACCATGGTTGGCACTAGAAGCAGCAACACCTGGGGCACACCCGAGGCCTGGCCTGAGCCAGTTCTCCAGCTGTGTTCTCTATACCCTCTGCTGAAATCCCTTCCAACAGCCTGATGAACAAATTTGTTGTGTGAATGCCCGCAGCATCCCTGCCTTCTTATTTGCAAACCGTTCTCCTTGTTGCCTTCCACCTAACTTATCTTAACCCAACTGCCCAGAAACATTCTAGAAAGCTTTTCTGGACTACTGGACACCCCCAGGTCTGGGAGACTGATGCAGGAGAGATGCCCTCAGGTCCAGCTAGGTGTCAGAGGCAGGCTTCTGAGGCTGTCTGAAGGGAATGCCCACCTTGGTCTTGGGAGTGTTAGACAGGGAAGGAGGCAGATTCTGTTTTTAGTGGGTTCTTCCCTAAACACAAACTTGGAGGTCAAAGTTCCATTGAGTGGTTCCAAACTATAGTAAACTTGTCCCCTTAGCCCAGAGGGTATTCTCAAAAGCAAAATGTCTACTTCATTAGGCGCTATCTTCACACAACACTTATAATGTCACAACAAAGGGGGCAAGTGCCCTTCCAGTGCTCCCCAGCGATTGATTTTGTAGTTGAATTCCTGCAAAATGGGGGCTTCTTTAATCTAGAGGCGATTGTGATACCCATCTGATGGAGAACACAACAATCTAATTGCAAATGATCAGAAATTCCAAGGAAGCTAAGTCTTATCATTTAACGCGGTGCTGCTCAGACTCCAGGGGCCTCAGAATCTGCTGAGGGCTTGTTAAGGGGCATGCTGCCAGGCCCACCCCAGAGTCTCTGATCAGGAGGGATGGAGTGAAGCTGAGAATTTGCATTGCTAACAAGCTCCCAGGTGATGCAGATGTTGCAAGTCTGGGGAACCACACTTTGAGTAGCACTAATTTATCCTTTTGAAGACGGTGATTCTTATAGTTCACTACACACAGGAATCACCTGGGGAGCTTTTCAAACTCTTGCATTAAATTAAAACCACAATGAAATACCACCTGACGCCAATCAGAATGGCGATTATTAAAAAGTCAAGAAACAACAGATGTTGGCGAGGCTGTGGAGAAATAGGAACGCTATTACACTGTTGGTAGGAACGTAGATTAGTTCAACCATTGTGGAAGGCAATGTGGTGATTCCTCAAAGACCTAGAACCAGAAATACCATTTGACACAGCAATCCCATTACTGGGTATATACCCAAAGAAATAGAAATCATTCTATTATAAACATACATGCATGTATATGTTCATTGCAGCACTATTCACAATAGCAAAGACATGGAATCAACCCAAATGCCCATCAATGATAGACTGGATAAAGAAAATGTGGTACATATATACCATGGAATACTACGCAGCCATAAAAAGGAATGAGATCATGTCCTTTGCAGGGACATGGATGGAACTGGAAGCCATCATCCTCAGCAAACTGACATAGGAACAAAGCCGAACACCACATGTTCTCATAAGTGGGAGCTGAACAGTGAGAACACATGGACACAGGGAGGGGAAGAACACACACTGGGGCCTATGGGTAGGGGGTGAAAGGGGGAGGGCATCAGGATAAATAGCAAATGCATGTGGGGCTTAATACCTAGGTGATGTGTTGATGGGTGCAGCAAACCACCATGGCACATGTTACCTATGTAACAAACTTGCACGTCCTGCGCATGTATCCCAGAACTTAAAATTTTAAAAACCCAAGCTCTCAATTACAGCATTAAATGTTATCGATATTAAAAAACAAAAACTCTTGCATTTCCCCTAGGCTGCTTCCCAGACCAATTACACCTCTATGGCTGAGTGTGGGACCCAAGTGTTAAGCCACCTGGGTAATTCTCGTGTGTAACCAACTTTGACAACCATCGTCCTAAGACTGCAGCTCATTTTAATGCAATTACAAATCAATCTGGGCTATTCAAATGCAGGCTGTAGTTCAGGAAGTCTGGGGAAGGTCCTGAGATTCTGAGATCCTGGGTTATGTCGCTGCTGCTGGTCCAAGAACCACACTTGGGGTTGCAAGGCTCTAAAATATTGGAGTAGAACAGGGTTTCTCAGTCTCAGCTCTGTGGACACTTTGGGCTGGATAATTATTTGTTGTGTATTGTAGAATGTTTAAAAGCATCCCTGGTCTCTACCCACTAGATGCTGTCAACACTCCACCCACTTGGTTTTGACAACCAAAAATGTCTACAGAAAGTGCCAAGTATCCCCTGTGGGAGGGAGTTGGGGGAGAAGTGAGGTGGAGTGGGGGTAAAAATCTCCTCAGGTGAGAACCACTGGAGTAGTGTTACTTACTAAGGCTGGGTTTCAGGACCCCTCCCCACTTCCCGTTTCTCTGTTTAATGGAAACTTTATTTCTTTGACTAGGAGAAAAACCACTTGTCTACCTCTAGACTGATCCTAAATGCCTGGAAGAGGCCTCACCACGATCAGAGTAATTCCTACCAAGATGAATTAGATATCAGCTCCTTTGCTGAGAAACGTGGTGTAATGGTGGCAGGGAGCAGCTGAGGGGAGATTGGGGGAGAGACAGGAGTGCTTTTCTAGGTTTTCTCAGTAATGGATTTTGAAAGACATCAGTAATAGCTTTTTAAGCATTTTTTCTAAATGAAATTTGGCTTATCCTCATTTCCAATCATCTCTGAGTTTTAAAAGCAACAAAACAACTGAGTACCGCACCTCAGCTCTTTCCTGTTACATGAAGTTTTTGGCATGTGACCTTTTAACAAGCTCATGAATAATTCCCTTAATTGACTGGCTGGTGATGTTTTTATTCTGTGGTGTTGTCGCAGTTCAGTAATAGCACACAGACGCTCCGACCCCCACCTGCAGACCCACTCCCAGGCTATTAAATCAGTGAAGGTTGCAAATTGCATGTCTCTCTCACTGTTTTGAACTGGAAGCCCTTTTTACACAAAGCATGTTCATGGTTAATAAAATTACTGTGTACACACGTTTCAGTCTTATCTGTAAGACCGTAATTCTCTAATTTGGTTGAACCACCTCTGGCATTAATGGAGCAGATTGAATGTGGAGTCGTGATTACCAGCACCTCATTATATAAGTGCTGTATGAGGCGGTGTGGTTCTATCCCATCTGTCAGAAAGCCAGCAGGCTGGTAATTAGGAGGGGAATAGGCATCACAACGTCTGCTCAAAGCCACACGGCATTTTTCTTTCAACATGCAAGGGATTCGATCTTTTTCCCCCCGCCCCTTGTTTAAAATCAGCATGTGACTTTAATTCAAGATCATTGGGCAGACAAATGAGAGAAAAATGGGGTACTTGTAACAGTAGGGAAAATTGGGATGAGCCTTAGATATGCCAGTGGAGTAATCATGGCAGGAATAATAAATGACTTTTCTCTTTACTGTTCCCACAGTCATTCGCCCTGTGTGGCTGGCTACCTGTCCTTACAAGGCTGCTTCTGTTGTGGGCAAAATGCCACAGTTGGTGAAGCCACTATGGGATCTGTGGCCTCTAACACAAGCACTGTGGGTTATTTACAAATGTGCCCTCCTAATTTCTGGTTGTGGGACTTTTGGGAGCAAATTATCCAGTCCATGAATCCACAGGCCTTAAAGTGCTAGCACTTCGGATGCTGTCAGTGCCAAGATGGCTTAGTTTCTGGGACTAACCTGCTTAGTTCACCTTTTAGGTGCTCTCTTAGCAGCTGGCTTCTCTCAAATAAAGTGAAGCAAATTCAAACGCATTCCTTCTCTGTGATGAATTCAGCCAGTGTGTTTTATGCTGCTTTCTTTCCTCTTGAGGGAAATCAGATAGTGGGCAGTGCCAGTCTCTCCCTCTTGTGGAAAACAAGCCCCTAGTTGGCCTGGCAGTAATTGTGCCTGGGCAGACAAAGGCTGTCACAGTGACTGTCCTGTTCTTAGACTTCTGGGTGCTCTAGAGCCATCAGTGGAGCTTATAAAGACTCCTGAGTCTAAGCCCACCCCCGCTAGAAATTCTCCACGGATCTAGGATGGGGCAGTATAACAGGTGCCTCAGGGCATGCTTCGGAGAAACGGACAGAAGGAGATGAGAAACAGGATGGTGAGTGTCCGGAGTGGAAGCTTTGAGCCTTATGGGCAGACAAGTCCACATCTCAGCTTGGCAACCTTACATGTTTCTCATACCCTTTGAACTTGGTCTTCCTCGACTGCTTAAATATCTGTCTTCTCAGACAGGTATGAGGAGTGGTGGGAGATAGTGTAGGCAGAGTGTCTCCCCAGTGCCTGCCTCCTAGGAGGGGTTATGCAGGTGCAGCTCTGCATCTGATATGTCCCCGATCCTGGGATTATAGGATGCTCTTCAGCGAAGTTGATGTTCACCTTGTGTGCACAGAGGCTGTGGTGGCCTTTCTGTGAGTTCACCATTGCTCCTTCACAAGCCTTCCTGTTAGCTGGCAGTCCACATGTTACCCAATTTGGTTCTGTTGGCTTTGTGGGTTGGCCCCAGTTGATGGCCTTGGGAATCTTATCCTTGGTACCACCAAGTCAAAGGCACACCCTAAAATGACTTAGAGCAGGGTTTCCCAAAATTAGCATGGTTGACATTTTGGACCAGATAATTCTTTGTTGTCAGGAGGCTTTCCTGTGCATCGCAGCATCCCTGAGCTCTACTCACCAGAGGCCAGTAGCACCCTTGCCCAAATTATGACAATGGAAAATGCCTCCAGACATTGCTAAATGACCCCTTGTTCTCTAGGGTGCAAAATTGACCCTGGTTGAGAGCCACTGACATAGAGCCATGCCTAAGCCTTAGAAAAAAAGTTCCTGGCTGGGCGTGGTGGCTCATGCCTGTAATCGCAGCACTTTGGGAGGCCGAGGCAGGTGGATCACGAGGTCAGGAGATCAAGATCATCCTGGCTAACTCGGTGAAACCCCATCTCTACTAAAGATACAAAAACTAATTGGGCATGGTGGCATGCGCCTGCAGTCCCAGCTACTCAGGAGGCTGAGGCAGGAGAATTGCTTGCACTTGGGAGGTGGAGGTTGCAGTGAGCCGAGATTGTGCCACTGCACTCCAGCCTGGGTGACAGAAGGAGGCTGCCTCTCAAAAAAAAAAAAAGTTCCCAAGGCCCTTGCTTCATAAGGAACACCTGGAGAGCTTTGTAAAAACAAAAACTAACACCTTCCCAGACCCTAATGCAAGACTATGGAAGAAGAAACTTCAAGGGGGAGCCCAGGAATCAGAATTCTTTATGAGCCTCACAGAAGCCTCTGATCAGCAGCCAGTTTGGGGATCAAGAGACTTACCCTGTCATGATCCCCTTTCCAGTAGCTTTGGGTGAACTTGGCTGCTACAATCTCATTCTAAAGATGAGTTTAATATCTGCCCATGCTGTGTCAGAGGTTAGTAATGGGCAAGTCAGTTTGTAGACAAGAACACATTTGGACCTTATGGGGTGAGCTATAGACCCTGTCATAGGAAGATGAGAGTGTAAACAAGAAGTGTTTGTGTGTTTGAATCAGTTACATTTACTCATCATCTAAAAAGCTCACACACACAAAACTGTGCCAGGCACTTTGCTAATAAGACCCGCATGTGGATTAACTCACAACAGTAGTACTACAATCATACAGACAATGAAATCATGGCATAGAGAAGTGACACAGCTTACCTGAGGTCATACCCTGCTAGGTTGCTGGTGCTGTAAGTAGCCAGACACAGGTTCCGGGGACTGTGCTTTGTGGAGTACTCTACTGCCTTTTCTCATAGCAAGCAAGAAGGGATAGCCAGAACTTCCACTGTTATTGCCAGACATTAGGGCATTGCGGTGGACTTCATGGAAATGTTCATGCATGAGAATTCCTTATTAGAGGTGTCTATGCCATTAATGAATGGACAAATCAGTCATTTTTAGGACATTGATTTGATTCTGTCTTTGGGGGAATGTGTGGACCTATCAAACACACAATGACAGGTTGTCTTATTATAAGGGCCTCTCCCTCCCTTGCTTCTCTAAGGTGGTGGTATGTAGAGTTATGTAAATGAGAATGAGGTTTTCTTCCTCCACGCCCCTTCATCTTTATGTTGGCATGAGAGCTCAGGTGATGCGAACTGTCTTTGTCTCTTCTTACATCTGGCCCATAATCATTCACATTTGCCTCCCTCCCCCACATTCATCTGCTCAGTCTTCAGAGGATGTTTGTGTGTGGGAATTTTTTTTTTTTTTTTTTTTGAGGTGGGGTCTTGCTCTGTCACCCAGGCTAGAGTGCAGTGGCGCCATCTCGGCTCACTCCTGCCTCCACCTCCCAGGTTCAGGCGATTCTCCTGCCTCAGCGTCTCGAGTAGTCGGACTCCAGGCGTATACCACCACGCCTGGTGGATTTTTGTATTTTTTTTTTCTTTAAATTTTTGACACGGAATCTCACTCTGTCACCCAGGCTGGAGGGCAGTGGCACGATCTCGGCTCACTGCAAGCTCTGCCTCCTGGGTTCTGGCCATTCTCCTGCCTCAGCCTCCCGAGTAGCTGCGACTACAGGCACCCCCCACCACGCCCGGCTAATTTTTTTGTATTTTTGGTAGAGACGGGGTTTCACTGTGTTAGCCAGGATGGTCTCGATCTCCTGACCTCATGATCTGCCCGCCTCGGCCTCCTAAAGTGCTGGGATTACAGGCGTGAGCCACTGCTCTGACCTCATTTGTGTTTTAAAGCTTGCTCACATCCCTGATGCCACCTTTGTCCACTCTGCTCATTTGAGGCCGACACAAACCTCAGGACAGACTTATCAAGGCTGCCTCGTATGGAGCTGTAGAAGGTTTTAAAGACTGCCCCAAGAGAGGGGAACGTCAACAGAGTTCATGGCAAAATATGTAGTGATTTGAAGGAGGGAAGTCTTGCTTTTTGGGGCTCTCTAATCTGATTTATTTGGCTTGGTCTAGCGATAGCCTTGCCTTTAAGTCTGTGAGTATCTTAAATGGCAACACGGAATTGTGGGCTACTACAACACTTCTGCCAAGGACTGTCACTTTTGGTTGGACGTTTGAGTCCAGGAGAACGTCCTGATCCTGGGGTCCTGAATAGATTTAATTTGCAAAGCCAGGAGAATGTTGAAGTCCTGGGTCTGCATTTGGTTTGTTCACATGGATGTTTGTGGTTAGACTCTGAGTTTGTCTGTGTTATCTCCCAATTGTCTTGCTTTCCTTTTATTTTGACAGTATAATATACTATAACTGTCTCTGCTGTAAGTTCTTCCTGGAACACCCCCTGCCTGGGACTGGGGCCTGAGACAAGAAAGGCAGCAGATTGGACAGTGATTCCAGGCATGATCTAGGAAGTGGGAGTGAAGTAGGGGGCGAGTTAGACAGGAAAAGAGGAAAAGTCAATTGAGGTGAGATATCGTGGTCACTTCTGTAGGCAGAGGCAGCTGGATTCTGCCTCTGAGAAGTCTATACCGTGCTGAATTGGGACCGTGCTAGAAAGTACACGGTGTTGGAAGGAAATCTGAGCTGGCCAAGAAGATGTGATGTGGCACCAAAAGTCTTTTACGCGACCCCGAGTGGTTAAAGGACCATCCTCCCTACCTGTCTTGACTCCGGGATGGCCTTGTATTTAGTCAGCACTGTGGTGCGTTACATTTAGGTTCCTTAATTTCCCATTTCTAGGACAGGCAGGATGATAATGGGTGTGGAAACACCAGCACTTATCTCTTGAGATGGTGTGATTGTGATCTTTTACTTGTACTAGTGATTGAGGCACAAACCAATAGCCTATTTATGGGCAGATGTGTATTTTGTAGGGAAGCCAGCATTTTGTGAATCTGATAATCTGATAACACATTTCAGTGTAACTTGATATTCCAGAATTTTCAGAAACTCGCCCTTCTAGGTGAAAGCTCTAAGATGAATCATTAATGTGCTTTTCCCAATATAGTGAGGCTCTGGTGTATTGGTATTCTTCACATAATTAAATATCATTGCTCTGTTTAGAAGACCAGCTTCCCAATGCAATGGATGAATAACATTTTCTTTTAAAATTTTCTCCTTCTGCTTTCTGTATTATCCTTTTTCTCTTACTCTGGGAAATGTCAGCCTTTCAAAATAGTAGAGTGTATAGGTCACAGAGAAGTTGCAGAAATAAGTAAGATCAGCCAAAAACATGGTGCATTTTTTTTTTTCCATCTGACAACTCTGTAGTGATATATGAAAGGAAGCCCACAATTTGCAGATCACTCAGTGGGAAACTCATACTTTTTCTCCTAACTAGCCAGTGGGTAAATAATACCTATGGTTCAGTTCTTACATTTTGGTTATGCAAATAAATCTGAGCCTTAAACCTATTGATTTAAAATAAAAATCTTTAATAAGCCAGAATTCCCATTGCTCCATCTAGATTGCAGTTTTAGTATGTCAGGATCTTGGCGGTTAAGTCAAAGTGGCTAACTTTCAACATGAGGAAACTGAAGTCTAGAGATATTTTCCATTTTTTTTCCAAGTTAATGACAAGAACTCCTGGGCTCTGCTTCCAGTTTAGTGAATCCAGCAATATTGCTATTCCAGTTAGAAAAAATGAAACACAAAACTGTGTGTGAAAATTTTGTGTATGTGTTTAGGTTGACAAACACCCAGATAAAGAAAATTCCGGCTTGTCTACGCGGCAAGCCTCAAATTTGGCTTTGAGTCCCAGCTCAGTTGACTAGCTTCATAACACTGGGTAGCTCATAGACTTTTCCCAGACTGTCTCCAGCTCTCTATTTCTCCGTAATTCCCCATCTCCCCATCAGCCTTCTGACTTGTCAGAGGGGAAAGGTAATGTATACTCCATTGGGCAGTGTCAAGGAAAAGCATGCGAGAAGTCCACGAGAGTTCTCTGTAAGCCTCACATGCTTACCCACATGCCATGGGGTGTTTGCCTCAGGGAATTCATGTCCACAGAACTTGGCCAGCTTGATCAGCTGTGGAAGTTTGATCAGCTTCCCAAAGGGCACAGTATGGTGAATTTTACCAGAGGTCCCAATGATGGAAGATGATGCCACAGGATTAGATTAGAAATGTTATTTTTTTGGCGGGGGTGGGTGGGGGTAAAGCAAGTCAGCATGATAAGGAGTTGTGAAGTTACAAACTAATGACAGAAAAATCCATGTAAACTAATCCACTAAACACATAACCATTAATTACAGCTCACAACCTCCCTTCACGTTTGCCTCTGTTCTCTAATTTGGGGTGCTTGGTAAATCTCTAGTCTAGAGTAGCATTTTAGTCTTGCGGTCCTTGGCCGTAGACAGAGTTTGGCCTCTTCTCCACTCACCTGGGAGCCTTACCTTTCATACATACATGCATATATATATGAATAGATATGCACATATATATCTATTCATATATATATGCATATATATGCATATATATGAATATATATGTATATATGAATATATGCATATATATGCATATATGTATGACTATATGTATGAATATATGTATGAATATAAGTATGAATATATATAAAAATATATGAATATTTATGAACATATATATGAATATATATGAATATATATATATTTATTTATTTTTGAGACAGGGTCTTGTTCTGTTGCCCAGGCTGGAGTGCAGTGGCGCAATCTCAGCTCATTACAACCTCTGCCTCCTGAGTTCAAGTGATTCTGCTGTCTCAACTTCCCGAGTAGCTAGGATTACAGGCACCCACCACCACGCCTCACTAATCTTTGTACTTTTAGTAGAGATGGGGTTTCACCATGTTGGCCAGGCTAGTCTCAAACTCCTGACCACGAGTGATCTGCCCGTCTCGGCCTCCCAAAGTGCTGGGATTACAGGTGTGAGCCACTGTGCCTGGCTTGAACCTCCGCACATGGCCCATATTTTATATATGCTTAATATCATCTTGGATGACCTGTGCCTACCCATCTTATTTATGTTTGCTACAGTTTTGGGAGGGAAGTGGTCTTTTTATCATTCCCATTTTCCTTCTAAGGAAACTGAGCCTTGGAGAAGAAGCTATGAACAGCTGAGCTTGGGTAGCAGCTTTCTATGTTGCCCCAGAAACAGTGCAGAAACTCACCAAAACTGCACCTTGCACACCTGAGCCCCAGCACCCTGCAGGACACGTAGTACGTGCTCATGAAAACATGGTTGATTTACATGTCAAGTCTGAGACTTGATAGAGACCAGCATTTCATGTCTTGTGAAGATGCAAATACAGGTCAATGTTAGAAGTGATGTAGCTGGAGAAGACATTTCTAGAAATTTTGTTTTTGTTACAAAAGTACAGCACAGAAAAGTAGAAGGGAACAAAGTCTGTCTTCTTACTATTATTACTTTAGTGTGTGTTTCCTTCCAAAAATTTCCCCCTGGGTTTAGATTTATTTTTATGTATTTCTAATCTGCATATGTATATTTTTATATCCTGTTTTTCATTTATCTTTAACAAAAAAAATTTTAATGGCATCTGATAGTCAACTGAATTGATGTATCACAGTTACTTAAACACTCCCTTTGTGGCACATTTAAATTTCCCACATTTAAATATAAATAACACTACTGTGAACATTCTTCTGCAAAAAGCCTTTTCTTCAGGGATTGATTCCCAGAAGTGGATCAAAGTGAATGAATAATTTAAGTCAATTACTTGAAATACTATAATCAAGGTTAGAAACACTGGAAAATAGGTTACTAAGGAAATTATGGAGTATTTTTATAGGAATCAAAATAAATAAAAGATTTAATTAACCATGTTATGCTGAGAAGCCTGTGTTCAGAAGGTGCTGAGCTCGTCATTTCCCACAGAGACAGAGCAGAAGAGTGGCTGGATGCTTCAGACCCCGTGTGAGAGTTCAGAGACCACGGGGGGCTTCCATTCTTGTCTTTTTGATTCAGTAAGATTATTCACTCAGGTGGTTTTCTGTACATCTTGTGTCAGTGGGATTGCCTGGTTTTCAGGATGGACTAAGGCTCGAGATGACTCATCTGTTATCATTCGGACAGGCAACTTCTTCCCTTGGTTCCAAGTATCGCGTTGCTGAGACAGCCTTTTGCTGCCACTGCCATAAGATGCGTCCCTTTCAAGAATCTTCTATCTGTCAGCTTTGCTGCAATAGCAGCACCCAAAGTCTCAGTGACTTATGCTGCAAACTTGCATTTCTTAATCATTTCCATGTAAGCCAAGGTTTGGTGGTGGCCTTTTCCACATGAGATCTCATTCCAGGTTTTAGGCAGAAGGAATAGCTCCTCTCCTAGGACCACTGGGCAGAAATGAGGCCAAACCAATTGTGCACATGGAAAGTTTCTGCGCAGGTACAGTGATGTCATCTCCACTCACTGTTGACCAGAGCAAGTCACACGGCCAAGTCCCATAGTGGGCAGGATGTATACATCCCCTACACAAAGGTGCTGTGAATCACACAGCAAAGGTAGGGGTGTGAGGTTGAGAGCAATTGATGTGAGCAATGATACACACTTCTGCAGGCCTACTGGGAATTGGCCTCCTTGTTTTCTTTTGACGACCACTCATCGCCTTCTGTACCGTAGCATAGAAACCTCAGAATCTGGCTCTGTGCGTGAACTGCATTGACCATGTGGCCCAGGATGGCTTTCAGTGCATGGGCCATGGGTTGGACAAGCTTGGTCAAAGTAGTTCATGCACAGAGCCCAAAACAAATTTGTAAACTTTCTTAAAATAATACAAGATTGATGTACAGACCTCTTTTTTTAAAAAAAAAAAAAAAAAAAAAAAAGATCATCAGTATCGTTAGTGTATTTTATGTGTGGCCCAAGACAATTCTTTTTATTCCAGTGTAGCAAAAAGATTGACACCCCCGACTTTGACTCTAGCATGAGAGAATTTCTGGAAACAAAGGGTTTGCTAACATAGTACATGACCAACCTGGTCTTGGGCCTCTTCATTCTTGTGACAGGTGGCATTTTCTGAAGATAACCACAACCATAGCCCCCCTCCACATGTTGTTCTACAATGCTACCTTGTCACTCCTCCATCAAGAGGTGGCGTCTTGTCCCCTTCTTCTTTAACCTCAGCAAGCCTATGGCTTACTTAAGGGCTGCAGAATGCCCTGGAAAGACGCGGCATGCTTCCAAGGCCTTGGAGCTTCTGCCTGGTTTGAGTGGAGCACTGGCTCGGGGAAAGACAGCCCGCCTGCTACAGGAAGCCTGGCTACACCCAGGGGTGTTGGTTCAGCACTCTGGTTGACAGTTTCAGCTGAGCATGGCCTTCTAGCCATCCCTGCTCAGGGACGAATCATCTTGGCTTTCAGTCCTTGTTATCATTCCTCTTGGATTGAAAGTCCAGGGAGAGTGTCTGATGGGCCCAGCTTGGGTCAGGGGCCTGGGTTCCAGGTGGGGTGCAGTGACTGTCAGTCCTCCCCTCAGGGAGAATGGAGCTTGGAGGGAGCATTGAGGCCCATTACCCATGAAGCGGGAGGATGAATGCAGGTCAGGCCCTGCAAGTGTGCAGCACAGACAGTGCCTGAGTCAGTGCTGGAAAATGCAGATCTAATCATCTTCATCATTTTCAAAGCTGTCAGGGGCTCTGCATGGTTTTTCGCAAGAACGTTTATACAGCTTACCTTATTAGCACGTGAAGCTCCACAGGGTTGGGTCTCACTCTCCCTCCTACTCAGCTTCCCAGCTGGATCCGTCGTGGAACCTTCACTCCAGCTTTTCTAGGGCATTTGTAATTTCTTGGAGGGGGAAAGAATCTACTTGGCTTTGAAAGATTTTGGTGTAATCCATGTGCTGATGATTCCTGAGTCATGTTTGAATCTAAACTCCTGTTCCAGCTCCCTTCTCAACACCACCACTTGGATGTCTAACACACACATCCCACACTTACTGCGTCCACAGCTGCACTCCTGATCTTTTCTGCCCCCAGACCTGCTTCTCCTACAGTCTTCCCTGTCTCCAGAAATGGTAACTGTATCCTTTGCTTTTCTCAGGTTCAAAGCTTCAAATCATTCTTGGCTCCTTTGTTTCCTACCACGCATTAACAAGACTTGTCAGCTGTGCCTTCAGAATATATCCCTGAACAGACCAAAACTCAGAATCAGAAATTGTCCAGACTCACACTTCAGTACTATATCCTGATCCATATCATCATTTGCCACATCCTTACCTGCCTGGATATCCATGACATCATTTGCCACATCCTCACCTGGCCTGGATAGTCATGATATTGTTTGTCACACCTTCACCTGGCCTGGATAGTGCCACAGCCTGCACGCTGCTCTCCCTGTTTCTGCCCTTGGTGAACAGTGGTCCTGTTAAAACATGCCACATCATGTTGTTTCCAAGTTTGTGCGCCCTGTGGCTTCCCATCTTTGTAAATGCCTAAATCCTGACAACAGCTCTAAGACCTTATATGATCTGCCTTCACCATTCTCCCTCTTTCTTACTCCCCTTTGGAGTTAAGAGGGTTCCATCTCAGCGCCTGAAGCTGCTTCTCCCTATACCTGCATGGCTTGCCCCCAGAACAGTGCCTGGCACAAGGTGCAGTGGAAATGTGCGGGATGAATGAATTCTGGCGTGCCTTTGGACTTGCCTTCCTTTTCCCTGGAACATACTTTTCACTCCTCTTTATCAAGTTAATTTCTTTGGTTTGTTCAAAGTCAGCTCAATTCTCAGCTTCTCTAGGAATATGTATTTTTTTGAGACAGAGCCTTGCTCTGTTGCCCAGGCTAGAGTGCAGGGGTGCAGTCTCAGCTCACAGCAACCTCCACCTCCCAGGCTCGAGCGATTCTCCTGCCTCAGCTTCCTGAGTAAGCTGGGACTACAGATGTGTGCCACCATGCCTGGCTAATTTTCATATTTTTATTAGAGATGGGGTTTCACCATGTTGGCCAGGCTAGTCTCGACCTCCTGACCTCAGGTGATCTGCCCACCCTGGCCTCCCAAAGTGCTGAGATTACAGGCATGAGACATTGCGCCTGGGCCTCTAGGAATATTTTTGTGTGATTTAAATGCCCCCTTTCTCTACTTGGAGGAAAAGGGCCATGTTTTGTCCTCGTAGCTAATGCACAGCAGGTTTATTTGCAAATGGTAGACATTCGGTGTTTCTTCATGTTTCATAGGTTGTATCTGCACACACACAACTACAAAAACCATGATCAGCTTCTCTAAGAATATTTTTTCCTAAAGCAGGCTTCTATTCCCCATCCGTGTTCAGCAAAAGCTGTTCACTCTCTTTGGGTATCTGCCTGGATATATTCCATGCATAGACAAGCAGTTGTACCTTCAGCAGATATTTAAGAAAAAATTGGAATTGGTGCAGCTAATTGCCCTGACATTGAAAATACTTGCATGGTTTACTTGAAATAAACAGTTGGCTAAAGTAGCAAGGTTTTTAGATGTCCATATTCTCCTGAGAAGCAGGTTTACCCTGAGAGTACCTTTAAAATCTTTCAAAACAGCCACTGGTTCCCTTATTCCCTCAGCAGCTGGAATGCACTGAATTCCGGCCAGTCTGCCTTGGATCTCATGGGAGCCTGTAGGACCCGTGTTCCCTGCGCTGCCGCTTCTCCTGCCTTGTTCTATCATCACCTCTTCCAGCGTCCCTGCAGGTGCCTTCTCCTGGTCTCCCCGCTTCCACCCATGTCCCTCTTTGGTCTTTTCTCAAAAGAGCAGCCAGAGTGATCCTTTTTGAATGTGAGTCAGGTTGCGTCTCCTGACTTTGCAGAGTCCTCCAGTGGTGCCCTGCCATCCTTAGTGGAAAAACACAAGTCCTTGTGGTAATGGCAAGGCCCCTGGGTTCCAGCCACGTTGGCCTCGTTGCCGTAGGTTGAGCATGCTGGGTTCTCTCCTGCCAGGAGCCTTTGCACTCACTGTCCCTCTGCCTGGAGTGCTCGTCCCCAGGTGGCTGCAGAGCTGACTCTCCCATCTGGTAGGTCTTTGTTCAGATGTACCCTCATTAGAAAGAAGTGTGAGTACTGGATATAAAGTAACAGCACCCCCCCCCGCCTTGTTCTCCCCTTTTTTCTGCTTTGTCTCTGTATATAATGTACAGGGTGTTCATGTGTTCATTGCCTATCCCCATGTGAGCTCCACAAGAACAGGCAATTGCTGTCCTGTTCATGCCAAATCCTTGCCCTGGAACACAAGAATCAGTGTTTTGCTGATTAATTGGAAGACCTTGGGCCACGAGTCTCCGCATGCATTCCCTGTGCAGTGTACATTGGAAGCAGAGATCTTGGGTAGGGTTTGGCAACCTTTAGACGGGCTGTTCCCTGTTCCTTTCTTTCTATCCATTCCCCTCCACCCTGAAATGTGAAACCTGGAAGCCCCAGGAAAATGGCCCTGGGAGCCTAGGCCGGGAAGAGGCCTCTCAGGCTCAGGTCAGTGTATCTCACTGTCCAGACCTTCCTTAAGCTTGGCAAGCCCCAAACAGACTCACTACCGGCTCCTCACTTCCTGCTCTTGGATGCACCGCTACCTCTTCCTTTGTGTCCAGTCTCAAAATTGGGGTTGTCCTTGTACCCTTCTCCTCCTCTGCCTGTGTCCAGTCAGTCACCGAGTTCTGCCAGTTCGATCTTCTTGGTGTCTTTCCATCTTGATTCTTTTCAGCTGTCATGGCCCGTGCGTAGAGTCATCAGTTTGCTTTCGTGGCCATTGACATTGTCTTCCAGGCTATTCCCCTCCCTCTAGTTCTTACCCTTCAGCCTTCCCAATCCCAGCTGTAGTCAGGAGGGTCTTTGCAAAGCCCAGATCACATCATGGGTCTCCTTTGCTTAAAATGCTGCAGCGACTTCCTGTCACCACAAAGGTTTCCCCAACCTCAGACCTGTGTGTTCCAACTTGGTGATCCTGCCCTATCTGTGTACTAGCTATCCTATCCTTTTATGAACTTAATATTTATCTCAATATAATCATATTCATTTTTTCCCTAAGCAACAATATCTCTGCCATCATGGAGCGATGGTCTTTTTTTTCTGAGGTACATTAAAATATGTAACTATTAAATACAACAGGTTTTGGTCTGTATGCCGTCTAAGATCCGTTATGTGTACCATGGGTGATGCACCTGCCATCTTGAGGGAGCTTCCAGGACACACAGGGCCTTTCTTTGTGGCCACTGCATTGCTGCTCCCCTGGGGCCAAATGCTCCAGGAACAGCATCTCCATTTTGAACTCCTGCTGAAATAGGGCCCCACAGTGCTGTGTCTTTATGCTTTAGTCCATAAAATTTCCTCTGCTCTGTCTGGAGTAACCTCCAAAGCCTTCTAGTTTCTCTGCTTCATGATTCCTGTCCATTGTACACCCAGCTTAGATGTCGCACTACAGAGCCATCGTTTCTTCCTGTTCTGTCCTCACAGGTTGTGTTTTATCACTCTTAGTTCTGTCTTCATTTTATTCCTTGTCCATTGCCTATTTTCACATTCACAAGTGATGGACTGTCCTATAGTGATTTCCAGGTTTCCTATCCTAGATTCGTGCTCTCTGGAGGCTGGGTATAGATTTTGTTTGCCTTAGCCTCAGGGCTTGACATGTAGAACTTAAAATGTGAGTGACTGAATTTTCAAGTCACTTTCTAAAATGCAGATACCCTGGTGAAGCGGTCGCTGTGGCTGGAGATAGGTTGATGTTAGATGAAAACAAGAGAGAGACTGGCATGTAGACCTGGGGCTTGGTGGGCTCCCTGGAGGGAAGGAAATGGCGCATTGATTGGTGCAGGTACCAAAGGCCTGATGTGCCTTCACATAGTTTCCTAGAGCAGTCCCTGTTAGTCCACATAAATTGACCCCATCTTGAGGAGTGGCTTGGGCAACGGCCCCTCTGGTGAGCCTGTGTATTTTCAGCCCAACCTTTAGAACTGTACTGTCCAGTATGGTAGTCACCAACTACATGTGGCCATTTGGTTTTTAATTAAAAGAAATTAAAATTTCATTTCTTCAGTTGCAGTAACCACATTTGCAATACTCAGTAGATACCTGTGGTGAGTGGCTACCATATAGAATAGCATCCATCATCACAGAAAATGCCCTGGGTCTGCTCTGCTCTAGAGACTAATCATTTAACAAGTTCCTCATGCTGACTTTTGTCCCTAAAGTAGATGCCAGAAATAAAGTCCTATCTAAGTGGGATTTCAGTTGGTTGGGTTCTGTTCAGCTTGTGTATTATTACAGGTGTAAACCACAGGTCATTTGTTGAGGAAGGAGAGGTTTTAATGGTTGCAACTTGAGGAAGTGGAGGCTCTTACCATGGAGAGGGTAGGGAATGCTTGTGTGGAAAGTTGTGGTCTGAGTGACTGTCCCTGGTCCAAGTCAATCTCACCCGCTCCACAAACACAGCAGGTAGATGAAGATAGAGGAGAGAGATGGGAAATGGATGGAGAGAGAGGATGAGGGGCTGGAGTTCAGGAGAGTTGAGGGAAGAAATGAGGTGATGATGAGTACAAACATGAAGGGAAGTGGGGGAGTTCCAGAAGGAGGAGAGGAGAGAGGCATTGATAGTGACGGATTGAGGGAGGGGTGGAGTCTTAACCAGATGGTGCCGGTTTGGCTTCTGCATGATAGACAAGAGAGAATGGCTCACAGCCATTCCTTGCTCACTTTCTCCT
This sequence comes from Homo sapiens, assembly GCF_000001405.40. Lineage (NCBI taxonomy): Eukaryota > Metazoa > Chordata > Mammalia > Primates > Hominidae > Homo > Homo sapiens. The sequence continues at coordinate 134,508,555 of NC_000002.12, read as the reverse complement.
TTTATCCTGCCTCCAAGATGAGCTTCCTCTGTGGCTTTGTTTGAAATGTCAGAACACACGGAGAGAAAGAGGGCTTAGCTGGAGAAAACCAGCATTAGGAATTGTGCAGTCATAAGTACCGTGTTATATGCTCACACCACTTAACTCTTTTATTTTTCATTATTTGCTTCACATTTGAGCACTGTCTCAGATTACAAATGCTTTGGAGACCAGAGTGAAAGGTGATACATAAAACAATTACACGTTAAACTGTGGGATGAATTGGTTAATCACCAGGGCTACTTTATGTTTAGATCTATCGTAAATTAGAGGGTGATTGGAGAAGCTTCTCTTGTTTGGCTCTTTTGATCTGATAGGAAGTAACCTAGAATTGGTAGGCTAGGACTCAGGCAATTTTAATGTGAGCCACAGGCCTTTAAACCTACAGATGACAAGGGGCCAAAGTTTCGATCTGACAACATTTTGTGTATGAGTGTCTGTCAGTAGGTTTTGCCCTTATAACTTCAGAATCAAAAACTGATGCTTCTAGAGATTTACAGTACTGTGCACAGTTAGCAATTTGGATCCTTTAGCAGAATAGAAAAAAAAAGGAGGCTTTAACTACCTTTAATCATTTCTTTGAAGTGGCTTGTTAACCATTGCTTCCTTTCAGACATTAAGTGTGTCTGTGTGTGTGTGTGTCTGTGTGTGTGTGTGTGTGAGACAGGGTCTCTCTCCATCACCCAGACTGCAGTGCAGTGGCACGATCATGGCTCACTATAGCCATAACCTCCTGGGCTTAAGCAATCCTCCTGCCTCAGCCTCCTGAATAGCTGGGACTACAGGCACACACCACCATGCCCAGCTAATTTATTTTTTGTGGAGGTGGGGTCTCTGTGTTGCCTAAGCTGGTCTCAGACTCCTGGCCTCAAGCAGATCTGCCTGGGCCTCTGAAAGTGCTAGAATTACAGGTGTGAGCCACCACACCCGGCCTATTCAGTGGTTCTTAAACTTGAGCGTACATCAGAATCACCTGAAGGGCTTATTAAAACACAGATTGAGGGGCCACGTCCCCAGAGTTTCTGATTCAGTAGGTCTGGGGTGGACTCACTCAGAATTTGCTTTTCCACCAAGTTCTTATGTGACGCGGGTGCTGCTGATTCGTGGACCACACTGTGACAACCACTGATCCGGTGGGTATTTATTTATTTATTTATTTATTTATTTATTTATTTATTTAGAGGTAGAGTTTCGCTCTTGTTGCCCAGGCTGGAGTGTAGTGGTGTGATCTCAGCTTACTGCAACCACCTCCTCCCAGGTTCAAGCGATTCTCCTGCCTCTGCCTCCCAAGTAGCTGGGATTACAGGCATACACCACCATGCCCAGCTAATTTTGTATTTTTAGTAGAGACGGGGTTTGTCCGTGTTGGGCAGGCTGGTCTTGACCTCCCGACCTCAGGTGATCCACCCACCTCGGCCTCCCAAAGTCCTGGGATTACAGGCGTGAGTCACTGCACCCGGCCGGGAATTTAAATTTGGTTTCAGTCTGGGTTGACTGGGGGATTATGCTGAAGGGGTACATCTCCCTTGCCTCTTTCTGATCCATGAAGTTCTCCCCCAGAGTTGGGGCAGGAGGGAGGAGTCTATATTCTTTTTAGTGACCTGGTTCCTCAATGCCCTTGTTACTGGCCAGGCCAGCCTTTCTGGGTTGAGGCCAGGGATTGCTGATGGAGCAATTACCCTTTGGCCCCCACCCGTCTCTGGTCCCCCAAGCCTGGAAGCAGCTCATACTTGCAGATGCATAAGCAGTCATATTTGCACTGTTTGCTCCTGACTCAAATCTTCACAGCATCCTGGAGACCACTAGTCCCAGGGCAGTGGTGGTGTGAGCACGTGATGTGGCTGCCCAGAGCTTTCGTGTGGCTGGATGGTTGAGCAGGGCTGGCTGTTAGGAGGGAGGCAGTTGAATGGGATTCTATTTCTGGGTGGACTTCACAAACTCCTTGAGTGACCTTAGGCAAGCCCGCTAATCCTTGACTCCTCCATTTTTAAACACTAGTGTTTATAAAACACCTCTCTCCCCACCCCTCATCCATAAAATAGCAGAAAAACAAAAACCTGGGTCCGGTGAGTGGCCTCCAGGGGACTGATGAGCTGATGTGTGGAGCTCTGAGTGCTAGAGGAGAAAACTGCTGTGTAAACACAATAAATATTAATAAATCGTTAAAAAATAGCACCGTGCCCTCCGCTAATAATAGCTGCTTTGGGCTGTTGGAGACACTCTGACATACAGGCTCCCAGCAGTGTGGAAGGAGGGGTGACTGTGGGTTTTGAATCTGTAACACATTTAAAAGATGCAAATGAGTTTTTGACACATTTTGGAGTATATTCATAGGTATATTGGTGAAGAAAATAGGATTACAATTCTGTGAAATTCAACTTTAATAAACCAAATCACAAATTTCTTTTGATTTTCATTATATTTCAGAGCTGCCTTACCGTGTGGGCTATTCCACGGGCATTTGGCTGACGTGTTGGGAGTCTCTTTCCTCCTCCCATCCCCAGTGGTAAATGGTTGATGCCTCCTCAGACTCCATGGGGGGAGCTTACGATCAGTCAGGGATGAATCCATTGATGTTCGATCCACTCTACTGCATGAGGAGTACCTGCTACATGCTATGTAGTTTTTGCCTTTACAGAATTTATAGTGTAATTTTGAGTAAAGATAAGTAAGCAATAAATTACCTACGAAGCCCTTGCATCCTTCACACTCATCTCCTTAGGTAAATGTAAACAGAATCCATATCCGCCTTTTGTGCGTGATGGAGGCGTGGCTGCAGTGAGCTGGTGAGAAGCAATTCCGGCATTATCACCACTGTTCCCTGTCAGAAAGAAGCAGGCATTTGTTCCTTCCTTCCCCCAGAGGAGTATGGAGATGGAAGCTCCCTTGGGGATATGGTGACAAATTGCGTGTAGAGTATAGCACGCAAGTTGTGGCTGCCCTACTTGATTTTCAGGGAGTGAAAGCTGGTTGACAAACAAATGCACTACAAGGCCTATTAGGTCCCACGAGACCCCCTTCCTTCCTCCCCAGCTTGGATGTCGCTTCTATCTCAGCCTCTGTTCCAGGGAGTCCTGTGTTGTCACCTCACAGTGGAAGCTTCCTAGGGACAGGGCCCCACCTGACTCTAGGCCGGACATTCTCAATCCTGTGTACACAAGAATTGCCTGCGGAGCTTTTAAACAAATGCAGAGGCTTAGGCTCACCCCTGGAAATTCTGATAAAATTGAACTGGAGTGGTGTCCAGGAAACTTTAAAAAAAAAAAAAAAAAAAAAAGGAATTCCCCAGGTGAGTACAATGTGCTCTCAGTGCTGGGAAGTGCTGAGTTGATGACTGAAGTTACCTGAAAAGGTTAATTGAAGAGTGAGTCTCTGTGAGTCACTCAGGAGTTTTGTGAATGGAGGGAAGGACCACATTGCGAAACTTACCTTGGAGGCCTATCCTGATTTTAGGCTCTTCTCCTGTAATGGGACCTCTCATGCACATGTGCTCATAGGGAGGAATGGTTACTCCAGGTCCCTGGCACAGCTGGTCCAGAACTGTCTTCCAAACAGGAGGCAAGTGCTTTGGGAGTGATGATTCCCAAGCCCTAGGAATCCCTGCTCTTGCTACAGTATGTAGTCATTAAAGGGCCCTCCAGTAGGTTCACCTCATTCCTCCAGGACTCTATCATGGCCCCCTCTGTCCCTGATTCCAGCGTTAGGACTGTGGTTCCCAGCCCCAGGCGCACTGTCACACACAGGCAGCACATTAGCACCTACTTATTGCCTGAATTGTCTCTTCTGCCCCTGGTGGATCATGGGGCCACGTTGCTCACAGCATTCATGTAGGTTCTGTAGGATGGCAACTTCTTTCCCCTGTTGACGTTGGTGATCAAACCCTGAACTGTATGCTCCTAGAGGTGACTTACTGTCAATCCTTGGTCTAGGGGTGGTCACCCTGGGGGTGTGGCAAGTTACAGTTGAGTCCATTCCCAGGTTGTGTCCTTGTCACTGTCAATTGTGCGGACTTTTCAGCAGTGTGGAGTTCTCCCAGGTAAGATCCTCAATGTTTCATTTTTTTTTGCAGAGCCTGTGTCCCTTGGGGGGTGATGTTCCTTCCATCATCCATGTGTATATTCATTTGCTCAAGTCTGTGCTGATTCCTAACCCATTCATTCCTTTTCCTTCCATCTCTGTTCTTTTTTGTGTTTTGCTCCAACCTGCGATGATTCCGTCTTTGCTTTTGAAGGAATAAAACCTACACCACAGTGTGACTTAGAAGCTGAGTGGAATCCAAGCAGCCTCGCTTACCTGCTTTTATTCCTCACTCCTAAATGTGGAGGATGGGGTCTGTTCACAGGTTTACTGGGTTATAAGTAGGTGCCACTTCAAAATTAGGTGAGCAATTTGGGGCCATGCTGTTACTCTAGAGAAGGGACTCCACGGTGGATAATAAAACGTGATTTTGTTTGATAGTTGGAGCAAGATTGCTCAGGAGGCCACCAAATGGTGGAGACATCAAGCTGGGACAGGAATGATCTCAACCTCACTGTAGTCACTCTTGTATTTTTTATCTTTTTTCTCCCTCTTCATCTGATATTTTAACCCTTGTAATGGTATCATTTCCTCATGCCTACCTTCATCTTCCGTCACTCTTCATTTTTCCATCCTGAGATTTGTTGTGTCTGGGTTGTCAGAGACTTTTCCTATGTCCTGAGTCCCATAGCCTTCTTTGCCAGTCCCCATGCCACACCCCCAGCTGTGTGTCCTCTCACTTCACCCTTGGCCTCACTGCACACCTGCTCCTGCCTCCGCCTGTGCTGAGTGTCTTGGTTGACCTTCTCCTTTCTTACCCCTCATTTCTGCCTTTTAGAGTTTCTCTTACCACAAACTCCTGTCTTGTCATTACCAAATCATTTCTCCTTTTCATCATTGGGAAAATGCAAAGGGGTCTATCAACGTCATATCCAAAAGTGACAGAGTAGACTTTCCTTTGCTTAAGCTAACAGTAATGGCTTCCCATTTTATGTTTGGTGCATTGTCTCATTTCCTTTTTAGGTAGGGAATATATTCCCATTTGAAAGATGAGGAAATCAAGGCTAAGAGAGACAATAATCAAGATCACACAAGTTAAGTAAATGGTAGAGCTTGGCATGTCTCATGCCAGAGCCTCCATTCTGCTGTTAAACCATGTGCCTTCCCGTTTGAGCAGGAATGAAACATCACATTTGCCAGGCAAGGGAGAAAGATTTCATGGCCTTGAAGACCCTTCCATGACAGCATTCATGGTATGCTGTGAGCTTCTGTAGGATGGTGATCTCTTTTCCCTGTGGTTGACTTTGGTGATCAAACTCTGAACTGTATTCTCCTAGAGGTGACTTAGTGTCAATCCATGGACTGTGGGTGGTCACCCTGGGGGTGTGGCAAATTACAATTGAGTTCATTCCCAGATTGTGTCTTTGTCACTGTCAATTGTGTGGACTCTTCAGCAGTGTGAGTTCTCCCAGTTAAGATTCTCAATGTTTTGTTTTTTGCAGAGCCTGTGTCATCTTGGGGGTGATATTCCTTCTGTCATCCATATGTATAGTGGTCAAAGCCATCCATGACCTCTCAACTAGGCTGCTCCCAGAAGTGGTAAGGTCCTTCTTCTTCCTTAACAATCCTTCCTGCCAGCGCTGGCCCCCTGGGCTGCCTCTTATCGCAGGGTTCCCGGGTGGAGTCGGGCATGTTGAGAGGGAACAGACAACATTCTGGGGGTCAGAAGAACTTGTTGCAGGGATGCAAATGACCTGGTGGAGAGAAACACTGGGCAAGGTGAAGAGACTCCAGATAGGTGAGCTAGGACTGGGTTCTGTGTGCCTTTCCTTAGCTATTTTCACTATTTTTAAAGCAAGACTTTTTGTGTGTGTAAAGAGAAATTGGGTTATTTTTGTGAAGCAGAGTGATCCAATCTGTGTTGTTTGCATCTGTTGTTCTGTGTTCATTCAATGATCGTTGTATTAAGAATTATTTTTTTCCTTTGCACCTCAATTCAGTCATAAATCTATTCATGTTAGGTTTTCTGGCACAATTGACACTGGGATATTGAAACTGGAGGACACAAATTCATATTAAAATGTGTCTTTGACTGCTTTGTCCTCTGGGTGAGAGTCATTACCGGCACTCTGATTCTTTTTCCCTCCCTCCCCTTATGAGTGCTGAGAAAAGAAATATTTTTACAGCCTCCTGTCATGCAGTCTTCGTGACAGGCAGCTGATGTGGTTACCAGGAGATGAAGATGCTGCCATTACAATAATTCCCTGTGTACAAGTTGCAATGGAAATTTGAATGCAAAATCTGGTCTCCTCTTAGGATGTGATTTGATGTGAGCTTGGCTACATGCACCATCTGATATAAGACCAAAATGATTAGACCTTTAATTTTACTTTTGAAAAAAGATATTAATCCTTGTTGGGTGATGTATTGCATGTATGTGTGTTTGTGTGTATATGTGTGTTTTTATAGGGAAGATGAAAATGAGGTGAGACATTCTCCTGCATTTAGTAGAGGCATGAAAGTGGCTGCTTTAAGTTGTTTTCCTCACTCCCTTGTAAATGATTAGTGCCATCCCTTTAATGATCCACCAGGATTTTAACTGTTATTTATCACCACAGTTGGCCAGCGCTTACTCTCTAACATCTCAGTGACAGGGAGGAAAAATGGATATGGGGATAGGAATGTACCTATTTGTGGTATTTAGTCTTTTTCAGAAGCAGAGATAGCCCGAACAAATATTACCATTTATTACAGTCCTGTGCTCTTCATCTCCTACTTAACCAATCTCCCTGGTTGCCTGGCATATGGGACTCTCGCGTCCTCCTCCTCCATCAGACTTGCTAGCCTGCATTTCATTCAGTCAGAATCTGAACCTTAGGTAAGATATGAGGGCACCAAGTGTGATTATACATGTTAGATGTCAGTCAGGTAACGTCTACGTTTTATAGGCCTTGCAAATATGCCTCCACTCTGAGAAATGTTTGTTGGTGGGCATTTTCTGCACTATGCCAGTTGACACATTCATTTATTTGGCATTAAAAATTAATTTCCAGCAGGGCTCATGTGATAGGGGATGGATGGCTGTGCTCACGGCCCTTGTAATGGCTCTCCTTGTTATTCTCCCGATAGCTGAACCACTTTTAACTGGGAGCAATCTGTTATTATCCCACAGTGCAAATACTCTTAAGAGAAGCAGCTCACCGACTTACATTCCCCCTCAAGGTGTACATATCCAACACCCAGCCTCACCTGGGGTTCAGAGAAGCTGAAGATTCCATGGTTGCGCCTGTCCTTACAGAACCCATACCATCTGTACCTTTGATGAATTGTGCTATGGGATTGTAAACATTTAATTTACTTATTTTTTTAAATTGACAATAATGATAATTTATGGGGTACATAGTGATGTTTTGATACATATCATGTATAGTGACCAGATTAGGGTAATTAGTGAATTACCATATCCATTATCTCAAACATTTATTATTTCTGTGTTGGGAACATTCAGTATCCCTCTCCTAGCTATATAATATGTGATATATTATACAATTATAACCTATATAGTATATTATTGTTCACTCTAGTCATCCTATAATTGTTTAGAACACTAGAACTTATTCCTCCTATCTAGCTGTAATTTTGTATCCTTTAACAAGTCCCTCCCTTCCCCCTCCCCTCCCCAGTCTCTGGAATCCTCTGTTTTACTTTTTACTCTTACACAATCACCTCTTTCTAATTCGCACATGAGTGAAAACATGTGATGCTTGTCTTTGTGTGTCTGGCTTATCTCACTTAACGTAATGACCTCCAGTTCCATCCGTGTTGTAGCGAATGACAGGATGTCACTTTTTTTTTTTATGGCAGAATCGTATTCCATTGTGTATATATGCCACATTTTCTTTATCCTTTCATCCATTGTTGGTGTGGGATTTAAAAATCACACCCATTTATGGTCATCTCATCAGAACTCTGAAGAAGCGATGCCAGATGGTTTTGCTGGTGGTTTTGTTTAAGCCTTCAGAGTTGTTAACTAAGGAGCTTTCAAGCTGTGTGAGCTCCCATCTCCAGAGGGGAAGGCCTCCTCCTCGGCTGAGGGCTGAGTGGCCCACGGGGCCAGGTAAATGCTGCCAGGTGGCAGCTGACCGTGTCTGTCTCCATCCTGGGTCTTCTGGTTCCCTTGGCTAGAGGTTTATAGAAGCCAACAGGTGACAGCCAGGCCCCTGACCTCTGGCCTGCAGTAATCCAAAATGTGCATTTATTCACAATGCTTCATCTCAATTAGGAGTCAAACTCAAATGCTGGTAGAAGCCAGTTCTGAAGCAAAAATAGGAGAAACTGACCAGGTCTGTGGCAACTGGGGTGTGCGCACTTGGATGAAGGGCCTGGCCTCCTCTGGAGATATCATGCTGGAATGTGGGCTGTACGGAAGACTCATCATCATCATGTCTTCTGAGTGTTAAAAAGGAAGTGGAAACCTATGTTTAATGTGAGATAAACTGGCAACTAATTAAACATTTTTGAAAACTCTGGTTGAGAGTGGGTGGATAATTTCATGCAGGTTAAATAAAGCATGGCTCCTGGCTGCACATAGAGAGTTTGCTGCTTCTGCAGAAACCAGGCTGTGAGGGTAGGATCTGGGCAAAACCAGGGAGACCAGTGTTTAGGGCCTCTGTGTCACAGACTTAGCTCCGAGTGACACCTCCCCCTTAGTCTCAGTTGCAGAACTGCGTTTTACATGGGATTTCTGTCCAGCTGTGACTGTAGGTTCTGTCAGAAACAGCGTCTTCCCTTCCCCAGCCCTGTCCCTTGGCAGCCTTCTTTTTAGTTTCGCTGCACGGTTCTCAGAGTGGGAATAATTGCAGGAATGGGTGAGTTTTGAGTAAGAGAGCTGTGCAATTGGAATTTCCCAACTGTAAAGTTGGTTGACTCTGAGCCTCGTGGTGTTGCCTGCCCCTCAGGGTTTTGCTGGAGCAGTCAGGCCAGCTGGCTCTCTGGGGAACTGGAACAGGACCTGGGGACTCTGCTCCAGGGCTGTGTGGGCAAATGGCTACAGGCTGCTGCCTCCCAACCTGCAGGTGGTTCATGAAACAGATTCCGCAGAGCCGTCTCTGAAACTGCAGTTCTGGAAGCCGGGATGTGTGTGGCCTGTGCCACAATGGTAGTAATAGTGCTTTCCTTTTACCAATAGGCTGCTTAATTTTTGTTTGTTTTATTTTAGCATGAAAAGATAGTTTTAATCAAAATAAGCAGGTTCCAGAAACCCATGACACTACTGACCCTCTGCCTCCCCGACTGCATCTTTTTTATTTAGTTATTATATTTTTTTAATTAACAAGTAAAAATGGTATATCTTTATGATGTCTTAACCATTCCACAGTGATGCGTATATTAATATGGGTTGTTTTAAAAGAAGTATCTTGCTCTCCCCGTTTTTACCCCACCAGCCACGCCTGGCTTTGGTAAGAAGGGGCAGGTGGCAAGCTTATCCTTTGCTCGAGGACCCAGGGGCTCTGAAAGCTGAAGTGATCTTCCTGAGATCGTCAGCTGGGTGGCGGCAGAGCCTGGATTTGAACCTGGTCTCCTCGTCCAGGACTATCTTGGCCCTGGCACATGGGGCCTTTAGGATCCTGCTGCCCATTGGCTTTTTGGCTCCGGCCTCCTGTCTGTCTTCTCCCCACACTCCTGAGGGCAGTGCTGCCGAGGGCTGTCCCAAAGCAGGAGGATGTGCAGGCCCCCAGCTGGCTCTGCCTGTCCCTGGCCTTTCTGGCTACTCCTGCCACCTATGACCCTTTCCATATGGGCCCCTTCACTCTGTGCTGCTGACCAGGGTGTGCCTCCACTACCTTGTCTCTTGAAAGCCCACATGCTGGCTGGGCGTGGTGGCTCACGCCTATAATTCCAGCACTTTGGGAGGCCGAGACAGGCGGATCACCTAAGGCCAGGAGTTCGAGACCAGCCTGGCTAACATGGTGAAACCCCGTCTCTACTAAAAATACAAAAAAAATAAATAAATTAGCCAGGTGTGGTGGTAGCCTGTAATCCCAGCTACTCGGGAGGCTGAGGTGGAAGAATTGCTTGAACCAGATTGCACTCCAGCCTGGGCGACAGTGCAAGACTCCGTCTCAAAAAAAAAAAAAAAAAAAAAGCCCACATGCAAGTGCACCAAGCATCGGTGGAGACTGCAGCAGGACAGTGTGGGATGAGGAGAAGGGGGGATGCGTGGAGCACGTGGAGGGTGGCGCTGGAGTGAAGCTGCTGAGCATGGTGGGAGGGCTTGGGCGTGGCCGCATCTGTCCAAGGTGTGGCGCTCTCTACCTTTTCTTACCTGTGTGACTGCAGGCAAGTCATGCAGTCACCCTGACTCTGGGGCCCCTCTTAGGTAAAATGGAGATGGCACCTCCATCCAAGGCTTATGATAAGGATCAAATGAACAGTTAGTTAGGAGAATCGGCAGTAGAGGAGAGCCCTGCTGTGGAGGCTGCTGCTCTTCTGCCTTTTGAAGTTTCTGAATTGCTAATCAAGGTTGCCCCAAATAGTGGCCAGAGGTGATTTCAGACTCAGCTCCTGAGCACCATCTCAACATGTCCAGTTGTGGCTTCTCTGATGCTTGGCCTTGTGGGGTCCCTGGATGGAGCTTGTATTGCTCTCTCTTGGGCTTCAGTCAGCTGTAGCTGTCTTTGTCTGGGGAAAGCTGAACATGCCATTGGAAGACCTGACCTCTAGGCCTAACCCACCCCTAACTGGCTGAGTGACTTTTAGCAAATCACGCTTCCTCTCTGAGCAAGTTTCTTCACGACAAAAATGGATGCAGTACCCAGTACTCCACAACAGAACTGTGAGAAGTAAATGATGTAATAATGAATGTAGAAATGCTTTATAAACAGTCGCACGCTTTACAAAGGAAGAAGATGATATTGTTTCTAAATTTAAGGTTCTAGAAGTCCCGTCCTTGCCCTTGAGCTATCTCTGTGTCCTGATCAATGACCAGCTCATTAGTGGCCTCTGCCTTGCGTGGACCATGACCTCTTCACCTTGCGCTCTTGGCCAGTGTCTGGGCCCAGACTCCTTAAGTGGTCATGTGGCAATAATGCTGATTATCATTATAATTAGAATAATAAACAGCCACATGTTGGCAATAAATAATACATGAACATATGCTAATAATAATAATATTGGCTACCATTTGATTGCTCATCTCCAGACCAACCCTCTGTCTAGGCACTTGGGATTCAGAGTCAAATAGCAATAATGGCTAGAGTTTTTGCATTGCACTGCAAAGCCTTTTACTTCTTAGAGGACTTGGCTTTTGCTACCAAGGAGCACAGTTGGGGGAGAGACTCATTAGCTGCTACATTAAATATGTAGTGATAACAGCTATAATAGACACGATCACATGAGAACACAGAGGAGCTTTTTTTGTCAAGCCTGGAGTAGGGGGAGGTATGTGGGGACCTTCCCCAGTAAGCAGACACTCCATGCGACATCTGAAGGAAGGGTGGTTGTGGGCAAGGCAGGCGATGAGTGGGAGGAGGCGTGGGAAGAGGAGGCACTTCCAGGCGGAGCTGCAGAGGGGGCCACAGGTTCTGTGTGCACCTGTGGTCTCTGTCATGCTTTTGTGTCCTGTTTACGTGGAAGTCTCTGGGTAGAAGGAGGGAAGGAATAGGGAGAGCAAAGGAGGAGGGACAAGGAAGAAAGGAAAAATGACTTTGTGTTGTAAGTCAGAAATGATGCTTAGCAAAATTTTGTTTTCTCTGTCTTAATTAGTAAGGTTCCCCTTCCAAGCTCTCCTTGTCTGTCTCCTCCCTGAGTTTTTGCCTACAATTCCTTCCCATTCACTAGAACCAAGCAGCTTCCCTCCAGTGATAAAAGGGAGCCCCTCTCAGTTGTTCATTTCCCTGCAGTCATTAGCGTCATTTGGTCTCCAGTCCCCATGGATTGTGGCTCTGGCGAGGTGGCCATCTCTGTTCACTGGTGCATCCATTCAACAGGTGTTTTCTGGTGTGTCCTGCTCTTGAGGCCAGGCTGGCTCTGCAGGCCGTGTAGAGGTTGGTGGTGTTCCTGTAGGAGCCTCAGATGGGATTCCATGCTCCTGAGCAAAACTGGAAATAGAACTCTTGTCAAAGATATGTTAGGTTTGCGGCCTGGTGCGGTGGCTCATATCTGTAATCCCAGCACTTTGGGAGGCCGAGGCGGGCAGATCACTTGAGGTCAGGGGTTTGAGACCAGCCTGGCCAATATGGTGAAACCCTGTCTCTACTAAAAATACAAAAATTAGCTGGGCGTGGTGGTGGGCACCTGTAATCCCAGCTACTTGGGAGGCTGAGGCAGGAGAATTGGTTGAACCCTGGAGGTGGAGGCCGCAGTGAGCCAAGATTGCGCCACTGCACTCCAGCCTGGGTGACAGAGCGAGACTCCGTCTCAAAAAAAAAAAAAAATAGTTAAGCCTTGGATTTTGTGAAATTACAACAAATTTCGTTATAGATCTAACCGACTTCTATTCATGGTGGATGAATTGGGGAGTCCTCCGTTCTATAACATAGGATGGGAGCTTCCAGGGGGCAATGGCAGAATAGTGGGCTTCATGAGGTGGGAACAAGGAAACAGAAATAGAAGAAAAGCAGACTGGTTAACATTGGGTTACTTTAAATTACTTTTTTTGTATGGATTAAAGCAGAGGGGACTTTCTTGTGACACTAACTTAGGTAGACTGGAATCTTCTGTTTTCAGGAAAAAATAGTCTGTTTTGGGATCTGTCTGCTTCATGAAAGTTTCAGTTTGGTTATGTGGCATTTAGCATGAACGACTCCATTCTTGTTTGGTCTGGTCTGTTGGGGCCTAGTGCAGGAGCTCAGGCCAAAGCAATGGCCTCTCAGAGTTTTGTGTAACGATTTGGAAGCCCCCAGCCAAGAACTTTTCCCAGAGATGTCCCACCTGTGGAGGTGACTGTGATTCTTCCATCATAGGCTTCTGTGTATGCACCATGTTCAGTGTTCAACCTGTAGTTTGGGGTGTCAGGAGTGATTGATATGTTCTTCAGCCATTTATTATCTCACTCTCAGTGAGTTTTGCCTTGAGGAGGATCGAGACAGCCTCGCCTGCCTTCTCCCCACACCCTTGTCTACAGTACAGCGTGCCATTTGTCCTCTCACTCATCCTTCCCTCCCACTCAGGGCCGCTCCCCTCCACCCAGGCTGGAGTGCCAACCTTAACTCTGTGAGCTCCCTCCTGCTTTCCTACTTGGAAATGTGGCTTCTGTACACATGCCTTCTTTTTCGGGTGTCTCCTAGCCACTTGTGGCCAAGCCACCTTCCCAGGCATTGACTTCCAGCCCCTTCCCTGACTTTGCCACTCGTGAAAGCGCTCTCTGAAGACACTCATCCTTTCCTTTGCCTCCCTTTTGACACATCCAAGTTCAATTCCCACCACCCCTCAGCCTGCCCTGGCAGTAGATTCTTCACGGCAACCCTTTGGAGGCAGGAAACGTTTGACAGAGGGAGGGAGAACCTGGGAGGGAGAACCTGGGAGGCAGCAGTAAAGGGTGAATGGTTTCCCAGGATTGCTGCCCATGCAGTCAGCGTGTCTGCCGGGGGTCTTCTGAAGCAAGTGCCTCACCCATGGGAATGAGTTCCTGAGGGTTCTCTTGGCACCAGTGAGTGCCTGGGGGACCCGGAGCATAGGGGTTAAGGATGCCCAGGAGACAGCCCAACCCTGCCATGCTCTAACTGGCTGTTTAATCTCTCTCTGCCTCAGTTTCTTTGTAATGTGGAAATAATAATGGTAATTTCTTTATAGGATTGTTAAGAAAATAAAAAGATGTAGGGGATGTGCTTAGCATATAACTATGAAAGTAATGTTGGCTTACATGATGGCTGTTGGAGTAGAGGAGAGGCTTCCAAGCAAGTTGGTGGGCCTTTTGGCGCCTCTGGTTCTAGAAGATTAAGCCGTATCAAACAGTCCATGAAATGCCTTCAGGGACGCTCTTCTCAGCTCAGGATGGGTAATGCCGTAGGTTCCTTCTTGAGCATAACCTATAATTCCGAGATCCGCCGTCAGCAATAGAAAGATTCATCCTCTAGTATGACATGCTGTCAAGTGTAACTCTGAATTTAATTGGGGAGTTTTATTAATTGTTTTTAAAAACAATCATATGTGGTCAAAGTCCTCAACATCTGCCCATCACCATCTCCTCAGCACTGCACAGAGAAGCAGAAATCATTGTGTCAGACTATCAGTGCCATCTTACTGTTGTTACTCAAGACAAAATAATTCCATTTCCTCAGCAAGATTGACCTCTTCATTTATCCTAGAGCAAGAACCTACCAACTTCTAAACAGAATAGAACTGGGCACTGATGAAAGTGGATTATTAACAGACGGAAGGGAGAGAGAATGTGTGTGTGGCGGGGGTTGGCACTCTCCCTCCCTTCTGTCTGTTAACAATCCTTTTTCATCAGTGCCTAGTTCCGGTGGGGGGATATGTGTAGGTCTATTTCTGGACTTGATACTTTCTTTGTACTCCTAAGGACGTACTCATACAAGGAGAATATCAGATCCAGAAATAGACCTGCACATATCTAGTCAAGTGGTTTTTGACAGAGGTGCCAAGGTAATTCAATGGGGGAAAGGAAAGTCTCCTCAACAAATGGTGCTGGATCACCCAGGTTGCCATATGGACAAAAAGGGGCATCAACCCTTATTCAAGAGCTAACTCAAAATGGATCATAAGCCTCAATGTAAAACCTGAAACTATACAACTTCTAGAAGAAAACAAAAGAGAAAATTGTTGCAATCTTGGGATAGCCAAAATTTTCTTAGACATGGCACCAAAAGGCTGGGCGCAGTGGCTCACGCCTGTAATCCCAGCACTTCGGGAGGCCGAGGCGGGCAGATCGCCTGAGGTCAGGAGTTCAAGACTCCTGGCCAACGTGGTGAAACCCTGTCTCTACTAAAAATGAAAAAATTAGCTGGGCATGGTGGCAGGTGCCTGTAATCTCAGCTACTTGGGAGGCTGAGGTAGGAGAATTGCTTGAACCCCAGAGACAGAGGTTGCAGTGAGCTGAGACTGCACCACTGTACTCCAGACTGGGCGACAGAGTGAGACTCCATCTCAAAAAAAAAAAAAAAAAAAAAAAAAAAAAGACACCAAAAGCTTGAACCATAAGTCAAAAAATTGAAAATTGGACTTCATCAGAATAAACTTTTGCTCTTCCAAGACACCACTAAGAAAATGACAAGATAGCACAGACAGCATATATATATATCAGACAAAGGTTTAGTATCCAGAATGTGTAAAGAATAGCTTAAGAAGGCAAACAACCCAATAAGAAAAGGGACTTATATGATTTATGCAGATAATTTATAAGAGAAGATAAAAATGGCCAAGAAGCACATGAAAAGATACTCAACATTACCCTAGTCATTGGGGGATAACAAATTAAACCACTACATATCCATTACAATATCTAAAATCAGAAAACAAATGAAAACCCCCCAAAACCAAAATTTGTGTGATGCATCTGGAACTCTTATGCTCTGATGGTGAGAGAGTAAAATGTTACAACCGCTTTGGAAAACAATCCAGGGTTTCCTTAAAAAGTCAAATATCTATTTACTGTAGGAACTAGCCATCCAACCTTAGGTATTTACCCAAGGGAAATGAAAATACATGTCTGCACAAAGACTCTTACACAAATGTTTATTGCAGTTTCATTTCTAATGTCAAAAACTGGAAACAACCTATATGTGTGTTAACAGGTGAATGGATAAAGAAATCGTGGTGCATTCACACAGTGGAAGACTGCTCGGTGGTAGACACTACTGACGCATGCGGTGATGTGGGTGGGTCTCAAAATAGTGAAGGTGGGTACCAGAAGCAAGGCAAAAAGGAGTATGTATTTAATACTATATGACTCTGTTTACTTAAATTTTTACCTACAAACTATAGTGAGAGAAAGCAGACAGTGGTTGCCTGAGGCTAGAGGTGGAGGGAGGGAGGAATTATTAAAGAATCATGGGAAAACTTTTGGGGGTGACGGAAATAGTCTCTGGCTTTTGGTAACAGTTACAGATACGTTAGTCTGTTAATTTATGTTAATCATAATTAAGATATGTTAATGCTGATCAAGGTGTATACTTTAAGTATATGAGGTTCAGGTGCACCCAGGGACTGTGGTTGGCCACAAACCATCTCCCGTTGCTAAGCCAAATAGCAATTCTGCTCAGATCCATGTAGGATAAATATTGTAAGGTGCTGTGAAGTGAGGTTTTGTTTTCCTGATTGTGACACATACACTCAGTACCTGAGATGTTGACCTCACTGCTAAAATTAATGCTGTAAATAGACAATAAGAAGACAAAGCGTATGATAAGAGGAGAAAGTGTAAATAGTAGGCTAAATATAACAGCTGTCACCAGAGGCAGATAGCAAGAGGAGCCTTTGCTGAACCACGGCCGATCTCATGCAGTTGCCAGAAACACCCATGAAGTGCCAGCAGGTGGCACAGGCTGGAGGGTGCTAACCACGTAAACCTCTGGAAGCACGGGCAGCTTATCCTTTCCATCTCCTGCTTACAGTAGGATTTGTTTGTCAGTTCGAGTGTTACCTAGGAAATGACTGTACAAGAGTCTCTGATTGGTCCTCTTTTCCTCACTCTGGAAACCTTGGATTTTAAGCAGGATGTGATATGTCTGTGAGCCGTCTGCCATGTTACTCTATTTTGTCTATTAAGCCTCTTTGTGTAAAAAGCAAAAAAAGAGCTTTTTAGCTTGATATCTCATTAGACCTTCAGGGTGTTTCTGAAGTAGGCAGAGGCGTTAGACACATTGCCATTTAATAACAAGGAAACAGATCCTCAGATAAATAAAACCACTCCTTCCAGACTACATCATATCAGTGTCAGAGACACAGGGCGAGTGGAACCAGGTCTTTTAAGGGGTGGAGGGTGCTTTCTGGTCCACGGAGTGTCTCCTGAAGTACCATAGAATTTGGGATCTGAAAGCCTCCATGAAAAGCTAATACAACTGGCCAAGTTTCCTGATAGAGGAAATACGGCCCCGAGACTCAGTCTCTCAGAAGATTCTGAGAAAACTCCAAGTCTAGGACTTTTCCACACTCTCCTGAATGGGGTGAACTCCCCACCCCCATCTTCCCAGTGGCCTTGGAGACTTATCCTAGGGGGTGCTGGGTTAGGGAAAGAAAAATAGAGAAGAGAGCGAGGTGAGGGAGACACGCTCATCTCTCCAGCCCCCAGCCTGCTCTAGAGGCATCTGTGTATTCAGGACACTGGTGTTCGTCAGAGATGGGTATGGGAGTATCAGGGCTGAGTGCTTCGCTCTTCACATGCCTCTCTACTTGACTTGGGACACTGAGTGAATCTTTTGCTTTTCATGTTTCCATCTGGAATGTGAAAACAAACTAACTTAGCTCTTCTTTCTCTCTGTAAGGTTTTGAGAACACCTTCCTATCTTTTGAAGAAAGAAGATGTTTTAAAAGGTGTTTAACAGTTTAAGGAAAATATTTTTTTTCATTGAGTTTCCTAAGTATAATATGAACAACATGATCCTCATAACATTTCTGGCTGTTTTGTTGATTGTCTAGCTAATGGAGAGAATCATACTGAATGCTTTTTTTATTTCCCAAGCTCTGAAATATCCCTGATTATGTGGTGCACACAATACACCCTAGCACAGCAAAGCGGCGTCTGTGAGCTCTAGCGGTCATGAGGGTCCCCTTTACGTGACATGTGACATGTGTTCCAGCCTCCATCTATCATAGGAGCCATGTGGTCACTTGGGAGTTTTCTGCCTGTGACCAGCATATGAGTATTTGTTACCAAAGTTGTTAGGGAAACACTTCATGCTTTTTTGGGAAGTAATTTGGGAAAAACTGAGTAAAAATTCTTAACCTTTCAGTAATCCTATTAAAATGGGATATCTGATCATCCCAGGCCCTTGTGGGAGTTGAGAGATTCTGAGACCAAGATGAGCTAAACACAGGATCTTTTCTCTAAAGAACTTTCCAGGGAGAGTCAGAACATGGAAGCCAGGCTGACTGTGGGTGCTTGTGAAGGTCAGTTGTGTTCAGGAGGGACCCCTGGACCTGCTCCTTGAGTATCTGTAGTGTTGGCTGTTCTGAAGAGGGAGGCTGTATTCAGAGAGGGTTGTAAGAGGAAAGAGCCATGAAGTGCTGTGGTCCTTGACACTTCCCCACTACCGCTGGTGAGAGATAGTGTTGCCACTGGCTTCTGCCTGCTAGCCATCGAGTTTAGCTAACCCTGCCCCCGACCCCATTTTGAATGCCCCAAACATCACCCAGCTGGTGGCGCTCCGATGACACCTCATGTAGACTGTTGGAGTAGCTCAGCACACTGCATTATAATTCTTTGTCTACTTGTCTCTCAAAGGAGACTGTAAACTCTTGGAGGACTAGACTCGCTGTTCAGCAAAGCACCTAATATAGGACCTGGCATGGGGTGGGAACTCAATAAATGTTTGCTGAATGAGTGAATTCATGTGTGCACGTGGCCATTAGCTGTAGCAGGCGGTAAGCTGGTACTGCACTTAGGAAAGGGATATAACCAGGAGGAGTTCATCTTTCGGGGAATCCCCAACAGAGGCTGCCTGGGACCTTGCTGTGGACATTTTTACACCCCTTTGGAAGAGAAAGAGATGGCAAAAGGGGCTTGTCCCAGATTATTCGCCCTCGTTCATGGTCTGAACTTCATATCCTCTCTGTGCTGTGGGGATGATGAATGTGAACAGATGATGTGCAGGTGAGGCAGCCCATGTGCATAAGTATGGCCCCTTTCACCATCACCTCCAATTATTATATGATACATAATCATATCATAGGAACTATAACATTGTTGTGGGTTATTCCATGGATGGATATTGCACATAACACACTGCAACTTTTTTTTTTTTTTTGAGAGAGAGTCTTGCTCTGTTGCCAGGCTGGAGTGCAGTGGTGCGATCTCGGCTCACTGTAACCTCTGCCTCCCGAGTTCAAATGATTCTCCTGCCTCAGCCTCCCAAATAGCTGGGACTACAGTGCCCACCACTGCACCTGGCTAATTTTGGTGTTTTTAGTAGAGACGGGGTTTTTCCCTGTTGGCCGGGATGGTCTTGATCTCTTAACCTCATGATCCACCCGCCTCAGCCTCTCAAAGTGCTGGGATTACAGGTGTGAACCATCATCATCACGCCTGGCCCACACTGCAACTTTTTTACTCAACATAGTCTTAAGATCTAGAATATTTATAATGTGAATTGTTCATCATATAAATGTAGGTGCTTTAGGCCTTCCCTGGTTGATGGACATTTGGGTAGTTTCCAGTTTTTTATTATTACAGTGTTGTTAGAATGAACATTGTCATACTCTCATGGTAGTATGTACCGTGTGAGGATGGTGTTTCTCTAGGGTAAACATGGATTTTGGATCGTAGACTATGCCCATGTTTCATTTTATAGATCTTCCCAAGTGCCCTTCGGTGTGGCTGCCCTAGTTCATGTTCTCAGAATGTTACCACACTTTATATTTTCAAACTTATCACAATTTTCCAGACTAATGGGTGGAAAATGGTATCTCATTTTAATTTGCTCTCCCCTGGTTATTGGTGAAGTTGATTATATTTTTATGCATCTGCTGACTTTTTATGTTTCCTCTTTTATAAATTGCTGCTTTATATGTTTTGCCCATTTATCTATTGTTATCTTTTTCCCACAGGTTTTTAGGAGTTATTTATCTGTGTTCCAGGTACCAGTCTTGTTCTATGTTGTATTAGTCAGGGTTCTCTAGAGGGACAGAACTAATAGGATATGTGTGTATATGAAAATGAGTCTGTTAAGGAGTATTGACTCACATGATCACATGCTAAAGTCCCACAATAGGCCATCTGCAAGCTGAGGAGCAAGGAAGCCAGTCTGAGTCCCAAAACCTCAAAAGTAGGGAAGCCGATGGTGCAGCCTTCAGTCTGTGGCCGAAGACCTGAGAGCTCCTGGCAGTTCACTGGTGTAAGTCCAGGAGTCCAAAAGCTGAAGAACTTGGAGTCTGATGTTTGAGGGCAGGAAGCACCCAGCACGGGAGAAAGATGAAGGCTGGAAGACTCAGCAAGTTCACTCCTTCCACATTCTTCTGCCTGCTTTATTCTAGCCACACTGGCAGCTGATTAGGTCTGCTGCTCCCAGTCCACTGACTCAAAAGTTAATCTCTTTTTACTTTGGGAGGCTGAGGCAGGGGGATCATCTGAGATCAGGAGTTCAAGATAAAATGTTAATCTCCTTTGTGAACACCCTCACAGACACACCCAGGAATAATACTTTGCATCCTTCAGTCTAATCAAGTTGGCACTCAATATTAACCATCACATATGTGCATTGCAAATAATTTCGCCTAATATTTAGTTTTTCTTTTAATATTGTCTATCTGTTGCTATTAGAAATCTTCCCACCCTTTCCATTTTGGTGTGATCAAATTTATCAGTCTTTTTTTTTTTTAAATGGAGATTGTGGTGGTTTGTTTTTGTTTGGCAAGGGAGGACATAGAGGTTTAAGAAGGTCTATTGCCCTGATGCCATGAAGATATATACCTGTATTATCTTTTAAAAGATATTAAAGGTTAGACTTTAAAATTAGATCTTTAATTCATCTAGAATTTGTATTTGGTATGAGGTAGGGATCCAATTTGGTTTTTCTTTTACTCAGATGAATATACAACTTGCCCAAGATGATTTCAAAGGCCACCTCCATCATGTGCCATGTTCTCATAGGTGCACAGCTGTCCCTGGACTTGCCGTTCCATTCTGTGGATGCGTGGGTCCATTTTGTTCTAGAGTCATTCTCTAAAATTCCTGTAATTACAATGAGTCTTAATGTTTGGTCACCATCTTTTCTTGGATTTTCAAAGTGGTTTTGACTAACATTGCATTAGTAATATTCCATACGAATTTCAAAACTGGTTTGCCAAGTTTAATGAAAAATCCTGTTGGGGTGTTGTGTGAAGTTGCATCGAATTTATTAATTCTGAGAGAATTGGCTTGCTTTAACAATTGCATCCTCCCTTCCATTTCATCCTTCTCTGTTAAGGTTTTCTTTTATGTCCTTTGGTGAAATTTTTATCAGGGCAATTCCTCTATATTTTGTGAGTTTTATTGCTATTAAGTGTTTGTATTTAATTAATTTTCTCAATTATTACTGCATAAGAAAGCTAATGATACTTGAATATTGTTCTCATTAACCTGCAACCTTGCTGACTTTTTAAAAATTAGTTTTATTTTTATCAATGGATTATTTTGGGTATGTTTTATAATGCCACTTTGTTTCTCTTTTCAAATTCTATATTTTTTCCTTTTTTGTTTCTTATTAGCCAAGGTTTTCAATATAGTGTTGGTGGTAAGGGTGCTATCCTATATCCTTCTGTTGGTTCTTACTGTAACAGAAGGGCTTCTCAATTTCATTACCAAAAGTGGTTTGTTGCTGTTTGCTAAGAGGTTTGCTTGTTTGGTTAGTTATGTATATAGGTATTGAATTTTGAATACTTTTTCTGTTTATACTGAGATTTTCTTTTCCTTTAAGATGTGAATATTTCAAATTAATTGATATTCTAATAAGGCATCTTTGAATTCTTGGGATAAACCCTCTTTGGTCAAAGAGCATTATTCTTTCAGTCTATTGCTGGACTCAACCTACTATTTTGTTTGGAGTTTTGCATCTGTGCTTTTAAGTAACATTGGTCTAAAGTGCTTGTTCTTTGTACCACATGTAATGAACTAGGCAGCTTTTCTACTTTTCCGTGCCCTGGTGTACTGATTTTAACGTAAGAACTATCTATTCCTTTGAGTTTTAGTAGAATTTATCTGTAAAACCGGGCCTGTTACTTTTTGAAGATCCAATATATTTTATAGTTCATGTTTTTGTAAGAATTTTCAAATTTTGTTTCGACAGCAAATTTATTGCATTAAAGTTGCTCATATTACTTGTGATTTGTAAAATCTCGAATCCATCTGTATTTAGATGCCCTGTTTTGTTGCTAATAGTGTTTACTTGTGCTCTTGCTTTCTCTCTCAAGCAACCTTGCCCAAAGTTTGTATGTCCTCGTCTTTTCGAAGAAGTTTTTGAAGTGTTTGATTCTGTGGATCAGACCTGTTGATTTGCTTTCTAGATCTAAGCTCTCATCGTTAGTAGTGCCTTCCTTGTGTTTTGTTCACATTCGGTTTTGGGGGTGGGTAAATGAGCTTTAAGTTTGTTTATCTTTTTGGTTTTAGCAGTTGGCACTTAATTCTTTTTTCTGTTTTATTTTTAAATGAAAGGAGATAAAATATTCAATTATGTCAGGAGCTGGCAAAGGTATTTTGCATGAAGAGTGTTGTGCATAGAGCTTCTCCATATTGTATTTTTAGGTGTTAGGCATGGCTTTCAGATTCTGGCCTAACTTACACCCTGCCATGTGAGTACCTCTGATGGAGCCCTGATAGTTATAAATCTGAGAGTTCAGATGATTCTTCAGGCCTGATGGCCAACGAGTGCTTTCAAGGGGACTTTCTCATGGAGCAGGCCACAGGTGTGCTACCCAGTGTGAGGGGCATGTATCCCTGGTTATTCACTCCGACACCCAGCTGGATGTTGCTTTGAAGGTTTACTTGTTTACTTGTGCTCTTGCTTTCTCTCTCAAGCAAACTTGCCCAAAGTTTGTATGTCCTAGTGTTTCTGAAGAAGTGTTTGATTCTGTGGATCAGACCTGTTGATTTGCTTTCAAATCAACCTTCAATATGTAAGTATTCAATATATAGGCATTTTGCAGGTGTGATGAACATCTATGATCAGTTGTCTTTAAGTAAAGGAGATTATCCTTGATAATCTGGGTGAGCCTGATGCAGTCAGTTGAAGGCCCTAAGAACAGAACGAGGTTTCCCGGAGGAAGAAGAAATTGTGCCTCGGGCAGCAGCTTCAGCTTGTACCTGAGAACCCCCGCCTACCCTTCTTGCTGGTTGGGCCTGTGGACTTCAGACTCACTTACGCAGTTCCTGTAATCATACAAGCCGACTCCTTGTAATACGTTTCTAAATCTACTTATGGTCCCCAACTTACGATGGTTCCGCTTAGGATTTTTCAGCTTTACAAGGATGTGGAAGTGATATACATTCAGCAGAAACATACTTCAAGGACCCATGTAACCATTCTGTTTTTCACATTCAGTACAGTATTCAATGCATTACATGAGATATTCCATACTTGATTATAAAACAGGCTTTGTGTTAGATGATTTTGACCAACTATCAGCTAATGTAAGTGTTCTGGATACGTTTAGGCTAGGCTAAGCCAGGATGTTCAGTAGATTAGGTGTATTAAGTGCATTTTTAATTTGCAGTATTTTGAAATTACAATGGGTTTATCCGGACATAACCCCATTGTAAGTCAAGGAGCACCTGTGTATCTCTCACTGGTTCTCTTTCTCTGGTTGAACTGATTGATACGGCCAGAAATTACTGTCTTAAAATATTTTCCAAGTTTTTGTTTTTATCCAAGTTAGTCATATATATAATTTGAATAGCCATTTGTTCTACAAGGCTTATTATAGAAAGTAACTCTCTCCCTACAGCAGCCATTTATAACTCCTTTCAACCTCCACACCTCTAAGTAACATGTGCAGGTTGCTGCTGCTTGATTTTTTGTTATCAGCGTGATTTATGGACTTCCTACTCTGGTTGACCCTTTAACCATTCCCCCATTGCCAAATTACCCCTCTTCCCAGTATAGTTACATGTTATTTTGGTTAGATCAAGATTTAACATTGTTGTTATTGTTGTCATTGTTATTCATAGCTGAGCTCTGTAGTCTCCAGTGATTTGTCTTTTCCTTTCTTGCATTAGGTTTTGTGTTCCCTCTTCCTAATACATGGATATATACGTCAGTTACACACACAGGGGCCTCAGCCTCCTGAGTAGCTGGGACTACAGGCACATGCCACCACGCCTGGCTAATTTTTTTTAAATATTTCCTAGAGATGGGGTCTTGCTGTGTTGCTCAGGCTGGTTTTGAGTTCAAGTAATCCTCCCTCTTCAGCCTCCCAAAGTGCTGGAATTATGGGTGTAAGCCACCATGCTCAGCTTGTCTTCCAATTTCTAATGTTTTTGATATGACTAATGCCATTCTAATAATCCTTTGTTTAAAAGAGAAAAAAAAACTTGTGTTTTCTCTATGGAGCTTGTAAGATCTTCTGTTTGTCTTCGGTGTTCTGAGAATTTCGTTATTCGCCTTGGTGAGGGTGTTTTTTTTTCCTCCACGCGTTGTGCTAGGCACTCAGACCCTGACTGGAACCCATGTCCTTCAGTCCTGGTTTTGCCAAAAACACAAATTTTTCTTTTGAGAGGGATTCTTACCCTGTCAGCCAGGCTGGAGTGCAGTGGCTTGATCTCACTCACTGCAACATTCGTCTTCTGGGTTCAAGGGATTCTCCTGCCTCAACCTCTCCCGAGTAGCTGGGATTACAGGCACGCCACCACACCCAGCTAATTTTTTTGTATTGTAGAGATGAGGTTTTGCCATGTTGGCCAGGCTGGTCTCGAACTCCTGACCTCAGGTGATCCACCCACCTTGGCCTCCCAAAGTGCTGGGATTGGAGGCGTGAGCCACTGTGCCTGGCCCAAAATTGTTAATACTCTCAAAAATCATGTTTTCTCTGATCTACCATTTTGGGCTTCCTGTTGTTCAAATGCAGGGCCATCAGACAATGTTTTAAAAAAAGAGCGTCGTACATGTCTTTTTGGGTGTAAAGGGCAGTGGACTTTAGGTCAGACAGATGGGCGCTTGAATGCCTCCAGCATCTCTGACTAGCTGGGTGATCTTAAGGCCGGGGGGCAGGAGTGTTATTTAACTTTTTAGGGTCAGAATTTCCACCTCGCAGGGGTCTTGTGACAGTTATGTTTCAAATAAAATTGAATCATTTATTAAGCATTTGGAAAAGAGCCTCCTTTCTAATGGGCATTAAATAATAGTATGGGCTTGTGTTGTTATTACTGTAACTTAAGCAACTCTAGTTTGATACTGGGGTGTTGGTGTGGTGTTCATACCAATGCAGGGAGCAAAAGCAGGCAACCAGAGGTCCTACTTCTGTCATTGAGCAGAGTTCCTCAGGAATGGCGGTGCCTCTGTGTTGCGAGGGGCTTGATGAGGGGATGTTGTGCTTGGTCCTTTAAATGCCCGACGGCCACCAGGGGAGGGAGGTGTGTGAGCCCAGCCAGGGTGGCTCATCTCAGATTCCGTGGCAACCTTCAGGGGTTGGAGGGCTTGTCCCCGAGACTCTGATTCCTTCTCTTGTATCAGAAAACAGCAAACTGACGGTGCTTCCTTGACCAGAAGCTGGGCTATGTCTTGGAAGAGGCAGCCAAGCGCCTCAGAGTGCCCTCATTGTCACGGAGCTGGTCGTAGCCCTCGGCCGCTGCTGCCTTACCTTTTGCTGTGGCTTCCTGTGACCCTGCCAGCCTCAGCTTTGTGGTGCCCCTGGAGCTGAGTGTCTGCTCCCTTCTCGGTGCTCTGCAGGGCCTCACCTGGCAGGTTGGCCAGCCGGCCAGAAAATGCCGGGGACCAAGGCACCCCAGTCTGCTGGGAAGCCCACCGACGAACCTGATGTCTCTTGGCTGGGGAACTTTCTGGCTGCTCACCTGCTTGTCTAAACATCAACTCTTGACCCTCCAGACATCAAAATGGTCTGATGCTAATTTAAAAATTGTAAAGCCATTGAATGTGAATCCACGGTAACTTGTCAATATAATTTAATAACCAGGGGAAATGGAGGGCTCAGGCTTGGCGAAATTTCCTCTACATCTGCCAGCTTTTCTCATCTGCTGGTTGGGGGTGGGGAAAGTGGTGATGAAAAGTTCTCAAGACAAGAGTGACTGTTTCAATTTCACCTGGGGCCATAAATCAATATTCATTTACTATTCAGCCAGCATTAGCATTTCCCTGGGTAATACTCTAACACATGTAGTGTCAGGATGGCTTGAATTTGTCCTCATTAGGAAGGCAGAGGACGCCTTTTTGCAGGCATAAGCAAGTGAGCCTCCTATTCCGCTTGCTGGCTCACATCTCATGAAAAAGGAAGTGTTGGTCTTTAGGGGAAAGGGTGGGTTGGGATTTCAGACATGGTCTCTGCTCAGTGTCAGTGGCCACAGTTCATCGTGACCTGGGTTTATGACTGCTGGTGTCACCCTTGATGAGGAATAAGCTTAAAGTGGGAGGTGACAACTGGCCCTGCAGAAAAGCATTTTATTTCTACATGAGGTTTTTCTGTGAGCAACACCATTAATAACAACTCATCGTTGTCTTATCTTTGAGATGAGACTGTATGGGAAAATGGGGGTGGTGGCGAGGACAGAGAAACTTGATGTCACAATGTTGGAAACTGCTATTGGCTGATGACCAGCTAGAAACATTTTCTTTGAAGATGAGAATTAATCAGGAGGTGGAATTTTATTTACAGATGCTCACTCTCACCGCCACCTCCATTTTGGTATATGGAGTATCAGGTGGGAGTGATGGGGAGAGATGGTGGGGTTCATTCCTGCTGAGCACGTTGGAGGAGGTGGAAGGTCGCCTTGAGACATCCTGACCCCCGAGGTCTTGCTCTGTGAGTGGACCAGCCATCTTCAAGGCTGCTTGTGGACTTTGACGGGAGAAATGGTTCTCACAGCACTTTCATCTCAGCTCATGTCACTCTGATATTTTGACCTGAATGTGTAGATGTCATGAAGGGAGATGATCTCCTACATAATGAGGGAGCATTAGACCCCATCAGCTTCCCTCCTATTCCTTCCCCTGTCCTTGCATCAACAACGGCCCAACTCCATTGGGAACTGAAATAAAAAAGCCTAGTATATTAGTCCATTTTCACGCTGCTGATAAAGACATACCGGAGACTGGGTAATTTACAAGGAAAAAGAGGTTTAATGGACTCACAGTTCCATGTGGCTGGGGAGGCCTCACAATCATGGTGGAAGGTGAAAGGCACGCCTCACATTGCAGCAGATAAGAGAGCTTGTGCAGGAAAACTCCCCTTTATAAAACCATCAGATCTCTTGAGACTTGTTCACTATCAGGAGAATAGCACAGGAAAAGCTCCCCCCCCCCCCATGATTCAATTACCTCCCACTAGGTCTGTCCCACAACACATGGGAATTGTGGTAGTTACAGTTCAAGATGAGATGTGGGTGGAAATGTAGCCAAATCATATCACCTGGTGTCGATGGGAAGCATTTAGATGGAATTATAATAAACCTGTCGGGGGAGGGCCATGAAACAAATAGCTAGAGTAAGACTCCAGGATGATACAGAATCAACAGCTGATGTCTGCAACAAGATGGATGAATCTCAAAAACATGATGTTGACAAACGAAGTCTAAGTCCCCCTCCCCCACCAAATTCATACTGTGTGATTCCACTTATATAAAATCCAAGAGTAGAAGAAATTAATCCATGGTGATTGTAGTCAGAATGTGGTTGCAGGGGTCTGAGAAAGGGACGTGAAGGAACTTCGGGGGTCATGGAAATATTCTGTTTTGTTTTGCAGATGGTTAAACTGGTATTACCATTGACAGAATTTATCAAATTCAACATTTAAAATCTGTACCTTTATTGTATGCTAATTACACCTCAATAAAAAAGTATATAATAATTAAAAAACTCTTAATCCCTAGATACATTTTGGAGGCAGGGTGTTAGTCGAGCACAATGAGTTTTATTCCTGTGACTTGCCAAATCCCAGGTCCCCTCTCCTTGCCTAACTCCTTTTTGACTATTTGCCAGGTCACTGTCTCCCACGGCTCCCGTTCTTCAGTTGTCTGCACCACTTTCTAGCCACTGACTGCTTTATCCCAAGGTCAGAGGGAAAAACCAACTTGTTCCTAAATCAGTGTGATCTAATAAAACTTTCTGTGGTCATGGGAATGTTCTATGTCTACACTCTTGAGTATGATAGCCTGTAGCCATATTGAGCACTTAATTGTGGCTAATCAAATGAGGAACTGAGTGCTTAATTTTATTAATTTTAAATTTAAGCACATGTGTATAAATGTGAAAAGTGCTATTAAAAAAAAGAAGAAAGATCGGGGGTGAGGAGTGATTGCAGTCAGGGACCACCTCACTGAGAAGCTGACACTTGAGCAGAGAGATGACACAGTGAGCCCTGTGGCTGTGTGGAACCTCCAGGCAGAGAGAGTGGCATGTGCAAAGGCCCTGGGGTAGGAGCCTGCCAGTCATACTTGAGGAACAGAGGAGGCAGGGCAGCTGGAACAGAGTGAGAAAAGGGGAGAGTGTTAGGAGGTGAGGGCAGAGGAGTCCCCTTTATCCAGCTGGTTTGGTTGGGGTTGGCTTTTCTGCAAGGAGCTGGAAAAGACCGTGTCTTATAATGTACACCAGGTCATGGGCACACTTATCTACCAATTTGCAAGACTGCGTATGGGGCAGTGCAGGGGCTGTGTGTCTTCCAGGAGAAAAGCTGACCTGGTCTGGCTGACCAAGGTCTCCTGAGCTAGTGTATGATAACCCACATCACAGGTCAGCACGAGAATCCTCACCCAGATCAGATTTTGTCAGCTCTCCCCTAATTGCCTTTGAATCCTAAAATTAGGCCTGTGGCTTTCGCCACATTCCAGCCTGGCTGAGAGAAGTGGAAGCAGCAGGGTGGGTAGCATCAGGCCTCCTAATCAGAGCTGGAGGATGGTTGGGAGCCCTGAGCTTGGGACACAGCTCTGTCACTGTCTCTCTGCTGTCTCTGGGGGAGTTACCTCATTTTTACAAGCCTGAACATGCCTCAGTTTTATCACCTGTGGCATGAATTAGGTGCCCCCTAAGCCCTTTATCCTTTCTAATGCTGTATGGTTTTAAGACCACCTCACGTTTGTACAGAAGGGATGCTCGCCCTTATCTGTGGGGGTCAGATTTGGGGCCCCAGGGATGTGTGTTTCCACAACTTGTTCTCTGAGATGACAGGATTAGTATTGGTATACACCAAAACATTTGGGATGTAATGCTTTTTATACCCCAGGGGTCCGTCAGGTTCTTGGAATCCCTGTATAAACATTTTGTTCAATAGGGTAAAGGTGTTGTTTTTCACACTTTGGGGCAATGAAGTTGGAAAATTCAAATCTAAGCATTACTAGCTCTTGGAAAAGACATTCCACTCAGATGCACTGGTCATTGGCTTTTGTCCCACACAGTCTGGAATGCAGGGGGCATGTTGGGAGAAGGGTGAACTGGCATCTTCTACGCTTCCCTGAAGTTTGGGCTGCAGGACTGTCTTAGTTCATTCAGGCTGCTATCACCGAATGCCATAGACTGGGCAGCTTACAAACAACAGAAATGGATCTTTCATGGTTCTGGAGGTTGGGAGGTTCAAGATCCAGTTACCAGCAGATTTGGTGTCTTGTGAGGGCCTGCCTCCAGGTTCATCAATGGCTGTCTTCTCACTGTGTTCTCACATGGGGAAGAAGCAAGGATGTCCTTTGGGGTCTCTCTTATGAGGAAGGGCACTAATCCCCAGAACTGACCCCTTCCACCCCAGGATGAGGGGAGCAGTATCCCAAGGCTGCATAAGGCAGCAAGAGCCCTGGGCCTGGATCCCAAAATGATTCTTTCCTCTGAGGCCTCTGGGGCTGCGATGAGAGGGGCTGACTTGAAGATTTCTCAAGTGCCTTCAAGGCCTTTTTCCCCATTTTCTTGGCTATGAACACCTGGCTCCCTTTCAGTCCTGCTAATCTCTCTAGCAAGTAGTTGCTCCACAGGCTGCTTGGATTCCTTCCCTACCATGGGCCCAGGCTGCAAATTTTGCAAACTTTTAACACTCTGCTTCCCTTTTAATTTTAAGTTCAGCTTTAGTTAGATGCAGCCACACCATCTCTTGAATGCTTTGCTGTTTAGAAGTTTCTTCAACCTACATACCTTAAGTCATCACTCTTAAGTTCAAACTTCCACAGATTCCTAGGGCACAAACACAAAGCAGCTAAGTTCTCTGCTAAGGCATACGTGGGCAATCTTCACTCCAGTTCCCAATAACTTCCTTGTTTCCATCTGAGACCTCTTCAGCCTGGCCTTCACTGCCCATATTTTTATGAGCATTATGGTCACAACTATTTAACAGTCTCTAAGAAATTCCAAACTTTCCCTTCTAGTCTTCTCCTGAGCCCTCCAAATTCTTCCAACCTCTGCCCATTACCCAATTCCAAAGCTGCTTCCACATTTTCAGGTATCTTAAAAGAAATACCTGATGCTAGGTAATTTATAAAGAAAACAGGTTTAACTGACTCATGGTTCTACAGGCTGTATAATCATGGCACCAACATCTGCTGGACTTCTAGTGAGGGCCTGAGGATGCTTACAATCATGGTAGAAGGTAAAGGGCAAAGCCAAGGAATCACACGGTGAGAGCAGTAGCAAGAGTGGGAACAAGGAGGTTCCAGACTTTTAAACAATCAGATCTCACATGAAATAACTTGATAATAATCCCACTATCAAGAGGATGGTGCCAAACCATTCATGAGGGATCTGCCCCCATGATCAAGTCACCTCCCACCAGGCCCCACCTCCAACATTTGGAATCACATTTCAACATGAGATTTGGAGAGGACAAACATCCAAACCATATCAACAAACCTGTCCATTCCACATCTTGTACAGCTTCACCACTCTGTGGGATGGGAGGGACAGAAAAGTGCTATGAGGTCCATGTTCTTCCATTTCAATAGGTATGACCTTGGGTTGATAATTCATCACAGACTTCCTTGTTGGTGCTTATCCAATATTTTCTTTCTTGCTCTCTTTGAAAAAAATCTTACTTTCTAGGCCTTCATGGTATGTTTTCTCATCTGAAGATTACTATCTTAAAAGCAAAAGCTATGCTTACTCTTTGCTTCTTGTAAAACACTTCAGCCTATACACTGGTGCTCAGTGAGTCTTTATTGATGTCATTGATTGAAGTATTTGGATTGTCCAGAAATTTCCCATTCCACATGGCTATGATACATACTAAACACTCTCATGAAGTCCAGGTTAGCAAACTGACGGTTCCTGAAAGGTGGGACTTACCAAATTCCACCCTGCACATCATGTATATACCATGCTTCTTATTCACTCCAACGTGGCACATTTCTCTGCCACAGCTTTTAAACAAACAGATCGCACTATGGTACAGTTAGTGGCTTATGTGTCTATCTCTCTAACTAGGTTGTAAGTTCCTTGAGAGTAAAATGGCATCACATTTATGTCTATCTCCCTAGAAATTCACCCAGTACCTCCTGCATAGTGCTTCCCAAGTGCTCTGTCAGAGCCAGCAGTGCGACTGACACTGGACACGTGCCGGACAACAAATGAGCAACACAACGTTCTCCCTGACATAGAGCTCACAGGCAGATAAGAAGGAGGGGTGGGTGAGCCAAAGACTACGAGATGCTGCAGCAAGTGCTAAACGTAGGTGTGGTGTGCAGTCTTCAGTGGGAAGAGGGTTCCTACTCAGCCTGGAGGAGTCAGACAAGGTTTTCCAGAGAAGTTGATGATAAAGAGGAAACTTGTTGAAGGAGTAAACAGAAGGCACTCAACTGGGGTTTACTAAGTTGAATTGAACATGAGGCATGGCAGTGATGATAATCATGTAGAACCCAGGCTTCTGCAGGCCATACTACAGGGTCAGTGAGAACACTGATGGGCTGTCAGGAAAAGCTTAATAGAGGATAAAACACTTGAGATGTCTAGAAAAAGGAGTGTTTACCCACATCCATAGGAAGCTCCTGAGACTTAAAGCCAGCCCTCCAGGTCCATGTTCCACCACTGACCTCTAAGCCTCTGATTTAATCTTTACAACGACTGTGGTTTGATCTGTGTCCTTTACTGTACATTCCAATAATGGACATTAGGAACATCATGAACATTACTATGTACATGATCATACCAGCTTATGTGTATAAGCTGAATTATGTAAATGTCAGTAATTATCACCTAAGAATCCCTGAGATAAATAGTATTTTTTAAAACAATTAGTTTTATTGAGATATAATGTACATACAATAAAATTCACCCTTTAAGTACGCAACTTGATGAGTTTTGACAGATGTGTATTGTCACAGAACTACCACCACAATGAAGATATAGAATATTTCCATCATCCCCAGAATGATCCCTCCTGCCCCTTTGCTGTCATTAATCACCTCCTCTCCCCAGCTAGTCTGCTTTCTGTTACTTTAGGTTCCCTTTTCTGCAGTCATATAAATGAAATAGTTCAGTATTTAGTCTCTTGTGTCTATCTTCTTTTATTTAGCATAATGCTTTTGAAATGCAGCCCTATTCTTGCTGAACATATCTGTGGTTCATTCTTATTTATTGCTGAGTAATATTCTGTTGTCTGGACAGATGACAGTTTGTTATTCCATTCACCAGTAGTTGGACATTTAGGTTATTTCCAGTTTTTGACTATTATGAAATTAGCAGCTGAGAACACTGGTGTGCAAGTCTTCGTGTGGACGTATGCCTTCATTTCTCTTGGAGTAGAATTGCTGAATCCTATGGTAAGTCTATATTTAATTTCATAAGGAATGGCCAATCTCTTTTACGAAATGACTGTACCATTTTACATTCTCACCAGCAACATATGAGAGTTCCAGTTGCTGTACATCCTCACATACTTGGTATTATGTGTTTTCTTTTTTTTAATTTTGGTGATTCTAATGAGTATGTAGTGGTCACTTACAGTGGTTTCCATGTACTTTTCCCTGTTGACCAATAATGTTGATTATCTTTATTTGTGCTTATTTGCTGTTCTTACATCTTATTTGGTAAAGTGTTTAAATTTTTGCCTTCTGTTTTAATTGAGTCATCTGTTTTCTTACTGAGATGTAGAAATTATTAAATATTCTGGATACCAGTTCTGTATCAGATATGTTTTACAATTTTTTTTTCTGTATCATGGCTTGCCTTCATTTTCTTAATAGTCTTTCAAGGAGCAAAAGTTTTAATTTTGATAAAGTCTAATTAATCACAGTTTTCTTAATGATTAGTGCTTGTTTTTTGTCATAGGAAATATTTTGCCTAACCCAAGGTCATACATAATTTAGTTTTACAGTTTTAGCTTCACTTTGAGATCTGCAGTCCATCTAAAATTAAAATTTATATATAGTGTGAAATAAGGATCAGGATTTATTTCTTTCTGTACACATATCCAATTGTTCTAGTGCTGTTAGTTGTAAAGACTTTACATTTTCCACTGGATTGCTTTTGTGCTTTTGTCTAAAACTAAATGACTATATCTGAGAGTGGGATGATTTCTAGGCTATTTTGTTCTGTTGATCTGTATGTCTGTCTGGCTTTATGACAGTATTACTTCTTGATTACAATAGCTTCATAATAAATCAGTTTGGAAATGACTTATTTCATAAATCAAATAAGGAAAGGCCTTGTGTAAACCTTTGAAACTTGTTCTTTTTCAAAATCACTTTACTTATTGTAAGCCCTTTCATTTACACATAACTTTTAAAATCAACTTGTCCATTTTTATTTCTTTAAAAAAGCCTGCTGGGATTTGGCTTAGGGTGGCTTTTGCATCCAGATCGGTTTGGGGAGAACTAACGTTTTAATAATAATTGAACACAGTATATCTTTCCATGTACTAAAATCTTTTAATTTATCTCCGTAATATTTTGTAGTTTTCAGTGCACAGGTCTTACATGTAAAATTTATCACTGAGTATTTAGTATTTTTGTGCTACTTTAAATAGTATTTCCAAAAACTCCATATTTCTAGCTAGTGTACAGAAATACAGTTGAGTTTTACTTGCTAACTTGGTATGTGGTCTTATTAAACTCACTTATAGTTCTAATAAGTATGTTTTGTGTGTGGGAGGAATGGTAAATTAGTGAGGGTTTTCAAAATAGAAAATTATGTAGTCTGTAAATAAAAATGGCTTTACTTCTTTCTTTTCTATCTGTATACTGGCTATTCCCTCCTAATCAGAGTCAAATGGAAGTAATGAAAGTAGATGTCCTTGCCTTTTTCCTGATCTTAGGAGTAACATTCATTTTTTCACCGTTGGTTGATATTAGTTGTAGGTTTTTCCTAGATACCATTTATCAGGTTGAGGAAATTCCTTTCCATTCCTAGAGTGCTGAGAAGTCTTTGGCTTCCTCTGTTTCTCCTTCCCTTCTCCATGAGTGGGTAGTGACACATTTGACACATCAAATGCTTTTTCTGCATCTATTGAGATGATTATATGGGCTTTCTTTTTGTTCTGTCAATATGGGAAATTGCTTTGATTGATATTTGAATGTTTAATCAATATTGGTTCCCCAGGATAAACCCCGTTTGGTCATGTTGTATTATCCTTTTTATATATTGCTGAATTTGTGTTGCTGATACTTTGTTGAGGACTTTTAAGTCTGATTCATGAGAGCTATTGGTCTGTAGTTTTCTTGTGATGCTTCTGCTTTTAGTGTCATGGTAATGCTGGCCTCAGAAATAAATTGGGAAGTGTTTCTTCTTTATCTTTTTTTTTCTGAAAGAGATGTTTTAGAATTGGTTATTTCTCCTTTAAATGATTAAATGTTTGGCAGATTTGCCAGTAAAAGCATTGGGGCCTGAAGTTTTGTGAGAAGGATTTTCACTACAGTTTCAAGGTCTTCGGTTGATACAGGGTTCTTCAGGTTATCTACTTCTTGGATGACGTTTGATTTGTCTATTTCTTCTAAGTTGTCAAATTTATTGGCATCAAGTTGGTTATATCTCCTTGTTATCTTCTTAATAGATCCTGTTGGATCTGTAGTGATGTACCTTCTCTCATTCCTGATATTGGTAACATGTGTCCTCTTTCTTCTAGATGAGTCCTGGAGGTTTATCCTACATTACTGATCTTTATCAAGGTCTTTGGTTTTATTGATTCTTCTCTACTGTTTATTCATTTTCTGTCTCATTGGTTTCTTTTTCTTTTTTTTTTTTTTGAGACAGAGTTTCACTCTTGTTGCACAGGCTAGAGTGCAATGGTGTGATCTTGGGTCACTGCAACCTCTGCCTCCCTGGTTCAAGTGATTCTCCTGCCTCAGCCTCTCATGTAGCTGGGATTACAGGTGTGAGGCACCACACCCAGCTAATTTTGTATTTTTAGTAGAGACAGGGTTTCCCCATGTTGGTCAGGCTGGTCTCGAACTCCTGACCTCAAGTGATCCACCTGCCTCGGACTCCCAAAGTCCTGGGATTACAGTTGTGAGCCACCGCACCTGGTCTGTCTCATTGATTTCTGCTCATAAGTTTATTATTTCTTTCCTTCTCCTTACTTTGGGATTAATTTGATTTTCTTTTAATTTTTTCTTAAAGGCAAAGCTCAGATCATTGATATTAGGCCTTTTAAACATTTTTAAGTACATTATTTACTATAAATTTTCCTCTTAGCTCTGCTTTTGCTGCATACCACTAATTTCAGTATACTGTTGTTCTACTTTATTTCACTTCAAAATATATTGTAATTTCCCTGGTGACTTATTCTTTGATTCATGAGTTTTTAAGAAGTGGGTTGTTTTATTGTTTAGTTTCCAAATACTAGAATATTCTAGATATCATCCTGTTACTGATTTCTAGTTTAATCCCATTGTCAGAGAATATGCCTTGTATAATTCAGTTTTTTAATTGGTTGACATCTTTTTAATGGCATAGAATGTGATCTACATTAATATTACATTTAAAAAGAATGTGTGTCCTGCCTTTGTAGGGTAGATGTTCCGTAAATGTCAGGCAAAGCTGGTTGATCATGTTGTTGAAGTCTTCTGTTTACTGACTTTCTGTTAGTTTGTTCTATCAGTTATGTAAAAGTGTTTTCATTGCTGTAATGAATGGCCCATATGTGCCGTCATTTGCATACATGTACAGGTATAGCAGTAAGATAAATTCACATAAGTGGGTGGCTTGCTCAAAGGGTAGATGTGTACTTTTCAGAGAAATTGTCAAATTGTTCTCTGTACAGGTTGGACCATTTTGCACTGCCACCAGAATTGTATGAGAGACTGTTTTCTCATAGCCTTGTAATATTTTTGGTTAGATAAAAAGGATCTTACTATAGTTTTGGCTTTCATTTCTTTTATGAGCATTTGAGCCTTTTTCATATGTTTAAAATTTATGTTATTTTTAACTGTCTCTCACATATATCTTTGTCCATTTTCTCTTTGTTGGTCTTTTTCCTCTAGATTTCCATGAGCCCTTTCTATAGTAAGGAGATTAACCCTTTGTGATAACCCTTTTCCTAGTTTGTATTTGATCTTTCCCCTGAATATGTCTTAACTTCTCTCTAGTCAAGTATATCAATCTTTTATGGCTTTGCTACTACAAGATGTTGAAGGAGCTTGCCAGCATGGACAAAATTTATGTGGAGTTTACCTTTAATGTACATTTATACTTGGCTTTGAATGAGTGGCTAATTTCCTTAAACCTTTTTGTCATAATCTTCCATCAATCAGTGAAGATTCAACTGTGAGAAATTATAGAGACACAGTGCTGGTAACAGCAGGAACTGAATGCCCAGCAAGGAAATCGCTGTTGCTGTTTTCACGGAGTCCACTGTTGAGGGACATGAGAGATGATGATAAGGCCTTAGATGAGGCAACCTGGTAGAGTTTACAGCTGGGAACAATTCCAGGTCCTGCCACTGCAGAGTGACCCTGGGAAAGTCATTTAGCCTCTCTCCAACTGTTTATGCATCTGTCAGACGCCCACTCTGACAGTGCTGAGAATTCAGTGGCATGGTAGGTGCGGCCGCACCTTGAGAGGAGTCAGTGGTGGAACAGCCTACACGTGTTATGGTTTCTCATCATCAGCCATGTCTCCATGTCTGCTGTGGCTTCCTGACTCTCTGAAAGGAATCTTCTCAGAAACTTCCTTTTATTAAACTTAGAGACTGTCTTAGCTTGGGGTGCCAAAGACAAATGTCGTAGACTAGGTGGCTTAAAAAACAGGAATTTCATCTTCACAGTTCTGGAGACTGAAGTCCACAATGAATGTGCCAGCAGAGTCAGCATCTGGTGAGGGATCCTTCCTTGGGTTACAGATGGCTGCCTTCTCACTGTGTCCTCATGTGTCCTCATGTGGCCTTTCCTTGGTGCACGTCGGTGGTGGGGAAAAAGATCTTCTGTTTTCTTATAAGGGTACTAGTCTCATTATGAGGTCCCCCTATGACCTAATCTAACCCTAATTATCTTTCAAAGGCCCCCTCTCCAAATACTATCACATTGGGGTTAGGGCTTCAACATATGAATTTTGTAGGAACACAGACATCTAGTCCATAACAGGGACTGATGTCTTTTTAAACATAGTTTTATTAGGTAGAGTCTCACTCTATTGCCCAGGCTGGAGTGCAGTGGCACTATTATAGCTCACTGCAGTCTCAACCTCCTGGCCTCAAGTGATCCACTTGCTTCAGCCTCCTGAGTAGCTGGGGCTACAAGCATGTGCCACTATGCCTGGCTAATATTTACATTTTTTGTAGAGACCAGGTCTCGCTATGTTGCCCAGGCTGGTGTTGAACTCTTGGCTTCAAGTGTTCTTCCCGCCTCGGCCTCTCAAAGCACTGGGATTCCAGGCATGAGCCACCATGCCCAGCCAGGTACTGATGTCTTGAGCAGGCTGCTGACTGCATCTCTGTGACATTCTGTTCATGCCAACAGTCAACATGGCAGCCGTGTGGAGAGAGGAGCACGTGCACCGCAGGAGAGCCATCTGGGCCTGGGTAGGGTAATCACAGAGCTTTCAGGACATTGAAAGCTGGTTTTGGGAGAGGAGCTTTGGCAGGTCTGTGCCAGCCTGGATCCTCCTTGGGTTCCTCCGCAGGGTTCATCTGTTTCTGAGGCAGATCCACTCAGCAGTGGTGAGCTGCAGCCTGCAGCTTTGCGTGACACTCAGAGATGGCCCCAGACTCTGTTCCTCTACAGGGAAAGGTAATTGCTCTCTCAGAGCCAGTCCTAGGAGCAAAGGGTGGCTGGTAGAAATAACCCATGCTCAGAAAAAGCCTGCATTTTGCATCTTGGCTTCTCTACATTAAAAAACTTAGCTTCCCAATACTAATATAGCATTCACTCTGTGCCGGGCCCTGTTTGACCCCATGACACATCCGTATGAAGTTTTTTTTTTTTTTTTTGAGACGGAGTCTCACTCTGTCACCCAGGCTGGAGTGCAGTGGCGCTATCTCAGCTCACTGCAAGCTCCACCTCCCGGGTTCACACAATTCTCCTGCCTCAGCCTCCCGAGTAGCTAGGACTACAGGCGCCCGCCACCGCGCCCAGCTAATTTTTTGTATTTTTAGTAGAGACGAGGTTTCACTGTGTTAGTCAGGATGGTCTTGATCTCCTGACCTCGTGATCCGCCTGCCTCAGCCTCCCAAAGTGCTAGGATTACAGGCGTGAGCCACCGCGCCCAGCCTCGTATGAAGTTTTATGGTAGGGTTCAGGCAGGGAAGCAAACCCCTCTAAGTGATGCAGAATAGGGGTTTGTGGCAGGGGTGCGACTTTCCACATGGTGGTTGCTGGTGCCGACGTCCTGGTAAAGCGGTTGCCTCTGAGTGTGGTGTTGGTCTGAAGTCAGCAGCCGTGCAGTCAGGAAAGAAGGCTGGGCAAAGAGAAAGGCGCAAGGACAAACTGGCGCCCATGAAGATGGCCTGGACCTGTACGTGACCCTCACTGTCTCAGCCTCCATGACATTGGGCATCCTGCAGAAGAAGCTGGCGCCTTTGCCACAGAGCTATATGCACGCCTGGCTTATGACTCAGCGAAGCTGGAGCGGGGAGATGCAGCAGGAGCGGAGAATCCATGGGCTCGGTGCGGCCCCTCTCTCCCCTGGGCGAGCCCGTGGAGCCACAGAATGCAGAATGTGCCTGGCTGAGCTGCGGCAGCACCGGAGCCGCTTCACCTCCACCTTTCACTCATGCAGATGTCTCTGGGAGTCAGCTTCAACTGGGAACCACGTAGGAAGGAAATTCTGGGCAACGTAGTTCCAGTTGAGCTCTGTGCACGCAGTATATGCAGCCACCGTGAGGGAGTCTGTTATTTTTTTCCACTTTATAGGTAGGACAGTGGAGGGAGGGAGGGGTTAAGTGACCTGCCCAGAGTCACCTAGCTAGTAAGTGGGACTCCCGCTTCAGTGCTTTTGAAGCTGCCACCCAGTGCTTCTACTTTTTCGCTCCAGGAAGCCCACCCGAGTCCTCCAGGAGCTGGACCTCGGGGCCCTCCGGTCCATCGAGAGCTCCCCCGAGATGAAGCCTCCCAGGTACAGGAAACTTCCCGCACAGCCCCTGGATAGGCCGCGGTGGAGCTCAGTCCTGGTCTCTTGGAAGTTGAAGTTTCTTTATGTTTCACCATGCATACTTATTTCTCGGTGACAAGCTTCCTGTGTCTCTCTTACGAGAATGCTGACCAGGCTTGTCTGGGGCTCACCGTGAGCACCCGATGCGGCTGGCAGGTGGAGGACGTTTGTGTGTGGATCATGTGTTTGGGCCCCTTCACAACAACTCGTACCTTTTACTGCCAGCTGCTGCCAGGGGCTGTAGGCATCCCACTGCCGCTTACAGAGATCCAAGTGTTTGTTTCCCAGTAAGCCATGGAGTTTAGAGTTGAGCAAAGGCCTGCCTGGCACACGACTGCCACTGGGTCGGCCGAGCCCTGGGTCTGCAGCTCCCTTTAGGAGCTGGAGGAAGGGCCACCAAAGCCATGGGTGGCGTTTCTTGAGCTGCATCTCAGGGTGGGGCAGCACACCCCAGGCCCTGTGCCCTAGGGGCCTAGATGGGGTAAGCACAGATTTTCTCTACCGCTGGAAACTTAGGGAGGAGGGCTTTGCAAACAGCGACTGAATGGAGCCAAAGGGGATTCAGGCATCATGGGATAAGCAAAGTGAGTATTCAGTCTCCAAATCTGAGACCTCAAAGTTCTTGAATTTCCTGACTGCCTCAGTCTCCCAGCCTATGCTTCCTGAGTCCTGTTAGCACCTGGGGCTGTTGACATGCAATTCTTTGGTCATGTGTCTTAGTCAGTTCTAGCTGTTATAACAAAACACCACAGACTGGGTGGCTTATAAACCACAGACACTTCCATCTCACAGTTCTGGAGGCTGGGAGTCCAAGACAAGGTGCCAGCAGATTCAGTGCCTGGTGGGGCCCCTTTTCCTGGTTCATGAGATGGTGGCTTCTTCCTGTGTCCTCACATGCGGAGGGGGCAAGCTGGCACTATGGGACCTCTTTTATAAGGGCACTCATTCCATTAGTGAGGGCTCTGTCCTTGCAGCCTAATCACCTCCCAGAGGCCCCACCTCCTCATACCGTCACCCTGGCAATTAGGTTTCCATGTGTGAATTTTGGAGGGACACATACTCAGATTGTAGCATCATGTTCACCTTATTTTCTGTGGGTGCTGTCTCCTGGACTTAGGCTGAGTCCTGCACAAAGAGAGCTTCCATGTGGGGCTCCTGACCCCCTCCCACTGTGTCCCCTGCTGTGTAACCTCTGCATAGGAGGGACTGAAGAGTTGTCAAGAGGCCTGGTTTGGGACGGTCCTTACTGGTCATTTGAGGAGGTAAAACTTCCGTGAGGTGATTACTTTAAATAAGCTTTTAAATGTGAAATAATTTTAGATTAATAGAAGAGTTTTACAGATAGTACAGAGAGTGCCCATATCCCCTCCATCCAGCCTGACCTACTGTTAACATCGCACACAGCCACGGCAAATTAATCTCTACCATGAGATGACAGCACTATTCACGAAACCCTAGACTTTCTTCTCATGTCCCCGGTTTTCCCACTGATGACCTTTTTGTGTTCCAGGATCCAGTCTGGATGCCATGCTGCATTTACTTGTCACATCTCCTTAAGTCTCCAGTGTGTGACAGTCTCTCGGTCGTTCCTCATGTTTCATGACCTTGACACGTGAGGAGTCGGGTATTTTGTAGACGGTCCCTCCGTTTGGGTTTGTTTGATGTTGTTTCGCAGTTAAAATGAGGTTATGGATTTGGGGATGGAACACCGTGGAGGTAAAGTGCCCTTCTTGTCACATCGTATCAGGGGCCACATGTTACCAACACAACTTAATAATGGTGATGTGAACCTTGATCACTTGGCTAAGGTGGTGTCTGCTTGGTTTCTCCATTGGTAAGCTACTGTTTTTCCCTTTCTCTACTCTGTGTTAGATTTGAGTCTGTTAAGTCCAGCCCAAACTCAAGGGCAGGGGATGGGGTGGGGAGATTAATCTCCAACTCTTGGAGGATGGAGTAGCAAAGAATTTGTGAACATAGGTTGCCAAAACCACCACCGTCATTGACCCATGTTTTCGGAGAGATGCTTTGACCCTATACAGATACCCTGTTTCCAGTGAAGTTGCTTTTCAAATGGCTTTGTTCAGTTTTGAACATGATGCAGGCTGTCTCCCTCTTCCCAGGTTCTGACATGAGGTTTGTGAATTTGATTAATAAAATGCATAGGGAGAAGCCGATTTCTTTGCCTATTTATGATGCTGCATCAGAGTTCTGCTGGCCGTTGCATTTTAATATTGGGAAATCTGAAGGCTGTGTCTCTTGGGGGTGACACATGGGAGCTTGAAGCAGAAGAGCTGGATGGGCCCCAATGTCAGGAGAATAGTGGTGCTTACTTATTGCATATGGGACTCACTTGTTTGCTTGCGAAGGTAAGGTAACAACTTAGAGGAAGTGTTAAGATAACGTCAGTAGCAGACGATATTTTTAGATGCTATTTTCTCTACCCATGTCTATGAACTCTCAATTGCCCTGTGTGAATTTAAGGGGAAAAAATATGGTTTTAAGTAGCTCTGGCCCTAACTGACCCTGTGGCAAATTCAGTTGGCTCTGTTGAAGGATTGTTAGGCTGGTGGTGTGTTTACGTGTTCCAAAATTCTCAGTCAACTG
This sequence comes from Homo sapiens, assembly GCF_000001405.40. Classification (NCBI taxonomy): domain Eukaryota; kingdom Metazoa; phylum Chordata; class Mammalia; order Primates; family Hominidae; genus Homo; species Homo sapiens. The sequence goes on along the minus strand of NC_000002.12, from coordinate 134,466,592 downwards.
CTTGGTGAGTTATCTGTGGAAAATTCTATATAGAAGATGCTGTTCTTAGCATTCTGACCAACTCTGTTATTGATCTATGACTGCTACTCATTTTAGCAGAATAGTGGGGAGGTCAATCTCCTACAGGAAAATAAATACGTAATGGTTTTTTAAGTAAATATAAATTGGGATTATCTGTTTTTGAGCATCTTTTCCAATTCCTGGTGACACATAACTGAGGTGTGAAAGCATGCAGTATACCCCCACCTGGTGGCAGCACACCTGACTATTTGTACTTGGAACAAGGCTGATCTGTAAGGCAAGTGGGTTGCAGATGATCTGCTCCAGCAGGAGGTGAACTGTTGAAATCTGGAACTTTCTCTTGCAGGACGATTTCCTGTTCAGTGTCTCCATTTTAAGTGGGATTCTTTGCAGCATCCTGGCCGTGTTGAAGTTCATGCTGGGGAAGGTTCTGACCAGTAGAGCACTCATAACAGATGGTGAGTAAGGCCAGGGTGCCTAATCTCTGGGGGCTGGGCTCACAGTGGAGGAAGATGCTGTTTGGGTCTCTTTTAGTTGTTTCCCTTGCTGGAGAACTCAATAATTTGGAATCCATTTCTCACTCTCCTACCCGCCTCAAGTTGTTTAATGATTCTCAGAGCTCCCATATCAGGGCAGATATCCTGTGCCCTGGGAATTCAATAAACTCTTCATAAATCACCTCCACTCTGACCTCCTAGCAGGGAGGCTTGGGGCTCCCCAGCCTCTTAATCATGAAGCACAAAGGGCTTCCTGGAGTCTTGGGTTTTATGTGCATTGCTCCCCATAAAAAGTAAATGCCTTTTCTGGATTCTATAAATGTTTCCTTTGTGAATTCTCCATGCTTGTTTTTCCTTCCAGCTAGTGGGACACTCACCTGGGAGTTCAGGTTGCAGTTACCAGGTGTCTGCTCTGGGGAAATGACCTGTGTGTTTTCTGCTTAGAATCTCAACCAGCTAGAAAAGTCTGTGTGTGTCCCTGTGGGACAGGAGGAACTTTCTTTATGACCTTTGGGATGACAGAGAGGGGTGTGTGAGTGCAGGAAAAGTACGTTTCAGGCCCCAGACTCGCTGATATCACTGATGTGTAGACAAGAAACTTGACAAGCAGTGCCTCCTGGACATGTTGCTTTGATTTATTCCTGGGCATGTGCGGAGCCCAGGGGTCACGTCAAAGGGCAAAAGTCTTGTGGGTTGGTGGGTTGGTGGGTGCATCTGCACAAAATAGAGCAGAAATATGTGGATTCTTTTTTAAAAAGTTTATATATATGTGTCTGTATATGTATATATGTACACACAAACATGTTTTATGTTATACACACGTGTGTGTGTATGTGTGTGTGTATATATATATATTTTTGTTTTGTTTTTGTTTTTTTTTTTTTTAAAGATGCGGACTCACCATGTTGTTGCCCAGGCTGGTCTCAAACTCCTGAGCTCAGGCAGTCCTCCCACCTCGGCCTCCCAAAGTGCTGGGATTACAGGTGTGAGCCACCGTGCCCGGGTAGATTATTTTTTTAAGAAATACTTCCTTGTCCAAAACTCTCAAGGCTCTTTTGTGTGTGAAGTGTGGAGTGCAGACATGCATGGTGACAGTGACAGTTGTGGGGCCCTTCTCACCCGCAGGACGGAGCATGGTGACATGGCATGGGCTCCTTGTCTTAGCCGATGTTGACCTGCTGGGTGCAGAGCTGAGCTTTGCACAGTGGGCAGGGACATGGGAAGCCAAAGTGACGTTTCCACCCTGGGACAGAGCTCTGGCCCAAGAATCCATCTGCAGAGGTGGTGGGACTGTCGACAGGTGGCGGGACTGTTGGCAGATGTGTCGGCAGTTCTAGGGGGTGAGGGTGGGGGTGTGGGCTGGTTGTCCTTGTTGGGGAGCCAGGAGTCCCTGTGCCCACCGCCTGCTCCCACTCCTCCTCCTGAGTCTGCAACACGGTCTCTTGGGAAGGCAAGAGGACGCCCCCAGCTTTTCACCCATGGCTACCCTCGGAAGAGCATCACCCGTGTGCATGGATGTGCGTGGGGTTCCTTTGAACAGGCCTGAAGATGTTGGGGGTTACAGGACCTGACATCCTGACTGCAAAATCCCAGACCCCAGATACTCATCAGTTGACCACTACCAGGCTGGCAGCACTGAAATTGCTTGGGGTGTTTGCTGAAAACAGATTCCTGGGCCCACCCCGAAGATTCTGACTCCAGGGGATTGAATTGGGGCCCGGGAACTGATGTTTTATGCCAGCCCCCCAAGACTATGTGGTGCACACTGAAGTTTGGTGCTGCCCCTGTGCCTGCCCCAGGGGCCAAGTACAGCATCTCCCCAGGGAAGGTGGCCCCTGCTGTGTCCAGCACTCCTGCATGCCATGTGACCAGCAGCTCAGAGTCCTTCCTAAAGTCGCCCCGACCAGCAGGGCCTGCTGTTGGTTTCTGCCCTTGTGAGATGCCACCTTGCTCCTGGGGTTGAGGAAGCCTTTAGTTCATATGAAACCAAACCTACTTAGATGGTAAAAGCAGTTTAAAATGGCGAGAGGATTGACTACCTTGACTGCCTGGGTTAAGACTGCCTCTTTCCTGTGCAGCTTTCAGCAGTGCTAAGGCCCCTCATGTGCAACAGGCAGGCAGGACCCCCTTCCTCAAGCTCCAGATGAAGCCCTGGGTTGCTGCCTCCTGCCAGGCTGGGAGAAGTCGGGATCCTGCTGCCGTCAGGTCCTGGGTTTGATGCTGTTGGAGCGTGAAGTTGCAGTAACACCGGATCAGCGGGGTTTTACACTCTGTTAGGTGCCGCACTGGCTGGGGAAACCAGCTCCAAAGCTGAGCCTCCCTTTCCAGTTTCTGCCTTATTGCTGTGAGGCATCCTGCCCTGATCCCCAAAACGTGGTTGCAACTCAGCCAAGCAACCCCTCTGCTATAAATACACAGGTCTTTCTAGCACAGCCGGATCTAAAGAACTTGCAGTTCAGCCTCCTGAGAATGACACAGCATACTGAGGCCACAGCCTGGGCTTCTGGGGTCTCCGTCACCCACTGAGACATCGTAGAATTATAGCCAGCTTGCGTCAAGTTGACCCTAATACATTGTCCTGCAAGACCCAGGTTCATCTGCATGGCCTTCCTTGTCTGGGGCAGACCTGGGATTTGGGGTAGGGAGTTCACCCACTGGGATTTTTGTAGTCTGCTGCTTTGTGGTCTGCAAAATCAAATGCCTTCCTTGGCCATGGAGCCCTTCTTTCCTTAGGGATGAGTGTAGCCAGGACACCAGGTGGGTTCTGTGCTGAGAGCCGAGGGATGAGTGGGCCCTGGCCAGGGGTTTGGGTTGGGACCTCCAGCTGCCTTAGAGGTCCCTTTACGTGGTTCTGAGGGCCACACTCTGGCCCAGCCCTGTAGGGATGCAGAGTGGAGGCCTGGCTGGCCTCGGCTTCCCTCAGCTGTGTGTGCTGCCCACCTGCCCTGCAATGTCTCCTCACCTGGAACAGGAGGGAAGGGCAGGAGCCCTTGGGGTAGGCAGTGTGGGTCTGAACAGCTTTGTGGGCTCCCAGTGGTGAGTCCATAGCAGGCAGCTCCTCGGCTGGTTCCCAGGCAGGCTGTCAAGTCCCTCTGGCTCGCAGATCTGTGGGATCTTTATCCACCTCACTGACCGCAGTTGGGGTACAGGAAACCTCATTCGCTGGACACCTGGCTGTGGATCCAGCAGTCAGAGCCCCAGCAAGAGTCCCTGGCCCCACCCTGCCCATGACCATGGGACTTGACCCCCCTCCTTGGAACACTGGCCCTGTGACTTGGTTGGTGCTGTTTCCTAACATAGATATTCCAGATACACGATCTCGGTCTAGGCTTCACTGTTCTGGCTTTCATCATGTTATGTGGTGTACAGAGGAGAACAACAATAAGGCTGCTTTTCTAATGAAACAACTTCTGACTCTGGTTTGCGCACATGAATCCATCACACACGTAAGCAGTATTTCCACCATACTTGTGAACCAGGGAGGAGGTCATTACAAAGAAAAGTGGGGAGTTTGGGTGAAAACAGTCTCATAATCAGGTGAAGAGTGGGGAAGAGCCGTCCTTCAGGCGGAGGGAGTCCGAGTGAGGAAGGGGCATGGGGGAGTCCCTTCCTTACTTGGAAGTGGGGGGACAGAGCATGGCAGGGCTTGAGGTCTAGGGTGGGATTTGGAATATTTTGCCAAATGTTGAAACAGGTAGGGTGACATGAGTGCTGTTTTCTGCAGAGCCCTCTGGTCATTGGTGGTGGGGAGCAGAGTCGAGGGAGCTGGGAGCTGAGCAGAGGGAGGCCTGGGGAGTGGAGGGGATGGCAGCTCGGATAGGGTGAAGGAGAGGGTATGGGAAGTGGTAGGGTAGGTATAGAATGGTCAGCGTGGGGATGAATCGGCTGAGTGGGTTTAATGAGAGAGAGAGACAGAGAGCAGAGGCAATGCCCCCCGCCCCCGAGCCTGTTCCCAGGGGGCCCTGTGCTCTGTGGCCCTTCGATCCCCTGCTAGGTGGGTGTGTTGCCGGCAAAACATGCAGCAGTAATTACAGCCTCCTGCTAATTGTACTATCTGGGATCTGGGCTTCTTACATTCATTGATTAGCAGAACTAGGGAGCGATCTATAATTATCTTCTCTGTTCTTTCCTCACTTTGGAAGGTGGGCGGGCAGGATGGGCTCAGGGAGCCATGGCTGTCATGAACGTTGGGGGTTCCCTGAGGCTGCCAGCCAGGCTGTGGCAGAGCCAAGCATCCCCTTTGTGGGAGAGGGCCGGCTTCCCCTGTCAACTGGGTCCCAACCCGGAGCCAGGCTGAAGTGGGCCAGGCTGATGCTGCCAGCTCACTTGTCGCTGGGGTGTCCTTACAGCTGGGAGGCAGATCTTCAGGGAAAGGGACAGCAGGGTGTGGCCGATGGAGATGATGGGGAAATTCCAGACTTCCCCACTTCACCCTGTGCGGTGCAGTGAATCTGGTCTGATCTGGTTTGTGGCTTTGGATGTGTTGTCATCATGGGTTTGTTGCTATTGGGACTGGGCTGAAGCTTGCTTTGTACTAGGGTAATGTGATTTTGTACAACAAACACACACTACAAATCAGAGGAAGAGCATGAGAGAGCACTGGGGGAGCGCTCTGGACGAGGGGCACAGCTTCAGTCCTACAGGAACAGCTGGGGCAAATCTAGAAGCCCCTCTGAAACAGGAGCCTGCTGTTTTCTCCTGCTCATATCCAGTTCTCAAATACCCCATCTATGATGATCTTTCAAGCACACAAGAAACTTTTAAATTAGAATATTCTGCATACAATGAATGTTTTTAACTACACAGATCCTGATCCAGTTGGCAAAGCCAGACTGGTGGAGCTGTAATCAGGATGGCCTCAGCCATCATTTTGTGCCATTGTATGCTCCTAAACTGATAACATTTCTGTGTTAGAGCGGATCTGTGGTTGCAACTGTGGGGACAGGGCCAAGCTCGTGGGGCTGGCACTGCAGAGGGGAGTGACGGCAGGGCCTGCCTGCTGGGCTGGGGGCTCAGGGCTCTTCATGTGGAATGACGGATTGGGAAGGCCCTGACATTTGGAGCAAAGTGGCAGGTGGCCACTGACTCGGTCCCTAGTCCCTGTGTGCTTGATCCAGCATCCTCAGGCAGACTCTCAAGAAGTGAAGCTGAAATGAGTCAGGCTCTGTCATCACAAAAGGTGAGCCGAGCCAGGCAAGGCAGAGTCTCCTCCTAGAAGAAGCAGCAAACATGTGCCCCTGCCACCAGCCTCTCAGCTGTGGGGTGTCGGGGAACACCTGGTGGACCTGCTGTCAGGAATAGCAAGCTGGGCCGGCCTTGGTGCTGGCTGGCAGAGCGGGTGACTTGGTGGAGCTGAGCAGACATCTAGTGGCTGTCTGGGGAACCTCACGCTTTTGCCTCTTTTCTGAGCAGCACCTGGCTTGGGCTTGCTTCTCCTGGGGTGACTGTCTGCGGGAGCCAGGCAGGGGTGGCGCTCAGGCTGGGCCCATGCCTGCCTGCCTACTTCCTCCTTCGTGTGGTCACTTGTTAATGCAGCGGTCATTTGCACCCCTGATGAATGCCAGGCCCTGTCCTGGGACTTCGAATACTGCAAGGAGAGACAAAGTTCCTGTCCTTAAGCTTAGGTTTCCAGTGAGAGGAGGGGGGCGGTTAAAATGGCAAAGCTCGCCTGTTAGCTGGAGGCAGGAGGGAGTGGTGGGTGGAGGGGAGGAAGTTTAGGGGCTGAGGGCTGAGGACAGGGCTGGGAGGGAGGCCCTGGGTGATGGTGACAAGCCCAGTGGCCCTGAGGGGAGGGCAGGATGGCTGTTGCAGGGTTGTGTGGCTGGATGTGAGGGGTCTGGTGGGATTTGAGCCCGTGACGGGGGCTTTCCTGCGGGAGAGTCTGGCTGCTGCTCACCGACAGAGGGTCCCTCTGGCTGTGGCGGGGTACAGGGAGGGCCACAGGTGGCCAGGACAGAGCAGGGATCAGCGGGGAGAGTGAGAATGAATTTGGGGGGGGGTAACATCTGGCAAGGGGCTCGAGGGGCAGGTTGGTGGTGTAAGGGAAGATGGGCTCCTAGAATCTTGGCCTCTGCAGCTGGTGGCCCCATCTACGGAGCATGCAGCGGAGGGCGAGGTGGCGCTCAGGGCTTTGTCATGGCTGTGGTCAGTCTGAGATGCTTCCATGAGGAGCCTGTGCCTGAGGTCAAAGGTCAGGACAAAAGCTGGGAATTGAGGGGAGCAGGGCTCATGGATTGGCAGAGGGCCAGCTCAGAGGACAGAGCCTGGGACACTCAGGTGGGGATGCAGGGGAGGACCCAGCAAAGGGGACAGGAGGAGCCTGGGGAGGGGGGTGTGGGGCTAGGGATTGACCCCCACCAAAAGGGGGCCTGTCACCACTGCAGGTAGCAGGATGAGGATGACTTTGACTTTGGGAAGGGCTGGGGGAGGAGGGAACCCGGGCAGAAGGGGGGTGTGAGTGTGGAGGCAGCAGGCAGACTCTTCTGCGGGTTTTGTGAAGGCCAGTAGCAGATGGGGGAGGCGTGGGGTGGAAGAAGAGTTCACTGGGGATGGGAAGGTGGGTTAATCCCAGTAGGAGCAATCCAATCCAATCTGGGAAGGAGGGAGGGAGGAACATCGCAAGAACCAGCCCTTGTTCCTGTTACAGGAACAGTTACAGGTGGGTGGTGGATGTGGTGTGGGGAATATGAGGTATCCTCGACCAAACCTCGGTGTCCTGAGCACAGGGGAGAGAAGGGCGTGCCACCAAGTGCGTTGTAGGGTCCAGGCCAGTCCCTGGGGTGCCCTTGCAGGTCCGCGGTTCATCTTCCATTCCTGTGAGCGGCCATTGCATCCCTGCCTTGGATCCTGAGTAGATTTGCTCAGGTCATCCCTGCCTGGCAATCTTCCTCTGCCCCAGGGGAAGCCAGGCCTGGCGTGGGAGGTTACGGGCCTGCACAAACCTACCAGCAGGGCCTCCTTGGGCAGCGTGGACCTGGAGCTTCTCTTGGGGCCACCAGTGTGTTGGGGCAGGGGAGGAGCTGGTGTCCTTCGCGGGGAGACCCTAGAAGCTACCTTAAGCCATTCCCTTCCCTTCCCATGTGGCCTTTGACAGCTCTGGTAAAGTAGAAGTATCACATGTAAGCTGGGAGCCCCAGTGGGCTGCTGTGTGAAAGGAGATGGCAGTCACTATCTAGTAGCTCCAGTTCTGTTTTTATGGCCATTTCTCCAACCATGTAGCCAATACTTTGCAAAAAACTTAGCATAATAGACTTTACATTTCTCTTCTGGAGGGAAAGGAAAAAACCTCAGGTTACTTAGAGGAGACTCGGGAGGGAAAGGATGCAGGTTGGGATAGAATGCCCTTCTCAATCTGGATAACCTCCATCAATGTATTTAACCTCATTCTTAGTTTTCTCATCGGAAAGCAGGGATGATGATGATAATGTGACGTCACACGATTGAGAAAGGTTATAGGTAACCACACGTCCTGAACACCCAACTCGGAATCTGGCCCAGCAGACACTCAGATATGAGTCCCCAAGTATTTGAATGTCTACTGTGAGCCTGGAACTGTCCTGGGGACTGTGGACTCAACAGAAAACCACACCCCTGCCTCTAGGAGGTTTGCGTTCTAGCGGGCACGGGCGAGACCAGCTATAAACCACATATGGCGTCAGTTCCCAGAAGAGAAATAAAGCAGGTACAGAATGATGGTGGGGGTGACGGCTCTATTCTGGGAGGTATCTGGTGACATTTGAGCAGAGACTTGATGGGCCCAGGTGGTGGCTATCACTCGTGAGAGCTTTGGGCATCATTCCTCCCAGCACATGCTCCAGTTACGTGGAGGCAGGACTGGCATTTGGGTGATTTTCTTGGATTGCTTGGCACTGCCATCTAGCCTCTCTCCACTTCCTTTGCAGGGTTTAACTCCCTCGTGGGTGGCGTGATGGGCTTCTCCATTCTTCTGAGCGCGGAAGTGTTCAAGCATGACTCGGCGGTCTGGTACCTGGACGGCAGCATAGGCGTTCTGATCGGCCTCACCATATTTGCCTATGGGGTCAAGTAGGTTCTTGTGCTTTCCTGTTTGCTTTCCTGGCAGCTAGGAGTGTCCCTTTTCCACCGCCTTCCCCAGTCAGGAAATGACAGGCTTCTGAAGGTCATATTTTGTACCTGTGCCCCTCCTGAGCCTGACCAGTGTCAGGTGACTGGAAAAGCACCCAGCAGGGGTCAGATATCCTTGGGGCTGGCACAGAAGTGAGGCAGGGACAAGAGGTATCAGGCCTTTAAGCCACAAAGGCACTCCTTGATTTCCATCTGATGCCTTTAGGACCCTTCGTGTCCTGACATCTATGCTCCTTCCTCTCTGACAGTCTTCATGATGCCCCAGGGAAGCACCTTTGCGTGGTTTCCTCACAAGTGGAGCCCCTCCTGCCACAAATGGGGGATGCAACAGTGTGCTGGCCAGAGGCCGCATCCCTAGCCTTAGAGAACTTCTTGCAAAAGGGGACTAGTCAGTGCAGAAAGGCCGTGCTGGCATCACTGACATGGACTTCAGCACCCAGGCTGGAGCTGGCCTTTCAGAGAACCATTTCTAAAGGGTGCTCTGCTTTTAAATGTTAAAATGCTTCCATTCTCAAGGAAAGGTAGGATGGCTATCATCAAAAAGAGGGACAACTGCCAGCGTCAGTGAGGACGTGGCGAAAGTGGAACCCTCATCCATGGCTGTGGGAATGGACGATGGTGCTGCCATGGACGCAGAGTTACCATTCGCCCCAGCACTTCCAGTCCTTGGTATACACTGCGGGAGGATGGAAACAAACCTCCACACTGAAAGTTGTCTGTGAAATTCACAGCAGAGTTATTCACAATAGGCAAAACGCAGAAGCAACACAATTGTCCATTAACAGATGAATGGATAAATGTGGTAGATCTGTGCAGTGGACACTTATTCAGCCCCCAAAAAGGAATGAAGTGCTAATACTCGCTCCAACATAGATGGACCTCAAATATTATGAAGGAAGTCACAAAAGGCCACGTTATGTGATTTTGTTTATATAAAATATCAATAGGCAAATCCATAGAGGCCAGAAGGAGGGTACTTCTCGTCAGGCGTGGGGAGGATGGGGAGTGAATGGTACAGTGGACATGGGGTTTCTGAGATAACACAAATGGATGAATATACTAAAAACCACCGAGCCACATAGGGTGAATTTTATGGTATGTGAATTATCTCAGGAAAAAAAAAATGAAAATACGCTTCCCCAAGCTCTTCAGCCCCATGCCATGGAGGTGACCTTGTCTGTCTTCGTCTTTGCAGACTCCTCATCGACATGGTGCCGAGGGTGAGGCAGACACGTCACTACGAGATGTTTGAGTGAAGGGGGCCAGCATCCGCATGAGACCATCGAGATGAGGAGTTTCCACATAGGCAAAGGGTGCCAATATTTAACTGAACATCTGGTTTCTTTTTGGAAGTTTTCTTTCACATGGTTTGTCATTACAAGACAAGGTCTGCCCAGCCAGGTGGATCTACCTTGCCCCCATCACCTGCCGCCCCCATCAAACATGTTGGGACAATGCCCATAGGAATGGACCTCCTTCCCCGTCTCCAGCTGGGACTGGCGTTTTTTAGTCTCTGGAGTATGATGGTTCTCATGGGTAGGATGAGATCTTTGGCAGAAAGGTCTTCGGTGGTGCTCTGAGCCTGCGCTGCATAGGACTGAGCAGACCCACCTCCTCCAGCTTGGGTGGCCCTGCCACTCCTGGTTCCAAGTCTCTCCTTTCCTGGCAGGTCTTAAGGGAAGATTGTACCCCTCACCCTTTACATACCCAGAATCATCAGTATGTCACTTCCTAATTTCTATCAGTGTATCTCATTATTTCATACTGTTTTACTAATCCTAAGTCTAAACAGATTTGCTCAAAAGGAGACCATTCTATTTTTTAAAGTACTTAGTGATACACGTATAAGCTTTGCATGGACGAATTAAATAAGCACATTGACCTTTTCTTGTACATTCAGAACCTGAACATCCATGTGAAAACTGGGTCCATTTTTGAGAGATGTGAAACTACAGTTTATTTGTAATAAATAAATATAATCTATCCGTATATGCATATATCTATATGCTGTGTTAAGTGGTAATGGGTACATTACAGTCTGTGAGAGATGGATCGCTCCCTCTGTAAGGAACAAGACGTTCTCAGCTGATGTCACGGTAGGTTTAGATTCTGTAGAGTGTTCCCCAACCCGCACCGTTCTGTACCTCTCACACCACTGCTTGCCCGGGCAGTAGTGGCTGACCAATAAAGACCTTTACCTGTTTTGTATGGCATGGGAAGGCAATCTTTGGCAGTCGTCACCGTGCGGCACCAACACATGGGGAGACCCGTCATGGGCAGGTTTTCCGCTGTGGCTGAAGGATGACCTGGGAGGGGAAGCTTGTGCCTAGGGGTGCTGAACGTGGAGACCCTGAAGGACTGTGGTGCAGGCCGCCCTCTCTGACCACTCAGGTAGGGGCCACACACTCACCTGGCACCGAGGGACAGCTGCTCCATGGCCTTGCTGCAGCTTTGGGGCCCTGTCTCCCCTCCACGCCAGTGAAGGGAGTTTGTTCTGTGAGGTCATGGAAACTTGGTCCAGTACCATGCTTTCAGGTTGCTTCCCCAGCAGTACTGAGGAATACGTCAAGGGATGTTAATATGTAACAACATGAACTAAAGAAAAAAAAGATTGGGAAGTGTAGGAGCCTGTAGGTTTCTCTTCTGCTGGTTTTCTCGTTGTGTCTAATATACATCATGGAAGCTCAGGGAGGGGAAGTGACACTGGTAGCGTTGCCCAAATGTAGGCACTCGGCTTTCCCTTGTGTTCTAACATGCTCTGTGAACTGTGTGGGGTGTCCATTTTGGGCCGTAGCCAGGAGGCCCGCCAGCTTCAGAGAGGCCATGCAGATGAGGGCCAGTGTCATCTGCAGACAAACTGTTGGGTGGGGCATGGACTAACCTTCCCTGTCTCCAGGGCATTTGCCTAACCAGCTGCTCATGGCTCACTGCTTCCTGGCTCAAAAGCTGCTCTTGAAAGGGAGAAATCTATTCTAGGTCCAATGGTCGCTGGTGCTCAGCCCCTTATAGAGCTATTTTTATTAGCTCATTCTTAAAGATTTTTCTCAAAATCTAGCAGTTCACTTTCTAATTGAATTTCCTTCTAGGGGAAGGCAGCACAAGGAGAGTGCGCTAACATGAGTAGTGGTGGATGTGATATAAGGGAAGGAATACACAGTAGTAAAACCTTCCCCTCTCCACTCCTTAAGTATACCTTCCTGTCTTCCTACCAGCCGTTTCAACAGTGTGCTGCAAACCGTGAAATACAGCTGGGGGAAGCTGTGTGCTGGGGACGCGCCTAGACAGCAGCTCAGCTTTGTTCTGGAGGTGACCCTGCATGCACCCGCCCCCCCAAAAATCACTTCCACCTGTCACACAAGAAAAGTTTATTGAAAAATAAAGTTCTCCCTAGTTTTCTCTACAACAGTGGAAAACAAAGCAGTGCTCTCTATGCCAGGACAGTACATTTGGACGGCGACACCTTGTTTGCAGAATCCTGCATTACTTAACCCCCGAAGTGAATCACACAAAATGGCTGTAACCAGGATCTGTTTGAAGACACAGATGCAAACGGCCATTAGCTTAAAGACGTCAAGGTTGTGACAGCAACTACAGTGGAAGGGACGTCACCATCTCCTTTGGCATCAACTATTATGCTATTAATACTTGGGTAGGACAATGAGCAAAATGCTTCCCAAGTTCGCTCCCTCTCAGCTTTGGCAGATGTGAAGCTGCTCTGAGGTTCCTGACACGCTGTCCTGAGAGGCGTGTAGACCTCCAGCACCACAGATCCTTTGAGCACCACCCCGTCCCCGCCATCCTCCATCAACAGTGGCCCTGCCCACCACATAAGCACAGGGTTCTCCAGCCGTGGGGTCAGGGTGGCATTGAGGGAGTGTCTTAAGGCTCCACAAAATCTGGGCTACAGAGATGCTTTGCAGATGGGAAATTCCAGTCACTGCATCCACAGGACGAGACTGCTGATTTGGCGGAACAGAATCCAAAGGAATTTGACGAAGTCACCAAACTCCAGCAAATTCCACACCTGCAATCTATCCAGAGTTGTGCCAAGACAGGGCAGGAGATAAGGAGATAGATAAAACTTTGAATCCATCAGGGAAGTAAGAGGCTAAATCCTCTCCCCCAAAACAAAAAGCAAACCGATATTTAGGTGATTTGGGAAAACATTCAGTCATGAGCAGCCTCTAGGAGCTGTTCTGAGAGGCCAAAATCCCTGCCCCATTGCCCCCAGCTGGCAGGGTGGGGTTGGTTTTCTCCAGGAGGCGGCCAGGGAATAACCTTTAATTTGATGGAAACATGCAGAACTAACCAGTCTGGGAGTCTGATCCCTGAGGACAGGAGGGGCCACCCCAGCCTGTAGGGGCCGGCAAAGGGACCTGCCTGGGGAATGTGTAAGTTCAATTGGTCATTCCTTCTCCCTTAACGCAGAAAAGCCTCTATTATTGCATTCAAAGGAATACTGTTAACTTTGACTCAAGGGGTGCAGTCTGCCAGAGAACCCATTTTAATTTCTAGCTCAAAAATGTTCCTTGAGGAAAACCCTTGGAATGTTCTGAAAGACGTCAGTGGGGTAAGGTCCAGTATGTGGCTAGCCAAAGGTCACCTTTACCTTTTCCAGCTGGAGTTCATAAATTCTTGCAGCCTTGTTTCCTTGGGGGCTGAAGTCTGGCATATTTTCAAACCAGTGCATTCAAGAATACAGTAAGATCCCAACCAGCAGGGTAGGCCGAGAACTGGGCTACTCTAAACCAGTAATTCCTACAACATTCAATCAACTTGGAATCATGTTTTCATGTAGGTATTATTTTTGAATCAACAGGAAGGGAATGAGCTCAGCTCTATTTCTCAAGTTTTACGAAACACTAATAACAATATTTAACATTTACTAGGGCTTACTATGTGCCAAGCACTGTGCTAAACACTGAATCCTCACAAAACCCTAAGTGCTAAGAAAGCTAGGGTAATTTTTTTCTGCATTCAAGACTCTACAGCTAATTTGGTCTTTTGCTATAAAAACTTGGTCTCCCACTTTTTGTTGAAGCGAACAAGAATCACAGGAACTCACCCTCAGCTTCACGAAACTCCCAGCTTCCTAAATGAGCATGAATCTATTTATGTCCATCCGTCTACTCACATGAAGATGCTCTGCAGCTCCACAGGGATGGATGGGATTAGAATAAAGCCAATATGGAAATTAAAATACTTTTAAATAAATAAAATAATCCAGGCTTGGGATAGTAACACATACAACAGAGCCTGTCGTTAACAAAATAGACTTTTCTTTTTAAATCAAGAATTTTTGGCCAGAGGTGAGGGTGGCAATGTCTAATATACACAAGCTAGGTAAACCACCTTGGAGAAATGGGGTGGCCACCGTGGTCTGCCCTAAAAGGCACACACCTACCTACAGACATACAGTTTCAGTCCAACACATCATACTGATGTCAACCCTGTCAGTGAGCTGCACTGGGCTCCACTCCCAAAGGGGAAGCTCATTATTCACTTTTATTAAATCTTGCATTCACTAAAGAAACAAAAAAGGGGTGCACGTTCTTTCCCTTTCATGATGCTAAAGTATTTCTTCTCCAAGCAGGGCCCTGAACTCCTTGGATGCACCCATTCACATGATTCTGCCTCAGCCACACCTCAGCAAGTGCGTGGGTGGCAGGGAACACAGGCTGGTTGACACGTTGGCAACCAGCAGTCCCAAGGTAGACCCAAAGGTATGGCAGAATCCAGCCCTTTCTTGAGGTTCTCAAGGCTTCACACCCTCCTCTGTGGGTGGAAGTGCACATGCATACACGCTATGGCCTGGCGGGGGGGTTATAGGGAGCGTCTGGTGTCCAGCTTCAACAGCTACAGTGGCTCAAGAACATGTCCTGTCTCTTAGCTGGAGGAGTCTGCTATTGCCCTTCAACAGCATCCGGATTCCAAAAACCCCAAAGAAAAACGAAAAGGCACATCAAGGAAACAAATATCACTAAAGAAACTGACTAATATCTCCAAACGCACAGCAAACACACAAAAAAGCAAACTGTAATGAGCAGTGACACAAACCCAGTCCAAACAAAAATGAAAAGCATCTCCATTTATACATGTGCAAATCAAACTGCATACACAAAATAAATGCGGTGTTTACCAGCATTCAAAGAAGTCTTTTTACTCCTCAAAGTATCTACCTTTCAATGGAAAGCTTTCTCTTTTAGTAAATTAGATGAATGTTTTCCCTCAAGTTTTTTAAGAGCTTAGGATCACAATGGGGAAAATAATCCAAAAAAACAGGCAAGATATTATAGCGGGGAAAAACATTAATCATAACTTAGGATTTCTCTCCCCATGGAACTGTTATCAGCTATAAATCGGTTTAGGATTCTATCAAGATCAGCAATGGCAAAACCTCCGCAGGCTTCCAGCCCACACAGGGGCACCTTCCTCTCCTCTTCCATGCAGGGCAGTTGGAAGCCCCCTCCCCAGTTTCCTCTCCAGGATCACTGACTAGACCTGGGCCAAGTCTGAGGAGGCCTGGGAGCCAGTACACATTCAGGGGTCACTGACTCTTCAGATAATGCCCTAAACAACTGGAGTGTGGGCTTGTTTGCTCCAAGAGCAGCTGCCCTGTCAGTGGAACTCCGGCGCACTTCCACTCAATACTGGACTGGGGGGGATGAAAGAGGGATTTTTAAATGGCAGAAAAGTGTTCTTCTGGGCTGTCTGGCCCGGGCAGGGCGGGTTGTGACTTGGAAAAGAAGGGGAAGGTAGGGAGGCCTTGAACTTAGGGACAGCCAGCAAATGATCCTTGCAGCTTTTGGAACACAAGGCAGGGCTAAGGTTACCTTTCAGCTTCCTTGCTTAAGTAGCAGTGGCTAAGTGGGTTAAACTTTGCTCGGCCTGCAGGCTCCCCCTGTTGGTCAGATACTTGCATTGACATCCTCAGTGTTCAATGCTCCTGGAAGAGCCCAGGAGAGGGCGGCACTGGCCCAGGGATTGCAGGTCAGGGAACTCTAGCAAATTCCCACACCCTAGGGTACAGCCAAGAGGCCCATTCACAAGGAAAAAGCTCTTCCTTACAGCAAGGATGCCAGTCATCTGCCCTCCTACTGCAGGAAACTGCCCTTGCTTAAAAGAAATGCACAGGCTCATACACACACACACACACACACACACACACACACACACACACACACACACTCACTCACCAAGGTTTCCTTTGGACTTCTGCCCTTCTTCCTAGGCCCAAGCAGAGGCTATTCTCAGCCAGGTCTGGAGGCGCCCCTGTGATGATGCTCAGGGCAGAGGCCTCCCCATGGTACTCTACCTGGCAGATGTGCTTGGGGGCCACCTAAGGAGTGGAGGAGGCCCCGGGTGCCCCCCACCCTCCTCTTAGACTGGAGATACAATTGAGACGCACTGAGCAGGGATCTCAGTGGGCCTAAGAAAAAAGGCTGGCTGCACATTTGTGTAGCAATTGAGAAAGAAGCAGAATGTAACTTCCCAGACTTAAAGGCCCCACACTAACTCTAGTCCCCATGAAGCGGAATTCTTCCTTTCCCTCACATTCTGAAAGCTACCAGCCATTACGCCTTGCCCATCAGTTCTGCCCAGCGGAGGCTCCACTGGGCCGCCCTCTGTTAGCAGGAAGGGTGCTTGGAAGCCCCGGCACAGAGCACATCATTGAGCGACTGAGGCGCCCAGCAGAGGCCAAGTGGAGGACGCCAACCGCTCACATTAGGCAGAAGGGGTCTCACTTGCATCAGCATGGAGATGTCAGGGGCTTTTCAGAAACTTACAAACTTGTACAGAGCATGGCAGCAATGATTCAGTGGGGTGGGAACTTATACAAAGGCAGAGCATGGGGGGGTCCAGGGTTTGGAAGGTGGGGTCCAGTGTGTCTGACCAGGCCAACCTGATGACTGATTACTCAACAAGTCAGAGTGATCCTGCCTGAAGGAAAAGCCAGCACCAGATTCCCACCTTTGCGAGCTACACCCTCAGGTGAGTAGCCAGGACAGGGCACTGCATTCATCCTGAGCTGCCCCCACTCCCCCAGCAGACATCAAGAGCCCCCTTCCCTGGACTTTGGTGCCATCAGAGGGGACACAACACAAGCCCACCTGTCAGGAGCCCAGCTCCGGTCGCGCCACAAATTCTTAAGGACCGACTTCACTCCTGTCCAAATCTTGGCTCAAAGATAATCCTCTCCAAGTCCATGAACAGCGTGAGTCTTTCATCTCTACTTTCCTCCTCATAGCGGGGCTGGAGGGAGGGTGAGTTTACCAGAAACTCCAAAATCCCTCAATCCTGTATTTCCTTCCCAAAGGGATTCTAAAAGAAATTACGGCCAAGGTATGTGTCTGGGCATGGGGACATGGAGGAAAGGGGCCTCATCTCCTTTTTCGTCCCTGGCTGGGCTCTCTGGACAACACAGGCACGTCCCCCTGACTGAGGCAGCCCATGCTCTAGGTGCCATCTATGACGATGCCCTGGGGAGTTTGGCTGTGCTTCCAAAGCAAAAGTTTCTTTTGTTCTGCTGCCATCTGTTTTGAGCTGCCAGGTCCCCATGGCTGTCCCTGAGCAGGCCACCAGCCCCACGGCACACGGTCTCTCTCCTGCACCCTGCCCAAAGCAGACAGAACAACAGTATAGTGAAGGTGGATGATTAACAGTGGAAATAAAAGAAGCCTGTGATCAATCCCTCCTCTCCCTCCCGCGGTCCCCTCCCTCCCACCCGAATAAATAAGTTAATGGGTTTAGGAATATTCCCATTCAGAGTTCTTTCCCATCAGCTCAATTCCTCCTGTTTTGTTTTAAAGGACTCTTGAGACTTTCTTTTGCCCTGGAGCAGCTGCAGTGACAGTCTTCCCACAGTTGCTCCTTGAGAAACAGAAATGATGTTGTGCCAGGGACAAGCCAGGCTCCTGGCCTGACATACGCTCTTGTTTTGTTTTGGTGAAGACTCCACTGGGTTGCTCGGAGTGCAGCAAGGGCAATGCCAATTCAGAACCTTCTACGAAAAAGTTCAGGCTCTTGCCAGAGTCCCTGCATGACTTCTGTCCCTGGCCCTGCCTGACGGGGCTGGGGCCACTGTCTTCCCCAGCAGCATGGTGCAGGGCTGAGCAGGTAGCTGCTATAGGCAGTCTTTGCAGAGAGCCACCTGGCCCTTGATGAAGTCCCGGCAGGGGCAGACCCTCTGGTGCCTGGGGTGGGCGCCTGCACAGCTGAAGAGCAGGAGGTCACCTTGAAACACACAGTGCTTATTCTTAGGGTCAAAGGAGGGCACCAGGATGTCCTTGGCCAGCTCTGAGCTTTGGCAGGTCACCTTGTACCTGAAGAGGAAGAGAAAGGCACAAGTGTTGGTGATGAAGGGACAGAGCCTTTCCTCGTCACTGGCCCTGTGAGCCCCCATCTTGAGGCATGGGGGGATGTTCAGTTGTCTTGTCCTACTTTAGAAATGAAATGGTGCCCACCCTCTTCGTCTGCAATCCTCCACCTCTAGGCATCTAGACTCAGGAAGGCATGTGTGCACCAGGGAGTGTGTGCAGGGGTGTGTGTTTGAGGCTGCCTAGTGAAGCTTTGTCTGCAATGGAGAAAAACTGGAAACAACCCAAATACTCACCAAGCAGGGAATGGCCAAATAAATCATGGCCCTTCTGTGCTTTTAGAGTTCTCTGCAGCTGTTGAAAAAGAATGAGGGAGAAGAGAGGAGCAGGAGAGTCATCCTGGGGAAAGGTGAGTCCCAGAATGGGAAGCACAGGGGAACCAGCCCGCAGTGTGCACACGGGAGGTGAAGGCTGCAAGTCGAGACGGCTATGTGCTAATGCCTTAGCAATGGCTGCTTCCAAGAAGTGAGAGTGGGGCAAAGCTCAGCATCATTTACGTTCTTTAAGTATGTTTAACTTTTTAATTAAAGGCTTTAAAGAATTCCTGTTATATGGCCTTAGCCTCTTGCTGGAAAGCTATCAGACAGAAGGTGCTGTCCTGGGGCATCGCCTCCCTGGGTCTTTGCAGCCACCCTTAAGCCATGGCAATGGTAACCCCAGTTAGAGGAAGGTGAACTGAGGCTTCAGGATGTGCAGAGACGGCCTGAATCCAGGCCCTCTCTCCCCAGCCCTGTACTTCTGCCATCTTCTCCCAACAGCTGAGTGGTCTCAGGCGGTGGAGCCTGGTGGCTTTGCTTCCTTTGGCTGGGACCACTGCGTAGGGGGGCCAAGGATATTCTGATGTTTCCATTCCCAACAGTTTTGGCCTCTTATCTCATATCTTTCCCTCCCACTTGGGATGACTGCTCCCATCCACCTTGCTTCCTGAAGGAGGCAGCGGCCTCACCTGGTGTCCTGCATGAATGCGAGGTGGGAACCCATGCTGTATCTGATATCAGAGAAAGTGGTGTTGGGGGACGGGCAGACCTGGGTTTGAGTCCTGGCTTTGTCTTTTAGGAGCTGTGTGGCCCTGGACAAATGAGTGAGCCACTCTGTGGCTCAGATTCCCTTCCATAGAATGGGGATAAATGATTCTTTACTGCAGGAATTAAGTTAGTGCTTCTACAGCATGTGACAGAGTCAAGCTCTAAGTAAGTGGATAAATGGCAACCATCATTGTTGTCAGGATTGTGGTCATTGTCGTCATCACCCTGCCTTGGCAGACATCGGATGGGCTATACCACCTCCCCACTTGCTTGTCCAGTGGTATGAATTTACACACCAACCATTTCTATTTCACTTGGTTCATGGAAGTCTCATTTTTCTGCTGACACGGAGGGGATGAGGATGGGGAGCCTGAGGTTTCTCGTTGCCTCTGAGAAGCTTCCAAATGGGCTTGTATGTGTATGTATGCATATGTGTGTGTACATGGGCATGTGTGTAGAGCATGTTTATGTACTTGCATTTGTGTGCGTGCATGCGTATGCATATGTGTATGTGTATGTAAAGCATCATTTTCTCTCCTACTCCTGCCCTGTCTTTCTCTAGCTAACCAGCTGCCTGGGGCCTTCCTCCCCTTGCCAACATTAATCCTGCGATTCCCCGCACATCTGCTGGGGCTTCTGCTGAGATCTCCCAGGCTGTCAGCCTGGCTCCTGCTCAGTTGCAGCTGAAGCCCCAACTGCTTCTGGAACTCAGCATGTCACTGGTGCTCAGGCCTCCCTCCCCCAGAGCCTGCGGCGCCTCCTGCACGTGTGAACTGCACCAGGAGCCCAGACCTGCTCAGGAGAGCGGGACTCTCTTCTCTTGCTCCCACAGTCACCGGGAGAGCACTGCAACTACCCTAAATACCCCACCACCCCTGCTCTTGATGCCAGCTGGGAGATGGTAATGCCCAGGGAGTTAAGGTCATGAATCATGAAGGGAGAGGGCAGGAAGTCAATTTTTATGGATTTCCTAAAAGGAAAAATGAGTCAGAGACTTGCAGCTACCAGCTCCTTCACAGAATACCTCAGCTGGACAACAGAGAGAAAAATATCTGGAACTCAATTCTGAATGACAAGTTTACATATGGAACATGACCTTGGGATACAGGTTTATATTTATGACCTTTTTTTTTGGGTGAATTACAGCAGCTGCTGTGGCTTTACTTAAACCATCTGCCGGCACACTGCTAACCAGAGCATAGAAATCTCTACGGCGACTCTCAGACCCCATGGCGAGGAATATAATTGTCAGGAGCTATGAAAAACCCTCCTGCTCGCTCCCTGGGTCACCTGGACTCAGGCTCTAGGCCACCATCTCCCGGGGTAGAAGCACACATGAGCGTGTGTCTGTGAGCAGGATTCAGCTAAGGCTGCAGCAGCAGAAGCCTGCCTGGGGTGATGCACAGAGACCGCCGCAGAGTGCTCAAGCAGCAGACGCTTCACCAGGCCACAGGTGAGACCCGACACCAGGCAGCTCCTCAAGGGTTCAACTGATGGATTCGGCTGTGGAATGCAGGGCTCTAACCAACCCCCTGGCCCCAGTGTCTTCTAAGCCCCCAGTGAGCTCTGCCTTTTACTGGCATGCATGTGCCCATCCCATAGCTCTGAGCAGTCAGGAAGGTGACTCCATTATCCTTGGGAGCAAAGGTCATCAGTGAGGCAAAGCAGCTTTCCCCAATCGCTAGAGCACATGGAGACCAGACAGCCTCTGCAGCCCAGGATCCTCAACCCCTAGGGGGTCCCTGCCTTTCCAGGCAGTGCATGGTGCTATGTCTGCCTCTCTGTCCCTGCAGTGTCTGTCTCACAAACAAGCACATCCTCCTGCTCAGAGACCCCACCGCAGTGTGCCATCTTCCTTTCCTTTCTTCCTAGTTTCTTACAGGATGGTAGTTAAAGTTTCTGGGCCCATCAGGTCTCAGTTTACAGTTTATAGCTCTTGAAGAATAAAAAAAGGCAAAGCCTCCCTCCAATGGGGCTGACCACGCTGTGACTGAAGTCACAGGCACTGGGCTGAGAAGTCACCAGTCCCTTCCTGACACAGACCTATAATGCACAGGACAGGATGCGCTGGACAGGAGGCGAGTGCTGCTGTCTCACCTGCTGCTCCCGCCCCTCCCTCCTGCCCCTTCCCTTGAGTGCCTTCCCTCCCTTAGCCCCCTCTCTTGAGGGCTCTGTTCATTCCAGCTCTGCCTTGCCAGGTCCCACCTGGCAAAGACTCCACTGGGCTGCTCTGAGTGCAGCAGGAGTATTACCAAATCAGAACCTTCTACCAAAAAGTTCAGGGTCTTGCCAGAGTCCCTGGATGACTTCTGCCCTTGGCCCTGCCTGATGGGGCTGGGGTCACTGTCTTCCCCAGCAACATGGTGCGGGGCTGAGCAGGTGGCCTACTAAGGGTCACCTTCCCTCTCTCAGGTACCAAAGCACTCAGTCTACACTGTACTGCTTAGAATTCTTTGCACAGAGCAACCCCAGTTGCCAATAATTTAACATTGTAGAAGAAACAACTTTAAGAGGTAGCAAAATTAGAAACTGGGCAGGAACACATGTTCCTGTGTATGGAACTGAGGTCCTCTCCACTGGGCCCCACTGGAATGGACCCTGGCACTTCCTGGAGCCTGCATCTTCCAGTCTCCACCCCAGTCTGGGAGGAGACTTGTCCAGAGGATGTGGGTCGCACCTGAATCATGCGTGCTCTGCGGTGGCCTCTTCAGTGCTTAACTGCGCCCTTGCACCCTGCATGCACAAGAACTCGAGGCTGGTTTCCTGAATGGCCCTGATTCAAGACAACACAGGACACTCCAAAGGGTTCCCCTGATGTGATATACTAAAGTCATACTATAGAGTGAGGACAGGTGGTTCTTAAACGCTATGGATACCCAAAGACTGAAAAAGGAACTTAAACTTAGCTCAAAGCAGGCTCCAAGTTGGAGATGCAAAGGCAGCACTGGCTTGCAGGAACTGCTAATTGCTAATTGGCTATGAATATGGATGGGCCAGGATCACCTCCACACTGAGGAGGCACTCAATAGACTGCCAGATAGCAGGGGTTTTACAACATTATCAGTATTTACAAATGCATGAACAAGTTATTCAGCAGGGTTCTTATGTTCAGAGAATTAATATCAGACGGCTTTATTGCAAAATTAGCATTCATTCTAGCCTCCTGCTAAGAAAGCCCGCATCTCTACAGTGGGGTAGGAGGTGGGGGTGGGGTCCAGCGATCCCATGGCACAGGGCCTGGCCTCAGGACAGCCCCACGCCAAGTCCTTTTGCTCTCGTGAACTCTGCATGGATACGGAGGTGGGGAGGGGCCAGGGCTGGGGCTGGCTTATCCGTCTTGGCTCAGTGGCCTCGGGCCTACTCCACTGCCCAAAGCTCTCTGGAAGAAAGGGGTGTTCTACTCTGTCTTTGGCAAGGGCTGTTCATTATCTTACCTATCACCTAGGATATCCCCATTTTACAGATGAGAAAACTGGCAGAACTGAGGGGAGTGGCCATTTGCTCTTTCTCCTTCCTGCCTTCCCTGACCTGGACCCTGGCCTGGAGGTGGCCTGCCTTTGTAGGGCCCCATGCTAGCTCTGAGCCAGACCCTGAGCACAGTCCCTGGGCCAAGAGCACTGACTCCTGCCTGGCCAGGAAGGAAGCCGTGCTGTTCAGGAGTCCCATTTGGACCCATTCCCAGGATGCGGCTTCTCGTATCTCTTCTTCCAGAAGTGGGCTTATGCAGACAGTCCCTAGTCTGTAACTAGTGAATTCCAACTTCAGATGCAGACAGACTCAGGGTTCTCAAGAATCCACCTTACTCCAAGAGCTATATGCAAAAGGAGCGCATGGAAAGCCCCTCACAGGACCCTACAATTCAAGATTTGCGCTGTGGAACTGGAAACTTCCAGTACCATCACAGGCTTTCCAGACATCCTGGACCACTGCCCCCTCCTAAAGCTTGCCTGGTGGCAGAGCAGGGTGCCGCCCCAAGCCCCCACTTTTGACCTATGCTTTTGTTTTCATGGTGGAATCAGGGCAGCTTCTGTGCCTGGGTCTTCTCATAAAAAGACCAGGAAAAAAATAGCATCACCAGGGCCGGGCACGATGGCTCACGCCTGTAATACCAGCACTTTGGGAGGCCTAGGCGGGCAGATCACCTGAGGCCAGGAGTTTGAGACCAGCCTGGCCAACATGGTAAAACCCTGTCTCTACTAAAAATACAAAAGTTAGCTGGGCATGGTGGCGTGCAGTTATAGTCCCAGCTATTTGTCCCAGGCTGAGGCGTGAGAATTGCTTGAACCCAGGAGGTGGAGGTTACAGTAAGCCAAGATCGCGCCACTGCACTCCAGCCTAGGCAAAAGAGAGAGACCCTGTCTCAAAAACAACAACAACAACAACAAAAAAAAACATAGCTTACACCCCTACTCATGAGAGCTTCCCTGCAGCAGGCAGGACACAAGAGGCCACACACTCTCCCTACGAAGGGTTTTATACCACACTTAAGGATAAGACGACTCACAAGAAACAGGCCAACTCAGACCATGGTGCACAAATAACAACAGTGGACAACAGCACTAACAGGGCGTGAAGCCTGAACAGGGACAGGTGAGCCCTGAGCCCCAGGTCCACTCCACTTCCTAAACATCCTCTTCAAGCCTGGAATGGTACACCTGCTAGATCGAATATCTGGAGTTGGGACAGCAGGGTCTTATTATTTGTAGGCTAGTCTCTTGCATAAAACACCTAATCAGAGCTACTAAGGTGGTGGGTGGGTGGGGAGGCTAGATAATTATGCAATATGTGGACTACGGTGGGGTGTGATAAAAATTGAGAGAATGGATTCAAGCCTGTCAAAGATCATGGGTGAGAGGCCAGAAGAAACCTCACACGGAAATTTGGGAACTGCAAATGCCCAACTCAAAATGCCAATGCAAAGGGAAAGGAAAGGTGCCACTAAGTAATGCAAGCACAAGGTAAGAAATTCAAGGAAGGCGCCTCCCCTGTGCAGCCCTGGGCCAGCATTCCCAGTGCCACACTCGCCTCATTACCAAGAGACCCCGCAGACTCAGGTCTGCTGGGGCCTGAGATGCACCATGTGTCAGTGAGCTAGAAGAAAGTGCAAAAGGGAACAGGCCGCAGGAGAAGGCTGCTCTTGGAGATTGTTGTGGGCAGTTTTGTGCCGGCTCCTTCTCCATGTTTCTCATTCCTTTCTGACTCCAGGGTTGAACAATGTCACTTGCCACCAGCCCCTTGCACTGCTCAGACTCTGCTGGAGGCCTGGCTACCAGCAGGGGTCTGAGGAGCTGGTCCATCTATACCTGTGGCTCTGTGCCCACCTCTACTCCCACTGTTCTTGGGGTCAACATTAGCAAGCCGAACACCTCCCACAATCTTCAAACCCAGATACAGCTTTATTTATGCAAATACAACACTCCCATTTAAATTCTAAACACATCATCATGCCAGGTGACTTCATCTCACCCAAAAGGAACGGTAACAACACTGGGCTAACTCTCTAGGGGGATCCTGCTGCAACCTACTCCCCTCCCACACCTTATCCCCACAGCCCAGTAGCTTGGAAGAGGAAACCTGTACCTCTCACCTGACTACCCAACAAGGCCAGCTGGAGTCTAGGGGCTGAGTCCCCACCCCCACCCCAGGGCACTTACTTCAGCATGTCCTTGTCCTTGTTGAGGTGCTGGAAGAAAGAAGGCTCGCAGATGAGCTGGCTCTCCTGGCACACCTGCTTGCAGGACTGCCCGGGCTCAGCAAGCTTGACCTGTAGGGCGCTGAGGGGTGGCCACATCACTTGCCCATGGCAGAAGTCCTAGAACGACAATGAAGCCATCAGCCACAGGTCCAAGGATACAGCTGGGGATCCCCAGCCCTGCCAACCACCCTAGCAATGGAGGCGGCACACTGGGAGAGCACAGGGACGGGGAAGAGTTGGGAGCCACATGGATGGGCTGGATTGGGGCTCAGCTGGAATATGCCTTCAGCCCAGGTCTTGACCTCCCTAACCACCAGCTTACTCAACCTCAAGACAGGGACCAACAGCAGTGCCTTCCACAAAGGGCTCCAGGATGAGAGGTCATACTTGTGATGAGCTTGGCACCACGCCTGCCCGTGAAGGGTGGCTATTCTCAATCATCACCATCAACACTTATGCAGCCAGGCTATTTAGAGCCTCTGCTCTTCAAGGCCCATCTTCAGACCAGCTTCCACCAGCTGGTCTGTTCTCTTCTCTGATTCCAAAGGCACTGTGTCTACCCTATCTTGGCAGTTACCTAATACGACACTGTTTCATAAGCGCTACTTTTATCTCAATGGCAAGGTTCTGACGCTGTGAGGTGAAGATCACGCCAAGGAGACTGCAGACACTTCTGACACCACCTCATATGGTGCTGTGTCTTTGGTAGGGACTTAGTGCTGGTTGGTTGAAAACAAGCACAGTAAGTCCTCACTTAGTGTCGTCAATAGTCTCTCAGAAACTGCAACGTTAAGCGAAATGACAATATAAAGAAACCAATTTTACAACAGGCTAATTGATATTAACAAGAGTTAAGTTCCTATGGTACATTTCTTGTCAAAAAACATCACCAAACTTCTAAATAAAGACCCAAAACACTTCTAATATTAAACATTGAAACAAATGTGAGCTATACACACATTTAAGAAAGATGAATAAATACAAATAAGATAAATTATTTACTCAATTTTTGGTGAATCAGTGAGTGACGGCAGTTGTGGTGGTGGGTTCAATCGAGGAATACACATTTGCGAAGTGAAAATCGTAAGAAGTGCCTCCTCCCACCTCATAATTCACTATCAATCAATCACTAACATGGCACCGCAATCAGGCCTGCCTCCACCAGCTGGTCTGTTCCCTTCTGATTTCTTGCATGTGTATGATTATCGTAGACTTTATGAAGTTTTATTGTACAATAATTTGTATCGATTCATTTGTTTTCGAACGCTCTTATTCCAGCTCAGTGTTGAGGGCGGCTGGAGCCTATCCCAGCAGCTCAGGGTGCCAGACGGGAAGCAGCCCTGGACAGGACATGGTTCTATCGCGGGGTGCATTCATGCGCACCCCCACTCACTCATGCTGGGACCATGTAGACACGCCAGTTCACCTCAGGTGCCCAGCTTTGGAATGTGGGAGAAAACCAGAGACCCTGGAGAAAACCCATGAAGACACAGGGAGAATGGGCTGACTCCACACAGACAGTGGGCCCGACCAGGAATCAACTTTCTTCATTCTAAACATTATAGCAAAATGACATTATTTGAGGATCTTCTGTACAACATTTCGTATATTCAAGAACTGGAGAAATAGAAGTCTAAGTAGCATGTGATAGGATGAGCAGGAATATGGCACCCCCTACCAAGAATGTGTGTTAAGTGCTCCGAGTGGGGCAGAGCCAGTTGACCCTGGGATCTAGAGGGAATAGAGGAAACCAGCAGGTCTAAGGAGGACTCGGGGGTGAGGAGAGGGTTGGAGGACTGCCACTGAGCAGTAACATGGAGTACCAGCACCAGGAGTGGTAAGGAGATGTACTTTTCAATGTGTGTCCTTCTAGAGTAGCCTACTTTTCCTCACGTTTCCTTTCCAGATCTGTGCGGAGGAGGAGTTGATCAGTAATCTCAGGGCCCAGGGCTCCTAGCACTGACGCAAGCCGAGGAAATGTTTCTGTCCCTCCCTTGTCTGTCATGTGGAATGCCACCACAGGGATATGAGGGTCTCATGCTGCCAGGCGGGCCCCTTGGCATGGAGGTGGGTGTAGCACCAGAAGAGGGGCTGGCCCAGAGCTGCATCCAGAGGGCATACTGTTGCCATTTTTCTTTTCTTTTTTTTTTAACCTTGTGCTTGTATAGATATATTTTTGAGACGAAGTCTTGTTCTGTCGCCCAGGCTGGAGTACAGTGGTGCGATCTCGGTTCCCTGCTACCTCCGCCTCCTGGATTCACGCAATTCTCCTGCCTCAGCTTCCTCAGTAGCTGGAACTACAGGTGTGCACCCCCACACCCAGCTAATTTTTGTATTTTTAGTAGAGACGAGGTTTTGCCATGTTGGCCAGGCTGGTCTCGAACTCCTGACCTCAGGTGATCTGCCCACCTCAACCTCCCAAAGTGCCGGGATTACAGGTGTGAGCCACCGCGCCCGGCCTTGTGTTACTTTTAATGAGCCAAAAGACAGTAAGAAGGAGCAAAGCAAAACCCACCGAAGGCTCTGTGGGCAGCTGGCCCTGAGAGCACATCCTGCCTCTTGCTTTTACCAGCTATGTGAGCCTTTGGGCAAAATACCTAACAGTCTGAAGCCTTAGTTTCCTCATCAGAAAAAGGAAGATGATGATACTGATGATTTCTTAGGGTTATTGCTTCTTCCCATCTCCTTGAAGGAGGAAATGCTGAGAAAGGCATTGCCTGCTGAGAAAGGCAACTATAGGTTACTACTAGGTTACTTGGTGCTAGCTTCTCTTAGAGTCTCCTTAAATCAAGGATCCTGATTCCAACAAGGCAGGCAAACCCACTGTTGCCCTCCACTCATGTGTTCCTATGATGAGGGGATTTGACTACTCCAGCCCGAATGAGTTTTGGTGGTTAATGAGCAAAATGCTTCACTGAAGAGTTGGCAGGAAACCTAGAACTTGGATTCCTATCAGCTGCAAATAGAATTCCAGGAAGGTCTAATAATTCAGAGATGAAAAGAAACATATTGGATTATTGAGGGATATTAGGATGCAGCTTACTCTTCTGAAAATGATGCACAGTGGGTGAGTGGGTAAGCAGAGTGCCCCAGGACCCATACAGCCCTGGGCACCACCAGAGACAGACAACTAGACAGAAGACCCTCAAATGACTCCTTATATTCATGGTGATTTTCATCACAATCCAGGCCCCTGTTAAGCCATGGGTCGCAACGTAACTTGAGTCTGAATGCTGCTACTAAGGCAGACAGCATGACTGTACAGACCTGTGAGACCCTGAATGGGGGCACAGTGATCACTGGTGGCCGTTGCTTTCTTAGGTGACAGGAAACCTGCTGGCTGGCCTTTGACACTCTGCCCATCCCATTGGGACAGCTGTCATCAGACAGGAAGAATGAAAGCACACAGTGATCAATGGAGTTACTGATGATCAGAGCTGAGTGGGGGCATGGGCATTGGAAAAGGTAAAGTGTTTTTTGGTTGTTTTTCTGGTTGGCTAATGCAAGCAACTTTGTTTATATAGGTTGAATATCCCTTATCTGAAATGCTTAGGATGAGAAGTGTTTGGATTTTTTCAGATTTTGGAATATTTACATATATAATAAGCTATCTTTGAGATGAGACCCAAATCTCAACATAAAATTCATTTATGTTTCATATATATCTTAAACATGGAGGCTAAAGGTAATTTTTAAAAATATTTTAAATACATTTGAGCATTACACAAAGTTAAAGTACTTTTATGTGTGAAATTTTCCATGGTAGTGTCATGTTGGTGCTCAGCAAGTTTCAGATTTTGGAGCATTTTGGATTTTCAGATTAGGGATACTCAACCTGTAAATCTTTTTTTTTTTTTTTTGAGACGGAGTCTCGCTGTGTCACCCAGGCAGGAGTGCAGTGGCATGATCTTGGTTCACTGCAACCTCCCTCTGCCAGGTTCATGTGATTCTCCTGCCTCAGTCTCCTGAGTACCTGGGGTTACAGGTACATGCCATCACACGCAGCTAATTTTTGTATTTTTAGTAAAGACGGGGTTTCGCCATGTTTGCCAGGCTGACCTCGAACTCCTAGCCTCAGGGGATTCGCTTGCCTCAGCCTCCCAAAGTGTGGGATTACAGGTGTAAGCCACCATGTCAGCCCGCTCAACCTGTAATTCTTTAGGAGCAACTGGATAACTTCTGCAGCCTTTAAATTTTATAATAAAGAGATTTTAAAATCCACATACACCAAATCATGTGACTGAACAGAAAAGATAAGTCAACCGGGAAATCTAGACCAGATCACATCATTTACATCAGAAGAAGCCAAGTGGGAATGTTTCTCTCTGCACCTTGGATTTGGCTTGACCCAGTCCTGGATTAGGCTGGGAAAATGAAGACCCACGAAGGCTGAAAGCTCCTGTTTAGGCTTTCATGGCTGGCAAGAAAACTGTGGAACATCTCTACTTACATGACATCTACAAACAGCTGAGGGCAGTATCTCTGTACCTACTGAGTTTGAAGACTCTTTAGAAACTTGGCTTCTTATTCATGTTCAGCCTCATGGGGTACAGGAAGCAGCACAAAGGTTAACACTGAAGCTAGAGGCCAGGCAGGGTGGCTCATGCCTGTAATCCCAGCACTTTGGGAGGCCAAGGTGGTTGGATCACCTGAGTGGAGGAGTTTGAGACCAGCCTGACCAATGTGGTAAAATCCCATCTCTACTAAAAATCCAAAAAAATTGCTAGGCATGGTGGCGCGCGCCTGTAATCCCAGCTACCCAGGAGGCTAAGACAGGAGAATTGCTTGAACCCGGGAGGCAGAGGTTGCCGTGAGCCGAGATGGCGCCACTGCTCTCCAGCCTGGGCGACAGAGCGAGACTCTGTGTCAAAAAACAAAACAAAAGCCTGAAGCTAGTGCAGAGTCTTGCTTTGTTTGACAAGGAGGAAGTGATGAGTGATATGGCGATGGAATGTGCTTCAAGTCAGAAGGAGCAGACTGGGAGCCTTGCCCCACCACTGTGGTGCTTTGGGTGTGTTACCCAGTCTGGTCTCATCTCCTGCTTGTCTGCAAAGAGTGAGGCTAACAGATAGTAAGACATGGAGCTGAGCAGAATGCTGGCAAATGGCAGGTGCTCCATAAATGCTCCTTTTCCACCTGTTAGCCCTTCTTGGAAGAGCTGCCTGTGCCCCGTAGAGCTTCCAAGGTACTGCATTGGAGACATCTGCAGAATCTGGGGCAGCCCTAGATGAATGGACACCTTGCACCTCAGGTCCAGCAGGGCAGGATGGCACCGCAAGGCCCAAACCATGGGAGATGTCCTTAAAGCTGCACTGCAGGGCTGATATGCCCTATTTGTTCATTTCTTTGTAAACTACAGCAGCCTCCCCTCTCAAGGTCCCCCTCAACAGGTGTGCTTAGTTCAATCCTGCAGCTGAACACTGGAGCTCCAGGAACCCTTTCTGGTGCTCCCCAGGAGCATGGTCTAGCATCCTCTCAGCAGTCTGTTTTGGGGGTCAACAGAATCAGGAATAGTAAAAATAGCAGCAGGAACTTCTCAAAGCTTGCTGCCACCTGGAGAGTCTAAAGATGATCACACTGAACAGAGGGAGGCCTGAAGGTGGCAGGAGAAAGCTGGGGATCTGGGTTAGGATTCTGGCTCCCAGCTGTGGGACTTCATAGATGTCTCTTCAGCTCTGCCTGCTCTCACACATAAAATGAGGATGATGCCATCTGTCCTTCCCTCCTTATCTAATTCCTGTGAGAAGAAAATGAGGTGACTGATAAGAAAGAACTTTGAGATGTTAAAGATAATGTTCCAAGGTTGACCATTCTTTGCTGCAAGAGTCTGGAGGTAAAAGTTGAGTTGGCTGATTACATATGATAATTCACCTACATCCACAAGATCCACCTTTTGGCCCAGCTGCTTTTAGGGCACAACTGAAATGGAAGCCCCTGTCATAGCTTCTTCTCTCCCATAAGTGCCAGTCCCATTGGGTGCTCAGAGAAGGCTGGGAATCCTCTGTTTCATTCAACTGCAACACAGGCTAATAAGGCAGTGCCAACTTGCCTTATCTCCTTATCATAAGTACTCATTCCTTCATTCTTTGAACAAATACTTGCTACTAGGCAGAAAAGCATAAGGGCTCAGAGCTCAGACTGCCTGGTGGACTCTTACCTCCTCCGTTTATTAATCATAATGTATAACATGCTCAGAAAAGCGCCTGACACAAAAACACCATCTGCATGTTGGCTGTCACCATGACGACATGCAATCTAGTCCCTGGAGTGTGAGGGAAAGGATGATGAACCAGAGGAACCACAAATCCCTGCCTTCATAGGGCTTGCATTCAGCGAGGGAGACAAAAAAACAATGGATAAGTCAATATATATAGTACATTAAAAGGTGGTAAGTATTCTAGAAAAGAATGAAGTGAGACTGTTGGCAGAGATGATGTCCTGATAAGGCATCACTGAAATGGTGGCAGCTGGGAAAAGACACGAGGAAGTAAAGAAGTGAGCCATGCAAGCATCTGGGAAGAACATTCTAGGCAGAGGAACATCTAGATCAGAAGATTTGACAAGGGAGTACATTCCAGGGGGAGCAGGCGCTTCTGGGTAGCTTGGTAGAGTGTGTATATTATGGGTCAGAAGTGATGGGGTTCAGGAGGGCCCTGGGAGTCAGATCTTTGGGGTCTAATTGAATGCTCTAGCTTTTCCATGAAGTAAGATGGAAGACACTGGAGATTTCCGGGAAGAGGGGTGACGGGATCTGCATGCTGGGAACAGACTGCAGGAGCAAAGCAGCAGCAGAGAGACAGGAAGCTGCCGCAACAGCACAGGAGAGAGATACGGGACTGAGACCCTGAGACAGGGCATCTCTGTTCAACAAATCCCCATGAAACACTCATGTAAGCTGGCTTTGAAGGTTTCCTCATTCATTCAGTACTTTACTAATGACTATTAAAGTCTCCCACTGGGTGCTGGAAATATAAACATGAAGGAGACACAGTCCCTGGACTCAGAGGTTCAGTGCGCAGTCTAGTAAGAGAGGCCGATGCTAAAAAATTACCGAACAGTATGAAACAAATGCCCAAATAGGATGCGCAGGCCACTTGCAGAAAGGAAAAGATTAACTCTAGGGAAGGGGAAAGTGGTGGTAGCAGTCAGAGAAGGCTTCCAGGAGATAGGGAAGGCCATCTGGGTTTTGTAGGCTGTATGGAAGTTAGCAGCTTACCTCTAACATGGCGCTTTGCAGATAGCTGGTGCTGGGAACAGACTGCAGGAGCTGCTCAACTAAACTGAATGTGTTTTGCATCTTGAGGCTTTGACAGTAGCAGAAGTAGAAAAGGAAACTATTCTAACTCAACGAGCTCCTATGCAGCAAAAATGAGATATAAACAGTAATTTCCAATCTGGTTAACAAGCCTGCTTAGAACACAGAACATCTGCATCCTTCCCTAACAATTATTTCAACCAGTCACCAAATTTCTCTAAATGTGCTTGACTATCCTGAAATTTCCATGCAGTAGTCATAAACCAACAAAAAGTCTAATAACCAACCAATTTATGAGACGGAACAATGTTCTAAACAAATGAACACAGCCAACCCTGAAGAAGAGGTGAGAGCACCGCCTTTGTAAAGAAGGCTAATTAATTAGCAGCCTGGGGAAAACACCATAAAAATACAGAAGGGGCCAGAGAAGGGGAGGAGAATGCTCCCTGGGAGAAGCGCCAGGTAGCGGGACTGGCTTGTTCACGCCCTCTTGGTTTGCTGGGCCAGGGAAAGGGTCACTTGTTCAGAGCAAAGCGGAGGAGTGGTAACAGAAGGGCCAGTCAGAGAGGGCTAAGTGGTGTGTGAAGGGGGTCCAGAAACCCCTCACCCCACCCACTGCAGCCAACTCTTTCACAGAGTTACTAATAAGCCCATGAGAGTTCGGTGCAAGTGGGTTTTGGTGGGAACCCACATTGTCTGGAACCAAGAACACAGGTTCAAATATAAATGTCTGCAGGCAGGATCTAGAGGAAGAAAAACCAGAAATTGGCAAAAAAAAAAAAAAAAGTTGGTAGGACAGGTAGGACCATGAAAATGGGGTTTGGGTCCCGTTCGGTCAGCTATTTGAGGGATAAGGCACATATTGGTTATCTGTGTTACAGCTGAGAAATCCAGGGCCTGGCACAGGAAGTGTTCCATAAATATTGAGTAACTGACTGGATTAGCACACCTCAGGTGCCAGGCTGAAACCGACCATTCTCGGCGTGTGCTTTCCCTTAAAACACAGTGAACTGTGTCCACACACGGCCCCAGAGGTTGTTTCCCAGAAGTGAGTGTGAATTTTTGTTTCCACAAAAGAAACAGTGACGGTGCCTATAAAACTGAGCAGTAGGCAGCAATCTCCATGGATTATCTCTACACATGCAAAATTCCACTGAGCAAAAAACTCACCTTTGAAGAGCCAGAACAGAAATCTACCTTATTCACACACTTCTAGGAGTCTACGCA
Source organism: Homo sapiens (assembly GCF_000001405.40). NCBI lineage: Eukaryota > Metazoa > Chordata > Mammalia > Primates > Hominidae > Homo > Homo sapiens. The sequence goes on along the minus strand of NC_000002.12, from coordinate 134,433,392 downwards.
GGAGAAACGAAAACAGGTCCATACACAGATTGCATGTGAATGTTCACAACAGCACCTACCACATTAGTCAAAACGTGGATATAACCCAAAAGCCTATCAATTGGTGAACGGATAAACAAATTGTGATATTAATCTGTACATACATGGAATACTATTCAGCAATAAAATCAGTTCTGACACATTTAACAACATGGGTGAACCCCCAAAACATCATGCTAAGTGAAAGCCAGAAATCTCCAGAAAAGGCTCATCTAAAAAGGCAGGAAACAGATCAGTGGTTTCCTAGGCCTGGGGTGGGAGCAAGGATTGATTGCTAACAGGGACAAATGAGTTTTTTGGGGTGACGGAAATGCTGCAAAACTAGAGTGTGGTGGTAGTTGTGTAACACTACCAATTTGCTAAAAAAAAAATTGAATTGTGTCCTTATATGCAGTGAACTTTATGGTCTGTAAACTATACCTCAGTGAGCCAGTTTGAAAAACACACCTTGGTTGGTTTCTGGGCTCCTGCGGCAACTCGTAGCGAAGGCTTTGAGAGCACCCACATGGGCCAGGCATTGTTCTTAGTGCTAAACATTATCAAACTACCTTTTCCTTCACCAGCCTGATGGGTAGGTTGCATTATCCCTATTTCTCAGAAGAGGAAAGAGCATAGAGATGTTAGGTAACTTGCCCAAGGTCAGAAACACAGTGACAAGCAGAGCTAAGATGTGAACCCAGGCAGTCAGCTGCTAGGGTTCTGTGCTTAATCATTACCTGCCTAGTCTCTCTGGGTGCAGGAAAGGCTGGGTAAACAAAAGCTATTGATTTCTCAAGAGTAAACATTCCTCAAGCTAGTACCAACCTTCTCCCCTTTTCAATTTCTCCCTCTTTCCTTGCAATCTGTCACCTCTACCATTGCTCCCACCTTTGGACTATCCAGATTCATAACAGGCTTGTCCTTGCATCCAGAACACTCCATAGTGGGCTTATTCTGGGCTCTGATGAACAGACATCCTAGGACCTTCAGCTGATTCCACAGCCATTGTTGGAGTTAACTCTTTTTTTTACCCTCCCTCTCTCCAGAATGCTTCTCAGATGAATCACACAGCTCTTTACAAATTAACATGACTGTGACCATGCTATATATTTACAGTGTCTTTACAGGAAACAGAAAATATAATTCAAGAGCATATGTATGGTTTTAATAAATCAATCTGAAATTGCCATTCCTTCAAAAAAGTCCTGCTATACTCTCTGACCTGAGGCTAATACAAAAGACTTTCCCAAGAAATGCATAATGAAAACCTTAACAAGCCCACACATACTGAGGATAGGGAACAACAGTGCTTGATCTTAGATTACAAAGAAGTTCTCCCTGCTGGAGACAGCGTCTCTTTGAGAAAGCTCATTTAAAAGAGCATGCACTCTGAATCAACATTTTCAGTACAGTAAAGGAAGTGGGGACATTAAGAGAAAAGAGCAAGTGGTTTTCCTAGATCCAGGAGTCTTTCTCATTGGGTGCCTGTACCCAGGGAGGACTGGGTATGAGGTGGGTTTCCTGCTGGCGACTGCTCAACTGCACACTGAAGCCCGGCGTGCCCTCGATTGCTGTCTGTTGGCTCCGTCTGGCTCCCACTGCCTTGGCTGAGCATGACGGACAACCCTGAAAGGTTTCTGGGGTAAAAGCTTCTGTGTTCTCCTTGCAGATCACATGGAGAACTCTGAAGGCAGATATTGGCCTAATTAGGGCTGCAGTGCTCCTACCATTCAAGGGATGGGAAGGGCCTCCTCGGAGCTGCAGGCTTTCTTGTTCATACCAGGAACACCTCCTCTCCATCCTCGCTGCCCTTTGAAGATATTCGTCTAGCTGCAAAAAATAATGAATACTCCAACCTCTAAAACACTGGGGTCTGGAGCTAAAAGAGGTAGCAGACCCAATCTGTGAACCAATGGGGTCTTGGCTTCCTATCTTCCTTCTGGCATCAGAGGAACATTCTGGGTTCAATAGAATCTCTGAGATAAACTCAAAATAGGCCCCCTTTATTGCTCATTTAGGAACATTTGGAGAATGTTTAATAAGAAATGCCCCTAACACAAGATTCCTGGAATGATTTTTCTAAGCACCCATCTGACAGTTCCACTGCCCCTTAGCCTGCGACAAAGCCCTTCTTTAGCTTCCTATTATCCCAGAATCAAACTGGAATTCTTCAGCCGAGCCTCAGCGTCTTTTCACATTCTGCAATCTCCTCCTCCAGCCTGGTCTCTTACCTCATCCCTCTCTTCAGTCAAGTGCCTATCATTCCCCATGACATTTCTCCCCCCTCCAGGCCTTCACATCTGGACTTGTCCAGCCTTCAGTCTGTGCTACCAGTTTGCCTTCAGGACTCACCTCCTGCAAGATGCCTTCAGATACACTCTACCATTTCTCCCCCGTCCTCCCTCGGCGGGCTGGGCCATGTGATCCCCAAGCATCCTGTTGCTTCACTATTACCAGGCTGAACCTACAGCAGTGGCACTTACTGCCTGTGGACTTGGCTGCCTTCTCCATGAAACTTGCAGCTACTTGAGGGTAGGGATGGGGACCTGGAGCTATTGTCCTCCCCAACTGACCACACAGCCCATGGCATGTTCCAGCTGACAAATAATTCAGAGTAGAAGAATGAATCAACAACAGCAGGCAAAAAAGAAACCTCTGGATTTCTGTGAACTGCAGATCTCTGCAGAAAGGCCTATATGGTGGGGGTGGGGGGCGGTGCAGTTTTATTAGCATGCTTTCCAGCAGACAATTTTGGTAACATGTATTCCAAATCATGAAGTCCAAGATGAGCTTCCTGGTTCCTGACACACAGGAATAAAAAGCACACTCACCCTCCCTTCCTCCCTTCCTTCCTTCATTGTTTCTGTCACCTGGAAGTTACTGTGCACCGACCATGTGTCCAGCAGGTTACTAGGGATATAGAGGTGAAGCCAGGTGGAGCCTCTGCATTATGGAGCATTTAGCAAGGTCTATTTGGTGAACAGGACCTTCCTGTTTGAAAGGAAGCCCAGCAAGGCTTACAGAGGACCTGGTAACTTTTAAAGACTGGCTGGAATTCCTGAGCCTCAGGGGAGAAATAAAAGCCTTCAAATAAACCTGATCAAGAGTCATTTATGCCTGGCAGTTGGGTAACTATTTTCCCTAAGAGGACGTGGAGACAGGCAAAGAGGGTTTCAGCAGCAGCTGCAGGGATCTTAGTATGATCTCAAGAGAGCTGCCGAGATGGCGGCAAGAGCTGTGATGTCTTAAGACCCATAATTGAAGGAGGCCCTGCAACTCCTCTTTGCAGCTGCAGGAAGGGTGAGCAGCCCTTGATGATGCAAGAAGACGGGAAGCAAAGCTCTGGACACCTTCTGTCTCCTGAGGCCCTGGTAAGCATGGTTGGTGTAGACTTGGCCTCACATCAAACTGTATCAAATCTTGATTCCACAATCTGTGAGCCTGATAACTGTGAGTCTTGGTTTCCACTATCCAGATAATGGGGTTATTACTACCACCTCCTGGAATTACTGTGAGAATTAGATGTTATATTATGATGTGTCTGGCACATGCTGGCACAAAATCTGTATGGATGTGGTTGCTAGAGTTGTGATGATACTGTCATTCTGGTGTCATATAAAGGCTGAATGAGATAAAGATTCAAATGGTTTCTCGTGAAACCAAATAATTATACTACAAAGTAGTGTATTACAGTACAATATAGCATAATGTATTAAATAATCAACAGTACCAGTTTGCATTTATTGAGCACTATGTATGTGCCAGGCTCTGTTCTAAGCACTTTGTATGTATTAGCTCATTAAATCCTCACATCAGCCCTACGAAGTAGGCCCTATTAGCATCATCCTTATTTTACAGACAAGGAAACTAAGGCATAGAGAGGCCAAGTAACATGCCCAAGTCATGTAACTAGAAACACATGGTGCCAGGAGTAAAACCCACATGGCCTGGCTGCAGAGCGCGCTCTCTTGCTGCTAACAAAAGCTCAGCATATCAGACACACCACCCCGAAGTATATGACCACGGCTCCCAGCTCCAACAGCAGCACCCAGGGCTGCTGGCTGCTCGCCACAGTTTCAGTCTCCTCAAACCATCAACTCTTCCTTTGAAGCCCACCTTGGGCCTACTTAGATTTTCAATACACCATTTCTATTTTCAGCTTGCACCATCCTCATCCCCTATTGTGTAAAGATCCCTTGATTGCCTTAAAAAATGCTTTATCCTTTAGGAAGAGCACCTTATTTCTGGGATCTAGTCAAAGAGTTCATATTCTCCTACCCACAGGGGTTCTGAGTCCGTCTATTTCTAGCTCTGTGTTGCTTTTGAAGTCCAAGGAATTAAAATGCTATAAAATGATAGCAACAGGCTCCTGGCCTTTACTTCTAGGAGCACATGCTGCAGTTTCCAAACCTTGTTGGGGAAGGTGGAACTCTTGGCACCCTCCTTGGCTTTGTCCTGCTTTTTATCTGTTTTATATACATATAAGGTTTCATTTGACAAAGGGTCCTGCTTTTAGAAGATGTCTGAAAACCTCTAAAAAGTCCTAACATTTAGAATTGCTGAACATGTATTATTAAAATAATGCTTAGAAAAAGCTGGTTTCAATTCTTGCCTTTCTTAAGGTGAGAATGGGCCTCAGAACCCACTCAGGGCACAGACCCTGATGGTCAGGGGCATCTTCACAGTAATCATCCCATCTCTCTTGTTATAAGTTTCCATTTCACCTTACACTGTCATCAAGAACATACCTACTCCAAGGGAATACTGGTTCTCTTGGGTGACCATGACAGTGCTACTATTATCCAGCTTCTAGAGTCTCCCAAAGCAGGAAAATAGCCACAGAAACACAGTGAGCTCTTAAATGTTCTTGAGAGCCCTATGGCGTCACAGGAAGCAGTACACAGCAAAGACAGACTGACTTCTGATAAGCCTTACCTGTTTTTCAATGAAAGCATTGATTCTCTGTAGCATCCCCTCGCACGTAAATTCATATGGCATGTATGGCTCAATCTGTGGAAACAGAGCATGATACCATGAAGGAGAAGGACAGAGAACATGTAGCACCTCCTCAGTCCTCCGACTCACTCAATACACGGGTGCTAACACCAGGAGTCGGCCTCATGAGGGTTGACTATGGACTTGCAAGTCGTGATCTCAAGCTGATCCTTACTAGGTGTGGGACTCTGAGCAAATGACTTGCCATCTCTAAGTCTCAGGTTCCTCATATGTAAAAGGGTGATAAGAAAAACTCACCTCTTTTAAGCTGCAAAGATTATCTGGGAGAAAAAAGGTGCTTAGTTTAGTGACTAGCACATAGTGGGCATTCAACAAAAGATGGAAGTTATCACTTGCTAGCAGGTAATTTCCACAGGGCAGAGTCCATGCTGTTGGGTCATCTTTACATTCTAGTGATGAGCACAGTGTGGCACATATAGGAAATTAGCAAACATCTGTTGAATGAATGCATGGTCACTGCTGTAAGGCAACAATGAGCAACTGAAGGATCCGTGACAGTGACCTGTATTTGGTCTGTATTTGTAGGTGAGGTTAGCCTATATCCGAAGAACTCACGGTGTAAAAATAAAGTTATAAAGTGTCACAAGAAGTCAGCTAGGGGGTCCTGGGAGGCTAGAGGGTCAAAGCAGACTTCTACTCATGCTGGGCTTTTAAGGCAGGCTGAGTCTAGCAGGCCCAAACTGGAGAGGGCCAAGATGCTGAAGACATCCTTGGTGAACAAGTAGTGTGGTCTTTAACATGAAAGGACAGCAGGTAACTGCAGCTCAGTATTATGGGAACTGGTGAGACGAGGTGGAAAATTCACTGAATTTCCAAAAAAGCCTTGAGGTTTCTATGCTAAAGAGCCCGATTTTATTTGAGGGGAGTAGGAAACTCTACAGGATGCTTCATTAGGGTAGAGGAGGCAATCTTATCAATATTGTGACACCTTGGAGAAGGGGAAGAAATGTGGGTTTGATCTCTGCTGCACAGTGTCTGCCAACACTATGAGGCCTGTGTTTTCAGGTGTATTACCAATCTAAAATGGAAATTTCATTTGAGAGAAAATCACCAGCAATATAGTCTATTATTGCTTCAGGGAGCCCAACAGCTCCTCTCAGCAATAGGGTAGACGGAGGGGCACCTTCACCAGCACCAGCTACCTCTAAAATGTTTGCTGGGATCTACAGGGTGGAGAACTAGGCAAAACTTCTATAATTGAAGCTTGCTGAAAATGGGACAATGAACAGAAATAACATTCCTTAGTTGGCAGCCAAGCAGTTGGTCTCAGGGCATCATCTCCCCCTTTCTCGTATGCCAAATCACACATTACATTGAAATCTTCAACCATGATTTTCAGAAATTTTAATTGTCTTCAAATGCTGAACAAATGCACAAATGTGGGCCACAGTGGCCTACAGCTGTCAGAATAGAGCTCAAAGAGGCTGAGCCGTAAATACTGTAATATCATGGCAGACTATTCTACAAGAACAGAGAGGTCACTCTATTCCTAGACAGCTCATCTCTGAAGAGCTCAAAATACTACGAAGAACTGACTTTCATGTTCTCAGTTTGTTCCTTGTCAACTCAAGCTTTTGAACTTACTGTTCCCTCTCTAACCCAGACACAGCCCTTCACACAAAATGTAAAATTTTTTCTTTTCTTTTAAAGGATGTTTACTCAACCCATGGGTGACTCCAGAAGCTTTCTATTGCTGGCCTAGAGATAAGTTTCCTCTCAAAGATTCATAGAAGGAATGATCTAAAACAAAGAACATGGCATATCTGGGTTCATTTATCAGTGTTAAAGTAGGATTTGTACAGTGAAATAAACATCCATGGTCATCTTTCATGAGATGAACAGATTTAGTTATGTTAGGAAGCACGCCGAGTACCCAAGCACCATTCCAACAACATTTCCAAAGGGAATCCATTAGAAAATGAAAGAAAGTTAATTCAAAGGGTTCAAAGCCAAAAATACAGAAAAATGGCTCCTCCTCTGTTCTCCTACCAACCTAGCCCACTTTAACCAAAGGGATGTTGACTCATTCACTGCTTTGGGGCAGTTCACTGTTTTAAAGGATATGAAGCAAACAATTTTCCTATAAAAGAAAAGCAAAAAGGAGGGAGAGATGGAGGGACGGAAGGAATGAAGGAAGGAAGGAAGGAAGGAAGTCGGTGAGTCAGAAGGTAGGTCTATATTGCTGGACCCTGTGGGTGAGGGCAGGCAGGGGCTTCTGCATTGGAAAGCTCTTCAGAGTCCTGACAGCCTCTGAAGTGACAGCTGTTAATGTGGACTGGGGGCTGGGAGAGCGGGCAGTTTTCTGCATAAAAGTTCTTTAGGAACAAGTGAAGGCCTCTTTGGGGGACAGAATGAAGAAGAATGCTAAATCACATCCAGTCATTGAGAAACCCAAGCTAGGCCAGCTGTGGAGAAGCAAGGAAGTATTCTTGGGCATCCTGCTTTGTTTAAAAAAAAAAAAAAAGGACTGTTACTCATATGGCGAGGGCCACAGGAAGGATGCCTACAGATTGCACTGTGAAGTTCCTGCTGACCTTGGAAATTTTCCCTTATCTTCCCCTCCATTTTCTCTTCTTGGCCTCCCTCCTTGTGAGATTTCCTGTCTCCACTAGTACCAACTCACCTTTCCAAGTCAGGGACAACTTCTACAGGCAATTGCTTTTAGAGATCAGCCTCCATGAGAAGCCCTCCATGGTCTGACCTGACAGATGTGGCTTGGCATCATTCAATAAGAAATGGTCTTAGAAAGTATCAGGAGGCCAGGGTTTGAGTCACGGCTCCTCCATATACTAACCATAGGATTCTGAGTAAGCAGAATCTGTAATTTCTCTTCATAATTTCAAAGTAAACTAGGTCATCTCATCCCCCTGTTCAAAACTTCCCATCATACTTATAAAATCCTCAACACTTAAAAAGAAAGAAAGAAACAAAAAAACCAACCACACACACACAAAAACCAACCACAAAAAAACAAAACAAAACAAAAACAAAAACAAAAACAAAAAAAACTAAAAACACAAACGAGAAAAAAAACCCCTGAACGTTTACCATGGCCTATTGAAAGGCCCCACACATATTCTGGCTCCTGAGGACCCTTTTACGGTCTCCATTATTTCTGATGAGAAGTTGGCTGTGTTAATACCATTATTACTCTAAATGTAATACATTTTTCTCTGGCTGCTTTCAAGGTTTTCTTCCTTATCTTTGCTTTTCAGCAGTTTGATTATAATGTATCTTGGTGTGTTTTTCTTTTCTGCTTCTACCTCAGCTTTTAAATTACTCTCCTCAAGAGTACAAGCATTAACTAAGTGTTGTGGATTGAATTGTACCCCTTTACAAGATATGCTGTCCTAACCCCCAGCACCCGTGAATGTGATCTTATTTGGAAATAGGGTCTTTGTAGATGTAAACAAGTTAGATGAGGTCACACTGAATTAGGGTGGGCCCTAATCTTGTATAAAACGAAAAGACAGAGATACATACAGAGAGAAGCCATAGGATAATGGAGGCAGAGATCAAACCTTTGAGGCTGCAAGCCAAGAAATGCCTAGGCCTACCAGAAGCTGAAAGAGGCAAGGGAGGATATCTAGCTAGAGACTTCGGGGGTGGGCCATGACCCTGCTGACATTTTGACTTCAGACTTCTTGCTTCCAGAACAGAGAGAATAAATTTCTGCTGTTTTAAGCCACTCAGTTGTTTGCACTACTGTGTTACGGCAGCCCTAGGAAGCTCATATACTAAGGGACTGGGAGAATCAAGAAAGAAGAACCTTCACCCTTCCATAGGAATGACTCCAGTAGTGAAGCTTTTGGTGTGTGGCAGATATTTTGAGGCAGCCTAGAGGAACCACATTCCATTTGGCACTTCTTTTATCAGCTCGGTCTCCTGAGGTTGGGGACTGCTGAAACTGCTGAAACTGGGATTGGGATTGTATGTATCATCAATGGGAAGCTGACACTAAAGCCCCATAACCAGACCACCTTGAAGCGGGTAGAGCACAGATAATGCATCGGAGTGCCCTCACTCCCCTGGAGATGTTCTGAATTAACTGAAATCAGCAGTTCAGTGGGCCACAAACTGATTATCCTGTTCTGTTTCCCAGAGGGTAAGATGGCCTCCACATGGGCACACTGGCTATCCCTCCCAGGATATATGCCTTTCCAGCCTCTTCCCTTTCAGTCACACTGTGCTTTGAACCCATGCCTTTCTGCACCCACTTCTGAGTTTTACTTTGCAAATTACTCCTCATCCTGTAAGACTTAACTAAAAGGCTGCATTCTCCAGAAAGGCTTCCCCAGCTTCCGCTCCTGGAGCGTTTGCATGTTGCTTTGGCACTGAACATATTCAGCCTTGTATTATGCTTACTTGCAGACATCTATTCCTCTCTCCCATCTATCCATTGGGTAAATCCCTACGTGGGCACCGGAAATACAGAAATGAGACAGATGTATATCCTGACTTCATGTTGCTAATGGTGTAGTAGAAATTTAGACTATCAACAAAAATCATAATATTGACTAAACACTAAACACAAGTAGACATTGAACTTAAGCACTTTACATACATTATCTCATTTACTCCTCACAAGTGACCAATCAAGTGGTAATATTAGCCCTACATTATACATGAGGGGAAGCTGCTAGTAAGTGGTAGAGCTAGAACTGAACCCACACTGTGTGCGTCCAGCCTGCCCTCCCACATGCCTACCCCGGCTTCTCTTAAAGCATCGCAACTAAGTGTAAAAAGTGCTCCCACCAAAGTACAGCAGCAGAGTGCAGCTGTGAGAGTCCACGGTGGGCTCCGAGTTGGGAGAAAGGATAACTGAACTCGTCTTTACTGGATGGTAAACTTCTGATAGGTGGGAAGCCAGCCTCCTCTATGATTATGGAAGTAAACACCCCGCCCTCCACAACCCCAGGTGACTCAGAGAGCACTCTGTGTATGGTAGGTACCTCACAAATGTCTGTTGAATTGATCAGAAGAGGCCAGAAATGTAGTTACTTTTACAAAATTCTACTACATGTTTAGATAGAACAAACAAACAAACAGATGTTCTATAAAAACATTCCTCAGCATTTCCTTGCACTTCTCCCTCTTTTGTAGAGGAAGCAGGGCTATCTTTTCAGATCTCTGTGAGAGCAACATAATCAGGTCACTGAACCAAGTATGACTCCAGTTCCTGCTCCTGTGCCTGGGATCCATGGTCATGTCTAAACGGTCTATGGAATCCATGCCCACATCGGGATACCAGCTCTGTTTCCATTTCACAGAACATTCATGAAATCCACAGGCCAAATCCTGCAGCTTGGTTATTTTCTAATTCCAGAGTTAAGCTGATGTGGTAAAGATCTGTTTGCTAAAAACAAGGACCTATGATGTGTTTTATACACATTTCAGGTCACATTAGAAAGGAGGGAAAGTGGAATAAAATGAACCAACCTTCTGATTTAAAATTGCTTTCACTGCATCCTCTACTTCCTCCTGATTGTTGAGGTCAACAGTCCACACATGTGGCCGCCCGATGAAAACTTCAGCGTAAGGATGCTGGGATGTCAGCTGGAAAAGAACCGAACACCTCAGTCTCACAAGCAATTTTTAAAATAACCTGTGCTAGATGGAGTGCTATGCTTTTTATGGTACTGAGTTATAATCGTGTAGGTAACAAGACACTGTGTCCTTCCCCTTGATGATCAAAACCATCCATAAGCAGATAACAAAACAGTGATGGTTCTGTACCTTGAATCCCACTTGGAAATAAGATAATGTCACAACCAGGTGACAAGGAAGCTGCTACAGGAGGCTTTAGCCCCCAACATCACATCAAGAAATGATGAACAGTTTCTCCTACCCAGAACCCAGCCCCGAAAATCACCTATTACTAGATCAAACCAGTATCTATTCTCCTGGCTAAGACAGAAAGGTCAGCATAGACAATTACAAGAAAAATCAAGGCTTTTAAAGTCCCAGGAGGCTAAGTCATGGTGCATACAAAAGGTGATAGAAAAAAATGACACCATCAGAAATACACAGAATTTTTGGGATGGTTTCAGGAATAATAATTAGCATAATATTCAGAAAAACAAGGAATGGCAGTTTTTGTCCTAAAGGGGGTTTTATTTTAAAAACAACATGTGGTCAAAGAAACCAAGTGCAAACCATGACAATTCTGAATTCATGAAGTGTCCATTCTTCTTTTTTTTCCCCAAAGGGTCTTGCTCTGTTGCCCAGTCGTAGTTCACTGCAGCCTCAAACTCCTGGGCTCAAGAGATCACCTTGCCTCAGCATTCTGAGTAGTTGGGACTACAGATGTGCACATCATGCCTGGCTAATTAAAAACAATTTTTTTTTTTTTTTGTATACACACGGTCTCTGTATGTTGCCCAGGTGGGTCTCAAACTCCTGGCCTCAAATGATTCTCCTGTGTCCGCCTCCCAAACTGCCGGGATTACAGGCACAAGCCACTGTGCTCAGTTGAGTCCATTCTTTAATACAGCTAAATTTATCCCCTGATTTTGTTTCCACCTCTGTCCTCATATCCCTTTAAGGTCATGTTGTAAAGGGAGCATTCTAGCCACGTGTGAGAGCATTTTCAGCTACCATAATAACTGGAGAATGTTACCCTTAGTCTGTGGGTGGGAACCAGGGATATAAGCACTTCACAATGTCCAAGGACAGTCCTGCACAGGAAGAATTGTCCACTGCCCACGAAACTTTCAAATGGCCTGCAGGGCTTTCACGTGGGCTTAGAGAATCTAGTTTTTTATTTTTTTTTTTTGAAACAGAGTTTTGCTTTGTCACCCCAGCTGGAATGCAGTAGTATGATCCAGCTCACTGCAACCTCTGCCTCCTGGGTTCAAGCAATTCTCCTGCTTCAGCCTCCTGAGTAGCTGGAACTATAGGTGCGCACCACCATGCCTGGCTAAGTTTTTGTATTTTTAGTAGAGATGGGGTTTCATCATGTTGGCCAGGTTGGTCTCGAACTCCTGGCCTCAAGTGATCCACCTGTCTCAGCCCCCAAAGTGCTAGGATTACAGGCATGAACCACCATGCCCAGTCAGAATCTAACTTTTTGACAGTTCAAACATACATTGAATTATCCAGAGACATAATCACCATGTAAATGAAGCAATGTCTCTGCTCTGTTTTATCTGAAACGTCACCAATGAGCTGTCATCATTTCAGAAAGATCAAAGCAACAAAGTCAGTGCCACTGAGGATGTCAGAGTCTCCAGTAAAACATACCCACATTAGTCTATATTTGGAGCTATCACATTACTGGCAATTCTATTTATATGTGGGCATACGTAAACACACTCAGGCTTCGCTCCTCCTTCATAATGTCAATTTTAAGTAAAAAGGCTGACCATATTCAGCTGAATGTTTCATTCCTTTTAAATAAAAACACTCATTGTGAGGAGAAACAAGGCATCATAGTGCCTGGTATAGCTGTTGGGTATGGGACAGCACAGTTCTTGATTCCATAATACTGAAATATGTATTGCTTTATTAGAAATTCTTTTCCTTTTATTTCTCCTTTATATTTGTTAGAGAATTATTCCCTTTTGAAATTACACGGGTAGGCAAGGTTATATAATTTACAAATTTCATCTCATATTTATAACAATAGGAAATATTGGGTTTGCCAGTGCTGAGGCCTTTGCTTTGGAGGTCAAGCTGGCTCTTCTCTTCTCCTCAGGCCTTTGCTTTGGAGGTCAAGCTGGCTCTCCTCTTTTCCTCAGGATACTCACAGGGCTAGAGGAATTAACTGGCACCCCTCCGTCTTTCCCTTAGCCACTGTTCTTTGTATCCTGCCACACCAAGAGCATGCATGTGCTATTCAAGGCAGGAAGCCCGACAAGTCCCTGGGCCCAGCAGTGAGCCTCTGCTGACTGCAGGTTATCTGGGCCTCTATCCAGCAGCAGCCCGTCATCAGTCTCTTCAGTTTCCCGCCCTTCTGACAGGTGCTGTCTTCCTCGGCTCAGCTCTATGGTCAGTGATAAAAGCTACAGACTCTCTGCAGGCCCACGGAACTCAGAAAACTTCCATTTTTTTTTCTCTGCACACTTCTGAATTCAACACTTACCAAGGAAGCCCTACGCTTCCTGCTAATCACCTGCACAAACGTTATTTCTCAGGTTTATTATGCATCAATGACGATTCTGAGACTGAGAGGCGATTACATTTCCCCTAAGACCCCACAGCTGGAAAGGAGAAGAGCCAACTTCAAATCTAGGTCCTTCAACAACTTCTTAGCTTTGGATAAAAAGGAAGGTGACAATTTTAAAGGATGTCTTTAAGTTCTTAAGACAAAGGCCCAATGTAAACACCAGCTTTTTAATCCAGCTCTTACAACTTGCCAACCTAAATTCAGGACTGAATTTATGCCTGTATTTTCTGAAGATGAGCAAAATGTCACATCATTTTCATTTTGTGGCCTGGAGAACTGATTAGATTTTCTGACGGAATCAGGGTAAGTTAAAGTTGCCATCAATGTCACTATTTAGTAATTTACATGTCAGCAGTCTCCCTCCTCTCCTGCCTTTTAAGGTCTCTGCTTATTTACAAGGTTGCTCCAAGCACTTGGAAAATACAAAATGCTGAGCTATTATCCTTTTGTTCATTTACATTTACTGAAGGTTACTTAGCTTTATGAGTGAGGCATTTTGTGATTCATTAGTTCCCCTCTGAATGTTACGTTCCTTCTTGCTATTTATTGAGAACCATCTGATCTAAGATACTTCATTGTATATCAATCAATAAATTTACTGGAGTATAGTTTGTAAAAGTAATGAAAATCTTATTAAATATGAGACATTACTTCAGAGTGGCTATTAAATCTCCAAGGAGAACATGAGTTCTCTTTATGGAAACACACACACACACACACACACACACACACACACACACACACACACAAACCCTGAAGCCAGAGTATTTCTAATGGCTTAAAAAATGTCAGAAAAATGATCGAGAACCTACTCATATGTTTCCCAATATAAAGATAAAAATCCAGTTTATATTAAAACATAACCTGAACCAGCCACATTACTTAAGGCCTTGCGGAACTTTTCTCCCTCTGAGTAGACATCATGGTTTGAAAAATGGTCCAGCACAAAAATAAAAACAAAGCTAAACCCACATTTAGATATCCAGACCTTTTCTTCTCTTCAACTGAAGGCAAAGAGACATGTATGCAGTTGATATGATCAATTTAGGTGGATCAATTATTACTTAATATGAAAGATTTGTGTGGGTGTAAAAAGATAGTTTTGTAATTATGTATACTCTGGTTACAATGTTTCCATTTGCTAAGGAAAAAAGATAATTTCTAGGGATTTTTGATTCTTAGAAATGAACCTGTTGACAGCTCTTTTCCCATTAAAAGCTTCTTTGGTTACAGGGATTTTGTGGACTTTTGTGAGCTGGCAGAGCAGGACAGGGTAACCCACCTGGACATGAGATCAAGCTCGCTGGTCCCTCTCAATGCTGTCTGATGTTGCTGGAGGGAGCTAGATATCAGATGGAACCTGCCCTCTTGCATAAAGCAAACTGACCTTCTTGGGGTATCCCCGACTTGTCAGTATTCATGCTTCTCAGGCTTGAGACCCGCTCGCCTCCTTTTCCTTGAAAGCACAGCTCCTCCACTATCCCCTTCGCAGCTAACCCTGCACATCCTCCACCCAGCACAACTCCAAGTTCACTCCCCTCCTGAATTCACTTAGCTATTTCTTCATGCACTTCCACTGATTATGCATTTGTCCTATAACTCTTTCATATCAGATTTGGAGCTCCTGGAAAACAGGAAATGTACATTGATGAATTCTCCCAGTGCAGCAACTAGTACCACCCTGCGGGGATGCATTAAACACCTGTCAACTCCCCTCTGCATCCTGCCCTCCTGGGGGAGCCTAGGACTGATGGAGTCATCTGTGTGAGGTCACTTGCTGAGCGACTGTTGAAAGGATCCCACAGTTTCTCTAATAGAGTCACATTTAAGGGCTGGTGGAATCATCTGAAGGGTTGAAGGGACAGGAGGAACCAAATGTCCGTGTGACAGCTCCAATGCCTATTCTCTTCTTACAGCATGAAGAATGAAAACCTTCCATGACCTCAGCAAAAAGTAAATTACAAAATGATGGCAACTGATAGAAAACAATGAAATGCTTTTCTTGATAACTTCACGCTGGCTGATCTGATCCATGTAACATTACATCATTCACTGGGCAATGTTCAGATTGTGTTTAAGAGTGTCCTAATTTTTTTTTTCCCGGGAAAAAAATACTCAGTGGCCACAGTGTCATTAAAACCTTTAGAGTCAGTTTTAACAAAAGTGTGTCAGTTGCCAACTTAATCTCAGCTACTTTTGATTCATTTCCCAAAGGCTTGTATATAGAAACTGCAGTAAGAAAAGATAGGGGCTTCTTTGCTTTTCATGCATTTAAAAAATCATGAGGGAATCAGAAAATCACCATCAGAATACCACAGTAATCATTGTTGCAGACATGATCCAGTCCTATATGATACAATAAATACTGTATTTATTTGTATAGTATGTGACACTATACAAATCCACTGCTATATGATACAAAAATTTGAGGATAAACAGGATATTCTAACATAGCCCCAGAGTACTACCCCTACCACAGAGAAAAGACTAAAAGAGTAACTTCATAGTGGAGAAACCTGGGGTCAATCAGTACAACATATTGACATCATATGCCCCCTAATGTGATGTGCTGAGAAAGGTACATCACTTCTGGGATATTCTTGCCAAAAATGCATAACTTCAAATTTGACTGATGGGAAAATATCAGTCAAATCCAAATTGAGAAACAGTGTACAAAAAGCTAACCTGTGCTCCTTAAAAGTGGTTAAGGTCATGGGTGATAGTGAAAGACTGAATTGGCACAGATCAGACGAGACTAAGGAGACACGACTATTAAATGCAATGTGGGTCCAGAATTGGATCCAGGAACAGAAAAAGGATCTCGGTGGAAAAACTGGTGAAGTCCAAATAAAGTCTGTAGTTTAGATAATACTATGGTACCAATGTTAATTTCTTGGTTTTGACCACTGTACTGTAGTTTTGTAGAAGCTGCCATAAGAAGAAGCTAGATGAAGGGTATGCCTGAACTCCATATTATTTTTGCAACTTTTCTGTACCAGTAAAATTATTTCAAAGTAAAAAGTAAATTCTAGCAAGTCTACTTGTAGGTACATTCCTCAAAGTATTGAAAGCAGAGACTCAAAATACTTGTATACCAATGTTCATAGTAGCATTACAATGGGCAAAAGGTGACTACAACCTTTTGCCCATTTATCCATCAATAACTGAATAAACAAAATGATTTATATATATATTCAATGGAATATTCAGCCTTAAGAAAGTAGTGTGTAGATATTCATAAAAAGGAGTGAAATATATATATTTTTTTCATAAAAAGGAGTGACATAGGCCAGGCATGGTGACTCATGCTGTAATCCCAGCACTTTGGGAGGCTGAGGTGGGGGGGATCACTTGATCCCAGGAGTTGGAGACCAGCCTAAGCAACATAGTAAGACCTTTGTTTCTGCAAAAAAAAAAAAAAAAAAATTAATTAGCTGGGTGTGGTGGGGTGTGTCTGTAATCCTAAGCTACTTGGAAGGGTCGCTTTAGTCCAGGAGTTCAAGATCAGCCTAGTTAATACAGTGAGATCCCATCTCTACCAAATATAAAAAGAGTAGCGAGGTGTCGTGGCACACAACTGTAGTCCCAGCTACTCAGGAGGCTGAGGAAGAAATATCACTAGAGCCCAGGAGTTTGAGACTGCAGTGAGCCATGATCACACCATTGCACTCCTCCAGCCTGGGTGGCAGAGCAAGACCCGGTCTCCAAAAAAAAAAAGTAAGGAATGAGATTCTGAAACAGGCTACAACATGAACAAACCTTGAAAACATGCTAAGTTGGTGAGCCAGACACAAAAGGACAGACATTATATGGTTCCACTTATATGAGGTACCTAGAATAGGCAAATTCACAGAGACACAAAGTAGAAGAGAGGTTTACCAGGGGTTGAGAAGTGGGGAGAATGGGGAGTTAGTGTTTAACGTGTGCAGAATTTCTGTTTAGAATGATGAACAAGTTCTGGAAATGGATAGCAGTGATGGTTGCACAATATTGCAAATATACTTAATGCCAGTGAATTGTACACTTAAAAATGGTTAAAAACTTTAACGATAAATGGTAAGTTTTATGTTGTATATACTTTATCTCAAATGTTAAACAAACATGGAAAATTAATATCTACAATTTGGGCATAAAACATGGAAAAATAATATCTACAATTTGGGCAGAAGTAGAACTTTAGAGATTTCCTAGAGCTAATTTCAAATGTACAGGTGATTTTGGCATAAAAACAGACATACAGACCAATGGAACAGAACAGAGAAACCAGAAAAGAACTGATTCCCAACGACGCTGACAAGAATACACAATGGAGAAGCACAGTGTCATCAATAAATAATATTTGGAAAACTTGATTTCCACAAGCATAAGAATGAAATCAAATCTTTATCTCACACTATCTATAAAAATGAATTCAAAATTGATTAGACTTCAATATAAGACCTGAAACAGCACAACTACGAGGAAAAAAAAAGTGCAAAAGCTTCTTGACACTAGTCTGGGCAATGATGTTTGGGTATGATACTAAAAGCACAGGCAACAAAAGCAAAAACAGGCAACTGAGATTGCATCAAACTAAAGAGCTTCTGCACAGCAAAGGAAACAATCAATAGAGTGAAAAGGCAACCTATGGAATGGGAGAAAATATTTGCAAACCACATATTTAATAAGCGGTTAATTCCCAAAGTATATAAGGAACTCCTACAACTCAACTGCGGAAAAAACCCAACCAATCAAATTAAAATATACGCAAATAACCTGAAGACATTTCTCGAAAGAAGACATACACAAGGCAAACAAACATATGAAAAGGTGCTCAACATCTTTCATCATCAGGGAGATGCACATTGAAACCACAAGGAGATATCACCTCATGCTTGTTAAAATGGCTTTTATCAAAAAGACAAAAGATAACAAGTGTCTGGCAAGAATGTGGTAAAAAGGGAAGCTTGGTACCCTGCTGGTGAAAATGTAATGTGTTACAGCCATAAATGAAAAAGAAAATGGAGGTTTCTCAAAAAATAAGAAATAGAACTCCACATAATCCAGCAATCCCACTGCTGGGTATATATCCAAAGCAGTTAAAATCAGTATGTTAAAGCAGTATCTGCACTCGCATGTACACTGCAGCATTATTCATAATAGCCAAGATATGGAAACAAACTAAGTGGCCTTCAGTGGATGAATAGATAAACAAATTATGTGTATATGAAATATTTAGCCTGCAAAAGAAGGAAATCCCATCACTGGCGGCAACATGGATGAATGTGGAAAATATTATGCTAAGTAAAATAAGCCAGGCACAGAAGGAAAATTCTGCATGATCCCACATGCAGACCAGCCTAGCTGAACTCACAGTTCAACTCACAGTAAAATGGTTGAACTCGCAGAGCAGAGAATACATTCGTGATTCCCAGAGACTGGTGCGTGGGGATATGGGGAGATGTTGGTCAAAGTCTCAGTTATACAAGTTGATTAAGTTCTGGAGAACTAGTGTGCAGCATTATGACCATAGTTAACAATACTGTATTGCATACTTGAAATTTGCCAAAAAAGGAGATCTTAAGTGTTTTTACCATGAAAAAAATATCTATTTAATATGTAAGGTGATGGATTAGCTTGATTGTAATGACTATCTCACAATGTGTATATTTATCAAAACATCAAGGTGTACACCTTAAGCATATTTTTTGTCAAAAATAAACAAAAAACCCGAGGGATGATTTACTAGTTTCTTTCCCCCCGCCAAACTCCAAAGTTTCAAAGAAGTCAGTCACATGCTAAAGCAGAGATTCCTAAACTGAGATATTTTCACTGCTGGGCAGCATCTTTTTAAACTTTTCAAAAGAATAGGTTCACGGCAGACTGAATGTCCCCAGTCTCTGTGTCCTAGCACTTCCTACAGCACCTAGCACACAGATGTACATTAAGTATTGCCGACTTATAAATGAACAAACTGACCTCTTAATACAAAACCACTCCCCAAATGAAGAATTCAAATTTATTATTCTAGCAGAAGGAAAAAAAAAAAAAACCACACACACACACACAAGTGTGTGCACAACCCTTGTCAAAGGTTATCTGGGCCACGGATTAACCTTTTATAGATAAACATAGATCTTATTGAACTTCTATCTCCTTTGGCTATTTCACCAATGACAGGAAGGGTCAGAGAAAAATAACTCTCAAAGTAATCAGTTCTATAAATTGTCAAGGTTTCTGACTGATCAATAAAAAATAACCATTGAAAATGCATCTTATATACTATTTGGGAGAGAAAATGACTCAGAAGGGGTTTAAAAGTAGAACTGAAAAATATATGTTTTATAAACTGTCCTTCTACATTGATATGCCATGGGACGGATGCTAATCAATGTAATCCCCCAGCCAAAGGCCCTGAATGACAAGGATGCTGCTATGACTTCCCTTCATAAGCTGCCTGCAGAGTCACTTACTACTAACTACATAGAAATAATCAGAAAATCAATCTTATGGTTTCTTGCACACACCTATTTCTGACCAGATGAAGAAACACCCAGCTTGATCACTCACACGTAGCTGTAAAAGACTTTTGTTTATTGCCCTAAATCAAATCCAACTACCCTCAATGGTGATTCATCACACACTGCAGATTTTCAACAGGATCTCTGAAGGCAATTCAAATGAGGCTTCTGCAAATGGTTCTAGCAATGGTAGGATTACTTCTTGGGATGGTGGGTGAAAAAAATCAGTCACATTACTTCAGTTATCCATGATACATATGGTATCCTGAGGCTGATGGCTCTTTGAAAACTCCCACAGCCCACTTTTTATTCTCCAAAGCCCATCATGGGGAGCAGATTCTTCACAAGTATCTGCTAACCAGTTGATCTCACTCCCTAAACTTCAAACATTCAGGAAACCAGAGTTCAGCTATAATCAGAGGCTAGATTGTCTGAGTTTACAGTAAGCTAGAGTGGGGGTAGAGTGTCAAGATCCCTTACTTGGTGAAGGCAGAAGTAGATTCAAATCCTGCCCCTAACTTGCAAGGTGATGTGATCAGGTCATTTGCCTCTCTGAGCCTCTATACCCTCACCCTCCCACCCAATCATGTTAGATGAAGTTAATACCTACATGAGCACTCAATAAATAGCTATTATTCATATTATTCAAAATGGAATAATTTTGATAGATGCTTACCTCTCTCAGAGTTGGCTTGCCAATGAAAAAGTCTGTGTTTTTGCTGCTTTTGGGTGGGTTGAACTTGGGATTCAGAAAAGCACATCCATTTGCGATAGCTTCCAGGGGAGCTGGGCCCTCGTAAGGGAACCCAAGTCCAACAAACAACTGTAAGACAGAAAACCACACAGCGTATGAACACATCAGGCAGGACCATCAGGCAGGACGGGCATTCCTAGCTTGCAGGCGGCGATTCTGTGGCCCATTCCCGTGTGGACACCTCACTTTGGAAGGCTCCCAGGCCCTGGGGGGTGGGGCAGAGAGAATTCAGCTTACACCAGGATCTGAAAAACTACGAACTTTTAAAGTCCCCACAAAGCTGCTCAACTCACTATGCTCTCCTCCACCAAGGAACTAAAAAATTAAGTGTCTAGGGGTATCCACGGGGTAGGGAGGATGGAGTATTAAAAGAAAAACAACCACCACCACCACCAAGACCCAACAATAATCCTTCTGTAACTCACCAGGAGACATGACTGGAAAAACACTTGCTTAACTACACAGAAGGTTTCTTCATTGAACCAAAGAAACAACAGGCCCTTTCAGGAATGCTGGGCGGAGGGACAGAAAGGTCACTTGGAGGTTTGATTGCAGTTCAAACGGAACTGCTTTAAAATGATGGTAGGTCAGTAAACACAGGTTTTCATAATGGGGTTTACACTGGGGACACCAACATCTTGGTGTTGATTTTCCCCTCAGAGGGGAGAGAGGGTGCTGTGTTGCTGAATCTGCAAGGCAGCTGCTTCCCTCTCCAGCAGGCAAACCATGTGCTTCCCCCAAGACAGACCATAGATGGCAGCAACAACTTGCTCTCAGTCCTCAGAGCAACCACAGCAGCTGGAAGCCACGATGACAAAGGGGACAAGCTGCAGTTCAGTGGTGCTGATTTCCTGGGTCCAAAAATGAAATAACTGCTCACAGAAATGCCTCGGCACGTACCATCACAGTGGGTGTACTTCACACTGCTGGAGCACTGCAGGTTGTTGATGGGCAGGGTCCAGGTCTGGGCTTGACGAAGCTGTGTCCTCTCTACCCACATAAAAGCCTGTTCTGTTTCAGCCCCCAGGGGCACATTAAGTGAGAAAAGATAACTGGGCCCCAGGGCGTCCTTACCTTCTGCCATCACAGAGCATCACCCAACCACAAGGCCAGGTGTTGAGAATGAAGGAGATGGCTCAACTAGATTTAGCTGCAAGCTTGGTTCTGTTTTTCCCTCGGTCTTTTCACAGCAATCCCCTCCTTCTCACCAGCTTTCCTCTCTTAGCAGCTGCTCTAATTGAATGATCGTTTAGAAAGGTTCAGCTGGAGGGTGCCAGGCCCAAGCTGCCGGGCTGCATGTGTCAGGCCAACCCTGAGCACAGCCCATGGGTGACATACTGGAGAACCAGGTAGCTCCTGAAGGAATTCTGGGGCACAGCACTAACATCTCAGGTTTTCTGGACCTATTTACTTTTGTTTTGAACAGAATAGGGTACTCAATCTTTTTGGTTTTTTGAAAGAATAAATTTTCGTTTCCTGAAAACTGCGTGATCACAATGCCAGAGATGTCCACAGGGCAGGGAGCTGGGAAGAAAAGAAGCTTTAGAGGCCAGCAGAGCCCCTAATGCTGGCTGGGTCATTTCCCCCTTGGGCAGCAGAACCACCAGAGATCACGGGTGGGGGTGATGGTGGTGAGGAAAACATGGTAGCCAGGAGCCTGGAAGCTGTAGGATAAAGGGAAAGCTCTACTACCATTAGGAAGCTCCTGCTCTGCATCTTACTCTTATTATACAGCTAACAGAAACGAGATTGTCAGAGAGAACTTCTAACTATAGGGTGTGGCCTGGACATGTGGCTCAGGGGTGGGGGAGATCTGACTGCTGCAGATGAAATGGAAGGAAACAGTGGGAATGTACTAGTCCCACGACATCCCAGCTTTATGGAATATGAAGAATCCAGGGTTGTTATCTACCAGACTTGTGATCTCTGATTTGCCCTCTCCTATCAGACTTTGGAGAGGATGTGCCGGCTCTCCAGTGGAAAACAAATGACCTCTGTCAGGCCGTGGTTGGGCATAAGATAGCACAGGGAGTCCAGATCTTTCTGACTGAGGAGAAAAGTGCCAGAAGACGCAGATCAGGATTTCTGCAGGTTTAGTCAGAGAACCCACAGTGCCTCCTGACCTCTGAAAATCAGGGCCTGCCATGAAGTGTGGATACCTTCATCAACTCTAAATTTCAAAGAACAGCTTTGGAGGAAATGCAAGCAGCACAATGTTTGTCTATTTAAATAGAAAATCTTGGGAAAAATTTAATTAGCTTCTTTAGATCAATCTGAATCCATTAATTAAAAGGATTTGAGGCTGTTGCTTAATGGACTTGAATGTGACCTAGGTTTAATTATATCTGAACAACAATATGAACCATCTCTTCTGCCCTGTGGGCACCAGAATATCTCAGTACACATAAAATAAAAACTTTATTAACTCTCCCAAAGCCTCATATGTTTAGAATGAAGCCTAAGCAAATACAACATAATTTCCTGGCAATGAGTTTTTCTGTCACACAATTAGGATTGTAGGAAATACATTACTTGGAAACACCAAAATAACAGTTTTTTGTCACTTCAGTCAATAAGCAATTTTTTTCTTGCTTCCTGTGTGCTTATTACCTGTGATATTACAATGGAGCAGATGTATTAAGGTCAAATAGCACATCTGAGGTTTGAATGAAAACACAACAGGCGGAGAGAGTTCATCACCACCAAACAGCACTCTGTAAACTTCCTTGCACTTATGGTCTTGCCACACATTGGCACCTTAACCACACTGAATTGCTTTTCCCCTAATCTCCTGCTATTCTGCCTACTTAACCGATTTCCTTAGCAAGGAGGCAAGAGACACTGCAAGAATGTACATAAGTGCCAAGGCTTAACTCTGCTGGAGAAAACTGGCCATATTTTACTTATACTTCACCTTGCCTTCAGAAGCCCAGAATCTAATGAGGATATTCCAGATGACAAAATATCTCCATGGCTGCAACTCCAGCTCCATCAATGAGTATTTCTACACAGAGGGATTGTGGGATCTAGGATTAAATTTCTGAACTAATGCTAAGCAGAGAGAACAGATGAGGCACCATACGTTTTCTTCACAGTATAGGATTGGGACGTTCCTACACATTCACAAAGGGTCCAGTAAAACCACCCAGATTTTTCCCACTCTGTGAAAGAAGAAACAATTGTTTTAAACTGCTAAGTGGAGTACTTAAAGAATCTTTAAACATGGATAAAGGGGGTTCTTATCCATGGGCTTGGTCAGTTTCACTCTTGATGGGGAACATTGAGGATAATCATAAATAGGAAACACACACACAACACATACTTTTCTGGCCAGTTTTAATTAGCGAAGTTGGCATGGTGACTCTAGAGGGAAACTGAGCAATGAATCACCCCCGGTTCATCAAATGAATTGATGAATCCATTATTGGCACAAAGTGCCCAGAACAATGTGGTAATTAACAGCGCAGGTTCTGGAGACAGATTAGGCTTCAAGGTCTAGCTCCATCATTTCCCAGGTCAGTCACTGTGACACACTGCTAGGTGCTTCTGTCTATGGATTAGTTAAGGCCCATTTATAATCTATTCTATTTATAGGACCTTAGTCCGGGTAACAAGCTTGCTAAACCTCAGAGTTTTCATGTGTAAAATGGGTAAAACAATAGTGCTTTATTTCATGGGGTTGCTGTGAGGATTACATGAGATAGTACATGGAAAGGATTCATTCCAAGTCTTGGCACTTAGTAAGTGCTGGATAATCAGTCACTCAAGTTCAAATCCATATGCAACTTCACACAGCTGCATATCATGGCCTTATATCATTTAGACGGAGTTTACGTGTGCAGGAGTTATGTTTGTGGGTTTTTACAAGATGTTCAGCACCTGCATGTATATTTATGAGTTCTCATTGTTTCATAAAGTATCTGCACTAAAAAACGGGGAGGGATATTCATCAGAAGAGAGAGATAAGAGATGATATGGTTTACAGTGACTGCCACATAAGCCAGTCCCATGAGTCACATGCTATTGCTAAGCTTTGCTTGTTTATTTTTATACAATGACTGGGAATCATTATATTAATGTTTCTGGTAATAGGCATCCCTTTTATATCTTAAAAATAACCCAGACAAGGGGCTGGGTATGAAGAAAACAATTTTTCCAAAATGTGATGCTTTCATGTAGCCCAAAGGGTCCCTCCCTGGCCATCTGCCTTCTTTCAGGTACCTGATGCTTAAGGAAGGGATAAACAGTGGCCAGACTCTCTTCCATCCAGGCTGGCTCTATCCTCCCAAGGGCTCCACAAGCCCCTGACTCATGTGACCTGAAGACTCTCTAGGGAAGAGCTGGAAGGTCCACGGAGGCCAAGAAAAGAAGACTCACCAAGCATGTTTACATGCCCAAAGCAGACTTTTGTCAGAGTCTGCTGCTAAACCAAAGACTATTTCCTGAAGACCAGCTGGCTGATTATGCCAAGCTACCTAACTACCGTTTCAGAAACAAAAACCCAAACCACAAACAACAGCATCAGGATAAAAAGTTCCTGAGTTTCGGTCATTTGAAAGCCCCAATATAAAATCAAATGCATTACAATTCACATTGTAAATTTATTAACTTGGAGATAGGGGAGTAAAAGAATATTTGCATAAATTTAAACCTGTAGATGCTGAACATGTTCAGTTGGGCCAGCCTCAAGTGCTCACCATTAAAAGTCCACTCAGGCATCATCTCCTGGGAGGACCCTTTTCTGACCACGCCTCTCTCCCCCAAATTCCACACCAGGACAACCCCTCAGCCGCCAACACGGAGGCAGCAAAACAGGCTTATTTACGACTGGAGCCTCAGTGGCTGCTTCATTAAAATGGTACCGTTTATAACAGTACCAAGATCATTGGATTTTTGTGATGCAAAGAGAGAATACACAGAAAGGGCTTAGCATAGGGCCTAGTACATGGTAGAGGGGAGAGATAATGGCTGTTACTGTTATGGTAAATCCCATAGACAGGTGCATCGCAATAGCATGGAGGTGTTAAACTGTGACTGACAGTGGCTCCTGTCCTCTGAATGGGACTGCCCAATTCACTACATTGATTTCACAAGTCACAGAACCACATTTTACACAACTGAACTGTTGGCCCCACTCAGCGTGACAGTGAAGTTTTATGCTTGTATCATTATTTCATATTATGACTAGTTCTACCTGTGTACTTTCCACATTGTTACAGTTACCTGCTTTCCTCCTCCAGCATACCTGTATGCTCCTTGTGGGCAAAACTGCTTGAGTCATCACTGTCTCTAGAATGGCTAGACTAAGGCCTAGAATATATCTAGTACTTAATATTATACTTACTTGCTGGATGAAACAGTAAAAGAATAAATACTATGAGACTGGATCTTTCCAGCAATCAAGTGTCTCTGTGCACAGAAGTTGAACGTGTTGTATTTATTTGAGTGTAGGGATGCACTTTTGCTCTGAAAGTCAGACAGGTTACTGACTCATACCTCTGTACACTCTTCAGTCTATATACATGTGTAGATAAGGGGGAGGGAAGGAGGCATGGATGTGTTCGTACAATTTTTTCCCCATCTAGATGGCATGGGAATGACTTGAAGTATGCTCACTAGGATGAAACCTGCTTCAATTGGCTGCCTGAGGGCAAATGGGAACCAGTATCTGTAATAGAAACAGAAGAAGGACTGCTCCTCCTAAGGAAGCAAGCTCTTGGGCTATCACTCACAGGGCCTGGAGATGTAGGCAACATTACAGACAGGCAGGAACGGGGTATCAGAAGGGTAGTGTCCCTAGCTGGTGAGATCTAAGAGATCTAGGCGCAGGGTATACGAGAACAGGAAGAAATCTCAGAGATCCCAGATGGTCAATGTGTTTCATTTTGACTCCTTCTTTCATTCTTTATACAATCATCTAAATGCCTTTTAGAAGCCAGGCACTGTGGATGCACCTGTGGATAGAACAAGCAAAGGCCCTCTGCCCTCATGCAGCTGCAGGAGAGTCTGCTGCCTCAAGCCCTGGGTATTTCAGACAGCCTTTTTTAAAGACAGGGTCTCCCTCTGTCACTCAGGCTGGAGTGCAGGTGTCCTCAGCTCACCACAACCTCAGCCTTCTGGACTCAAGTGACCCTCCCATTTCAGCTTCCTGAAAATCTAGAACTGCAGGTAAATGCCACCACGCACAGCTATTTTTTTTTTTTTTTGGTATTTTTTGTAGAAATGGGGTTTTGCCATGTTGCCCAGGCTGGTCTTGAACTCCTCGGCTCAAGCAATTTGCCCGACTCAGCCTCTCCCAAAGTGCTAAGATTACAGATGTGAGCTACTGCACCGCACCTGCCTTAGACAGGTTTTGTGAGCACATCCAAGCTCAGTAAGAAGAGACATAGTTGGTGGGGGGCAGGGTGGCACAGTCAGTCATGAGGATAAGATGAGTCAGAGGGAGCACTGCATATTTGCCAGGCCTGCCCATGTTCCTAGGTGAGTCCCACAGGTAAGCTGATAAGCTGACATGATGGGGAAACAGTGCCGTCATGACCCAGCCAAGTCTTGGAGAGGTGAATGAATGGAGGTCTGGGTACAGAAGGGGTACAGCGACAGTATGTGCAGAAGCCACAGCTTTGCCTGTTTTCTTCCCCACAACCAGAATTTGTTTTCAACTGTAGAAAGGACGGTACTGGTCCAGCTCACAAAGCACTCAGTGAGTTGCAGATGCAAATGCACTATTCAGTATCATATATGAAACAGGGAAGACTGAGGGAGGTGGACATGAAGAGGTTAAATCCAGGAAGATGAAGAAAGAAGCCACTTTAAAAGAGATGGAGATTTAAACCAAAAATAAAAACATGCCACCCTAGTGAGTCCTGATTTGCTGGCTTAAACTGCACTCCTGGGGTTTGCTGGACTGAATGACTCGGCTGTGGTCCTGTGATAAATAATTCATTCATCCAAGTTTATACCCCAATTAGAAGGATCTGCTAGATTCCAACAACTTCCTGGCTCTTTTAGCCCCAGTATTAGTGTTACATTGAATTCCTTCCATCTTCACAGGTTCCCTGAAGCAAGAGGCTACTAATGACGCCTGCACCCCTAATGGCATGCCTGGACAAAATTCTGCTGAGCAGAGGGTTTCCTAAGATTGGTGCAGAGATTCAAAGATGGCTTGTAAAGAAAAATAATGAGTCAGAAGCTGATCAAGCATCAATCATCTCTCTATGTCTCTAACTCTCTTGAGGAGGTCAGCCCTGCTTCTCTTGCCAGTAAGGAGTCCAAGAAGTGTGTGAATCCCATTCATGCTGCAGACATCTGCTTCTCGGCTGCTCCAGTTCCCCATTTCCAATGTGGATTAGAATAAATCGCTTTTAAATTGCTCATAGACAGAGAGAAAGGAGTCAGAGACAGAAAGGGTTATAGATGCGAAGCCTGACTGGTCTTTCATGTCATTATTTCAAAGCCAAAGGTTCATTCATTTTGGAGCCTGTAGCTGTGTGCCAGGTGTGAGGGGAGTCTCAGCAATACGCTGCCCCATCCTTGTCACATTTGCCAAATGTCTGAGCCATGATTCCACTCAGAGTATTTTAATATACTCTACTCAAGGAGCAGGCAATAGGTAATGGGATCAGTGACATCCTCTACACGGGTCCCAGTTTTTCAAGGATGAACATACACCCCTCGTGCTCTTTAACTCAGGCTGCAATCCTTGCTCATTAGACAAACTTGGACATCTTGGCCTGGGCCTTCCCTGCCTCTTTTCCTGTCCTCCCCTGGACATCAGCGATCTCCGTTTTGGCCTATTTCCTAATCTCTGACAGGGTAATGGATGGTAGGTAAGTAAGGGTTCTTTCAAAATTTGCGAAGCTGAGAGAGACATTCATGAGGTTGGGTTAATAAAAGTGTGTGAGACAGTAATGACACACTGCTGAAAACCAGCTCTGCCAAGTGTTTTTTAAAGGAGCTTGAGCTCTTTCCACAATCTGATGTGGAGAAAAGTAAAATGAGGCAAATGGCAAAAACAGCACTGCCATTAAAGGGCCCAGACATTCTGATGATTCTGAAATGTCAGCCTAAGACAGAAGGTGATAGAAAGCAAATAGTGAAAACTAGAGAACACACTTCACTCCTGGATAACAAAAAACAGTCATCAGACTACAGATGACCTTGGAAGGAAATAAAATCTTAAAACAAACCAGGTCTTTGGCCAATAAGCTAAAGAAATTGTCAAATCATTTTATTTGTGGCATCATACAAATGCCTTGGACGTAGATAGGATCAAATGCATTTACAGATGGAGAAACTGAGGCAAAGAGGAGATATACATTCTTTTGGCTAGTGGGTGTCCACTAAGAGTTCTTAAGTTTGAGTGTTTATGACGATAGTACATCAAGGGGCTAGCAGAGCTTTAATGTGCAATTAAAAAAATCATGAGTTAGGGCCACCTCCAGGACTTGACCCCAGTTTACTGTGGGCAAGCCAAACTCTGTAGCCTATTTCCTCATGTTCAAAATAAAGTTAACAATAATACCTGCTCTATCTACCTCTTAATGCTGTTGTGAGAATCAAAGAGGATAGCATATGTGAATACACTTTTTATAAATGAAGTATCACATAATGATTGGACAACTGAGATTATGCCCTAGAAGTCCACCTGCTCAACCTCTCTCCCCTACCTTGAACATGAAAACAAAGCGAGCCAGAGATGAGAGCTGAGAAATCCACTACTGAAAATAAGCTTCCTTGTGCTTAGGACATACCACAAGAGAGATCCATGTGCCTTCTTCACACTTGCATCCCTTGTACAACGCCTAGCACATTGCAGCTACTCAATAAATATTTGTGAAATTCATAAAAACTTATTAATAAACCTGAGGGAGTTTATCTAATACACTGAAATGCCAGCCAACCCTTCAAGGCCAAACTCTGGTTTCTTCACAAGTTCCCGAACTTCATTTGGTACTTCCATGGCACCATTACAGAAAAAACACAGACCACTGGGTGGACTTCCCTACAGTGTCAAAGCAACACGTCATCATGCTACTGCTGAGCAAAATGATCCTCAAGGGCTTGCCCGGCTACCTCCACCACATGGTGTGAACTCTGCCTCCATCTGTGCCAATCAGACCCTCACATTCCCTCATCCAATTTTACCTCCACTATTTTTCAACACTTAGACTAGCTGGGTTGGCTTCTAGCTCTTTCCTGAATATGCCACCTCCACCTCCACCACCTGACTCTAACTCCTGTCTGGCCCACATGCCAGGTGTGTCTACACTCCATCCATCTTTCATCTCTTGCATCTCTCCTGATGCTTGCTCTGCTTCCTGAGCCCACAGGGACTTTGCCCTCATCTGAACTTCTTCACTGTCCAATGCGTACTTGGTGAACAAGGAGGTATGAGGAAAAGCTGGTTGGGAAACCCACTCCTTGAACAGTGATGATTGGGTTGGGGGAAGAGTTCAGCACCCCTGGCTTACTATGAAAGCTGCTGCTCTATTAGAAAGTCTGTCCTTCCAGGCAGGGCTTTACCTTTTCCATTTGCAGCCTTATCCTTAGCCCCTTGCTTGACACCTAACACTGAGTAGGTCCTTAGTAAATACGATTTTTGAATAAATCAATGAAAAAAACTGTAGCAATCTCATTCCACAATTCACTTACTTTTCAGCTGCCATTGGTCTAGCAAACTGCTGCCCCAAAATAGCCACAAGAGTTTATTGCAGCATTGAAAAACAAGCATGAAATATTCTGATCCCATTTTCACAGCCAATGGCAATAACCTGAACACCACATCCGTGGTGAATTTTTACCTTGGTTTCTCGAAGAAGGAACTGCAGGTCCCGTCCACTGAGGATACCATGGTTTTTCACGTAACTGGGAATATTCTTTGTGCTGGAGCCATAAACAGTTGCATGCACTTCCATGTATGTGTGAATAATGTCCAAGTAGATCTTCTTATTCTAAAGAAGAAAACAAGCACAAGACATTTCTCTTTTTCTTTCATTTGCATAACAACCTGTATCATGGACTAGAACTTCTAAGACTAGAGGCCACAGACAGAGAGTTCTTAATATGGAGATCACAGGAATTTGGCAATCAAACTGCTAAAATTTCTTTGAAAAGTAATCTGGCTGGACTTTGTGGACATAAACAGTCATATAGCCATTGTATAATTTTTTAAGAAGAAATACATTATATGGCAACATATTACTGAATACCAACTGTATAATTTTGCAAGAGGAAATACATTATATAGCCAACTGTTTTGAAATATCATCCTTGCTTTGTAAATTACCACAGACCTAACAGTTGATTTTGGCTCTTCCTACCTCTAGGAGAGGAAGTTTGGGGAAGGACAGCCCGGGGAAGGCAGTCAGTTGGACTGCAACATTTACCCAGAGATGCTAAGCTGTCCCAGAGGAATACAAACATTCCCCAGCTCTTGCCAATGTTTCTAGTGATGATTAACTCATGTTGTCAGAACTGGATCCCACCTAATTTGGGATCATGGGAAGATGAGAGTTTCTCACAGCTGGAGAGATAATGAGAATACTCAGGTAGATAAAAGTAGAAAAAAGAGAATAAATGTAAATTTTGATGAGCCCTGAAACATTCAAGAGTAATTTTACTTATACTATTAGAAGCACAACCAAACCCCTTTTCTTGTATTTGTAGGCACTGAATTTTGAGGCACGTTTTCTAAATCAAAACCACCTGTGAAGTGGAAGCAAGTTCACCTTTTTTACCTCTGTGTTTCCCTGTGACTAAACTGTACAAGCTGGGGTTTGTGGGTTTTTCTTTTCCTTTTTTTGGGAAATTTTCAAAAAGTCAAATTCTGTAATGTTTTCCAGTTGTATAAAAGTGGGACAAGGTTTCCTCATTCTAAGCCTGTTTTCAGACACTCCAGGCAAATCTAATAATAGCTGGTTTTGTGACTTAAGACCACAAGGGACACAGGGGTGTGGTATTAGCAGCCACAGAGTGCAGGGAAGCCCGGAGGCAGGCTCTAAATGAAGCGATTCATGATCTGGTCTCTGCCATTCACTGCCCTGGTGATATTACAAAGGACCCTCAACTTCAGGAGGAACATTTCAAGTGATGTATCAAAAGTCTTCATGACTGGGAAAACTGCACAGTCCACATTCTTCATTTCATGAACCAGGATGACTTTGCTTGCAATGAGCAAGACCACCCTTGCCACCCTAATGTATGAATAAAATGAACAGTGGGACTGAAAGTTTAATTCCATGCCATGTCTGGTATGGCCGCAAGATGCTGAATTCATTAACTTAGAAATGTATAGTTTTAAATTAGTACAGAAGCTTACACCTACCTGGCATATGTTAGTTTGAAGGGTTCTAGGATATGGTTCTTGTGCTAGATGTATCTGGTAACTCCTGCCCCCACCCACAGCTCCTGTTAAGTAGGCAGGGGGCTCTGTTACCCTGTGCCCACTGCTGGCTGCTGACCTGCCCAGGGTGTGTCTGACCTGAGGGGACCCACTCCTAGGCTGGCCAGCAGCCCAGGAATGATGTAGCAGACTCAGGAAGGCAAGGGGAGCCAACCAGATGCTCTCTTGGGAACTCAGAATCCTGTATACAGGGAGATTACTGCCAGATGGCCACTGGCTTTAGAGCAAAAAGGTCATTTGAGCGTTGGAGTCTGGGCAATTACGAGCCAGATAACAAGTTCTGAGGAAGCTGGTTGCCAGTTTTGGCGGGTGGGTTGGGAAAAGAACCAAGTAAAGGCTAAAGGAGAGGGGAAGACGCAGACAGTCGGTCATAAGAGGGACCCAAGAGCATGACTACAACCAAAACATCACCACTGCAAGCATGACACAGAGCTAGAAAAAAAAAGAGGAGTAGAAGAAGAATAAGGAGAAGGAAGGGGAGAGAAGAGAGTGGGAAAAGAAAGCAGAGAGACAGAGGAGAAAAAACTAGGGCCTGGAGCCACTCTGGTTCTTATCCCACCCACAGTGGTTCCCTATCCTAAATTCCCCAGGTCCCTCTGGATCCTTATAATAAACACAGCTCTTCCCAGACCCCACCCCATATTTTTACTTGAGTTTCCCTGTGTGGATTTCACTCATCTACAAGGAGGCCTCTCGGGACATCTTGCTGGCCTTAAAGCAGGAGATGGGCGGTGCAGGTGGGGACAGGCATCTCTCCTTTATGCAAAAGGAGGCATTTCGCCTAAAAAGCCAGTTGCCAACTAGTGAAGATGGGCCAAAGGCCCCTAGGCTATGTCTGTGGTGAGCTACAGGGTAGACCAGTAACTGGCCCATTTGGTTCCTGTCCTGGAGAAAAATATCCACTGTAGACAGACTCAAGATTAGGGTTCCCAGACTAAATGCCTGGGAAAGTAACAAGGTACTAGATTACATATGTATTACCATTAAATCCCAGAAAAGGCTGGGGTTTCTTGAAGTATAACAAGGGGGCAAGTTCAGGCAAATATAAAGAGGTATATGTAAAGACTAATAAAGTGTATGAACTTACTAACTTTTAGGCATGGTAAAATCAAAACTAGAGATTACCTTCAGAAAGGATTTACCAATTTCATAAACGTGAAAATCCCAACAGCTGATTAGAGGAAAAAAAATGTTTCAAGCCTAACTTTAGCCTTTGACATTGATGTAACAATTAGGTACTTCTACCTCAGGTCTCTTGTTACCACTTGTAAGAGTTCTGAGTAGAATCCTGGTGCAGATGAACCACGCTGCCTATTCCAGGTAAAGGTGCCCCAGAAGCCTCTCATACCAAACTCCCAGCCAAGTACCTACACCAGTTTTGCACCTGTGGTTCTGTCCCCTTCAAGCTCCATGGACACACATGTCGAATTAGTCACACAGTCCTGTATATTCTGCCTCCATAATATCAAATTGGTCTCCTCTTCTCCAGGATGGAAGGGTCAGTTCTTGCCATCAAGGGGCTCAAAGGATCCCCTTCTGTCTTCATGGACACTCTTATCTTTTGTGTTTAAGATGCAGGATATTCAGGATTTTTAAAATTAAAGGTGTCTTTGTCTGCCTTTCCCCTACACATGGGAAGGCTCAAAATGGGGAGGGCGTTAGAGGTAAGAGACATTTTCCAGCATACACTCCCCCTTCCCTTCCCTTACTTTGGTCATCCAGGCCCAGGGTGAAGGTGACCATAGGTGACCACCATAGACCTGTATGTCCCACTGATCTAAGAACTGGATCGAGATCACTTCTTAGAAAGCTTTCCTTCTCCAACTTAAGAGACTAAGGTCAAAGAAAATTATCTGCTCTAAAAACTTTATCACCAACAGATCTCTGGAGATGCAGTCAAAAAGGGCCTGCACTGAGTATCATATCACAGCATGCAACCACCTCTGTCGCCCAAAGGTTCCAGCTGAGCAACCAGCAACCCCCCTAATGCTTTTATTCTCTAGTTCAATTTAAATTCTCATTAAGAACAACTGATCTAACTGATTAAAACTTAAATCCACCTAAGCTCATTTGAGGGGAGGAGATGCAAAGGGAAGGAGAGCGCATGCTGGAGTCAATGAGCAGTGTTGTCAGTGTCTCTTCAGCTGTTTATGGTTGTAGCTGGAGGCAGGTACATGTTCAGAACCAGTCATAAGATATTTAGAGCTTGGAGAGAAAGCTTTAGAAAAACAATTCAATTTACGCAACACTCCTGTAAGTCCACAGCAGGGGGGAGTGGTAGAATGCAGAACTAGAGAATCAGAAGCTTTCCCCAACTTATTTTACAACATTTTTAAATTGATAATAATTGTACATGTTTATGGGATATATGGGATATTTCAATACATGGATACTACATGTGATGATCAAATCAGGGTATTTAGGGTATCCATCACCTCAAACATTTATCATTTCTTTGTTTTGGGAACATTTCAAGTCCTTTCTTCTAGCTAATCTGAAATAGACAATATACTGTTGGTAACTATAGTCACCCTTGTCTACTATTGAACACTAGAACTTATTCCTTCTATCCACCTTTATGTTTGCACATTAACTCACTACTCTTTATTCCCACCTACCCCTTTTCCCAGCCTCTGGTATCTGTCATTCTACTTTCTACCTCCATGAGGGCCACCTTTTTAGCTCCTACATAGGAGTGAGAACATTCGACATCTGTGACTTGCTTATTTCACTTAACATAATGATCTCCAGCTCCATCCATATTGCTGCAAACTACAGACTGCCATTTTTTTAAATGGCCGAATCGTATTCCATTATGTACATATTTTCTTTATCCATTCATCCGCTGATGGACACTCAAGCTAATTCCGTATCTTGGCTATTGTAAATAGTGCTGCAATAAACATGGGGATGCGGATATCTCTTTGATCTCCAACTTCCTTTTTAGCTGGTGAATTAGGGTATAGGAATGTTCTTTGGTGAATAGCAGTATCCTCCCCAGTAACACCCCTGCTCCCCACTGCAGACACACATATTTCTCCTGGACGTCAGTTCCCCTCATTCACGCAGCACCTTATGACCTGTCATTAAAAAATTCTGCAGCTCAGCCCAAAGTTGGCTCCTCCAGGGTGAACATCTGTGAGTCTTAGGCAGCAGTAGTCCTCCCTGGGAAGTGCTGTCAATCCCTCTCCAGGGTGACAAAACCAGGCTGCAGAGGCAAGCGTGTGTCCCACTCCATGGAGGGCAGAGAAAAATTTAAGTCCTACAGAGAAGGCCTAACAGGACAGTGGCAGGGTCTCGGTCCACAGCTCACGTCATCCAAAATGCTGAGCACTGGAGAATTTTCAACTTCAGATTTTCGGGAATATGGATGTTCAACCAGTTAAGTATTTGCTAATATCTCCAAATCTGAAAAAATCCAAAATCAAAAACACTTCTGGTCCCAAGAATTTTGGATAAGGGATACTCAGCCTGTGGCAGCTCCTCCTCTTTCCCCACAAATATGGAAATCGGCCTGTTACCTGGTTTTACAAACATACAATAATGAATCCTATTTTTTATTTAAGAAACACAAGGCCACAGAGTATG
The DNA here is from genome assembly GCF_000001405.40 of Homo sapiens. NCBI lineage: Eukaryota > Metazoa > Chordata > Mammalia > Primates > Hominidae > Homo > Homo sapiens. The sequence goes on along the minus strand of NC_000002.12, from coordinate 134,397,948 downwards.
CATTGACCAGAACCAGCCATGGGAGTACTTTACTGTTACTGTAACGTAACTCCTATAAAGGTTGGGGTTGGGGCTGTCAACTGCACAGAATGAAGATCTTGTAAACCTCCCTCCACTACAGGTCGCCTCCATTTGCTCTGCCAGCCCCCTCCTGCATGAACTGCTATCGTAATGTCTGGGCTGGGCTCGTTGTCTCAACAGTGGCACGCTCCTTAGGAGCCCTTTCAGATTGCCCCTGCTCCTCTCTTTTTCAGTCAGTGCTCACACAAACCAGGCTGCCCTCTGCTGCCAGATGGGGAATAAGCTTACCATGGGATGGGGTGATGGGGTCCTCCTTCCTAAATAGCATCGCAGAATTATAGGGGCCTTAGAAATCTATGAGGTGAACCAAGGTTGATGGCAAACAGGACACAGGAAGGAGCAGGGCGAATAAAACCCACCTCCTTTCTCTCCTCCAGACTATTCCACTATTCCAAGGTAGAGCTCCTCCTTGCAGGCCTTTGGGGAGAGTCCAGGCAGCCCAATGTGCTGCTGTGTCTCTGTGGCCCCTGGTGAGGCAGGAGCCAGCATGGTCAGACACACCGTCTGTTACCCTGCACTTCCCTTTTCCTTCATCCTTGCTGCCCTGGATTTGCAACTCCTTCTGCAGCAAAATATTGGTACTTTAGTCTTTGTCTCAGGCCCTGCTTCCTAGAGGCTGTGGGCTAAGACATTGTCTGTAGGCTCTCATTCCTTCAACCCATCCTCCTTATTGTCACTAGGTTCCAAAACTCAAAGTTTTGTTCCCCTATATAAAGAGCTTCCCAACACTGCACACAAGGCCCTTCACAATCTGGGCTTCTGCAAGCTCTCCAGCTTTAACTCCAACTATTCCCTCTGTCATCTGCTAAGGTCTCTGCCTACACTTAACTTATCCCTCATTCCCAAACCTCTCCTGCTCTCTCACACCTGGTCTGCCACTGCTAATGCCCAAAAGAACCTTCTCTCCTCCCTCCTTTTCTTCTGGATGGACTCCTGCCTCCTCCTCCTTTACAAGCAGGCAGTCCTGGATCCACCCAGGTGAAGGTCAATGCTGTCTCCTCTGTGCCTTAACCATCTTCCTGCTTGGGCTGCACTGTCACTGGATGTTCCCAGATGGCTGGAACTGTGAACTTCTCCAGGGCAGAACCAGTAGGCTTGGCAGAGGCCTGGCACAGGGCGAGCGAGCGCTCAGTAAATACAAGCTGGCTGAGTGAAAAACACAAGGAGGGCAGGCACACAAACCACAAAGGACTTATGGACTTGTGGGAAACATGGATCTCGGGCACGGCACATTCCTTCACTTTCCACCTGCTTCCAGCAAACGAGCTTAAAGTCCAAGACTACCTAAGTGTGTATTCTAATCAAAAACAAAATAAAAAGAGTTGTAAAACTTAAAAGGTATATTTTATAGTTGATTCATCCTCCTTTTTATATTGCTCCTAAGTACCACATTCACTTAGGAACTGCAAGGCAAACAAAAAAGAAAAAGAGAGGAGAGAGACAAAAAGAAACTACCTCATCTGCTTGCTCCTGAAGTCTAAAATTCAACAAAGATGAAAAATTATTTTATTCCAAGATTGGAGGTAAGTTCTAAAATGCAAATCTCTGTGAATTTCAGCAGTGTAGCCGAAAAAATTTACATTTCAGAACAATTTAAAGTCTCTGCAGTCTTTGGCTCATTTATCTCAAGTAACCACCCAAGGTCAAGGTATATATGTATGGGGTGGTCCTTGTTGTGTCCCACTCAAACCTTGTGGGGCTCTGAAAAACCCTTGGAAGCTAAGAATCTCAAAGCCTGTTCACCTCTGTCTCTTCCTTCCCAAACCCTTACCTCTCTAGGAGAAAAAGATGGTGCTCAATGATTGCAGTGGCACAATAAGGGGAAGCTTGCTGTCTTGTTTCCAGCCCAGTCTGTGGTCCACCTATTGGCCCACAGGCCCTAAAAAGAGGGGAGTCTGCTTCCTTTCATGTACTGGCCTCCACATTTAGTCTTGGCTTGAGCTCATCTGGTATAAATTAGGATTCATCTTGGGCAATGGGTCTCAAGTATGATACTGAGTGGCTCTAGAATTTGCCTATCTGGGGGAACGAACAGGAAGAAAGAACAGCCACAAACACTTTACTTATTATTCTCTACTGTCCAATTAGGTGAGAATTTTGGTTTCTGGTCCAAAGACAGACATAGGGAGATTTCTGAGGCTAAATGGGTGGTACGGAAAGAGCAATGGTCCTGTATTTGCAACTTGATGGCAAATGTCTCATCCATAAATAGGAAGTAATACCACTTAATGGTTCTTTTAGACAACTATTACATGTACAGTGCTGAGCCAGCACTGGGAATAAAATGCATTTAAAATATGTTTAAGTATGTACCCTTGCTTTTAAAAACAAGGTGCTAATACTACTCCAAAGCCATAAAACGGGACAAGCTAGACATGAGAGTCCTGAGCTGGCTAGCATCTTCACATCACTGCCCATGTGGAACCAATGCTTATGCCCACTCTACATCTCTCAGTCCGAACTGGTCAGTGTGGGTCTCTATTTTCCAGCACTTTTGTTTTTCAGGATTTTCTCTGCCTTAGCACAGAGCTTTCTGCCATTTAACGAATGGCTCTTAAAGGACCCTGGGGAACCACCAGCCAGTTTATGAAAACAAGAAACCCTTTGGCATGACCTCCTTTCTGCTTTAAGAAGGGCAGGAGGCCTTCAAATTGCAGAGCTGGTTTCTCTTTTCCTCAATGCAAATGCAGTCACTTACGGATAATGATGTTCCTTCATCTACTCTGATTGGCATGGTCCTAAAGCAACAAAGCCCACCAGCTATACTACCATGCAGAAAACAGGCTGGTAGGTTGAAAACACACCACCACAGCCCAAATGTGTCAGCAAACTCCTCCAAGAGCTTTCTGTTTTCCACCTATCTGGGCAGTAACCACAGAAAACAGACTGTTTAGTGACAAAGAGGGCTGTCACAGTGGAAGGTTTTGCCTTGGCAAACTGAAATTGCATGTTTTATAGAATCCCTAAAGGGTCAGGAAATCATGGACTGAATATCCTTTCCTGAAAGGAGGAGATAGCTTGATGAGCTTGGCCAGATACTGTTTAAAGGCAAGGGAGAAGTGTCTCCTATTATTACAGGACCATCCTGTGAGAGTTGTCAGGGAAGAATTTTGGAAAACTGCATGGTCACACTGGCAGTAGGTGTGACGGGGCTTCCTCTGAAAATTAAACTGAGGCCCCAAAGGCCAGGAACCAAACCACAGAGGCCAAGTACCACCCAATCACATCAGTAAAGAATAAATTAAAAATAATATGAAAAATATAAAGTAATACATTAATACTTTTAAATCATTTTAGTGTATTTCTTGGTAACAAGAAGGGGGGAGAATTCTATCTATATATTGGTCTCTCTTAGTAAGGAATAACATTACATTTTGTGTTTTCCAGTATTAACTGTTGTAAATCTGTGAGGGATTCCATCAAAGTAATACTCTTCATATATTCATGTTAAAGGACAGTATTAGCAGATGTCAATTGATCTTTACTCAGTTGATCAAGAAACATTCTTAAAATTAATTTCAAAAAGTTTTTTTTCATATGAAGCAAAATATAAAAATACGAACACACACAGTGACTGGCAGAACACAATTTCTGCAGGCCAGGATGAAAAGTAATTGCTTTCTTGTAATTTCCAACTTTTCTACTTGTAATTATCTTACAACCAAGGGAGAAAGATAAGACCTGTCTGCAAAATCACATTTGGCAGCTCCAATGGGCACGTCTCATATATAGTAATTATGTAGAAATCTGGGAGGTGGGATGAGTGGAGAAGGCCCAGTTTCATTGGGAAACCAGAAAGGGAAAAAGGCGTGTGAGGCAGGGCCCACTTCTATGGGATGGTACACACCTTTACCTTTCATCCCAAGGGCCTTACCTTCCTGCCAGCCTCTCAAAGTTAGGAATAAAAAGGGCAGCCTGAATTCAATGCACCACACATAAGGAAGGAGTTTATACTCCACTCAATATGCATGTGCTTCTCCCTGGATCCTTCCAAAGCAGCAGGTGGTGGGGGTGGGGGTGGGGTGCAACCAGGACAGCTTCATTAGTTTGATTCTGAATTACATAAAACATGAGACCAGGCCACCATGTTGTGGAGAAGCATGGCGGCACAGAGTCAAGGGCTGAAACAATTTCACTCAGTGCTTAATTTACTGTAAAATAATAAATCATATGATTCTAGAGTAGTATTTGGAGATGTTCCTCTCTTTGAAGCCCCAATAGATAATAAAAGGCACCTCTCTGGGGACACCAGGACAGCCAGATTCAGGCAGGTTGCAATGCCCCTTCTGGTGCCATCCCAGCTCTTGACTTCATTGTCTGCACGGGGGATGACAGACTCCAAATAAGACATAATTTAATGTGCCAGGAAGCTCTCATTGTTATAATAATTATACGCAGGGTAAACAGCACTGCTTCAAAAAGACAAGACTTTTTGAAGATCCTTATGCTTGGCAGCTCTTACCAGCAGTCTCACAGAAGGGGTGGCATTAATTACTCAGAGTGGAGACAGGGGAGAATTGGTCTCTGTCTGTAAATAGCCTTTACACAGGCAGGCCAGCCCTCCCACACTGATCTGAGGTAATCTGGCCTTTTCTGGGGCCCTATCCATATTTGTGTAAAATTTAGCAGGCAGTTTGGGGTCAAGAATGAAGTAATCTGTGTTTTTATTCCAGTTCTCTGACTAACTTCTTATGGGACTTCGGCAAGTTCCCAAAGTTCAGTTTTCTTATCTGTAAAATGAAGGAATATTAAACCTGCCCTATTATCTCACGTGGGTATTCACGGAAACAAATGAGATTTTTAAATTATTATGTGAAGGCACATTCTTTCACAAACTCGCTGTCCCCAAGGCTCATGCATCTGAAAGAGCTCTACCCAGCACTTAGTTATGGCTGAGATTGGGGACACCATGGACCTCAGAGGATGCAATGCCTTCGTGTGGTGTGGGGCAGACCCATCCCTCACCAAGGGCTTTCTGTCCTAGATGCTGGGTCCACTGACCCAGGGGTGCCCCCTTCTGGGTGGGACAGCATAGGCTGGTTTCCACTATGCCACATCACTAAGGTGCATTTCTAATTTTAAGCTCTAGTTGTAGGGCTGTGCTTGCTAAATTTCCTTGCTGAGGCACTCAGCCCCATGCCATATGCATTAATACCCATGGCTTCATGATGATGGATGTGTCCACTGGTAATAATGCACATAATCTCTCCCCTCAGAATACCGAGTGTCAACATGCTGTTGTTGTAGGCGGGGACTTGACACGTGACAAACCAGGCCACTTAAAACACAAGACTCTCTTGGGCTCCTTCCTTCCCCTGCTCCCACCAAGCTAAGAACAAACTTCTAAATTCCAGGCACGATCTCTTTGTGTTTGAGGTGTACAGATTGAGATTCTGATTCAGGTATAGCAGCGTAAGGTCCCTTTAAAGGACAGCTGACCACCAGGCTTTAAATGAAGAGCTGATTTTTAAGACAGAAGCTAAAAATATCCTCTCCATCTCTCTCCTCAAAATAAATCACATGCCTCTTGAAATTTATTCACCTCATTCCTGATTTCTTAAAAACATGAAGATAGCAAAATAAAAGTGATCACTCTAATTAGAGTACCTTCCAATCTAAAATGCTGCAAATAAACATATTTGAAAGGAAAAGCAGCTGAAGTGTCTAATTTGCAAGCAGCAGTTTGAAAACAGGAACAATTAAAATACACTGGTAAAGCAAAGCTGAGGTCTCATACTCATCAATGGTTTCAGAAAATCTCTCACTTTCTACGTCCTCCTCCCCATTTCTCAGGCAGCTTCTGAGTGCTGAAGCTCTGCCCTGTTACCAATGCCAACACGACACACCCTATAGAGAGGTGTGTCTATAAGAAAAAGGGAGAAGGACCCAGAGCCAGGAAACCAGGATTTCAAACTTTGACATTGCCCTTTGCTGGCTATGTGCCCTTGGGAAGTGGTTTCACCCACCTGCACCTGGACTCTTCAGGTAATAACCACCCTCCCTCCTGGAGAGGCCCAAAGGATCACATGAGATAATGTGGTTAAGTGACTCAAACTACAAAGGATTCTTCTCATGACTTCTCAACCTTGTGGTTCTATTCTAGCCAAGTCTTTCTTGTCCATCCCACGTCCAGGATTGTTACAGACTAATTGTCTGTGTCCCCCAAAATTCATATCCCCGCTATTGAAATCCTTATCCCCCCTGTGATGGTACTAGGAGGTGAGGCCTGTGGGAAGTAAAGAGGTCACAAGGGTGAAGTCCTCATGGATAGGAATAGTGCCCTTTTAAGAAGAGACCAGAGATCTAGGTCACTCTTTCCACCAGGTAAGGATAAGACATTGGCTGTCTGTAACCCAGAAGAGGGCCCTCACCAGAACCCAACCATAGTGGCACCCTGATCTCAGACTTTCAGCCTCCAGAACTGTGAGAAATAAATTTCTGCTATTTATAAGTCACCTAGTCTATGGTACTTTATCACAGCAGCCCAAACACTCAGCCAAGGCTAACTAACTGTAGTTTCCAGTCTTTGTTCAAGACACTCTCTCCTGCTTAGAAGTGCCATCCTGCCATTCACCACCCCAGGTAAGACCCCTTTTGAAGAGCTCCAAGTGGTAGCCTCTTTTGGATGGTTTCCTCAAGCAGATCACTAACGGCACCACCTACCTCCTCAACTCTCTCAGCACTCAATCCCCATCCCCAGCCAATGGAGCCCTAATCCTCTGCTTATTGCTGTCTCCCACCTGGTTAAACACTGCTTGAGAGTTCAATATGTCCCCTCCTCTTACTTGATTCCAAGCTTCAGTGGGGCAAGGACCTGATCAGATATTCTAGATCAACAGCATCTGAAGTTGCTCAATTGACACATGCTAAAAGAAATAGGAGTCCAAGAAACGAAGACCTTTAGGGTCTGAAACAAGACAAAGAGAGGCAAAAGTCTGAGAGATGGCATAAAAGATGCTAAAGAAGAGACGTTTATCCAGTAAAAGAAACCATACAGAGAGGTTGGAAATGGCCCACTTCAGTGGAGACCTAGGCCCAAATAACTTGCTATGTTAAAGGAACTCTGCAGCAACTATTTTTACCAAAAATCAGTGACCATTATATTTCACTTAGATTTGGGGGCGGGAGGGTTAGGGGGAAGTGTTTTCAGACAGAATACATATCATGTGACATAAATCTGTGTTTGTTAAGACAGACTCCTCCATGAAAATAACAGTAGACATAGGACAAGGTTAAAGTCTTTGGATTAGTCCTACATTTAAAATAGTTACAGGGTTCTGCCATGTGATTTGAATACTCTTTAATTTCTGAAAACAAAAGAAACATATATTGAAATAAAAATAATTCCTTTCTATATTTTCTGATTTAAAAAAGATAGCATTAGGAGATATACCTAATGTAAATGACGAGTTAATGGGTGCAGCACACCAACATGGCACATGTATACATATGTAACAAACCTGCACGTTGTGCACATGTACCCTAGAAAAAGTATAATAAAAAAACAAACAAACAAACAAACAAAGTAACTGAAGTTGGATTTTGTTTTTGGTGTTTGATTTGATTGGAGGGTAGCTGTTTTGCTGGCACCTCAAGCAGTGCCTGATCTAAAAAGTGAACCTCAAAAAGGGGATGCACGAGATGATCCACGGGGATGCACAAAAAAATAGGAATGTGTTTCTTTACAGTGTAATATTTGTATACCATAAATACCATTATTCTACTCTCCATTTTTATCAATAAATTAGTATCCATATATTGAGAGGTCAAACTCAGCCTTTTTTCATTGACATGGCTCCAACAATCAAAAACAAACTGAAGACCCAGTGGCAGTCTGAAGCGTGGAATGGAAGGCTTGCAAAAAACTGCAGGAAGGATTGGGAAAAAGTGATGAAACCACACCAACGCCCTGCCTGTCCTAGTTATTCACGTTCTCAGCTTAGAAAGAATAATTGTAAAAGGAGAATGATGATATTTTTCTGAACTCCAGTTGAATGTGAGAAAGGGAAAGTGAACATGTTCAATACAAGGTTCACAAGAGGAGGCATTTGGTCTCCTGTGTCCTTAACAGAATTTCTGAACTCAGGACCACATAGTTTCTCTCCAAAGGAGTCACCTAACACTTACTTAGGCAAGAATACAAGTACTCCAAATTTATGATGGGACCAGCTTGCCATAACCTGTATTAGTTTTGATTCCAAATTTATTCAGGTCACCTTCACACACCATTAACTCAGTTATCCACCAAGCCATTAGACACCATATGTGCATGACTACAGGCCTCAGGGGCTCCAAGAAAAAATTAATCACCAGGGAACCTATCTAGCTGGTTGGTCTGATAGTTCAGCTGGGAAAGCATATGGAGTAGCACAGAGGCTGAGGCTAAACGCCACTTAGAAAAATTAAAGTGAGAAACAGCCTTCCTTTAAAAAAGGAGCAAATCTGGAAAAGACAGAGGGTGCTAGCTTAGTGCAGATGTTGTCTAGGTCTGTTTCCTGAGATGACTTTTCAGAGATTCCCAAGCTTAGTCTTTACAAGCTATATTTACTAGTCAATATAGCATTACTCGTCAGCATAGAATGCAATGGACTGGAAAACAAATATATTTAAATTAAGTGAGTTCATAAAGACACTTAATTAGACTATCACTAGCAAGTACTAATGAACTAATGGGTCTAGGCAGTTATTCTTAATGGCTGCTAACATGAAGAAAAAAGCAAGATAACCGGACATTATGTGCCTCCTGATGCCAATACCTCAAAACCCCTTATAAAGTAGCCCTGCAAAAATCAAACCTGGGCTGGGGGCGGTGGCTCAGGCACTTGGGGAGGCCAATCCCAGCACTTTGGGAGGCCGAGGCAGGCCGATCACTGGAGATCAAGAGTTTGAGACCAGCCTGGCCAACATGGTGAAACCCCATCTCTACTAAAAATACAAAAATTGGCCAGATGTGGTGGTGTGCACCTGTAATAACAGCTACCCAGGAGGCTGAGGCAGGAGAATTGCTTGAACCGGGAGGTGGAGGTTGCAGTGAGCTGAGATTGCACCACTGCACTCCAGTTTGGGCAACAGAGCGAGACTCCGACCACCCCCCCACCCCCCAAAAAAATCAAACCTGAATTTGATCAGGCTGCTGTATCTCATCTACCAACTTCAGAAAATATACTGGAGGAAGACCACAGGTATGCAATTAGTAAAATTTAGACTGTGGGCAACTCTACAGGATAAATAACCTGGTATAACAAATAAGCTCCTGTTAAAGGACACTTAAAGAATCTACCCAATCACAATGTGTGGATCTTATTTGCATCTTTATTTAAATAAAATGAAAAAATCGAGACAATCTAAGAAATCTGAACCCTGTATATTTCAATATTAAAAAATTTACTGTTAATTATTTTCAGGTGTAATAGCAGTGGGTTTTTTTTTTAAAGATCTTCATATCTTAGAGATACATACTATACTGAAATACTTTAATAATGAAAGAATAAGATGTCTTGAATTTGCTTCACAATATTCTGGGGGCGGAGGGCAGATAAGGAGGAAACATGACTGGCTGTGAGTTGATCATTGGTGAAGCTGGGTGAGAGGTACATGGGGGCTCATTATACAATTCTTTTATTAGAAATGTTTCGTGGCAAAATTTAAAGAAAAAGAGTCATCACAGTTTATTCTGAGAAAAGCTTTCAAATACTCAAAGTGGAGAGAAAGAACACTTTCTTTTTCATTGTCCTTGACTTTTTGGGAAGAGGTGGCAATTTTGAGCTTTAGGGACCTTCCATGTTAGTTCTGTGCCTCCCTTCTACTCATCTTTTGTGCATCCTTCTAAAATCCAAGGCTCTGATCCCCATGAATTTTAGCTGGAGATTTTGGAGTCTCCTGACTTCTCATTATTGGAAGAGCTGTCATCAAAGAATTACATGTGGAAAGTACCCTGATTCTTTAACAATCACCTTATAAGTCACCTTCCATTGGAGGTCTCCATTCTTAGTCTTCTGTTGAGAGGCAAATTCCCATCACTGGACTTTGGAGCTCTTGGGTACACATTTGAATACTCAACCATCTGTGGCTATAAATGGGCAGCTTTCTCCCAATATTCGTGTCTTTTTTTGTTCCCCTTCACCAAACTCTTTTGTGCTGTTCAGAACCAAGTCATTAGAATGATGATTCTTCTCCTTCCCTCCAACATGAGGTAGCATGCAGCAAGAGCTTGCTAGGTGTTTTGTTACCAGCTGCAGGAACTTCTAGCGGAAAATGGCTCAGCCATGTTAGTGGGCATGTTGCCTCCTGTGTGCTCAGCTCTGTAGGAAGACTTTACTTGCCTCATTCCAGCTAATCCTTACAACGATCTTAGGTAGAATAGACTCCTGTTTCTGCTTTACAGACAGACAAACTCAGGCCCAGAAACTTGCTTAAGGTCCTCTAGTCCTCTAATAAGTTAGCCGATAGAACCAGGATTGGAACACAGTTCTTAACCAATACTCTATGAAATCTAGTTTCTGTGCTGGTTTGGTAAAAAAAAAAAAAAAAAAAAATATATATATATATATATATATATATATATATCATACATAACTTTTTATTTTTTATTTTTATTTTTTATTTTTGAGATGGAGTTCACTCTTGGTGCCCAGGCTGGAGTGCAAGGGAGCAATCTCGGCTCACTGCAACCTCCACCTCCCGGGTTCAAGCAATTCTCCTGCCTCAGCCTCCCGAGTAGCTGGGATTACAGGCATGTGCCACCATGCCCAGCTAATTTTGTATTTTTAGTAGAGATAGGGTTTCTCCATGTTGGTCAGGCTGGTCTCAAACTCCTGACCTCAGGTGATCTGCCCACCTTGGCCTCCCAAAGTGATGGGATTACATGTGTGAGCCACCGCACCCGGCTCATACATATCTTTTATCTGGCCAAATGGTCTCTTGTGTAGTCTTAGTGTGTTAACATTTTGTTATTTTCTATTTTAATCTTCACTCCAACTTTTCCTTATTTTGAGATATCCCATATATACATATTTCCTAAGCATATAGAACTACTTCTCTACCCCTTTATCTAATGCAAAGATATCCCCTTTTCCTTATGAACAGAATCTCACTTTTTCTTGGGGCAGCAATAGTAGTTGAAATTTCCTAATCTCCCTAGTAACTAGGAGTAGGTAAAGACTAGACACAGCTTCAGAGAAAGCTCTTTAGAGGGGGCTGCCTCAGCAGAGAAACACACACTCTTTTATCCTTCACTTCTTGCTTTTGCCTCCTAAGTGAATTGAGGCCCTAATGGCTAGAGCTTCAGCAGCCATCTTGGACCAAGAGTGCCTCTGAGGGCAGATGCAATTACTAAGATGACAGTTGAAAGACAGAAGCAGCTGGAGTCCCTAATAACAGACCACTAAAGCAGTGCGATTTACTTATCTATTTTAAGAGAAAAAGGAAATTCTTTAAGAGATTTTTTTATTTTACGGTTTAATCTAATATTCACATTTGAATGTAATTCTTAATTTGATACACCAACCCATTTGCATGTTCTGACTACCGGAAATTTTAATGCCAACATTTGATTTTTTTCTATGTAGTCTCTTGTTTAAATGACATTTCTTCTAACTTCTCTGACATCATTCCTGTTTTTTGCTTTTCCTATCAATGGTTGGTTCAAATATTTCGTATTTTGCCTCTGACAGCTTCTCATCCTGATGCTTAAGTGATTTTTCCATGGTCCAACTGCAAGCTAATTTCGCACACCTTAAAATAACACATTATTTTACTCTGCATCAAAATTTTTACCCTGACACCTTTTTGAGAATTTGTCACCGGATCAAAATGTCCCCAGTGCTTACTGTGTTGTGGTTCCGCCGGATAACAAGGTGCTTCTTACATCTTATCTCACCATCTGAGATTTTGCTGTTGATTAGCACAGCTTTTTAGTTGTTCCATATTTCCCCACTCTATTAGAACCAATATGACCTTATTTTATATGCCCTAAGTAAAAACAAACAAAAAAACCCTGCTAAATCGATCTTCCTTTCAATAAGCATTTATCAAGCCTAATCATCTGCATTTCTTCCTCCTCCCAAAAATACCCAATATTATCTTCAGTGGCTTTATGTTTCCCTAGTGTCATATTGTCAAAACTTTTCATTTTTTAATTGTCATGCCCTATGTATGTTTCGTATGTATTTATAAATATCCAACCTTACGTGTGTACCTTTTAAAAACCATACTTACCTTACTACCTCGAATTTTGGTGGCATTAAAAACTATGTTGTCCTCTGCCCTCCACTTGTGATTGAACACCCCAGGTCTACTCAATCAGCAGCTGAGGGCTTCTGAAGTCAGGAGCCATAGCGAGGGAGTGAGGGGCTTTTGATGGCACAAGAAGGATTAAGTGACTAAGGACATTCTAGTCACACTTTTATTCTTCCTTCTCTTTGGATTTAATATATATTGTGGTATATACATGCTGTCTTGACATAAATGCTGACCTGAAATTTTTAATGCTTATTTGATATCTGCTTGATTTTTTGCTGGTTATTATGAGGCAGGTTTTGCTGCTATTGCTGTTTAATGCATAGCAGTACTTGGAGAGATAGACTCAGAGAATGAAGAAAGAAGTACAGTGGGTTCTGCTAAAATGTGTGTTTCTCTAATGTCAATTATCTCATAGACGAAGGATAAGTAGGAAATGATGTAAACAGAACATGTAAGTCACTTTGGTTCATAACCATTTTTCTCCAGCACATTATTATTTTGTAGAATCAATAACAGCAGCTTAATATAAGATACATTTACTCAGCTACAGGTAGTAATCTGCAGAGGGTATAGTACTGTATACCATGACTAGTTTCCAGCCCAGTATGTGTAGCCATGGCTCTTCCATGGACATGCTTCTGTGGAGTTCTCTTCCATCAGGAAAGGTCAGGTGCATCTTACCCTTCTTTCTCTAAACTAAAAGTAGCCTCAAACCATTCCCACCCCCAGCATGCTAATTTGACCTTTTTAAAGGTAAAGTTGTATATTTACTATAGTATTTGCTTTTTAGCTTTTAAATGTTTTCACTCTACCATTTTTATTTGGATTGTTATTTTTATAACTGCTGTTGTTCAAAAATGTGTAGATTTGATTTGCAGTGGTTTGGCCCTTACTTTTATCATAAATTCTATCACTTTGAATCTGTAGTTTTCAAGATTTTTCAGAAATGCAGATATCATGATATAGCATAAATGCTTGTACACCAAACTTCCGAAAGGTAAGTGTACTTCTGGTGCCATCAAATGTGAACTTGAGAAATTTAAGTTAAATGTGTAATTGTAAAAATCAAATAGTTATAAAGAATCCATATTTTTTTTAACTGAGACTTTGTTTTACTAATATTTTGTGGTTCACAGTTCTAGTAAGAACTAGGAGTTTGGTTCTTATGTACAAAGGGGATTGGCTCCAATGAAGCCGGTGAAGAAAGAACCCTGAAAAACTGAACCAGTTACATTCAACACATTTACTTTCAAAGGCAGTTTCCAAACAAACCCTCAATCAAAAAGGATAGTGGACAGGAAGGAACTTGTAGGGGCAAGAGCATTGTATGCCCGGAGAGAGAGAGAGAAAAAGCCTAGGACTTGGGCACAGCGTACATCTGGATGAGAGGATGATGACTTTTTTTTTTTTTTTCAAGGGCCGGATAATAAATATTTTAGTCTTTGTGTACCATGAGGTCCCTATGGTACTCAACTCTACCACTGATGCTCAAAAGCAGCCACAGACAGTAGTAAACAAATGACCTTAGATGTGTCCCACTGAAACTTTATGGGACATTGAAATGTGAATTACATAAAATTTTTATGTCCAATATACCCTTCTTTTGATTCTTTCTCAATAGTTTAAAAACATAAAAACCATGCTTAAGCGGCCAGGCGCGGTGGCTGACACCTGTAATCCCAGCACTTTGGGAGGCCGAGGCAGGCGGTGACGAGGTCAGGATATAAAGACCATCCTGGCTAACACGGTAAAACCCCGTCTCTACTAAAAAATACAAAAAATTAGCCGGGCATGGTGGTGGGCGCCTGAGGCAGGAGAATGGTGTGAACCCAGGAGGCGGAGCTTGCAGTGAGCCAAGATCGTGCCACTGCACTCCAGCCTGGGCGACACAGTGAGACTGTCTCAAAAAAAAAAAAAAATGCTTAGCTCATTGGCTATACAAAAACAGGTGACAGGTATGTGGGCTGCAGTTTGTGAACTACTGATTTAGAGCTTTGAGATTAATCCCTGTATTATTAATATAAAAACAAGTGGATACCAGCTGCAGAAGTGGACAACAGCAGTATTTAAAACAGCCTGGGGCAGCCAGCAGGAACAAAACAATTTCAAAAGCAAATCTTTCAATGAAGTACAGTTCAATAGCTAGATTAGTAATAAAGTACTTGACTAATACTCTCCTTTCAGTGCTTGATTTAAATTGGAGGCATTTGGCGTTTTATAAGAAAAATACAAAGTTCATTAAATTGTGTATTGTTTAAATAATAAGCAGAAAATTAAATGCTCAGGTGAGTATGTTAATGGCTAATCACAGCAGTCTGACCTAACCACAGCAGATATCATTGCTCATTGTTTTTTATTCAGAAGAGGGAGAAATAGGTGATGAACTAATAGAAAAAATCCTCTGATGCAGGCAAAGTAAAAAGTGATACCCATGTATCACGAACATTTTACCATAAAACTATAACGCTGTCTCTGAAATCTCTTTAAAATGTCAGGTAAGTGTAAAAATACTTGCAGAGCAAGTTAAATGCAGGCTCCACATTTTTGTGAACTTCCCCATTATTTTACTGGTACCTTGACTACCCCAAATTTAACAGCAATATTTTAAAAGGACTCACCTCTATCAAATCTTTCCAAAGCTACCAACTAAGTTTATATAGAAGTGCGTGCTCTTACTTTTCACATTTATATTTCATCAGTTTATGTGTTAATGATACTACATAATTACAACACAAATATGTGGCATAAACAGGTTTGGTAGTAAACTCTCTCAACATTTGATGTGCACACAGCTCAAGCTGTGGGTGCAGAAATTCATGGTATCTGTTGGGAGCAGTCTGGCCGCCCCAATGTTCAGTGGGCTGTTGGCCTCAGCAGGTCTGACAAAGGAAATGGTAGAAGTAGGCAACCAGGACTTTGAGAAGTAGAAGTCCACCAAGAGATCTTCTGGTCTACTCCCAAACCTTCACAGTAGTGTTCAATCCTGGAACGCCCAAGAATTAGCTGGGGAGGTACAGGCTTAAAAGCTCTACCTAAGTTTGGTTCCTCCACTACCTGTATCAAATCACCTAGAATACTCGTGTTCCTAAGGCCCTATATTTAGCTTTACTGTAGCCAAATCCCTAAGGGTGGTACTGCTTTTGACGAGTTCCACCCATGATTTTCAGGCACACGATATTTGAAAAACACTCTTTAAAGAAGCATTCTGGGCAACCTCAGTCTTCCTATTTCGACACAATAGAAAAGTCTCCAGAACAGCAGTTTTCAACCTTTGTTGCATATTATAATCACCTGGGGAGCTTCTATCACAATGTCAGAGATCTGATCTACTGATCTGGAGCTGGGCCTGGGCACTAGGACTTTATTTTTTTTTTTTAGACAGGGTATTGCTGTTGCCCAGGCTGGAGTATAGCGGCATGATCATAGCTCACTACAGCCTCAAACTCCTGGCTTCAAGTGACCCTCCTGCTTTGGCCTCCCAACGTGCTGGGATTACAGATGTGAGCCACTGTACCTGGCCATCACTGGGGTTTTAATGGCTCTCCGGGTGATTCCAAAGAGCAACAGCTTGGCTGAGAACCATAGCAAAGCTCCAGGGGTAGCATTAAGAATGGGGTCAGACACTTCTCAATTCCTGAAAACCCAAACTTGTTTCATATAACCAGGCTCTATTAGAAAAATAATTTTTGTTTTTATTAAGAATATACATTTCAAATGTATTTTTACCATAAAAAACCTATGTTCATGCTTAAGCAGGGTCCAGGAAGCAGCTAAAAATCAACTTCTAAAGAATTACAAATTGAAATGATTTAGAGAACAAACCTAAAGACCAAGTCCACAAAAGCCAATTACAAAATTTGAAGAAGCTAAGACTAAGACTTGCATTTAAGAGCCTGGGCAGGATTTTGGAAAACTGTTTGCATTTCCATGGAAAGTAGGAAGCCAACCACCCTTTCCTGGAACTATAATGATTCTATCTAATCTCTCTCTGGCTAATCTCTCCTGTTTGTCTGTCTGTCTGTCTATCTATTTTAGAGACAGGTCTTGCTATGTTGCCCAGGCTGTAGTGCTATCTATCTATCTATCTATCTGTCTGTCTGTCTGTCTGTCTGTCTGGTCTGTCTGTCTGTCTGGTCTGTCTATTTCTCTACCTACCTACCTACCTACCAGACAGGTCTTGCTATGTTGCCCAGGCTATCTATCTATCTATCTATCTATCTATCTATCTATCTATCTATCTATCTAATCTATCTTATCTTATCTATCTATCTATCTATCTATCTATCTATCTATCTATGAGACAGGTCTTGCTATGCTGCCCAGGCTGGAGTGCAGTGGAGTGCATTCACAAACATGATGATGGCTAACTACAATACAAGCAATCGTCCTGGCTTCAAGCAATCCTCTTACCTCATCTTCTCAAGTAGCTGTGACTGAAGGAACACACCACCATACCCAGCTATAATAGTCATTATAATCAGGCAAAATTCAATCTTCCCATGATTCAAAGAGTTCAGAATTCATTTCCACAAATGATTGCATGGGCTCTTCTATATGCAAGGACTTCATCGGAATTTGGGATGGGGGGAGGTAGGTGGATTTTAAAAAGAGCAAGAAAGGGGGGCAACTTCTGTCATTCTGTTTCTCTACGTTTATTTTTCATAGAACATATCACTGCACTATGTATGAATTTAATGGTGTATTACCTTCTTTTTCCTCTTTAGAGTATCAGATCCATAAAGGCAAGCATACAACGTGTTTACTCTTTCATTACCAAACCTTACAACAGTGTCTGCTCTACAGTTGTATGTACTGTCAATGAATGAAACCAGGTTCTTGCGCTCTGTTAAGTTACAAATTGAATATAACCAACTTGGCTTGGGTGGGCAGAAATAAGAGAGCTAAACAGGACAATATCTGACCATAAGCAGGACAGTGAAAGTAATACTAAATTAAGATATAATCAGAAAAATGAGGGCTACCATTCCAACATGGTATCAGTATTTATACTCTTCTCTCATGAGAGCTTCACAGTGAACCTGCCGGGTAACAGATGAAGAAACGGAAGCTCACAGAGACAAGTGGCTTGCCCAAGACTGCAAGGCTGGGTGGCAAGGGGAGAGGGAGAGGGTCTGCCTATAATCCATGTCCCTTTTTCTTAACCACTCCACTTGCATCACAACAGGCCAGAAAGGGTGCACTTGCATTCTAACAACAGCATAAAGCTGGGCCAGACTGACACCACTGTTTTCCGTTAAAAGGCTAACTTCAGTGCAATAAGTATGTGGTGCAAATAAAAGATAGTAACTACCATTTGAATATTTACTATGCTCCAGAAGAAACTATGCCACGTGCGTATTTCTAGCTTATTTCTTTCCACAATCCCATGAGGTAAGTATTATGCCTGTTTAACATATGAAATTCAGGATGGGGAGAGTCTGGACCAGAAAATGACCTCTTAAACCCTTAGTGCTAAAAATCTCTAAGTCTGAACAACACGCTCCTTGTCTTAGGGAAAGGAATCTCCAAGCAAACCTTTCTTGGGAACTTACTACATGCCAGACACTATACTATGCACTTTTTGACATGCGTCATCTCACCTCTACAGCCCTATGACCCAAGCACTGTTCATGTCATTCTTGTTTTACAGGTGAGAAAACTGGGTTGACACAAGTTAAAATATGCCCAAGGCCACAGGCCAAGTGACAGAATCAGAACAAGTGCAGAGCCATGGCCTAATCCTTTCGCCACAAGAACACAGCTCTCAGATGCAAACCACTTGATTTGTCCCTGTCCATGAGAAATGCCAGAGTTCTTATCAAGAGGGGATGAAACAGACTTCATGCTCCTAGGACTGGCTGACTTCCATCCAAACGTTCACATTTTATTCTCTTGAAATATGTATTTTGTACCTCCTGAGGCTAGGCCTAGCTAGTCACCAGGGATACAAATGTAAGACCACTGGGTGCCTGCCCTCATAACGCCTGCAGTCCAGCCATGATCGCTCGCTGGTAAAAACCTCTGTCCCATCAGAGGCAGCACTCACCCACAGAACCACTTTCTCTGGGCTTGCAGGTGCTGGCGGGCTGCCTCCATCTGCTGGTGTGCCTGCCTAAAACTTAATTCTTTGAACTCCTTATCCAGCTGGCAAAGGGAAGCCATTGGAAGTTACAGATGTTTCCTAGCAAGGACAAGAAATCGCTTACACTAAGACCTCTGTGTCTATTCCTGAGCTCTGACTCACCTATCTTTTGGGTACTGGCCACAATAACACTTCTTTATTTTATTCCTAAAAGAACAAAGCTGGAAAGGAATATTTGATCTTGGAGACGGGAATACTAGCAAGTCATCACAAGATGATAAAATATGCAGAACAAAAGTACACACGTTTCTGCAAGGGACTAAGAAAATATTTAGAAACTGTTTCATCAGACAACTGTTAATTCATTACAGCAAAAGTGTAGACATAGGGAGAAAGAACTGATACAAGCAAAAGGTGGGGAAGAACAGGGGAGAAGACAAAGTGGGAGAAAAAGCCAGAAGGCCTGAGACATCCATGTTATCATGAGGATTTAGAGTAGAAAGGACTCAAATTATCCAGTCCCATCACCCACTGAAAGCCGGGGGCCTCAACCACAGCCACAACATAATCATTACTATGTGCCAGGAACTGCACTGAATGCTCTCACATATCATCACTTCAGGTAATCCAGGCCAGGCGCGATGGCTCATGCCTATGATCCCAGCACTTTGGGAAACTGAGGCAGGTGCATCACCTGAGGTCAGGAGTTTGAGACCAGCCTGGCCAACATGGCAAAACCCCATCTCTATTAAAAATACAAAAATTAGCTGGGTATGGTGGTGCACGCCTGTTATCCCAGCTACTAGGGAGGCTGAGGCAGGAGAATCACTTGAACCCGGGAGTCACAGGTGGCAGTGAGCCGAGATCATGCCACTGTACACAAGCCTGGGCGACAGAGTGAGATTCTGTCTCAAAAAAAAAAAAAAAAGTAATCCAGATAACCCTGTGAGTTGTATATGATTAGTGTTCTGATTTAACGATCGAGAACACTGAGACTTAGATTAGTTAAATGTCCAGTAAAAGAGCACAGAGAGAGTAAATGGCACAGCTTGGAAACAAATTCCGGTCTGTCTCTAAAGCCCATGCTCTTAACTGTATTCTGCCTCTCGGGTTTGATAGACACTTCTACCCCTGAGTGCCTTGTCAAGTAGATCTGACCCTGGGGAAGGTAAAGCACAGACAGAGAAGAATTATAAAAGATGAGAACCCTGCTATGGGCTCTGCCTCCCAGTCACAAAGTCCTGAGCTCACACATTCTGCTCCCCAATACGGTCTCCACCTCCCCACTTCTAGTGCTGGGGCGGCAGGATCCTGATGCTGTAGAAGAAGTTTCCCGGGAACCAGATATAAAACACTTCCTCCTGTAGCATCTTTCCACACCTTCTACTGACAACACTTTAGTGCCAGCTCCAAAGAAAACATACTTCCAGGGGCCAGATCCGTTTTCACTGAGCAATTAGAAACGATGAATTTGGAGCTGAATATCAATCCACTGAAAACTGGTACACTGGCTGACCCTCCACGCCAAGGCCAGGAAACAACGTGTTTGAAGGCCTTCTAAGCAGGGCTGGCAGAAGAGGCTAGGTATGCTGGGTATAGCATATGCCACGTGGACTCTGTTGAGAACTGCTGGAATTAAGCCCAAGGTACCTCCTTGGACACGTCTGGTATCTGCTAGTATGAGCATTAGTCATTTCTCTCTAAAAGAGGAGTTGGAGGCCCTTTTGCTCCGGCTAACAGGAATGGAAAAACAGGTGAGGAAAAAGTACTCAACATGAAAAGAGTTAATAGTTTTGATGGTGGGAGTCCTTTGAAAGACCAAGTCACATCATCTGGGGAAAGCAGGGCCCTGGGAAGACATAAACTATCTCCTGTATCTCTATGACCACTGCCTACATTGCCTTTGTCCATGTAAGTGTTGTGTGACTTTGACAGAAAGAAACCGGAAGGTAAAGGAGCCGTGGTCATAAAACTTATTTTTCTTCCTTTCTACCTTGTTACTAGAATCATGTACTCTTGAGGACACAGCTATTGAATCCTGATTGATAAGCCAATCTCAATTGGCCCAACCCAACTTTCCTGGCCTCCTCTGCAGCCAAGAATGGTCATGTGACCTAGGTCAAATAATGGGGGGAAAGAATCAGAGGAAGGGAAGCTTTAGGAGAAGCTTCTATTTCTTGAGAAAAGGCTCCAGCCCCTTCACCTTTCTTTCTGCTTAGACCACAGCTATGAGGCCTGCAGGCCTTGTGACGCTATGGTGGCAAGCCAATGCATGAGGGATGCCAAAGGAGAGACCAAAGTGGCCTGGGTCTTTGCAGACATCCAGTGAAGAAACCAGCCCCATACCCCACACTGTGTTACATGAGAAAAGTTAACTCTTGCTTCATGGTTGTGAGGTATTTTGCTAATTATAGCTGGGCACACTTTTAATTTATCCAAACAGGTTCCCAGACATAGCTGACTAGCTTGTGACAGTTTGCAAAGAATTTTCAAACCTGTCTCTTGTCTGATCCCTGTGTCAACAATGTGAGCTAGGAAGAACAAGTGCTGTGAGACCGTTTTAAGGATAAAAACATGGTTTAGGTAGGTGAAAGGATCTGGGCAGAGCATGGAGATGGTTAGTGGCAGAGTAGGATTTGTCTGGGCCTACTGAGTTACCATCTTGGATGGTGCTGGTAGGAAGACCTACCCTGGCTGCTAAATGAGTACCGTTTTCAGGGGGCCTATCCTTGGATCACGGTCCTACAGAAGCCAGCACACTGTCACAAAATATAAACAAGGCTAATTCAATATTTTGGTCTCTGGCCTCAGCTGAGAAATAAAGATTGGCCTGCTAGTTTCAGCTGCTTCCACTGAGCCACTGCATGAGGATGAGGGATAATTTCTTTCCTCCCCTAGGTCCAACAGCAAGGAAGGCTCTTCCAGACAGGAGGCATGCTGGGGTTAGAGGTCACAGAGGAGGAATGAGTATCTGGTCCAAATAGTGAGGGATCGGTCCATGAAAGTGGTTAAACTTCTGCTTCTCCTTCAAGTTGTTACTTACATTGTCACTGGTTTAAATGATTCATTTGCCAACTCCTTCGAAGTAAACGTTATCATTAAGAATAAGAAAATAAAAAGACACTGTCTTTAGGACAATTTAGGACAAATTGTGTGTATCTCCAGTAAATGATATCCATTTTAAAAACGGTAAAGAAAAGGAGGGAAGAGGAAGGAGGAGAAGTGAGGGAAGGGGAAGAAGGAGAAAAGGAGAAAGGGAAAGAAAGAGAAAGAATGAAAAGGGAGCGTTTGAATTGAGTATTTCAGTGAAGACTCTCTTAGGCAATAGGTTAAAATTCCACATCTCCCAGAGCCTGGTTTCCTCCTGGAAAAACACAGACAGTGCTGCTGCCTTATAGGGTTGTTGGGAAGCTCCTCATTATTCATTGTCGGTGTGCTGGCACCATCTGGAGGCCTGGCCAAACCTTAGCACGCCTTGAGAACCTGGAAGATCACTAACTGGTCTGGATCAACAGGGCTGTACATTGCTCTACTAATTCCTTATGGTGGCAATGTTACTCTCTGGAGTGCCTGGGGACAACCTGCAGGACCCTCTGGGGCAGCCCTGTACTGACTCTCACCTCTGTGGTCATGAAACACCCCCAGCAGCCTGGAAGAAGATGAAAATACTTGGTGAAAGCCAGCACTACTGACTTTCTGGGCCCTCTCCAGTTGACGAGATGTGCTCTGACATAATTAGGGAAGTGAGATGAAATCCCCCCAACCCACATGTGGACAATCACTCCTGCCTTTTCCCTTAAAGCCCATTTGGGCTCAAGAGATATGCTCTACCACCCAATTTTTAACTTCATTTAAAAATTTCCCTCATTTTTCCCTTGACCAAGTCGGTATTTCTGCTCTCCAAGCTCTCTAAAGGCAGACATATCTTTTGAAGTCCTGATACGCAAGTAAGTTCCTAATAATTGGTTCTGGATGACAAGAATCACATGCAGTGAAAACTGAAAACCAACACATTTCATCTTTAGAATAAAGCTTTGTTTCACTTGTTTTGGAACAAAGGCAAACAGTTGTAGCCCATTTCGGTTTCACTACTCTGCATAGTGGATTTCAGGTTTCCACACAGAACCGTACAGAACCTTTCCTTGAAATCAGTACCACACCAACATAAATGTATTTATTTAGGCTTTTGGGATTTGAGAGGATGGGTTGGAGACAGAGGAGGAAATTACCAAGAGAGAATCCATTCCTTGTAGTCCAGTGTGTTGGCTACAATACATGATGTAATTCAAATCCTGACCACCTGAGGAACCTTTACCTCTATCTGCTTCAGTTCTTTCACTCAAAAGTGGGGTTAATAATAGTATTTACTTCATAGTCATTGTGAAGGCCATGCCTGGAACACAGGAAGCACTAAAATGTCAGCCATTATCATCTCCTCAAGGAGCTCAATCTATCAAAAACAGAATCAAGAGGGAGAGAATCAAAGGCTGGCCAGCAGTACAAATTACAACTGAGCAGGGATAACTCCAGCGTTCCCTGGAGCTCTGCTGTCCCTCGAGACTAGAGCAAGAGTCTCGATTTATCCAGTGCAGTGGCACTATCTCAGCTCACTGCAGCCTTGACCTCCCAGACTGAAGCGATCCTCCCACCTCAGCTTCCCGAGTAGCTGGGACCACAGGAGCATATCACCACACCCAGTTAATTTATGTATTTTTAGAAGAGATAGGGTTTCGCCAGGTTGCCCAGGCTGGTCTCAGACTCCTAGGCTCAAGTGATCTGCCCACCTCGGCCTTCCAAAGTACTGGGATTACAGGCATGAGCCACTGTGCCCGGGCTAGTCCTGATTATGTTGACTGCAGATGGACTCGTTCAGTACTGAGGGCTGCACAGCCACCGCTGGATTTTGAGCATATGCTGCATATATGATTTTTATTTAAGTAAAGAATTGTGTATCGATGCTAAACATGACTTTAGAAGCAAATATATTAAAAATAATTTCTAAGTTGGTTTATCACCGATTCTCAATGCCATAATACCCTTTCTTGCAATTGAAGGTTGAAATCTGCTTCCAACAAATATTCCACATTGTAAAGTCTGCTCCCAATCTGTGTTTTTTATATAAAACTCCATCAACAAGCTCTGTTCTTGCAGGGCCTATGTTTCAAGGTGTTTATGACATGGATCTGCACTGATGTAGAAGGTTCCACAGGGTAAATCTCATGATTTTCACGTCTATCAAAAATTTAAGTATTCCAACTGGCATGGTAAGCCCCCAGGTGCAAATCCATACTAACACTTCATATACTTGTGTATGTGTAAACAGCCACCGGAAAGAGGTCAGACTTCCTTCAACTGGCCCAATGCATTCCACTGGCTTATATGAATCCCCCACCCTTCCCAGATTTAAGATTTGCTTCTCCACCTCCATTTTAAAATCATACAACTAACTTTGCTTTTCTCTCCAAGTAAAAGGCAGAAATCTACACACACTTCTGTTTCCTTCTACTGCTGTGATTTTGCTCCATTGGCTGATGTTTTAAACAATGGTTGATAAGGACCATAGAGAACTCATTCCAAGGCATCCTATTTTTGGTGTGTCTGAACCTCTAGCAGTGTTGACGAGGAATGAACATTATTCTCCCAAGATGAAGCTGGAGCAACCTCAGGGATTTTCACCCTTGAACCAAATGAAGCCCCCAGTTCTCCTTCCCCAGCTGAGAAGGCTTCATCGAGTTGGGAGGGTGGCAGTGCCCTTGACTGTCTCTCCATGCCTGGACTGCACTGCCTCAGGAGGGCTGAGATGCCACGAGGAGCTCTGTGGGAACACTGGAAGGAGCACCCCGGTATCTCAGTATTGAACAGTGAGGCGATCTCCTGCCAGCCCAGCAACCTGCTGTCTGGGATGGACCAGTATAGGTCTATCTCCTCAATTTGTCACCATGCTCTTAGAATATGGACTATGCCTAGAAATCTAATCCAAACTCTGTTTTCCTACAAGCTGTATTTTAATAAGGTTCTATTTAGGTGGAAAATCGCATAATCAACACAATTACCTCATTCTTATAAATCTGTGCCCAATAACATTCAGAAGACCATGCCTTTCAGACTGTTTCAAATTCAGAGGCATTACAGTTCTGTCTCCCTTCAAGAACGCGCTGTCAACCCTTTCCTCACTTGAGGGAAACAATCTTGCAATGCTTTTCTAACAGCCTTCCACACAGGTCCTCTGACTTCTCTCCCTGTACTGCTCATCTTCTGGGCACCAAAGGCCCCTGGGTCACTATGTGAGACGCTGCCTCCTCCTTGTCCATGGAGAACAGCTTCCACACACTTGCACTTGCTTGGTGGCTTCTGTCCATGGGCAGCTGCCACCCATCTCTCTTTGCTCTCAGATAGCAACTTCTTTTCCCATCCCTCAACACCGCAGCTCCCATATCGGCTGCCAAACTGTTAGGGTTGGAGTAATAGTAAAAAGCCTCCAGGCAAATTACAACCACAACAGCTGTGTTTACTAAGAGCTACAAATGAACTCATCCCAGCACTATTGGAGCAGGAAGGCAGTGATTTGGAACCTTCCAGAAGTGCCCCACCCTCAGGATGTTCACTGGCTGCCTGAGCCTCCAGCTTCCCAAGCCAGCCCTGGCGTTCGCAGGAGACCCTCTGCTGAGCACCAAGGGCCTCTTTTCATGGACAGCAGTCTTGTATGTTTTCTTCTCACAGCTGCAGTGATTTGCACTTAGCTGTTTATGCTGCTGGGAGGGCTGCCAGCCACCCACGCAATAAGCAACTGGCTAGTGGTTTTCATGCGGGGGCACCAAGAAAACTACTCTCCATTCCCAGGCTTCTGGAACACCTCCCTAACCACCTTCGACAAAGGCCTAAGATTCTATCATCCATCATTCAAACATTTGTACCATGAGTGGCCTGCTCTAGCTCTACAGTGTAAAGGTCACAGGAAAGGAGGGACACTGAGAAGAGTATGACTTATCCTAAAGGTGGACTGTTTCTTCTAAATGTCTCTGAGGCTTTATCACCTGTAAAATAGACACATGCTTCAAGAGGCTACGAGACAGTGCTTTAAGAGATCTAAAATTCATACAAATTTTTATTTGCATTCCTGGGTTAAAAGATAAGCATTCTTGAGAGATATATCACTGAAACCCATAACCATGTTTTGCACCCCACATGGATTTATGCGATTGGCTGTTATCATGGAAACAAGGGGGCAAGTCCTTGGAAGCCGTGTGGTTGATCAGCTGTACTGGGAAGCAAAGGCCCGGAGCACTGGATGCAACCGAGGTAAAACAAAGGAATAGCAAGTGTCTTCTACAGCCTGATGTGGTTGCTGGCTACATGGCAGCCATATACCACACATGGACAGGAAGAGATTAAGGTTTTTCTGAACAAGGAAAATGGGTGGCTACCTAGTGTAGCATTTCCCAAGCCTGCCTGTTTGGAGCACCTGTTGGAGCATACAGATTTCCTGGTCCCTCCCCTGGAAATTCTAACTAAATGAGGGTGACAAGAGGCCCTGGCATGTGGATGCTGAACAAGTTCCCAGCTGGCACTTAAGATCAGGCAAGGTTTTTTTTTTTTTTTTTAAACAAAACAAAACAACAAACACAGACCTAGGTTCTAAGAATGAACTTCAGCTTTCCTGAATCTCCCTGGAACACAGACTGGAAATCATCTTAGCAAAGAACCCAACACATCAATGCTATTCCAGAGGGCCATGTCAGAGTCCTGCCTGGACCTACAACCAAGCTATTGCTTGGAACTGTAAGCTATGAGAAGCTCTACCAGTTGAGTTCTAAGGGGGAGTTTTCTCTCACAAATGGGAAGAAGTCCACAGACTATTCCATCATCAAAGAGCAGGGAGCTGACAGGCTCCAAGTCCCAGATGCAGGGCTGGTTGGCATGCATTCTTCCCAACCACCTCAAGCCCCAATCCAAAGAAGAAAACTGTGGCAATCCCAAGCATGATTCGATAGAAGCCACAGCGGCCCATATCTGGGCTGGGCTGTCAACTGTAAAGTGTCAGTGGGCTGGGCTCTGACAAGGAGAAAAAACCAGCAGTCTGCTATACAGATTTCAAGAATTTGGGGTATCTACTGAAGCTGTATGCTGACAAAGGGGCCTTGGTTTTATTTTCCTCCCACCCTTATGCCCCAAAACTTGATAGACTTTTAAACAGGAGACTGAAAGCATGACTTGGCCTGGAACGTGGAACTCGTTATTCAACTCAAAAGCTTCTTCTGAAACCTCACAGATTTCAGAAAGCTGCTGGGAGGGCTGCCAGATAAGGAAAGTGAGACCCAGAGGGCAAATGACTTCAGAGGACACGTACCCAATAAATGGCTCAACGGAAATGAGAATCCGGGCATCTCCTTTGCCACCCAAGCCGCCTCCAACTCCTCTACACCATGTCCAATCAGTGTCTCTGGGTTGAAATGGGTACAAGAAGAATGTGTGACAAGGAAACCTCATGGATCTAAGACGATTGCATAAAGCTTGCTGAAACAGGGAATGGACCAGTAGGGTGATGACATCGGGTAAGGCTACCCCCGGGTCCCATGGGCTCCTAGTTCCACACTTATTCCTACTCACATACACTTAGCAAACACTGACACGCTTACACAGGGGATGCCACATGGGGTTATGTTATAGTCAGCATGCAGCCAACACCCATTAAAATAAATCCTTAAGGTTCCTGGATCATGGCTCTTGGAATCTTAAAAGCTAATGATTCATTTCTGATGTTTCCCTTTGCATTTTATTTCTCCTCTGTTCCTCCCTTGCCTATTCCAATCTTATCCTTGAATTTAGAGAACAGGCTCTGTGATGTGAGTGCCCTTTATCATGTGCTAGGCACAAAACAGGCACAGGTAACCATGGCTTGGTGAGTGGCTGCCCCTGGGGGCTCACCATCTCCACTGATGCCTACACTCCTCCCTGCCTCTGGCAAGCGCCATCTCCAAGGGATCATGAAAAGATCTTTTCTGACTTTTACCCCAGGGGAAATAAGCAGGAGACACATTATTTTCTAATTTTTAATGTTCTTCTGGTTGGAACCAGAACAAATGGCTATGATCACATCAGACTTTCCAGTAAATCCAACAAAACTGATTCTAACTTTGTTATTTCAAAATATATGCCAATTTGAGTTAGGGTGGGTTTAAATTTATCTGGTTTATTTATCTCTACATCATCTGGGCAGAGAAGCTTGGCTAAGTAGCCTGAAGAACAAAACAGAATGACAAGGTTTAATCTACTTACAAAAATGTGTTCTTTTCAAGGGTTTCAGTACATTCTTTAATTACAAAGGTCTTGGGTGGTTCATTAAAACAATGAGCTAAGAGCAGTTAATTCCTACTATGAAATAAAATGGCATTTCTCCAAATGACTCCCATTCCCAATTTTGCATTAATTTAAACTAAGCCCAAGTCAACCAAATTAGCAAGCTAGATAATTACATAGTTTTCAGAATGGGATTCTATCTCAGATGCAGCAGTCACCTAGTCTGAGACTTTAACCACCCTTTTCCCCAGTTAAATCTTACTGGAAAGCCAAAAGCCAAATCTATGCCACAGATATATTAGAACTGCTCTGTTGAGACAGGGCCCATCCTGTGTGGCTGCTCCTTGACCTCCTATAATAGCAGACCCTAGGGCTCTGAAAACACACAGGTGAATAATGATTGATCTTATCCAGTTGTCATCAAATTTTTTCCGTAAAGGATAAGATAGCAAATTTCTAGACTTTATGGGAACACATAAAAGTCTGTCATTCACACACACACACACACACACACACACACAATGTAAAAACCATAAAGCTATCACCACACCCAAGACAGCAAACATATCCATCTCTCCTCCTCTCCCCTCCCTAAGTAACCAATGACCTCTTTTTGGTCACTATGGATTGGTTTGCATTTTCTAGAGTTTTATATGTATAATATATACAGAATCAAACAGAATAAATGCTCCTCTTATTTTGAAGTCATCTATGTTGTTGTGTATAATAATTCATTCTTTTTTTAAACCAATACCTTCATTTATGCAAGTGAGGAAACTGAGGCTGGAGTGGCCTGTCCCAATCATATGACAGCAGAGCTGGCCCAGAGCCAGGTTCCCATTTCCCTGTGCAGTATCTTGTTCCCATCCATCTCCCTGCTAATCTCACAAGAGGTTTAGAAAAACTTTTGAAGCCTCTATGTGGTCTGTAGAATTTGCATGTGTAGCTCTGTTCCTTTTCTACCAGACTCCCTCTTCCTGGTCTCCCTGGGGTCAGCAAAGAACACAGGGAAATGTTCTAGGCAGAAGGCATTCCAAGTTGTATCCCAAGTTCCACAGATAAATCAGTAATTTAAGCTAAACTTAGGGGAGATTCATTCAGTCATCAAGTAGTTTCCGAGTGCCTACCACGTGCCAGGCAGCTGGGTAAGCAAAGCAGGTGCAATTCCTACTCTCACAGAGCATATAGTCTAGTAAGGAAGAGAGATTGACAAAAAAAGATAATTATATGATTACAAGATGAATCAAATGATATAAAGGGAATAAACAGGGTGCTGTGCTAGGGAGGGGGAGGGGTGACATCTGGCTGAGGGCACAAGTGTGGAACAGGGTGGTCTTGGCGGCTCCAGTTGGGGTGAGCAGGACAGGCAGCAGCCATTAAGGAGGGTGGTGGCCCCTGGTGGAATGGGTGACACACAGGACCCTTGTGGCTACAGCCCAGGAGCCAGAGAGGAGTAGGTACAGAGCAGGAGTGGCTGGCTTGCAGAGAGCCTCGCTAAAACACACTACCCAGACTGGATTTCACTGTAAATGTAAGGTGTTCTAAGTGTGAAATGAAGTCATTGGAGAGTCTGAGCAAAGGAGTAGCACGATTCAGTTTGCATTTTAGAAAAGATCACTCTGGCTGCTGCTGTATGGAGAATGAAGTAGAAAAGGGCAGGAGCAGGGGAAGTGGGATCACATTTCTGAAAGTTCTGCTGCCTGATTTCTCAGGCATATAGGAAAGGGATCATGTGTCATTTCAGGGGATGCTTTAAAACCACAAAGTCTTTGAAGTCTAGATAAAAAGGAACTTTTCAAATTCAGTTAAGACTGGTTGACTTTGGTTGTTGCCAAGGCAGGCGAGGGCTGGACCACATCAGGCCCTAGGGTCTGGAGCTGGAAACTATTTGAAATGCTCATATCAGGCTTATTTACTCACTCTACAGAACTGGCTGCAAGGCTGTCGCTGACTTGGCGATCCTGCGGTGGGCAGCCAGGAGCAACATTTTACCTGTGATGCCAGTATTTGCTCAGGGCTTCTGCTGTACACTTAGCTCACCCAGAGAGACCTTCCTTCCTAGCTTTAGAATCCTGCTGTAACCACAGACTCACTCCCTCCAGGGTAGTGGCAGTGGAGCAGCTCCATGGAACAACTGGCAGCAGGAAGGCAAGTCTCCAAGAGGAGAGGTCAGAGCCTGACCCTGGTTCTGGCTTTGCCAGTCATGTGCTGTAGGACTTGGCCATGTCACTCCCCCTCCTTGAGCCAGCTCCTCATCTACACACCAGGATGGTTAAGGAAGATAATAGCTGCCCTTGCTTCCTTAAAAGGCATCAGCCTGTACCACCTTAAATGATGGCTGTGAAGGGCTCCAAGAAGCAGAAACACTGTGCAGATTCACGACTCCTTTATTATCAATGCATTAGTTACTAAATAAGCACTAGCTTTTGCTGAATGCCTACAAAGAGGTACCAGGCTCAATGCCTGGAGCTCCATCTCTAGAGTGATCAGGATTTCAGTTAAGTTACACTTCACTTTTCCACATATTGGCCATCCACCAGCCTCAATCATACAGAAGAATACAATCAAGAACCCTGAAAGACCTCTGATGAGATCAATGCCAGGGACTGTTGGCCAATGTGTTCTGAGAGAGAGCTGGTTTACTTGGGACGTGGCATAATTCAGGGGTCAGAAAACTTTTCCCAGAAAAGGCCAGAGAGTAAGTATTTTAAGGCTTTGTGGGTCACACAGTCTGCCACAATTATCTAACTCTATAATTTTAGTGCAAAAGCAGCCATGGACAAGGAATGGCCATGGCCATGTTCCAGTAAAATGTAATTGACAAAAACAGATGTTGGGCTAGATTTGGTCCACAGTCTAGAGTTCGCCAACCACTTACATAGACTAAGAATTAGAATTTGAGTATCTTTGGACAGGCTTATATTTTCCATTTCCTCATAGGATAGAACTCCCTGGCTCACATCCCCACCAATTCCCACTGCAGCATTTCCTATCTGGCCCCAATAATGATATTAGTAAGAGCAGCAAACATGTATTTAGACTTACTGTGCACCAGCTAAGTAATGTACCCAACCTTAGGCAGCTGGTGGCCCAGTCAGGATTTGAACCCAGCCATCTATCTCCAAGTCTATGCTCCTGATCACACTGCCCAGGGGCACCTGAATGTATAAACCAGGACAGCAGGACACGAGGAAGACACTGTGCCTCTCACCTCCTCTCAGAGCCCACTGCTCACCACAGCTTTACCTGGCTCTTGGGGCTAAGTGGCAGAGATTAGAAGTAGCAAGGTCTGCAAATATCAAAGTAGGAATGAGGGTGACTGAACTAGGCACCTACAGTAGCAAAAAGTGACAGGCAGCAGTCTGATAAAAGCAGCAGGAAGACAAAGATAAATAGAAAAGAGGAGTTATTTATTTGCGAATTGGTCAGCTACTTTGTACCACACATTGTACAAATCCCACCTATCCTAAGACCTTGCTGCTCAAAGCATGCTCTTCCAACAGCCCACCGGTATCACCTGGATGCTTGTGAGAAAGAGTCTCCGTCTCATCCCAGGTATGAACCAGAGTCTGCATTTTAACAAGATCCTCAGGTGATGTGTGCATTAGTAAGGCTGAGAAGCCATCAGCTATTACTGCCGCAACTTTACAGGCTAGGAACCTGAGGCTCAGGACAGTCAACCACCTTACATGTGGTTAAGTTGCAAGTCTGAACCCCAATGTGTGATTCAGAGGCAACTCTTGTTCTCCTGACGTGGTCAAAGAAAGGCCTCCAGGACATTTACCTTAGCGGCGATCATGTATTATCTTGTATTAAGATCATAGTAGGATCATGAATACATAAGATACTAACCCTGCACCATCACTTGAAGATTCAGTTATGCTCAGTATACTATTTTTAAAGAAACACAGAAATTAAAGTAATATAGTTAACACTTCAATTCCCATATTTCAAAAATCTCTTTTTACAAAGTTGACCAATTTTCCATTCTCTGATGACTTTATTTAAAAGAATGTAGAAGGATTTTGAAATTGACCATACTGGACAGATTGCTGTTCTTCTGGGTACATCTCTAGTGTTAGCAGGAGCGAATGATTAGATGGCCTCAGAGGTAGAGATCAGGGACCCAGAACTGCAGCTTCCTGAGTTAAGAAGAGAGACTTCTATTTGGGATTAGGCTGTTAGTAGTCTCATTTGATATTAAGGGGCTTGGGCAGAGGTGGTTCCTAAGTTGATGCCCCTGGGATTCTGGAGTCTGACGGCAAGATTCCCCTCCCCACCTCAACCTCCCCACCATGTACTATAACATCACGACAAGACCATTGAGTACCTTGGTCATGAATCTGGGGACAGGATATTAAAGGACAAGCCCGCTCCTCCTTAGCTTGTATATTTAATACACTTGTTTTTCTTGATAGGCATTTAGTATCTAGTATTTTAGTAAGTATGTTGATATGACTATAGGAACAGAGTACTTAGATACTGCAAGACCAGAGTGTGAGAAAGGATATATAATCTGGGAAAAGAAAGCTGCCAGAAACTCCAGCAGCTACTTTCTCTTTCTCTCCAGGCTGCAGGAGTTCTATCTGTGTCTTCCACTCTATCAGGCCCTCCACTGCACCCTAATTCTGTCAGGGTGGTGCCTCTCCTTGTGGAGGAATGCATTATCCTCTCAACAGCACCCTCTCCCTGTCAACATTGGTCCTGCTTCATCATGTGGACTCCTGGAAGGCTTCCGCCTCGCCCTCCTGCCACAGACGCATTTTTTTGATTTCTGTTAACATGGCTCACTCTCAGTGACTCTGTTTTCCAACATGAACTGAAGAATCTCATTGATGCAGCTCAGTTTTCTGAGCCAGAATTACAGTTCCAGCCACCAAAAAGCTGGACTGCACTGGGTCAGAGGACAACTCCAGGGTCCAATCAGCCAACATTGGAGGGAGTTACATGGTTGCATTTCCCACTTAAGTGCCGAGGTGAGTAGGGAGATTCCCTCAAGAAGGAGGGTGGTGGGAAGAGTGAAGCAGGATTTATGGCACAGCAGGAATCTTCAGAATTTAAAGTCCTACAATCTGAGGTGAAGGAAGACCTTCCAAAGTCATCTGGTCCAAATTGTGCCCTCCCACATCCTCCAGTTGCAATCCTAAACCTCCCAGGACACAAAGGTGCCACTTCCCTTCCTGAAGCTCTCTGAGGTGAATCGGGATTGGGTAGGGGAGAGGGGAATGGGACACAAGAACAAGATAGGGAAGACGACTGATAAAACATCCTGCTAGCTAAAGCCTATGTTGAACGTAACTTTAGAAATGCGGTTGGAGTAACATCTCACTTAAAAGGCACATTGGTTTTCTGTGTGCATTCACTAAATACTCCAGGACGCACAAGCTTTGGAAAAAGAAACTAAATTCTCACATACTGTGCCGTGTTCTAGAGTTGGAGAAGATGTCCTGAATTCATGTGAAAACTTTATAGGATTTTTCATCTTTTGGGCTTTTTCCAGCACAGAATGCTGGATGTAATAAAATTGAAATAACACCCAGGATTTTTGGGTGTTATTACTCAGGCAAAGATGAATGTGGACACACTGCAACCCAACCTTTTATAATCTTTAGGTGCTGCACAGCACAGGTACACAGAAGCTTGGGCACCCATGGAGTTTTCACACCTCAAAATCTGGAAGGATTTCTAAATCTCACTCCAGATCACTTGAGCAACATGGTTAATGGTTTTGGGATTCCTTTTTTTTTTGAGACAGAGTTTCACTCTTGTTGCCCAGGCTGGAGTGCAATGGCATGGTCTCAGCTCACTGCAACATCCGCCTCCCAGGTACAAGTGGTTCTCCTGTCTCAGCCTCCCAAGTAGCTTGGATTACAGTCACCTGCCACCACGCCTAGCTAATTGTTTTGTATTTAGTACAGACAGGGTTTCACCATGTTAGTCAGGCTGGTTGCAAACTCCTGACCTCAGGTGATCCACCCGCCTCAGCCTCCCAAAGGGCTGGGATTACAGGCATGCACCACTGCACCTGGCCTCGGAATTCCTACTGGCATGGAAAAGTCACCCTTTTAGTGGCAATATTAATTTATCTAAAACAGGTGACCAAAATCTTTCAGAACCAATTTATTGTTTTGTTTTTCTAGGGAAAGGGAAAAAGTTGCCAGAGAGTGCTAGGAGGTGGTTGCACTTGGCCCCAAAACAAAGTGATATAATTTCAATATTAAGCCCACACGGACATGCAAGCTATCTTCTTCAAGCAGATACAGAGGCTTTTCTTTAAAAGCCACAGTCCTCCTAAAACCAATGCCGTAAACCATTAATTTCACAAACAAGCTGAGCATGAGAACACCCAATATGCCTGTTTTAACCCAACTTTGGCTGAAAGTCAGCTGGAAAATGCACTATCAACACAGGACACATTTTTATACAAGGAAAGCAACACAAATTTATGGGACCATCTTCGATAGCCATTTACAATCTAGACTGACTTTCATTTTACTTGAGGCAACAAAGTATGGTATAACATACATAGGAAACATTCTTACCAGCCGAGGGTTTTCCACCTTTGGAATTACTGGTATTTTGTGCCAGGGGCCATCCCATTCATTGTAGGACATGTACAGCATCCCTGGCCTCTACCCACTACATGCTTGTAGCACCACTGACCAGACATCACAACCAAAATTGTCTCCAGACACTGTCAGATGTTCCCTGGGCAGAGGGGAATCGGTAAATAAAATCGTCTGCAGTTGAGAACTACTGTACTAAACAAAGACAAAGGTCTAGCTGTTTAAGACAAAGAGTTGTCTGGAATTAAATCTGCCTCCCTGGAGATGGGCTGATCTCATCATCCCTTTGGTGTAGTTAGTACCTTAGAGCTGAGGGGTAGGGCACTGCTTTTCCTTTTCTGAACACAGGGTCAGAAAAGCAGTACCAAGGAATTCTTTATCCTGTACATCACCTGTACTCCCTCAGCTGTAGGATTCCTAACTTCCTTGGCTAGCAAGAAACATGAGACCACAGTCTGTGATCATTCAAGAAAGCAATGAATTCTTACATTTAGGAAGAGGCATGTTGTGAGATCCTGAAGACTTCTATCTTCTAAAAACATTTCCTCAAAAAAAAATTATGACATTTGGCCAATGAGGCAGACTTCCCACATAAAAAGATCTGCATT
The DNA here is from genome assembly GCF_000001405.40 of Homo sapiens. Taxonomy (NCBI): domain Eukaryota; kingdom Metazoa; phylum Chordata; class Mammalia; order Primates; family Hominidae; genus Homo; species Homo sapiens. The sequence continues at coordinate 134,363,074 of NC_000002.12, read as the reverse complement.
ACCTGTCAACAGGTCACATCCAATCTGGTTCCTCTCCTGTTATACTTTCCCCAAATGTACTCAGGAAATCAACTCAGGAGGGCCAAGGGGCCCAATGCTTTTGGAGGACTTGGTTTGGTCTGTGGCCAAGAGTGCTGTTTCAGCCAAGACCTCCCTGAACAAAGTGCCTACAGTCAGCCCCAGCAAGAATTTACTTTCTACGTCAGGTGAGTAGTGACTATAGCCAAGAGGATGTGAAGCCCACTGCATTTCCCAGGAAAGGGAACTGCCTACCTCCACAGACTACCTCCCAGAAGCAGAGGGAAAGACTCCCTTGGTAAAGTTTCTCCCTGTGCAGTATCTTGCTCCAGAAAGATATTCAACCCCTGGAGGGCCCTGGCTCTCAGAAGCAAGTACAAGGTGTGAAAAAGCAGCTAGAATGTGTCCCTTCTGACATGCAGAGAGTGAAGGTGGCTGTTGTACAGCCACTATCAGAAGAGCAGGTACATACAGCCTTGGTTAGAAACCCAAATGCTGAGCAACTGAATCTTTGCACATTCTTGTTTATGTCTAAGTAGATCCCATTAAGCCCTGGGCACTTGGCTTGATTATTCCCTGGATCAAAGTTAAATTAAATTACCCAACAAGCTTCTTTTCAGAGAGAGAGACACGCACAGACTGACTCACCTTCCAGAAGCTATCCACTTTGCCATACACAAGGGACTGGTTCTGCCTTTTGATTTCATTAATGTGGTGGATATCACTGGAGTTCAGGTGCTGCTCAACCACAAACCCCAGAAAGCTGTTGTCTGGGGTATGAGCTGGTGTGCAAAGAAATGGAGAGGACAGTTAGTGTCCAATCAGCAAGAAGAAATAACAATCACATATTTAACACAGGCCATCTTACCCATAACAAAATGTTTGTTTTCATCTTACCCTGTTCTTTCTTACCTGAGGGAGGTGAGGGATTGTCATCTCTCCCACACATTCCCAGTAAAACCGTCATGAAGAATACTTCTCTCTAGGATGGATTAACCTGAACCAAAACCTGCTTTTTAGGGGAAAATACATCTGTCTGAAAATCATTAAGCTGTGTACTCTCTTCCTTGTTGCCTCAGAATAAGGCTACTGTCCATTTCCCAGCAGAAATGCTTTCACCCAGGTTTCACCACCTACTGGCCAGAAATCTGTAGGGGGCAGGGCTGACTGGGAGTTCTGAATAGGCGCAGAGTCCCCACATAACTGAATCTGACTCCAGCTGTGTTTTTCACCCAGCTACATAACAGGAGGTTGAGGGACAAAGTGATGAATAATCCTCAGAACCTTTCATCTCCTCTAAGAATTACTCACTCATAAAAGATGTAATTATGGGTCTATATTGAACAGGTGCATGGAATGAAGACAGAATAAAAGGTAAAGCCTGCTGGGGCACAAACCACTCAAAAAAATCCAACCACTGCAAAGGAATACTGTCTACAGAGTAGGCTATTCTGGAAGAGAAAATTTTGGATTTCTCTCATTTGGGTTCTGTAACTTCTCTAACGCTTGACCAAGGGGGACAGCAACCCCACACCCTCTCCAAACATCCGCATCTTGTGCCTATAATTTTAAAAGGCATTTCACCAGCAAGTGACAATCAGAAAATAATTCTCTCTAGATTAAACAGAGATGCTCCTCTCCTCTACCTTCATTCTGTCAAGAGAAATCTCCGTTTTTCAGGAGATGAGCCTGCAGAGCCCATGTGTGGCTGATATTAAATGAAGCAACTGCTCTGCTTGGCTCTGACCTGAATAGAACAGCTATAAATAACATGAAACCAAATTCCTCCTGGTGATTGAGATATACACAAGATTCTGAAAAGTCCACCACATCCATTCACAGATAGGTGGTCAACAAACAGAGGAAGCTGGTCCCTTCATCTTGTTCTGGTTGTGCTAGGACTGAGGAGCCATTTCCCATGCTTGTAGCAGCGTAGAAATCCTTTCAGACAGACAGATGGGCAAAGGCCAGCCTGCAGCACAGGCCTAGGACTCCGATGCCCAGCCTCCAATGTCGCCCGCCATGCACGCAGGGGAACACAATGAAGAAGGGACAGTGGCAGGAAGCCCTGAGCTGTGGAAATGCACGAGCCATGTAAAAACTGTGTTGTCACCCTCCGTTTCCCAGGCTTTTGCCTGATGGGGGTGACAGAATGAGGAGATAACAGGGTTGTGGCTGGGGAGTTGTGTTCAGTCTGGCCAATCTGTTATTTCATTTCTGCGTTTTTGAACCAGTGCCCAGAGGCAATGGCAATGGCTGCAGTTGGCTGGAAAGTAAATTACTGAATAAATTCTCCTGCCAACAAGAGGCGATAGTTGCTTTTCTCCCCCCTTTTGAGAAGCTGAGGGCATAGGGAATTTTCAAGGATTAGCGGGGAGAGGAACAAAACCTGTGTGCATTCTCAGTGTTATTATGCAGCTTAAAATATTTCTAAAATTTTTTGTTAATTCTAAAAGTTTTGAACTCAAACCTGACACTATACTTCAGGATCAGGTGTTTTTAAATTTTTTTTATTTTCAGAAAATTTACATGGTGATTAAAGCACGATGCTTTGAAATACTTGCTTCTGAAATGTAGTTATTTAGTCCCTAGGTAGGCACTTAAAAAATAATCCAGCAAGTGAAACAATGGGTTTTATTTCATGTTATAATATACTAATATATAGTAAAAAATAAAATGATTCAGCCCCCCAAATGAAAAAATACATATATGTAACATATTTTTGTGTGAAAGATTCTCCTAGCTTCTAGCTTGACTGGTGAGAGGGAGAAGCAAATATCAGAAAAACTTGTGAGGAATGGTGGGCTTTTGCTGCTATGACTATAATTTGGTACTCAATTAACTCTGACACTATGAATTTCACATCTAAGCTCTCTTCTACGTTTTCATCCAAATACTTTAACTCCTGTCTCACCTTGTGAAATGTTAACTTAGGGATCAACAACCTGCAAGTGTGGTTTCAAGGACCTCAGGTGAGACTTAAGATTTACAAACAGTATCACCACGTTTAATGAGCCAAGGCCTGAGCACTGGTCTGACCTCTACATGCCTTCGCCTCCCAGGTGACTCTAAACTTGCCACAGGACACTAAACCTTGACCACATAAGGGTTTGCTCAGCCATGACTCGCCCCAGCAGGTGATTCTGAAGTAACTACCGGCCCAGTGTGGCTTGCTTCCAAGGATCTGAACACCAGCTGGAGCCCACCCGGTAACATCTGCCGAGAGCGCCCTGGTCTTATCACAAGTGTTCTTAATGGTGCTTATAATAAATCAAAAGCCACAAGTCCAGGAGGATGTTATCTGAAATGTTCATTTCATTGAGTTCAAACTTCAGGCCAACCTTTCTTTTTTGCTCTGCCTTAGGAAGGGAACAGAGACTTTCATTGTGTTGGGAGGGTTTCAAAGAGAAGGTATTTACATTTTAAGGTAAATCAAACAAATCTCATCATAAACGGGATGCAGGAAATCCTGTACTTTTAGTAATCCCTCCATCCCAGAAGATAAACAAATGTGATTTTTAAAAAGGATGGCTGGTATTTTGAGTTCTGACTACATGCCAAGTTCTGTGCTAAGCGCATTATAGTGACTCTTCCATTTTAACCTCATAACCGTGTAACATGTTTGTACAGATAAGAAAACAGAGTTTTGGTTTAACTACCCAAGTCTACATGCTAGGAAATGGCAACACTGGGATTCAGAGCCAGATTGGCTGCTTTCAGGGCATCAGCTCCTTAAGTCACTCTAATACACAGCCTCATAGTCCAAATAATTTTCTGGACCCTGTGAACAGCAGTGGTAAACCATGCTTCAGAGGAAAATAATGTTCTAAGGTAGAGCAAAATACACAAGAGTGATCTAGAATACATACGCAATGTCACCTCAGTTTCTTGAGTATCTTGTGCCATATGTATGTGGGACCACACAGATTTTTTCACATGCTAAAAAACTGCAGGAGATTTGCCAAACATTAGCAATGATTTTAAGACAATTTAGAACAAAATGTCTCTTATTAAGAGAAACACTATTTTAAGCACTTTGGAAGCACCTATTTACAAATGATTACAAATCAGCTTGATGTGGTCCCTGAGCAGAGTATGATGATAACTACTTCTAAGAAATACTATTAGCTTAGCTTGAATAATTCACTCAATGACAAATGTTTTGGAGCATTTCTACAAACCAGCTTATATGATAAGTATTGACAAACTACAATATAAAGATGAGTTTCTGCCCTCAAGGAGCTTACCAGCTACTTAATAAATGAAGCATACACTATATCTACCAAGCAGTCATAATATCATCTTTTAAACTATAATTCAAAATGCATACTAAGTCGAGTTGACCTTTCTTTCAACTGCATAAATCTCTGAGGTCTGTTTTTTCTACCAGTAAGTCCCAAACATCTCTAAGAATGTAATGTATCTTCACATCTCCTGGTCACCAAGAGAAGAAACCCCAGCGCCAGCCTGGGCCCATTCCTTAGCCCTCACAGTCGGTGTAGTCCCAGGGATATTAGTTTCTCAAAAATCCATCAACTCATCCTTTCCTTTTTGTATTTGTGAGTCCAGGCCTTCTCACTTTTTGCTAAGACTTCTGCAATAAACACGCTTTTCCTTTTCCTAAATACAAATGGATTTATTGGTTTTCCTCATTATAACAGAAATATATCCTCAGATTAAAACTTTTTTCAGATAATAAAGATATGAGAAAAAATAAGTTACATTTTCATCACCTAGAAATAACCACTATTACTGGACTTTTTTTCTAAGCTTGTGGATCATTTTTCCCCTCAAAATATTGAATTATAGTTAATGATGTGAAGCTGAAGCATCAGAGAGTTCTTTTATGCATCCAAAAAAAAAAAAAGGTGGAGTGATGGATAGAGAGAGGACTGGGGCATATAGATTGATACAGTAAATGGTTAATTGTAGAATCTAGATTTGTGGGTTTCTAGTAACATTTCTTCTATTTTTTTGTATGGCTGAAAACATCATTTAAAATACTGAAGAAGAATACTGATTGTCATCATATTCATGCCGTTTTTGCTGATCCTGATAAAACCGACGGTAGAAAAAAATTCATTGAAAAATAGTTATGTCACACAAGAAATCTGGATTAAAAAACTATACATAGTAATGTTATGCTTCAAATTTTACAAAAACTGATTTTTTTTTTTTTCCAAATGGTGGTGATACTAGTTTCTTCAAGAGAGAAGGCTGGGATGCAGGCTAGGGAAACTGTAATATAAGTTGAGCTGAGAAGATGAGCGCCTAAATTGTTGACAAAAGGCACCTCAGGGTAAAATTTTCAAGTGTCAAAAAGCAATTTAAGAGGGAATGGACTCCTTAGAAGAGTAACACTCCTGAAAGCTGAGACTCAGACTGAAGGAACCACGAGGCTGATCCTAATCCTCAGTGGTCTGCACAGAACTTAAAGGCAAGAGCCCTCCTGATTCAAGTTAAAGGCCAAAATGGAAGTTTCAATCACAAATAACTCCTTTGGTTATCATGTCCTAAAAATAAAATTGTACATGGAAGTTAACTGATCCTTTGCTACAGCCAACAGGCTTATTATCTGCATGAATGGGAATTGACTTGGTTCTAAAATTCCTGTTTTGCCAGGCAAAATTTTTGATCTGCAAGCCATCATTCAATTTGATCATGCAAATAAAAATGGCTGTGAGCCCCAAATCCTGGGAGAAATTCAGGGTTGGAATATCAATGATACTGACAATCATTATGGTCTGAATGCCACTTGAAAGCCCAAAAATGTGAGTAAGTTCCCTGGGAAGACACAAGAAAGTAAGATGAGGCCACTGGCCTAAAGAAGTTTCTACAATCTTAAATTTGTACAACAGTCTCCTTCCCTACATTGTTGCATGGATTAAAAACATAATAGGCAATATTGTTCATTCTAGTTTAATTCTATCAATAAAAGACTTTCTGAATGCCTACTATGTGCCAGCCACTCTTCAGGATGTTAGAGTTCCAGCAATAAACAAAGCAGCTAAAATTCCTGCCATTATATGTCTCAGATTCCAGGGAAGGAAAAAGAAAATAAAAATAAGTGAAACATAAATACTGGGTAGCAATAAAGTCATGGAGGAAAATAAAGCAGGGAAGGGGAGGAGAAAGTTGGGGAAGGAAGGAGTTGCATTTTAAAAGAGGAGGTCACAGTCAGTCTCACTGAAATGATATTTGAATTAAAAACCTGAAGGAGGAGATGGGGAAGTCTAAAAGAAGAATGTTCCAGGAGATGGGACAACCAATGCAAAGGTCCTGAGGGGGAGTGTGCCTATTCTACTCAAGAAACAGCAAGGAAGTAGAGAGAAATGAGCAAAAAGCCGCGTAGTAAGCGACAGGGTTTTGAGGACCCTGGGAAAACTTGCCTCTAGTTGCCACAACTAGGATGTTCCCCACCTCTGCATTCAAATTTTCCCTACTCCATTCACCTGGGTCTGTAATTTTTAAAGTGGAAGTATGAGAAAGTCTTATTTTTGCGTACCTCCTGACTCCACCGAAAGTAAGCTTCTGGAGAACAGAGACTTAGACATCCCACAGATGGTCAGGAAACACACACTGTTCAGTGGATAAAATCGACAACCAAATAAAGATTCCAATCTAACTCCTAAACTGACGCTCATAAGGAACAAGAAAATACTTAGGCTTAGTCAGCTCTGTAGCCTTTACTAAGGAGCACCTTACAAGGATTTGGGAAAGAGGAGGAGGGGGTAAAAAGAAAAAAAAAATCAAAGAAGTGGAAGGTGAAATGGGAAAGTTCTAAACACCTCCAGAATCCCCCATCTGCTCTTCTCTCCACTTTGTTATAGCTTCCTGTCTTTTCTGCTCCAAATTTCCACAAGTACCAAGAAATGCTGAATATTCTCTAGTCTTGACTATACAGAATGTGAGCACCCAGAAGGCAAATTCTTGTGTGTCTTCACATTGTGAATGATAGCCAAAATGTTGCAGGTACTTAACACATACACGCATAAATAAAATAAAATAAAATAAATAAAACTATACAAACATAGTTTGCTCAGGCAATGTAGTAAATGCTCTATGGTAATGATATGAAAAGTGAGGCTGTTAAGCAGAACTGATTTCAAAGGTTATTGAAATTTTTGTAGGATATAAAAATAAGGTCTGAGATCTGAAACCAGGGATGGGGTATCTTGTAATGCCTGCTATTGCTACTTTCAGCCATCAACTCTAGGGAAAGAGAGGAAAAAACTCAATTAGATAAAGATGATTTACCACTGCCAATGTTTTTATACAAGCCAGACGAAGTTGTAAATGTGGGTGTGGTGCAGATAATTAGAGCTATCCAAATACCGGAAAATTTACAGTGCAAGTCATCAATTTTAGAGCTTTCTCTTCTAAATGGTAAAGGCAAATGCCTTCGCTCTTATTTTTCTGTGCGGGCAGATTTCTTGCATTTATTTACTGAGATATAATGCACCTTGTTTGAGACTGTCAAAAATAAAAGATTGCCTTCAGAAATTTAAAACAAGCCGTATGCACAGTTAAATAATACGTAAATATAAGCCAAGCCAGGTACCTGGCAACCATAAAAAAAGCATCAGTTAAGTCTCAACAAGAAATAACAAAAGCATCCCCAAATAACTATGACTTAGGAACTAGCCACTTGCGTGTAGAAGAGTCTTGGACACAATGGTTTTCAAATCTGAGTAGAGTCTTGAAGGAAAAAAAAAGATGATATATTAAGTGGAAAAAAGGAAACACAAAATTTTAGTACGTATGTGACAAGTATGTAAAACTACACTTGTGAAAAAGATAAAAGTTACACCAGGGTTAGGGGAGCCTTTTTCAGTGGGAGGAAGTCTTTCCCTGTTTTTGTAATTGGGTTACATTTCTTTATAAATTTGATTGGAAAATTGGAGGAAGTCACTTACATAGAGTTTTAAAGAAAAAATTAAATTTTGCTTCTCAGGGACCAGCAGGCTGTTTGGTGAGACCGGGGCCAGGACCTGGGGAGGAATATGGTCGGGAGTTGAGGCCAGAGAGCCTAAGGTCTTGAATACTTTGCTGTGGAGTTTGAAAATGATCCCATGGACAAAAGGAAGGCACTGCAGTCTCTGAGGAGAAACAGCCTGATCCAAGCTGAGCTTTCAAGAGCTGGTTTTTGTGGTTGGAAAGCCTTAGTGCCTAGTTCAGAGGTCATTTTAGCATGCGGACAGAAGGAGTGAGCAGGAATGGGGGCCTAGAAGGAGGAACAACCAGACTTACCAGATTCCTGGGGAAAACCCAACACTTAATAGATCTAATCAAATGGCCTTAGTATTGTCTGGCCACCAGTCCCTCCAGAAGCTGCTTAGGAAGGTGTCAGGAATAGTTTATGTGGACACCACCTAAAATGCCTAACTGCAAAGAGAACACCTGACGACGATGGTGCCAGTGAACCTCTGAGACTGGGGGCAAAATAATACAGAAATGCAAGGTTCTTCAATTTGTAGAAACCCCACCAACTTAGGAAACGAGTTAGAGGAGAAACAGAAGGAGCCTTAAAGTGAGACGTGTACCATGAATATTTAAGAACGCAAACACATTCCGGTCCAGCGTATTTCATTTCACTGTTCCTCAAGATGCATCCCAATGGTGTATTTTTCTTTATCTTCCCACTGGGTTCGTTTGGACTGGCCTTCCCCACGCTCTCTGTCTGCACATGAACCACAATACTGCTACATCTTACTATAAGGCAGCTAGTCCTGAAGACTTTGTTCCTCAAGTATAGCACTCTATTTCTGCAGTCTCCAAACTGTGCATTCCATCAGTAGAACACAATCTAAGCACACAGGAACCTGAGTACATCCTCAGTATATGTGCATATTTATACAGAAATTATATAATGATTACTATCCAGCTCATATATTAAGCACTAGTATTTGTTTCACTTTTGAAAAATTAACAAGAAATAAATAGAAGTTTTGATATTCAAAGGAACGGTATTTCTCTTCAGACCACTAAAATAGCCACATTGACCCAAAAGGTAAAGGAATGGAGGGCTCTATGGGAAGGACCTAGCTGGACTGGACTCCAGGCCTTTGTCACATGGGAAGAAAGGGACCCTCTTGCAAGCATGCATCCAAGTTCACTGTGGGCAGGCGCTGGAAAACAGAGTGTAGGAACTATTTTTTTTTTTTGTTGTTGCAAATTTTCCAGCTCAGGCACATCTCAATAGGATAAAGGTATCAAACTGCTTTATTTCTCTATTCATTTCCATATTTCCTCCATTCAAGTCAGCCTCGTCCATGAGAAAGTTTTCCATCAACCTGTTACTTGATGGATTTAGCGACCACTGATGATGACTGTTTTGCTCTGCTGTCTCATCAGGAGTTTTATAACGCTCATTTTCTAATTCATTCCTTTTGCATGTATTAGTTGTGATTTCTCCATAATTAATGACTTTCTCTCATCAACTATTTGATTATCTTCAAATACAATTTGTGCTAGAAAGGCATGATCAAAGCTGAATTCTTTCACTTTACTTTTTACAGTAATGAGGTAGTATCCTAGCAATTTGCGAAGGTGACCCACTACACTTTGTGGAGTTTTCTTGGTTGGTGTATCATTCCGGAATCTAGAATCTTTAGGTACTCTCCTCTTTTTGTATACTAAACATCGTGGTTCCTACAACATACCCATAACAGTTTCAAGTAACAATATAAATATTTCCCACTACAACTGTATAGTCAAAAGATTGTCTTTTAAAGCCACTTAAGTAATAATCTTCTCTGTATGAGAGGTTAACACCAACCTCACGTGTACAGCTAGGTTTGTCTCTATCTGTTTTCAATTTTTAGTGAATGCTTTTCTTTTTTATTTGAATTTTTATTGTGGTAAAAAACAAATAACACTAAAGTTACCATCTTAACCTTTTTTAAGTGTTCAGTAGTGTTAAGTATATTCACACTGTTATGCAAGAGATCTTCAGAACTTTTTCATCTTGTAATACTGAAACCCCATAGCCATTAAACACTAATTCCTCCTCCCAACTTGGTAACCACCTTTCCGCTTTCTGCTTCTATGATTTTGACTACCTTAGATACTTTACGAGTGGAATCATATGGTATTCATCCTTTTGTGACTAGCTTATTTCGCTTAGCATAATATGCTTGAGGTTCATCCATGTTGTAGCATATGACAGGATTTCCTTCCTTTTTAAGGCTAAATAATATTCCATATATATGTACACTACATTTTCTTTATCCACTTGTGTGGATGGACATTTGGGTTGCTTCTATCTCATGGCTATTAGGAATACTACTGCAGTGAACATGAATGTGCAAACACTTTTTCGAGATCCTACTTTGAATTCCTTGGAGTATTTCTCTTTTTAAATTAGGTAAAACATTTACATGGTCCTAAAGTCAAAATAGGGAACATTAAGAGACATCACCCTTCTAGCCCCATCCCTGGATAACTTTATCCAATGGGAATCACTTTATCCAATGGCAATCATTTTTATTAGTTTATTTATCCTTTCATTGTTTCTTTTGGAAACATAAGTTCATTCATATATACTAACATGACCACACACACTCTTCCTTTGTATCTGACATATATAAAAGGGAGTAGCTCTACATTGTCCTGCACGTTGGCTCTTATCACTTAAAATATCCTAGACATGCCCCTCCTAGAATGAAAGCCTTCCTCATTTCTTTTTATAGCTATGTAGTACTTCACTCTATTAATGGACCATATTATTCACTCAGTCCCCTATGATGATTACTTGGGTTGTTTCTTGTTGCTTCCTATTACAACTAGTGCTGCACTAAATGCCCTTGAGCACATGCCACATCTTGATTTTGCTCATTATCTTTGGGATAGATTCATATATATGAGGTGCTTAGTTGAAGAAAGAAAATGCAGAGGCGGTTTTGCTAGATCCTGACAAACGCCATCCCCACTGGGGTAGTACCATGCTGCATTCTAACCACTAGGGTTGAAGAGGGCTGGTTTTGCTCACTGCACCATCAGAATAGCTATGCTGTTTAACTTTTGCATTTCTGCCATTCTGTACATGGGGCATGGTATCTTGGTGCAGTTTAAAAATGCATTTCTCTTACTGTGAGTGAGGTTAACATCTTTCCATATGTTCAGAGCAGTAAATTTCTCTTTCCTCTAAACTGTTAATAGCCTTTTCCCATTTTTCCGTTGGAACATGGAACTTTTTCTTCTCAATTTTTATATGTATGTATGTATATATAAGGGTCTATGTTAGTAATTTAGCCCTCTGTGACATGATTTGCTTATGATGTTACTGGTTGTTGTTTTGCCATACAGGTTCTTCTTTTTTTAAAATATAGTCAAGCATATCAATTTTCCCTGATTTCTGCTGAATTCTGAGTCATGGTTAGGAAACTTATTCCCTTCCCAGATTAATAGAAATTAATCCATGTTTTTGTCTTCAGTTACATTTTAAGCAGTGAATTTCTTTCAATTTAATCAACCAATACTGCTGAAATTCTCCATCCATGGAGAACAAAATAGGTTTGCAGGACTCTGAATTCCAATATTCTAAAATAGAACTTTATGTTTTCTAGGAAAAAAGAAACCTCTCTTCTCTACTCCCTGGAAACTCTATCTCTTGTAGGGCACACGCCTGCCATATCACCCAGCGGTTTTAGTCACTTTGAACACAGTTAATGTTTTATTTCACTTGGTTTAACACATAGGTCACTTCTTAGGCTATTCTGTGCCATCTCATCCCATCCCTCAAAGTTACACAGCAAAGTCAAACCAGAGGCAAACTCTGAGCATCCTCACCATACTGAAAGCCATCTGTTATCTAACGTGCCAAAAATCAATTTGCTCCATGAACTGTGCCCCAGGGACGGTGTGTAATAGCAGGATGATACAGCTCCATGAACAATAATGTTTATGAAGCATACAACACACTTTCACAAATCTGAGCTTAATAGAACACTTAAGGATGAGTTGATTTTTAAAATTACTCTCCATTCTTAATTCTCCCTTTTCATGCCTAACACCCAAAGATTAGTCCAATGCATGTGCTGTTACATTTAGTGAGTGTGAGACAGGGGTCACCTTCAGGTAGCTGTGTACAAGGGGGAGGGGCAACCACATGGGAAGAAGATCAGGAAGGGGTCTTTTGGGTCTTGTTTCCACAAAGCAAACAGATTCATCTCAGAAGTTATAAAGTGGAAACCTCTGGATTAAAATTATCCTGATAATTTTAGAAAATAGGAATTCTCTCATCAACCAAATTATCTCATGTGGCCTTTCACTTCTGGAATAGGACTTCATCTCATTACTAAGGACTACTGACTTATAAAATAAATTCGTTTTTGGTACTAACACTATCAAATGTGGTTTTTTGAGTTCACAGTCCTCAGCTAATTAGAAATGAGGCCAGTGCCAAGTAAACAGAAAGCAGCAGGAAGAAATGGTAAAAGTGGGAAAATAATCCTATAGAAACAGAAAATGTCTAAGAGCCTAGCATCTGTGGTCAGTTAATTCATCATCATTTGGTGTGCTGTTCTTACTATATCGGCTCATGAAATAATCACTGCTGCTGAAAACAATGATACCAAGTCAGCAAGAGAAGGTAAAATTTCATTCTGGGCCTAGGATTGAAAAAAATCAGTAAAATACAAAACTGAGTTTAAAACAGCTCCATTTTTAAAAGCTATTTTTTTCTTTAAAAAGTTTGATGCTTAAATAATTAAGGTTTAATTATGTGGAAAATAGATCTGCATGAAAGACTTCACCTCTCATTAGTGACAAAGTGTACCCTAAATAGCATCCATGTGGCATAAAATGTGTTTAGTGCCTGCCAATCTAAAGTAACTGCAAAGTCCTTTCCCAAATAGTTTCTAAAGATACTTTGTATTGAACATTTTTTCTCCAGAACATTTTCAAGGCTTTTCAAAAAATATTCATGTGGCCTTTCGATTTCAACTAAAAAACAAAAACAAAAAAACAAATTCAGTAATTCCCAAGGAAAAGGTTCAACAGCACACACTTCTACAGCTAATGGTCCTGAGAATCATAACCCAAAATAGATGGCGGCTAATTTTCCCATCTATCTTTGGTGGCATTCTGGAAAGCATACATGAAACAGGAATACTCACGGAACATGGTATAAAACTGCTGAGGGTTCAGATTCCATTTTCCCCAAGGGGTCTTGTGGCCTTTCGATTGGGCATAATTTGCATGATTAAATTCGGGTTCAGTACCAAATGAATCAAGGACTCGGAGCATGCACCTGAAAGAAAAAAGCAATGTGTTGAACACTACATACTTGCCCCCAAAGTTGAAAAGGTAAAAGCTCTAACCCTTCCTTCAAGACTACTAAAAATAGGTAAATCCTTTTAAATAGAAGCAGGACCAGACAAGAATTGTGATGTTTTACAATAGCTTGTGTACCGAACATCTACTTGTGTCACTTTAGAGTCTGAGACATCACACAGCAGATACGATTTGCTTCAGATCGGGTAACTAATTACAGAAGATCATTCAACTACCAGCAAAATAAAAAGTTCTATGAAAGCTTGAACTGGGGACTGCCATGTTCAATGCTGTACCCCCAGCACCTAGCCAGAGCTGAGCACACAGTAGGTGTCTAATCAACTGATGCCAAAGAAACAGAGCTACCATCTATAGAGGTCTTATTCTGCTTAAAGCATATGACACGTGTTATCTCTAGGAGCAATCATTCAACATTTTCATCAATTGGAGTATTTGACTTTACATTAAGCTTAGAATCTCATTCAGTAGGCAATGGTATTTTTTTATATATCTGATAGTAATAGAACTTTATTTGCTTTCTCCTAGAACTTGAAGATACAAGTGAAAATGTTTTGTTTACTATTCCACCAAAGCCATAAAACAGGGCCAAATCTGGTCTACCGCCTATTTTTGTACGGTCTGTGAGCTTAGAATAATATTTACATTCTTAAATGGTTTTTAAAAAATATTTTGTGACATGTACAAATTACATAAAATTCCAATTTTCATGTTCGAAAATAAAAATTGTACTTGAATGCAGCCACACCCTGTTGTTGACCTATTCTCTATGGCTGCTTTCATCCTGCAACAGCACAGCTAAGTAGCTGCAGCGATGCATATACGGCTCAAAAAGCTTACAATGTTTACTGGCTGGCTCTTTTCAGAAGGTTTTCTGACCACTGCTCTAGAGTGCACGAAGAGCAACCAGTTGGAAGAAAGGAATCAATCCTAAAACAAAATTTATTGATTTTGATAATATTTCATCACTGACTTTCAAAATATTTGATGTAAATTAAACTTGAGGATGGCCAATAAAAGCAGCTCTATTTTCTATTATGTATCAGTAATAACTTCTGAATAACTTTTAGAAGACTAAGAAGCATAAAAGTAAAGATTGAAACCCACATTTTAGAATCAGATGATGGCAATGACTTCTAAAAATCTGGCTCAGTTTTTTCCTACTATCAGAAAAGCATTCTTTCAACTTTTATTTTCACTTCAATGTATGATTCAGGGGGAAAAAATCCAAACATGAGAATGGACTTTTTAGGAAGTATACTCAAAAATTTTCATTTCTGTGTGCTAGTTTTGTCATTAGAGATCACTACCATTCGTCAAGGCCAGGAAGTGAAGAAAAGAAAGGCAGGCAGGCCACCACCACAAGTCAAATACAAGCTAACTACAGGAGGAATTTCCCTGTCTTAGATTCTTGTGTGGCTCTCACGGAATATGCTCTCATCACAGTGGGAGTTTTCACAGTATCATCAAAGATATGTCATTGGCCTCGTGGCCGATAGGTGGGCAGAAATAAAGCCCACAGTCCCGAAAAAAGAAAGCTAGGGACCCAAGGAACTGATCAGTGTTTGTTTTTGTTGCTCTTTGAATAGCTCAGAGCATCCCTTTCCACTTCTTAATAAAACATACCCATTTCTTAACTTATATTTTTCCGTTTAAAAAAAGATGTACAAGGAAGTGGTTTGAGCCACTATATATTCTTCTGCAAAAGCTGGCAGTGTTAACGGTGGCAGCTCTGCAGGTCACTGCAAAAAGTGGGAGGAGAGGACAGGACCCACGCTGATTTGTGGGGCTGGGGAATGCTCCACTCCTACCAGAGAACCAGAGCTGGGATTCACCAGCACTACTTTGTGAGTCAAAGATTACAGCACTCTGTGCAGGCAAAGCAGGGAGAAATGGGCCACTGTGGTCATGTGGAGCCTTGGCTTGAAGGCTCAGCTTCTTCCATTTATTGGCAATTGACTCCAACAGTCTACAGCCATCTTTGGTATCTGGTGGATTTGTTCCAGGACCCCTGTGGACACCAAAATCCAAGGATACTCAAGTCCCTTATATAAAGTGGTATAGTACTTTCACATAACCTACGCACATCCTCTCATATTTAAATCATCTCTAGATTACTTATAATGCCTAATATCATATTTGTATTTTTATTATTGTATTGTTATCTTTTTCCTTCAGATATTTTTGGTCTGCGGTTGATCCGTTGATGTGGAACTCATGGATATAAAATGCTAACGATATACTCTTCTCTAGCTTTGGCTAGTGACATTTTTAACTTTGAAGTTTTATTATTGTTATTTTTGATTTGGGCAATTAAAACAAATCCTGATGAGTAAAGTTGTCTGCTAAGGGCCTAACTCCTGAAAGCCCGGACTTTGCACAGCGCCTAGATGTAAGCTATGCGGCACTGGGCTCTTCCTGAAAGAGGAATGGAATGATCGGATGTCTCTCAGAAATTTATAATTCGACATCCTTTTACTTGAGGCTTTGGCTTGGGAATTGCTTTTCTAGCTTATCTAGGTTTAATTTACAAAGCACAGACAGGACACTGGACTTGGTCTATGACATGGAAGGTTTGACATTATAGTTTTCCTTCTTCAATCACATCCTGCATCTGTGTGTTTTGCAACTATTTTTATAATGTGCTGCTAATATTTATGTCTTCCCTCTAATGTCTCTGTGTCTGGAGCATCATAGGCCGACTAATGACTTAAAAAGATGTTTGTTTTGATGCCCAAGGCAGCTCGCCTTCCCGTAACAGCGATCGCAGCAGCCATGCCAAATACCTCCTAGAAACTTCTCTTTGCTCTCAGCCACACTACTATGAAATGGATGTTCAGGAGCTCCTTGCCATGCCCTAATTTCTAATCTGGTGTTTGACATAAAACATGGCATATCTTGGACTACTTGCAGTTTACTTTCTTGTATGTCCTTCAACAAAGGCCTTGTAGGAAGTAAAATGCGTATGAGCTTTGCAGTACCTAGCAGAATACTAGTTGTGTGTAGGCATTTAATATATGTTTAATTGAATTTCCTAGGTCCCTACGTAAATTGGACAAAATTTACAATTATTTTTCCAAGACCAACTGGCCTCAAGGGTTTGTTCCTAATTGAAAGATCAGATAACAGCAATACATTTAATGGAATACATTCCATTAAATTTCTGATTTTTAAAAGGGAAAATTTTGAATTTTCCCTGACAATTTCTAATTTTTAAAAGGGAAAGAAATCAGCTAGAAACTTCCAAGAGGATCTGAGTAGGCTTTTAATGGAATCTTTGCTTCACCATACCACAAAGACTGCAGAGCTAAAGCACTAACAGACCTCCTGCCAGGTAATATCACTAACATAGATGATTTATTAAAGAAAGGCAGATAAACATTACACTCATCCATAAAACCCCCTCTGAGATGGTGCCTTTTCATCCAACAAGAAATCAAATACCAATCAACGGTGACCATTTTAATAACAAAATTATCCTTTTTTAATTCACCTAAACAGTACCACTGAGAATATTTTTCCATCCAAAGAACTCTTCTTAACAGCGAGGATATGTGAGTCAAGGGAAGCCTATACCGTGTAGATTCCTTTGCACATTTATCAGATGTCTGCCGTTTACAAAATGGTAGAAAACAACAGCTCTACTTGGGTCAAGATTTCAAGAAACAAGCCAAAAACCAGAAAAACACCTCATGCAAAAGGTAGAGCACTATCTTGGCCCGCAGCAAGTTTTTAGTTTTGCTTTTTTTATATTTATGTGCCATTTACATTGTTAAATATATTTAAGTTTATTCACCTTTTAAAATTGATTTTTTAAAGGAAACTTTTAAAGACCATAAATAAAACCCAGTATTGACTGCCATAAATGCAAGATAACAACAAAAAAAAGCATATAACCTTTAGGAAATATTTTACAATTCAGAATAGATACTTTTGCCTGCTGAATGCTGAGACTCACAGCTACTCTCACATTGTTAAAAATGCATGTGTTAAAAGTAGTGTCGGACACAGAGTAGCATCAAACTACACCTTTTCTCAAAAAGACTGAAAGAAAATTGAAAAATTAATAAATTTCGTTATGTAATTCATTGTGATTTAGTGCCATGTTTGTATACCAGGTAAAAGCATTTCAAATATTAAATCGTGGTCCCAAACCCACACTCAGGCAAACACTGAGCTACTCTACTAAATAATAAAGACTGCACAGAGTACACATGTACCACAGACATACTAATCTTAATGGGCTTATCTTAAAAAGTGCAAGACCCCAGCATTCAGATAACGTATTCCCAGATTTCCCTTCCAGGAATGACAAGAATACTGATGAGGTAAAGGGTAAGAAAAGCGAATCATGATCTAAAACCCACGGAACACAAGAAATGACACTGTACATATTTTATCAAAATTGTTATTTGATTAAATAGATGACACTGGCATACGCATACTGAGAGGAAGGCTAAGTATTAACATTAGTCAAGGTAGAAAGGAGGTTGACACTTGTTTTCTAAGAAACCAATGAAAATAACGAATAGCCATAGAAAGTACAAAGTCACTGAGAATCTGAATTTCAATTACGAATGAGCAACACTCCATACAGCTGAAAAGATACTATTTGATAAGCTTTTTCTACCCACAACCATGCAACCTTTGTTAAGGAGGGGAAAAAAAACCTTAAGTCAGAACACCATGTAGCACTTACTGGTAATGAACCCAGGATGGTCCAAGAGTTTTCTTGAATTGAGCAAGTCCTACAATATCAATGTAAATGAGCTCAACAATTCTGTCTCCTACAGTTGGGCAGCCAGATCGGTTTCCTACAACCTTCTTCATGATTCTAGAGAAACGGCAAAAGAGAGGGGAGAAAAAAGAGAAAAATCATTTACTTAAAAGGTAATAAACTTGGCAACTTTAATGGGCAAATGCCACCCCAAAAATCCTTTTTAGAGATGACAGCATGGCCCTTTCAAATCTGCTACCTATATAAATTATTTCCATCCATTAAGGCCAACCCAGTACCCTGATTCTGACTCTTGCAAAAGCAAATGGTGGCATATAAACACAGTCTTTGAAATCAAGGAAGATATGGGTCTGACTCCATCACCACTATGTAGCAGCTGTGAGACCTTAAACAAGTTACCTAACCTCTCTCAATCTCTTTGCTCATCTTCCAGAAAACAAGGACTGGATACAAAGAACATTGGATACCAGTCTCTCAGGGGTTCTTCACAATGAGATATTGAAAAGAAAGTGCCTAATGAATACTAGATACTCAATAACTTAGTTTTCTCCCCCAGAGCCTGTTCTTACCGCTTAGCACCCTTACTAACCTTCCCCTCCCCTTTTTCTAAATGTCTTCAATTTCTAGCCTCTATAGTATTAACTTCTTTCTACCTGCCTCATACTGTTCCTTAACTTTTTCTCTTATGTCAAATTTTTCCTCCTCGCTTGACCATATTACAGAACTAGCACTATGGTTTACAGTTTTTTTTAATCACCCTTTCCCCCACCCATGCATCCATCCACACAAAACCATACTTGCGCTCAGAGCGTGACGATGTACTTGATTGGTAGGCCAACTTCATGTGTAGGAACGAGTCAGTGCTAACCCTACTGCCATCCACTCACTAATCAGTCACCACTGTTGCTTATCTGCAACACCCCATGATAATCCTTCACCAAATTATGGATATCCTGCTTCAAAGGACGAGAGTCACAAACAGGACTCTGCTTGACAGCTCTGTACTACCACCACATCAGCCACCCTTCTTCCTCTCCCCTGTTTATGAAAGAACTAGGTTCTGCAGAACCAGTTTCCTCCCAAGAGTCAGAAAACCCTTTCTGTTAAGGGCCAGACAGTGATTATCTTCATCTTTGCAGGCCATACATTTTCAGTCACAACTGGCCCATTCTCCCGTTGTGGAATGAAGACAGCTATATATGATACGTAAACAATAGGCATGGCTGTGTTCCCATGAAACTGTATTTACAAAAAAAGACAGAGGGCTGATTTGGCCTGCTGAGCCATAGTTTGCTGATCTCTGGTCCACCCCATGTTCAGTGTTTCCCAAACTTGTCTGTATAATGAAATTACCTGGAGGCATCACAAAATACTTATGGCTGTGTCCTACCCCCAAGGGTTGTGATCTAATTAGCCTATGGCATGGTCTATGGGATTTTTAAAAGATCCCCCAAAATTAAGAAATAAATACAAAGATCTCCAGGTGGTTCTAACGTACAGATATATTTAAAGACCACTGCTCTATACTGCTTCCACAATTATCTTCTTAAACAAAACACATCTAGCCCTGACCCCAGTGTGCATAAAGACTACTAGAATTAAGTCCTCACTTAACATCATCAATAGGTTCCTGAAAACTGGGACTTTAAACAAAACAACAGATAGCAGGCCCTCCAATAAAGTCATTTCCTTCAAATCACTGGTTATAATGTTGATGAAAAAAATTGGTTTCATTTTACATAATTTCATTTATAGTCCTAGTTTCCAAGAACCTATCAACGATGTTAAGTGAGGACATACTGAACAAATTTTCCCTTGACCATCAAATTCAGTCTCTGACTGATAAATCCCTAACATGTCTTTCCTGACCTCCCCAGGCAGTACTTGTCCCTGGTTCTACCACAGCACTCCATTTATTTACCTACCCACTCATTCATTCACCTATTTATTCCTTCACTCATTCATTCTATAAATAGTTATGTGAGTACTCATTACTTGCTAGGCACTATCTAGGTGCCCACTACACAGTGACAAACGATACTCAGTTTTCTGCAATCCCAGTGCTTACATTCTAGCATCCACGTACACCTCAATTAGCACCAATAGAATTGGAATTTGTGTAATTATTTTTAATATATTAGTTGTAATTATCAAAAGATTGGCAGCAAGATCTTTGACCACAAGCTGGCCATCTCTGTATGCCCGACACCAAAACTAGCCTACAGAAGACACCAGATGAGTGACTGCTAACTGTATAAATGCAGCCACTTTGTAGGTTGTGTATCCAATTTTTTTTTTTTTTTTTTAAGACAGAGACTTGCTCTGTCACTCAGGCTGGAGTGCAGTGGCATGATCTCGGCTCACTGCAGCCTCTGCCTCTCGAGTAGATGGGACTACAGGCATGGGCCACCACACCCGGTTAATTCTTGTATTTTTAGTACAGACAGGGTCTCACCATGTTGGCCAGGTTGTTCTTGAACCCCTGGCCTCAAGTGATCTACCTACCTTGGCCTCCCGAAGTGCTGGGAGCCACCATATATTGTTTTAACATGTCTCTCATCTCAATGAGCTCTAGAATGTTCATTCAAGGTATTCCTTCTGGAAATATACGACATATAGCAACATGGCAACTTGACTGTTGGGTGGGAAGTCTCCATGGGCAGTAATCCTAAGTGACTGCAGGGGATGGAAGCGTCCCTGCTCAGCCAGCTATGCCAATATAGAAGGGATTACAGGAGGGCTGGAGCTAGAAGCAAATTTCAGTGAAATGAAAAACCCAAGTAGAGTTAACAGACTCAGCTGAAAGTTGGCTAATTGAAAAAGGATCAGCTCAGGGCTTTCAGGAAATTTATTCTATCCAAATTGAATTACAAACAGGAACCTGCCCTGTTTCAAGATTTAGCAAGATTGATGTTGAGTAGGCAGTGGTATGAATTTCAGCAAGAGACAGGGAATTAGGAAAGTCAATAATGTTTTGTGCTCCAGATGTTGGAAGCACCTGTAATAGCAAAGAATAAGCTCCTTAGTTTGAATTTTCTGGCATTCATTTATGAAGCCTCTGGAGCCTTCAGCGACAATGAAAACATATTATCCTTTTCACAGTGTATGTATTTAGCTCCTGAAAATAATCTTCTTATCTCCTGTTTAGTGAATTATCACTTTCATTTTCCTCGACAAAAAATTATACACTAATAGAGGTAATACTTTAAGAGTTTACAATTTCTTTTTTGTATTCTGATTTTAAAATTGAAAAGTAATCTCCTTACTCCTTGAGCTCAGCCAGTGAAGCTGAAATCCTAATGTCATGGCCCAGTAAGTACAGAGATGTAATTAAATCACTCCATTGAACTAATTCACCAAGAGGGCCACCACTGAAAGCTGTCTCTGCAATCTTAAATCCAGATTCCTTGGTCAGGAGTCCCAGGTGAACGAGGACCTGGAAAACAAAGAGGCATATACTGATTCACACTGAACCACATACAAAAGGCACAGTAATGCGCCAAGAAATGATTGACCAATCCCAAAGTCATGTTTACATCCTAACAAAATCAAAGGGTGGGGAATGCTGTTTTTCTAGAAGGTACAAAGGAAGGAAATCATTTTTCATTGTGGTTTTAGAGAAACAAAATCACTGCAGCCCTTGGTATGGCTATGAGTACAAGGTATGGACAGATAATTCCACCTTTTAAAAGCACAGTGTATTTGTAAAATCGGGATTAAAGGAAGGTAAGACAGGACAGTATTTTCTAACACTATTGGTCTTTTATCTACAGCTAAAATACTTCTAACCTCTTACCATGGAAAATTTCAAACACATGGAAAGGCAAACATGACAATATAGTCAATGCCAAAGTAATTACTGTGTAGCTTCAACAATTATTAATGCATATTTAATCTATACCCCCATTTTCTCCCAACCCCTCTAGATTATCTCAAAACAAATTCTAGACATATCCTTTCATCTGTAAATATTTCGGTATGTATCCCTAAAAGGAACAAACCTTCACTTGAAAAATATAACTTGAACATCACTATTATCCCTAAAAAACCTAGTAATTCCTTAACATCATCTGATATCCAGTTAATATTCATACTTCTTCAACTGCCCTTTATTTTTTCTAAATGCACCTGTGTGATTCAAGAGTCAGAGAGCATACGTAATAATTGCCTCATATGTCTCTTGGCCTCATAGAAAACAATGTACAGGTGTCTCTGTCTTGGGATGTTAGCAGTCCTGGATGGTCACTAGCTAGATCCATTAATCCATTACGGACTGCAAAATGATGATATTTTACCATTCCTTCTTTGTTTATTAGCTGGAATAATACCTCTCTATAAAGAGAAACTACCCCTCATCAACCATTTGGTCACCCTGAGGTAACTCTAAGGTTTGTAAAGAAGGAGCCTGGTAAATACTTGATTCTTTCTCTTCATTTGCCAGTTTTTCAGAATAATAAACTTGTTCTTTAGCCTACTCTAATGATGATCTATGAGGATTTTTAATTTAAAAAATCATTATGACATCAAAGCATATTTGATATGCTTCAAAATATTGTGGATATTCCTCTCACTGACTATCCAATTGTCCCATCTAGGCCTGTGGTAGGCTATCCAAGCTGGCTCCTAAGTTCTTTTGACACGATCCTAGTCTTCTTTGACAGCTTCTCTGCACATGGGTAGACAGATGTGCCTGACAAGACTGTTGTAGGCTCAACAGGTACAACTTCTGTCTTGGACCTTAATAAGCCATTTTTCCAAGAACCTCTTATACCACTTAGTAGAAACAGCATTTAGAGACTAAAGTGTGGGGCTTAAGGGACTCAATTTTATTACTATTTATAGGCCTGATAGTGGCCCTAGCTAGGAAATTTGTTCTTCCTCAAAGATAAAACAAATCATGAGTTTAGACTGGTGCTTCCAATTCAAACTCAAGGTCATAGTGTTTTTACATAACATCACCAATCCTACCATCCATTAATTCTTCTCTTCCACACTGCAAATCCCACTTCTCAAAGACACTAACATAATTACTCATCTGCTTTACTCCAATGTTCACAATGGATTCAGAATGAGAATATCAATGCTACCACATATTACATGATTAATAAAAATGGTTTTAAGATGTTTTTACAGTTTTTATCCTTTGTGATATCCCATCAGAAGTGTACAGTTTACTGTGTTCTGAAGTCACTAAGAACAGTCTTTTTCTGTGCGCTTCCATCAAAACTGGATGGATATATAGTCAGTTCATTTGTTTTATATTCCTTTTAATTTTTAGTTTTTGGTAATAACATTTTGTTTAACACTTACATAAAATGATTCCAGCATCAAATCTACAAAGTCAGATATATTCAGAAGTCTAGTTTCTATGGTAGTTTCTGTTGCCTCCATGCTAATCCCAACTCCCCTTAATAATTGGACCATTTTTTTCCTTATTGCAGTAAAATTCACCTAACATAAAATTTACTATTTTAATGTATACAGTTCAGTAGCATGAAGCACATTCACATTATTGTGCAACCATCATCACCATCTCCTTTATTTTTAATTTTAGTTTATCAAAATAAGAAAAATACGTTTTCAAACTAACAGCAAGAAGCAAATATATGTATCTGTATATATCTTTATGTATACATAGATATAAATTCCCTCTCTCTCTCAAAAATAATGTAAACTATTCTCTACTTTTCTTCACCTAACAATATATCCTCGAGGTTACTCCACAGGAATATACAGAAAAATTCTTTATTTCTTTTTACAGCCCACCTGCACATCTGAACACATGCTCTTCCATACACAACCATTTGGTGACAGAATGTGTGGTCCTGTTGTCTCACAAATTCAAGAGATCTAGGCAAAACTGACCTATCAAACTGTGACTTGGGATCCTGTAAATGTATCTTTATTTTCTTTTTCAAACATATCAAATTAGTTGGATTAGGAATACCAAACTCATTTTTAAGTTTTTTAGATGTGGGAGCAAATTACTCACTTTGCTCAGTTCTGAAATCAGAACAGAACAGTTAATCTAAAGCCAGACCATCAAATCTATAGCTAACAGGGCATAAAGTCTTCTAAGCCCAGGGGTATTCGAGAGGTT
This sequence comes from Homo sapiens, assembly GCF_000001405.40. Taxonomy (NCBI): domain Eukaryota; kingdom Metazoa; phylum Chordata; class Mammalia; order Primates; family Hominidae; genus Homo; species Homo sapiens. Next base: position 134,338,925 of record NC_000002.12, on the reverse strand, counting down.
TTCCAAGCCTGTCCTCATAAACTAGAAAGAAACTGGCTCAAATTTAATCAAATTTCTCTCTCTCTCTCCCCTACGGGCATAAGCAGAAGCACCAACCAGACAGAGTAACAATGAAACTCACTGGCTATCCAAAAGCCAGGGATGAAAAACAACAAAAATACAAAATTTTCATGATGATATAATAGGAAGCTCTCGAAGGTTGGATTCAGGTAAGGAAATGGGGGAAAGTTTCCTGATACCCTGACAAAGACAGGTTCAAAGGAAAAGTCTTACAGGCAGATATTCTGCTTGGCTTCACCCAAGAAACTTGTGCCAGACCCTGCTAAGTGGGAGCATTGTAAGTGGGGAAAGGACAACCCAAAAACAGCTGTACAAGAGACTGAGCAGATTCACCCTGAGAGAATATCATTTGAGATATGACATTTCTCTTAGTCTTGTTTCCAAGCAAAATCAAATTTTAAAAGAAAGCTGGCATCTAACTGCACTGAATTAATAAGAAACTCACTTTCTTCCGCTTTCTCTTTTCAAGGTTCTGCTTTTCTGCCAGGGACTTGATTGCTTGGATCCATGCGTCAGCCATTCGCCGGATCCGTAGTCTCATCCACCGGAATTCTTCATGCTTTTTCATCATACTGTAGAGAATATTAAAATCTGTACGAATTTCCGCCTAGCAACAGAAATTTAATAAAATGAATAGAAGATAAAAAGTCAGAAAGCATAATAGTTTTCATGATGTGACATCTGAAAACTTAAAAGGGTTAGTCAATTAAATTGAGAGCTTCAAAAGTAAGTCTTGTCTGCTGCAGCTTTGACTTTAAGGTCCCAGGATTGCAAACTGAAGCCAAGGCTGCTGACTGCTGATCTGCCCAAAGGGACATCATTAAAAAATTAGAAATTGAGAAAAGCAGCACAGGCATTACAAAGCCCTGAGCTATGTTAAAATGCAGTTTTTATAATGAGTATGGTTGATGTACCTTGAAATTCTCAGCACTCAAATTTACTGTTCCACTTGGATCTACCACAGGACAGCAGACTTCTAAGAAAACTGAAGTCAATTCTTAGCAGGCTGTTTGACAACGTGGAAGTTGCCAGAAAGCCTCTTTCTGTCCACAGAGTTAAATAGGGAAATAAATGCTCATCTTCTGGTTTTGTCCCAGTCCAAACAAAAATTCATTGTTTTCTAAGGAATTTAAAGAGCCAAGAATACTACTTTTCTGCCATGAGTGAGAACAATTTAAAATTCCAAACAGAATAAATTAAAAGCCAGGAAGAATATTTTTCCTAATGCTCTGGATAATATAGCTGGATACAACGAGTGATTGGAATAATAGAGAAACATAATAACCAGTATTTATTTCATAGAACATCTCAAACATGCTGAGTCCACCTTTTCAGTAATCACCATAGCTCATTCTGAACACTCATCTCTTTTCCTTCTTTATCCCCCTTTGAGATAGGGTCTCACACTCCCACCCAGACTGGAATGCAGTGGCATAATCACAGCTCACTGGAGCCTTGAACTTGCGCTCAAGCGATCCTCTTGTCACCTCAGCCTTCCAAGTAGCTGAAACTATAGGCACTCGCCACCACGCTCAGCTAGTTTTTAAATTTTTTGTAGTGATGGGGTCCTGCTGTATTGCCCAGGCTGGTCTCAAATGGCTGGCCTCAAGCAATCCTCCTGCCTCAGCCTCCTAAAGTGCTGAAATTACAGGCATGAGCCGCCACATCCAGTTTCATTTCCCTTCTTGACTAAACAATATCCTACGACTCCTGTGGTTTACAGCATGGAACAGCAAACTACAGCCCTTGGGCTAAATCCTCACAGCTTGTTTTTGTGCATAAAATTTTACTGGAACTCAGCCATGCCCCTTCATTTACATATCATATACAGCTGCTCTCTGCGCTACAATGGCAGAACTGAGGAGCTGCAATGAGACCAATATGGCCTGCAAAGATGAAACTATTTACTATCTGGGTATTTTGTAGAAGTTTAGTGATCTATGGTCTAAAGAGTAAAGACTTAAGCTTTTAATGTGGCAACAAGTACTTTCACAGTCCCCTTCCTACCTTCCCAATTTCACCTTCAGCCTAGCTCATCCAGTCACCTATGGCCTTGGCCAACTGAACCATGCGTGCATGCTCTCCTCCCTGAAACTGCTATGCTCTCATTTTCCCACACGAGAGATACCCTTTTCTCCTTGACCTTATATAAACTCACTCATCATTTAAATTCGGCCCCAATGTCATCTTCACTATTCAATCTACCCTGAACCTTGCAGACTAAAATGACCTCTTCCTCATTAATTCCCACAGGCCTATATTACAGCATTTGTGACAGAGATGGTCATTATTTGCCATCAGCCTTATTAGATCACTAAGGGCCTCCACAGCTCGTACCAGGTCTTACTCATATCAGTAGCCTATCATTCAGGAACCCTCAGAGAATTGCTCAGTAAACAAACCTATGCTAATGGTTGACTGATTTAGTCACTTAGACTTCCACAGAGACGAATACAGAAGTTTTTCAGTGTAACACTATTTCAGGTTATAGTTGGCATTTCTAGAAGATTCCACATGTATCACTTGGCATCTGACCTAAATGCACAAGTCTAGAAAGAGTTTTCCAAAATCACTTACCAATGAATTATGATCAGCTTCTTCGTAGGGATTTTTTGCTCTCCAAGGTAAATGAGGACACCAATTTTCAACCTAAAAAGCATCAGTGACACTAAATATGCAGCTTCATCTATAATGAATTAATATACATAAAAAGCACCGAGAACAGCTCCTGGCACACAACTAGCACTATATTAATATGTGCTATTTTTATTATTAGCCAAATTCCCATGCTTTTAGCTAGTATTCCAGATACAAGTGCCCTCTCAGATGAAACAATCAGCAGCAAAGGTCAGAAGGAAGAGATTATACTTTACATCTGTCCTTCGAAGTACTTTACAGCAATTAATTCCTTAGTCATTTAAGCCTCACATCTCTGTACCAGAAGGAAAGGCAGTCTAATGGCAGAAAGTTAAAAGACTGAAACATTGCCACTGGGGAATGAGAATGTAAGGTGTCTCTGTGACCCTTTAGCAAATGGACAGGAAAGATCCTTATCTGCTGTGGCATATCTGGAAAGGAAAGGGAATGGCATTGGAGCCACAGAACTCAATCCTTTATCTGAGTTAGGAATGCCACTGATAGCTTAGGGCTAATTGGTCAAGGTTTCCCTCATTTTCTAGCTATTTGCTTCACACTATCTCAAGAAATAAGGTGGTAAAACCTATCTGAGAAAGAAATGAAAGGAGGAGAAAAAAAAAAAACCTTGATGATCTTGTGAGAGCCAATCTGGAAGATGGATTGTTCTGTCAATGAATAAGGTTTAGAAATTGAGGGGAGGAGGAAAGAGAAAGGAAAAAAGAACTTGATTCTATAGAAATTATTTCAGCAAAGGTTATCAAAGACTATTAGGCAACTTAATTTCTAGCAAAAAAATGAGAAATGCATTAAAGTTATATTGGTGTCTGTTCTCTGTCAAAACTAGCCATAAAATTTGAAGACAGCATTATCACCCGTTTACTAATAAAGAATGAGATTATGAAATATGGCTAACAGGCATTGAAAATAATTTTTCTATGGCCAGGTAGATCTATAAAATTTAATGAGCAATAGAGTGAGGGAATGTCCTTAAAGGGGTCACTAAGATAGCAGAGACGTGTGGAGCTATAGCCTCATGGGTCAGCACAAGACAGTGTGCCCTCTCAGTCTGGGTAAGTTTTCAAAGAAACATGTCAGTTTTACTTAATCTGGAAGTTACTCATAATGCAAGGTGATCTTTACTATAACCAAAGTAATTGGCCTGATTTGCATAAAGCCATCTGCCACTGCAGATGATCCCAAAGCAATAAGCAGAGAGAAGCAAAGCTTGGGGAGAGGGCGGAATCTCTGAATAGGAAAAGTGAAATATTCTCTTATCTTCTTACGGGATAAAATTAGACCTTACCATATTTGTGAATGATTCAGAGACTCAAAAGGATTCCCCACAAGGAAAGCTAAAATGGTTTTTACTCATAAAAAAGAAAAGACCAACTTGCCTTGGAGGCCTACAGTCTAATTACTGGGATCTGACAACAACATGACCATGAAAGGCAATATCTGCAGCTCCACAAATGAGAAAAATGAGGAAAAACAGCAGAGAAAAAGCCTGCAAGTGGATGAAGCCTAAGCTGGTCTCAGTAGCATTATGCACATCTGTACCTTGTATTCTTAGGCCAGATTGAATTATTTAGCTCCAATTAGATTTGTGCTAATGGACTCAATAAAGCATATTTATAACATGAAGACTTCAAATGGATTGTAGACTTGATTGTGAGATCTTTAACCTCACCCCATCCCACCCCCAACCCTGCAAAAAAAAAAAAAAAAAAAAAAAGGATGAGCAAGGAAAGTAGAGATTTGAAATACACCTTACACCAAGTAAATAACCAAATTTACCAGCCACCCACCAGGATGAAGTTTTCCCAGGAATAGCATGATGGGGAAAGATGAAACAAGACTAAAGAAAATCAACTAAGAGGAGAGACATGAGCGAGACCAGATACTCATAAAGTTCTCTCCTCACTCTGCCACTGCAAGAAGAATCTTTCAAGATTCACTGTGATGAAAATACAGTCCCAGGTGATTTTTAAAAAGATGACTTCCCTACAGAAGCCTGAAGACTGTAATGCCTCTTTGAAACTGATCATTTATCTTAGTTCTTCTTATTCTAAATCACTGGGTATTACTCCCTAAGGCTCCAAGGGCACTCCTGAAAATATAAAATATAGAGTCAATCCAATTTAGCTTTTAGCAAGAAATTTTGCTGTTATACATGCACTCGTAATGGTGGGAAAATCAATTATGAACATCTTAGCACAGAGCGGGAAGGTGGGTTTTTAAGGTTGTTTTTGTATGCTGTGATAGGATAACTGGTTAACAAAATAATTAAATTATACATAAACCAATTATCCCATGGGGAGAAGGGAAAAACAAAACAAAGCATTTCTTTCTCTGGGAAACCTCGGAGGATTACCAGGATTGGAAGAAAGCCAGCATTGGCAATAACTCCAAGTACTGAAACAAACAGCTCTCAAATGAGCAACATTTTCCTAAATAAGAACACCATTAATAACATTCAAGGAAAATCTTGCTGAAGGCTAGTAACAACTTCCTAATCCCTAACTTTGTTTTCTTTTGATCTGTCCAGGGTCCTTTAACAAGCTTAACCCACCAGTAGAGGATGCTACCAATAAAGCTGGACCCCAAGGTGAGCCCCACCACCTTCTTTTTTTTTATTTTTATTATTATTATACTTTAAGTTTTAGGGTACATGTGCACAATGTGCAGGTTAGGTACATATGTATACATGTGCCATGCTGGTGTGCTGCACCCATTAACTCATCATTTAGCATTAGATATATCTCCTAATGCTATCCCTCCCCCCTCCCCCCACCCCACAACAGTCCCCAGAGTGTGATGTTCCCCTTCCTGTGTCCATGTGTTCTCATTGTTCAATTCCCACCTATGAGTGAGAACATGCGGTGTTTGGTTTTGTGTCCTTGCAATAGTTTACTGAGAATGATGATTTCCAATTTCATCCATGTCCCTACAAAGGACATGAACTCATCATTTTTTATGGCTGCATAGTATTCCACGGTGTATATGTGCCACATTTTCTTAGTCCAGTCTATCATTGTTGGACATTTGGGTTGGTTCCAAGTCTTTGCTATTGTGAATAGTGCCGCTATAAACATACATGTCATGTGTCTTTATAGCAGCATGATTTATAGTCCTTTGGTTATATACCCAGTAATGGGATGGCTGGGTCAAATGGTATTTCTAGTTCTAGATCCCTGAGGAATCGCCACACTGACTTCCACAATGGTTGAACTAGTTTCCAGTCCCACCAACAGTGTAAAAGTGTTCCTATTTCTCCACATCCTCTACAGCACCTGTTGTTTCCTGACTTTTTAATGATTGCCATTCTAACTGGTAGGAGATGGTATCTCATTGTGGTTTTGATTTGCATTTCTCTGATGGCCAGTGATGGTGAGCATTTTTTCATGTGTTTTTTGGCTGCATAAATGTCTTCTTTTGAGAAGTGCCTGTTCATGTCCTTCGCCCACTTTTTGATGGGGTTGTTTTTTTCTTGTAAATTTGTTTGAGTTCATTGTAGATTCTGGATATTAGCCCTTTGTCAGATGAGTAGGTTGTGAAAATTTTCTCCCATTTCGTAGGTTGCCTGTTCACTCTGATGGTAGTTTCTTTTGCTGTGCAGAAGTTCTTTAGTTTAATTAGATCCCCTTTGTCAATTTTGGCTTTTGTTGCCATTGCTTTTGGTATTTTAGACATGAAGTCCTTACCCATGCCTATGTCTTGAATGGTAATGCCTAGGTTTTCTTCTAGGGATTTTATGGTTTTAGGTCTAACATTTAAGTCTTTAATCCATCTTGAATTAATTTTTGTATAAGGTGTAAGGAAGGGATCCAGTTTCAGCTTTCTACATATGGCTAGCCAGTTTTCCCAGCACCATTTATTAAATAGGGAATCCTTTCCCCATTGCTTGTTTTTCTCAGGTTTGTCAAAGATCAGATAGTTGTAGATATGTGGCATTATTTCTGAGGGCTCTGTTCTGTTCCATTGATCTAGATCTCTGTTTTGGTACCAGTACCATGCTGTTTTGGTTACTGTAGCCTTGTAGTATAGTTTGAAGTCAGGTAGCGTGATGCCTCCAGCTTTGTTCTTTTGGCTTAGGATTGACTTGGTGATGCAGGCTCTTTTTTGGTTCCATATGAACTTTAAAGTAATTTTTTCCAATTCTGTGAAGAAAGTCATTGGTAGCTTGATGGGGATGGCATTGAATCTATAAATTACCTTGGGCAGTACGGCCATTTTCATGATATTGATTCTTCCTTTTCATGATATTGATTCTTCCTACCCATGAGCATGGAATGTTCTTCCATTTGTTTGTATCCTCTCTTATTTCATTGAGCAGTGGTTTGTAGTTCTCCTTGAAGAGGTCCTTCACGTCCCTTGTAAGTTGGAATCCTACCCACCACCTTCTTGACCTGAAAATGGTTCTATTTCAAGTCATTCTCAATAGCTCTTCTACTCTTGGCTCTCAGAGCCCTAGCGTCCTACAGCTGTCTATGACCACCTTCCTTCACACTTTCTCAACTGTGGCTCCTGGTACTCTCTCCCTGGGACATGATTTTATATTTCCCCTCAGTATGGAGACACACTGGGTACCCTGCCTCCCCCCACCAACCCCCTGCCGTCAACGCCATCTCTACCCAGCTTTTATGGCCTGGGAAAGACCTCCCTCAAGCCCTCTGCCAGGGAAGGGACTGGACAGTCTTAAAAGTAGCCTACAATTTACCACCATAAGTCTAAGAAATTAAAACTGTCTGAGCTCACGGCAACACGCACACAACAATCGATTGAGGAGAAGCATTCCTCCAGTAACCTTCAATTGGAAAGCAAACTCTGACATGAACTAATCTTTTTAGCTCACTAGCCTCAGGCCACAAAATGAAGAGAAAACAAAAACAAACAAAGACCAGCCAGGCTAAAACTTTAGAACATCAATGCACATTCCATGGAAAGGACCCTATAAAATCCCTTTTCTTGAACAAGGAGATATAAAATACAACAATTTGTTTTTTTGACATTCCTCCTCATAGTGATTTAAACTTCTTTGAACAAAAAGGGTTTTGCAGCTTAAACATGAACATTGTGAATCAAAGCATTCTCTGAGTCCCTAGAAGTCTAATCTGGTCAGACTTATTTCTAAGGTCTGTAGGATGGACAATTCATTATATTAAGGGGAAAAAAGTTGCTGGCAGATACATAAGACAGCTCAAGTTGGAGTTTAAAGATGGAAAGAAAAAGTAATAAAGCTACTGTGAAAACTAATAAATCCAATGTATATATGCATGTTGTTAGATATAATATGGCAAAACTCTTAGTAGTAATGTTCTATTCTTTTGAAAGAATAATGATTAGTCTGTGTTATGGCTTTTTCTTTCATGATTAATGTGAAGTATTCTGTTCTAATGGGTCACCAACACACAGGATTTCATGCTGTATTTTTCAGATGATTTAAGTATAATCAAAACTAAATGAGAGAAATGCATACGAGAAGTCTGAGATCATCTCTGGATGATGGTGTTCTGGGTGCTTTTCATTTTCTTTTTGCTAATCTACATATTATACATTTCACAATGAACATTAAGAGAATAATTTTTAAAGGAGTTACATAAGCATACCATCATGTATGAAGGCTTAGAATATGTTGGGCTTCGTAACACACACACACACACACACACACACACACTACACAATTTAATTCCCCATAGGGCCTTATAACACGGGTACTAGCAACATGTTACATGGGATGAAGTCAAGGCTTAATGTGAATTTGCCACTATAACTTCTCTAGTGAGTGGCAGGGCTGAGTGACAACTGAAATTTGTTGCCTCTCTGACCAGGATACATTAGAGTTACCTTTAGGCCAAGCTTAGTGAGGGATAAGAGACCTATTTCAGTGGGGAAAGATAACTGAATCTGGGATCAGTCAAAATGGACTCTATGCCCAACTCTGCAAATAACTAGGCATGTAATTTTAAACCATTTGGCTTTCAAGTTTTCTCATCTACTTTAGAGTTGGATCAGGTAACCCTCTTAATTTTATTATCCTATAAGATCTGAAAGATAGAATTTATGTCATCCTGTTAGGCTAGTTGGTCATATATCAAATCAATACAGTTGACTATATATCTAAATATTCATTTGACACACTGATTACGCTTATATATACATGCATACATAAACATACACACATTTGTTATACTGATGACATCCAGTGAAGTTACTCATTAAGGGATACACTAAAAAAAAGTAAGCCCCCTGCACTTCTCTCTACCACATGCCAACTCCCGATTCCTCTACTTTCTAAAGTTTTAATGATAAAATGCAGATGGTAAAGGATGTCTACTCATGTAAGTGGTAAGTGGTTCAGCTTTCTAGGCTAGTTCTCTGCACCAACACCTGAGTTGATTAATATTTTGGTCCGACTCCTTATCTGAAGAGCTGTGTAGGGGGAGTGGGCTGGGAGAGACAAAGAATAAAAGTTGCGATGTACTAGGAGCCAAGCATGAGGATAAGCCCTTTACACAGGTCATCTCATTTGGTCTTTTCAAATAACCTCTTGAGAAAGGCTAATTATCATGCTAGATGAAGACGCCGAAGCACAGACTAGATACAGCTAAAGATGGAAATGCCACCTGTCTTGCCCCAGAGCTGATATGCTCAATCACTATTTGAAGCACATTGGCTAAACTTTTGGTTCCTACAGTCCCAAAAACACAGTCCAGTCTTCAATATTGGAGTATCATCGCCTAGGTCTTCTGTATGAAATCCTTTAAAGTGATTATACTCCCGCTGCGTGGCAGTACTGTATGGTTAACGAATGTAGCAACAATTCTGCTTCCAACTCTTGCTCCTACCATTTGTTCTATGTAGCAAGAGCAAACGAAACGCCAAAATTGGATCACATTCTACACATACTCAAATGCTGCAATGGCTTCTCCTTGCTCTCAGAATAAAACCCAGAATTTATACCAAGATCTTATAGAATCTGACTTCAACTCCTACACTGTTTGCCTCATTCACCCTGCCCTACATAAGCCAACCTCCTTGCAAGTCCCAAGAACATGCAAGTTCATTCCTACCTCAGTGGGGTTGCCAGATTTAGGGAAAAGAAACAGGGCACTCAATTACATTTTAACCGTAGACAAACAACAGTTTTTGTTTTAGTATAAGTATGTCCCACACAGCGTTTGTCACATACTTATATTTGAAAAAACTCATTGTTTACCTGAAATTCAAACTTCATTGGCTGTAATGTATTTTATCTGGTAACCCTACAGCTCAGGGCATCTGCATTTGCTCTTCCTTCTACTTGAAACCCTCTTCCTTCTAGAGTGTTCCATGCCTCACTCCCTTACTTCCTTCCACACTATGCTCAAACTTCTCCTTACAGAAGCCTTCCCTGACCCACTGACCTGGCCACTCTGCATCCTCCCTAGTTTATTTTTCCTCAGAGTATTCAACCCTTGAGGCAATTCTTTTATATACTGATTTTATTGTTTGCTGCCCCATCTGCATGCAAGCTCCTTGAGGACAGAAACCTCATCTGTCTGGTTCTCACTCTATCTCCAGTCCTGAAAGCAGTACCTGGCACACAGGTAATGTCCAATTAGTATTTGTTAAGTAGTGAATGAATAAATCAAAAAGCATGACTTGGGCACTAAAGAGACTCATGATAATGATACTCTTTTCCACTTACGCGGCGCTTTACTGTTCTCATTTTATTGGAACCGTTCAATAATACACTGAGGGAGGCAAAGCAGACTTTATCTTGACCTCAATGAGGAGAAACCAGACTGAAAACTCAAGGGAAAGCTCAAAGCCACATAGGGAAGTGGTGGGATCCAGACAGCAAATCAGGTCTTGTGTGTTTCCTCTAACACTGTACTGCTGCCCCCTGACAAGACAGGGAGGAATATTATTAACACAAAGTACAGAACTGGCTACCTGCAAGAGACAGAGTACAGGGCCAGAGGGATCCATGAGAGTTCTGCTCAGCATATCAGGGGTGAGGGGGGGTGCAGAATTTAAAGGGATGTTGTAGTAAGTGTTCAGTGTGCCACAAAACCAGTGGGGTTCTAACAAGAGGATAAGACACTTTCAATAATCCATCCCAAATTGCTCTAAGAGGAGAAAGGCCAATTTTCCCTTATACATGAGAAGCAGCAAATAAATTCCTCTGTAGCCAACCAAACAGATAATGCATAGAGATACTTTCTATAGCAACTCTCACTAGGCACAGCTCCCACTGGATGCTGGCAAAACTGGTCCCAACTGGTCTGTATCCACATAAGGACATTTTGACAACTAAAGTCACTCAATTTTAAGAGGTAGTCATATTTTAGGCAACAATGATATAGCTCTTTTTTTGTGTTTAATGTGCAATTATGCTAAGTGACAATGAAAATAAAAAATGGGCAAGAAAGCTGTGCCTTCTAATACAATTGGCTCATTCCATTCTAACAGTCTATCTGAGCCCTTGTATGTTCTCATAATATTACAGAGCATTACAGTAGTCCTCTCTTATCCACGGCTTCACTTTCTAATATTTCAGCTACCCACAGTCAACTGCAGTCTGAAAATATTAAATAAAAAATTCCAGAAATAAACAATTCAAAAGTTTTAAATTGCGCAATGCTCTTAGTAGCTGATGAAACCTTGTGATTCCTGCTCCATCATGCCCAGGGCTGGAACAGCTCCTTTGTCCAGGGGATCCATGATATAGACACAACCCACTCACATTAGTCACTTAGTAGCCTTTATGTTACCAGATCAACTGTCTCAGTATCTCAGTGCCTGTGTTCAATAAACCCTCATTTTGCTTAATAGCAGCCCCAAAGCTCAAGAGTAATGATGCTGGCAATTCAGATATGCCAAAGAGAAGCCATAACATTGTGAAGAAGAAAAAAGTATAGTATATGGAGGGTTCGGTACCACCCTCAGTTTCAGGTACCACTGGGTCTTAAAATATATCCCTCATGGATAAGAGAGGACTACTGTATATTAAATGTGTTAATCAGTGCTCAAAACGCCCCTGCTTCATGTCTCAACTCAAATGTCTTAGCGGATTTTAATGTTACAAAGTTTACAACATTTTTTTTAAGATCGGAAGGGTTAGAGCTAGAAGTTACCCACTCAAAACAAAAAACTATAGCCAATTTTAAAAAATGCTTCAGATAGAACCATTCATTCAATAAACCCATGTGCCAGACATCATTGTACGTGAGAACAAAACAGACAAAACTCTCTGTGGAGATGACTTTGCTTGTACTTGTTGTTAACATTAGGTGTTAATGGTCACTCCAGGGCGACTGCACTTCTCTTCCCACTGCCTGCTAAACACCTGTCAGATATCTGCACTTCTTACTCCCTCACTTTCTTCAAATATGGTCCAACATCATTTTCTCACCTTCTCAGTAGGGCCTATCCTGACCACTCTATCCAAAACTGACACCATCACTTCTCATAAGTACTTCTTGCCCTCTCTTTAGTATTTCTCCCCAGGCATGCACTACAATCTAGATGATACATCTTACTTTTTTGATGTTGCTAGCTATCTCTCCTTACATAACACAACCATAATGAGGAGTGTTTATTCATTGTTACATCTCCAGCAGCCAGAAAAAAATCAATAGCAATTAATGCTCTTGGCACTCAGGTTGTGGCCCCTAAGCATTATTTCTAAGGAAACTGGGGTGGTATGCAGGCCGGGGGAGCAAGATGGTTCTTAGAGATGCTGGTTCCAGGCCTAGGGCAGGAACTGTATGAGATGAATCTGGAAGATCTTGGCATACCACAGAACAAGAAAACTATTACAAACTACCATGGTCATGTCAAAAGGTCTGAGAAAGCAGTATGAATAGGTCCTCACTGGCCAAAGCGGGGCAACTTGACAATCAGTAAGAAAATAACTGCAATGGATTGTTCAAATGTTTTAATCCATTACTACATAACGATAATAAAAAACAAAAAGCAAGCAAGCAAAAAGAAGAAAAGCTGGAAATTCTAGGAAATGAACTGGGAAATAAATGGTTTCTTCTATGAATTTCCTCTTAGGGTGATCACATACCTGATGAAGAGTCACATCTCTGCACAGAAGTATTCCTGATATATTAAGAAGGTACCTTTAATGAATTAATGAACCTGGGCACTGATCAATGATTGCTAACATCAAAAAAAAAAAAAAAAGAGAGAGAGAGAGAAAGAGAAATCAGGCATTATGTGCCTCCCAACTCAAGTATATAATACCATTATCCATGAAATAACTTGCACAAACAATATTAGGCACTATTCTGATCAAACCTCAGAGCTAGCTATCACTTTACTGGAAATACAAGGGGGCAAAGAGCCAGGTTATGCAACAACATGGGCTGTAACCAAAATTCAGAGTAAGACAAACTCTAAGGCAATGAAGCAGTTTCTCTAACAAAAAATTAGAAGGAGGAAAAGTAAGAGACGGAAGAGAACCTAAAATGAAGAGAGATTTAGGAGACATCAACAATTGCAATTTAGGGTCCTTACTGGAAACCCAGTTCAAATAAATAAACTTTAATTTATACAATGGCCTGAAAATGTGAATACTAATCTGATGTGAAGGAATTATGTTAATTTTCAGGTGTGAAATAGTATTAGCAGTTATAATGAGAATAGTTGTACAGTATGTTTTAAAAGTCTCTTTTAGAGATACACATTGAAACAGATGATATGATGCTTGAGATTTGTCCTAAAATAATGAAGCAGAGGAGGTTATAAATGAAATGAGACCGGCTATGGATTGACAATTGTTGAATATGGATCACGGGCACACAGGAGTTTGTTAAACTCTTTTGTAGTACATGCTGGAAATTTTGCATATTAAAAAGTTTAAAACATAATTTTAAAAGTATTTTTAGGGTCATACAATAGAAATTACATGAGACGATATTTAAATGTGTATAAAAAACAAATTGGAGATGACAGCATTGAAGCCCCATCCTGCCACATGTGTTCCAAGAAGCAGTCAAAGAAGTGTTGATTTGGGTTTTGGCAAGTCTTGTCCTTTGCCCTTCTGATTTTTGTAGAGTGGAGGCCAGAACAAGAAGTCTAAATATAAATGTTGTGGTATATAACATTCATAAACAGGAAGTGTTGCTAAGAACTTTAGTGGGTGAGGGGCTAAAGGGAGAAACTAACAGATCAGTTAGGCTGACTAACAAATACTGTTCTGTAAACTCAGGATTTTTTTTTTTTTAAATTCTTTTACTAAGGATGTCTTAGAACTCAGGTAGTAAGAGCAACAAATATATACAGATGAAAAAGATACCAATAAAGGCTGAACAGAGAAGGTGAAAAGAACATGATCATAAATCTCTGCCACCTCCTTTACTGCCCAGAAATATTATCTTGAGGAAAAGGAATTTCCCATTTCAAATGGCTGAACATTTGAAGGGTGTGTGTTGGTATTCTCGGGCAACAATCCGGTGATATTTTTAAAGTACTCCCTGACCCACCCCAAAACGTTAGTTGTTTTTACATTCAGGTTTTGTCCTGTAACCTAAGCAGTCTATTCTTTATCACTGCCCACTTTGACAAATTAGTCTGTGCAACACCATTTCCAAGTTATCTTTAGCAGCCAACACAGCTCATAAATCCAAATCATTGTACTGGTTATTAGGATTTCATTTCATGCTCGCATTCACAAACATTTAAGCTTTCAACCTTTCCTGTTGGGCATTAATCTTAGCATTAATCAAGGGATTAAGTATGCTGAATTTAAACTCAAGGTTAATTACATGCTCAGCCAATATTAGTTTTACATACTGCCAAGGGAGAACAGAAAGAAGCAAAGACCTTTACGTCTGTTGTTTATGAAATATAAGAACTAGATTGACAAGTAAGGCATGAAACTGCTTCTTTTGCTCCTTTGTGAAAGAGTCATAGACACACTCTCATGCATCTAGTCCAAATTGGCATTTGAAGCAATAGCTTGCACACATCCTAAGATCTAGCAATCAATCACTGGGCAATTTGATTATTTCAGAGCAACTCTACTTGCAATGGCAACAGAAGTGCATACAAGAAAAGCATAAACAAATTAGGAACTCTGGAAAGGTATGATGCTTCCTAGGTTCTGTAACAACTGTTTAAAAAGAAAAAAAAGTGCCAGTGTCAAATACATCAGTATCATCTATCAACATAATATCAACAGAGATGAAGAAATTCATTCTAAATTTTGTAAAAGCTGATAGCAGTAAAAGGCTCTGCAGATGGTTAAGTTAATATACCTGAAACAATGACATTCAGAGTAATTACTTTATAGGGCCCTGTCTCTGTAATGGGAGTAGTTACATGGCTCACGAAAACAGATACAGAAAATGAACTGCCTGATGTTCTGGAAATACAAGGCTGCCTAATGAATCATTTGCTCATTCCTACCACTTGGAATGGCTGACACCTGGTTTTCATGAGTTATGGCAGCAAGAGAGTTTGTGTTTTTTTGGAGGCGTAGGGTATCGAAATTATGGAGTATTAGACAACTAGCAATGAAGATCTATTCATTCAAGTTAGCTAAATTAGAGCCATTTTCCCATCACAAGTGGATTTAACCATACAACTGAATGCAAAGTCAATGGCTGCAAGTTAGCTACCTAAGATCCGTTTTCCTTCATCATAAAGGAGACAGCAGGAACAAAAAGTGCAGGACTTTGGGGATAAGCGACTTGACCTCTCTGAGCTATCTATGACTTGGCTCTCCATTACTCTTTAGAGTTGGCAAGAGGTTTAAATAAGATTGTGTATAGCTGACCCACAGTATCTGTTGGGGACTGGTTTCAAGACCCCTGTGGATATTAAAATCCTCAGATGCTGAAGTCACTTAAATAAAATGGAGTTATTCTGTATTTGAGGTGTCTGGTACAGTGGAGCATCAATAGTCTTTCATTCTTCTCTTGTCTGCCCCAAAGTCCCACCTCTAAAGAAAGGCAACCACTCAGCTTTTATCTCTACCATCTCTAGTACAGCGTCAGACATATAACAAACAGCTGTGGGGGTATTTTAAGGAAAAATATTGATGGCTTTTCTTCCTGGGATTTAACCAAAAAAGATCCATAGACTACAAGTTGGTGAGGGTGAAAGTACTAACAGAAGTTTCTAATCCCATAACTCAGCGGAAGCTGGTGAACTGAGACAACCCTAAGAAAGAAAAATGAAGGAAGAGTACCATCTCTTAAGACAGGTCTGAATCTAAATGCTCCAATTCCACTAGTGACTGACTATACAAGAGACATTTTACTTCATGTCCTTTTGGCATCTGTTAAAGCTCTGATGTTAAACATAGATCAAAACAAGAACTGGCTCTTTCAATAAGGATTAGGAATAGAATAAAAGTCACTGGTGCATGTGTTGATCACATTAACAACTCAAATGAAGATGTCTCTCTCAATCATCTCCCCAGTTGCAAGAGAAACCTAGATGATACAGGAAATAAAAACGCAGGTTTCAGAGTTAACTTAAATAACAGAATAAGGAAAGTTTCAAGACAGCAGGAAAGAATAAAACCACACAAGTGAACCAACAGCTCCTACAAAGCCACAGATATTGTCCAGGATTTTAAAAATACTAAAAAGGAATTAATCGGTTTTACAAAACATCTCTACTAATCTCACATTAACAATGGTAGGGTGCACTGGGTCCATACGTGCAGCTAATTCCAGTGCAAACCCAAGTATCATGTCCAGAAATGACCAATCAAGGGAAAATACTCTCACCACAAATAAATATGTATGTGAAGTAATGCACATGTTAATTAGCTTGATTTAGCCATTCCACAATGCAGACCCATATCAAAACACCAAGTTGTATACCATGAATACATACAAACGTTGTCAATTTAAAAATAGGCATTAAGGGAAACAGCTGAATTTCTATATTACCAGAAGTCAAAGGATCTAAAATTGCATTACACTGGTAAATGAGAACCAGAAATTGATTCTAATTCTAAAATGGAACAATGTTCCCACATATAATGTCCAAGGCAAAGTGACACCCCACAACTATTCCAAAAAGATCACAACATTTAAAACCACGGAAGTGTCAGTTATGCTTATTGAGTGTCTTTTATCTGCCGGGTTGTACTCTAAGTACATTCCTATTATTTCATAAAGGAAGAATCCTAGGCACAAAAGGTTAAGTGACCTCATAGAGCTGAGAAAGCAGCAGAAACAGAAGCTGATGTCAGGTGTGACTCTAAGATATTATTCCTATTGAAGGGACCATATTGGTGACATTCTCCTTCAACTCTCACAGGGTACTTATTACAATGCTATGATAACATAGAAAAGCCCTGAGGTTCAGGGTTATATTCAGATTAAAACTTGTAAGAAGGGGTCCCTAGTTATCTCCACCCATTCTCCTGGTTCAGTTACCTGCATCCTTTCTTCCTGTTGCTTTTACAATGATTAACACATAACGTGGTGTCAAGAAAATGTGTTTTCATTAATTGTTGACAATGAATTCAATAACTGCTCACTGAACAGAATTCAGCCAAGCAACAAAAAGACCACCCGATATCTGCATAAGAAGAGAGTGGTATGAGCTAATGAAGCGTATTTCACACCTCAGGAAGAGAAAACGTAGTTGCTCGTTCCAAAATGAAATACTCAGCCTCAGATAGCAAGTGATATGTGATCCATCATGTCTCTTCATCCCGTATTCCTCTCTACTTCCCTTCCCCAGAACCTCACTTTTCTCTCAGCTTAGCCATATACTTCACTGGGAGCAGGGGTGAAGTGTGACAAAGGGAGGGAAAGAAGTCACAAATAACTGCAGTCTCTTCCATTTGGATCACTCTCCATGCCTTCCAAGGAGATGTAAGTATGGGAATGTAAAATCCTCTGCCTCAGCAGCATACCCCAACATGCAAAGGCTTAGGAAGGCATGAAATTAGCCCAGCTTGTCAATCATGGAGCTTGGTCAGACTCTGGCTAAATTCTTTCAAGTAGAAAGGGGAATAAAACTTTTGAAAATTAAACTAAATGAGGAACCTTTTCCTCAGGGCAGGAGAGGTACTTCTAATTGACTTTTCAACTAGAGTGAAGGTTCACGCATGGCCCCAGGCTTTACTCCTCTGGAGAAGGAAATGAGAAGGCAGGCCACAAGCCACCCAAGCCGGAAGCCAGAAACTCATATAAATGCTATCAAGTCAATTTGCCAGCAGCCTGCTAATGAGGAGCCTCACACACCCAACTCTCAGAGCTGTTCATTTCCAAGAGGTATTTTAACTATCGTTAGCTCTGGGGTTTTCATGATGGCAATGGAACAACCTTGTCCCCCTTCCCCCAAAAAATCATGGAGCCCGGTTGGAACCCCCAAAAAGTGTAACTTGAATGCACCCAGGCAAAAGAAGTAATAGTCTGAGAGAGGGGCAAACCCCACAGAATCAGGGCCACATGCCCTATTAGCAATACTGTTTGGCCTCTATCCCCATCACCCTATGGCAAAGAAAAGAGAGGCATCTGAATCCCACAAAAGGAAAACTATGGCAAGAATATTTTATTTAGCCTCAAAAATGAAGGTGTTCTCCTTCCTGCATGGCATCACCAGCTGTTATTATTGGTCAAATAACAACAGCAACAGCAAACAAAAACGGGGGACAGAATAAAAAGAAAGGGCAGCAGAGGGTCTGTGGAGGCATGACCTCAGAATTGGCCAGAACCTGTTTCACAAGACCCCAAAGCTGCCTACTCTGCTCCAACCCCTTCCTCCCCCAGTCCATAAAGGGGAAGCCAGCCGGTTTTGATTCCCAAGAGGTTCTAGGTGAAATGGATATCCTTAAAGTCTGTAAAAAATTCAAGTGGCCCATAAAGTTCTCTGCAACCGTTAAAAAAAAAAATACAAAAGCTGCTATTTAAATTCAAGGGTACAAATGAAAATGATGCTCAGATTTAGGGAAAAAAGGAACGTAAATGTAACTATCTTTTAGTTACTTCCCTCCCAAACCTAGCCTTACGCATCTCTTCCCTCTGGCTGTTTCTGAGTTGTTTCTGTTATAATAAACCAGTAAATGCTTCCTGGTCTTTAAAAGGAGGAGGAGGACATAGACTCTGCTATTCAGATCCACACACTGATCCCTCTACAAGCAGTGACTCAAACACTGAATCTGAATAGGGTGGCTCTGGTGACTGAGATGGCAACCTCTCTAAAGATCTGGAGCCTGCTCTTGGCCCTGCTTTGATCCTATGCAGGCTGCTTGTACACAGGAAGAACATCTACTGGTGGGAACTCATAAAACATCACTACCCACGTTCAAGAGTACAGATGTGATGTCCTCATGAGAGAAAAAGAAGTGCTCTAAAAGATAAGAGCTCTCACATGTTCATCTAAATCTCAGGTTACCAAATTGAGCATACACATGCTAATGACAACTGGGATGACTGCTATAGACATGCATATGTACGGACCCAGAATGCACCCAATGTACTCAAGTGTCACTGGGAGAATTCCAAAAATAGCTACACAGAGAGCAGGAGCTTCAGCTACATTGAATTCCACCACAGCATGGATGAGTATGTTGATGGCATAGAGGACCTGAAGATAAAGCCTATCAGCAACCAGAAGGTCTACCCACATTCCCAGGTTTTGGTAGAGTATTCCATACTTCCCAAGTGGTAGCCCCTGCCTATGTCCATTGTCCCATCACTCCCACTGTGCAACTGATACCATAACTTTCCCTATGTTGTTTCTCTGCCTTGAATACACTTTTGTCTTTCATTTACCTAACTTACTTATAACATTTTTTTTTCTCAAGATTCTGATCATGTGGCATCTCTTCTTGACAAACCCAGGAGATTTCCTGATATTGACTCTCTTTATACCTAACCCAAGCTGAATGATCCTCCTTTCTCTAAATAATTTGTATTATTCAAAAAACAAAACCAGAAAATAACAAGTGTAGGTGAGAATATGAAGACATTAAAATGCTTGCACACTGTTGGTATAAAATGGGGCAGCTGCTTTACAAAATGGTATGGCAATTCCCCCCAAAATTAACAATACAGTTACCATATGATCCATCAATTTCACTTCTGGGTATATTTCCAAAATAACTGAAAGCAGGGTCTTAAGGGGGAGTTAGTGTTTAATGAGTCTAGAGGTTCAGTTTTGCAAGATACAAGGAATTCTAGAGAGGGACAGTGGTGATGGTTGCACAATGATGTGAATATACTTAATGCCACTGAACTATACACATTTGAAAATGGTTAAGATGGCAAATCTCACGTCTATTTTACTACAATTTAAAGAAAAGCTAGAAAAAAAGGAAATAGCTAACTAACTCCGCTTATTTTTCCCTCAAGGAGAAAAGAAAAACATCATTCCTGGAGAGGTAGGGAGAGTAATGAAGGACGGAACCATAGGTCCTCCACATAAAAATACCACACGTTTTCAAGCTTTTCAAATTTCAGACTCAGCTACAGAACAGTCCAACCAGTCACATCTACCCCCAGGAGCCACAGAAAGCTACTCACCTCACTGAGGTAAATAAAAAAAGAGCAGGTGGATCCATCCACTCCATAGTCTGCGTAGCAGGGATCTGAACGCCACATGTCTTTCATCCACTGAAACAAGAAGAACATCTCTGAGCAGCCCATTCACAGGCCCTCCACATCTGCTGACAGGGAAGGCGAGGATAGAATGGTGAAGATGGAGTGAATGGCTCAAGCTGTGGCCTAAAGAACTGAGTGACAGGGTCACTGAGCCGAGGTCAAGATAGCCAGGTGTGCAGCTCACCTACTTGGACGATTAACAGGAAGACACTGGCTTACGTTAGGCCTCAGCAGAAGCGCTTAGAGTGGAGAGTAAGGTCGTGGTACAGCAGGCAATAAAGCCCAGGAGAGGCGGTGGCTTAGGGATTTTTATCAAGATCAAGTGCCTAATGGGACTCTGATATCTACACCCCCTCCAGGAACTCCAGTTCCAAC
This sequence comes from Homo sapiens, assembly GCF_000001405.40. Lineage (NCBI taxonomy): Eukaryota > Metazoa > Chordata > Mammalia > Primates > Hominidae > Homo > Homo sapiens. Next base: position 134,318,286 of record NC_000002.12, on the reverse strand, counting down.
AGCCCACAGCATGGTACCTGAAATACAGTGCGTGAAGGAGGGCACGGACGAGCGTTGACGGACGGCCCACATGGATACCACCCAAATGCTTCTGGGGTTGGTCCCACTGTCCTAACTACATCCCTGAATGGACACTGTTCTCTGAAAACTACTGAGCAGGGAGTGGTCTCCCCAGGGGCAGGCCATACAAATAGGATTTCTGGAAAAAAAAGCAGCCAAGTAAAATAGCAGCCAAGTGTCTCTCAGTACTCAACCACAAATACAAATGTGACACTTAAACCACAGTCTGGAGGCTTCAGAGCAGGAGCCTGGGGACTGAGATGGTGGGGAGTTGGACACTAAATAACAGCAGTTCCTTGTCATTGGTCCTTCAAGGATCACTTGCTGGAGGCTGGGAAACAGAGAGGGGAAGTCAGCTTCAAAGACTCAGCAGGTGCCTGAAATGGCCCAGGCTCTCTCATGCTGACCAGTGAGAGCCACTGTTGACCAACCCCACATGGCTGACATAGGCATAGCAGGGTTGTCATAGCCACAGACAAAGCCGGCAGGATGGAGGCACCCCATAAATGATCCATGTCAAGGGCTCACTCACCCATTTGTGTCACTGAGGAGGAAAAGGAAGAGAAGGGAAAAAGAAGGGGTGTTTGTGCAGATTGGGGATGATGCTTGCCTCTGCCTTACCTTGATCTTTCCCTCACAGTGAGGGTAGCCGTCCATAGGAGGCAATACACATTTTTCTTGAGCTCCGTTAATGATATCTGTGAAGAATGAAAAACAACAAAGGATACAATGAGATCTATAAAACACAAGCCTAACATTCTTGTAAGCCAAGAGGTAGGGAGAGAAACCAAAAAAGAAAGGTCTCTGTTGGCAGCCATGCTCTGATACATGGAGCCCCTCCAGCTCCAATATATCTAACTGGTCCAGAGTGATGACTGACCTGAGGACAGCCCAACTACAGGCTGGCCAGAGACCTATGACAACATGTGTGGCCCGGCTTAAAAAAGTGAGCCAAGCCAACCAGAGCGCTTACTTAGAAATCAGCAATAGGGAAACTAAGAAACCAAACAAGCAGGGAGCAGGAAATAAAGCCATGTGATTAGGAGGGTCCTCCAGCACTGGTAGGGACATTCTAGGCTATGTGGGCAAGCTGGGGCCATGAACAGACCTCGTGAAGACAACTGCATGAACTGAGAAAGCCAACAGGCCAGAGAGGTGTGAATAGAGCTGGTGCACAGAGAGCCATGAGACGTATCTACACCATCCTAAGGAACTCCTGCCCTGCATCCATGGGATACAGCTTCTTACAGACCCAGTCCTTAGATTTCCATAAAGTTCTCCTTATTGTTTTAAATACTTCCTCACAATAAACTCCTTTTATATTAGCTAGCTTGAATGGGTTCCTATTCCTTGTAACTGTAGGGTCAAAACGAAAACAAATGCCTTTGAGAAGCTAAGGGTCATTTCTTTCTGATAGAAACATTCAATATGCTCCTCCTAGCTATTTAAAACCATGTATTATTGTGAACTAGAGTCATCCTACAGTGCCATAGAACACCAGAGCTTATTCCTCCTGTCTAGCTATAAAGAAATGAGAAATGTTTGAGATTATGAATATGCTAATTACCCTAATCTGATCACCGTACATTTTATGTATCACAACATCATATCACTAAGTGCCCTATAAATATGTGTAATTATGTCGATTTAAAAAAAATTAAATGAAGCTTACGGTCTAATGGTGGAGAACATACAAATAAATGAACAATGAACAATGTAACAACAGTATAACAGGCATTATGGCAGGGCTGGGCAAGGCAAGATACCCAACCCACTCTCCAAAGCTCCAAGAAGGCCTCCTGCATCCAGTGACATCTTAGCCAAGATGTGAAGACAAAGTAGGAGTGAGCCAGCCAAAGGGACAATCTAACGATGCCGTTCAAGGAACTGAGGTGGTCTCAAACAGAAAGAAGTGTGAGGTACTCAGGACAGACAGGAGATGCAACAACAGGAAAGGCTTCAAATGCCACAATAAGTACCCTGATCTTTACCCTAAGAACACGGCAGAATAATGTTATGGAGGGGAAGATTATGATCACACTGTTATGTAGGAATGACCATTTTAGTCGGAAAACAAGACAACCCTAAACCTATATGCTTCTCTTTTCAGAGCTACTATATTTTCCAGAAATGTCTGGAAAATATCATTACCTACTGCCGATAGTTTTCTAAAGAAAGCATTAATCAAAAATTAGATTCCAAACTGCAGTATTATTTCACAGGGGTATTGAAATGATAACTCAGTGGCTGCTGGGACTGAGACAGAAGTTAGTGCTAAGGAGGATTTTACCTGCCCCTTGAAAACCAGTTATTTTGATAGTGTGTCACCAAAATTCTTGACCTCTTGATTCAAGTATTTCAACAAGCCCTCTACCTGCTAAGAATAACTAGAGCATAAAAATAAATACCCTATTTCTCATGGGTCTCTTACTAGTTAAAATGGAGGTTACTTGGCTTGTCAGAGCCCCTGTTGCATGATCTGTAAAATGGGAATGACTCCGCCTCTATTTCATCCAGCTCTTACTAACCATCAAGAGGCTGGCCTGGCAGGCCCAATGGCAGATACCACGGACCACAGCAGGTGCTTAAAAGTTGGCATTTGCTATGTAATTCCACACAACTTTTACTTGCTATATCTGGGAAAGCAGCATTTCAAATGCACAGACACTTCTGGAAAAGCATTCTGTGTTTTTGAAATAGATGCAGACTTGAGGTGGGGCTCTCCTTCTAGCTGCCAGCTCCAGAAGCCCTAAACAAATGGAATGCCTCACCAAAGAATAGTATTTTGCAATGACCATTATTCCTATCACTATTTTTCATTCTGATTTTGCTTGTCAATGCTTACTTGGCATGATGGGGGGTTTTGGCCAAGCAAATGAGCAGCAGCAGAGGTTCCACAAAATTAGGCACAGTCTATGAGAGCCTGGGGTTGGTAATCAGACATTTTAGGGGGTACTTGGTGGGGAAATGCCACCCCCTTTACACCACAGATACTATTCTACTCCTGAAATATTCACTGCCATCTAGAGGCTACTGACATGGTGGTGTGGTAGGGCAGGGTGAAGCAGGATCACTGAATGAGAAAATAAACTAACAGGTGCATGAAGGCCTGCAAGCAACGCCCCAGGGCTGACAGTGTGGGTCCATTCATTAAGAATTTCAAAGAATAAAGTTAAGGGTCAGCAAACTTTTTTTGTAAAGAAACAGAGAGTAAATATTTAAGGCTCTGTGAGCCACAAGGTCCCTTTCTCAGCTACTCAACTCTGCTGTTGTCATGAAAAAGCAGCCACAGATAACAGCTGAACGAATGGATGGGCTGTGTTCCAATAAAATGTTATTTACAGAATCAGGCACAGACCCCCCTGTTGCTATGCTAGGAGATTCCCAAAGCAAGGCCCCTCGTTTCTGCCAAAGCCTGCTGGACTGACTTCTTTCAAGGCTCCCTGCGGGCCTTCCTCTCCCTGGAACGTCCTTCTCCTCAGTCCTTCCAGGCCACCACTCTTCCTCTGCCCAGTTAAAGCCCCTTCCTCTTTCTTCAGCTAAAACAACAGTCCTTAGTTCTTCCTTCCCAAGCCTAGTCAGGATTTTGTTAGGAATCCTGTCCTCCTCTGGGCTTCCCTGGCCTCCTGCTCATGTCTCTCCTACTGCAGAGAGTGATCACGTTATTCCTTTATGGCAGTCCATCTCCCCTCCTAGCACATGAGGAACCTATAGGAAGGTTATGTCTTCCTGCTGGATCTCCAGACACTAAGTGCCATCTGACTGAATAAACATAGGCATGTTCCCCTCTGCCCAACGGGCCTGACTCCTGGGCTCAGGGAGAACTAGACTGAGCAGAGACTCCCACCAGGCCAGGGCCTTTCCTCTTCCTCAAACTGGTGGTTTGTCAGCTAATTCGACAGTCTCCTCTGCAACTCCATGTTCTTATACACGAATTTTCTCTCCTTTATTTAGTTACACAGTGATGGGTATGAATAGATAAGGGGCTTCCAGAGGCATTGGCTTAAGAGTGCTCAAGGTTCTCAGGTAGAGGGAATCTGTGACTGGGAGAAACTGGGAGTCCCAGCCTTCCCAGCATGGGGCAGAACTGCTCCCAAACCTGACCGGGAATAACCTGACCAAGACTTTCCATCACACCATAGCTCATAAGGACTTTCAGCTCCTTTTCAGAGGATGGCTCCTCATTTTGTTTCTATCAAATGACCAAAATTCTATAAACATTTTTATTAGTTTTTGTCCATGGAGGACCTTCCTACCTGTGGAAATGTCTCTCATTTAAGTTTGGTTAAGAAACAAAACTTTGAGCCAAAAAAGGTTAAAGTTACTGCTTTCCAGAGGAAACTGAGCTTACTATACACAAGCTCTCTTCAAAAGAGGGAGGTGGGTACTATGCTTATAGCCTGGGTGACGGTATCCACGGGACCTCAAGCCTCAGCATCACATAGTTTACTCATGTAACAAACTTTTATTATAAAGAGTCCATGTCATACAAGTTGAAATAAAATAAAAAGTGAGGGCATAAAAAGAAAAAAGAAGAAAGATCCTGCCAAGATATGTAACTTGAAAGCTCTGCCTACTGTTTATCCCAAGCTTTCCCCATGCCATTTTTTTTAAATGTTGAAAGGGCAAGGGAAAATAAAAATTTTAAGTGTAAGCAATGAAGCTCAGCTCTGTTTAGGATTCGGTTTAATCCGTTACCCTTACACCAGCCCAGGTTGCAACATCTTTCCCCCAAAACTTCACCTCTGTATGATCCTATGGCACTGGCAACCAGGTATCTACACAGAAGGCAGATTACACAGGTGTAAAAATTCTGTTGCTTTATCAGTCACTTGTGCCCATACGATGTAGTGGGTGTTCGAATATGGGTTTAATCTAAGTGAACAAACACTTTTCCTGCCATCAAAAATGCTTAAGATTCAGGAGGAACATACACACTGCAGGAGCAGAAGCAGCACGAGATGTCACAAATACACGCAGCGGGGGTGTTCCTGTGAGGCGTGGAGACAGATTCTCCCTGACAGTCCCAACAGACACACACGTATCGAGAGAGACGTGTACAGAGGGAAACAATGGCATTTCACATTCATATTAAGAAGCGAAAGGGACAAAGAAATATGAAACCAGACAGATATGTGTGTGTGTGTGTGTGTGTGTGTGTGTGTGTGTGTGTGTGTGTGTGTGTGTGTTTATTTCTTGCTGTCTGTGGCCTCAGAGCAAGGAAGGAAAAAGGGGAGAGTCAGGGCAGGAGAAGTTGGTACGGCGGTCTCAAAGGAACGGTGAGAATAGAAATAGCGTAATACAGGACAGGAAAAGAAATGGATGGGGGATAACTTGCCTTGATACATCACATACATTATCCCGTTTTAGAAAAAAGGAAGATGGTTACCTCATCTGACAGTCTGAAAAGGAAAGCCTTTAAAATCCTCAGCACTGACCTCCTAATTTAGCCCACCTTCACTGGGCATCTGCTGCCTGCCACGTGCTGAAATGCCAACACTGCATCCTTGTAAGACTCAGCCCTGCCTTCTGGGGGCTGGCACACGTGGGAGGAAGGGAAACCACACACAACAGTGAATGAAGTACCCGGCAACGAAGCCTCCTCTACCCGTCGGTACTCCCAGGATATATGCCCAGCACACTGGAGACCCCATCTTGTTTAATAACGGAAGGAACAAATGCAATGAAGAAATGGAGTGCCCAAGTTCCAGAGAACTGAAGAGGAAAGAAAGTGCCACAGATAAAAAGCAGTGGGAGAGCCTTACTTGGAGTCACTGACCCAAGGAGTCCGAGTTCTGGACTGCACATGCCACACAGCTGAGGAAAACAGCAGGAAGCTGCAGTAGTGGGAGACAAGTCATTCCTGATGCTGGGAGAAGGGACATGGCCTAGCCCCCATGTGAATTACTGACAGTCACATCTTACTGGTATTCAAAAAAGAGAGGTTTATGGTTGTATGAGAGATTTTTTTTTGTTGTTTTGTTTTTTGTTTTGAGACAAAGTCTGGCTCTGTCACCTAGGTTGGAGTGCAGTGGCACAACCTCAGCCTCCCAGGTTCAAGCAATTCTCCTGCATCAGCCTCCCAAGTAGCTGGAACTACAGGTGTGTGCCATTGTGACTGGTTAGTTTTTGCATTTTTAGTAGAAATGTGGTTTCGCCATGTTGGCCAGGCTGGTCTCGAACTCCTGGCCTCAATCGATCCATCTGCCACAGCCTCCCAAAGTGCTGGGATTACAGGCATAAGCCACTGTACCCGGCCTGGAGAAAATCTTAATGAATCATTTGTTAACTGTCCCACTGCTTGTATAAATCAGATGCTAGGTGCCTTGGGTGTCACACAAGGCTACTTGCATCTTCTAATTGCCTAGGATCAATATTTATACGTATATAAAGATGCTATCGTCCATTTCTTTTTAAGTATCACCAACTATCAACTACGCGGCATCATAAAACATTCACTTACTACAAACAAAGTTTTTAATAACCACTCCTCACTGCTGAACAAAGGAGATCTGGAAATATGGTTACAAAAAGAATCTCAAAAACAAAGAGGCTGGAAGTCAGGGGCTAATCTCACTTCTGCCAATGCTTAAAGGTGGTACCATGTGTAAGAATCTCAACTACCTGTTCCTAGGCGAGGATGATAAAGTGAGGAAGTGGAATGGAGGAGAGTGGATGCAAGAGAGAGAGAGAGACAGGAGTTTGCATGCGAGCTCACACAGAAGACAGTTCTTTCAGAGCAATGGCTGACCATATTAGGAAGTGAGCCTTTATTAAGGCTCACTTTTCCATACACTAATTCTATATAGCAAAGATGACAGGTGTTGTTTGAGATGACACTTGTTTTTAACAACCTGTAGAACACAGGTCCATTAACTTTTTATCTAGTTCTGGACAGGCATCTGATAGATTAAGGGCATCTAAATCCATCGCCATTGCCATTTTAAAGGTTAAAAAAAGGAAAGAAAAAAATAGAAGAAAAAGTAGGTTTATAAAAACTCTCAGAAACCTCAAAGAACATGAGTATCTGTTGACCCCAGGAAGTTACAGGAAACTGATTCAATCTCCTTACCCAGTTGTTTTGCCGACCCTAAGATTATCAACTTCACGAGCAAGGGCTCCATTCAGGGCAATGACACTCTAAAGATATTTTCTCTCAAAAGATAAAGTTCTCCAGCAATTCTATTTTGTGTCAGACAAGGTAGCATTTCTCTTGGCACACCTGATATGAACATGTGGCCATGCTTATCAGATGGCCCCTGCAAAGTGCAGCCAAATGAGCGTGCCACTGGCCTGGCTGCTCAGCCATGGCTGGGAACCGACTCAATCTCCACAATGGGCTTGGAGACACAGCTCTTGCCAGCACCTCCATCAGCTGGCTTGGCTTCAGGAGTGGATGGCAATAAATCAGACTGAAGCCAGCCATGATGGAATATAGTCTCCCATTGAAAATGACCTCACCAGTCACTCAGCTTGGCAAATATTCATTTAGGAATGCTTTACTTTTGCACCATAAAAAAAGTAATTTGATTTCTGTAACTAAGTCATGTACATGAATTCCAGAACCAGGGCCCCACAGCAATAGGAAGTTCCCTCCCCAACAAAGCAATTGAGAAGTCAAGACATGGGAAACAGGCAAGACTCACTCATGGACCCCCAGAGGTGTATACTGGGATCTTTGAAAATACTTGTTTATATATCATTTTTGTTTTGTTTTTTAATCTAAGTTGAAAATAGAATCATCATTGCATAAAATAATTTTAGAGCTGCAAGGGACTTCTGAAACCACACCATTCAACCCTCTAGTTTTCCTGATTCATAACAGTAAGGCCTAGTGAGATGAAGTGCCTTCCTCATTTATGGATTAAACAAAATCCACTAGCACCTTCCATATGCAAAGCACTCTGCATGTTCAACGAGGCATTTGCCTTCTGAGTCAAGATTATTTCCACAACACTGTTGAAATGCACATCATCATCTTCATGTTCTGCATGGGAAATTTCAAGAGTGAACACAATTAACAAATTCTTATTCCCTCTTGAAGAAGCACCTCCAAGGGCCTCATGGACTTGCTGTATAAAAACCAGAAGCTACAGTACTGCCTGTGTACAAATACTATGGACATAATGGAACTCAACAAGAAAATCAAATTCAGTGTATATATATGGGTTCTCTATGTATAGCTTTTCAAGAATAGAACTAATGTATAAAAAGAATAAAGTTGTGATGACTATGAAAACACACTGCCAAGATAATGTCATAAAATTTCAAATCACAATTCAGCCAAATAACTCCAGATTCTTCATACCTCCTTTTGTCATACCCTCTGTCATTTATTTAATCTATTTTATGGCAGAATTGTCGAATTAAGCTGTTAAGCCAGCATTAAGATTTTTCCTTTTTTTGGTAAATTAGTATTAAAAAGGGGACCTAGGACTGAGATTCTCAGTATGAAAAACAGTTATATAAGAATGCTATACATACACACAGCCACAACATCATATATACACCAACCCTCCATTCTGATAAGCCCCACGGTGCTGCTACTAGAAATGGTCAGCCAGGGAAAAGGTTATTCACACACCTAGGAGCACACACATGATAGGAAGAACACAGCTGGGGTTAAATAATTGCTACTGACAAAAGTAGGCAGAGCTTATCATCATTAGTCATCAGGGAAATGGAAATCAAGAGCACAATGAGGTACGACTTCACATCAACTAAAATAGTTATAATAAAAATTCAGACAATAACAAGTGTTGCCAAGGATGTAAAGAAAGTAGAACCCTCAACTAGTAGAAATATAAAATAGTGTAGCTGCTTTGGAAAACAGTCTAGCAGTCCTTAAAAAGTTAAACAGACTTATCATCTGAGTCAACAATTCTACTCCTTGGTTTACACTATGAAAGAATAAAAACATAACTACACAAAAATTTGTATGTAAACATTCATAATAGCCTTATTCATAACAGCCAAAATTTGGAAACAATACAAACACCCATCATCCAATTAACAGACCAAATATGGTATATCCATAAAATGGAATATTATTCAGCCATTAAAAGGAATGAGGTGCTAATCCATGCTTCACAGATGAACCTTGAAAACATTATGCTAGATGAAAGCAACCAGTCACACAGGCCACATATGAGATTCCATTTACATGAAATGTTCAGAACCTATAGGCAAATCTAGAGAGAGAGTGAATTCGTGGTTGTTTAGGGTTGAGGAAAGGGAGGAGAGGTGATATGGTGTTTCTTTTTGAGGTGATGAAAATATTCTAACACTGACTATTGTGGTGGTTGCACAACTGAATATACTGAAAGCCACATCGAACTAATTATTTTCATTTTTTGTAGAGATGAGGTCTTGCTATGTTGCCCAGGCTGGTCTCAAACTCTTGAGCTCAAGCCATCCTCCCATCTCAGCCTTCCAAAGTGCTGGGATTACAGGCATAAGCCACCATACTCGGCCCTAAAAGCCTCAAATCAAACACTTTAAATATGTGAAATGTGTGGTATGTAAATTATCTCAATAAAGCTGTTACAAAAACCAGAAAAGTTCTGACATTGACTCATTCAACAAATACTGCACCTAAATTAGAGCATTTGTCATGATTTCAGTACCTTCCTGGGAAGCAAAGAGAAACACAAAACATTATTCACCTTGAGGGAGCCTTAAATATGCTTAGAACCCAAAACTTGCTCACCAGAAAAGGCAATTAACAGCCCAATGCCATATACACTTTCCATGGGCTAGTAGATGGGACATGCGATGAGCCAGCAAAATGGGAAGAATGTGGAGCCCTGAATGTCAGTGCAGAGAAGAGCCATTCTATTGGTCTGGACTGCTCACTACTGGATTATCGTGTGACAAGAGAAACCATCCTCTGTCTCATTTCAACCCTGAATTTTTGGGTCTCTTTGTTGCAGCAACTTAGTTTAAACCTTAAGTAACCACTGGAAAAATGGGATTTGAGTTGAGCTCTAAAGTAGAAGTAGACAGGAGAGAAAAGGAAAGATGAGTACACTGAAGAACAGCGTAATAATGATGGTAGCCAACAGACTGAGCATCTACTAGTAACACCACTGTATCTTATGTACACCGATTACTCGATTGAGCCTCACAATAATAAGTACTATTATCCTTCATTCTACTACAGAAGACACTGAGGCCCAGGCAGATTAAGTAACTTGGCTAAGGTCACAAGTTAGCCATTCCTAGCCCTATCTGCACATTTAAACATTTCTTGGGGACCTTTTAAGAATGTGCCTCACCCTCCAGGCATTCTTATTTGAGTGGCCCCAGGCAGTGGTTCTGCTACCCCCTTTTTTAATGCTCTCCCAACCTCAAGTGATTCTAAAAGGCAGCCACAGCTGGGAATCAATAGAATAAAAGGTGAAATAACACTGAGGAAAAGGAACGGCCAGAGATGGAAAATGGATTTTATGTTATGTTTCAACAATTAGAGTGTTTTACCAGGACAGCAAATCTACCCACAGTGGGTAGGCATAACCAATCAATCATCTCTGTCTGAGAGGGCACAGGAGAGCAGAGCGGGACAATTTGGTTAAAGCAGGGGACTCAGGGTAGGGTAGTAAGAAATACGGTTGGAAAGGTATGCTGACACGGCCTGCCACAGAATCATGAATTCCAGCCTCAGAACATAATTTATCACTGTTATCACAGCAGGAAACCGGAAGGCAACTGAAAACACTTGCGGAGTTTCAGTACAATGGCCAGGGGAAGTAACTAATGTTCTTTGAGTGGAGAAACAACATTTTGAAAAAAAGGTGACATCCAGAGGAAAAGGGGAATGAAAGTCACATTTTGTGGATAAAAATGTGACCATGTGTAATTTAAAAGATATTACTGTATAAAATCTTTACAGTTGAATAGAGTTTATATCTAACATTGTAAATGGCCCCGGAGTTGAAAACTGTCTTTCATTAGTAAGGAAGTCAGGGGTGTTTTTCTGACACAAGGTCTTCAGAACAAATTAAGAATGCTCAAGCCCCCTTCTTTGATTAACAGCAGCTTCTAATGCTTTTCTTAAATAGTCTCTTTAACATCCATTTTCATTAAATTAATGAAAATTAATTAAACATATTCCAAAATGCCGTCATCCCATCGGCCTCTAAAGTTACAAAGCTATAAAAATCTGTGTTCTCTAAATCTCCAAACAGTAGATCAACCCTCTCGTAAGATACTATCTGGCCACCATGCAAGATGCCTCCTCATTAGGAAGAGGCCTGCTCCTGGAACTGACACTGAAATGTATCAGCAGAGAGTAGCACCCGCATGTCCCGGTCTTTTAAAGTCCTTGACCACACTGAACCTCAGCAATGAAAAAGGTAGAAAATGTCATGACTATGCCCTGGAAAAGGCAGGGGCTTTGTCTTGTAAGAGATCTCAGCTGGGATTATCTCTCTGCCTTTTATTAATCACATAAGCTGAGCAGGTTACTTAACCTTCAGGAGTTTCTTCACTCAAAAAACAGAGTCAGCAAAGCCTTCTAACATCTGAGTCACCCTGGCTCCAGGTACTGTACCTGGCACTCATTTATAGCCTCATTCACCCTCAGGACAAACTTCCGAAGTAAAATATGGGATTTTGAAAAAGATAAAGCCATGAGAAGGAGAGATTGCCTGCACCACACTGAAACATCACACACTAGCTCTCATTAGATCATTTAATCTATTTGTACAATATACTCGTCCTATTGTATATTCTCTGTGCCTGTCTTGTCCGTCCCTAATTAATTTTGTCACAATGCTTGGTGGGGTATGAGGTATAGTCAACGACAAAAATGCTTTAGATCTTTTTCAATGAATATAATAGCAAAACAGTGTATGCTATATATATTCTAGCAGCTTTGAGACTGGAAGACAAAACTGAGTTTGTAATATAGTTTGGATAATTAGAGTGCTTTTTAATGCAAAACTCTGCATGTATTCATTTCTATGTAAATACCATTTTCTGTAAGTTTATATTTAATTTTTGCTATCATTTCTTCTGCAACAAAATGTTCCTTAGTATTTTAAGTAATGATGTAAAGGATATGAAATATTCCACGTGGGTATCATATATGTACTTAGTTACAACAAATGGGCCTAATAGGAAATAAACTAGGAGAATGCTAGTTTTATACATCAAAACAAACAAAAAGTTATACAGATATATTCCCAGAAAAAAAAGTTTCTATACATACATTTAAAAGAATAAGATATAATGCTAACATACTGAGACAACCTCAGCTGTCAATTTTGATTTAAGAAAATATACTGAGAAATAGGTGGGAGACATTAAAAATTCAAGATACTTGCAAAACTGTATTATATTCTCGAGTTGGGGGCCTAAGGTGATATTTATAACGATTCTCCTTTTCCAATAAACAAAATAGTGCCAAGCTTTTGCCAAGTCCCCTCTTCTCACATGCAGTTTACTAGAAGAAGGAAAGGGTGTTACACAGATAACTTACTGTAACAGTGACATGCCCTTGCAACACAGAGCACCCATATCTCACTTCAACCTCTCAAAGAGAGGTTTGATTTTTCTTCTAAAACAGGGTTCCATGTTAAGCACAGTTCATAGATTTCTGCCTGTTCTTATCAAACTGTCAAAGGTGTCTTGAGTTTGGATTTTGTTAAAAATGAAAAGCAAAGCCATACATGTAGTTTATGTGTGTATATTTGTATTTCCTTTTTGCAACTGAAGAAGAAAAGAAATATGGAATCAATAACTGAGAGAAGGCTAGCTATATCCTTGGGCTGTTTTAAGATAGTATAAATTGCCCAAAATAGGTGTGTGCTCTTCATATCACACAATGCCCACTTTCTGAATCACTTGTCACAAGCGTCTTATAGCTGTTGGTTAGAAACAGGGATTCTATCTGGCCAGCCAGACATCTAGAGGCAAGGCGGAAGTGCTTCGACTATTCTCTTAACAGGAGATCAAGAAAAATTTTTGTTTTCACCGTCTCGCATAAACTGAGGTTTTCATTTTGTTTTGGTTGCTTGGTTGTGGTCTCTTACCTTACTTTTTTAAACAGAAAAATAAATTGCAAGATAATGCAGAATTGAGATGACACCTTGATAATAAGGTTTTGGTCCTAGAGAAAGTAGGACAGAGAGAATGTATAAAAGAAGCTGAAAGCCAGAATATTTCAAACACCCACAAGCACAACAAATTCTTGGGTACGGTTTGAAGAAAGGCTAAAAGCTATTTAAATTGTAAGTCTACTGTGACTGATCCAGAGTGATATGAAACCTACAAGCCATTGGCATAAAATATACATGCCAAGCCTGCTAGGTAATGTCCTTGGCTAGGATGCCTCTTAAAAACCAGATTGTGCCAGGTGCAGTAGTGCATGCCTACAGTCCCACCTACTGAGAAGGCTGAGGCAGGAAGACTGCTTGTGCCCAGTAGGTTGAGACCAGCCTGGGCAACATAGCAAGACATGTTAAAAAACAAAAAATCAGGCTATCTTACAACTTAATTCCTTAGAACTTCTCCCGGCCCTTAGCAGGTATTCCTTCATGTAGAAAAGAACATGCTTTGTGTTAAGACCATGTAAATTTGGATACCAATACTCTGCTTGTAAAGTTAAGAGACTAATGTGCATATTCTGGGATGTTACAAGTATTCTTATAATCCTGGAATGCTATTCATCAACTCCACATAAAAGGCTAATGAATTTGTGAATGCAGGTTATTCCCAGTAGGAAACACAAAGGTTTTCAACTGCCTGGGAATTTGTTCGTTTCAGCAAGTAGTCTGTTCCCAGATGAATATTTGGTTTTTGAGTTAGCTCTTAGAAGGCACTGATCCTCAGGTGGTGGGATTACTACCTGAAAACCCATTCACCATCCCAGTATCCAGAATAAAGTGCAGTCCCTTGCTTACCCTCCAGCCATGGCATCCGGATAGGAGAGCAACTGTTAAATACATACGGTCCTTGCCAACCTAGAAATGGTGGTTATTGTATATTGTACCTAACAGAAAAGAGCTAGCATGCATACCAAAACCAGGGGGAAGGCAGCACTGTGGTAACAGATAATTCAGACAGCTTCCCAGCCCAGAGCACGCTGCTAAACTACACTACCTGTGTAAGATCCACATAACAGTTAACCTAGGATTCTTTAAAAACAAAGCAGAGAAACTATGCATTGGCAATAGCAGAGAAGCTTGTATTGGAACAATCTTCCCACAGATAACACTTACAATATGACACTAAAGAGTGAGGGAAAGTGAGCAGAAACTAGAAGGGATTTGATCCTTAAATTCTTTCTGGAAACTACACTGAATAAGACTCACATTTATATGGCTGTGCCCCAGAGGGGACTATCAAGTCTGGAAGGTAGCAAACAAAAGGCTACAGTCTCACTGGCTTGAGGTTTCATAGAATGAAGTTTTGCATAGTAGTGAAAAATTAAGGTAGCATATTCCCAAAAAGAGGGAGCCCAAAGAGGAGAACCCCAAAGTCTGTATATAAACTACCTTAAACTTCTTGAGCGACCCTAAAACTAAGCATTTGTGAGGGAGGCTCCAATAAAAGTTCAAAGTATTCACAAGACTTCAGCTGCTGCTCACTGCAGGGCAGCCACAGTTTAAACCCCAAAAAGTCAAAGGGTCAACATTTCAGGCTTTCCATGAAACCCCAGAAGGGCCTCACATCAGGCCCAGGACTTCAGATGGTCCAAGACTAGGGAAAAAAATGGAAACAGACACACCCTAACAAATCATAAAAGCAAGTCTTCTTAAGTTCAAGGCAGTAAGTCAGTAATTTAACTGCCTACTAGAAAAAAAATCAGTACTCTTCAGAGGAAGTTTACCGAACCCAGACACTCTATAGCATATCCTTGTCATGTCCAATACATAATAAAGAATTATTAAACATGTGGAGAAACAGGAAAACGTGAACAAGGCAAGAAAAACAGTCAACAAAAACAAGATGACGCAACTGTTGGAGAACTAACAAAGAATTTAAAGCGGTTATTATAAATAAGATTAAAGACAAAGGAAAAACGGTCATCAGTGAATAAAAGATCAGTAAATTTGAAAAACAAAAAAGGAAATTACTTAACCTAAAAACAGAGACATTCAAGACTAAGACAAATAAAACACATAGAGTCTCCATGACCTGTGGAGAACATCATGTAGGCGAACCTTTGTGTAAACGGATGCCCAGAGGTAGAAAAGAGAAAAGAGACAAAAAATATTCGAAGAAATAATGGCTGACAACTTCCCAAATATGTTGAGGAACATTAACTTCAGATCCAGCAATTCAGTGAACCACAAGATAAAGACAATCACATTTATTATAATCAAACTGCTAAAAGCAAATGAGAAAGAGAAAATGTTGAAAGCAGACAGAGAAAAACAAGACACATTACATAAAAGGGAACAAAGATGGCAATGTCACCTGACATCTCGTCAGAAGAAGGAGGCTGGAAAACACACACACACACACACACACACACACACACACACACACACACACACACACACAGCATTTCTTAAATGCTGAGAGAAAACTTACTGTCAGCTCAGAATTCTATATTTATGTCTTTGAAAAATGCCAGCCCCTACCAAAAAAAGCCTTTTTAAGATAAATGAATAAAGATTTCACCCCCAGCAGACCTGTATGGCAAGAAATAATAAAAGAAGCTCTAGGTTGAAAGGGAAAGGACATTAGATGGTAACTTGGAACTACAGAAGGGATTAAGAGAATCAGAAATATTAATATGGGGCTAAATATAAAACACTATAGTGTTTTCCTTCTCTTCATTTCTTTATCAGACAATTGACTGCTAAATATAAAAATCATATTAGGGCATAGTGAGATTTAAGGCCTTTATAGATGTAAGACATTGAACAACAATAGTACAAAGGATGGTGAATCAATATGCATTAAACATGAAATGTATAATATTAACTCTAACTATACCGTGATAAGAAAATATATTACAATCTCTGTAACAAGGGATGGCAAACTAAAGCCCTTAAGCCAAATCTGGCCCACTGCCTGTTTTTGTAAATAAAGTCTTATTGGAATATGCCCAAGCCAATCATTTACATATTGTCCAGTGTTGCTCTTGTAGTACAATGACAGAGTTAAATCACTGCAACAGATCACAGACCATACGGTTTGCAAAGCTAAAAATATTTAATACTTGGCTGACATAAAAAGTCCGGCTTTACATAAGAAGTTTGTCAACCCCTACCCTATACAGTTCTTTGGTCTTACTATTTAAGAATTTTTTTGGTATCTAGGAAGTGGAATAGTGAAGACTTGCATCCCCCAGGTCTCTTTCATTTTGAGACAAAGGGTCCCAGCTTGTGCAGGAATATCCATACTCCAAGGCTGGAGGCAAAATCAAGCCAAAACCAAAAGCGAACTGACATGAGTGTTGCTTTGTAATTATGAGCTCCAGCTCATACTCATGTGTTCCAGCACGTCCTTATTCTCCTCCAGTTACCGTTTATCTTCCCTTCCTAGCTGCCTGCCCTGTGGATGCCAACTCCATCATCAGACATAAAAGCAACAGCGTTACAGAAAATGTTAAACCAGCTTCCAGAGCTGTGTAAGGTCAAACCCCTTTGACAAATCCCTTAATAGACACACGCCTCTCTTGGCAGTTCTGCCTCTCTGATTTAATCCTAAACAGAGAAAAATTAACCAAAAAAAAGTAGGTTCTTTAAAAAGATGAATAAGATTTATAAACCTCTGGCAAGAGGGATCAAGAAAAAGAAAACATAAATGAGTAATATTAAGAATGAAAGAGGGATATCACTATAATTCCTATAGATGTTAAAAGAATAATAAAAGAATGTTATGAGTAACTTCAGAGCAATAGAATCTACTACTTAGAAAAAAAGACAGGCTCATGTGTCTCTAGCAGCATTATTCATAACAGCTCACAACTGGAAATGACTCACATGCTCATTATCAGGAAAACAGATAAACCAATTATGGTATGTTCATACAACAAAGTACTGCTCTGCGATTTTTTAAAAAGAATAAACTATTGACATATGCAGCACCATGGATCAATCTTGAAAACGCTATGCTGAGAAAAAGAGGCCGGACTCTGCAAAAATGTTCATACTGTAAGATTTCATTTTGATGATGCTCAAGAACAGGCAAAATTAACCTATGGTGATTGAAATCAGAGTAGAGAGTGCCTATGGGGGATGCAGACTGAATGGAAAGAGGCATGGGGGAACATTCTGGGGTGATGAATATGTTCCTTATCTTGCCTGTGGTGATTTTATAGATATATACATTTATTAAAACTCATCAGGTTGTATACTTAAGAACTGGGCTGTGCAGGGTATGAAAATTAAGCTAAGTTGCTTAAATGTGTGCTTTCTCTGTGACTTAAGCACACAGATGAAGGACAATTTTCCTTTGCTAATCTTTAACAACTAACCCTTTGCCAACGACCTTCACTGGAACTTACTCTACAACAAGCTCACATGCAACCTAAAGCACCTCAAATAACACCTTCAGTGACTTCCAATATTACATTTCATTGTGGGCTGGCAGTGCTAAAGGGTCCATCTCTTTAGTTTGGTTACAAAAGTGCATAAAACTAAAGTTTAATCTTCATCTTGGAAATTGTAATCTTGGACTTAAGTACAAACTGTTGGTAAAGTGTTCTTCTCTGTCACTGAGTGCATTTAGGTGTCTCCTATTTGCAGTGAACTAGTTAATTGTGTATAGTGTTGGGCCCAAAGCTGAAGAGAGGTTTAAAAAACAGCCTTTACTCCATTAAGGTTAACCGCACATGTGCAGAAAGAGTCACTAGTACTAGGAAATAATTCACCCTCAAGACATTCAGCAGAAGGCAGGCTGTGATTTCATTCCTAATCCTGTCTGTAGGCTTCGACAGAAATCACCCGACTTCAGATTTACAACATGCCATCTTGATTTTTCAGCCTATCTGCAGGACCTGGCTCTGTCTTACACAGTAAGTGCCAGTGTAAGTACTGAAAAGAGAAGATGGTCTAAATGAGGGAAATCTGAAAGGTAATCAGGAATTTATTATTTTCCAGCATCATGCAGTGCTAATAAACCCAAGGGTCAGAGAATGGTTGCTTCTTGCAAAAGTTATACTGAACAACCAACAGTGTAAGG
This sequence comes from Homo sapiens, assembly GCF_000001405.40. NCBI lineage: Eukaryota > Metazoa > Chordata > Mammalia > Primates > Hominidae > Homo > Homo sapiens. The sequence continues at coordinate 134,300,085 of NC_000002.12, read as the reverse complement.
AATTAATCTTCACTTTACTTCTGTTCTGCTCACTAGAACATAGAAATGAATATAACAGCAACCTCTGCAACAGGGCTGCAGATCAAAGAGTAATCACTAAAGCTTTCTATAATGATATGACAAAATTTCATGATATGAGCTTACAGGTATTCAGAGAGTTATATTCAAGGTGAGTGCAAGTCAACTGGAAAGCCAGGGAGGAATTTCTTAAGCAGCAGCAAGGTTTGTGTGTTCCAGGGAAGATCCAAGGGTGGGTGTTTGCTACAGGAAGAGAGAACTGCAACAAGAGGCCTTTGGACATGGACTATGGGATTAAAGGAAACCAGCTTTGAAATGGGAACTTTTTAAAATTTTTGAATGGAGTCTGTACACATCCAATCTGAAAAAATTCATGAGGAATAAAAGAGGGGACAGGGGATAAATATTAGATACTGGGTTTGGGCTCTACCACTATGAAATCAGAAGAGGGGATTTTAACTACCTTTACCAACACTTGTAGTTCATCTTGCTGAAATAAAGAAGATCCTGATTCAGACACACTGCATTTTAAAAAACAAAAAAGCTACAAAACCTTAAATACAAATCTCACTTCAATTTATTCAACTTGATGAAGGTTGCAATTAGCATTCCAAACCCTACCTTACCTGCAGGCCTAGCTCAAGCTCTCCTCTATCTGTGAAACTTCACAAGAGTACTCCAGCTCGCACAGGTACTTCCAGGGTGCCTGTGAACACCTATAAAATTTTTAGTCTATACTGAACAATCTAAAACTAAAAATCTGGTGTTGGCTTTGACCATCCTCTAATTGGAATTTGTTTGTGTGCAGAAATGCACATACCTACAAAGACTGCAAAGCCAGTGAGACCAACTTCCACAAAGTCAGTGGCCATGTGTCAGTCTGCTTTTGTATGCTCCAGAATAACACTGGCTCACAGAATTGACAGAGATTTTGTGGACTACAGATGATGATAGTGGTATTGACGCTTGGAAAGATATAAATTCTAGGGAAGAAGAAGAAACGATGGGCAAGTGTTTTTGGGCAAGAAGGAAAAGTACAATTGGGAAGATCTAGGTAAGAATATTATTCTCAAATGGGACACTAACTTTCACAAGAAAGCAGAAGAATTCTTATCTTCTAAATGTGACTTCCTTCTTCTTCCATTCTTCTTTTGACTTTTTCATTCAGAGGGAAGGTACAGTCTTAAATTGCTTTCATGCTTCCTGCCTGGAATCGTCTTTCATACAGAACACTCAACCAGCCCCAATCCCAACCCATGGTTCCTGCCTACATAAACACACTCAACCATCACCATTATGAACTACCTCTTCTCCAATTCCTATCCTAGACTAAGCTCTCAAGTATACTTCTGATCACATCTAATCAAAAGAGACTCCAGGAGACCACCCAAACCATCTGCAGTACCAAATTTATTGAAAACACCTTCCAACATCTGGAAATTCACAACTATATTTAGTTGATGTTGAATTATGATAAACAAGGATTTGTTACAACAGAATATGATCCGCATGGTGTCTAACTGCCCTAACAGCTCCTCTGATTTGCTGATCATTCTTAGGAGTGGAAAAAATATAAGTGACATAACTTATTATGAAAAGAAATAGTGTTCTAACTCTACATTTTTTATAAACACCATAATTTTTATTTGGTGATAAATAATACAGAGATAGGCCAGGCATGGTGGCTCACGCTTGTAATCCCAGTACTTTGGGAGGCCGAGGCAGGTAGATCACTTGAGGTCGGGAGTTCAAGACGAGCCTGGCCAACATGGTGAAACATCGTCTCTACAAAAAATACAAAAAAATGAGCCAGGTATGGTAGCATATGTCTGTAATCTCAGCTACTTGGGAGGCTGAGGTAGGAGAATTGCTTGAACCCAGGAGGCGGAGGTGGCAGTGAGCCAAGAGTACGCTATTGCACTCCAGCCTGGGAGACAGAGTGAGATCCTGTTTCAAAAATAATAATACAGAGATAATATTTTTCTCTATTATTTATACAAATAATTCAACATTAACCCAAAGAAATACACGTTCATACTCTAAAAGAAAATAACTGGTTTTAGAACCTCAATTTAGCTAAACAGAAAACAGAACAAAACTTAAGGATCTAGTAGACTTATTTTTTTAACCTATATTTGTTTTCCTCAATTTTTATCAGAAAAAAATTTGAAACATACACAAGGATACAGAGAATGATACAACAAATCCCTTCTACCCATCACTTAACTTCAACAGTTAACAAATATATTATTGAATAGAAGTGGCAAGAGTGAACAGCCTTGCCATTTTCCTAATCTTAGGAGAAAAAAAAAATTAAACAGTTCTTTTCTAGTAAGTATGATGTTAACCTGTATGTTTTTCCTAGTTTGTTGAGAATTGCTTTCATGAATCAGATTTTCTCAAATGCTTTTCTGCTTATATTAAGGTAACATGATTTCTGACCTTTGTTCTATTATGGAGTATTATATTAATAGATTTCTGAATGTTAAACCAACCTTGTGTTTCTAGAATAAATTCCAATTGTTCATTATATATAACCCTTTTCATATGTTGCCAAATTTGGGGTTCTAATATTTTAAGAATTTGTGTCAGTGTTTATAGGAGTTCATGGTCTGTTGTTCACTTGTGATGTCTTTGTCTAGCTTTGGTAACAGGGTGTTACTGGCAGAATGAATTGCAAGGTATTCCCTCCTTCTATATTTCATGGAAGAATCTGTGAAGAATCAGTGTCATTTCCTCTTAACATACCTAAAAGAATTCACCAGTGAAGCCATCTGAGCATGGGTTTTTCTTTGTAGGAAAAGTTCTAATTATTAGTTCAAATTCTTTGTTATTGAGCTATTCAGATGATTTTTTTTTTTTTTTTTTTTTGAGACCAGGTCTCAGTCTGTTGCCCAAGCTGGACTGTAGGGGCACAATCAAGGCTCACTGCAATCTTAATCTCCTGGGCTCAAGTGATTCTCCCACCTCAGCCTCCCAAGTAGCTAGGACCACAAGTGTGTGTCACCACACCCAGCTAATTTTATTTTTTGTAGATAATGGGGTCTCACTGTGTTGCCCAGGCTGATCTTAAACTCTTGGTTTCAAGCACTCCTCCCGCCTCTGCCTCCCAAAGTGCTAGAATTACAGGTATGAGCCACTCCACCCCACCTTCAGATGATTTTGAGTCAGTACAGATTGTGTCTAGGAATTTTTCCATGTCATCAAAGTTGTGTCATTTCATAGTATGAACTTATTCATTGTATTACCTTGTAATCTTTTACATTTATTTTAAATTTCTGCAATCTTCCCTTTTTTGGATTCTATATCTCATAACATTTGAATGCATATTTTTTTTCCTAATCAAATGTCAAGTCTATCTTAACAAAGTAAAATAACAGAAGAAAGAGAGGTTAAGTGGAATAGATTACAATGTCTGCAGAAACAAGGTCAGTTGTATAAAAAGATTTTCTATTTTTTACTGTCTCTTATGTACTTTATAAGACTAAGGAAAGTGGTTTTCTTTCAAGTACTATAATTAATTCCTGGGGTGAAAGGGAAAAACAAGACAAGGGGAAAAAAAGAGGAAGCAAAAGAACCATAGGTTTAGTCATATGCTACAAAGGAAAAAAAAAGAATATTTAACCTTCCATCAATAAAAACTTGAAGCCAAGGATAAAAAGAACAGGAAATTCACAAAAACTGTTAAGAGCCAGGCAGCCACTCCCTCGATACCAAACCAAGTAATTTAATATTCGGCATTTCTTTAATGCCCATAAATTCCAGAAACTGACTCCCAGGTCCAGCTAGTTTTATATGGTGGTAATAACTTTTAAAATTGTGTGTTATTTTTTAAATTCCATGTGTCCATCCCCAATTCTCTGACACAGCCACAAAGAAAACATGGTAACTAAACTAGAGTCGACTTGGCCTACCCAGCTACATGAAATTCCATGAGTTTAGTCTGTTTCCCATCCTCCTCTTTACCCCACCTCTTGGCCTAAACCGCCAAGATCACAGTATTTCAAGAGTCAAAATTCAAATAAGAACAAACATGTTTGCATGAGGCTGCCAAACACTCCTAGATGAAATCCTCTTCCCTTCCAAAGAATTTTACCTCTAATTTCCACCTCCCAAATAAAAATTGTAGTTATTTTTGGGTTGCACTACAAATAATAAAACCACAGATTCTTAGGGTTCAGAAGGAATGCTGTAAATCCACCGAACCCATCTCCCCACCCTTAAGCACTGTTTAGATTAAGACAGGGGAGTATCTGTTATATTAAGGCAAGAGGCTGAACTGAAACAGACTGCAACTTGGTATAATTCAAGCTTCCCAAAACCATTCCTGTCAGGTAGCAAAGCTGACCAAACAGTATTCCTGATGGTTCCAATAGAAACTCCGAACAGCCCTTTCCTGTTTGGCTGCAGCCAGCAACAGCACAGAAGAGCCACAAGCCAGCCACTACTGGCTGTTCTTGTCATCCTCGAAGAGAATCTGGGTGACAAGTCGAAATGGAATGAATACCCTTAAAGTGACAACAAAACTCCCTACTAAAATTATGACTGAGAATAAAAGAGAAGGCTAATCCAGAGGGAAAAATATTTTCAACATCATTGAAGATTTTTTTCCAATTATAACTTATTTCGCAGCTCTTATGTTTGGAAATTACTGCAAGAGGATCCTAAGATACCACATTTTCCCTGCCTAAGTGAAGAAAGCCACACAGTTGATTGGGCCTACTAAGCTCCCAATTCCACTGCCAACCTTAGTCACTTCTAGCACAATCCAGTTCTATTATGGCTATATTCAACTTGTAAGTACTTTCACCATAGTTTCTAGATTTTTCTGGCCATTCTCATTGTTCTTTTCTGGCATCTTCGAACCACTGAAGAGCCATCAAATGTCAATCAACATAAGGAACATCTAAACTATATACTAAAACCTACTGTTAGAAATGCTTGTTCCTCGGTGCAATAAAGAAATAGCACTTGAACATAAATTTAATTTCCTTAGCAAGGCCATTTTTACTTTCTACAGAAAGGGTACACTTGCCAGCAGTTTTGCCACGATAGTACACCGAACAAAGGAGGCAGGGTCATTTATAAGTTGACGCGTCCACCTTACTGCTGTGTCCAGTTTCCATTGGCTGGAACAGGACCTCACATTCTGTATTTGTCCTGATTGGCTAGCAACTTAGAACATTTTAAAAGAGGCAAAGGCAGAGGAGAACAAAGGAAAGAGGAAGTAACTTGTGAAATGCTGAGAAAGGTAAAAACACATTTAAATAAGGAAGAGGAACAGACTATGACCTAATGCTTGCTTGGACCAGTATAAACATACTTATAAGCAAATATTTAGGCTAAATTGTGGGAGCTAAGAACATAAAGTACATTGATTTCTTTATTACGGCTAGCAGATATTTAAGAATGTTAGCACAGGTCTTTGAATAAATTTTGCTTCTAAGAGAAGTTACTATTTATTCTTAATTAGACGGGGAGGAAAGTCTTTGAAGAGGAACCTCTATTTTTTACACCTACCTTCTATAAAACCAAGCCCTTGGCATTCACAACTACAAATCCCCTTACACAGAACTTGACCTGCAGTGGTATATACCTGGAACAAAAATCCTTGGTTAGACTGTATGTATTTCTAAATTTGTCTCAGAAATATGAACATCATACCCCGAATACTTAGTCTTAGTGGTTTGTGAGGCAAAATCACCCAGCAGCTCCAAAAAGCCCCTACGTTAAGACCTTATATTAAGACTTGGAAACATGAAAATAAAAATAAAAACACTGAAAACAAAAAGTTACTTTACTGCCAGTGCAGAGATCTTCCCATGACTTAACAGGTCTATGGGGCTAAACCGCAGAGAACAATGGATGCCTTATTTACCTGATGATGCCTAAAACAGTGCAGAATAGCCACCCTGGAAGGTAGAATAAAACTTCTCTCTCCTCCATTTGCCTCCTCACTCAGAGGCAAAAGATTTGAGGCTGTAAGAAAAGTGACACATCTTTACACTGAACATGCAGTGCTCCATGAGGCAATCTTTTCTAGATCCACCTAAAACAACTACGAGGAGTCTGGGAAGCCAACGAACAAAGGGGGCAAGTTACCTGCCTAGGATGTGGTCCAGCCCTCCTACCTCCCTACTCTGTTTCACATCCTCCACACACTTCTGTATGAGGAGAGGAGATGGTCTCATTTCATGCTAGCAAAGCCATAGTCGCAGACCTGGGAGCCATCACACATCATGGTGTCAGCCAACTGCAGACTCAAGGGGTTTGGCTGCTATCAAAATCTATAGTTTTCCAGCTTGGCTTTTCTTCAATTTAAAGCAAGGAAGCACTTTCGGAGGCCGAGACAGGTAGATCGCTTGAGCTCAGGAGTTTGAGACCAGCCTGGGCAACATGGTGAAATCTCATCTCTACGAAAAATACAAAAAATTAGCCAGGCATGGTGGTGTATACCTATAGCTCCAGCTACTCAGGAGGCTGAGGTGGGAGGATCACTTGAGCCTGGTGGGCAGAGGTTGCAGTGAACCCAGATCGCACCACTACACTCCAGCCTAGGTGACAGAGTTTGACCCTGTCTCAAAAAAATAAAAATAAAAAAATAAAGCAAAGAAGTGGGGGAGGAATAAGAAAAGGAAGGGAGGAAGAATACAGAGGCACATACGTAAAAGAGGGAAGAAAAGGAACGGAGCAAAGCACTTACTCTTAACATCTGTGGGCTTAAATGTTATTTCCCTCGCATACGTATACTAAAATCACAGCACAAGTAACCAGCCTAGTGCCTGGAAACAAGTACCCACTGATAATGTATTCATTTCCAATTTAATGAATCTACCATCCATTTTCAATTTTCGTATTTTCTATTCACTGAGTAGTAATGCTTATTATCATATACATGTTATAAAAGCATGCAAGAGAAGCAAGGGTGCACAGTGATACCCAAAATGAATTGTAATGAAATGAGAATAGGCTACCTTTCATGTGTGAAGGTGCCTTTCATGTGTTAAGGACCCACACTCCCTGGAGGCATGCTTGCTAGCTATTTTTCCCAGTGACAACAATGCATTTGCCCTATGCCAGGCACACATCTGTGAAGGTCCATGACCTCCATCTGTTATCTGTTTGGAGACCCCACCTTGAAGCCTGGCCTTCTGAGTACCTGCTTATTCTTATCACAGGTATGTGGCTCAACTGCAGGGGGTTTCAAAGAGCTGCAAGAGCAGCAAGTCACATAACACGCTTTGATAAAGATCCTCTGTATGTCGTTGAGAGTCTACAGCACAGCCACTGGTTACAAGAGCTACCCCTTGCTCGGAGTGTTAACACCAGGTGTGGCCCATGGCATAGAACACAGATGAAGGTAGATCCTAACAGGAAAAACAAACAAGACAAACAAAACACCACCACACCTAGTAATGACTGGCAGAGCAAAGGTGAGGGATAGCAGAAAATAAACCTGAATTGTATTAAAATCACAGAAGTTGAAGACCTTAAGGAAAATCCAAAGCTCCTAATTTCAAAAAGAAAGAAACCAGAACCTGGCTTTATCCCCACGTTTAAACCTTCCGTTAGCAGCAGACCCGGCAACAGAAAGCAGTTCTCCTTTTACCCAATGCACCCTGTCGGATTGAAGAGAGTTGTTCCACCTGTGAACTGAGGGACCCGAATCAAACCACTCCTCTTTGACCTTCACTGACCTCCTCCAGAAGAGGAGAGACTTGCGAGGATTAAATGAGATGCTATATGTGAAGCAGAGTCAGCACTGAGTAAAAGGCATTGGGTCTCAGAATGTGTTTTCCTGTCTCTCAATTCCAATTGCTATTAACAGTAAATACCTTCCCTGAGGTACACTCAGTTCTGAGGACCCAGACGCAATCTGAAAACCACACACTACTGCTATGACATTCACTAAATTGATATTCACTAAATTAGGCAACATTTGCCTTGCAAGATAAAGAAATGTTTCCTTTTATTTTAAAATTATCAGTGGGCCCAACCCTTTTAAAAATTAGAAATGCCCATCTCTAAACAAAAAAAAAATGGTATAATCATATATGCCAACCAGGCCTGACAGAACCACTGAGTTAATGAATCTGAGACGGACACCTTCTAGAGAAACAGTCACGGAAAGTTCCAGAATGAACCAGATTCTATGACTGCCGATATAAAGGGAGAGACGAAGCACTATACCTAACGCCACTTGAGTGATCACCAAATGTAAAACATCAAAAGATTCTAGCAGGGCCCAAACTTTAAAAGCTTCTAGGGAAAACTGACTAAGCAAGTAGTCATAGCAGCTGTTATCACACTTAAATATATTCTCACAGTATCAAATAAGTGACCCTAACTTGCCTTACAGGGCTCTCAACCTGAGTCCATATGTCTCTTGCCCTCATTCACTGCACGCCAGCCACACTGACCTTACTTCGCCCTATGAACGTGCTAAGGAACTTCTCAAGTCCTGGACTCTCTCCCTGCTGTTCCTTGTCATGAATGCTTTTCCAGGTAGTGGCTCACTTCATTTATATATTGGTTCAAACATCACTCCTTCAGAGGCCTTCCCCATCCTAAACGTACCTTGTCTTAGTCTGGGCTGCTATAACAAATTACCACAGACTTTTATTTCTCATAATTCTGGAGACTAAAATTCTAAGATCAACATGTGGGAAGATTCCGTGTCTGGTGAGGACCCTCTTCCTGGTTAGCTAATAGCTATCTTCTCCTTGTATCCTCACAGACAAGAACAGAGAGAAAAAACAAGCTCTGGTGTCTTCTTCTAAGGGCAATAATCTCATTCATGAGGGCTCTCCCCTCAAAACCTAATCACCTCCCAAAGGCCCCAGACCATTTAACACCATCGCCTTGGGGGTTAGGATCTCAACATATGTATTTGGAGAGGACACAAACATTTAGTCCACTACACACCTTCAACCTCTTTCCCAGGCAATTTTCTCTTTTAACCTTGCTTTATGTTTTGTGTGTGTGTGTGTGTTTTCTAAATAAGATTTCTCACTCCTTGACATTACATGTAAACTGTCTATGGCCAGTCTCCTTTGCTAGAATATAAGCTCTCTGAAGTGAGGTATTTTTGTGTATTTTGTTTTGCATTACGTTTCTGGCACCTAGAAGACACGCAATAAGCACTTACTGAGTCACATAATTGATCCTCCAACTCCATATAGCCAATCTGATCAAGTGGATTCCCTCTGCATGGCTCATCTGAGAGAATTATTCCACCATGCTTTGTAAATTTTTTTTAAACCACAACTGTAAAGCACTGGATAAACTGGCTTTGCTTTGCAGCTCAATCTCTCCCATGTTTCTCTACTCATAGCAGACACCAGATAGAGATAAAGCCACAGGATCAGCAAGCCCCTCTGTCACAGCAATCAACTGTGCATGGCCATCCTGCCAGTGCTGTTTTCAGGGGGAGCACCCCTTGTAAAGTAAAACCAGCCATGGAGGATGCATGTCCAACACAGAAATGAAGGATGATCTGGAGAGGTTTTAGAAGAACAATTTCTATGACCAAAGATAGCACAAACCAAACTATATGAAATGACTAAAGACAGGAAGCCATACCTCAAGTTTGCATGTGGAAAAGACACAGGAAGGAAGTGTGTAAGAAAGGAAGAGGATGACTAGATCATCAGTCCCCAATTTGCAGCACAGTAAGTGCAACTGGCCTCAACCTATAATCTACTTTAATTCCCCACAAAGAGCTGAGTGGCTCTTGCTAGGCAACATCAACGGAGTAATTTTTAAAAGTGACAGCTCTGGCCAGAAATGGTAAAAGTAGAAAAACTAAGAACGCACAACAATACAACAAGTGGCCAAGATCAAGTTGGTAGAAGCAGCTCTTCTCAAAATCATCTGTTTCAAGTGTGCACTTTTGGAAAGATGGGATGCACATGAGAACACACGAGTAGGACTATCAAATACCTCACAGTCTGCCTTGAATCTGCATGACCTGGAAAGCTCTCCAGCTCTGAGAAGTCCTTGTGTCAGGGGTGGGTTCCCAGGACCACTCCCAAGTTCTATGATTTGCTAGGAGGACTCATAGCACTCAGCATATATACTCACAGTACATACTCATGAATATGTACTAACAGTTCAGATTTATTATAGCAAAAAGATACAAAGCAAAAATCAGGAAAGGAAAAAGGTGCATGGGGCAATGTCCAGAGACCAGGCACAAGCTTCCAAGAATCCTCTCCCAGCGGAGTCATATAGGGCATGCTTAATTCCTCCAGCAACGAGCTGTGACGACAAATGTGGTCTACCAAGGAAGGTCTTTAGAGACTCTGTGTCTTACTGAGTGTTGGTCACTGTACCTAACATGTGCCAAGATTCCAGACTCCCAGAAGGAATGCAGGTGTTCAGCATAAACCATATTATTTGTACACATGGTTGAAGCATAGTCAGTCACTCTTATCAGCATATGGTAGGAAACTGGATTTCCAAGATCCAAATTCTCAGATGCTAGTCCATGGTTAGTCTTGCAAGCAGACCTTTCTAAAGACAGCTATGTCAGGCCTGCTACGCTGACAACTTTCGGCAGAACCCTGCAACCACACCAAAGTCCCTCAACATCTACATGCACACAACACACAGTGTTCCGCTGACTCAGGTAGCACATGGGAGACTGGCAGGAAGCAGCTGGCTGATGGCTTTGTGCCCGGGCCACTACCAAGGGGCAGTATTGGCAAGGACTTAGGAAGGGCCACAGAAGAGAGATCGGCACCCTGGAAGAGAAAAGCGTTCCCCAAGAGCATGCAGCCCAGCAATGGTTGCCTTCTCAAAGTCAGAGGGAACAAGACAGGTCCATGGAGTAGAAGAGCAGTCCTGCCGAGCAAAGGGCATGTGGGAAGAGGAGAGACTGGCACACTGCGGTGCCCAACCTATAGGGCAAGCAGAGACCTTGAGGAGTAAGTCTGGGTCTTGAAGAGGATGGAAGTGATGGCCACACAGGGGGACGTAGAGAAGCCACAGGAAAAATAATGGGGCCCTAGAGACAAGGGAGATGAAGGGCACCCAAAAAAGACTGGCAGTTTAAACATGCGCCAAGTCTTTCACCTTCTAGGTGCTAACCACTGGCTTCCACCAGCTGGTTTGTTTTTTAATGTAATGTGTTTTACAATGCTGTGAAAACAGTGACAATGAGAGGTTTGAGCAAGTGAAGCCCATTTTGTACATCTGATATTTCCAGAAGGTGTGGGAGTAGGGGAGAGGGAGAAGAGTGGGAAGGGGAATGGGTGGCTGTCAGGGGAGAGCATGGCTACAACAGCAATATTTCTGGAAACCAGTTATCGGGGGAATTCACAGGAAGATAGGCTGACAGAGGTATTACACTCACATACATCATTTGAAGGAAGATGACTGCCACTGTCATTTATTGGTTTTTGCAAAAGGCATGACATTCATGCTTATTAGTTTTTATTCATAAGAACAATGAACCATCAATTTCCATAAGCCTTTGCAAATACTTACATGGTATCAAGCACCAAACAAACAAACATCTACTTCAGGGGTTGAATTTTTTTTTTTTTTTTAAAGAGCTAGATGGTAAATATTCTAGATTTGCTGTCCACGTAGTCTCTGTATCAACTACTCAATTTCTGATATTGTGATGTGAAAGCAGCCACAGGCAACACGGCAACACATCAACAAAGGAGCACAGCTGTGTTCCAGCATGACTTTATTTACAGACTGGGCTAGATTTTGGCGCACAGGCCGTCATTTGCCAACTACTGATCTAATTCCTATATGGAACTTGAAACAGGCAGAAACAGGTCTTGAATGGCCATTTAGGTTTTTTGTGGAACTGATGTTGAGCCATTTGATAGGCAATGTCTATCATGTGCCTGATAAAGTGTTTCAGGTGCCTCCACCCTCACAAGAAACTACCAGAGCCATGTCAGGAGACAAAATCATGCCAAACCAGCAAAAATAAAGGAGGCCTTTGCTTCCAGACACCAGCAAGAGAATTCAAAATTCAGTAAGCACTTGAGAATAAAAACCAAAGAAAGACATGGACAGAAAATTCACAAAATATACAAATCCCATAAAACATATGGAAAACAACCTCTCTAACAATCAAAGAAACATATGTAAAATATCATTTTCCATTTATTACACTGGTGAATTTTTCAAAGGAAAATACCAAGTATTTACACAGAGGATGTAAGACAGGAATATTCATACATTATTGATCAGAGTATAACTTGTAATGTCTATCAAGTCTTAAGATGCTTATACTAGAGCCTTCCAGTTATAAATAGCAAAGGCTTACTCTCTAGAGAGATTGAACAAAAAAGGCTCTAGATTCACAACAGTGGATAGGGTAGGGAAAAGGAAGTGAGGTCTCTACTACAAATTTTAAAAGGTCTTGGTCTCTAGCTATGAAGCAAAGTTCTGGCAGCCCCTGGGCAGAAGGCTGAAGGATCCATCTATGAGGAAACTAAGCAGAAGAGAAAAGACTGAAATAGACATTTAGGGTCCAACGTCATCTATGGTTCCCTAGGAGGTGGCCCAGCAGCTGCCAGCCCTCACTCACAGCCAACCTCACCCTCAAATATGAAACCAGCACTACAGATTACCAGATATGTGAGAAAACATTCTCACACCAAAGAAAGAAAAGTGAACTCAAACTGAAAAAGAAAAACTCTCAGATGATACATACAACAGAAAATGATTTAACAATATTTTTAAATATAATACCTCACAGATGAGCGAAGAATATTGATTCATGAAATCAGAGCAAGAATAGGATTTTTGTTTTTTAAAAGACCTTGAGAGAACAACAACTCTTGGAAAGAAGACTAAAATAGAAGAATTAAATTCAGGAGACGAGCTGGATGTAAAGTTGTGAAAATCTTACAGAAAATACAGCCATAAGATGAACAGGAAGGATAAGATGAGAGAAAAGTGATATGAGAGAAGGGGTAGGAATAGAGCCCCAATGTGCACAATCCACCCAGTGAGTTCTAGAAGAAAGACTGTAGGGAGATGAGACTACTCAATAAACAGTTCACAAAAATTTCCCAGACAAGAAAGATGTCACAGAAGAGTCAGAAAAAGGATGAAATGTGGTCCACACCAGGCACAGGAAACATCTGAACACAAGGTAGAAGCAAATCCCACCAGCTTCCAGAAGGCCAAAAGTCACATCTAGGTGTGATAATGCCTCTGGACTTTGCAAAAATGACTCTGAAAAGCAGAGGTCAAAGGAACAAGATCTTCACATTGTTTAGGGAAAAACATGTTCAAACCTAGAATTTTATATGCAACGAATGTATCATTCAAGTGGGAAGGCAGAATAAAGACATTTTCCAAAATTCAAGAAACCTCAGTTGGGCGCGGTGGCTCACCTATAATCTCAGCACTTTGGGAGGGCGAGGCAGGCAGATCACCTGAGGTCAGGAGTTCAAGACTAGCCTGGCCAACATGGTAAAACCCCGTCTCTACTAAAAATACAAAAATTAGCTGGGTGCCTGTAATCTCAGCTACTTGGGAGGCTGAGGCAGGAAAACTGCTTGAACCCAGGAGGCAGAAGTTGCAGTGAGCAGAGACTGCGCCACTATACTCCAGCCTAGGCAATAGAGCGAGACTCCATCTTAAAAAAAAAAAGAAAAAGAAATCTCATGATTTCCCCTCCATTTACCTTCTTCTCTCAGAAAACTATTACAGGATGAGGCAAGAAACCAACAAAGGGGAAAATGTGGAATCTAAGAAATAAAAGACCCAGCACCAAAGGGGAAAAGGGGCTTTGGAAACAGTCCTACGACAACTGTACAGCAGGCCCAGGATGCAGCCAGGCCAGCCTGTCACAGGAGGGCAGAAAGCATCAGGAAGACGACTACTGAATAAAAGCATGGTAAACTATTTGATCTGTGGGCCACAGTAAGAAGGGTTCTCTGATGGAATGTTTAGGGCTGAATTTTGGTAAGGGTAAGAATTTTTTTTTGTTTTGTTCACTGATGTGTGGCTTGGCACACAGAAGATAATTAGTAAATATTGTCCTAATTAATCAAAACAATGCAAACATAAGAAGTAAATTATTAACGCTGGGAAAAACAGAAAGATGTATCAGAATGGCAATTTACTATCACCTTATTTTATTTTAGTAAGTGGCTAAGCAGTGTCCTTATAAAGTAAGCACTGACCACTAAATTTGACCCCAGCAAATATTTAGGACATTCTGATTCTGGAAAACAGAGAGGAGCCATGTAGCGGAGGGGTTGCTGGCAATGGTGGCAGTGTCAGAGAGCTAAATTCCCATCTTCCATAACAGAAAATCAGTAGATAACCTCAAAAAAATGCAAGATAAGAAAAAAGCAACATAAACATGTTATGGAGAAATATGAAAATATATTACTGGAAGAAACAAGAGTTAGAAGTATTTGTGTTTCCAGAACAAAAGTCAGGGGTAAGGAGGAATGAAGTATATAGCAGAAGACAGACTGGTTACAGTCTTATACTATTTGACCTTTAAATTTATACTTTTAAAATTATATACATGTACTAATTTGACAGAAATAAATACTAAACTTAAAAAGGGCTTATGCCCTTTGACCTAGCCATTCTGTTTCTAAGAAACTCTCCCAAGAGAATAATGCAAAGATTTATGTTCACCACAATGATCTTTGTAGTAGAAAAAAGGAAAAACAAAAATTGAGAACCTAGTTATTATGTAGTTATTTAAAAATAAAGCTTTTGAAGAATAAAGAGAATGCTCCCTTAAAAATCAAGACTTTAAAACAAAGAGTACAATTATAATCTTTATGCAATATACACACAGAAAAAAAAAGCTGTCATTGACAGTGCTCTAGAAAACAGGATTACAAGACTTTTTTTTCCTTATTCTTTTCTGTATTTTCCAAATTTCCTACATAACTTGGCCTTATCAAGCATTATAAAAAGTGTTTTTAATTTTTAAATCAGAAAAAGAATTGGAAAACAATTCTAGATATTTCTCTAGAGACAATTACCTCATTTAAAATATATAACGGTAAAGAAGAAAATCAAAGGGCAATCAATACACAATAACAAAAAGAAGACCAAAACAAAAAATCAAAACTCACAAAATTAAGTATGCTTAACACCTGAAACATTTACAACAATATCCAAATGGCCAGAAAGGTGTGGACTCTTAGATTACCTTCCACTCTTGAGCCTTAAACTATTTTCATCTTTAAAAATGCCACACGTGACCTTCTGGTGTGATGCACAATAAAATGCGATTGTCCCAGCAGTGGCAGATTAAATGGGCACATTAGAGATGCACCAGCCAGGATCTGAACCCTGGCTCAGACTGCCACCATTTTGGGTAGATTACACATCATATCCTACCCTGATCCTCTTAAATTGAGATAACTGTTCTGCAGGTTTGCTCTGAGGAAAGAACTAATAAAGTATTTTAAAGTTATTATTTGTGTCTGGGACACAGCGATCTCTCCATAAACAGTGGCTTTTTTTTTTTGCTCTATTTTATGAACACTTTACAAATCTAATATGTTTAGCACACAGGGTTGCATGCAGACTATGTACTGCATTCCAGACAGCACCATTCATTTAGGCCAGGGGTTGGCAAACTTTTTCTGTAAAAAGCCAGATAGGAAATATTTTCAATTTTGTGGGCCTTATGGTCTCCTGTACAACCACTAAATTCTGCAGCTGTAGCATGAAAGCAGCCACAGACAGTAAGTAAACAAATGGGCAAGGTTGTGTTCTAATAAAACTTTATTTATAAATTTAGGCAGTGGACTAATTTGGCCCATGGGCCACAGTTTGTTGACCCCTGACACAGGCTATGTAAATGTGGCCCACTAAAGTTCAACAGTATGGCAGCTAAAAGTTCCAGCACTAGAACTGTTGAGATAAATCTGGAGAACCATCCACCAAGGATTTTGGAAAGTTGCAATCTCCCATTTGGAGGAAATGTTAGAACATCTAAATCTTTTCCACTTATAAAAGCTCATGAATCTCTGGATCTGAAAGAGGAAACAAAGATAATGTGATGTGCTGAAGGTCTCAGCATCAATTCTGTCAGCAGTGGGCTTAATCCCAGCCTCCTGAGCCCTGACCCTACATTTCTTCACTAGGGCTCACAGTCTCTAGCCTGGAATTCCTCAATCTGTGGCCAGTTTACATTCTCAACTCTAATTGCTAGCCAGTCACAAATTTCTCAGAGAGCCTAGTGCAGCGATGTATCCTTGCATCACAGAAAGAGAACCCAGCGGCCGGGGGAAGCTGTATCGTTCTCCTGTTAAGAACAGGACCCAGCTTAAGTCAAGCCTCATAAATAACCATGAAGACCAATGACAACTTCACGGTGGGATTCTGAAGCCTCAAAGCCACACACCCACATTCTCCAAACTGAGAAGAGTTTCTGTAAAAAAAAAAAAAAAAAAAAAAAAAAAAGATACTACATTCCTCAACAATGGCTTTAAATGTGAATAGAGACAGGCACCTACAGACAAGAAGTTGAACCCTATATAAACTGTGCACCGACTTCATGACTGAAACTCCAAACCCTACCTCAAATGTGTGATCCTTCTGTTAAATCTTGATTTTATTTAGCCCCTTCTTTGATGAATGACTAGAACCTGCTCCCCATTTGGTGCCTCTAACATAATTTTCGAGGCTCCTTAGTTTTGGTTAAAAACTTATGGAACAAAGGCACATACAGACCCTCTTAAAACCATTTGCCAAAACCACATTTTGTTAATTATAGCAACAGCCAGTATTTCCTGAGCACTTAACCATGTGCCAGCCCTCCCTCCACAGACACTTTCTCATGTGGCCCCATGAGCTAGTTTCTGCTGTACAGATGAGAGAACTGAGACTTAACCTCTCTAAATGACTTCACCACAGTTGCACCACTGTGGAACTCAGACTTGAACCCCAGCAGCCTGAGTCTGTACTGCGCACACAAGTCTCATCACATGCTGAACCAATGCGTTAACACATCCAGACCTTTCTGTGGTTCCAACACTGCTCTCTCAAAAGTCTAGTTTGAGCCTAGCAGAAACATAAATGACAGATGATACAGTAAAGGGTCCTTTTTTTTTTTTTCGGTTTTGGTTTTAATAGGCCACCTTCTGTATTAGAATTAAAAGGGCCCAACAGTGGTTCTTAAATGCACCCAGGAAGAATGTGCCCTGGGCTGTTGTACAGACTGATCCTGCTGGCAGCTAGCTGGAGAACCCCAGGCCTCCCTCACTCAATAATATGGGTCTCTGCTCAATCTCTCTTCTTCAGAGAGGCTTTCTTGACAAGCCTCAAACCTGAAACAGCACCCACTTCCTTCGCTAATTTCTTACCCTACTTTGCTGTTCCTCAAGCATTTTTCACCAGATGTGTTTATGTATTTGTTTCCTATCTGCCTTCACTGCTGGAGTGTCATCTCCAGAAAGAAGAGATGGTTTTGCTCATCACTATCTCCAGTGCCTAGACAGTGCCTGGCACAGAACAGGCACTTGCCGTATCTGTTAGTAAAGAAACAAATCGATCTCTGGGTGGTAGAATAACAGCTACTTTGTATTTTCATCTTTTTGCTTAGCTGTAATTTCCAGATTTTCAGCAGAGCATCCCTCCTTGTACTACAGAAGCACTGTTTTTTAAGCCTTTCCTTTTGAAAACACAGCACTATTATTCAGTTATACACATCAACTCAAAGGTAGAGATGATGGCTGTATGGTCACTGGTAGCCCGGGGGCATGAAAACCCATGCTAAATTAATCCCCAGGTGCCTGGCTTGACAGCTCCGTACACCCAGCCCGGCATGGCACACACTCCTGGCCAACTCAGTTGCTAATAATGGCCTTCTGCCCTCAGGGAGCAACCATCCTCCCCATGTGGCATAGACACAGGCTAAAAGCCACCTTCTTAATCCTCATTGCATTCCTGGGCAGTACAGGGAAGGCAGTTTATCTTCATCACCATGTCATTCATGTCTGACAGAGGCCAGAAGCGAAAGGAGAAAACCTGAACACACAACCATCTCCAGGAGACACCCATCTGCCTCCCCAGAGTTAGGATTCTGTGAACCACTGATGAGAAATGACTGGCACTTCTGCCAAGAGGTTCACTGTGTTTCAACCTCAGATACCATCAGATACAGCTTCTACTAATCTTCTCCTTGCCTCGACCCAACTGCATCCTGAAATAAAGTCTTAAATATTTACTTTGTTCTTCTGCAAATCTTGCTATAACTTGTACTGTTCACATTAACCACACTTAATGAAAGCAATTATCGAGAAGGTTCTATTAACATAGAGTTTAGACAGGTTAATGACTGTCTTCCCTTGAGAGCTGAGCACTCCCGCACAGGAGTTCCCCTCCCCATTTTGGAGTGGGAAGGTACAGTAAAGGGTCAGGCAGTTTCTGGATCTGCTTAAGTTTGCTGTGACAAGTAGCACAGGAGCCATACAACTTCTGCCTTGTGACAGGAGAAAATTCCTTCTGTGCCAGTTCCTGTACATCATTGCTATCCCTATCCTGAGATGGCTATAGTGTTTGAAGGTCATTTCTAAGGCCAAAAGGTCAGGCAAAGCCAATAGGTTTTCTTGGACTAGGGTGAATGCATCTACAAGTTGAGGGTCAAAAAAGACATGAGCGCAACCAATACTTTCAGTCATTCTCCTCCGGTAGATGGTGAACTCAACATTCCCAAAAGGAGCCCTAGTTTCCTACCCAGCTGCATTTCCGATGCCTGACACAGACCTGGCATCATGCTGTCCGCATAGGTTGGATAAAAGATACATCAGTGTTTGCCACGTTATGTTTGTGACCACTGCTTTGTAACACGGTATTAATCACAGAGGGCAAGGTCAGTAGGTAGGTCACAGGAAGATGTTGGACCAGGATCTCAATATGCATCATCTCATTGCATCCTCACCATGAGGACAGTGTTGGTGTCACTACCGCCATTGCACAGAGCATGAATCGGAGGGTCAGCAATGGTTAAGTATAATAAAATGCTAACAGCAAGTATGTAAGTGGACCCAGAGTTCTGCTCAAAAATGTCTGATGCCAAAGACCAGGTCCAGGCTGTGACTGCCAAGTAGCTTCTGGACAGCCCTTTCACAAGGTCCGGTTTTCTGTATAAAATGCAACATTGGGAATGGGTAGTTTACATGCCCATTAAGCACTGACCATCTGCTACATGCCTGGCCCAGGAGTGAAAACCTGAGTTGGACACTTAAGAAGCGTATGAGGCAATAGCCAAAGCTTACGGAGCTCTTATTTTGTGCCCAGCACCTTGAGTGTGTTCCATGTGTTAACTCATACTCCTAGCAACAATACCATGGTACAGGCTCTTATCCTCATTTTATCAATGAGGAAACTGACTGGGTTTATCCAGGGTCCCATAATCATGTGGCTGCTGTTTAATCAAGTCCCCCGAAGGGGGAAAACATTAGCACAAGTCCTTCACTGGGTGTCCACTTTTCTCTGGTTCAAGAGCCCATCTCTAGCTGCACCAAGGTAAAGGAAAGTTTCCACAGTAAACGTTGACTAGAAAACCTCTCCAACATGAAACTTCAAGACAGCTTAAAACCAGCTAAGAGTGCAGCTGTCCAACTCTGACAATGCAAATCAAAATGCAGTTTATAATGCTCTGTCAATCCCAGACATGTCGTCCTCGGGTGACTCTGTCCACGCCATGGGCCCTCTGCTTGACATAAGCAGATTTGGGGTTTGTGATCCCACACGTGAGACTTGCTGAATGTTCAAGGGTAAAAGAAGTACAGAAGAAGGAGGCTGTGAGATGAAGATTATTTCTGCTGTCCTGAACTGTAGGGCAGTTCAGTCACACCCCTAATTGAATCCCTCTTTCTGTCATTTCTAAACCCAAAGAATTTCAAACCATCTTCACCCCGCATTGCTTTCTCTCCTTTTTCTGGGATGTAAGCGAGAAAGGAAAAACAAAAACTAGCAACTGATTTTTATTTAGGCTGCCTAATTTTAGAAGCTGTGGATATGCAAAGCCAAAAGCACAGCTTAAAGGAAAATCTCTCAAAACCCCAGAAATCTTCAAACCTACAAAACCTTTTCAAAAACATGGAGTCAGATACCTCTCTTCCATGTCTCACCAAATCAGCTTTATTCCAAGTATTTTTTTAAATTTTAAGATCTCAGGCTCTACAGTGAGTTTGTTGAAATACTTGTCAGTGAAAACAGGTAAAGGATGAAACAGCACAGACAAGGGACTATCTGAGGAAGCATATGCTATGCTGTAGCTGTGGAATGTCTATTGAATCAATACCATATGTAAGCTGATATCACAACTGTATACACATACCTCATTAAGCCAAATTAAGCAAGTGGGATCTGTCACCTTCTGATTAAAACAAACAAGTCTAATTTCAGCATGTCCTATCACCAATACAAAGAACAACCCTGAGTAGACGCACTTTCAAGGTCCCCAGGACAGCCCTGCAGTGTATGTTACTGAGTTCCCCCATCAAGTGGCTGGGGAGGAACATTATTCCCGACAGGGATATATATAGTCTCACTTTTCGAAATGAAACAAGCCATGTATTCCTTGAAGGGTCAGTAATTAGTCCAACAGAATTAGAAATTCTGGGTCCCTGTTTCTTTTCTGCAAGAACTATTCATTCAAAGCAACCTCTCAGGTAGTGGAGGTGGCCTGAATTTTTTTAATCCTACTTACAGGTTTATAATTAGCCACCAAGAAACACAAAATAAATTCTTATTATGGAATCTCAGTTTTCAAAAGTGAAGTGAAACAAAGGCTCTTCCGGTCTTAACAATTTAGCAGTAAACTTTCCAGGTGCTTCTGGGAATTCCAAAAGGATTCAGGGACCTGTCAAAGCACATAAGTGGCAGAAATGGTGATCTAGAAGTGAAAGCATGGCCATCAGCGTCATGGCAAAGGTTCTAGGACACAGTGCCTGACCGGCAGGAGTTGTGTTTAGGAGAGGGAGGAATGTACCCAGCTGGACATTTATTGATAAAAACCTGTGATTTGCCAGACTCCAAGCTCAGCACTGAACTGAAAAGAAAAATATGAGATCCCACCCATGCCTTTGAGGAGCTTACAGACTGGCTGTGAAGACAAGCAAAGAGTGGAAAAGTCCAAGGACACACATGGTAGGAACACAAGGCAAGGACATCACAAACCTCTGGGATGTGAGGGGCATCAAGCAAGTCTTAGGGAGACAGAGCTTCAAATGAGACTTGAAAAAAGTGGTAAAGAAGAGTCAGCCAGAACAACAGAAGCATGCCAGGCTGTGGACAAAAACATGTTAAGTGTGTAAGAGCATGAATAAACTGCAGGCAGGGGTTTGGGCTCGTTCCAAGTGGGGCTGAGGCACATTTGGCCACAGTAGTGCTTAAAATGGAGGCAGAAATTTAGCAGTCCTGAGGCTTTGCCCTCCAAACACTCAGGGAGAGAAAAGCTTGAGTCAGGTTTAGGATAGCTCCAGAAAGCCAAACCATGACATGACCAGGGTCTCTAGTAGCCATATGCATTTTATCTGCTCATCTGAAATCTCTTCAGGGACCCTCTCCTATACCATGAATTCCCAGGGGTGACCCATGTGACCCAGGCCTAGCCAATCAGGATGGAACATGATACTGGTCACTCTGACTGGATCATGAATAGGCATAGAGGCCAAGCCAAGCCAATCATGACCCTGCTCTAGAGAGTTGCCAAAACTTCCTGGAAAGCAGCACAGCCGTCTGGGACTGAAAACTAAAACCTAGAGCCTCCTTGGGACCATCCATCTCTGCCCTCACCATGCAAAGATGGCCTAAGAATGAAGGCAAAATAAAAGACAGAACATATTAACATAGCCTTGAAGGACAGCATCACTTCTGAACTGTATTTTCTTCTTAATGATAAAAAGCAAAACCCTCTTGACAACACAAAGTGAAAACTATACCAACAATGAGAAGAATTTTCGGTAAACATACCAAAAGAAATGGCTTCTGACAGTATCCAATACCTGAGAGGACACAGCTGAGGTTCTTAAAGATGGCTCCCATGTCTGAACCTCTCAACAGCATCCCACAAACTTTCAAATGACATGAGCCCCAAGTTCCCTTTTAGTTTAAGTTAATATAAGCTAAGTGGTTGGCCTCTTGCAACCAAGAGATTATTGACAAAACATGAATTTCGTGATGAGCTAAATATTGATAACAGAGGCACAAAAAGATCAATTTGGGAACTTCAAATTTAAAGTGTTCCAGTGAAACACTATATACAAAATTATTTTCTAATCTATAAAGCACTATACACATATTAATTTCACTATTAGTGGTGATATCCAAATAAGAAGTCACTACAGTGTTCCATTTTTATGTCAATATTCCAAATATGTAACTTTTAAACTGTAATTAACAAATGCTCATACAGTACTGACTTTATGCCAAGCATGTTTCTAAGAACGTTATTGGTCTCACCTAATCCTCCTGACATGGTTTGGCTCTGTGTCCCTACCCAAATCTCATCTCAAATTTTAATCCCATGTCAGGGGAGGGAGCTGGTGGGAGGTGAATGGATTATGGGGGCAGTTTCCCTCATGCTGTTCTCATGGTAGTGAGTTCTCAGGAGAGCAGATGATTTTAAAGTGTGGCACTTCCTTGCTCTCTCGCTCGCTCTCTCCTGTCGCCATGTAAGACGTGCCTTCCTTCCCCTTCCACTATGATTCAAGTTTCCTGATGCCTCCCCAGCCATGTGGAACTCTGAGTCAGTTAAACCTCCTTTCTTTATAAATTACCCAGTCTCAGGTAGTATCTTTATAGCACTGTAAAAATGGACTAATATACCTCCTAACAATACTGTGAAATGGACACTACTATTATTTCCCCCATTTTACAAATGGGGAAACTCAGCCAGAGGAAGGCTAAGAAACTTACCCAAAGTCACACTGCTATGAAGTGGTGGAGCCAGTATTTGAACCGAGCCAGTCTGGTTCCACAGATGCTGCCTTTCATTGTCCCTCATCCCCTCAACACTAGCATCAAAGTTTCAACTGCCTTTAAACCGATATTCTGAAACAAATGGCTTGTGGCTACAGTCCTCATGGAACCTTGTCTCTCTGCTGGGTTGTTTCCTCAATAATGAGTCACCCAGCTATCCTTCAAGCTACACCCTTGGAAATAATTATGACAAATTCTCCCTTGCCCTGTCCCACGGTCTGTCCGTGTCCCCATAACACCAGCTTCACCCTAACGTGGGTCTCAAATTCTTTCTCCCTGGGCCATAGGAACATCTCTAACCCAGGGCATTCTCCTCCTAACTGAAGATTAAATGCAGTCTCTCTCACCCATTCATATGCATTTCACTCCACATGGCCCATAATTATTCTCTGGAAATACAGACCTCACACCTATTCATCCTCCTACTTTAAACCTCTCATCAACTGCCACGGCCCAGGGAACAAAATAGAAACTCCTTCATTTAACATTGAAAATGCATCACAAATCCCAATTAACTCTCTAGTCTCATTTTCTTCAATATTGCTCCAAGTATGCTGTCAAGGGTATTTTCTGATGTAAAGTAGATCTTTGGGGACCTGTCTTGTTTTCTTTAACTTATTTAATTTACTCTCTCATATCTTGATAATTATATACTTTGCTTAAAATAACAAAGAATTTCTTCTAAAACATTCTGCAATTTAAACCCATTCTCTAAGACTACTTTGTACCATTGTTATCCGGAATTAGTGGTCCTTTCACGAGAAGAAATAATTACCTTCTATAGAAGCAGAAGTAAAATGTACATTGCCAAAAGCACACTGTGGGCCAGGAAAGGAGTTCCTTAAGGGCAGGATCCTAAAATAGTCTTCTGGGAGTTTCTAAAATCTCTTTCCTTGGAGGCCTCCAAGACCAGTGGCAAAGCTAAATGAGGTGGAGATTGGCGGGCGGCGGGGGTGGGGGGGCTTGTGAACAGCCTTGCTAGGAAAAGGGAAAGGAACTTTAGGTCTCAGCTGGCAATCAGGAAACTTCAGCGTCTCAGGCGTCTTTCTGCACTAACCATAGGTGAAAATATCTGCTGGCACCAGATTCTAACAGTATCTCATAGATCGGAATTTCACAAACCTGCCACAATTGACATTTGGGGCTGGATACTTCTATTATGGGCAGTGTCTTATATATTGTAGGATGCTTTTTGCAGCATCTCTTGTCCTCATCTATTAGAAATAAATAGGCCAGTCACAGTGGCTCATGCTTGTAATCCCAGCACTTTGGGAGGCTGAGGTGGGAGGATCGTTTGAGCCTAGGAGCCCAACCAGCCTGGGCAACATAGCAAGACCCCATTCTCTACAAAAAATAAGAAAAAAGAATTTGCCGGGCATGATGGCACATTGCCTGTAGTCCCAGCTACTCAGAAGGCTGAGGCGGCAGGGGGTGGGGACATGGAAGGTCGAGGCTGCAAAGAGCTGTGATAGTGCCACTGCATTCTGGCCTGAGCAACAGAGCGAGACTGTCTCAAAAAAAAAAAAAAAAAAAAAAAAAGGAAATAGCACCTCTTCATTTGTGAAAACCAAAATGTGTCCTGACATTGACATGTGTCCCCTGGGGGCAAAATCGCCCACAGCTGTTAATCACTGCTATAAATTCACTTCCTCAAAGATCACCATCACTTCTGAACTGTCTTTCTTCTTCTAAATAAAAACAAAATATCCTTGACCACACAAAGTGAAAACCATACCAACAAAGACAAGCATTTTTCTGTAAAGATACCAAAAGAATAGCTTCTGACAAGGGTCCACATATTTATTGTTACCATTGCAAATAACAAAACAGAAAGTGACAGGTAGATAGACAGAACATATTTGCTTCTTGCTCAACTTAATAGGAAGCCACCTGCAATCTCATCTCTCTCCCGTCTCTCAGTAGCATCTGGGATCTCACTGACATACCAGTATCTGACCCTGGGAAAGTCATCTGCTGAGCCACTGCCCAGGGGTGGAGCTGGGACACTTCAGGTGCTACTTCAACACAAACTGATGACATGGGTACACATACAAGGAAAGAGCACAGGTACAACTAAATTTCAAGGTCCATTAGCAGCACAAAGAGGGGGAAATTGCACTTCCAAATGCAAGCCCTGGAACTCAGCAGGGACATTTTTCATTTTCAACTTTCAAATGGTAAGAATAATAATAATGGTTGCTGTTTTTAAGAACAGCTTCCAAATTCAAATACATTGCACTTCAACCCCAAATACTAGAAAGTGTTGCATATCGCTCCCCACTTTGGAAAAAATGCAGGGTTGCTGTAAGTTCAACTTGGATTAAATACCAGGAAACTGTCGCTTGAGTTATACCTGTACCTTTGATTTTGTGGTTCTGCTTCCCAAGTGACCTTGCAATTATTAAGTCATCACAACACCACTTGGATGCTATCATTATGGTTTTGGCTTTTAAGGAACAGTCAGCACTGGCCAGTTATTCAGCTGACCTTGAATGACAACTCTTTATTGAGAGTATAAATAAATGTGTACACATGCACATACATACACTACCCCGTAGAGAGCTACACAATGTTCTTGTCCTCTAAAGTATCACAATCTAGGATTGTAACTATCACATCTAGGATTGTAACTATCACATCCTATGAAGCCTCCACATCCCATAACCATTGATGGGAAGTTCAGTCCTGACCAACAAAAAAGGCAGTCCCACTTCTTAGGCGGTGTCTGCTAAGGTCTGAGAACTAGGGAAACGAAATACCAAGTCCGACTTCTAGGCAAATCACCACAAATGTAAATTGAGAAGAAGAACTATAAGAAGAAACTCTTCCAGGTGGTGAAACCAAATGCTGTTCCCTCCAATAGAAACCAATCCATGTGAGCAATATTTACTGAATTATCTTCAACAGGTAAGGCTACAATCAAGACACTATGGGCAGAACAAAGATATATCAGACATTCAGTCCTTAGAAGGCAAGCATTTTCATGATCAGATATGTATACTTTTTACCTTTTCCCCATTTCAGGTACATGACAAAGAACCACAGATCCAATCCTATTCGCTCCACTTCCTCACTTAAGATCACAAAACTAGAGAAAGACAGAATGGGTCTTTCTAAAATTCAAAGCATCATTCTAAAAGGAGAGAATTTTGACGAAGGCCCTTCAAGCCCTTTCAGAAAGTGAATATGGAGAAATTAATTTACTGTGTGATTGGTGGAAGGGTGGGGATTTTAAAAATCTGCTTTTTCATTCCTTTGAGTCCCCTTTCTCTTCAACAAGACAAACAGAGCTCAAAAATCCAGTTCAATCTGATTTCTTGATTTTAATAAAGCTCATTTCCACCTAAATTTCCCTAGGGGCAAATTTACTTTCACATTAAAAAACCCTCGGTGATAAATTTGTGAAGATAAGCCATACTGGATAAAAGCTACACAGAACACAGCTAGAGAGAAAAAATAAGGAGACACACAGACACACACACACACACACACACAGAGCTATCCCCCTAAAGAAAATAAATTTAGGGAATCCTTCTTCAATTGCTATGGTACCCAATTTAGAGACAGTTTATAGCCAACCAGAAGATATATTAGCAAGCAATAAGACACAACAATAAGCAATCAGAAACATCAGTGAGCAATAAGACACCAGAGTCAGCTGTAAAGACACACCAGGGAGAACATTTCTGAGCAATTACCGCATGTCTCCATTCAGGAAGGGAGAGAGAAAAACTTTACTTGGCGAGGATTGGAACCCCATAAAACTGAACTCTCACAGCTCAGGAGCCATTCTTGGGTTGACAGAGGGGTCTGAAGACATCAGCATGGTTATGGATCAGAGAGAGGGCAGAAAAGCAAGGAAGGGCTGCTCATAAATGAGAACTGTTCACTTAAGTCCTTGTCCTTCTTTCTGGTACTCTATAGACATGGCAAATCGTTTTTTAAAAATATGTAGTTGACTGACAAGATATAAAGGACCCCCCCCCACCTTCTGGGGGAAATGAAGAAGGCTGTCCAGCATATCTATATCCACTTTGGCCAAGACAGTGTCTATGAAAGGGATGCCTCTGCATGCATGCACGCGCACGCGCGCGCGCACACACACACAGACACACACACACATACACGGGCCAGCTTTTACAAACATTAGCCTGAGAGCAGACACTGAGACAGAGAAATCCTTAATGAGACAGATGATTAAATCTAGGAAACTGGCAGCTCTCTTCTAGGTAAGAAAATGGTAGCATCTTTTTACAGACACATGCCTTTATGATAATTTACAAATGGAAGGAGAGATGGAGTTAACACTCAGAATCTCTTCTCTACATAGCACTAGCAGATCTGAAGCTGAGCTCAGGGGACTCCAGTACCAACAGTCACCCACTCCCAAGTACTTAAACTCAACAAAACCTGTGAAAACCCTTCTCAGAGATGCTAAGAAGATTAAGTAAAATCATGTACATTGGAGGGTCAGGCAGAGGAACTTGTATTTACTGGACAGCTACTAAATGTTAGTTTCCTCTCCTTCCCTGCCTCCCAATTTTTTTCTGAGTCACCCCCACTTTACAGCAACCATGGTTTGTGTCATTTTATGCATGTGTATTCTTTTCCTAATTAGCCAGTAAAAATTATGATGGTATGGACTGTGTCCCACACATACCCGAGAGATGCAAAGACATGCAAATGAGGTTAATCATTAAATGTGTAACTCTAAATTTGCTCCCATTGCCCAAAAAGGAAAAAAAAAACAAAACACAACACTCTGGTTCTTTAAATATTATTAAAAACACAGCACCAGTGGCACATTTAAAGGAGTCCCGCTCAGAGCCATTGGCTTAGAGAACATGATGCTTGTTAAGCGGTACACTAGCTCAATACATACGGCTGGTATATTTCCAGACTTCGTTTGAAAGTAGTCACCAAGTCCTTCCCATTTCCTTCTTAGAGGTGTACCCACGACCCTGTGCTCTGTGGCTTAAAGCCCAGGTAGCAAAGTCCTTGTGAGCCTTGCAACAAACAGGACAGCCAGAGGCAGCAAGATGCCACGATGGGGGAAAGAATGACAGCAGATGTGTTTATAGAGGCTCACAAGCCACAGGACTTCAGAGGCAGTGGAGAACAGCAAAGTTAAAGGCAGAACACTCCATCCCACCTCCAGAAATATGACACAGAACAGTGATGAAACCACATAGGGCCTTTCCAGTAGCATTTTCTACAGGGTACAGGGGTGGCAAGTGGAGACTGAAGAGGCATGGTTCCAGTTATTAAAAAGCAGCTAAACACAGTGGGAGGTTCTCTTGTCTAATTACAGAAGCTGTTGGAAACTGCAAGGAAGACAGGATTTACGGCCTAGATGACACTGCCTCTGTGTTGTAATTAAAAGTTATTTTTAATACCTTTGTTTGGTTGAATACTTTGAATTATTAGAAATATATTTTGCAATTTAAAATTTGCTAAAGGGCAAAGAACATTAAAAAAGGTAATAACAACCACCTTGCATAATGTAAAACAATTAAATGTTTTGACGCTGGGAGGTGGGAAAGGTAAAGAATCTCTCCCACTTAAGTGTGTGAATTTTTACAAGCAAAAGGGAAAGGAAAATAAGCTTAAAAGTATATGAAACAAGATTTTTTTTTAAAGCAGGAACTGATGTCAAAAGTAACCTAGTTACTTACTTTATCTATTAACCAGAGTTTGGCTACCACCCACCAAAAGTATAGACAGCTTGTTCACAACCATTCACCCAAAGCACTGAATCCTAATCCTCAGGCTCTTCACTTTGTCCTGGGTCCCCAGAAAATCGTGGTCACCCTAACAAGAGCAGTCCTGGTTCAAGCACAAAGACCCAGGGGCTGACCTCAGAGCAGTGTGATGGTGGGGGAGTTGCGGGGATGGGGGGGTTCTAATGTGAGCTGCAGGCAACAACATGCAGCGTATAATCTGGGTGTTGTTTTTAGTCAATTTTCCTTGTCTCATCCAATATTCCAGTTTCCAGAAGGAGCCAAACAAAATGCCTCCCAGTGGGAACCGCATGGTGGTGTACATGAGTGGCTACAGAATCTGCCTACGACTAGGCAGGGGTTATCTCCTAAAAGCCATTTCCAGAATTTCTATTTCTCCATATATACATAGGAGGCATTTTCGGCAATGGTGGCTCTTTTTTAACAACAGGGAGGAGAGAACCTATTATACGTAACAGACTTTCAAAATTGTCTGATGGGAGTACGGAGGAGGAAGAACTCTAAAAGGCACAAGCTTCTCAAATAACCTCTGTATTTCATTTAATCTATGCCATGAATCTTCTCTTTACAAGTGAATTCCAGGAGCTCATTAAGAGCAAATGTGTCACACAAACCACCAAATATTATGCATCATGATAAAACTATAAAAAGCATTTTAACATCTGCTATTAAAAAATAAATTTAGACTTATCTTTACAATGGCCATGCCAAGTTTATAGAATTTATATTATGCAGGTTCCAGTAAGAACCACTGCTCTCCTTTATTCTCTTCTTGGTCCAAAGCAGGGTGTGACTCCATATCAGGGCAGAGAATTGCTATTTTTACCTGCCACATTAATTTTCTCAAGTGCAACCAAGCTGGGAACAGCTGTAGTGGAGTTGGTTGAGTTTGTTCCGGTGCCATTGACAACAAGATTGTCCACCTTCGACTCCAACTTGCCAATGCGCTGCAAAATGTTATCTAATAACACAGCAAGGGTTTTCTTCAGATCTGTAAAAGAAAGTGCAGACAATTTTAAAATTCTATGGCCTCTACATATCTGTCTGGCTTGCTCTCTCTTTATCGTGGAGAACAAAACTTCTCAAATGTTTCTGAAGTGATACAAAAGATCTGTCAAACCACATCTGAAAGATGACAAGGGCCGTCTTCAACTGGCCCAGATCCTACTAAATACATCAGTCTGTCGTGGAATGCAAGTCTGGCAATAAGTAACATGGTATAACTATTTCCAGCTACTTGGTCAAGAGAGAAAACTCCTTGTTATTTAGCATCCTGCTATAGCACTACACTGAATTCCTCCTCCTTACAGCACCATAGTTTCTCACACAAAGCTTGACACCCCAAGGGTGCAGCAAGATCCCAAAGTAGCCTCTGGATCAAGTTTGTTATTTTTCGTGTTGCATACTCTAGCATGTCCCAGTTTTTTAAAAAGTGTTTAATTCTGTTAGTTACATACACTAACACTTCATAAAAGCTACAGCTCCAGATTTTCAGGTCTGCTAGGTAACCCAGAGTTGACTATAATCAGATTTAGGAAATATTTAAAATAAAGATTAGTCTCATTCATTTGCTCACAAATATTTATTAAGCTACTACTATGTGCCAGATATTATTCTAGATGCTGGGGATATACTCTCATCGTTCTTACATTTAAGAGTTGGTTCCCTTTCTCACACATCTGACTACACATTAAAGAGTACTGCACTTCCCTCTGGAAAAATTACAGGAACTCCTTCTTCACCCCTATGGATGCATTTACTATTTGTAGACAAGATATTCAAAGAAAAAAGAAAAGATAAGCTTAGACTCTCTCCTCTAAAAATTCATAATCACAGAAAGATATACTGACTTGTATGTGTCAGAAAAGCAGATGGGTGACTGCATAACCATCCACAGAAATAGAATCCAGACCCATTTCTGAATTGGGAGTGGGCCAGGGGAAAAGTGCACAGTGTGGGTAGCAGGACTGAGAAAAGCCCTGAGTTAAGACAAACGGGAAGGTGCCATCTTCCATTCTCCTAAAAACAGAGCAAACTTGTCCCTGAGCAGATGCGGTAATCTGGCCATGAAATAAACACACATGCTCACATAAACAGCACAGATCACAGCCAGCGAATCTCAACAAAGGTGCACCAGCCTGTTCCATTATGCCTCATGAACCAGAAGCAGATGCTGGTGCTGTGCTTCTTGTACAGCTGCAGAATCTTGAGCCAAATAAACCTCTTTTCTTTATAAATTACCCAGGCTCAGGTATTTTTTACAGCAATGCAAAATGGACAACTGTTTTATCTTCACATCCTCCCCATGAGGTAGATGTGACTCCGTTTTACAGATAAGAAAACTGAGGTTCACAGATATTAAATAATGAGCTGATAAAATGAGGGCTTGCCTCAGGACTGCTTAATTCCCTGACATCTCAATGGGACCAATCAGAAGTCAAGAACCTGGGTAGAAAAAAGAAACCAAGGGTGAAGTTCAGAGTCTTTCATCCATAACACAGTGGTTAAGGGCCTGACTTTGGAGCCAGAGTTCCTAGGTTTGAGTCCTACCTCTGGCATTCCTGTTTCCTTACCTGTAAAAGAGGGACATGAACAACACTTCAGCTTTGAGGTTGTCAAGAGGAGTTAAAGAGTTAATATTTATAAGGTGTTTTGAATACTGGCTGGCACATAATAAGCACTGCATAACTGCCTGTTAAATATATAAGTAAAATAAAACCTTTCACTGGAAAATGTTCTCATCCTTCCCAAAGAACTCTCTCCTCAGGTGATGCAAAGCTTCACTGCTTTATCCAAGGGGTCATGAGAGCACTCTCCTCTGCGGTCTGCAGTCCCACGGTCAGCATGACTCAGTTTGTCACAGGCACATCATTAGTTGGCACAGACAGCGGGAGTCAGTCACCTGTTCTGTCACTAAGTCTAATGCATCAACTGGCTCTCCAGAGTTCTGAAGAGTGCCAGAGGCCAGTCACACAGAAGGGGGCAGTCGTGCCAGTGAGAAGTGGCAATGTTCAGTATAAAGAAATACTCTTCAGATATAAAAGATCAATCTCCCCCATTTCAGCCTCTTTGCCTAGAGCCTGTGTCATCAGCCAGCTAGAATCCGAATACAATCTAGAATAGCATTTAACTATCACCGGTAATTGTAGTTGGCCAAGCACAGAAGCCCTGGCCCTCTAGTGTGACTTAACTCAGGATTTCTCAACCTCGGCACTACTGACACTTTGGGCCGGGTAATTCTTTGTCGTGGTGACTGTCCTTGCATTGTAAGATGCTTAGCAGCATCCCTGGTCTCTACTCCCTGAATGACAACAGCAATTATCCAGGTGTGGCAATCAAAAACGTCTCCAGACACTGCTAAATATCCTTTGGAGGGACAAAACTGCCCTGATTTGACAACCGCTGAATTAGGTGCATTCTCTCAACCCCTCTGTATTCCCCACTGCCCCTCTGTGGAGACATGGAGAGAGAACTGTGATAGAGAGGTTACAGGATAGGAAATGCCTACTGAATGAACCTGCATCATGTGTGACTTCCATTCACTGGAGGGACTGCTACAAATACAACAGAAAGTTGCAGTGAGAGAAGTCTGCCTTCCTCCCTATGGGGGAGCTAACAGAACATGAGCCAATGCTGATGGGCTCTCATCAGACTACTGGACACAGTCCCTCAATCCATTGTTATTGGTGATAGTTATTAGTGGAGTATACTCTAGGTAGGATATGAAGTTGTCATACTTACAATTAAGAAGATATTCTCCCTCAATTCTCAAATTACAGTGACCAGTAAATACAACTGACCTACTATCTCTTGTTGACCCCATCTGCCAAAGATTGACCTTCTGTGACTGTGTGACATGGAGTGTAAAAGGGGATTCATAATGAGGAGGAGGGATCACCATCACCACGGCCACCCCAATATAACCTCCTCCACTTATTGAACTTTCTATATGCCAGGCAGTGTGCTGAGCACTTTACATGAACTAATTCATTTAATCCTACCAAGACAGTCTGAGGAGCATGTGATCATCCCTATGCCCCTCTTAACAAATGAATAAATCACAGCACAGAGAGGCTAAATAACTTAGCAGAGGTGATTACAGATCCAGGACTCAAACCCAGTCTGGTTCCAGGGCTGATGGCTCTTACCCACCATGCTTCACCACCTCTTAAGAACTACAATGGACCTGTCCACCAGCAAGCATCTCTGACTTGCTCCCCCTGAATCTACTTGTTAGGGAATAACCTCTGGGATTTTGCCATGTGTTTGTGTAACAACATATACCAATCACTCTTAAGACTCACTCATGTCCCTGTCCTGTGGTAACTCTGTCCACCCGACCCAGTATCACTAAACATCCACCAGCTGACACTGGAGACTACCAGATACATCAAGTGATCCAAGATTTTTTTAAAATTAAGACTCTTTCTTTATCTTCTCCCTTAAAATGAAGACGGAATATAAGCCTACTAAAAACCTTGAATTCTCTAAGCACTTTACCTAGGTAGGCATGTTTTCTCTCCCAATATGAAAGAAAAAAGTTCATTTTCAACTCAAGCAGCTACCTGAGTCACCATTTCAAAGCAGCCAACCCAAGATTAAGGATGTTGTTAATAAAAAACACAATGACAGAGATGACGCCAAGCCCATATCTGTATCATTATACAGTGCTAGGCACATTAAGCATGTGTTACGTAAGTGAACAAATGAATGAGTGAAACAAACTATAGTACTCTCACAAATAAGGCTCAATAAATTATACCTTTCCGGGCAATGAAATTATTTTGCACCTTTGTATTTTACTGTTAAACCTCCAAAAACTGTTAACAGTTTTATCACAACTTTAAAGAAATAACAGGCTGGCGCGGCGGCTCACGCCTGTAATCCTAGCACTTTGGGAGGCCGAGGCAGGCGGATCACCTGAGGTCAGGAGTTAGAGACCGGCCTGACCAACATGGTGAAACTCCGTCTCTCCAAAAAATACAAAAAATAGCTGGGCATGGTGGCGTGTGCCTGTAGTCCCAACTACTCGGAAAGCTGAGGCAGGAGAATCGCTTGAACCTGGGAGGTGGAGGTTGCAGTGAGCCAAGATTGCACCGCTGCACTCCAGCCTGGGTAACAGAGCCAGAGCAATACTCCATCTCAAATAAACAAAAATAAAATAAAATAAAGAAATAACAGTATTTTTGTGTTTTAATCTTTTTTTTTTTTTTTTTGAGATGGAGTCTTGCTCTGTGGCCAAGGCTGGAGTGCAGTGGCACGATTTCAGCTCACTGCATCTGCCTCCTGGGTTCAAGCAGTTCTCCTGCCTCAGCCTCCTGAGTAGCTGGGATTACAGGTGCCACCACACCCAGCTAATTTTTGTATTTTTAGTAGAGATGGGGTTTCACCATCTTGGTCAGGCTGGTCTCAAACTCCTGACCTTGTGATCCACCAGCCTCAGCCTCCCAAAATGCTCGGATTACAGGCATGAGCCACCGCGCCCAGACCATTTGTGTTTTAATCCTAATGGTAACCCTTTTGTTCAATACAACTGTACAAATAATTTCTATAGTTTAATAAAAATAGAAAAATATTACTCCAAATTCTAGTATATTTTAATATTTCATTGCGTCTTATAGTTATTATAGCCATAAAATGCGTCCTCAACAAGATTATCATTTTCAATTACTAATGAGCTTTTAAAATTTTGTTTGTGCTTCAAAGCCTTTGCAATAAAAATTTAATCCCAACATTACTACTGCAATTCTGCATTCCTAAAACTTACTGTACATGATGAAGACGAGATCAAAGTAGTTGAAAAACATTTAAAATGTCTCTCTGGGGAAAGCAGGCTTTGGTTTCTATCATGCCAGCATTCTTTGATAAATGGTAAGGTCGATTAAACTGCATTGGAACAGGTTATTTGACAGCTTCTGTTAAGTTTTCATTTCCAGGAAGCCATGGTATTGATGGGTAAGAAGTGATTGGAAGGGCCTGACAGACACATCCTTGAGCAGACAGCCAAGGAGCTATAACTGCAAGTCACACTTTTCTCCATCTCTGGAATTCAAGGAGATGGGATCTCAGTAAAAAGGAGGGCCCTGCTGGTGGAATAAGGTTTATAGATCTATCAGCTAATGCTGTGAGACTGGGTGGTAAACCTTCATTTCCCAGATCATCAAAATCAATCCGTATTTGAGGAATTATCAAAAATGGCCATGCTTGGGAGCTATGCTGTCCACCACCCCATTTTTCCTGGAACATGCTTCTAAAGCAGTGGTTCTTAGCCCTGCTGTGCATCAGACTCACTTTGTGCAGTCAGTTACCAGGTTGCATCTTCAACACACTAAATCCGGATCTGCAGAGTCCGTCAAGGATTAGGGCACAGCCAAGGTTGAGATCTACTGTGAAGGTACGGCCGCCATGATACTATGGCACAGAACCAACTACGCAATGAGCAAGGTCTTACATCTGAAATGCCAAAAATTATTTACATCTGTGCCTGCTCATGAATCAAATCCCTTTCACCATGGCTGCCCGAGAGGCAGAGCATGAACAACAGAGCCACAGAGCAGCTTCACTTGCTGCTCTGGAGAAACTGGCAAAGACAGGGCGTTAATGAGAAAGGAAGGTGCTATTGAAAAAAGAATTAACCTCAACCTCTTATTTCCATTGACTGTCAGGAATGTCAAGTTTCATCAATTATATATTTTTAAATTAATTTTAGAGTGATCTTTCCACAGAAAGATAATAGAGTTACAGTAATGACCCAAATACAGTCCATTTATTATGTACAAGGACATTCAAAGCAGTGTTATTTATAAAATAGCGTTATTACAGATAAGAACTGGAAATTACCCAAACACAAAATAAAAAGATTAAATTACATTATGTCAGCCATTCATAAGATAGAATAAATCACTAGACTGTAAACTTAGGGAGGGCAGAGACCAAGTCTGCTTGTCATCTCTGTTTACAGCCACTAGCTATTAATATCAGGAGTTCAATAAATATTTGTTAAGTGGATGGATAAAAAACGAAAAGTATACAGTCATCAAAAATACTTAATGGCTGGCCGGGTGCGGTGGCTCATGCCTGTAATCCCAGCACTTTGGGAGGCCGAGGGGGACCGATCACCTGAGGTCGGGAGTTTGAGACCAGCCTGACCAACATGGAGAAACCCCGTCTCTACTAAAAATACAAAATTAACTGGGCATGGTGGCACATGCCTGTAATCCCAGCTACTAAGGAGGCTGAGGCAGGAGAATCGCTTGAACCTGGGAGGCGGAGATTGCGGCGAGCCGAGATCGTGCCATTGCACTTCAGCCTGGGCAACAAGAGTGAAACTCCATCTCAAAAAAAAAAAAAAAAAAAAAACCTAATGGCATAAGGAAATGCAGTATCTTAATTTTTAAAAAAGCATATATTCATGTACATATATACACATATACACACATGTACGTATCACTTTTTTTTTTTAAAGAACTAAAGGGAAATCAATTTTATCTGGTAAGATCTGCATTTAGAGGTAAAGAGTGTATTTATTCTTTATTCTTCTCCATACTTCCTCATATGCTTTAATTTTACATAAAAATTCACATTATTTTCAAAGTCACAAAGGCATTAAGTGTTATTTTAAATATATATACATAGTACAATGAATTGTACTCTTAAGAATCAAAGATAGTGCCACCAGTACCCTAAAGTCATGTAAGGCAATACCCACCAGAAACATCTTAGTGACCCTTACTGCCTTATCTCATTTGAATTTTAAAGCCACATGTTAGATAATTTGCCTGCTCCTGAACTGACAAAAAGGTGGCTTCCACCCTGCAGTTGTCCCAGTCAGCAGATTCTGGACAGAAAAGGGCATAAAACAATTATCACCAAAGTCAAAGAGCAGCTCAGATGCTCAGCAACACTGACTAGCCTTCTCTTCTGGGTTAGAACTACAGATTTAAGCTTTCACCAGAACTTGTGCCCAGAAGCGAATGTTTTTCCTAAGGTGTTGCAGAGGGTGTCATTACTATTGAGGAAGTTTCCATGCATCGAAATCTGGTAAAAGATCCTTTCTAGGCCTGTTGATGATATTAAGTGCTTTATGGAACCTGAATAGAGTTCTTAAGCTATTCTTTGAATTTTCCTAACATGTAGCCAGCTGCAGGGAATAGGAACCAAGAATTTTAGCCTTTTTTATAGAAAAGATAAGGAATCAGAGAAGTGCTGAGAGGTCAAGCCTATTGTTATCCATTGTCCCCCACCTGATGCCAGGGCCCGCACCTTCTTGGAAAGGGTGGCCTCGCACACTACTGCTTCCTGCTTGCTGTACCATGCCAGAAACACCACCACCACCAATGCCCTGGTTAGATCCAAAGGTGAACTTGGCCATACCCAGCTTATCTTACAGCCCACAGAAGAAAACTGTATCTTTTGAACAGGGCAATGACAACCACATCTCCTAGTTTAGTAGGGTGGTGGCAAGCCTGACCTCTTCTGAAACAGAGCATATTTCCTCTCATGTCTGGTCAGGCTCTACCCCTGTAAATGCTAAGAATAGCTACATAAACAGGTTGCTGAAGCCCTGTGTTCAAACAAATGAACAACGTCAGATCTACATGAACAGTTATGCCTGGGTGGTAACAGATGCAGGTACATTCAAGCCAGAGTTAGTGATTACTAATAGGAATGAATGCATTTTAATTAAGCGCTGGTTGGGCACAGTGGCTCACACCTGTAATCCCAGCACTTTGGAAGGCTGAGGTGGGAGGATCGCTTGAGGCCAGGAGTTTGAGACCAGCCTGGGCAATACAGTGAGATTCCATCTTTAGAAAAAAAACTTTTGTTTTAAATTAGCCTAGTGTGGTGGCACATGCCTATAGTCCCAGCTACTCTGGAGGCTGAGATGGGAGGATCACTTGAGGCCAGGAGTTTGAGACCAGCCTGGGCAATACAGTGAGACTCCATCTTCAGAAAAAAACTTTTGTTTTAAATTAGCCTAGTGTGGTGGCACATGCCTATAGTCCCAGCTACTCTGGAGGCTGAGGTGGGCATAAGGCTTGAGTCTGGGAGGGGGAGGTTGCTAGAGCCTGATCACACTACTGTACTTCAGCCTTGGTGACAGAGCAAGACTCTATCTCCAAAACAAAACAAAACAAAATAAAACAAAAACAACACCAAAAAAAAAGAACAAGAATAATCTAAATTAATCTAAGTGCCTTAATAAACTTTGTCATTTGTAATCCTTACAACAAGCCTATGAGGTTAAATGATATTATATTGTCTGTTTTACAAAAGAGGAAGTAAGCTTTAAGATGATCGGTGACTTGTTCAAGGTCACACATCAGTAAGGAACACAATGTGTTCCATCCGCCCAACAGAAACACTAACTACCTTCCAGAATAAACAATGGTTCCCATGTTAGGATCATGCATAAGAGCTACTTGGAGCCTCTTAGATGCAGAGCCCATAGGGAATTTCTTCTCATTTCCTGCTTCACTAAAAACATTACTGTGATTTTCAAATGAGTCCCAGCTGTAACTGTACCACACAGAGCATCACAGAGTTTCACCAGGGGCTGCTGCTATTCATTCATGGCTCTTACTATGTGCCAGGCAAAAGGTACTAAGCTCTGGGGCACAGTGGGGAACAAAACAGACCAAAGTCCCTCCTCTTTCAGAACTTACATTGTAAGTGGGAGAGACACATGATCAGCTCATACAACAAATACTTGATGCTAAGTAGCTTGAGTGTTATAAAGAATGAGAGTAACAGTGGGTTTGGGCCCTCCTGTGAAGGAGGGAAGGCTAACTTCTCTGAAACAGAATGGAATGCGCATGGCTGTGTTCTAACCAACTTTATTTACAAACAAAGAAGGAAGAGAGGAAGGGGTGGGGGAGAGCAAATGCAGACGCTCAAAGACAGGCGAATGCTCAGCCACCACCCAACAGTCTTGTCCTAGAAGAGAGCCACCATGCCTTAGTAGACTTGAGGGGGTGCGGAGCTTTTTAGGGTGTCCACAGCAGCAAGAGGTCTGCTCAAGCACTTCTGACAGCAAAAGAGCACCAGGACACAGCTGGGAAGAAGCAGAGGGTCATAGAGAGCTATGACCATCAGGTAAGACAAGGGACATTCTAAGCCTCATCGTTTGAACATGGCAATGACAATCACATTGAGATTGAGACTCCAACCTCACACATGTGCGTGCAATCCCTCCTCAATCCAGACTTGAAGTAGTGGTGCTGCATGAAAGAAAGGGTCTTAATGACTGAGGGGTAGAAGAATGAGCCCCTTATTCTGAGTTTACTCCTCCTGTCTAAAACATTTCTGAGGTCTTCCTCAGACCTTTTGACTGGCCTGGGCGTGCTTGTGAACTTGGCCTGGCTTTGATGAGGATACTGGGCAGGCTGGACTCTACCACAGGATGGCTGGAAAAGTCCCAAGCCACAGAGAGGCCCATTTTTAGGTTCCAAGCTTTTTAAAGCAGAAAGCCCTTTCTTTAATCACACCAGCCACGTCACCATACAGTAACTAAAAGCCTTCTCAGACACACTGAACAGCCCAGCTATTTTTTTCCCTACCATTTTCACTTCAAGAACAGTGTATTTCCCTCAAGGGCAGGGGATTTCTACTTTGGCAACAGTGGTTTTCCACATTATCCCACAACAGTCCCAGCCCTCAAAAAAAAAAAAAAAAGAAAAAGAAAAAAGAAACCATTCCTATTCCTTGACCATATTTCCCTATTTGTAGGAAGAGAGACACAAAAAAAAAGTGGAAAAACAAAACAAACTAAAAAACCCTTTACATGCTTGCATCTTTAATGAAATCCAACCTGTTTTTGTTCCTTTTTCACAAGAGAGGTGGAAGGAAACACTTGCAAAAGCTCTCATTCGAATCTCAGAACGTTATCTGGATCTGCAACACAGGGCAGCTGCTAACCTTTCAGAGCAATCTTCGGCAGCCCTAAATGGTATTAACATCTTAGACATAGCATCCCAAGCCAATGAGGGCCAATCGGAAGTCCAAAGCAGTTACCTCTCCACTGCCCCCAACCAGCAACCAAAAGCCCTATGCTGGTTCTCCAACCGGCGTGTGTGCCTCCTTAAGGAAAAAACTTCCTTCCTCCCATAGAGAAAGCAGTGAACTATAGGGTGAGGTCAACATCTGGTTTCTGCATAAGAACATCCATATTGATACCAGAAGTCATAGCCTACAGGGCTCTGCATAAGCTGCCGGCTTCTCACTGCCTCAACACCTTCCATGCCACTGCTTGCTTGCTTCGTTCTAGCTACAGTGGCCTCCCTTCTACCCTGGAGTAGGCCTTAGGACCTAGCATACGCCGTGCCTTCTCCTTGGCATGCTCTGCCTCCACCTCTCTCTTTCCACTGTACCTGGCTGCTCCGTGTGTCATTCTGGTTAAAAGATACCTCCAGAGAGGTGACCTTCTAGTGCAAAGTAGCCCCTCAGATATTTTAAACCCTATCACCATTTTTCTTCCTGGAATGTACTGCTATCTGACTTTCTCTTGCTTATTATTTCTCCCTTCCAAAGATAACAAAGCATCTATGAGAGCAGGGCCTTTGTCCATCTGTTTCTCACTGTATGCACAAAATGTGGGGGATATTCCAGCCAATGACAGACATTTCCTGAAGGACCAGGCTTGAAAGACAGAAGCCAAAGGGCCAGTCCAGGACTAAAAAGCTCAGGGAACCAGGAGACAGGCAGAACGTAGGGAAGAACAGGCACACAGAACCTGGAGGTCAAGGAGGAAACAGGCAGCAGGCAAAGTGGGATGGGGGTCGGCAGAGAGAAGCTGGGAGCCCACAGCTGCTTGAGCCTGAGCTGGCAGCTTTTCTAGGACAGTACCCCAGCCCAGAGAAGCCAGGGTTAACAACGTGTGGATGGACCATAAGGGGAAATGTCACCTTGCCTCAGATTTCCATTACTGTTCATTAGAGAACACAAGTGGACCGGGTTTGTCCTGTTAGATAAGAGGTGATCACTAGGGATCAGAATTTGGGTCAGGCTGCTGGAGACAGAGATCAATTCACCTCAGAAACAAGAATAGCATTGACTCGGGTGAGTGGCACCATCCATGACACAATTCCCGAGACGTCACTGGCAGGCATGGCCCCTGCCACACTGGCTGGGAGATGCAGATGGGGCTGACCTGCAGAGGGCTCTGGCTCTACACTTGCCTGGGAGGCAAAAGCCAACACACTCCTCTCTGGACTGACAGAGTTAATACACAGAAAAGCCCTCCACACTCCAAGAACAAACGCACTGAATGTTCCACACGGGCTGCCCGGGAGTTCTGAGTATCACTTTGGAGTTGCCAAATCCCAAAGAAGTTCAGAAGTCTCTTTTCAAATCACCAAAACAAGGATGGGTTGGGGAAGGGAAGATACTCTTCAAGTTCTATTATTGTTTGAGTACTAGTCACAAGTCACACTAACAGCCAACAACAAGCACACAATGTCAGGCACCTGACACACAGCACTTTGCTCATGTCTCACAGTCCTTGGTGAGAGGCACTGACACCCCACTTTAAAGCAGTTTTGTGCTTCTAGGGCCTAAGCCATGCAGACAGGATGTGGCAAAGACAAACCAGTTGGCTCCAAACCCATGCTCCTAACCACTACAACTCTCGACCTGCCACTTAGAAGAAGCATTTTCAGAGGGCAGAGAAATGCTACATTTTATGTGTGCACCTTATGAAGATGTCGTGAGCGAATCCAAACACAGGCGTGAAAGAGACTTGGGACACACACACACACACAAAATCCAGTAGAGAGAGAGACTCACCCAGAGACTATCTAGGTCAGAGACTGATAAACATTTTTGGTAAAGAACCAGACAGTAAATATTTAGGCTTTGCAGTCTGTATGACAACTACTCAACTCTGCCACTATAGTGCAAAAGCAGCCATAGACAGCATATAATTAAATGGGCATGGCTTTCTTTACAAACACAGGTACCAAGGAAGACTTGGCCCGTAGGCCATGGTTTGCTGACTCTGCCTTAGACCATGGGAGTCCTGGGAAATAGTTGAATCAATAAGGAACTTGATCAGATGAGTATTTAGAATAACCATGGTGACTGCTGATTGATGGATTCAGAATGTTTCAGATGTTTTATGAAATAAATACTGGAATTACCGTGTTTATCTGTTATTGCATTTGTTACAAACAAATGGGAGTGGAGGTGTTCCAATAAAACTATTTACACAATCAAAGGTCCTGAATTTGGCGCATAGGTCATAGTTCACCGAGCCCTGCTGCCTTGGAATCTCTAACCAGAAATTCTAATAAATCAGCAATCATCTAAAATCAGCTACTACAATCCCTCAAATACCTACTGTATACCCATTTATCCTAAAAGCCTCTGATTATACCAATATGGGGATGAGATAAAGAAGGAATTTTTTTCTTCTTTTTGCTGGATTCATTTAAACCAGACACAA
This sequence comes from Homo sapiens, assembly GCF_000001405.40. Lineage (NCBI taxonomy): Eukaryota > Metazoa > Chordata > Mammalia > Primates > Hominidae > Homo > Homo sapiens. Next base: position 134,257,935 of record NC_000002.12, on the reverse strand, counting down.
ATCCTAGCCATACAGGATCAACTCTTCACTCTCAAAGCAGATGTGTAGGCAATGCACTGCACATAGGCTGCATTTATGGCAAAAAAAAAAAAAAAAAAAGAGACTGCAAACTAATGGCCTATGCATCCACATCACTGTTCTGCCAGCCCAGCTATACCATTGAGAATCCTACAGTCTCTGCACCAGCATGTGACATTAACTACCAGAGCTGCCTGCATGTCACACAATGTTACTGATACTGACAGATTCCAAGGGAAGCATATATCATCAGAATGGCTCTCCAGCTTCTAGGACTGGCCCTGGACTATACTAACTAATCCCTAGTACAATCCTCTTGTTCAATCCAAATTGTTGGTGCCAGAACTGGAAACCAGGGGGAACACTAGGCTTTCAAGTTTGAAATAACTAAAACCAGGCCAGGCACAGCGGCTCACACCTGTAATCCCAGCACTTTGGGAGGCTGAGGCGGGCAGATCATCTGAGGTCAGGTGTTTGAGACCAGCCTGGCCAACATGGTGAAACCCCGTATCTACTAAAAACACAAAAATTAGGCAGGCGTGGTGGTGTGCGCCTGTAATCCCAGCTACTCTGGAGGCTGAGGCTTGAACCCAGGAGGTGGGTGTTGCAGTGAGCCAAGATCACACCACTGCACTCCAGCCTGGGCAACAACGCAAGACTCCATCTCAGAAACAAACAAACAAAAAAACTAAAACCAGTTATCTGCTTGATAACATCCTTAAAAAGATGATGTCAGATAGCGTTTGTGGCTTCCACTCTTAGTACAGTTCTCCAAGGTGGCAGGAAGGGGATAATTATCACATATCTAAAGACATTTTGATTGTCACAACTAGGGAGCTGTTACTGGCATCTAGTGGGTAGAGACCCCTGAGATGCTGCTGAAATCCTACCACAATCAAGACCTATTTAGACCAAAAGTCAACAGCACCAAATGAGACACTGTCTTAGTAGGATCTCACCATGTGATAACCCCCCAGTACCTCAAGCACATACATACAAGTCCAATAAAAATTCCAGAAACTCAGCTCCCAAAACCACTTTGATACGTTAAAGTTGATTCGATGAAAGAGAAAACTAGCAGTGTCAGTTAGAGTTGCTGATGTGACCTGTTTGATTGTTTCTTTGTTGTTTTTGAGAAAAAGACAAATTATTTTGCTAAGGTTCATCTACGAAAGTAAGTTGGAATAAATAATTTCTATAGTTTCTTTGAGATGCAAAGTCTTATGATTACAGGCATATAAGGTGGCTGAAATTCTAACAGCCTATTCTGGGATTTTTTTGTAACTTAAAAAATAATATTTCTGTGAGGCTGAAAAGCTAAGACCAAATTATTGTCCTTTAAAATGTGGGGAAGCCTTCCCTATGAGATTTTCATCAATACACAAGAAATACAAACAGCCAAAACAACTGCAGAAATTTAAAGCCTATAAATTTGCTATTTGTGGGGCTTCTTCTTGCCCATGGAAAAGGTTTGACAGACTGAGAGAAACAAGAGAAAATTACCACTGAGCTGTAACTCTTTCCCTTCAAAGCTGTAACATGAAATGCATACAACCAGAAACTTTAAAACTGCACCTGTGTTACCTGCTGTGTCATATACATTGGTAACACTAATGGTGACAATCAGCTTTATTTTCTGTTGGTTTATCTAAACTACTCTGGAAATGTTACACAAATGTGAGTCAATGAGCAATTTTAAAATGCAACTCTAGGAAAAACTACCTAGTTACTTTTCAGTGTAAGCTCCCACAGTGGAATCTCATTTTTTAAATCCATCAGTTCAAAAAAGGTACCATTTTTTTAGATATATTAAAAGCCAATGCCTACAGACACTTTTAACAGATTAAATGCAGAGTGTGATTATTTACATAGTAAGAACTAGAAAAGAATTTCTAAAATGTTCCTCAGAAGTAAGCATCTTCTAATATATACACATACACACACACACATACACATACGTGTGTATAAAATTTTACATACTTTTTTAAAAACAAGTTTTTTTCCCCTTTTGGAAAGAAAGAAGCACATGTATAACTGAGTATGATTTCCTGTGTCTGAACTCAACCTGCACTGAACTGAACTGTTGCTGCACATTTTTGGGAATCACGATTTGAAATCGGCATACTTCAGGGCACCTTCCTTGAGTGGGTCACAAAACACAACTCCACTTTCTCCACCTCACCTAACCCCATTCTTGCATCTCATCTATACTATCAGGGAGACCACTTCAGTGAGACCACTGAAACCTCAATTCAATGATCAGACTCTTGTCACTCAACAACAGGTCATCTTCTACAGACCAAGTCTGCTCTGCAAAACACAGCATGATCTAAATTCCATTTGCAATTTTTTTCCAAGTATTTGTGTGTGTATGTGTATGTATATATATATGTGTGTGTATATATATATGTGTATATATGTGTATATATATGTATATATGTATATATATGTATATATATATTTGTGTGTGTATGCAAAGTATCAGAAAAATACACACTGAAATGTTAATTGTGGTTATTGCCTGGAGTAGTAGACTTATGTGTAATTTTTTTCTTTTTTTGCTTGTCTACAGCTTCCAACTTTTTCTATATTAAACATAAAAGAAAAATAAGTTACATCCCATATGTGTATTTTTTTACTCTTTCTGATTTCAAAAAGAATTCTGAAAAAAATTCTTTAAAGAAAAAGCAACAAGTACACAAAGATTCCTTTCAAAGTGAGGGCAGTTAGAGACAAGGGCAAGAAGAAGAGCAACATAACCTCAAGAAGCCAAAGGTTAAAACTCACCAGCATGCAAGTGCCAGTGTCATATTTATTGGCTGGAGGGAGGAACACAATTGGCTCTAAGTTTACTGGCTTCCATAGAACATTCCTCCCCATCCTCTTCACCTCACCCCCACCAGCCTTAATTAAGTTTTGTTTAGGGAAAGATGAGAATATTTTTCAGCATTCCCTGAACTCACTCCCACATGAGATCACATGGTTCCTGAAATGTGTTCAGGGAGAAGGAGCTAGCTGCAAACACAACCAATAGAGCCCTAACTATACTAACCCACTGACTCCAGGGGAAAGTGTGTCTGCATACACCAGCTCAGAACCCCCAAAATGGCATTGCTTTAATTTCCTAAAGATGCCTCTCTGTGTGCAATTCACTGCTTATGAAGGCAGTGGCAAAGGACATTCAGTCCATGACAAGACCATATCTGGGAGCTTCTAGGGCCATTTCAAGGCCAAGGCACACTTTAATGGAGAGGTCCCAGAAACAGTGCTTACCATAAGCTGTCATGACTCCAGCGTATGGCCCATCCACCACATTCCTGTTTTCTTCTGCCAGTGCCTTGATGTACCTTTTGCTGAGGTCCAGGATCTGCTCGCGCAGCATGGAGCTGCTTTCAGGCTGAGTTCGCTGCTGGATGGTAAAGTGCAGAAGCATCATACCCCAAATGAAGCCAAAAGTCACCAGGAAAAAGCCCAGCTTCTGAGAGGACAACTTCCACGGAGTGAAGAGAGCCATTGCTCTCTGGCAACTTCACCTGTCCTTGGCTCTTAACGCGTAGAAGATAGACACAAATTCATGGTGTAGGTTGAGTGTGAGAGTCTGCTGGTCTCACTCTGGCTCCTGTGTCAGCTGGTTGCCTTTCCTCACTTCCATTCTGCTGTGAAGGAGGAGAAGAATTAGCCAAGTGGTCATGGCACAATACAGCAAAATAAACCAGAAGCCATGTTTTCACTTGAATACCTCTAAGTAAAATGTCAACTCTTAAATTTGCTGGTTCAATATCTTATGATTCAGGAACTGTAAGCTGAGGGGAAATCTGGCTAGGCAACAAGAAGCTAAGCAATTATGAAGGGGGAAGTGTGCGTCTGCGTGTGTTAACAGGTGTAGTGGGGCTGTTCCAGCCTGGACCAAATTCAAAACAGGAAGTTTGTTTTGCAAGGTGGGGAGGAGACAGAAGGATATTTGGCGGAATGTCAGCAAAAACGGGGAGGGTGGAGTCATATCACCATCAGGCCCTTTTGTGTGCCTGTAACTTAAGCTTACAAAGTCATTATTATGTGCTTCTGGCAAGGACTAGAACATGCAACTGGTGAGGTGAGCAAGAAAGTGGATGCCCCCTTGGGGGTAACTAGACAAAGAAGAGGTAGATTGCTACATCTTATTTGAGCATGGCCAGCTTTCACCATCAGTGTTTAGTGATGAGATGGCTCTCTCAGGGCCACCAGGCAACCTCTCTAGGTGCACCAGCACAGAGAAGATATGCCAGAGGTACAAGCAGGGGTATTGCTTTCCCAGCTACATGAGGAAAAGGTACACCTCACTGCTCACTTGCATGCTGTAGCACAAGAAATGTGGAACACCTGGCAGGCAGATTTTCTGTGGTTCTCACTTTCACTCCCACCATGAGGCAAAATGAGACATTAAAAGGCAGAGTAGTTTCAATATTAATGCAGCCAGATCCTATCTAATGCCAGCACAGACCAGGCCACTCTTCTCAATCAGGGCTTCCCAACAAGTAGGACCTGAGCATAGGTTGCAAATGGTTACCAGCATGCCCACCCCTTCAGCCAGAGTCCTGGGCCCAATACCAGTCAGCTTACGAATAGCGCCATTTTCTAAGTGCCACTCAAGGGAGAGGCTGAGCAATGATCCGATCCCTTATAAGAGACTAACCCAGGCTGTACTTCAGAGTGTACATACATGCTTCAGTCAAAGGATTCTTCTTTGCAAGCGGCCCAAAAGAAAATGGTAGCAGGATCTTGAAGCAATTAGCTTTCAGAGCCCTGGATCACTGTTGGTCTGCCTCTTACTGTTTTCCCATTGCCTATCAACAGAGTAAAAATAAATTATAAATTCTAGCTATATCCCAGATATTGTGACATACCATCTTTTGTGGCTTTGCTCACTGAATCCTCAGAAGTTCTATATGGTAAGAAGTATGAATATTATCGTCTCTGTTTTATTAGAAACATGAGAAAATAAAGGTAAAAGGTGATTAACTTGGCAAAGGTCAGCCAGCTATGTGGCAGAGGACTGATCATCTAGGCATGGCCCAGGGGTTATTAAACCATGCCCCACCTTCCCTACATCATCCTCACTCCCCCAACAGCCTGTTTGTATATGGCAGAGAATGATATATATATGCTTAATGGGTCATGAAAAGCAATAAAAAATATGTAACAGATACTCTTTGTAGCCCAGAAGGCCTAAAATATTTACTATCTACCTCTTAACAGAGAAGGTTTGCCAACCTCTCAATTCTAGACCAGTGGTTCTCCAAATGTGGTCCCAAACTCAGTAACAGCAGCATCACCAGTGAGAAATGTGAATTCTCAGGCCCCACCCACACCCACTGAATCAGCAACTGAGGAGATGTGGTCCACAGCCTATCCTTTAACAAGCCTCGAGGTGATTCTGATGCACACTCATGTTTCAGAGCCCTTGACCAGGCAGCCTGATTCCAGACCCATACATTCCATCACTATTCAACACCCACCACAATGCCTATTAAAATGAGGCTCAACCTCTGTCTTGTACTATCATAACGTAAGTTCCTCTGCCCCATCACACCCCTCTCCCACTACGTACCTGCTGGTCTGCTCATTACCATAAACCCTGCACATGCTTCCTGAGAGGCTTCCCCTTCTTCACTCGGCTGCTCCTCCCACCCAGCTGGCACATGAGTGCTCTCTATTATGCTGACAATCAAACCCAGCCTGTTTGCCAGACCCCAGCTCTAGTCCCACCACCTGCCTCAGACCACTTTCCCCAGGGCTCCAGCCTGCAGTGTTCCTTTCCTAGTCTTACAACACTTCTCTGACAATGGAATACTATTCAACCAGAAAAAGAGAGAGAAATCCTGTCTTTTGCAGCAACAGGGATATACCCGAAGGACATTATGCTAAATGAAATAATCCAGGCACAGAAAGGCAACTACCGTACAATCTCACATGCAGAAGCTAAAAAGTTGCTATCATAGGAGATAACAGAACAGTGGTTACCAGGGGTGGGGAGGAGAGAGGGGGATGAGGAGGGAGTGGTCAATGGGTAAAAAGTTACATTTAGGAGGAATAAGTTCTGGTGTTCTATTGCACAGCAAGGTGACTATGGTTAATAATAACGTATATTTCTAAAAGAGACAATTTTAAGTGTTCTCACCACAAAAGTAATAATTATTTGGGGGTGATGTGCATGCTAACTATCCTAATTTGATCATTTCACAATGTATATGTGGATTGAATCTCACATGGTACTCCATTATTATGTATAATTATTGTATCAAATTTAAAAAAATTTTTAAAACAGGGAATAAAGGAGTATTATGAGTTAAAAACACCTGTCTACCTTGGATTGTTCAAAGTTTCTATGTGGGACTCTATGACATCCTTTAGGGAGCCCCTCCCCACACACACACCTTCTCAGAGAAAGGCACTGACCACAGTGGCACAATAAAGTATCTGCTAAATGAATATGTCGCCTAGGGCACTACAGCACTTTATTCAGCCCTTCTAACTGCAGGCCAGCCAACTAGCACCTGCCCTCTTTCCTTCCTCCACTCCGCTCCGCGCCAAGTCTATATTGAGCATGAGCGGCCATCAGGCCCTGGTGACTGAACAGTGAACAAGATGGAGTTTCCACCCCATCAGAATTACACTCTGACAGCCACATTACGAACTAGGTGCTGCACCTAGCTCCAAGGGAATTGGCTTTTTTTTTTTTTGATAACCCATACTCATTACTCATTACTTAATTTTGAACCAGGGCTGAAGGAATTTTCCTAGAGCAAGCCAATGAGGTGCTACATCAAAAAAGGTGATTTTTCTTTCACTATTTTAGTAAAGAGCCCGAATCACTGGTAGGAATTAGCTGTCCACTTTCAGACAGGAAACCCCACTCTACTTCCTCAATTAACCCTACTGAATAGGCTGCTCAAGCTATGGAGTTAAAACAAAGGAAAGATCAAGGGCTAGGAACTGAACAATAGCTTCCTTAGAAGGTAGAAGGCTTCTTCTCTGCCCTTGCCTTGGAGAAGGTCAGACACATCCAGATGGTGTATCAGAGGCGCAAAGAGATGGCCAAAAAATCTCAGCCTAGGTAAAATTATCCCAGTTCAGAGACATGCAAATTTGAAGTGAAAATCCCTAGCTATGCGGAGTTCAGAGTACAGTTCTGATTAGTGAGGGCCCAGATTTTAAGTGACTATAGAAGTGCCAGGAAACTTCTCTTCTCCAGTGGTACTTAGAGCTTGAAATAATAGAAACAATATCAGTATACACACAGCACACACAGAGAATCACAGAATGCATCTCTACAATTCCTATTAAGATGACAGAACTTAAGACTTTTCAAAAGCATTATTCAGGAGACACCCCTATCTCTCACAGTAACAGGTGGACAATGAGGAGGAAAATGAACAGCCATCCTCATAGTCTTGGTGCCACAAAATGACAATGAAGATCATCAGGAATGACCAGACAATTAATGAGGAAGCCCTAGACTAACAGTGATCAAGAAGTTGTTGCTGGAGCTAAGAAGATGCCTACCTCCAGACCTTCTAACGGCTGTGTCCTCTAGCTAAGTCATCCAATGGGCACAGTGGGACTATACAGTGGATCTCAGAAGACCTTGTTGCCAACCAGAGTAATGTCAGCTCATGGCCGTGACTTCATCAATTCACTTCCAGAAAAAAGTTTGCACCAAGTCTGTTTGCAGAATTAGCCACCTCAATATGCATCCCCTCTATCCTCCTACTTTCTAAAAGAGTAGCAATCACCTTGTTCCTTCCCACTGACGCCTCAACACAACAAAATCATCTTCAACCTTTATAAAGATGGTTAGAGATCTCTGGCAAAGAAATGTGTCAATTCTCCTGAAAGAAAGAAAAAAAAAGCACATGAAAAGATGCTCAACATCATTAGTCATTAGAGGAAATGCAAATCAAAACCACAATGAGATACTAACTTCACACTCATAAGGACATACAGATAAGAACAAGTGTTGGTGAAGATGTGGAGAAATTGGAACCCTCATCTACCACTGGTGGGAATATCAAATGGCGCAGCCAGTGTGGGAAATAATCTGGCAGTACCTCAAATAGTTAAACATGGAGTTACTGTATGATCCAAACAATTCTGCTTCTAGGAACTCTCCCAAGAGAAATGAAAATACGTGTCTACACAAAAACTTGTACACAGAAGTACTCAGCAGCAGTATCCATACTCAGCAGCATTATCCATAATAAACAAAAGTAAAACCAGCCTAATGTGCATCAACTGAGGAAATGGAAACAAAACTGCCATATCCATGCAATTAAATATTATCTGGCTATAAAAAGGAATGAACTGATTATGCTACACATAGATGACTCTTAAGAACATTATACTAAGCAAAAAAAGTAACAAAAAAACACATATTGCATGATTCCATTGATATTAAATGTCTAGAATAGGCAAATCTGTAAAGGCAGAAAATACATTAGTACTTGCTTAGGGCTGGGGTATGGAGAATGGAGGAAATGAGAGGTGATAGCTAAGGTGTATAGGGTTTTTCTAGGGGGTAACAAAAAGGTTCTAAAATTGTGGTGATAGGAGCATAATTCTGTGGACATACCAAAAGCCATGGAGTTGTATACGTTTAAATAGGAGGATGGTATGATATGTGTATCATATCTCAAAAAAAAAACTGTTAAAAAAAAAAAAGAAAAAAGAAAGCAAGCCCACCTCTAAAGCTATGGGGAAAAGGAGGAGTTTGGCTTAGAGCAGGCAGATGAGTGTCATGGGCCTAGCACAGCCAAGACCAGGGCAGGAACTAAGGGCTGGCCATGGGCCTAGCAACAGAAGGAAACCACAGTGATCTACTTCCAGTTCACCACATATGACCGCTCTTATAACCTCTGGATCAACCTTACAGGCTCCTGGCCAGGAGCCTGGCTTCAGAAGGCTCCTGGCCCACCTTGTCTGGCAAATGCCAATTTCTCAACCCACCTGAGAACACTGAGCAGCAGCCCAGTTCCAATGGAGTGAGAACGAGACCAATGAAGCAGTTCCTCCAGGTGGCCATCCAACATCCCTGGAGGCCCTATTTCTGACACAAGGGCCTGCCTCCTCAGAGGATAAACAAAGGCAGAAATGCCCATCCCTTCAGAAGCAATGCCAGCCCCAAGCAGAGATTTGGTCTCTTCAAATAGCCCTGCAGGACAATACCATCCCATGCGCCACATTCACACATTCACATAGGACAGCGCTGCTCTAACTTAGTGGTTCCCAGACCTCTCTGTCCTCACTGTGTACCACCTGAGCTACTTCATAGTCATCATTAAATGGTGGCTAAGGAGCCTACATTTAGCTTCATCCTGTACAGTAACCTTCAAGAAATCCTAAGTCACTGTGTCCACCCAATTTCCTTGGAAAATCCCACCCACATCTCCAGCCTCCAATCTCACCCCACCTCCTTCCTGCATAAAGCCTCCAGGGGCTCCCTAGACTGAGGAAAGCTCCCCTTCCATAGAGTACTCGTAACTCATAGCAGTTCGTGCTCCTTCCTTGCTCTATAGGACAATCCCGTTTCATCTCGCCTATGGGGTCTGTGAGGCCCCCAAAGACAAGAAATGCCGGCAATGGCCATGCCTTGCACACAGAGGGTGGTCATTAAGTATTTGCTAGATGGAAGGACAGGATGGTGGAAATGAGGTGAAGAAATGCAAATTAGCAAAGACCTCCAAGACCTCCTTCTGGTATGAGCCACAGAACCTGGGCATTCTGACAATACATTTGCACCTTACCTTTTACAAGATTTTACCCTTAGTAGTAAAACCCTTGAAGAGGCAGGGTTAAACTAAAGTGGATGTGATGGTAGTCAGGTATTAACAGAGAAGAAAACTGCAAAAAAACACTCCAGAAGAAAATTCTAGGGGGGCAGGGCAGTGAGATTACAGAAACAAAATATGTCTAAGACAAGGGATGGAGGGGAAAATACCCGGGAACCTTTCTTGGAGGCCACTTGTATTGTCACTGTTATGCTGAGAAGATCACAGAAAATAAGACCTGAAAGGGTGACAAGGAGGAACTGAGAGAACCTTGCATCAAAAACCTGAAAATCTCTGATCTGCAGCTTGTTCTACCATTGGCATTGTGTGATCCTAAGTGTGTCCATCTCAGTTTCCACATGTATAACATGGAGAAAGTTCTAGAAACACAGAACACTGTTAGAGCCACAGGAGTAGGGGTGAGCAACTGAGTTATTGGTTCTCAAACTGTGCTCCAAAGAACATCAAAGATTCATTCACAGAGATGTTCCAGAGGTTCCACAAATGTTTCATTTGACTTTTGGTTTTGTTTAAGATGTTTTTAAACATTTTTCAAAAAAAGTTTGACATGCCAAATCCTAAGATACTAGAGACAATCAATATACGTATCAATTTATATCGCAGAGACTCAGCAAAACTGCCCTGGCTACCTCCATACACTGAAGTTTGAACTTCAAATTTCCACCTTATTGGTCACAAAACTAATGCTCAGTAGTGGTCTAGTTTACGTTTTTTTTTTGTTTTTTTTTTTTTTTAATTCAGGCCCAGGTATCTATTCACATGAAATTGTATGACAAAAAAGCACTACCCTAATTAAATGCCAGATGAGAGTTGGTCACATATCTTGAAGTTCCAAGGCTGCTTGCCTGACTCCCATATTTTAAGTGACAACTGTCTTTAGATGTTAATAATTCAACTTTGAAACAATTTCTACTACTTCTCTTTTCAGCCTCCATCTCAATTTACATTAAAAGCAACTTAGAGTGCTTGGTAAGTTATTCTTTAAAATGATAGCCACTCCCATTCATAATTGGATGAATATGGACTGCTTCTACCGTGAACCAAAACACAGTGCAGAAATCAACTGGGTGCTAACCTTGCATTGACTGCACAACCTCTTACCAAACTCCTGGTTTTGTGCTCACCACAGAACCACATCTCCCTGGTCTAACAATCAACTTTAACAGGAAATATGATAAATTAAAATGTATAAAATACCTTTTTACAGACTGGAAGACAACGTCTGGTTTTGCTTAGGAAAATATCAAATGCAAACCCTCAATTTACAGAGGAAGACCCTGAGGCCAGAAAATATTATGTTTTCCAGTTAGAATCAAACCAGCACCCCAATTCCTGCCTAATACTACATGGCCTCCGCCAAACCAAGCTGAGTCTACCAGCTGCATGCGGAAACTCAGAAAGGAAGAGACCTCTCCGTATGGAACACAAAACAGAAACCAAAGTCCAGTACTATTAAGAAGCCGTGAGTCTAATGCAATGTCCCACCAACCTCAAGGGTTGAATCAACACATGAAAGGGAGAAAAATACACATTTACAGGATTACTGGTGTAAGAAAGACAGATGGAACGGGGACGGTGGTGGGGGGCAGTCTTCATCTAAATACAGTTGGTGTTAAAAGGAGAAGCAGAGGAGGAGAAGGGACAGGCAAAGCAGCTTTCTCTTCTAAAATAAATCCAAATTCCTGGGAAGAAGCTCTGAGGTCATTCACTCCCCCAGATGGCCCAGTGCCACCAACCTGATAGAGCCCACTCAGCAGGTGCCCAAAAGCTCAACTGTGAATCCCTGACAGCTGTGATGCCACCAACTCTCTTCTAGCTCTAGGAAGCAAAGGAGCTCAGGAGCAGGCAGGGTGCTGCCCAAGAAATAGGTATGAACAGAGACCTTTCACTTTCAGGACCTGGGTCCTTTTTTTTTTTTTTTTTTTTATAAACAGGAAAAACACATTCTAAATGAAAACAGTCTGTTCCCTTTGGAAGTGGCTAAACTAGTCTTATTTTAATTAACTAGCTGAAATACACCTGCTAAAAACAACACACCTTTGCTATCTTGGGAATACTCTTTGAATATCTGGGTTTTAAACAGCCCATCCCCTCTTACATTTGAAGTGATCAAAGCAAGACAGTCCTGTACCCAGAGTTTTAATTCATTACACTACACTTGCATTTTTCCTGTGGGCAGAGAAAGGAAAACCTCCAATGCCACCCACCTGAAGTGCATATTTGTCTTGCAGTTATACCATCCACTCAGTGGAGTTCAGGGCTCCATATCTGGCATCAATAGCAAAATAAATTTCCAAACACTGTAACAGGGCTGGTGAATCTGGGTCCAGAACATGCACTCTTCTTCCTGCCCTCTCTATTCCCAGGTTCTGCCACACCTACCCCAGCTGTTCTCTGACATTCACAGGTATAAAGAAGACAGATGGAAAGGAGATGGGGGTAGTCTTCACCTAAATACAGTTGGTGTTAAAAGGAGAAGCAGAGGAGGAAGGGACAGGCAAAGCAGCTTTAGAGGCAAAACAGGCCACTAGAGGGCGTGGGTGGGGTAAGAGAAAACCAACATTTGATGATTTTATCCTGACTTAGTCTCTTGGATGTGCACATTACTGGCAGGTGGACAAAAGGGAAAGAGGACAAGAGTGAGAAGGAAGCTGTGGTTGCTGGAGCAGATAAGATCTTCACATGTTCTATGAGTTTCATTCACTAGGCCCATACGATATTCACAGTTGAGAGAATTTCCTAACAACAAAAAAAGGCAACAGCGGTAACTCCAAGAATTCTGAGGGGCTGGGCGCTGTGGCTCACGCCTGTAATCCGCACTTTGGGAGGCCGAGGGGGCGGATCACGAGGTTGGGAGGTCGAGACCATCCTGGCTAACACGGTGAAACCCCGTCTCTCCTAAAAATACAAAAAATTAGCCGGGCGTGGTGGCAGGCGCCTGCAGTCCCAGCTACTCGGGAGGCTGAGGCAGGAGAATGGCGTGAACCCGGGAGACGGAGCTTGCAGTGAGCCGAGATCGCGCCACTGCACTCCAGCCTAGGCGACAGAGCAAGACGCTGCCTCAAAAATAATAATAATTCTGAAAACAACTACTAAACCAAAACAAAGCACGGGTCCCTGAAAAATGAAATAAATCACTTTAATCCAATGTTTCTCAATCTTTGCACAACTGACATATGGGTCTGAATAATTTTTTTGTTGTGGGAAGCTATTAGAGGTTTAACAGCATTGCTGGCCTCTAGCCACTAGATGCCATTAGAGCCCTCCAATAACCCTCTATAACTAGAGGGTTGTGACAATCGAAAAATGTCTCTCAACACTGCCAAAACTGCCTCGGTTGAGAGGGACTGCCTTACCAATCAACAGGATCTTACTCACCCACTGGAAGATGCTCAGACAGGTTCTGCCCATGTAACTAGAATGCAGAGTGAGAGAGAAGCAGACCAAGGTGAACCTGGGAGTCCATCACCACCCCTCAAGACCAGCAGGCTCAGAAGCCTGTGCTGAGGCTGTGGAAGGCCTCAGAGTGAAGGAAGGTGGCCGACTGCTGATGCTGTCTCAAGGTGACTGATAAATGAGTCTCATTTTCTCCACATCTCTCAGTGCTGTCTGGGCACTGACTGAGAATCTCATTCCTAGGCTAGCTGTGCCCAATTTACTAATGAGTATTAAGGCACTGGGCCTCTGCTCCAAAGACCTGGTCCATAAATCAATGAGCACAGGGAAGAAGGCTTTGAGCAAGACCAAATCTGGATGATGCTTCATCAGACAGCCATTAAAAAAAAAAACAAAAAACGCTAGGATTGTCACCTGGCATCCGGCCCAGGAAACCATGAACAGGCTTTAAGATAGGTTGATAATGACTCTCTAAGAAGAAAGAAAGAATCATCTGTGAAAAGATCACACAGCATGTCAATTTGTCAGGTAGGTCTCCTTAATGTTGAATGAAAATACTCAAAAGATTTGCTTCCACTCTCAAAGGACAGTAAAGCCACAAAGAAATTTTATAATAAGTGTAAAATGCACCTTTTCTCTGAGGATCAGACTTCTGGCAACACTCTACATCTAGAAAAAAAACCAAGAATGACAACAGGCCAAAATGGCCCCAGTAATAAAGAAAATCACAATCACAAAAATCACCACACTTATTTCAAAAATATGGGTAATGCCTTCAAGATAAAGCTCATTATTTCCAAATGCTTCCTAAGCCCTCCAGCCCAATTACCCCGACCCCTAGTACCCCTCTCCTCCACCTCGGGAGGAGCACCGGCTGGGTACTGGCCTACCCCAGGAGTGTTCCAGCTGCCCTATTTGCAGAAAAGGGACAGTCCTCCCCAAATCTGATTTGGTTAAAAAAATGAACTAGCTAAGCAGTGAAGAAATACATATGTGTGCACACACATGCACAATCTGAAGTGACCACTCAGGCTTATCCAACTTAACCTTATAAAGAAGTTCTCATCACTTCTAAAATAAAGTTACAGTAGTCAAGCCACTCAATCGCACAGCCCTAAGCTTTAACAGACCCAGAGTCATAAAAGTCAAGGTCTGAATTTTCTTAGGGAAGAAATCATTGGTTAGATGCTGGCTGATAAGTTCACTAGTTCCTTAATGTATACACCAAGGTCAACTCTCCCAAACACTGCAAATAACTTGGGTCAGCCTGACTGGTTTCTGGTCACAAACCCTCAGTTTGCACAAATGATAAACCAGCTCAAGTTAAAAATGGAGCTTCTCAGGAGAGTTTCTTGCCCTCAGAGCTTAGGACTGACTAAACCAGGACCTCCCAACTATGATGTACATAGAATCACCTGGACTGCTCTTTAAAAAATAGAGATGCCCAGCTATCACACCCAAAGATTTTGATTTACTTTGTCTCAGGTGTGGCCCAAGCAGAGGTATTTTTATTTTAAGCTGCTTAGATGATTTTAATACACAGCCAGGCATGAGAACATTTAAAAGACATTCTATAACAACTCTATTGGCCCTATCTAGTGAAACCCAAAATGTGATCCATTCTAGAATTTTAAGAGGTAAGCTCTCTGCTCTTCTCCCACCCCACAAATGTAGAGTCACTGGCTTACTAGATAATTCATCTGCCAAGGTAGGCTTGTTTTCTCCTTAAAGGAATCACAAACTGGTCTTAGGCCAATGCCCTGCCTGAGTAGCCAGACTTTCAATAGCTAGTCTACCACAGAGCCTTGTTAGATCATCCCACACTATGGAAGGACTTGTAGAGAATAATGCTGAACTAATACAGCTTTTATTAACCTCTCCTGGGCATTTGGCTCCAAAGATGAGAAATGATTTGAGGCTAGCCCAAAAGCCTCGATGTCTACAATGCTTTTAGCAACTAGCACCTCTATAACATTGCTACTCGAACTCTCATCTGTGGAAAGGTAGCACTGAAATGATCTGGCAGGTTGTTAAAAATGCAGAATCTTAGGCCCAATCCCAAAACAATAGAATCAATTGGTGTTTATAACCAGACTGCAAGGTTACTTGTTTTCACATGAGAAGCACTGCTTTTTACCTTATCTAGGATAGTAAGAGCAGGGGCAGATCAGATCCTAATTTCCAGTGGAGGATAACAGAGAACATGGCACAATTCTCCTTTTCATAACACGTACAGAACTTATATTACTTTTGAATAAGCTGGATGTACATCCTACTGACACATATCCAGCTGAGATGAGCATTATATACATAAATGGCATAGTTTAATCACTGTGAACTAGGAGTCCTTATAGGACAACTGGTCCTACTTTCTAGTTGCTGACAAAAAGCAAACATTTTGATCCATCAGGTTAAAAATGAAGACACAGTTTGGATACATGTTTTCCAAACATCTAACTCTGATAAAGCAGTAATTCCACACAGCAAAGCGCCTTATGCAGCTACCCAACACACACCTTGCACTGCTCAAAGTTCAACATCATGGGGGTTTGAGTTTTTGTTGTTTTATAATCCAAAGTGCTCTCTTTAGAACAAGTGCTTTGCAATCACAAGTACTTTCCCAGTTGACTTCAAAGTGAAATAGCCTTCAACTGAGATAAGCATGCTCATTAGGTCCCTTCATTCTGCATAAGAGTATTTCAACCAATAGTTAAAAGTTTCTGGAAATGATTCTAATTCCGATATTTTCCAGGGTACTTCAGTGACTTCATAGCCCCTGAAAGTCTTTCAAAGTTTGGTTGAAAGAAATTGTATCTGAATGATGACTTAAGGGATACACAATCCATCCATTGCTCTAGGTCGGCTTTGCCCAACCTCTTATGTATGACCTGTGAGGCTTTTAACAGTAATATATGATCTCTCTCACTCATACACACTCACACTCCCACCCCTTAGGAACTTTTCAGTCATTTCTCAGTGTTTACATATATATGAGAAAGATAGGATATTAAAGTCATAATCCATTTCTGAAACAAGGTATTGAAAGTTTATGAAGTTCATTTTGATACTATCTTTGCTAATGTTCCAAATGATTAATGGCAAATTACCATTTGCCCATTTAACCTGTAATACACAGCATTTAACTTAATTATGTCGGTAAAAAAGTATAATTTGTCAATAAAATTCATTCTGAATTTATATACTTGTTAGTACATATTTGGTGTGGGGACCAAATGCATATTCAAAACAGAGAGCAATCTACTTACAACCCCCAATTAGACAAAATGTCCCATGTTTGCATTTCTTACATCTGGACTTCAAAACAAATCAAAGAGTTTATAAGAGAACTCATTGCTTCCTTTGAACATGTTTTCCGGCAGAATGTTCACCCCATTTCCCAGGAAGAAACCATAGTGGGGAATTATGTCTGCTCCTTCTTTGGGGTACTCACAGTTCTCCCAGAGCGGGAAGGACAGGATTTCAGCTTGAACAGGCTGCTGGACACACTCTCTGTTCCTGCTCCCACGGGTTATATGGGCAGAGCCCACCCACAGATGCTCAGCCATCACCTGGGTGGCTATGAAGATTACATTTAGGGTGGATAAGGAAGTCTTACATCCAAAACACATCTCCCAACTTCACTTTACACTAATAAAACTGGTACTGTATTTTAATTTTTGTCTAGCTTCTTCTGTTTCCTCTAGTTCAGAATCCAGAAGGGAGGAAGGTTGTGATTAACTGCCATCTCCAATACCTTGAAAGTTTATTTTTATATATTTTTTCCAGTTGTGTTTCTAAATATCAGGCTAAGACAGATGGTTTTCCAGCAGCTATTTGAAAGCATTTCTCCACAAATAACACACTGCAGGTGTATGAATCTTTAGTCCTAATAAATTAAAAGACAAAATGACTATAACAGTCATAATATTTTCTATTTCTAAATATTGATTTTTTAAAAAATACTATCAGATATGCCAAAAGATTTCAGATGAATGCAACTTTTGACTACAGGGAAAATAGCATGAGGAAAATCAACAGAATTCTCATATACTCCTCAATAATTTATACTTCAATTTAACTTTTCCTAATGCATCCTGTCTTTAAACAACACTCCATTAAGAACATAAATTTTTTTTATTATAATGTAACATATAATGGTCCAAAACCTCACAGACTGCTAGTGCAGATCACTCTTCCGACTACAACTAACCACCATATCCAAGCTCTTAATAAATACTGGTAGGCTTTCACTCTTCCGTCTTAAGGGGAGATCAGAGATTATATACGTAAATACATACTTTATGTCCTTCAAACATACAAATAGTAAAAAAAAAAAAAAACACTTTCATTTTAGAATGAAAGCTCAGGGCACCCTCAAAAATCCCTAGGGGATGAGAGCCACCAGATGGGAATCACTGCTCCAGCTGTTCCAAATTCCCACATTTGGCCTGGCCTGACCCTGGACCACATGTCTTACAAGAGATCTTCAAAGAATGAGTATTTGACCTTAAATATAAAGCAGTAAACAAAAGAAGAGAAAGGCCAGGTGAAACACACCATTGGGTTTACTGTAAACATGTCAAAGGTTTTGCTCATTATACACTTTATGTATCCATGAAGACTTTGGAAGAAATTTTTTTTTCATCTTCATATCAAGAATATTCATCTAGGTATCTGAACAACCAGTTGGATTTTACTAGATCGACACACTACAACATAACTGACAGTGCTTCCCTCTTCAAGAAGGCTGGCAAGAAAAGCTCACCATCCACTTCCAGGAAGTAAAGTGGACTCACTAATTTTTTGTATAAATCCCACTCCTGACTCATTTTCTTATTCTCTTCTCCTTGTCTTTTTTCTTACTTAATGGTAAATGTATTTTTATCTTCTTGTATTACGTTTTACTCCTTTTTGGAACATATCATAATTATAAACAAAAAGAGCAAGATAGCTATGGTAGGCAGAATACCGGCCCCCCTAGATCCATCCACATCCTCATCCCCAGGACATACATGGCAAAGGGAAATCAAGGTATTAGATGGAATTAAGGTTAATCAGCTGACCTTAAAAGGGGAAAAAGAGTCTAGACTACCCAGGCGGGCTCAATGTCATCACAGGGTCATTAGAAGTGGAAGAGGGAGTCAGAGGGTAGGTAAGAAGGATGTCAACAGTCTTTCCTCAAGACAGCTCAGACTATTAAGTGATTTGCATAAATCAAGGTTATTGATTTAACAAGTCTGGTTATTTGGTTTCTCTGGTAACCTTTGGTTCTATTCTAGTAGTAATCAGATTAGGAATTTAAGAAGAATGAGGGAGCTCCCCAACAAAGGTGACAGCCCCAAAAAGTAATTGATAATACTGAGGGGGAAACCCCAAGATATATAGAGCAGAAAAGAACAGGGCTGGGCGTGGTGGCTCACGCCTGTAATCCCAGCACTTTGGGAGGCTGAGGTGGGTGGATCATGAGGTCAGGAGATCGAGACCATCCTGGCTAACACGGTGAACCCCTGCCTCTACGAAAAATACAAAAAATTAGCCAGGTGTGGTGGCATGTGCCTGTAGTCCCAGCTACTCGGGAGGCTGAGGCAGGAGAATTGCTTGAAGCTGAGAGTCAGACGTTGCAGTGAGGTGAGATGGCGCCACTGCACTCCAGCCTGGGTGACAGAGCAAGACTCTGTCTCAAAACAAAAATAAATAAATAAATAAAACACGTTTAGGGCAATATTTCTTTTTTTGTTGTTGTTTGTTTTTGAGACAGAGTTTCACTCTTGTCGCCCAGGCTGGAATACAGTAGTGGCATGATCTCGGCTCACCGCAACCTCCACCTCCTGGGTTCCAGCGATTCTCCCACCTCAGCCTCCCCAGTAGCTGGGATTACAGGCATGCACCACCATGCCTGGCTAATTTTGTATTTTTAGTACAGACAGGGTTTCACCATGTTGGCCAGGCTGGTCTTGAACTCCTGACCTCAGCTGATCTGCCCATCTCAGCCTCCCAAAGTGCTGGGATTATAGGAGTGAGCCACCACGCTTGGCCTAGGGCCATATTTCATCAGGGCAACAGCCTTATATATCTCAGAACTGCGTGGAAGCATCGCACAATGACACCACATCTTTCCTAAACAGGATGTAATACAGATTTGTGGGATGATCCCAGAAAAGTCTTATAGCTGAACTCCTGACAAGGATACATAAACAAGACATGATGAGATGGGGAAAGCACAGATAAGGTCAAAGGCCACATGTGTCATTTGCTATCACATTGCTTCTCCTCTGAACCTCTCCTTTATGTTTCCACCTAACTTTATGCTCTATGAAGGTAAGATGATCTTAATTACCACTATAAGAAAATCTAACAATTATGGACCGTGATCCTTAACAGACTTTCTCTCTTCCAATGCTTACTCTAAGCCTGTGAAGTATGTACTAACCATCTCCATTCAGAGTAGGGAAAATTGAGGCACAAAGAACTAAGCAATCTGTTCAATGTCACACAGCTACCAGGTAGTACAGCTGTTGTAGACTGGGCATCAGGCTCTTTAATCAGTGTTCTCTAGTGCCTCAGTACCTCTCAGAGAGCTTCACGCTTAGAAGGTCTCCAAACTTATGAAATGAATAAATGGAACAAGTCTAGAAAAAGAAAAAAAGGAGGCCGGGCGCAGTGGCTCACGCCTGTAATCCCAGCACTTTGGGAGGTCAAGGTGGGCGGATCACAAGGTCAGGAGTTGGAGATCAGCCTGGCCAACATGGTGAAACACCATCTCTACTAAAAATACAAAAATTAGCTGAGCGTGGTAGCACACGTCTGTAATCCCAGCTACTCAGGAGGCTGAGGCAGGAGAATTGCTTGAACCCAGGAGGCAGAGGCTGCGGTGAGCCAAGATCGCACCACTGCACTCCAACCTGAGTGACAGAGCAAGACTCCATCTCAAAAAAAAAAAAAACAAAAACAAAAACTGCACTCCAACCTGGGCGACAGAGCAAGACTCCATCTCAAAAAAAAAAAAAACAAAAACAAAAACTGCACTCCAACCTGGGCGACAGAGCAAGACTCCATCTCAAAAAAAAAAAAAAAAGAATTAAATCATTTATATAAGTTGAGTTCCTTTGAGTGATAGGCTTTCTGCCCCATTTCATCCAGGAAACTCTGCTAGTCAGCTATTTTCAAATGAGCCAGGTAGGTATTATGAATTCCCACCTGGGGAATGTTTCAAAAAGCAGTTTCTCCTTTATCCTCCTCCCCCAGTACTGCTTTTGTCATTGCAGGTTTGGTTTATATCTGGAAATTTAAAAAGAAAACTTCCCAGATTATTCTGCAAACATTTACTTATATCCTTCCCCCAGCCAGTGGAGCATCTCTGCTAGGAGGTGTCTTGCCTCCCATGACAGAGAGTAGAATCCAGAATGGCTGAGTGGGAAGTCTCACACGAGGGACTTAATTTCAGAGACATTAGGAGGCACAAGTAAAATTTAGGCAGTGAGCAAAACAATTCTTTTAGGGCTCAGCAGCCAAGTACAGACCAAGAGGGTAAAAATTCACACACACGCGCACACACACACACACACACACACACATATACTCCTTCTACATAACCTACCTATCCTACCTACCTCAAACTTGCAAAGGCTATCCTGAGGAAAAGGAGAGATTACTAGCACATTTGTTAGTTTAGAAAGATATCAAATCTTACTATTTTTCTCTTGCAATTATATTAAAGTGACATTAGAGTATCTTCCACAGGATGAAAACTATATAAAAGGGTGATAAGAGGCCAACTAGAGAGTTGCAACCTCATCAGACAAATATTCATGGAAGGGGCTTACTGGGTGCTCCCAATGATGCTAAAGTTTTGAGGAGAAAACACTGAGGGTACAAGACAGAGTCCCTGCACTTAGAAACATCCTCCAACCATGCACACACCCACCACCACTCCCACAGAGCAGCCAGAACATGCTGAAATCAGGGGCCCTATTGGCGTGTCCCTGTATTAGTCTGTTCTCACACTGCTAATAAAGACATACCCGAGACTGGGTAATTTATAAAGGAAAGAGGTTTGACTCACAGTTCAGCATGGCTGCCAAGGCCTCAGGGAAGGGGAAGCAAACATGTCCTTCTTCACATGGTGGCAGCAAGAAGTGCCAAGCAAAAGGGGGGGGAAGGTCCCTATAAAACCATTAGATCTTGTAAGAACTCACTATCATGAGAACAGCATAAGGGTAACCGTCTCTGTGATTAAATTACCTCCCACGACACATGTGGATTATGGGAACTACTAAGATGAGATTTGGGTGGGGACACAGCCAAACCATATCAGAGACTCTTTTGGGCTGCAGAGAAGCCTCAAGAGGTTTCATGGAGATCCTGTGGCCTAAACTGGGTCTCATCCCTTCATATCTCTCCAACTAATCTCAAGGTCCAGGCTAAACACCAGGAATAAAAGGTGAAGAAAAAGAAGTTCCTGGAACCACTGCCTGCAAGCTCCAAGCTTTCTCTGCAGTCATGGGACCCGTGAAGAACAACTCTGAACACTGCGCAGAGTTACAGGGCTAGGGGCAGAGCTTTGAACAAGCCACATCTCAAAACTTTGGTTTTGTATGCCCATAAAATTAAGCAGCAGAAATAGGTGGTGTCTGAGGCTCTTCCATTTTCAACTTAACTGAGAAAAACAGGTCTGTATTTTCCAGCTACTTGGATGTTTTCACTACTTCAGAATGATGACACTCACAGCCTAGAATGTGATCGTGGTAGGAAGGGGAGGGGGAGCAAGACAGAAACTGAGTTACAGTGAGAATTATAGATGAATGAAGTCATTATGCAAAACAGAAAACCAAAGCTAATTTGACTGTGCCCCCTCCCCTTTTATCCCTTGCCTCAAATACACTAAATCTATGTCACTTGCCTCTCATGACCACTAGATTTATAAGCCCATTAAAAATACTTCTATAATCACTCCATGCAAAAAAAAAAAACCCCTATTATTATTACAATGATTTAAATCCCTACAGCAGTACAGCAGGATCTGGGGTGGGGAGAGTTTATTAATACCTTAGCAAAACGTGCCATGAATACACCATTTGGATATTCATTTTTTTAAAGTGCCCTGATTTTTCCCAGGGTGTTCAGTTAACATTTAGCTCATGGTGTTACCGGCCCTGTCGATTGGGTTAGGTTATTTTCCTCAATTCCTCTGCTCTGTGGCTCTTCTCTCTCTCCATCAAAACCCACCCAAGGATCAAGCTGAGGTACTCGTTTCTCAACCCTCACTGGGTATCACGATCATGTTGGAAGACGTTTTAAATACAAATGGTAGCCCTCCCCAAGATCATAATTCAATTGGTCTACACAGGGCCAGGAAAGCAGTATAATTTAAAGCAATCCCAAGAGACTCTAAGGTGCAGTCAGAGTTGAGAACTATTGATCTAAGATAACCACCTTCCCAGGCAGATAAGTGGGTAGAAGGGTACTGAGGGAAGAGAAACAGGTATGAGGTCGGGGAGCATGGCAGGGGAGACAGGGGCTGTGTTGAACCAAAGACCAGGCACCCCTCTGATAGGGCAGCCACTTCTCAGCTCTAACCACCAGACAACTTGAGCTAAGACAGCCTGGGTTAGCTAGATCTTCCAATTTTCCAAAGAAGCCAGAAACCCAGAGTTTTGGTCAAATCTGTGTATTCTTAAATGCTGGTGCTAATTTAGATTAAAAAAAAAATTCTGGTGGTCCAAATAAAACGCATCTGCAACCTTCCTTACAACCACCACCCTAAGCACTTGAAGCTGGGGAGTCTTATAAAAAGACTGAGGCAAATATACAAGACCTTGAATTGAAGGCAGTTTACAATCTCACTCACCTGCTCAGTCCACCTCATGACAGGTGTCTGTTACTTTATCCTAATTGCTCAACTATTCTGGACTTTCTAAACAGCAGCTGGTATTGTTCTCAAATATTGACTTCTGCTAATCACTTTCAAAGGATTCTGAGCACTGGCTTCCAGCCCTCATTCACCACCCAACACAAGCTTGTGACTTAGTCACACCTTATTGCTAATCCCAAGAAACGAAGGGAATTTAAAAGCACCTGGTGAGAGAGAAGCAGGCCTCAGAATCCAGAAAGCCTAAGTGACTTGCCCAGGGCCACAAAGACTGTCAAGGTAGGGTGAACAAACTTGTCCCCGTTGGTCACCCTAGTTGAAGGACAGAGCCACATTGCTGTGTCTTATGTATGGACCCCCATAGTCTTATAATTCTTGATATATACATACATTTGACTTTTAGCTTTATGATCTGCTCCCTGTTGAGACTCAAACTTCTTGAAGGAAGAGATTCAAATCTTTCTGTGAACTAACTACTTAATATCTGTTGGGAAAAGTCCTTGTAGCCCCCTTGGTTAATAAAGATGGCTGCTGGTGGTGCCCTTGCAAACTATAGGCATCACTGCTCTAGGAGTCTCTTGGAAGAACCTGTAAGTCTTGACTCCCACCAACCCCTGCCCCCAATCCCCGGCTTCCTTCTCAGCCCCCAACTACTTCATCACATCAATAACAAAGTATGAGAAACACAGAAAAATGAAACACATGAGCAACTTTCAACTGACTGTTTCCTTCTCTCTTTAGACCACAAAGTCTCCCTGCTCTAATGAGATTATTACCCATCATGAAAGGACATAGCATCTAGCGTTCTGATTTCTCCACTCAGAGATACACCTCAGAAGGCAGCTTCTCAGCTGTGAAAGAAGTTGGCCTTTGCAATCCTCTCTTAGAAGTCTGCTTCGGAATTATTCAAGAGAGCCAGAGTCAAACCTAGAGTGTTGTGCATGAATAGAGAGGCAATCTGGTGTGGCAGAGAGGCTTGGGAATTAGATTCAGATTAAAATCTCTGCACTGACATAAGCCAGCCCTGTGCCCTCTTGAAGTTACAGAAATGAAGATCCAGTTTCCTTATCTGTAAAATGTCTACCTGCAGGGTTTAAATTTGCAAAGGGCCTAGTCTAGTGACCGATCCTTGATGAGAGTTACTGGAGAAGTCTCATGACTCCTACAATGAGCCCCAGAGGCCTCTGTGAGTAAGGTGGAAGGACCTAGCCTTCTGCCTGATCTAAATACATTAAGATCTGCCTTTGCTGACCTAGTTTTATTCTAAAGCAGTTGTGGTTTTCTTTCTTCCCTTCAGTTCCTTTTCTCAAAGGATGTAAGCATATCTGTGTGAAACACATAAAAAAAATGCACCAAGTGTCAGCAAAATGTTACTGTAACTGATAAAAAGGCATTTTCTATCTTGTCCATCAGTTTTGATGAGGAAGCAAAGCAGACTAGCCCAATTCCTAGCATTGGTAAAGATTGCTACTTCAAAGAATTTTCTGGGTCAGCACCTAAAAGTCTGAAATCCATTCCACTGAATTCATTATGACCCATAGTAATACCCCATCTCTCAAAGCAAAACTACACTGTGATTCATTGCATAGAGCCATTCCCTGGTAGACACTATATTTTAGACTTATGAATAAAACAAGTACAGAAAACAAAATAAAACACAGAACCAGCCCTGTACCCTTATATTTTACAATCTACAAAAAACAAAGTCAGATTTACACATACCTGGAAAACAACTCACGATGACATCATTTTAAGCTAACTGAATCTTGGATTCAAGAAGAATCAATGTCTATACTATTCTTCTAGCATAAAACCTGTTGTGGCAGTTTTAACTTTTTAACTTAAGAAAGTTATGACCTTAGGTCACTAGACAGAATTACATTACTCAAATGTATTCTTGGCAAACTCTTTGGGGATATAATTCACTCTGCAAGGAAAAACTGGTAATTGCCACCAATATCTCACACACATGTACATACAAGAAGACACACCATAACACACCATAACAACCACCACCCACAGAATCAAGAAGACCCATGCCATTCTTAAATGAAAATGTGCACCAGTTAAGAAATAATCTAACATCTCAGGTTAGCAGGAAGTGCCACACTCCAACCTAACAAGAAAAATGGGCATTAAAAAAACATTACATAGGTCTGTGGTCTATTAACAGTAACCTGTTAGTATCAACTTCCTGGTTTGGTATTGTAACAGAGCATGAAATCTGGGGAAGGATGGGTCCGTGGGTCTCTTTGTACTGTTTTTACAACTTCCTGTGAAATTATTTCAAAATAAATTGTTTTCTAAGCATTACTTATTGGGTATCATCCTGTTTGGGGAGATTTTTCAAGATGTAGAAGCCCTTTCCCAAGGCCCCTCTTCAGCTAATGGGTCCAGAATAGGATATACACCTAAATACTTTGAAAAGGGTTCTGGTTCCTAGATGATCTGAAACTCCTCCCCTGTTGAGTAAGAACCACCACCAAATGGCAGGTAAATCACTGAAGACATTTAACAGTGCTGAGGCCACCATATTTGATATTGGCTGCTGTGTAGAGGATGGGTTTGAAGGGTGGCTCATGAAAATCCGGGTGAGAAATGAGTCCAATAAAGGCCTGAACAGGGTAGTGGCAGTCCAGTCATAATAAGAAACCAAATGCTAGAAATACTTAAGAGGTCAAATCAGCAGGACAGTGGGCAATGACTAACTGGAAGGAATGAGGGAAGACGAGGAGGAGGAGGAGGAGTATAGAATGACCACTAGGCTTCCAGCTTGGGCAGCTGAGGAAAAGGTGACATGTCATTCACCAAGACAGGAAAATGGAGGAGCTGGTTTGTGAGGGAGGATGGCTGCCTGAAGCTTCCACAGAGCAATAGTACTATATCATATATTGCAGACAGAACGATCTTTGTCTAGAGAGGTAATTCCTTCTTCCTCAACTCACTGGGTGTAAAGTACCAGGGGACAGACAACTCGGCACAGCAGGCAAGAAGGACCAGCCACTACTCAGCCATGTCAGCCACTTGGCCCCGCCCTGGTCTGATCATTTTCACAGCCAGCCACAAACCCAGTGATCTTTCCCCAAATACCTCCAGTGGGTAGAGAGCTACTCAACCAAGCTGCTCCCCACAGGTTCTAGAGGGTCTGGGTTTCTAACATTTCTATTAAAAGAACTCCAGAGGGTGAATGAGGGAAATCATCCATCAATAAATCAAGCAACTAATTATTTCACTTTGCCATAATCTCTTTAAGAAATGGTGTTCCAAAGTGAAAGGAAGAATTCCACATGAGAAGACATCAAGACAGCCTATGAAGATCTTGACATAGGAATTTGTACATTGCTACACAGGAAGCATTTACCACCCACCACAGAGGAATGCAGTTTATTTGATAATTATTTGTCTAGGTTATAAACCCTTTTTGTAACAGTTTACTGAAATATAATTCACATACCATACAATTAACCAACTTAAAATATACAATATAATGGTTTTTACTGGGCTCAGAGTTGTACAAGCATTACAACAATCAGCTTTATAACTTTTCTCCCATATAAGTGCCAACCAGGCTCAACTCTGCTTAGCTTCCAATATCAGAACAGATTGGACACATTCAAGGTAGTGTGGCTGTAGAGAATTTCATATAACATTTTATCATACCCAAAAGAAACCCACACCCTTTAGCTACCACCTCCTAACCCCTCCTCCTCCCCACTCCAGCTCTAAGCAAGCACTCATTCTACTTTGGTGTCTCTATAGATATGCCTATTCTGGACACTTGATATAAATAGAATCATAATATGCAGTGTTCTTTGACAGCTTTCTTTCACAAGGTCCAATGTTGTAGCACATATCAGTGCTTCATTTTGTTTACAGCCAAACAATATTCCATTGAATAGATGCATCACATTTTGTTGATCTATTCATCAATTGATACTATTATGAATAAAACTGCTATGAGCGTTTGTGTATGACTTGATGGGTGTGTGTGTGTGTGTGTGTGTTTTCATTCCCCTTGAGTATATACCTACGAGTAGAATTACTGGGTCATATGATAACTCTGTATTTAACATTTTGAGGAACTGCTAAAATGTTTTCCACAGTAGCTACACCATTTTACATTCCTACCACCAGTGTATGAAGGTTCCAATTTCACCATATTCTTGCCAACACTTATTTGTCTCTTTAACAATTTTTTAAATTGACAAATAATTGTACATAGTCAAGGGGTACATAGTGATGTTTTAATACATAGAATGTATAAAGAGCAGATTAGGGTAATTGCATAGCCATCATCTCAAACATTTACAATTTGTGTTGGCAAGGTTCAATATCCTATTTGAAACTATATATCATGGCTAACTA
Source organism: Homo sapiens (assembly GCF_000001405.40). Taxonomy (NCBI): domain Eukaryota; kingdom Metazoa; phylum Chordata; class Mammalia; order Primates; family Hominidae; genus Homo; species Homo sapiens. Next base: position 134,230,464 of record NC_000002.12, on the reverse strand, counting down.
TAGTCATCCTACAGTGGTATGAAACACTAGAACTTATTTCACCTATCTAGCTGTAATTTGGTATCCTTTAACACAGGGGTCCCCAACCCCCAGGCAGTGGACCAGTACCAGTCCTTGGCCTGTTAGGAACTGGGCCACACAGCAGGAGGCAAGCAGCCAGCAAGTGAGCATTACCACCTGAGCTCCACCTCCTGTCATATCAGCGGTTGCATTAGATTCTCATAGGAGCACAAACCCTGTTGTGAACTGTGCATGTGAGGGATCCAGGTGGCACACTCCTTATGAGAATCTAATGCCTGATGATCTGAGGTGGAACAGTTTCATCCCAAAACAACCCCTTCATCCGTGGAAAAATTATCCGCCATGAAACCAGTCCCTGGTGCCAAAAAGTTTGGGGGCTGCTGTTTTAGTAAATCTCTCCCTATCCTTCACTTCCCCCATCTTTCCCATCTGTCTTTTTGATGACAGCCATCCTAACAGATGTAAAGTGCTATTTCATTGTGGTTTTGATTTCCATTTTCCTGCTGACTAAAGAGAGTGAGCATCTTATCTTTTCATGTACTTACTGATTATTTGTTTTTCTTTTGGGGGAAATATCTGTTCAGATCCTTTGCTCATTTATTAATTGGCTCATCTGTCTTTGTCACTGAGTTGTAGGAGTTATTTACATATTCTAAATACGGGTCTCTTACCAGATATTATTTGCAAATATTTTCTCCCATTCTGTGGGTATGTTATGAATGTTCTGTTTTCGATACATAATAGTGATACTTTTTCTTTTTAGTTCATAAGATGATTTCATCCATGTCTGTCCAGTTATAAAGCATTAAAATGCATTTAAATCATCTTTCTAACAAATCATATCTCCATTTTCTGTGGCATTTTTAACATATATGGGCATATCCTGTAAGCTCCTTATCAGTTATAGAATATTTTAAAACATAAAACTATGACTTTTACAAATATAAAATAAACACGGCAAAGATCTTATTTAGCTGATTAATTAATACAGGAACCAGAAAGATGTTAAAACAGGTCCAAAGAAAACGAAACACACATGTGTGTAGGCAATCAGGAATGCCGATCTGTTAATATATAAAATGCTTTTTGGGAGGGATCAATAATACCTCTACTGGGCAAAATTCATGTGCCATTCTATGAACAAGAACCATTTCCATTACTATCACTTTCCTATAACTTGCCAAAATGTAAATCAGTCCAAAGAAAATGAAAGACACAGATAACCTAGAAGGTTGCATTAGATTTTAATCTGTTTTGCCCATTTCTGAGTCTTCCACAATTTTTCCTGATATTTTTTTTGTAAGGTTTGTTCTATCAGTTAGGGTTCAATGAGCAGATGGAAAACATACTAATTTGAACAGGAAAAGCTTAACATAAACAATTATTAACTACAACCTGGGATTCTGCTAACAAGATGTTGACTAGTAAGAAGTAATGCAAGGAACTCTAGATCATACAGAAAGGCCAGATATAAGGAGTAACCACTATCCCTCAGACTGAGAAAACACCCATGAAGAAGATGAAACATCCATGAAAATAACCAGGTGGGGGACTGAGACCCTGACTTTGTTGGAGAAGACACAACTACAACTCACTAGATGGCAGAAAAGTCACTGTGGTGCCCTCTATGGTGCAGGAAAGCTGATCACAGGGAGGTAGCACACTGGCAACACTCCGCTACAAGACACCCCAAGGGGGTGCCAGAGGAAGCTGCTGGCCACCACACATCATAAAAGAAGGTCACCAGAGAGGACACACTCTGGAAGAGCCTTCCCAGAAACCACTGGAAAGCAGGAAGCAAAACTCTCTGCCTTCTGCAATGTTTCTCCAGCGCCCTCTACTGGAAAAGCTTAACATTGTACCAGCTGCAAAGGAAAAATATTCAAGAGGCCCAGATCCATTTTCACAGAGCAAGAAAAAGGGGTGAAGTTGAGAGGCCATAAATCAATAAATGGCATTTGTACTAGAGTCAAAAACATCTGGAAAATGTCAGATATTTATCCGGGAGAAAAACACTTGTTTATTCTCTGGCTAGAGGACCTTTTAGGCAACTAGGGCACCAAAAGTAAATATAAGGATTTTTATCAGGGCTTTTCTTACCCTATAATTTGCCAAGGGCAGACTCTAAGCATTTAAGCATCTACAATGCTAAGAACAACTCTCAACTTTCCTGTGAAATCTGTCACTTTCCCCTTCCAAGAAACACCTTACTTTCCACTGCACCCATTCTTTTCTACCTTCCTAAACACACACAGTCACACACTCATCACCAACACACATTGTTCCTGTGACTGGTCTCACACAAATGCTGTGACCTTCTGAAACTATGCCTTAAAATGACGACAAGAGGATCCCCACCTTTCCTCTTTTATCAAAAAGATTGCTCCTTCTGTAAAAATTTGTCCCATTTTGTGGTAAAATTCTCATATGGAAATCATCTCCTTGAGTCTTGATATTTTCTCACTGTCTCGAGTATTTAAACAAGGGTGCATTCTGTCTACCTAATGTCTGGCAGGTGAGTGAAAAGCCTGCCAACCAGCCCTGTCTAGGTAAAATAATGTGGCTCATTCCACCTGTTCTGCCCCAGAGCTATTGCCAAAACCATCTCATTACCACCACCAGCTGCCACTCCAAAGCTCATGAACGGTCTGAAGAATACAATGGTCCCTACCTGCCACGAACCAGAACTCTTTTGAGTCCATACAAGATGCTAAGAAAATCACAGCTGAAGAGGATCCTAGAGTAAACCAAGAGCCTTCCCTTCTTGAGAAAGTTTTCCCTCCCAAGGTCACACCCAGGAATGGGCAATGCAATTCAAAGGTAAGTAGATATGTGTTAGTGTTTACCTTTTCCAGAATACAGCCTATACCCATACTAACAAAGAGGTTTGAGAGGTATTATTTTTTATTTGTTTTAGGCAATAATTTGTAGCTCAGTATTTGAGTGCTCATACATGCTAAACTCTGCAGTGAATGAGTAAAAAGTCAAGTCCTACCTGCCAGGAATAGCTAGTCTCTGAAGCTTACCACTGCAGATTCTCATCTTTGGCCTCAAGAGGAAGGAGCAACCAAAACAGAGTAGTAAGAAGACAATACCCAGAGCTCAATCCAGTATGGGCCTTTTAAACTATTTGTTTCCCCAAAGACAAGGAGCCACCCCAGGGTCAAGTTTCTCACTGTTGCAGTCCATAATTCACAAGGAGAGAAGAGGCAAAGCCCTGAAATACAGAGCCCAAGGATGTCTCTTTTCAGTGGGAAAGAGTATGGGATGGCAGATGGGAGCCATTCTTTGTGTTATCATTGATGGGCCAGAGAGAACACAACACCAGTTACACTCATTGATAAGGATATACCCTTGGTATTTGATGCTAAACTAGAAGTCAGAGGTTAGGAAGTTTATTAGTTACCAACATTTGAAAAATGGAGATTTCACATAAAAATCTGAGTTTCTGGCCTTTCCAAAAAAAAAAAAAAAATAGGACTATCTGGTACCACAGAACCATTTTCCTGTGAGAAGACTTCGGCAGGAATGAAGAATTGGGGCATGGCTTTCCAATTTGCCACAGAACCCATGCAGGCTGCTTTACATGCCTGTGTGACCTGCCCAGCCCCTGCTGGTGTTTTAGTCATGTACTAAAGAACCATAAACCCCATAAGAGCAGGGCATGTCCGTTTTTATCTGTAAGCATATTTCAACACACTGCCTAGCATACAGTTCCCAGGAACTGTGCCTGCTAGGCGCTAGGGGCTCAAATCAAGTAAATGACTGCATGAACTCTACCAGACTTTCTGTCTACACTAGCTCGTTTCATTCTTAACATCATCTTGAAATATTTGCTTCCCATTTTACATGTGTGGTTCAGAGAATGAACTTCCAAAACCCACCTAGCTAGTAAATAACTATACAATTTCATCCCAAGTTTATGACACCAAAGCAAAGGAGTATGTAAAAGCAAGTAGAAACATAGAAAAAGAATACAGTAAAAGCAAGCAGAGAGAAATATAGAAAAAGAACTTCTAGTTTTTAAGAAAAGGCAATAGGCTGATTGCAAACACTCTGGTTTCCCACATAGTCTTTGTTCCATACTTATGGACAAAAAGGAGATATGTTATATGGTTATTGCATCTCTCTTCTGCAAAATTCTTAAGACATCTTGCATTATGAGAGCCAAAATCCACCTGCTAAATCTTCAATTAGGGTTAATTCTACTACAAGGATTAGTGACCATGCATCAACTAGGCAATTTGGAAGGAAAAGCTTTAAAGATGTAAAGATAACATGACTTCCATTTGAGTTCAAAGACAAAAAGAGAGGGTAGTCATTCCATTTAATGGAAAGCAGGAATCCTTAGCCAAGGGGCAGAGCAGAACAACCACTCAACAGTAAACACTCTTCTCCTAAGGCTACACACCAGCAGGTGGTAACTAAACAAATGACTGTTTAGGCTACTTAACACACAAAAGGTGCTATCATTCGGTTTGAAGAGGAATCAGGACAGCTCCCAGAAGAGGTCAAAAGTCTCGTAAAGCTCTAAAACTGTCTTTATCATATAAAGTTGTCCATCTATCCTAGTACACTGTTAGTGACACCCCAGCAGTGGGATAAAGAACTACAGGCTATTCTCTCTGGTCCCTTATGCTATCACGAGATGTAGTTTATTGAGATAAAGTTTTCCCTTTACATATTTATCTCCCTGGACCAGACTTATCAAATGTAGAAGCAGTGTCTTACTGCTTCTATCTCCAGCATGTCCTATAATGACTGTATACAACAGGCACTGTTATCTTCCCATCCTGAGACCTCATGGAAGATAATAAAGAATTCTTTTCCTGATCTATACACTTGAACGTGAATACCCACAGAAAGGTAAAAAACCAAATCACATACTGACATATGGATATATAACTAGATCACTTTGTATTAGAATTTATCAAAAAAATGATAGAAAATCAGAACTTAAACTAAAACACGGCAAGACCATGCCCACAACACAATCCCTCTAAGATGTGGCCACCACTGCTGCCCATGAAACAGGCTGAGCCTATAACTGCTCCTTGAACATCACTCTTGTGTGACTCGTGTGAGGATCTGGTCATCCAGATTCTGAATCAGCAGGCCTAAGGAGACTGCATTTCTAACAAGCTCCCAGGTGTTGCTGAAACTGCCAGTTTTTGGCCCACCCTTGAGAACAAAGGATCTAGGAGCACCAGTGGGAACCCATAACCACCTTTGTTCCTTGCAGTGGACACCACATTCCTTGAGTTAGCAGAGCTCTTGTCACAGAGGACAGAGCCTGATGCGGTGCCTTGAGATTGGAAATTCCCCCCCGATTTCCACCGCATTTTTTTTTTTTTTTTTTTTTTTTTGTGAGACAGGGTCTCACTCTGTCACCCAGGCTGGCTTGCAGTAAGATCATAGCTCACTGAAGCCTCCGCCTCCCAGGCTCAAGCAATCCTCCACCTCAGCCTCCCAAGTAGCTGGGACTACAGGTGCACAACACCACACCTGGCTAATTTTTTGTATTTTTTGTAGAGATGGGGTTTCCCCATGTTTCCCTGGCTGGTCTTGAACTCCTGGGCTTAAGTGATCCTCCCACCTTGGCCTCCCAAAGTGCTGGGATAACAGGTATGAGCCTCCATGCCTGGCCTAGATTGGAAATTCCTAAGGCACCCAGTGATCTTTGTCTTTTATTCCATTAAGCGTCTAACGGTCTATTAGCAATCAACCCTAAGAGGTAAGAATTGGTACAGGCAGAAAACTCTCTACCATAGCTTTTTTTGGATGTCATAGTTTTGGAGACCTAGACTGGTGTAACTCCAAGTGCCTAGGCTTTATTCTTAAAAGAAACAGGTGTGTGTTCCTATCCTTTTCTTTCAGATCACTCATTATCATTTCAAATCTCTCAAGGGCTTTCTAAATAACCCAGGCCGGAGATCCTAATATTTGGGGGCCACAGTGTTTAAGTAAAAGCTATAAACACTCTTCTCCCTCAAAATTCACGGATACTAAAGGTTTAACATTTTAGGTGTTTCATTGACTATATCCCAATCTCATTTATAAAAGGAAGCTCCCTCCCTGTCTTCCAGAAGACATACTTTAAAGACACAGGTTATCACTCATTCATAGCACTTTACACAAATCCTTTCTGACTAATACTTATGGAAGATACCAAGTACCGCTCTGGAAACTTCCCACAGATCATGAAACGCCTGCTAATAGGACCCATATTGTATCTATCACTAAGCAAGATGACAGATGAATAAAACCCCAAATGTCAAGACAAACCCACAACCTTGGGAACAATAAATAAATGCCATGACGAGCATTGCTCAAACCCATGTTCAGTTTGTAAATGGCATTTCCAAGTTAAACAAACATCTTGTTTTAAAAGCTGCTGCTCTGGTTAAAGAAGAGTCAAGAAAATCTTTTTCTTTTAAGTTATTTGGGTAAAGTATGTTTTTGTAAGCAAATTTACCTGAGTTCTCCAAAATTCAGATTGTAATTTTATGACAATATAGTTGTCTGTATAAGTTCAATAACAGTTTTTTAAACAATTGGAGACACTGGTTATTTTACCAAGACTGAAACTAAAATAGCCTATTTTTAGGTAAAGCTTCAGCAAAACCAACTTTAAAAGGAGTCTATATGGCCAGTCAAAAAATTTCTTGCTGCATTTTATATAAGTATTCATCAGGCAAGCATAATAAGGCTAAAACTAACCTTGCACATAAATTGGCCTTGCTATAATATTCTCTTTAATAAAAAAAGGTAGCTTAAAAACTGTTTCGAGGGTAAAACGTAACACTTAATACTAGATTTCAGCCCTAATTTTTTGAGTGCAGATTAAAGCATTATTTCTTGGCTACAATAATCCTCTAGAAAGTAGCAGATTATAATTTTTCTTCACATTTTTAGTTGGTGCCCTAATGGAAGAGGTTCCTTTTTCGGTTCTAACATACAAATTACTCTTATAACTGTCAAAATATAAATGTTTTACTTCCAAGAAAACAAAAATCATGGTATTCTGAAGACTAGAGATAAGGATCTCCCTCATTTGGCATCCCACTGGCCCCGGATCTGTTTCACTGCTAATGCTCTGTTGCTAAAACTATAGGAGCTACCCTGCTCTACGCCCAGGGACAAATGCAGAAAAGGTGGGTACGTAAGATTGTAAGGTCCGGTTTGAGGAATAAAATTAGGACAAGATCAAACCCTCCAAATCAAGAAGGGGGTACAAAAAATGCCTAAACAGCTGGTAAAACAAGTTCAGTTGCCTTCTAAACTATGATGTGTCACTTTTGCATCCACCCCAGCCATAAAAATTTTCTGCTTACTATAAAATTAAGGGAAAATATTTACTAACAGGATAAAATACTTTGTAACAAAGCCTCTTGGTTATAATACTCCCAATTATAAGTTGTGAAGATAAATATAGATATAGATATATAATATACATATTTTTAATTATTTTTCAGAACAATGCTTATGTTTTGTATAGCTAATTGCTGTAAGTCTAACAGAAACCAAGCTTACAGTAGCTTAACACAAAAAAGTTAAAAATAAGTCAGTCTTTTAACTTTGCCTTTTGGTTTTATTGTCAGTTTTTACTTAATAATTTTAAGAAGTAATGCATGCCTGTCCACATCCATTCCTATATGGCCTAGAACAATTAATTGGCTCTAAGTCTTTTGACTCTTAAAGCCCTCAGCCATAGGGAGTCCTGCGGAGGAAAAAATAACACTGCAGAATTATATGACTTCTCCTGTGACAAAAGCTTTTCTCTCCCAAATACTAGTATATGGTGCAATACAAAAGTGATGGGAAAAATAGATTTGTCTACTGTTAACAAGTCTATAACAATTTAAACACCAAGGACCAGGCACTTTTTGCATTTAATTTATACCCTCCTCAGGATACTATACCTATGGAGATAAATTGGCTGGAAAAGAAATTAAATTTATTAAATTCTAATTAAATGTTGGTCCCACAATTTTCAAGTAAGATATATCATAGAATTCAAATAACCCTTAATAAGGAGGGTAAACACATTGTAAGTCTAATCAAAGAATATAATGATGCACGCAGGGGTTTTTTTTTCTGGCTGATTGGGTTGTTTACTGCCCTCAGATTCTACCTATAGCCCTGGACGCCCACATCTTCACTATCTTTATGATATTTGTTACTATATTAACATTAGACATTCCTTGTAAATGTTATGCCAGATACAGCAGAAGGAAAGGCACAATTAAAGACCCAGATCATGATAGCTCAGAAAATAGATCTGATCCAGGATTGTTTTAGACTAAACCCTAGGCCTGACTCCATCTCACCTCTTAAAGAATTGGCTACTACCTCAGGTCAGAGCATGTCCTCTCCCCATTATCCAAATCGCTAATATTTAAAACTATTACCATCAAATCAGAGGAACAAGCCTTTCTAGCACCGTGGGACCTGGACAAATGACCAGATCAGACAACTCCAGGAATGAGCGTTCCTAGAGCCATGGGACCTGCTGCTGTTGGCCTTCTGTGGAATGATTTTTGGCTAAGAGTGGGGGACTGAGGACTAAGCTCTGATTTTTTATCTTGCCCAAATTCCTGTCTGAAAGGTCCTAATTTTATTCCTCAAACCGGACCTTACAATCTTACGTGCCCACCTTTTCTGCGTTTGTCCCTGGGCCTAGATTCTCACCAGATGGGTTTTATTTGATGCTGTATATAGTGACTTAACTTTCCACTCTGACTCTGGCATAACAAGCAAGAAAATAAAAAAGTTTTACCCCAAAATATATTTCCTTGCCATACCTTGAAATCGTCCTGCAAAGTCTCTTGTGGGAAAAATCCACATTCTATAGAGAATCCCCTTTCCGCTTTGTTTTCCTTCCTTCCTTCTTTCCCAGGAGATAATCAACTAAGAGCCAGGCATCCTTTTAGGTCAGATAAGCAACATTTTACAACCTGCTCTCTCTTTCTCTCTCTCTCTCTGAAGTCTGCTGAAAGATTCTTCGGCACAAGAAAACTTGGTCTCCACAATCCTTTACCTTAACCTGAATATTTCTTTCCATTAATCCCAGGTCTTTAGATAAACTCAACCAATTGTCAACCAGAAAATGTTTAAATTTACCTATAGCCTGGAAGTCCCCACTCTGAGTTGTCCTGCCTTTCTAAACCAAACCAATGCATTCCTTAAATGTATTTGATTGATGTCTCCTGCCTTCCTAAAATACATAAAACCAAGCTGTACCCCAACCACCTTCGGCACATGTTCTCAGGACCTCCCGAGGGCTGTGTCACGGGCCATGGTCACTCATACTTGGCTCGGAATAAATCTCTTCAAATATTTTACAGAGTTTGACTCTTTTTGTCAACACCCACATTTTCTTAAAAATCACATAAGAAAGAGTGGGGCTCTCAACTGTTATCCACAAAAAACTGCAGGACAAGGGGGTGGAGAAGCAGGAGAAGAAAACTAATTAAAAAGTAAATGGGGGAAAATTAGCTTGGAAAGGGCTTGCTGAACTGCTGACAGCGTGGAGTACTGAGGTGAAAAACAAATGCGAAAGAGATTTGGCAGAATCCAAAAAGAACACCATCAGAATGAGCAATGAGGCCACAGCTAACTGCCTGCTATAAGTCAGAGTGAGGAGTCAGTAACATACGTGAAGATAAAAAAGGAAGTTCCCTGGACAAGAGCGAGCACACAGACTAGAGCAAAGGAAAGAGGAGGGTGAGGAGGGGAGAAGGCTGATCCCTGCTACAGAAAGCAAAAAACAGCAGCAGCGTGCATACACATACACATACGCACTAAGGACAGAAAATCTAACCCAGTGTAATCTGAGGCCCTCTTAAGGAAAACAGAGAGGAGACCAAATGTAGATGGGGCACAATGGGCTGGCTAAGCCATCACAAATCAGCTCTTAATTACAGACTGAAGCCTTCCTGGTGTGTGGAGCAGATTTCCTGGCACTGGCGGGAGACATCCCCCCACCAACCCCAACAACTATTATTGGGCCATCCTGCTCCTTTCCATTAGTGCAGGAAACAAGGCAGAGACACCATCTTGTGTGCCTTTTATCTGAGCCATTTATGGCAGAGACAGGTCATTTCATTTGGTCGGGGTGGGGGATACATGGGAAAGAAAAACGGAGTGAATGTGCCCAAGGACACTACTCTGAAACTAGAGCTGCATTTGGAAATGCAGTCTCCTGAAATGAGAGGCTGGCGAAGAACTAGTTTTCCATCGAAGAGCATACAGCTATGCAACACTATTACACTGTAATTTCATGCAGAATATAAAGTCCTACTTACCATTCTGAGCCTCCTCAACTACTCTGCTGGTCCTCCTTCCAAGAACAGGGGTACGTATGTCATGCATTTGCTGCCTTCACAAGATAATGAACTTGCAACAGCCCAGGTACTGTGGCATTACTTAATAATGCTAATATTAGTATTTATGCTGTGCCAAGCTCCATTTAAATTCCTTTACTCCTATGAATTCAGTTGTTCCTCTCAATAACTCAACCAAGTAAGGGAGTAGTGCCATCTCCACTTCACAGAGGAAACAGGTCAAGAAAGTTCAAGAAAGTAACTCTCTCGCTCAAGGGACAGGAGGCAGGAACAAGATTTGAAACCAATACTCCTAACAACTTCACCAGAAGTTCCCAAATTCAAACACTCCCACTTTACTGTGTTTTTGTGATTCCGTAATTTTTTCAGGATCTCCTAAAAGAACTCATAAAAGCTCCATTTACTGAGTAGTTAGGTCCCAACAACTTAGTAGTGATGGTTAAGTGGTGCCTGACAGATGTCTCTCTGTGTTTCCTCAAAGTTTTAAAATATCCCATGCCAGCCTTGTGACTTTGCTGTGGCACTCCGGGGCACCTCAGGACAGTTTGGAATTCACACAACTATACTATCCCGGCTTCCTCATTCTGGTGAGGAAAAAGCATTAGGGTGCAATAATTGAACTGTCTGTTCGTTAAAGTAGATGAGTCACCGGCATGGGAGAGAGAAGAATCCTGTTAACTTCCTTCTTAGCCATCAAAAACATCTGAGCCCCTTAGCTCTCACAGCAGGTTTTCCCACCTGGCCCAGGTGGGCTTTTCCAGCCTTGTCTCCTGCCACTCCCACCCCTACAGTAAACTGTGCACTGCAGAAGCAGCTACACAAGCCTTGTTGCCCACCTTGGGCCCCTCTGCACCTGCCACATGTGCTCTCTTCTTGCTTTCTCGCTCAGCCATTTCCTGCTCCTGGGTGACTGAGCTCCTCCTTGATGAAGCCGCTGCACCCCGACAGGTGGCTCGCTGCTACTTCCTCTGGGTTCCCAGCCCACTCCACCGCACTCACACCTCCCTGGGCTTCCTCAAATTCTCTAATTACTGGCCACTGACATGTCCATCTCCCCTGGCCCTTTGCTTATCAACTTCTGCAAAGTAGGACTGGGATCTTACTCATCTCTGTGGCTTTCCCAGAGACTATGGACAGTAAATGATACACAGCCTTTAAGAAGTTTTAATTAGTAAAGAATGGAACAACAGAATGAAGCATTGCTTAAGGAACCACGTGAAGTATAACAGAATCAATGAATAAAAGAAAGGATGTGGCAGGCTAATCGAATGAATAGTCCCAATTAAGAGTCTCCCTGTATCCCATTCCCCTTGCAATAAGACTCAACAGCAACTCCCATCAACAAGTCTATATCCTTACCCTTTGAATCTGGGCTAGTCTTGCACCTTGCTTTGGCTGATAAAATGCAGAAGTCACAGTACACCAGGTCCCAACCTGGGCCTCCAAAGGTACTGCATGCTTCTACTTCCTTCTTAGAACCAAGCAGATGGCCTGGGCTAGCCTGCCACAGGACGGCAGACCATGTGGAAGGGAGCCCCGTGGAACCCATCCTAGACCAGATCCAGCCAGCCTACCCCTCAAATACATAAGAAAGCCCAGCTGAGACCAGCAGCCTGACCCCTCACCCTGCCCCCTGCATCAGTAGTGAACCCAGCTAAGACTAAAAGAACGACCCAACTCACCCACAGACTAGTGAACACCAATGAAGGCTTACTGTTTTAAGCCATTAAGTTTTGGGACAGGGTGTCATGTGGTAACAGTTAACTGATACGTTGAATTAATGAACAGCCTAATTTATGATAGTGAAGTTCCTAGGAGGCTGGGGTTATGAGTCTTTGTTCTGTGTCAGACTGAGAACCACAGTTCTTAAACATGGTGTTGCAACAAGTCGAGATACATCAAGATCTGCTGTGGGGGCATTTGCACAAAGTATTTCTGAATTTTGCAAGTGATTAAGTTAGTGTAGATTCATCATCACCCTCATCTATACCACTGTGACTCACTTAAGCTTTCTTGAAAAGGAAAGTGGAAGAGTAGGACCAAGAACCTGCTTCTCATTTCCACTGACACCTTCTGCCAGCCAGTAATAGTAACAGCAGTGTTTATTAATCACCTGTCTTATTCTCCCCCTATGTACATCATCTGTCACATGAACCAGCTCTCAAAGAATCTCAATTTTTGGTGAAGATGTCAAATCCTTTAAGGAAAGGGCAAGGCATAAGAACATCTTTAAACATCTAGTACTGTACTCACATCTAGCATACAAAAGACATGGTCTTCTGCCCTCAGGGACTCATCTGGTGGAACTAAACAGTCCTTTTCTCTCAGAAGAGGACCAAATAAGAGCCCAGTCTTATTTTTTCTAACTGTAAGTCAGAAATCCACAGCAGGAGGTGAGCCCCAGGGCTTGTCTTCTAAAATGAAAAAGCCCAGGTAACAAAACCAACCTTATTTACAGCCATCTATTTGGGAAATCACCCAAAGTCAATCATACTTCTTAAATGAAGGACTTTAATGAATGTTCCTACTGAGGTTAATTGCTGCACTGGCAGCCAATGCAGTGTCTTTCCATGATGTATTTCCTCTTGACGGTGGCTTTCAAGTTCAGTTCTCAGCTACCCACACCTGCTTTCTCAGGTAACTCTGGTCTAGCAGATTAAGCCCCGTGAGCCTCAGTTTCACATACATACAATGAAAACTCAAATAAGATTGAATGAGTTAATTTAACATGAAAGTCCAAAGGTTTGGCACAGCCCAGACCCTTGTAAGTGCTCAAAAAAGATGTATTTCCTTCCTTTCAGCTACAAAAACACATTTGGTATATTTTACACACACACACACACACACACACACACACACCACTCTCTCTCCCTCAGACCCCACTCATCCCTTCTGCTCAAGTCACATTTGCAATACCAGCAATAGCGTAAGTTATGAAAATCATACCCAAAAACCACATTTCATTTAACAAATTTTTACCCAACACCATGCTAGGTATGGTCAACATGGGGCCCCTAAGGATCCTGCCAGCCTCCTGGAACAACCTCCATCTACAATCCACAGAGATAGTTTATGAGAAACTGGCCACCACAGCCCTAGGAAACAGCATTCCGTTATCTTACTAAAGATAGTCTTCTGCCAAGCCCATCATGGCTTTATTTTCTGACAAAAGGGTCCCTATGCTAAGCCAGATTCCTGTCATGTGCAGACTAGAGCGCCAATCTATTCCTATGGCTCTTAACTCTCAAGCACAGCAATAGTCACATCTCCCCAGCCCGCTCAGGATCCCACTCTCACCTGCTTCATTCACTGGGCACCTGAGAAACCACAATAATCACCCCTAGAGGTAGAGCAGAAATGGCAAAAGTAGCAGCATAAAAATTGATACCAAATTCATCTTCATTAATCACCTTCCTATGTCAGGTGTGAACTGTCTCAGGAACACAGCTCGAGGATGAATCACATTTCGCCATCACACAGGGCAACCTGGGTTTCTTTAGTATGCTTCCTGTGCCAGCCCTATTTCCTAGTCAAGCTTTCATTTTCCTTCAAGATTTTCACAGTAAATTCTGTAGATCCTGAAATTGCCTCAACAAACAGAAAAACCTGGACTCCATGGTAAGGAAGAAACACAATGGCTGTGCTTTCAGTTGTCAAGTGGTTTTAAACTACTTCACCTTCATTCTTCTTCATTCTCTACCCTGGAAGTATATCGGATCACAACATGGGAATTTCCCACTCAAAACCTGAAAATCAAGTTCGGTCTCATAGGACGACAACATGAACAAGCTTCAGACTTAGCCATCTTTCACCCACTGACTGGCCCTGTATAGAACTATAAGTGTCCCGGTTTAATACTAATAAATTCTGCTAGCTCAAATTAAGCTCGCCTCATTTGGACTTGGTTCCTTATTTCTGCTGATCTCACTGCAACAAACCAAACATATGGTGAGAGCAGAATATAATTCAGTACAAGACACCGACTTTACCAGCTTCTTACAGAACCACTGAGAGATGATGGAATCTAATGGAACACATCAGCCTTTCTGAAAAGTTAATAATAATGCCTTTCTAAGGTCACCGTCTAAAGACAGTGGAGATTAGAGTCCATTAAAAGCACCAAGCAGATAACCAAGTCCTTCAGAATCAAAAATAAAGGATGGGATTAAAACCACAGACTAATTCCACTACATACTCACCAGAATGGCTAAGGTGAAAAAGACAAATACCAACCATGGAGAGGATGTGAGTGAAGGAAGCTCTCATGCACTGCTGGTACAATTATATATTGATACAACTGCTTAGGAAAACTGGCAGTATCTCATATTGCTAAACATGTGTACCCCCATGATCCCAAAATCCCACTTCTAAGTATATACTTGCTATGGTTTGGATATGGATTTACTGGCTGAAACTTACAAGGAAGTTTAGCTGACTTCAGTTGCAATGTGTTTGGGTCATGGAGCCGGATCCCTCATGAATAGGATTAATGCAGTATCAAGAGAGTGACTGAGTTCTCAATCTCTTGAGAATGGATAAGCTTCCTTGAGAGCAGGTTGTTAATAAAGCCAAATCCCTTCTCATGTTTGGTCCCTCTCCACACATGCCTGTTCCTCTTCCATTTTTCCACCACGTCTTGATGCAGCATGAGGCCCTCGCCAAAAGCTGAGCAGATGTAGCCACCCAGTCTTGAACTTCCCAGCCTCCAGAACTGTGAGCTAAAAAAACAAACAAACCTCTTTTCTTTATAAGCTATCCAGTCCCAGGTGTTGTATTATAGCAACACCTAACAGCCTAAGACAAGAGTCAACTGTAATGTGTACCTATGTTCACCATTCAATGGCAATGTGTATATCATATACTAGAATGTTTCCAGAAGCACTAATCCTAGTAGCTGAAAACTGGAAATTATCTAAATGCCCATCTACGGTAGAATGGGTGGATCAATAAATTTTGGTATATGCACACAATGGAATACTATACAGCAATGAGAATGATTACATGCAACAATATACATGAATTTCACAAACATAATACTGAGCAAAAGAAAGCAAACATAAAATAGTTTCCATTTTATGAGTTTATACAGAGTGCTAAAACAGTCAGGATTGAGGCGTGGGGATTGTAGAGGTAGAAGCTGGAAGAGAGGACATGAGGGGGCTTCTGAAGGCTGAGAATGCTCTGTGTATCTGGTGGTTAGGTGGGTGTCCATTTGAAACTCATCAAGCTCTACATGTGGGATGTGTATTTTTCTGATATAATACATATCAGAAAGTTAAAACTAAAATCAAGGGTACTGGTTTGCTTACTAAGTTACCTCAATGACTTAAAATGTTCGTTGGCTGTTAGGTTGCGACATAAATATTTGTTCCTCCCCACCCCACCCTATATTCCTAATACAAAGCTCCCTAAGGCCTTCATAATTTCCCAAGTGATAGGATGAGAAGAGTATCTTTTGTTATAATATTTGGTCTTACTCCCTAGTTCCCTTCCAAAGAGCTTCCAAGACCCTTGAAAGCTCTATAGCTAGCTTGTCCAACCCATGGCCCAAGGGCTAAATGCAGCCAAGGACAGCTTTGAATGCGGCCCAAAACAAACTGATAAACTTTCTTAAAACATAGATTGGTTTTGCAATTTTTGTAGCTCATCAACTATCGTTAGTGTATTTTATGTGTGGCCCAAGACAATTCTTCTTCCAATGTGGTCGAGGGAAGCCAAAAGATTGAACACTCCTGCATTTTATTTTCAGGAAGTCTTTGCTGCTGACTTGGGTAAAAGCATCACTTTGCATGCCCCTCACTTCATTTTCTTAGAGGAAAGAAAGGCAGCCAGCCCTTGGGCCATGGGTTGGACAAGCTAGCTATAGAGCTTTCAAGGGTCTTGGAAGCTCTTTGGAAGGGAACTAGGGAGTAAGACCAAATATTATAACAAAAGACACTCTTCTCATCCTATCACTTGGGAAATTATGAAGGCCTTAGGGAGCTTTGTATTAGGAATATAGGGTGGGGTGGGGAGAAATGTCTTTTTGTATGCTATTGACTGGTGGCTGAGGTCCCTAAATAGCTTCGGGATGGGACTGGCTACCACAAAGACCACTGTATGACTAGAGGATTGGAACTTTCAGTCCCACCCCTAAAATCTCTGGGGAGGGAAGAAAGGGTGGACATTGATTTAATCGATCGTCCCTACATAATGAGGCCTCCATGAAGTCCCACATGACAGGGTTCAGGGAACTTCCAGGTTGCTGAACACAACCATGCGCCAAGAAGGTGGCATACCCCAACTCCACAAGGACAGAGGCTCCTGTGTTTAGGACCCTTCTGGACCTCATCAAATGTACTTCTTCACCTGAACATTTGTATCCTTGGTAATATCCTTTCCAACAAACCAGCAAATATAAGTAAATGTTTCTGAGTTTTGTGAGCCATTGTAGAAAATTATCAAATTGAAGAGGGGGTTGTAGGAACCCCTCAATATACAGCCAATTGGTCAGAAGTACAGGTAACAACATGGGACTTGTGACTGGTGTCTGAAGTGGGGGCAGTTTTGTGGGACTGAGCCCTAAACTTGTAGGGTATGCAATAACTCCCGGTAGTGTCAGAATTGAATTGTAGGACATCCAGTTATTACCTGGAGAGTTGGATAATTCATTGGTGTGAGGGGAAAAAAACACCCACATTTGGTGTCACAAGTATTTTGAGAAACAGAATTTTTGACACTGACCCTCTTCATTTTAGAACATGAGATTTAAAAGGCAGCAGTGGGGGGCGGGGGGGCTCCCAAGTCTCCCTCACCTGGCTGTGTTTAATACGTTTGCAAAGCCAGTCCAGTATCTGATTGAACACAACTTCACTTCATTTCACCACCTGGGCCACCTATTTATCAACCTGCAAATTCAGCCCAATAGTCCAATTTGTTACCAGCCTGTCATCTGGCTGCCTTTCTTTCCTCTAAGAAAATGAAGTGAGGGGCATGCAAAGTGATGCTTTTACCCAAGTCAGCAGCAAAGACTTCCTGAAAATAAAATGCAAATATCCAAAAGGCCTATGCAGACCTGACTCTTCCAAACAGCAAAACAGTATTTCAATGTCAAGGAGAAGATGAGACAAACATTTTCCCACACGCATCAACTTCAGCAAATCAGCATTCTATGCCCAGTGAAGCTCGGCATTCAAGCTGGCTCACTTACGCCATCACTCAGGAGACAAGCAAGTCTCAAGGTCTTACTGATATCTTCCCTCTCTCTGGAAGATAATAGTTGGATACACTGGAACTGAATAATAGAGGATTATCTCTGGAGAAGTGCAAGAATACAATGAAGAAGAGGGAAACAGACTGAAAGTATGGGGAAATCCAACCTCTTCCCACCATTTTCCATGGAAAACTCGATTCTTGATTTTTCAGGAAGTTGGAGCTGTCCCAAATTTCCAGAGAGCTCTGATTTAACATTTTCCCAAGGCTGGGCAAGAGGCAACCCAAAGATCAAGTTGATCATTTTACGGGGTTTTATGTTGTTATGTTAAAAATAAGCCAGTTCTTATCTCTCAGACCACAGTGCAATCAAACTAGAACTCAGGATTAAGAATCTCACTCAAAGCCGCTCAACTACATGGAAACTGAACAACCTGCTCCTGAATGACTACTGGGTACATAACGAAATGAAGGCAGAAATAAAGATGTTCTTTGAAACCAACGAGAACAAAGACACCACATACCAGAATCTCTGGGACGCATTCAAAGCAGTGTGTAGAGGGAAATTTATAGCACTAAATGCCTACAAGAGAAAGCAGGAAAGATCCAAAATTGACACCCTAACATCACAATTAAAAGAACTAGAAAAGCAAGAGCAAACACATTCAAAAGCTAGCAGAAGGCAAGAAATAACTAAAATCAGAGCAGAACTGAAGGAAATAGAGACACAAAAAACCCTTCAAAAAATCAATGAATCCAGGAGCTGGTTTTTTGAAAGGATCAACAAAATTGATAGACCGCTAGCAAGACTAATAAAGAAAAAAAGAGAGAAGAATCAAATAGACACAATAAAAAATGATAAAGGGGATATCACCACCGATCCCACAGAAATACAAACTACCATCAGAGAATACTACAAACACCTCTACGCAAATAAACTAGAAAATCTAGAAGAAATGGATACATTCCTCGACACATACACTCTCCCAAGACTAAACCAGGAAGAAGTTGAATCTCTGAATAGACCAATAACAGGCTCTGAAATTGTGGCAATAATCAATAGTTTACCAACCAAAAAGAGTCCAGGACCAGATGGATTCACAGCCGAATTCTACCAGAGGTACAAGGAGGAACTGGTACCATTCCTTCTGAAACTATTCCAATCAATAGAAAAAGAGGGAATCCTCCCTAACTCATTTTATGAGGCCAGCATCATTCTGATACCAAAGCCGGGCAGAGACACAACCAAAAAAGAGAATTTTAGACCAATATCCTTGATGAACATTGATGCAAAAATCCTCAATAAAATACTGGCAAACCGAATCCAGCAGCACATCAAAAAGCTTATCCACCATGATCAAGTGGGCTTCATCCCTGGGATGCAAGGCTGGTTCAATATACGCAAATCAATAAATGTAATCCAGCATATAAACAGAGCCAAAGACAAAAACCACATGATTATCTCAATAGATGCAGAAAAAGCCTTTGACAAAATTCAACAACCCTTCATGCTAAAAACTCTCATTAAATTAGGTATTGATGGGACGTATTTCAAAATAATAAGAGCTATCTATGACAAACCCACAGCCAATATCATACTGAATGGGCAAAAACTGGAAGCATTCCCTTTGAAAACTGGTACAAGACAGGGATGCCCTCTCTCACCGCTCCTATTCAACATAGTGTTGGAAGTTCTGGCCAGGGCAATCAGGCAGGAGAAGGAAATAAAGGGTATTCAATTAGGAAAAGAGGAAGTCAAATTGTCCCTGTTTGCAGACGACATGATTGTTTATCTAGAAAACCCCATCGTCTCAGCCCAAAATCTCCTTAAGCTGATAAGCAACTTCAGCAAAGTCTCAGGATACAAAATCAATGTACAAAAATCACAAGCATTCTTATACACCAACAACAGACAAACAGAGAGCCAAATCATGAGTGAACTCCCATTCACAATTGCTTCAAAGAGAATAAAATACCTAGGAATCCAACTTACAAGGGATGTGAAGGACCTCTTCAAGGAGAACTACAAACCACTGCTCAAGGAAATAAAAGAGGACACAAACAAATGGAAGAACATTCCATGCTCATGGGTAGGAAGAATCAATATCGTGAAAATGGCCATACTGCCCAAGGTAATTTACAGATTCAATGCCATCCCCATCAAGCTACCAATGACTTTCTTCACAGAATTGGAAAAAACTACTTTAAAGTTCATATGGAACCAAAAAAGAGCCCGCATCGCCAAGTCAATCCTAAGCCAAAAGAACAAAGCTGGAGGCATCACACTACCTGACTTCAAACTATACTACAAGGCTACAGTAACCAAAACAGCATGGTACTGGTACCAAAACAGAGATATAGATCAATGGAACAGAACAGAGCCCTCAGAAATAATGCCGCATATCCACAACTATCTGATCTTTGACAAACCTGAGAAAAACAAGCAATGGGGAAAGGATTCCCTATTTAATAAATGGTGCTGGGAAAACTGGCTAGCCATATGTAGAAAGCTGAAACTGGATCCCTTCCTTACACCTTATACAAAAATCAATTCAAGATGGATTAAAGATTTAAACGTTAGACCTAAAACCATAAAAACCCTAGAAGAAAACCTAGGCATTACCATTCAGGACATAGGCGTGGGCAAGGACTTCATGTCCAAAACACCAAAAGCAATGGCAACAAAAGCCAAAATTGACAAATGGGATCTAATTAA
The DNA here is from genome assembly GCF_000001405.40 of Homo sapiens. NCBI lineage: Eukaryota > Metazoa > Chordata > Mammalia > Primates > Hominidae > Homo > Homo sapiens. The sequence goes on along the minus strand of NC_000002.12, from coordinate 134,210,190 downwards.
ACTAAAGAGCTTCTGCACCGCAAAAGAAACTACCATCAGAGTGAACAGGCAACCTACAACATGGGAGAAAATTTTCGCAACCTACTCATCTGACAAAGGGCTAATATCCAGAATCTACAATGAACTCAAACAAATTTACAAGAAAAAAACAAACAACCCCATCAAAAAGTGGGCGAAGGACATGAACAGACACTTCTCAAAAGAAGACATTTATGCAGCCAAAAAACACATGAAAAAATGCTCATCATCACTGGCCATCAGAGAAATGCAAATCAAAACCACTATGAGATATCATCTCACACCAGTTAGAATGGCAATCATTAAAAAGTCAGGAAACAACAGGTGCTGGAGAGGATGTGGAGAAATAGGAACACTTTTACACTGTTGGTGGGACTGTAAACTAGTTCAACCATTGTGGAAGTCAGTGTGGCGATTCCTCAGGGATCTAGAACTAGAAATACCATTTGACCCAGCCATCCCATTACTGGGTATATACCCAAATGACTATAAATCATGCTGCTATAAAGACACATGCACACGTATGTTTATTGCGGCATTATTCACAATAGCAAAGACTTGGAACCAACCCAAATGTCCAACAATGATAGACTGGATTAAGAAAATGTGGCACATATACACCATGGAATACTATGCAGCCATAAAAAATGATGAGTTCATGTCCTTTGTAGGGACATGGATGAAATTGGAAACCATCATTCTCAGTAAACTATCGCAAGAACAAAAAACCAAACACCACATATTCTCACTCATAGGTGGGAATTGAACAATGAGATCACATGGACACAGGAAGGGGAATATCACACTCTGGGGACTGTGGTGGGGTCGGGGGAGTGGGGAGGGATAGCATTGGGAGATATACCTAATGCTAGATGACACGTTAGTGGGTGCAGCGCACCAGCATGGCACATGTATACATATGTAACTAACCTGCACAATGTGCACATGTACCCTAAAACTTAGAGTATAATAATAATAATAATTAAAAAATAAAAAAAAAAATAAAAAAAAAAAAAAAAATAAAAAAAAAATAAGCCAGTTCTATATACAATCCCTCTGCCCATCCACCTCCTCATCCCCGGTAAATACACAAAAACAAAAGAGGAAGACAAGTGACTGCAAGTGACACAGGGGAAGTGAGGTCTGGGTCTTCCCATGCACAAGGCCTCCTTCATGCTGATGTAACAGAACACCAGGAAACCCTGCTCCCAGAACACTGGGGAAAAACAGACACTGACCACAACACTGGGGCATCTCCTTATTGATTCTCTCGGTTATTTATTTTCCCCAGAGGCTGGGAGTAAGATAATGCTTTCCTAAAACAAAGAATATGGTATAAAAACAAAATTTTTTAGAAGTCCAGCCAAGAAAGGCCACATAGGTGGGTAAGGTAATGTTTTATTAAATGTTTACATTCCCTAGATATTAAGTTTCAGAACTTGTCTAGGCTCTGTTCCCTTGGGCATTTCATACATAAGTAATACAAGTTCTTCCTTAGCTTTTATCCACAAATGGGATAAAGACCATGTTTCTGGTATACATATGCATCTATGTTATTTATATTATAACAACTATAGTAAATAAATGCATGTTTTTGCCTGCTGGGAATAAAGGCATATCCTATCCTCATTTCTCACATATTCTACTTAAAATGTTCCTAAGTAGCTTACCAGCTACTCTCTTATCTGCTGAAACTAACCAAATTCTGGCTGATGGTCAAAGACTATTTCCCTTGGGCACCAAGCTTCCTAAACAGTCAGGATGGTCTAATAAGGTTTTTTCTGAGTGTGGTACATTTACACCGTAGCATACATACTAATAGTTAAGTATTTGTTGCAACATGCATACGCACATCAAATTCATAAGCTGCTATATGCTGTCAATTAGAATGAGACCAAATTAAAATAAATGAGTTGATGCAGGATAAACTGAAGAAAATATGTTAAGTAACAAGTATAGGTGGTAACGTGAATATGGTGGAAACTAAGTCCAAAGTTTGGAAAATACTGGTCTGCTTAAAAAAAAAAAAAGTTCGGCCAAGAGTCTGAAAACTCTGATTCTATGTGCTGTCTTAATGTGTCCTTGGGGATCCTTCACTTATCATCCCTAGGCAGGCCTCACTACAATGATAGCAACAAAGCTGATAGGGTTAGGACAGTGTGACAAATGTGAAAACTTTTGGAAGTAGAACGCAAAGTCTTTTCACCTTCCAATCAGGTGTGACCACTGGCCAGCTGAGAAGCATGGACCTTTAAGTTATGACACACAAACCAACAAGGTATCAGAGTCAATGCTAATCCCTCTCCTTAAAACCTCCCTGAGTTGTGGAAAGTCATCTTGCCAAGCCTCTGGGCAAAGACCTCCTGAGGTTGGCTTGGTGGCAGGCAGGGGGCGGTAGATGGCAAGAGCACAAATGATACATATCACTGCAACCTGGTGTCTGATCTCAATAACACCTCTGCACAAGACCCCTGGTAAGGCAGGGCTTTCCAAGGTCAGGATTTGCCACTAAGCTCTTAAAATCTCTTCTGATCCTAGCAGAAGTAAACGATCAGTATCTCTGGTAAGCAACTGTATTTTTCTTTTTTTTTTTTTTAACCTTTCAGTGTCATTGTGAGGTTTGCCACATGCCTTGAGAAATAAAGCCCAATCTGAATGCTCAAACATGAAAGTCTGGCTGGCTCAGGCAATTGGAAGAAGATACCCATGCATGGTAACCGCTGAATGACAAGTTAGGTTTCCTGGAGAGAAAGACCTAACTATTCACCTTATATACTTAAATAATTGCCTCCTTTTTAAGGCAAAATAACAGCTCCTAAAGATGTCTCTGTCATAGCCCCAGAATCTGAGTATGTTACACCTTACATGGCAAAGGGCAATTAAGGATGCAGATGGAGTTAAGGTAGCTAATCAGCTGACCTTAAGATAATTATCAAGGTGGGTCTAATGCAATCACAGCGTCCTTAAATGCGGAAGAGGGAAGCAGAAGAATCACTATCTAAAAAGTGTCAAAGACTGGCTTGAAGACATAAGAAGCCATGAGTGAAGGAATGTGGACAGACTCTAGAAGCTGGAAGAGTCAAGAAAACAGATTCTAAGAGCCTCCTGAAAGGAACACAGTCCTGCTGACACTGGATTAGCCCAGTGAGACTCTGTATTGGTTCCCTATTGCTGCTATAACAAATTGTCATTAATAATTACCTATACTTAGTGGCTTAAAACAACAGAAAACTCTTCTCTCACAGTTCCAGACTCCAGATGTCTGAAATTGGTATCACTGGGTAGAAGCGAAGGGGTAGGCAGGACAGGGCCGTGCTCCCTCCAGAGGCTCTAGGGACAGTCGGTTCCTTGCCTCTTCCAGCTTCTGGTGGCTGCATGTATTTTTTGGCTTGTGGCCACAGCATGCTAATTCCTACTTCTGTGGTCACACTGCCTTCTCTTCTGAGTAATCCTCCTCTGCATCTCTGTGAGGAGAACATTTGAGGTGGCATTTAGGGCCCATCTTGACAATCCACGATAATTGCCCTATCTCAAGGTGCTTAATCACATCTGCAAAGACCCTTATTCCACATAAGGCTACATCCACGTTTCAGGAGTTACAGCCTAACACCTGGAGGGTGTTAGCCTACTACAGAGCCGTTTCAGATTTCTTACCTCCAGAACCATAAAATAAACATGTTCTTTTAAGCCACTAAGTGTAATAATTTGTTACAGCAGCAATAGGCAATTAATACAGCTCCTGTCTCTCAAATGTGTGCTACAGATCAGGACAAGGTCTGGGCATGAGGACAGAGCTAGCTCACCCCTACTATTCACATCAGCATCCTGGCGATCCTTTGTATCCAGAGATGTTGCTCCTTCTCCCATTAGCATACTTGACAGGATAGAATGCTAAGACTCAGCAGGAAGTGGCCATTAGAAGCTTCAGAAATCACTTCTCTTTCCTCTCGCTGATCACAGGTTTCTTAAGTAAACTGTATAGTAATTCAAAGCAAAGCTTAGGGGAAAAAAGGAACTGACATTCATTTCAGAAAATTCCTCTCAATAATGAGTACACTCCATCCACAAATGTCAAAGAGCTTTGCTCACAAAGCCAATAATCCCTATCACAAATATAAGGCAATGTAAACATTTAAGAACCATATTCCTCAATTAGGAACAGCCTTTTTGGGTAGCTTTCCTAGCATTCCAGTGGCAGAACATACACTTTTAAGCAGTTATTAATCACTATTCTATCTCTTGGCATGCTGTAATGCTGGTTTTCTAACATCTCTGCAGGGATTTCTATTTATAGAACTGCTCCTTCTCATTGATCTGCCTTCAGGACACTGAAGCAATTCCCCAGCTGACTTCTCTCCCAGAACTCACCTTGTTGGGACACCCCTGGGCTCTGTCCTCAAATCTCTTCTCTATCCATATTCTCTCCCTCAGCAAGTGTACCCTGTCCCACGACTGCAAATGCCAACTGTAAGTGGAGGCTCTCAAATTCATGTATCTATCCTTGACCCCTCAACTGAACAAGGTCCAGATCCAAACATCCATGTGCCACTCATGAGCTCCACTTCAGTGTTTAGTATGTATCCCCAGCTTAGCAGGCCCGAAAGAGAGCCGCTGCTTTCTGACAGACGCACAAAGCAGCTCAGCAAACAGCATCTCCCACTCCGGCTGCTCCAGCAAGACCCTTAAGCCCTCATGTGTACGTTCTCTTCACTCCTTCCCACCCCTCATATTTAATCCATCAGTATCTACCAGCTCTGCCTCCAAAATGTACCCCAAATCTATTTTCACTATCTCCACTATTTCAATCTCATTCCAAGCTACCCTCACCTCCCACCCACATTATAGCAATAGGCTCCTAGCTCGTCTTCCTGCCTGCTCTAGCCCCACCCTCCGCAGGGCTAAAAGCCATCTTTCTGAAGTGTAAATGTCAGAGGATGTCACTCACAGGTATAAAATTATCAGGGGCTTCTGGCTACAAGCAAACTCCAAACTGGACCATTACCTACATGGTCTGGCCACTGCCTACCCCTTGACCTCTCTCCTACTCTCTTTCTTACTCACATGCCATGCACACAACTCTGGCCTTCTGTCCTCTCCTGAACATGCCGAAGCTTGTTCCTGACCCATGGCCGTTGCACTTGCTGCTCCTTCTGCTGTAAACACTCTTCCTGCAGGTCTATGTATTATCATCCTTTCCTTCCCTGAAGCCTCACCTGCAACTTTTCAGTTATCACCCTAGCCTACCAAAAGCAACCACTCACCACCCTTTTTTCCTGCCTGTCTTTGTCTTTTCAGAACACTTTGGAAGACCTGAAGCAGTCTTAATTGTTTGTCGATGGAGTGTGACTCCCCTCCAGCAAACTATATGCTCACTGAGGGCAGGGCTTTTCCCATAGTATCCCCAGAGAGATACCTGTTCACAAGCTGACTGAATGGTTTTACAATTGAAGAGCAATATCAAGTCCTCTTAAAAAGGTACAGTGTTAGTCAATCTCCTTGGTTTTAAGGAATAGTGATTTCCTGGGTTCCTACAGGAAAGAGACCAAAATCTCCTTCCTGGGGTACTGCCCTTCATTCTCACTCCCTCTCCCAGCATCTGTTTTTTCTTTTTATGTGCCCAATTCTCCCCTCTACCAACTGGCCAGCTCTCTTACCTTCCATGACATCTTGTTTCTGCTCCATCATAGTTCTGGCTAGCCAACGCCCTCACTTAACCCCAGGACATCACACCACTTGCTAACTACCAAGTTTTCTTTTGAGTCTCTCAAGTCAACTTGAGAGACTTGGCTAATTTCATTAGCCAAGGAAGAAAGGGGCACAGTACAGAACAGGGACTTAGGCAGAAATTAGAATTTCTCGTACTGAGATTAAGAAATCCAACAGCAGTAAGGCCCAGTGCATCTCCATTCATTCTCCTTTAATAGATGAATACGTGACTGCACCATCCTCCCAAAGGGTGGGAGAGCTGTCAAACCCTACAGATGGTGGGAATCACCAGGATGCATGAAATGAGCGCTAGCATGAATAAGAATGAAGATTAGGAGGGAAAAGAATCTCCATGTAAACAGCATGGTTAATTAAGAAAAATTACACAGTGATTAGACAGATCTGATCCTTTTATAAGTACCTGTACAAAGGGTCACTGTTAAATGGAATGCTTTCTCTTTGCCCATGTATGATAACTCCTAGCTTGTGCCAGGTAGTAAGTACTCAGAGGGAATTACTCCCATCAGATCAAATCCCCACAACATACCTGCAAAGTAGCTACCATCACATTTTTCAGGTGAAGAAATGAATGTCCAGAGAGGTGTGAGGCCAACTTAAACAAGTGCCTAAAGGCCCACCAAACTTTTAGGGGCCCATGAGAATTTTCTTTCTTTTAAAGTCAGAAGGAAAAAATGAATACAATTCATCCTGGACACAGTCATGAAAATATAATTTTTTATTTTAAATGGAGGAAGAGGTCTACTAAACCCAGTCTTGGGCCCCCAAGAGTCACAACGTGGCTCTGGTGGAGTGACTTGCTCAAGGTCACAAGCACCAAGGAGTTGTGTATGGAGACCCGATCAGCCCCGTCCTCTCTTCCATTCAGCCTCCGCACACCCTCATGCCCTAGAAAACCCTAGGGAGTGCTAGGATTTCAGAATGTCCCATCACCTGAGCTTTTGGGGAAAAAAAACATTTAATGTAAAAATCAATGGCACTAGAAATGTTCCTTACCAAGCCTCACCAAAAATCTGATTAGTCATCCTGTGACTGATCCTTAGCTTAAGTGAAAAACCACTTATCCTTGGACCCACTAACTGCACTGGGATAACCTGGGGTGCTCATTAAAAATGCAGATTCCAAAGCCCTACCTCACACTTGCTGAATCTCAAGGATGGGACTAAAATCTGCATTGTAAATGAGCACCCAGGGGTTTCTGACCTTCTGTGCACACTAAGACCCCACTGGTCAGGAAAACCTATGGGGATAACCTAATTTTTGCATAGTTTTAACACATTTAAAATTGTCCCAGAATACAACTACCATGTATAATGAGCTAAGAACATACTTTCTGTTCTGAACTTTACAAGTTATTAACCATAAAAAAAGTTATATTATTGATGATAGAGCCACTCCTGTAATATGAGTCACCAAATAAATCCTGTATTTGGAGATGTTGCATTTATAGGTGATTTTGCCAACAGGTACAAAGATCTGGCTATTTCATTTTGTCTTAGGACAGGTGGGCCCACGCATTTACATGATGAAATGCCTGTTTGACTCCGCATGACTTTCCTTTTTTTTTCCTTTTACATTACAGTTAGGAAATTGCATTGATTTTTTGGGGGAGAATTGTGTTTGTTGTTGGGTTACATTATCTGTGACTTGCATTCTGCACGGTAAAGATAGCATTAGAAAATAGTGGTTAAAAGGAGACAATTGGCCGTATAGGATTAAAGAATGTCTTTAAAAAGATCCTGGCTAAAACATGCTCTGAAGACACTGCTTATCTCACAAGTCCCTAAGGACATTCCTACCCCACCCATCCCCACAAAGTGAGCTGGGCTGTAGAGGCTGGCAGCCAGAGGCTGATGCCTGGGGCAACACTTCTGAATGCTAAACCCTGGGCCAGTGCCTCAGTCTGTTCAGCCTAGTAAAACGAAACACTTTAGACTGCGCAATTTGTGAACAACAGAAATTTACTGCTCATAGCTCTGGAGGCTGGAACATCCAAGATCAAGGCGCCAACAAATTTGGCATCTGGTAAGGGCCTACTGTCTGCTTCATAGATGCCATTTCTAGCTGTGTACTCAAATGGCAGAAGGAGCAAACAAAATCCCTGCAGCTTCTTTTATAAGGGCATGAACCCCATTCACAAGGGCTCCTCCCTCTGATTTAATCAGAGGCCTGAAAGGCCCCACACCTCTTAACACTATCAGGTTGGGGATTAGATTTCAACATATGAATTTTGGAGGGACACAAACATTCAGACCATAGCAGTCGGCAAAAGACAGAGAAGCTGAACAAGAAAATGAAGTTTTGAATAGTGGCTGCTGGGTCAGGTGGCAGAGGATGGAAGAAGAGAGGATGTCATAGATAGATATGAGTTACTGATAAGTCCAAGTTCTTGGGGTGGGTGGTTTCAAGGGTATTCAATAATAATATAATGAAAATAGTTGCATCTCTTCATTAGTATCAACCAGCCAATTATCAGAGAAGGGAAAATAATTTAGTGACCATACCAAACCCTGGCATCTTTGTAGCAAACTACATATTAGCATGGAGCCTTTCAAGCCAGAGTGCTAATCAGCAGCTTTTGGAGGGATAGTCACTCCTCTCAATTAAAAAAAAAAAAAAAAAAAAAAAAAAAGCAGCGCTTGGCCCAGAGAGCTGGCCTTCTGAGCAGCATGTCAGAGCTGATAAAGATGCTGGCGCCTGGCGGCCACCAAGGCCACCCTGGACAACCATTCTGCCTTCTCATTAGCATTGTGCCACTGTTACCTCACTTGACAATAACAACTGCCGTGGAGGATCTGACAAGCACAGGTCGCCCCGAAGGTGAAAGGAGAAAAGGATCTGAAGACAAATCATAAAAATTGTTTCACCCTGTCTGGAACCATCACAAGCTGACCCGGTGCTGTGGAAGATGCTGACTTCTTTTCTGAGACTGCTGAAGGGGAATCTAATTACTCACTCCCCACACCCCCATTATCCCATCTTCCCTCCCATCTACTGGTTCCCTAATGTCAAACAGTATGAAAAGAAAAAGGCTTTTTAAATAGAAAAGATACAGAAAAATAATTTATTATGGCCAAAGCATAAGAGGATTACAATATCCCAACCCCATACTCCAGTCCACCAGCTCAAAGAGAACAAAAGATAGTTCTTCCTGCTCCTACCAACCCCTGGACCTACTTTTGCCTTATTTAACACTCGACTATAGCTATTGGTTCACAGCCCAACCTGTCTCAACTAAACCAAAGCGGCCCTCCAGAGGGCAAAGACCACAGCCTCTCCAGATTATATTTTTAGGAAATAGCCCCCGAAGTAAGATCAAGCACAGAGGGCATCCTTAATAAAGGTATTTGAATGATTAAACACAAGACAAGCAGGGAGTAGTGGCACACACCTGTAGTCCCAGCTACTCAGGAGGCTGAGGCAGGAAGATGGCTTGAGCCCAGGAGTTCAAGGCTGCAGTGAGCTATGATCGTGTCACATAGCAATCAGGAGACAGAGCAAGACCAAGCAATCCTCCTGCCTCAGCCTTCTGAATAGCTGGGACTACAGGTGCATACCACAACACTGGGCTAATTTTTTTTATTTTTATTTTTGTAGAGACGGAGTGTCACCATGTTGCCCAGGGTGGTCTTGAATGCCTGTCCTCAAGTGATCCTTCCATCTTGGCCTCCCAAGACGCTAGGATCACAGACTTGAGCCACCATGCCCAGCAAATCCTGTTTATTTCGTTTACCAGAACATAGGCTCCACAGAAGCAGAGAACTCATCTGTTTTGCTCACTCCATACTTCGTGATTAAAACAGAGTTTAGGGCACACTAAGTGCTCAACTATTCCTTGAATGAGTGAATAAATGGAGAAAGGCTAATGCTAATAGAGGTTATATAGAAAGACACTCAGTCTACACCAAATAGGGTTTCTCTGATTACATTTAGGGAGTGAAGGACAAAGAGGCTCAACAGAGAAAAGAAGAAAAAGAGACTTGTAACACCATTAATTGGCAACAACTGCCATCAGCCAGGAAGAACAGCTGTGCTCCTGTGAAGGCAGCATCACTGCAGACATGAGAGAAATTTCCAGAAGAATCTACAAAGGAAGGAAGATGTCAGGGGACTTGCAGACATCCCTGTCTGAAGTATTCAGGCTAGAGACTATATTCCCTTGGCAGAAAATCTGTTTAAACCCCTCAAGCGTGACCACTATGGTGTCCTTACCAAGGTCAGTCAGTCAGATATTTCTGGAATACTTCCCAAAAGCTGTGACTTTCTCAGCCTTGGCGGGGCAGGGGGGGAATGGGGGGATTGGGGGGCGGGGTAGGGAGGCAGGGACACCAGCTAAAATAGTCCTCATTGCCAAATAAAAGACTTACTATCTGCACGTAATTAATTCCTCATTTCAACATGACATCCTTTACCTGAGACAGAGAAAAATTCTCAGGTGTTTACCAAAATTGTACCTCTAATCAATGATTTTAAGACTGTTTGTGGGTTTTATTTTTTCACTGGACCACTGAAGCTTCTTGCAGGCAAGAAGCATGTTCATTCTTGCCATTTGCACAACCTCCACATACAGAGCACCAATCAGTATCTGCTTCCCTCAAACTCCAACAGAACTCATGAGCAACAATGGATAGTAGCCATATGCAGGGGGAGCATTTCCCAAGCAAAACACTTTTCGGTAAGCTTCCCACAGTTGAAGGTTCAAATAATAAAGGAAACAAAGAAAAAGCAAATGATTCTAAACAACTAGGAGAATGAACCCACAAAATGAGTATTCAAGTCATCCAAAAGTCAGAGAAAAAAATCATGGAATACTGACAGAGAGCTGTTGGAGCAGCCGATAGAACAAGGCAAAGATCACTGTTTTCTAAGCAGGGATTTAATGCTCCATCCTCACAGAACAAATAGTGGAAGGAGGTTCAGGCCACTGTTTTTAGAAGAAAAAAAAAAAAGGAGCAGGCAAGCAAAATACAGTTGCAGCCAGCAGCCAGCCCTAAAATTTCAGCCTCCACCAGAGAACTGAGAGTCCACAGGTGACACAAAGAACAGCTTTCAGTCCACAGCTGGTCCCAAAGCTTGCACCCTCTGCCAGGACTCCCTCCGAGACTTCAGCTCCATCCCGGGAGGCTGTCTTCTGGGATATATGTACATGCTTCTGAGTCACATCACGGAACAGGAAAACACACTGCCCTCTTATCAGAGGAGTAGGAGAGGCAAAGATGTGCAATTAAGAAAGGAAGGGAAGACAGTTACTCCAAGAATTTAGTCAAATTATATACATGAGATTTCCCCAAGAAATAGCAGCTTAACATACCAAGTCCAGAATGGAGTTTAATGTTTACTTTCAAATCTATCATCAACTCTGGAAAATATGGAAGCATTTAGTTTTTCTGAAATGGAAATGCAGCATTTCCTGGTGGGCTAATTTTTACCTTCTGTTAACCAAAATGTTTTAAGACAATGTGCCACAAGAATACATTTCAAGGGAGCTATGTAACAACACACAAATACCATTCATTCAAAAAATAAACTTTGGCCTCTTTTATACTTGCTGAGTGTCAGAAACAACTAAATACCTAATATTTACAAGTTAAGCTGTAATATAAACCCCTCAAAGGAAGGGAAACATGATGCAGTTACCAAAAGTTATAAGTAGTAAGATGAAGAATGCAAAGCAGTGGTTCCCAAAGTGGGCCCATGATCAGACCTGAGAAGGTGTTTGCTTAAAAGTCCACTCCTGGGCACCTCCCTGAGAACGTGCACTACTTGATCCACTACAATATATCATAGGAACCCATTAGTCTTCTCCAGGTAGTTTTGACCACTAGGCAGGTTTGGGGGCAGCTGCCATAAGGAACATGGACAGAGTAGGTTGACTATGCTCCCCTACACCAACGGAATTCCAGCTTGACAAGCTGCTTTGTAGCACAATGCCCAAAAGATCTTAACTCAGCCACCTTGGATGGAGACCAGATGGGCCAAAACAGCCAAGCCTCACACACCCAGCTAGACTCAAGGGTAAAAGGCATCTCCCAGCCAACTTCCTGCTCCTTGCTTGGTAATTCTGAAGCTGCTTGCTAGTCTGAAGAACACTGGATCAGAATGCTGGTGATCTTCAGAGCTACACAGAGCTTGACAGCAAGGAAAGTGCACCTTCCACAGTGCACATGGGTTGCCTATGATGGCAAAGTTCAGGGAGGGCAACTGAGGGCTGGTGAACAGGCTCACTGAGCTAGCAGAGGCAGACACAGCTTATAAAATCAGTTTCATTTTTCAATATGAAGAACCAGAAGAAGAAGGACTATTGCTACCCTTCTTGGCTATACAGGCTTAAAAATTCATTTCTAGTTACCAGTAGCTTCTGGTACAGATGACAAGGCCCAAATGGGATATACTGGATCCTTATTGCTCCCCCAAAGCTATTCTCCCTTTCTTCCATAGGAGCAGGAATTTTGCAGAGTATCTCACTACAGAGTATAATTATCTCTTGCAGCTGAGTGGCAGAGTGATTATATTTTGCCAAGTGGAACAGGAGTAGAAAAAAATCTACCCAACCTCTGGGTTATCATTCCTCCTTGCCCTTCCTCCTACCCTTTTTTTCTCCTTTATTTCAGGGCATACAAAGGAGAGCAACACTGGGGGTGGCAGGGCAACCAGAAGGAAGGAGCCCAGCCCCCTATAACTTTAGCAGGCAGAAATGCCATTCTAGCTGACTTTAAAGTAAAAGGAAACTAAACTGTCTTGTTTAAATCAGTATTGTTTGAGGTTTCTGTTACAGCAGCTGAACATGTTCCTTAATACAAAGATTTTCCGTCCTACATGGAACATGACTAAGAACTACTGATCAAGAAGCAAATCCTTCATACTTTCCTTTTCCTCCTTAGCCTAACAAGATGGCCGACATCATCGTCTTTGACTCCAAAGGATAGCAAGTTATACCAGGAGGTTCAAGAAATCTCTCTTTAATCTCAAATCCCAATTTTTAAGTGCTAGATCCACCTGAAAATACAAGCTTTGCTTTTCCAGTCACTCAATGTCTCAACCGACCTTTTGAATTGAATTTTCTACCAGACTCTCTCATATAAATTACTCAATTTCTGGAACAGGTCTAGCATCACCTCGTAATGCTAATGCTGTTTCTCCTGCCTAGAAGGCCCTTCCTGAGCTAGAAAATTCCACAACATCACGGTCAAGTTCAAACGTAAAAATGTTCCAACTCCTAAGGGCTTGGAAGACTTTGAAATATTGACTGAAGTATATTGGGGCATACATACCTGCCAACCCACCAATCTGCAGAGTTCCTAAAGGCAGAAGCAGTTTTTCATCTTTGTATCCCTGACCACCCCCCATACCATCCACCACATACATCCCAGTACCTGGCACAGTAAAAACTCAATAAATATTTGATGAACTAATTAAGAAATCATTGAACTGTGTTAAGGTTGTCCTTAAGAGTATTTTTTAAAGTAGTTGAAAATTCAAAGGCAGAGGCCACAACTTTAGGAAATCCCCTTGTAAATCAAACACACATATTCCTGTTAAACTAGTACAACTTAGCCTATTAAAATATGAGATAGGAGACATAGCCTTTAAACTAGGGGCAGCCAATGTTTTGGCTTCACCAAAGGGCCGCACTAGAAGAACTGTCTTGGGCCACACATAAAATACACTAACAGTAAGGAAACCTGATGAGCTAAAAAAAAATTCCATTTTTTAAGAAACTTTACAAATTTGTGTTGGGCCGCATTCAAAGCCGTCCTGGGCCACAGGTGGCCCGCAGTCTGGACAAGCTTGCTCTAAACTATAAAAGCGGAGCTAAAGATCCATGTCACTTACAAGCATCGACTATCATTAGGAGTTGAACCTTATGGGAAAACAATTTTGCACTTAACAGCAACCATTTGCTAGCTCATTAACAAATCTGGGCTGTCATATTTTTAAATGATCACTTTGCTTTGAAAATGAATCCTACATTAAATAGAAAACAAAACACGTATTTTAAAGAGTGTTTTAAAAAGCTCCCTTGGATCCATAGTTTTTTTTTTTTTTAAGCCTTAAGATCTGAAAGAAAAGGCCATATACCACACATTCAGACCCTCCATACTGGTACTTGAGTACCAGAAGCAACGGCCTAAAATCGTTTCAAAGAAAGGGGAAAAATATACTTTCAAACACCAACAATAGGTAAATTCCCAAGCACAGGCATATCCAAACCAATTAATTCTATGCTCCACAAAAATTTCCACTTCTGCTAACTTGTTTACAGCTTGGCATAGAGACTAAATGTCTAACTAATGGTTAAGAAACAACAGAGGCAATGAGCAAATTCAACTTCCGAAGAGCACCATGTCCAGAGTGCTACAGAGGAGCCTCCAGGGAACTACACCTTGAATAATATGTTGGGGAAAAAGTTGCTTTTAGTTTCATGAGGATCATCCTGACTTTTTACCCTGGAATTTTTGGAATGGGGTTTTCTAGACCATTTGTTCTAGACACTCAGATATATTAAGTGACTTGCTGGAGATCACAAGCCAGTTATAGGCACTGCAAAGCCTAGACCCCTCTGGTCTTCCAGTACATTCTCCAGCACAGCACACAGAATAAAGTCCATTTCTTAATACAATTGTCACAAATAAAATCCACTACGGAAAATAAGATTACCCAGCCATTAAGAAGTTTTTCCAAGTTCTTCCTAAAACACAGGCTCACGCACACCAGACATCAAACACAGAAAAGATTATAGACGTTAAAAAGGCGCTAGGTGAACTTTACAATGAGATTCACTTAATGCAGTAGGTACTAGGAATTAAAAAATGAGTAAGGCCAAAGGACACTCATCCACAAGTAGCCTAGTGAAGCAAACGGAAACCTACGTACATAAATTATGAAACCACCTGCTGCAGCCGATATGGGAGATAAAAACAGGGTATTATGGGATATTTCAGACTCCAGAATTTAAAGCTTTAGATCTTTCTTATCATTTCTAGGATAATTCTAGGAAAGTATACTCCAACTTAAGCAGATAAAAACATAAGAATTGTTCAACAGAATGCCTAGACTAAAACTGAAAGGCGATTTCAGAACTTTTGAGAAGATAAATCCTTGTCTAGAAACAGAAAATTCACACTTGAATCTTTTTTCTGAGTTAAAAATGTAAAGGAGTATTAAATTTGTTTATGACTAATAAGGTTTGAAGTCTAACACAGTACCTGCTAATTCAGATTCAAGTCACCCTCTTAGGTGGGTGAGAAATGAGCCATTGGTTTAGGAACCTGAAGGAATCCAAACTGTTCACAGGAATATTCCAAATGGTGTTTCAGTCCTGGAGGTTAACAACCTCCACTATGCATTATATGGATGCCGACTGTGTTCTGGGGGATATTTGAGATCAGAGGCCATAAAAATAAAATAGGTATGTGACTTTCACAGCCAGTCACAAATAAAATGCTGCTGGACCTTTTAAGTCTGAACAATCCACTCAGACTACAGAGAAAAGACTAGATATTAGTAAAAGAGCACCCAACTTCAACTGCATTATCAGCTTCCAGAAGTGAGGTTCTTACAGCAACATGAACCACCTGAACCACAAAATACCAAATATCAAGAAGGGGCGCAAATGCTCATGGAAGATATTCCACCAGGGCCTTGAACAGTACATGAAGTGAGGGCAGATTTGGAGAACACTCCTGTCTCTCCAAAGTCCTGGTGAAGGGGGCATTATTTCACAATCTGGTTCAATGACAGAAGCAAGACAGTACTCTCTATATCTACCTTGAAGTATCTAGACCTCCCGGGGGAGGGAGAGAATGCACGCTAGCAGGACCAAAACTCAAGGACTCTAAACACCCCCTATCATCTGTTTCCTAGAGTGTGAGCAAAAGATTAGATTGATTCGAACACTTATTATTACTGAAAAGCACACAGACGTATCTCATCTTCAAGATACTGACTAATAAGTAGACTTAGAGGTAATATTCCACCCTCCGCCCCCTTGTAACTGTCCAAGGTTGTAGTAAGAATAAAGGATCAAGAATACATGTGGAAAACTGTAACAGCAGTAGTATTAAAGCCACAAGGACCATTTTTTCTGCCCCCACCCCCACAAACTAATATATAAGCATCCTGCACCACCTAATGCAGAAGTTGAAGTGTATTTTAAAGCCATCATTGCAGATAGCTCCGAGAAGAAATTTACTCTGTGCCCCCAAGTTGGCACAACATAGTTATTTAGGGATACAGATTTATAACAATACTAGCAATAAAACTAATTCAATTCATTCACAGGAAATTATTCCAGAAAGTCACCTCTTTCTCCTTCCTAAAATAGAAAGATGGAGAGAAAAAGAAACAAATGCAAATTGCCACTGGCAGAGTTTTGTATTGAAAGTGCATGGAATGATTCAAGAGCAATTCAAGGTTTTCGGCAAATGCCTGTTCATTAACCCAGTAGGAGGTGCAATACCATCTGGCACCAGTGTCCAGCGGAAGATATATCGCTCAGGGTCAATTCTGAGCAGCAGGCAAGTTTATTTTTACTCATTCTAAGATTTTATGCACAAAAGTACAAGGACATAAATGTCTTGAGTTAGGCGTGCCAGGAAGATTTAACAGGCCTGGAAAATGGGATCCAAAAATGGGATCTAGCAGAAGCCAACTTTCATCGCGATTGATTAAAACACTCTCCCAGCAAACCCCACAGGGCCTGGGCTAGAAACTTGTCAAAACACACACACACACACACACACACACACACACACACACACACACACACACACAAAGATTTGGGGTATGTAAGAGAGGGGAGATTGCCCTGTTTCCTCTGATGTCAAAAAACTCAGAGGGGCTCACTCACATTCAGGTTGGGACTCCCAAGAGGGCTAGGAAGGAGGGCTTAGGGGGCATGTCCACCACCGCCTGGGCACAAGGGCAGCTGCTGTGTGAAGAGCCAGCTAGCCACTGGGTGGTGGGGACCCCTATAAACAGGCCCATTTTGCCAGGTTCTCCCCCTGGGGATCGTTCTCTTTTAACCTCATGTAACAGCTGGATGTGGTACATGTCTATAATCCCAGATATTCAGGAGGCTGAAGTGGGAGGACTGCTTGAGTCCAAGAGTTTAAGATGAGCCCATGCAACACAGGGAGACCCCATCTCTACAAAATAAAGTAGCTAGGCATGTTGGCATGTCCCTGTAGTCCCAGCTGCTTGGGAGGCTGAGGTAGGAGAATTGCTTGAATCTGGGAATTCAAGGCTGCAGTGAGTCATGACTGCATCACTGTACTCTAGCCTGGGTAACATAGCGAGACCTTGTCTCAAAAAAAAAAAAAAATAAAAAATAAAAATAAAAATAAAGTAACCTCACAGAGCCAATCAAAATATCACTTTTCCAAGTGAAATTACTGTTTTTTTCTAATAGACCAAAATACTTGCTCAATCACAAAAAATTTATTAAATACTGGAAAACCACAAAGAAAAATTTTTTTAAACATCATTCATCATTCCACTCCCTACAGATGGTAAAATTTTAGTATGTTCCATATATATTCCCATATATGGTATATCATCCATACACATATATCACAAAAATACACTTATATTTATGCTTGCTTTCTTACAGCCTTTTATATCACAACAGATTTTAAACATTTTCCCATGATAAATATTTTACCACAATTTAAAAGCTAAGTAGTAATTGCATGTTTTACTTAAATAATCCCACAGTACTAGGCATTTAATTTGTTCAATTTTTCTATTTAAAAAAGTAATAAAAATAAAAATAAAAAAATAAAAAAATTTTAAAAAGTAATGCAATAGTCTTTCACTCCTACATTTGTATATCATACCTCTGTATATTTCCTTAGAGCAAAGGAATTATCTGATACAATAATACGAGGATTTTTAGGCTTGTGTAGCAGTGATATCCCATGTTTCTTTCAGTAAAATTGTACTGATTTACATCCCCAAAACTAGCAAGATATAGCTAGCAAGATATAAGGATGCCTACATACCTGTTTCATTCCAATTTGTGCTGCTATGACAGAATACCTGAGACAAGTAAAGAACAGAGATTTATTTCTTGCAGGTCTGGAGGCTGCGAAAGCCCAAGTTCAAGGGGCCTGCATTTGAGGGCATTCTTGCCAAGTCACTCCACGATGCAAGAGCACACTCATGGGAGGAGGAAGAGAAAAGGAGGAGGAAGAGAAAAGAAGGGAGCCAAACCCACCCTTTCATCAGGAACCCGCTCGCGCAAGCAGAAGAAAAAAGGCGTGAACCCACCTTTTCATCAGGAACCCACTAGCGCGAGGAGGGCGCGAACCCACCCTTCCATCAGGAACCCGCTCGCGCGAGGAGCGCGCAAACCCACCCTTCCATCAGGAACCCGCTCGCGCCAGGAGGAAGAGGAAGGCGCGAACCCACCCTTCAATCAGGAACCCGCTCACGCGAGGAGGAGGGCGCGAACCCACCCTACCATCAGGAACCCGCTGGCGCGAGCAGGAGGAGAAGGAGGGCACGAATCCACCCTTCCATCAGGAAGCCGCTGGCGTGAGCAGGAGAAAGAGGGCGTGAACTCACCCACCCATCAGGAAGCCGCTGGCGCGAGCAGGAGGAGGAGGGCGCGAATCCACCCACCCATCAGGAACCCGCTCGCGCGAGGAGGAGGAGGGCACGAAACCACCCTACCATCAGGAACCTGCTAGCGCAAGGAGGAGGAGGAGGAGGAGGGCGCGAACCCACCCTCCCATCAGGAACCCGCTCACGCCAGGAGAAAGAGGAGGAGGAGGAGGGCGAGAACCCACCCTCCCATCAGGAACCCGCTCGCGCGAGAAGGAAGAGGGTGCGAACCCACCCTCCCATGAGAAACCCACTTGCGCCAGAAGGAGGAGGGCGCGAACCCACCCTCCTATCAGGAACCCGCTCCCGCAAGGAGGAGGAGGAGGAGGAGGCGAAAGACGGCGCGAACCCACCCTTCCATCTGGAACCTGCTGGTGGGGGGGGTAGGGGGAGGGGGCGAACCCACCCTTTCATCAGGAACGCGCTCCCGCGATAACCCACGCGCTCCCGCGATAACCTCATTCATCTATTCAGGAGGGTTGAGTCTGCATGACTTAATCACCTCTTAAAGTTCTCACCTGTAAACAGTATTGCACTGGGATGTTTCCAACACATGAACTTTGGAGGACACATTCAAACCATGACAATACCCCATGCTCTCAAAGTTTGTCGTGTACGTTTTATTGTCACTTTAAAACAGCACATGCCAATTAGGTACGACCAACTATTACTAATAAAAATCACAATCACAACAGGTACTGGGTGCGTACTATGTGCCAGGCACATAATACAGAAAAAGAACAGACGGTGCCAGGGACTGGCGGGGAGGGACACAGTTTCGGCTTGGGAACATGAAACGTTCCAAAGCAGGGGGATGGGCTGAGCCCAGGAATTGGAGACCAGCCTGGGCAACTTGGCAAGATTCTGTCTCTAAAAAAATTTTTTTAAATAGCTGACTGGGTGCACTGGCTCACACTTGTAATCCCAGCACTCTGGGAGGCCGAGACGGGCAGATCACTTGAGCACAGGAGCTCAAGACCAGCCTGGGCAACATGGCAAAACCCCATCTCTATTAAAAAAAATACATAAATTAGCCAGCCATGGTGGCATGCACCTGTAGTCCTAGCTACTCGGGAGGCTGACGTGGGAGTATCACCTGAGCCTGGGGAGGTTGAGGCTGCAGTGTTCCATGGATCATGCCACGGCACTCCAGCCTGGGCAAAGAGAGACTGTCTGAAAAAAACAAAAACAAAGGAGAGGAGATTTGAAAACAAAGGGCCTCCTTTGAGCTTTGTAACTAGTTAGGGTGCTCCAGCCACTTGGGCTCCAATCAAATCCTCATCAAGTCCTTTGGAGTAATGCTAGTCTACACAATTTTTGTTGTTGTGGGGTTGGGTGGTGGGGAAGGGAGCTGGGACTACAAACTCTTCAGATAAAATGAAAATACTCCCGGGAACATTCAATCTTTAATTGCAGGGACAAACATGTACTGTGAAATTCATGAAAGTGAGAAGTCTGCAGTAGCAAGAGAAAAACAGCAAATCAAAGAAATGAACTACAGAAACCACACTTGCTACAAAAATCAAACATGGGAAAATCAGGTGACTGTTCACTAATAACTGAGATAGCAGGGAAGACCACAAAAAAATCTTACCACAAGCCTGCCCATCACCAGATTGCAAGTCTTCAGTGGCCAAGAACTTCAGATGCATAAAGCAGAAAGACAGCCTGCCCATCCACAAGCCAGCACCCCATGTCCATCCAAAGTTGGGGTGCATTTATTCAGAAGGGCATATCTGAAAGCCAGAAAGATACCTTATAACCAGCAACTCAGTGGATTCCCAAAGAATGTCACAGAAAAGTTTTAAAACCACATTCTCCAAAGACTCAAATTCAGAAAAGCAGTATTTGTGGTATATTTAGTAAAAGGTCACCATAAAATTCCAGAAGACAACTTAATTGCCATGAGACTAAATAAAGTTATTCTAAAGAAAAGGAAAAGAGGCCAGGCACAGTGTCTCATGCTTGTAATCCCAGCACTTTGGGAGGCCGAGGTGGGTGGATCAGGAGGTCAGGAGATGGAGACCATCCTGGCCAACATGGTGAAAACCTGTTTCTAGTAAAAATATAAAAATTAGCTGGGCATGCTGGCAGGCACCTGTAGTCCCAGCTGCTCGGGAGGCTGAGGCAGGAGAATCGCTTGAACCCAGGAGGCAGAGGTTGCAGTGAGCCAAGATCACGCCATTGCACTTCAGCCTGGCAACAGAGCGAGACTCTGTCTTAAAAAAAAAAAAAAAAAACAAAAAAAAACTAGAGCCATGAGGTTAGTCATATGTTATTGCATAACCAGAAACCCAACCTGACATTGGATTAGAGCAGCAGCACCAACATGAGAAAAGAGCTGGGCCCACTTCTCCCAAGAAGCCCTTCCCAGGCCACCATCTTATATTTTGCTATCTCACATATAATTTCCCTATTGTACAGTAAAGAATCTGACTGGCCTTTGCCCCTGGTTGGGAAGAGGGATGGTTCAAAATCCTTGGACTACCTGCTGTAGTAGGAGTGTATTTATTTTTGATAAACCCCTTGGATCACACCTGAGTTTACACTAAGATGAGATGACTCAGGCTGGAGTCTGGTCACCAGAAAAACCAACCATGCAATTAGAGGATCAGGGCTCTAAGCCAGCCCAATCCAGAGAGGGGAAAGGAGGGGACTGGAAATTGAATCATTGGCCATGTGGTTGTACTCAATCAATCCTGCCTATGTAACGAAACCCCAATAGAAACTGGACACCAGGCTCACTGGAGCTTTTTGGTTGGTAAACACATCAACGTGCCAGGCAGGTGACACACCCTAGTTCCAAGGGACAAGACACAGGAGCTCTGCATTCGCGACCCTCCCAGACATCAGCCCATGTGTCTCTTCATTTGACTGACCTTCACTTAGACCCTTTATAATAAAACCATAGTTGAAAATATAGTGCTTTCCTGAGTTCTGAGATTCATTCTAGTAAATTATCAAACCTAAGAAGGCCATGGGAACCCCTTGGATTGTAACCAGTCAGTCAAAAGGGTGAATGGCCTGGAAGTCCCACTTACAGTGGGCATCTGAAGTGGGAACAGCCTTTTGGGAACCATACCCTTTAACTGATGGGGTCTGCACTAACTCTGGGTGGTTACAATAGAATTATATTGTAGTATACTAGGAGGTGTCAGAACACACCCCCACCACCTCCTTTTTCCAGTTAATTCAAGTGCTACACACCAGTTCAACACTCAGGTCCAAATAACACAACTTTTACCTGCCAATATTTATGCCAACTGTTAATGACCAACAATCTTCTTCCTTTTAGTAACAGCTAAAATGTTTTAAGTACTTACTACCCCAGACATGGTTCTAAGACCTTCCACATGTATTAACTCAATCATCACAGCAACCTCATAGGATAGGTACTGTATCATTCCCACTTTGCAGATGAGAGCACTGAGGCATAAAGTGGTTAAGGGACTTGTGCAAGGCCACATGGCAGAGGGGCCAGGATTCAAAGAAAAAGCTCCTCCATCCCTAGAGGCTGTCCCTTAGCCACAAGTCTACAGGAAAAGCTGTGCCTTATGGCTGCCTACCCTTGAGGGCCCTTGGACAGCCACTACTCTCTATCCTCACTTGCTCCCATTCTCCAACCTCAGAATGGCCTCATGCCGATTTCCTTAGGGAAGAATGTGTGCTTTTTGATGGCAAAATTATCCAGCTTTGACTGCAGCTCAGGAGAACTAATTTTGAGAACACAGCACTGAGGGAGGTTAACTATTTCCCTGAAAGTCTTTTCCAACAAAAACACAAATTAGCAGCTAGATGGTACTGGATGTGAATAAAAGTGACAAATTTCACTGCAATAAATGAAGAGGTTCAAAGTTTTTCCTTTTCAGCACCGTCTCTTTCACCACAGGCGGAATCTCTCCACGGCTGACACAAACCTCCTCTCCCTTATTTTTCCCTATTACTTAAAGTGTTCAATACTTCTTCATTTTTATTAAATTGATAATACAGTTTGAAGTTTTCAGTGTGTTTAGTGTAGCAATTAAAACCTCAGGCAGTCACGGTGGAAATTTTTCAAATAAAAATTATATAATGAGATCAGTGGGTGGCCTTTCAATTTCATTCACTTATCCGATCAATATTTTGAACATTTGCTGCCTGCAGCAACATTCTAGACACTCGGGACATAGCAACAAAGTTGACAAAGTCCCTGCCTGCCCTCATGACACTTACATGCCAGAAGGAGAGACAAAGAAGGAATGGGCAAACATACATGTGTGTGCATGTACATGCACATGTGTGTATAACTTCAAGAAATGGTAAGAGTTCAAAGAAACAGAGCAAGTAAAGATCTGGGGGAAGTAAAAGACAACGTGTGTGGCTGGAGTGAAATAAATCATAGGGAAGGTAGCAGGAGATAAAGTCAGAGAGGGGCCAATTCATTCTCAACGGATACATCCAACCCCTTATCATTACCTCCCTCCCCTCACCTGAGTCCATGTCACTATCACTTCCACTGGAAGATTGTCATACCTTCCTAGCTGATATCTGCTTCTATTCTTGCCCCTTACAGACAATTCTCCATGCAAGCGGAATGATCCTTGTAAAAACAAATCCAATCAACTCAGGACCTCCTCCTGCTCAAAATTCTTCACACACGTCCATCATAATCATGATGGAACCCAAATTCTGAGCCCTGCCCAGCAAGGCTTTCCATATACGGGCACTACTTGCCCTCCACACTCGGCCCCTGGCTCCCTTTACTCCACCCACACGGCCCTCAAGCTAGGTCAAGTTTGTTCCTGCCTCAAGGCCCCTGCAGGTACCCTCTCTTCCTCACGGAACTTTCTTCACCTTGGATACTGCCTTGGCACTCTGCTCAAACATCACTCCTTCAAGCAGCCTCCTGGACCACCCAACCTAGAATAGCTCCCCACGCGGCACTATCTCCTGCCCTACTTGGTTTTTCTTCACAGCCTGAATCTCCACCTGACATCAGATTTACCTGTTTCTTCCTCTGCCTTTATTCATCACTGTACCTCCAGTGGCTACAACAATTCTGAGTGCAGAGTAGGACCTCAATCAATGCATGTCAAATGAAGGAATGAATGACTTTGATGATGCCATCACTGACTCGGTTATACAGAGTAAAGTCACGATCCACAATCCTGGGCATCCATGCTATCCACACCAGCTGGCAGGGACAAGGCACACCTGGTTCACATCCTGTCACCTGCTAAGCCCAGAAGGCAACATCATCCATCAGACTCAGCCAACTGCTCCAATTAACGTGCTCCGATTCTGACCCTAGGAAGACATGGACTCCCTACAAAATCATTTGACAACCCAACATGTATGCAAAAAGGCCAACAAGTGCTCCTTAATTGATGAATTTCTCTAAATCTGAGGTAAGTGGCACTGACATCTCAAATCCTCTTTGCCAGTAAATGGGTGGGCAGAAATTCCAAGTAAAAAAAAAAAAAGAAACGACTCCAGGGCTCCTTTTTCCTTGACTATCCCCTCTGGCTGCTCAGTCTTTATACACCTCCTCTCTGCCCGTTAGATTGGGCAAAATCTCCCCCATCACTAGGACAGCACAGTGTGTTCCATCCAGAGTAACTCTCACTACACAAAAGGCTGACACATTCTAGGCTAAAATCATAACTGGGCTTTAACTGGACCCTTCCACATTGAACTGCTCTTTCCCATTTGGGGAGACAGGCAGGATTGAGGAATCTGTCTTCTGACAATTTGGGATCAGTCTTCTCTCTTGCTTTCTTTCCCTCAAGTTGCAAACAGTAAGTCATGCTATGTGAGCCCCGAGCCCCAAGCCCCACACAGGTGCCTCTATTCATAATCTACGGTTCCTCATCCTCATGAGGACAGCAGAACCCAAATATCACAGGCTCTCAGCAGAACACCAGGCGATCCTGCAACATGGATTCTCTTCTTCTGAACCAGGAGCAATTGGACTCGGGGAAACAGAACCATGCTGTGGACAGCAGCCTCTGCATCTCCAAAGAATGCAGAAAACATTCCATCTCTCCTCTTCCCTACAAGGTCTGGATTTTTCCTTGGTTATTCATTTTGCCACTCGTTGGTACTCACTGGCAGATAAGCAATTGCCCAAAAATTGAGCAGGTTAGGGAAAGATGGTCTTAAAATTGGGAAAGCTCTATTCTGTTGTTTAATTTCTTTTTCTGGGAACTGAAAAAAATATCACTGATATGAATCTAGGGGCCCAGTACCTGAATCAGTTAAGCACTTATATCAAAATTACTGCAGAAATGAAACAAGATATGCAACATACAGGGCCCTTGTTGGCTGCACAGTAATCACGTAAAAATGGCAATTAGCTCCTTTAAAGGATGATAATTAACACTGCCTTTACATAACCCACTTTTAAGTTTCTTTTTTACTGATGTTTTCCTGCATCAGCAATCAGCAAAGTAATCAGCTCAACGTCAAGCATTTTCTCTGAGACACGAACACTTTCATCAGCACCTTCATATATACAAAGCCATTCCCATTTGGAAAACAAGAGGGGTAAAGATAGGGGATTGAAAGGCATAGTTCTTATCCTTCAGCATTCTGGAATTCCCTCGATGACCACAGGGCTGCAGGATGAGGCTCTGCTCTTAAGGACTCAAGACTTAATATAAATGACTACAGAGTACACTGTATCCAATATGCAGTCTTCTGTCCCTCACCCACTCCCACCCTTCCCCCAGAGTCCCCAAAGTCCATCATATCATTCTTATGCCTTTGCATCCTCACAGCTTAGTTCCCACTTATAAGTGAGAACGTATAATATGTGGTTTTCCATCCCTGAGTTACTTCACTTGGCATATACTGCTCAAGGGACAGGTGCACCAAGATCTCAGAAGTCACCACTAAAAAATTTATTCATGTAGCCAAAAACCACCTGTTCCCCCAAACTATTGAAATAAAATAAATGACTGCAGAGCAAAGAAAAGTCTCCCTTGCCTCTGAAATGTCCCCGCTCTGGCCAGCCTTGCATGGAGATGCAGACATTTCTGAGCACCTTTGTCAGGCACTGAATATGTGAACAGTCATGCTCTCTGCTCTCTGCTCAGTCATGTTCTCTGCTCTCAAAATGTAGTAGGGTACAGACACATCAGTAATTATATTTTATAATTATCTACTGATGTGTCTGTACCCTACTACAACAAGTATCTGTTGAGGCTCTACTACGTGCCAAGCACCATTGTGGATCCTGGGTTCACAGCAGTGTGCAAATGCGGCAGTGCATGATATGCACACAGTATCGCAAGAACACAGAAGAAACATCTCCCATATGATCCAAGAGGATGAAGGAAGACTTCTCTAAAAAGGAATCAGTTCTAGCTTCTGGAAGGAGCCTTGAAGGACAAAGAGAAGATGGTGGGGAAGGCATCCCCAGCAGAGAGAAGAGCACATGCCCAGAGCAGAACTAGCACCAGTCACACTCAAGGGTACCCTTCCCTGCAGGCTGGAATGTAAAGACAGGCAGGGAGAGGCCAAGGAAAGTCTAGAGAGGCCAAAGTGGGCAGGGGCCTGAAATGCCAAGTAGGACTCAGGACTCTCCTGTCCTCAAAGGCTGACTTTGAAGAGCCCTGAAACTCACAAGCAACATGATCCATTTCCCGTCTCAGATACAGTTTCCTCCTGAACTGGTTTTTATTTGCAACCATTATTTCTCCATCATCAGAGGCTGGAAAATGCAAAAAATAAAGGCAGATTTAGAAAGTGGGTACAAATAAGTTTCAAAAAATAAAGCTAAGATTCTTTATTTTAATTAGAGACGATGGCTAGAAACCACTGAAGGGGAGAATTAAAAAAGAGAAAGGCTTTCACAGACAAAAAAAATTAAGTGAGCTAAAAAAGCAACTTTACAGAGACAAACATCCCTGACTTAGCAATTTTGCTAGAACTGTTCATTTTCGTCTCGGCTGGGACCAACAGAAACTGCATGGCAAACGTTTTTCATGTCCCGCATGGCCTGCTGCCCACGTAACACCTCAATGGAAGCCACATCAAGCTCCAAACTTGGCCGCCTTGCTCAACATGAGCGAGCCAGCCCGTGACAGATCCAAGAAGGAGAATACAAATCCTCACCATGGATGATGGCTGCAGACAGCCTATTTTTTAAAAATAATAGTTTAAAGTGAATTTAACAGTTCCACATTACAAAGGGCCTTCAAACTGAGTGCTCCATTTCCCCATGGCATGAAGGGCAATTTCAGCTCCTCCTGGCCCAAACTTCAACTATTAAACAGGCTATCCATTCAGTTTCTATAGACAAGACTACTACTACTCAGAAAATGGTATTCAGAATATAATATACTGATGTAGTAAGATTGCACTGCAATGCTATTGTTTCCAACTCAAATCCAATGATAAGTTTCTATACAGTGTACCCAGCTCACTGGTCACATCTTAAGCTTGTAAGTTACTCTAGCTTCAAATGAACTTGATTGCGTCAATCCATACATGAACACAAATCTAATTTCTATATTATCTTCCTTCCAAATAAAGTTCTAAAGCCCAACGAGTGACGTAATTATGTTGTTTTCTTCATTATGAAAGCAACCGTATTAATTTTACTACCTTGAAGAACAATATTATGATTAGTGAACCCATGCATGGAACAAGGAATTTTTGTGACTCTACCACTGAAAATTGCCCAGTTTGTTTAATTGCCACATTTGGGAATATTTCAAATATCAACAGTTAGAATCAAAACCAAGAAATTGGTTAAAAATTAATCTTATGGCCAGGTGCGGTGGCTCACGCCTGTAATCCCAGCACTTTGGGAGGCCGAGGCGGGTGGATCACGAGGTCAGGAGATCGAGACCATCCTGGCTAACACGGTGAAACCCTGTCTCTACTAAAAATACAAAAACAAAATTAGCCAGGTGTGATGGTGGGCGCCTGTAGTCACAGCTACTCGGGAGGCTGAGGCAAGAGAATGGCGTGAACCCTGGAGGCGGAGCTTGCAGTGAGCTGAGATCAGGCCACTGCACTCTAGCCTGGGCGACAAAGGGAGACTCTGTCTCAAAAAAAAAAAAAAAAAAAAAAAACTAATCTTCTAACATGCACTATATAATTCCATTTATGTAACAAAGAAAAACAGGTGAAACTGACCTGTGCTGTTAGAAGTCAATGCAGTGATTAAGTACGCTTGTGATGGGGTGGCGGTGACAGTGACCGGAAACGGGAACACGAGGAGCTTCCAGGGCTGTGCATGTTTTGTTTCTCCACCTAGGTACTCCTAACACAGGTGTGTTTGGTTGTAAATCATGCTGCATACCAATGATGTGTGCACTGTTCTTTGTGTAAATGTATCAATCAACACAAAGTCTTAAAATACTGAGGATGAAGGGTAGAGTTTGGTCTACTCTCACAAAGACCATCATGGGTCAGAATTTCAATTCTATGTAGCATTTAAAAGAGCACCAGTTTCCTGCGGACAGATGCCACAGATCAACAGAAATAACATATTGTTTTATTGGGCCTGCTTTCATTCTCTCACTCATTTCTCTTAAAGATCTCAACCATCCTATGTATGGCATATAGCTATCATAGATGACAACAGGTCAGATCACTAATTGAAATTCCCTCCTCCATACAAAATTATTTCTAATAATCATGTAATGATCAATAATCATAACATCCTTTTGAATCATTCTTTAGTTTTGAAAACAACTATTTAGAAAGAGTGTCAATTTTAAAGTTATTTCTGAGCCTCAATATTATATTTCTTCTATGAACTACCAAAGCATACCATATGCACTTAACCAGATGTTATACTCACAGTTCACTTCTTCACCGTTTTACATTTTAATCACACATAAAATCTCCTAGTGATCACACACAATGAGGGAAGTGAAGAAACTCAAGTTCTGTTTCTTCACCTTAAATTGTGCTATCATTTTTTATTACAAATCTCTAAACACAAGAGCATATTGTACCATAAGGGTTAGAGATGTGAACTGCACCTAGAGGAAGCTCCAACAATTCTAAACAGGAATTTACTCAAGGCGAAGTGTGGAGCTGAGTCCATGTGCATTGGGACCAACTGTGTAATAGGGAGTTCTCCAAATTAGCTTTCATGTGGCATGCAATAATTAAGGTGTAAGAAGTGTACTAATCTGAGGTGTATATATAAATATATATGTGTTTATCTATACATATGTAATTAGTGACAGTAGCAATTATTTAGAATTTAGACAAACCAAAGATTTTTCAGGAAGTATTTTATCACCAGCTTAGAACTGCACATGCATTGTAATAAAAAAAAAGAAAAGAAAAAAACAGACTGGCTGAGGTCAGATTGTTTTCAGTCTCTACAGACAATGTGTCCCCTCACAACAGCTGCACCTGGGGAGGACCTTTTCCGTTGCCCCACCCTCAGGAGACAAAAGGAACCACACCAACAAAAACCTCCCAACCACACAAGAAAAACAAGTTTAGGCACAAAAGCTCTTGTGGACACACGTAAGCCCTTCCGGTTTACATGAGTGTAGAGCAGGGTTTCTCAACCTCAACACTACTATTTACGCTGGATAATTCCTGGCTGTGGGGACCGTCCTGTGCATTGTAGGATGTTTAGCAGCATCCCTGGACTCTACCTACTGGAAGCTGCCAGTAACACTCTCCCAACCTCCACCAAGATGTAAAAATGACCATGGAGAACAAAATTGTCCCTGGTTGAGAGTCACTGTTAGAACATCTTTGGAAGAGTACACAAGAAATCAGGTACATTGCTTACTTCTGGGGTGGAAGGCTTCAAAGTACCTTTTGAATTCTTAACATGTATATCTATTATTCAAATAAATACACTTAAACACACAAAGGAAACTAGAGAAGAAATGAGAACAAATGTTTAGGCGAGACAGGGTATCGCTGAGAAAGTATCTGCAGCTCTTTCAAATTATCTTCCCTTTGTTTTCTTTCAAAAATGTGCCCCTTGAAAAGAAAAACAAATTAACATCTTTCCAAGGTTATTCCACCCTATAAAAGATTTTCTGTAAACATGGAAATGGGCATTTTACAGAAAAAACTCCTGGCCCCTAAAGAAAACATTCCTGGTCTCCTTCTTGGAATCTCTTATTTTACACACAGTTCTAACATTATGTGCTTTCTCCAGGTCAGGTCAAAGTAGAACAGAAGCGGCAGATGAGAACCGTGGTGAGGGCAGGAGTGCGGTCCTCACAGAGCCTAGTCCTGAGCCAGCCTTGGTATGGTAACAAGAGTGAGGCATTTGGAGGCACATTCTGCCGCTTTCTAATCATGGAACCCTAAGCAAATCACAGCCTTCCAAGACCTCAGTTTTTATTTCTGAAATGAAAGGTAACACATGCTTCATAGCGTTGCTGTGTGAACTGATCCTATGAAATACATGGTTTTACACCAGGATTACAAACATCCTGGTAAACCAGTGGTACCTGTTGACTTTACCAAGAGGAATTTGAGTATTAAAAATAGCCCTAGAGTTGGTTCCAGCAGCATCCGCAGCAGATTTGTTACTGGAAAGAGGTCCCAATACAGACCCCAAGAGAGGGTTCTTGGATTTCCCACAAGAAGGAATTCAGAGTGAGTCCATAAAGTGAAAACAAGTTCATTAGAGAAGAAACAAAAGAATGGCTACTCCACAGGCAGAGCGGCAGCATGGGCTGCTGGACTGAGTATACTTACAGTTATTTCTTGATTATATACTAAACAAGTAGTGAAATATTTTCTGGGAAAGGGGTGGGGAGCTCCTGGAACTGAAGGTTCCTCTCCCTTTTAGACCATATAGGATAACTTCTGGGCATTGCCATGGCATTTGTAAATTGTCACGGTGCTGCTGGGAGTCTTTTAGCATGCAATGCATTATTATTCGCCTGTAGTGAGCAGTGAGGATGACCAGAGGTCCCTTTCATCACCATCTTGGTTTTGGTGGGATTTGGCCAGCTTCTTTATTGCATCCTGCTTTACCAGCAAGGTCTTTGTGACCTGTATCTTGTGCCAACCTCCTACCTCATCCTGTGAACTAAGAATGCCCTGCCTCCTGGAAATGCAGCCCGGCAGGTCTCACTCTCATATTTAGCCCCTATTTAAGATGGAGTTACTCTCGTTCAAATGCCTCTGACAGATTCAGAAGTGTAAAAGAGCATGAAGCAGATATGAAGGGCAAGAAAGCAGAACAGGGAAGAATAAAGGGTTGGGGACCAGACTGCCTGGGTTCCGATCCTACGGGTGACCCTGGACAACTTCTAGACTTCTACTTGCCTCAGTCTCTATAAGCTGATAATAGGACAGCCAACTTGCAGTGCCCAGAATGGTCTTGTTCTATAAAGTCTCTGCAAACACTGAATTAGTGAATCCTGAAACATTGCTCCTAGAGAAGATACAGGGTTGGGTACCCGCGAGCCCCTGGTCACAACATTTTCACCAACTGATCAATGCATAGTTGATGTGTGTGTTTGACGACACCTTATGTTACTGATTCTTTAACACTGAAATCACAGCCAACACTACTACAACTTACGCCTGCATGAAGCTTATCTAGCAAACGTATTTTCTCCCTAAGATACATCGCAGCCTTCTCCAGCCTTCTTGTGCTTAATAACACTAGACAACCCCTCAGCACTATGCTTGGGGGCCATTTTAAGCAGTAAAATCACTTTTTTAAAAAAAGGCACAAAAAAAGGATAAACACGGTACTAACCAGGTAGAAGAAGAACACTTATTTGCAATATAAGAGCTGAAGCAAGAAGGCCTT
The DNA here is from genome assembly GCF_000001405.40 of Homo sapiens. Classification (NCBI taxonomy): domain Eukaryota; kingdom Metazoa; phylum Chordata; class Mammalia; order Primates; family Hominidae; genus Homo; species Homo sapiens. Next base: position 134,179,094 of record NC_000002.12, on the reverse strand, counting down.
GTTCATCCGCAGCTGGGAACATGGACACCAGGCAACTCAAATCTTCTACTCTGTATGTCCATGAATGACCAGGAAAGTGCAGAGTATTGATTTCAGGGTTACAAATAAGTATTAATGAGGACACAAATTCACAAATACAGAAATCTGAGAATAATGAAGATGGACTATACCTGCCTTCACAGATGGCTTTGATGAGTCAATGAATTAATGCAGATAAAGCACACAGGAAACATTCAGTAAATGTTAGTTATTAACAGGGAGTCAAATATGTAAATATCATGCAGTGTAAAGAGCATGACAGAAACATGAAGAGAGGACACAGGTGTTAACAAAGCCACAAAGGAATGTGGCACGGGGGAAGGGAATCAAGAATTCAAGTTCTTTCCCTAGAGCAATCTCTTACTCCTCGACTTATCTTCCTTTGCACCAACGTTATAATCCTTGTGCCACAGCCATCTGCCTTTTTGCTCTCAAATCCATTCTCTGCATACTTTGTCCTTTTACAAATATCACAGGAAACTACATTTCCCAAGCTCCCTTGCCACCTGGTTTCTAGTAGTGCTGGCCTGTGGGAGGTACCATCAGAAGCTGGGAGGGGAAGGTGCCTGGGTCTCTCTCCCAACTCCATTTGCTGGGTGGGATAACCTTCTCTAGGGAGACAGCTCTCTCCAAAGGACCCAATGCCCTTTCCATCAGCTGCCACCCCCACCACCCTGCCTCCACAGTCCTGGGGGTGGACATCTTCCTGAGGTTACAAATCTCTAGGTTGCTGTAACAGTCTGGTAACTCTCCTCTTTCATCACCTAAATATGCAATTATCTGTATTAGAATCTGTTAGAAATGCCTAGTCTAGTTTTCCTGATTCATGCCCTATGAAACACTGGCTCTAGAAGCAATTTTTAGAAGTTTTAGTTTTAGATGTTTTTACAGCCTAAAAGTTTCCTGCCTAGAATCTCTCCCAAACTCACTCCCAAAATCTCACCTCTTTTTTTTTTGAGAGAAAAAAACAAAACAAAACAAAACTGGTTTTGTCTTTAATTCACCACTGCACGAAGAAAAAAAGCACACTTATGCAAATATTACAGCTATTTAAGTTTTTTAAATCACATTACATTACCTCTGCCACATTTCATCATGGGCTACCAATTGGCCTCACACCGATACACCTATGCAGTTTCCCTCTGCTTAAGTGCTGTGTACTTTTTGAGAACCGAGCACTACTCTCAACTCATAAATACCTTGACTTTTTAAACAAAATCCAAATGCAGCCTATGGCACATCGCCAATTCACTCTCATTGTCAGCATCGGCCATTCCGTGCTGCTGACTGCGAGCCTGCATGAGCACTGGCCATTAATTCTGAGGCAACTTCCATTCTCTGCTTTCCATTGTTTCTTACTCCAGTGCATAAAAATTTCATGCCTGACCATCATCATGCCCAGGCGTAATAGATTAATAAATCAGTTCATTTGGACAGAAGAATGCAATAGTGAGTAAGATTCTGATCAGTGAATCAGAAGAACGGGAAAGGGCAGGCGAGAGGAATGCCAGCTACTCACTGAAATCCGCACTCTTGTCATCTTCCTGGGCACACAGCTGGACCTCGCTTCCCTGCCAGGGGTGACCAGGTGACTGTGTTCTTGGCAATGGAATGCGAGTAGAAAGTGACGCTAACCACAGCCAGACCCGGCCCTAAAAACCTCCATGCTGGCTCCTCCATCAGATCCCCCCAGGCCTGTGGGCTGGAATGACAGTTACAGCAGGATGACCTAGAGAACCTGTTTTCAAAAAGTCAAGGCCTAAAGCCTGGGTTGCTACAGAAGTTCTTTAAAGAGGTCATTCCCTCCCATCCCATAGAACTGTTTATCAACCTAAAACTATGAACAAGAAAAAACTTACACTAGATGCAAGATTACTATAAATAGAGATACATACACACACACACACACACGGGTTCATTTGTTACAGGAGGTCCCTATCACAGGACACGTGCCTTTCAAATGAGTGGGTCAGATATCTGGTCATGGTGGCTGAGGGGGTATATGAGATAACTGCAGCATGTCCCTTCCAGAAGGAGCCCTAAGGGGAACCCACTTGGGCAAAGGCTCAGAAACAAGCACCTGTTCCTGGTCCCACATGTCCTGTCGGGAGACCAGTGACCTGTTAAACCACCACTTTCATCCTATAGCCTAAAAACCAAGACCCTTGGAGGTCAAGGTGGGCCTCCAGGCATCCAAAGGCAGAAAAGAGCTGAGACCCACCTCTCAAAGGTCAGTGCCACTCCAAGGGGAGCCTGCAGCACACTGCCAGTCCACCAAGTATTTGTTTCTGCTCTATGATCAATACTGAAATTGAGTGTAAGTGTTCTAGAAACTTTTATAGCAATTTGCTAAGGTAATATTATGTCTTTGAATCTAATAAAATTAGGGGCTTGTATTATAGACTTTTTAAATGTCATTTTTCTAGTCGTTTATTCTTATCAGTTCTTGATGGTTTAGAATTTTTTTTTTTTTTTTTTTTTTTAAGACAGAGTCTCCCTCTGTCACCCAGGCTGGAGTGCAGTGGTGTGATCTCGGCTCACTGCAACCTCCGTTTCCTGGGTTCAAGCGATTCTCCTGCCTCAGCCTCCCTGAGTAGCTAGAATTACAGGCATATGCCAGCACACCCAGGTAATTTTTGTATTTTTAACAGAGAAGGGGTTTCACCACGTTGGCCAGGCTGTTCTCGAACTCCTGACCTCGCAATCCACCCCACCCCGGCCTCCCAAAGTGCTGGGATTACAGGCGTGAACCACTGTGTCCAGCCTAGAATTTTTAAGAACTATTTTTCCTCCTTCCCAGAGTCCCAAAACTCTTCAGCCAATTCCCAAGGCCTCCACACCCCCTTCCCAATCCTTCCTGCTTTACTCTCAGGAGGCTCTCCTCCATGTTCTGGCCCAGCAACCCCCTTCAGCCTTCCTCTCAAGGTGGTACCTCTCTCTGTAAACAGTAGTCTTAACCTTCCCCAGCCCCTCCAACGTGCTAGCCATGGGCACCAATTCCTATAAGCCATCCTGAGGATCTGGCCAAAACAAACAGTTAAATGGATGACTAGTCATAAAACAACATGATTGTAAGCTATCATAAAATAATCCAGGACCCTGCTCCCAGAAAATAGCCAGTTAAAAGAAAGAAGGAGAAACCTGTCTGTGGGTCCTACCCACATTAATTAACCTGAGGAAGCACCTCCACCTGCCTGACAGATGCCATCTATCCATCACTCTCAACCCCAAAGACAAAGTAAAGCGGCCTCCACCCCTTTCTTCCAGGGAGGTGGACACACATGGAGAAATCCCAAACCTGGCTTGGAGAGAAAAGAGAAATTATTCACAAAGTGGCATCAACTATGATGAAGTATTATGGGAAGGGAACAGGATGTGGAGACAGCATCAGCTCCGCCAAGTGGGACCCACTGAATTACCCCATCACAGGGGAGTCCTGAACTAGCCGGAAGAGGAGGGAGGAAAGAGGAAGGGGATTCTCTCTCACACACTCATGGCTCCTTGAAACTGAATTAAGAGGGGAAATAGATGGCAGTGACCTAACAACAAAGGAACCCGTAGCTAAGGGTGGATCCAGGTAGTGCCAACCTTCCTCAGACAGGAGGTACACTAGAGTTCCTGATGGGTCTGAGTCCCAGGCCAACCACACATTTCAGAACTTCCAGGGACAAAATAACAGTAATTTTAACACAAGCCAAAGCAAATATCTTCCAAAGTTAATAAGACATATTAGCAGCAAGATCAGAAAGGCAGGGAATATGGAGGGGTAGGTACATAAGAGCCTGCCCTATTCACTCTCTGTACTTGTGTGGATATTTGAAATATTTAAAATATTTAGACATTTTCTAGGGAAAGACAAAGAAACATGAAAATCTCTTGCCATGAACCAGAATCCTGATTAGATGCAGCAGAACTGGACACTGCAGGTGAAGGAACACTGCTCTGCTGCTCCACACACCCGGACACATACTCCCTGGTAGGGAGATATGGGCTGGCCCACAGCCCCACCCTGCCCATGGGCCAGGAGGAAAGCAAGGTTTCACCCACCTCGCCACTCTGTCAATGGGCAGTGGTATCTAGAGTGCAACCGTGGGGATTCTGAGCCACTTCCCAGGCTCTGAGAATGAGGACTGAGATGAGATACTGACATGCATCACAGGCAAAGCACCCAGAAGAGGTGACAACATTCCTCAGCTAACAATCTTGCCAAAGCCCATGGTCACCATCAAGCGGCTCAAGAGGCCTATTTCTGCCCAACGCTAGGCAAGCTATGCACCCCAGCCAAGATCAGGCATTGGCCTTTTATAAGATATGACTGACCAACATCCTGGGAAGCACAGGAAGAAATCTGAGCAGAGACAATGAAGGTGCTTTATTTTATCATGTTTAAGACTTGCCATCTAGTTCCCATGACTTGTCTCAAATTATTCGTCTTTGATGCCAACAGGAAAATGTCATTAGTTTTTAATCTCATACTCTGCATTTGTTGATTAACACATTTCAATGTCTGTGCTACCCAGGTAAAAATAAAATGAAACAAAACTTTTACTGCCTAAAAATTAGACTGCTTTATACTCATTCAGCTCATATGCTGCTATGTGCCAGCCACTGGCACTAGCCACGCATGGCATAGAGGTGAGTGAAGCCAGCGCTAGCCCTCAAATAATGTCTAGACAGACCCACAGTAACTAAATCCATTCCAATTCTGCCCTTTCTCTACTTTCTTTGGCAGTATGTGTTTCTCAGATCCACTGAGGTGGCTTTCATTTTTACTTGTACCAGGAACATGGCATCTTTCTCTTCCAGTTATGTCTTAAGAAATGAGATGTAAAAACAGGCTGTCTTAGAAACTAGGACATAAATGACCAGACACAAGATCCACTGGCCATGTGAGAAACGTTTCCTGACATCCAATTCCCAGGGACACCCTCTTATCACAGGCTCTGTGGCTGCTAGAGGTAAAGGCTCATTTGGGCTTAGAAGCTAATGCTCTTCCCCAGTCTAAACTGACTTCGTATGATCTCACATAAATCTAAGCATAAAGCCAGGACAACTTCTTCCTACCTAAGTCAGAAGAGAGATGATGATTTATAACCTGGGTGGGGGAGAACAGTGAGCCACTTCACCACCTTCAGGATGATCCAACTATTTCCTCACTCTCTAAGGTGGAGAAAGCGTGTAGAGGCCACGTGCTTTATACGCTGAAGGCTATTTAAAGGATTACAAAGAATGTAAAGTCATCTGTGATATGGCTTTCGAGTTATAAATGTCAATGGCAGTTAAGTCTGCTGCTCTGGGAACTCCTCCAACAACAGGTTGACAACAGCCCAAGCCGACGGCTCTGGAGGAGGCTGACAGACAGCTGCTCTTTCGGTAGTTATTCCTGAGAGCGCCAAGAGGCCTCTCCAAAGGCAGCTAGGTATATGACATGCTGGAGGGGGAAAGCGACAACATATTTAGTGGCAGAAAGACACAGCCGAGGAGTCCCACATGACGCCAACACGTCTGCCTGCCTCATGAAGGCTGTCAAACCCACATGGTGCAGAGCTGAGAACAAGGGGGTGCAGATACTGGCGTGAGAATCGCAGCACAGTACATGCAGGAAGATGACCATCTTTCCCAGAGCATAAACCACAGCAATGGGTGGCAGGGCTGACAGACCCAGCTCCACCCTCCCCAGTGCCAGCCTACTATCCCCAGCTGCCCCACCTGGCAACCCTTGAAGAGCAGACTTCCCTACCTGGCAGCACTAAACCAGTTTCAGGGGAAACAGACCCTGGAAGACAGATTGTTCAGTTGTCCAGTCCCTAAAATGAAGTCACATTCCTATTAAGCAGGGTGTGGGATGTATATATGGGGGACATGAAAGGATGGATTAAATATGCTTGTATTTGAGACAAAAATCTCATGTTTTTAGAGATTAAAAATCCCTTTGAGTTTCCAAAGGACATATTTTCTGTTTCTCCGGTTTCTCCCAGTGGGACAAACTCTCAAGGTGACAGCTAGAGAGAAGCCTTAGATAGAAATCATGTGGTCACACGATTTCCTAGCTCTAACGTTAATGCTTTTATTCACGTCAAGACATTCATCTAGTTGTGGGATGCTGGGGTGTTTTTCCTCCTGTGATGTTGTCAGAGACAAAGTGTGTTCAAAGACCCACATACATAAAAGAAACAAGAATTAGGAATGTTTAATGTTTCATTCTGTTGACCCCATAACCTTGACACCCAATTCCTATCAGCCTGTGAAATATAAATGTTCTGCTCCAAGGTGAACATCTGATTTACCAAGCTAACTTCTCAAGGGTCTGCCCCTTAGGCAGTGGGTTTAAGTGCTACAAACAATTCAGATGGGTAAAATAAGAAGTACTGGCTGGGCATGGTGGCTCACACCTGTAATCCCAGCACTTTGGGAGGTCGAGGCGGGAGAATCACGAGGTCAGGAGATCGAGACCATCCTGGCTAACACGGTGAAAACCCGTCTCTACTAAAAATACAAAAAATTAGCTGGGCGTGGTGGTGGGCACCTGCAGTCCCAGCTACTTGGGAGGCTGATGCAGGAGAATGGCATGAACCAAGGAGGCGGAGCTTGCAGTGAGCTGAGATCGTGCCACTGCACTCCAGCCTGGGAGACAGAGCAAGACTCCATCTGAAAAATAATTAATTAAAAAAAAAAAAGGGAGTACTTAGGAAATTCCTTCCTCCATAAAATATGCTCAGAATTGAGGACTTAAGAAAATACACATCTTGGAGCAATGGTTCCTCAATACAGACACAGTTCAGAGACTATACTGTCCTTAGGAGTCACACGCTCCAGTTCAGTGGGCTTCCTTCCACTGACACCATGATGATGTGTGTGCTGGGCCCAGGTTGGGCTGCTCTAAAGGGCCAGCCTTTCTACATAAGAATTAAGTGGCCATGGTCAAGCTCAATAAATTTGTACTGATAATGATTGAATGAAGTAAAAAATAGCCTTCTGCTCCAGTCACTTCACTAATTCTATACACATAAAATAATCTTGTCCAATTACTCTGAAAAAATTCTACCAGGCCTTCACCAGATAGCCAGAGATGTCCCCTCAGGATTATGGGTGGTACCAAGAGAGCCACCCCCTTGCTCTTTGGGACCAGAGTGCCAAAGTGTATTTTGATGGCCCCAAAGCATAACATGGGACTACTCTACATAACTTGGCCCTCTCCCCGACAAGAGCAAATACCCCAGCTCTCTGCTTAGCCCAGGTGAGTATCTGCTTACTATAGTACTTACATGGCTTAACAGAGCCTCCTCCAATGTCCACTTTAGAATAGGAATCACTTCTGAAATCACAAGGACAAGGACGGTTTTAAGTTCCTCCTCTTAAAGGACTTGATCCATTGCAAACAGGCTGACAAAGAGATTGTATGAACTTTGGTTCTCCGTTTTTTTGGAGCCCAACTGCCTTTAAGATCGTCTCCCAAAAAAAGATACTTAAAAATAGCTAGGTGGGCGGCCCTATCACTTCGACACCCAGAGGCATTTGTCTAAAAATTATTATCTCACTTGTTAGGATCCAAATCCATCCATTATTAGTTCAGCGGGAGTAAGGTGACACTTGGCAAAGACAGAGCCTCTGCACAAAACTGCTTCTTGTCCCAGGTCTCAGGAGGCATTAAACCAAAGCTCTTACCAATCCTAATGCTTTCCGGACTAGCCTACATTAATATATACACACAGTCCCAAATATATATGCACAATTTTAAAAATAGCACCATTACAAAAAAAACTCAGGAGTTTATAGTATGAAATAAACCCAATTCAATTACAAGCCTGTTTTTTCAAATAGATTCCTTGTAGCTGTTTCTCCCTGAAGAATAAAACCAAAAGAAGCAATAAAAAGCCATTTTGGAAATATATCTCGGCCGGACACAGTGGCTCATGCATGGAATCCCAGCACTTTGGGAGGCTAAGGCAGGCAGATCACCTGAGGTCAGGAGTTTAAAACCAGCCTGGCCAACATGGCAAAACCCTATCTCTACTAAAAATACAAAAATTAGCTTGGTGTGATGGTACGTGCCTGTAATCCCAGTTACTCAGGGAGGCTGAGGCATGAGAAATCACTTGGACCCAGGAGGCAGAGGTTACAGTGAGCCGAAATTGCACCATTGCACTCCAGCCTGGGTGACAGAGCAATATTCCGTCTCAAAAAAAAGAAAAAAAAAAAAGAGTAGAGATCTATATCTACTATGTGCTTCTGATTGGCTATTTTCCCTCTACAAAACTCCTTTATAAAAAAGAAACCAGGGAAAAATATGTCCATTAAAAGACATGTATAGTATGTTTCTGATGTTCATGGACTGTATGAGCAGAAAATTGTAAAACTGAGAAAGACCTCAGTAAGGGAGGGAGGGACAGATCCACCTTCAAGCTGACTGTTGTCTTAATACTAACTTATTCTTAAGGACTTCATGGAAGAGCATACTGTATAATCATCTGAAAAGTTTCTGGAAGAGTTTCATTATTTTTAATCCAAACGAAGCCAATTCCTGCAAACCGCATAAAGTATTAGCATTTTTGTCTGTGTCAACAAGCCCTGAGCAGTAACAGAGGTTTGTACACTTGGGCAACTTAGGAGAACAGGCTCAACCCACAGTCATTACAAATCCACCATCTCTATGAAACAGTCTGGGCTCAATAAATGTTTACTAAAGGATGGACAGTTGGAAAGAATTGATTCCACGCCAGTGACCCCTTTTAAACTAGCATGTGTCTGAGACAGCCTTGAGGTGAAGGAATGGGTTTTGAAAATGGATTATCGTGATACGGAAAAAGCTGTAACTCTAGTAAGTGCAGTCAAGATTTGTTTCTAGAAAACAATCCTCAGCATCTTGGTCAGATCAAGAGCACTTCATTCATGAGTAGTGGTGTAGGCTAATGGAATATATACCCACATGCCTCGGGCCTAAATGATACCAACTTAGTTTCAGTGCTTTTAATCTTTTATGTTTTCATAAACACCTAGTTGGTGCATCATATGGCAATTTTCCTTATGAGTACTGTCCATGGGTGGCAGGTGACTTATGAATCATACCAGTAATGAAACTGTAAGATTCAAAAAAAAGTTCATGATATAAAGAAGTAGTTTATTATCCTTTACTTCACCAATGCTTTCAAATCTCGATTTTACCTTAAGAATCAGACAAGCTACCTCCTGAGTCACCTGAAAACTACTGCGCCACCCTTGGCTCTCTGTTCATTTGCAAAACACCTGGTCACCAAGAAACCAAAAGGCCCTTAAATTCTACCATCAGCAAAACCTTTTTTTCAACTAATCTTAAATATCATTTCCTGCAGAGCCAAGTACATAACATTAATAGAAATTTATAGACATTTCAAGCTGTGTCTATAGATAAAGAAAATATTGAAGAAGTCCTTTCTCCTTCCTGATTTTCACATCAGGTGCTGTATACCACCACAGCATTCATCAAGATTTCACCCAAAGTAATTTTTGGAGATTAATTGGCTCCCTCAATTTCTTCTTGGGATTATGCTGTAATTTTCTTCCCTTTCTTAATTATAACTCAGCTGTGAAAGCATTTGTAGATGGATATCATGGAAGTACAATTCAATCTTTTATATATGTGTGTGTGTGTGTGTGTGTGTGTGTCTGTGTGTGTGTGTGTGTGTGTGTGTATTTTTAAATTATGGAGATGAGGTTTCACTATATTGCCCAGGCTGGTCTCAAACCCCTAAGCTCAAGTGAGCCTCCTGCCTCGGCCTCCCAAAGTGCTGGGATTACAGGCATAAGCCACTGCGCCCGGCCTTGAAATCCCATTTTCAACCAACATTTATTCCTTTCATTTTATTTTTTGGATGAAAGTTATAAATGCCCTACAAACAAAATAACCTACTTGATACATTCTTACTCTACCACAGCATTCTACCAGAAACCTGCATTGTCTCTTTGCCCTCCCCCAAAGTATTTCTAAAGGTAAGCCATGACAAGCCAATACAGGTGCAGGGGGCCCAGCTGTGTGGTGCCCACCCAGGATCCAATGGCACAGGACAAAGGTGGGCAATTCCAGACCTGCAGGTCTCACATCTCCCCACCCACTTATGACCCTCAGCACTGGAACCTGTCAGGTTGATCCCTTCTCAAGGGGTCAACCTCAAGCATTTCTTTCTCTTATTCCCTATGGACGACGTCTCTCCCAGTAGAAGAATCTCAGAATCCTGAATACCAAAAACAACCACGGATTTCCCTATCTTTTTCCACATCTAAGACAAAGGTGGCTGAGAACATCAAAGTAAAGAGTGTCTATGGTTCTGCCTTAAACTCCTTTATGCCTAGAGAAAGTATTTCAAATAAGACCAACTGATATGCACTAGAAACAAATCATGACCACATTTATAAACTTTAAGTCTTTCAATCTTCCTTGTCATGCATCAGATAATCACATAGAAAAGAGCCCTACAATTACAATACTAGCTTCACGTGGCTTTCATCCACATGGGCAGAGCAGCTAAATTCACCATACTGTGAAGCCCAGTTTCATAGATCTAGGTTGGTCTTTGACGCCAGAACATATTAAATGGTAACCTTAAATAGGTTTAGATTCACTCAACTCAAAACTTTCTCTCATCTTTCCATTTCAATGAGGCCTCTCATCAAGTCTCCATGAAAAGTGTCCCCCAAATACAATAAAATCAAAATCTGTCCCAACTCACTAATACTGCCTGGGCTCAAATACAAAGCTCCAGCTGTCAAACTGTGTGACAGCAACCAAGTGATCTCCAACCCCCCATCTTTTTGTGTCTAAAACAGAGGTCGTCATGGGGCCTCATTATGAAAATGGGGATTCACAGCCAAGGCAAGGGAGACACAGTCTGTGTGTGGCACCAGGGTCAGTGCGCCTTCCACAAATGTTAGCAATTATGATTACTCTGGTTGCTGTTGCTTTAATGCAACAATAAATTAATAGGATTATAAACAGGCAGTTCTAGAACCACTGCGAAGCCTGGAACCATAGGAGCAGGTGGTGCCTGATGCTACCTGACAGTTATTTTGCTGATAGCTACTTTGTCAGACAGGTGTGACAAGGATGATTTAATGGCTTGCAACTTGGAATGCCCTTAGTTAAAATGACTGCTGTCCTACAAATGGTCCCCAGGTACAGCATGTTTGATTTACAGTTGAGAAAAAAATAGCCAAACTTCTGAATCCATCACTAACTTGGATTACAGAGATAATAGTTGTAGCCAAAGCTTATCCAAAATTTTAACCAAGACATGATGAAACCATGCTGGGAGACCACTTATGTAGGTTTGCAACCATTTTTAATGTTCATTTGCAGTATCACAAAGAACAGATTCCCTTTACAAGACTTGCACACCATAACAAATGAAATTTGGTATTGTCATCAAAATTTTAACAAGCACCAGGGTATTAATCTTAAAATTCTGTTTTCTAAACCATCCCCAAGCTACTTGTGTTTCTTTCCTTTAGCGCAGTGGTTCTCAAAGTGTAGACCCCGAACCGGCAACATCATCACCTGGGAAGGTATGAATGCAAAAATCTAAGACCCTGCCACAGGCCCACTCAATCGGAAACTCTGGGATGGGGCCAGCGCTGTTTTAACAAGGCCTCCAGGTGATTCTTGGATGCATGCTGAAGTTGGAGAACCACTGCCAACACGCTGTAAACATGTGGGCTGGGCCATTACTTCAGACAGCTCTTTTCCTTAAACTATCTGGCATTTTTCTGTCCCTTAGAAACCTGCTATAGGATGATGTCAACTGTTCTATTTTTAATTCCTCATGATGAGGCTGAGGATGATTCATTCAGCACCTTATGTGATCACTTAAATAGTAAGGATCCTTCCCTCCCGCCCCTAATGGAAGGTGACTGCTGCCTGTTATTTCTGATGTAATTACAGGAACAAATCAGTAACAAAAGCTTGTCCTTTATCAACCTCAGCTAATGTTGTAATAGAGACTTATAACTCCCTGTTAGTTTCCATAATGTGTTCCTCGTAATGTATCCTTTGAGACCCATCTTACCATATGTCATAACAAGGAAACACAGAACCCAGGATCAAATTTGTAGTTAATAGAGATCAAAACTGCAAGTCTTTGGGCAAACCTTTTTCAATTGACAAGAGACAAGTCTGTATCAACCATCTGGTTTTATCTCATTTATCTAAGTGAATTCCCTATAAAGAAAAAAAACAGTTGATTTAAAGCTTTCTACGGGTCCTGAGGTGACCTCATCTATTGTGCATTGTCCCATCACCACCCAACATCTAACTTAACTAATTACCAAAGTAGGAAACATTCAGAGACATTTCCTAAATATTAAATAAAACCTTTTTTATACCTTTAATTTGTTGAGGTGTGTATTAATTCAGAGAAGTTAATTTCATACCTGCTATGAGGTCTCCTGATGAATTGTGAATACCAACATGTTATTAATTTCCCTTGTTTTTGATTAATCTCGCACTTAATGCCAGACAAGAAAGGCAACATTAATGTCTGAAAGATGAAGTTCAGTTCTTGTAATATACTAAATCGACCTCATGTGTTCAAGTCAACAGAAAGCCCACATAAGGAAACAATGGAATTGGCTCCAGAAAGTGTCCAAGGTGTGATGTAAATAAATGCCCAGAAACCCAGAATGTTTAAGCTGTAAACTCCAGTTTTAATACTCCTCGGGGAGAGGAAGAGAATAAAAGTCAGAATTCTGAAGACTGCACTATGCACGAATAAACTTGTGCCCTTACTGTTGACCAGAGACATGATTTATCACACTATAGTTCTTACATTTCCAAGGGTCCCTCTGTGTATCACTCAGGCTCTTCACACCTTTCTCCTTGTCTTCTCTCAACTGTCTCTGCGATCATCTCAGCACTCCTGGCTCAATACGTGTGAAAAGACAGTCTCCCTCATCAGAGGCTATGAAGGAAAGGAGCAAGAACCCAGTCTTATGCAGTTTTAGATCTTCAGGGACCTTTGTGTCTACATGCCAATCCTATTCCCCTTAATAATGCCTATAGTGAGAACCTGCTATGTGCCGAGACACTAGGAGCCTCAGGCAAGTTATCAAACATAGCTGTACCTCTTTGAGGTACTATTTTTCATACCTTACAGGAGAAGAAACTGAGATTCAGAAAGCTAACTATCTTGCATAGTTGATCCCCATCTTAACACACATCTGCCAGGCTCCCAAGCCTGGAGTCTTCCATATCACACTGCTTCCCTAGAACATGAGTTACAGAACATTGCTGGCTCCCTAGAATTTTTTTTTTTTGAGACAGAGTTTCGCTCTGTCGCCCAGGCTGGAGTGCAGTGGCACCATCTCAGCTCACTGCAAGCTCCGCCTCCCGGGTTCACGCCATTCTCCTGCCTCAGCCTCCCGAGTAGCTGGGACTACAGGCGCCCGCCACCATGACTGGCTAATTTTTTGTATTTTTAGGAGAGATGGGGTTTCACCCTGTTAGCCAGGATGGTGTCGATCTCCTGACCTCATGATCCACCTGCCTCAGCTTCCCAAAGTGCTGAGATTACAGGCATGAGCCACCGCGCCCGGCCCTGGATAATTTTTTTAGAAGACCTGAATGCTATGAGCATGCCATCTTCCTCTAAAAAAAACTTCCCTTCCCACTTCCAGCTCCAACTCACCAAAGTCTTCTTTGAATTCCAACATGAAACAACCTCACAATCCCATGCAATATATTAAATTTTCTAATGTGCATTAGAGTATCCATGTCTTAAATCTCCACTCACAAATGAGCCAGCCCCACTAGGACTTACATCCTAGCTCTGTGGCTAAATAGAGCAATCAGTCATCTCTGGCCATCAGCTAGAGCAGCGATGCCCACCAAGGAAGCCACTTATGACGTGTGGTTATTTCAACCTAAAGAAAATTTTAAGATTTCATTCCTCAGATGCTCTAGCCATATTTTAAGTGCTCAAAAGCCAGTTGACTAATGGCTACCATACTGGATAGCACAGATACAGAACACTTCCATCACCACAGAAAGTTCTACCACACAGCCCTGGTGGAGAGTTATCTCAGGGCAGCATCTTTTCATCTTATACCCTACCAACACCGTGCTGGAGGACACAGCCTCCTTACCACAGAATTAAGGGACTGTCAGGCTAAATGTGGCCATACTCACGTTTGTTTTGTTTTTTTGTTGTTGTTGTTTTGTTTTGCTTTGTTTGGTTTGGTTTTTTTTTTTTGAGACGGGTGTCACTATGTTGCCCAGGCTGGAACAGAGTGGCTATTCACAGGCCCAATTATAGCACACAACAGCCTCAACCTTCCGGACTCAAGCGATCCTCTTGTCTCAGCACATCTCATCTTTTAACGAATAACATTTCTGGAGGAGTTAAGTCATTTGGCATACTTATTAATATAGAATACTAACTAGTAAGTAGACTGACCTCATAGGACAGAAAGCATCAGAAATGAGAGGCACTAAGAGAAAATCATAGTAAGCCCTTGCATTCAGGAATAACCACCCTGTGCAACCACACCTCAGGAAGCACCCAAGAGCAAGCCCCACAGACAAGCAGAACCACCCACACAGGCCCACCTCTGAGGTGCATCCTAATCAAGGCCCTCTCCACATGAGAGGTTAACCTCTACAATTCTTCCTTGGCAAGATGAGGTCCCCAAATTTGGTCTCATTTCTATTTATTAAAGAGGACAATGCTAGGAAACCAACCAACTCTCAAAGCTTATTTCCTACTGATCACTCACTGAATTGCTTCACTGAAAGTTGGAATAATTAGCATGTAGACAAGCTTTTGCTGACAATGACAGCAGGCTAGAAAACAGCCTCAGTTCCCCTGGGGACAACTGACCTAGAAGTTTTAGTTTAAAAGATTTTCAGGAATTAAAAGCCTGAGAAATTCTGGGGGTAGCTCCAATTTGGGGAAGGACCCTAGAATACAATACTGGTTACTGCTGGATTAGAACAGCCAGAGTGAGGCACATGGAGTGGTAAATAGGCAAGATCATTGATATGAGTTTCAACTGTTACCACCTGCAGGTTCCCTACACACTGCATTTCTTCTCTCTCTGTTGTTCATTGTCCCCTATTCTCTCTTCCTGCTGTCTGTGCATTCAGCCACTAAAACTGAATTCCGCACCCAGGACAAGCCAGCCTTCATGGCTGCCAATATTGGTCTATAAAGAAGTGGATCCAAGTCATAATGCTACTTCTGTTGCCAAGTCCTTTAGATGACTTTGGCAACCCCTTTGACAGCCCCTCGACTCAAACTGCTATACAGGTCAGACCTGGGTCTCTCTCAGTACAATGTTAAGGTAATGAATGGGAACTGTGTAGAGCTAAGACAAGAAACCAAAGTGGAGAATTTTCTAATAACAAATGCAAATCCATCCTTCTGGGGGAAAATAAACTCACATGTTCCTCTTAGAGCCTCTGACAATCATCCAGTCCTGGACAAATGTACCTCTCTCCTCTGAGCATCCAACTCAATCACATCAGTAAGATGTCTGCCTTTTTTCTCAACATTACTCACCTTTGCTTAAGAACCACAGCCAGTCGAATTGCTAACTCTGACAAGCGTCCCTGTCTTAACTGTCTCCTACTCAGTAGCTTACACCAGCTTTCTAACCTGGTGGGCCTTTCTCCATCCTCATGCCCCTCCCCTGATTTCATCCTGCACACCTGCCAGGTGAACCGTCCGGAACACCCTTACTCCAGCCCCTACTCACTAAAAGCAGGGCCTTCAATAAGGCGTCTTAGGTACCAACATCTCTAAGATCAAACCCTGGCCCCCAAGGCCCTCCAGAATCAGGAAGGTCTGCTCTAACTAAGAAATCTACCTTTTCTCCATATCGTAGCTAGGTTATTTTCCCTGTCCCCAATACATCCCCCTTCCAAGCCCACCTTACCCTTGCATAACTCAAACATCTCCTCTGGGAAACTTTCCTTCCTGGGTGTAGTAACTCTCCTAAGCAGACTGTCAACTCCTCAAGAGCAGGGCACGTCTTACACTTCTTGGTGTCTCTGAAGAGTATTTCAGACACAGAATCTTCAGCAACACCGACACTCCACAAATATTTGACAATCCACTGAAAATACAGTTTCTATTCATGCTCCTAAGTTCATTATTCCAACAGTAGATTCTCAGACCACTAAGGTCATCCCACTTCAATACACAGTTTGCAAGGCACTTAACATCTCTAAACCTCGGTTTCATCTTCTGTGAAATTGCAGTAATAACAGCACCTACCCCACATGGTCATTGGTGTTAAAGAAATAATGGTGAAGCACTTAGCATCATGTCTGGTGCATAGTAGGCATCCCAAACATGTTATTTCTACCCCTCCTCCTAATATCAGTAAGTCTCCTTAAGGGGACAATGTAACACAGTGGAAATAACATGGTTGGGAGGACAGAACGAACCTGGGTTGAAATCCCAACTCTGTTCAGATCCTAACTGTGGGACCTTAGTGAAGTCACTCATCACTTAGCTGTATTACCCTCAATGGTAAAAGGAGATCAATAACCTCAAAGGATTCGTCTAAGGACTAAATGAGAGAATATACCTAAAGTTCCCAGTACATAGTCAGCAGCTCAATTAGTAGCATTTACTAAATATGGTTTTAATTCCATTAAAACCCTAACAACTAGAAAAGAAAGACACACCTTTGGACTCCTTGCTTGCCTCACTGCCATCTCCTTCTGGTCATATTCTTTAAGGGAAGTCCCTAAATCAGGCCCAGAGTTTCAGCTGACAACCCGCCAGTCTTCAGCAAAAGGTCCTAACACCATGAGTACAAGAAAATTACATGGTGAGCTGCAAGGAGAACCATTTCTTTAAGGAGAGCAGGTGTATTTTGTTTTTGTTTTTTTTTGACATGGAGTCCTGCTCTGTCACCCAGGCTGCACTGCAGTGGCGTGATCTCGACTCACTGCAACCTCCACTTCCTGGATTCAAGTAATTCTCCTGCCTCAGCCTCCCAAGCAGTTGGAGTTACAGGCGTGCACCACCATGACCAGCTAATTTTTTTTTTAAAGGACAGCCAGGGTTTCACCATGTTGGCCAGGCTGGTCTCAAACTCCTAACCTCATGTGATCTGCCCGCCTCAGCCTCCCAAAGTGCAGGGATTACAGTCATGAGCCACTGCGCCCGGCCAAACATGTGTATTCTCATTCTTATCACTTCACCAATCTCCAAATATTCATATCTACTCCTATTTTACACATGTTTAGCAAGGTCCTTCTAGAAAGAAAAATACACTGGTACTATTACTCATTTAAAAAAAAATAAATCTATGAAACTATTCTAACAAAAGGAGAGC
The DNA here is from genome assembly GCF_000001405.40 of Homo sapiens. NCBI lineage: Eukaryota > Metazoa > Chordata > Mammalia > Primates > Hominidae > Homo > Homo sapiens. The sequence continues at coordinate 134,161,742 of NC_000002.12, read as the reverse complement.
CGGAAGTGCTGAGAGAAAAATCCAGATTGAACTCGATATGCAAACAAGTAGATAAAATATGACAACCCCATGAAAAGCCCCCAGCCAAGATCACACCCTTACTAGAAGGAAAAATAAACTCTATTCTTCCAGACCACACCAGGATTTTTTGAAAACTGAAGGGAAGTCAGAGCAGAAGACAATCCTGAGGCTCCTACTCCCCTCTTCCTAGCGGCCCAGGCTTCTGCCTCCTGCCAGCCAGAGTCCAGGGCCCTGGGAGATCCTGCAGGAGGGGAGACAAGATGAGGGCAAGAGGCCAGCATTCAGAAGTTGAATGAGTTACCAGGTAACAAGGCTCCCACCAGAAATATGTCTTCTAGGCAATGGTCTGATAACACAAAGCTGAAAAATGACTTCACTTCCTTCCCGTTGCTCCCAGGCCCAACCCAGCCCCCAAGGCTAGCCCCACGGCCTTGGCAACACACTGGCCTGGCTCCAGCTCAACAGGATCTTCCCCGGGTCCTGCTCAGTTATCAATGCAAGGACAGTCATTCCCTCCTGAGGCAGGCTAAGAAAGCCTTATTGGAATCCATGGTGACAACGTCTGTCCTTCACAAGGGCTTATATATCCTGTAAAGAGCTGCAAACGCACAACCACTGGCAAATAGTGCAGGTGGCCTCCCTGTCTCCAAGCTTCTTCACCTCCTTCCACCACCTTCAGCTGTCCTAACTTCTTCAAGCCAGAGCCTGCCGCGGGGCTCACAGATGTTCTCTGCTAAAACTATTAAGTCTGCTTAGATCGTCCTGGCAGATCCTAGCCTGAAGTTCACCAGAAGTGTCAGATAACACTAATGATCATGGCAGAGCAGCTGGACCATTACCCAATGCTCACTAGCCAGCCAGATGCTTCCGAAGAACTGCATGCAACTTTCCCCACAACCCCTTTCAGGGGCTACCCTTATTATCTCCACTTGCAGATGAAGGAACTAAGCACAGAGGGTTAAAGTAACCTGCATAAAGTCACAGCTGACAAGGGAAGCCAGGATGTAAACCCTACACAGCACCTACACCTGTAGCTACTCTCCACCCTTTGTCCTTTTGCTAACCCCTAGAAGAAAGAATGACCCCTTACACACAACAAACCAGCATCATGTTCTGGTGGGGGAAGTGGAGGACCAGATGTGTTCATACAATACCCGCACCCAATCCTTAACCTACACCAACAGCTGCACCCAGCCTTCACATCCCCCATGAGCAGTTTGGGTGAGCCAGCCTGCATTTTGCAAAAGTGGAAACCAGGCCAGGCGCAGTGGCCTGCAATCCCAGCACTTTGGGAGGCCGAGGCAGGCGGATCACGAGGTCAGGAGGTCGAGACCATCCTGGCTAACAAGATGAAACCCTGTCTCTATTAAAAATACAAAAATTAGCCGGGCCTGGTGGCAGGCGCCTGTAGTCCCGGCTGCTCGGGAGGCTGATGCAGGAGAGTGGCATGAACCTGGGAAGCGGAGCTTGCAGTGAGCCGAGATTGCGCCACTGCACTCCAGCCTGGACAACAGAACGAGACTCCATCTCAAAAACAATAATAATAATAAAAAAATTAAAAAGTGGAAACCGTATTACCACTTACCCCAGGCTCCACCACACCAGTCAGGCAAATATGCTGATTGACTTGTCTGGTGTAAACCCATCCCCCTTCCTAGGAAAGCACAGCAGCAGCCAGCTGAGGAATCTACATTTTCTCTCCCCAAAGGACTCTGATGCAGTTTAGGATACATGGCACCACCACCCTTCTCCAGAGAGCTCATTTTCAGGGCAGACTTGGGAAAAGGATGTTAGAATCCCATAAGGAACTTTTAAAGAGATATGCCACGCCAGCAACTGAATCTTCTAGGGAGTAAGGAGAGAAGAGGAGCTAAAGTAGTGCTTAACTTCTAGGAGTCCTTATCATACCCCCACTATTGAGGCAATGCCTTTCCAGCACAGTCTCCACTCACTGCAACCTCCACCTCTGGGGCGGGAGTGGAGAGGGGCAGCAGCTGGGACTATAGGCTGTGCCACCATGCTCAACTAATTTTTAGTAGATACAGGGTTTCCCCATGTTGGCCAGGCTGGTCTCAAACTCCTGGCCTCAAGTAATCCACCTGCCTCAGCCTCCCAAAAGCCTCCCAAGGTACTGGGATTGCAGGCGTTAGCCACCATGCCCAGCCTCATACTACTTATGAAGATAGTAAAATTAGATCATGTGAAAGTACAAATACCCTGTAAAAACTCCTCGACAGATGTTTGCTGTTCACTTGTAATCAGAGAAAACACAACCGTCTTAACTCTTTGGACTGGTATAAAGCACTAGAAACCTTCTGTCTGAGCAATCTTGTCACCGTTCAAATGCTTTAACATTCTCTCCTCCAGAGATTCACTTAGCAGACACATTGCAAGCAAAGAGAAGGGAAGAAAAAAAAAGAGGAAGGGAAGCGAGAAGGGAAGGGATGGATGAATCCTGGGGCCTTTTACAGGACACTATGTTGGGAATACAGGGACCACACACACACACACACACACACACACACACACACACGAATTTAGACCAGTGTTCTCCAGAAGAAATGTAATGCAAGCCACAGATGTAATTTTAAATGTTCTGGTAGCCACATAAAAGATAAATAGAAACAGGTAAACTTAATTTTTAAAATGTATTTTATGTAACGTAATATACACAAAATATCACCATGTAAAACATGTAATCAACATTGAAACATGTATGAAATAGTTTACATTCTTTTCTTCATATTTAGAATTTGGTGTGTATTTTACATTTATAGTCTACCTCAATTCAGATTCGCAGCATTTCAAGAGCTCAATAGCCACATGTGCCTAGTGGTTATCATGTGAGACAGCCCAGATTCAGACAGTGAAGGGCAGATAAAGGGGAAGAGAAGGGGTAAGAATAAAACTCTAAAAGCTCTTTGGGGGGATCCATTTGGGGAGACAGTAGTAGTGATGGCAGTGGGGGCCCATATGGAGCAGCCGCTGCTGTAGCAGGGGAGGCACAGGTGGGACAGGGCAGCCAGCGGGAGACGGGAACAGGCAAGAGCCCCTCCCCCTTCCGAATTGGTGGGGCAGGAGCCCTGACCTCCTGGATGCAGCTGCAGCCACCCAGCCATGGCTGTGGACCCGGGCATCCCTGCATTCTTGGGGGTCCAGTTAGCACCCCCAGCCCCCACAGGCTTGGAAGGGCCTGCTCTCGCTGCCTAGACACTCTCGGCTCCCGGCACCAGCTCTGATTTCAGAGCAAAGTCGAGGCCAAGTCCTAGGCACTGTCGCAACCTGGCCACGTATAAGCACACTTGGGGCAGCGCTGACATGCCAGCCCTCTGCCACCCCTCCAGACTTTGGGCACCAATGAACACAGGAGGGAAGCCAAGGGGGCGCTTAGAGGGGGTGAGGGTGGCTCGGTATGGGCCTGCAGGCGCCCCTTGGCACAATTTAGGTGCCATGGACACTGGGAGGAGGCAGACATACTCCCAGGCAAAAAGGGGCAGGTCCCCACCTTCACGCCAGGGATGGAAGGTAAAACCCCACCTTCACGCCAGGGATGGCCTGAGGCCTGGGGGCCAGGCTGCCAGTTCCACCTACCAGAGTGATAACTTATGGTGCTTTTTCTGGCCTGCCCATGGCCGCCCATGGACCAATCAGCACACGCTTCCTTCCTTCTGAAGCCCATAAAAATGCTGGACTCAGCCAGACTCGGCCAGATATCAGAACAACCTGTCCGCAGAGACAAGCTACCCACTGTGGGTCTCCCCTCAGCTGAGAACTGAACAGACTTGTCAGGACACCCTGCCTGTGGATAGAAGCTACCCACTTCAAGTATTCTGAGAACTGTACTGCTGCTCAATGAAGACCCTCTCTGCCTTGCTCACCCTCTGGTTGTCCACGTACCTGGCAGGATCTAGGCTGTGTGCCCCTTATGATAATCTAATGCCTGATGATCTGTCACTGTCTCCCATCACCCCCAGATGAGACCATCTAGTTGCAGGAAAACAAGCTCAGGGCTCCCACTGATTCTACATTATGGTGAGTTGTGTATTTTTTCATTATATATTACAATGTAATAATAGAAATAAAGTACACAATAGATGTAACGTACTTGAATCATCCCAAAACCACCATCCCCCACAACCACCAGTCCATGGAAGACTTGTCTTCCATGCAACCAGTCCCTGGTGCCAAAAAGGTTGGGGACCACTGAGCTAGACAACACATTGGTTATAATGACCCTTCAAAATATCAATAGTAGTAACCATGGTTTTGTTAGTAACACTAGTAATGGTCACCATTTACTAAGGGCTTACTAAACCCCCAAGCACTTTGCAAATGTTTCACAAGCTTTTTTAAAAAATAAGCTTTCATTTTTGAATCATTTTAAATTTGCAGAAAAGTTGCAAAGATAGTACAGAGTCCCCGTATGCTCTTTGGCCAGCTTCCCCTAAAGTTAACATCTTACAAAACCATGATATATCTGTCAAAACAAAAAAATTAACATTGGCATGATACTATTAACTACAGATTTGATTTGGATTTTAGCAGTTTTATAAGTATTTTATCTTCCCAAGAACCCTACGAAGTAAGTACCATTCTAAACCCAATATGATGGAGGATGCTGAGGCTTAGTAAGAATCAATCACTTGCTTATATTAACAGTAAAATGCCAAAGACTAGCAAGACTTAGATGATGATTTTGGTTCCTCCATATCTGGAGGCTCTGCTTAATCCCTACACCATAAGCTTACCTAGATATCATCATTCCCAATTTATAGAACGAGAAACCCTGACAAGAAGCGAGCTACCTGAAGGCATGCTGCATCAAACCTGGATGTGTCCGAGTCCAACGTCCCAGTTGCACTCTGGCCACACCACCGTCTCCCTCCATAACACAAGAGAGATGAGGAGTTGCTCAGGGCCCATGCAAAGCCCCTGAAACCCATGAGGAATGTCGTGAAGGCTGTGATGTGGAGGGAGGGGATCACAGCCCTCGAAACGGACTACTTGTTCCGGGGCTACTGGTAAACCTGAGAGCTCTCTCGTGGCTCTCGTCAGGTAAAAGGGGCACAGGGAGCCAACTCAAGAGTGCCTTACAAGGAGCATGTCTAGAGGAATGAGTGGCAGAAGGAGCAGCCACCAACTACTCTAAATTTAGCTACAACCAAACCACTGGGATCCTTGCTTTGGGCCTCTATAAGGAACTCTTTTAAAACATTCTTCTCCTGGGGGATCCTGTAGCTCAGTCCTTTCTAGCCCCTAGATTTTACCACCTGGGCAACAAAAGAGGCAGGAGTCGTTAACAACCTCACACAGACCTAAGAAGAATGACACAGGCCAAACAGACAGAGACCTGGACGAACTTATCTGGACAGCCCATAACAAGCCATGTTTTGCACTTTTCTTCCAGCCTTCATTTCCTTTTTGGCACTCCATGATCCCCTCCAGGTGTTTCTGATGCACACTACGGTTTGAGAACCTGTGACCTAGAAATGTATTCGGAAGGGTCTCTGTATGCAAATAAACAAGATCTCATGCACAGACCGGCGGCCTGTGCAGAAGCGCACAAGCTGAGCTGGGGGAGCAGCATTCATTCATCTCACAGTTAGGGAGCAGTAGAGGCCAGGCCTGCGTTGTGTGCTGCTGGACGTCCTAGGCTTCCTGGAGCATAAAGTATAGGAGAGCTTGAAGATATAAATCAAGCAAGCCTACGGATGAATACAGAATTACAAACTGTGGCAACTACTATGAAGAAAAGAACGGCGGGGAGAGCAGCAGAGAATAATGGGGATCTGCTCTCAGCTGAGGGGTCCAGGGAGGCCTCCCTGCGGAAGGAAAGGACATTTAAGTGCAGATAGGAAGAGGCAGGAGTTGGCCAGAAAAAGAGGGAAGGAAGGAAGCTTTCTCAGAAAAAGAACACCATGTGCAAAGGCCCTGGAGCTGGGGAGAGCATGGTACTTTGGAGATCCTGAAAGAGCCAGTGTGGCTAGAAACAGAGGGAGGCAGGAGGACAAGTGAAAATGAAGCTGGAGATGTCACCTGGGCCAGAGGTATGACCAAGAGTCTGTGTTGGCATCTAAGCTTAAAAAGGATGGCCCTGAATTTTAGTAGAATATTGACAATAAAAATAACAACCAACATTTTTTCCAGTACTTACTATGTGCCAGGCCCTGTCCTAAGTGCTCCATATAAAAAGGTAATCCTTACAACATTCCAACAAGTAGATTCCACTCCTATCAGCATGCCACTTTACAGATGAGGACACAATTCAATTCAGCTGCTCCAAGTCAGACCTAGTTAAGGACTGAAACACAATCAGACCAACTTCAGAAACCAAGCTCTCAACCACTTCGTCACTCTGCAGGAGAATGGAGAAGCAGATGGACCTCAATGATCTGCTTTGCATTTTCAGAAGCTCAATGTGGATGCCGTGCAGACAGGGAAGTGAGAATGGAAGCAAAGGACACGGCATCTTCCAGGCCAGAAATGGCAGGAGCCTGGGCCAGGGTGGTGGCAGCAGAGATGTCCAAGACACAGGAATTCTGGGCGGTGGGGAAAGAGAGCACTCTCCTAGGGACTGTTTCACATGTGCCAAACTCCTGACCATGAACAAAGTTTGCGCGTCCTAACCCACCCCATCCACCTGCCATCAGACAATGTGAATAAGCGCCCAGGAGAGTTCTCCCTCTTCTGCAGGACTGACCCAAAACACAGGGCGGTCACTGAGCCTCTGTTATTCCTAAGAGTTAGCATTGATGAAAAAGTCTGTTCTTTGTTTAGAAGGGATGTCATTATCCTCCAGGAAAGGTCACAGATGACCAAGACACCTCACGGTGGTGCCCTCAAGAACACTGACCAGATTCAAACTCAGATACAAAAAGATGCTTCTAGCTTGAATTTTAACAAGCAGAGTTTCTCTTTAATTAACTTGATCGCCTCACAGCTCATTAGAGAGAGTCAGACAGCACAGTTGTCAGGATGGCTCGTGTTTCTAGAAAACTCCCACCTATGGCTTGGTAAAACGGTATGGATCTTGGAGAGGCCATTTCCTTGGATGAGATTTAGAGTCTCAGGGGTGTGGTCAGTGTCCTCTGACTTCAAATAAAAAGAGTGTTGTGGGGTAGATAATGGAGGCTTACCACCAGCTTACACAGCCTGAGAATCAAAACCACTGACAGCTCCGTGCAGGCAATGGGGACACCTGGACGGGCGGAACCACTGAGTTTCTTGTCTCCCGTGACAGGTCTAATCAGGACTTCCCCAAAACGGGGCTTGCCTGTGCCCTCTGACCTGCATGTCTGAACACAGCATGGATAGGCCTGGCAGGATATGGAGGAGGACACAGAAGGGGAGGAGTGGGTGGGAGCAGGGCCATTTCCTTATATAAATAAGTCGCAGCCTCTCGTATTGCAACAGTTGTGAAAAAGTCCACACCCATTTCAGAGTTTTGAAAGACTTCATCTGAGATAGGTGGAGAGGGCCAAGTGCCCCTCTGAAGCTCTTTCCTGCGTGCCATCCGTTCCCTGACCCATATTCGTTTCTCCCAAATTCCTCCTCATTACCTGCTGCCTTAATTGGCCACAAAGTCTATGTATTATAAGTGGAAACTATTAATAACACCTGGTGGGTGAAAATGCTATGGCTCTTATTTACAAAAGTATTAAATTAAGTACCTCTTGTTTTGCGGGGCTCTGGGTATTTTTTTTCCATAGGATAAAAAAATAAAATAAAATAGGGCATAAGAACAAAGAGCTACAGCCCTGCCGTTGCCCCTATGGAAGGGGCCGAGAAACTTCTAATGATGAGGGAAGGGAGGGAGAGAGTGGAGCGGAGAAGCCCATGTCTCTGGGCCTTAACCCTCATAGCATTAGGGCCTTCTCCTCCCAAGGAACCATAAGCAAGAGTTAATATGTCACTCAGCAAACACTGCTCGAGAAGTATAGTCAGTCGTCTGCTATAAGGAAATCGTCCTCGAGTGGCCTGTAAGACTCTGAGTGAGTGGCTTAATCACCCAGCAGGGCCTAGCAGGCAATACAGAAAACTCCTCCGAGACAGCAAGCCTGTAAAGGCAAAGCATTATCATTTGTAACAGGATTAATAACAACATGGGCTGGAAACAAACAGACACCACTGGATTACGTTTCCAGCCTCTTCAGGGAGACCATCGAGTTCAATGAAGGGTTTTATTTCTTTGTTTTTAAACAAGACAGCATCTCCCACCATGTGACACCAAGAACCCTCTCCAGGGAAATCAGTTCTTGTGCATTTGTCCTGCCAATGACAGGCAGCCTGAGGTACAGGGATTAAAACAGTTAGTCAGGAGAAGGTCCAGGAGGAATTTTACAATTCCAATTTAATAATAAAAAAAAAGAAAGAAGACCAAGGGTCTCCTGATTAAGCCTCAGCACTTTAAAAAGGGCTTAAGGGGATCAATATTCCCATGTCACAGTGCTCCTTAAGTTATTTTTTTAACCACTTGGGGCCTTGATTAAAAATGTGGACTCTGGCCCGGCGTGGTGGCTCACGCCAGTAATCCCAACACTCTGGGAGGCTGAGGCAGGCAGATCATTTGGGGTCAGGAGTTCGAGACCAGCCTGACCAATATGGTGAAAGCCCATCTCTACTAACCCATCTCTACTAAAAATACAAAAAAATTAGCCGGGCGTGGTGGCACATGCCTATAGTCCCAGCTACTTGGGAGGCTGAGACAGGAGAACTGCTTGAACTCAGGAGGTGGAGGTTGCAGTGAGCCAAGATCACACCACTGCACTCCAGCCTGGGCGACAGAGTGAGATTCCATCTCAAAAAAAAAAAAAAAAAAAAAAGTGGACTCCATGCCTGGAAAGGGTATGCTTAGAGATCTCCCCTTTTGACAAGTTCCTTTGGACTTCCTTACGCAACTGAGGTTGCCAAAGCACTGCCCTATTTCATTAATGCACTGCTGATATACAGCTAAAGTCAGAGAACGATTCATACTTTTCTTTTAAAACTAAGAAGATAAACTCAGTCACATTTGCACATAACTTGGAGACAAACATAGTTACCACGTTCATTAGTGAAGTCTCTGGCTTCCCAATTTTTTCAACAGATAGTTCATTATTTTGTAAAAAATTAAAAAGACATTGATTTTACATTTACTTCCTTTATTTCCTTTGGGGAAGATTGGCAGTGCAACATTTGGCAACAGAAAGAAGAGCTGTGAGTGACTGAGGTCCCATGGCAGTGAGTGGGTCCCACAGGGGATGAGTGAGTGAGGTCCCATGGCAGTGGACGGGTCCCATAGGGCGTGAGTGAGGTCCCATGGCGGTGGGCGGGTCCCATAGGGCGTGAGTGAGGTCCCATGGCGGTGGGCGGGTCCCATAGGGCGTGAGTGAGGTCCCATGGCGGTGGGCGGGTCCCATAGGGCGTGAGTGATAAGCGGGTCCCATGGTGGTAAGCAGGTCCCATAGGGCGTGAGGTCCCATGGTGGTAAGCGGGTCCCATGGTGGTAAGCGGGTCCCATAGGGTGTGAGTGAGTTCCCATGGCGGTGGGCAGGTCCCATAGGGTGTGAGTGAATGAGGTCCCATGGTGGTGGGTGGGTCCCAGAGGGGATGAGTGAGTGAGGTCCCATGGCGGTGGGCGGGTCCCAGAGGGGATGAGTGAGTGAGGTCCCATGGCAGTGGGCGGGTCCCATAGGGCATGAGTGAGGTCCCACGGCAGTAACCAGGTCCCATAGGGCATGAGTGAGTGAGGTCTCATGGCAGTGGGCGGGTCCCATAGGGCTTGAGTGAGTGAGGTCCCATGGCGGTGGGCGGGTCCCACAGGGCGTGAGTGAGGTCCCATGGCGGTGGGCGGGTCCCACAGGGCGTGAGTGAGGTCCCATGGCGGTAAGCGGGTCCCATAGGGCGTGAGTGAGGTCCCATGGCAGTGGGAGGCTCCCATAGGGCATGAGTGAGTGAGGTCCCAAGGTGGTGGGCGGGTCCCACAGTGGATGAGTGAGTGAGGTCCCATGGCGGTGAGTGGGTCCCACAGGGCATGGGTGAGTGAGGTCCCATGGCAGTGAGTGGGTCCCACAGGGCATGAGTGAGGTCCCATGGCAGTGGGAGGCTCCCATAGGGCGTGAGTGAGGTCCCATGGCGGTAAGCAGGTCCCATAGGGCGTGAGTGAGGTCCCATGGCAGTGAGTGGGTCCCACAGGGCATGAGTGAGTGAGGTCCCATGGCAGTGAGTGGGTCCCACAGGGCATGAGTGAGTGAGGTCCCATGGCAGTGGGCGGCTCCCATAGGGCGTGAGTGAGTGAGGTCCCATGGCGGTGAGTGGGTCCCACAGGGCATGGGTGAGTGAGGTCCCATGGCGGTGAGTGGGTCCCACAGGGCATGGGTGAGTGAGGTCCCATGGCGGTGAGTGGGTCCCACAGGGCATGGGTGAGTGAGGTCCCATGGCAGTGAGTGGGTCCCACAGGGCATGAGTGAGTGAGGTCCCATGGCAGTGGGCGGCTCCCATAGGGCGTGAGTGAGGTCCCATGGCGGTAAGCGGGTCCCATAGGGCGTGAGTGAGGTCCCATGGCAGTGAGTGGGTCCCACAGGGCGTGAGTGAGGTCCCATGGCGGTGAGTGGGATGTCACTCACTCACCTCTATGGGCTGCATAATTATGCAAAATGCAGGCATGCCCCAACCTTGAATCTTTCCAAACCTGGGACTGAGAAGGCCTAGAGGCAAGGGGAATCCAAGTGTACAGAACATGCAGGGGTGGGGTGCAGATTTGGCACCAGCCCAAGTCACAACAGCCTCAGATTCAGACTTCTGATCCTCTCTCCCAATGGAGTCCTGGAGCCTCACAGAGATCCAAACAATGGGATTGAAAGCAGAAGACATTCGTCACATAACTTTGAACATATATTCATTACCAGGCCACACCTATAATGTGCTATGTCTCCATATTTTTGTGACTCCTATTATTATCTTGTGAAAAGCATAACTGTATTCTATTATGTTTCCTTGTGTTAAAAAGCATCCAGGTCTTCAATGTAAATATTTAAAACTGTCTATGGTGTTTCTAACCCTATGTACTTTTTCACTTTTTAAATACACTGAAAGGCTCAAATTATGGAGGTAGCCACTCTTCTCTTAATCTCTGAGAGGCCCAACCTGCAGAGTGGCTGATGGAGCAAACCCAGCACAAGCGTGGTCCTCTATCTACCACAGGGGATGAGAGGAAATCTCCAGGCACTGGTGTCAGAAGAAGCAAGGGAGGGGGCCTCCCAATTATTAATAATATCTCCTTGCTTGGTGTCATGGCTGTCTTGCCTGCCCAGGGGCACCTATGGGCTGTGAATTAGACTGCTTCTGGGCATAGGGAGCAGAAACCAGGGGACAATTTACATGGAGAACTTCTCTGCTGGACACCAGGAGAGCCAGAGCTCAGGAAAATATAGCATCATGATCCAGAGGGTTTGCTTTTTAGTATTCCTCCTTCTGTCTCAATGGCCTTGCTGATAGGGGTAAACACACTACTATCAAGACGCTAGGAGGCCAGGGAAAGGGAACATTTACATCTAGCACCTAAGTGCTCAGCATTCTGCCAGGAGCCTCACAGTGCTGACATCTGACAGCCTCCCTGCCTGTTATCTGGTGATTCTCTTGGCCTCACCCCCACCCATTCTCACCCTCCAACCAGCTGACCCCTGTATACACCTGGCTTCCCTGCCTGCTGGCTTCACATTGGTTCAGCCAATCAGGCACCCAGTGGGGAACTGGAGGAAGGAAGAGAGAGGTCTGGGTATTTCTCTCTGGCTCCCTCTCTCACTGGGTGCCACATCTTTGGGTAACCTTCTTCCTTGACTATAGCTCCTTCTGGGCAGCTCCTCCTCCACTGTTCCAGGTCTCACTGCACTCCAGTAACTCTACTTCCTCCCCAGGCCCCTCAGCCTTAGAGGTGATAGGGCTTTTCCACTGCTGTTAGTGCCTTGGTGGATCCCTCAACCTCTATAATTATTCCTTTCATTAGGCTTCATTCAAACCATCTGAGGTGAATTGTTTCCTGCCAGGAGCTCTGATACCAACTCTCATTTTCAATGTAATTGCTTTCGCAATTGAGATGAAATGCACAGATGTGGGTCTATAAGCATGTGGGGGCATTTCCAAGAGTTTATTAACCTGGTATAAGTACTAGGTTAATAAAGAAGAGCTCACAAGGCTCATTCAACATCTGTGTGGCCTTGAACCCAACTCCAAATCCAACCAGATAACCGTGGCAATCCCAAGACATGGGTGTAGAGCCTCTAAATTCTGTCTGTAGTAGATGCACAGGGATTTTTTTTTTTTTACTCACCCTTGCTTTCTATCACATGCTTGCTAGTGGAAAAATCTCTGGGGGGCCTATAAAACATTTCAGCTTCTCTGGGGAGTAGAATCCACATGGAGGATAATGGTAATAGCTGCCTGTCACTGATCTTGTACATTGCACAACAGCCCTGTAAGGAAGCTTTCTTTATCTCCACCTAACAGATGAGCAAAAAGATTCACAGATGGATAAGCAACTTGCCTGGGCCTGACCTCACGGCTGTTCTTTCCTTCCCATTGCACTATTTCTTAAAAGAGGGAAATAGGATCCATGGTCTCCAAGTTACTCCTAAATTAAGCCTGGAGGGATAAAGCTCCCCAGGCAAATCATAAACACCAGGCTGGGCACGGTGGCTCACGGCTGTAATCCCAGCACTTTGGAAGGCCGAGGTGGGCAGATCACCTGAAGTCAGGAGTTCCAGACCAGCATGGCCAACATGGCGAAACCAAGCCTCTACTAAAAGTACAAAAACAAAAATTAGCTAGGTGTGGTGGCAGGCTCCTGTAATTCCAGCTACTCGGGAGGCTGAGGCAGGAGAATCACCTGAACCAGGGAGGCAGAGGTTGCGGTGAGCCGAGATCACACTACTGCACTCCAGCCTGGGTGACAGAGACTCTGTCTCAAAAAAAAAAAAAAAAAAAAACCTAAGAAAGAGAACTTAATTTCAAGGAACAACAGCTAGCTCAGAAAGTTCTCTACGATAGAAGTGAAAAACTGCATACAGTGTGTCCATGTGTATAACATGTATAGTATAATCTCATCGTGGATAATGTATGGATGTGTGATGTCTACAATGATTGTTTATGCACAAAACTTGTCAGCAATAGTTTTTTCTGGAAAGGTGAGAGAGCCATGCTCTCCTGCACAGTTTGAATTTTCTATCATAAGCATGAAACTTAATTTCTTATTTAAAGAATCAGAAAGGAAGAAGAGAGGGAAGAAGGTTAGTTTGTATGAACACTTAGACCAATGGTTCTCAACTTTCACTGCACACTGGAATCCCCTGGAACCAAGGGCAATCACCAGGGGAATCCTGAGATCTGCAGTTAATTAGTCTGGGGTATGGCCAGAGTGCTAGAATTCTTAAAACTCCCCCAGGTGATTCCAATGGGCAGCAAGGGTTGAGGACCACTGCATTATCAGTCAGGATAAAATTTAGACCAGAGGCGACAGAGCAGGTGTCTTAACTTTTGCATGCTCTGGACTCCCCCAGCAATCTGATGAAGCCCGTGGATGTTTCCTCAAAATAACATTTTTAAATGCATGAAATAAAACACCAAAGATTACAAGGCAAACAAATTAGATTTAGTTATCACAATATTTTTCCATTGTGATACGGTATGAGTGCTTCTTCATTAAGTTACACCAAGTAACAAGATCTAAAAATGGTTTTATTCTGTACCACCATTTTTAAGTAGTGATGAGTGTAAAAAATATTTAGAGATCTCTGCAACAACTGTAGTGCGATATGGATTTATTAATGACAAAGGTCAAGGTATTTCTAATATTACTTTGGTTTGTTCCCTATATTCACAATGGAAGAAAATGCCAAATTTCAGTTAGAACTCAGCGTCTATTTTTTTCCCATCCAAGCTTACGGACTGCCAGGCATAGACGTGGAAGGAGGAGGACAGGATGCCATCAGTGAACACAGTCATAGGACTTGCTCATCCCAACGCTGATTCTATTACCGGGTGTAAGACCTCAGACAGAAGGAAAGAGGACAACAAAACAAAAACAACTTCAATCACATGCTAATTTCCATTAGAGGCTGTTCCTTTTTTTTCTTTTCTTTTTTTTTTTTTTTATTAACTCTGTAAGGCTCCTTCAAGATACAAAAAAATGTACATTTCCTGATAACTACACTGTATATTTTAATTATGGCAATATTTTTCAAGTACAACTTCATGTGAAAAGATCTGTGTTTCTTCCACTAAAAAGATTCAACTGTGTTATCTGCCTCAAGACATCCATCACATGAATGCCAATATCTTAGGATTTAAAAGGGGGCTTTTTGAAACTTTCTAAGTATTTAATCAATAGGTTCCTTTTCATATAGAGCTACACTGCCTGCATAGACCGTGAACATGTTTTTTCTTTAATCTAAATTTGAAATAGCATTTACTATGTACTGAGCAGCTATTAGACTTCCGTTACAGCACTGGGTTCTTTTCCCAAATCACAGTATTCTAATGCTCACATCCATGCTGTACCATTATCCCATTTTACTAATAAAGAAACAAAATGACTAAGAACTTCAAAACAGTCTGATGGTACAAAATCACTCTCTCAGGAAAAAAGAAAGAGAGCGAGAGAGAGCAGGAACCCAAACTACATTAACATTCATGTTGAAATTCCAGTTATAAATTAAAAGGGTTTTTTTTTAACTAAACAATAAAATATTTTCTTCGAGTGGAAAGGGACCACCACACCCACTTATACTAGCAACAGACTAAGCTAAGAAACTCAAAGACCTACTTTTCTTCATAGCCATACTTTTCTAATGACTCCAGAGTGACTTTTTAAATTCCTTCCATTCATGAAGTAATACAACACTCCAATGAAATGCAGAAGAGAATGGCATCCTCAGACCCAGCATGCAGGCACATGGCTGCGGAAGAGCGGTGGCCAGTCCCCAGGGCTGAAAGAAACCCAGCTGCCAATGCCGGTACCCAGCGATCCAGGAAGCCCTGGTCTATGTAAAGCAGCAAACAGGTTAGGGAGGTTCCCCAGGCCCTCTCACATCCATTAGAAACAACAGCAGCATTATCTTCAAACAGTAAGGTTCTCATTCCATAACTACCAGAGAGCTTTTCAAATGAGCCTAATCAATTTTTTTTTTTTAAATAGGGTCCTGCTGTGTTGCACAGGCTGGAGTGCAGTGGTGCTATCATAGCTCACTGCAGCCTCAACCTCCTGGGCTCAAAAGACACTACCACCTCAGCCTCCCAAGTAACTAGCACTATAGGCTCATGACACCACACCTGGCTAATTTTTGTATTTTTTTTGTAGAGACGAGGTCTCACTATGTTGCCCAGGCTGGTCTGGAACTCCTGGGCTGAAGCAATCCTCCCACCTGGGCCTCCCAACATGATGGGATTACAGACATGAGCCACCGCACCTGGCCTACTCAAACGTTTTCATTCTCAATGTTCTCAAGACTCATTTCCTTTTACTTAATATATGCAATGGGGTAGGAGGTATACAATGGCATTATTTCTTAAATTTTTTGTCTCCTATGAAATTAAGGCATTTAATGGGGATGGGGAGGCTCATAATGAATGAGTTATTTCAACATCAGCCAAACACCACACTTAACTAAGAATGCCCAAAACTCTCCTTAAAGCAGAATAAAGACTGGAGTAAAGAACTCATGAGAGAGATCACAGAGAAAAGACCAGGCTAACCAAAATCAAGGACACCTTAAAAAACAGTCTAACAGTAAGTCTCAGCAATGCACATTTTGTTCTCATCTTTGTTTTCCAGCAGGGTGGAAATGTACAAGAGTGAGCGTGAAGAGATTGGGGGTTGGGGGAAGGTGTTAGGAAGGAGACAGAACTGGCATTTAGTAAGTCCTAGCAAGTTTAAGGGACTTTCATGTGTTTCATTAATTTTTCCCACAACCTCACCAGATAGATTAGCACCTCTTCAACTTTAAAATAAAACTGGAAATCAGAGAGGTTAAGCAACTTGCCCAGAGGCACACAGCTATAAAGAGCAGAGTCAGAATTAGAAGGCAGGTCAACCTGTCTCAGGGCCTCACTCTTTTTCCTGCCCCTCACTCCTCGGATCTTGTTAGTTATTTTCAGTTCAAATGTCAAGGCTCAGGAAAATTGCATCCCAGGTTCTCTTTTTTTGAGACGGAGTCTCGCTCTGTCGCCCAGGCTGGAGTGCAGTGGCACAACCTCGGCTCACTACAGGCTCCACCTCCTGAATTCAAGCAATTCTCCTGCCTCGGCCTCCCAAGTAGGTAGGACTACAGGGGCCTGCCACCATGCCCAGCTAATTTTTTGTATTTTTAGTAGAGATGGGGTTTCACCATGTTAGCCAGGATGGTCTCAATCTCCTGACTTCGTGATCTGCCTGCCTCAGCCTCCCAAAGTGCTGGGATTACAGGCGTGAGCCACCGCGCCCAGCCCGCATTCCAGGTTCTTTAAACACACACACACACACACACACACACACACAGAGAGAGAGACACACACACACCTTACTTTGGTTATAATTCCTTGGAAGGAAGGGGAAAACATCAATGCATATCCAAGAAGTCAGAGAGGAGGGGAAAAAAAGAGCAAACAGCCCAATTTTCCAAAAGACCAAGGTGGGGGTTGGGATGGATTCCAGAAAATGGAGACATTGGTGAGGATTCAAGTTCCACAAGTATTCAGCAAATGGTTTGTGATCACTTTTAAAAGGTGGTCTGCACAGCAGAATGAATTTAGAAAGAACCAAGCAGGCCAGCGTGACCTCATGCCTGTCCGTATTGGAGGAGACCCCTTGTTTGGTCAGAACACAGGGCATCTGTTTCCACAAGCCATAAGGCCCGTTTCCCACATCATGACATCATCACTCCAAAGGACTCACCCAGCAGCCGTCCAAGCCAGTACCTTCCAAAATGATTTTGGTCCCATAGCTCACCAGTCAAAAATGAGCATGCATCCCTAATATATATGACTTATTTTAAAATTAAAAACATGTACTACTGCCAACTTATAAATATGAGTACAGTTTAAGACCTTACTTTTTAGGGAAGAAAATATATATAAATTAAAGCTTTTACATTTTCTTCCCATTCCCCAAAGGATTATACTGAGCACCAAATGTTCGAACTTAGTGCGTGATATGGTTTGGATCTGTGTTCCTGCCTGAATCTCATGTAGAATTGTAATCCCCAGTGTTGGAGGTGGGGCCTGGTGGGAGCTAATTGGATCAGGGGGGCGGAGTTCTCATGAATGGGTTAGCACCATCCCCTAGGTGCTATTCTCCTGACAGTGAGTAAGTTATTGTGAGATATTGTTGTTTAAAAGCATGTAGCACCTCCCGCCTCTCTCTTCCTCCTGCTCTGGCCATGGGAAGTGCTGGCTTCCCTTCACCTTCTGCCATGATGGTGAGTTTCCTTGTACCTCCCCAGAAGCCGAGCAGATGGCCAGCATCATGCTTCCTCACAGCCTGTGAAACTGTAAGCCAATTAAACCTCTTTTCTTTATAAATTACCCAGTCTCAAGTATTTCTTTAGAGCAGTGCAAGAACAGACTAATCCAGTGACCTTGATGCCACACAGTGGTTGCTTGGAGCCCAGTGAGCTTCATCTTCAACCGGCATCCCTGACACACCTTGTCCTGGCCTCTACTCCCAAGGCTGATGGCCTGCTCTTCCTCCCTGAGCATCCCAGAATCACTTCTTTCCATTTCCTCCCCCAGCATAGCCTTTCCCTCCTAAATTCCCTCACCTCCCTGAACTTGTTACAATGTCTTCTTCTCCCCCACATCCCTATCTTCTCACTGTAATAATTACCCAGCAAAATCCTTACGTGGTAACAGAAAACTGTGCCTTCATTTCATAGTCTGCCTTCTCTTCTGCATTCAGGCGGTTCAATAGTACCAGAAAGATTAAATGAATACACAGTAACCACATAAACATTGTTACCAGGTTACTGCACACCCTCCTCTTCCACAGGTCTTCTAACACAGTAACTAGGATTTTTCTTGTCTTCAGCCAGCTCCATTTCCCTTTATCCTCAGCCAACCATTCCAGCCCAGCACCACCCTTCCACCCCTCTATTTCCAGGCGCCTGCCTGATGTTCCTCATCCATCCACTCAACCATTCCTTCATTCATTCCAACGCTTCCCAGGCATCCAGGATGCGCCGAGCGCGGTTTCAGCTCACAGTGAATCCTACATCCTAGGAAACAAGAACATGTCAGGAGTTGGGAAGATCATGAAAACAAAGCTCCCTGTTACAAAATAGGCAGCAAGCAGGGGCCAGAGATACAACCCACTTCACTCCCTGCCCACTTCTGCCCTCTCCAGTGCTTTCTCAAATTGAGATATTAATAAAATCCACAAAACACAGAATCAGTCTTTAACAGTAAACAAACTTAGCGGCATTGAGTATGTTCATCATGTTGTGTGACCATCACCTCTATCTAGTTCCAAAACATTTATATCACCATCCCCCCACCAAATAAAACCCAGATCCATCAAGCATTCTCCCCATGCCCCTGCCCCCAGCAACACTAATCAGCTTCCTGTCTCTGCGGGTTCACCTATTCTGTGTATTCCATGTCAGTGAGTCATCCGCTACCATTCCAATTCAGAAACAGCCCTGCCTCCCTTTGGTGCTCTCCCAGCCTCCTTGAGGAGGGCCTGTCTCACATTTGTCCTCCCACCCCCATGCCCCCTCCGGCCTGTATCTCTAAAATCTCGGAACAGGCTCTCTAAACCTTTGAGCAATTCTATCACTCTTGAAAAAAACCAAAACAGGACCAGGTGCAGTGGTTCACACATGTAATCCTAACACTTTGGGAGGTCAAGGCAGGAGGATCAATTGAGGCCAGGAGTTTGAAACCAGCCTGGGCAACACAGTGAGACCTTGTCTTTATCCCGCCCCTTCTCCACAAAAAAAGAGTTAAAAAACAAAAAACAAACAAAACAAACACTTCCCTGACATTTCTTCCTCTGTCAAGACAGCCCCAACACCTTCCTTCCCTTCTCAGCTTCTGATTCATTCCATGGGATTTGCAACTTGCCAAAACCAATAAAAACGCAGAAGGCCTTGGCTCCCCAGTGCCCTTTGGTCATGTGAAGCATGTGACCTCAGATAATTATTGGTTTTGCCCCTCTGTGCCTCAGTTCACTCATCTGTAAAATGGAGATCCGAGTAACACTTACCTCACTGGATTTGTATGATGAATCAGAACTACCTGAGTGCTCACAAATGTCCCCAGCACACTGTGAGGGCTCCAGTGTTGTCACTATGGTCAAAATGATCTGTCCCATAAAACCCATAGGCCTGCTCCACTCAGGCGGGGCCGGGCCTTTCTGGCCATTGGTTCTCTTTGGCTCAGCCTGTAAATGCAGAAATTTTCCAAGAATTGGCTCTTCCAGGTTAACACTCTTTTCGGGGTGGTATCATCTGGTCTCCTGACTTTAACCACCATCAATGCCAACAACACCTAAACCACAGGGCCCACCTTTCCCCTCTCAGGCTCAGCACAGCTTTGCACTCACATGGGAACACCTGGGCAATGCGTCAGTAACCTCAGGAGGCCCTGAACTATGCAAGACCAGAATTAAGCGTCAGCCTCCCCTTGCACTCCTCAGCCACCTCTCCTCACTCGCTCCACTTCAAGTTCCCCTGCTCTCCCTTGGGGACCACTGAGGTACCCTGCCCTGCCACCCCACCTCCTGAGCCAGGCTTGCTCCTATTCCCTCCTTTTCACACTGCAAGCAGAACAGACCATCTGAAAACCAAATCTGCCCAAGCCATGCACCTTTCAGGTGCTCTCCACTGCTCTCAGGAGCAAGTCCAAATGCATTCCAAAGGAAGGCTTTTCCTGACCTCGCCCCATCCCCAGCAGCTCCTGCTCTGTCCTCTAGGCTCTGGGAATGCTGACTGCTGCCAGCAATGCTGGAGTTGAACCACATGGCCCCTGCTGGCAATGTCTTTCCCATCCCATTCTTCCAAATTCCGCATATCTTTCAAGGCTCAGTTCAGCCACCACCACCTCAAGGAAGCCTTTTCTGATGCCCTAGATTGGACTAAGCCCCCTCCCTGCCTGCAACTCACTGACATTAGTGTGAGTCTGTTTTCCTCATTAGGCTGTAAGCTCCCCGAAGACCTTGTTTATTTCCTCCATCTACCCATTCATCTACCCATCCAGCCACCCACCCACCCACCCATTCATCCACCCACCCATCTATCCATCCACTTACCCATCCAACTATCCATCTATCTATTCAACAAAAATGTCCCAAGAGCCTACATTAGGCTAAGCAATAGGAATATAATAGCTAATAAGACAGACAAGGTTGCTGCCCATCAATGGAGGCAGACAAAAACATGTGACCACCACATCCCCCCATATCAGTCCATTTTTCTGCTATAACAATACCACAGACTAGGTTATTTATAAAAATAGAAGTTTATTTGGCTTATGGTTCTGGAGGCTGAGAAATCTAAGAGTGTGGTGCTTGGCATCTGGTGAGGGTCTTCTTGCTGTGTCAGAACATGGTAGAAAAGCATGTGAGACCGAGAGGGAAGTGGGCTGAACACATCCTTTCTATCAGGAACCCTAGATAACTCTCTCAATAACTAACCCATTCCCTGGATAACAGCATTATCTCTTCATCAGGGCAGTGCCCTCATGATCTTCCCGTTTTTAAAGGCCTCACTTCTTCATTCTGCTACAATGGCAGTTAAATCACAACATTTGTTTAGGAGGGAATATTCAAACCATAGCACCTCCACAGCAGCCACACAGTGTGGGTTCTGGAGCTAGGTTCCCTAGGTTGAAATTCTGGCTCCTTCACTTGTTAGCTACGAAACCTGGGGCAAATTACTTAACCTCTCCGTGCCTTAGTTTCCTCCTCTCTCTAATCAGAACAGTAGTGCCCAGCTAGCACTTTTTTTTCCTGCTAATTCATTTTGCTAATGTATTTCATGAATAGATAAATCAATGGAAAGTATCCAGAACACTGCCTGGTACAAGTTAGCTATTCTCCGATTATTGGAGCAATGGGACTGCTTATGACATGGCCCCACCCTGGATGTGGGCACAGGTGTTATATTAACCTTTGTGCCCTGTTTCTGATATAAAGTACTCATCAAATGTTTACTGAGTCACACTGGTAAGCCCTACAAGAATGGCTCATTGGCTCGGCATTAAAGACTTTTAGAGCTGGCAGTCACGCTGGATAACATCTGACCCAACTCGCCCACTTTTGTGGAAGACACAGAGGCTCACAAAGTGGCAGGGAAAGCGTCAGTCCCCAGATCTCCTGACTTGCCAGCCAGTGCCTTGTCCCCCATTCTAAGCAGACTTGTGGCGCCCACAGCAGCACAGCTGCTCCACATCGTCCCATCTCTCCTTTCCCACGGTGGAACGGCCACAGCTCCCACACCCAGGCCGCCTCCTTCTCTGTTGGCTTTGCCTTCTCATGCCTCTCTTTTTTCTTTTTCTCCCTGTTTTGTAGCCAGTGGTTCTCCTATTTCCAGGGGGAGAGCTGACCATTCATAAAGACAGCCAGAGATCATTGTCCTCTTCAGGGAGTGGCTCACACAACCCAGTGGGGCAGGTGCAGGCCGTGAGCCCCCAAGTGCCTCTCCAGGTCCTGCTGGTCACTCCTGATGGAGGAAGGACTTTTTCTTCATCACCAGCAAGTTTCACTTTACCTACTTTAGGATTCATGCTTTTACAGGTGTTCCAAGAGTCAGAAGGCAGGTCCTCCCTAAACCTGGGTGTAGAAGGAAGGCCACATAACAACTCTCAACTAAAAGCTGTTCTCGAATGGCCAGCAAGTGCATAACCAGCACCCCTCCCTCTGCTTGCTCTGGGTTGCCAGCAGTGGCCTGGCCTGTGGATGGCATGTCATCCTCTGGCACTGCTTACCTGATGACAAGTGGTAATCTAGCAGGGCTGTTTTACAGTCTTTGGTATTTACAGAACCACTCTGTTATGAAACTTTTGATTTTGCACCTCAGCTGGCTTAGAAGGCTGCAAGAGAACATGACACTGCGAACAAATAATTCCTGCGATACTGTGCGAGGTTTTTCATTCCTTTTCATGGCTGGGCTGTAATATCATTTATAAGAACCCTGCGCTTCATCTGTCTTCATGTCTGAGCCTCCGCTGGGTGTGTTTGCATGCCTGTGTCTGAAGCTCACAGAGGTACAAAGGCTTGTCACAAGCCCCAGTGTGGCAAAGCAGTGTATTTGAGGGCTGGGATTTTTACCTTAACATCTCAGAGTAAGATTATACCATACACAAAATTGCCTCATTGATAGCAGCCACGGCCAGAGTGCTAAAAACAAGAGTAGTAAATTTGTATCTACACACCTTACTATTAAAGAATTCATCTACCATTCTGGATCTTAACAGCCACAGGCTATGAAGATGTTTGCCCTGGATATGAGATTCTGTGACTCTTACTCCGTCTTTCTTATAAATGCTAAAGCAGACCCATTCTTTTAAACAAACAATGGAAAACCATTTTTATGAAGGAAGAAACTGTCTTTCCAACAAAACCCTTTCCATGTTTTTACATGAAAGAAGATCTCTAGTAGACATTTCTCTGGCCAAAAAAACCTTTCGCCTAGCCTTAGAGAATTTCTCTTCGGCTGTATTCTTAGAGCAGAACTCATCTTCAGAAGGTTCTTCCATCTGTGCCTTACCAATTCATTTGCAGACAGAGTGGCCTGATCTAACAGCATGTAATGGAAAGTAGGCACAATTTAAGATCAGAGACCTGCATTTAACCCCCAATCTGTACCTTATCAGTAGGGGGACCATATATCCCCTTTTATGCCTGTTATCCCAGCATAATCATCAATAGCACCCCTCTTCACTCTCAAAAGCATCCTGATTTGGATGATAAATTATATGACCACCTTGCTTATTATGTGAGTCACCCCAGACAACATACTTCACTTTCCCTCATAAGTTTCACGTTTGTCCGGTGAAAATAAGGGAAGCTAATATACATGGTTATCCCAAGCATGACATTAGACAGTGTGCACAAGACACGGTAACAGGAGGACCCAGTATTCCCAGTACACCAGCTACCATGCCCAAAAGGTCTGTTCTCAGAGAGAAAGTATTCATCTGCATGTGTGAGGTCCTCACCTTTTGGTTGTCAAGTTGAAGACAGGACCTATATTTTCCACTTTCTACTGTGATATGGTCTATAAAATGGTAATGGGATCTATCCGTGTCCAGCAGCTGCACAATTAATTCTGTCATCCATCTGACCAGAAGATGGACCACACATGGGTACTTTAACTCCTACACTTTAGACCTTCTGGACTTTATTTATGCTCTCCACAAAGTAGGATTAAAATATGAAACAGTCTGAGTGAATGTGGTTCAGAGTGGGGGAGGGGAGTGGTCAGAGATCCTACAGACTGAATCACTAACTCTTAGCGAGTAAATTTGGTGAATTTCTTGCTTTCTCAAGCCAAAAAAAAAAGGGCAATGATAGAAGAACAGCTTCTTAATAAAATTATGTTAGGTATCTCACTTTAAAAATTAGGCCTAGGTCAGACTCACCTCTATAATCCCAGGACTTTGGGAGGCTGAGGTGGGAAGATCACTTGATCCCACGAGTTTGAGACCAGTGACCAGTGACCAGCGCCACTGCCCTCTAGCCTGGGCAAGAGAGCAAGACTCTGTCTCAAAACAAAAAAAAAAAAAACAGGCCTAATTGTGCCAACAATCTTGAACACAAATCTGTAATATCAATCAGTGACTCAGAAAGCAACATAACTTTGCTATTTCCATTTGCAAAAAAAAAAAAGAAAAGAAAGGCGAGATGCTATCCCTTCATTGATAAACTTGTTAAATACAAATACATTATCTTTAAACAGTAAGAATATAATGTAATGTAACTGCCTCAATAATAAAACTGACCAATAACATAGAAAAATGAAGCAGAAAAAAAAAATAGAGACTATTCTAGTCCAAGCTTCAGCGTTAATATTTTTTTAAACAAAGAACGAAAAATTATTATTCCCATTATCTTTTCATATGGTTATCCGAGGGATTTGTGTTGAATACAAGAAATCCCTCCCCGCTCTGACTTCTAAAGAAACAGGAAGGAAATGTTCAGCATTTTCATGCTCTAAATATAGCTACAAGTGGAAAGAGATGCCCATGGCAGCACAGCAATGACTTCAAGTCTGCAGCCTGACGAGGTGCAGTACAATAAGCTCTTCTGTGGACAGAGTCATTTCCTATCAAGAGAAGTTTCCAGAAACAGAAAAGGGCTGACTCCACTCTCAGAAATCCAGGTACAGCAGCGGCAGAGCACCCTCTGGGCTGGACTCACTGAGTGGCAAGCGGGAAGCCAAGAGGAAGTGCATTCCTATGGCGCTGACTACCTCCAAGCCAAGCCCCAATTCCTAGGGGATGCCCCTCTGTCCAAAGCCATACGCCAACAGGAAAACACCCCTGGCAACCATGTGCACAACATATTTCTTGGGCAGAGACCTATTTCTTAGAGTGCTGTTGTCGATGATATAACCTTAAAGCATACCAAGAGGAAAACAGGGGGTTAATGTGTATTTAGGGCATTTTCCTGCAGAATGTCTGTGGGTTTTCTCCACTTGAAAAACTGAAACTGAAGCTGAAATCAGACTTCTGTTTAGGATTCAGATAATTAGGACATTTGGCTTTAAATGAATCACATACCTTGTAGTGACAGATATGGCCTTGCTAGAGGAACGTTCTGACAAACTTGCCTCCCTGGATATGATAAACCAGTGAGCCAAGAATAGAGCTCAATTCTTTGACCAGGTCTAAGATAAAAAGTTGGAGATAAGCCCACACCCACTCTACAAACGCACCTGACAGCCTTGGAGAAAGCCCAAGTCAGGAGGAGGTCAACTCTTGATGAAGAGGAGGGAAAGGGGAGCAGTGGGTGTGCAGGGTCTAGAACACACCACAATTCTACTGTACCCCTTGGCAAACTAGGGGCAGCCTATGGACTCCTTCTCAGAAAGACTTTTTTAATGCATAAAATAAAATACACAGGACTGCAGAGGAAATCAATGATATTGAAATACTGTTACCAAAATATTTTTTATATTTATTTATTTATTTTATTTATTCATGTATTTTGAGACAGAGTCTCACCCTGTTGCCCAGGCTGGAGTGCAGTGGTGCAATCTCAGCTCACTGCAACCTTTGCCTCTGGGATTCAAGTGATTCTCCTGCCTCAGCCACCCTAGTAGCTGGGATTACAGGCACCCGCCACCACGCTCAGCTAATTTTTTATTTTTGGTAAGAGACAGGATTTTGCCATGTTGGCCATGCTGGTCTCAAACTCCTGGCCTCAAGTGGTCCGCCCACCTCGGCCTCCCAAAGTGCTGGTATTACAGGCATGAGCCACCGCGTCTGGCCCCCCAATTTTTTTTTTAATTGGTAAATGGCAATACCTGCAGCTTGTATCTTAACACATTAAATAATACTATCTAGCAACAGGTGCAACAACCACCGTAATTTCAAAGTGGTGATGAATACTGGTATTTCAACACACCTGTTAATCATCTCTAATGTGACATGAAAATATTAGATTTCTATTGGTGACAAAGTCACAAACAGCACTAATACTACTGTGACTTATGTCCAACCTTCCAAAGTGAAAGAATTGCCAAATTTTGGCTAGAAGTTAGGGAAAATGAAAGTGTAATATTTTCCCATGCAAGTTCACAGGTTTCCCTGAAACCTTGTGCAGTTATGAAACTCATGTGACAACCTAATTTTACCTTCCATTCCTGCAGTTTTTCCAGAATAATGCAGAGACCTACACGGGAGCCATGGCCCAGCAAGAGCCAAAAACTACCTGTATGCATGGGAGGGTGGAGGTTGTACAACAAGGACAGTCCACCACCCATGGCTGTGGCTCGGGGAGGAGCACTATGGGACCAATATCTCTATTTCTGCTATACCCCACATGTGGGCCAAGGTTTCTTTTTTTTTTTTTTTTTTTTTTTTGAGATGGAGTCTCACTCTGTTGCCAGGCTAGAGTGCAGTGGCGCGATCTCGGCTCACTGCAACCTCCATCTCCCGGGTTCAAGCAATTCTCCTGCCTCTGCCTCCCAAGTAGCTGGGACTACAGGCACGTACCACTATGCCCAGCTAATTTTTGTATTTTTAGTAGAGACAGGGTTTCACCATGTTGGCCAGGATGGTCTCAATCTCTTGACCTCGTGATCCGCCCGCCTCTGCCTCCCAAAGTGCTGGGATTACAGGTGTGAGCCACCGCACCAGGCTGGTTTGCTTTCTTTAAAAATGCTTCACATTAAAAGTATTAATTCAGCTGAATCATTAGTCTAGAGAAAAAACATTACTTTACAATTCATTTCCCCTAGTGCAATGTTCTAAACCCTATCAGTCCCAAAGCCCCTGGGGCTTACAGTGAACTTATAACACTCTCTTTACTATCTGAACCAAATGCTCAGATAACCTACCTAAACACAATTTCAAACATATACATTTAATGTCCTAAGATTGACAGAAAAGACAATAAAGGAAAGTAATTTATGACAAATCTAATGTATTTCAATATGCAATTAGCTGGGCCAGACCACTCTAAAAGACATAATGGAGCCATTAGATGCCTTCATTTTAATGTGAAATTTTTAAAATGTGTCATGTCAGCTACAAAGATGGACTGATACAGGTGATGTGCTAATTCTACAGGTAACATGAGTTTCCAAAATGGTAAATTTCCTAACAAAAGAAAGCACAACCTTTCTTCATTAACTGGAAACGTCGATGTTTACTTAAAATGTGCAACGATTATTTGCTTATACCTAAGTTAGGTCTAGGTTCAGATTTTGCTTGTCCATGATTGTCTAGTGGGTAACAGGAAACATTTTGTGATACACAACTGTGCTACCCATTACAGATGTTTAGCATCCCTGGTCCCCAACCAATAAATGCTAGTAGCTCTCCTCAATCACTGACAATCAAAATTGCCCCCCCAAATTGCTGATATGCCCCCAATAACATTGTAGGGCCTGGGACTAGACCAGAGTCCTCTCTCCAGGTACCACGCCCTGCCCACCCCTGGGTGATCTCAAGCTGGGCACTGAGGGAAAACCAGAACTGGCATTACAAAAGAAAGATCAGCCTTATTGTGTGGCTTACACCCTGTAACAAATCCCCTTACTCAGAGTTCTGCCCTTGGGACAGGAAAAGCAGAATAGGCAGGGAGGAGAATTAAGCAGCCAGACACATGGAAGCAGAAAGGAGAGCAACAAGGATTTGTGGGGTTCCTAGAGCCTCGATCCCAGGCTGCAGGGGGCTCCTGGACCCTATTCCTGTGTTCCTAATGTGAGTTCTCTCCTTCCACTGAAGCAAGGTCTGGCAGGTTTCTGTTGCTAGCACCCAGAAGAATCTTTATTAATTAAAGGCATCCAACCACCTAGAAGGACAGCCATCCATCTGAACAAAGGGCAGCAGCTAACATCAAAAACGCTTAGGAGTGAAACCATCCCCACAGGGTTGATAAGAATTGCATGCCAGGTTCTGGACTGAAATATGGTTACAATGAAGCACTAGTCAGGCTGCACCTTGGCCCGCTTCCCTGTTGCTAAAAGTCACATAGCACTAGATAGTGGCCATTTGCATCCCCATTGTTCCTATGAGTAGGATTTCTGATATTGGGGTCCTAAGACAGTTTAGGAATTGATTTGCATCCCCATTGTTCCTATAGACAGGATCTCTGACAGTAGTATCATAAGGTCTTTTTTTTAAAGGATGGCTTAAAATGTTTTCAGACCCTGAATGCCAACAACCAGTTTGAAGACCCCCACAGAGGAACGGATCAGCATGAGAATGCAGGTGGTTCACCTCCCTGTCCCATGTTCACCCTGCATTTTTCGACCAATCAACAACCGCCAAGCCTGCCCCTTTCCAAAACCCTTAAAAACTCTAACCCAAACTCCTCAGAGAGATGGATTTGAGGTTTCCTCCCCTCTCATTCGGTGGCCCTTTGATTAAACCTTTCTCTGCTGCAACCCAGTTTCTCTACATATTGACTTGATGTGTGCAATGAATCTATTAAGATTACAGGATAACCTATTCTAATGTCAATAAAAGGACCCTATTTGGGGGATTTTTCTCAGATTTTACCTAAGCTCTTCATGCTGTAGTTTAAGCTCATTTATTTTGATTCCATTCTCACTGACAATAAATAAATGGGCCAGGGACCATCCTTCACCTGGCATTTCAGATTCTACAAAGACATATCCAGATCCCTCTGAAGTTTTTCTGCCTCAGCTCTTTCTCATCAATCCCATGAGCCATGCAACATAAATAACAATGTTGTCCTTTCTTGACAGGCTTGGAAAAATGAAGGTATTGGAGAAATTTGGCCTTTAAGGAGCCAATTAAATCTGAGTTTTAAAAAAATTCCAAAGTCTTTTCAACCACAGAAGTCCATGATTTAATGTCTCTAAATTTTATTCTGCTCAGATATAATACCACCCTAATTCAGAAATGTGGCAATAAGGCCCAGCTGCCAGAAAGGTGGTGTAAGAGAAGCTAGGATCACTGTTTCTTTGCCTTTCCCACTAATGGACTCCATTATATCACCAAAAAAGGCACTGCCGGGATCTAATGAATAAATAACTAGCACTTGAATGGAATTTGTGCCCATTTTAATTCCAGTTAGTTTCCACTAGAAAGCCTTATTTAAAAATAAATTAAGAAGGGGGGGCATAACACTACTTATAATGAAACAATTTAGAAATGCTTGAAAAGTTTCCTATATAAGCCAATCGGGTGTAATGTTAGATGGCAAGGACCTAATTGTTGATTCCAAGTAAACAGAGAAGGGTGAGTTTTCACATCTGCCACATGTGTTCACTGTCATTTCTACAAGGGTATGAGGAGACCAAAGGGTCACTTGAACAGGGTCTTCCAAACAGAAGGTCACAACTAACTGATGGGTTATGAAATCCATTCAGTGCAAAGGTCAGAAAACTTTTTCTTCTCGGGCCAGAGAGTAAATACTTGAGACTTTGTAGGCCAGGTCATCTCTTATCAGTCACAACCACTGGCCTCTGCCATTGTAGTGTGAAAGTAGCCATAAACAACAGAAGAACAAATGGGATTGGGTATGTGCCAATAAAACTTTATTTACAAAATAGGCAGCCAGTCACGTGCCGCCTGACCTCTGACCAAAATTTTTTAAGACAATGAAATAGGACAAAATAGAAAACACCAGAGGCCACGATAAAGGTTAAGTACTTTTTATGAAACTTTTCTTACTGTTACCTACTTCCATATGTGAGCTCTGATTCAGCATGTATTTCTTACTCCAGGGTGGGGTCAAAAGCCACCATATTACAAGATAAACAGTTTCAGAAAGGAAAACTAGTCTGTTTCTGAGTGTAATTGGTAAAAATATAAAGGATTTTAATGGTTTTCTAAAAAGGGAAAAAGGGGCAGATACAATGGCCAAGTTCTTGAACTTAAGTACAATCTTAAAAGAATATTAGTTACAAGTAACTAACAAAAAGATTTTTAAAAGGACACTAAAATTACTTTCTACACTATTCAAACATCTGATACGAGCTGTGCATCAGTTAACCACTGCTCTATAGCAAACTTACCCCAAACTCAGTGGCTTACAACAACCATGGATGATTTACACATCTCTACAGGTCAGCCAGTGGGTGATTCAGGTAACCCTGGCCGACCTAGACCTGCTCAGGAGACAGCACACAGCTGACAGGTCAGATGGCATTGGCTGGTCTATGATGAAATCGGCAAGCACAAACCTGGCCCCCTCCACTGGGCTAGCCTGGGCACGATCTCATGGAGGTGGCGGGGTCTGAAGGTGCAAGCCCAGTCCTGTAAAAGGATATCAGAAACAGCCTCTTTTTACAACTCTGTTTATACACAGCATGTGCTAACATCCCACTGGCCAAAGCAAGTCACATAGCCAAAAGGGGGCGGGGGACCAGGGTGGGGGAAGAAGGAAGGAGGAAGAGAACCTGCAAAGTTATAGGGCAAAGAGTGTGGATAGTGGATACAGGGAGTTCAGGGAGGCCATTAACAGAGGCCAATAGTAAAAAAAAAAAAAAAAAAAAAAAAAAAAATCAATCTACCACAGGCAAATATTTATCGTGTATCATCATCACCCTGGCAGAAGCAGAGAGGTTTTACATTATTTTAACGTTTTCCATTACCATTTCTCACTGTGTTTTTGCCTTATCGCTTGTAAGGCAGAAAAGCAGAGTGAAAAGAATACTAATTTCGGGAATTCAGCCTTTTGTACCCTGGCTCTGCCAGTTCTGGCTGTGTGACCCTGGGCAAGTTTCCTTTGCACCTCGGTTTCCCCACTGTAATAGTAGTGTGGCCCGAATTGGTGGGTTCTTGGTCTCATTGACTTCAAGAATGAAGCCGCGGACCCTCGCGGTGAGTGTGACGGTTCTTAAAGGCAGCGTGACCGGAGTTTGTTCCTTCTGATGTTCGGACATGTTCGGAGTCTCTTCCTTCTGGTGGGTTTGTGAGCTCGCTGGCCTCAGGAGTGAAGCTGCAGACCTTCCCAGTGAGTGTTACAGCACATAAAGGCAGTGTGGACCCAAAGAGTGACCAGCAGCAAAATTTATTGCAAAGAGCAAAAGAACAAAGCTTCCACACTATGGAAGGGGACCCCAGGGGGTTGCCAGTGCCAGCTCAGGCAGCCTGCTTTTATTCCCTTATCTGGCCCCACCCACATCCTGCTGATTGGCCCATTTTACAGAGGGCTGATTGGTCCATTTTGACAGAGTGCTGATTGGTGCATTTACAATCCTTTAGCTAGACACAAAAGTTCTCCAAGTCCCCACTAGATTAGCTAGACACAGAGCACTGCTTGGTGCGTTTACAAACCTTGAGTTAGACACAGAGTGCTGATTGGTGCATTTTTACAATCCTTTAGCTAGACACAAAAGTTCTCCAAGTCCCCACTAGATTAGCTAGACACAGGGCATTGATTGGTGCATTTACAAACCTTTAGCTAGACACAGAGTGCTGATTGGTGCATTTACAACCCTCTAGCTAGACATAAAAGTTCTCCAAGTCCCCACCAGATCAGCTAGATACAAAGTGCTGATTGGTGCATCCACAAACCCCGGAGCCAGACACAGAGTGCTGATTGGTGCATACACAATCCTCCAGCTAGACATAAAAGTTCTCCAAGTCCTCACTTGACTCAGAAGCCCAGCTAGCTTCGCCTAGTGGATCTGTGCCAGGGCCGCAGGCAGAGCTGCCCACCAATCCCACGCCCCGCGCCTGCATTCCTCAGCCCTTGGGCAGTCAATGGGACCCGGCGCAGCAGAGCAAGGGGTGGTGCCCGTAGGGGAGGCTGGGGCTACTGGGGAGGCTCAGGCCACTCGGGAGCCCACCGCCAGGGTGTGGGGCGGTGTGGGGCGGTGTGGGGCGGTGTGGGGCGGTGTGGGGCGGTGTGGGGCGGTGTGGGGCGGGGCGGGCTCCAGCATGGCGGGCTGCAGATCCCCAGCCCTGCCCCGCGGGAAGATGGCTGAGGCCAGGCGAGAATTCCAGCCTGGTGCGGACGGGCCGGCAGTGCTGGGGGACCCGGCGCTCCTCCGCAGCTGCTGGCACGGGTGCTAAGCCCCTCACTGCCCCAGCCGGCCGCTCCGAGTGCGGGGCCCGCGGAGCCCACGCCCACCTGGAACTTGCGCTGGCCTGTGAGTGCTGCAGCCCTGGTTCCCGCCTGCGCCTCTCCCTCCACACCTCCCCGCAAGCAGAGGGAGCCGGCTGCGGTCTCAGCCAGCCCAGAGAGGGGCTCCCACAGTGCAGCGGCGGGCTGAAGGGCTGCTCAACGGTGGCCAGAGTGGACGCTGAGGCCGAGGAGGTGCTGAGAGCGAGCGAGGGCTGCTAGCACATTGTCACCTCTCAGTAGGATGGCTCACAATTACATAAGCCAGAACAAGTAAAAAAAGTACTCAGCTCAGCCAGAACAAGTAAAAAAAGTAAAAAAAAAAAAAAAGTACTCAGCTCAACATCTGGCCTTAGCAGACCTCAAACCTTATTTAAATACCAATATTTTGGCAAATAGTTGATTTGAATATGTTCAAAGGGGAGAAGAACAGATCCTATAACAGTAAACCTTCTTTGCAAAGAAAAATAGTTCCTTTACATAAAGAGCAAAGAACCAGTTCCTTATTTGGAGTTTTGAGGACTGTGGTAGGCAGAAAAGGGGCCCCCAAAGATGTTCATCATATACTAATCCCCGGAACCTGTGCTTATGTTGCCTTACAGGGAGATGGCATTATATCAAGTACCTGTAGATGGGAGATTACGCTGCATTAACCTGCTTGGTCTAATCTAATCACATCAATCCTGAAAAGCAGAGAACTTTTCCCAGCTTGGTGAGAGTATCAGTGTGATGGCAGAGAGACAAGGACTCAGCTGGACATTGCTGGCATTGAAACTGGAGAAGGGGGCATGAGCCTAGGAACACGGGCAGCCTCTAGAAGCTAGAAAAGGCAAGGAGACCGATTCTCCCTTCAAGCCTCCAGAAAGGAATAGACACCTTGATCTCGGCCAGTGAGACCCATAAGGGACCTCTGACCTACAGAATTCAAAGAGAATAAATGTGTGTGGCTTTAGCTGCTAAGTTTGTGGCTGTTACAGCAGCAATAGAAGTAATCTTGTAGTATTTCTATTAGAGACTGACAGTGAGGAAATAGAACAGTCACACTTGAAACCACTGAACTAGGAGGAAGAAACTCGGAAACTTAAAGAGTATTAACCAGACATGGCATCAAAAAATGGAAAGCTGTCCAGACACGGTGGCTCACAACTGTGAGCACTAAGAGAGACTAAGGCATTTTGAGAGACTAAGGCAGTAGGATCGCTTGAGGCCAGGACTTCGAGACCAGCTTGAGCAACATAGTAAGACTCGTGTCTCTCCAAAAACTAAAATTTTTTTTAAAAATTTAGCCAGGCGTGGTGACACATGCCTGTAGCCCTAGCTACTCAAGAAGCTGAGGCAAGAGAATCACTTCAGCCCAGGAGTTGGAGGTTACAGTGAGCTATGATTGCACCACTGCACTCTAGCCTGGGTGACAGAGAAAGACCCTGTCTCTAAAAAAAAAAGAACTAATAAAACTTGAAAGTTGTATTTGATTCTGCTTACAGAAATAGAGAAAAGGCACTATCATAGAATAAGCAACTCATTATCATGAAAAACACTTTACAGGAAGAACAATAAAATCTTAATACACAGTATTACCAAGGATCCCCTACCTATACTACTTAACAAGCTGGTACTAGGGGAAAGGCCATAGTAACAAAATCCTTTCACAGAAACTTTCTGCAGACTTCCTTTAACTGATGGCTACTCCAAACCTGCAGCTCTCTGATCACTCCCTCTTTCTTCTTTCTCTCTCTCTCTTTCTTTTCTTTTTCTTTTCTTTCATTCTCTCCTTCTCTTTCTCTCTTTTTTTTTTTTCTTTGTAGAGGCAGGAGTCTTGCTTTGTTGCTCAGGCTGGTCTCAAACTCCTGGGCTCAAGCAATCCTTCCATCTCAGCCTCTGAGAGTGCTGGGATTACAGGCATGAGCCACTGCACCCAGCCTCCACTTTTTCTTAAGATAACATTGACAATAAGGTAATAAGCCCTAGTGGTGTGTGGACACACACACTCACATTCAGAGTCCCAATTTGTTGACCTGCATGAGACCATAAACTGTGCTAAGAGGAAAAAAAAAATGTCCACAGACTGATTTTAAAAGATGAACTCTGAAAGAGCATAATGACCAAACGGAACCTCAAAATCAGGAACACACCTAGGAATCTTTTTAAGGATAGACTAAAGAAACTAAAGTAGCTGAGTGTGCAGAACCCAGCCACGCAGGCACACTAGTAGAACCCTCCAAGTGTGGGAGGGGCTAAGTGATGCACCACTTTTCAGATGAGAAATCAGAATCACTAACCACAGAATCGGCCCACATGAAGACAGCCAGCTAAGTGCAGAAGCCTCACCTGCCACGGTCGGAGTTCACTCACGATGCCATGCTGCCTGGACAGCTCATCTCGTGACTCCAGCACGCCAGGCCTGGAGCTTCCAGCCTGTACCCATGAGAGCTCCATGACACTCCTTTCTTTATTGGACCTACATGTTTCTTTTTTTGTTTTGGGGGGGTTGGAACAAGCCTGGGGGGGGGGGAAACCTTTTCCTTGAAGGAGCTCACTGGACATAAGAATTGCAAAGGAGGAATGGTGAACCTCTAAAAGTTGATCGTATTTACCCAGGAGAATTACATTTGTGTGTAATGTACAGTGAAGACTGCCCAATAACAATGTCATCTTTAAACCCACCAAGCATAATAGCTAAAAATCAAATAAAGGAAGAATGTTAACATTCTTAGTCACAGAGACTAGAACTTTTTTACAGAGGGAAGGCAATCAAGATGAACAGAGGGGCTTGAAGCTGTGTTTGCAAAGGTCTTACACAGGACTGGGGACACCGCATGATGAAGATTACTGGGGGGAAGGGAATAGAGGGAAACTCCCCTTCCCTGCCATATCCTCACCACGTGGGGCCTCTAACTAGGTGCTCTAAAAAATTACAGGAAAGGGGACGAAGGAAGTATACCAAACAAATACTAAGAAAGGTGCCAAAGGAAAACAGAGAAATCACACAGAGCATGAGGCAGAGATGGTACTTTCTCTTTGCATCCAAGAAAGAATCGGTCATTCAGAAAACTCCTCACCGGCATGGATGCTTGTAAATAACAAACTGGAGGTGAAAATAAGATGGTTTAAAAAAAAAAAAAGCAGCTGCAAGAAGACTGATACCAAACTTCCTTATGTTGAAAGGTAGTAGTTACACACTGAATGTGTAGACAGAATTTGGCCCTGCTTGTGGCAGTGTGTAAACACCTAGCCACGTCCCCAGGGCACTGTGCGAGGAACCACAGAAGGCTATGAGCCTGGTCATCTTCTCTACTCTTTGAATCTCAATTTCCCAAGGGAAAAAATAGCTTCACTAAAGGAAAGCAGGTTATTTCAGGGCTGAAAGTAAGGACCAAGGTTTTTTATTTCTAAACATACAAAGATAAACATCCCCAAAGAGAGTAACAATAAAGGGCTGATTCTTCTTAGTTAAGCTTTTCGGCTGCCTGCTAAAGAGAGTCTACTGGCCAGGGCAAAAACAACCTGAATGTGTTCTCAACCTTCTTTTTAATTTAATAAGGGAATTTCATTTAATTTATGTTACAAGCCTTTTGCCACATGTATAGAATTAAGCAACATTAGGAACTGAACGGATCTTTGGAGCGCATTCAATCCCCTCTTACTTCTCAACCTAACAGCTGAGGCCCAAAGTGGTCACATGGGCTGAATTAGTATGTTCATCTACATTTCCCTTTATCACTGAACTTAACTCTTCTGGGTGTGCATTGACCAGGCTTAGACTTTAAACTCCTTGGGTAGCCAGTGACTATTTATTTGGCAGAAGCATTCCGAATCAGGAACAGGTGAGGGCAGGAA
Organism: Homo sapiens; assembly: GCF_000001405.40. Classification (NCBI taxonomy): domain Eukaryota; kingdom Metazoa; phylum Chordata; class Mammalia; order Primates; family Hominidae; genus Homo; species Homo sapiens. The sequence continues at coordinate 134,126,170 of NC_000002.12, read as the reverse complement.
AGGAAACGGGTGCTCACTGCTATGTCCAATGGGAAGATTCCACAAAGTATGGCGATCTTGGGTTCAGAAAAGCATTTTGTGTGGCCTCTGCTCTCTTTCTAGGACTCCGCAGACACTGCGGGAATGTCTTCACAGGCACCGATTATCAGAAATGTTAAGGAATGGTCCTGATACCTCTTCCAGGTCACTCCTCACCTACCCCATGCTCCTAAAGAAAGGAAATCAATGCTGAGAGGAGCCAGGAGCCCTAAAACACAGAGAATTAATAAGAGTGAAATGTAAAATCCAGCCCAGACTGGATTCTTATCATGTCAAACTTAAAAGGTGACATGAGAAAGGGAACCCCTCATTCCAAAGGATATACGTCACTTAGATTCTCCCAGCTGGGGATGGTAGGAGGGAACTGGGCCACACCAACCTGCTCCCTACCACATTCCAAGGTGAAGCTGGGTGTGAGCACACAGTGGGCTCCAGTGAGGAACAGATGCCCAGTGGCCATCAATTCTCTTCCTGTATCATTGCTATAAACAAAGCAGGCAGGCACCCGTTATCAACTGTTACCAATTGTTCCTGTGGGACCACAGAGGAGATGTGAGGTCCAGCTTTGCCACTGCTGCCTGCTGGTGAGACTTTGAGAAAGTCCCTCCACCTCTCTGCACCTCGGTGACCTCAGCTAGAAAGAGGAGGGCCCTCCCTGCAGTGCCCCTGGGTATCTATGAAGCCCTCTCGGCTTAGGTTGGAAAGAAGGTGCTGGCTAGTACAGGGCATACTCACCAGCCTTAACCACTACTCACAGCCCAACCCACACTGGCTCTGGATCTAGACCACCTGGCTTCAAATCCTTGCTCTGCCACTGAGTAGCTGTTTGTAACCTTAGCTAGATTTCCTGACCTCATGATGTTATGGTCTCTCCATGTATAAACTTGGAATAACAACAGAATCTACCTCATTGTTGAGTGAAATACCTGTAGTACAAAAGAAGCATTTGCAATAATGCCAATCGGAGAAGGTGGATTTTTTTCATCGCCATCATTCCTATTTTCTTGTCTACCCTTTCTTGATGTTTCTCCACCAAGACATATAATAAAATCTCTACGATGATCACCAACATAACACACTCCCATGAGGGGACCCAGACATGGAAAAGACCCAAAACTAATAGAGTGGAAGACTTTTCTGTGTAGGATATTTATAATAATAATTTTTAAAAAACATTTTACCAGCATGACAGGACTTATAAGAAGTCTGTGCACCGAACTACAACTTTAAAGCGTGAAGTTCAAACAGGAGTGGGTGGGTGGCACATGTTCCCTCAAGGGCCAGCCACAAAAATCACAAAGGGATGCAAATAAGTGAGGCTGTTATTATTCTAGGGATAACCTTGAAGTGCTGACATTTTAAAAAGTAAACCTATTGCAAGCACCAGTAGTTAACTCTTACTAGTAACAGAAGTACTTGGGTGTAACTCACTCCTGAGTTCACTTTGTCAGGAAATAGAGTGGAGAAATATTCCTTAGCCATTGCAGGGAGCCACCTGAGCAAGGGTCAAGGTCCAGCAGGCATTAATGCCAGCCTGGCAGTGAAGGTGACAAAGAGAGAGTGCTAGTTTACAAGACAAACTGCTCCCACCAAACCAAGCCACAGTAGCTTATAACCCTTGCCTGTCCTGATTTTTAAGACTGGGCAGAGTCCCGAGAGGAAAGCCCTGTTCCCATTCCAGAAGATTGTATGTTTAGACAAGAGAACTGTGGGATTTTGAACAAATAAAGTGATTCCTCCAACCCCTCCCATGCACACACATAGCCCTGCAGATATGACAAAGTCAGGGAAGGATGCACTTAATTGTGGCAATGAAAAAAATAAATACAACAGTCCAAATGGGCAAACACACAGCTCGAGTCCAAACTCCTCTAGCTGAGAACGTGGTTACAGTGCTAAGGCTCCTGGGACCCACCTTGGCAGCTTTCCAAGAGCTATTAGTTTGTATTAACACACAGTAAGAGAAGGTCTGCTAAATTAAAAGTGAGATAATTTAGGAGGACATCTTTATACCCAGCACCAGCCCAGTGCACAGCACATGGCAGATGCTGGAAAAATGCTCATCAGCAGCCAGCATCAGTCACAAATGTGGATGTTGACATAGGATGTAAAACAGTATAGGGATATGGCTTAGATTAGAGACTTTAAGGGTTGGAGAGATCATTACTTAATTTCAAAGAGAAATTTGAAAGTGTAGCCATCTTCTGGCTACTAAGAGTGATTCCATACTTCAAAGCAATTATTAACTTTAAAGGCAGCCTGGTAAAACCTGCACTGACAAGTCCCAAATGCTTATTTATTTCTCACCCTATCACCCAATTGTCACCCAGATAGCAATCCCCCCGTATAAAATTATTTCCTCCCTTTTCTCAAGTATCATCTGAATTACAGTAATCAAAACTACCCATCAACCTGTTCACCTGACACCAGGAGCCTTCCCCAAACTTTGAAACTCACCATACGAAACCCCCAGAGACAAAGCTAACAGCACACACTTTCCTGAGGCCTGTTATAACAGCATCAACACAGAATGCCACCCCCAACCACTCCTCCTCCATGCCTCCTAGGGCCAGGAGCCCATGACACACAAGGAGGAAGGAAGACAGTGAGTCCCTACTGCGCTTAAAGCCTCTTGAGAAAGAGCAGAGCAGTCACCTGTCTGTATGACCCTGGGAAGGAGAGGACATAAACTTTCCAACCCAGATCTTACAGATGACTGCTCTGCAGTTTTCTACACATCTCTGCAGGGTACACTAGTCACTGCCCATCCCCTGCCAAAATTAATCCAGGGATGTCTCTGTAGTGACTTAGATCCTGAGACACATGGAACATTAGGGAAAAGTTGTGTCAAATGTCAGAGTGACAACTAGAATGGTTCCTGGGAACTCATACTTCCAAAGGCCTCCCCGTCAGCTAGGGTAACAGGGGAGTCTAGCATTTCAATGCTTTTGGAGGACAGCTGGGCAGAAGGTAAGTTGCTTATTTTAAAACAAAAAAAATTGAATGGGAGGAGAGATTATGTGAATTCCTGTGATCTCTTGAGGTCCCTTCCAGCTTCCAGATTCTACCAAAGAACATGGCATATGCATGTACATATGCACACACCTCTTTATAAGAATGTATACAGATGTGGGAATATATATAAATGAGTACTATATTCACACTTCCAAACACAAAGCACTTGAAATGCACACTGCTGAGGAGATCCAAAAGCCCATGAGCTGCTCTGCAGCAGCAGTTGGAGCATACGGTTGCCACCGGCAGATCTGGGCAGAGCCCTCCACCCCTCCTGCCATTGCAGTTCACCTTAAAACCAACTGGTGGCTGCTTGTGCAGGTGCAAACCCTGCAAAGCTCCAAACCAGGACTGCAGATTCCTTTCTCCTAATGACTCCAGTCACGAGTGTCCCAGAGTGAAGAAGGCAGGCTGAAACAAAGGAGGAGATGAAAGAAAAAGCCCAAACCCTATATCCAGTTGGAGCCACCCCAGCAGAGGCAAATGCCAGACAGAGCAACTTCCTTCTCCTCTTCTCCCAGCCCCTACAAAGGGTGAAACAGTCACCCTCTTGCCCCTCCTCCATCACCTTGCTTTTCAGGGCCTCTCCAGGTAAGGCTGACAACATGGGCATTTAAATGAGCATTTAAAAGCAGGGTGATGGAGGAGGGCAAGAGAAAAAAACTAAACTGGAAAAAACTAAAAAGCTCTCTAGAAAGGAGAGCTTTGCGCTAGGCCGGGCACGGTGGGTCACGCCTGTAATCCCAGCACTTTGGGAGGCCGAGGCAGCTGGATCACCGGAGGTCAGGAGTTCGCGACCAGCCTGGCCAATATGGTGAAACCTCGTCTCTACTAAAAATTAAAAATTAGCCGGGTGTGGTGACGGGCGCCTGTAATCCCAGCTACTTGAGAGGTTGAGGCAGGAGAATCTCTTGAACCCGGAAAGCTGAGGCTGCAGTGAGCCGAGATCGCACCATTGCACTCCAGCCTGGGCAACAAGAGCAAAACTCCATCTTTAAAAAAAAAAAGACAGGAGAGCTTTGCTCTAATCTTTACTGCCAGATAAATCTGAGGATGCCCATCTCAGCCCTGAACAATAGCAACAAAAATAATTTATAGGAAAGCAGTGAGGACGGGGGGAGGAGGGTGAAAATTCATTCACCACAAATCTCAGATGCTTTGCCCTTCATGAAAAACTGTTCAGTGATTTTCTCGGTACAGACAAGGGAGTTCTGATGCAGCCGTAAGGCTTAGGATGTGCATGACACAGAGATTAACGCTGGGGAGTCTCTTGGAGTAAAAACCAAGTTGATCAGGTCCTGACAATAAACTGGGGGTGGGGGTCAGTTCAACGACCCAGCTTCCCACTCGCATCTCCTTAGAATGAGATACCTCTAACACTTTGGTCTGGGTATGTTTACAAGTGCGATGTTGCCATCCACCCGAACCCCACACACAACTGAGTTTGCCCCTTCCCAACGTCACAGACCCAGAAGTACTCATCTTCCCTAACTGGGCCGCCAGAGCCAGGTGCAGATAGCGGCGGCCGCCCGGGGCCAGGCCTGGCAGTCGGTCCCAGGAGGGCCGGGCCCTATACCAAATCCATCCACATCGCCCGGTTCCCGCAGCCCTGAGGAGCCAAGCACCCCCTCTGCGCTCCAAACGCCTCTGGACAATGCAAGCGCCACCCCCTTCCCTCTTCGGCTCTTCCGCGCGGCGGCTACAAAACCGCGGCTTTGTGTGTGACAGCAAGTGTATGCGCGAGCGTCCCTGGGCTCACACACCCCCTTGCACCCTGCCTGCTCGCCGCGCCAGGTCCGGGCACCAAGCGGGCGCACCGCGCGCGGGTCCACCAGGCTGAGAGCCGCGCTCCAGGCCTCTGGCCACCCCGCCACGGGGAGCAGGGGCTAACACCCACGCCCCCAATCCCGGCTGTGAGGGCAGCCGGGGAGAGCAGTGCGCGTAGCTCAACTGAGGCGAGGCAGGGGCCAGGGGCGCGAAAGAGCCACAGGCGAGAGCGGCGCCCACGTCTCCCTAGCCCCGCCGCCCCCAACTTTGCGAGCTGAGGGCCGGGAGTGGGCCGGGGCGGCTCACGACTCGGCAGGAAGTTCCCAGGGCCGCACTGAGCATGCTCTCGGGGAGTGTGTGCGCGGGTGTGGGCTCTGCGCTCCCTGCAGCCTCCCAGACCCGGCAGCAGGGCTGAGCGCGCCGGCGGGATCACGGACCCGCGGGCCGTCCCCTAACAGCCGGGGCGCCCCCGGGCCTCCTGGATCCTCTGGCCCGGAGCGCCAGCCCGCCGCATCCCTCCTCCCTAGGGGCTCGGGGCCAGCCTCCCTCCTTCTTCCTTCCTCCCCACTGGCCCCTGGCCGAGCCCGCCCAGTGCGCCTGGGTCCCGAGGACCCCGGCCCGGCCCGGCCCACGCCTGCGGCGTGACCCCCACCGGGCTCCTCCGCGGTCCGAGCGCCCATCTGCCATCCCCCGCCGCTCGCCTCCAGCCCGCGCAACCAGAGCTTCCTTTGGACTGTCCCTAGGAATGCCAACAAGCCCCCTCGTCACGGGGCGGGGGGGGTTCAGCCTCCCCTGGGAGGGGCTGCCCGGGGCAGGTGGGCTTCTCAAGGCGCGTCTCCCGGCTCCACTCCGGCGTCCTGCAGAGCGGCCGGGGCCGGGGCACCCACGCAGGCGGCAGAGGAGCGACGGAAGGAAGCCCCCGACCGCGCCGACCCCGGTGCGGGCTCTCCTCGCCCGCGCCTGGTTCCCCGTGCCCCCCGCGGTCCCCTCTGCGCGCATCACCCCGCGGGGATGACGAGCTCCCTCCGACGCGATCACCCGGATCCGGCAGCTCTTACCTCCTTGTTGGGCAGCAGCAGCAGCCGGGAGCACCCGCCGGCCGCCGTGCCCACGCGGCCCGAGGCGCGAGGTCGCGACGCCCCGAGCCTGCGGCGCGGCTACCTGGGCTGGATCGCGCCCGGGGCCGCCGCCGCGGGAGCCGCAGGGCCGCCGCCGAGCGGGCCGCGGCAGGGACGGTCTGCAAACTACCAGCCCTGGCGGGGCCGCGCGCGGCGCGTCCACACTCAGCCCCGAGACGCAGCAGAGGCGCTCCTGTGGGAGCTCAGTCGACCAGGGCGGGAGTCCGTCCTCAATTTCTGGCAACCTTCCCCTAGCCAACCTCACCAACTTCTCCCCGCTTCTGGGCTCGCGGCTCTAGAAGGCAGAAATTCCGGCCGGGGACGTTTGGCAAACTCCCCGCCCCCGGCCGCGCGCTCAGCCAATTCGGAACGCCCCAGCTTCTCAGGGGCCGTCGGCAAACTCTCAACCCTGTCTAGGAGGACTTCTCCCAGCCACTCTGTTCCGCAGCCCAAGGGGAGAGAAAGGAGCGAGCGGGACCTTCTGATCGCGGCCATAAATAATATCCTAACAAGGTCAGGGGCAGTGTGCAAATATTGATATGACGATGCATCCTCCGGAGTGGTGCAGTCCAAGCCCCAAAGGACAAGGGGCCTTCCAGCAGCGAAGCCCACTGATGGGGAGACTGTGGTCTCAACCATCTTAGAGGTGCAGGCAACTTTAACAAAACGCCCTGAGGCTCAGTTTCCTCTTTCGTAGAACGCATTACACAAAGCAGTAGGTATACTGCCATTTGGTTTTTGTGACCTTGGGCAAGCCACTTAACCATTTGAATTCATCTTTATGAGCATAACAAATGCTGCTTCATGAGGTTATTGTGAAGATGATATGAAATATATGTGAAATACTTAGGGATATGTGGCACTTATAAATGAAATCCATTCTTTCTTCTCTGCCCTGCTCCCACTCCCGGATTTTAGGAACACTCTGGACGAGCTAGCTGAAAACTGCACTGTTGTAAATTCACAAATAAAACACATCCCGTGCCCTGAAGGCACCACAAAGAACATTGACTGACATGAGAGATTAAATCCAACCAAGCCCCAGGAGAGAGAATGCCATACATTTACATCGATAAGCATTATAGTTTCTTGTTAAGTAGTATCTGGAATGGAGGAAGAGTGGGCTATTGAGCTAGTGGTAGAATCCACAAGACCATAACCCCAGCAATTTCCAGACCCCATAACCAGTCACTACATCCAGACCTCATAAGGATTCATGTTCAGTTTCCCCTCATCTGCCCTGCAGGACTTCACCCCTACTTCGTTGTCCTCTCTGGGGTCTTATTTCTTGGACTTAGCTCGCCCCCACCCTACTACGCACCCTCCCCACCAGAGGCATTTACAAACGAGGATCATGGAATTTTTAGACCCTAGGAATGATTCAGTCCCTTTCCTTCATTTTGTAAGTGAGCTCATAGCTGGTTGAGGTCTCCTGACCCCAGGACCTTTTAATAGGGCATATCCATAGCCTCTCCTGCACTGAGCAAGCTCTGGGCTTTGGGCACCTTATGTCAATCCTGTCTTCAAGTTTAGCTGGAGGAAATGGCTCTAGCACTTCCTGACCAGATAAGCCCCAAATTATCAGCCACTTGGCTCCTCAGCTGTTAGAAACTGTCGAGTCAAGATACTCAAAAACCACAGGGAAATCTGCAAGGCCAGGATGACTAAGAAAAGACCTTTTGGTGAAATCCCAGTAATGTTCTGAGGCACGTATTTCCCTCAGTCCCTTGAGAGAAAATAGTATCTTTAGCTCTCCCCAAGCACCAGGAGGGAAATAGAAGAATGGTGACATCTGGTGGCCGGGACTTGCTGTACTGGATACAGATCATGTAGATTCTAATCATAATAGATTGGATTTGAAGTCAAGTTCCCACGGGTGGTTAATAATGATACCACCTGGTTGCCTAGAGATTTCTGAAAGGCATCAATCATTTCAACTTTATGAACCCACTGCTATAGAGGATATTACAGATGGTTTTTGTTTCAGGATATTTTTTATAAAAAGTATATGTGTATATAGAGAAATTAAGTAAATTCGTTTGTATACACAAATATACATTTTCCATATTTGTATTACATAGTCTATTTATTTATATAAATCATATACTTGCCATGCGTTTAAGAAAAAGTAATACTATCTAAGTTGTTTTCCCCACAGTTAAGATTACAATTTTTATTATTAATTGCTAAAGGATACTGTTTATGGACATAAGGATGCTTATTAGGATGCAGCTGTATATTTCATCACATCCTCTCAAGAGACCGTTCATTACAAGCTTAGGAAGAAAATAACATAGCAGGATTTCAATAGTGAAAGCCCTGGCAGCTGATGGCCAAGGTCGTGCATTCCTGGTGAACAGAGATTCATTTTTAGCATTTTCACCACTTGCAAACAATGGGTGTCAGGTTAGAAAAAGAAAGATATTTAGGACTATTTCACAACAATGCAACAGTGTTTGTTGGTATTGCTAAGTCTACTCTAACTGTATTGCTTCATTTCTTTTCATTTGTCTGTCACATATATAGTACTTTAAATAATTGCTCAATTATAAGCATAGTAAACACAGCTTTTTACATATAATCAAGTATAGTCAGCCCTCCATATCTGCGGATTTCGATCTGTGATTGATTGAATCTGAGGATTTAGGATCCTCCAAATCCATGCTTACAGAGGGCCAACTATATATTGTTTCTCAGCATCTCTTACTAAGCTGTATGTGAATTACATTTTAACAATTCATGGAGTAGATTTTACTATACGTATTTCATAGAAAAAGAAGCCAAGACTTAGTAAAGGTAAGTAATATACTTACAGATAGGCACTGTTGATAAGGATCACAGCCAGGATTGAATCCAAAGTTTGCCTGACTCCAAAGCCCAGAACCTTTCTATTACACCATGCTTCTCACCCCAGATAACCAGGAAGAAAGGAAGATCCATGCAGAAAGTACTGTGAATAATACAGTAAATATTAAAGGGGATATTTAAGGTACCCTACATAGACCAGGTTTCTTGACCTATTCAAATTGCATGAAAATTATAGCAACAAAATAACAATTATGTATGTAAACCTTATAAAGCTGAGACCCATGTGGTTCAGTCTTGGAACTGGTGTCTGTGAAATAAACAAATGAAATTGTTTTTCTGCCCTGGACCTGAGCTCTAATGGCTTGAGGAATTATCCACTATGTAATCTTGGTACAAGGTAAAACCTCTGATGGTAAAGGTGCTGACCAAATTTTTAGGGCAGCATTGCTAGTGGTAGTGCCCAGTGGCTGATGCCATAATGTGGATGATGTAAGCTGTGATGCCTGGCAGATAGTGATCCAGGTGACAGCATCTTCACCTTGCCAGATTTTAGGAGTTCTTTCTACGTGCATTCCTCTGGCCTCCGTCTTCTTCTTCTTTCTTCTTTCCTCTTTTTTTGAGACAGATTCTCACTCTTTTGCCCAGGCTGGAGTGCAGTGGCATGATCACAGCTCACTGGCAGCCTCGACCTTCTAGGCTCAAGTGATCCTCCCACCTCAGCCTCCCAAGTAGCTGGGACTACAGGTGCAGGCCATCATACCCAGCTAACTTTTTAATTATTTTACAGAGATGGGGGTCTCTCTATTTTGCCTAGGCTGGTCTTGAACCCCTGGGCTCAAGTGATCTTCCTTAATTAGTCACAGTAACTTTCTGTTGCTTGTGGTTAAGTAGCCTGACTGATACAGACATTTGAATTAACAGGCGTAGACCCTAAGGGAAATAGATGAAATCAGGGATAGGTTATCTAGTCTGATTAAGGTTGAGGGTTGAAAACTTGGCTTCTTTAAAGGTCTTTGATGCAGGCAGCCTGTGGTATACAGTGGCAAAAGTTTGTTATCAACTGTATACATCTACAATGAAGTACCCATTGAAATCAAACTTTTGGGTAACCAAGTGACAACTGAGCAATAAGACTTAGGAATAGGCTGGGTGCGGTGACTCACACCTGTAATCCCAGCACTTTGGGAGGCCGAGGCGGGCGGATCACAAGGTCAGGAAATTGAGAACATCCTGGCTAACATGGTGAAACCCCATCTCTACTAAAAATACAAAACATTAGCCGGGCATGGTGGCAGGCGCCTGTAGTCCCAGCTATTTGGGAGGCTGAGACAGGAGAATGGCATGAACCTGGGAGGCGGAGCTTGCAGTGAGCCGAGATCAGGCCACTGCATTCCAGAACAAGACTCTGTCTCAAAAAAAAAAAAAACAAACAACAACAAAAAAACACTTAGGAAAAAGACTCTCACAATAAGACTGTGAGAGTAAGGTGGTTGTTTTTTATGGAGCTGAATAGCTTTTTTTTTTTTTTTGAGACAGTCTTGCTCTGTCACCCAGGTTGGAGTGCAGTGACGTGCTCTCGGCTCACTGCAACCTCTGCCTCCTGGGTTCAAGCAATTCTCCTGCCTCAGCCTCCTGAGTAGCTGGGACTACAGGTGCATGCCACCATGCCTGGCTAATTTTTTGTATTTTTAATAGAGACAGAGTTTCACCATGTTAGCCAGGATAGTCTCCATCTCCCGACCTCGTGATCCACCCGCCTTGGCCTCCCAAAGTGCTGGGATTACAGGCATGAGCCACTGCACCCAGCCTGAACAGCTTTAAAAAAGAGAATTATGAGCTGAAACTCTTACATTCTCAGCTCAAGGTACCTATAAACCAGGGCTTTTCTATGACTTCTGAAACAGACAAGCAGAAAACCTTTTGATTTTTAGCAGGTGGAGGCCAAAATAAGTGAAAAAAAAACTCAACTATTAATCGTTTGGATTGCTGAATTACAAAGTCACTTGCATTCATAGCCTAACCACTCTCTTATTTGAAACCAAAAGCATTGATTAGAACTCATTAGGACCCTGAGGATTGCATGGAGTTACATAGGACAATTTAGATGACTTAATTTGATGTACTCCACACCCCTCAGGCCTTATGTTGGCTTCCTTTGCCAAATAAAGGCAGTCATGAGGTTCTTGTTGCTTTGACTGAGATCCTCTAATGACCTGGCTTGAGGGTGTTGCCTTGAAACTTTATGCCCTGTGCCAAATACTCCTCATTTTCTCTCACTAGAAAGCCCAGCACACCTCAAAAGGCCAATTGGAAAGGCAAACTCTGAAGGAAAAGACTTACCCATCACAGGAGGTGTGAGATTCTGCTAATTTATAAAAGCAAAAATCTGGGGAATACATGTGGAGAGAAATTCTGAGAATGCTAGACCAAGGAAGGAAGAACATAGCCTTAGATGAGGCTGAATGTATTGATATGGAGGCATTAGCAAAGTTCTAGACTCAATGTGTTCACTTGGGCAGTTGGGAGTAGTATTAATCATCTGCTTTGTTGGCTGCTGAAATCTAGACTTATGAGGACTGGTGTAAACAATAATGCTAGTTGGCATACACGTAACCCCTACTAAGTGCCAAGCACTTTTCAAAGTGCTGTCATACATCAAATTATCTAATCATAATAATAAACCTATGAGACAGGTAGTATCATCCTCATTTATAAAAGGGAAAACTGAGGCATATATAGGTTAAACAACTTTCCACATGCAGCTTGTAAGTGGTACAGCTGGGATTCAAATCAGATACCTGGTTCCAGAGTCTGAGCTTTTTAGGTCTATGCTAAGTTATATTTATGAAAGTGAGATGCCAGGGATACCTTGCTATGTGGAGGGAGAATTCAAGAATTTAAGAAAATGCTCTAATAGATGTATCAAGTGTTACCTACTTATCTACCTCAATGCTATGTTCTCTAAAATGCCCCAGAAGAAACATATTCACCTCAGCGCTGAGGAATCCACTGGTGAGGGGAATGCCAGCATTTTTGGAGAGCTCTGTAGTGGCTTTTCTCTGGAGGACAGACCTCTTAACAAAAAATGTGGCCCTTGCTCAGTTTCCAAATGCGTTGGCCTCAAGCCCTTCCAGTAAAAGAGAGAGTGGGTATACTTGTGACAGACACCATTGGACGGTCAACCTAAAGCCACTGCAAGTCCAATTTCCTTTGCTACATCCTACTTTGGAGTCTGCAAAACCAGATATTTGCTTCCTCAGGCTCTACTCTAGTAGTGCAAGGGGATGAGGCAGCATGCGACCCAGTTCTGGCCAAAGGAAAGTCCACCAAGGGATTCTGGGAAAGATATTTTGTTTCCTTTAAAAACAAATGCAGGAGATGCTAAGTGCTTACCCTGGACACCCCTGGACTTGCTGCCTTTGAATGAGGTCATGAAGTCTGGAACTGTAACAGCTATCTTTCAAACTCAAGGTATAAGCCTAAACTGAAAGGCCACTTGGATAATGCAGTACGGAAAGATGAAAGGAGCCTGGGTCTTTGAAGAACCATTCCGCTACAACTCTGTAGCTCCAGGCTTGTTGTTAAATGAGGGAAACAAATTCCCACTTGTTATGGTATTATTATTCCACTTTTCTAACACCTATAGCCTAAACACATTTCTAAATGATCAAGTAACCTTTGAGGAAGGACCCCAGATAATACCACTGATATATACTATGTATCTTCCTTCCAACAATCAGAAGAAATTTCCAAACAGTTTGTATTCTCACCCTGTATTTCTTGCAAACTTGGAGGAGAATCCAAATACATGTACATAACTTACAGCAATACATTTTTTAAGTCCCCTTTCCCTTTCTATATAAGCTGCACTGATCACATGGTACAGTTGCTCCAGAGCATCTAGTTCCATAGATCTCCAGCTCTTCCCTTTCTCCTCTCTCCTTCCCCACTGTTTCTATGTTTATGATGTGGACTCCCCAGCCTCTCTCCAGCAAGACTGAGGAGGGGGGAGGGGGCACTTGTAACTACAAAATCCCCTTCAGTGACTTCCAATACTCTCATATTAATAGTTGTTATTCCATCACACATAACCTTTCAACTAACTGTTGTTACTGTTGCTTATAATAAACGTTTCTGCATTTCCAATCCAATTACTCACTGACTTTTATTTTTAACTTAAAGATGCTTTCTTTTGGAAGACAGATTGGTCCAGTACAAGGTCAACTCACATTTGAGAATGTCAAATGTTCACAAACTGCCTATTTTAAAAATAATGATAATGCTTAAGATAATTTTTATATGTAAAAACAGGGGAGCAAGGTTTATTTCTACAGAAGATTGTATTAATGACCCTGTATTAGTTCTCAATTGCTGCTGTAGCAAATTACTTCAAACATAACAACTAAAAATAAGACAAATTCATTATTTCACAATTCTGGAAGTCAGAAGTCTAGAATGAGTCTAAAGGAATAAAAATTGTCAGCAGACCTAAGTCTTTTCTGGAGACCATAAGGGAGAATCTATTCCTTGCTTCTTCTAATTTCTAGAGCTGTGGTACTCACTGGATCCAGGCAGCATCTCTCCAATCTCTGCCTTTTTTTTTTTTTGAGATGGAGTTTTGCTCTGTCGCCCAGGCTAGAGTGCAGTGGTGCAATCTCAGCTCACTGCAACCTCTGCCTGCCAGGTTCAAGCAATTCTGCCTCAGCCTTCTGAGTAGCTGGGATTACAGGCACCCACCATCATGCCCGGCTAATTTCTGTATTTTTGTAGAGATGGGGTTTTACCATGTTGGCCAGGCTGGTCTTGAACTCCTGACCTTAGGTGATCTGCCACCTCCACCTCCCAAAGTGCTGGGATTACAGGCATGAGCCACTGTGCCCGGCCAAATCTCTGCTTTTGTCATCACATTTTGGCTCTCTTCCTGCATTTTTTTTTTTTTTTTTTTTGTCAGAGTCTCACAGAGTCCAGCCCAGGCTGGAATGCAATGGAGCAGTCTCGGCTCACTGCAATCTCTCTGCCTCCTGGGTACAAGCAATTTTCCTGTCTCAGCCTCCTGAGTAGCTGGGATTACAGGTGCGTGCTGCCACACTTGGCTAACTTTTTGTAATTTTAGTAGAGATGGGGTTTCACTATGTTGGCCAGGCTGGTCTCAAACTCCTGACTTCGTGATCCACCTGCCTCAGCCTCCCAAAGTGCTGGGATTACAGGCATGAGCCACTGCACCTGGCCCTTCTTGCCCTCTTATAAGGATTCTTGTGATATATTTAGGGTCTGCCTAGATAATCCAGGATAATCTCCCCATTTTAAGACCCTTGGCAACCATGTGCAAAGTCCTTTTTTGCCATATAAAGTAATGTTCACAAGATCCAGGGATTATGTTGGGAACATCTTTGGGGGATCATTATTTAGCTTACCACCATCTGCCCTCTGAATCCCAAAGATTCACATCCATTCCATGTCAAGCTACATTCGCCCCTTCTCAATATCCCCAAAAGTCTCAACCTATCATAACATCAATTCAAAGTTCAAATTCTCTTTGAATATTACTATTTCAAAAACCCCAAATTTATTCATCTAAATTATCTAAATAAAAAATGGGTAAGACTCTGAGTACGATCCATCTTGGGGAAAAATTCCTCTCTGTCAGTGGACCCATAAAACTAGAAAATAAGTTATCTACTCCTAAAATACACTAGTGAGACAGGCACAGGATAACACTTACAGACATTCGTATTCAAGAAGGCGAAAATGGAAGGAAGAAAGGAGTCTCCAGTCCCAAGCAATTTTGAAATCCAACTGTGAAAACTCCATTTCAAAAACTGAGATTAATCCTCTGTGGCTCTTGGCTCAACACTTTTTTTTTTTTTTTTTTTTTTTTTTTGAGACGGAGTCTCGCTCTGTCACCCAGGCTGGAGTGCAGTGGCGGGATCTCGGCTCACTGCAAGCTCCGCCTCCCGGGTTCACGCCATTCTCCTGCCTCAGCCTCCCAAGTAGCTGGGACTACAGGCGCCCGCCACTACGCCCGGCTAATTTTTTGTATTTTTAGTAGAGACGGGGTTTCACCGTTTTAGCCGGGATGGTCTCGATCTCCTGACCTCGTGATCCGCCCGCCTCGGCCTCCCAAAGTGCTGGGATTACAGGCGTGAGCCACCGCGCCCGGCCTGGCTCAACACTTTGAGCCTGAAGCTCTAGCCTCTGAATCATACTTCCTTTTTCATGAAGAGTGCACATGTTTTCATCCAAGTACGTTTTTTTCTTGTTTGTTTGTTTTTGTTTTTGAGATGGAGTCTCGCTTTGTCATGCAGGCTGGAGTGCAGTGGCATGATCTCAGTGCACTGAACCTCCACCTCCTGGGTTCAAGCGATTCTCCTGCCTCAGCCTCCTGAGTAGCTGGGACTACAGGCATGCACCACCATGCCCAGCTAATTTTTGTATTTTTAGTAGAGGCAGGGTTTTACCATGTTATCCAGGCTGGTCTTGAACTCCTGACCTCAAGCAATCCACCCACCACGGCCTCCCACAATGCTGGGATTACGGGCATGAGCCATCGTGCCTGGCCCATCTAAGTAGTTTTATCAGCCTGTTTCCTGTCTGTATAATTTTGGGAGTCCAACAACCTTTTAAAATTTTTGTCTTCTTTTTGTCCCTTTCTGGCTAAGCTGGCAGTGTTGCTGCTAGTATAACATCATCAAGAATCTTGTGGGTCTCCTATGTATGTCACAGGGATTCACTCCATTAGATAAGAGGCTCTTCCACAGATCTTTCCTAGATAGTCCCATGAGATGGCTGAAAGAATCCATGAGTCATGTACTTAATCTCTTCAAAGAGCTCTCTGTGTGACAGAATACTGTGACATTTTGTTTCTTCTCAGACACTAGCAAAATGTTGTCCAGGCCAGGTGTGGTGGCTTACGCCTATAATTCTAGCACTTTGAGAAGCTGAGGCAGGAAGATCACTTGAGATCAGGAGCTCAAGATCAGCCTGGGCAACATAGTGAGACATCATCTCTACAAAAAAAATTTTTAAAGTAACTGGGCATGGTGGCATGTGCCTGTAGTCCCAGCTACTTGGGTGGCTGAGGCAGGAGTATCGCTTGAGCCCAGGTGTTTGAGAATGCAGTGAGCCATGATTGCACCATGGCAATCCAGCCTGGGCCACAGAGTAAGATACTGTCTCAAGAAAAAAAAAAAAAAAAAAAGCCATACTTGTGGCTTTCTCTCTAGAACACACTTTCCTGACAGTAAATCTCCTAATTTTATCCTTTTTTGTAATCTGGACAGGCTGAGAATTTACAAAATCATTAAATCCTGGTTCCTTTAGCTCAGCAGTCCTTTCCTCAATTTATCTCCTTCTTCTGACATTTGCTGTAAGTTATAAAAGAATAAGCCAGGTTGTACCTTCAATACTTTGCTTGGCGCTATCCTCAGCTAAATACCCAAGTACGTGGTTGACAAGTTCCTCATTCCACATAAATATATAACATGGTTCTGCTAACCCTTCCTGCCACTACTGAGAGGTGACAGCGTGCTGGCAGCCCTCACAGCCCTCGCTCGCTCTCGGCGCCTCCTCTGCCTGGGCTCCCACTTTGGCAGCACTTGAGGAGCACTTCAGCCCGCCGCTGCACTGTGGGAGCCCCTTCGTGGGCTGGCCGAGGCCTAAGCCGGCTCCCTCAGCTTGCGGGGAGGTGTGGAGGGAGAGGCGCTAGCGGGAACCAGGGCTGCCCGTGGAGCTTGCGGGCCAGCTAGAGTTCTGGGTGGGCGTGGGCTTGGCGGCCCGCACTCCCGAGCTGCCGGCAGGCCGGCCCTGCTGGCCCTGGGCAATGAGGGGCTTAGCACCTGGGCCAGAGGCTGCAGAGGGTGTGCTGGGTACCCCAGCAGTGCCGGCCCACCAGCGCTGCACTCGATTTCTCGCCCGGCCTTAGCTGCCTCCCTGGGGGGCAGGGCTCGGGACCTGCAGTCCACCATGCCTGAGCCTCCCCCTCCTCTGTGGACTCCTGTGTGGCCCCAGCCTCCCCGACGAGCGCAGCCCCCTGCTCCACGGCACCCAGTCCCATCCACCACCCAAGGGCTAAGGAGTGCGGGTGCACAGCGCAGGACTGGCAGGCAGCTCCACCTGCCGCCCCGCTGCAGGATCCACTGGGTGAAGCCAGCTGGGTTTCTGACTCTGGTGGGGACTTGGAGAACCTTTATGTCTAACTAAGGGATTGTAAATACACCAATCAGCACTCTGTATCTAGCTCAAGGTTTGTAAACACACCATTCAGCACCCTGTGTCTAGCTCAGGGTTTGTGAATGCACCAATCGACACTCTGTATCTAGCTACTCTGGTGGGGACTTGGAGAACCTTTGTGTCCACACTCTGTATCTAGCTAATCTAGTGGGGACGTGGAGAACTTTTGGGTCTAGCTCAGGGATTGTAAATGCACCAATCAGCGCCCTGTCAAAACAGACCACTCGGCTCTCTGTAAAATGGACCAATCAGCAGGATGTGGGTGGGGCCAGATAGGACAATAAAAGCAGGGTGCCTGAGCCAGCAGTGGCAACCCGCTCAGGTCTTCTTCCACACTGTGAGAGCTTTGTTTTTTTGCACTTTTCAATAAATCTTGCTGCTGCTCAGACTTTGGGTCCACGCTACCTTTATGAGCTGTAACATTCACCACGAAGGTCTGCAGCTTCACTCCCGAAGCCAGCGAGACCACGAACCCACCGGGAGGAACGAACAACTCCAGACGTGCTGCCTGAAGAGCTGTAACACTCACTGCGAAGGTTTGCAGCTTCACTCGTGAGCCAGCGAGACCACCAACCCACCAGAAGGAAGAAACTCTGAACGCATCCGAACATCAGAAGGAACAAACTCCGGACATGCTGCCTTTAAGAACTGTAACGCTCACCGCGAGGGTCCACGGCTTCATTCTTGAAGTCAGTGAGACCAAGAACCCACCAATTCCGGACACACTGTGTTACAGGATCCCCTTTCCTCTAGTTTCCAATAATGTTCCTCATTTCCTCCGGAGTCCTCACCGGCAGAGTCTTTAACATCCATTTTTCTACCAACAGTCTGTTCAGTGCAAACTAGGCCTTTCTACCCAATTCCAGTTCCACTTCCACATGTGCAGGCATTTGTTGCAACAGCACCCCACTTCCTGATACCACAATCTGTACTAGTTTTCTATTGCTACGGTAACAAAATTACCACAAACCTAGTGGATACTATTTGGTTTACATTTAAGGCAACAAAAAACTTATTCTCTTATATTTCTGGATATCAGAAGCCTGAAATCAAGGTGTTGGCAGGGCTGCATTCATTCTTGAAGCTTCAGAGAAGATTCTGCTTCCTTGCCTTTTCCATCTTCTGCAGGCTGTTCTCATTCCTTGGCTCATGACCTCACATCATGTTGCCTTTTCTTCCTGCTTCTGTCACCCCACGTACTACTTCTAACTCTGATCTCCTGTCTCCCTCTTAGAAGGACCCTTGGGATTACACTGGGCCCATCCAGAAAATCCAGGATAATCTCCCCATCCTTAATTTAATCTCTTTTGCAAACCTAAAGTAAATTCACAGGTTCCAGAGATTAGGATGTAGAGATTTTTGGAGTGCATTATTCAGCCTTCCACAAGCCCCAATTCTTCCCTTCTCCTTGGAACAATTACCTTTGCCGTGTAATTTTGCACTGCCCTCTCACTGTGGTAGGAGATAGGGAGTGACTTGCTTTGGCTAATAGAAAGACACAAAAGTGATGCCCTCCAGGGATCTTTACAATTTCCTCCTGCTCTCTTGAACGTTTCCATTGTTATAAGCAGCATGGTTTCTTCAGTCTAGCCCTGTGGTCCCAAGAGATGGATTTGGGGTATCTGAAACAAAGCTGCCCAAACCAAACCCAGCTCAGAGTGGGGCCCCCAACTGCTCCACAGACAAGAGTAGGCAGATGGTCCCTGCAGCTAATCCTCAATTGTGTGAGAAATAAATGCTTATTGTTGAATGCCATTGACTTTTAGGGCGGTTTGTTATGTAGCAATATGATTCTTTTATTTCCAAAATAATTTTAAGGCTTAAGGGAAAACTACTAATGATCATTCAATTGTTTAGAATACCTGGAGTCATGTGAATTTACACACACACACACACCCTTCACCTTTCATTTTATAGTGTATCGGACTTAATTTTTACTGTTTTATAAAAACTGCTTCCAAAGAAAATATCATCTGGCTGAAGCACAATGTTTCTGACAGAGGAATCAAAGAAGGCAGAGATTAAAATAGAGGAGGCTGGGCGCGGTGGCTCACGCCTGTAATCCCAGCACTTTGGGAGGCCGAGGTGGGTGAATCATGAGGTCAGGAGTTAGAGACCAGCCTGACCAACAGGGTGAAACCCCATCTCTACTAAAAATACAAAATTTAGCCGGGCCTAGTGGCGTGCTCCTGTAATCCCAGCTAGTCAGGAGGCTGAGACAGGAGAATCGCTTGAACCCGGGAGGCGAATGTTGGACCAGCCGAGATCACGCCATTGCGCTCCAGCCTGGGCAACAGAGTGAGACTCTGTCTCAAAAAATAAAGTAAAATAAGATCAATAAATAAATAAAATAGAGGAACCACCTTTCTTAGAATATTACGAACAGAAGATTAACTTACAAGAGAGGATGTTTTGCTGAAATAGGCTTCCAACAGACTTCTGCAAAGAAAACATTCAGGTATTACACATAGACTCTTCCCCCTGATTTACAAGCTCTGCGATTTAGATAGTTTCCCAAAATATGTTATTTGCAACACCTTCTGTTCAGCAGTTTCTTAATCATTGTTGTTATTGTGTGTGTGTGTGTGTGTGTGTAGCAGTTGTGTGCTGACAGCTGATTGTACACACCTCTTCCCAACTCATGTTCAGTGATTCTGTGACATGAGGTTGATAGCTAGTAATGAGCCAAGGTGGGAGTACTTATACCATGGAAGTTTTGCTTCAGTTATGGATGTGTGCATTGGGTCATAATAAAAGTGTATTTCTTACACTGGGTCATGGTCAGAAGCTCTGAAAGCCGTGGCTCTTGTAGTGATTGAGTAAACTTCAACTCCCTACAGTACTAACGATCTATTTGTGTAAAACCTTTCTGCCCCTGGAAGCAAGGCTTGACATAATAGCAAAGCAAATGGTGACACTACCCAAATTAATTTGGAAACAGAGGCATTTTTCTGTGGATGTTTCTGCCATGAGTGTTCAGGTTTCTGTGTTCTCTTTGTCCTCTATCCAGCTGAAGGGGTGGGGTGGGGGTAATATTTCATTCTAATGTTTTAAGCTATGACTTCAAACTTATGGGAAAAGAATAGATATTCAATAATGGAAAAACAATGGGTATTTTGCTTGCACGACATCAAAGGATGGTAGCAGTCCCTGCTGCCCTGTTCTCAGGCCATGACAAATGCCCCCACAGTGCCATTCTTGAGTGAGGTGGGGGACAGAAATTGGCTTTGAACCATGCTGGGGACCTGTGTCTGCAGCCAGCAGACACTTGCACAGCAATATGAGAGACCTCATGCTCTAAAAAAACTCCCCAGCTCAGCTGGGCTGGGAACTAGTAGCAAATCAAGTTGGCATTCCTAATGAAGGTTAGAACAATCCCTGAGACAAACAAGAATCTTAAAATCTACTCCTGTGTGTGCAAACTTATGAGGAAGCTGAGATGCTGTTCTTTTAATTTCTCATGTTTTGATGAAATGTATCATATACATATATATTTTATTTTACTTTAAGTTCTGGGATACATGTGAACAATGTGCAGGTTTGTTACACAGATATACATGTGCCATGGTGGTTTGCTGCATCTATCAACCCATCATCTAGGTTTTAAGCCACACATGCATTAGGTATTTGTCCTAATGCTTTCCCTCCCCTTTCCCCACTCCTCCCAACAGGCCCCAGTGTGTGATGTTCCCCGCCCTGTATCCATGCATTCTCATTGTTAACCCTCATTTATGAGTGAAAACATGCTGTGTTTGTTTTTCTGTTCCTGTGTTAGTTTGCTGAGAATGATGGCTTCCAGCTTCATCCATGTCCCTGCAAAGGACATGAAGTCATTCTTTTTTATGGCTGCATAGTATTCCATGGTGTATATGTGCCACATTTTCTTAATCCAGTCTATCATTGATGGGCATTTGGTTGGTTCCAAGTCTTTGCTATTGTAAATAGTGCTGCAATAAACATACGTGTGCTGAAACACATCATATATTTTAACAAACAAACTCAACCTTTGCCATGGCTTTGTAACTTCCTCTGCATTTCAAGTCTCAGACATATTTAGACCATTGGTGCTTCTCCCCATCCATCTTACTTTAGTTCCCTGCTTTCATTGTAGAGCAGAGGTTTAAGCAGGAGCACTAAGTAGATACTGATGTAAAAGGAACTTTCCTAGAGCTGTATAGTGTTAGCCATTGCCATAGATCTTAGTCAGTCTCATTTCCTGCCCTCCCCCACACACAATACGTGTAGCATTAGCAAGACCTTAACCACACCCTAACCTCCAGAACCTCATTATTTTATTTGATCAGTTAACTTTAGTCACTCTTGCCTGAATAGCTATGCAGATATGGTATCAAGTGGAACCTTTACCTACCTCCACAACTTCCAACCAGATTGATGTTACTCAGTCACTCCTATAAGGGAATATTGGAGGCCCACTGGTGTCAGAGCTCCCAGGCAGCAACACTTAGCCAAGAAAGCACAAAAAGGTAACAATGACTGAAGTTCTAGTAGTAGTCATGGCTAATTCTACATACCAGGTATAATTCTGCTCATTTTAACTACAGTGTCACAACACTCCTCTGAAATAGATGCTATTAACATCATTTTACAATGGAAGAAAACTCTGGTTAAGTAACTTGTTCAAGATTACAGAGCCATGGTGGCAAAGTCTAGATCCAAACCCAGAGAGCTTGGCCCTGCTGCTCAGTCTCCTAGCAAAATGGCATTGCACTCCTAACTCTAAGCCCTTTCCACCTCCCTGCAGACTGGGTTCTAATTTGTGTGAGAGGCCCAGATGTCCCTCCCCATCCTGTCCTTGACTACCTCTCCAGCCACCCCTTTCCTTGAAGCCACCTCAATGTACACTGTCTGGAACTCTTGGTGCCCTGAAGTTGCAACACTGTTTGTAGATGCTTTTGTACAACTTCTTCCTTTCCACATGACCCCCTCAAGGGAATAGGAATGTCACTGACTCTGTCTGAAGGAATATTTTAAAAGATAATCATTTGTAAACTTTAGTGTTTGACTTCTATGGTAAAAAAAATTTTTAAGACCGGGCATGGTGGCTCACACCTATAATTCTAGCACTTTGGGAGGCTGAGGCGGGCACATCGCCTGAGCTCAGGAGTTCAAGACCACCCTGGGCAACATGGCAAAACCCTGTCTCTATGAAAATACAAAAAATTAGCCAGGCGTGGTGGCAGGAGCCTGTAGTCCCAGCTACTCGGGAGGCTGAGGCAGGAGAATCGCTTGAACCCAGGAGGCAGAGGTTGCAGTGAGCCGAGATCATGCCAATGCACTCCAGCCTGGGTGACAGAGTAAGACACTGTCTCAAAAAAAAAAAAATTTCTAACTATGATTTTACAGTAAATTACAATAATCACTGTGGAATGATGCCAACTTGAAAGTCACTAAAATAACCATAATGATCATGGTTTACATTTAGTTACTTGATAAGCTCTCAACAATACTAAACTTTTCCTGACCCCTGTACTCCAGGAAAACAGGAACAGGTAAGAAATCCTCCTATTCTTTTGTTTTCTGAAATCCCTTACCCCTTTGTGTTCCACAAAACTGCTTGCTGCAAATAACCCTCCCCTCTACCAATAGATAAGACTTACCTCCATTCTTCCTGACAATTCCTTTATTTGCCTGATTTTATGAAACCCCAGATCCACTTCCTTTTCTTTGAGATTCTTCACTAAAGCATGTTTTCCCTGTTGCAATAGACTGAATTCAGTCATCTCCTTTATTGTTCAGTTCATTTTGTCTTTGACAGTTTGGGGCCATGACTCAGGTCTGAGCCTTTCCCTTGGGTCCTCCGGTTCTCGGGTTTGCTCCCCTGACCACTGGCTGGAGGACCTGATGGTGAGTCTGCCTCTCAAGTTTGGGTTTGAGACTCTTGTCCATTGATGGTGTGGTAAAAATTGGATTTTGATTGTTTTTGAATACTTGCATGATTTCTACTGCCAGCTTCTTTTGGTTTTATGGTCCAACCATTTGTAACCTCTGTAAATGTGTCGACAGCTTATGGAGATCCTGTCTCTGCTGGGGGAGGCAGGACAATCTGCTTTGTTACTCTTTTCTGTTTGTGTATTTGTCTTTTTGAGATTAAATCAATTAAGAAAACAATGAGTTTTATATCTATATTTATGCTTGACCCATGGCTAAAATTTTATTTTATTTTTTGAGACAGGGTCTCTGTCACCCAGGTGGGAGTGCAGTGGAGTGACCACAGCTCACTGCAGCTTCAACCTCTTGGGTTCAAGTGATCTTTCCACCTCAGCCTCCTAAGTACCTGGGACTACAGGCATGCACCACCATGCCCAGCTGTTTTTTGTGTTTTTTGTAGAGACGAGGTCTTGCCATGTTGCCCAGGCTGGTCTTGAACTCCTGAGCTCAAGTGATCTGCCCGCCTTGGCCTCCCAAAGTACTGGGATTACAGGCGTGAGTCCCTGTGCCCGATCCCATGGCTAAAATTTTAAAATTGAAGCTATAAGCTCTCTATCTGTATCTGTATGTACAGTGTATACATGTCAGTGAGTTTGTAACATTTTCCTACCTCTGGATGGCATTATATTATAAAATCTCTTAAAGGTCCTCTATAATGATTGGCTTAGGAATAAATAAATATTTATATAGATAGCATATTCCTGAAGTTCCCATGTATGACATGGAGAGGCTATACCTTTTGGTCTGTTAATAAGCGTGTTTTTTGTTGTTGTTGTGTGTTTGTTTTGCCACTTTCAGAAGTTGAACTAAAGGGGATGTGCTTTTGTTAAGTGAAAAAGAGAGTAGTTTTGTTCTAAAGTAAAATGACTGGTTGTTCCAAATGAGACAGAGGAAAGTTTTGGACAAAACACAAATGGATATAGAAAGTTGTAGAAAGTTTGCAGAAATGGAATTTTGTTTGCTGTGGTCAAAGCTGGCTGTGGTTTGTGATTTATTTGTAAGATTTTCAAAAAGATCTTTAGTAGCAGGGATTGTACTGATGCAAAACTATAGTTTGATTCTCTCAAACTATATTTTGAGAGAATTTTGCTCAAATGACAAAATTTTCTTCTATTATTGGTCTGCTCTTAATAAGAAATTATAAAAGCAATTATTCTTACCTTCTGTGTAATCTGCCTAGATAACAAAGATTCTGAGTACTGTGAAACGTACTGTGCTTTTGTTGACTTTGTCATGTCCTTGATTATTTAAGAGAACAAAGTGTTCTCACTTTTGAAAGAGCTGAGTTAAGGTTCTTCACCATCATGTTACCTCCTACATTTATTTCTTAAAGCTGTTATCATCACTTTGATGAAATTGATAGCCAAGTATTGTTCTCAGTAATCCATGATCATATCTTGATCAATGCTCAAATCTCCTGACAGCTTTTGATATTTTGCCATTCCTAAATTGAATCCTAAATGATATTTTTTATACCTAAGACTGTCTTTCAGATTTTTGAGAGGGCCCCTAAAAAAATCACAAGAGATTTGCTCTTTTACCTTGTAAAAAAGGAAGGGTCTAGAAATAATTAGGTTTATTTGATATGTTACTATTGATGAAGTCCATGGAAAGCATTGGCAAATCAGAAAAGAAGCATAACCTTTCCTAGGTTAAATTTGTATCAGTTAAATGTTGTTACTATAAATATTTTGAAATTATAGGCTATATGGGAAGTTTCTAGAGAATTGTCAATGCCCTCTCTGTCCACGATATATTTCTATTTCCCAGAGTCCTGGTACTATTTTGCCTGATATTAGACAGCAACAGTATGGTGTTAGCAGTCATCATTTCATTTACTTTTTATCAATGTTAACTTGGTCAGAACTTTACTTCTTTAATTTGAATCTAGCATCTTTTAGACCAGTGGTTTTCAAGTTGGAATTCATATCACTTGCCTATGGAGTTTTATTAGTTTACAGATGTTTAGGACTTACTCCAGACTTACTGAATTCCTGAACTTGATCTTTTCCACATATTTTTGATATATTCTAACTATGCACTTAATATTCATGGTGTATCATGTCTCAGGATTATTTTATGCCATATCTGAAGAATTTTTTTTTTTTTCGAGACGGAGTCTCACTGTGTCACCCAGGCTGGAGTGCAGTGGCATAATCTCGGCTCACTGCAATCTCTGCCTCCCAGATTCAAGTGATTCTCCTGCCTCAGCTTCCCAAGTAGCTGGGATTAGAGGCATCTGCCACCACGCCCAGCTAATTTTTGTATTTTTAGTAGAGATGGGGTTTCACCGTGTTGGCGGGGCTGGCCTCGAACTTCTGATTTCAGGTGATCCACCTGCCTTGGCCTCCCAAAGTGCTGGCATTACAGGTGTGAGCCACCGCGATCAGCCAAAGAAATTTTTCTCTGTAAAAATTATGTTCATCCACTTTCACAAACTAGATATAATATCCACTCTTCCTTGAAAGTAGGATTAATCACTATGTTTACGGATATTTTATCTAAAACGTGTTTTGGATTGGCTTTATTTTGTTTTGCACGCCATAGAAACAAACAAACTTTCTCGTCAGTTACATTATTCTTATAATAAACTTTCCTCAGGCTTTTTTCATTTTTGAAAAAATGACAATTTGGGCAAGGTAACAGGATCCAGTCCAGTTTGCAAGTAGATACCACAGGTGTTTTTTTAAATAAATTAAACACAACCAGTTTAAATCTTGTCATCTACAGATAAGTTTTGCTTTACTCTGATGCCTCCCTGAGGGGTCTTGCAATCAGCCACAGGTCTGAGTGGTTTTTCTTCAACAAAGGACAATCTCAGAGCCCTGTGGAAACAATGTTGTGAGGGACGTTGGGTGCAGGCTTCTGAAGGCCTTGGTTAAACAACTTAGAGGCCATATATCCTTATCAGTGGACTGAGTCAGAATTTTCAGGATTTCAGTTAAAAAACTAATAGGTTCATGAGATTGCTAACCCAACATTGAAAGGAGCAAGGATTAATCACATAGTACTGAATGAACTGATGGGGGATGATTGAGGTTCTTGGTGAATAGTGTTGCTTTTTTTTTTTTTTGAGACAAGAGTCTTGCTTTATTGCCCAGGCTGGAGTGCAGTGGCACGATCTCGGCTCACTGCAACCTCCATCTCCTGGATTCAAGCAATTCTTCTGCCTCAGTCTCCCAAGTAGCAGGGACTATAGACACGCGCCACCATGCCCGGCTAATTTTTTTTTGTATTTTTAGTAGTGACTACTATGAGTGTCACCATATTGGCCAGGCTGGTCTTGACTCCTGACCTCGTGATCCACCTGCCTCAGCCTCCCAAAATGCTGGGATTACAGGCATGAGCCACCCGGCCTATTATTGCTATATTAATGCTTTATTTTTTATTATTTATAATTTTTATGTTATTTATATTTATATTTATATTATTTATATTTTAGGAACCCTCTAAGCTGTCTTTTCTCTTAAGCTGTCTATAACTCATAACAACTTAGTTGATTATGCTTTTATAAACAGAAATGAAACATTTATCTTTTCCTCCCTTTCTAATCTCTCCAGAATTCAGGAACTATTAAGTATTTTCTTTTCACAGCACTGTAACTATTTGAATAGGTTCAATAATGAGGTCTTCGTTGTTAGCAGGACATAATTGGAAACCTTGCTTATGCAATTGTGTCTTTGCCTGGAATGTCATATTTGAGAATGATGCTTATTTAATTAGATATGACCAAGCACTTTTAAGGAACAAAGGCTGACTTTATGGAGCCAGTGCTTACAGAGCCCTCTTGGGAAAACTGTCCTCTATTTGGCTTGTAGGATTCCTAGCATTTCAGTTGAGTAAGACAAGTTATTTCCTGGGAGGTTCAGAAATGTGAAGATATTTTGGGAACCTGAAGAAGTGTGGAATTCACTGAAATCTATAGGTACTGCAGGTGAGATCTGGTGATAAGTTCTTGGCTCTTGGTTTCCTAAACTTAAATGGCTTTTAAAAGTCCAATCTGAGATTCCTTATGAACACTTTCATTAAGGCAAACTTAAGAAGACCTATATATGGTAAATTATACTCTTCTTGCTGCATTTATATAAATAATCAGGCTAAATGTAATGAGACCACTATTATTTTGTGTTGAAGGATAATCTTTCTTTGAGAATATTTTTGATCAAGAAAACGGTGACTGTAGAGAGAAATTCTGTGTATCAATGGAAAGTCATTTCCCAGAGTAAATCTTTCCCAGTTATCAGATTTTAGCCCTCTTCATTCCTTTTGAGCTATTTTGCACCTTTATGTAAATTGCAGATACTTCATGGATATGCACAATCTATCTTTCTGGTAGATATTTAGTTGTCTTTGTTCCCTCCCTATCAGGTGTAAAAAAAAAAAAACTCTCGTGGTACCTACTCGCAACTGGACTGGATCCTGTTACCTTGCCCAAATTGTCAGTCCACACCAAATATTCAGTTCTTCCAGTTTCTTTCAATATCTAGCTACAACACTCCATGCTAAGTTTCCCAGTTTTCATCCCTCCCACCTGAGCTGGTATCATGAAGAACAAAAACTTGATTACTCAAATTCCTATCTATTGAAACTCCAAGTTGCCTTGCTCTGGCTCTTTTCTCTAGGATCCTAAGAAGCCCTGAGAGCTGAGGTCCAACAACTTGATGTAAACCTCAAAGGATTCATCATTGCAACAGATTATTCATGGGCTGAACTTTTCCCTGGACACGCTGCTGTCTGGCTGCTGTTTGGGCCATTAAAGAAGGAAGTCCAGCAAAATGCTCAGGTCATGCATGCTCTTATATGGGAAGCAACCAAGACTGTGGACAATATCACCAGAGTATTGACGTCCTAACTTCAAGAAACCCAATGAATGGTGTTGTGTAAGCGAAAGATTTTCCTCCACTGACCTCCTGGCATCTGTCAGACTATTTACTGTCCGGTTTCAACTCCTAGCTCTTTAGTTTAATGCAATCTTTTACATTAAATATCTGTCTTTTTAAATGTAAGATGCCTGATATCCAGGACTTGAAAAGAACTGATCTTTGCCACCGCCTGTCAACAGATGGTTCAACTAATTTTACAAGAACAATGCCAACAAGAGCCCCTGAGAAACTGTTTCTTAGACCCTGCTTTGCGCCACACCAGAGGGCTTATGATCACTTCTGAGTTGTTCAGTGAGGAATAATATTCACTTGTTTTGAACTGAAGGAGGAACTGGGAATGTTAAACTTTATCTGAGCCCTGTCCTCACAGGAAACAGTGACAGTTAAGAAATCTCCCCACTGTTTTGTATTCTGGGAAATGATTAACAACAAAGAATCATCCTCCTCCACATGCGATAGGTAAGACCTGCCTCCACGCATCCTCATGATTTTCTTGTTTACCTACCTCTATAAAACCCCAAACTCCCTACTTGCTCTTTAGCGTTCCTCACTCATGAGTGTTCTCTCTATTGCAATAGCCTGAATAAAATAATCTCTTTAGTTGTCTGGTGCATTTTGTGTTTCACATCCCATAGAGTACATTCCAGCTGCCTGGAAGGATAGGATAGGGCAACATTGCCTGGGATGTGAAGTAAAAGACCATGAAGAAGAGGAGAATGCTGTGAGCATGATGGACAGAGTCCTAACCATAAATATCTCCCTCATCGCTAGCAACAGTGTCAACAGAGCCAGCAGTAAATTGCTGGGTATCTTCCATTTGTCTCTCCAGTCCTAGTGCTCTTTAGGGACAATGTCAATAGGTTCCAGTTTCTTGTTGGGTTGAACCTACCAAGAGATTTGGCAGAATATTGGAGGGACAGGAGGATGGAGGTTGGGGGATTTATTTTCCTGATCTCTCCCTGGCTGTGCCCCTACACAACTCTCTTCTATACTACTTTCCCCTTTTGAGTTCCCATAATGATTCCCTCCCCTCATCCCTTCAGCCTTCAGAGTGGTGGTACCTCCTCTGCCTCTGGCGCTAACCTCTGCACTTTCCCTTGTGGTTTTCCTATGCCTCTATTCATAGTCCCTTTGTAAATAAACACATCCTTGAAATATCCTAATGCAAATGTGCTGTTTCCTGTTGAGACCTGGTTGACACAGTTAAAATTCACTTTAGGACCTCAGGAGACACTTTGTCCTTCCAAAATCCAATCTCCAACCACCCTTGAGAAAAACTATTGCTTGAATTATTTTGAGAGAACAAGGTCCGCAATGATCTAGCTCCCTTCTCACCTCTGCACCTCTTATTCATTCCACGCTCAACCAACTGAAATTATCTGAAGTTCTGTAAGCATGGAATGTTATTTTATTTTATTGTGCTTTGGCCTAGGCTAAGGCTGGGACACCCTTGTTCCCACACCCTTCCCCAGAACCTTCCTCTGGTAAACTTCTATTGATTTTTCAGGCCTCAGGTTAAGGACTCTTTCTCAGAAATCTCCCTGTGAGCCCCTCAAGCAGTGTGATGTGCACCCACACCTCCCCACCCTGTTGTACGTACGTCCAGTCCTGCACCTGCCACACTCCTGGAGTGGTTTGTTTTCATGTTTGTCTCCCCAGGACTTTCCTAGCCCTATGCACACAGGGACTGGGGTCTTCTCAGTTCACAATAGCACATGGTTTGCATATTACTAGTATTCAAGAAATATTGGTGGGCCGAATTACATCAAGAATACAATTCATGGCCAGGCGCGGTGGCTCACGCCTGTAATCCCAGGCGTGGGATTACTTTGGGAGGCTGAGGCGGGCGGATCACAAGGTCTGGAGTTCGAGACCAGCCTGACCAACATGGTGAACCCCCAGCTCTACTAAAAATACAAAAATTAGCTGGGCGTGGTGGCATGTGCCTGTAATCCCAGCTACTCGGGAGGCTGAGGTAGGAGAATTGCTTGAATCTGGGAGGCGGAGGTTGCAGTGAGCCGAGATCACACCACTGCACTCCAGCCTGGGCAACAGAGTGAGACTCCATCTCAGAAAAACAAATAAACAAAAAAGAATACAATTCATGTAGGGATAGTGAAGGAGGAGAGAGGCATTGGTAAGGGGAGAAATGAGGTGTTGAATCCTGACCTTTTGCTAGCATGGCCCCAAATACCTTTTACAGCGTAAGAAGAAAAGAGAAAGAAAAAGCTTCAGAGTTAATATCTCAGCTCAAACTGGGTCACCCTAAAGCTGGGGGTTTTCAAATTTCTCTTCTGTCTAGGGAGGCAAACTACATAAACTAATACACTGAACCCTGGCCTGAACAGCCCCAAGGCTTTAATAAATAAAGAGTTGCACTGGGCCAAATAAGAACATAACACTACCAAATGTCCCTATGTCTCAGTTACAACAGTGTTTGGGCTCAGGCCCAAGAGCAGCTCAGAGAACATGAAAGAATTTTTTTGCTTCTTTTAAAATCTTCTTTGATCGAAGAGACAACTTTGGTATTTCCCAAAACAAAAGTGGACATCTCCAGTCTGCTTAAGGCTCCTTCTTGACTCTGGCTTGAAATGAAAGGCTATTTCTGGATCCTTTCTGTCTAAGCTATTCTCTCCTCTGTGGCTTCTCCATTTATTTGGACAACACACAGCTTGTGTTAAAAACATAATTCTGCTGAGTATGGTGGGTCCTTTGTTGACAGGACCTCTCTTATGGAGAAAGAGAGAGTAATTCTTGGGATGAATGGCCCCTACCCCACCATAGAATACTAGAATATTTGGATTAGAAGGTACATTAGAAATTATATAATAATCTCTAATTTTTACAGGTGAGAGAACTAAGGTCTAGCATGGTGATCAAATTTGCCAGTGTCATAGATTAGGGACAAAATTGGTTTAGAATTCTGATATTGTGCTCTATTCATTTAACGCTTTCTGTTACTTTAAATATCTCTAACTTTCAATCCATTCATCAATAAAAAGTTATTTCAAGCATCTGTTAAGTTCTCAATGCCTATCATACCACTATTAAAAAGAAAGCTTAATTTTTACAAACCCATTGCATGGTAGAGACTTCTGTGGTTCACCCACATCCAATTTTCCTTTCCTTCTGGTCACTTGAGATAATTAGACTTCTCTGCCCCACAACATTTGGGAAGGACCACATAACTAGTTCTAACCAATGGGCTGTGAGCGGAAGTGACTTGTGTTGCTTCTCGGCCAAGGCATGATACATCCAGTGTGAGATCTCTAGCACTCTTTTCTCTAGCTGCAGCAACTGAGGAGGTCATTGGTCAAGCCACCATGATGAGCCTGGGTCCTGAGTGACTGTGTGGAGCAGAGCCCTCTGCTGACTCATTGTGAGATATGTAACATGTATGAGAAACTTTTATTGGGTTAAATCACAAAAATTTGGGGGCTGTTTGTTACTGCAGCATAAACCTAATTTGTCCAGGCTGATAGAGCATGAGAAATGATTCATTAATTTACAATAAAGTTTAAATGATTATGGTAGCTCTTTCCCTGGGACATAGTTTTGAAAATCAGCTTATGAGACTGAATAGGACATAGACTCTTTCTTCTATTATTTTATAATTTAGTGCTGGAAAGAGAATGTGTATAAAAGTTATAAGAAAGATTATGAAAATTACCATTGAATAGTGCAGATAATGTGTGATGGGAATGTGGGGGAGAGAGGTGATTCCCTGCTGACAGGAGAAATATGGCAGAATCAATGCTCAACAAGCATTGTTTAAGCTCTTCTCAGATACTAGGTATTGAAAGCAGGGGACTTGAAGGATAGTTTGAACTGAGAATTTCAGAGAAGGGAGGAGATCATTCAATATCTAAATGGAAAGACAATGAAATCTACTTTTATCTATTTTCTTCGCAATTTTACTTTGAGTTTTCTTGAGATTCTGGTATTCATAGTTGAAAACCATTTGGAAACCAAGTCAGAACCCTCAGGCCTCTGTTTTCTGAGAGTATGGAAAAGAATGGAATTAGTGTGGTTGTTTGGAAAAATCCCTAGCCTAATAATCAGACTTCTATCAACGGTGTCATTTGGAGGAAGTTGTTTAATTTATCTGGATCTCACTTTCAATGTCTGTAGGTAAGAAAGATGGCCTGAAACAGTGTTTTCTATGGTGCATGTCTAAACTGTGTTCTATGGAACACTTGTTTCTCAAGACATTTAATGGAAAAAGCTTCTAAAGTCAATAACTTTAGAAAATTCTGCACCCTGCCTACATCTGAGGTCCCCCTCTTGGAGATTCATGGTGTACATTAGCTTATTAAAGACTCTGAGAAGTCCTACCACAAAGACATTGGTTTAGATTTGTTTAACCCAGTATTTCCCAGATTTACTTAACTATAGGTAACTCCCTTCCGCATCCCAGTACTTGTTACCATCACCTGGAATAAGTGTTGTTTGAAACACACCTTGGAAACTGCTGATTGCTGACTGCATGATTCTGTACAATGAAGCTGTTCCCTTAGCTTTCTCACTTCTCACAGCCTCAGCACATTTGTTTCTCACTTAACATTTTCTACAACTCATCTGTGAAGAGCAATATGCAAATAATCATAGGTCAGACCAATGCCTTTGTTCCAGAGTCATTAAAAAGAAATAAGGTGGGTTGGGAAAATAAATATTTTTACATTTGATGATTGTCCTATACTTTCTATAAATTCATTATTTCATGATAGCGTCACAACATTATGGAGACAGAGGAGGGTGAAAGACACTATTATCCTTATCTAATGTGTAAGGCCTCTTAAGGGGTGTCCAGAACTCAAGTTTTTTTCAACTCTTTTTTTTTTTTTTTTGAGACAGAGGCTTGCTCTGTCACCCAGGCTGGAGTGCGGTGGTGTGATCTCGGTTGACTGCAACCTCCGCCTCCTAGGTTCAAGTGATTCTCATGCCTCAGCCTCCCAAGTAGCTGGGACTACATGTGTGCACCACCACGCCCAGCTACTTTTTTGTATTTTTGGTAGAGCGGGGTTTTCACCATGTTGGCCAGGCTGGTCTCGAACTCCTGACCTCAGGTGATCCTCCTGCCGTGGCCTCCGAAGTGCTAGGATTACAGGTATGAGCCACCATGGCTGGCCCGTTTTTTTCAAGTCTTAATTCAGTGCCCCAGGCACTGTATTATGCTCCTAGAAACCAAGGGCGTGGACAATAATGACTCATATATAAAGTGCTCAGTAAACATTTGTTTAATGAATAAATGGTGTCAGGCAGACAGCAAGAAAAGAAGGGAAGGAGATTTACAAATCTAACTTACATTTATTAAATGCTTACTGTGGACGAGCGGATACAGAAATCAAAAACATACTGCTATCTTCACAGAGCTTACAACCCAGTGAGGTAAACAGACAAGTCAGTAATAATAATAACAATGACCAACTCTATTAAACTGCTTATTAATTGCCAAGCCCTGTTCTAAGTGCTTTCTTTGTATATTAACTCATCCGGTCTTCACAATCTAATAAGGTAGGCACTCATCAACCCCATTTTACAGATAAAGAAACTGAGGCACAGACCATTAAGTGCATTATCCAAGGTCACACAGCTAGTAAACATCAGAGCTGGGATTCAAACGCTGAAATTTCAGCTCAGAGTCTGTGTGTTTAGCGCTGGGCTCTCTTGCACCTCCAGGGTGATAAGTGTTAGGATAGATGAGCACAGATATCAGCAAGGGGCTCTGTGAGACCCACAGTTGGAGCAGCTAAGTTAGCAGACAAGGAGGGTCAGGGAAGGCTCTTTGGAGGAGGTTTCAACTTGAGTTGAGTCTTAAAGGTTGGGAAAATAATTCGCCAGGCAGAGATGAAGAAAGGGCTTTCTAGGTGGAGGAGAACACAATATGTTATCTGGAGACAGAAAGCAGCAATTATAAGCAGCTTCGGAAGGCAGAAGTGTGCTATGTGGGGAGGGCAGTGGGGCAGGCCAGACGGGTGAGGCCAGCAAGAGGCAGCTCACAGAGGCTTGTGAGTCCCAAGGGTCCAGGATCTCATGAAGGCACTGGGTGAGGAGGGGAAGCATTGATGGCTTTTAACTAGGGAAGCCACATGCTCAGAGAGTTTATGTTGACTTAGGAGGGATGACCTTGTCATCCAAAAGTTCATTTAAGAAGCTATTGTAGGCCAGGCACGGTGGCTCAAGCTATAATCCTAGCACTTTGGGAGGCCAAGGCAGGAGGATCCCTTGATACAAAGAGTTCAAAACAAACCTGGACAACACAGTAAGACCCCATCTCTACAGAAAAAAATAATAAAAAAAATAAATTAGCCAGATGTGGTGGCATGCACCTGTAGTACCAGCCATTTGGGAGGCTGAGGTGGGAGGATCACTTGAGCCTGGGAGTGCAAGTTTACAGTGAGCTATGACGGTGCCTCTGCACTCCAGCATGGGTGACAGACACAGACCCTGTCTCAAAAAAAAAAAAAAAAAGAAGGAAAAAATAATGAAACATAAGCACTAAAAAGTAAGTAAATAAAAAGAAGCTATTGTAGTAAGTAATGCATATGGGAGGTTATGAAGTCGGAACCAAGAAGGGACAGTGGAAATAAACAAGTGAGGACAGGTGGGACTATAAGGCCATGGGGATGACAGAGGGACAAGAAGAAGATATCAGAGACTAGACAGCCAAGGAAGAGATCTTTGAGGCAGGGTTTCTCAACCTCAGCACCATTGGTATTTTGGGTCAGATAATTCTTTGTTGGCCACGGGGGGATGGGGCTGTCCCCTGCTTCCTACTTATCAGATTTCAGTAGCATCTCCCCGCTCCCTTGCCTCTCCCTCCAGCTGTGACAACCCAGAATGTCTCGAGACACTGCGAAATGTTCAAAGGGGAGTGGTGCAAAATCACCCCCAGCAATGTGTGTGAGTGTGTCGTCTGCAGACCAGCAGCATGGGCATCGTCAGGGAACTCATTAGCAATGCACACTCCAGCATCCCAAACCAGACCTCTCAGTCAGAAACTCCAAGGTGGAGCCTGGCACACTTTGTCTGAATAAGCCCTTCCAGGTGATTTTGACGCTCACTAAAGTTCACAAAATCACCCGTGATTTTGATGCTCACAGGTTCCAGGGAGGAGGGAGGAATCCTTGAGGTCAGATGCTAAGGACAGGGCCAGACATGTCAGGCCTAAAGATGGGGACGTTCTAGGTGGATATTAGGAGAATCCTGGTAACACTGGTAAAGGCAGGGTCAGGAGTGTGTGGGGGCAGAAGTCTCCCTGTCTCAAGTTGGAGGTGGGAAGTGGAGGAAATGGGAACTCTGAGTACAGACCACTTCTTCCTTAAGCTTGGGTATAAAGCCTGGAGTGAAAGCTAGGAGATCATGCAGGGTCCAAGGAAGGGGATTTATTTTTTGGACGAGGGTTGATTATGTGTATAAGTTCAGGCAAAAGAGCCAGTTGGAACAGGGCTTAAATGCTGCAAAAGAAAGAAGGTCTAGGAGAGAGAAGCAGTTCAGATGAAAGTGAAATTTGTGGCCGGGCGCGGTGGCTCACGCCTGTAATCCCAGCACTTTGGGAGGCCGAGGCGGGCGGATCACGAGGTCAGGAGATCGAGACCATCCTGGCTAACACGGTGAAACCCCGTCTCTACTAAAAATACAAAAAAATTAGCCGGGCGTGGTGCCGGGCGCCTGTAGTCCCAGCTGCTCGGGAGGCTGAGGCAGGAGAATGGCGTGAACCCGGGAGGCGGAGCTTGCAGTGAGCCGAGATCGCGCCACTGCACTCCAGCCTGGGCGACAGAGCGAGACTCCGTCTCAAAAAAAAAAAAAAAAAAAAAAAAAAAAGTGAAATTTGTGAATAAATGGTTCAAGACAACAAATAACTCAGTGGCAGAGGCCATGGTGTGGTTGACACCACAGATTCATGGGAGATGTAGGGAAAAATCCATCTTTGGGGTTGAAAGTCAGCCCTGGGAATGAGCCTGGATTCAGGGAGGGTTTCACTGGAGATTCAGGCCTGGCCTACACACATGCAAAATAGCTACCGATGTAGGCCAAGGACAAAGTCCTCAATTTTTGGACATACCAATTAAAAGTTTTCCTTTATTTAATGGGTTTCATTGCTCAAATTAAGAAGCTCTCTTTTTCTACCTCATTGATTCATTTATCTTGCACATAGATCCTGATTCAGTGGTCTGGAAACTCTAAGTTCATAAATCACTATAGAATTCTAGATTCTGGGTATGAGACAGTACCTAAAGAGGTGAACTAGTCCCTCCCCTCTCTTTGGGCAAATAAAGCATTTTTGTGCTCACATTCATAGGCAATTCAACTAAGCTCGCAAGAGAGAAAGAGACTTGCTCAAGGAAACAGAGTGTCATTTTGTTGTTAATACATTAAATAATGAGCTTGATACTGATAGCTCTATAACTGGATATCTGAACATTATCAGAGCATAAACTGTAACTGACAATTTCAGGATGACAAATAAGGATCCTGTTATAAAACAAGTACCGTTGTTGAGAAAACAGCTAATTAATGCTACACAGCAGTAAAAAGCGTGGGGGACCAGAGAGGAAAGTCCTCAGTGTATTTGCTGCACTCCCATTCCCGATGAGGACTTTCTTCCAGTGAGTCATCACACTGGTGCCTCTGAGCCTCTTTTCTGAACCTCAGCTCATTGGATGAGAAGCAGACACCTGACTTAAGCACAGCCAGGAGTTGGCCAGGTGGAAATCTCTTAGCCTGTGCTAACAGACTTCACTGATCACCTGGGCCAATCAGATTCCTTCTGTTTGGACTTTGAACTAGGGCTAAGGTGAGAATGTGGTAAATTGGTAATGGAAGCACCTTAGAGAGAGGAGTGAAAAACTTGTCACACTGACTATGGAGCCTTGGGGTGAAGTTCACTGTGACCTGGGCAGCAGTATTGCCTTGGATTCAGAGCAAGCTCTGAGCTCCTGACCGGAGTCCCAGGCTCTGTGAAGCCCAGTTGCTGAGGGATCCTGGTATGGATGCTGTTTCTGGCATATGCTTGCTCCTGAAGAAGCATAACATTGGGTTTCCAACCAACCAACCAAAACACAACACAACACAACACAACAATCTTCCTTGCTTCCTTTAGGAGTCTCTGTTTCTTGAAACCAGAAGTGTCTGGCCTGGTACCCTGCTCTAGAACTCTTCCTGAAGTGAGGCCAGAGCATCCCAAGCAAAATCTCCAGGTCCCAGTCCATAGGCAACTTCCTGTCAAAGGAATAATTTCAGGAGGAAGGAAGACCACGTGCTCCATGGTTGGTCTCTGTACTGTCAGTATCACGGATGCAATGGCGGTTGGAGAGAATAGGAGTGTCTGTGGAAGAGAAGGTAAGAGGCAGTACATAACCAGCAGAATTCTAGACAGCTTCTAGTAACACACATAGTGCTTTTTCTGCAATTCTGGGTATGTACACTGAGGTAAATCGGATCTGTTCCTTATTCTCAAGAAGCTCACAGTCTAGTGAGAAAACAAATCTACAACCACGTCAATACAATTCAAGGTGATGGGTGCAGTTACAGGCATTACACGTGATTGAGTGTATATGGAGGAGAAGGAAGACCATTCCCAATGGAGTCAAGAGCGCATGTGAAGTCCTAGGGCTGAGGAGGCACGGCAAGCCTGGTGAACAGCACCCAGTGCCCCATGGAAAGGCATAGAATGGGGGAGCAGGGGAGCGCTAGAGATGGATGGGGTGGGAACAGGTCACAAGGGGCCACAACAGAGGTCCCCAAACTTCCTCAGTTCACTGCTCTCTTAGTGCAGCAGACATTTTTTAATAGTGTCCTGAGGCCAAAAGAAATACCTAGCAATTCCATTTATTGAGTAGTTGGGTCTAAACCACTTAAGGGATATTTATGTCCTAATAATTCTAGCCTTTTGTAAACAAAGTATATAAATTGAAACAAAAACTATTATTATTATTATTATTATTATTATTATTATTATTTGAGACAGAGTCTCGCTCGTCGCCCAGGCTGGAGTACACTGGGGCAATCTCAGCTCAATGCAACCTCCACCTCTCGGGTCCAAGCAATTCTCCTATCTCAGCCTCCCAAGTAGCTGGGATAACAGATGTGTGCCACTATGCCCAGCTATTTTTTTTTTTTTTTTTGTATTTTTAGTAGAGACAGGGTTTCACCATGTTGGCCAGCCTGGTCTCGAACTCCTGACCTCAGGTGATCCACCTGCCTCGGCCTCCCAAAGTGCTGGGATTACAGGCATGAGCCACACGCCCAGCCAAAAACGAATATTATTATTTCATTCTTAAATACTCACCATTACTCACCAAGAGGATATGTGTACCTGTTGCACACTGCACAGTTTCTCAAACTTTGGAATTAGATTGGACACTGCCACCCTCATTTCTGCTCCATGTTGAATTTGGGTTGACACTTCCCTTTTACCACAATAACCACCAAAAATTCAGCTTTGAAAAGAGAGGATATTATTGTAAAGAATATAGTTGGGTTTAATGCTGAACTCTGAACTACCTCAGTTCATGAGGTATCTGTCAATGTCAAGTATTGCCGCATTTCCCTCAAAAATTTAAAATATTCCCACTGCCATTGTGAGTTCCCTACAGTGCTCTGAGGCACCCCAGCCCAGTTTGGGAATTCCTGGGCCACTAGTAGCTCTTGGTCTCTGAAACAGAAACAGCAGTGAAACCACAAAATGCAAAACTTGGAGTAAGTACCTGGGGATCCCAAGCAATTGTTTACATTGATAGTGAAAGACAAAGAAAATTCTCAAACATTCTCAAAGCAGATGGAGAAATGAAATACTCAAAGGTAATGATTATAGCAAAGGAGATATTGTGTGCTTGAGAGATTACTATTAATCCTTTGTAAATGATTTTGGTGTTGGTTACCTATTAACAGCCCTCAGTCTGGGTGGGAGGAGTCACCTCTGTGTGGAGGAAGGTGTAGAGTCAAAGCCTGACATCTCGCCCAGGCTTGTGGCTGGGGAGGCAGACCCTGGGTAGCCATTACACTCACCTTTTTGTTGTTTTGTGGGTGGTGTGCTGTGTGTGTGCACTTCTTTACTTGTTTCACACAAGCATAAAGACACTCCGAAGTCCCTGCTGTGAAAACTTTAGCACTCTTACATGCCAATCCCCAGTTTTCAGGACATTATTAGTAGAATTCCAGGCTTTCCAAAGGGCCGTAGCAGCAACAAATGTCAAAGAAGACAGAAGACATGACAAAAAGAAAAAGTCAGCAGGCTGCAAAGGCATAACTTACCCAGAATGGAAAGACCTGTGAGTGAAGGACGTAAAGGACAGAGTGGCTGACCTTTGCCTGCGGGAGACCAGATAGTCAAAGGAGGTGGTGCCATGAAAAGAAAGGGGAATGGGAACCCTAGAGAGAAAGGAGTGTTTTCCTGCCACTTGGAGGCTGGTAACATTATCGAGTCCCTGCCCGTGTTGCCTCTGACAGGAATTGTCTCTCTAGACCACCTGAGGAATGAGTGCAGACACATTCGTAGGAAGAACAGGCAGCTGGCTGCATGGCATAATTAGAAAGTCACAGAAACTCCCCAGCCCTAGATCAAAAATAACCTCCCTACATGCCTACCAACAGTCGGAAATATTCACCATTGTCACAGTGCTTTCGAATTGGGGCACTGCAGCTCTAGGTAGGTTACTCTGTTAAAATAGAAAGGCATTATTTTGGAAGGAAAAAGCATCACCCACCAGTGTTTATCAAAACTTTACCACAGATTAGCTCATTGTTACCAATACGATCTAACAGATTGTTATCTAATCATGTATTTTACTGTATCTTATGTTAGCTAATGCTGCCTAACAGATTAACCCAAAATTTAGTGGCTTAAGATAATAAACATGTATCATCTTACAGTTTCTGCAGCTTAGGAATTTGGGAGCAAATTAGCTGGTGGTTCTAGCTGAGGGTCTCTCATGAAGATGAAGATCCTGGCCGAGGTGCGGTCACATGTAGGCTTGACTGTGGTTGGAGGATCTGCTTCTAAGATGGATCATTCTGGTGGCTTTTGGTAGCAGGCCTCAGTTCCTCACCACATGTGCTCTCCAGGGGGCTGTCTGAGTGTCCTCACAACATGGCTGCTGGGTTCCTTCAAGGATGAGTGATCCAAGGAAGAGAAGCAAGGGGGAAGCTGCAATGCCTGCTATTGGGAGTTATACTTTCTGACTACTAGCAAATGCTATTATTGTTATTTATAATTTATTTATTTATTTATTTATTTTGAGACAGAGTCTTGCTCTGTCCCCCAGGCTGGAGTGCAGTGGCACGATCTCCGCTCACTGCAAGCTCCGCCTCCTGGGTTCACGCCATTCTCCTGCCTCAGCCTCCTGGGACTACAGGCGTCCACCACCTCACCCCAGCTAATTTTTTGTATTTTGTTTAGTAGATACGGGGTTTCACCGTGTTAGCCAGGATGGTCTCGATCTCCTGACCTTGTGATCTGCCCGCCTCGGCCTCCCAAAGTGCTGGGATTATAGGCGTGAGCCACCATGCCCGGCCAGCAAATGCTATTATTATTATTATTTGGACTATCACCCATGCCGGGGTGCAGTGGCATAATTATAGCTCACAGTAGCCTTGATATCCTGGGCACTAGTGATCCTCCTACCTCAGCCTCCTCAGGAGCCAAGACTACACAGCTAATTTTTGTGGGTTTTGTAGATACAGGGTCTTCCTATGTTGGTCATGCTGGTCTTGAACTCCTGGGCTCAAGTGGTCCTTCTGCCTTGGCCACCCAAACTGTTGGGATTACAGGTATAAGCCACCACCCCTAGCCTGGCACATGCGATTGTTAGGATAAAAGTTACTAAGTCCAGACCATACTCAAGGGGAGCGTTACTAAGTTCCATCTCTTCAGTGGAAAAGAACCAAAGTATTTATAGACGTATTTAAAACCCACCACATCTAATCACCTAATAGCCATGAAAAGATGGGAAATGAAACAAGTAATGTTCTGTTAACAGTTTTTTTGAGGTGTAACTGACACACCACACAACTCATTAATATAAGGTGTACATTTCAGTGGTTTTTAATATATCCGCAGTGCTGTACAACAATCACTACTATCTAATTCCAAAATATTTTCAGCAACCCAAAAGAAACCTTGTACCCATCAGTGGTCACTCCTCCTTCTTCCCCATTCCCCCAGCCCTAGGCAACCGCTAACCTATCTTTGGGATAGGCAATTTTTGTTATTGCTGTTGTTGAGACGGAGTCTTGCTCTGTTGCCCAGACTAGAGTGCTGGAGTGCAGTGGTAAGATCTTGGCTTACTGCAACCTCCGCCTCCTGAGTTCAAGCGATTCTCCTGTCTCAGCCTCCCAAGTAGCTGGGATTACAGGCAAGTGCCTCCATGCCCAGCTAATTTTTGTATTTTTGAGTAGAGATGGGGTTTTTCCATGTTGGCCAGGCTGGTCTCAAACTCCTGACCTCAGGTGATCCGCTGTCCTCGGCCTCCCAAAGTGCTGGGATTACAGGCGTGAGCTATTGCACCTGGCCTGGAATAGGTAATTTTTGATAGAAGGTTAGTGAGAAAGAATAAATCAGAACAGATTTCTATCCTGGTCTCCAATCTTGCTAAAACTGATCAGTGGAAGGTAGACAGAAGGCAGAAATAATAGACATGGGGCCAGGCCTCCCTGCATGCTGCAAAGCACAGTCAGAGGTTACCCGGGAACTTCTCACCATCATCGTTAGGTTACAGACACTGCTTAGGAAACTGGGTCTGCCTGGTGGTCTTTAGTGGGATCCCCGAGCAGCCTCTCAGGGGTCCCTAAGACCAGCAACCTGAGGATTCTGGTGACTTGTGGGTGGAAATGGTGGCCCAAATGCACTGCTATGGGTTGAGAGATGCTGTATCTAGAACCAGGTACACCCGTGTTGGGATCCCAGCCGGGCTAGCTTGTGTCCTTAGTTGGGTCATAAAACTTTATTTAAATCAAGGCTTTCTCCAGAGGATGGTACAGGTTTTCATTTTGGTTTCTACCCCTTGCCTACCAGTCCCTGAGACCCACCTGTGGAGCACCAACCTGGGTGTGTTGTGAGAATTAGAGATGCACAGAACATACTTAACCTGTGTACTCTGCACATAGTGTTTCCTTAGTGGAGGATAACTATTACCTCTATTATTCACAAGGTGGCCTGGGATAAACTTGGATTTAGGCTGGGAGCCTTTCAGTTACCTCTGGGGCATTTGCAATAGGAGCTCAGATGAGTCCCTCTTGGTTTCTCTTCCTGAAGCTTGAGACATCCCAGGCCCATTCTTGCCTCCCCTGGGTGGCTTCAAGCTTTCTTTTGAATGAAGGGTGAATCTGAGAAGCTGTTTTGCTCTCACTGCACTTGGAAGTACAGCGAAAGCTTAGAAATACAGTTCTGTAACTTTGTACATTTATATAAAAGTTTGTTT
Source organism: Homo sapiens (assembly GCF_000001405.40). Taxonomy (NCBI): domain Eukaryota; kingdom Metazoa; phylum Chordata; class Mammalia; order Primates; family Hominidae; genus Homo; species Homo sapiens. Next base: position 134,083,942 of record NC_000002.12, on the reverse strand, counting down.
CATTTTAAATGCATACCATTTCACACATAAACATGCACAAATGTGCTGCTTTGCGGTGTTAGCAGAAAATAAAAAATCACTCTACAATCCAAACAAACAGCTTGGCCCAGCTGTGGAGGCAGTGTGGAAGGAAGGCACGTAGCTGACTGGGCTCCCTGCTACCTCTGACCTCCTTCGGGCTCCTGTTCTGGATCTGTGCATGGATGAGAATCATGTTACACCAGCCACAGCCTCCACTGCCTTGCTTGGTGCCACCAGCCCCAGACAAGCCTCAGGGAAGAGAAAAAGGCTGGGGGGAGGAGCTTCAGTTGGAAAAAGGAGAAAACGACCCAGCCGTCTGCCAACTTTCCTCTCAAGGCTGCCATGCCCCTGGCACTACTGGGCACAAATAATTTATATCTGGCCTCGACACCCTTCCTTCATTGCCTTGGGTGGCGACCAGCTCTATGGGAACCCCTTGAGCAGGCCACACTTCTGACCTCCCTGTCTCACTTGGGCACCCATCTGACCACTTACTCACCTCTCTGTGTGTTATTTCCTTCTTAGCACTATCTTTCAAACTCTCTTCTTTGCTTATTCGTTTATCCTGCCCACACCCTGAGAATATAAGCTCCGTAGGGCATGGGGTCGCGTCAGCTTTCCACCCAGCATCCAGGGCCTGGAACCCTGTGGTTCACAGCCGGCACACGGCAATATTGCCAAGAGAGTGAATATATCCATCTAGCACTTAATGTTTTACAAAGACTTCTGTCTCTTGCATTGTCTCACTGGATTCTTCCAAAAACTAGTGAAATAGGCATTTTTTATTGGTGCTGTTTTATAGGTGAGAAAACTGAGGATCTAGGTCCAAGAGTGACTTGTCTAAGGTTGCATAGCAAGAGAAGGAGCCAGAGTTTGAACCAGCTTCTGACTCTAGATCCTTTGTTCCTTCAGTCACACAGTGTGCTTGTCCCCTGTGCCCCATGATGATGTTCTTGCTTCCACGATGTTTCCCTCCCCAACTCCCCCATTTAAATTTAATGAACTATTTATACAATAGGTTTTCCTCAACAGGGTTTTTTTTTCCAATGGGTTTTTTCATCTTTCATGACCATGTCTCATCAAATGGCTATCAAAGATAAAAGTGTTCTTGTTGTCATAAGCTTAGATGCATAATCCTTTCCATGCAATTTTTTTTTACTGACATAAAGAGTTCATTGGAGATAATATGGAATGATCTCTAAAATATAACAAAAAAGCAAGATGCAGAACATTGTATATGGATAAAAGGGGGTGAGGGAGGCAACGTGATTCAGAAATCACACTCCTTGATATTGACCCAAACGAGTTGAAAACCTATGTCTACACAAAAACCTGCACGTGGATACTGATGGCAGCTTTATTCATAATTGCCAAAACTTAGATGCAACCATGACACCCTTCAGTAAGTGAATAGATAAACTCTGGTACATCCAGACAATGGAGTATTATTCAGCACCGAAAAGAAATGAGCTGTCAAGTCAAAAAAAGACACAGAGAAAACTTAAAATGCATATTACTAAATGAAAGAAGCCAACCTGAAAAGGCTACATATTGTAGAAGTCCAGCTACGTGACATTTGTGAAAAGGCAAAACCACAGAGACAGTAGAAAGATCAGTGATTGCCAGGGGTTGGGGTACGGAGGGATGAAAAGGCACAGTACAGGGACTTTTGGGGCAGTGATACCTATGCAATGCTGGATACATGTCATTATATATTTTCCCAAATATCTACAGTGTTCAACAGTAAGAGTGTCCCTAATGTAAACTATGGATTTTGGGTGGTAATGTGGCATCAGTGTAGGTTCATTGACTGTAACAGCATGTACCACTCTGGTGAGGGATGTTGATAAGCATGGAGGCTGTCGGTGTATGGGGCAGAGAGTATATGGGAAGTCTCTGTGCCTTCTGCTCAATTTTGCCATGCATCTAAAACTGACCTAAAGAAGAAATTCCCTTTAAAATAATACAATTAAATTTTAAAAGAAGGGGAGCGGAAACTTATGTATGTTTGCTTATATACGCATTAAATACTTCTGGCAGGGTGTGCAAGAAATTAACTACATTAGTTGGTTCCAGTGAAGGAATTAGGTGTCTGGAGTCAAGGGTGGAAGGAAACCTTTTCACTGTGTACTCTCTCATTCCTTTGCAATTTTACACTATGTGACTATGTTATCTATTCAAAAATAAAATGACTCACTCATAGAAGCCGTGACTGCTCCTAGCAGCTCTCGTGCTAAGGTGTATTGATACAGATGAGCTCTGACTTCTCAGTTTGCGTCTCCCCTGCCTTTTCACCAAAAAGTGGCAGGGCAGCAGGATCCAGGAGGGAACTAGGGTGAGTCCCTACATCAGCTGTCCCACCAAGACACGTACAGACCAGGTGCTGCCTGAAGTGTGGCTCCCACACTGCCAGAGAACGTCCCTCTTGGAGAGCACCAGGCCACACGCTCTGACTCCCTCTCTCCCTCCAGATGCAGAGATGGAACTGGGGCAAGTCCTTGGGGGGAACAGTTGCTTTCTGTGAGCACATTCTCTAAAAGGAAAGCTTTTTCATTTTTTTTTTCCTACCAGTTAATTTGTTGACAGGACTGTGATGAAAAACTCTTGACAAGACCATGCAACACCAGACAAGGCAGGCAAAAGTAGTTGCTGCTCTTTTTTTTAATCTAACTTTTAAACCTGTTCATTCTCCCATCAACTATTGTCTTACCAACTATTTTCCCATGCTGCTACATCCTCAACCCCTCTCTTCTCCTGCCCTTGATGTTAGAACCTGTTTATTCCTCTACTTGGCACCCACCACCAGCACTTTTTTTCTCTTTGAGGACAAAATGGTGAGAATGACTCACACTCAGGATCCCATTTTCCCCTTCTGGTCTGTATCTCCTGCTCTGGACAACTAGCAGGCCTTCCATAGTCTCCTGAATTACAAAGCCAAGCAGCTTGCATGAGGCTTTCGTAATTGATGGCAAGATGTTTCCCTGTTGACTGTGACTGCGTCTTCCCAGGAGGTAAGAGTAAGACTGCAGTCTGACTGCTGCTCAAGGATTCAGAACAACCCCCAGAGGTTCCCTTACCATCAGACGCCCTCTCTCAGGCACTGAAAACATGCACCATTCTCTGAGGGAGTCTTGATTCAAGTAAGGGAGGCGCACATCATACTTTTAAAAACCCAAACATAATAACATAGTGCAATAGCAGCAGAAGCACAAGTGTGCAACTAATTACAGACAGGAAAGCAGATGGCCTCATCCTCATGGAATACATGAAGAAAACCTCCACAAAGCGAGGTGAAATGATGGCTCCGATAGGCCCATGGCAGATGGAAGAAAGCAAGCTGTCTCTTCGGTCCTCCCCACTCTTTCAAGGCTAGCAAAGTCCCCTGTCATTAACATGTCAAAGTCACAGCCATAAACAAAGGAAAAGCTCCCACCTTTTTGGCAACTTCAAATCCTGGGAGGATAAAAGAAGTTAAGTGGAGGAAATGAAATGTTTCTATAACAGTAAATCCTTTTCCCTTCCTGTTTGGGAGCATTCCGCCTAGTGGGGCTCTCTCTGGTTGCGTCTGTCCCACTAAACAAGCTGGGGAAATGGGTTTTTGTTTGTTTGTTTGTTTTTGCATATCTCCTTCACCTCGATTACTGTGGTAAGCATAATCATGGCCCACACACGCGTCCCCGTCCTGGTCCCAGGAGCCTGTGAATGTTATGTTACATGGAAGGGGGAATGAAGGGAGCAGATGGAATGAGATTGTTAATGAGCTAACCTGAAGAAAACGAGGTGGTCCTGGATTATCCTGGCAGTCTCAACATGATCACAGGGTTGTTAAATGTGGCAGAGGAAGGGAGAAGCATCGGTACCAGAGTGCTGCCTTGTGAGAAAGCCTCGGCCACCCACTGCCGGCTTGAAGATGGAAGAGGCTGAGGCCACGACATGCAGGAAGCCTCTAGAAGCTGGAAAAGGCAAGAAGAAGGGTTCTCCCTTATGGCCTCCAGAAGAAATGCAACCTACTGACACCTTGGTATTAGCCCAGTGAGACCTGTATCAGCCTTCCAACCTTCAGAAGGGTGAGATTATCAATCTCTGGGTGGTTTTCAGCCACCACGTTTGTGGTATGTTATTACAGCTGCAACAAGAAATGAATAGAAATAGAAAATTGGGTCCTGCTTGACCCATGACAGGGCAGAGCCTGCCTACAGAACCCTCCTGCTGGGAGTTGGCTCAGAAATCATCTTTATCAAGTGAAGGTGGATCCCACCCACTGGCTCTGAGCTAGGGCAACAGGAAGGTCTGAAAAGGCGTCTCTGACCTTTGGCTTCTAATGTCTTGGGGAAAGATGAGGTGGCACCCAACACTCATAAGAGGAACTGAGAGGAGCACTTGCTTAGAGGCCCAGGCATTCAGCGTTGGAGTCTATCATGGTATGAAAGGACTGGGTGACCTCGGATGGAAGCAGATCGGGCTGGGGCCTGAAGGTTGGAAGCATCTGGAGGGGTAGCATTCAGGTGAAGGATGCTGCCCCACAAGGGGTCCCCATGAGGCTGGAGCACCCTAGAAAGGAGGCTGCTTATCCACTTGTTAGAAAGAATGACCTTGGCCTGAGGAGCTCTCTAACATACAGAGTCTCTCCTGAAACTCTGAATTTCTTGCCAATCGTAAAACTAACCTTGTGGATTCATTAAAAAGGGATAATGACCACTGAATGGTGTGACAAGTACAACTTTAAAAAATGTAGCAGAAACTCATTACTAATTAATGCCTAGAATCAGCTTTTTAAAATCCCTTTCTTCAATGCCCATGAGATACAGAATTGGGCTTTACAAGCTGTTTAATTGTTCCCCTGCAGGAAAGGCGAGGTGCAGTGAATCCAAGCCTCCTTTCACTCTCAACCCTCCACCCTCCCCTGCTGACCCTGTCTTCTTTCCTCAAGAAAACCATGGGGATGAAGCAGGAGAGGGAGGACCAACATTGAGTAGCACCCAGAAAAGCCTATCCTGCTCAGTGGAGGTGAGCCCTGTTTACTGTCCAGGAAATATAACCTGAAAGAGGACATGGTCTGAGACAGGACAGGCTGAGGGGTGAAGGCAGGGCACATGCCACAGATACAGCACTTTTATGAGACATGCTTTGCCTTTTGCTGGAACCCAACCCTTATGCTGGAGCTTCTAGGAGCAGAGATTGCCTCTGTTCACACTTTTCACTCCACTCCAACCCTCTATCCCAAGTGCCAAATACTTGTGCTGGACACAGAAAGAGGTTCCATTAAACGTTTGCTGAATTGTGTGAGGCTGAAAGTGCAGCCAAGGTTCCTGTTTTTCTCTTAGCAGCTGTGACTGAAGGTCTCATTTCCAACAGACTCCAGACCTCTCTGTGTCACAGGAGTTTAAATGACACTGTGTAGCACTAATGTAGTTTGGAGATGATGCAATTAAATGACTGATTCCAATTTGAACAGTATTAGTTGGCTAATGGCCTTTGGGATACAATCCAACTCCTTAGCAAAAAATGATTATGATAACTAAACTTGTCCCCTAGCCCTTCTCACTCCTCCAGCTTATCTTCCTCTCCACTATGTACCCACGGAATGTCTCCTCTGAGCACACCAGATTCTTTTTGGCTGTTCCTCTGGCTGAAATGCCCTCCCTGCCTCTCCCAGTGTCTGGCAAATTCCCCACCTCTCTGGAAAATTCACATTCATTTTCTAAGACTCTGGCTATATCATCTCTGCTAGGGGCTTTTCCTGACACTCTGGGCTGGTTGGGTGCCTCCTGCCCATGGACGCCTAGTTACCAAATACCTGTTTCGGGGACTGTACTAGTTATCTTTATATCATGACAGCCTAGAAAAATTCCTAGCATTTTCAAACAAATGTAGAAAGTTTCCAACAAATGTCTGTTGAATAGCTGTTATTAACAGCTACTATTTATTGAGCCCATTTTCTATGCACAACACCCTATGCTAAGATCTCTATACTGTCTCATTTAGTCATCCCAGCGGTCATGTAAAGCAGGCTTATTTCTCTCATTTTACACACTCAGGGACTTAGGCCTGAGAAACATAAATAATCTGCCCAAAGTTACCTAGCCACCTAGTGAAGGAGCCAACATTGAAACCCAGAAGCTTTTCTTTTTTTGAGATGGAGTTTTGCTCTTTCCCCCAGGCTGGAGTGAAGTGGCGCGATCTCGGCTCACTGCAACCTCCGCTCCCCTGGGTTCAAACGATTCTCCTGCCTCAGCCTCCCGAGTAGCCGGGATTATAGGCAACTGCCATCACACCCAGCTAATTTTTGTATTTTTAGTAGAGACGGGGTTTCGCCATGTTGGCCAGGCTGGTCTCAAACACCAGACCTCAGTCTCCCACAGTGTTAGGATTACAGGCGTGAACCACCACAACCGGCCAGAAGCTTTTTTTTAAATTTTTAAAAATAATAATAATTTCAACTTTTGTTTCGGATTCATAGGGTAAACATGCAAGTTTCTTAAATGAATATATTGCCTGATGCTGAGGTTTGGGGTACGAATGGTCCCACCACCACAGAGTGAGCATAGTACCTACCCAATAGGTGTTTTTCAGCCCTTACCCCCTTCCAGCTCTCCCCCTTCGAGTAGTCTCCAGTGTTTATTGTTCCCGTCTTTATGTCCATGAGCACTCAATGTTTAGTTCCCATTTATGAGTGAGAACATGTAGTGTTTGGTTTTCTGTTCCTGCATTAATTCACTTAGGATAACGGCCTCCAGCTGCATCCATGTTGCTGCAAAGGGTATGATTTCATTCTTTTTATGGCTGCATAGTATTCCATGGTGTATATGTGTATTAGCCTGTTCTTGCACTGCAATAAAGAAATACCTGAGACTGGGTAATTTGTAAAGAAAAGAGGTTCAATTGACTCACAGTTCCACAGGCTGTACAGGAAGCATGGATGAAGATGCCTCGGGAAACTCACAATCATGGTGAAAGATGAAGGGGAAGCAGGCCCATCTTACATGGCCAGAGTAGGAGGCGGGCAGGGAGGTGCTGCACACTTTTAAACAACCAGATCTCATGAGAACTCCACCACAAGATAGCGCTAGGGGGATGGTGCTAAACCATTAAAAACTGTTCCCATGATCTAATTGATGGCAGCAGTGGCCCACCTGGAGTGACCACTGCCATGATGCTGGCTGCAGTGGGGGAGGCAGGGCTGGGGCTGCATGCTCCATGGAGCCGGTGGGAGCTAGGAACAGGTGGAAGCCCCGCCCCCTCCTGAGTTGAAGGGGCAGGAGCCTCATGCACCTCAGGCAGAGCTGCAGATGCAGACCTGGGCATCTCTGCATTCTTGGGGGGTCTGGGAAGCCCTCCTTATACCCACAGGCTCAGAAGTGCTTGCTCCTGCTGCCTGGCCTCTCCCCACTCCCGGTGCCTGCTCTGATCTCAGAGCAAAGTTGAGGATGAGTCTGGGTGCTGTTGCAACCTGGCTGGGTGTGCCCACACTTGGGGCAGTGCTAACACACCAGCCCTCTGCTGCCTCAGCCCCCTCCAGACTTTGGGCACTGACAAGCATGGGAGGGAGGCTGAGAAGGTGCTGAGGGAGGCTCCACAGGGGCCTGCAGGTGCCCCTCAACACAAACAGCCTGAGCAACAGCAGAAAGCAGACAGACTTCTGGGTGGAAAGGGGTGGGTCCTGGGTGAAGCCCCACCTTCAAGCCAGAGACAACCTGAAGCCTGGGGGCTGGACTGATGGACCAGAATGTGAACTTATGATGCATTTTCTGAGCCTGCCCATGGCCATCCATGAACGAATCAGCACACACTTCCTCTTCTCTGAAGCCCATAAAAGCCCAGACTCAGCCAGACTTGAAGAGATGATGGGATGACCTGCCTGTGGAGAGGAGCTACCTACTGCAGGGTCTCCTGTCTGCTACGAGCTGAACATTCGTCGGGATGACCTGCCTGAGGGTCTCCTTTGAGCTGTTTGTCTCTCAGTAAAACTCCTTTTCGCGTTGCTCATCCTATCCTTGTCTGTGCACCTCATTCTTCCTGGACACAGGACAAGAAGTTGAGACCTGCTGAATGGCAGGGCTTAAAGATCTGTAACACAAACAGGGCTGAAACACATCCCTTGCTTGCCACATTGTGGGTGACAAGGAGAGAAGAGAGAAAGAGAGAAGAGCTGTGGCCCTTTGGGGAGCCCAGATCTAGGAGCTCCCCGAGCCAGGACTGTGACAACCTTTTTGAGGCTCTGCAGTTCCTGGTGTCTCCAAGCCTCCAGGCACCACCACATTCCCTGGTGCCAGCAGTGGAAGCTGCTTGTGGTACGCCTGGTCCAGCTGCAGCTTCACAGAGAGCCAGTGTCAGTGCTGGCACTTGGAGCTGCCCACCCCACTGCAGCCTGCATGCCTGGCTGTGTTTAGTGGCCAGACCCCATACTTGCTTGCTCACACACCCCTTGCTCACTCGCTCACACACCCCTCGCTGCTCCATGCCTGGCTTGCCCTTGGCAGGCATGAGATTTGGGCCAGTAGTGCTAGCTGAGTGCAGCCTGCCAGGCCAAGGGGGTGGAACAAGCCCAGTGGCCCTAAGTAAAAACTAGGGTAAAGGCGACACTGGCCACAGAGGTTTCTGGCTGGCAAAGCGACACTCCAAGTATCCTGTGATGCAATTACCTCCTACCAGGCCCTACCTCCAACACTGGGGATTACAATCCAATATGAGATTTGGATGGGGACACAGAGTCAAACCATATCAATAGGTACCACATTTTCTTGATCCAGTTCACCACTGATGGGTACCTAGGTTGATTCCATGTCTTTGCTATTGTGAATGATGCTGTGATGAACATACATGTGCATGTATCTTTTTTCTAGAATAACTTTTTTTCCTTTGGGTATATACCCAGTAATGGGGAAATTCAGAAGCTTATCTGATTCTCTGTGGGGTCTTCTAACGTTCCAAACATGGTAATAACTATAGCTTTAGCTTAAAATAGAAAATATTTGGGTGGTAGATTACATTATTTTTCCCACTTGCCCTTCAGCGCACACTCTTGTCATGTGAGTTTGTGGTTCCACCACGGACAGTAGGGTTTATTGTTTGGCTCCATTGATGTTAGGTTTGGCCGTGTGATTTGCTTTGGCCAAAGGAATGTTAGTGGGTGTGAAGCAGACGTAGGCTTTACATCTACCAGTGGGGTTGGGCTTGTTCATTTGTGCTTGTGCTTTTCCCCACACAGGAAGACCAGACCTCTGGAAGCTGCTGATCTGAGGAGAATGAGAGACAAGTAGAGTAGACCTCGTCTCAACCCACGGCTTGAATGCCAAACTAGCTGAGGTCAACCCAGGTTCATCAAATCTCTAACAACACAAATACCTGAGGAAGAACGAATACATTTGTTATACCATTGAGTTTCCAGATTGCTTCTTATGCAGTATATTTTTGGTAATAGCTGATAACTACGGTTAAGAAAGTAACATTAGGGACATAAATAATAATATGAGAACAATATTTCCCTCCCAGTGAGGGCTGAAATAAGGCCTCTATCTTTTAGATACATAGAAGACAGAATTTGTTGATGGTATCTGTGTTGTCCTAGATTGGTTAATTGGGGGAACACTGGAAAATTTTGTTTCTGGATAGCTTAATGAAGAGTCATCTTTCTGGGATAATTTCTTGCAGAGACTCAGATGTGCTAGGAGAATAAGCTAGAGGTCTTTGAAAAATCCCTTAAAGCCCAGCACATTTTGCTGGCTTGTGATGATTTAGAAAAGGAGTTTAAAAGATTTTGAAGTCAGAAATACGCAATTAGATAGAAAATTTAGCTTGAGCCTGGGAAGTTGACGCTGCAGTGAGCTGTGATTATGCCACTACACTCCAGGGTGGGCGACAGAGTGAGACTCTGCCTCACCAAAAAAATAATAAAATAAAATAAAATAAAATAAAATAAAATAAAATAAAATAAAATAAACTGGCAACATTTTGATTCTGTGACTAAATTGTACCGTTTACTTCCTGGCAAGGTTGCTTTTAGGTGCACCTGTATCCCTCTGTGGTTAAGGAAGAAGTATAGGAGGGGCCAAAAAAAAAAAAAAAAGGATTTGGATTCAGAAACAATATGCCCCCAGGGACTTAGAATATGCAAGCTTCCAGGATATTTGCATCACCCCACACACCTCCATCAAAATCTGTGCCTTCTAGGAAGTTTCTCCTGAATTCTGGGCTTAAAAAACACCATCCCTGGACACCCCTGGAGAGGGATGTCAACCTGAGAGAGGTCGGGTTCATTCCAGTTTTCTCTTCTTGCAGCTTGGTCTTGGCCTCTCCTGAAGCTGCGTCAGCTCAGACACGAGGAGGGAGAATGAATGTCCGCAGTCAACCATGGCAGGCCATGGAAGCATCAATGGTATAATAATTGCGTCACTACCAGTGATTCTTTTGATAGTAATTTTAATGTTGATGAACTCACCGGGGTTAGAGATAGAGATCCTTGGCACTTCTGGAGCCTTTCTTTCACTACTGTAATTTTTCTTTAATTAATTGAAGGAATTATTCTCCCTCCAAGCCCTCAAATGTAATGAGTGAAAGTATTAAAAAGAATTGTTAAGATTTGTAGCAATACAGTCTGACCTACTTTGGAGCAAGCACATTCTGGGAAGGCAAGGTGCCCAGATTTCAACTATCTGTTTTCTTTGTGTCTAAATCCTTCACTCTTTTAGTTAAGAAAGGCCAAAGACAGACATTATTTCATTGAGATTTAGAAAATTTCATTTTCCGTGGCTGGTGATAGACTCATAAGCTTCCTTCCCATATGGGTGAAAGTCATTACGTAAAGGAAGAGCTTTTGTAGCTGGGTCAAGAGAGCAGTGTTAATTTCAGCTTTGTTAAAAAAAAAAAAAAAACTCAGGGCAAAAATTTTGGCACTTGCTAAAGCAGGCCAAAATTGGAGGGATAAACATTAAGCTTTTTCAGAGGATCTTAAAAACAGAAAGAGAGGATAAAACTTCAAATGAATAAATGTTACTTGATGGTGTTGCTTGAATTCTTCAAGAATATTCTCTTAAAAAACAGCTATTAAAAAACTTGAGGCAATGATAAAAAAAAATTGTTCCTAATTCAGGCAATTAGTCAAATGTTTCAGAAGAACTTTAGCATCTATAACATTTTTCATTTAATGATCAAAAAGACAAAGAAAGAGTTAGACTTCACCTTTTTTCAATCAATAAATGTCTGAGTATATGACCTTCTATCTCCTACAGGCCTCAGAGCTCCTCCAGGAAAGGAGTTTGGGAATTGATCACAGGGGGAGTTGGGAGCACAGTTTCTCCTGGAATTTTTTTTCCCTCTTCTATTTTCAGCAGGGGTTTTCCTACATGTATTTCCACCTGCCAAGTTGTTCTGGGTCCAACTCATTCATTCCACTACTGCTGTTTCCTTTCCACCCTCTCCAGGATGGCATAACACAAATTTAGTAACTGCAGAACTGTACCCAGAATCTATGCATATCTGGGGAACAGCTCACGATCACAGGCTACTTAGCTTAGTGAGCTCAGCCCAGGAAAAATTAGGTACAATATTCTTGTGCAAGAATATTCATTGCTGTGCCTCTGTGGTGGTAAAACATGTCCTAAATGTTCACAAACCTGAGAATAGGTAAATATATTGTGACACGTTCATAGTCTGGAATATTCTTGATGTTAAAATGTAGGTGAATCTTTAAAAGCATTGAGTGAAACAAAAAAAGTTGCAAAAGGGTCCCAAAGTATGATAGCAAGTATATGTAGTTTAAAATGTGAAAACATATAATTTCAGCCGGGCATGGTGGCTCATGCTTGTAATCCCAGCACTTCAGGAGGCTGAGGCAGGCGAATCACCTGAGGTCAGGAGTTCGAGACCAGCCTGGCCAACATGGTGACACCCCTCGTCTCTACCAAAAATACAAAAATTAGCCAGATGTGGTGGTGCACACTTGCAATTCCAGGTGCGCGGGAGGCTGAGGCGGGAGAATTGCTTGAACTTGGGAGGTGGCGGTTGCAGTGAGATGAGATTGTGCCATTGCACTCCAGCCTGGGTGACAGCCTGGGTGACAAGAGTGAAACTACATCTCAATTTAAAAAAAATATGATTTTTTGTATGCATATGCAATAAAGATATGAAAATTTCTGTGGCATGAAGACCAAAAACTTGGGACTGTGGTCACTATTTAGGGGGAGGTGAGGAGGAAGGGTGAGAAATGGGAAGGGGAACTGAGGAAGTTCAGAGATATTTTTATTTCTGAAGTTGAGTGGGGGAAACAAAGTATTTATCTTCTTGGATTATACTTTTTTGTATGCCTGAAAAAAAACTTCATTATAATAAAAGGAGAGAAAGGAGCAAGCATGAGGGCCTAGGCCTGCGTTCCTGTCTCAGGGCTGCCCCTCACAAGCCACTGCCTCCACTCTCTAGGTCTCTGTGTTCTCCCCCAGGGGGTGGAAAGAGGTGGACCTGAAAGTCTAGGATTTTAGGCACTGGCCTGCAGGTAAGAGACAAGCGCACTTGTTTGTCAGCATCCTCCCAGGGCTGTATCTTGATGGCAGGGTGAGGGAAGGAGTAAAAACCTAAGGTGACTGGTTATGACCCCAGATGACTGGCATGCCTGAGAAACTTTTTTAAAAGCTGCAGCCCCCACTGGAGGGGACTTTTCATTCTGAAATTCTTCTAGAGAAAAAAAAGATCCCACCATTTCTCTGGGTAGCCCACCTTGGTAAATGGCAATCACTGCTAAGGAGTTCAGAGCACGCGGAAATCAAGCTGCCATCAGCCCCTTTCCCTTTGGCATTTTTACATGAATAGATTCATGCACTTAGGTAAAGGTCACACATGGAAAATGCCACAAAAACAGTATTTTTTTTAAGAACACTTAATGACTTGACAATACATCCATGATAAATGAAGTTAAATGACAAAGGAGGATATATATATATATATATACATATATATGGTATGATCCCAATTCTGTACACACACACACACACACACACACACACACACACACACACTCACACATGACTGGAAGGAAGTGCACCTAAGCGGTGGGATTATGGGTAATTTAAATTTTCTTCTTCATACTTAAATTATTTTTTTCAATTTTTCTATAATAAGCATTCATTGTTGTTATAACCAGGCTATCTATGTATGTATCTGCATGACTATATATTTTTCAATGTGGTTTGTTTTGCTGGAAGCCACATTCCTCTGCCCAACCTCCTGGCCCCAGCAGAGTGGAGGAGCCTATGCAGGCTGAATCAGTTGGCAGGGATGGAGAGCGACGTTCGCTGACGGTCATTCATACACCAAGCCACATTTTCAAAAGCTTGATCTCAAGAAGGCTTTTGAAGCTCCAGTTGGCGCATTGCAAAGGAATAAGCACATTGCCAGAATGGATTCAGACATTTCCAGAGAGTTATAGAGTGGAACAAAGCTGGTTTTGATTGCCAGCATGAAGCCTCTGTCCAGAGGATGATAATGTTTCCTTAGGCAGCTCAATAGCCCAAAACCGGATGTGAGACATCCCTTAAAACCAAAGATCTCTATGCTGGTCTGCTCAGGCAACATAACAAAATACCACAGAGTGCATGGTTTAAACAACAGACATTTATTTTCTCACAGTTCTGGAGGCTGAGAAGTCCAAGATCAAGGGGCCAGCAGGGCTTGGTTTCAGGTGAGGGTTCTCTTCTTGGCTTGCAGATGGCTGCCTTCTTGTTGCATCCTCACGTGGCCTTTCCTTGGTATGTGTGCGGGAAGGAAGAGGGTCAGCTCTCTGGTGTCTCTTCTTATAAGGGCACTAATCCTGTCAGTTCAGGCCCCCACCCTTATGGTCTCATTTAATCTTAATTACCTTCTGAAGGCCTCCTCATTTCCAAATACAGACATGTGCCTCATAACAATGGTTTGGTCAATAATGAACAACATATGCAATGGTAGTCTCACATTATAATGCTATACTTTAGTAGGCTATGCCATCTAGGTTTGTGTAAGCACACTCTGCAATGTCACTATGATAAAACTTCCTGGTGATGCGTTTCTCAGAATGTATCCCCATTGCTAAGCAGTGCATGATTGTACAGTCACATGAAGGGTTAGGGCTTCAACATATGAATTTTGGGGAGGATACAATTTAGTCCATAGCACTAGGATGAATTTGAGAGAGAGCCCAGTATGCCTGTTCTCTGTGGGATCAGACTGCCAAAGCCCTCACCATGGCTGCCCCTGTAGAGGTGAATTCTTTGAAGAACAGCAGTGAAAAGGGCACAGGTCTATGTGGCGGTAGATGAGGAGTAGACAACAGTTGTGGGAAGACACAGTGACATTTGGTGGCGAGGGCATCTGTAAGGGAATGCCACTGGCATTCTTTTTTTTTTGAGACAGAGTCTCACTCTGTTGCTCGGCTGGAGTGCAGTGGTGCTATCTCAGCTCACTGCAACCTCTGCCTCCCAGGATCAAGTGATTCTCCTGCCTCGGCCTTCCAAGCAGCTGGGACTATAGGCGTGCACCACCATGCCTGGCTAATTTTTGTATTTTAGTAGAGAAAAGGTTTCACTGTGTTGGCCAGGCTGGTCTCAAACTCCTGACCTCAGGTGATACGCCTGCCTTGGCCTCTCAAAGTGCTAGGGTTACAGGTGTGAGCCACCATGCCTGGCTGCCACTGGCATTCCTAATAAACCACCACCCAATCCTATAAGGTTGGAAGTAAAGGGAGAAACTCCAAGTGTGTGGGACTGGTTGGAAATTGGGACCCAAAGATTTATTCTTGTTTCTAAAAATCTCTCCCAGCTTGCTACTGACACTCATCATGATGGTCTAGGGGATTTCTGTTGTCTCTTAACAATCCCATTACCAAAGGTATCCCCGACTTTCTTTTCTCTGTTCCCTGATGTATACAAGGGCTTTTTTTCTTTTCTTTCCTTTTATTTTTTCTCTTTTCCTTCCCTTCCCTTCCCCTCTTTCCCTTTCCCTTTCCTTTTCCCTTTCCCTTCCTTCCTTTCCATTTCCCTTTCTCTCTCTCTCCTTTCTTTCTTTCTTTCTTTCTTTCTTTCTTTCTTTCTTTCTTTCTTTCTTTCTTTCTTTCTTTTTCTTCCTTTCTTCCTTCCTTTCTTTCTCTCTTTCTTTCTTCTTTCTTTTTTGAGACAGAGTTTTGGTCTGTCACCCAAGCTGGAGTGGAGTGGCACAAACTTGGGTCACTGCAACCTCCTATGCTATCTTGGACACCCAGGGTTGACTTATTCTCAGACTGACTCATCTGGGAGGCTCCTTGGTTGACAACTCAGGGTATTTACTCAGTGTTACCTCTTACAATGCTGTTCTTGAAAAAGCAAATAACCAGTTGCGGGAGACTGGTTAAGAAGGTGGCTGTGGAATGAGCCTGGATTGGGGTTGATTTCTGCAGGTGTCTGTCACTGTATTAGGTCTATTATTAATACTAACCTGTGACTGCTAGTAGCCATGGAGAGGCCTACCATTCTTGTGTTAGAATGACAGTAGGCTTCAAATGATCCAGGACTAGTCAAGCATCTGAACACATACTAGGCTGTCCAAAAATTACTTGTTGAATATATACATGAACAAAGCGGCCAGTCAGGATGTTCCTATATCATCATCAACTGTGATAATAGTTAATATTTATTGTGTATTTACTATATGGCTTGAACTTTTGAAACTACTTTTGAAAGGGAAAGTCATTCCTAAATTAAAAGTCCTCAAAAGTCATGTAATCCAGTGATCTCACCTACGAGACTTAGGGTTGTCCATATTATCTCAGAGGGTTTGGGTGGGAATAATTAGGAGGAAGATGAAAGCCCCAGAGCTGGGGCTCAAGCCCTGCTTCAATTAAACCAGCAACACTTTTATCTATCTTCTGTACTGATAGTGTTAAATATATGTATATTTAACAATGTATTTTAGCAATGACATATATATTAGATACCTAATTAGATATATATATCTAATATATATAATTAGAAACAGGGTTTCATTGCTAAAACAATATATTTAGGCAATCCACATACTTTGATCACTATGTATAATATAATATATAATATATAATATATATTTTATTTTCATTTTTATTTATTTATTTATTTTTTATTTTTATTTTTATTTTTTATTATACTTTAAGTTTTAGGGTACATGTGCACAATGTGCAGGTTTGTTACATATGTATACATGTGCCATGTTGGTGTGCTGCACCCATTAACTCATCATTTAGCATTGGGTATATCTCCTAATGCTATCCCTCCCCCCTCCCACCACCCCACAACAGTCCCCGGTGTGTGATGTTCCCCTTCCTGTGTCCATGTGTTCTCATTGTTCAATTCCCACCTATGAGTGAGAACATGCGGTGTTTGGTTTTTTGTCCTTGGGACAGTTTGCTGAGAATGATGGTTTCCAGTTTCATCCATGTCCCTACAAAGGACACGAACTCATCATTTTTTATGGCTGCATAGTATTCCATGGTGTATACATGCCACATTTTCTTAATCCAGTCTATCCTTGTTGGACATTTGGGTTGGTTCGAAGTCTTTGCTATTGTGAATAGTGCCGCAATAAACGTACGTGTGCATGTGTCTTTATAGCAGCATGATTTACAATCCTTTGGGTATATACCCAGTAATGGGATGGCTGGGTCAAATGGTATTTCTAGTTCTAGATCCCTGAGGAATCGCCACACTGACTTCCACAGTGGTTGAACTAGTTTCCAGTCCCACCAACAGTGTAAAAGTGTTCCTATTTCTCCACATGCTCTCCAGCACCTGTTGTTTCCTGACTTTTTAATGATCGCCATTCTAACTGGTGTGAGATGGTATCTCATTGTGGTTTTGATTTGCATTTCTCTGATGGCCAGTGATGATGAGCATTTTTTCATGTGTCTTTTGGCTGCATAAATGTCTTCTTTTGAGAAGTGTATGTTCATATCCTTTGCCCACTTTTTGATGGCGTTGTTTGTTTTTTTCTTGTAAATTTGTTTGAGTTCTTTGTAGATTCTGGATATCAGCCCTTTGTCAGATGAGTAAGTTGCAAAAATTTTCTCCCATTCTGTAGGTTGCCTGTTCACTCTGAAGGTAGTTTCTTTTCCCAGCACCATTTATTAAATAGGGAATCCTTTCCCCATTTCTTGTTTTTGTCAGATTTGTCAAAGACCAGATAGTTGTAAATATGTGGCATTATTTCTGAGGTCTCTGTTCTGTTCCATTGGTCTATATCTCTGTTTTGGTACCAGTACCATGATGTTTTGGTTACTGTAGCCTTGTAGTATAGTTTGAAGTCAGGTAGCGTGATGCCTCCAGCTTTGTTCTTTTGGCTTAGGACTGATTTGGCAATGCAGGCTCTTTTTTGGTTCCATATGAACTTTAAAGTAGTTTTTTCCAATTCTGTGAAGAAAGTCATTGGTAGCTTGATGGAGATGGCATTGAATCTATAAGTTACCTTGGGCAGTATGGCCATTTTCACAATATTGATTCTTCCTATCCATGAGCATGGAATGTTCTTCCATTTGTTTGTATCCTCTTTTATTTCATTGAGCAGTGGTTTGTTAGTTCTCCTTGAAGAGGTCCTTCACATCCCTTGTAAGTTGGATTCCTAGGTATTTTATTCCCTTTGAAGAAGTTGTGAATGGGAGTTTACTCATGATTTGGCTCTCTGTTTGTCTGTTATTGGTGTATAAGAATGTTTGTGATTTTTGCACATTGATTTTGTATCCTGAGACTTTGCTGAAGTTGCCTATCAGCTTAAGGAGATTTTGGGCTGAGATGATGGGGTTTTCTAGATGTACAATCATGTCATCTGCAAACAGGGACAATTTGACAATTTGACTTCCTCTTTTCCTAATAGAATACCCTTTATTTCCTTCTCCTGCCTTATTGCCCTGGCCAGAACTTCCAACACTATGTTGAATAGGAGTGGTGAGAGAGGGTATCCCTCTCTTGTGCCAGTTTTCAATGGGAACGCTTCCAGTTTTTGTCCATTCAGGATGATATTGGCTGTCGGTTTGTCATAGATAGCTCTTATTATTTTGAGATGTGTCCCATCAATACCTAATGTATTGAGAGTTTTTAGCATGAAGGGTTGTTGAATTTTGTCAAAGGCCTTTTCTGCATCTGTTGAGATAATCATGTGGTTTTTGTCTTTGATTCTGTTTATATGCTGCATTATGTTTATTGATTTTTGTATGTTGAACCAGCCTTGCATCCCAGGGATGAGGCCCACTTGATCACGGTGGATAAGCTTTTTGATGTGCTGCTGGATTTGGTTTGTCAGTATTTTATTGAGGATTTTTGCATCGATGTTTACCAGGGATATTGGTCTAAAATTCTCTTTGTTGTGTCTCTGCCAGGCTTTGGTATCAGGATGATGCTGGCCTCATAAAATGAGTTAGGGAGAGTTCCCTCTTTTTCTATTGATTGGAATAGTTTCAGAAGGAATGGTACCAGCTCCTCCTTGTACCTCTCGTAGAATTTGGCTGTGAATCCATCTGGTCCTGGACTTTTTTTGGTTGGTAAGCTATTAATTATTGCCTCAACTTCAGAGCCTGTTATTGGTCTATTCAGAGATTCAGCTTCTTCCTGGTTTAGTCTTGGGAGGGTGTATGTGTCGAGGAATTTATCCATTTCTCCTAGATTTTCTAGTTCATTTGTGTAGAGGTGTTTACAGTATTCTCCTATGGTAGTTTGTATTTCTGTGGGATCGGTGATGATATCCCCTTTATCATTTTTTATTGCGTCTATTTGATTCTTCTCTCTTTTCTTCTTTATTAGTATTGCTAGTGGTCTATCAATTCTGTTGATCTTTTCAAAAAACCAGCTCCTGGATTCATTGATTTTTTGAAGGGTTTTTTTGTGTCTCTATTTCCTTCAGTTCTGCCCTGATCTTAGTTATTTCTTGCCTTCTGCCAGCTTTTGAATGTGTTTGCTCTAGCTTCTCTAGTTCTTTTTTTTTTTTCATTTTTTTTTTTTTTTTATTGATCGTTCTTGGGTGATCAGAGGGGGATTTGGCAGGGTCACAGGACAATAGTGGAGGGAAGGTCAGCAGATAAACAAGTGAACAAAGGTCTCTGGTTTTCCTAGGCAGAGGACCCTGGGGCCTTCCACAGTGTTTGTGTCCCTGGGTACTTGAGATTAGGGAGTGGTGATGACTCTTAACGAGCATGCTGCCTTCAAGCATCTGTTTAACAAAGCACATCTTGCACCGCCCTTAATCCATTCAACCCTGAGTGGACACAGCACTTGTTTCAGAGAGCACAGGGCTGGGGGTAAGGTCAAAGATCAACAGGATCCCAAGACAGAAGAATTTTTCTTAGTACAGAACAAAATGAAAAGTCTCCCATGTCTACCTCTTTCTACACATAGACACGGCAACCATCCGATTTCTCAATCTTTTCCCCACCTTTCCCCCCTTCCTATTCCACAAAACCGCCATTATCATCATGGCCCGTTCTCAATGAGCTGTTGGGTACACCTCCCAGACGGGGTGGTGGCCGGGCAGAGAGGCTCCTCACTTCCCAGTAGGGGCGGCCGGGCAGAGGCGTCCCTCACCTCCCGGACGGGGCAGCTGGCCGGGTGGGGGCTGACCCCCCCACCTCCCTCCCGGACAGGGCGGCTGACCGGGCTGGGGGCTGACCCCCCCACCTCCCTCCCAGATGGGGCGGCTGGCCGGGCGGGGGGCTGACCCCCCCACCTCCCTCCCGGACGGGGTGGCTGGCCTGGCGGGGGCTGACCCCCACCTCCCTCCCGGACGGGGTGGCTGCCGGGTGGAGATGCTCCTCACTTCCCAGAAGGGGTGGCTGCCGGGCGGAGGGTCTCCTCACTTCTCAGACGGGGCGGCCGGGCAGAGACGGTCCTCACCTCCCAGACGGGGTCGCGGCCGGGCAGAGGTGCTCCTCACATCCCAGATGGGGCGGCGGGGCAGAGGCGCTCCCCACATCCCAGACGATGGGCGGCCGGGAAGAGGTGCTCCTCACTTCCCAGATGGGATGGCGGCTGGGCAGAGACGCTCCCCACTTTCCAGACTGGGCAGCCAGGCAGAGGGGCTCCTCACATCCCAGACGATGGGCGGGCAGGCAGAGACGCTCCTCACCTCCCAGACGGGGTGGCGGCCAGGCAGAGGCTGCAATCTTGGCATTTTGGGAGGCCAAGGCAGGCGGCTGGGAGGTGGAGGCCGTAGCGAGCAGAGATCACGCCACTGCACTCCAGCCTGGGCACCATTGAGCACTGAGTGAACGAGGCTCTGTCTGCAATCCGGGCACCTCCGGAGGCCGAGGCTGGTGGATCACTCGCGGTTAGGAGCTGGACACCTGCCCGGCCAACACAGCGAAACCCCGTCTCCCCCAAAAAAACACGAAAACCAGTCAGGTGTGGCGGCGTGCGCCCGCAATGGCAGGCACTCGGCAGGCTGAGGCAGGAGAATCAGGCAGGAGGTTGCAGTGAGCCGAGATGGCAGCAGTACAGTCCAGCTTCAGCTCGGCATCGGAGGGAGACCGCGGAAAGAGAGGGAGAGGGAGACCCTGGGGAGAGGGAGATGGGAGAGGGAGACGGGAGAGGGAGAGGGAGAGGGAGAGGGAGAGCACTTCTCTAGTTCTTTTAATTGTGATGTTAGGTTGTCAATTTTAGATCTTTTCTGTTTTCTCTTGTGGGTATTTATTGCTATAAATTTCTCTCTATACACTGCTTTGAATGTGTCCCAGAGATTCTGGTATGTTGTGTCTTTGTTCTCACTGGTTTCAAAAAACATCTTTATTTCTGCCTTCATTTCGTTATTTACCCAGTAGTCATTCAGGAGCAGGTTGTTCAGTTTCCACGTAGTTGAGTGGTTTTGAGTGAGTTTCTTAATCCTGAGTTCTAGTTTGATTGTACTTGGTCTGAGAGACAGTTTGTTATAATTTCTATTCTTTTACATTTGCTGAGGAGTGCTTTACTTCCAACTGTGTGGTCAATTTTGGAATAGGTGTGGTGTGGTGCTGAAAAGAATGTATATTCTGTTGATTTGGGGTGGAGAGTTCTGTAGATGTCTATTAGGTCTGCATGGTGCAGAGCTGAGGTCAATTCCTGGATAGCCTTGTTAACTTTCTGTCTCGTTGATCTGTCTAACGTTGACAGTGGGGTGTTAAACTCTCCCATTATTATTGTGTGGGAGTCTAAGTCTCTTTATAGGTCTCTAAGGACTTGCTTTATGAATCTGGGTCCTCCTGTATTGGGTGCATCTATATTTAGGATAGTTAGCTCTTCTTGTTGAATTGATCCCTTTACCA
The DNA here is from genome assembly GCF_000001405.40 of Homo sapiens. Classification (NCBI taxonomy): domain Eukaryota; kingdom Metazoa; phylum Chordata; class Mammalia; order Primates; family Hominidae; genus Homo; species Homo sapiens. The sequence continues at coordinate 134,062,674 of NC_000002.12, read as the reverse complement.
TTATGTCATGGCCTTCTTTGTCTCTTTTGATCTTTGTTGGTTTAAAGTCTGTTTCATCCGAGACTAGGAGTGCAACCCCTGCCCTTTTTTGTTTTCCATTTGCTTGGTAGATCTTCCTCCATCCCTTTATTTTGAGCCTATGTGTGTCTCTGCATGTGAGATGGGTTTCCTGAATACAGCACACTGATGGGTCTTGACTGTTTATCCAATTTGCCAGTCTGTGTCTTTTAATTGGAGAATTTAACCCATTTACATTTAAGATTAATATTGTTATGTGTGAATTTGATCCTGTCATTATGATGTTAGCTGGTTATTTTGCTCGTTAGTTGATGCAGTTTCTTCCTAACCTCGATGGTCTTTACAATTTGGCATGTTTTTGCAGTGGCTGGTACTGGTTGTTCCTTTCCATGTTGAGTGCTTCCTTCAGGAGCTCTTTTAGGGCAGACCTGGTGGAGACAAAAGCTCTCAGGATTTGCTTGTCTGTAAAGGATTTTATTTCTCCTTCACTTATGAAGCTTAGTTTGGCTGGATATGAAATTCTGGGTTGAAAATTCTTGTCTTTAAGAATGTTGAATATTGGCCCCCACTCTCTTCTGGCTTGTAGAGTTTCTGCCGAGAGATCACCTGTTAGTCTGACGGGCTTCCCTTTTTGGGTAACCCGACATTTCTCTCTGGCTGCCCTTAACATTTTTTCCTTCATTTCAACTTTGGTGAATCTGACAATTATGTGTCTTGGAGTTGCTCTTCTCGAGGAGTATCTTTGTGGCATTCTCTGTATTTCTTGAATGTGAATGTTGGCCTGTCTTGCTAGATTGGGGAAGTTCTCCTGGATAATATCCTGCAGAGTGTTTTCCAACTTGGTTCCATTCTCCCCGTCACTTTCATGTACAACAATCAGTTGTAGATGTGGTCTTTGCACATAGTACCATATTTCTTGGAGGCTGTGTTTGTTTCTTTTTATTCTTTTTTCTCTAAACTTCTCTTCTCACTTCATTTCATTCATTTCATCTCTCATCACTGGTACCCTTTTTTCCAGTTGATCAAATCAGCTACTGAGGCTTGTGCATTCGTGTCACATAGTTCTCATGCCATGGTTTTCAGCTCCATCACGTCCTTTAAGGTCTTCTCTGCGCTGGTTATTCTAGTTAGCCATTTGTGTAATTTTTTTTCAAGGTTTTTAACTTCTTTGCCATGGGTTTGAACTTCCTCCTTTAGCTCAGAGTAATCTTGATCTTCTGAAGCCTTCTTCTCTCAACTCGTCAAAGTCATTCTCCGTCCAGCTTTGTTCCGTTGCTGGTGAGAAGCTGTGTTCCTTTGGAGGAGGAGAGGTGCTCTGATTTTTAGAGTTTCCAGTTTTTCTGCTCTGTTTTTTCCCCGCCTTTGTGGTTTTATCTACCTTTGGTCTTTGATGATGGTGACGTACAGATGTGGTTTTGGTGTGGATATCCTTTCTGTTTGTTAGTTTTGCTTTTAACACTCGTTACCCTGAGCTCCAGGTCTGTTGGAGTTTGCTGGAGGTCCACTCCAGACCCTGTTTGCCTGGGTATCAGCAGCGGAGGCTGCTGAACAGCAGATATTGGTGAACAGCAAATGTTGCTGCCTGATCGTTCCTCTGGAAGTTTTGTCTCAGAGGAGTACCTGGTCGTGTGAGGTGTCAGTCTGCCCCTACTGGGGCATGCCTCCCAGTTAGGCTACTCAGGGGACAGGGACCCACTTGAAGAGGCAGGCTGTCCGTTCTCAGATCTCAAGCTGCATGCTGGGAGAACCACTACTCTCTTCAAAGCTGTCAGACAGGGACATTTAAGTCTGCAGAGATTTCTGTTGCCTTTTGTTTGGCTATGCCCTGCTTGCAGAGGTGGAGTCTACAGAGTCAGGCAGGCCTCCTTGAGCTAAGGTGGACTCCACCAAGTTCGAGCTTCCAGGCCGCTTTGTTTACTTACTCAAGCCTCGGCAATGGCGGGCACTCCTCCCCCAGCCTTGCTGCCGCCTTGCAGTTTGATCTCAGACTGCTGTGCTAGCAATAAGCAAGGCTCCATGTGTTGTAGGACCCTCTGAGCCAGGTGCAGGATATAATCTCTTGGTGTGCCGTTTGCTCAGACCATCGGAAAAGCACAGTGTTAGGGTGGGAGTGACCCGATTTTCCAGGTGCCATCTGTCACCCCTTTCTTTGACTAGGAAAGGGAATTCCCTGACCCCTTATGCTTCCTGGGTGAGGCGATGCCTTGCCCCGCTTCGGCTCATGCTCAGTGCGCTGCACCCACTGTCCTGCACCCTCAGTCTGACAGTCCCCAGTGAGATGAACCTGGTACCTCAGTTGGAAATGCAGAAATCACCTGTCTTCTGCGTCGCTCACTCTGGGAGCTGTAGACTGGAGCTGTTCCTATTCGGCCATCTTGGCTCCACCCCCCCCAGTAATACATATTTTATATAATTTATATAAATTATATATAATGTGCATTTATTTACATATAATTATATATGATATATATTCATTCATATGTAATATATATCTATTTTATATAATATATGATTATATAATATCTATTTTATATATGATTATATAATATCTATTTTACATATATAAAATATATATTTTATAAAATATATTATATACAATCATCAAGGTATGTGGATTGCCATTATATATATTATATATAATGATCAAGGTATGTGGATTGCCTAAAGATATTGTTCAACGAGAACACATGGACACAGGGAGAGGAACAACACACACTGGGCCCTGTCAGGGGAGGGCAAGGGGGAAGCGCATTAGGAAAAAGAGCTAATGCATGCTGGGCTTAATACCTAGGTGGTGGGTTGATAGGTGCAGCAAACCACCATGGCACATGCTTACCTATGTAGCAAACCTGCACATCCTTCACATGTATCCTGGAACTTACAAAATAAAATAAAATAAACAATAAATAAAAATAAAAATATTGTTCAGGCACATCAGCATCTCTCTCTTGGAAAACTGCAACAGCTTCCTAACTCATTTCCCTGACCACCCCCACCCCTTCTTGTGCAATCTTGCCCCACCTCCAAGTCCAACCCAATCTTCACTATGCAAAATTATATATATACACAAATATATACACACACACATATACATGTAAAAATATGTATAATCATATATATGTATATATATCATTAGAAAGAGGGTTTTATTGCTAAAATTTGAATAACTTTGCTTCGTTCAACACTCTTATTGGGAAAATCAAGTACTACCGTTAGGATGAGCCTCAACAAATGCCACACAATTAGTGAGTGGAAGAGCAGAGACTAGAAACTAGGTCTCTGGGACAATGTTCATTCAACCACACTCCATCACCCTCTCCCATGATAATACCATCAAGGAATCAATATGGTGACCTTTGGTTTACAAATTGCAGTATAATAATGAAACCTTTACTGAGTCCTCACTTCATGCCAGGCATTATGCTAAGTATTTTACAAGCATTAATTTATTTAACTCTCATAAAAATCCAGATAAGTGCTGTTACTGTTATCATTTAACAAATCCAGAAATTGAGTCCCTGAGGAATTAAATAACTTGCTCAAAGAGTCACTAGAGTATGTGATGGAGGCAGGATGTGGCTCTGGATGACATGGTTCAGAGCTCATCTTCTGATTTGTATATTATTCTGTATCCCAAGACTGAAAAGACTTTTATAACAAAGCAAAGATACATAGAGTCAGTGCTTAGCCTTTCCCTCTGCTCAACAATTCTGTTTTTCTAGTCATCTTATTTTCCAGCTTTTAAGAAATGGAAGTATTTGGAAAGTAGTGTGGCAATTTCTCAAACAACTTACAACAGAAGTACCATTCAACCCAACAATCCCAATATTGGGTGTATACCCCTCAAAATATAAATTGTTTTACCATAAAGACACATGCAACCATTATGCTTGCATAATGCAACCATCATTAATGCCTTATTAATGCAACCATTAAGTTGTTGCAGCACTATTCACAACAACGAAGACATGGAATCAAGCGACGTGTCCATCAACGGTGAATTGGATAGAGAAAATGTGGTACATATACATCATGAAATACTATGTAGCCATAAAAAAGAATGAGATCATGTCCTTTGCAGCAACATGGATGGAGATGGAGGCCATAATCCTAAGCAAACTAATGCAGGAACAGAGAGTCAAATACGGCATGTTCTTACTGAGAGATGGGAGCTAAATATTGAAAACACATGGACACAAAGAAAGGAACAACATACGGGCCTACTTGAGGATTGAGGGTGGGAGTAGGGAAAGGAGCAGGAAACTGTGTGTCAGATACTGTGCTTATTAGCCCGGTGATGAAATAATCTGTACATCAAACCCCCATGACATGCAATTTACCTATATAACAAACCTGCACATTTACCTCTGAACCTAAAATAAAAGTTATAAAAAGAAATGAAAGTTATATAACCCCCAATGGATACACTGAAATCTCTGCTGAGAAAATTAGCAATGAGAGAATTATTTTTCTTCATAGATGAGGGACTTGGACTCATAGAGGCTTAGACACAAGTCACCATTTCTCATTCACAAATGCAGATAAAGTGGGAAACTGCATTTGTTTGAGTCCCCAGATTTGGTTTACACGATAGTGTGAACTAAGTGCACGTGCAGTAAAATGATGGTGTGTGTATGTGTGTGTGTGTGTGTGTGTGTGTGTGTGTGTGTGTGTGGTGAGGGGATGGGGAGCGAAGGTGGTAGATGTTGAAAGATAAGGCCAGAGAGATATACAAGCGATGAATCCTCAGTGGCCTTGAACTCTTCAGTTGCTGTGCATTGCACAGAGGCCACTGAAGAGCTTTAAGAGAGTGTGTGAACGATTAGCTCTATGTTTATAAATATCATTTTGCGTAGTGAAGACTAGGTTGAACTCGGAGGTGTGGCAAGACTGCACAAGAAAGAGGGGTCAGGGAAACGAGTTAGGAAGCTGTTGTAGTTTTCCAAGAGAAAGATGCTGATGATTTGTTCAAGCAATGGCAAAAGTGCTTGAACAATATTTGTAGGCAATCCACATACCTTGATCAATATGCATTTCAGTGATGAAAAATAATTTCAAGCATCCCTTAAGCTCTTGGGAGTTAGTTGATTGAATATAATGTTGGCTGAATGCTGGTGGTGTGTGGATGCTTGATTAGAGATTTCAAATGAACTATCCCCTGTACTTGGGGGTGGCAGAGGATGAAAACTGACAAACAGATTTATCACATTGTTGATGCTGAAGAATTTAAAATTAAAATACTCAGTTGACAGCATAACTGAATGATGTGGATGTGGATGGTGGCTCAAAGAAAAGTGAATTGGAAGAGATCCTTATCCTACAGAATGCTTCAGTCTACTGGAGATGAGATGAAAAAAATGGGCACAGTTGTCTGATTAGATTAGGGAGTGAATAAGGAAAGATGCAAGTGCAGGTGATAAGAGCTACAGATATCACCATAGTTGGCAGGTGGTAAAATGGGCTAAGAGTCAGGAGTAGGCTTAACTTTTCATTCATTTAGCAAATATTGATTTAGCAGCTACCATGTGTCAGTAATTGTGGGGATATAACAGTGAACAGAATAGACAAAAAAGTCTCTCCCTATGGGCAGTTTACGTTCTTGGGCTTGAGCTGGATCTGGAAGGAATAAGAGGCTTGATTAGAAGAGAGAAGACAACATCGATGATGATGTTGTCTTCATACAGCAAGTATGAAACTTAGACTCAAGGAAACTCAAGGAGATTTAGGGGAGAGGCCAAGGAGAGTTGGTAGTAGCGGGCAACAGGAAATCAAATTTAAGGGGGAGGTTGGGGTTTGGCTTGACAGCTTGGCAGGGGAGAATGAACTTTATGTGCAAACTTCACAGAGCTCTGGGGATGTGTGCAAACTTCACATTGAAAGGATGCAGCAAAAACAGCAGAGCAGATGGTGGGGCAGGAAAATCTGTGGCCATCTCGCAATAAGTTATTTTTCTCTCTCACTCTGCCCTGTCTTTTTCTCCTTCCTCTGAGTTTTAAAGATATCTAAAATATTGCAATTATGTGTGAATGCATGAGTAGAATCAGGTGAAACAGCATACAGATTGGTGGAAATTATTATGCAAATGACTTAGCAATAATGCAGAGAGAGTTCTCGGAATGAACACTTAACCATTCTTCTTCTGGCCATTTAACTATATTGTGAGCTTAAGAATAAACCCAGACAATTGATGTACTTGGGTGGAGTGGGTCCCTGGGCAGGATTATATGGACAGAGTTCCTTCATTGGAAGTCCCTCAGGAATTTAATGTTAAATGACTGGTAATAAAGTGGAGAATTAAGATTCAGCGAGAGGGAGGGGAAATGAATAAAATTTCCAAATTCTTTTCTCTCCCTGTTATTCATACCACATGCTTTATGGAATCTTTTATCATTCTGACACTTGCCATTTATATCCCCAGTGTCCTCTCCTGCCAGATTTATTCTACTCTTAGTGTTGAAGAGAAATAAAGCTGCTTATGCAATTCTCTAGCTTGCCCTGAAAAATGTAGAACCCCATGATGATTTTCTTAGTAATGAATCCCTTGAATTCATCAGAGCAAAGATGTGCATCACCACTACACATCATCATTACCTTGAACACGGGAAGCTTCCCTGTTCAGCCCAGATGTCCCCAAGCTGCAACAACCTGATGGCACAAATCATGGTGGAACAATTGTGGAGACTCCAAGCCTGGGCAGAATCTCCCCCAGTGATTTCTGGGAGTCTCCAGAGGGGCCTCATCTGTGCTCAGGGACATGTCTGCTCACATCCTACTTCTGCTGCTGGTGACTTCTGAGATAATGCTCTCTGTGTGGCTTAGTATTCCTTCAACCTTCAGCTGCCTGTGGCCTCAGATAACAAGGAGGCATGGTATTTTACGGTAAGTTCTTGCATCTTATCATCAAGGCCCAAAGCATCACTGCTTGAATCTGGACCCACAAAATCCTTATGATTTTCAGCCTTGAACTACTCTCTCTACAGAGTTTAACACTAAGCCATCAGAAATATGCATAACAATGTGTGTTCAGTTTTAGTATTTAAAGACTGGAAATAAACTGAATTTCAAGCAAGAGAAGATATTGTACGAATAAATGATGTTATATCCATACTGTGGAATAAAATGCAGACATTGCAAAGAATGAATTAGATTTATTTCAGATGACTTAGAGGGATTTGGGTTGCAAACTAAAGACATAGAAATGCTTAGAAATGTAATTCCCTTTTATACAACAATATATTTTAATATTTTAAAATATATTTTAGTATATGTGTATGTGTAAGGGTTTCACACTTTTTTTTTTTTTTAGAGACAGAGTCTTGCTCTGTTGCCCAGGCTGGAAAGCACTGGTTGCAATCATAGCTCACTGCAGCCTCAAACTCTTGGGTTCAGGTGTTCCTCTGGCCTCAGCCTCCTGAGTAGCTGGGACTATAGGCATGTAGCAACATGCCCAGCTATTTTTTTCATTTTTAGTAGAGATGGGGTCTATGTTGCCCAGGCTGGTCTTGAACTCCTGGCCTCAAGTATCAGATGGTCTTTATATGATTTTGTTAGTATAAAGTAATAGAAGGGAAGGACATAACGTAGGTTATTAAAATGGTATCACACACCATTTTGGGTCCTGCCTATAAACCAAAAACAAAATGCTAAGCCAAACCAACCAAATGGACCCCCTTTGGGCCAAGGGAAGCCTGAAAAACTAAATTCCCAGCTACGATGGGAAGGGAGGTTGCACAAGCCTTGTTATATCCCTTCCCTTTTGGAGCTTAGGCACAACTGACCAGCATTAACGTTAAAATATGAAGTCATAGGACTGACAAAACAGACTCTTTATGACAATAGGATCCCAAATTTCAACCTGACTCTGGTATAGCATCACATGACAGAAAGGATATCTTGAAGAAAATAAGAATATTTTACCCCAAAATATATTTCTTTGACATATTTTTAAATGGCCCTGCAAAGCTGCCTTTCAACCAATTGCCAAACAGAAAATCTTTGAATCCACCTCTCCTGCTCTGCCTCCTTTGGGATGTCCTGCCCTTTCAGGATGAACCAATATATACCTTATATGTATTGATTTATGTCTTTGCCTGTAATTTCAGTCTCCCTAAAATGTATAAAACCAAGCTGTAACCCGATCGCCTCGGGCATGCCTTCTCAGAACCTCTTAAGACTGTTCCTGGGCCATGGTCACTCATATTGGCTCAGAAGAAAACTCTTTAAATATTTAAACTTTTCTTTTTTTGTTGCTGTTGTTGTTAATATGCCTCATATTTATTCAGTTAACTTTAAAAATTGGTTAATTTTTAAAAATTATGGCAACATACACATAATGTGAAATTTACCTTCTGAATCATTTTTCAGCCTATAGTTCAGTGGCATTAGCACATTGCTGTGCAACCACCACCACTATCTATCTCCAGAACTTTTTTCATCTTCTCAAACTGAAAGACAATTACCATAGCTCTACTAAACACCAACTCCTCATTCTCCTTACTCCCAACCCCCATCAACCACCACTCTATTTTCTGTCTCTGTGAATTTGCCTACCCCAGCTACCTCATATGAGTGGAATCATACAATATTGTATTTGTTTTTCTGTGACTGGCTTCTTTCACTTAGCGTCATGTCCTCAAGTTTCATCCATGTTGTACCATGGTCAGAATTTCCTTCCTTTTAAGGCTGAATGATATTCCATTGTATGTCTATATCACATTTTATCTATCCATCCATCAGTGGTACTTGAATTGCTTTCACTTTTTGGATATTGTAAGGAATGCTGCTATGAACATGGGTGTACAAATATCTCTTTTTTTTTGTTTTTTTTTGAGACAGAGTCTCGCCCTGTTGCCCAGGCTGGAGTGCAGTGGCGCAATCTCAGCTCACTGCAAGCTCCGCCTCCTGGATTCACGCCATTCTCCTGCCTCAGCCTCCCAAGTAGCTGGGATTACAGGCACCTGCCACCACACCCGGCTAATTTTTTGTATTTTTAGTGGAGGTGGGGTTTCACCCTGTTAGCCAGGATGGTCTCAATCTCCTGACCTCGTGATCTGCCCATCTCAGCCTCCCAAAGTACTGGGATTACAGGCATGAGCCACTGCTCCCGGCCAAATATCTCTTCTTGTCCTTGCTTTCAATTCTTTTGGGTCTATACCCAGAAGTGGAATTGCTGAATAATATCATAATTCTATTTTTCATTTTTTGAGGAACCGCCATATCATTTTCCATAGCAGCTGTGCCATTTTACGTTCCCAAGAAAAATGCACAAGTGTTCCAATTTCTCCACATCCTTAACGATACTTGTTATTTTCTGGGTTTTTTTTTAAAAAAAAAATAGTAGTTCTACTAGTGGTTGTGAGGTGATATTTTACTGTGATTTGAACTTGCATTTCCCTAATGATTAGTGAGGTTGAGCATCTTTTCATGTGTTTGTTGGCCATTTCTATAGGTTTTTTTGGAGAAATGTCTATTCAATTCCTTTGCCCATTTTTTATTCTTGGGTGTGTGTACATGTGTGCCTATCTCTGTGTTTGTGTGTTTTGTTGGTGGTGAGTTGCAGGACTTCTGTTATGGGTTAAATTGTGTTTCCCCCAAATTCATATGTTGAATTCCTTACCCCCAGTACCTCAGTATGTGACTACATTTGTAGATAGGACCTTTAAAGAGGTAATTAAATTAAAATGAGGACGTTAGGGTGGGCACTGGTGTCTTTATAAGAAGAAGACACTAGCACATAGACTGACACAGAAGGAAGACTATGTGAAGTTCTAGGGAGAAGGTGGCCATCCATGAGGCAAAGAGAGAGACCTCTAATGAAATCAGTCTTGCCAGCACCTTAATCTTAGACTTCTAGCCTCCAGCATTGGGAGAAAATACATTTCTGTTATTTAAGTCACTGTGGTTCTTTATTATGGCAACCTTAGCAAACTAATGCATATTCTTTATATAGTGTTCTGGATATTAACCACTTATCAGATACGTGATTTGAAAATATATTTTTTCATTCTGTAGGATGTCTCTTCATCTGTTGATTGTGTCCCTTGATGAACAGAGGTTTTACATTTTGATGTACTCTAATGTTGGTATCATTTGGCTCTGTGTCCCCACCCAAATTTCATGTTGAATTGTAATCCCCAGTGTTGGATGTGGGGCCTGGTGGGAGGTGATTGGATCATGGGGTGGTTTGTAATGGTTTAGCACCATTAGCACCCTAGCGCTGTCTCGTGATAGAGTTCTCCTAAGATCTGGTTGTTTAAAAGTGTGTGGCACTTCCCCTTTAGCTTGCTCTCTCCTGCTTCACCATGTGAATATGTGCCTGCTTCCCCTTTGCCTTCTCCCAAGATGGTAAGTTTCCTGAGGCCTCCCCAACCACGCTTCCTGTACAGCCTGCAGAACTGTGAGTCAATTAAATCTCTTGTCTTCATAAATTACCCAGTCTCAGGTAGTTCCTTATACCAATGCGAGAATGGACTAATGCAAATGTTTCTATTTTTTCTGTTGTTGCCTGTACTTCAGTCTTCCTCTTATGCCAGCCAAGCTTTGCTGCAGCTACCGGCTTCAGGGAGGTAAGTTGACAATACCACCTCTCAGCTGCACTGCCCACTTTCACTTAGGATTTCTGATGCCACTGTGTGGATGCCTGCTGGGTCCTATGTACATTCACACATGCATACCAACCTGGGAGCTCAAGGTGGGAAACACCCATGTGGCAAGCATTGAACAATGGGGCTTGGGAACTGGTGGATTAACTCTTGCCTGTTCCTTCCCTCAAGTGGGCAATTTTGAGGTGTGCTCTATAAAACTCCTGAAGTGTCTGTGCTAGGCCAAAAAAAGGCTCCCCAAAGGGATCTATGTTAAATCTCTAGAACATACAAATGTTATTACTTTTGGAAAAAGAGTCTTTGCCGATGTGATTAAATTCAGGATTTTGAGATGAGATTATCCTGGATTATCCAGGTGGGTTCTAAATCCAATGACAAGTATCTTTTTCTAAGGCTATTTTTTTTGGAGCAGTTTTAGGGTCACAGTAAAATTGAGAAGAAAGTACAGAGATATCCAATATACCCCCTACCCTCACACATGCACAGTCTCCCCATTATCAACACGCTACCACCAGAGTGGTACTTTGGAAAAACCGGTGAACCTACATTGACACATCATTCTCACCCCAAGTCCAGAGTTTTCATTAAGGTTCACTCTTGGTGAACCTTACATATTCTGTGAATTTTTACAAATGTGTAATGAGATGTATCCACTATAATAGTATCACACAGTGTGGTTTCACTGTCCTAACAAGTTTCTGTGCTGTGCCTATTCATTCCTCCCTGCCCTGATTTTTTCCTGTGTCCATTGCTTTGCCTTTTCCAGAACATCATGTGGTTGGAATCCTATGGCACGTAGCCTTTTCAGATTGGCTTCTTTCACTTAATAACTTGCATTTAAGTTTCCCCCATGTTTTTTCATGGCTTGATAGCTCATTTCTTTTCAGTGCTGAGTGATATTCCATTGCCCAGATGTACTAGAGTTTATGTATTCATTCACCTACAGAAGGACAACCTGGATGCTTCTAAGTTTTAGCAATTATGAATAAAGCTGTTGTAAGCATCTGTGTCCAGGTTTTTGTGTGGACATAAGTTTTCAACTTCTCTGGGTTAATACCAAGCAGAATAATTACTGGCTCATATGATAAGAGTATATTTAGTTTTGGGTGCCAAACTGAATTCAAAGGGGCTATACCATTTTGTGTTTCCACCAGCAATGCATAAGAATTCCTGTTGCTCCATATCCTTGCCAGAATTTGCTATTGTTGGTGTTCTGGATTTTAGCCATTCTAGTAGGTGTGGTGGTGTCTACACCTACTAGACGCCACTACACATCTAGTAGTGGCATCTCATTGTTGTTTTAATTGGCAATTCCCTGATGACACATGATGTGTGATATCTTTGCATATGTCTATTTGCCATCTATATTTATCTTCTTTGGTGAGGTGGCTATTAAGATCTTTGACCCATTTTTTAGTCTGGTTGTTTGTTTTCTTATTGCTGAGGTTTCAGAGTTTTTTGTACATTGTGGATAACAGTTATTTATTAGATATGTCTTTTGCAAATATTTCTCCCCGTTTCTGACTTGTGTTTTCATTCTCTTGACAGTATCTTTCAAAGAACAGAAGTTTTTAATTTTAGGGAAGTCTAACATCAATTATTTCTAACGTGAATCATGACTTTGATATCATATCTAAAATGTCACTGCCAAACCTAAGGTCATCTTGATTTTTTCCTATGCTATCTTTCAGGAGTTTTATAGTTTTTACATATAGTTTTACAGTTAGGTCTGTGATCCATTTTGGGTAAATTTTTGTGAAGAGTCTAAAATCTGTGCCTAGGTTCATTACTGTTTGCATGTAGATGTCCAGTTGCTCCAACACTATTTGTTAAAAATATTATCTTTTATTTAATTAATTAATTTTATTTTATTTTTGAAGCAGGGTCTCACTCTGTTGCCCAGGCTGGAGTACAGTGGCACAGTCATAGCTCGCTGCAGCCTTGACCTCCCAGGCTCAAGCGATCCTCCCACCTCAGCCTCCCAAGTAGCTGGGACAACAGGTGCACACCACCACACCTGGCTAATTTTTTGTAGAGAGGAGTTTTCCCTATGTTACCCAGCCTAGTCTCAAACTCCTGGGCTTAAGTGATCCTTCTACTCTAGCCTCCAAAAATGTTGGGATTACAGGCATGAGCCACTGTGCCTGGCTTCATCTTTTCTTATCATATTTCCCTTGTTCCTTGGTCAAAGATCAGTTGACTATTTTTATGTGAGCCTATTTCCGGGCTCCCTATTCTGCTCCATTGATCTATTTGTCTATCCTTTCTCCAATGCCAAACTGTCTTCATTAGTATAGCTTTATCATACCTTTTGAAGTATACAGCATCACTCCTCTAACTTTGTTCTTCTCCTTTAATATTGTGTTGGAAATTCTGGATCTTTTGCTTCTATATACAAACTTTAGATCTGTTGATATTCACAAAATAATTTATTGGGATTTTGATAGGCATTGCATTGAATATATAGATCAAACTGAGAAAAATTGACATGTTGACAATATTGTGTCTTCCTATCTATGAGTATGGAACATCTTTCCATTTATTTAGTTCTTTGATTTCTGTGGTTTTCCTCATATAGGTCTTGCATATGCTTTGTTAGATTTATACCTAAGTATTTCATTTTTTGGACTATTAATATAAATGCCATTGTGCTTTGAATTTCAAATTTTACTTGTTAATTGCTGGTATATAGAAAAAATGGACTTTTGTATATTAACCTTGTATCTTGCAACCTTGCTATAATTACCCATTAGTTCCAGGAGATGTTTGTCAATTCTATCAGATTTTCTTTACACAGAGTCATATCATCTGTGAAAGTTTTATTTTTTCCTTCTCCATCAGTAAACCTCTTACTTAATTTTCTTGTCTGATTGCATTAGTTAAGACTTCCAGTACAATTCTGAAAGGAGTGGTAAGGGGAGACATGCTTGCCTTGTTCTTGATCTTATTGGGAAAGCTTACAGTTTCTCACCATTAAGTAGGATTTTAGCAGTTGGTTTTTTGTAGATATTCTTTATCAAGTTGAGAAATTTCCTCTATTCCTAGTTTATTGAGTTTTTTTTTAAATCATGAAGGGGTGTTGGATTTGTCAAATTCTTTATCTGCATCTATTGATATAATCACATTTTTTCCTTCTTTTTAAAATTTTATTTTATTTTATTATTATTATGCTTTAAGTTTTTGGGTACATGTGCACAAAGTTCAGGTTTGTTACATATGTATACCTGTGCCATGCTGGTGTGCTGCACCCATTAACTCGCATTTAGCATTAGGTATATCTCCTAATGCTATCCCTCCCCCCTCCCCCCACCCCACAACAATCCCTGGTGTGTGATGTTCCCTGTCCTGTGTCCATGTGTTCTCATTGTTCAATTCCCACCTATGAGTGAGAATATGCGGTGTTTGGTTTTTTGTCCTTGCAACAGTTTGCTGAGAATGATGGTTTCCAGTTTCATCCATGTCCCTACAAAGGACATGAACTCATCATTTTTTATGGCTGCATAGTATTCCACGGTGTATATGTGCCACATTTTCTTAATCCAGTCTATCATTGTTGGACATTTGGGTTGGTTCGAAGTCTTTGCTATTGTGAATAGTGCCGCAATAAACATACGTGTGCATGTGTCTTTATAGCAGCATGTTTTGTAATCCTTTGGGTATATACCCAGTAATGGGATGGCTGGGTCAAATGGTATTTCTAGTTCTAGATCCCTGAGGAATCGCCACACTGACTTCCACAGTGGTTGAACTAGTTTCCAGTCCCACCAACGGTGTAAAAGTGTTCCTATTTCTCCACATCCTCTCCAGCACCTGTTGTTCCCTGACTTTTTAATGATCGCCATTCTGACTGGTGTGAGATCGTATCTCATTGTGGTTTTGATTTGCATTTCTCTGGTGGCCAAAGATGATGAGCATTTTTTCATGTGTCTTTTGGCTGCATAAATGTCTTCTTGTGAGAAGTGTCTGTTCATATCCTTCGCCCACTTTTTGATGGGGTTGTTTGTTTTTTTCTTGTAAATTTGTTTGAGTTCATTGTAGATTCTGGATATTAGCCCTTTGTCAGATGAGTAGGTTGCAAAAATTTTTTCCCATTCTGTAGATTGCCTGTTCACTCTGATGGCAGTTTCCTTTGCTGTGCAGAAGCTCTTTAGTTTCATTAGATCCCATTTGTCAATTTTGGCTTCTGTTGCCATTGCTTTTGGTGTTTTAGACATGAAGTCCTTGCCCATGCCTATGTCCTGAATGGTATTGCCTGGGTTTTCTTCTAGGGTTTTTATGGTTTTAGGTCTAACATTTAAGTCTTTAATCCATCTTGAATTAATTTTTGTATAAGGTGTAAGGAAGGGATCCAGTTTCAGCTTTCTACATATGGCTAGCCAGTTTTCCCAGCACCATTTATTAAATAGGGAATCCTTTCCCCATTTCTTGTTTTTCTCAGGTTTGTCAAAGATCAGATAGTTGTAGATATGTGGCATTATTTCTGAGGCCTCTGTTCTGTTCCATTGATCTACATCTCTGTTTTGGTACCAGTACCATGCTGTTTTGGTTACTGTAGCCTTGTAGTGTAGTTTGAAGTCAGGTAGCGTGATGCCTCCAGCTTTGTTCTTTTGGCTTAGGATTGACTTGGCAATGCAGGCTCTTTTTTGGTTCCATATGAACTTTAAAGTACTTTTTTCCAATTCTGTGAAGAAAGTCATTGGTAACTTGATGGGGATGGCATTGAATCTATAAATTACCTTGGGCAGTATGGCCATTTTCATGATATTGATTCTTCCTACCCATGAGCATGGAATGTTCTTCCATTTGTTTGTATCCTCTTTTATTTCATTGAGCAGTGGTTTGTAGTTCTCCTTGAAGAGGTCCTTCACATCCCTTGTAAGTTGGATTCCTAGGTATTTTATTCTCTTTGAAGAAGTTGTGAATGGGAGTTCACTCATGATTTGGCTCTCTGTTTGTCTGTTATTGGTGTATAAGAATGCTTGTGATTTTTGCACATTGATTTTGTATCCTGAGACTTTGCTGAAAGTTGCTTATCAGCTTAAGGAGATTTTGGGCTGCGACGATGGGGTTTTCTAGATATACAGTCATGTCATCTGCAAACAGGGACAATTTGACTTCCTCTTTTCCTAATTGAATACCCTTTATTTCCTTCTCCTGCCTGATTGCCCTGGCCAGAACTTCCAACACTATGTTGAATAGGAGTGGTGAGAGAGGGCATCCCTGTCTTGTGCCAGTTTTCAAAGGGAATGCTTCCAGTTTTTGTCCATTCAGGACCATATTGTCTGTGGGTTTGTCATAGATAGCTCTTATTATTTTGAGATACATCCCATCAATACCTAATTTATTGAGAGTTTTTAGCATGAAGGGTTGTTGAATTTTGTCAAAGGCCTTTTCTGCATCTGTTGAGATAATCATGTGGTTTTTGTCTTTGGTTCTGTTTATATGCTGGATTATGTTTATTGATTTTTGTATGTTGAACCAGCCTTGCATCCCAGGGATGAAGCCCACTTGATCATGGTGGATAAGCTTTTTGATGTGCTGCTGGATTCGGTTTGTCAGTATTTTATTGAGGATTTTTGCATCAATGTTCATCAAGGATATTGGTCTAAAATTCTCTTTGTTTGTTGTGTCTCTGCCAGGCTTTGGTATCAGGATGATGCTGGCCTCATAAAATGAGTTAGAGAGGGTCCCCTCTTTTTCTATTGATTGGAATAGTTTCAGAAGGAATGGTACCAGCTCCTCCTTGTACCTCTGGTAGAATTTGGCTGTGAATCCATCTGGTCCTGGACTTTTTTTGGTTGGTAAGCTATTAATTATTGCCTCAACTTCAGAGCCTGTTATTGGTCTATTCAGAGATTCAGCTTCTTCCTGGTTTAGTTTTGGGAGGGTGTATGTGTCCAGGAATTTATCCATTTCTTCTAGATTTTCTAGTTCATTTGCGTGGAGGTGTTTATAGTATTCTCTGATGGTAGTTTGTATTTCTGTGGGATCGGTGGTGATATCCCCTTTATCATTTTTTATTGCGTCTATTTGATTCTTCTCTCTTTTCTTCTTTATTAGTGTTGCCAGTGGTCTATCAATTTTGTTGATCTTTTCAAAAATCCAGCTCCTGGATTCATTGATTTTTTGAAGGGCTTTTTGTGTCTCTATTTCCTTCAGTTCTCCTCTGATCTTAGTTATTTCTTGCCTTCTGATAGCTTTTGAATGTGTTCGCTCTTGCTTCTCTAGTTCTTTTAATTGTGATGTTAGGGTGTCAATTTTGGATCTTTCCTGCTTTCTCTTGTGGGCATTTAGTGCTATAAATTTCCCTCTACACACTGCTTTGAATGTGTCCCAGAGATTCTGGTATGTCGTGTCTTTGTTCCCGTTGGTTTCAAAGAACATCTTCATTTCTGCCTTCATTTCATTATTTACCCAGTAGTCATTCAGGAGCAGTTTGTTCAGTTTCCATGTAGTTGAGTGGTTTCGAGTGAGTTTCTTAATCCTGAGTTCTAGTTTGATTGTACTTGGTCTGAGAGACAGTTTGTTATAATTTCTGTTCTTTTACATTTGCTGGGGAGTGCTTCACTTCCAACTATGTGATCAATTTTGGAATAGGTGTGGTGTGGTGCTGAAAAGAATGTATATTCTGTTGATTTGGGGTGGAGAGTTCTGTAGATGTCTATTAGGTCCGCTTGGTGCAGAGCCGAGTTCAATTTCTGGATATCCTTGTTAACTTTTGGTCTTATTGATCTGTCTAATGTTGACAGTGTGGTGTTGAAGTCTCCCATTATTATTGTGTGGGAGTCTAAGTCTCTTTGTAGGTCAGTAAGAACTTGCTTTATGAATCTGGGTGCTCCTGTGTTGGGTGCATCTATATTTAGGAGAGTTAGCTCTTCTTGTTGAATTGATCCCTTTACCATTATGTCATGGCCTTCTTTGTCTCTTTTGATCTTTGTTGGTTTAAAGTCTGTTTCATCTGAGACTGGGAGTGTAACCCCTGCCTTTTTTTGTTTTCCATTTGCTTGGTAGATCTTCCTCCGTCCCTTTATTTTGAGCCTATGTGTGTCTCTGCATGTGAGATGGATTTCCTGAATACAGCACACTGATGGGTCTTGACTGTTTATCCAATTTGCCAGTCTGAGTCTTTTAATTGGAGCATTTAGTCCATTTACATTTAAGTTAATATTGTTATGTGTGAATTTGATCCTGTCATTATGATGTTAGCTGGTTATTTTGCTCATTAGTTGATGCAGTTTCTTCCTAACCTCGATGGTCTTTACAATTTGGCATGTTTTTGCAGTGGCTGGTACCAGTTGCTCCTTTCCATGTTTAGTGCTTCCTTCAGGAGCTCTTTTAGGGCAGGCTGGTGGAGACAAAATCTCTCAGCATTTGCTTGTCTGTAAAGTATTTTATTTCTCCTTCACTTATGAAGCTTAGTTTGGCTGGATATGAAATTCTGGGTTGAAAATTCTTGTCTTTAAGAATGTTGAATATTGGTCCCCACTCTCTTCTGGCTTGTAGAGTTTCTGCCGAGAGATCACCTGTTAGTCTGATGGGCTTCCCTTTTTGGGTAACCCAACAGTTCTCTCTGGCTGCCCTAACATTTTTTCCTTCATTTCAACTTTGGTGAATCTGACAATTATGTGTCTTGGAGTTGCTCTTCTCGAGGAGTATCTTTGTGGCATTCTCTGTATTTCCTGAATGTGAATGTTGGCCTGCCTTGCTAGATTGGGGAAGTTCTCCTGGATAATATCCTGCAGAGTGTTTTCCAACTTGGTTCCATTCTCCCCGTCACTTTCAGGTACACCAATCAGATGTAGATTTGGTCTTTTCACATAGTCCCATATTTCTTGGAGGCTTTGTTTGTTTCTTTTTATTCTTTTTTCTCTAAACTTCTCTTCTCACTTCATTTCATTCATTTTGTCTTCCATCGCTGATACCCTTTCTTCCAGTTGATCGCTTCGGCTACTGAGGCTTGTGTATTTGTCACATAGTTCTCGTGCCATGGTTTTCAGCCCCATCAGGTCCTTTAAGGCCTTCTCTGCATTGGTTATTCTAGTTAGCCATTTCTCTAATTTTTTTTCAAGGTTTTTAACTTCTTTGCCTTGGGTTTGAACTTCCTCCTTTAGCTTGGAGCAGTTTGATCTTCTGAAGCCTTCCTCTCTCAACTCGTCAAAGTCATTCTCCATCCAGCTTTGTTCCATTGCTGGTGAGGAGCTGTGTTCCTTTGTAAAAGGAGGGGCGCTCTGATTTTTAGAGTTTCAGGTTTTTCTGCTCTGTTTTTTCCCCATCTTTGTGGTTTTATCTACCTTTGGTCTTTGATGATGGTGACGTACAGATGGGTTTTTGGTGTGGATGTCCTTTCTGTTTGTTAGTTTTCCTTCTAACAGTCAGGACCCTCAGCTGCAGGTCTGTCGGAGTTTGCTGGAGGTCCACTCCACACCCTTTTTGCCTCAGTATCAGCAGTGGTGGCTGCAGAACAGCAGATTTTGGTGAACCGCAAATGCTGCTGCCTGATCGTTCCTCTGGAAGTTTTGTCTCAGAGGAGTTCCTGGCCGTTTGAGGTGTCAGTCCGTCCCTACTGGGGGTTGCCTCCCAGTTAGGCTACTTGGGGGTCAGGGACCCACTTGAGGAGGCAGTCTGCCCATTCTCAGATCTCACGCCGCATGCTGGGAGAACAACTACTCTCTTCAAAGCTGTCAGACAGGGACATTTAAGTCTGCAGAGGTTATTGCTGCCTTTGGTTTGGCTATGCCCTGCCCCCAGAGGTGCAGCCTACAGAGGCAGGCAGGCCTCCTTGAGCTGCGGTGGGCTCCACCCATTTTGAGCTTCCTGGCTGCTTTGTTTACCTACTCAAGCCTGGGCAATGGCGAGTGCCCCTCCCCCAGGCTCGCTGCCGCCTTGCAGTTTGATCTCAGACTGCTGTGCTTGCAATGAGTGAGTCTCCTTGGGCATAGGACCCTCCAAGCCATGTGTGGGATATAATCTCCTGGTGTGCCATTTGTTAAGCCCGTTGGAAAAGCGCAGTATTAGGGTGGGAGTGACCCGATTTTCCAGGTGCCATCTGTCACCCCTTTCTTTGACTAGGAAAGGGAATTCCCTGACCCCTTGTGCTTCCCAGGTGAGGTGATGCCTTGCCCTGCTTTGGCTTATGCACGGTGCACTGCACCCACTGTCCTGTACCCTCTGTCTGGCTCTCCCCAGTGAGATAAACCCGGTATCTCAGTTGGAAACGCAGAAATCACCCATCTTCTGCATTGCTCATGCTGTGATCTGTAGACTGGAGCTGTTCCTTGTTTTTATCCTTCTTTACCTTGTTGATGTGATATATTATATCAATTGATTTTCAAATGTTAAAACTGCTTTGCAAACCCAGGATAAATTCTACTGTCATGATGTATAATTTTTTTATATATTGTTGGATTTGGTCTAGTAATATTTTGTTGAGGATTTTGCATCTATGTTGATGAGAAATACCTGTGATTTTCTTTTTTTGTAATGTTTTTGTCTGGTTTTGGTATTAGGGGGATGCTGGCCTCATAGAATGAGTTAGCAAGGATTCCCTCTACTTCTATCTGCTGAAAAAGATTGAAGAGAATTGCTATAATTTCTTCCTTAAGCATTTGATAGAATTCACCAGTGAACCTCTCTGGTCTCATGCTTTCTGTATTGGAAGATTATTAATTATTGATTGAATTTCTTTAATAGATATGGGCCTATTCTGTTTCTGCTTCTGTGAGTCTTGGCAGATTGCATCTTTCAAGGAATTAGTCTGTTTCATCTGGTTACCAAATTTGTGGGCATACAGTTATTCATAGTGTTGTTCATTATCTTTTAATGTCCATGGAATCTGTACCAATGTCTCTTATTTCATTTCTGATATTAATAATTTGTGTCCTTTCTTTTTTCTTAGTTAGCCTGGCTAGAGACTTACTAATTTTATCTGTCTTTTGAAAGAACCAAATTTTTGCTTCATAGATTTTCTCTGCTGATTTTCTGTTTTTCACTTCCTTTATTTTTGCTCTAATTTCTGTCATTGCTTTTCTTCTGACTACTTTTGATTTAATATGTTCTTCTTTTTCTAGTTTCCTAGTAAAAGATGATATTATTGATTTTATATTTTTTCTGTTGTAATATCTGTATTCAATGCTACAAATTTCTCTGTAAACACTGCTTTTATTGCATCCCACACATTTTGTTGCATATTAATTTTGAATTTGTTATAAACATTTTAAAATTTCTCTTGAGATTTACTTCTTGACCCATGTGTTATTTAGAAGTGTCTTGTTTATCTCCATCTAGTTTGTGATTGTTCTTTGTGTTGTTAATTTTTAGTTTAATTCCATTGTGTCTGAGAGCAGACATTGCATGATTTCTATTCTTTTAAAACTGTTGAAGTACGTTTTACAGTCCAGGATGTTGTCTATTTTGGTGGATGTTTCATATGAACTTGAGAAAAATGTGTATTTTACTGTTGTTGGATGAAATGTCTGTAGATGTTGATTATATTCAGCTGAGTGACAATGTTGTTGAGTGATAATGTTGTTGAGTTCAATTATGTTTTTCCTAATTTTCTGCCTGCTGGATTGATCCATTTCTGATAGAGGGGTGTTGAAATCTCCACCTATAATAATGGATTCATTTATTTCTCCTTGTAGTGGATCCATTTTTGGTTGGTGTATTTTTATGCTTCGTTGTTAGGTACATACATATTAAGGATTGTTATGTCCACTTGGAGAACTGACCCCTTTATCCTATGTAGTGCCTCTCTTTATCTCTGATAACTTTCCTTGCTTTGAAGACTACTTTGTCTGAAATTAATATAGCTACTAATGCTTTTCTGCTTGCTTTTGATTGATGTTAGCTTGGTGTATCTTTCTCCATCCATTTGTTTTAATCTATATGTAGCTGATATGGTTTGGCTCTGTGTCCCCACCCAAATCTCATGTTGAATTTCGATCCCCAATGTTGAGGGAGGGACCTGGTGGGAGGTGATTGGATCAAGCTGCAGATTTCCGCCTTGCTATTCTCATGATAGTGAGTGAGTTCTCATGAGATCTAGTTGTTTGAAAGTGTGTAGCACTTCCCCCTTCCCTCACTGTCTCTCCTGCTTCACCATGGTAAGACGTGTTTGCTTCCCCTTCCCCTTCTGCCATGATTGTAAGTTTCCTGAGGCCTCCCAGCCATGCGTCCTGTTCAGCCTGTGGAACTGTGAGTTAGTTAACCTCTTTTCTTCATAAACTACTCAGTCTCAGGTAGTTATTTATAGCAATGTGAGAACAGACTAATACAGAAATTGGTACCAGAGAAGTGGTCCATTGCTATAAAGATACTTGAAAATGTGGAAATGACTTTGGAACTGGGTTATGGGCAGAGGTTGGAACATTTTAGAGGGCTCAGAAGAAGTCAGGAAGATGAGGGAAGGTTTGGAACTTCCTAGACATTTTGAATGGTTGTGACCAAAATGCTGACAGTGATATGGACAATGAAGTTCAGGCTGAGGTTGTCTCAGATGGAGATGAGGAACTTATTGGGAACTGGAGTAAAGTTCACTCTTGCTATGCTTTAGCAAAGAGACTGGGAGTATTGTGACTCTGCTCTAGAGATCTGTGGAACTTTGAACTTGAGAGAGGTGAGTTAGGGTATCTGGCAGAAGAAATTTCTAAGCAGCAAAGCATTCAGGATGTGGTCTCGCTGCTTCTAAAAGCCTATTCTCATTTGCATAAGCAAAGAAATGAACTGAAACTAGAACTTATATTTACAAGGGAAGCAGAGAGTAAAAGTTTGGAAAATTTGCAGCTGACCATGTGGCAGAAAAGAAAAACCTATTTTCTGGGGAGGAATTCAAGTCTGCAAAAATTTGCATAAGTAAAGGAGAATCAAATGTTAATAGCCAAGATAGTGGTGAAAATGCCTCCAGGGCATTTCAGAGACCTTCACAGCAGCTCCTCCCATCACAGGCTTGGAGGCCCAGGGAGGAAAAATGGTTTTGTGGGCCAGGCTGAAGGCCCCACTGCTCTGTGCAGCCTCAGGACATAGCACCCTGTGTCCCAGCTGCTCCAGCTCCAGCTGTGGCTAAAAGGGGCAAAGGTACAGCTTGGGCTGCTACTTCAGAGGGTGTAAGTCCCAATCCTCAGTGACTTCCACATGGTATTGGGCCTGCAGGTGCACAGAAGGCAAGAGTTGAGGTTTTGGAGACTCCACCTAGATTTCAAGGAATGTGTGGAAACACCCAAATATCCAGGCAGAAGTCTTCTGCAGGGGTAGAGCCTTCATGGAGAACCTCTACTAGTGCAGTGCAGAGGGGAAATGTAGGGTTGGAGCCCCCACACCGAGTACTCACTGGGACACTGCCTAAAAGAGCTGTGAGAAGAGGGCCACCATCCTCCAGACTCCAGAAGAGTGGATCAACTGACAGCTTGCACCATGCACCTGGAAAAGCCTCAGGCACTCAACACCAGCCTGTGAAAGAAGCTGTGGGGGCTGTACCTTGCAGAGCCACAGGCACAGAAGTGCCCAAGTCCTTGGGAGCCCATCCCTTGCATCAGTGTGGCTTGGATGTGAGACATGGAGTCAAAGGAGATTATTTTGGAGCCTTAAGATTTAATGACTGCCTTGCTGGGTTTCAGATTTGCATGGGGCCTGTAGACCCTTTGTTTAGGTGGATTTCTCTCTTTTGGAAAGGTAATATTTACCAGTGCCTGCATCCTGTATTTGCCCATGCCTGCATCCTGTATTTACCCAATACCTCTACCCTCATTGTATCTTAGAAGTAACTAATTTGTTTTTGACTTTACAGGCTCATAGGCAGAAGGGACTTGCCTTGTCTCAAATGAGACTTTGGACTTGAACTTTGGAGTTAATGCAGGAATGAGTTAAGACACTGGGGGACTGTTGAAAAGGCATGATTATGTTTGAAATGTGAGAAGGACACAAGATTTGGGAGGGGCCAAAGGTGGAATGATGTAGTTTGGCTCTGTGGCCCCACCCAAATTTCATGTTGAATTATAATCCCCAGTGTTGAGGTAGGGACCTGGTAGGAAGTAATTGGATCATCGGGGTAGATTTGCCCCTTGCTCTTCTTGTGATAGTGACTTCTCATGAGAACTGGTTGTTTGAAAGTATGTAGCACTCCCCCCTTCCCTCACTCTCTCTCCTGCTCCACCATGGTAACATGTGCTTGCTTCCCCTTCTGCCATGACTGTAGATTTCCTGAGGCCTTGTCAGTTATGCCCCCTGTACAGCCTGTGGAACTGTGAGTCAACTAAACCTCTTTTCTTCGTAAACTACTCAGTCTCAGGTAGTTCTTTATAGCAGTGTGAGAATGGACAAGTACAGTAGACTTACATTTAAAATGAGTTTTTTTTGTAGAAAATATATAGTAGGGCCTTGTTTTTTCATCTACTCTGACAATCTTTCTCTCTCTATTTTTTTTTTTTTTTGAGACAGGACCTCACTCTGTCACCCAGGCTGGAGTGCAGTGGTGTGATCATGGCTCACTGAAGCCTCAACATTTCAGGCTCAGGTCATCCTTCCACTTCAGCCTCCTGAGTAGCTGGGACCACAGAGATGTGCCACTGTGCCCACCTACTTTAAAAATTTTGTAGAGATGGGGTCTCCATATGCTGCCCAGGCTGGTCTTAAACTCCTAGGCTCAAGCAATCCATCTGTCTTGGTCTCCCAAAGTGCTGGGATTACAGGCATGAGCTACTGTGCCTGGCCTTCTCTTACAATCTCTGTCTTAATTTGTGCATTTAGACCATTGATGTTCAAAGTGGTTGTTGATATATTTGGATTAATATCTACCCGTATTTGTTACTGTTTTCTATTTGTTGCCCTTGTTCTTTGTTCCTACTTTTGTCTTCCATTCTTTTCCTGCTTTTGGTTGTAATTGAGTGTTTTATATGATTCCATTTTCTCTCCTTTCTTAGCATATCAGTTATACTTATTTTTTAAAACATTTTTTAGTGGCTGCCCAAAGTTTGCAATATGCATTACTTACAACTAATTGAAGCCCACTTTCAAATAACACTATACCACTTCACAGGTAGTGTGAGTATCTTATAATAAAATAATTTGAATTCCTCCCACTCATCCCTTGCAGCAATTGTTGTCACCCATTTTACTTACACATAACCATGCATAATCAAATACATTGCTGATACTTGATATTATTTTGAACAAACTGTTACCTATTAGATAAATTGAGAATGAAAACTCAGTTTTTATTTTACCTTCATTTATTCCTTCTTTGATGCTCTCCTTTTCTATGTAGATCCAAATTTCTAACCTATATATTTTTTTCTCTCTAAAGAACTTCTTTTCACATTTCTTGGAAGGCAGGTTGACAAGTATTTTTCAAGAGAGAGACAGGAGGAAATTTGAGATAGAAGAGGAGAAGACAAGACACAGAGAAGAGAAGCTGATGTGAAGATGGAGCAGAGAGAGATGCAGACAGAAGCCAAGGAATGCTGACAGCTACCAGGAGCTGGAAGAGGCAGAGAAGGATTCCTTTCCAGATCCTTTAGTGGGACCGTGGCCCTGCCGACACCTTGATTTCAGCTGTCTAGCCTCCAGAATTGTGGGAGAAAAAGTTTTTATTGTTTTAAGCCACTAAGTTTGTGGTGATTCATTACAGCACCCCCAGGAAATGAATATAGTATCCCAAGTAGGATTAGCCCTAGTTACCTACTGTGGTGGTGAGCTCAATAATTTAAGAGTTACTTTTTCTTCCTTTCTTAGGTTGCTCTTCCCAGTTCTCCATTCTTGTTCCCTATGATCATTTCCCAAAATAAATTCCCCGCATGCAAGACCTGGTCTCAGGCTCTGACTTCTGGGGAAAATCGAGGCTAATATACTTGGTTCCAGAAGTGACCATAGGAAGCAGAACCTCAAGATGTTATGGTGGAACTGCTTCATTCACTGTCCAAACAGTGGGAAGAACTTTGTTTGTGGTGGTGAGTTGGTAACAACTTCTGGCACCCAATGCATCAGTGAAGTGACCGAAAGGTCTAGGGCATGTGAGGAACAGTGCCTCCAAGGTAAAGAACAATGTATTGTTTCTTACATCTCCTGTTACTGGGAGGCACTGTATTTGGTGTGGCTCTTTCAATTTGGGAGGTTGCATTGAATGCATTTGGGAATTTTGCTCTAACCCTTTTATTGGGTGACTCAGAATCCCATCAGTTTTGGGAAGGCTCTGCAGCGGTTCTAGGCTCTGGTGTAGGCTTTGCTGCCACTTAGGTCAGAAGACCTAACATGGTGCTAGAAGTATCCACAATGGATAAGGATGCCTGTGTGGAGTTCGCTGAGGGATAAACTCAATATTTCAGTGCTAACTGAAAATGGACCCCTCTGTACTGTAGCCCCACTTAGGGGTGCCCTGTAGGACAGTAAGAAGAGAATTCCTCATTATGGGAAGAGCTGCAAGCAGTACGGTGATTCTTAATTTGTATGGAAGCAGAGATGGCCTTAAGTATGGCTACACATCAACTCCTGGCAGTGGTAAGTGGTTTTCTGGGTGTCCAGGCATGAGAGGAACAAGACTGAGAGATGTGTCAAGAAGTTAGGAGATGAGGCATTTGGGAGGGCCTATGGGAGTGGGCACAGCATATAATGATATTTGAGTGTAATGTTCATGCTCACCAGAGGGCTTCTACTACAGAGGAGTTCCCTTCATATGAACATCAGCTCCCATTGTTCCTTGGCCATCTCGGGGCTTGTGCAATGAGCCCCTGAATGCCACATTGGCCAGAAACAAGGCTACACACTTGGGCCCAGCAGCACAAACTTCTTTTCATCAAGGCTGATCTAGCCACTGCCACTGATAAATGCCCAGACTTCTAGCCAAAGAGAACACAGCCAAGCTCTGGATGTGAAAATATTGCTCTAGGAAACCAGCCAACTACCTGGTGGGAGGTGGATTTTTTTCAGATCCCTTCAATCCTGGTGGAAGCAGCAATTTGTTCTTATCAGAATTAATGCCTACTCTGGATATGAGATTCTTATCCCTGGCTGTCAGCGTTGCCATCCAAGGGCCAAGAGAGTGCCTGATTTTTCAGCACAGAGCCTATATAACATTGCCTCCGGTCAGAGACCCATTTGATAGCAAAGAGGTGTGCTACTGCATACGTGGCTATAGGAATCTCTGGTTCTACCATTTAGCACATCATCTGGAAGTTGGCAGCCCAATACAAGGATGGAAGGACCTATGAGAGACTCTTTTAAGGTATTATCTTGGGGACAGCACCTTGTGGGTTTGGCATGTAGCTTTCAGGATTGTTATTAATATATGCATTGAGCCAATGGCCCTTATATGGTCTGCGTCCCCTGTAGCTAGAGTACATGGATCCTGGAACCAAGGCATGAAATAAGGAGTAGCCACTCTCACCATTATTCCCAGTGACCCACTGGAGGAATTAATATTTTCCACACTGAAACCCTAGGCTCTATTGGATTGGAGGCTCTCTAAAAGGTGGAGGCATGCTTGTACCAGGTGGGTTCTGTTGAACTTGAAGTTACAGCTACTGCCTAGTCATCTTAGATCCCTTGAGCCAGTGGACCATAAAAAACAATATTGGTGGGGATAATTGAGCCTAATTACTATGAGAAGTTGGGTTTCTACTCCCCAGCAGGGTTAAGAAAATAACATGTCTGGAATGAGAGGACACTGGTGCTTCATGCCAAGAGGAAACTGTAAATGGGCCATGGCAGTAACCACAACTGCCTAACTGTGGCCAAGGGAACCAAAGCTCCAACTCAGCAGGGATGAAGAGTAAAAGTCTGGCTGAGAGTGAGGGGAGTCAAATGTGTGCAGGTTAAAGAAATGATGCACATCCACTGTGGTATTGAGTCCAGTTGCAGCAGGACGACTGTAGCTTGTTCCAATAACTCTCCCGTAGTGTCTCTCATAGAAATTTCCACTGACCTCCCCCAGTAAAGACCTTGTAATTGATTGTATTGAACACCTCTCATGCCTCATAACTTACACTTCTTCAACTCACCTTCTACTATGGCCACTGCTGCAGTGACCAGCGTCACACCGGTGTGGCTTTCCAGCACCTTCCCTTGGTAGCACTTCATGTCTCACCTTCTGCGTGGAGACCTCTCTGAAACTGCTCTGTAAGATGACTGCTAAACCAGTCTGGCACTCACTCACTCATGCACAATCTATAGAAGTAAGAGGAAATGAATACCTTATGTGGCAATCCTTGACCAATGGGAGACAGAAGTTAGGGAATAAATCAGTGCTTCTGTATTCCTTCCCACAGGCAGACAATTTTGAGGTGCATTACACACAGCTCCTTGGAAGGTCCCAGGGAGACTAAGCCCCAGTTACCATGGTGGTGGCCAGTTCAATAAAGCACCCTTGTAGTGGCCTTCCTTCCTTCTCTGCTTTACTCTTTTCAGTCCCTCGCCCTTGTTCCTTGGGTCACTTCTCCAATAAATGACCTGCATGCAAATGCAAACCCTTGTCTCAGGCTCTGCGTTTTGGCTAAGACACATAGGTTCCTTGGGGAAAATGGAGATAGTTGTGGAGTGCTGATATGAGTGAGGACAGAGAAAGTTAGGGAAAGGTTCACAGGGAAAAATATCATTCATATTAGATCCTACTTCTTAAAAATTACATAGATGTGTACTTGTATGCATAAAGAGATGTTTGTGAAAATAGTCACCAAAATATTAATATTGATTATCTTAAAATGGTGAATATACTTTATTATATTTTATATTTTAAAAAGTATTTATGGCCAGGCACATGACTCATGCCTGTAATCCCAGCACTTTGGGAGGCTGAGATGGGAGGATCACTTGTTATCAGGAAGCTGAGATCAGCCTGGGCAACATAGTGAGACCCCGTATCTACAAAACATTTTAAAAAGTATAAAAAGATAGAAAAGTACTTATTACATTTTTGTAAGATGTTTGAATTATTTACAACAAACAGGTGATATTTATGTATTGTAATCAGAAAAACATCCTAAGAAGGAAGGTATAAATAAATGGTGGGGGGAAAAAGGAGACCTTTAGACCAAGGTGGGTTTCCTCTTTTCTGGCATCTGTGCACAAAATCGTCCTTTCTCTCTCCTGATGCCAGAACGCTTCTCTATACATCAGCTTAATGCAAACAGAAATTCGACCAGAGCCCACTAGTTCCACAGCAGGAGCCGGACTTCAATTGAGGCTCAGTTGGGAACCCCTGCTATGCATACACACAAGCTTCCAATCTTGTTGAAATCAGCTGACTCAAACCTCAACTTGCAGGAAAAGAAAATGGAAGTCCTGAGCTCACAGGGAGTTGCTATTTCCTCAAAATTTTCACTTATGGCAGATAGAAAGGGGGCCTAAATAAGTCAACAGGTTACAAAGAGAAAATTGGATCCTCTGAGAAATGATACCTTCTATTTATTATCTATTTATTATAGTCACTACATGGGGTACTAATCCAATCCAGTTCTAAAGGTCCTGATACATTACCTGGAGTCAACTGTCTCATTTAAACTGTCTTCAGTACAGCTCGGCACAGTTCATCAGTTAATCAGGCCCTGGGTTGAACAGTGGGTAGGACCCAAGGCTGTGCTCTCAGGAGGTGGGGAAAGCTATTGCACCTCTTTTTTGAACGCGGATTTGAATTTTGGAAGATACAAGTAAGTTTCTAATTTGGAGAGTAGGGTGGTATGTACCTTGCAGAGAAAACCTTCTAGGTAGAAGGATTTTAAAATGTGTCCCAGAAGATTGGTGAATCAGGTCCAAAATCCTGGGTTGGCAGCAGTTTCATATGTTATTAAATCTTGACTTTAGAGTTGAAAGGAATTTCCCACTGGAAAAAACATAACAAAAGCTGAAAACTTGGCACTTGACTAGAAAATCAAGAAGAGCGAAAAGGCAGCTCTCTGCAAACCTCAGTTTAGGGATCTCAATCACCAGGGGCATCTTTCTTCAGCCTTAAGACCAATGTTTCTACCACTCAGTATCTATAAAACAAGCTTATACACATCATTCCTTATTGAAAACCATAATTTACAAGTTGACTCTCTCAGGTTTCATTGTTACCTTTCCCCTGCCCCCAACTCTAGGTTTTCCATAAGCTTCAAATTCATTGCCATCCTCACTCTCCACTTACTCTCTTTTCCTTTGTTTTAAGACTTATTTTACCTTGTCAGGAAAAGATTCTCAGGGTATGAGCCTACTTTGAAAAGGTAGGGTTGAAGGTGGGCAGTTCTGGAAAAGTGAGCCTCAACATCTTTCACCTGTCTTCAGGATAAATTGTTCCTCCTATCTCAGCGGGCTACCAGGGGTAGACTTTCCCAGAGCTGAGATGGGCTGGCTACCCAGGTGACAAAGGTTGGATGCTCCAAGTTGCATGATATTTAATGGTGATTTAAATATTTTTATACTCTAGGAATCTTCTAGAGTGCTGGAAACGTTCTCTATCTTGGTCAGGGTTGTGGTTACCAAGTATACAATATATACAAATTTACCAGTCTTGCACACTTTATTATATATAAAGTATACTTCAATTAAAAAGTAATTAAAATACACTACCCTCAAAATATCCAGTGCCATGCATAAAACTTCAAACTGTCCTCTTACGATTTTGGGCTTTGAAACATGGAAGAGAGCTAATTGTTTTTTTCTTGGACATTAAACACCACTAAGATAACACATTTTGAACTGGCAACAATTTTGGTTAGCATTCTCGTCTCATAACT
This sequence comes from Homo sapiens, assembly GCF_000001405.40. NCBI lineage: Eukaryota > Metazoa > Chordata > Mammalia > Primates > Hominidae > Homo > Homo sapiens. Next base: position 134,032,361 of record NC_000002.12, on the reverse strand, counting down.
AGAAAAACATTCAATTTTCCTAGGAGAAAAGGAGAACTTAGAGAAGAAATGGACCTTTAATTGCAAGACGTTGTGATAGGAGGCAACAGTCTCCATTTAGTTGATTACTTTCTTTTCCTTTCCTTTTTTCAAAAGGCAACATTTGATTTATAGTTGGCAGTACCCTCAAATGCAGTTTCATTTCAAAATGAAAAAATGTTCAATTCTTGAGTGATTTGTGGACAGTGCCTGCCTTCAGGATCTTTTCCCAGTGTGTGGCTTCCCAGGAGACTGCCCCAGACAACCAGCAGGACTGTGCTTCTCATGTGCTCGTAGCTGGAGCCTGCTGGCTGGAAGTAGGGCCCCTGATGCCATTCCACTGAGGCCGAGGGTCCCAGCTGCTTCCCCACTCTGGACCCTTGAAGCAGCACAGGATGCTCCATGGACCGCTGGTCAGCTGTCTGTTTCTAACTTGGAATTGTTTGCCTCTACTAAATCAGCCACTCTGTGCGCAATCTGGACAAGTTGTTTACCTTCTGAGCTTTCAGGTTTTTTTGCCTGCAAAATGAGGGAGTTAGTTGGTCAGACCCAGTGGATGGCAGCTCTGGCTGTGGGTGAAACCACAGGTGAAACTCACCTGGGAGGATTTAACCTGAATAGGGAAGTAGGTGCTGTAGCAAACATTTTTCAGGGCTTTGGCTTTAAGACTGTCAGTTCTTAGGGTTTTTGGTTGCAGAGCACGTCTTTAAAAAATGCAAGCCTGGTGCGACACACTTCTTCATCATTCATGCCACCGAATGACATTGAGTATATTTACTGGGTAGTCTGATCCGAATATGTCACATAACCTGCCTGTTTGTTTCCCTTTACTGCTTCTAAAGTTATCTACCCTCTGTTAGAATAAGTGAGACCATCACTGGTTAGTTTTATTATTGTTTTAAACCTTCTCCTCTTTAAATATTTTTAGATTCCAAGAAGTTGCAAAAATAACACAGAGAGTTCCTGTGTACCTTTCACCCAGCTCCCCCAATGATAACATCTTACATAACCATCATCACCGGTTATTATTCCATGATTAACTCTCCTCTCTACCCTCAGTGGAGGCCCAGAGCAATCAGCCTTCACATCTGAAAGAGCCTAATAGCAAGCTGCAGCATTTTTGCAATGTGAGAGTGAGGAGCTGAGATGAAAACCCAAGCTTCCTAGTTCCTAATCCAGAGCTTGTAGTGTCTTTGTGATACAGCCTTGCAGAGAGGTTAAAAAAAAATCCCCAAATGAAAACTGATGGCTTATCTATTTAAAGTAGAGGCAGCAAATAACTCATGAATTCATGCCTTTGCTTATTACGTCCCTTGCAGTGGAGATGGATGGATGAGTCGATCTATCTCTGCCTACATGTCTCTCTGCACTATGCAAGGAAGATGAGATAGGTTGGGGAAAGCAGTGAGGTATGATGGATAGAGGACATGGCCGAGACTCAGAGAACTGAAGATATAGCCCTAGTTCTGCCGACAGAGTGAACTTGGTAAGTCATTCTCTGAGCTGTTATTTCTCTGTTTGTAAAATGGCAATGGAGGAAGACTAGGCTGGGGAAGGAAAAGTTGGAGGCTCAAAATTGTATGAGTCTATGGAAATGGGTGTGTCAGGCTGGGCTTCCTAGGAAGCTAACTCTGAGAAGTAGGGTAATATGCAGGCTACTTGTTAAGGCGAAGCTTTCATGGGAGGAAGGGGCTGAAGCAGGATTGGGCAGGGAGAGAAGTTGAGGCCCAATGACAGCCTTGGCAACTGCGTGAGGAGTTGTGGAGCTAGAACACCCTTTGGCATAGTAACAAGTAGAGGTGAAAGGTCCAAGCCTTGACACCCACATCCATCTGGTCAGGCAGCCCTCTGCAGCAGAGGCCATTTTTCCCGATGACATTCTCAACTGCTGGTCAACAAGGTCTTCATTAAAGGGTTATCTGGAAGGCCCACCACCATGTCCACCATAAGGCAAAAACATGACATGGCTTTTAATCAATAGAATAATAGAAATAATAAACATTAACATTCACAGGGATATTAGAGATCATGTAGCTCAACCTCCTCATTGAACGGGGGAGGAAAAAGGAAGATTCAGTGACTTGCCCAAGGTCATACAGCAAGGTCATGGCCAACCGAGTCCTGGCCCTTGTCTCCATTCTTTCCAGAATAGGACAGCTCACATGCTATATACCTGCTAAACATCCTCCTCTCTATGTAGAGAGGGCCAGGCAGGCCACAAGCAGTCCTGAGGGTGCTACAAGCTGGCCTTGGCCACAGCCATGGGGGTCTGAAGCCCATGCTGGTTGTTTCTAACAACTCTTTTACCCCCAGTGCCTTCAGTCTTTCAAATAAAGTGGCATTCATCCTTCTGGCTGTCTGTGAGCCTGTCCAGGGAGTATTTTCAAAGCAATCTTTTCTCCTTGGAGCCTGGTTAAAAAGGGGAAAAAGTTAAAAACGCATTAGGATTAGGCTCAGTGGTGATGGTGTCTCAGAGCCTTAGGCCGAATGGGAAATTCATCAATTCATCATTCAAAGCTGGACTGACAGAACACAGAGCCAAGCCGGAGAGGACTGGAAACTGGCATTTCCCCCTGGATTTGCACAATTCCTCTGCAAGGATCGTGGGGGCCTGGGTTGGAGAGCCCTACATGGCTGGATAATGAACTTCCGTTGTCCTGCTGAGAGCTGGCCTCTGTGTCTGGCAGCACTTGGGGAGTGTGCATGTGTGAGGAATTGGGGGAAAGCATGCCAGAAATGGTTACATTTTATAAGAAATGTCTTATCTTTTTCCATTCACAGAGGAAAAGAAAACATCAGCACCAGAGCCAAACCTATTTCTCCGGGTAATCCATCTCTGTACTGCTGCTCCCTGCAAATCTCTCTCGCGTTAGGTTCCCTGGCTTCAGACTAATGCACACACTGTATTCCTCAGAAATTTAGTAAGAGACCTACGTGTCTTTTGTAATTTGTATTATCTGTGTCTTATCTCCACATAATGTGCTAATATGGAAATTAATTTCATGCTCATCAGATAGCAAAGTAAATTATCAAGGTATGGGTTTCTTTTAGTATTGTTGAAAGTTCTCCCCACCCCACTGTCTGGCAGCTGAATACTTAATATTATCCAAACAGGGAAAATTAACTTGCTGCAAATACATCCGAGCTAATTTAGAGCTGAAGCGATTCCTTCGCTTCTCAAGCCCACGTGGGACTTGACCCTACTTGCTCAGTCTCTTCTCATCACTCTGTCTGGGTACCCCCTGCATCCTCTCTAACTCAACTGCCCTCCAGAAGGTCAGTTAAATGCATTACACGTTCTCAAGCCACTGTCCTTTGTATAGACCTGTCCCTTTGCCTAGATCATCCTTCCTTGCCTTCTTTCCCTGAGCAACATCTGCTTCATCTTTCAAGAATGCTAAAATGTCACTTCTCTGAAAGCTTGGAGTTGGGGCTCTCTTTGTGTGTGTTCATGTGTTATCTGAGGCTGGGGATGGCACAATCCCACAGGTGGGGGTGTCAGATATCCCCCAGGGAGCTGAGATTTGATTCGTTGCTCCCTCCCCACAGGGAGAGGATTCCTGCAGGGGAGGTCTGCTCATGTTCTGGGGGCTGCCCTCCATCATGGCTACCTACCTTCGGAATGTTTGCTTTCACTGGGCCCTCCTGGATGGATTGGCAACTCTTCCCAAGTCAGACCCTGGTATGCCCTTGTTGGTTTCTAGCAGTTAGCAGGCTGGGCAAGGAGGCGACTGGGAAGAGTCCTCCTCAATGAACGCATGCGTGTAAGAGGGAAGGAATGAACTACGAACAGGAAGTAAATTTCTTTCCAAGAGAAAAAAGCTGGAAAAATAATTGTTCCTCTTGTTTAGAAGATGACAGCTTTTTTTTTTCTTCATTAAGCGCCCTTCTCTTCAAAAGACAAAAAAGGTAAGATTCTCTGGGTCAGAAGCCAGACAGACTTTTTCACAGCTCTGAAAAAGTGAGAACAGCGAATTCACTTCCCTTCTCCCAAAAGGCATGTGCCACCGGGTGCTCCTGCTCCCTGCAAGATCCCTTCCTGTAGAGTTAGGAGGTAGAGGTGTGGCTCCGATGTGTTCCCCAGGCGTCCCTGTGAGGTCGGCGCCCTCCCCTGTCCATTCCCCTTAGAGCCTTGGGTCGCTTCCCACCCCGCGTCCCCTGGGACACCACTGGACGCCTGGCCCTGCCCGTGAGCGCCGCTCCACTCCGCCTGGATGTGGGCACGCGGGAAGGCCACTGCCCAGCCGCCACTCCCGGCTTCCCTGAAGGGCAGGGCAGGGGCGGGAACGGAAGGGAGCTGCATGGAAGGAAGCCGTTTGGGAACTGTGGTTGGTCTGACTGGGTGTTGGGTTTGTGGCTACCCAGAGAAAGGCACGGAGTTAGCCCTTCGCAGTGGGTGACGCCCTGCTCCTCGCCCGGTCCCCCTCAGCTCAGCCTCCTGTGAAAGAGAATCTGGGGCTACAACGCACTTCCCTCCCCAACTCCGGGGAACGCCGTCTCCCTGCAGCGTAGTAGGAAAGGCGCCCCTGCAGGGGTGCAGCTGCAGCCCCAGGGAGAAGCCCCTTCAACCCCCCACGCTAGGAGAGGCCCACCGCCCTGGCCCAGAGGTCGGCCTGGCCTCAGTTTCCCTCCCTCTGTCCTCCGCCCCCAGCTCCCTCTCCCCAGAACTAGGCAGGGCAGGACAGCCCTTGGGGGTCTTGGCTCTTTACTTGGGTCCCTTTAGAGCTCTTCCTATCAGTGAGAGATTTATTCACAAAGACGATTCTTTTTGTTGTTCTGGGGCTATTGACTCAAATACACAAAATACAAACACGGAGTCACTCAGATACTACGATCTCTCTAGTCTGTGTTAATCTAGTACAATTTCTCCCTAAGTAGAACATTGATCCAGGCACTGACCCCATCCCACGATGAGGAGTATTATTTTCTGTTGCTCTGCACGACGATGTCAGGACAGCATCCCCCTTCCCCACCCTGCCCAGTCCTCCCAGGCTTGCCTGGGCCTGTGTGAAGGGATAGTGCCTGTCCCAGAACCACCACTCACCCCTTGGTGGCAACACAAAGAATAAGCACGACTGCTTTTGGGCCCTTAGCCCAGATCCTGGGCCAGGTGTCCCCACACCTGTTAGGGAAGCAGTAAGGATTTCTTCCTGTGCCAGCAATCTCTTGCTGAGGGGATGGGAGGGGGATTCATTCTCTGATTTCACGTATGGTTTTAGTTCCCATGAGATCCCCCAAGGACTTTGTAGCCACAGCTGTTTGTCTATTCTCAGCTATGCAGGCAGAAAGGCAGGCAACAGGGTCTTCTCCTCGGAGGAGCTATGGTGTCTGCCTTCAGGGAGTGCTCCCACACTTCGGGAGGCTAAACTTTCCTCATTGAGACAGCACAGCTTCCTGTGAAGCTGTAGAGTAAGGAACGCTGCCCAGCACACACTGGGGGTTGAGGGCTGTGGGGAGAGGATCCTCACTCAGAGAGGGGGCAGGTTGCCATCAGGCAATGCAGGGACTTTGTCAAGGGCCAGAAATCTGTTTTCCGTTCCTATGTCCCACCCTGGATCTCCTCGTTCTCCTTCCCCAGTATTTGCCAGGCATAGGAGACTCTGTAGTGGCTTTAACTATGGTGCTGGAGGGAGCATGACTGGGTTGTGTGTTTGGGGAGGGGTGGAAGAGTGGAGGTGCATGGCATGTATGTGTATGTGTACATGGATCACATATGATGGGCACTTACATGTTGCTTTTTAATGAGAGATGTATTCAGTTCAAAGGACATTTAAGGCGTTTATGCTGAGCTGGTGCTGCCAGGTGTGTGCTGCTTAGAATGAAAAGATACATCACACATGTTCTATGCAGTAAAATAACCTCAATCCAGTGGAACAGTGTTTCTCCAACTTTTCAGGCCGTGATTCACAGTAAAAATTCTTTTCTTAAAAATTATATTTATTTGTGTGAAATATAACATAAAATTTATTATCTTAACCATTTTAAGTGTACAGTTCAGTAGTGTTGAGTATATTCATGTACAACAGATCTCCATAACTCTTTCAATGTGAAAAATTAAACTCTGTACCCATTAAAAATAAATCCCCATTAGAAATATCTTTTATGTTGCAACCTCAGTGCACACACACGTGCGTGCACGCGTGCGCACACACACACACACACACACACAACTGCTTGAAAATTTTCGTGAAACAAATACTTGCTCTTACTCCATGGAACACACTCTGATATTCTTTTCTATTCTACTTACTTATTTTTGAAAATGCTGGTCAAGACCCAATAACTTCTTTCAGTTAGTGTGCTTTAGTGGGTTTCACACCTGCAGTTTGAAATGCTCTGCTGTAGAATACAGACAAGATCACAAATTGCCATGTGATCAGGCAGAGTCAGGTTCGGGGCACAGGGCAGGAGCAGGAAGACAGTTCTGGAGGATTTGTAGGAGGGAGGGAAACCACTGAGTCAGGAAGATCAGAATAGGTCTCCTGGGAGAGTTGCTGCCAGAAATATTCCTCGAAATGTCAGTAAGATTTCAACTGAGGGCCGGGCATGGTGGCTCACACCTGTAATGCCAGCACTTTGGGAGACCGAGGCGGGTGGATCACCTGAGGTCAGGAGTTCAAGACCAGCCTGGCCAACATAGTGAAACCTTGTCTCTACTAAAAGTACAAAAATTAGCCAGGAGTGGTGGCAGGCACCTGCAGTCCCGGCTACTCAGGAGGCTGAGGCAGGAGAACTGCTTGAATCTGAGAGGTGGAGGTTGCAGTGAGTTGAAATCGCGCCACTGCAGTCCAGCCTGGGTGACAAGAGCGAAACTGCCTCTCAAGTAAATAAATAAATAAATAAATAAAAATAAAAAGAGGTTTCAATTGAGAGTAGGGAATAAGAGGGATAAGATTTGTAAATAAAAGGAGGATGTTCCAGGCAGATGAAATAGCAAGTGTGATCGTAACTGCACAACTCACTAATTAAGTAAATTTGTGCCTCTGTTTTCTTATCTGTAAAATGGGGATAGTAATAGTGCTTACTTCTTAGTAACTTGCAGGTTTAGTAAATTAACCCATGTAAAGCACTTAGAAAAGTTCCTGGTACATAGAAAACATGTAATGCTAGTTCTTACTATATATTATATTATATTGAATTTTAAGGAACCTTATTCAGCTAATCTATCTATTTACAACTGAGCTGAAAAAAATGAATCAGAAGATAACTTCCATCACAAAGCTCTTCCCTAAAATGGAGTTACTGACAATAGTTATAGACCATTGTCTGTTCAATAGCAAGTGATAAAATAGTAAAAGCAGGAATAATAATAACAACTAGCATTTATTAAATGTCCAGGATGGTACTGAGCACTTTACACACATTATTTCATCTAATCAGTAGTTATAGTCAGAAGCACAGCCATTCATACCTAAGCCCTGGACTATCTGGGTTCTGTATCAGTTTTTCATAGGGAGACCTCTGCCTCTACAAGAAGATCATTGATAGAGAAGAAGGGAGTTTGTCAGATAGAGAGAAGTCTTTTTAAATCTAGGCAGGCTGTGGGGACTGTCTTGGGAAAGGTGGCAGGTTCTTGAGGAGCAACAAATGAAGTGTATCTCTGTTGCCGTGGCCGCCCAAGGCCACAGAGAGCATTCCCAGGGTAAGCCTTTGACCCTCACAATGAAAGCCGACGAAAATTTCCCACCTCTGAGTCTAATTCTATCAGGGGTTCCTAGTGTTTCCATGGGGAAACAGGCAGCTAAACAAAATATAGCATGGGGTTTGTAGAAACCTAGGAAATTCTATGGAGAAGACTTTGCTGTCTTCATCCTGCATACTCAGCTACAGGGTGGCTCACTGAAGACCCTGCACAGAAGCTCATGCCCTTACTCAAAAGATCACCTTTCAGGCCCTCCCTGAGATCCTGCTAAGTCTCATATTAGGTATGACTTTGATCAGTCCAAATAGCTTTCTGTCTTGAAGCAGACTAGGAGCCTGAATTAAAAGGGATTGGAGGGTGTGTGTGGAGGCTGCTGAAGACAAGCATGCTGGCTGCAAGACTATGAAGGAAGGAGGACCTGAGACATTACACTTAACAAATGCCCCATGCATAGAAAACAGTGCTCAGAATGTTCTGGGAGCAGAACCACGCTACATGGCTTTGTAGCCCACCTAGACCCTGTGCAGAATAAAGCACGGGCAGAAGGAGACCCTGTGTTCTCAACACAAGGTGAACCAGCATGCCTAAGTGGAAGGAAAACGAGAGGATGACTCAGAAGACCTGGGGTCAGCCCCAGTTCCACCATGTACCAGTTTTGTGACTTTCGGCAAGTCATCATCTCTTTTAGAGTCTCAGTGTCATGTTTGCCAAATGGGGGTGAGGTGCGTGATAATAATAGGACATTGGCTACAGGCTTGTAGTGAAGACAAGATAATATAGATGGAAAGTTCTCTGTGAGTTTAAAAGCACTGAATAAATGTTTGAGTTTAATTATTCAGCTCAGTGTTTAAGGCAAAAAGAATATGTACAGTAAGATTTAAAAATAGTTCTCTCCAAAATTGGAGAAATGAGTTTTGGAATGGAAAGGGATGACTTTCAGCTTGTTAAATGGGAAATAACCATACTTACCTCTTAGGGTTGCTGTGAGGGTTAAATGAGATAATACATCTAGAACAGGGTTTCCTAACCTCTGTGTGATAGGTGTTTGGGCTGGATTATTCCTTGTGATGGGGTCTGTCCTGTACACTGCAGGATGTTTAGCAGCACTCCTGGCTTCTACCTACTACATTCCAGTGAGTAGGCAGTCCTTCCCCAGCACTGTGACAACCAGAAATATCTCCAGACATTGCCAAATACCCACTTTTGGCCCTGGTTGAGAAACGCTGGTCTAGAGCATGTAGAGCAGCATCTGGCACATGTTGAATGCTCAATATGTGTTTGCTTTTAGAATTTTCAGGCTTATGCCTGTAATCTCAGCACTTTGGGAGGCCGAGGCAGGCAGATCACCTAGGTCAGGAGTTCAAGACCAGCCTGGCCAACATGTTGAAACCCCATCTCTACTAAAAATACAAAAAAATTAGCCAGGCATGGTGGTGCACACCTATAGTCCCAGCTACTCAGGAGGTTGAAGCAGGAGAATCACTTGAACCTGGGAGGCAGAGGTTGCAGTGAGCCGAGATCATGCCACTGCACTCCAGCCTGGATGACAGAGCAAGACTCTGTCTCAAGAAAAAAAAAATCATTAAGGAAAGGTACACAGGAAAAAGCAGAGATCCCTGGTATTGACACTGACTAGCTGTGGAACCTAATCTTGAGAATATTAATGAATTTGTGTGAACCTTGGTTTCTCCTTCTCTAAAAAATGTTGATCATTGTATATACCTTACTTAGTGGATATTACATAAAATAATGGATTAAGTATTACTTTAGTTCCACGTGAGGATATCTAAAACAATGATGGTACTGTATCTTTAAGGCAGGGGTCAGCAAACATACCCCCATGGGCTAAATCTAGCTGCCATCTGTTTTTGTACAGCACATAAGCTAAAATGGCTTTTAGACTTTTTTTAATTGAGTCTCGCTCTGTCGCCCAGGATGGAGTGCAGTGGTGCAACCTTGGCTCAGGGCAGCCTCTGCCTCCTGAGTTCAAGCGATTCTCCCACCTCAGCCTACCAAGTAGCTGGGATTACAGGCGTCTGCCACCACACCTGGCTAATTTTTATATTTTTAATAGAGATGAAGTTTCACCATGTTGGCCAGGCTGGTCTCAAACTCCTGACCTCAGGTGATCCGCCCGCCTTGGCCTCCCAAAGTGCTGGGATTACAGGCCTGACCCACCACACCTGGCCAGCTTTTACATTTTTTAAAAAAATCAACAGAAGAGTAACATTTCCTGACATGTCAAAACTATATGAAATTCACATCAGTATTGTTGGAACATAGCCCCACTTATTTTACACCTGCTTTCTTGCCACAAGGGCAGAGTTGAGCAGCTGTGAAAGAGACAGCACGGCCCACAAAGCCTGACATATTTACTGTCTGATCCTTTGCAGAAAAGTTGTCTGACCCTTCCTTTAAGGTCTTAACAAGACTGGCGAGTTGGACCACTTACTTTTGGATATTATGTGCTTCCCCCTTCCATTTGATGCTTGATTTTAGTGAATGACGGAGTTTACCCGAACACCTGAACAGCTGGTATGGCTTTCTTTATCAATTTGGTGTAGTCTGCAGGATCTGTGTCCATGTGGCCCTCGAGGCCAGTGAAGAGGACTGGCATCATAAGGACTAGGGGCACACAGTGAAGCCTCCTGCCATCTAACTTTCAGTTCCTCTTCTGAACTCCTCTTTGCTGTCTGGGGCTGACTCAGTTGTCTCTGGACCTGAACAGTTTCAGTTTGAAAGGCTTTGTCATTTCAATTCTAGGTCATAAATGAAGCCTGCCCTTTGTCTGTCTATTCTCTGTGTCACCTATTTCCACTTACAATATCTTTTCTTTTTTCTTTTCTTTTCTTTTCTTTTTTTTTTGAGACAGAATCTCACTCTATTGCCCAGGATGGAGTGCAGTGTCATGATCTTAGATCACTGCAACCTCCGCATCCTGGATTCAAGGGATTTCTGTGCCTCAGCCTTTCAGGTAGCTGGGATTACAGGTGTACACCACCATGTGGGGCTAATTTTTGTATTTTTAGTAGAGACGAGGTTTCACCATGTTGGCCAGGCTGGTCTTGAACTCATGACCTCAAGTAATCTGCCCACCTCGGCCTCCCAAAGTGTTGAGATTACAGGCGTGAGCCACCGCACCTGGCTACAATATCTTTTCTATAAGACTTTATAAAACATTTGAGCGTCCTGTTTTCATCCCTGGCCTGAATCTGTTGACCATGGGGGCACTTCCTGGTCCAAGGATTTAATAGGGCTTTCCAGCATTGTTTAGTTTTTGCTAATCCATTAGATTGCCTGGTTAGAAAGTTTGTTAAAATATGGAACAAGTACAACCAGGAGGACTCACAATTACGCCTTCTTTTTGATGGGCCATAATGTAGGGAAACCTGAAGAAGATTTATCTTGAGCAGATGGAGGTAAGGTGGAAGTGGGAGGAGAAACTTATATGAGAGACAAAATGCTCAAGTGCTTCCCACACAAATACCCTAGAAAGTCTGCAAATTTGAGTCAACATTGAAGAAGAAGCCTTCTAAGGGGCCTGAAAAAGCCTTTCAGCAGGTTCACTCCCCGTATGCCCACCGGAGTATGCTTCTGCACAGTTTCCTGGCCTCAAGCCATCCCTGAACATTTCACGAAGAACATCTCTTCTTGACCTGTGTGTGTTTTGAATTGAGATTTACTTTGCACATTAATTGCAGCAATGGACTGCAAGTTGAACATGGTATAGACTGATCAGGTCTTCCTACCTGGACCATCTTGAGTGGAAAACTAACAATGACTAAGCCACAAGGACTATCCAGATTTGCCTCTTGCAGAAGTCCTATCTGTCTGTGGGTAGCTGCCCTAATGAGAATTAGCTTAGAGCACTTCCTGCTAAAACCAAAGTCACATTTCCTATGTGGTCACTTTGATGTCTTAATACTTATGTTTACAATAAGCATAAAAGGCACGAAGCCCTTCGTGAATAAACCTCCTTAAACAGGGTGTCTTAGTTCTAGCCCAGAGTCCATGTACCTCTAGATACGTGGTAAAGCAGTCAGGACATTTAACTCTGATGGCAGACTGGTAGCCTACTGTTTGGCTGAGAACTTATGCCACCTTAATGGGTATGCCAGCTTTGTTCATTCTATAATTCCTAATTCTAATATCATCGTCTCCAGGATTCCAACTCAGGTCTCTGTTGTTTATCTGGCCAATACATTATTTTTCCTCACCAGTACATTCCCATTCATAATTCCTCTTACCTTTTCCACCATGACCAATAGCCCACATCAATTACATGGATGAGCTTAGTCAGGGAATTGCTTGAGTTGTTGCAGCTGCTAAAGCTGCTTCTCTCAAGGACCATCTATTTCCTCTTGCCACTTGCCAACCATAAAACAACCATATAACTAAAAGAATGAGGCCCCTGATTAGAAAGAGGCCATCAGGAAAACAGCATGTTGCTTCCTTCACCCTGTTTACAACTTGTTTATGCCCATATAGGCATCCTATGATTCCTAAGTCCCCTCTACCAGTCAATACATCAGTTGGAGGAGACACCTGGGAAAGTGGAGAAGTGGAACAAATCAGAACTGCCTGTGCGTGCCTGGATTTTCCATTACTGCAGCTTGTTATCACATAGAGTTCTCTGCTTGTAATGCAGAGAAGCTGGTGTCAGAAGCCCTTCACCCACTGGCAAATTGAACGCATTGACCTTCTCTTATCAAGTGGTAACCCCATGTCCTATTTGTAATGTGATTATTTTTTGGAAAGTCCAAGACTTTTCCCTCTATCAGTTGTTTCAAACTTTAATGCACATCAGGATCACTTGGAGGACTTTTGTTAAAGCACAGATTTCTCAGCCCCACTTCCAGTTTTTCATGCAGCAAGTCTGGGGCTGAAGAATTTGCATTTCTAGAAAGTGCCCAGGTGATGCTAATATTATTGATCTGGAGACTACATTTTGAGAACCATTGTTCTACAAGAAAGCAGACAGGATTACTTTGCCAAAACATTGGTCCAAACATATATTCCTCAACACAGACTCAGATTAAATCTCAAATGCTACGGGACAAGTTTTACCATTTTTTATATAATAGCTTAAACATTAAATCCGACCGTAGAACCCATAAGCTTGAAAGCTTTTGCAAGGTAGAGAGCAACAATTATGACATTAAGCTAGAATTAAGTGGACTTTTCAATGAAGACTTGAAGGGTCCCAAAACCTTATTAATGATCATAATGACATGTAGTTCTGTAGCCAGAAAGCTCAGTTTAAATAAAATTGTAAGGGGATGGCCCAGGGGGGTTTTAGCTTACCTTCCAGCTGTTTTTGTCCAACACCTAGAATAGCAGTTGGCAAACAACGCCAGCAGGTCAAACCTGGCCTGCCAGCTGTATTTGTATGGCCTGTAAGCAAAGAATGATTTTCCCACTTTTAAATGGTTGTCAAAAAATGACTGTTTCATGAATGTGAAAATTACGTGAAATTCAAATAACAGCCAATTGCAATGATGGTTTCATTAGTACATAAAATTTTATTAGTACACAGCCATTTCTACTGTTTTTGTGTTGTCTATGGCAGAGTTGAGTATTTGCAACAGAGATGATCTGGCCAACAGAGCCTAAAATATTTACCATCTGGTCCTTTACAGAAAACATTTTGCTGACCCCTATGCAAGCAGGAAGGGGATTGTATTGTGGTATCCATTTGCATGAGTGAAGCTCACAAAGAAGCCATAAACAATCCTTAGGAGATGCAGGCCCAGTGGCCTTAGGACTTGGAGCATGGACTGAAAAATTCTAGGTTTTAATAAATATTCCCATCAGATTATTAACCGTCATGGCAATTAGCTGTGTCTGCCAAAAAGACCCTTTCTTTTGGCCCCTTGCCGTGTCCCTCAGTTCCCGGTGTCTGTGCGCTCTTGCTCACTTGCACTTTTGTTTGTTGAGATGGATTTTCGCTCTTGTTGCCCAGGCTGGAGTGCAATGGTGCAATCCTGGTTCACTGCAACCTCCCTCTCCTAGGTTCAAGCAATTCTCTTGCCTCAGCCTCCTGAGTAGCTGGGGTTACAGGCATGCACCACTACGCCCGGCTAATTATTATTATTATTTTTTTTAGTAGAGACAGGGTTTCTCCATGTTGGTCAGGCTGGCCTCGAACTCCCCACCTCAGGTGATCCACCTGCCTCGGCATCCCAAAGTGCTGGGATTAAAGGCGTGAGCCATGGCACACCTGCACTCTTACTCATCTTTACACAATACTCCAGAAAATGGGTTAGTTACCAGTACTCTAAGCTCAGCAACTGCACTGGAAAAAAAGTTAGTGCTGCAGTTGTGTTTATGTACTTACTGATGGTGGTGAGTGGCCCCTTTATGGTCTCACTACAAATATATCATCTTGGAGCAGTGGTGGGTGAAGTCCTCCAGACAGAAACAGAGCTGGCACAGTGCTGAGCAAGATGCTGCATATCCATCAGCGTGGTCACAAAGAGGCCCCTTGAGCTTCACAGGACTGACATAAACCAACCCATGGCTTGGTGGCAAAAGTACAGCCTGACATTCTTCTAGGAATGACCACAGTGGAATACTGAATCATAGCAAATTTCCTGGACACAAACATTCAGCAAAACAACACAGATATTTTTGAATACTGAATAAAATTAGTATTTTGTGATTTCAGGGTCTCGATAATGACTGACTACTTGGAACACTTCCCAGGCAAAGAATTAAAAATATATGTTTTGAATATGAAGCTTCCATTGATAAAGCTATAAAGTACTTCTGCTTGAAAACATTTCCCTAACTTCTGTGTACTTTTGTAACCGTGAAAAATGTGAGGACTTTTTTTACATAAAACTAAAAATTATGAATTAAACTGCTTTAAAAACAAGAATTCTATTTCTCCAGGTTGGTCATCTATTTAAAAGATTTTGATCTGTTAATAAGAGAACACAAGCCACAGAATAAAAAGTCCATGTTCTAGAAATAGCAAAAATATGGTATGGAGCTGTTTTTTTTTTTTTGGTTTAAAAAGTCATTTGTAGATCTTGTTTCTCTAAAATATATTTTTCAAACATGGAGACCTTTGTATACAATCCCTTTTCAACTTCAAAAAGTGGTTAAAAACATTTATATAATAAAAATGATAAATTTAACACTTTACTGTAATATTAAGAATGTGATTTGCTGTTTTTTCTCCATAGGGAAAGAGCGATTGCTTTATGCAAATGTAATGCAAGATGGGATTTCAATTGGAATGTATTGTAATTGTGTTATGCTAGTTGCAATGGTAAGAAATGGTGTCTTTTGTGAATTGGTGCTAGGCAAACTCTAATAATCTAATAAATATGTGCATCTAGAGAAATGTTTCCACTAGAACATTTTATATAAATTTTATTTTATTTGAATAGGTAATACAGTTTCACGGTTAAATAAAATCAAAACAATACAAAAAGGTATGCACTAAAACTTTTGCACTCACTCCTGTTTTCATCCACTCCAGTTTGTTCCCCAGAGGTAATCATTTGTATTAATTTTATGTTTATTATCTTATTGTTTCTTTTTTGCAAATACAAGGAAGTATGAATATTTATTCTTATTTCTCTGCTTTTTCTCATATAAAAAGTAGCATTGTAAAGGCACTGTTAGATACTTTGCTTTCTTCACTTACTATTTAACCTGTAGATTTTTCTTTGTCATATATAGAGAGCCTCCACATTCTTTCTTTAGCCATATAGTACTCCGTCCTGTGGCTACAGTGACCTCTTCAATTGATCTCATTGCAAGATCTTGCTTGTTTACAACCTTTTGCTATTGTGCTTTTAAGAACGTTTAAAATTTTTCCTGTGTAGGCTTTGCACATTTCCTCTTAAGCAATGGTTTTTATTTATATGTAGTTCTTTCTCTTGTTCTGAGTAAAATTTTAAGGTGTAATACTGTCACATTTTTCTAATATCTGTTTATTAAGCAATGTATTTTATCTGGTTATATTTTGTTATATTTCCTAATATTCTTAATTTGCTTTTAGAAGTCTAAACTTACATGATATTATAGTACTAAACATATTTGTTTAAAGGCTTCTTAGAATGTGGCATTCCATGGCCGGCGCTGTGGTTCACAACTGCAATCCCAGTACTTTGGGAGGCCGAGGTGGGCGGATCACGAGGTCAAGAGATCAAGACCATCCTGGCCAACATGGTGAAATCCCATGTCCACTAAAAATACAAAAATTAGCTGGGTGTGGTAGCACGTGCCTATAGTCCCAGCTACTCAGGAGGCTGAGGCAGGAGAATTGCTTGAACCCGGGAGGTGGAGGTTCCAGTGAACCGAGATCGCGCCACTGTACTCCAGCCTGGCGAGAGTGAGACTCAGTCTCAAAAAAAAAAATTTTTGGCATTCCATACTAGGACTGCCTTTAATTTAAAATAAGATTCCTAATTAGCTGCATGTGGTGGTGCATGCCTATAGTCCCAGCTACTCAGGAGGCTGAGGTGGGAGGATCACCTCACCCTGGGAAGGTCAAGGCTGTGATGAGCTGTGATCATGCCACCACTGTATTCCAGCCTGAGCAACTGCGTGAGACTCTGTCTCAAAAAAAGTAAGATTCCTAAGAATATATTCCTGATATACTCTATGAAGTAATACTCTCATACACAGTCATAATAACTTGTGTTTACATGTATCCTTCCTTGGTTATCACATGGAATTCCAAGACACTACGATTCTCTGTAAAATGAGCAAAAGGAAAATTAAAGACTTTAACTGGTGCTGATCCAAAATAACACAAATTAGAAGAATGATTTTGATTTATGAACTATAAACTTTAGGATAATAATATTTTATATAATTTTTTAGGTAAGAGAATATTTATTGCTCTTTACAAAAAGAGGAAAATTAGTTCAGAAAAGGTATACAGATAATATAAAAATTCTAATATCAGATCAGAATTCCATAAAGTCAAATTTTAACTGAATATTCAATGTCTAATATGACTAGAAATTGAACAGTAGAATGCACAATTGGTTTGCATATCAGGATCTTATGTTTATGACTCTTCAGATATGACCCTGCATTTACTAATTGTGGATGGCCCAGAGGTGCCTAAACTCTTATAAATGACTTTCCACATATCTCTTAAAGTGGTGGGACAGGACTAATTTCTACTCTACTGTACTAGCTGAATATTGCTACTGAGAAAATACTATCAATAGTAGTCAAAGCTACTCTCTTTTGAAAACTTAGAACTACCATCTGTCAGAATGTCAACACCTTTGTTGAAAAATAAAGGGAAATAATGAGACTATAGAAAACTTCAGATAAGTATTTTAAAAAGCAACAAAGAATGTGGGATAATGAGTGACTTTAAAATTCATTCATTCAACAATATTTATTGACAACTATTATTGGGCACGAATACAAAGAGTTCTGGGAATACACCAGAATACAAATTAACGGGACTGCCATTCTTACTGAGATGTGTTCTAAGGGTAAAAAAGAAGCAATTACTCTATTGAGCTTCACTGAGTAGGATCACTGTTTGTATTAATATTGGTACTGCTATTTTGAAATTTATTTATTGTCAATTAAAGGAAATACGGCAATTATTTTTTCTAGGAATAAGATTTTTGATATAAGTTAATATAAACTATTACTAAATAATCTAGTATAAATACATACAGGCACACATAAAGACATTAGTTTACTTTCCATTGGTAGGATGATATCATAGATTGTGACTTTAAGTCAGACAAAGCTGTAGAAAATGTTCGAAGCTCAACTGGATGTAATGGTAAATGTCAGTAACAGTAGTAAAGTAGTTGGAAGTATAAAAGAATGCAACAGTTTATAAAATTCTAAGGTCTTTAGTCTTAGATCGAAAAGATATTTACATATTTAAGAACTCCAAAAATTTTATAGGCCAAAGTTCCCATTTTAGTGGAAAATTTTTCAACATGTAAGTGGCTTTACTCATCAAATTTCAACCATAGACATCAGTTTCTTGGAATGTGCTTGACTAAATATTTAAAACAATCATACCAATGAAAACCACCAGAAATGTTACACAAAATATAATTTAAAAATATTCTTAAAAGCACTGAGGAGCCAACACAGGAATGAATAATTTTCAGGCCAAAATCTCAGTGAGAAAAAAAGTACAGAAGGCAGCATAAAGAGACAGGGAGATGGTAAATATGAAAAAATAATTAAGATACATGGAGGATAGAATGATAAGGTCTAACACACATGTAACTGGACTTCCAGAAATAGAGGAGATGGAGAATGTGATGGAGGCAATGTTGTAGAAGGTAATTCTTGAGACTATTGCCCAACTGATGAAAGATACCAATCGACTGATTCAAGAAATACAACAAATCATCTCAAGATTAAAAAGAAAGGAAAGAAACTCACATCTACAGAAAACTAATGACAAAGAAACTACTTAAAAGCAGACCAAGAGCAAAGACAGATCACTATCAAAGGAGATGCAGGTAGACTGACAGCTGACTTCTCAACAGCAAACATGGAGGGCAAAAAAACATCTCCTCAATGTGGTGGAAGAAAACAGCTGCCAAATTATAATTCTGTACACAGTGAAAATATCTTTTAAGTATGAGGGCAAAATCAAGAGGTATCACTTTTGGCATCTACTATAGATGTAGTGCAGACTGTAAGGAAGTCCTAAAGAACTGCACAGAGATGCAGGCCAGATATCTCAGGCCTCATATTGTGGACTGGGAGGCCATTGGGTTTTAGTATGTCCTGTATATTTCTTAATGATCTTTGCTTGCTCTTGTAGCTTGTTATCACTTGCCAGGAAAAAATGCTTCCTCTCATACTGAATGTCCTTGACCTGATAGATGATTACTATATGACTTTTCCCTGTGTTATTCAAAGAGAGCACTGTAAACTTGGTGTGCTAAGATGGAGAGATAACATTCTATAGAAGAAATCTGCCTGCCCTCCTCATCCCCCAACAAAAAAGCTGCATGTCACAGATACTGTTGATTCAGAACTTGGAAAACAAGTAAGAATCATCTTTTACTTGGCTTGAACAAATAGTGTGACCCTTTTCAAAAGTCACTTATAAGTGGGCTTTACAAACAGCTCTTTAGAAATTACTAACCTAGGCTCTATTTTAAGAGAACATCACAGAACGTCTTGCCATATTATAATATTTTGCTATGCTCAGCTTGCTTCTTAATTCAGTGTACCTAAAAGAATCAATCCACTGTTGTATTTCTAGATTTAAATCATGTGTCTAGAAAGGCCAGTCAAGGAACTGGGTGTACAAGTAGTAGAGATTCTGCATTGCATGTGCTTGCTTTGTTCCTTCCTGTATGAGGCTTTTTAGTTAATAACAAAGTCTTCCTCAAAGCCTTGTGTCTGAGGTCTTACAACAGACACCAGGCTTTTCTATAACAATTCATCAAAATTATTCTTGAGAAGTTTAATAAGCCCATGATAGAGTGGCTAAGACCCCAAGGTCTTCAAGGGAAAAAACATAATCTGCAAACCACCTTCAAAGGAAGATGAGCTGTGTGACAGAAGAGACCCTCATTTTGCCCTGACCAGGTAGCTGAGGTGAATTGCTCTGTATAGTGGAAAGGGGTGAGAAAAGAGGGGTGTATATGAGAATCTGGGAGTGAAGAGAGAAGAACCAGTGAGGATCAGGATACAGATTAGGAAACAAAAACAACCGAACGCCTTGGGAGAATATATTTACTATTCTGGGGTGAGGGCTCTTAATCTTTTTTTTTTTTTTTTTTTTGACATGCAGTCTCCCTGTCGCCCAGGCTGGAGTGCAGTGGCGTGATCTTGGCTCACTGCAACCTCCACCTCTTGGATTCAAGTGATTCTCCTGCCTCAGCCTCCCTGAGTGGCTGGGACTACAGGCATGTGCCACCACACTGTTAATTTTTTTTTGTATTTTTAGTAGAGACGAGGTTTCACCATGTTGGCCAGGCTGGTCTCCCAACTCTTGACCTCAGATGATCTGCCCGCCTCAATCTTAACTTTTTATGTGCCATGTCGCCCTTTGGCAGCCTGGTAAACATACAGATCCCTTTCCATGCAGAAAATAAAATACATAGGTTTACAAAGCAAACATGACATTGAAATACAGTTATCAAAATATAAAAAGAAACAAATTTGAGATAGAACAACATATGCACTTTGTTATTAACACTTTACATAAAAAGATCTAGAAGTGGGTCTAATGGCCACCATATAGTTTGAAGTAGTGGTGAGCATAGATAACATATTTCCAGATACAACAACTGTAATATGATATTAAAAAAAAATCTGTGGTTTCTGTTGCTGAGAAAGCCACAGCTACAGCTTACATAGTTGCCTACTTTAATATCAGAAGGAAGTGCTTAACTTCAGTATTTTTGTCCAACCAAGGTCATAGACCCTAGATAACTTCTGCTGTAGGGATAATATAAATTTCCTCCTTCTCCATGTTAAGTCTCTAGCAAGTATTACACTGAAAGGCAATGCTTCCATGGGAGCGGATTCTCTTGGGGGGCCTGGTCTCCTGCCAACTCTCAATGCCAAGGCATTTACCAAGGGCTCTGTGGACCACGGCGCTGGCCTGCGGTAGGTGGAGTTGGGGCCCCTGCTTGTGATCTTGCATACTCATAATCAGGTGACTCGTTAAAAACACACAACGAATATCTGCTTATAAGAGAAATGCACTTAAAGACCAGAAAACAGTAGATTAAATATTTTCCCTAAAGTATGTTAAGAGCCTGTAACAGGAAGGCTAAAAGGGGTGATTCCTTCCACCTCTTCCTATCAGCGAGGCACTTTTAACATCTCAAAACATTTTTCCATCCATTATCTAACTTGTTTTTCACAACCACCCTGTGGTTGGCAATGCAGCTCTTATTCTTTTGCTTATATATATATACACACACAAAAATTCAATATGGAATAATCAGTAGTATTTCTGAGAAGACTACAACTATTCCATGCTCAGAGGGAATATTTAAATGAAATGAAATATTTAACGTATAGTCTCCCCTTGCTGCTAAAGAAGAGAAAAGGCAGTACTAAGTGCTTATTAAAGGAGAACACGTTTTTGGAAAGTATGTGCTTATGAAAAATTCAAACAATACAGAAGCATTGAAGAGATCACTTAAAAATTTTCACTCCCCCTAATAAAAATACATCAGAGAAACGGTATCAGACAGAGCCCAGTTAAGGGACAGAAATAACTACAGTTATTTAAACATAGACAATTCAATCTACAGAATTATTAATTAGGTCCAAAGTTGTTAACGAGGTAACTGGAAAGGTAGAAAGATAACCAGAAGGCAGGGGTCCGCAAACTATGACCCGTGGGCCAAATCCGGCCTGCGCCTGTTTTTGTAAATGAAGCTTTATTAGAACACAGCCATGCTCATTTGTTTACATATGGTTTATGTCTGCTTTTGTGCTGTCACAACAGAGTTAAATAGTCTCAACAGAGATTATATGGCTTCCAAATTCTAAAATATCGATTATCTATCTAGCTCTTTGCCAGAGAGGTTTGCTGACCCCTGCTCAGTACCGAGGTATCAAGGAGGTAGTGACTGTAGAAAGCAGCTTCTACTTCCAGGACTGCGTGAACAAAGACATAGGGCTGGAAACTCCTTCTAAAACTTAGAAGCTTGGAGGAGTTAAAACTCAGACTCTGAGGAGGGGCCACTGTTGGCTGCTGCTGGTGTCTCTTAGGGAGAGGAGGCCTGCAAGTGCAGGAAAGCTGTGGCCCATTTCCATTTGAGTGAGTGAAGAAATGAAGCACGAGAGAACTGCATTAGACCACATGGCCTGAGCTCCAGTTCTTCTTGAAGATGGAATTTCAGCACTGGTTTAAAAGAAAGGAGAGAGGGTGGCAGGACATGGCATGGGAAGGGCATTCTTGCTTAGGGAATGTCTTATAGGGAATATGCAGTGCAGGAATAGAGCTTGGAAGAGAGAATGAAAGCTCCTCAGACCCCCATGCTCAGGTCACTGTCCACACAGGTGAAACTGTGATCTCTGCGCATGGCCCCGAGGCATCAGTATTTTCTTTTTCTTTTTTTTAAACAAACACCTAATGTTTATTAATAAATCAGTACACTTGAAGGCATTTTTCTGTTATCAGTCCTTCACCACTACCCACAAACCCCACCCACACAAAGGGAGTCCACGCCACCTTTGCATTGGAATCTGACAACTGAGCATTAGAAGGTACATTTGTAAATGGGAGCATAGTTGCAAATATATCAGACAAGGGTTCTTACAGCTGCAGCCATTTTTAATTAAAGTAATTGGTGAAGGAAGCAAGGTATCAGTATTTTCGAAAGCTCTCCAAGTGATTCCAGCTTGTGGCCAAGGCTGAGACCAATGCTTGAAACCGTGAAATGCTTGTGCTCAAGTTCACAGAAGTGCTTCCTCTCCTCTTCCTGCCTCACTCGTGGAGTCTTCCCATGTTGGAAGGAGTCCATTGTTTTTGGGCAGAGGTGGCTGCTTCTGCATCTGGTGGGCAGGTGGCAATGGTTGGCTGGGAAGCAGCAGCTCCGTATCCCTCACAAACAACCTCAGGCGTGCCTGTTTCTGGTGCTGAGGCCGCCAGGAGCGAGCGGGCTTTCCCTGCGCTACTTGCTAAGAGCAGTGTGGCTCCTTCTCCCGTGTCCCCAGCGCCGTCAAGCCCCAGAGTGAAGCTGTGGCTCCTTCTCCCGTGTCCCCAGCGCCGTCAAGCCCCAGAGTGAAGCTGTGGCTCCTTCTCCCGTGTCCCCAGCGCCGTCAAGCCCCAGAGTGAAGCTGTGGCTCCTTCTCCCGTGTCCCCAGCGCCGTCAAGCCCCAGAGTGAAGCTGTGGCTCCTTCTCCCGTGTCCCCAGCGCCGTCAAGCCCCAGAGTGAAGCTGTGGCTCCTTCTCCCGTGTCCCCAGCGCCGTCAAGCCCCAGAGTGAAGCTCCTTTCAGAGCAGCAGCATTTGTGTAATGAAGGCAAAATAAACCTTCCTGAGGGAGGAAAACTCCTATGCAAGAGGAGGCAGGGGCAGCCAAGTCACAGGCCCAGGTAGCTCTGAATGCAGGACCTGAGGGGGTGGATTCGCTAAGCTGCACAACCCCCAGGGCCTTTGTCGGCCTCGCTGATGCTTTCCAGCCGGGAGAATACACTGAGCGATGGACTGAAAAAGCAAGTCTGCTTCTTCCTTAAATTTTTTTTTCCACAACAGAAGTGCTATATGGTCATTGTAAAACAAATGTTTTTTGGGAAAATACTGAAAAGCACAAAGTAGAAAATGATTATCTGTCATTCCTTCCACGACCCAGATATAACTACAGGTAGAATTTTGGGGTAATCAGCCTGAACATTCAATGCATACAAAAAATGTAATATAGACATAGCAAAATTTGCATCCTGTTTTAAAAATGTAATATACTTTGAGCATTGTCAACTGCACTATTATTTTTAATGGCTTGTTGGTTCTATCATCATATCACACAGCTTTATTTAATCATTTCTCTGTTTGTGGATGCCTGGGTTGTTTTTATTTTTCATTCTCCATAAATAATACCACAAGAAACATCCTTACAGATAAGTCTTGACCACTTACTCGATTATTTTTAAGTTCCTCTTAAGTTCCAAGCTGTGGGCTTGCATGCCTTCTGCCTGGAGCTCTTCTGCCTCCAGGCTCTTTACTTAGTTAATCTTTGTTTATCCCTTCAAGTCTGAGCTTAGGATGTCAGTTCTTCCAGGAGCCTTCCTGACCTCAAGGCTAAAGAAATAGCTTTCCACATGGATCTTTTGGTTATGAACCTTGGTAGCACTTTGCTCTTTTCCTTTACAACACTAACACATTTATTTCTGTCTTGTTTCCTATCAGGCCCCCAAACTTTGAATAGCACTGGGCCCGTGGTAGGTATCCAAGCATTTGCTGATTAGATACATACATACATATGTCAACCTTTCTTTTTTTTCTTTTTCTTTTTTTTTTTTTTTTGAGACAGAGTCTCTCTCTGTTGCCCAGGTTGGAATGTAGTGGCATGATTTCAGCTCACTGCAAACTCCGGCTCCCGGGTTCAAGCGATTCTTGTGCCTCAGCCTCCCAAGTAGCTGGGATAACAGGAGCGTGCCACCATGCCCAGCTAATTTCTGTATTTTTAGTAGAGACAGGGTTTCACCACATTGGCCAAGCTGGTCTCGAACTCCTGACCTCAAGTGATCTGGCCGCCTGGGCCTCCCAAAATGCTGGAATTCCAGGCATGAACCACCGTGCCCAGCTATACATCAACGTTCCTAAGCTGGGTTTTTAGGTATCTTTTCATCTTCCACAGAGGCAAAGCTGTAGAAGACTGATTTAGCCTCTGTTTCACTCACAATCCCAAGGTTTCAATGAATAGGCTACAGGTAATGAAGCCAAGACCGGGGACAGATCACCCCAAATGTTAAGTTAGCTAACTGTGCTTATTTGATGGCCAAAGTCAGCTTCTCCAACCCAGCCTAGTAAGCTCAGAAAGCATGCCTTGGTTTCCCGAAGGACAAATTTACCTTTACTAGAGGAAAATATCTGTCCATCCGTCCATCCATCTTGTATAGATTGATTATATTTCCTTCCTTCCTTCCTTCCTTCCTTCCTTCCTTCCTTCCTTCCTTCCTCCCTCCCTCCCTCCCTCCCTCCCTCCCTCCCTCCCTCCCTTCCTTCCTTCCTTCCTTCCTTCTCCCTCCCTCCCTCCCTGCTTCCCTTCCCTTCCCTTCCCTTTCCTTCCTTTCCCTTCCCTCTCTCCTTGAGACACAGTCTCATTCTGTTTCCCAGATTGGAGTGCAGTGGCACAATCATGGCTCACTACAGCCTTGACTTCCCAGGCTCAATGGATTCTCCCACCTCAGTCTCCTGAGTAGCTGGGACTACGAGTGTTTACCACCATGCCTGGCTAATTTTTTTTTTTTTTTAGAAACGCGGCTTTGCCATGTTGCAGGGAGGCTGGTCTCGAACTCCTGGGCTCAAGCGATCCTCCTGCCTCAGCATCCCAAAGTGGTAGGATTATAGGCATGAGCCATTGTGCCCAGCCTTATATATTATTTCTTTACTCAACAAATATTTTTTGAGTGCCTACCATGTCCCAGGCATGGTTCAAGTTTCATTGAAAATGGTGGCTAAATCTCTTTCCATTTGGAGCTTATAGTTCATATAGTATGTGGAAAGCACTGTGCTATTCTCTAAATATCCTCTAAATATTCTCTAAATATTCTCTAAATATCCACTGAGTAAAGGATACAGTTCCTACTCCCAAGGAACTTACAGTCTACTGAAGATTTATGGCAAGCACACAAGTAGCTGTGCCACTAGTTGAAGGTGATATGAAAGCTGGAAACTAAGAATTACGGGAGAGTAAAATATTTCCTTCTTTGTCTGTTTTTTCTGAAGGAATTTCCATGTCTGTATACAGCTTCAACTCTTGGTCCAGTGGTGGGAACAGCATTCAAGCTGATCCATACTCTCTGGCTTTAGTTGATGGGTCTAGGGAAGGAGGCTGATCCTAACTTGACCAATTTGCTTCCTTCTCTGAGATATTTCAGAATAAAATTAAGAGGTTCTGTTTCTTCCTAGGACTGCACATTTTAAGAGGCAAAGTTCTCAGGAGCTGTAGGCAGCCATATTTCCTGCCACATGGATGTGCCAATCTAAACAACAGAGAGGGAGACTTTCTAAAAGAAAATTATATTTGGGAATAGGCATTGCAATGGGGAGATGCGTGCTATGGAAAACTATGTGCACTTTCAGGGAGATAAAGGAAGACAAAGAATTTTAAAGGAAAAATGAGGAAGATTACATAATAGTTTTGAGATATTATCTTTGGCTACAAGGATTAATAACAAGAGTGACACCAGACCTAGGTTGGACAGGTAGTTGGTGGGCAGATGTCCTAGCAGGAGTATTTTTTTGTGTAAGGTTGCGATGTCCTTTGTGCAAGGTTGTGGTTTTTGCAGAGTCTTTTGTGATAGTTCTTGTCATCAGGCTTTCATGGTTGAGAACCTCCCTTCGTGACCTTCCTTGTCTCTGTATGTCAGAATTTTTAAGACAAGTGACTCCATTTTGATTCTGACAACTTTCATGGAATAAAATGGGCTTCAGTGAGAAAGAATGTATCCTAAGTGAAGACAGAGTTAGGAGATGGAGCGTCTGGGGACCTTTTATTCCATAGTCCCAGTTGTACCCGCAGCCTAGCTGTAGCTTCTCCCTTTTTAGGTTTTGCTTGTTCAAAGCTTTCGTGTATTCCATTGGCCAATATATTCACTTCTGATACTTATTAGGTAAGCTTGCACCTAACCAAAAGACCCTTTTCTAAATTGGAAGGCTTTCTGGAGCAGGTGACATTTGACCTGAACCTTAAAGGTTTCAGAGGACTTAGATGTTTTAAGTTTTGCCTTTTGGTCCAAGCCTGAACTTCAAACAAACAAACAAGTCACATTTTGATGGTTGTTTTGTACTTAAAAAATTAAAATAATCTCTTTCCCCCAATAATATTGAAAGTAGGAAAATGTCAGCCTGAACTACCAAAAAAAAAAAATAAATAAAGTCACATTTTGATGGTTGTTTTGTACTTAAAAATTAAAATAGGCTGGGCGCGGTGGCTCACGCCTGTAATCCCAGCACTTCAGGAGGCTGAGGTGGGCTGGTCATGAGGTCAGGAGTTTGAGACCAGCTTGGCCAACATAGTGAAACTCTGTCTCTACTAAAAATACAAAAAATTAGCCAGGCGTGGTGGTGGGCGTCTGTAATCCCAGCTACTCAGGAGGCTGAGTCAGGAGAATTACTTGAAGCCAGGAGTCAGAGGTTGCAGTGAGCCGAGATCGCACCACTGCACTCCAGCCTGGGCAACAGTGTGAGACTCCGTCTCAAAAATAAATAAAATAAAATAAAATAAAATAAATCTCTTTCCCCCAATAATATTGAAAGTAGGAAAATGTCAAATAATATAGAAAAATTTAATGTTTACCCCCATCACCTCATAGTCCTCATAACCCTTCAGAAATAACAACTGTTAATTTGGGATGATCATTTAATAAACAGTGATCTATAGTGTGCTGTTTTCTCAATATAAGCATTTAAAAAATGTTTTTGGTTTTTGAAAAAACTTTACTTGGAAATAATTTCAAATTTACAAAAATTTGTAAAATTAAAAATACTACAATGAAAAGAAATCCTACCTGATATATCTTATTTTAGTTATTTATTTATTATTTATTATTATTTTTTCAGACAGGGTCTTGCCGTGTCACCCAGGCTGGAGTGCAGTGGTGTGATCATGGCTCACTGCAGCCTCAGCTGGGCTCATGTGATCCTCCCACTTCAGCCTACCAAACAGCTTGGACTATAGGTGTGTACCACCATGCCTGGCTAATTTTTGAATTTTTTGTAAAGTTAAGGTGTTACTATATTGGCCAGGCTGGTCTGAAACTCCTCCTGCCTTGGCCTTCCAAAGTGCTGGGATTACAGGAGTGAGCCACTGTGCCTGGCCTCATCTTATATGTATTTTTTATTGTTCACCTTTGAGTCATTGGAAGGCAAATTATATACATTATGGACCTTCACCTCTCAATTCTGTAGGGTATGTATTCCAAGAATAGGAGTAATCTGTCACATAATTACAGTGCAATTGTCACCTTCATAAATTTCCACTGATTGATAGAATAATGTTATCTAACTTATTGTCTATATTCCAGTTTTTTCAGTTGTTCTAATAATATCATGTATAGCATTCTTCCCTTCTGGTGTATGATTCAATGTAGGGTCAGGTATTGTTTTTAGCTGTCACGTCTCCACAGCCTCCTTTAATCTGGAACTTTTTCACAGCCTTTCTTTGTATTTTACAATATTTACATGTTTTTAAAATAGAAAGTTCCTTGTTTTATGTTTCCCTGATATTTCCTAGTGATTAGATTGATTATATTCTGCATTCTCTGCCAGAATACTGCATAGGTGATGTGTCCTTTTCAGGGGATAACATCTGGAAGTATAATTTAACTGCAGGAAAATGCATGAATCATAAGTGTACAGCTTGATGACTTTTTGCATATTTACATACCTGTATAACTAACAAGATCAAAATCAAGAATATTTCCATCCGCTCAGGGAGTTTTGTTGTGCTGCTTCCTGTAAAGGCCCACTCTTCCCTCTCTACCCAAAGGTAGCCCCTCTTCTTCCTTCTAACATCATATATTAGTTTTTCATGTTTTGGGATTTCATATAAAATGAATTATACAGTCAGTATTATTTTATGTCTTACTTCTTCATTTTTTTTTTTTTCCTGAGACGGAGTCTCACTTTGTTGCCCAGGATGGAGTGCAGTGGGATTATCTTGGCTCACTGCAACCTCCACCTCCTGAGTTCAAGTGATTCTCCTGCCTCAGCCTCCCAAGTAGCTGGGATTACAGACTCCCACCACCATGCCTGGCTAATTTTTGTATTTTTAGTAGAGACTGGATTTCACCATGTTGGCCATGGCTGGTCTTGAACTCCTGACCTCAGGTATTCCACCTGCCTCGGCCTTCCAAAGTGCTGGGATTACAGGCGTGAGCCATCGTGCCAGGTCTGTCTTACTTACCTCTTTCATCTAATATGTTGTTTTTGAGTTTCTACTACATTG
This sequence comes from Homo sapiens, assembly GCF_000001405.40. Classification (NCBI taxonomy): domain Eukaryota; kingdom Metazoa; phylum Chordata; class Mammalia; order Primates; family Hominidae; genus Homo; species Homo sapiens. Next base: position 134,004,093 of record NC_000002.12, on the reverse strand, counting down.
ATGCATAGATCCACAGTTTGTTTTTTTCCTCTACCATTTAGTATTCCATTGCATGAATACATTGCAGTTTGTTTATCCATTTTCCTTTTGCTGGAGAATGTTTTCAGTTTTTGGTCATTATAAATAAAATTTTTATAAAAAACCCTTTATAAGCCTTTTGTGGATATATATTTTCTATATCTTTATATGTTGGAATCCAATTGCTAGACCATACAGAAAGCTTATGTTTACATTTTTAAGGAAGTGCTAAATAGTTTCCAAAAGTGCTTTTACCATTTTACACTCATAACAGGTGTTTATGAGAATTCTAATGGCTCCACATTCTAACCAATGCTTGCAGTACTCAGTCTTTTTTATTTTAGCTCATTCTGGTGATAATATAGTAGCATCTCTTTGTGGGTTTTCTTTGCATTTCCCTGATCAATTTTAAGCATCTTCCTATAAGCTTTTTGGTCACCTGGATAGCTTTTTTTGTGAAATGCCTTCTCAAGTCTTTGGCATATTGTGTTAATTGGGCAGTATGGTTTCTGTTACTGATTTCTAAGAGTTCTTTACATATTTTGGACACAAGTTATATCATATATGTGTGTATATATATATTATATATATTTATGGTGAATATTTTCTCTCAGCTTATCTTTTAATTCTTTTAATGGTATCTTTTCATGGACAAAAGTCTTTCACTTTGACCAAGTTCAATTTATCAATTAAAAAAATAAATTGCAGCTTTCACATTTCACATAGCCATCTCAAATTAATTTTTGCATATGGTGAGAAATAAGGGCCAAGGTTCCATCCTGTGTCGGTTCTAGGCCCTGCCTCTAGCAGGGCTCTGGACTCTGAGCTCCTCATGCTGTGGGTGTTTCCTCTCTCCAGCCTGGTCCAGCTTCTCTCACTGCTGTGACTGCATGGCCAGCAGTTGTGGTGGACATAGAGAATTAGCTCTGCATTTCAAGCTCTTACAGATTCCAATCAGTCTTGCCAGCCCACAGGTTGTTCTAAGCTCAGCTAGTTTCTCCTCATTTTTGTAAAGTCCCTGTGCCTATGGCAGGCTGGATTCTCCACATACTCAGCAGACCCCTCTAGGGAGGAGAGCAGCCTCTGACCTCTTTTCACCTAGGAGGGCCTCCTTCACCAGCACTCTGTTCCTTTAGACTTCTTTGCTTCCACAACTCTCTGATGTCATTTACTCATTTAGCTTATTTATGCTTTTCCGAGTTGTTATAGTGAGTGTGATGACCCATTGCAACTGTCCACATCATCACTGAAAGCTAGAGACATAGTTCCATGACTTTCAATTACCATCTACAGAGTAACAATTCTCCTATTTTTATTTTGAGCCAGAACTTGGCTAATGAGTCCCAGACCTTTATCTCTGGTTATCCTAATGTTTTATAAGCCTCTTAAATGTACATACCTGAGATGGGATTCATCATCTTTCCCTGTAAAACAGCTGCTACCTGGAATTTGTTGTCTTGGTGATCACCATTCCCACCCACCTAGTCACCCAATTCCTGAACTTGTTGACTCTTTCTCCCTCACCACCCACATCAATGAGTTACTAATTTCACTGGAACCTATCTTGGAAAACCTCATATATCTCAATGCCTTGATTCCCCTGCCACCGTGCTGCTCAAGGCCCTCACAGTCCCTGGTCAGAACAATTGCAATCTCTTCCTAACTGAACCCTAGTCTCAGTCTCTCTCTCTCCTTCTCCTCACATTATTTTCCTTACTACTTGCAAACTGACCTTTTGACCAGGCATGGTGGCTCACACCTGTAAGCTCAGCACTTTGGGAGGCAGAGGCAGGCGGATCACTTGAGGTCAGTTCAAGACCAGCCTGGGCAACATGGTGAAACGCTGTCTCTAATAAAAATACAAAAATTAGCCAGGTGTGGTGGCACGTGCCACCTGTAATCCCACCTACTTGGGAAGCTGAGGCAGGAGAATTGCTTGAACCCAGGAGGCGGAGGTTGCAATGAGCCGAGATTGCACCACTGCACTCCAGCTTGGGTGACAGAGTGAGACTCAGTCTCAAAAAAAAATAAAAATAGGAGTGATTTTTAAAAATAAATATCTTTTTGATATGCAGAAGTAGCTAAAATAAATACACATCTCTTTGAATACTCATACGTGATGGAGTCACTCCAAGGCTTTAAAATTCCTGATAGCTCTCTTAATTTTCACAGAATAAAGTATAAATCTTACAGAATTCAAAGTCCCTCCTAGCCCAAGCCCATTTTTCTAATCATGTGTTCAGTCAGTCCCACATTGATGACTGAGGGCCAGTGCTGTGCAGCATGGTAGGATGGGGTGCCATTCACATTGTATTTCTATATGAATGGCAATGCCATTCATGCCATTAGAGTTTTGCAGTGAAATATCCCAGTTATTCTCCAGCAGCTCTGGATTGCTCTAGGTTCTCTGAAAATAAAATGTTCATTCATACCTTTTCACTGTTTTCTCAACAGCCTTCCTTAGTTTCACCACTGGCAAAATTCCTCTTTCTACTCCAAGAGCCAGCTCAGGTGACTCCAAGACCTTTTAGGATTTTCTGTAGCCACTCAGCCAATACAAAATAATAAGTTATTCCATTATTTGAGTTCCATTATAAATGCCATTCCACACTGTATTACAAGTTTGGTTTATATATCTGTCTCTCCTGCTAGACAGTCGGGTTTTAAGGGGAAGTTTATGCAGTCAAGCACCCTCAACTGTTAGGCTGAGTACATCTTTGCTAATTTGAGTTGGAATTAATATATGTGGACAGGGTGTGACCTGATTGTTGAGAGCTTTGAACATCAGTTTGTGGAGTTTGTATTTTATCCAGAAGACAATGAAGAGGCATTAGGATTGGGGCTGGGCAGGCAGTAGCTGATGAAATGGACTCTGCCACGCTTAACAAAAATGGGGCAGCATCAAACAAAGAGCAATCTAGGCAGGAAGTGCAGCTGGGTCGCCTGTCCAGCCTGCAGCCCTGGATGGCAGTCTCCCTCAGACACTGTGAACGGGCATGTGAAAGCCCTCTTCCTGCAGAGGACAGCAATTAGCCAATTTCAGAATTGACTTCATGTTAGCTTTTAATTTTAATATCCAATTTAATGTTCCAAATGTTGGTTTGTTTAAATCATCCCATAAGCACATTTGCAGATGTTTCTTCTTTTTCCCTTTTTTTTTGGAGACAAAGTTCCCCTGTTACTCAGGCTGGAGTGCAGTGGCGCAATCATAGCTCACTGCAGCCTTGAATTCCCGGGCTCAAGTGAACCTCTTACCTCAGCCTCCCAAGTAGCTGGGACTACAGGCGCACGTCACTATGCCCAGCTAATTTTTAAAAATTTGTAGAGACAGGGTCTTGCTATGTTTCCCAGGCTGGTCTCAAACTGCTGGGCTCAAGTGATTCTCCTGTGCTGTCCTCCCAAAGTGCTGGGATTACAGGTGTGAGCCACCACACCCAGCCTGTAGATGTTTTTTTGATGGTAGTGGCTAGGCTGGTTCTAGGTGTAAACAGCAGCTTCTTTATGACAGGCTACATGTTCTGCTTCTGGGCTGGGATATGTGAAGAAATAACCCTTCAGCTCTAGGGTAGATGTACGTCCAGTCTCTGCTTCACCTCCCATCTGACTTCCTTTTCCCCTGCTGGAACCCACAGACCTACAACAGGACTTTGGGCCCATCCAGGCTGGACATGGCAGGGACATGGCAGCAACGTATTTTTCTACAGAATCAGGTCATCCTTGCAGCTCCTTTGTTTCTCTCAATTTTCCTTATTTATTTTCTTTGTTTTCCCCTTGGTCCTGATTTTCTATTTCATTAACTTTGTTATGTATTTCTTCTGCTGAAAAGAACATCAGATACATTTTGGAAAAAGGCAGGCTATAAATAAAACCAATAAAATAAAATAAAACAATAGGATGCCTTGAAAAATATACATGTTTATTGTAGAAATTTTATGAAATGTAGACAGATATAAAGCAGAAAGTGAGAATTATTCTTTTAGAGAACACCAGAATTAACATTTTGGCATGTACCTTTTTGTATTTTTACATAAAATTTATATATTTGTATATTATACTTTATATGTTGACATACAGATATTATTATGGTTTAAGCATCCTCTCCAAAACTCATGTTGAAATGTAATTGCCAGTGTAATAATATTAAGAAGTGAGACCTTTAAGAGGTGATTAGATCCTGAGGGTTCTGCTATCATGGGTTGATTAATGCCATTATCCACTGGAGCGGGTGAGTTATCATGGGAGTGGGTTCCTGATAAAAGGGGTAAGTGTGGCCCAATTTCCTATCTCTGTCCCTCCCACTTGCTTGCCCTTCTACCTTCCATCATGGGATAAATCAGCAGGAAGGCCCTCACCAGATGCTGGCACCATGGGCTTGGACTCCCCAGACTCTAAAACCAAGCACCAAATAAATTTATCTGCTTTATAAATATGCAATATTTTTATGAGCAGCACAAAATGGACTAAGACAGATATAGATATATATACACACATTGATTAAATATGCAATAACAATAAAATGATTAAATATGTAATTACAAATTGATTAAAATGTAATAAAATAAAGCAATCATAAATACTGTATTTTATAACCTGCTCAAGTCCCATATATAAAATAATGTAGAATTTGCATATAACCTACTCATGTCCTCCCAAGTACTTTAAATCATCTCTAGATTTTAATAATACCAACATAAATGTTATGTAAATACATAGTTGTTATACTGTATTTTTAAAACTGGTATGATTTATCTTTTAAAATTTTTTTTCTGGATATTTTTGATTGGACATTGGTTGAATCTGAGATATCAAGCAGGTGGATATAGAGGGCTGACTGTATTTCATGCTACACAACAATTTAAGAAGAATTTGATTAGATCTTTAAAGGAGCTCAGAAATTAGATGATAAAATATCTGAATGAGGTGGAATTGGAGGTTGCAAAGCTAAGGAAAGAAAACGAGGAATAAAACACTATCACTATAAAAGTAATTAACTAAAAACAGAAAGGAATAGAATAATCATGGCTGAAAATGTAATCATTGAAATTCAGGAAAAGCTAAAGATAATTTTGTTAAACAGAGGCTGGGTGTGGTGGCTCATGCCTGTAATCCTAGCACCTTGGGAGGCTGACACAGGTGGACCACAGGAATTCAAGACAAGCCTGGGCAACATGGCAAAACCCGGTCTCTACAAAAAATACAAAAATTAGCTGGGCGTGGTGGCATACACCTGTAGTCCTAGCTACTCAGACGGCTGAGGTGGGAGGATAGCCTGACCCAGGGTTTTGAGGCTGCAAGTGAGCCATGATCACACCACTGCACTCCAGCCTGGGTGACAGAGTGAGACCCTGTCTCAAAAAAAACAAAACAAAAAAACTTAAGTGATTTATTTACTTAATTTTGAGACAAGGTCTCATTCTGTCACCCAGGTTGCTCACCGCAACCTCCACCTCTCAGGCTCAGGTGATCTTCCCACCTCAGCCTCCTGAATAGCTGGGACCACAGGCATGCACCACCACACCTGGCTTATTTTTTCGTATTTGTTTTTTGAGAGGAGGTTTTGCCATGTTGCCCAGGCTGGTCTTGAACTCCTGTACTCAAGCAATTTGCCCTACTTGGCCTCTTAAAGTGCTGGGATTACAGGCATGAGCCACCACACCTGGCCAAAACTTAGATGATTTATAAAAGAGAATAAAAGAAATACAGAAAAAGATGATAACAGCTATGGAATAGAGATAATAATAATCAAATGTTGATAAACATGAAGTAAAGAACTCAATGAATAGAAAAGTTGTTAAAAGATTTCATAGAAGAAAAATTTCTCTGGAATGAATACCTGACTTTGATGTAAAAGACAAACTATATTGTAGAATAAAATTGGTCCAGATGATAGACTCTGAAATGTATCCTTTTAAATTTATTGGAGAAAGAAAAAGATAGGCATTCTTTAGGTCATCATGCAGAATAAGCAAGTCTTTTGAACAAGGGTCAGATTATTACGAGACTTTCCACAGCAACAATATAGTCAATGGAGCAATGTCTATAATTATGAGAGAAAGCATGAAATAAAACAAAACATCAGCAATTATCAAACATAAAAAAAGCAGGGAATAATTACTTTAGAGCCATTCTAGAAGCGAATAAATCAACTACTTTGTGGTAAAATTCCAGTAAACCAAGAGACAAGTGGAGATGCCTTTAGAAAAAAAAAAAAAAAAAGCAAAAACACCAAAACAAGTGGATCAACACATGTAAAAACACAGTGAGATAATACCCAGAAAGTTCTGAGGTAAAGAGTGTGACAATAATTTTATAGCCACGTTGATTTTCTAGTAGAAAGGGGAGGACTCTCTCTCTGTCCCCCAACATACACTTGTGGAAATTGCATTTGGTGCTCAGACCCAGAACTGTTGCAAAACAGAGCTAAAGTCCTCTAATGCCAAGCAGGAGCTCTGGTGGCCCTTTTCCTTGAGACCACTGCTGTTTCTGTGCCATCTTTTATTCTGGTCTCAGTATCTCTACTACTTCAATTTCTAGCCCCTCCTGCTTTGCCAATAGAAAAAGCACAATAGTTCGTGTAGGGATTTTGCATGATATTCATGAATGAGGTTAGACTGTAATGTTACTTTCTAATAATGTCTTTGTTCTGTTTTCAAATTAAAGTTATGTTTGCCTCATAATACGAGTTAGAGTATCTTTCTACGGTTTAAGATTGGAACTTTTTTTTTTTTTTTTTTTTTTAATTAGATGGAGTCTCTGTCACCCAGGCTAGAGTGCAGTGGCAAGATCTTGGCTCACTGCAACCTCCATCTCCTGGGTTCAAGCAATTCTCCTGCTTCAGCCTCCCGGGTAGCTGGAATTACAGGTGTGTGCCACCACGCCCAGCTAATTTTTGTATTTTTAGTAGAGACGGGTTTCACCATGTTGGCCAGGCTGGTCTCCAGTTCCTGACCTGAGGTGATCCGCCTGCCTTGGCTTCCCAAAGTGCTGGGATTACAGGCATCAGCCACTGTGCCCAACCAAGATTTGAATTAATTTTTAAAAATGTTATAATGTAGTACATGTTTCAGTTGTGAGCTTCTGTATTGATAGTGTAGTAGTAAAAACAAAGTCTGATGTTACCAGTGGTTTGAAATTTACTGAGATTTATTTTATGGCCTGGTACAAAGTCAATTTTTACAAATACTTCATTTGCACCTCATCTGTTCTCTCTGATTATTGATTCCAGATATATATACATGGCTATTAAACCAAGACTGTTTATTATGTTGTTCAAATTTTCTATATCCTTATTTTTTAATTTAATAAAAGATTAAATTTTGTCTTGAAACCATACATTTCTTAGATAGGCATCTTAAAATCTCCCACTATGATGGAAAAATTTTTATTTCTCCTAGTAGTTCTGTCAAACTTTGCTTTATATATTTCAAGCCCATGTTATTAGAATCCTATATATCAATTAAGTAAATTATAACATTAATGCTTAACTTCTAAAGTTAACCAATATGTTTGCTTTCCATCCCAAACAATGCAGGACCTTGGGCCATCATCATTCCAATTATGCCCTTCTTTCCTTTTATGATATTTCTGTCATATGTTTGCATTGTATCTTGTTTTACTTTCTCTTCATAAGACATTATTATTTTCTGATATTTATTTATTTGGTTTTGTAGTATACTCCCATGTTTCAAAATACAATATATGAGGTGAAAATTCAATCAAAAATTCTTTCTCCCACTACTGACTACCACCTCGCCCCATAGAAGACTTATGTAATCATCTGATATTTCTTAGTATTCACAGAACTATGAATATGAATTCTTATTTTTCTACTTTCACATACAACAGTCAGCATAATGCAAACACTTCTGTACTTTGAGTTTTTAAACTTAACAGTATATCTCAGTGATCTTTCACATCAATATATAGGATTGTCATCATTCATTTTTGTATAACAATATTCCATTGTATGGATGTATAATAATTTGTTTAATGAGAGCTTTATTGTTGGAAACTTGGGTTGTCTCCAATCTTTCTAATACAAACAATGATGTAATGAGTACTCTATATTGTAGTGAACACTGGTCAATTTCTACAAGGGTAGTTAAATCTGTGAGATGAATTCCCAGAATTAGGGTTGCCAGGCCACAGGGTAAATGCCTTTTTAATTGCACAGATTTTGCCAAATTGCCCTTGTGGATTTGATTTGCTAATACTTTGATAAAAAATTTTGCATCTATGTGCATGAGTGAGATTGATTTATAATTTTGCTTTCTTACCATTTTTTTGGTCATTTTGTGTATCAGGATTATTTTTGCCTCAAAAAGGGAATTTGGGATGTTCTTCTCCCACCCCGCCGTAGAGTTTGTATAATATTGGCTTTATTTTTTTCTTAAATATTTGGTAGAATTTGTTAGTGAGTCCATCTGGGCCTGAAGTTTTCCTTGTGGGAAGGTTTTAAATTACAGATTAAAATTTTTAATTGAATTATATAGTCTGTCATTACTGAAAGAGGAAACTGAGGCCTCGTTATAGAAAGATACTTTGGAAAAAAATTCAGGCTGACATGATTTCTCTCAGCACAGAGAGTTAGTTGACGGTAGTAGTTAAGAGCATAGTCTCTGAAACAAGGCCAACTTGGTTTGAATTCTGACTCTGACATTTACTAGCTGTGTGGGAAAATTAGTTAAGCTTTCTGGTTCAGTTTTCTTGTGTGTAAAATGTGCATAATAGTAATGCCTACCTCATTGTGATTTTGAAGATTAAACGGGTTAATGTAAGTAAAGCACTTCTGGGTACATCATAGACACAAATAAGTACTAATTTCCATTGTTGAAGATGTTATCCCACTGTATTCTGGTTTACATTGAGAAGAGTCTTGTAACACAATTTTTCTTCCTTTGATAGTAATTTATCTTTCCTTCCTGGCTACTTTTATAATCTGCTCTTTGTTTTGGTATTTTCTAGTTTGATTATGATGTATCTCAGAATGTATTTCTCTATCCTCTTTCTTCTGAAATCTTTGGATTAGAGTACTTAATCCGTTCTAGAAAATGCTTACCTCTTATTTTTTATTCAAAGATTGCTTCTGCCTGGTTCTCCTTCTCTTCTTTCTGGAATTCTGATTGAAATCTGTGGATTAGAGTACTTAATCTGTTCTAGAAAATGCTTACCTCTTATTATTATTTTTTTTTTTCAAAGATTGCTTCTGCCTAGTTCTCCTTCTCTTCTTTCTGGAATTCTGACCATAATGTGTTGTACCTTCCTACTCCATCGTTCATGCCTCTTGACTTCTTTTTGGTATTTTTCCATCTCTTCATCTATTTGTGGCTAATTTTAATAATCTCTTTAGTCCTCATTTCTAGTTCACTATGTGTCTCTTCAGCTATGACTAATCTGCTTTGCAGTCAATCATTAAGGTTTTAATCTCAATTATTAGTTTTTTAAAAAACTTCCAGAAGTTTTGTTTGGTTCTTTTTGAAATGGTTGGGCACACTTCATATTTTTAGTTCCCTGTTCATTTTCAAGCGTCCCCTCTATTTCTTTAAGCATGGTAAACATAATTTTATTTTTATTTTTATTTTTTGAGGCAGAGTCTCACTCTGCTGCCCAGGCTGGAGTGCAGTGGTACGATCTTGGCTTACTGCAACTTCTGCCTCACCGGTTCAAGTGATTCTCCTGCCTCAGACTCCTGAGTAGCTGGAATTATAGGTGCCTGCCTGACTTATTTTTTGTATTTTTAGTAGAGACGGGTTTCACCATGTTGGCCAGGTTGGTCTTGAACTCCTGACCTTGGGTGATCCACCTGCCTCGGCCTCCCAAAGTGCTGTAATTACAGGAGTGAGCCACAGCTCCCAGCCAAGCATAGTGAACATAATTTTAAATAATGTTTCTGAATAATTCTAAATCTAAAATGTTTCATGATGTTTCCACCCTTTCTTGTTTTGGCTTATTCTCAAACATGGCACCTTGTTTTCTTGGGTATTTTATGATGTTAAATTCTAAGCTGCTCCTTGGAACTTTATCTGTAGGAATTCTCTGGGGGCTGGGCAGAAGGTAGGTCCTCCAGAGAGAAACTTCAGTTGCTTCTGCTGTGTACCTTAAGGCAGTATCATAGTCTGGGATGACTTGAAATCCTATTTTTTGCTTGCGGTTTTACAAAACATGAGGAAGTAAAAATTTGGGCCACAAATTTAAGTACATTTTAAACTTAATCTTAATACTTAAAAAATACCAGTTAGTAAAATCTAGTTGTGTGTCTGAGGGTCCATCTGTGTGTTTTTCTCTGTATATGTGCTCAGAGTTATTAGAAATGAAATCTACAAACATTAATAAGGCTTATTCCTAGGTAATGCAATTTAATGAGTTTTACTTTGTTGTATTTTGTATTGCTTAATTTTATTTTGTTATGACTACTATTTGCCCCCCACCCAATACAATAAAGTCCTTGCTTTAAAAACAAACAAATATGCGAAAACTTTGCTATAACACATTAAATACCTTCCCTCAATCCAACTGGAGGCGTCCTGCCTGGGCCTCCCCTGTGCTTCTGTTCTGTAACTGGATTCCTGCCCTGTGCTCTGTGTCTAGGTCCCTGTTTGTAACCTTGGATTAGAGTCCTGTCTCTGGTTTCTAATCCAACGTCTCCAGCTTCAGTACTTGCTGACAGACTTATCAAGCCTGCCTGCTAGGTTTTAATATCTGGCTCACATCAAGAGTTCTTTTGCCAGGGCCTGGCCAGCAGGTTGCTCTTGTCAGATCCTTGCTGCCAGTTCCTGTCTTGCTGTTGCACCAGGCTCCTCTGTCAGCCCCTCCAGATGGTGTGCTCTGCTGGCTCCACTGCAGTCCTCAGCTCCTTCTGCTGGACCGGGGCTTCCCTTAGGAAAAAGCTACTTGTAGGTACCAGTTGGTCTGTCTCTAAATCCCTCCCTCCCTAGCTCTCTCCCTCTCTCATTCTAGTCCCTTTCTTCCCATCTCGCCTGTCCTCATCACTCCCTTCCCCACCTTCCCCTTCTCCTCTCTATTCTATCCCACCCCTCTCTTCTTTCCTCTCTCCTTCTATCCTCTTTCTCTTTTATTCTTCTCCTCCCCTTGGCTGCCCTCCCATTCCCTCCCTTGATCCTTCTTTCCTCTTTTCTTTTCTGATTCATTCTTCCTCCTCCCATTTCTTATCTGTAAAATGGTTTGTACAGGTGATTAGATTAAATAATAAAATCTAGATTGCTTAGCATACTGTTGGATACATAGTCAATGCCATTATAAATTATTACATATTTGATAAATCATTAATTCATTCATTCAACAAACTTTAATATCCTATCATGCACCAGGGATAGTGCTAGGCATTCATGATTGAGTCACAACCAAGTAAGGAGAATAACCAGGGAACAGACACATGCTCCAGGGTTGGCTGGCTGGTCTGTGCTACTAGGTGCAACGGTATGTGTCCCCTTGTATACAGAGGCCATGGATTGTCAGGCCTGTGGCAGAATTCAAGAGCACTACTCCACAGCTGGTTAACATTGCCCACTGAAGGATCTGTTTCCTGATTTGTTTTCCTCAGCAGAGTGTTATTGCCAAGAAGATGGATGTCCATACCTCTAAATATATGGAGCTTTTTGGTTGGCACAGAACTATAAGTCAGCCTGCCTGGACTCTAAGCCTGGGACATTCCCAGAACAGAATTCAGAAAAACTATATTTGAGTGATTTTTATAAACAAGGCAGTAGATAGGAAATAACGGGGTGTAGGTGCTTGCCGCACCTTTTTCAGGAGGTAAGCCGGATCTCTGCAAGACTTGAGATTTCTTTTTAAAAGGAATCTACGCAGTCTCTGAGTTTCATTATGAGCCAGACTTGGGCTCCCAGTACCAATTCTTGTCCAGAAAATTTTGTCTTTGGAAAATAAGATGTCCCAGAAGACAATTTTATACAAGTAGTTGAGCTGTTTTTAAAGTGCCATTGAGTGTGAAATGTATGATTTCCACCTGTATTGGACATTTGGCCTTTGAGGCAGGCCCCCTGTCAAGCTCCTGTGCAGGGTCACTGTCCGGAGGAGGCACGGCAGGGCCAGCTTGGAGCTGCAGTGCAACCTGGCAGCCCTGTTGCCAGGCTGGGGCCTGCAGGCTCTCAATCTTCATGTTATTTATGTAAGTCTGTCTTAGCTCCCTCTCTCCAGGTCCCCTTTCCTGGGCTGACCTCTGGATGCACACAGCTGGGCTCCCTCTTTCCTCCAGGCTGGATCACGTGACCTGGAACTTCTGATATTGAACCTGCCATCAAAATCTGCCTGTCACTTGTCCCAACCCCTTAGATTCCTGCTCACTCTTAGAGACCTGAGGTCAATGAAGATGTTGCATTACATCACAGCTTTCCCTGGTTGGAAAGTTAACAATGTCCCTACCAGATAACATAGAGGCTGGGGTGACAATGCACATCTTCTAAAGTCCTTTAGGAATTAGCCTGTTGAGGAATTTTTCACACACTATAGCAGGTGGGTAAGGGAGATATTTAAGGACCTGTGGGATTTTCCTTATTTCTCAAATCATACACATTTTGTGGCTACTTTCTTTGTATATAAAAAGGACTGGTCTTCATTGTAAAACATCTACAGCAAAAGGTTCAGGGACTGGAAGGACCAACCCAGGTCTGTAAGGAAGGTGAGAGTCTGGCTGTTGAGTCAGTCTCATTTCCTTGGGCTGTTGTTCGCTGGATCCCAGCTAGCAAGTCTCTTTATCTTTTTGGGTAACAATTCTGTCATATACGTTTCTTCAGATTTTCAAAGTAATACATGCTCATTTTAGGTAACTAGAATGCACAAAATAAAAAATATGAGTCATTCATCATCCTACGATCTAATTAGACCCACAGCTGCCATTTGGTATATGCGCTTCTGATCAGAGACAGATCGATAGATGGAGAAGCCTCAACATCACTCCATTTAGCTTGGTGGAGATAAGGCAGTTATTATAGTTCTTTAACTCTAGAACCGTGGTTCTCAAGGTGTCATCCCTGAACCAGCAGCATTGGCATCATTTGGGACTTGTTAGAAATGCAAATTCTCAGGTCCCACCTCAGATCTTCTGGGAATCAGAAATTCTAGGGGTTAGCCCAGCAATCTGTGATCAAATAAGCTCTCTAGGTGATTCTAATGCACACCAAAGTCTGAGAATTACTGCTGTATAATGAATCGGACCCTCTGAACCAGTGCCCCCTCCTGACCCCTATCTCATCTGCTCTGAGGGATTGCTAGAAGAGCGCCTCAATTTAGCTCAGTTGAGTTTAAGCTTAATCCAAGCCCACAATTTATAGTCTTTTTAGATTTAACGTCATCTTCTTGGGACAATTGCTCAGGCTTTTAGATTCTTTCCCTGCCTGTCTCACGCATCTCTTCTCATAATGACATTTGGGAGATCAGGGGATGATCCTTACATGTCCACATGGCTAGATGGACCCCTGCCTTGTGCTGGCACCTCCAGGGGTGCTGCCTGCTGTTGCTGAGATACAGCTAGCCTGGTCTCATCTTTAGACATTCTGCTGGCATTTTCCCAGGCATCTGTGGACTGCTGACATGTGTCCTGTTCTCTCCCTCAGCTTGTTCAGAATCCAGGGGCCTCCCCCTGCTACCTAGGGTCTTCTCCTAACTCCCATGGGTACTGTAGACCCTGGGTTTCTTCCATGTCTTCCACTTGCCCTGACCCAGTTGGTCCACATAGGCTGTCCCCTGTCCAGGTCTTAGCTCAGGGTCCCTGCCCATGATGCTTATGCCAATCAGCAGTGACTTTCTGCCTTTTTAGCCAAGCTGGGGTCAGGTCATGTGTCACAGGGTGCTTTGCACAGCAGTTCTTTCCCTGAGCCCCAAGGGGAGAGTAGGTTCAAGTCCTGTCTACCTCAGTGGTCCCGTGAGCTCTTGGGACACAGTTTCTTCTCCCGGAACATCTTCCCCACTCTTTCTCCATTTATCTTCCCTCCAATCTCTTAAGCAAAGCCGCTGATGTATTGACTGGTCCATTGTCACCAGTTCCCAGCTTTCAGGCCTATCTCGGGTAAAATCCTATTGTGAATGTCAACAACGAAACAGCAATTCTTTCTCTTGGCATCTGTAACAATGCCTTGCCCTGAGGCAGATGGATGTAGGATGGTAAAATAGGAAAACACAACAATGTTTCCAAATCTTCCCCTCTTTTCATAATCAAATATATACAGAATTTTTATATAATTTGGATTCTACTGCACGTACTTTTAGATAGGTCTTTTTTTGTCACTTATCCATATGCCATGAGCACTGTTTCCATGTCATTAAATACTTTTCTACAACATGACTTTTAATGGCTCTGAGGAATTCAATTAAATGTGTGGTGGGAAGGAAAATAAATTGCTATTTTAAAACCTTTTGGCAGTTTGTCTTGGTTTCTCTAGGGTGTGGTGGTGGCAAACTTCATTTTAGGGAGACTTTTCATTGTTGTTGTTACTGGGATCAAAGAAACACTTCTATGGGCCTTTTGAATACGCAAAGGCAGGGACCAATGCCTGCATTAGGGCCATAGTTTGAGACAAAAAGGGAGATGGCAGGCAAGGTGCGGTGGCTCACACCTGTAATCCCAGCACTTTGGGAGACTGAGGTGGTGGATCACTTGAGGTCAGGAGTTCGAGACCAGCCTGGCCAATATAGTGAAACCCCATCTCTACTAGAAATACAAAAATTAGCCAGGCATGGTGGCACATGCCTGTAACCCCAGCTACTGGGGAGGTTGAGGCAGGATAATTGCCTGAACCTGGGAGGCGGAGGTTGCAGTGAGCCAAGATCACGCCATTGCACTCCAGCCTGGGTGAAGAAGCGAGCCTCCATCTCAAAAAAAAAAAAAAAAAAAAAAGGAGATGTCAGAGTCGTTCTGGTGGTTGTAGAGTTTTGGCTTCCTGTGGGGACTGTGAGTCAGGGATTACAGGCCTAGGACCCAGGCACTTGAGAAGAACTTAGATACATGTAAGAGTGTAGTCTACCAAGGGGAGGTGGGCCAGGACAAACAGGCGAGATGACTAGCAAGAAGTGTTTAAGCAGGTATCCAGGCAAGCAGGAGCAGGGCAGGAGAGGCCCCCCAACACCTCCACAAGAATGCTAGGCAACCATCAGGTGATGGTCAGGTGGTTGTTAAATTGTCTCGCTAAAATAATAATTGGTTGTAGCTGGTGCCAGGGAAAGGCAGTCTCCCAATAGATAGAAAACAGCTAAAGCTGGTGATCAGCCTCCCAATAAGATCTTAGAAGTTGGGCGAGAGGGCCCAGGAATGCCTAAAAGGCAAAATGGCGGCACTTAACGGGTGTGTGACCTTCCTATAGGAACGCTCCACTGGCAAGGGGAGAATGCCTCAGATAAGCATGTGCACAACTTCAGTAAACACACTGCGCATGCAGCCCCTCCCAGGCGCTGGCAGGCTACTGCGCATGTGTGCTGGCAGGCTACTGCGCATGTGCACAGCCTGCCTCAAGGGAAACTCAAAGGAGGAGAGATGCAAAATGTCGGAAGCATGGAAGCTATAAAACCCCAAGTCAATGGTCAAACAGGGCACTCGAATCTCTCAGGTCACCTGCTTGGCCCTCTTCCAAGTGTACTTCATTCCTTTCATTCCTGCTCTATAACTTTTTAATAAACTTTCACTCCTGCTCTAAAACTTGCCTCAGTCTCTCACTCAGCTTTATGCCCCTTTGATGAACTATTTCCTCTGAAGAGGCAAGAATTGAGTTGCTGCAGACCCGTACGATTTGCCACTGTTAACAGAAGCAACTTAAAGTATGAGAGATGGATTTAGGAATACTGAGGTCTGACTTGGAGATAGAAGTTTTAATTACACATCTAAGTGATGCCTTGAGAAATTAATGAAGGGGACTGTTTCCATGTTGCTGGTAAACTAGAAAGGGGATAAAAATGTGGCCAAAAGACATGAGAAGCCAAAAACAACATGAACACCAGAGGTGACAGCTACTCCCTGTGAATTTTTAGAAATACTCAAAAATCCCTGCCTCATAAAGAATGGGTAGTTCAGTTGTTTTATTGGAATATTATGCATTTGGGTAATTACAGAAGGCTGGAAAACCGGGGATACTTTAACAATAAGTATATTTTAATTTATTTAACCACCACTTATTTGGGGTATTTTTTCCCATTTTCCACTATTATTTAGAACACTGCTATAAACAGCTTTACAGATTAAAGTTTTGAGCGCATTATTGATTGCTTCCTTGGGGCACATTTCTAGAAGGGGAATTGCATGGGTGATGGCTATGCCCATCTTAAACACTTGTGATATAGAACAATTTTAAGTCTTTGACTCCTCAGGAAGAATAGTCATTTGTAGGGTCTGACTCTACTATAACTGCTACTTTTCATGTAGCCCCTGAACCAGATGGAGAATTCCAGTGTTTGATGGCATGATCACCCATATGGGTGGGGACACGCTGAGCGGGTCACATGTCTCTCTCAGACTTTCCTAGTTTCAAAACCAAGGATGATTCATTATCAACCTTGTCAGTTTGATTTCACAGAAATTACATTTAGAAAGTGCACACAACTCTTTATATACTAAAAAAATCCGTAGATATTAATAATATTGAATTCTCTGCCCTTTCTTTTTTCAGGGTGAGAGAAACTTGAAGACTTCAGTCCTTTTTGTATCTATGACTCCGGAAAGGAAAGAAAAATAAACCATGTAGAACCTGCTTGCTGTCCTGTCCTCTGCCAGCCGTTGGCCTCAGTAATCGGATTCAAGGATATGTATGACCTACTTTTTGAATCACTGCAGCCCAGGCTGCGCAATTTCTTATGTTCTCTTGCTGAGAAACCAACATACAAGCAGAGATTGTGTATTTTTCTGTAAAGGTAGAGGTAGGCGCTTCTGGAAATTCTGGAAACCTTTCCAAGTTTACAGCACAAACGACCGGAATGTTAAGAAGGGCTTTTGTTAACAGGTCTGTTTTGCTAGGATTCTGCAGGGGGTTGGAGCCCTGGGGAGGCTTCTTCTTGTCCCCATTGGTGTTGATTCTGTCTCTGATATTCACTGGTAGCAATCAGATCTCACCTGGCATAAAGCACTGGCTCCATCTGTTTTCTAGGAGTGGATTTTTTTTCCATTAAGAATAGAGTCATCTCAGTATGAACGGCTGATACAAGGGGAAAAAGAAGCATTTCCAGCAGTGCTTGTTTACCAGTCCTTTATGACCAAATTGATGCAAAGTGGGCCACAAACATGTTTGTTGACACCTGGAGTGTCCAAACTCCAGAAATAGATAAGAGTCCCTCATGAAAATATATATAAAGCAAAGAGATAGAAGAAATTGATTAAACCCATAAAGATATGGACAAGGAAGAGAAAGCAACCAACATTTACCGTGTCTTTCTATTAATAGCTACCCAACACTGTCCTGGAGGCTTTTTAAAGAGCTTATCTCATTGAAGCCAAGGCTGGGGCTAGCGAGAGGCCAATGAGGTGAGTCATGCTTCTGCAGGGGTGGATTCTGTCTTTATTTAGAATTTTGAAATTTTGTTCCTTATGGATTTTTTGCATTGATTTTGATTTTTTTTAAAAAAGATTCCTCTATTGAGTTGAATAGTATCTCTCCAAAATTCATGTCCTCTCCAAACCTCAAAATGTGAGCTTATTTGGAAATAGAGTCTTTGCAGATGTAATTGGTTGTGATGAAGTCATTCTAGATTAGAGTGGAGTCTAAATCCAAAGACTGCAGTCCTTATTAGGAGGTTGTGTGAACACACAGAGACCCAAGGGGAAGGTGGTCAATGTGAAGACAGAGGCAGCAATTGGAGTGAGGCAGCAATTGGAGTGATGCAGCTACAAGCCAAGGAGCACCAAGGACAGCCAGCAGCCAGCAGAGCTAGGAGAGGCAAGGAAGGGTTCTTTCTTGGGCCTTCAGAGGGAGCACGGTCCTGCTGACACCTTGATTTCTGATGCATAGCCTCTAGAACTGTGGCAGAATAAATGTCTGTTGTTTTAAGCTACTGAGCTTGTGATAGAATAGTCCCCTCTTACCCAAGGTTTTGCTTTCTGAGGGTTCAGTTCTGTAGTCAACTTGGAAAATTCCAGGAATAAACACTTCAAAAGTTTTAAATTGCACACCATTCTGAGGAGCATGATGAAATCTTGTGCTGTCCTGCCCCGGACATGGAACATCCCTTTGTCATTGACGTCGTCTGCTCCTGACATTCAACCGTGGACATCATCATGGCTTGAGGATCCAGAATCAACTGAGGCAGATGATCCTCCCTTCCGACATCATCAGAAACTCAGGAGTGGCCCGATGCTATGTCACAATGCCTGGATCATTCACCTCCATTCACATCATGTAGGCATTGCATCATCTCCCATCATCACAAGAAGAGGGGTGAGTGTAGTACAGTAAGATACTGAGAGAGATAAAGAAAGACCATATTCACATAGCTTTTGTTACAGTATATTGTTATAATTATTCTATTTGAATACTATTGTTAATCTCTTACTGTGCCTAATTTATAAATTAAACTTTATCATAGTTATGTATGTATAGGATAAAACTGTGTCTTTGGGTTCAGTACTATCTCCGTCTGTGGTTTCAGGCATCTGCTGGGGGTTTTGGAATGCATTTCCCCATGGATAAGAGAGAATACTGTACTTCATTACAGTAGTAGCCCTAAAAAGCTAATACAGTTACGTGACAATATTACTTCTCTTGATCACTGAGGATATTGGTGCCCCCTTAAGTTTTGCGCCTGAGTGCCTTGCTCTCCTCACCCTAATGCTAGTCCTGCCCTGTAATTTCTCCATTGTAACCACCCAGTGAGGAACACACAGAGGAAAATTTTCTCTAGGCTCTTTGATATGATACACATGACATATGAATGGTGTACAAAATTTAGAAAATATGTAATAGATTGGGAAAAATTAAAAAGACAGTGTGAATCAGAGGACTAGTAGGCCTGAGAGTTAACCTAAAGGAATAATCCTAAATATGAAGGGAAATTTTATCCCACAAAAGCATTAACTGTTGAGTTAGAAGAGTAAAATCTAGAAGCAACTGAAAGTCACACCACAGAGGAAGGTTAAGTAAACGATGACATAGCTTCTCAATGGGCTATTATGCAGTCATTAAAAATGAAGTTTATAAAAATATGTTATAGCTTGTAAAATGTTTTAGCTGTAGAGCTAATTAAAATTAATTAGAAAAGTGTTTATA
This sequence comes from Homo sapiens, assembly GCF_000001405.40. Lineage (NCBI taxonomy): Eukaryota > Metazoa > Chordata > Mammalia > Primates > Hominidae > Homo > Homo sapiens. Next base: position 133,984,861 of record NC_000002.12, on the reverse strand, counting down.
CAGTATGACTACTACCATGTTAAAAAAAAAACTGCAAACATAACAATATCTGGCCTCACCAGAAACAGGAAAAACAATAGTGTCTGTTGGTGATAGTGATATGGGAGAATTATTTATGCCTAAATTCCTATATTAATTATTTTTTATGAGCACACATATTTGTTTTCTATTGCTCTGTAGTAAATTACCACAGCTTAGCAGGTTAAAACAATGTCTATTTATTATCTTGCAGTTTTGTGGGGCAGACATCTGGGCATGGTCCAACCAGATTCTCTGTGTAGGGTCTCACAAGTCTGAAATCAACGTGTTGGCCAAGCTGTGTTCTCATGTGAAGCTCATGGTCCTCTTCCAATCCCTTTTGAGTTGCTGATGAAATTTACTTCTTTATGGTTGTAGGACTGAGGTCTGTCCCTATGTTCTTGCTGTTTGCCAACTGAGGCTGACACTCAACTCCTGGAGGCCGCCCTCAGGGTCTGGCCTTGTGGACTCCTCATAGCATGGTGACTTCCTTCTCCAAAGCCAGTAGGAGATTCTCTCTCCAGTCAGCTATGACAGAGTCTTATATAAAATAACCCCATCAAGGGAGTAACTATGCTAGCCACGCTCAAGGGGAGGGGATTCTACAAGACATATATAATGGGGTGGGAACGTGGGAGTGATCTTAGAATTCAGCTACTAGAATAAAGAAAGGAAATATGTTGCTTCTAGAATAAAGAAAGAAATCGGGGCCTCAGAGCCACAGGGTCGAACCCGTCGTTGTAGCACTGTTCTGGGCTGGGTGACTGGCTGGCTCACCTGGGGTGAGTTCCATGGGGAGAAGGATGCTCTAGGGAGATGCTGCTGCTGCTGTCTCTCCAAACCAGCTCAGTCTGAAGGTATTTTTCCTTCCTCCCTGCACAGGCATCCATGTGCTGTGTGTGTGAGACAGAATCGACATGTTCACTCCACTCCTGCTGGGGATTATAAGCATTCCTTGAAGGAATAGAAAGAAAACTAACATTGACAGACATTTTGGTATTTGGCAGGCCCTAGAGTGAATGCCTGATATAGTCTGCATGTTCTGTCCCCTCCAAATCTCATGCTAAAATGTGATTCCTGGTGTTGAATGTGGGGCCAGTGGGAGGTGTTTCGGTCATGGGCCATGATTGGAAGCTTCCTGAGGCCTCACCAGCAGCAGATGCCAGCACCATGCTTCCTGTAAAGCCTGCCGAACTGTGAGCCAATTAAACCTCTTTTCTTGGCCAGGCACAGTGGCTCACACCTGTAATCCCAGCACTTTGGGAGGCCAAGGCAGATGAATCACTTCAGCCCAAGATGGATCACTTGAGCCTGGCTAGCAAAAATTAGCCAAGTATGGTGGTGCACACCTGTAGTCCCAGCTAACTCAGAAGGCTGAGGTGGGAGAATCACTTGAGCCCAGGAGGCAGAGGCTGCAGTGAGCTGAGATTGCACCACTGCATTCTACCTTGGAAAACAGAGCTAGACCCTATCTTAAAAAACAAACAAACAAACAAACAAAACTGTTTTCTTTATAAATTACCCAGCCTCAGGTATTTCGTTATAGCAACAAAAGAGTAGACCAACACCATGCTTTATGTAAGTTGTCATTGTTTAAAAATTTATTTTTATTTTTATTTTTATTTTTAGGGACAGAGTCTCACTCTGTCGCCCAGGCTGGAGTGCAGTGGCACAATCTCAGCTCAGATTGCAACCTCTGCCTCCCAGGTTCAAGCGATTCTCCCACCTCAGCCTCCTGAGTAGCTGGGACTACAGGTGTGCACCATCACGCCCAGCTAATTTTTTAATTTTTAATAGAGACAAGGTTTCGCCATGTTGGCCAGGCTGGTCTTGAACTCCTGGCCTCAAGCAATCCACCTGTCTTGGCCTCCGAAAGTGCTGGGATTACAGGCGTGAGCCACCACACCTGGCCGTAGTTGTCATTTTTAGTCCTCACAATAGCCTTAAGAGAGGAAAAGGAAGACTCAGAAAGATTAAGAAGCTCTCCTCAGGTTGCACAGCCACTTAGTTTCAACAGCAAGCGTTTGAGCCTGGAGCTTTCGACTCCATGAGCAATATTACTTTCATTGTTTCAACAGTCATTCATTTCACAGAGTTGTTGAATTCCTCTGTGCAGGCACTATGAGGAATGCCAGCATCATGACAGTGAAGGGGCAGGTCCTGGCCTCTCCCTTGGTGGAGCCACAAGTTCTGTAAGGAGAACAGACATTCAACAAATAGTGCACAAACATTCAAATCGTGGTAAGGGCCTCTGGGGCAGCTGGTGCTATGGGAGTTGGAAGATTGGACTTGACCCAGTCTGAACTAAGATCTGAATGGCTTCTGGGGAGCACAAAGGGCAATAGACTATGAGTTGGCTGTGCAAAGATAGTGAGGCAAAGGGTGTGCCAGGGAGAGAGCAGGTGCAGGGCCTGGCTGGAGGAAGCACCACAGCACAACACAGGTGCTTGCAGAAGGCCCAGTGGGCCCGAGTCAAGGGCGCAGGGGGGAGGACGTGTATACAGGGCCTTGGTGGCTGTGCAAAGGGCTTTGGACTTTCTCCTAATTGCTGTGGGAAGACTGTTACGCTACGCAGAGGCTCAAATAGGCAGGTAAGACGATGTCTTTCTGTGCTGCATATTTTTATTCATGTATTTAACATAATTGATCTCAACCAAGCCTATTTGAATCACCTGGAGAGTTAAAAAGCTAAAACCAATATCCTGCCATAGACCAATTAATTAAGAATGTGGAGGGATGCCGTTGGAATCAGCATTGATTTAACACTTCCCAGATGATTTTCCTGTACAGCCAATTTTGCTAATTACTGACTTAATTGTCACTAAAGTTCTGCCTGGGGCCCCTCTGTGCCGGGGACTAGCACAGTATTAGGAAACACAGACCTTGCCCTCAAGGAGCTTGGCTTTCTTGGGCATGTTCAAGCTTCCTCTGTTCATTGGCTCCTTTGGTCATTAATTCACACCTGCTGGGCTCCCAGCCTATGTCCTACCTGATCCTTGGGGACAGTGCCCCTACCTGGCACTCATAGGCACCGTTCCTTCCAAGCCTGTGTTTAGTAATAAATGACAATCAATCAGAGGTGAAGAAGGACCGGCATGCAGAGGTGGAGGCCGGCATGCAGAATGAAAGGGATACACAGAAACGCTAACTCAGCCCAGCGTCAGGGACAGGGCATGGCCATGTCCAGATCTGTGGCAACCACAGAGTGACAGAGAGTCGGAGCTGTCAGCTCAGGAGGTCAGCGACCAAAGGTATCACTAAGGGCCTCAAGGAGGAGGTTCTTTCTCCAACCCTTTTCTATGGACACAGAGGCCTAGTGATGTGAGCTTTCCTTCCCCAGAGCCTAAATAGCCTAAAGGCCCAGCAGAGAGAACTCCCAGGACCCACTCATTGCCTACTGGTGCTGGGTCTTCCTTCTTCTTCTTTTTTTTTTTTTTTGTTTTTTTGAGATGGAGTCTTGCTCTTGTTGCCCAGGCTGGAGTGCAGTGGCACGATCTTGGCTCACTGCAGCCCCTGCCTCCCAGGTTCAAGCAATTCTCCCACCTCAGCCTCCTGAGTAGCTGGGAGTACAGGTGCCCCCCACCATACCCAGCTAATTGTTGTATTTTTAGTAGAGACAGGGTTTCACCACATTGGCCAGGCTGGTCTCGAACTCCTGGCCTCAGATGATCCACCCGCCTCTGCCTCCCAAAGTGCTGGGATTACAGGCATGAGCCACCAAGCCCAGCCCTGGGCCTTCCTTCTTGTCTCACCTCCAGCCCACCTGTCTTGCTCTGACATGGAGGGGCAGAACATGGCAATCTGTGTGTGGCAAAACACAACACAACAAAAACAGCCATAAAAGACACTCTTGGGACATTTAGGGAAAACTGAATATGGACTGGATACTAGAGGGTGTTGTGGATTGCTTGCAATTTTCTTAGATGTGGTGTATTATGGTTCTGTGAGAGGTTGACCTTTATTCATAGGAGATGTATGCAGGAAAATTTAGGCGTGATGCATCCTGGGGTCTTCACCTTAATTTCAAACGGTTTGGCAAAAAATATTTTTATAAACATATGCATGTATAGATATACACAGAGAGACAGAGAGGGGAAAGCACATATGGGAAAATATTAACAACTGTTGAAATCAAAAGCGCACCAGTGCTCAGTTTACTATTTTAATGTCTTCTGTATGTTTAAATATTTTCATAATAAAATATTGAGAGGGACATTACACTTTAAAATGCAAAAAAAAAAAAAAAAAAAAGGCCAGGCACTGTGGCTCAAGCCTGTAATCCCAGCACTTTGGGAGGCTGAAGCGGGTGGATCACGAGGTCAGGAGATCAAGACCATCCTGGCTAACACGGTGAAACCCCGTATCTACTAAAAATACAAAAAAATTACCTGGGCATGGTGGCGGGCACCTGTAGTCCCAGCTACTCGGGAGGCTGAGGCAGGAGAATGGCATGAACCTGGGAGGCAGAGCTTGCAGTGAGCCAAGGTGGCGCCACTGCACTCCAGCCTGGGCAACAGAGCAAGACTCCTTCTCAAAAATAAATAAATAAATAAATAAATAAATAAATAAATAAATAAATAAAATAAAATGCAAAAAAAAAAATCAGTCATATCTGAGTTCAAATACTGGCTCTACCTCTTCTTAGCAGAGTGGACTTGAACTCCCTACTTTACCCTTCTGGGCTTTTGCTTCTTCATCTCACCATCAGGGACAGCAACACCTGCTCAAGAGGGCAGTTAGGATTGTCGGAGATGACAAATGTAAAGCACTCAGCACGGGATGGGCCCAAGCCAGGTGCTACACAGGGCCCAACCTGGCCAGAGAGATTCAGACACATCCAGAGAGCTGCACCGTATGGCACCCTTCTCTGAAGAATCCATTGGTCATTAAGACTGCAATGAGGTCTCCTTGATATCATCCACCTTCAGGGTTCAGGCCTATTCAGATGTGAAAGATGGGGGGAGGGGAAAGGGGTCTGAAAGATGCAATGATGAAGGGCTGGGTGGCGGCCCCCACGGCAGGCAGAATCTGTAAAGTGTCCACTCCCTACCCCCAGTATCTCATCCTAACCCCTGAAGCCTGTGAATACGATGAGACCACACACCTGTGATTGTGTTATATGGCAACATTGATCTTAACGAGTACCCAGATGGGCCTGATCTAATCACACGAGCCTTAAAGCCAGAGCTTTCTCCAGTTGCTGGTGGAAGAGGAAGGCAGAGAAAGTGAAAGCACGAGGGGAATTCGACCCGCTGTTGCTTGCTTGAGGATGGAGGCGCCCCATGAAGGCAAGGCTGTTGGCATTGAGGAACTGACAGCAGCCCCTGCTGACAGCCATCAAGGAAACAGGGACCTCAGTCCCACAGCCCCAAGGAACTAAGTCCTGCCACCCACTCGAGTGAGTGGAAGTAGATCCGTCCTCAGAGCCTCCAGACAAGAGCCCAACCCGGTGGATACCGTGACTTCAGTGAGTGAGACTCAGCGGAGAACCCAGTTGAGCCCACCTGCACCACTGAGCCACAGGACTGTGAGCTGATTGATGTTGTGAGACTGTGGGGCCAAACGGAACCTCATGTGACACCTAGTGTAGGCCAGTCCTGTGCTATTTGCTCAGGATAACAGCCGCTAAGTTTGTGGTACTCTGCTATGTAGTAATCGCGAAGTTATATCCCCCTTAATTAATCCTAAATGAAGAAGGATCTGGCTGCATTTGGAACAGAGGAGTGGGCAGTGGTGTTGAACTTGCTGCCCTGACCCAGCCACTGGATTTAAGAATTAACTTATCAAACTCTGTGATGTTTTGGGAGTCCCAGCAACCTGCCCCCAACAGGTGAGCGTGTTTGTTCTCACTCCATCAGGGGTTGCTCTTCTGTCACCAGCCAGGGAGGAAGAACCAGTAGGATCTGAACCTCAGGGGACAAAGCAGCCTTGAAAGCAGCAATCGATGGTGGCACCATCAGCACAGCTCCAGCTCAGCCACTTCCATAGCAATGACGTCAAGGGTGGGCCGAGGAGCCTCATGGCAGAGGTGACAGCAGAGTCACCAACTATCCAATAACAGCTGTGCCACCCAACGATGACTTGGACTGGTTGGAGGGCATTGAAAACACCTCTTGGAGGATCCCTCAATTCTCCTGGTGGGAGGGGAGACTTTTGCAATGGACCAGAATAACTGGTAATGTGACCAGGGGACAATTATTAACATTAGTGTGACTTTACTTGAACCCCGGGTTGGTGAGGACTGAACATATCCAGGCTATAGAAATGCCCAATTCTATTTGTTCATTTAACAAGTGCTTATGGTATCAGACACTGCTGGGTGACAACAGGAAAATATACAGGCTCTGCCTTGATGGGCTTACCATATAGATGGGGAGAGAGAAGACCGGCATGAGTGGGTGCCACAGAAAGAAACAGTGCAAAGCAGGGGTCATGCTTCCCCAGAGCTTTTGTCTGCTCTTGACTCTTTCCAGGTTATTTGCCAGGAATCTCTCCATGGGGCAAGAGATGAGAGGTGGGGAGTGTTTCTTTGCCTTGTCCCCTCCCTCCTGCTTCCCAGTAGGTACAGCCCTCCTTGTGTCCCACCAACAGCACCTCTCTCTGCAGAGGCTGCGAGACAGGCCAAGCCCATGATGATACCACCCAGAGCCAGGAGGCCCACCCTGGGTTCAGAGAGAATTGTCAAAATAAAACTAGAAATACACATTTCCTTTGGGAATGGTGGGGTAAGATAGGCGATCAGGGTTCAAGAGCCACTGGGTATCCACACATGGGGATGTGATGAATCGAATCTCTGCTGATTTGGAGAACCTAGTTGGGAAGGGAGGGCATAAAGGGAGGAACGGGCTGGTGGTCCCATGAGCCTGGGACTTGCAGGTGATACCATGTTGGAAGAAGAACCTCAAAGGAAACAGGGATGGGCAGTGACTCTGCTATAGTTTTCCCAGCTGGAGAAAACTCAGCCCTCTGAGAACCAGCTAAACATAAAACCATTTGCCTTAGTGATGCAGGTTAAAAATAGTGGTAATTGCCAGCTCCCCCGAGTGTGGCCAATTATTACCATTATTATAATTGGACTAGAAATTAACCCGTTGTGTATGAAACCCACATGTATCCAATCTTGTTTCAGGCCAGCTGGTTTGTGAAACTCAAGTGTTAGCACGGTTGGTGTGTTCCTGGAAGAACTCAGGCAGGGGTGGGGGCTAGGGGAACAGTGCCAGCTGCAGCCCTTTCTTTCTTCTGCCGCAGGAGTTGTGAAACCCAAAGCAATGAGAAGTTGTGCCACAAGGCTGACTGGCTTTGCCCTTCCCAGTAAAGTGGCCTCCAGACTGGCCATCCAGACCTGTTTGCCTGCTCTCAGAGGGGCAGGGTCCTGTGGCTGTGAGGGTGCAGCCTATGTGTTCTGCAGGGTCTTCAGACCCCAGACAATGCAGAGGTCTGAGGGCATTGGTGAATCCCAAACTGATCTAAATTTCGACGCTCACATAGGAGGTTTCCCCATTTTGGAAAACCAGATGTCATGGGAAGAAATTGCCCTGCACAATGTGGTAAAGGGGACAGAGGGGTTAGTGTTTTGCAACGCTAAGGCAAGAATGGACTAGGATGAGATAAGCAAGGTGCCTGGGATGCAAAATGTAAGGAGGCACTCAAGCTCAGCTTTACGCAAGGGCAGGGCCAGCAGTTGCAGGAAACTGAGTGTGAGCCCCTCCTTACATTTTGTGCCCTAGCCAAAGTCCTGCCCTAGGGATGCCTGCCTGTGGTCCTCATTGAGAGAAGAGATGCCTGTGATGGGGAAAGCCCTAGAAGGGGACTTGGGAGGATAGAGGCTCTTGAAGCAGACTTCATTTTTCTCTCTTCCTTAGTAACAGATGCCCAAATTAATTTAGAAGGGGTGAGCATGAACTCAGTTTAATAAAAGCACCTACAGGATGATTTCCCAGACACTCACCCAGCCTGGTGTGGCCATGTGTGAAAGAGAAGCAGAGTGTGTACTGTGTGGGCAGGGAAGGCTGCTTAGAAGGAGCTGACTAATCTGAGAGAAGCCTCCTTGTTTTGCCATTTTGACTTTTCTCCTCCTTCTAGCCTGGAATTTGGAAGCTTGAAGGGCATCTTGGACCATTAGGTGACCTTGAAAATTGAAGCCACATACTGGGAAGACAGAATAGAAAGATAGAAGCCAGACACAGCAGAGCTGTTAATGATGCTGTCATTGACTTCATAATAGCATATAACAGAGGTCTTTATAGATAAAGAATTGTAACTCAGAGATAAATTAACCAGCTCAGTTCTTCCTCCTAAGATAGGGCAGAATGGGAACTAAGACCCAGGACTATCTGATTCCAAAGTGTGCTCTTAGCTACGACCTAGTACTGCTGTGCAGGAGCCTCTTGGGACACAGCTGAAAGTCACCTCCTTTTCTGACTCTGCTGAAAGGGTTTTTATCAAGACCCCCTGAGCAGCTTGTGCTCCCTGAACCTGAAGCCTGATCAATGACTCTACAGTCCCCTTGCCTCCATGGGCTGGGCCTAAGAAGATCAGGCTCCCTCTTGGGGCCTTCAAGCTCTGTTTCCAGCTCACCACCTGCACAGTGCCGGTCCTGCCTGCCCAGCAGGGAGGGAAACACCTGCTAGGTTTTTTTGTCCCCAACCTCCACATGCTCAACTAGATTAGGTTCCCATGAAATATGTATGCTTTCTCCTAAGGCCTTGGAAAGTCTGCATCTGTCCAGATCAGCTGGCCTGATTGGCAAGCCAGGCTGAGGAGAGCCACCGTCTTATTCCACTGCTTTGCCCTTTATCAAGGGGGAAGGGAGAGGAATCCTGGCTGCAGCATCTTTGGGATTCAAGGGCAGCTCAGGACTAGAAAGGCTGTCCAAGGACAGGTTCTGAAGGTGGCAGCATGGAAACTGGATTATTCTCAAGAAAACTTTCAGCCAGGAAATAGACAGGGCTTATCTCATACAATTTGAGGCCCTCAGTCATATCCCACATCCCCTAAACTTCTTGCTGCTTCTCTGCTTGCAGAGTCTCAGGACACTGGTGACTCATTGGTTTTGTTTTGAAGACTTTTGAGATTTTTCAGCAGGCTTCTGAAATTGGGTTCTGGTTTGGGTTTAAATTTTGAATTGTAACTCATCAAAGGGTTCAAGCTTGCCTGACCAGGTGGAAGGCTGATGGGGGAAGAGGACACGCGAGGTACCTGCCGCAGGGGCTGTTTATGTGGAAAATAAGGGGCTGGGGTGGGGAGAGAGCTTGTGTTAATGGAAGAGAAAGTTGAAGTGCATCAGTTTGTTTCAAAGAGTGGGGAAGAGTGGGGAAGGGGATAAAGGTGAGGTAGGTCGTGGTGCATGCCCTCTGTCAGGGAAGGCAGCCACAGTAAATGGTGTGGTGCAAACAATGCAAACTATGTGCCTGCATTCTTACTGGGACCTCAGGCTGTACCACCTCAGCCTCCTGTTTCCAGGGGGTGTGTTTGACTGTGCAGTGATGGGTGATGGTGCTAGGCCTCTGGGCACCTGCAGTGCAGGCTGCAGTGGGCACCAGCAACCATGTCAGTGCTCAGTGACACCTGCTCCAGTGGGGCTCAGCTGGGTCTGAGCAGTGCAACCACCACCTCTGCCACTGGCCCTATGTGACAGTGAATTTCATGTGTCAACTTGGCTGGGCCACAGAGTACCCAGATAGTTGGTCAAACATGATTCTGGGTGTGTCTGTGAGAGTGTTTTTGGGTGAGATGAACATTTGAATCAGTAGACTGGGTAAAGCAGATTGCTCTCCCTGATATGGGTGGGCCTTGTACAATCAGTTCAAGGCCTGAATATAACAAAAGGCTGACCTTCCCCCAAGTAAGAGAGGTTTTTTTGCCTGACTGCCTTTGAACTTAGACATCAGCTGTTCCTGGTTCTATAGAATATTCCAGTCTTTGGACATAGGCTATGTAGATTTTATATTTGTCAACCTCCGTAATCTTGTGACTCAATTCCTTATAACAAATCTCTTTTATATATGTACTTATGTATCAATATGTGCATCTGTGTATGTGTATCTACCAGTGTTTCTCTGGAGAACACCTGATCAATTCACACTCTCAAGAGGCATCACCATAGTGAGGCAGGACATCAGCAGGACTAGTTTTCACAACCCTGTTCATCAAAATAGGATGTAGCAAAGAAGCAGGCCCAAACCAACTAGGGCTAGAAATTAAAATATATTTGCATAAGACACTCCCACCAGCACCATGACAGTTTACAAATGCCATGGCAATGCCTGAAAGTTACTGTATATGGTTCTGAGAACTCCTGGCCCCATTTCCAGAAAGTTCATGAGTAATCCTCCCCTTATTTAGCATATAATTAAGAGTGGGTATAAATATAGCCAGCCCTCAATCCATGAGTGCCACTCTGCCTAAGGGACAGCTCTGCTCTGTCTATGGAGCAGCCTTTTTGCTGCACACTGTTGTCCTAGTCAACTTGCTTTCCTTCGCTGTCAGCTTACTCTCGCTTCCTTCCTAAGTGAAGCCAAGAACCTCCCCAAGCTGAGCCCCAATTTTAGGTTTGCTCCATCAGTGGTACCATAGTGACCAAATTAAAGGGAAAATGGCAACTGTTATAGGGTAGCCTAAAGGGATGTTTCAAGAACACATCTGGAACTTTCCAGAAATACCTGACAGAAATCTTTAGGGGGAGTGACTTATTTCCTTAGAGTCAGTGAGAACATAGGCGAAGAGGGCCTGTGATTGGCTGGATAATGGCTCCCAAGGATGTCCATATCCTAATGCCCAGAACCTGTGACTATGTTATCCTGCATGGCAAAGGGAACTTTGCAGATATGCTGAGCTTAAGGATCTTGAGTTGAGGAGATTGTCCTGGATGGTCTGGGTGGACCTAATGTAGCCACAGGGTCCTTATAGGAGCGAGGCAGGAGAATCAGAAGGAGAGGGTGTGAGATGTGATGATGGGAGCAGAGGCTGCAGTGAGGCACTTGGAAGATGGAAGAAGGGGCTGTGAGCCAAGGAGAGCAGTTGCTCTCAGAATCTAGAAAAGGCATGGGAGGCTAACAGAAGCCCTCTGCGGGAAGCACATTACTTTCCTCTGGAAAGAGCAGGGCATCAAGACATCAGCCTGAGCAGCAAAGGAGTCTCTCTACATAATCTGTTGGGAGACACTGAGGAAGGTCCTGTGCCACCCCTCCCTGCCAGTTGCACTGACTGATGCCCTGATGATGTGGAACTACTGAACTGACCTTGGAACTACTTTTTCCTAAATTACACTTTAAAAAATGTTCTTACGGGCGAAGTCACTGTTTTGGAGGGTTTTCTGATGTGGCAGGCAAATGCATCCTAATGGACCAAAATTTCGGCTGGATTTCCCCTGACCACCTCAAAATGTCATATGTAAGGACCAGGGGGCTGGGCACGTTTTAGAGACACTTAAGATTTCACAATTATTTCACCTGCATGTAAGGCGGACCCATCCCATGGATAGTAGGGAATGGTGTAGGGACCCGTCTCTCTGTGCTAGGATTTGGTTTGCTGTGAGCATGCCACTAGACAGGTTTGCTTACCTGATCTGGATGCTTTGACGTACAGTAAAGACCCAAGAGAGTTTTCACCACGAAGAAACAGTGGGAGAGAGTTCTGCTAAGCAAATAGACAGTAATTAGGGGTGTAATTATTGCCAGAGAGTGAGGCAAAGGGCTGTCTCCTCGCTCACCACCCATCTTGTAGTTTTTCTAAGTTTGGCTCGGTTTCCCAAATCATCTGAATTGCACATTCTGTCTTTGTGTTTTCTTGAACTATTTTTAGGTCCTTTGATTCAGCTTTGTTGGCAGCTGCTCTTCCCCCAAATACTTGAAGAACTTCCAGTTCCACAGTCGGATGAGGCAAAGACTCGGTGGCTGGGAAGCCGCCCTCTTCCCCCTGCAGCATCCCTGATTTACGGGGATGCAGGACCTTAGGCTCAACAGGGCGCCTGCTGGCCCATAGTTGGCATTCTCCATGCACCCTCCAACAGAGGCTTTCCCACTTGATGTCAGAGCCCAGGTCGCCCTTTGTGAATGCAACGCTCACCAACATTTTGAGGTGGCCCTTTTAGACTTCTAGTCTTCCCTTCAGAAACATGCGATATTTCTTCTAAGGTTCTCTCTGTAGGTGTGGGCAAGGGCAAGCCTTCTGATGGACTCCACAGAAAACACATGGCTTTTAAACTCAGCTGAGCTTTCAATACTACTTCAGGATCTTTTACCCATTCCTGGGGTATTCCTTCTCTGAATTCTCACATTGGTTGGTGACTGCTTGGGCTCAAATCACAGCTTTGCCACTCACCACCTACGTCACTGTAATCGCACTGTGCCTCAGTTTTCTCTTCTGTGGAATGGGTATGATAATGATAGCATTGATCTCCTGGTGGTGTTGTGAGGATTCAATGAGTATGTATGCACAGTGCCTGACAAAGAACACACACCCTGGGGGTATTAGCTGCTGTTTGTTCCAAACCTTGGTGGCACTTCTCAAATTCCCACCCTTAGCCCTGACCCTGCATTCTCAGGCCACAATGTTGATATCTTCATTATTGAGAAAATGGAGACCTCTGGTAGAGATGATCCCACTTCTCTTTGACTTCACACATTTGTGTTTCATGAATTCTTAGCCCCTTCTTTCCTGTCTCAGAGGACAAACAGTCCCTCCTGCTTGCCAGCGCTTCCACTTGAGGGCGTATACCCTGCTCTTCTCATTTCTTAATTCTCATCTCCAGGGTGTCCCTGTCCTGTGTGGCTCCTTCTCTTCACAGTTGTACTTCATTATTGCAAAGGAAGTGCTGAGTAGAACACATTCCTGGTAGAAAAAAAGCACAAATACAGTCAAGAGCCACATAACAACATTTTGGTCAGGAGAGACCAAAATGTATGATAGTGGACTCATAAGATGAGAGTATCATATTTGTGCTGTACCTTTTCTATGTTTTGATATGTTTAGATACATAAATACCATTGTGACACAATTGCCTACAATAATCAGTGCAATAACCTGCTATACAGATCTAGATCTGTAGCCTAGGAGCAATAGGATACCATATAGCCTAGGTGTGTACCAGGCTATGCCACCTAGGTTTGTGTGAGTACACTCTATGATGTTCACACAATAAAATTGTCTAATGATGCATTTCTCAGAATGGAATGTATGCCCATAGTTAAGCAACTTGTGACTGTAAATGAAAATTAGAAATCACTCGGAATCCCAATCTCTCCAATTGGCCACCTCTCCAATCTCCTTTTTCCACCCATACAAAGTGATCTTTCTATTTGTCAGTTTCACTACACCATTCCTCTGCTTCAAAACTTCCCATGAGTTCCCCTTCCTACAAAATGAAACGGATCTTCCTCAGCCTGGCAATGGGGCTCTCTGGCCCCCACACTGAGTGCCTTCCCATCCTTCTCCCCTTCCAGGAGGTCTTTCTGACCTCCGACTTTTGCTCCTGCTCTTTTCCCTAGCTGGCAAATTCTACTTGAAATTCAAGCTCCAGATGAAATGTTGTCTGTTTGGCAAAACCTCCTTCCAACTATCTGCAGCCAGCAGCAATGATTGCTTCCTATGTTCTCTGTGGCATTGTGCAAATCTCTAATAAGGCACTTATCACATCCTAACACCTGTGTAGCGTCGTATTTACATGATTCTCTAGACTCATGGAATTTGGTGGTTGTTGGGTGATTTCCTCTCACACAGCACTCCTTGGAATAGCTGAAATAAGGGCGCGAGTTCTCCCCCAGTGTTTGAATAGTCATTTAACTTACATTTGGAACTGGCATCTCGTAAACAGCCCTCAATCCTAACTTGGAACTGAAACAGGGCAGTTTTGGGAGCTTATGTTGGGTGATCATCTGTTAGGGACCCCTTTTCTGGTCTTTCCAGGAGGCTCCGGTGACTCGTCCATGCCAGGTTTCCTGCTGTGTTTGCCTCCCCGAGTTATTCATGTTCTGCCACTCACTTAACTTAAGATCAGTAGTCCTGCAGCTTCAGCAATTCGCATCACTCGGAGGTAGGGGGATTAAGAGGGAGAAGGAGGACAAGGATGTATTAAAATGCAGATGACTGGGTCCCCACCAGAGTTGTGGATACCCAGGAGGTCTGGGGTGGGGGCCCAGACCCAAGATTGTGCATTTCTTATGAGACCCCAGGAGATGCTGCAGCAGCTGGTCTGGGGAACACACTTTGAGAACCCTAGCCCTCAGAAAATGGTCAAGCTTGGGCCTGGCTTTCCAGAACTGCTGTTCTCTTACGTTTTCTCTCTATCTCTATGGCAATGGCCATGGTTTTTCCTTTGTTCATTAGCTTCACGACTGCCGAAACTCATTCCTTTTAAGCCTGTTTGTTCCTCCTTCCTGGTCCTCTTTCCTAACCTGCCTGGTTTGAGCACCCAAAGGACAAGGACTATGCCAATGTGGCTTGTCATCCTTAGTGTCAACAATGACTGGCAGTCACTAGGAGCTTGAATACTGTGAGAATAATGGAGCTGGATGTCTGGTTCTGGTCCTGCTATTGAACAGGTTCTTTTAGCAGTGAGTTAAATAATCTCTGCTCAATTTTTATTATGGGCAAATGAAAGAAATGGTGCTTGACAGCAGATATGGGTTAGAGAATTGAGTACAAAAAGTCTTTTAGGAGGAAGGTTAATTCATAACCAGTCTTCACAAGCTGGAGGCAGTGGCTGAGAGAGAACACACACAGTGGATGTGGTGGGGCAACCGGGAGCACGGGGGTCCTGTAGAGCCGATTCTAGGGTAGGAGATGTCCGAGTTTTTATTTTTTATTTTGATTGAAGAATCTTTAATTGATACATAATATTTGAATACTTTCATACTTGCACATTGTGTTTTGTACAATATATTGTATTTGTACAATGTGTATTGTATTTGTATATTTGTATATTGAGGTGCGTGTGATATTTGGGTACATGCATAGAATGTGTGGTGATCAAGCCGGGGTGTTTAGGATATCCATTCAGTGGTGGCCCAAGTTTTGTTCTGTAACATTCTTCACAGGAATACAGCTATTGCAGCATCTGTGAGAAAAATCCCCACAGAGAATCTCCGTTTGGGGAAAATAAAAAGAAAATGTGAGTCCCGTGCAGCTGCTCTGGCCTAGCATGTCACAGGATACTAATATAAAGGCTGGCTATAAAAAAAGTGATAATGTCTATTTTTTTATTAAAAAATTAATTCACAATTTAGAATTTCTGAGAATATAAAAGATATCCTGAAGGACATAAGTTACCTGTAATCTTAACACCCAGAAAATATCAATATTTTCATATTGAAGGATTTCCTTCTTTTCAGTGTCTTTTTTTGAAGCAATATTTTGTGGTGTTTTTAGCTTTTATACATTCTGTGTCATGTTAAAAATTCACCTTTTATTATGAACATTTTTCTGTCATTTACCAGACTTCAAAAATATGACTTTTAAAAATTCTTATTTTCTAATTACAAAAATAATTGTAATTGTAACTAAATCAAAGGATTGTAACTAAATCAAAGGATTCAGAAATATTTCCTGTACTCCAATTCACTCCCCAGAAGAAATCTCTGCTAACAGCTTGAGACTTTTTTGTTGTTGTTTCTGGGCATAGTCAGTAATTCAAATTTTAGAGCAAACAAACAAATGGGCTTATATGCCACTTGCTCTTAAAAAAGATTTAGCATTGTGTGGGCACTTCTGTTTTTACTAAAAATAGCGGAAGCATGATTCTTCATAGCTACTCAATGTTCTGCGATTGAACATTCCCATTGTTGGGCAGTTTTAGTATTCTAAAGAATGCTGAAATGGACATTCTAATATGTACTTCTTTATCCGTGAGAAGTTGGAGTATTTTTAATGGCTCTTGGATGCTAAGCAAGTTGGTATTAAGAATTCAGCTTCCAAATAGAGCTCTTGGCTTTGGTCTCACCTTGCCTCCTGCCTCTGCCTGTCTCTCAGTCAGTCTCTCAAGCTGCTTTGGGGTTGGCTGCAGTTTGCAGTGAGGATCACTGAGCCCCAGGACCCCCTAGTCATGCCTCAGTGGTAGCATTTTCCAAGAAGAAGGAGAAGTTTTGAGGAACTCAGAGTTGCAGAAATGGCCTGGCGGGTATAGGGGGTTCCCATCATTCCCCACTGCGAACACCCAGGGTTGGGGGTGGCTGGGGTATGGGGAATAGGGGAAGTAGGGGTGTGGGGAAAGGAGAGGAAGTGAGCCTTTCTCTGCTGAAGGGGAGCTTCCATCTCCATCTCTGCTCCTGAGTCACAGTAGAACAAATAGCTGTGGGACATAAAAATGTGAAGTTAGTATGGTTAAAGGTAGGGGAGAAACTGTTATTCGCCCTCCTGGAAAGGTCAGGTCAACTGCAAAGAGAAAGCAATAGAAACAAGAGATTGCAGGACTGAGGTTTCTAGAATGGGAGCTCACAGAGTGTCTTGCATCAGAGCAGATATGTGATGTGCCATTTCACGTGATGGGAAAATGTGCTTCTTGGGGGAAAGGCTGGAGAGGGTTCATGGTTCACTGAGAATGAGCAGGAAATCACATCCTTCCAAAATATGCAGAGATAGGGAAGAATCTTGGGTTCTTGCGGAATACAGCTGATGTGTGATTACTCCAGACAAGGCGTTATGATACAAGGATCTCAGCAGCCACTTCTCTTTTCCTCAAGCATTTCTTGCTCTGGGATAATCCCTATATAAACTCCTCCCTGAGATGTGCAATGGGAGAAAAGGATCAGTTTAGAAGGAAAAGAAACCATGAAGGCACGAAGGTTCCTCCTTCAGACACAAAGCTGAAGTTTACAACGGCAGCTGCCCAGGATGGGATGGGATGGGAGCTCTTTAAAGGCTCATGGAACATGTGCCTGGTGGTCACAAGTCTCCAACACTTTGGGCCATGTATCAGTCAGGATTCAGAGAAGCAGAACTACTGGGGCACACACACACACACACACACACAATCCCTGCAACCAATTATATATGTATATTATATATAATATTGTATATTTATATTTAGAGAGTTTCTACTATTGGTAAGGTCAAATCCCTGCAACGAATTTATATAAATAGGTGTGTATATAATTTAATATTATTATACTATGTATTTATAGAGTGAGACAGTTCCTATAATTTTTGGTAAGGCTGAATCCCTGCAACACATTGTATATATATATGAAGTAAAACAGAGTAAGAACAGGCTGGAAAGAACAAGCCGGAGCCCACAGGATGAGCTGAGCCCCCTGTCAGTCCCCATTGTCTCTGGCTGGGGTGGGTGGGGGACATGGATGTCCTATAGAAGCTGAGGCTCCTTATCAAGTGTGAAAGACACCTCGGCAGGAGTTGCAGTGGCTGAAGAAGGATCTAGAGAAGGCAGAGCAGTCGCAGGCCTGACCACTCCCTCACACCTATGAGTGAGCTGGCAGATACATGTGAACATGTGTGAGCTATGAAACACCTGCTGGCTGGGCATGGAGGCTCACATGTGTAATCTCAGCACTTCATGAGGCCGTGGTAGGAGGATCACTTGAGGTCAGGAGTTTGAGAATAGCCTGGCAACATGGCAAGACCTCGTCTCTACAAAACAGAAAATTAGCCAGGTGTGGGGGTGCACGCTTATAGAGCCAGCTACCTGGGAGGTTGAGGCAGCAGGATTGCTTGAGCCAAGGAGATTGAGGCTGTAGTGAACTGTGATGGCACCTCTGTACTCCAGCCTGGGTGATGGAGTGAGACCCTCTCTCAAAAACAAACCAACCCCCACCCCACCACAAAACACCTGCTGCTTCCCTATGCTCACAAAATTTCCACAAGAATCTCTCTTGTGGTCCACCTTAACCAGAAACGTACAGGAAAGGAAATTCTAGGAACTGTAGTTCAGCCTAACCAAGCTGATATATTACAAAGCCGCTACAGTCCTCTTCTTGATCACTTGTCACTCATACACATCTCCTGAAACCAGACTTAATCTCCAAATAAAGACATGATACAACCATCTGATGTACAAACAGAAACACCCTAAATCTGTCTCCAAAAGAAGATATATAGTCCTTTTTTTGTCTTTGGGTAATGTTCATTCTTCTTCTGGGAAGTTCATGCCCCCACTTTTATATCCTACCTTAAATACTGAAATATACGGTTAACATCTATTAGCATATTTTTATATATGATAAGGAGAAGAGAGAGGGAAAGAAACAAGTATTTAGCTAATACATATATAAACATTAATATCTAAACAAGGAATAAATATTCATGGCTGCTACAGTCCTCTATGCAACTGGCCACAGGGTCGTAGCTAGTATTTTTATCTACCTTCTTTTACTATCCATTCCACTTTCCTTCCCTTCGCCAAACACCTAAGCTGGTCATGGCTCCTTGCCCAGTGGATGACCCAGACCTTCATTGCTGGTATGGGCATTGCTAGTCCTGCCTCAACTAGATTGTTGAATTTAATCACAGGGCATGAGAATACTAACATATGTCCATTCCAAACATACATCCCCCTATGCCCTTTATGTGGCAGCAACTCAATTTTGTCATGACAGGCAGGAGTGATTCCCTCAGTGTATTCAGCAAACCCCTTTTCGGCCTATTGATTCACAGGCACAAGGGATCCCAAAATGGCCAGATGGAAGTTTCCAATTCCAGTTCAATGAAATCATTGTTGTGCTATTAGAAATTCTCCCTTCAGAACGAAGACCACTAGCCCAGTAGAACCCAAAATTGAGGGGACAGGAAGCACAATGTTGCCAATGGATCACTAGGTGAGTAGTGAGGGGAGCCCCTCCCATTCTCAGCACTTGATTTGCAAACCTGTGCTTCCTGGCTACAGGAGAAATAGCACCAAATATCAGATACTGATTGGCTGCATTTGCTGCTTCCTAGAAGATATTGGCCCACTCCTTTAATGTTCTGCCACCTACCTAATGCTGTAATAGAATCTTTACAAGGCCATTTCATCATCCTGCCAAGCTAGCTGTTTCAGGTTTATGGGGAGCATCATATGATCAGTGAATTCCATGAGTTCCAGATATATGGGCTGATTGTTGTACTTCATTTTCTGTGAAGTGAGTTCCTTGGTCATATCATATACAAGGCTGTTTGGGATAACAGGAAGGTAGGTAAGGCACTGTGTAAGTCTATAGATAGTAGTCTTGGGAGAAGCCTTGCAGGCAGAAAATGCAAATTCATAAACAGAATAAGTGGCTAAGAACAAATTATTCTGTCTTCCATAATGGAAGCAATCCAAGGTGATCAACCTGCCACAGTCCTCCTGAGGAATGGGGCCATATCAAGTGCTCAGTGTTGGTCTTTCTGTTGGCAGATTCAACAGTCAGCGTGGCTGAAACCAGACTGGCCTTGGTGAATAGCAGTCCGTGTTCCAGAGCCATAGGGCTACTTTATTCATGAGTCCATTGGCCAATGACAGGAGTGGCTGGGGAAACAGGCCGAGTGGTATCCACAGAATGGGTCATCCTATCCACTTGATTGTTAAATTTCTCCCCTGATGAAATCACCCTTTAGTAAGCTTGTACGTGAGGTACGAACATCTTCACACCCCATTTCCATGCGGAGTGGTGCATCCACATACCTCTTCCTAGATCTCCTTTCCATTCATTTTTCAGTCTTGTTCTTTCTAAGTCCCTGACAATCCAGCCAAACCATGAGCAGCCCATGAAGCAGTTTAGACCCATGCTTCTGGCCATATCCCCTAAGAAACATGAACAATCAGCACCTACTCCAAGTTCTACTTATTAGGAGTATTCCCCTTTATGACTGTCCCGGTCATCCCCATGTGGAGCTGCAGTGCTGCAGCCATCCACTTTCATGTGCAGAACCATCTGTAAACCATGCACAAAGCTTTCTCTTTCTCCTGCTCAATAAACTGGTTTTAGGGAACTCCTCAGGAGGCTAGAGGTATAGGTGAAAAGAGAGAAGTCAGAGTAGCAGAAATAGAGACCTTGGGGATCTGGGCTACATCCTCATTCAATCTGTGTCCTCAAGACCTGCTCAAGCCTGATCTCATGTATACCACTTTCATTTGATGATGGAGTGCTGCTGTGAATGCTGACATTTATGGCTTGATGGGTCAGGCAACCCCAGTTTATGCTGGGTAGCTCAGGTCAGATAATAACTTGGGGTCCTATGGTCATTTTGCCTCTACTAAGGCCCAGTAGCAAGACAAAAGCTGTTGTTATTTCTCAAAGGGATTGTGGTTATCTGCAGAGGATAGCATGGCTTTGTTCCCAAATCTGAAGAGTCTGCATTATAATTCACACATATTGCCTACCAAAGTCTCCATATGTCATCACTATCAGCTACTGACTCTTCATGCGTGGTTATATCTGTGGGTTATATGGTCAAAGTGGTAGAACAACTTGCATTGCAGCCTGAACCTGCTTCAAAGCCTTCACTTTTCTGGGATCATCTCAAACTGGCAGATTTTGGGGTCACTTGGCAAATGGGCAGATGTTGCCTACAAAATCCAAAGAAACCCACTATGCATTGTGCCTCTTTCCTAGGTAAGATGGGCCCAATGTAGCAACTTGTCCTTTACCTTGAAAGAGATAGATCATGAAATTTTCTTAAGGTTTTTGTGGAGTTTATTTCTCTTACCCTGATGCAAATATTGTTTCAATGTGCCTAAAATGGTTGCTTATTAGGTCTGATCAGCATCACCTCATCAATGTAATGGACCAGTGTGGTGTCCTATGGCATGGAAATGTGGTGGTGTCCCTATGGGCTAGATTATGGCATGGAGCTGGAGAGTTTCCCTAGCCTTGAGGTAGAACAGTGAAGGTATATTGCTGGCATTGCCAACTGAAAGAAAAGAGCTTCTGATGGTCTTATTAATAGGCATTTGTTGGATCAATAGCTACATAAAAGGTGACATACAAGCCGCATGCATACAGTGGATGTATTGCTTTGTTCCAACAACAGCTGCATCTGGAAGAGCAGCTGCCTTTGAAGTCAGCACCTACTTAACTTCAGGATAATCCACTGTCATTCTACAAG
Organism: Homo sapiens; assembly: GCF_000001405.40. Classification (NCBI taxonomy): domain Eukaryota; kingdom Metazoa; phylum Chordata; class Mammalia; order Primates; family Hominidae; genus Homo; species Homo sapiens. The sequence goes on along the minus strand of NC_000002.12, from coordinate 133,963,828 downwards.
CTCCCTCTGTCTTCTACACAGGCCAACTATTATAGGCCAGTTATATGGGGATGGGGTGGTAATCACCATCCCTCAATCTTTCAAGTTCTCGCTGGTGACACTAATCTTTACGGGAATGTGGTTTTGCCTTTGGTTTACTATTTTTCCAGGTAGAGAACAGTACTAGTGATTTCCACTTGGTCTTTCCTACCATGATAGCTCATGCTCCTCTGCAGGTTAGGGAACCAATGTGGGGATTCTGCTCAGAATGTCCATGCTAACGAATGCACCCCAGAACTTGGGAAATGACCATAGGATGATTTCAGGCCCCACTGGGCCTACTGTGAGATGGAACCAAACCCAAACTGCATTAATCATTTGACCTTCATAAATGCCTACTCTGATTGGTGGATTGCAGTAACATTTTACGCATTCGGGAATTAGTGCTAGTTCAGGGCCAGCATCCCATAATTCCTGAGAAAGTCTAATAGTTACTCCTTCCCCAAGGTACAACCACCCTAGCAAATGGCCATGGATCTTTTGGGAAAGATTGGGAGGGAGATACACACTTATACATTTTTCACGGTATGGCAGGGTCCTTCTTCAAGGATTCACAAACTCTATGTTGGTGAATCAGTTCAAGTCTGGGAACTGATTGAGAGGCTATGACTCTGTCATTTGGTGACTTAATCCAGAACTTCTGATCACTAGACTTAGAGCTTTTCCATTCACACAGATACAGAAGACTTAATAGACTACCTATCTACTTTATTTCTAGGGACAGTATGATCAACTTAGTCAATGCCAACAATTTCTGTGAATCAGACTATTTTTATTATTGCTTTGGTTCTGATGTCACTTGGTCCCTGCCACCCTAGAGTCCTATCACCTTCATTGCATTCAGGAATCTTAATTCAATCATAGTCGATGCCCTGATATCTGATCTACAGAGATGAACGAGCACTGAGCTCTTCAAGGATGCTGAGGGAGGGGTCACCTCATGAATTTATCACAGCCTTGGCAAAGGATGTGTCCTCTGGACCCTTCCAGAATGGATGAGCAGGTCTTGCATGATCAATACATTCTAGCATTTTAATCTCCTTAGGTCTTTGAATACTTGCCTTTATAGTACACTAAGAAGTTGTGGCATTTTGATTTCATTTACTGTAGACCACCTTTGGATACATATTTCAGTTAACCAACCAAACAAGTGTTAGAGCTCTTCCTGTCTCCTTGAAATAAAGCATGGAATACATACTCTCTGCTCAATGCACCCTCATTAGTAAATCTGTGCTGATCCAGTTTGTACTCCTTCCTCCTGAACTCAGGCAAGAGTGGAGAGGGAGTGGCTGAGAAAGCTAGACTAAAGAATCAAGAAGATTTAATGAACTTACTGGTCACCATTTACATCATGATATACATTCTGGAAGGGACCTAGGAGACTGGTCAGGAATACCTCCTAATTAGCAAGGGAGCTAACTTTCTCCCTAATTCGCTTTACCTTGCATTGTTAGCTCATTCTTGGTTTTCTTGAGGTGAGCAGATGACAGAGTTGGGAAAGGATGCCATTGTCACTTGGATTCTTTCCCGATAATTCCTTCCTCTTGGTAGGAAGAGTAGATAGCTCTTCAGCTTCCTCCTCTTCGAATAGGGTAGTGCTTTATGTAAATTGTGAGGATTAGAGAGACTATAAAGAGCTTGGCACATTGCAGACATGTAATACATAGTTGGCATCTATTCTTATCATTAGACCTAACTATGGGAGTAAAATCGATTTTCATCCTTTTTGTTTGAATACGTTTGAGAGCTTTCTTGCTTTTAGTTTGTTAATTTCATTCTATATATCCTGAATTTTTGCAGTCAGCAGATTATAGCCATTTGCCATTTCTTCAGATAACTATCTGAAAGATCTGAAATTTTAGAATCAGACAGCGCTGTGGCTGAAATATCCAAGCATAGCCATGACTGCTTTATTCCAGTGTAAACCTCAGTGCAAATGCTGCTTGACTAGTGACTGATTTGCACCATTCGTGGAAATTAGAAAACTAGAAAATTAGTTCGTTTTCTAGTGCTTTTCGATAGTCATCCACTGAATGGAGGCATGAGTACAAGGGAAGAACAATCCACTGAATATGGGACCCTGTAGGTGGTACTTTATTCCTAATTTAGAAAAAAAATATTCAAAACAACTTAATTTTTGTAAGTAAACAGAAGATGGTACAAGTAACTTAGCCAAGGTCGCATAGAAAAAACCCAGGTAGTGTAGTGCTTCAAAGCATAGGTTTCAGGGCCAGGTAGTCTGGGTTGAATTTTGGCCAAGGGCAATTTATCTAATCTCTTTGTGCCTTGGTTTCCTCAGCTGTAAAATGGAGGTTACTATGTCTATCCCAAAGGCTTGCTGTGAGGATTAAAGGAGTTATCACTTTAAAGCCCATAGAACAGTTCCTGCACATTGTCTATGTGCTCAGTAAGTGTTTGCTAGTGAAAGCAGGTCTGTTGATATCCTGTGTTTATGCTTTGCCATTGGGGGAAGCTGAGTGAAGGGTACATGGGAACTCTGTACAGTTTTTGCAACTTCTTGTGAGTCTTAAATTATTTCAGAATAAAATGTTACATAAAACAAAGGCAGGTCTCCTGGCTCCAAAGCCTGTACCTGTGCCTGTCCTTGGATATCCTTCTGTCCATCATTAGGAAAAGGCATTCCTTAAAAGTCCCAGTGCAGGAGCTGCTCCAGCCTAAGGGCTGCAAGGTTAATCAAAAGATGAGTGTTTCAGGATCCAACTGTACATTTAGAGAACAGCACCACTACTTAGAGTAACTAATTAAACCTGCAAGGAACTGCAAACCTGTGGTTTAAAATCCCCAGAATTGAAAGCTGTGAGAAACACCATTCTGTCCCATTTAATGATGAATGGAGGATCTAAACAAAAACTCCTCAGTAGCCTGTGTGAGTTCAGGATTACACATGTATGCACACACCACACATTTGCCTTAGAAACCTCAAAGGTTAACTACTTGTTATGTGCTTATGGCCTAAGTGTCAGATAAAATCCTATATAAGCACTGGGAACATACCCTATAATTTTGTTCATCAAAGTAAAAGAAACATGAGGCCGGATGCAGTGGCTCCCGCTTGTAATCTCAGCACTTTGGGAGGCCAAGGCAGGCAGATCGCGTGAGTCTAGGAGTTTGAGACCAGCCTGGGCAACAAAGGAAGACCCCTTCTCTACAAAAAATTGAAAAATTAGCCAGGTGTGGTGGGAGTGCCTGTAGTCCCAGCCCCTCATGGGATTGAAGTGGGAGGCTTGCTTGAGCCCAGGAGGTTGAAGCTGCAATGAGCCATGATTGCACCAGTGCACTACAGCCTGAGCAACAGAATGATACCTTGTCTCAAAAAAAAAAAAAAAAAAAAAAAAAATGGAAAAGAAAAAGAAAAAAGAGGCTGGGTGCAGTGGCTCATGCCTATAATCCCAGCACTTTGGGAGGCTGAGGTGGGCAGATCATGAGGTCAAGAGATCCAGCCCATCCTGGCCAACATGGTGAAATCCCATCTCTACTAAAAATACAAAAATTAGCTGGGCATGGCGGCACGCTCCTGTAGTCCGAGCTACTCAGGAGGCTGAGGCAAGACAATCACTTGAACCTGGGAGGCGGAGGTTTCAGTGAGCTAAGACCATGCCACTGCACTCCAGTCTGGTGACAGAGCGAGACTCTGTCTCAAAAAAAAAAAAAAAAAAAAAAAAAGACAGAAAGAAAAGAAACATAAGGAAAATATCTGGGAATATCATTTTTAAGACATTGAAAGGAATTGATGTGTCCAAATTTGTGCAGATCAGGTGATTTTGCTGATCCAGTGAGGTATATGAGAATTTGTAAAACCCAGGGCTGAGGCAGAAACCAGTTTTCTGACCTCTTGAATTTGCTCTTGAACTCTAGTCAGCATTTCAGAAAAAAATATGTTCAGAAGGAAGTTCCTAGTAGCACTCAGGGACCCTCAAAGGTGTTGGGAGGGTGGGGTCTCTCAGAGTGGGCATGGGTAGATTTAAAACTCGATTTAAATTGTAACAAAATGAATATTTGGAAAACAAGCCGAAAAAGGCTTTTTGTAATTTCTAACTGGATAAAATAATGAAGAATAAAATCTTCCTGACTGTGAGGAATATGTCAAAGAAAACAGATTCTTGCACATCAATAATTCTTAGGGTGATGGACAAAAAATTCCTCAAAAGGCATGGGTTAAAAAACGGTTTTGAAGAATTCAGGACTAGATGGTATGACTCTGTTACCCCAAGAATGACATCTCATCGATCCCATCTCTACCTTCCCTACTCTTCACCGTTAGCCAAGACAAATCAGGACAACTGCTAAATTATTAGCAGAAATTTTACTTTGACTTCACTGAGGACTCAGTGTTTGAAAGGGAAATTGGAAAAATATTTCTTTCCAGGGAGTCTACTTTTTCACTGGTTCAAAAGAACTGAGTTCACTGGGCTTCAGAGAATAACCAAAGGCTGGTTGTTAAAGACATGGGCTCCATGAACTAGAGTCCACATCCACTCTTGCCTGCCCCGTGTGGCCTTGCTTCACCAGCCTGACTGCTGGGCTTGCTTCCTGCCTCAACAGCTTAGGAAGTGAACTGTTCTGGGTGAGACATGTAATCTCTCTGAGCCTCAATCTCCTCATCTGCACAATGAAGATGATGATAGAATGCTCCTAAGGTGGTGGATGAAATGCTTAAATGAGATAATGCATTTAAGGCACCCAGCACCTTAAAAGTTGTCAGTAAAACGAGCTGTACTCGTTACTATCCTGGAGTGGAATCAGGTGATCTTCTGCCCACCTCCACCTGACACCCCACCACCCTCCATACAGTGCCAGTGCTTTCAGTCCTATCACGGGGTCTTATATAAATGCCTGGCCATGCTCCAAGTATAAATTGTTGTATGTATGGGAAGACAGCCTTAATTAAATAGAAACAGGATTTGGAAGATCTAGACATCTAATCTGTAATTCAGTTCCTGGTCAGATGGAAGCTGAGTATAAAAGGCACCTGAATTCCAGGTGACTCAACCTGGGACCTCTCTCTAGGAAGGAGGGGAGGTAATAATAAGACTTAGTAATACTCTACCTTCCCTGCGAACTCCTTAAGTTCCAAGTGCTGTCCTGTCCAGGCCCTCCCTTGGGGATCCTTCCATAACTCAAATTTTACAAAATGGGACCCTTGTCATCCACCTCCCTTTCAGGTAAGGTTGCTTCCATCCGGTGAGAACTTAAGTCAGAAGTCTTCGTCCTGGTGACAAATGGTCAGCTTCTCCAGCGGATGTTCCAGTGCCTGGAGCTCATGCTCCCTGAACGCCTGGCTTGGTGTCTCTTCTCAGTGAGCACAGCCTTTCTTGAATTCACACCAGCTGAACTTCGTGAAAGTGCACTTAGGGCTACTAGCATTTGAATTTCCAACTTTTTTTTTCCTCTTTGGCATTTTGTTTCTATTTTTTATGCTTCTTTTTTGTATTTTATGTATCCTTGTGAGCCATCTGCCATCCTTTCTGGAATGAGATGGCATATAAATGCATACATATATGCATACATAAAATACATACTGATATTTGAGAAAGACTTATCAAACACAGGCATCCCTCAAGGTCATTGGTATTCAAGAGAGTAAGGGGGAGGGATGGGGGAGATAGTGGTATTTTTCAAAACATATATGCCAGTAATCTTCTGGTCTCCTCTTTACCTTTATTTCAGAGACCCAGGTAATTTTAGAGTCACTCTGGAGGGAAGATTCGTATCTTGAAAAATTCTTCCAGGTGATTTGGACATACCTTTCTGCCTCCCAGCCACCCCCCCCCGCCATGGCTCATAGCCACGTCTCCGGGATTCCTCAGCTCTATTTCTGGATTTGGTCAGAAAACAGCCTGCTCTGCTGGATTAGCTCATCTCTCCATGGAAATGCCACCCTGGAGTTATGAGGTAGTGTTATGTCCTTGGCTTTTAGAGAGATAATATAAGAAACAGACAGTTGAAAGGCATTTCTGAATCTTTTGCAAAGCCTGAGATGAGGGCATTGTCCATTATGTGACCAAATGTCACCCAAATAAAGATTTCTCTTCACAATCGCTTATAATATTCAGTGCTAGAGAAAAGTTCAATTCTCCAGGAAAACCTGAATTCTTTCTTTTTATAGATAAGCAGAATTGCAGTGCCCATCATGCTGTCATTTATTTTTTCATTATCTTCCAGGGGATTCTGTTCAATCCAGCAAATATTGAATGCTAGCTACCATGTAATATACTGGATTATAAAGATCAATAGGGCCAGTTCTGGGCTCTGAGACACGGTCTAGGGAACACAGACCAAAATACATTATAGCTATGCTTTCCTCAGATGCCTTTTGTAATGATATCTCTTTGTTCCCAGTAGTTTCTGAAAAGCTTTGTTCTCTAAATTTTTATGTGCTATGTTGTATTTATGTAGTTTTCCCCAGTGGAAGACAGACTTTTGGAGGAGTTTTTTGTTTTATTTGTTTTTGGCTAGTTGTTGTCCTATATTTCCTACTGCCCTACATCCCCCTTTCAGAGCACGGCCTCTTTCTAAGGCTTTCTGGTGCAATGCAACCCTCCTCGATGGCCACAGCTGATTGACTGGAGTGAACCTGTGACCTGAACTGGGCCAGTCAGATTTTTCATACTGGAAATTTGGCGTCGGAGCCCTGAGAAACAAGTCAGGTGGTCTCGGGGGCTGAAGCTACCCCTGTGGGGTGACTAGTGGAACTCCTGGTAGTGAGAAAAAGTGAGATGAGACTGATGATCTTCAGAAGGAAAAGTTTGGACTAAACACCCAGAGGAAAGCTGAAATGAGAGACCACATGGAATGAAGGAGAACGTGAGTATGAGCAAGCGAAGGTGAGAAAAACACACGGAAGCACATGAAAGTTCTTTTTGGCTTGTTCCTATTTTCTCTGTGACATAAAAGGGAAGGTCTTTGGTGGAGAGTAGGAATGGGAAGAGGGTGGGCAATTTGAGAAGAGAGAGGGTGTGAATTACTCATCATGGAGCAGGGGTGTGAATTGACTGAGGGAATGTGGTTGGAGGGACAAACAGCACTACAGGCACGCTGGAGGTTTTTGTCATGAGTTTACATGGAGACAAGTCGTCCTAGCTGCATGCTTTTTCTCTGGACACTTTCAGTTGTGTGGGTGTGGCACAGGCAGAAAGTCAGATTTAACCAGGGCTGGGTTTTCTGCCAGGTGACTGTGACAGAGGAAGAGAGGAGCAAAGGAGTTGATGGTGTCTTCAAAGGACTGATGATAACAATGGACCACAGAGCCTAATAAGAAAGCTTAGGGTACAAGTGGACAGCGCAATGATGGCAGTGATAAACATCCTAGTGTGGGCTAAGAATCATTGGTATTCCAGTACAGGGGGAGTAAGCTGGGGAGATAAAAGATGATGTTTGGAAAATAGGATATGTGAAACACAGATTGTGAAGGAGGGCAATAAGTGGCAATGCCATAGAATAAGGTCGGGGAGAGCAGAGGTAGGGTGGACAAAATAATTGGAGATGAGAAGATCAAGAAACTGAGAGATAAAGACCCTCGAGGTGTCATCTGCATGAATACTGAAATCATCAAGTGTTAGTACAAGAGTGGTCTTAGAGGGAGAGAGAGGGAAACGGAGCAGAGTCGCTTGGAGACCTTTAAGTGTCTCCTACAAAAAGGAGCAACAGAGAGATTGAACAGTGCATAAGCTTCACAGAAGCTGTGTGTGGGGGTGGTTTATGGAAAAGATAGGAAGAACCAAACTGTTTTTTCCTATTTTTACACACTCACTCAATACTCAACACAGAATATTTCACCTCTAGGCACCAAAATGTACAGGAGTTTCTCCCAACCCCAAACCAGTTCTTCAGCAGACATCAGCTGGGCATCCTCCAATTTAATTCAATTCTGACACTACCTACCTGGAGACAGTATCAGATCCCACAGATTGAGGGCTCCATCCCACAAGACTGCCCTCTACTCCAGATGCCAGTTGTAAGTCCCGAGTTGAGACCTGTGCTGCTGACCAACAGGCTATAAATTGGGCATTCCCAAGACCCCCTTAGGGGTTGATTTGCTATGGCAGATCACAGAACTCAGGGAAACTCTTTACTTATGTTTACCCTTCTAGTATAAAGGATATTACAAAGGATATAGATTAATGGCAAGATGAAGAGGTATATAGGGCAAGGTAAGGGGGGAGGGGCAGAGCTTCTGTGCCCTTTCTCAGAACCTTCACACTTTCAGCAACCTACGAGCTCTCTAAATCCTGTTTCTTTTTTTTTTGTTTGTTTTTTTGTGTTTTTTTTATGGAGGCTTCATTACACATGCATGATTGACTAAACCATTGAACGTTGGTGAGCAATTTGACCTTCAGCCTGTCTCCTCCCTGGAGCCACCTCCAGGGTTGGGGTTGAACGTTTCAAACTTCTCATGATGTGGTTGGTTTCCTGGACAGCTAGCCCCACCCTGAGGCTACCCAGGAGCCTCCAGCCACCAGTCATCTCATTAGCATACAAAAAGACCATCACTTTGGAGACTCCAAGAGTCTTAGGAGCTGTGTTTCAAGAAAAGGAGGTGAAGACCAAATATGTATTTCTTATTATAAATATTATCATAACAGTTTATAGGGGAGGAATGGAGTTCTGAAAATAGCAATGAGAAGTGGGACAACTTCCCACTCACAAACTCAGTGGTAGCAGAGGAGTGAGATAAAACAAATCTTGAGGGGGCTGTGTGGGGGTGTTGGGTGGGTAGAAGTGTCCTCAGGGAAGAGCCTGGCTTCAGCAGAGCAAGAAATAGAAGGAAACACTCAGAGAAGAAGATAAGGCTCTCCTCTTTCATACTGGAAATGAACATTCAGAGAAAGGTTAAGGACAGATGGTATTTTGCTGATGATAGGCCATGAGTTTCAGAAGTCACAGTGAAATAGTTTGAAGGGGTAGGAATTTGGGTTCTATTATGAGATGTTCAGAACTTTGTGAGGGCGAGAGTCCAGGTGGAGAGAAAAGAACTGTGGTTGTGGACATCCTGTAATGATCTAGGGAAACAGAAATGTAGGGCCAGGTGGTAGTGAGACTGATGGCTTCTTACCAGGAGGTGAGTGATCCACTATTTCAAAATAAGTAATTCAAAATTTAAGCTGTTGGAATCTTAAAATATTCTGAGCCTCAAGAGAATGTGATTATGGGACCTGACTCAGGTAAACAGGGAGCTATAACCTTTGTTTCTCTGATTATAGATTAGCTCTTTTCCTTACCTACACGGGTTAGTAAAATGTTGTAAATGACTAAAGAGCCCCAGGGAAGACTTATTTTCTATGTTGATTGTCATTATGGATTAACTTCTCTCTTACTTTTCTCACATAAAGACTTCATTATTTCATTGCCTAAGATGGAATGTTAAGTACACTCTTTTAAATTGGAAAGGAAATGAAAATAAGCTGTATGGAAAGGACAACAAACTGTAACTAAGTTGTAACTCATAAACCAGTCTTGTATAGAAAATGTTATAATCCTACTAAATTTCTTTGTTTTCTGCCTGTATAAGCAAGAACTTTTACCTCTGGTGCACTGACCCCGTTACTCTGGAGTCCATGTTTTTAGGATGGATATTTTCAGATTTTTGTGTGAATAAACTCTTTAAAACTGGATTCTGATCCTTTTGATTATTTCAGATTCACAATTGTAAATGTAGGTTCTATTACTAACATGCCAGGGGTCTGATCTAGGTTTCATTGCTTACTGTACAGAAAGCCAATCACTGAGACAAGTATTGCCAGGGAAGAAGGCTTTTTTGGGTGCTACAGCTGAGGAGCTGGGAGGTAAGTCTTATATTTGTCCCTCCAACCAACTAAAATTGGTGGTTTATATAGCAGGGAAAGAATGTAGCTGCCTGTGGTGGGTAGAGTGGTGGGAATTGTGAAGAGGAAATAATTAGAAAGGGGTAAGGAAGCAATCAAAAGTTTAATAAAATAAAATCTAAGTTTAATAAAAAAAGACCATAAACATCAGTTCTGTGGGACAGTTGGGCTGGTTTCAGTTCCTTTTTGCAAGTAGGTTCTTAGACAGATGGTAGCAGTGAGGTGGGAAGTATGGGGAAAGGTTGCTCTGCAGTGCTCCGAATGGGGAGGCGTGGCTGGCGGTAGGGGCACGGGACACAGGAGCAGGCACAAGGCTCAATCACTCACAGACTCCAGCTCTGGTCAGAGTTGGTCTCTAACCCTGGGAACCAATAGTCCAGGCTTTTAGTTATCACTTTCAACATCTCTTGTGTAGACCCACAATCTCTTAACCATCATTCTTAAATCTCCAAACTCTGAAAACCAACTTTTTTTTTTATATTATGCATTTAGTAGCAAAACCTGACCTGACCTAAACTAACAGGAGTGTCTATATAAACATTAATTATCCTAAAAAGTGTGAATATGTATATATTTTAACCATAAAGTGTTTAATGAATTTGACTATGGGGGCTGTTCTATACTCCATGAGGAGTATATCTTGTATACTACCCTGTATTTTGTTTTAAAAATCTGAAAAGTGCTTAAACTCATCTGATTCCAAAGGTCATGGATAAGGGCTTTTGGATTTATGCACCCAAACAAGGGTGTAAAAGCATCTCCCAAGCCTTCTCAAGGTGGAGACAGCTTCATGGGTCTTGCCCCACCACCTGTGAACCCCGTAAAGAGTGCATCGAGGCCCCGTGGGCTTGTTTGCCCAGGACCCGGATGTCCTGTGGGCTTCACCTGCTTGTTATTCACCTTCCTGTTTCTGTTCTCCCTTGTCTTCTACAGGTCAAAACAGTGTGGGAAAAGAAATTTAAAAAAATGTTATTAAAGAAGCTACTGTCAACCTAAAGGAAGAAACTGAGGCAAAATTAATGTAAGTAAAGAGTTTATTTGGGCCAAGATGAGGACAGCTGCTCAGAAGATTCAGGCCCAAGTGATCTTGGATAGGAGCTCTGTTTGGCCTTTGTTACCAGCAGGTTTTTAAAGGCAAAAGCAAGGGGATACGTAGGGGGATGATACAAAGTTGCTTGTCAGGAATTCTCTTTGGTTTACAGAAATGTCATTCATTAGTTATTGCCTATACATTGTTGACATATAGATTATGACCTAATGATATCTATCATGTGGTGTCATTAGGTTAATTTTGAGCTACTTGTGAGAAAAGGCCTAGAGTCCACATAGCAAGCAAATTCAAGAGATGATTATTTAGCTCAGGAGGGGAAGTGGGATGTGACTGTAGCCTCATTCTCATGCCTCACTGGGCCTGATAATTTAAAGGAGGTTCACATTCCTCAGATAGAAAGTTTCTTTTCTTTCTCGCTATAAGCCTCTGTCTTTCTTGTCTCTCTATTGCTAAGTGGTTTGGCATAAAATCATGTGCTCTGGTAGAAACCTAAGGGCTTTTTATTCAGCTGTTGAAATTCATACCCACTGGAGATTCTAGAGCCATCAGTGGCCATGGTTCCTGCCACTGGAGGAAACTGTCTTTAGAGAGTGAAGGTGAAGCTGACATTTATAAACAGCCACGGTGAGAGGCAGGGCTGGAAAGCAGGCCTGGCTCTGTTCCAGTTCCTGTGTCCATTTTGGAGACGAGTTTCCGTTTCCTATGGTTTGATTACGTGATCCCATGAATCTCCATCTCCTGCTTAAGCTGTTTTGAGTGTCTTGTCCATACATGAAGTGTCAGGGTGTCCTAAGAAGACAGTGGAAAGTGATGGGGTCCAGCATCTGGGATGTTGGGCATCTTAGTACTGGGGGAGTGTGTCAGTCTATAGCAAAATCTTCACTTCTGGGCTGGGCTTCAGGATGGAACTCAAGTCTTTTGGAGGGAGGAGGAGTTCCTAGAGGAACTGGGGTCGCAAATGAGTTCCAAGTCAAGGACTCAAGACCATGAGTCAAATATAGATGCCTGAGTGCTGTCCTCAGCAAGCAGTCAAGGGTGTTGGACCCAGACGCCCAGATGGAGTCCAGGGTAGGCATCACTTACAGGTCGTCTTTGATGCATAGAAATAAAAAAGGCAATCTAAAGGGCAGAATTTGGGTTGAAGCCCCATAATAAAAATCAAGCAGCTTGTTCTAAGTAGCAGTTGTCATTTGGAAGAGGCTAGGCAGAAAGGGTGACATGGTAACATTTACAGATAGAAAGAAGGATAAGCAGATGAGAGAGGAAAACTTCAAAGAAAAATGAAGGAGGTAGAATCTGAAAAAAAAAAGTCCTGGACTGAAGAGAACATGGTGTTGCTGCTTTTGTAAGTTATCTGTGGGCTAGGTTGTGGATATAGAGAAAGCTGCTAAAGGTGATAGTTCACTGAAGATGGCAAAAGCACCATGAGCAGAACTGGGACACAGGATCAGGGCCAGATGAGACTACAAGATGACAAATTTTGGGGGTCAGGAGGGGAAGTGAGATGTGACTATGGCCTCATTGGTAGACTTTTCCATTCATGGCCCCCAAGGGACCGTGTCTCTCAGTATTCATGCTCTTGTGCATTGTCTCCCATATTGGACTCTGGGCTTGGCAAGGTGACTTGCTTTGGCCAATAATATGAACAAATTAAATAGGGATAAATTAGAGGCCTGATAGGCATTTGCATATTGGACCTATGCTCTTTGAATTCTGAGATTGCCAGAGGATGGATTGACTAGCTGTCATTACCTTACTACAAGCCTATGGATGAAGCCAGCACAGGAGGTAATGGAAGGAATTGCAGAGCTACGAAGCTGTGACTGTAATGCAGCATGCCTAGTCCCCTTCCTACCTCTAGTCTTCTTGTTATATGAACTGATAACTTATAGTTTAAACTTCTCAGTAAGTTCACTTTCTTGCAACTGAAAGTGTCCTAATGACACAGTGTATTAGTCCATTTTCATACTACTCTAAAGAACTTCCTGAGCCTGGGTAATTTATAAATGAAAGAGGTTTAATTGACTCACAGCTTAGCATGGCTGGGGAGGCCTCAGGAAACTTACAATTATGGTGGAAAGCAAAGAGGAAGCAAGAGACCTTCTTCATAGGCAGCAGGAAGGAGAAGTGCTGAGCGAAGCAGGGAAGAGCCCCTTATAAAACCATCAGACCTTGTGAGAACTCACTCACTATCACAAGAACAGCGTGAGGGAAACTGCCCTCTGATTCAATTACCTCCACCTGGTCTCTCCCTTGACATGTGGGGATTATGGGGATTACAAATCAAGATGAGATTTGGGTGGGGACACAAAGCCTAACCACATCACACAGCCTTTTGTTTTTAATTTTTTGAGGCAAATTCCCATAATGACATGGTTTTTTTTTTGAAGCTGGGAATTCTATAAGTAAAAATATTTGCAAGGCACTTAACAGCTTCGATGGGGAAACTCTATCCCTGTGTCCATGCTTTCTACTTACCTGATCCCCTAAGTACCATTTTCTGAAATGCTGTCCACTGGGATGCAGCAAGGAGTCCAGTTGGTGATTTTAGAGCATCACAGCCATGAAGAGTTACTGAGTTGTGCGTACTCATCTGAAACTAAGACAGCCTTTTTGGTTCCAGTTGTCAGCTTGTGATCTATTTATCTTTGCTCCCAGGGGGCTATATAAAGGATACCAGAAACAGGTACTTCTCATGTCCCTTCTAGCTCAATGAGTAATAGACTTGATGGTTTTTCCCTCTGATGTCTGAAACTTTAAAAAGACAATAAAAACACACAGATCAATATACTGAATAAGTATATCTTCCAAACCTCATACTCTGTTTCTCATTATAAACATATAAATTAGCCTCATGCAAAGAAAAGAAGCATAGCTTGTAACATCTTTTCTATCTGACATGTGCTGCTGCCTAGAAGACTCCTTAACATGCTCCCTTTATTACATCTCCCATCATATTCTCCACTTGAGTATCCAGCAACTGGAATACAGTGTTATAGAAATGAGTAGTTATATATCTGTAATTATTTCCAGCTTCAACCGTGTCTATAATAAGCCAATGTACTTAGGTCACTAAGCTCTAAATAGGCCAGAGGGTATGGAAGACATATCTATCCCCACCACTGGAAGAAAGCTCAAAGCTTGTCCTTGTTGCTCACGCTGTGATGTTTTCCCAAAGGGAGGGCAGCAGGGCTGTTATTTGGGGACAGCTGAGACCTGCGAATGCATAAGAGCAGAAATGATCAATGGAGCATCCCCATTGTCCATCACAGGGAAAACCCAGAGAGGGAAAATAGGGCATATTTTCCCTCACTGCCCTGAATGCAATACAAATCTCATCACTCCATCTCCCTTTTTAGCCTGTGCTGGAGCAAATAGTTTTAGAACATGCACAATTTGAAGCAACCCCATTAAGTCAGGATGGCAAATGCTATAATTTATCCATGCTCCCTCCTTGGAGAAGTTGAACAAATATTGCAGATGAGCTTTATAGGTAAAGACTGTAGCAGAGCCTTATTAACTAGGTTTAGAACAGTAGGTTGAAGCCCTTTCTCAGACAAGAACCACAGACTCTGTTTCCTCTTGATGTGATAGATCTGTTAGGGGTGCTTGTGTCTGCACTAAGATTACAGCTCTAGGCAGGGTAGTTCTTGAGACACTTAGACCACAGCTCTGCTCTTTGAGGAATGAGGCAATTCAAGTGTTAAATGGGCTCCATGTTTTAATCTTTAGCACTTGAACTTATTCTATTTCTGTCCCCTTCTTTGCAATGTTAGGCTCAGCTGTCTGTGGTGACAGGACTTCTTCTGCAGCCAACCAGCATACAGCTGGTCACTACAGCCCTAGGTGCTGCCAAAGGCTGAGAGGAATGGGAAATGCTAGTACTTTCCTTCGTGCAAGAGTGGGAGATGGTGCAAGGGCATTTCTGTCTAGTTCAAGTAAGCATATATTGAGTTCTCCCTACTGGCTAGGCCATTAGAGACATAGAAATGAATAAAGCATGGCCCCTGCCTCAAAAGCTTTCATTGTCTACAGTAAGGTTTGGCAAACTATACCTGTGAGGGTGAAGATGCTGCCTGTTGTAAATAAAGTTTTATTTAAACACAACCATGCACACTCATTTACATATCGTCTATGGCTGCTTTTGTTTCTACAATGGCAGAGTAGGTCTAACAAGATCATATGGGCCCAACAGCCTAAAATATCTACTAACTGATCCTTCACAGAAAATGTTTGCTCACCTCTGCACAACTTAGTAATTTTTGGTATATTTACAGAATTATGCAGCCACTACCACTACCAAATTTCAGCATTTTCATCACCCCAGGCGACATCTCATATCCATTAGCAGTCAGCCCCAGCCCTTGATAACCACTAATCTATTCTCTATCTTTATGAATTTGTCTATTCCTGACATTGCATAAAAGTGTAGTAAGGCAAAATGTGGCCTTTTGTGACTGGCTTCTTTCACTTGCAATACTGTTTTAAAGGTTCATTAATGTTTTAGCATGCATCAGTGCTTCATTTCTTTTTATTGCCTAATAGCAGTCCATTATATGTATATACCATATTTGGTTTATCTTTTCCTCAGTTGATGAATGTTTCGGTTATTTCCACTTTTTGACTATTATAGTTAATGATATTATGAAGATTTGTGTATGAGTTTTGCGAGGATATGTGCTTTTGCTTGGGTACATACCTCAGCATGAAATTTCTGGGTCATAGGATAACTGCATTTAACATTTTGAAGGACTGGCAAACTGCTTTCCAAAGCAGCTATGCTGTTTGCAATCCTACCAGCAATGTATGAAGGTTTCCATTTCTCGACATTCTTGCTAACACTTGTTATTGTCTGTCTTTTTGATTCTGGTTGTCCTAGTGAGTATAAGGTGGTCCTTCATTGTGGTTTTGATTTGCATTTCCTTCAACGCTAATGATGTTGACTATTTTTTCTTGTACTCATTAGCTATCTGTACAATGTCTTCTCTGAAGAAATGTCTATCAAATCCTTTGCCCATTTAAAAATTAGGTTATTTGCTTTTTGGGTTAAGTTGTAAGTGTTCTTTATATATTCTGAATTCTAGTTTCCTATCAGACAGTATATATTATGCAAATATGTCCTCTCATTCTGTGGGTTGTTTTTTCACCTTTTTGATGGTGTTTTTGGAAGTGAAAACAGTTTGTAACCTTGATGATATCCCATTTGCCTATTTTTTCTTTTGTTGCTTGTGCTTTTGATGACCAATCTAAGAAACCATTGCCTAATCCAAGGCTACAAAGATGTACTTCTATGTTTTTTTCTAAGAGTTTTACAGTTTTAGCTTTTATGTTTAGGTATATTATCCATTTTGACTTCATTTTTATATATAGTGTGAGGTAGGGGTCCAAAAATCCTCTTGCATGTGAATAGACAGTTGTCCCAGTACCATTTGTTGAAAAGACTATTCTTTCCCCATTCTTCACACCCTTCGTAAAAATCAATTGACTGTAAATGTGAAGATTTATTTCTGGATTCTCAGTTCTATTCCACTGATCTATATGTCTATCCTTATGCCAGTACCACACAATCTTAATCACTGAAACTTTGTAGTAGGTTTTGAAATTGGGAAGTGTGAGTCCTCCAACTTTGCTCTTCCTTTTCAAGATTGTTTTGGCTATTTTGGATTCCTTGCATTTCTGTATGAATTTTAGGATAACTTTGTCAGTTTATGCAAAAAAAAAAAAAAGCCAGCTGGGATTTTGACAAGGAATGCATTGATTTGTAGATCAGCTTGGGGAATATTCCAAGATCAGTTTTAATCTTTTTGTTTCCAAGATGTTTTGAGCATGGATCATCTGGGTAACTTGCATCAATGATTCCCAGCATTTCTGAGGGTTAAGTTTCTTTTATAATGTAAACCATTATTACTGTCTTCTCAAAGGATAAAACTTTTACTTTTCTATTAAAAGCATCATTTTATTGCCCAAGTACATAAGACCAAACACTATTATGAACTAGAGAATGCTTTTAAGTGAATTTGTATTTTATTAATTCATAATAGTGTCTATATATACTTCAGAAATTATAGAGCAAAACATGGAGAAATGGTAAATATTCTGTCTTCAGCCACTGCTTGGTATATTTATGGAGTCATTGTCCGGTTTGCAAAAAAAAAAAAATCAGCTCCCACTTAGGGAACCTCTAGTTAGCAAGAAAATCCTTCTTCTAAAGCAGGTCTATCTTTCTGTCCAGAGTGCCTCAGCCATAGAACAGGGCAGTGTGAGCAGGACTGGCCTTCGTAAACTGAATAAAGATGCCAAATAGCTCACGATCAACCTGGTGCTTTTAAAGAGTTGACTTTCTTGTGAGGGAAGGAAATTGTATCCCAAGCTGCTTCCCCTGTTGTCTAAAGCTGACTTTGCCTCACCTGGCCTGGGAAACTTTGCTCCCTGGATGCTCTACCAATTGAGTTAATTGGCAGTATGCTCAGATGAACAAATTCAGCCACAGAAATACCTCTAAGATTTTCTTTGGCACCTTCAATTACCAGTTTTTATTAAAAAGAAAAAAGAAAGCAAGCAAACAGAAATCTCATGTGAACATTCTAATCTTTCCTGCTGGCATCACCTTTCTTTATATTTGGAACAAAATGGAGAAGTAAAAAATCGTCCTTTTTTTTTTTTCTCTCAGTCAAGACGCTCTATTGAAGAAAAGAATAAAGTAAATTGATTGCTTATACCAGTCCAGAAAATCGTTCAGATTTGTATTCTCTTCTACTTAGACACATCCACTTTGCCATATTGTAGTGGAAAGGTCACTGATACTAGAATCAGAATATCTTAACTCAAATACCAAATCCCTGTCTTGCTGATCTCAATTTCTTTACAGTTAAATAGAATTAGTAATAGCTAACTTTTGAATGTGAGAATTAAGGAGAAACTTGAAGAGAGTAAAGCAGTTAAATAATTCAAGTCTTGTGTTGTTTTTTTTTATTACTAGCGTGCTATTTTTGCACGAAAGATAATGCACCCGCCACTTCCTGAGATTCCCAACCTCCTTCTAGAGGGCCACGTTTTTCAGTGTGGCATGGGTCCCCGCAGGCTTCCCTTCCTGCTGGAGCAAGTGGAGACTATGCACCTCCCCAGGTGTGTGCCCAAATCATGCAGAGAGGGCTCAGGAGCTCCCAGGGCCCAGCAGCTTCTTCCTGATGGCAGGAGTGGGCCAAGGCAGCATGCCAGGGCCCAGGTAAAGTGAGACCCAGACAGTGGGGAGAGAGGGCGAGGAAGTCACCAGACAGAGAGATGAACATAGCCCTTCTTTTCCTCCCTTCCCATTTCCCACCTGTCCATGTAACTAGCATGACTTACATCTTCGTATGTGTTCTTTGACCCCATGTGGTGTCCTTTCTTTTTTAGTGTTAAACATTTTCTAGGCTTCTGGCTTGGTGCAAATGATTTGCCTTTGGAAAAAATTATATTTATTGAAAGCTTCACCATTTAAATAAAACCCCTCTAATAATTCCCACTTCCCTCCTTATTACCCCTCCTTCCTCTGCTGGCTAGATTCCCATCTGTGTTCATTGCCTTGGGGAGGAGCTTGAAAAGGCGGGGTAACCTGCTAGTCACTGGCTTCCTGTTTCTGGAGCCTGGCCCATGATGGGAAGCAGTGAGGTGCCCTGGGTGGGGTGAGGTGTAATAGGAAAGCATGAAGATGGTGGAAGTGGGAGTGCCTCTGAGGGGAATGCTCCAGGTCAACACAGAAGAGCTTCTGTCCCTACTTTCCTGCTCTTGGACTACAGAAACGTCCTCTGGGCCGAGGGCAGGCTCAGAGTAAGGAGGAGAGAGAGAGAGAGAGACAGAGAAGCAGCAAGAAGAGCAGAAAAGTCAACAGGCCTGAGAGGGCCATGGTGCAAACTGCTTCAAAGGCAGGTCCTTGGAGCCCATGTCACTGCAGAGGAGTTGGAGGGCTAGAGAACAGAGAAGTTTGGCAGCCATCATCCTTGGCCATAGTTCCGGAAGGCTGCAAGAGGCTAGGTGGGCAATGTATGAGCAGGACATCTAGCAAATGGGCCATGGAGAGCCTGACTGAGACTCTTATGTCCTATTCTGGCCCAGAAACTTCACAATGGGTCTTAAATAGCACAGAGAAGTGCAGCCCTGAAAGGTTCACATGGACAGGAGTCTCAGCATGTGGACAGGTGATAGAGGAGCAAATGGGGTGAGGCACATTTTAGCCAACACCTGTAACTGAGGCTTAGGAGATGCCCTCCCCTTTTTCCCCCATGACCTGGTACTAAGTACTCTCTCTTGAACTGGTGAACTACCCTGGACAAAGGACTGAATTCCCAGGGACTGAGATTACATTTTTGTCACCCTAGCAAGAAGAGGGCTCAAATAACAATTCTAAGGCGTTATAGAAAATTTTGTATTTCTTGCACACTTGAGTTGGTGGAATGAAATTCATACCCACCACACTGTTCTTTGTCTATTCCTTGTATGTGTTCCACTCTAGTTGATGTGACTTGGTGAGTCTTTTGGACTGGATTAAATATGGCACAACAAGTCTTTGTCAAGCTTACCATTTGCCTGTTCCTCTATTAGGTACCAGGAACAGGTGTGTGAATGAGAAGTGGTTGGTAGTAGGCAGCCTCAAAGGCCCTCATGAGCTGCACCTCCTGGTATTCTTGACCTTGTGAATGCTCTCCATTTGAATATGGGCTGGCTCTAGTGATGGAGCAAACAGAATATGGCAAACAGAATATGGCAAAAGTGATGGGATGTCACCTCCAATATCAGATTACAATTAGACTGTGGCTTTCCTTTTGCTCATTCTATCTCTGGCTGGTTCGGAGGGAAGCCAGCTGCCATACTGCAAGCTGCCTGAAGAATAGATCCAGAGAAAACGAACTGATATCTCCAGAACTGAAGACCTAGTTCCTACTAATAGCCCTGCTGGGGAGCTTGGTTTCTTCAAGTGTTGAACCTTGAGATGACTGTAGTCCTGTTTGACACTTTGCAGCCTTGGGAGAGACTCAGCCAGAGGCACCCAGCTAAACCTCCAGGATTCCTGACCCTCAGAATCTATGAGAAAATAAATGTTTCTGTTTTAAGTTGCTGTGTTTTGGAGTTACTCATTATGCAGCAAGAGATAACCAGTACCCAGTCCTTGCCCTCCAGGAACTCTTGCTCTAGGATGAGAATTTCTTTGGAAAGAGCATTCATGATAATAAAGATCAGAGAGCTAGGCATAATGGCACGGATTCTGTTAATTAGGCTTCAGGCAGTGAGAAGAGGAGATGAGACGCAGGATGCTGAACAGGCAATAATGCCTGTGAGGTCTGGGATCGGTTTCCTCTGGCCAACACATTCTCTTTAATTACAAAGCTTAGTTCCTGAAATGACAATTTTCTATTTTTACTCAGTGGATTGGTGGAAGTAAGAGAAGTAGCATCCCGTGGTAGAAATGAGAGAGCAGGGCTGTTTAGGGAATTTAGCTCAAATCAACAACTGTTTTTGGGGCGGCCACTCTGTACCTATGAGCCCTTCTCTCACATACTCATAGATGCTGTGCCCCAGCCTCTACTGAATCACCCTTTATCGAGGGCATTTTGCTAGGATAGACTGTGCTTGTGACTGATGTTCTTAGTCATCACCTCTTCTGTGAGGTGGAGCCACTGAAAAATGGTAACTCTCATCTGTCATTGTTATAGTTGCAACAGATTTAAAGACAACTTCATTGAAAATAGAAAAGGGTGGTGGTGGAGGCGGCTGCGAAGGAGAATTGGTTTTTCTTCTAAAAAGCCCTGACTCAGGCCACACATTGAGAGTGCTGCAATCTTTTTGGTTCTACAACTTATATCCCAGAATCCCCAACCCACTATGAAGATACACTCCCTTCTCATCTGAAACATTGTGTGCTAACAATAGCAACACTGGGAACTTCGGATATTTCCTTGCAAATGGATTTTTCCTTTGGATATGACTATATTAAAATATTGCTCCTGGTTCTGGTTCTTAATTTTAGGTGAGTTCAGAAAAAAAGATGCATCAGATTGAAGGAGGACATTGAAATCAATTATATACTGATTAGCTCGGAGGAAAGGTTTCCTTGTTCTTTTTCTTTTTTTTCCCTCTTTCTGTATTGGCTAATCCCCATGCACACTGCAATTGGGTGCAGTCAAGCTGTTCCAGGCTTTTGATAACTGCCTCAACTGTCAGAAGTCACTGGGAGTGCCAGCAGTCAGCCACAGAACTACCACTGAGCTTTATGGAACTTTGCAAATCTTACTGGAATCCATCGCATTTCATCTTGTCAGTCCAACCAGCTCACTGTTTGTTGTATGTGATGTTTTAGAGATAATCTCTCTCTGGGCACAGCACAGTGTTTGTTTTGTCTGCTGAGCATTGACTGCCTTATCTTCTGTTACCAGTATTCTGATTCTGTGGGGAAGAAAATACCACTCTCAGTCTACATGATTGGGGTGGGACTGATCCCAATCCTGCTTCCAGAAGGGGGCAGGTAACCCATGGATGGGCGATTACAGTGCTTTATCCCCTGGTCCCAAGGCTTGGTTTAGGATGGACATATGACCCAATCCAGGCCAGACATAGCCATTGAGACTTGGTTCTAGGACTTCTATTTGAGGAGTGAGAAAAGGCCTGTTATGCTCCATTGGGGTTGGTGCTACAGGTAGCTTTCTTATGATCACAGGGGAGTGCCTGTCCATGAATGGAGACCACATAGAGGATAGGAGGAGAGAGAGAGAGAGAGAGAGAGACAGTGAGAGAGACACACACACACACACACACACACACACACACACACACACACAGAGAGTCAGAGAGAGAGACAGGAGTTTCATGGTCAATACATTTTTTGTCATTCTTCCTTTTGTTTAATTAAGTTTAAGCTGGGTTTTTGTAATTTGCAGCTCAAAGAATCTTGACTATATGCTGGAGCACAGTCTGCCATGGGCCCTGCACATTTTTGCAGGATATGCCAAGAATTCAAGGCCATGCATCTCTTTCCTAAGACCTTTCTCAGAATCGTGTTTGCAGGGAGCAATGTTGCAGGATGAAGTAACCTCTCTCACAAAGAGCAGGCTTGCATCTGCTTCCTATAAAAGCAGTGAGTCTCCTATGTTCAGTGTTCCTTTCTTGCAACACAATCCTTCTTGGGTGCATGCATTCGTCTACACCCCCACTGTGTTGTCCCTGTGGGACTTGGGGGCATGAGGAACAGATACAAACCAACAGCATGTTCATGCTGTTACTGGGCTGTGACTACTAAAGACTTTTGCCTCTGACCGAGGGGTCTTGTGACTTCTGCCAACATTCAAGAAAAATAACAGTCTGGCTTATTAGCTTAAAAAGTAAAGCAAACCCTTAACCCTTCTTGACACTGTATGGCTCCTTCGGGCTTCTGTAGGCTATTGAATGTTGCATAGAAGCTTGGTTAAGAGCACATGCTTGATAGGAAGACAGATGGATTTGAGTCCTGGCTCTACCATTCTCTATCTGATTTTGAGTGAGTTATTTAACCTCTCTGGCCTTCTGGTTTCTCCTCTATGAAATAAAAATAATACTTCCAATTACAAAATACATGTAATGCCCTTGGCTGAGAACCTGGCTCAGAGGAAGTTCAGTAAGTGGTAGCTATATGTAACTGCCTAGTGGTAGCACTTAGCATATGATTTTTAAAAAAATATTTAATCATATTTTCTCATTACAAAAGTAAAAAAAGTCATTGTTGAAAAATTGGGAAATATATGTCAGAAAGATAAGAAAAGTTTTTTAAAAATTATAATTCCACAACCTAGATAACCATTATTATCATTTGGTGAATATCAATATGGAGTGTGTGTGTGTGTGTGTGTGTGTGTTTTAAACCAAAGCAGAATCATGTCATATGCACAATTTTATCTGTTTTTTTCTTACTTAATATATCATGACCATCTTTCTAGTTCCTACTTCTTTTGTAGCTTTTTATGAAAACATATTATAAAATAGTTGGTATGTATAACACAATATAAATAGCATAGAAATAATTAAGAATAATAAAATGGACACTTAGGAAGTCACCATGCAACTTATGCAGTAGAAAATTACCATACCTTGGGAGGCTTCCGTGTGACCCTCCCTGATCACATTAGCCCACCTTCTTCACTTACCCTCAGGATACCATGATCCTGAATTTTGTGTTTTTCATTCTCTTACAATTTGTGCAGTTTTACCATGCATACCTGTATTTGTAAAAATTTAGTCTGCTCATTTCAGAACTCAATGTCATGGTATTCTGCTTGCACGTATTTTCTGTGACTTGCTTTTATGCTGGACATATGTTCCTGAGATCCATCTATGTTGATGCATAGAGTTGTAATTTATTCACTTTTGGGGGTGTATGGTATTCTCATGTACACATGTGCCATGATTTAGTCAAGGGTATCTGGAAAAATCACAAAGGAAAAGGATTTGATTGACATCATCTGCCTCCCTTGGCAGGTGCTTCACACTCTGGATGGGGGATGGGTGTCTCACCCTGAACCTAGCTGTTTGCTTTCAGGCAGGCCAATTCCAGGTTTCCCAGCCCCAGGCAAGCTGACCCCAGACAATGCAGGCCCCAGGAGTATCATGGAGGAAGAAAAGAAGGGTTGAGGGCTGGAGGTTATGGGACAGAAGACAGCATGGATGTCTCAGGTAGTTTACAGCTATTTAACTGGGGGAAAATGTAGAAGAGACAGAAACATTCTTCCATCAGGATATATGGCTGGAGATACAGAATTGAAGAGGCTGAGATTACTCTGCATAAGAAAGGGCATGGAAAATGTTAGAAAACTTAACCTGTGTAAGAAAGCTAACACTCTAACCTTACTAAGAGGAGGCTAAGTCAGCATAACCTACATGTAGGACAATTTGGCTAAATCTACAAAAATTAAAAATTCACCTTCCCTTTGATCCAATGATTAAATTTCTAGAAATTTACAGATGTATAAAATCATATATGAACAGTTACTTATTGCAGCAATTTTTATGATAACAAAATAGTAAAACAATTTAAATGTCTATTAATGTGGAAATAGATAAATAAATTATGGCTTATTTATCCAATGGAAAACAATGCAGTGCGTTAAGGAGAAGGAGGCAACTCTATAGATACTAATATGGTACGATCTCCAAGTTTTATTAAATGTAAAAGCAAATTGCAGTGGTGTAAAATGGTGTGTGTGTGTGTGTGTGTGTATGTGTGTGTGAGTTTCTATCTGCTATCTGTATATAGAATATCTCGTTACAGTGGTTACTTCTGGGGATCTGGATAACTGGGGATATAGATGGGAGAAAGATAAATTACTTTTTATGTCTTTAAAATTTTCTTTTTTTTTAAAATTATACTTTAAGTTTTAGGGCACATGTGCACAACGTGCAGGTTTGTTACATATGTATACGTGTGCCATGTTGGTGTGCAGCACCCAGTAGCTCGTCATTTAACATTAGGTATATCTCCAAATGCTATCCCTCCCCTCTCCCCCCACCTGACAACAGGTCCCGGCGTGTGATGTTCCCCTTCCTGTGTCCATGTGTCCTTATCGTTCAATTCCTACCTATGAGTGAGAACATGCGGTGTTTGGTTTTTTGTCCTTGCAACAGTTTGCTGAGAATGGTGGTTTCCAGCTTCATCCATGTCCCTACAAAGGACATGAACTCATCATTTTTTATGGCTGCATAGTATTCCATGGTGTCTATGTGCCACATTTTCTTAATCCAGTCTATCATTGTTGGACATTTGGGTTGGTTCCAAGTCTTTGCTATTGTGAGTAGTGCCGCAATAAACATACATGTGCATGTGTCTTTAAGGCAGCATGATTTATAATCCTTTGGGTATATACCCAGTAATGGGATTGCCGGGTCAAATGGTATTTCTAGTTCTATATCCCTGAGGAATTGCACATATGAAGCTACCAATGAGCCAAAAAATAAGTGAAATAAAAATAAAAATATGTGGAAGGCAGGAGTCAAAGAGCAGAAAGTAGGTAAGTGAAGATGCTGGTATGGAGCTTTGCGGAGAGGCAGGAGGGATTTGTTCTGAGAGGGACGAGTGGGAAATTTGTTGTGAAGAGGACTTTTGAGTTTTGCAGACTATTGGGATGCTGTATAGCCTTTTGCCAGCATCCCTTTTGTCCAAGAAAACCTTTACTCCTTAATGCCACTTTTGAAGCTGGATTCTTTTTCCTTTGTTATGTGTTCCACTCAAAGAGAGGACTAAAGGCAACAGACGCAAGGCTCTTTTTAGGCAAAAGTTGTAATAATAACATAATAGCAAAATAAAGACAATACTAATAAAGAATGGCTACTATTTTAGCATTTACAGTGTGGCAGACATTGACTAAGCATTTTACATATATTATCTCATTTAATCCCCATATAAACTATATAATGTTGGTGGTACTATTCCCATTTTATAGATAAAGAAACTGAGGCACAAAAAGATTAAGTAACACATGTTCAACATTATATAGCTAGTAAGTGATAGTACTGAAATTTGAGCTAATTTGGTTTGCCTTTGAAGATTGTGCTTTTAACACTTCACTATATTCTTTTCCTAAGGAATGAAGAATTTCTTAGGCATAGCAGCATGATCGTGTGCACGTGTGTGCACACACACACAAACACACACATATCTAACTTAAGACTTAACTGTGTACAAATATTTATGGGCCAATTTTCAGGTAGAGCTGAGACAAGAATGTAGAAACATTATAATCTTGTTCACCCAAGAAAAATCTGGAGACATTAGGATTTTAGGCAGGGTAATCATTTGGGGAATATTGGTAAGAAAGATGCCTGCAAACTGACAGGCAAGCAGGTGTTGTTGCCATTGCTATTAGGCCGTTGGGAATTCCCAGAATGGGAGGCTGAGGAAGAAATCAAATAAATAGTTTGCTGACTCCTCTAACTGGCAAAAGTATTTTCAAAACTCCGTGTAGATTACTTACCCTTGAGCGGCCCTGAGAACTTGTGTGATATATTTCAGAGATGACGTGTTAACCCAAAAGCTCTGAAAAATCTCCCTGGAGCTCACATGAGCCAAGCTGCTTCAGCTCCCATTGTGAACGAAATAGTCAGTGTTTTCATAGGAAGACTGACTAGTTCTTCTTTCTTGTCTCTTATCGTTCCAACAAGGCTAATTCCAGTGAGTTTATGAGAACAATTTAAGGCTTATTTTCTCAGCCGCTTTTCCAGAGGGAGCTGAAGTAATGTCAGTTCCTTCATTACTACCTACAGAGGGATAAAGTGCATCTCTGTATTGTTCCCTATATTAAACTGTTGTTTATTTGGACAAGAGAATTTCCAGGCAGATACTTGTATTCCCACCAACACCAACACTTTTCATCTCTAATTTAAAGAGAAAAGACACTCTAGATTTGGGCTTCCAAATAGCATAGCCACTAGCCTATGATGCAGCTGTTAGCATTTGAAATGTGGCTAGTCTGAATTAAGCTGTTCTGTAAGTATACACCACATTTCAATGACTTAATGTGAAAAAAAGGATGTAATATATCCCCAAACTTTTATATTGGTTACATGTTATAATGATAATAGAGGCAGTCCTTGCTTTGCCTGTTGGTGTAGAACCATGAAAATGATCCTGCAAGCTGAAATGATACAAGTGATTTTAATTAACAATGGGTGAAAATTATGATTATTATGCAACCTTTAAAACATTTTTGTCTAAACTTTAAACATTCTTACTGTCAGCCATAAATATACGCAGAAATTTAAAAGTGGTAAAATGAACCTATTTAGTACACAGTAATTTCAAATAATGGAAACATCGAGAGTTAAAGTACTTCTTTTCTTCTTTGTGAGTAGTTTGAACAGTGCTTCCTTCTTCTTGTCCTATAACTTGTATTGTGGAGAGAGCATCTTTTCTAAGCTTTGCCAAATTGTCATATTACTTCCTAAGATCAGCTTCCAACATTTTCTCCTTGCTTTCCCAATGTTGTGAAATCCGAGAGTTTCTTCAATGAGAAGTTTTGTTTCGTTTTTTGGGTTTTTTGTTGGGACAGGGCCTCACTCTGTCATCCAGGCTGGAGTGCAGTGGCTCGATCATGACTCACTGCAGCCTCAAACTCCCTGGCTCAAAAGATTGTTCCCTGACCTCAGCCACCCTGGTAGCTGGGACTACAGGTGCACACAACCATGCCAAAATAATTTTTGTATTTTTTATAGAGATAGGGTTTTGCCATGTCACCTAGGCTGGTCTTGAATTCCTGGACTCAAGCAATCTGCCTGCATCGGCCTCCCAAAGTGCTGAGATCATAAGCATGAGCCACAGCTCCTGACCCAATATAAGTTTTTTGCTGGTGTCCCTTCCTCTGGGTTATCATTGTTTCTGGGACAGTATCGTTTTTGGGACAGTCATGTTCCACATTTATGTCCATGCATTTGCCTTCACTAAGTTCCTCTGGCTGCGTGTCTTGAGACTCTCGAACAGCAGTAGTGTCAACAATCCCTACAGTGATCCATCTTCTGATCACGCCTACATTCACTTCCAACAATATCACTTTTTGTTTCTTTGCTGCACTTCCATCTTTGTTGGCCATTCCCTCCTTAGATTATTCATTTCTGTAAAATGTCACGTGAGTTTACCACTGGGAGACAAGGAATCAACACAACTCCATGCATGCTTCACTGTCTGCGCCTGGACTGAATAACAGATGCATAGTGACCAATCGCTGATAGACTTCAAAAGAAATGGCATGACTGGTCACTGCTATTGATGCACACGTGTTGTTTACGTAGTGATTTGTGGACTGAAAGTCTAGCAGCAAAGTTTTTACTTTATGCAATAAAGTAAAACTGTATATTAACTGTATGCAATAAAGTACAGTTAAGCATAATGTACAGTTAATATACCAGAGTTAATATACCACAGTAACTGAAATTTGAACCATGTTGTTGGAAGATTAGTGTTATTTAATTAAGTGGTGGTAACTGGAATTTATGCATATTGGAACCATGCAAAGCAAAGTATGCCTGTATTTTTGGATACTGGGTTAAAGTATATAATTAAAATTATTTGTACCTGTTTCTTTTTACTTTTTGAATTAACTAATAGAAAAATTTAAATCACATTTGTGGCTCACACTATATCCCTACTGGACAGTCCTGCTCTGTACCATACATTAACCAAAATTTAGGAGAAGAAAATAAAGAAATATACAGTTGAAAAAGAATGAAACATTGTTAGAGTTTTAAGTAGCCGGCAACAAAGTAAGAGATTCCAATCTTCACAAATTGAACATGATTGTATGGTGAAAAACAGTAAAGCTAAAATTAAAAAGATAATAGATTGGGAAAACATTTGCATCATATATGTAAGCCAAAGACAAATTGCCGATATTATGAAATTATTCATTCAAACTCATTCCAAAATTATCAACATCCCAGTAGATTGTTAAACAGATGAATAGGCAATTTATATGAGAGAAAATTGAAATAGCAAATGAATACCTAGAAAAATGTTTATCTTGTCTAGTTATCAAAGGCATGGAAATTACTGTTAACTTTGAGTTACAATTTACTATCCACTCTATTAATAAAACAATTACAACCCTCTACACTGTGGGAAATTTGGTGATTTCATGCACCATGACTGACATTGTAATTAGATACAATACTTTTGTTAGCAATATTGTATAAATAGGAAAAGACAAAAAGACATTTTTAACCCTTGGACCTAGTAATGCCACTCCTGAGAATTTAAGACAATGAATTAATTCAACAGGGACAAAAAGTTATATATACAGTAAGATGTATATTGTGTAATTTCTTATAATAGCAAAAAAAAAAAAAGAAAAAGAAAAATTAAGGACATTCTAAATGTCTGATATAGAACACTACATCCAACAATGACAAAATGCATTGTGTTTTCCAAATGCTTATGGAAGGTTTACTAGAGTTTAGCACATGCTGTGTCATAAAGCAAGCTGAAATATATTTCAAAGGAGTGAAATCATTTAGAATATGCTCTTTGAGCACAGTAGAATTATGCTAGAAATCTGTAACAAAAGCTAACCAGAAAATCACCAACTGCTTTAAAAGTAAGCTATTAAATTACAAATAACTCATGAATCAAAGAAGGAAACACAATAAAAATTAGAAGATATTTTGAACTAAATGATAGTGGAGACATGGCATATCAAAACATGTAGAAAACAGATAAATGATGCTCAAGGAAATAACTGCCAACCTAGAGTTCTATAATAATAAAAATATTTTTCAAATAGGATGGTGAAATAAATATATCATCAGATTAGCAAAAACTAGGAGAATTCCTGCAATGCCTAGAGGAAAATTTATATTCTCAAATGTATATATTAGAAAAGAATTAAATGCTACATATCAATAATTCAAGTTTTCACCTCAAAACGAAACATAATTTTAAATATCACCACACACAAAAAATTAGTCCAAAGAAAGTAGTAGGAAGTTAATAGTAAAAATAAAAGCAGAAAAAAGATAAGTAGAAAACAAATATTAATGCAATAAAGAAAAAAACCTAATTTCTTGAAAAAGACACATTAAATTGATAAAACTATGACAAGACTGATGTAAAAAAGAGAGCAAATTACCAATTCCAGTAACAAATAAGGAGACATTAGTATAGATGCTATAGACATTTAAAAGAGAAAAAGATATCACAAATAATGTTATGCCAATTTCAGTGAATGAAATTCCTTGAAAAACATAGCTTACCAAAATTGACACAATAAGAAAGAGCAATTAGAGTATTATATGTCTACTAAAGAATTTAAATGTTTTATTTAAAGCCTCTGTGCAAAGTATACTCCTGGTCTGGGTGGTTTCTTTGGTGATTTGTAGCAAATATTAAAGCAAGTGATAACTCCAATTTTTATATACTCTTCCAGAATATAAAACAGACGGTAGCCTTCCTAGACTTTCTATAGGACCAGCATAATCTTGATAGGTAAATTACTTAAGGAAATTGTAAGAAAGGAAAATTACAGACAAATTTGTAGCATGAATTATATATATGTAAATTCTAAATAATATATTAGCAAATAGAATTCTTTGATATGTAAATGGAGAAGGTATCACAATAAAATGAAGTTTATTTCAGAAATGCTAATGATGATTTATTATGAATAAACAATATAGTTCACCATATTTGCAGAAAAGTGGAGATAAATAAAATTTTCTTAATGATTACAAAAACACATTTGATAAAACACAATATTAATTCATGATAAAAACTCTTAGCAAACCAGGAAGTCAATTTGATGGTGAATTATTGAAAACTTTCTTCCTATGCTTAGGAGCGTGATATGGATACTTGCTACTTCTATTAAAAGAAAAATGGAAGTCTTAACCAAGGCAATAAGGCTATAAAAAGAAATTTTGAAAAGACAGTTTGGAAAAGGGTGAAATAAAACTGTCACTCTTCATGGACAACATAATTGTACATAGAAAATCTAAAATAGAATCTAGAGACAACTACTAGAATTTATAAGTAAATTTGGCATGGTTGTTGGATCCAAGATCAATGTATGAAATCAATTGCATTTTTATATATTGGCAACAAAAATGCAAATAAAATTAAAATTAAAATTAAAAAGATATGATTTACATTAGCATAAAAACTTTCAAATCTAGAAATGTATTTAATGATAGACATTTAAGACCTTTACACTGAAAACTATAAAACTTTGCCAAGAGAAATTTTAGGAGCCTAAATATAGAGAGATTCCACCCCCCCCATTTTTGTGGTTTAGAATTAAAATGGTCAGGATGTAAATTGTCTCCAAACTAATCTTTAGATTAAACACAATCCTGATTAAAATCTCAGCAGGTTTTGTGTAGAAATTGACAAGCTGATTCTAAAATTCATATAAGAATGCAAACGGCAAAACATAGTCAAGGAGATTATTTATAAAAAGAAAGATTATTTTGAGGACTTACACTCTCAGATATTGAGACATATCACAAAGCTATTGAAATTAAGAGAGATTGAAGTTTGCATAACAATAGATAAAAAGACCAGTGGAACAGAACAGAGAGTCCACATCTCTATAGTTATCTGATATTTTACAAAAGTGATACTGCTGTATAGGGTAGAAAGGATGACCTTTTTAACAAATGGTGCTGTTATTTGGATATCCACATGGGAAAAATGAATCTTTATCTTACACAAGTCAATTCCAGTCAGATTGTAGATCTATAGGCAAAAGTTAAACAAATAAATGCTTTTAGGAAAAAAAAAACCCACAGAAGATATATTTATTATCTCAGGTAGACAAAATTTTCTTAATTCGGATATAAAATGTACTAGTTATAAAATGTTCACTTGGACTACATTAAAGTTAGAAATTTCCTATTCATTAAAAGACACCATTAGAGTGAAAACATAAGCCACACAATATTGAGTATATTGTTAATAAATATAAAAAGACTCATATCCAGAATATATAAAGAACTGAAAATCATTGAGAAAAATTAAATAATGCAATATAAAAATAGGCAAATGACTTAAATAGTCATTTCATGAAAGAGGATATCCAAATGGTCAATAAATGTGAGAGCATGTTTAACCTCATCATCAAGGAATGTAGATTGAAATCACAATATGACACTACTACTCATTCATTGGAATAGCCAAACAAAGAAGATGGATAATACAAAATATCAGTGAGGGTATGGAACAAGTGAACTGTCATTCATTGCCAGCAGGAGTGTACATTGGTACAACCACTTTGAAAAAATGTTTGGAAGACTCGACTAGCCATATACGTATCCTATGAGGCAGCAATTGCACTCCTGGCTATATACCCAATAGAAATGCATGCACAGTGCACCCAAAATATACAAGAATGTTCATTGTATTATCTGAAATAGTTCCAAACTGGAACAACATGTGTTCATCAACAAAAAATGAATACATGAACTTTGGCATATTTATACAATAAATACTATAAAGTAGTTAAAAAAAATGAACCATTGCTACATGCAACAAAGGGTAAGTTTTCAGATGTTAATGTTGAGTTAAATAAGCCTGACACATATGACTTTATACTGTATGATTATGTTTATATTAAGCACAAAAATGTAGGCAAAACCAGTCTTTGTTTATGGAAGTCAACGTAATGGCTAACTTTGGGTGGGTACGGTGATTGAGGTGGGTTGCTGGTAATGTTTTGTCATTCATCTAAGTGGCTGTTTATAAACTTTGTAAAAACTCATCAAGCTTTATTAAGTTTTGTGCACCTTTTGCATGAATGTTATATTTCATAAGAAAGTTTATAAAGCAGAATATGAACAGGGAAATGTGTGTGTGTGTGTGTGTGTGTGTGTGTGTGTGTGTGTGTGATGTGTTCAGTGGTCAGGATTGCTGACTGTTTCTGCACACTTTAGAAAAAGGAGAGGCATAGGAGAGAAACAATTGAGCCCAATCGAGTTGAAAGTGAGGAAACCTACATAGGATTCATGAAGATGGATAGTCTGCCATGTGTTCTGTGATTTATAGCTCATAAAGGACTTCTCTGTACATTAACTCAATTCCTCTTCACAACAACCTTTTGATGTAAAAATTAATTATTATCTCCATTTTGCCTTTCAGAAAACTGAGACAGATATTGGGTGATATTTATTTTCTTTTCTTTTCTCTTTTCTTCTTTTCTTTTTTTTTGAGATGGAGTCTCGCTCTGTCGCCCAGGCTAGACTGCAATGGCACGACCTTGGCTCACTGCAGCCTCTGCCTCCCGGGTTCAAGCGATTCTCCTGCCTCAACCTCCTGAGTAGCTGAGATTATAAGCATGCGCCACCACGCCCGGCTAATTTTTGTATTTTTAGTAGAGACGGGGTTTCACCATGGGTGATGTTTCTAAGGAAGCAAAACCATGAAGTGTAGAGCCACCATGCTCTTTTCACTACACTGCTGTTAGAAAACTAGACATTTGGATGGAAGAATATGCTGTGGTCTGAAGGTTTGTGTCCCTCCAAAATTCATGTTGAAACTTAAACTCCATTGTGGTAGGTTTTTTTTTTTTTTTTTTTTTGTGACGAAGTGTCACTCGGTTGCCCAAGCTGGAGTGCAGTGGTGCGATCTTGGCTCACTGCAACCTACAGGCATGTACCATTGTGCCTGGCTAATTTTTGTATTTTTAGTAGAGACGGGGTTTCACTATGTTGTCCAGGCTGGTCTTGAACTCCTGACTTCGTGATCCGTCTGCCTCGGCCTCCCAAAGTGTGGGGATTACAGGTGTGAGCCACCGCACCTGGCCTGTGGTAGTTTTAGGAGGTGAAGCCTTTTGGGAAGTGACTAAGTAATGCGGCCTCCACCCACATAGATGAGATTAGTGTCCTTATAAAAGAGGCTTTGGAGAGCTGCCTGGCCCTTCATTCCTTCCACCATATGAGGACACAGCATTTGTCCCTTCCAGAAGATGCAGCAACATGGTGCCATCTTGGAAACAGAGAGTGAACCCTCACCAGGCACATGGGTCTTGGACTTCCCAGGCCCCAGAACTGTGAGAAATCGATTTCTATTATTTATATATTTCCCAGTGTAAAGTATTTCATTATGACAACAGGAATGGACCAAAACAGAATATGCTATATGCTATTTGGAATAAATTATTCCTCACAACTTTTCTATGAAATTGGCATTATCATCCTCAGTTTGCAGATGTGGTTCAGGAATACCTAATAACCTATGAACATACAATCTAGTAAGTGGCCAAGGCAGTATCTCAACATGTATCTGTCTCACTCTAAAGCTCATCTCTTTCTCTCAAATGTAGCTGCTAGCTGCTTGTGTGTGGTATAAATGATTCAGCTGCAAGAGCTCAGACAGCAGAAAGATCACTGCAGGGTGGGTCAGGGAGCCTTCGTGGAGGTGAAGGTACCCTTTGGGATAGATTTAATTAATAAATGAATTAATTAATTTTTTCTCAACTTTTATTTCCTATTCAGGGAGTACATGCACAGATTTGTTACCTTGGTATATCACATGATGCTTAGGTTTGGGGGTACAAATGATTCCATCACCCAGGTACTGAGCATAGTACCCAATGATTAGTTTTTCAACCCTTGACCCCCTTATTCTCTCCCTCCTCTAGGAGTCCCCAGTTTCTATTGTTGCCATCTTTATATCCATGGGTACCCAATATTTAGCTCCCATTTATGAGTGAGAACGTGCAGTACTTGGTTTTCTGTTTCTGCATTAATTCACTTAGGATAATGGCCTCCAGCTACATCCATGTTGCTGCAAAGAACATAATTTCATTCTTTTTATGGCTGCATAGTAGTCCGTAGTGTATATGTACCACATTTTCTTTACCCAGTCCACCACTGATGGGTTGATTCCATGTGTTTGCTATTGTGAAAGTGCTGCAATGAACATGTGAGTGCATGTGTCTTTTTGGTAGAAAGGCTTGTTTTCTTTTGGATATATACCCAATAATGGTTTTGCTGGGTCAAATGGTAATTCTGTTTTAACTTCTTTGAGAAATGAGATGGGATTAAATAGGAGACCAAGATGTGGAAAGAACTCTGAGTTTGGGGGGAATGGAGGAGATCAAGAAAGTGTTGGAAGGCTCATTGGTCAGTGAGCAGCTTTGTTTGGCTGAAGTACAGGGTTTTTTAAGTTCCAAGAAGTCAGAGACTGTTTTGTGAATTGACTTATCCCCAATGCTCAACACAAATTAAATGCTCCAGATAAATGAATAAACTGATTGGTTAGCATCAAAATTTGTGCACTTTTTAGAAACGTAACAGTTTATGGATGGCATCGTTCATTCAGTCCCCTGGTAACACAATGAGGTTTAATTTGACACACTAGTTAAAAAACTGAAAAGTACCTAGAAAACGAGATGGTAC
This sequence comes from Homo sapiens, assembly GCF_000001405.40. Classification (NCBI taxonomy): domain Eukaryota; kingdom Metazoa; phylum Chordata; class Mammalia; order Primates; family Hominidae; genus Homo; species Homo sapiens. The sequence continues at coordinate 133,929,022 of NC_000002.12, read as the reverse complement.
CAGCTAAGCCAGTTGAGAAAATATTCAGGAAAATCAGAGTGTTCCAAGTGTGACTGCTTTTGAGTCCTAAAGGTATCTGAAGGCACAGGGTGAAAATGGCTTAGATGAGTGCCTATCCTGGGGCCAGCATCTGCAGATCGTACTGAGAGTGCCTGCCCAACTCCTTTCATTTGGGACTTTTGAGCCTTTGTCCTTGCTGTCGGACTGGTGCTTTTGGGAAACTTCTCTATAAGCTCTGTTTTCACAAGAAAAATAATTTGTTGGGATAATGATCTACACAATGTGACAGTATTTCAGGCACTACCTCCTGTTTGAATGGAAAAATAGCGTTACAGGTCGCTCTCTAAGAATTCCTCTTTTTTGATCTTGCAGGAACACTACTCCCCAAATAGGTTCTGCCCATGGGATGTGGAGATGATGAATTTTCTAACCTCAGTGTTGCTGACACTTAGATCCATGCGCTTCTGGAAAGACTCATTTCTAAGCCATCACGGCTGATTGAATGATTGTATCCCCCAGGTGTTTAATAATGGATCCATGTCAATCCTAAAAGAAGTATCTGGTGGACTGCAATAAGGTTCTGCCTGTGATCGTCTTCATTTTATCATCCACTCATGAAGATGTGAAAGCCAGACTTCAGACAGACAATTAGAGGGCATTAGTAATGCATATTGGATGAGAAGTTGTGACACAAAATTTTAATAGGCTGCAAAGATGTGCTAAAATTCACTAGGTATAAATGATGTCATAGGTTCAGGGAGATACTGAGACAAGTGTGAACAGAATACATGAGATTACACTGAAGTTCAATTAACTGCTAGTCAAAAACTAAAAACTAAAACAATGTATTCTGTAGTGAACACTTGCAGATCTGTGTGCTTAGTTCACCTTTTCTAGAAGTTGCCCCTTCCCTTGTCCAGATGGTTGCAAAAAAGCACTGACGTCACAACATGACCTGGTTCCTGGCCACAGTTGATAGGTCCAGAAACTGATACTCAACTTAAGAATAAGGATCTGTTCTGTTTATTTTAAAATCAGAACCAAGAATGGTAAGCTGGACTGTCTTCGAAAGCCTGGACTCTAAGAAGTAAAGCTTTGGATTTATAGGCAGCCATGTCCCCCACCACTGGGGTGGCAGAGGAATCTAGTCTTTGGAGAGAGGGGTGGACATGAGAGATGGAAAGAGACTCCTGTCTACATGTTCCTATGGCTCAGTTGCATTTCTCTTCCTTGAGTATCACTGTATTCTAATAACCTAATAGATCCTCATATCTTCCCTTTCAACTCAAGCTAACTAAGTGTCTCATATTTGCAAAGCAAAATGTTCCAAGTACATGACTTAAGCTCCAGCTACAGTGCCCTGAATAAGGGTGGGATAATCATAATAGTAAATTTCCAAGTGGCCAAGTCTTAACTTTGCCTTGGCCACACTAATGTGGTCCATGTGGTCATTTCCAGGCTCAACTTTCTGAAGATGATGGTCAAGAGACAGAAGTCTCTGAGGAAGAGGAGGTAGCTGTTTAGAAATGTTTAAAGGGTTGCCATGTATAAGTCAAAGTAGGTGTTCTATGTTGCTCCAACAGACAAAAATGATACCAATAGTCAAAAGTTGGAATGCAGATTTTGACTGGACACAACAATTGTTTTTGTAAGTATTAGACTTATCCAATAAAGGAATGGATGACCTAGTGAAGGATCAAGGTCTCTGTCAATGGAAGGTTGGGTCAGAACTTAGATATACATTTATTTGGGAGTTTGATGAATAGATGGCTATTAATAGCTGTCATTTATCAAAGGCTTTTTATGTGTGAAACACTGTGCTTGACATATGCTTTATGTAAATTTACACATCTTCATAATAATCATATGAATAGATATACCTTATACATTTAATAATAGTTATCAAATATTTATAAGAACAATATTTTGGTAATTTTAAACGTAAAATTAAAAAAATTTGTTATGCTTCAATTGTAGAATTATGCTACAATTAATTTCAGTCTTTGAAGTATTTGTAATTTTACCACTTCATGGCATTTTTCTACTTTTTTTTTTTTTGAGACGGAGTCTCGCTGTGTCACCCATGCTGGAGTGCAGTGGTGCGATCTCGGCTCACTGCAAGCTCCGCCTCCCGGGTTCATACCATTCTCCTGCCTCAGCCTCCCGAGTAGCTGGGACTACAGGTGCTCACCACCATGCCCAGCTAATTTTTTTGTATCTTTAGGAGAGACGAGTTTTCACCGTGTTAGCCAGGATGGTCTCGATCTCCTGACCTCATGATCCGCCCACCTCGGCCTCCCAAAGGCATTTTTGCTACTTTTAAGTTTTAAATTCTTTTACTGATACATAATTTTATGCATATTTATGGGGTAGGTGTGATATTTTATTACATGCATAGAATGTGTAATGATGAAATCAGGGTTTAGGGTATTCATCACCTCGAGGACTTATCATTTCTGTGTGTTGGAAACATTTCAAATCCTCTCTTCTGGCTATTTTGAAATATACAATACATTGTTGTTAACTATAATCTACCTACTCTGCTATTAAATATTAGAACTTATTCCTTTTCTTTAACTGTATGTTAGTTCTCACCAACCCACCTCTTTTCATCCCCTAGCAACACCCCACCAACACACACACACACACACACACACACACACACACACACACACACACATTTTTCAGCCTCTGGTAACTATCATTCTACTCTCTACCTCCATGAGATCAACTTTTTTAGCTCTCATATATGAATGAGAACATGCCATATGTGTCTTTCTGTGCCTGGCTTACTTCATTTAACATAATGACCTCCAGTTCCATCCATATTGCTGCAAATGACAGGATTTCATTTTTTTATGGCTGAATAGTATTCCACTGTGTATTTTTGCCATATTTTCATTATCCATTCATTGACTGATGGATATTTTAAATTAATGAATAATTCTCAATTTTGACTCAATTCTATAGGATATGGTGGCCCTTCCAGATTTTCAAATAATACAAGCTACCACATTTTCATTTCCATTATGATTATTTCAGTTACATTTACCCAATTGCTTCCCATATATTTTTCTGGATACAATTGATAATGTCCTTTTGTTTACTATATAGCAGGAAAACCAACTTTTGTTGTCTTAATATTCTCTAGCTGTGGAGTTCAACTATTTTATCTTTCATAGCTGGGTAAGAACAGGAGTAATATTTTCTATTTTACTGTTGATCACCATCCCCAAAATCCCTAATATTATCTGCTCCATAAAAATCCCCAAAACCAACACTCAAGGGTTTGCTTAACATCAGACTGAATGAATAATTTCTTTGAAAAGATAACCCGAATTTGATATCTAGTCTGACCTATGATATTCTTTATAAAATAAGGAATTATTTTGTATCATACTGAATTCTAAAATATATGTTCTTGAGCTTTAAAATGCTTTCTAAAACTTTCTATTTAATTCTGCATTTTTTCACCAGCTACTGTAAAAATTCTGCCATATCACATCATTGTTGCTTTACTTTGTTCATCCTTTTTTTCTAGTTTGTCCCACATTTTTTATCTCTATAAAATGTCAGTGAAGAGACTAAACATAAATATACAAAGATCATGGCTAAGCCAGATGCAGACAGCCTGATAGTGAATGCCAGATGCCAGAGATTCTCTTCAGTTTAAATATTCAGCACCAGGTGGTTCAGTTGACCTAACAAAAGAACACGTGTTCATGAGATGCAAAGATAGAATTGGAGATACTAGTTCTCATTTGGATAAAATTTAGTTATTTAATGAAAGCATGCAAGAAGGGTTTGAAATCAAGTAAAAATGAAATTAAGTTAAATCATTCATTCACATCTATACAGAAAGAAAATTTTATTGCAATTTGTAAAATTTCTTTTCAGAAGTAATTCTTAGAACAAATGCTAGTATTTATAATATCAGCTAGAGAAAAAAATCCTTTAATTACGCTTTAGTGAAAGCATAATATTAAGTCTGTTTCCAACTCCCTGAAGAGTGGCAATAATTAAGATAATCAATGTTTCCTAATATGGGTTAGAGTAGAAATAGAATTTCTTATAAAACACATTGTATTTCTTGTTTTGAAAGATCTCATAGCTCAAATTTAAGTTGTTGCCTTTATAACTAGCTACAGTAAATAAGCTGGCCATGGACTTTGACCTTACACAGAAACTAATGACCTTAGGAGTATTTCAAGATGTTTTATTAACATAAGTGAAGTGAGTTAACACAGATATGCTGCAATAAGTGTTTGTGATACGTGTTCACATACATGTGAAGCATATGTGTGTGCATGCAGTTGAGTACTTCTGTTGTCAAAGTGGCCACTGTCTTAGAAAGCAATCAAATGAAGGCAGGATGTTAACTTTACCATTAACTAAGCAAGACGACATTGCCATCACTTACATTTATTCCTTACAAGTTACTTTTTAAGTGTACAATAGAGGTTCATGAGGAAGTAGCCCCTTAAAAATGTTTTAGACAATATTTAAAATATATATAGCAAATGAATAACTATATAGTCAATGCATTGGAATGATATACTTGCTGTACATTATTGCTTTGTAAGGGGTTGTATTAGTTTTCTGTTACTTCTGTAACCAATTACTACAAATTTGACAGCTTAAACAGTGCAGACTTACCATCTTAGGGTTCTAGAGAGTTGAAGTCCCACATGGGTTGCCCTGGGCTAAAATCAAGATATCCGTTGTGTTCTTTCCTGGATACTCCAGGGCAGAATCCATTTCCTTGCCTTTTCTAGCTTGTAGAGGCCACCACATTCCTTGACTCACAGTCCCCTTCATCCTTCTTGAAAGCCATCATCATTGCATCACTGTGGTCACATTCTCTGACCGACTGTGCCTCCCTCTTCAACTTTTGTGGGCCTTCGTGATTACATTGAGCTCACTGGACAAAATAGCACAATCTTCCTATTATAATGTCAATGGATTAACAACCTCAATTCCACCTGGTCCCTTAATTCCTCTTTGCTATGTAAACACTTGCAGCCCTGTGTTCACAGGTTCTGAGGATTAGAATGTGAACATTTGGGGGCAACACTTATTCTGCCCATTACGAGGGGATTTAGGGGGCTTCACCATCCAAAAAGCAGACTTTTGCATAATTTCTTTCTTTTTAAGACAGCAGCCCATCTTTTGCTACTCCTGGTGTTTGGACTCCCTTGATTCAATTTCTCTTCCTGTCTTCTGCTATTGCAAAGGAAGGCCACAGTCTAACTGCATGTGGCTGAGGAGGAAACCTTGGGGTTTATCTCCTTCTTGACCAACGCTTCTCTTTTCTGTCCCATTCTATTTCCCTATTTTTAGCAGTGCCGTGTCCTCCCAATTTTGAGGCTCTTTAGGGTTCCAGCCTGTGAATTAGTTTCCAAGCTTGGCCACTGAAAGAAGTTTCGTTCTACTTAATAGCATTTTTTACCCACGATTTTTCTCTCTCTAATTCTCTTGTTTCTTATGGACAAAAAATTAATTGCTATAATTTTAGAAAGGTTTCAGGAGAAAGTAGAGACATACATGTGTGTTCCATCAGCCAGATAAGCAAATAACCAGAAGTCTAAGGTACTTATTTTTTATAAGACAAAGTCCTAAGGCTGACAAGTAATTTGTCTAAGATCACAAAGACAAATAAATTGGAACCAGAATTCTATTCTGGGCTTTTCTGATCTTTGTTTTGGGAGGATGATTAGATGCAATAAACTTTAAGGTCTCTCTTTAATATAATATATTAAAGATACATTAAACCACAATGATTCTCAAGATTTATTGTCTGTCTCAGCTGAGAGGCAATTTGTATTATACACATGCCATATAGTTCCTACAAGATTTTAATTAGCTTGAGAAATTTATATGTCTTCATAACTCATATTGTATCATATACATGATGGTCACCTGATAAATATTATAAAGAAAGAATATGAATGCTTATTTGCCAAACAGAATTAATCTTCAGAGTTTCCTAACCTGTAATCCTAGGGTCTGGCCTAGGGCTCAGATTAAACTCCTGATATAATGTAATGGTAATTCCATAGCAAGATTCTTCACTCGAGTCAGCTGTCTGCTCACATGTTGCTCCCAAAGCTCTTATAGAAGCACATTTGAGATAAGATGGTCAAGGTTAACTGTGTGTATTATTACTGCTGGGCAGCTATTGGCATAGTATCTAAATTTCAGGTAGTTGTTTTGGTAACACATTTGATACCTGGAGAACATTAATGGGAGTCATCAATGTTAGCGATATTTTCTTTGTAGTCTCCTAGCCTCAGGCATAGTGGAGATAGTGTTTAGGCTGAGCTATGACCTTCACTGCTTTAAGAATTAAAAAGTTTGCAGTGTCAAGGGAATGAGAAGACAAGCCACAGACTGGGAGAAAATATCTGCAAAAGACATATCTGATAAATAACAATTATACAAAATATACAAGAAAACTCTTAAAACTCAACAATAAGAATACAAACAATTTGGTTAAATAGTAGGTAAAAGACCTTAACAGACAACTTACCAAAGGATATATTCAGTTGGAGAATAAGCCTATGAAAAGATGGTCTACATTTTATGTTATCATGGAAATGAAAATTAAAATGACAAAGAGATATCACTATGCACCTATTAGAATGGCCAAAATCCAGAATGCTGATAAAACCAAATGCTGACAAGGATGTGGAGCAACAGGAACTCTCATTCATCGCTGGTGGAAATACAAAATGGTACATCACTTTGGAAGACAGTTTGGCAATTTCTTACAAAACTAAACATGCTCTTACCATATGATCCAGCAATCATGCTACTTGGTGTTTACACAAAAGAGTTGAAAACTTATGTCCACACAAAAACGTGAACATGGATGTTTATAGCAGCTTTATTCATAGTTGCCCAAACTCAAAGGCAACCAAGATGTCCTTCGGCAGGTGAATGGGTAAATAAACTCTGGTGCATCCAGACAATAGAAAACTATTCAGTGCTAAAAAGAAATAAGCTGTCAAGCCATGAAAAGACATGGAGGAAATTTAAATGCATATTACTAAGTGAAAGAAGCCAATCTGAAAAGGCTACATACTGTGTGATACCAACTACAGATGCTCCTCTACTTACTATAGGATACTTCCCAATAAACCCATTGTAAATTGAAAATATCCTAAGTCAAAGATGGCTGTTTTTGTTAGACATGATGGGATGGGAAATCACAGACACAACACCCAAAAAACGCTGGCAAGACAGTACACTTTAGAGCATCAATTGTTTACCCTCATGGCGGCGTGGCTGACTGGGAGCTACTGCTCACTGCTGTTTTCTAGTATGGCAAGAGCAGCAACAGAGAGTCTCCTATCATGTATTGCCAGCCCAGGAAAAGATCAGAATTGACAATTTGAAGTACAGATTCTACTGAATGCATATCACTTTCGCACAGTGCTAAAGTTGAAAAACAGTAAGCCAAACCATCATAAGTTGGGGACCGTCTGTATATGACACCCTGGAAAAGGAAAAACTATTCAGATAGGAAAAAGATCAGTGGTTGTCAGGGGTTGACGGGGGGATGAACAGGTGGAGCTCTGAGGATTTTTAGGCAGTGAAAATACTCTGTATGATGCTATAACTATGGATATGTATCATTACAGATTTCTCCAAACCCATAGAATGTACAACACAAGAATGAATCATAATGTAAACCATGGACTTCGGGTGATAATGTTTCAGAGTAGGTTCAGCAATTGTAAAAATGCACCACTGTGGTGGGGGATGTTGATAATGGGGAGGCTATGCATGTGTGGAGGTAAGAAGTATAGGGGAATTCTCTGTACCTTCTGCTCAATTTTGCTGTGAATCTAAAACTGCTTTAAAAAATAAAGTCTATAAAAAAAGGATTACAGTGCCCCCCCACTCCCACATATTTTTAAATCACAAATTTTAAAATTATGATATCCTTCATATATAATTCAAAATTGGTACAATACTAAATTGAAAATTATTTTTTAAAATTTCCTAAATGACAGCATCCCTGATTTTGGGAGGAAATAGCAAATTCTATTTTTTTTTTTTTTTTTTTTTGAGACTAAGACTTGCTCTGTCACCCAGGCTGGAGTGCAGTGGTGCGATCTCAGCTCACTGCAACCTCTGCCTCCCGGGTTCAAGCGATTCTCCTGCCTCAGCCTCCCGAGTAGCTGGGATTACAGGCGCCCACCATGATGCGCGGCTAATTTTTGTATTTTTAGCAGAGACGGAGTTTCACCATGTTGCCCAGGCTAGTCTCATACTCCTGACCTCAAGTGTTCCGCCCGCCTTGGCCTTCCAAAGTGCTGGAATTACAGGCGCGAGTATTTCCACTGAGCCCAGCTAGCAAATTCTTTCAAAGAATATTTTCACTCTCCTTTTTCTGTGGGTGCTCCTGCTTACTGCAGCTTGGGGTGATGCCTTTTCGGTTACCTGAGGTGGGTAGCGGAGATTCCCAATTCCCATATCCCTTTTCTTTCCCCAGTGGTTCCTTCGGCCCCCATGGCCGGGACACATGGAAAGGTGCAAGGTATGAAAATCCCCGCCCATGGTGAGGGACCTGTTTGGGCCTCGAGATCCATTTTTTTTGGTTCCTCAAGTTTCTGGTGAGTTTGGCAAGTCTTCAGAGGTCCCTTCCAGGGTGGTACATGAAGTTTTGACAGATGGGTGTGAATTTGAGAGCTATCCTCTCTTGTCTAGCAGGGTGAACTTAGATAATTCATTCTATGTCTTTGAATCTTGGGTTCTTTTATAACATTTGTTTTAAAGCTTTTGTAATATGCATAAAATACCAACCTCTTAGGGAGAATGCCAGGAAGAAATGGCATAAGACACACAGAGGAGTCAGTGCAGTCCCTTCAATAAGTATCATTTCCACTGTTCTCTTTCCCAACTCCATCATAAAAAAGGTGGCCCTGGTGATCATAATAGGGCACATTTTATAGTAATTCACACATTACAAAGCAATTTCATACACATTGGTAGCATTATCAAATACTAGTGTTTGAAGGCAACTGGAAAATCTAGTTCTTATCTTATCAATAAATAACCTAATCCCAAGAAACCTCATGTAATTTATCCCAGGTCATGCAGCTAGGTAAAGGCACGAGCATGATTGAAAGCATGGGTGGTATTCTGCTCCTAAATATGCCTTTTGATATATCTAATCCTTATTGCATATGTAATATCTTAGAATAATAGCTGCTGTGTATATTCACCTACCAAAATGCCACACAAGTTCCCCAATATTTTCTCATCTAATTCCTACAACTATCTTCCAAGGTGAGTATTATTATTTTCTCATTTAAGGAATCACAGAATGAGGGCTCAAACAAGTTGAGTACCATCTGCAAGGTCACCCAGCCCATAAGAGGCAGGGTAGAAATGGGTCTGACAAACAAGCTTATGCTCCCAATACTCAAGGTTGTTGTCTAGATGGGGTTATTATAGGACAAGGCAGATGGAATTAGTTGAGCTGTTCAAATCATCTGTGTGAGTGACTCCGTGCGATTGGTATTTATTGCTAGGAAACATGGCAGTGGAGTGTGTATATGCTTTGTAGTTAGACTTCGGTTGGAATCCAAACTCTAGAGAAGGTGGCCTGTCAAGTGGAATGATGGAGCATGGACTTTGCTGTCAATCTGACCTGTGTCCAAGTCCCTGTTCTGGTACTCACTAACTATGTGACCTTGGGCAAGTTTCTTTTCTTCTCTAACTTCTGTCTGTGAGATGGGATAATAACAGCATCAATCTCCTGGTGTTGTTCTAAAGAGGAAATGAGAGATATTGTTTATAAAGTGTACACACAGTACTTTGTACAGTACTTGCTACCTAGTGGGTGCTTACTAAATGTTAACTTTTCTTATTATTGTTTTCATTATTGTATACACAGTACTTTGCACAGTACTTGCTACCTAGTAGGTGCTTACTAAATGTTAACTTTTCTTATTATTGTTTTCATTATTGTATACACAGTACTTTGCACAGTACTTGCTACCTAGTGGGTGCTTACTAAATGTTAATTTTTCTCATTGTTTGCATTATTGTATACACAGTACTTTGCACAGTGCTTGCTACCTAGTGAGTGCTTACTAAATGTTAACTTATGATTGTTTTCATTATTATTTAGCCTCTCTGAGTCTTGGTTAACTCATTAGTAAAATGGAAAAATGATAACTATGTTATAGTGTCAGTGTAATAATTAGAGAACTCTATGTAAAGTGTCTGGTCCCCAACATATGGTCACTCAAAGGAGTGGTATGACTCAAGTGTATACTAGAGGCTTCTATAATGAAGTCACAGATAACTGCAGATAAATATTAACCTATTGGAAAAGTATAGATAAGTAGTCTTAATGGCAATAACGTTGTTCTCTGTGGGAAGCTGTTTCCAAATCTCCATTTTCCATTTTGTAAAATCAACATCAGGGTTAAATGTAAAGCTACGGGTTAGGATAGAGATGAGCTTTGCCCAGGACTAAGTGGAGGAATGGCCAAAATGTCTTCAACTCCAAGGTTGAAATGCAAAAATCTATTGGTCTCTGTTGATTGCTTTCCCTTGATCATGGAATTAAATGGCAGGCATGTTGTGGCTTTGCAGCAGACTGCTGTGTGCAATCTCAGCTCAGTTTTCTGTCAGGTGTGGGCCCTGTGTGTAAATAAACCAACCACGCTGTTACCCCATGATGCAACCATCTGTAAAATGGGGATTAGGAGTGCTGTGAAAATGAAATGTGGGAATGTGTTTGACATGATGTATTGTCATGCTCCATAAATGTCTTCAAACATTAAAAAACAATTTAAAAGTTGAATGTTGGAGAAATACAGAATACATTATGACCAAAAAAGAAGCCTAGCTTTCCAGACCTCCCATTCAAAGCATGAAATAACACCCAGGGAATTATGTTGATAATTACCCAAGTCTAAAACAGTAGTACTGTTTAAAAAATAACCTTTTATTTAGGTTTTAGTGGCTTAAAACTGCCTTGACAGGCATTTTTATCAAACATTGACATACTCTTCCTAAATTATTTTGAGAGGCAAAGTCTTAAGGATTATTTGGAAGAAAAAATTTAATCTTCTTGAACATGCGGTATCTCAGAAAGCAAATGAATTTCTAACATTAGTATTTTAATTATTTGGCTATTGTCTAGAAGGAAGTCCTTTTATAGTTCCGAAAAGCTCCCTACTGTCATCTGAATTATGACAAAGTATTTCGTTTTGTAGGAATACCACCTCTTTCACAAATTACATAATTGCAGAAAGATCAATTAATAAGTGCTGAATTCCTTATTTGCATACAGTTTAAGGACATCACTATGAAGACTCAGAATATTCTTTTTTATAAATTCGCTCATTTCTGAAGAGCAGCCAATACTGGATCTCTTGAGTATTCCAACTGTCCTTTATAGAAAATAAAAGCATGGAAGAAACAACATAGATTTCTATACAGAAAGACAAAACCCCCACTTCCCTCAAATAATGGTGCCCTAGAGAGGAGGGGGAATAATATTTATTGAGCACCTGCTATGAAGCAGGCATTGTGCCAAGAGCATTAGATGCATGATTTCTTCATTGTAATCTTGGCAACAACCCCATGACATAGACATCTCTTCACATCTTTGTTCATTGTGCTGCCCAAACCTATCTTTCTCCCCATTCCCTTCATCTCCACTTCAACTCCAGGTAGAGAAATGCCTCCCAGTGTTTTCATGCTATGGCTCACGGAGAAAAGTGTAACATTTGCACGGCACACTGCAACAAACAGCAGAGTATTCTGGAATATTTAGATAAGGCTTGGTGAAAAAAATCCTTTTTATATATAGTATAATTTACAAGAAAAAAATCATGTATTGTAGGAGATATTAAATATTGAATTTGTACTGTTGCAGGACTCTCTCCTTAGTTCAGCTAAAGATGGGTCCTTGTCACACAGTCATGAAAAATTAGCCTCGCATGCAATTTGAAGGGTGAGAATAAATGGAATTTATTGGGCAAAAAGGCAGGGGGATAAGGGAAACAGAGACCCTCTACAAAGCCAGAATGCTGCTGGTGTGCTTCCTGCCTCGCAGATTGAATTCCACGTTCCACCCAGGAAGAGGAGGGGCCAGGCTCCTCCTTGCTGCAAACAGTGCGAACTTCCCAAGGCTCCCCACCAGTGCACATCCCTCCCAGTGTGCAGGCTGGTTGGAGTTTCTCATGGGACCCCTTCCCACCTGGCTGTCTCAGTACTACTCTTACAAATAAAACCATTTAATGGATATAAGGCTATTTATATATTTTTCTTTTTTGTTGTGTCAGTTTGGGTAACTTGTGCTTTTCAAAAACTATGTCCATGTTATCTGACTTGTCAACTTCATTAATACAAAACTGTTCATAGTATATATGCCCTTATTGTCATTTTAATGTCTACAGAATCTGTAATTTTGTCCCCTCTTACATTGCTGATAATAGCAATTTGTGTTTTCTCCTTTTTTATTATTTATCTATTTATTTATTTATTTTTTCTCTTTTTTTTATTATACTTTAAGTTTTAGTGTACATGTGCACATTGTGCAGGTTAGTTACATATGTATACATGTGCCATGCTGGTGCGCTGCACCCACTAACTCGTCATCTAGCCTTAGGTATATCTCCCAATGCTATCCCTCCCCCCTCCCCCCACCCCACCACAGTCCCCAGAGTGTGGTATTCCCCTTCATGTGTCCATGTGATCTCATTGTTCAATTCCCACCTATGAGTGAGAATATACGGTGTTTGGTTTTTTGTTCTTGCGATAGTTTACTGAGAATGATGATTGCCAATTTCATCCATGTCCCTACAAAGGATATGAACTCATCATTTTTTATGGCTGCATAGTATTCCATGGTGTATATGTGCCACATTTTCTTAATCCAGTCTATCATTGTTGGACATTTGGGTTGGTTCCAATTCTTTGCTATTGTGAATAGTGCCGCTATAAACATACGTGTGCATGTGTCTTTATAGCAGCATGATTTATAGTCCTTTGGGTATATACCCAGTAATGGGATGGCTGGGTCAAATGGTATTTCTAGTTCTAGATCCCTGAGGAATCGCCACACTGACTTCCACAATGGTTGAACTAGTTTACAGTCCCACCAACAGTGTAAAAGTGTTCCTATTTCTCCACATCCTCTCCAGCACCTGTTGTTTCCTGAATTTTTAATGATTGCCATTCTAACTGGTGTGAGATGATATCTCCTAGTGGTTTTGATTTGCATTTCTCTGATGGCCAGTGATGATGAGCATTTTTTCATGTGTCTTTTGGCTGCATAAATGTCTTCTTTTGAGAAGTGTCTGTTCATGTCCTTCGCCCACTTTTTGATGGGGTTGTTTTTTTCTTGTAAATTTGTTTGAGTTCATTGTAGATTCTGGATATTAGCCCTTTGTCAGATGAGTAGGTTGCGAAAATTTTCTCCCATTTTGTAGGTTGCCTGTTCACTCTGATGGTAGTTTCTTTTGCTGTGCAGAAGCTCTTTAGTTTAATTAGATCCCATTTGTCAATTTTGGCTTTTGTTGCCATTGCTTTTGGTGTTTTGGACATGAAGTCCTTGCCCATGCCTATGTCCTGAATGGTAATGCCTAGGTTTTCTTCTAGGGTTTTTATGGTTTTAGGTCTAACGTTTAAATCTTTAATCCATCTTGAATTGATTTTTGTATAAGGTGTAAGGAAGGGATCCAGTTTCAGCTTTCTACATATGGCTAGCCAGTTTTCCCAGCACCATTTATTAAATAGGGAATCCTTTCCCCATTGCTTGTTTTTCTCAGGTTTGTCAAAGATCAGATAGTTGTAGATATGCGGCATTATTTCTGAGGGCTCTGTTCTGTTCCATTGATCTATATCTCTGTTTTGGTACCAGTACCATGCTGTTTTGGTTACTGTAGCCTTGTAGTATAGTTTGAAGTCAGGTAGTGTGATGCCTCCAGCTTTGTTCTTTTGGCTTAGGATTGACTTGGCGATGCGGGCTCTTTTTTGGTTCCATATGAACTTTAAAGTAGTTTTTTCCAATTCTGTGAAGAAAGTCATTGGTAGCTTGATGGGGATGGCATTGAATCTGTAAATTACCTTGGGCAGTATGGCCATTTTCACGATATTGATTCTTCCTACCCATGAGCATGGAATGTTCTTCCATTTGTTTGTATCCTCTTTTATTTCCTTGAGCAGTGGTTTGTAGTTCTCCTTGAAGAGGTCCTTCACATCCCTTGTAAGTTGGATTCCTAGGTATTTTATTATCTTTGAAGCAATTGTGAATGGGAATTCACTCATGATTTGGCTCTCTGTTTGTCTGTTGTTGGTGTATAAGAATGCTTGTGATTTTTGTACATTGATTTTGTATCATGAGACTTTGCTGAAGTTGCTTATCAGCTTAAGGAGATTTTGGGCTGAGACGATGGGGTTTTCTAGATAAACAATCATGTCGTCTGCAAACAGGGACAATTTGACTTCCTCTTTTCCTAATTGAATACCCTTTATTTCCTTCTCCTGCCTGATTGCCCTGGCCAGAACTAACACTACGTTGAATAGGAGTGGTGAGAGAGGGCATCCCTGTCTTGTGCCAGTTTTCAAAGGGAATGCTTCCAGTTTTTGCCCATTCAGTATGATATTGGCTGTGGGTTTGTCATAGATAGCTCTTATTATTTTGAAATACGTCCCATCAATACCTAATTTATTGAGAGTTTTTAGCATGAAGGGTTGTTGAATTTTGTCAAAGGCTTTTTCTGCATCTATTGAGATAATCATGTGGTTTTTGTCTTTGGCTCTGTTTATATGCTGGATTACATTTATTGATTTGCGTATATTGAACCAGCCTTGCATCCCAGGGATGAAGCCCACTTGATCATGGTGGATAAGCTTTTTGATGTGCTGCTGGATTTGGTTTGCCAGTATTTTATTGAGGATTTTTGCATCAATGTCATCAAGGATATTGGTCTAAAATTCTCTTTTTTGGTTGTGTCTCTGCCCGGCTTTGGTATCAGAATTATGCTGGCCTCATAAAATGAGTTAGGGAGGATTCCCTCTTTTTCTATTGATTGGAATAGTTTCAGAAGGAATGGTACCAGTTCCTCCTTGTACCTCTGGTAGAATTCGGCTGTGAATCCATCTGGTCCTGGACTCTTTTTGGTTGGTAAACTATTGATTATTGCCACAATTTCAGCTCCTGTTATTGGTCTATTCAGAGATTCAACTTCTTCCTGGTTTAGTCCTGGGAGAGTGTATGTGTCGAGGAATGTATCCATTTCTTCTAGATTTTCTAGTTTATTTGCATAGAGGTGTTTGTAGTATTCTCTGATGGTAGTTTGTATTTCTGTGAGATCAGTGGTGATATCCCCTTTATCATTTTTTATTGTGTCTATTTGATTCTTCTCTCTTTTTTTCTTTATTAGTCTTGCTAGTGGTCTATCAATTTTGTTGATCCTTTCAAAAAACCAGCTCCTGGATTCATTGATTTTTTGAAGGGTTTTTTGTGTCTCTATTTCCTTCAGTTCTGCTCTGATTTTAGTTATTTCTTGCCTTCTGATAGCTTTTGAATGTGTTTGCTCTTTCTTTTCTAGTTCTTTTAATTGTGATGTTAGGGTGTCAATTTTGGATCTTTCCTGCTTTCTCTTGTGGGCATTTAGTGCTATAAATTTCCCTCTACACACTGCTTTGAATGTGTCCCAGAGATTCTGGTATGTTGTGTCTTTGTTCTCGTTGGTTTCAAAGAACATCTTTATTTCTGCCTTCATTTTGTTATGTAGCCAGTAGTCATTCAGGAGCAGGTTGTTCAGTTTCCATGTAGTTGAGCGGCTTTGAGTGAGATTCTTAATCCTGAGTTCTAGTTTGATTGCACTGTGGTCTGAGAGATAGTTTGTTATAATTTCTGTTCTTTTACATTTGCTGAGGAGAGCTTTACTTCCAAGTATGTGGTCAATTTTGGAATAGGTGTGGTGTGGTGCTGAAAAAAATGTATATTCTGTTGATTTGGGGTGGAGAGTTCTGTAGATGTCTATTAGGTCTGCTTGGTGCAGAGCTGAGTTCAATTCCTGGGTATCCTTGTTGACTTTCTGTCTCGTTGATCTGTCTAATGTTGACAGTGGGGTGTTAAAGTCTCCCATTATTAATGTGTGGGAGTTTAAGTCTCTTTGTAGGTCACTCAGGACTTGCTTTATGAATCTGGGTGCTCCTGGATTGGGTGCATATATATTTAGGATAGTTAGCTCCTCTTGTTGAATTGATCCCTTTACCATTATGTAATGGCCTTCTTTGTCTCTTTTGATCTTTGTTGGTTTAAAGTCTGTTTTATCAGAGACTAGGATTGCAACCCCTGACTTTTTTAGTTTTCCATTTGCTTGGTAGATCTTCCTCCATCCTTTTATTTTGAGCCTATGTGTGTCTCTGCACGTGAGATAGGTTTCCTGAATACAGCACACTGATGGGTCTTGACTCTTTATCCAACTTGCCAGTCTGTGTCTTTTAATTGGAGAATTTAGTCCATTTACATTTAAAGTTAATATTGTTATGTGTGAATTTGATCCTGTCATTATGATGTTAGCTGGTGATTTTGCTCGTTAGTTGATGCAGTTTCTTCCTAGTCTTGATGGTCTTTACATTTTGGTATGATTTTGCAGCGGCTGGTACCGGTTGTTCCTTTCCATGTTTAGTGCTTCCTTCAGGAGCTCTTTTAGGGCAGGCTTGGTGGTGACAAAATCTCTCAGCATTTGCTTGTCTGTAAAGTATTTTATTTCTCCTTCACTTATGAAGCTTAGTTTGGCTGGATATGAAATTCTGGGTTGAAAATTCTTGTCTTTAAGAATGTTGAATATTGGCCCCCACTCTCTTCTGGCTTGTAGGGTTTCTGCAGAGAGATCCGCTGTTAGTCTGATGGGCTTCCCTTTGAGGGTAACCCGACCTTTCTCTCTGGCTGCCCTTAACATTTTTTCCTTCATTTCAACTTTGGTGAATCTGACAATTATGTGTCTTGGAGTTGCTCTTCTCGAGGAGTATCTTTGTGGCGTTCTCTGTATTTCCTGAATCTGAACGTTGGCCTGCCTTGCTAGATTGGGGAAGTTCTCCTGGATAATATCCTGCAGAGTGTTTTCCAACTTGGTTCCATTCTCCCCATCACTTTCAGGTACACCAATCAGACGTAGATTTGGTCTTTTCACATAGTCCCATATTTCTTGGAGGCTTTGCTCATTTCTTTTTATTCTTTTTTCTCTAAACTTCCCTTCTCGCTTCATTTCATTCATTTCATCTTCCATTGCTGATACCCTTTCTTCCAGTTGATCGCATCGGCTCCTGAGGCTTCTGTATTCTTCACGTAGTTCTCGAGCCTTGGTTTTCAGCTCCATCAGCTCCTTTAAGCACTTCTCTGTATTGGTTATTCTAGTTATACATTCTTCTAAATTTTTTTCAAAGTTTTCAACTTCTTTGCCTTTGGTTTGAATGTCCTCCTGTAGCTCAGAGTAATTTGATCGTCTGAAGCCTTCTTCTCTCAGCTTGTCAAAGTCATTCTCCATCCAGCTTTGTTCCATTGCTGGTGAGGAACTGCGTTCCTTTGGAGGAGGAGAGGTGCTCTGCGTTTTAGAGTTTCCAGTTTTTCTGTTCTGTTTTTTCCCCATCTTTGTGGTTTTATCTACTTTTGGTCTTTGATGATGGTGATGTACAGATGGGTTTTCGGTGTGGATATCCTTTCTGTTTGTTAGTTTTCCTTCTAACAGACAGGACCCTCAGCTGCAGGTCTGTTGGAATACCCTGCCGTGTGAGGTGTCAGTGTGCCCCTGCTGGGGGGTGCCTCCCAGTTAGGCTGCTCGGGGGGCAGGGGTCAGGGACCCACTTGAGGAGGCAGTCTGCCCATTCTCAGATCTCCAGCTGCATGCTGGGAGAACCACTGCTCTCTTCAAAGCTGTCAGACAGGGACATTTAAGTCTTCAGAGGTTACTGCTGTCTTTTTGTTTGTCTGTGCCCTGCCCCCAGAGGTGGAGCCTACAGAGGCAGGCAGGCCTCCTTGAGCTGTGGTGGGCTCCACCCAGTTCGAGCTTCCAGGCTGCTTCGTTTACCTAAGCAAGCCTGGGCAATGGCGGGCGCCCCTCCCCCAGCCTCGCTGCTGCCTTGCAGTTTGATCTCAGACTGCTGTGCTAGCAATCAGCGAGACTCCGTGGGCGTAGGACCCTCCAAGCCAGGTGTGGGATATAGTCCCGTGGTGCACCGTTTTTTAAGCCGGTCTGAAAAGCGCAATATTCGGGTGGGAGTGACCCGATTTTCCAGGTGCATCCGTCACCCCTTTCTTTGACTCAGAAAGGGAACTCCCTGACCCCTTGCGCTTCCCAGGTGAGGCAATGCCTCACCCTGCTTCGGCTCGCGCATGGTGCGTGCACCCACTGGCCTGCGCCCACTGTCTGGCACTCCCTAGTGAGATGAACCCGGTACCTCAGATGGAAATGCAGAAATCACCCGTCTTCTGTGTCACTCACGCTGGGAGCTGTAGACCGGAGCTGTTCCTATTCGGCCATCTTGGCTGCTTCTTCCCCTTTTTTCTCGATGCTAGAGGTTCAGCAACCTTATTGATCTTTTCAAGGACTTTAGGTTCGTTGATTTTCTCTATTGTTTTCTGTTTTCCCTGATTTGGCTCTAATTTTATTGTGTTTCCTTTTCTTTTTTGGGGTTTAATTTGCTCTGCCTTTTCTTGCTCCTTAAAGTACAAGCTTTGAGCATTGATTTTACAACCTTCCTCCTCTTAAATACAGACATTTATGACTATGAAGTTCCCTCTAAGTACTGCTTTATCTGTATCACACGAATTGCAAAATGATATGTTTTATTATCATTCTG
Organism: Homo sapiens; assembly: GCF_000001405.40. NCBI lineage: Eukaryota > Metazoa > Chordata > Mammalia > Primates > Hominidae > Homo > Homo sapiens. The sequence goes on along the minus strand of NC_000002.12, from coordinate 133,910,176 downwards.
TTCATATTTTCTAATTTCCCTTGTGATGTGTATATATGTATATTTATATATGTATGTACATATATGTATATATGTTTATATAGACACACACATCTGTAATGAGCTATTAGAAATGTGCTATTTAATTTCCAAATATCTAGAGATGTTCTAGATTTGTTCTGTTTATTTTATATATATTTGTATACACACACATATATATAATCTAGAGATTGTCTAGATTTGTTCTATTTTATATATATATATATATACACAGACACACACATATATATTACCTGGTGATATATATACATACACACACATATGTAATGAGTTATTAGAAATGTGCTGTTTAATTTCTGATTATCTAGCAATTGTCTAGATTTGTGCTGTTTAATACAGTAGCCACTGGCTATATGTGGATATTCAAATTAAAATTACAATGAATTAAAATTAAAAACTCAGTTGCTAAGATGATCTAGCTAAACTTCAAGTCTTCAATAGTCACATGTGGATATGACTACCAGACTACTACCTTGGGCAGCACAGATATTTCCATCATTGCAGAAAATCATATTAAAATATTGTATTGTTATTGATGTCTAATTTAATACTGCTGTGGTCAGAGAGTGTATTCTGTATGATTTCTGATCTTTGAGATGTTTGGAGACTTGTTTTATGATCCAGAAAATAGTCCACCTTGGTGAATGTTTTGTGCGCACTTCAGAAGATTACTCAGTCCTTTTCTGTTGTTGGGCTTCATGCTCTAGTACTTTCAATTAAGTCGAGTTATATCTTCTCTATCTTGTTTAAATTTTTTAAAATCTAGTTGTGCTATCAACTGCTGAGAGAGTGGTATTCAATTCTTCAAAATATTGATTTTACATTCGTTGTAAAATCAATGCTCAAAGCTTGTACTTTAAGAAGCAAGAAAAGGCAGAGGAAATTAAACCCAAAATAATGATGAACTTATCTATATTTTTCTTTTGTTCTGTCACATTTAAAATGTTTATGTTTTCTTCATCACGTAATTCATTTATCATTATGAAATACCTGTCTTTATCTCAGTATGAAATACTCTCTGTGCTGAAGTCTCCTTTCTGTTATATAACATAGTCATGGCGGATTTCTCATAATTAGTGTTTGAGTGGTGTATGTTGTTCCATTTTCCATCCTTTTACTTTCAACTTTTCTGTGTTTTTATGTTTAAAATGTATTCCTTGTCAAAAACATATACTTTGGTCTTCCTTTTTAAACCAATACATACTTGCTGATGTATTTGTGTTTTATTCCACCTGCTTTTTGTTTTTTTGTTCCTCCTTTTCTGCCTCTTTTATGTGTGAATTAAGTATTTTTAGATATTAATTTTTGTGTTATTTTCTGTTAGTTATCATTAGTTGCTTTTATGTCTGTCATTTTTATATAGATATTACTATATGCATCTCTAATTTATCACATCGGCAACAAAAATTATTTTACTACTTCACAAACAATATAAAACTCTTAATATATTTTAATTGCCTTTCTCCTACCCTCTATACTCTTGTCATACAGCTTACTTCTAAATATGTCAGAACAATGTAAAGTAACTACATTGTTTTTAGTTTTACTTTTAGAAACCAATGGTCTTTAAAATATTTATGTATGCTTGTGTGTGTGTGTGTGTGTGTGTGTGTGTGTTTTAATGTCTTTTATATTTGCTAACATGCTTTCTCTTTCCAGAGTTCTCATTCTTTCCTAAGGAACTGGGTGTCTAATATTGTTTCCTTTTGGCCTAAATAACTTATTTGAGTATTTCCTGGTAGTAGAGATCTGCTTGAGGCAATTTCCTTCACTTTTGTTTTCCTGAAAATATGTTTATTTTGGCTGGTTTCATTTTTGGAAAAGATTTCACTGGCATAGAATTCTAGATTGATTTTTTTTTCCTTTCAACACTTTAAAATGTCATTTCACTGTCTCCTGGTCTCCATTGTTTCCAGTGAGAAGCTGTAATTTCTATGTTGCTCCCCTGTATGTAATCTCTCTTGTTTTCTCTGCCAATTTTCCAGATTTTCCCTTTATGTTTGGAATTCATCTGTTTGATTCTGATGTGTCTATGGGTGCTTTTACTGGTATTTCTTTGAATTCATTCTTCTTTGGGTTTTCAGAGCTTATTCCATCTTGCGTTGATGGAATTTCATATATTTTAGAAAATTCTAGGTCATTTAAATTTTTCCTAGAACTCAACGTTTGTGTTTGTTTGGCTGTTTTAAATGTATCAGATATCTTGAATGCAAGTAGAGTGCTGAGATACAAATTGTCTTCACTTTCACGGTTCTTTCCTTTTCTGTGTCTTGTGTGCTAACAATGTGTTAAAATTCTTTATCGATAAAGTATTTTTCATTTCTAGCATCTTCATTTGGCTCTGAAATTGTCCACCTGTCCAGAGATTTTGCTCACTTTTCCACCCAATCCTTTTATACATTGTAATTATTTTACAGTCCCCATATGATAATTACAATAATTCTGTGGCTCTGGTTCTATCTGCTGTTTTCTCTCTTGAGGAAGATCATTTGCTTAACTTGCTCATGTGCCTTATAATTTTTGATTAATTATAAATGAACAGTAGAGTCAGAAGAAAATAATATTCATATCCAGAAAAGGGCAGGCATTTTTATTCTGGAAGGCCATAAGCTTATTTTTACACTAGAATTTTTGAGATAATTTAGTCTAATTGATCTAGGTCTGAAATTGTTGTTGATTTAGTTAGATTCAATTCACCACAGGCTTCACATTGTTCAATGGAGAAATCAGAACTTGAGGTATGAGTGCCTGAGGGAGTTGATCAGTCCTTCTTTCCTGCCCTAGTACTTTAGCCAGCCCGGTTTGCCTTTGCTTCATGCCTGTCTCAGCTCTTAGGAGAGCTGTCACATACTCAGTGAAAGGCATGGAGTAGCTGGGGGTTTCTCTTAATATTCTTGTTCTGCCCCTGGACTTCAGCAATACCTGTGCACTTGGGTTTGGAGTGAGATGTCTTTCTTAGCTCTCTGGCCCCTCCCCCAATAGGTAGATGGTCTTTACCTTATTAGGTAAGGACCATAGTGTCTGTGGGGTTTCCTGTAGTTCTTCTTAGACTCCAGCAGGCTTGGCACACTTGTACCTGGAGAAGAGGGGATGTTTCTCTCAGCTCTCCAGCATCTCCCCAGTAGCAGATGGCTGTTGTCTAGTGTGCAATGTAATGTCCAGAAAGCCAATGGAGTTTCTCAGTTCTCCCCTCAGCCTTTGGACTTCAGCAGACTCCATGCACCGTGCCTCACTGTGCACTCAGCTCACCTGTTCCTCCCCCAGTGGTAGAGAGTTGCTGCCTTATAATCACCATGACCAAAGTGCCTGTGGGATTTCCTTCAGTTCACCTGCTCAGACTTGAGAAGCTCTGAACATCTGTGTCTTGGGGTTTCTGTCTTGCTCTCCTGATCTTTCTGTGAGCACTCAGTGAAAGCCTGTAGAAAAGAGTTGGTGGGTAAAGTGGAGACTCCCCTGGTGTCTGAGATTCCTGGGGATTCTAAATGATCATGCAAGCTATACTCTCCCTTTACAATTGCACTAAAATTTCAGCTGTTTTTTTCTTATCTGTATCCATGGCAGCAGCTTCTTCCACTCACTGTGCAGCCAAAGATAAAAGCAGTTGTGGGGTCTCCTCTCTCCTGGGAGGTTTTTGTCATTTTTTTCAATTTTGGTTCATTAGGTTTCTTACAGGCTTTTAAAAATTATGATTTTTTAGATTATCTGGTTTATTCTTGCTGTTAGGGTGGGTGCAATATTCTCTCTTGACTTTCTATATCTCTAGTGGAAGTGGGATTCAACATAGGCTTTGTATGTTGGGTTTTATGCTGAAATGGGTACAAGCCAATTCTAATTGACTTTTTAATGAACTCTCCTCAAATTCTTGATCATCATCATTGAAAACAGAGTTTCACACAGGGATGATAAAATATTTAAAACCATTTTTTACAATCATTCAAACATTTGTAAGAGTTATATTTAAAGACTTTAATAGCTATTTTTTATTGACAAATGCTATGTTAAATTTTATTTTGTAACAAGGCAAATAGAATTCAAATGCGAGCTGTCTTTTGCATATCAAGTATTTGAAAATAACAATGGAGCTCTAATTTATAGAGCATGCATGGCAGAGCATTCACCAGGAAGTTAACTGGGTTGCTAGTGAGAGCACCATCAGCTACAAAGAAACAATTAACAGATATATGAGAAATAGAAATTTGGAGTTACAGAGGAAATGAAATTGGTATGTTGAAGAAATATGTACATTTCTATATTAATTGCAGCATTTTTTCAATAGCCAAATTATAGAATCAGCCTAAATGTCCATTAACTGATGGATGGATAAAGAAAATGTGGTGTATATACATACATACACACACACACACACACACACACACACACACACACACACACGATGGAATACTATTCAGCCTTTAAAAAAAAAGGAAATCCTGTCATTTGTGACAACATGGATACACCTGGAGGACACTGTATTAAATGAAACAAGCCAGACACAGAGAGACTAATACCACATGATCTCTCTTGTATGTGGAATCTAAAAAAGTTGAACTCATAGAAGCAGAGACTAGAATGGTGGTTACCAGAGGCTAATGGTGGGGAAATTGGGGAGAAGTTGATCAAAGAAAATAAAATTTCAGTTAGGAGGAATAAGGTCAAGAGATCCATTATACAACATGGTAACTATAGTTAAAAACACTATATTATATACTTAAAAATTACTACAAAAGTAGATTTTAAGTGTTTGCCATAATTTGAATGTGTTCCCTACAAAATTCAGGTGTTGCCAATGTGGTAGTGTTAACAGGTGGGGCCTTTAGAAGGCAATTAGGCCATGAGGGCTTCTCCCTTGTGATGGAATTAAGGCCTTTATAAAAGAGGCTTCATACAGCATTCAGCCCCCTTGCCTTTCCACCTTCTACCGTGTAGGGGCTCAGCATTTCTCCCCTCTGGAGGACAGAGCATCAAGGTACCATCTTGGAAAGCAGCTCTCATCAGACAAGGGAACTTGCCAGTGCCTCTATCTCAGACTTCCTAGCCTCCAGAACTATGAAAAGGTAAGTTTCTTTTGTTTATAAATTACCCAGACAGGTATTCAGTGATAGCAGCACAAAAATGGACTAAGATTGTATTCTACCCCCAACAAGATAAATATGAGGTAGTGCATATGTTAATTAGCTTGATTTAGGACACTTAACCTCTGTATCATTGTCAGCTCTACTGTCTGACAGGGCTCAACTGAAATAATGGATGCACGTGCTGTTGGTGTATGATGCATTATAGTATAGAGATAGAGACAGCATAATGATTATAGAAATGACTAAGCCTGCTAAAATGTGTAACTACTTTAAAAAGTGCCCTTGTAATGCCCTCATTCTGGGCAGTGCGATAGCCAGTGGGAGAGGAAGTATAGTATATTTAGGGAGCTCTAAAGTGATTAGAATCCTGACTTGACCACTTAGCTAATTGTGGGATGCTGGACGAAATGATCTGCCATTTCTATGTCTTGATCTTCCTATTTGTAAAGTGAAGATACTATTAGTACATTGCTCACAGGATGCTATGTGCCAGCACTCAGTACCGCACAGGCACGTTGCAAGTGCTCAAAAAGGGTACACTGTTTTAGTAAAAGGAGATTTTTCGTACTCCTAACATCACAAGAAACGGGACACTACCTCCCCTACTATTTTAGAAGCATTTCCCTAAAATGTGAATAGATGTTCTGTGGAGGAAAGTAACCAACCAAATATGTTTCTATGATCAAGTTTGTGAAACGCTATACACTACGCATCCTTCAGAAGTTTCACACTGTGGATTTGCACTTCAAAGCTTCTGAATTGCTCCATTATAGAGAAATTTGTTCTATTTCATTTATCCAGGATGTCTTAAATGTATTTACACATGAAACACTTCTGTTACAAACCATTTATGAACATCTGGTGTAACTATTTTCACCTGTCAACATCCCAGTTTTTTTTTTTTTCTAAATCCCTTCAGTGAAAGGGAGAAAAAGAGGCACAAGTGTTTATGGACAATGGAACAGAAAACAAAGGTTATAGTATATCATCTAAAGTGACAAAATAATAGTCACTACATAATAGTGATCACTAAATAATAGTATATTACTAAATAATTGTGATACAAATAGTGATAAAACTATACTGGGGTTAGGGTTGGTGTGATAATTTAGGTGAGTGAAACTGATCTACTAAAGGAAGTCAGGAGATCTCTCAAATTAATACACAAAGAGACACAAATACATGATTATAGAAGTTTTGATGTGCAAATCCAGACTAATGTATTTGTGTATTTGAGAGACACAAATACATTATTTGTAGATAGGGCAGGAACCACTGAACTGAAATTGCTGTCTTTCACTAAAAGTCCCTCTGTAAAACCTGATTTTAAAGAAATGCATGAGTTACTTTGATAAAAATGTACACAAAAATAAAATCTTTGAATATTCCAAATTTCTAGGCTTAGTTTATACTGAGCCAACTCTAAAACTGGTGAAAAAAGGAATATCAAGAGAATCAGGGCCTCCACCCCACCACCTCCACAAATCTAACAGCGAATGGAGCTGTGATCAATCACCACTAGCCAGCTGGAACTTCAGGGGCCGCTTTCCACTTGCTCCCTTTCTATTTTGTGTGTGCTTTAATCATTTTTCCTCCCTCCTCTGCTTCTTTTCTTTTTCGCAATTCACGCCATCCTGCAGTTCTATATTGCAGTGTAAGATTAAAAAGAAACTAATAAGCCCAGGGCAACTGGCTGATTGGTGAATTCAACCACCATACTATCTCGACAATATTATGACTACTTTTCCTCCCAGCAACTCCATATATGCCTGCTTCTTTACGACATTTTTTTTTTTAAAGAGCCAACAGACTCTGAGAATTCACTACAAATCCTCAGCTAAGAAGAATTTCAAGATGGAGCAAGCTTTAGAAATGGGGTTCATATTGCACTATCTACTAAGCTCTCTTAAATTGCCAAAGCAAATCAAGGTAGCCTGACTGGCTGATTAAATGATTAATTCTGCCTGGATTTAATTTCTGGCTTTTCTGGGATTCAGCTGTGGTCTAAATTAAAGCATTAACCTTTTAACTAGAAACCTGAATTTAGTTTTCCCTTGGTTTACATGCATGGCTCCCATCAGAGATTAATCTTCATCCTTCAAAATACAGCCCAGAATTCATCTTTCTGAATGCCCCTATGCTCTGCCCAGGACCCCATTTTCTTCCTCTTTCGCAGGAACTTTGACTCATAGTTGTCCAGAAGGTCTCTCACACACCTTTGTGACAGCACCTCCCACGCTGTCCCACTATCTGATTACCTGTCTGTCCACCTTGCTAAAAGGCATATCTTAGACACACAACTGGTGTGTACAGTCCCCTTCTGTTGAATGTGGCTAGGCCCTGTGAATATGATGGGATATCATGCCATTGATTAGGTTACCCTATATTGGCAGAGGTGATATGATACACTCTGTGACTACCATAAGTTAGGTAAGGCTCTCATAGCAGCCTGTAGGAATGCAGCCTTGCCAGTGCCTTGATGTTAGCCCACTGAGATTGATTGTGGACTTCTGAATGCTACAACTGTAAAACAATAAATTCGTGGTGTTTAAAGTGTGTGGTAATTTGTCGTAGCAGCAATATGAGATTAATAGATTTCAATTCCTATCCCATTCAATATAATCTTGGAGGAACTATCCATCACAAGGCTGACTCTCCTTTCTCCCAAAGGAAAAACATGACCCAGATTTTCCGAGACCAGAATCAGAATGGAAGGCCATTGCTGCTGGGTCACCCCAGCAACAACACTCAGGATAAGGTTCCGCATGAAGGCTGGGTTCCCTGTAGGCCCATCCCTCCCCAAATTGATCTTATTACCTTGAGCTAATTAGTGACCCAGGATCTTTATGATGAACTTCATTTTTTTTTTTGCTTTGATTAGCTAAATGCAATTTCTTTTACTCGCAGTCAAAAAACCTTACCAGCTATCATTTGCTCAGCATTTACCATCTTCTTTCCCAAATATTCTCTCCAGCTTAACTTCCCCTTCCAGATATTGTTCTGTGTGTTTTCATTACATTTTAACACTTCATAATAATTTACTCTTTACACTGTAACTCTTGATGATAACTTTCACAATAATCCTAAGGTTAACTATTTTTAAGCCCATTTCACTGACAGAAATCAGCACAAAGAGGTTAACTTGCCCAATGTCATGTATCTATTTGGTGGCAGCACCTGAAATGAAATACGGTTTTTTGTTGTTGTTGTGATTTTTTTTTTTTTTTTTGAGACAAGGTCTTGCTCTGTCTCCCTGGCTGGAGTGCAGTGGTGCAATCACGGCTGGTTGTATGTAGCCTTGACCTCCTGGGCTCAAAGGATCCTCCCACTTCACCTTCCCAAGTAGCTGGGACCACATGGACTACCAAGCCCGGCTGGTTTTTTTTCTTTTTATTTGTAAAGACAGGATCTCACTATGTTACCTAGGTTCATCTTGAACTCCTGGGCTCAAATCCTTCTGCCTCAGCCTCCCAAAGTGCTGAGATTACAGGTGTGAGCCACCGTGCCTTGCGGGTCTCTTATTTTCAAAAGTTCATTTGCCCAGCCACCAGGCTCTATTGCTTTGAAATAAGTAATGGCCATCAAATAAATGTAACAGAGGCATTCCTCACAGAACAGAAGAATCTAAAATAGAGCAAGGAATGGGCTATGTAGCTGCTGTAGATACAGAAGCTAATAAAGAAGGAGAATATTTTCAGAAGGAAGGAAAATCCCAGGGTGGAGGAAATAAACAATGGCTCTTCCTCCCAGAACTGAATTCTGTGCTGTGATGTTTGGACAAAATATTAAGCAAAAGAATCACGAGAAACAAAAGACATGGTTCGTATTCCCATGGGTTTAGGAATCTCATTCTTATAAGACCAACAGTAGCAAAGAAAAGGGCTGTTGGGAGGATTACAGGAGGTAATGCAAGGAGATCTTTTGGCAAGATGTTTGGCAAGTAATGAGGCTAAACAAACATCTACATAATTCCAGGGCCAACCCACTCCTTTGAAGGAGAGATCCTTCCTTTAGATATGGCTGTGCCTCCACCTGAGATTTGGCCAAGCTTGCACCCCTGATCCAAGGTTGCTCAGTTTCCTGTTTACCTAAGAGCAATCTTATTTTCTTCTTTTTCAGTACTCCAGAGGGCTCTCATCTCTGGGCTCTCATCGTTCACCCCCAGTGCCTGTTGGTTAATATAGCAGGAGGGGGTTTTACCTTCCATGCTCCCTTCCCTGCCTTCTCAAACTGGGTGGCCAGAAGGCCCTCTTTGATGAGGAGATGTCTACTTAATAATGCATCAGCACTAGGTCTTTTATGAGAGAATGGTCGGTTAACTTCAATGATTCCTGCCCAGGCTGGATTATTTCAAGCCAATATCCTATAGGAGAAATGGAGGGGCCTAAAACCTTCCACTCCAGCATTGTGTTGGGGAAATACAGTCAGACTCAGGGACCTAGAGGACAAAGTGGGGAAGGGCAGAGATAAAAAGACCAAAAGAATCAAGGGGAGAAGAACTGAGAGTAGAATAGACAGCAGGTGGACCAAGAGGCAACTCAAGGAAGGTCATTAATTCACTCATTCTTGGATATTTATGGATGTCTCCTTTATTTCAGGGAATATGCTCACAGGAAAAGGCTTCTGCCCTCAAGGAACTCCCATGACAGCTCAGGTGTGGGCAACACACTTGTGAACAAATTAGATAATTTCAGAGTGATAAGTACTAAGACAAAGAAAAAAGAGGATGATGTGACAGAGTGGGGAGGGGAGGAGGCAATATATCGGATAAGGAGGCCTGGGAAGGTCTCTCTGAAGTGGTGAAAGTCAAGCCTAGACCTGATTGATGAGAAGGTAGCATGTGGAGATGGAAAGAATGTTCCAGGCAAAAAAAGAAAAAAAAAAGGACAGCAAGTTCAACGTGGAGGTGAAGAGAAAGACTGGTCCCGGTAGGGTTAGAGCAAATTCAAAGTCTTAGTGGTCATGCACTTGGTATGGGCAAACAACAAGAAGCAGACCAGGGTTAGAGCTGTTTCTGCTGCATCCTTTGGAGTGCCAGCATGGGCAAGAATTATTCCTGGTTGGAATTTTCTCTCATATATGGACTCTACCAGCCTCCCCTCCAAAATCTCAAGGGGAAAGCACAGATAATGATACATGCCTCTTATAGATGAGGAATCCTAGGCACAGATCAGTGATCATCCCGGAGAAACAGAATGTGAGTGGCCAAGGTTCAGGCCCTAGTCCTCTCCATCATAGACACGTGTTCTTTGCTTGAATCCACAGAAATGCTCACTGCATCCAGTTCTTGGCCTGCCTGATTTCAAAAGAAGCTTCTATCTTTTCTTTCCTCTTTCCACAATGTGTTAAAGAAACCTGGACATCATTCTTAGCTAATATTAACCTTCATTGTTTGTTAACCCTATATTTTTCCTCTTGTTTCTTCTCCATCCCTTTTTCCCTCGTGAATTCGAGCCTCTCTACCTCCACTTGGTTTGTTCGGCTGTTGGCCCGCCTTGGCAGGCCTCGGAGACAAGGTCCTTCCTGTACACTGTCCTTATCAAGTACCTTGGAGCATGGGGAGGCTGGGGGCCCAGTTCTTACCCTCCCACTCTGGGTCTTCTAACATTCCCACTTACCTGAGGGGCAGACATTGCAGGGCATCTCAAACCTCACAGGTTTGGGGGGAAAAGAACTGAGAATTCTGAGTGGAGCCTGGTAAGAATGCAAGTACCAAGCCTCTACCACCAGATTCTGATTCAGTGGACCTGGGATGGATCCCAGGAATCTGCATTTAAAGAGACTTCTCTATCAATTTGTTTTCTCTAAATCAAATTAAATCTGTTTCCAGAGACAGAAACAGTCTGACTTCAATTTTCATTTGAATATATTTTAATGAGTTTCAAAGTATGACTTAATAGTTCTTGAATATAATTTGAATTTAATACTGAATAAATATTAGATATTAAAACTACTGAGAAACTAAAGAATGCATATTATAGAAGGTTAAGATGATGATATAATTTACCTACTTTATGGTTAGTGGTAAAAACAATTTTAAAAATCACATCTTTATTTCTTATTAAAAATAATCTGATTTTAAGCCTCAATCTCAGCCAGTACCAGAGACCCCCCACTTCCCAGGGGTTGCAGATTAAAGAAGAGCTAGACCGTGTCTGAAAACTGGGGAGGGCCCTCATATATCCTGTCTGCCACGCTTGCTACTGAGAGCCACATATACTGAGCTCACAGGTATCCCTGCAAGGCTGACAGCTCTGCTGCTTCTTAGCCATGCTTGGTGCCTGGGAACCTGGATGGGCTGGGGTGATGGGGAGGGCTGGGAACCCTATGCCAAGTACCTACCCTCCTGGGTGGCCAAGCAGTCATTCCCTTCACCTTGCCTCTTGCCTTCCTCTGGAGGCCTCTATACAGGCGGGGTGGGGGGTGGGTGCAGGGGTAGGGTGGTGGGGGGTGGATGCTGATGACAGTGTAGCGGGACGAGCTGCAGACAAAACCCCTCAGACACAGAGTTGAGGAAGGAAAGGGCTTTATTCAGCCAGGAGTGTTGGCAGACTTACATCTCAAAAAACTGAGCTCCCTGAGTGAGCAACTCTTGTCCCTTTTAAGGGCTTATAGCTCTAAGGGGGTCTGAGTGAGAGGGTCATGATCGATTGAGCAAGCAGGGGGTACGTGACTGGGAGCTGCATGCACCAGTAATCAGAACAGAACAGAAAGGAACAGGACAGGGATTTTCATGATGCTTTTCCATACAATGTCTGGAATCTATAGATAACACAAGCAGTTAAGTCAGGGGTTGATTTTTAACTACCAGGCCCAGGGCGCAGCACCAGGCTGTCTGTGGATTTCATTTCTACCTTTTAGTTTTTACTTCTTCTTTCTTTGGAGGCAGAAATTGGGCATAAGACAATATGAGGGGTGGTCTCCTCCCTTATCACCCCCCTTTGAGAACTTTACTCATTAGTGGGAGTTCTCACTTTCATCCTCACTACCCATGTCTTCTGGTAAGACAGATTGATAGTGATTCATATAGTAAAGGTCCACCCACAATACCACCACACATCCGCTCGGGGATGAACAAGGGCTGACTTACTGGTAAGCTCTTGAAAGTTCTTAAGCTCATCGCATCCCTTCAGGTCTCCAAGGAATGCTAAATTTCCGCCTTGTTGTGAGAGACACAAAGTGAACTTAGTGTTGGGAGATGGAAACTGGATGGCCCTTGGGGGCTGACCCGCAGGGTGCTGAACTTTGGGATATAGCAGAGAGAGCTTGGCATGACTTATTACTCCAGGCTGTAGAATCCTGGAAAAAAGCTACCATGCAGCCCACGCCTGGTTGACTGGAGGACCACCTTAGTGGAAGGGGGACAATCTGGGCCTCTGGCCTGCCATGTGCACAAGCATAACAATTGCTTTTGTTTAATGTGCAGACAGAATATTTGATCCATTCTAACCAGGCATTTGCGTCTTGGTATCCTGTCTTAATTGCCAAAGTTTAAGTCTTTAACTTCTATGATCCTCTAGTAAAATGAATGTATGGTTTTAGGAAATTACAAAAACCAGTTGGGGCAGTCCATCCTTGCTCTTTAGTGGTCCACAGAACATTGGACCAACTACGGCATAAAAGCTCTACATTCAGGGGGCAAGACTCCTGGTTGACACTGGGGTCTTTATCAAAATCTCCCCAGATTAAATGGTCCCAATTTACTAATGCCCAGTCTGAGGAGAGTCAGGAGGGACAGAGGTACTTTTCTGAAGTAGAGAGCTGTCTTTGACTTGGCAAGTCCCCACAGGGTATAACAAGGCAAGCATTAAATGCAATAGTTTGAGGTGAAATCGACTTGGTTATGTTAATAACTAGATGGTCAGCAATAGAGTGAAGAAAGAAGAAAGAGTAATAGAATAGATGAAAGAGTTAAATTTTTCTTAGCTTTAGTTTGGTAGGGTTTTCCCCTGGGACTATGGCCCAAGACACTGGAGGGGGTGGCGCTTTCTTGACTCAGGTGTGATGAATCCATCCCTTTTTCTCTGTACAAACAGAAGTCTCGGTGGTTAGCAGCATAAGGTAGGTTCCTTCCCAGGCTGGCTCGAGTTTTTCTTCTTTCCACCCTTTGATGAGAACATAGTCTTTGGGCTGGTGCTGGTTTACCGGAAATTCTAGGGGTGGTACATGTGCTAAAAGACTTTTAGTTTTGAGGGAAAGGAAAGTGGAAGATAAAGTATATAATTTCTAAGAAATTGACCTTTTGTTTTAAATGTGGGGACATCAGCAGTGGACTTTATAGTCCTCGGTACCTTCTTACTGAGAAATTTCCTTTAGCACCTATTTTTTAGTTTTTAGACCAAAGAAAGCCAAACACCATTTTATATCTGACAATGCTTCCTGTGTGTTTATACCAGATAAGCTAGATTTCGCCTTTACATTAGTGTGTTATTAATGTTAAACTTAGTTTTAATAAAACTTTGTAGACATAGTTATTCAATTTTTAATGTCTGACCATAAGGTAAGATTTTTATAGACTCTTTTTAACCTTTTATAATTTTTGTTAAAGGGCAGGTTAGTGCTTTAAGGAAAACCTGTTGTGTTTTTACTTTAATGTACAGAAAAACTGGATGATACCCCTTTAACTTTAGCCAATATGTTTACACACAGAATTTCCTTTACAATTAACATCTTAAAACTTGCTTAAACCTTCAAAACAAATTTTTTTAACCTTTTAATGTAGGTAAAAATTCACATTTTTACACCTCCTTATAATACTTTTACTAAAAGTATATTTCACTTTTCTTATACACCTTGTACATGTATAAACTGTTTCTTCAATAGTTTTACATTCAGGAGGCCTAATTACTTTTAAATTATACAACATTTCTTGCATAAATTCCTTTTTTATAACACAAATTTTTTTCTTCTTTCACGACTTTCACAGACAATTTTTCGACATGTATCAACTTTCTGACTTACTGCAAACATCCCTTTCTTTAAACAACCAGTTAATTAATTTTCGGATAAGAATTTACTATATAACATTCTTTTGACATAAATTCTCCACCCCCAACCCTCTCTTTTTTTTTTTTTTTTTTGGATAGTTCTGAACTGGTGAGGTGTGCTCACAATGAGGTTTCCTTTAAAGGTTATTTTTCTACTTTTTTCTGTTAGCAAAGCCGATGCTGCTACAGATTGAATGTATTTGGGCCATCCGCAGGTTACTGGGTTAAGGAATTTTGATAGGAAGGCTACGGGCTGTGGGTTGTCAGTGGCCTCAGTGCTTTCAGGCTACACCCTTGTTTACACTGACAACAAAGTGGTATTGGAGTGTTACATGGTCACCGATAAGACCTTTAATTATCAATTATAGGTTCTAAATTTACCATGGCTTTTAAAGGAATAGAGTACACTTTTTTTTCTTAACTGCTTGTATATCTCTTTTTCTCTCTTTGACTTTATCTCTCTCTTTGACTTTCTTTTTGTCTGTCTGTTCCTCTCTCTGCCTTTCTTTCTCTCTTTTTGAATACTTCATCCCCTCTCTCTTCCTCCCCTCTCTCTTCCTCCCCTCTCTCTTCCTCCCCTCTCTCTTCCTCCCCTCTCTCTTCCTCCCCTCTCTCTTTCTCTCTTTCTCTCTCTCTCTCTTTTTCTCTCTGCTGGTCTTTCCTTGCCTCTGCCAGCCGCTTATGCTGCTGTTCTCCTCTCTCCTTCCTCTTCCCCTAGGGAAGGGACCGGCGGGAGTGGAGCTACTCTTTCTTCCTTGGCTGCCTGTCCCTTTGCCACTAGTACTACTGCTGCCTGTCATCTTAACCACTGTCGGGGGTCTAAAACCAGCTGTAACCCACTATCTATGTATGGAAACTGATCTGGGTGTCCTAATTTACCAGTTACTTTGTGCCATACCTTTGAAAATAGGGACCTGTCTAGGCTTCTTTCTGATGGCCATCCCAACTCTAATGCTGGCCAATCTATCTCACACAAAGCCTTAAGCTTTCCAGGTGTCATAGTGATTCCATAGTCCCCATTGAATCCTTTCTTGAAATTCTTTAACATAGTTCCTATCGGGTAGGCTTACTTGGTGTTTTACTCATTTTCCTCTCTCAGGAGACAAAACAACACTCTTAACTACAAACAGAGAGGGGGAAAAGGGGCAAAAAGTCACTCACTCACCAAGCAGTTCACACTAAAACCAAAGTATGGATAAGGAGTTACTCATTCATCAAGCAATTTGAGCCAAGTCAGAACCGAAATCAAATCCAAAACAGTTCAAATCCAAAAGTCAATACTGAAATCTAAACCAAAACAGTGCAAATCTAGTCAAAATCAAAACCAAAACCAAGGTGCCGATTAAGGCACGCCATGGGTGATCAGGCCACATTTCCACTCAGAGTGGGCAAGTTCCAAGATTGGTCTTACCGTGTTCCAGATGTCCGGACTCCAGGTGCCGATTTCTTCCTGGTGTTCAGCCACTGTTAATCCTCCGTGGGGGGGCCTACCGTGTACTCTCTGGTGAGGCATTCCACTGAGGCAATTGCCTACCTGGGAGTGCTCTCAGGATTCATGTCACTAAAGCTGGCTGGAGTCCCCTGCAGGGATGCTCCACAGGGCAGGCCTAAGCCGACTAAGGGGCTGCCTCGACCATCCACCAATCACCTCACTTCCCGGTCAGAGAACCAAGAAATGTAGTAGGATGAGCTGCAGATGAAACCCCTCAGACACTGAGTTGAGGAAGGAAAGGGCTTTATTTGACAGGAGCTTTGGCAGACTTATGTCTCAAAAAACCAAGCTCCCCTAGTAAGCAATCCCTGTTCCTTTTAAGGGCTTACAACTCTAAGGGGGTCTGCGTGAGAGGGCCGTGATCGATTGAGCAAGCAGGGGGTACGTGACTAGGGGCTGCATGCACCGGTGATCAGAACGGAACAGAACAGGACAGGGATTTTCACAGTGCTTTTCCATACAATGTCTGGAATCTATAGATAACACAAGCAGTTAAGTCAGGGGTTGATTTTTAGCTACCAGGCCCAGGGCATGGCACTGGGCTGGCTGGCTGTGGATTTCATTTCTGCTTTTTAGTTTTTACTTCTTTTTTCTTTGGAGGCAGAAATTGGGCATAAGACAATATGAGAGGTGGTCTCCTCCCTTCACAGAACCATGAAAATGCCATTTCCTTCCTAGCCAGGAATCTGCATGTATAAGTCCTCTAAGGAATTCTGACCCAAGTGGTCCTTGGATTTACTTCTGGTAATGCCTTAGGGAGTATATTCTGCGCTGACTGGTGGATTGACTGATGAACTCACTTCCTTCATTCAGCAAGCATTTATTTACCTCTACTCTGTACTGGGCGCCGAAGACAGAGCAGTGAACAAAACAGAGGCAAGTCCCTCTCCTCATGGAGCTTACGTTTCTGTCTTAGGCAGACAATGAACGGATTCACAAAGAATATGTGCAATGTGGTGTTGGGCAGTGATGAGGAAAAGGGAGGCAAGGTGAAAGGAAGAGGGGCCGCAGTGCTCTTTCTTTTCTCTTTGAGAGAGAGGGTCTTGCTCTGTCACTCACCCAGGCTGAGGGCAGTGATGTGACTGCGGCTCATTGCAGCCTCAACCTCCGTGGTTCAAATGATCCTCCTGCCTTGGCCTCCCAAAGTGTTGGGATTACAGGCATGAGAGGTGCTACTCTTAAAAGGGCAATCCACATATCTCAGAGAAGGTGACATATGGGGTGAGGTCTGGATGGAGGGAGGAAAGTCTCCAGGGAACAGGGTCCTAAGCAGAGACCAGCAATTGTGCAGGCTTGAGGCTGCAGTGTGTGTGGGGATTTTGGAGGCCAGAGTTGCTGAAGCAGAACAAGGGAGGCAGGGGTGGAGGCCTGAGTTATTCAGGCTGGCAGGGGCAGTCGGGACCCTTCACTGGGGCCAGGGAAGGACTGGGTTTTACTGGATTTCAGAAGATGAACCCCTTTGGATGCTGGCAGTGACTAGTGTGGAGCACACACCCTTGAAGCCCTGCCCAGAGCCTCTGGGCTCCTTTGACCAGCTCTGGGTGCCTGCAGAGGACAGCTGGAGGGCACTGGGGCCCCTTTACCCCAGGAAAAACTTCAAGAGTCCAAATAGCCTGAAGAGTATCAAGACTGTCTTAAACTCATGGAGTCATAGCCCACGCCTGACTGTGGGGTTGTGTAAAAGTCACTTACTCCCCATCCCATTTATTTTATTCCACTTGCAGTCTCATTCTGGGAGAATTCACCCCATGACAACCCTGAGGGGATAATACCCAGTTAGCTTTCTCTGGTCAGACCACAGCCCTGTGCCCCCTGAGGCGACCTGGCTGTGTCTACAGCCGTGACTCTGTGCCTTGTACTGCCCACCTGCCTTCTGCTGAGACTTGGATCTTCCTGACACCTCTGAATTTTACTATCTCCCAATCGTTGAGAGTGAAAAAGCACATTGCTGGGGAGGTGGCTGGGCTGCCGCATCAGACTTTCCCATGTAAGACTTTCAGTCTTGGCTCTGGCGCCATCGGCTGTGGGCCTTACGCCATCTGAGCTTGGCTTTCTCATATGGGAGTCAGTGATAACCACAGCCCCCTGCCAGGGGTTTGTGTCAGTTAAATGCCGCAAAGCACATGAAATGCCTGGCACCCAGGAGTTGCTCAACAAATGCTATAACCTTCCTTTTCCATTCTACCCTTAGATATTAAAATTTTCCTTCCTTTCTTCAAGGAGATGGAGAAGGGCTTCTAAAAAAGCAATTACAGCAATAGCGAGCATTTATTCTATATTTACTAGTGTGCCAGGAACAGTGCTAAGGGCTTTGCACATGGGATCTCTGAGTATCTTTCACAGCTCTGTTAATGGTGTCTGTGATTTACTTTGAGTCTTTGAACCAGATGATGTGTTCCTGGGTGTGCGTGATTTCAGTGAAGCCACAGCCCAGGTGCAGCTGTTAGTCTAATGTGGGTGGAACACGCAGGAGTGGCCTGCTAGCATTCTAATCAAAAAACCTCCTGAAGGCGAAAATAGGCATCTGTTATATGCATTTCTATTAACATCAGATACATTGCCAATTAGCTTAGAGAATGTCAGAAATATTTCTAGACTGGTGAAATCAGTGTCTTGTTAAATAGCATGGCAAGCGTTAGAAATGGGTTTTCAAAGTTGAGATAAAGATCTTGAAGATATTTATTTGGTCTGGATAAAATATTTTAGAAATATTCTCTACCCTTATATGAGTTGGGTATAAAGATCCAGAGACACCTATGGCCTGAGTCCATGGAAATAACTCAGGAGGCGAACTCCTTTACCTGCCTGGTGTCCAGCCACGAGTAAGCAAGAAGATCTGGTGTTGGATGCCAGTTGTAACATTAGCAGAATCCTGCCTTGCTGTCAGTGTTGTCTGCCTCCTAGGACTCTTCCATGCAAATGAGGCTTCAGGCAGTCAAGGGGCAGAGAGCTGGGACATTGTGGAGCTTACAGAACAGGTACTGTGATTCCTTTTGGGTTTGGTTGCTAATACATGTCTATATACATGGCAAAATTTTGAAATTTCCTTCCTTTTTAACCTGATAGCCAGCTTGTAGAGAAAGGGTCCCCAACTCTCACCCATCTTGAACTTCTGAGGTTACCCATTCTACCCGAAGGAACCTAAGAAACGTGTGTGATAAAACTGACTTAGGTCAGTTCATAGTAGATCCTATGAATGACGTATTGCTATTAGAGGAGTTAAGTATTAATAACTTGGTCCTGCTCATCAGGAAGTTGCAGAGCCAGGGTCCAAGTCCCGCCCTTAATCCAGATTTACTCTCTGGATCACTATGCTGTCCTGACACCAGAGAATCCTTCTGTTATTCATTTCCTCCTCCATTCGTCTCCATGGATAGGCAACCTGGGCATGATTGACATTTAGGACTAGATAATTCTTTGTCGTGGGAACTTTGTAAGATGTGCATTGTCGGATGTTTGGCAGCATCCCTGGCCTCTACCCACTAGATGTAGTAGCATCGTGGGCCCCAGCTGTGACAATCAAAAAATTGTCTCTAGTCATTGGCAAATGTTCTCTGGAGGACAGAATTGTTTCTGGTTGAGAAGCACTGACATAGGTTCTATTTCCTTGGCAAAATTCTACCTCTTCATAAATAAATAAAAAATCCCCCAAAACCAATAGCTATGTTTTACTAAGTGCTTACAATGGGTCAGGCACTGTGTCCAGTGTTAGCTGTGAGAGGAGCTATCATCAACCACAGCATCACCTCAGGGGAGTAAGCTTATTCTCTAGAGTTGCTCCACATACAAGGATGAGGAGCCGGCACAACACTACCCTACAGGGTACCCAAGACCTTTATTAGGCTTGAGATACCTCTGTACAAGCATGCCTTTTGTGAATGGATCTTTGCCATCTGGGCCTTTCTGAGGTTATTTTTGGTAGACATCCTTAACATCTCACTGCAAGACATAGCTGAGATCTGTAGGTCCTGACAGACTGAGTATACAATGGCCAAGCCACATATGACAATATGATCCTGACCTACAACCTCTGCAGCAATCAGTCCTGGGAGCCAAACCAACACCTCTGTAGCAATCGGCCCAGAGTGCTCAGGGCTTCTTCAATGACTGCTAACTTCTCTATTTCTTGCCCCTGTTGAGAGTCAAATATGCTCCTCAAACCCACCCCATAGGAAGCCCCATTTCTAGCAAGCCTGTCCCCAGCTTCCCGGTAATCAGAGAGCCCCTGAAGCTTGGCTTTTTTCTACTCTGAAGCTTTCCTACTGCCCTGCCTACCTTGGAGTCTCTGCCAAATGCAAGTGATGGAAGCTGCCTTCTTTGCTCTAGCAAGGTCCGAATAAATAGTCTCTGCATGTTCTCATTTGGGCGGTCTCCATTTAGTTTCACAATCTCCTCCCCACCACCAGGCTACCAGCTAGTATGCTACAAGGAAAGCAGGTCTCAGGAGGAATTCTGCCACACAGACAAGTATGGAGTGGCAAAGCACACACAGAAATGGTCAGACCCACTTGTTCTGTTGGTTTATGGAAGCTCCAGCCTCAGTTTCTCAAGGGCTTCCATAATATCTTACATGAAAGCTTCAACTGGAAATAGGTGAAGTGCCATTATAAACAAGAGTGGCAAGATAGCTGAGCTGTCCTCTTGGAATCCTGCTACAAGTATCAGAACACAGGGTCAAATCAGAGTGCCAGGCCTAGTGTTTCTCTCAAGAGGGTTTAGCTGCTGGGCTTACTAATTTCTTGTATTCCTGTTCATGTAAGGGTATGTACACCTAGATAATATTTCCATCCTTTCTACACGTGTTGAGCACCACTCATGTCACCAGTGAAAAATGGCTTTTATTATCCCTGTTGCTAACTTTTCAGCCCTCTAGCATGAATCAGGATAGTCAGATTGGAAGAGCTGCCAGTGCTCTGGGGTGGGAGTGCCTAAATGGAGTCTTTCATGTGCTAACAGTTCTGTGATGGTGAATCTCTGATTAAGCCCTTCAAATGTTAACCAACAGCAGGCCCTAGAATGGAGGTTCTTAATCTTTTCTGTGCCTGGACCCCTTTGGACTGCTAGTAAAACCCACAGATGCCTTCCCAGAATACTGTTTATAAAGGAATTAAAAATACATAAGAGGAAACCAATTATACTGAAATATATAGTAGCTATCAAAATTTTAAAAAACAAATACATGCGATGTAATAATACATGTGTTTCTTTATTAACGCATTAAATATTAAGGTCTGGTGGCAGGTCTCAGAACTACCATAAATTTGGAGTAGTCATGAGCATAAATATTTCAACGAATCTGCAACAGTTGTAATGTGATATGCAAAATCTCTAATTTGTAGTTCTTAAAGTCATGGGAACCTCTGCGGTTTTCTGCATTCATATTTGAAGGAAATGGTAAATTTTAGTTAGAGGTGAATAAAAATAAATACATAATTCTTTCACCCCTCCGAGTTCATGAACTCCCCTGAATGTTCTCTGCAGGTCTCAGCATAAGAAGCCCTGCCCTGGAATGTAGTGTTAAATATTCATACAGCACAGTGTCTATGCTGAAGCAAGGTACAGTATGCCACTGTTCCCGGTAGGGGGAATTGTCATTTATTTGGCATTTTCTACCCCATTGCCTCTAGACGATGAACTTCACGGCAGCAGAGATCACGTTGTGTTGCCTGCTGGATCGCCAGTGTTGGAACAGTGCCTGACACATAGTTGGTATTTAGCTATCAATCATTTATTGAATGACAGCATCAGATGGAGACAGCGGGTGCTGTGTCTGGACAACACCTCATCTGCGCAGGGTATCACTGCTGCCAAAGTCAAGGTCTCCCCAAGAACAGAAAGAAGGAATATTGGCACAGCCCTGGGCAAGTGAGGAGAGGTGGGTGCCTGTGGCTCTGAGCACTCCACCAGACTGCTCCTGGGAGCTCCAGGCCTGTGCACTCTTCCTGTTCTTCTGGGGTGATGGCTATCTTCTACTAGAACCTTCTTCTAGAATGGGCATCAAGCTCTTGTCCCTCTGCCCTCCATGCACTTCACTTGTCCTTTGTTGCTTCTCCTGTCAGGTCTCAAGATTTTTTGTTTGTTCATTGGTTGGTTGGCTTTTTGAGACAGGGTCTTGCTAGGTTGCCCAGGCTGGTCTTGAACTCCTGGGCTCAAGCAATCTGCCCGCCTTGACCTCCCAAAGTACTGGGATTACAGGCGTGAGCCACCGTGCTGGCCTCAAGACTTCTTTTTGTCCTTTTGTCCAAGAACAATCCTTCCTTCCATTTTTACTCTCCGCCTCACCTCCTTCCCCCCACCTCTTTTCTCTTTTGTTCATTATTCTAGAATTCTCTCCTCCCTTCGTAGGCGAACTTGATGTTCTTTATGCTTCGGGCATAAAGAACCCCATGATGGTATTGAGAACGCTATTTCCTTGGGGGTAAGGAAGGCTTTATTTTAAAAACCCTCTCAAGATGTATAGAGAGATTGAAGGAGAGATTGAGAAAGAGGTATGAAAACAATCTGAGCACTGTCTCACCACACCCATCTTGTTTCCTATTATTCTTACAACCTCTCTATGAAGCACATACTATAAACTACATTTTTGTACAGACCTGGAAGTTTAGGTAACATGCCTCAGTCCACACAGCTGGTAATTAATAGAGGAGACTGCATCTCCTTCTTCCCGTCTGCTAAGCCCACACCCATAGCTCCTAGACTCCTTGTCTAAGGCTGTGGAACTGGATGGTCAAGGTGGGAGTCATCTGCCTTACATTCCTAGGGTTGTGTTTCTCAAACTCCCATGGCGGAGGGCCCGTTTGACTGAATTTCTAATCTGTTTCAGACTGGTAAGTGCTTACCTGGCAGGACTAGTTCACAGCCCTTGCCATAAACGAATCACCAACAAGTTGGCAACATCCTGATGGGTCCAGCTCTGTTGAACAGGTTATTCTGGCCCTGGATATTATGGCGATGTCGAATTGCTATACACATTTCTAATGATCATCTTCACATTCCGCACTTGTCTGCTTGTGGAGTGGCAGCACACAGTTTGCAATGCGCAGCATTGGGTGGTCCCACGCTTGGAGTAACAGTGGTGCAGGACGTGGCAACTTGCACCATAGCCAGGTCTCCACGAATGCAGCTGCCCCATCAGCTATCCTTCTTCCTACTAAGCACATAGCAATCTGCAGATGTTTTACAACGTGGAGAATTCGCAGCTGGCTCAAGATAAATAATTTGACAATGTCCTCATTTACAGGGCAGCATATCTATGATTCCTTTGAGATGTTAAAGGAAATATTTTCAAAGTCTCCCTTGCTCTGCATGTGATGTTAATTATAGTGTTATTTATGGCTGTTGCTATGCGTTTTGGCTAAGAAGCATTTGAATCATTTAAGAGCTGCCGTTTCAATAAGGACTTGTTAAGGTGTTTGGACATCCTCGCTGTTGGCAATGGTGCCTGTAATTTTTCCTTCCTTGGGGCACCCGCAGGGATTTCTGTGCTCCTGGTAAACAGATGTATTTAAATAGTCTGCATTCCTCAGGATTATGATTTCTAGCTGACATACAGGCATGTGGATTTGCTGCTATCTTTTTCTATCAGCATCAGACACCCGAGGGAACATGTTCTCTAATCCGTTTCTTTGAACCTTGGCTTGATTCCTTCTGGGTGGTTCTGGTTCCTCCTTTGCACACAGCTCACCTTTAGGAATCCCACAGAGCTGGAAACCGCCCTGCCGTGCTGGCTTCTGTGTCTCAAACACACTTTTTGGTGCCACCCAGTGGCCAATTAGGTTGATTTCGGGTCCTGGAATTGTGACTCTCAGACATCTTACTGGTAAACCTGGACTCATTGTTTAAGGACGGCCCCGAATGTTTGAGAAACTGAGGTGCTTTAAGACAGTGGCCAAGGAAATGACCATCTAGAAGAGTATGATTTTTTTTTTTACCCCCAAAATACCCTACTTAGAGCACAGCTTGGAAAGCCTGTCTGATTTGGACTTGAATTTTGCTCAGAGGCTTGCTAGTTGGATGACACTAAGCAAGTTCCGTAATCTCTCTTAGCCTGGCTTATTCGTTTATAAAAAGGAGATAATAATAATAATATGATGGTGAGGATTAAATGATACACTTCTAGTGCTTAGCACAGTACTTGGCACATGATAACTGCTCATTAGTTATAATGGTCATTACTATCATTCTGATTCTTTGATGTTTCTAGTATAGTGGCTGGTAAATCCTCTATCAATGGTTGTTATTAGTAATAATAGCCAATTAAAAATTATTAATCAATTAGCCAATATTTATCAGTTACCTTTTATACATTCGAATCTTTGTTTTGAGCCTGGCTTTGAACAAAAGACTTGGGGGTAGTAATAGGCTTTTGCCTCCAAGGGCTTGGAATTCATTCAAGTGGAGAAACATGGCCAACAAATAGTAGTTCTGTCTGGCACAGAAGCCAGAGGTGTGGAGGAGGCTGGGGACAGGGTAAAGAAGGAGCTCTACCTCCGGAGCTCTTTCCAGCCAGCCAGCTCAGCCCTGGAGCACTGGGGCGGGGCCTGGCTGGGAGGAAGGAAAGGAAAGGGGTGAGTAGTGGCAAAAGCACCCGAGGCAGGAGACTAAGGAGGATGGGAGGGGAAGTCGGATTCTACGCAGGGAAGGTTAGGGAGTGACTGTCAAATAGAATGGTGAATCTTTCCTTGTCATCTTGTGGGTTAGTTTCCTGGGGCTTCTGTAACAAATGATGCAAACTGGGTGGCTTAGAACAATAGAAATGTCTTCTTTCGCAGTTCTGGAGCCAGAAGTCCAAAACCGAGCTGCTGGCAGGGCCCTGTTCCACCAGAGTCTCTACTGAGAATCTATTCCTGCCTCTTCCAGCTTCTGGTAGTACTGGGTGTTCTTGGGTTTGTGGCCATGTGGTTCCAACCTCTGCCTCTCAAGTCACATGGCTTTGTCGTCACTCCTATGCAGTGATGTAGGGCCCACAGGATAATGGTCTCATCACGAATCCTTAATTTCGTCACATCTGCAAAGACCCTTTCTCCGAATAAGGTCACCTCTACACGTTCCAGGGATGAGGGCTTGACATTTTAGGGGGCCGGTATGTAGGGTACCTTATTTCTTATTTTCTCCTCTAGTCTGAATTTATTAGATTTCCTGGCTTTTTTTTCTAGTTGTCTTTTCCTTAAACCTACTTTGTGTTTTTCTCATTCTCCTGGACTATTGTTTCTCCCCCCACCACCTCCAGGCTCTTTCCTTTTCTCTGGTAAGAATTGAGGTGGTAGCAGTTTTTCCAGGAAAGGAGCTGTTGGGTTTGCCAGGCCTTTGGTGCTATGTGGCCCGTACTGGGGACTCTACTCTCTTCCCTCCTTTTCTCCTTCCTTTTCCTAGACCACTTCCTTCCCACTCTATACCACCCACCCCGTGTGTCCTCATCACCCACTCATCCTTCACTCCCACTCAGCACCAGCACAGCCTCTTCTGGGAATCCTCCTTGACCAGCTTCCCCTTCTCTAGGAGTTCTGCTAGGTCCCCCTCCTAGGGACCCCCATGGCTGCTGCTTTGACTACATGTCCACTGAGGACTTTCTGGCAGCTCTGTTCAAACTTATGTCTTCAGGACCCAGGCTGACAGGAGGTTTATTTTAATATTTGTTTCTAGCACAATACTGACACCTAAAGCCTCCACCTAGAAATGACACACATCACTTCTCATGATTTACTTATTTATGAATGAGATGGGGGTCTTTCTATGTTGTCCAGGCTGGGCTCAAGCTGTCCTCCCACCTCTGCTTCTCAAGTAGCTGGGATTACAGGTACACATTGGCTAATTAAAAAAAGGTTTTTAAAGAAGTGACAGTCTAGCTATGTTGCTCAGAGTGGTCTCAAAATTCTGGGTTCTAGCAATCCTCCTGCCTCAGCCTCCTGAGTAGCTGGGATTACAGGCATGATGCCACCATGCCCTGCTTTCTGCTCACATTTTATTGATCAAAGCAAGCTACATGGCCATTCTTATATTTAAAGGGGCTAGAGAAGTGCAATCATACCCGTGCCCAGAAGAAGACCTGGCAATATTTGGTAGATGACACAGCTGACCAGCTCAAAGATGAACCTTCTGTAGAGTTCAAGTCCAACTCAGGGAGGACAGCCTCTCCTCTGTTCAGGTAACCCTGGGCTTAGTCCATTTCAGTATGTAGGAATTTGTACCAACTTCATAAATTCAGGAGAGATGCAGATGGGGAGGGGGTGGGGGTCCGTGATTGCCCTTGAATGCACCTATTTGATTCCTGGGAAGCAGGGTGGGGTAAGGGAAGGAGAAGCCCACCCACAGGCTTAAGTTAGGTTCGGAATGGGCAGAGGAGTTGCATGGCCACATCCAAAGGATGTGCCTCAGCTTCCCCCTGAACCTGTCTCTGCTGGAGAGATTCAGGTAACCGGGGAAAATGGGTAACTTTGTGCCAACCCAGGCTCTATGGCCTCCCCAAGAAGCTCCAAGAATGCATGGGAGCAAACTCTGCTATGCCCAGACAGAGTGGGCCCAGGAGAAGGGATTAGGGTCTTTCTGGCTCATGGGTGAAGAACATGCCTGCGGACTCCAGATGTGAGCACTGGGGTCCCTCCGGGGCTGCTCGGGGGTTCCCCAGCTTGCCTTTTGTCTCTCACTGAGAGCAAAGTGAAACTTTGGACTTGGTGTTTTTTCAGGGTGTTCAGTTTCCTTAGTGGCAGAAGCGAGCTCCACTTTAAGGACACTAGCCATATGAAACTATAGATAAATTAGGGACTGGCTTTGTGCTCTGCGAAAGGGTTCTTTGATGTAGAAAAAGGATTTGTCATAAAATTTAATAGACTTGAAATATCTGACTACAGAAACTCAGTTTGTGTACAACATTACATGGACACATGTCTTTCTTATCTAAAGCTTATCTGCATATTGGAATCTGAAGTACAGGGAACCATTAAAATAAAAAAATATAGAAACTGCCTGCTTATTCAGAGAGGGAAAAATGCCAGACTTTGGAGCATGCAGATGGGGTATCAAACCCTGTCTCTGTCATTTATGAATAGTCAAGTAGTATTAGGGAAGATGCAAATCTGAGTTTCATTGATGAGCGTGAAACAATATATCTCACGGGGCTATGCGATGAGCTAACAGGTGCATAGCTGCAGCTCAGCGCCCTGCACTGAATTGGCTCTTGGTAAAATTTCATGTTTTCTGTTTCCTGTGGAGGTGATCACGATTTTATCCTCATGGTGAATATGCTGTGTGTAGATCTGGAAACAGAATTGTTCATCTTCAGACTTTACGGGAGCAGGGTAAGAGGCTGGGTTTCAGGCTGTAGGGGTCTGGCCGTCTCTGGTCTCCAGCCCAAGGCTGAGTGAAACCACAGTGAGTGCAATTGCTTGGGTTTCTTTCCAAGTTGCTTCTCAGAGGGTCCAAGGTTTCTTCCTCCGAAAACCTCAGAGTAGAGGAAAATAACTACTCATGAGGCAGAAACATTAGTAGGTTATAAGTTGCTAATATTTAGTGGCCAGAAATTTCCATTTGGGATTGGACTGTGCACAGAGCTAAATGGGAAAGTGCCTCTTGTTCTAGGTCAGGTAGATGAGGGAGGAAGGGTCACCAGAAGTGGCACAGGCTTCTGCTGCCTACCTCTCCAGCATCCTGGATTCATGGGCCTCATCTGACTGCTTCCCATCCTTCTTTGGAAAAAAGACAGAGAAACCAGCAGCAGTGTTCCCAGACAGGTACAGATCATTCTCTGCTGATGTGGCATGAATACATTTTCCTCTCCTTCTTCCTCCCCATCCTCTCTTCCCTATCCTCTCCTCTTTCTCTTTTTCTTCTTACTCCTCTTTTCCTCCTGCTCCTCCTTCTCCTTTTCTTCCTTCTCCACTTCTTCTCCTTCCTCCTATTTAATTCTTTTTTTTTATTGTTATACTTTAAGTTCTGGGATACATGTGCAGAATGTGCAGGTTTGTTACATAGGTATACACATGCCATGGTGGTTTGCTGCACCCGTCAACCCATCATCTACATCAGGTATTCCTCCTAATGCTATCCCTCCACCAGCTCCCCACCGCCTGACAGGCCTGGTGTGTGATGTTCCCCTCCCTGTGTCCATGTGTTCTCATTGTTCAATTCCCACTTATGAGTGAGAACATGTGGTGTTTTGTTTTCTGTTCCTGTGTTAGTTCGCTGAGAATGATGGTTTCCAGCTTCATGTCCCTGCAAAAGACATGAACTCATCCTTTTTTATGGCTGCATAGTACTCCATGGTGTATATGTGCCACATTTTCTTTATGTAGTCTATCACTGACGGGCATTTGGGTTGGTTCTAAGTCTTTGCTATTGTGAACAGTGCCGCAATAAACAGACCTGTGCATGTGTCCTTACAGTAGAATGATTTATAATCCTTTGGGTATACACCCAGTAATGTGATTGCTGGGTCAAACGGTATTATATTAAATGGTTCTAGATCCTTGAAGAATTGCCACACTGTCTTCCACAATGGTTGAACTAATTTACAGTCCCACCAACAGTGTAAAAGCATTCCTTTTTCTCCACATCCTTTCCAGCATCTGTTGTTTCCTGATTTTGTAATGATCGCTATTCTAACTGGAGTGAGATGGTATCTCATTGTGGTTTTGATTTGCATTGAATTTTTTTTCCAGAGGTGATTATTCCCTTCTGAGATTATTTTATCCACTGGATTTGGATGCACTGATTTTTCTTGTCCCTCTTCCTACCTCTCTAACTGTCCCTGCTCAGCCTCCTCTGTGGACTGACTCCTTCACTCCTGAATTGCAAGGCCCCTCTATTTTCCCTTCATATTTGCTCGCCTCTCCCCAGGCAATTAAACCTTCTCCTATAGCTTCAGGAGATGCCCCCTCAAGACTCCTAAATCCTTATTTCTGGATGAGATCTAAGCTCAGCTGCCAAACATGCATCATCAGTGAGGTGTCCCACTGATACCTCAAGTTCAGCTGCCTTTGACTGAGCTCACATCCTGGATCCTACCTACCTAGCTTCTCCATCCAGAGACCTGCATATTAATTTTACTGCTTTCTTTCCATCAACCCTCAAAGACAGTCAATGACTATTGTCCTACTTTCATTTCTTCTTGTTACTTCCCTGGTTCAGGCTCCGGTCTCTGTTACCTGCATTATACCCCTGATAAGCCTGTGGCCTTCCATCTTGACAATGTGTTCTACATGAAACCCTCAAGGTCAATTTCTAAAAACACAAATTGGGACATTTCTTTAATTAAATTTTAGTGGCTCTCATCATCCATAGGATAAGCTTCATTCTCCCTTGTGAGTCAAGCAAGGTCCTCTGAAGTCTAGTTCCTGGCTTCCCCTCCAGCTTTATTTTCCCCACTGCCACACTGTTACCATCAGTCATCTTATGGGTCCCCAAGCGGGCCACACTACTTCAAACTTCTCAGTTTCTGAAAAGTCCTTTGCTCTGCCATATACTTGGTGAATTTGAAGACGTCCTTTGATTTTTACTTTTTTTCTCTAGAGTTGTCTCTGACTTTCCACACTGAATTAATCACTCCCCGCTTTGGGCAATCGCTGTATCTCATACCATTACACCTCTGTTCTTGCACTCGAAATTGCTTTTTATGAGTTCATCGTTCCCATTAGACTGAATGCTTGAGGTCAGGGACTGAGTCGTATTCATCTTTTTATCATCAAGTTTGGGCCCAAGGCCATATCGTCAATATTAAATAGACACTCTGGTTCAGACCTTGAGTGTTTTATAAGAGCCTTTCTGTGCATTTAGTAGGGAAGGATACAGAAAATCATCTGCCCAGCTGTCACGTGGCCCTCCCACATGGCTCCAAGAATTGCCCTGCCACCCAAGAGCTGCTAGGGATCCCCTGTACCTCCTCCCAACCACTGCGTCCCTTTCAGCTCTATAAACTTTCTGAACTCTTCTTTCTTCCCAAACTGTGCTCTTTTGTTTTCCAATGTGATAGATACACTAACTTGGTTAATTTAGACAAAAGTATTGATGGCCAAAGGTAATGATATATATAGGCAGTTTATATTTATATAAGATAATTGCTTCTCATGTTATTTGTTTTAGTAAAAGTTTCTACCATTTGAATTTCTTTTTAAAAATTTGAGCTTATAGTTTGCATGTTATTAAACTAAAAATATCATTATTGATATGAATGAAGAAAAAGAATCTCAATTGCTGAACTTTAGCTGAATGTTTCTTCCAGCATGAGATATTGAAATATTGGTGTCTTGAAAAGCCTTTTTCAATTCATAAAGCAGATTATGAAAAACTGCCAGGAATGAGAGTCATTACGTTTGTTTAACTGTTTCAACTTCAGGCTGTGTCTATTGACGTCCTTGTTATAATTTTGTTCTGGTGTCTCCCTCCTGTAAGTGTACTAATGAATTTGTGACCATTATGATAGTCTCATCCACATAGAGATTGGATTAAGAGTGATCATGTAATTCAGTTCTGGCAATAAAATGTGAGGGAGGGTCTGCAGGAGAGACTTAATTTTTTTTACTCTAATTCTACTGGACACTATCACATCCACATAGATTCCTGCAGTTGTGGCAGCTTTGGGGAGGAGGTAAGCAAGGACTAAGCCAACAAGATAATCACAGGGCAGACACACAGAAGTAACCTGGATTCTCCTTGACATCTCAGCTGCTGAGTTAACTCACCCAGAGCTTCTCCGCATTGGATATTCTTGCAATGTGAGTCAGTAAATCTTCCTTCTTGTTTATGCTAGTGGTTCTTTGAAAAGATGAACAAAATAGACCTTTGGCTAGACAAAATAAGAAGAAAAAAGATGACTCAAATTACTAAAATTGGGAATGAAAGAGGGCATTACTACTGACTTTATGGAAATAAAAAGGATTATAAAGCTATGATTGCAAATTAGTATTTTGCAAATTAAAATTCTGAAAATTAAAATTTTACAAATTGCAACTTAAAAGTTTCTACAAATTTTTAGAAAACTGTGATAAAATAGAAAAATTCATTGAAAGAACAAAACTACCAAAACTTGACTCAAGAAACAATGGAACATCTATAACAAATAATGAGATTGAATTAGTAATCAAAAATGTTCCCCCAAAGAAAAGCTCAGGACCAGATGGTTTCACTAGTGAATTCTACCAACCATTTAAAGGAAAACTAACACTTATCTTTCACAAAGTCTTAAAAAAAAATAGAAGAAAAGGGAATACTTCTCAACTCATTATAAAACAAGATGAAGATAACATACCCAAAAAAACCATCTCTTATATAGACCAAAAATCCCCTATAAAATGCTAGCAAATCATTCCAGCAATATGAAAAGAAATTTATACGTTGGGACCAACTGGGATTTATCCCAGGAATGCAAGGTATGTTTAGAATACAAAAATTAATCAATGTATTATTAGAATAAGGGACAAAAATTACCTTACACCAAATAAAAAATTAATTCAGAATAGATCATAGGCTAAAAGTAAGAGTCAAAACCATAAAACTCTTATAAGAAAACACACAGGAATAAACTTTTGTGAGCTTGTATCAAGCAATACCTTCTTAGAAATGACACAAAAGCACAAGCAACAAAAGAAAAAGATGAGACTCCATCAAAATTAGAAACTTTTGTGTTTCAAAGAACTCGTTTCAAGAAAGTGAAAACCAACCCACAGAATGGGAGACATATTTGCATATTATATATCTGGACAAGGGACTTATATTCAGACTACAAGAAGCACACCTACAACTCAACAACAAAAATTGGACAAAGGGGAGAGTGATTTGAGTAATGATAACTCTGGTCTCCCACACAGCTGGCTCTGCATGAATTACACTTTATTGCAATTACTCCGTCTTGATAAATTGGCTCTGTCTAGGCAGCGGGCAAGGTGAACCCATTGGGAGTTTACAAATTTGTGGGCTTATTTGGTGTTGGCCTTGTGGCTAGCTGCCCTTGGTTCAGTAGCCCCCTTCCGGCGATGGATCCAGAGGCCAGCCCAAGCAGTTGCCTAGTTCTCTTGTACTGGGTGCCGACTCTGGTAGTCTCTTTACTTGTGGGGCGCTGTTGACCCAATGTGTGTGGATTTAATTGCAATAGAGAAATAGTCCTGGGAGATGTCCCATAACTGTAGCCCTGTCACATGTGTCTGTCTGTAGCCCCATTGTGGGGTGTCTGGGTTGGTGAGTATCCTAGGCACTGTGAATACCTCCTTTCTTCTCCTGCCTGGTTCTGTATCTCCATGGTGGGGTGTCTTTCTGTAGCTCCACCATGGGGTATCTGTCTCAGTTTGGCTCCTAGGGAGTCTTGGTTGCCTCTTCCTAACTAGTAGGAAGAGTCTTGGTTTGGGAGACTTCTCAATCAGGAAGATTTTGGAGAGATTTCTCAGATGGAGAATAGGAAGATGGTTTGGAAAGGATAACCTTGGAGTTCTTGGTTAGGGATCTGATTTGGAAGGCCTTCTGTCTGTCTCATCTTTTATGTGTTTGTGGATGTGGAGGAGATCTCAGAAGGAATTGCTGACAGAAGTCCAGCAGGCCTAACTCAGAGAACCCTCCTTATTTGTCTGATCACATTCAGTGAGCCCTGAAGAAAGCTCGAGAAGCCTGTCTCAGGGTGACTATCCACTCTTTGCCTTGCCCAGAGACCACCCATTGTGAATTGCTATTCATAGGTGACCCTCCCCACCTGGAGTGGATGAAAAACAATAGAGACCAACAAGGAGAAAGTTTGAGCTTTGCCAGGTTGATACTGGGTACTGAACAAGGTGACTAGTATCTGTTTTATGTGTATTTTGCTCAGATGGGAAAATCTTAATTCAGTTCCCTATGCAACCTGTTGGGCAACATCTTGCAAACTTGAGAATCTCTTGCCTATGGTTCTATAAAACATAAAAGGGTGATTTTATTTTATACAGTGGCTTGACCCCCACAGAAATGAGCAGAGTCATCAAAAGCCACTTTCTTCTTCTGGAAGGTATAGAGAAAGGGAACCCAGAAACCCAGTATGCCAGCAAAAAGGGTAAGATTACCAGCCAAATTTCTGGTCAGTATGTGTGTGTGTAAATGGTAAATGTCACTATTTGTCTCTTCTTCAAGGGTTTGATTAATAGAAAAAAGGATTTGTGAGACTAGTCTTAGGCTGTAGCAAATCTGGTGTACTTTGTGCTAATAATTTGTCTTTCTTTGTTGTTATGTAATGGAGAGAAGGATATCACAGAATAAAACATGGGTTTAAGACCCATATAAACCTGCTTTTTAAGCCAGCCAGGAAGGCTGGTCATTTACAAATGTTGCTACAGGTCCCTGAAATCAATACTAGATGAAATTTCTCTGTCTTGTTTTGTGTCCTTAAGAGCATAACCTTGTGACTGTGTGGGGATACTTTCTCTTGGTTTCTGCCATCCAGAGGACGGGAATTTTGGGGTTCATGTCATAGTCCTAAAAATTATTTTGAGCAGTTGAAAGCCTTTGCAAGGTTGAAATTGGCTGCTTTAGACTTGTGGGGAAAGCAATAGGAGCTGCTTAATGCTGTGTAGCTCAGTAGCTAAGGCTTTGCCTTTTGACAATGGCAGGCTAGGTTCAATGTTTGGCTTCTGAATGATTCCTTTCTGGTTTGTTATTTGTGTTACTGCCATTTATTGAGAGTTCTACCCATCCCCCTGTCCAGCCATGGAGAACTTCTGATTTCCTATCTTGAATTTTCCTTGCTCTGAACTACCCTTGGGGAGATTCTAAATCTTGTTAAAAACAAAAAACAGAAACAAAAAAAAAAAACACTGCTTACCATCTCTTTGAGACACCTTATGTGTCCATGGTTAAGTTATAACCTTAGTTAAAACTTACTATATTCGTGTGGGATGTTACCTGTCATAGAACTCAAAAGCCAGAAATATTGGCTGTCCTGGCTAGAGTTTGGTAATAAAAAATTTAAAAAGATTTCTTTTTTAAACAAAGGAACTCTATGGTTAAAATCAGCTTAATTAAAAACAGATATCCAAACTATATGTATTTAAAAGGGCTATCTTTTTCTTCTTCTGGAATCATGTTTTTCTGAAAAGTGTTTCTTCTTGGTCGACTGAACTGTTTTTCTCCGTTTTTGTCTTCTTGCCACTGTTGATGCCCACGTGAGAGAACCTAAGATAATTACTAACAGCCTGAGACGCCTGGGGAAAAACAGAGGAGGCACCACAGACCCCATTCTGGGAAAACCTCTGTTTTCCTCATGGAACCCCAGGAATGGAAAGAAAATAGATCTCTCTCAAAATCTAAGACTCTGTTCTATTTTGCATTGTGATGGTTTTGACTTTTGGGGGTATCAAAATTGCTTTGCATTATGGGAGAGCTTTTAGTCTTGGTGTGTAATAACTAGATAAGAAATATACTTTAAGGGATGGCTAATGGCAGTTACGGAGGGATACTCGGCTCTTTGCACACTTGGTTCAGAGAAGCATGCTCTAGGCCATCTGGAAGGTGTGGAAACATCCCCAATCCCCATTGAGAGATGAGACTTGCATGGGGGATGGGGCTGATTACAAAATGGGCTGATTGACTTCGGGTTGCCTTGCAATGAAATGCACAGTGGAAGCGCAGCACTATCTTCTCCAGTAGTATTTCCCTCCTTATTGGGGATCCAGGATCCAGTATAAAATGGTACCCTTAATTTTGGGGATCTGTGTTAGCCTTCCAGTTTTGCCTCATTAGGTCCTAGAAACTGCATGCTTTCCTGGCCCTGTTCCTCCAAGGGCTCCACTCTGAAACCAGTCATCCAATTAAGAAACTGGCAAATGAAAAATCTTACAACTACTGGATCTTCTGTCTGTGTATTTATATGTGTTGTGTACATGATGTTTATATATAAAAGTGCTCTGATTAATTGGCTTAGGAAAATAAGCACTTAAATCATATTTTGTCAGAAAAATAGAAACACTAATGCCTTTTGTTCATATGACTTTAGTAATCTTTCAGAAATAAAGACAGTTTTAATGATCATTGGTAAATAAAACTATCTTCAAAATTTAGATATTGGGCCTAAATTTAGGTCAGATATCAGATTTGCTAAATGGTTTAAGGTCATAAACTACTTTGACTTTTGAAAGCCATTCAGTTTACCTACTTTGGAGCATGAGATTCTAGATAAGGTCTGGGAATATATGGAGTTAGCCATGCCCCCTAGCTATGCTAGGAAGAGTAAGACCTTATCTGCACTTCTGATGTCCTAGGCTTCATATCTAGTACTTAATTAAAAATCGCATACTTACCAGGTTTTTCTCCAAAAATAAAAGTTGCTAAGAGTTAACATTGTAATATATAATTGAGACGACTGGAGAAACAGTTTTACATACAAGGTGTGTAAGCAAAGTAGAATGTGTTTTGGCAAAAGATTATAAGAAGACAATGTGTTTTTGTGCCTAGTTTAGAGGGTTAAAGGACCGTTTTAAGTTAAAATAAAGGGTTCATGAGGGGTTGACCTTGTACAGAAAGTTCTGTGGATATGAGCAAGTTGGCTAAGATTTGAAGGAGATTTATTTAGTTTTTTTTTTTTCCTGTAGGTCGAACATTCAAATGAAAGCACACTGATGCAGGTCCAGAATCTGGGCCCAAGTGCCCGAATAACAGGGTTTGCTTAGAAAATTAATCTGTTGTTTAATGGAAAATTGTAAAGCATTCTAAAAAGTTTATGAAAATCTTACCTTATGATCAAACTAATTTAAAACTGGATAGATTTATAAAATTTTATTTAAAAACTAGTTTTAGCATTAAAGACGCACTAGTGCAAGCATGAACTTTTGTTTCCTCTTCTGAAAAATTTTTGTGTAATATTGAGAGACAATGAAAGATTTTTGTTTGCCTTTTGAGTAAAACACATGCACACACACACACACACACACACACACACACACACACACACACACACACAAAATGGAGGGGAGAGAGAAGAGACAGATTGATTTGGCCTCATGCTATCTTCATCGAGTCTTGTTGTTTGGAAAGTTAAGTCCTCTATCAGAATAAAGGTTTTCATTGTTTAAAATTTTGGAGTTATCATTTTGGCCAAATGAATGACTAATGGTTACCTGGGATTCTATTTTGTGGTATCCAGTGTTTTACAGCTTTTGATATTTAACAAATGTTCCAAAATCAAATTACAAAGTATGTCTTTTTCTGACCTAGTTAATCTTTTAGATATTATATCCCCTAAAGTCCAAAAATGACACATTTGGCTTATTTGGCATAAAAATCATACAGGAAGCATTGTCAAATATGAAATAGTGTAGCTTTCTTTGGGCTATATTTGTATAAATATGTTATTGGCATGTGTTCCAAAATTACGGGAAATGCCTATAATTCTCACGTGACTTAGTGTATATTGTTAATAGTTATAATTGTTTTGTAAAGTTGTATGCCACAGAAGTAACCAAAATTCCTAGTCAATTGTGGCTTTAATGGTGGTTGCCCTAAGACTTTTTGTCATACACAGACAATTGTTGTCTTCTTTTGATTCTCTTCAAAAGGTGGTTTGTAATCAGCTGTAGGACTTTGACAGGTGCTCTTGAATGCAGATTTCTAATAACTTTGGATAATATGACATTAGAATAGAGAAAAAACTTTTGGGACTCTTATGGAAACCTGAAGTGTTCATGAATATCAAGCAGAACAGGAGTTAACTGAGTGGACTGAACTAATAGAAAACCAAAGTAATATTTTTTTGACTTCTATGGTTAAAACCTCGCTGAACCTTTTTGTTTTCCAGAGCCAGGAAAACTTTTCTTTTGAGCTATTTATAGCTTTTAACAACTGAGTAAAATATACTCCTGTGAAAAAAATTTGGAGCATATTTGTTTCTCTCTACCTGATTTCTCCAGAATTCTCCAGAATTTGGAAACTATTTGTGAATATTCTCAACTTATGGCAGTATACTTATTTGCATAAGTGCAATAAGAATTTGTTTTCTTCTGTAACAAGACACAATTGGAGAAACTGGTTATCTTACTAAGGCTTTGACTGGAATGGCATGCTTTCCTTAAAGAATCAAGGTTGACTTGTAGAGCCAATAGAAGTCCCTTGGGAAATCTTGCCCCATACCTTGTCTACACAGTCCCTGTAGAAGGTTCCTGACCTGTGGTAAGTAAGGAACGTCGCTTTCTAATAGGCCCAGGAGCCCCAAGTTGTCTTGTGACCTCAAGAGGAGAGGAATTTACCCAACTGATAGTATTTGAGGGTACAAACCCATGGCTGGGCTTGGCTTTAAAAAAGTCTTGGCTGAGATTGATTATGGAACAGAGTTTCATCAAAGCCAATTTAAAAAGCCTATGTGAAGAATAATTATTCTTGCTGTGCTTTATGTAAATAAGCAGGCCAAGTACAATAAGACTAAAGTTTATTTTGTAAACAAATCAGTTCTATCATGATTTGTTTTTAATAAAAATGGGGCCTGGAGAGAGAAAAATAATGCTTCAAAAGAATAGCTATAGTATAACTGTTGTTAGCTGTTCTTGAGGTTTTTTATTTTTATTTTTTGGAATTTGGACTAAATTCTAAATTCTTTGTGGGCTACAAGTCCCCAAACTAATGCTTTCAAATCTTTACTTTTAAAACTGGGAATTTCACTCCTTACCCTAGTACTTATTATTTTCCTTATAATACACTGTTCCCTTAAATGCAGTACTAAAACTATACATGACAATACTAATTCCTTTGCCATGCAAGACTTGGAACCTCAGCCAGGCCTGCGTGAGTACACTCAGACGGTTGCAAAGTGGTTCCACTCCTCTCACCTTGGGGTCAACACCTACTGCTACTATGCCCCTGATCAGCAGGAGGAAGTTAGTGGTCTTCACTCCTTTTCTATCTTCATTAGCCAACACCTTAAGATCAAGGTGCTATAAAACCCAAAAGGAGGGATTGAAACCGCCATTGCAAAATTATAACTGAGACACTGAAAGAGATCTGACCTAAACAACTCCATCTTACTTCTAACCACCAAACTGTCCTTGTTCATTCCTGGGCATAGGCTGAACTAATTTAGGGAGGAACTTAGTTTCTAAGTTTATTATAGTTTAAAACAAAGACAAGGGGCTTGGCATGGTGGCTCACACCTATAATCCCAGCACTTTGGGAGACAGAGGCGTGTCGATCATTTGAGGTTAGGAGTTTGAGACCAGCCTGGCCGATACAGTGAAACCCTGTCTCTACTAAAAATTCAAAAATTAGCCGAGCGTTGCGGTGGGTGACTGTAATCCAGCTACTCGGGGGGCTGAGGCAGGAGAATTGCTTGAACCCAGAAGGCAGAAGCTGCAGTGAGCTGAGATTGTGACACCGTGCTCCTGCCTGGGTGAGAGAGCGAGGCTCCATCTCAAAAAAAGACAATAATAGTCCTTCCAAAACAAACCTCCTTCTTGCCTGTGGACTAGACTGCCTTAGTAGGACTAACAAATTAGCCATAAGACTATGAGATTCTGACCCTCCCAAAACTGCTTCTCAGATCAGTGCTTGAGATATTTTACAGACCTTATTTACACTTGATGGATCAGCTGGCACCACCCAGATCAATTAAACTGGCTCGTCAGATTTTGTGGCCCTCATCCAGGAACTGACTCAGTGCAAGATGACAGCTTCAGTTCCCCGTGATTTCATCTTTAACCCAACCAATCAGCACTTTTGACTCACTGGCCTTCCCCTACCCATCAAATTATCCTTAAAAACTCTGATCCCTGAATGCTTAGGGAGGTTGATTTGAGTAATAATAAAACTCTGGTCTCCCGCAAAAAAAGGCAAAGGATTTGAATAGATATTCCTCTAAACAAGATATGCAGATGTCCAATAAACACATGAAAAGTTATAAACATTAGTCACTAGGGAAATGCAAATCAAATTATAATGAGTTACCACTTTACACACACTAAGATGGCTAGAATAATAGACTATTGTAATAATAAGAACAGACTATTATAAGTTGACAAAAACGTGGAGAAATCAGAACCCCCATATATTGTGGTAGAAATGTAAAATGGTTCAGCCTTTTTGGAAAGCAATTTGGCAGTTTTCTTCAAAAGGTTACCTGTAGCATTGTCATATGATCCAGCAATTCCACTCCTAAGAATATACCCAAAATAATTGAAAACATGTGTCTGCCTAACTACCTTGGTTAGAACCTATAGTACAATGTCAAATATAAGTGGTGAGAGTACACATCCTTGTCTTGTTCTGTATCTCATAGGAATGATCTTAGTCTTTAAGTATTAAATATGATGTTGGATTTTTCATAGATGCCCTTTATGAGATTGAGAAAGTTCCCTTCTATTCCTAGTTTGTGGAAATTTTTTTAAAATCATAAATGGGAGTTTAATTTTGCCAAATGCTTCTCCTGCATCTATTGCTTTACATTCTTGTTTACACTTCTGTGTAGGTTATGTTTGGCTTTTTAATTCTACCATGTTAAAAATTATACCAGGCTAGGCGTGGTGGCTCATGCCTGCAATCCCAGCACTTTGGGAGGCCAAGGGAGTGTGGATCACGAGGTCAGGAGTTCGAGACCAGCCTGGCCAATATGGTGAAACTCCATCTCTACTAAAAATACAAAAATTAGCCGGGTGTGGCAGTGTGCGCCTGTAATTCCAGCTACTTAGGAGGCTGAGGCAGAAGAATCTCTTGAACCTGAGCGGCGGAGGTTGCAGTGAGCTGAGCTGAGATCATGCTGTTTCACTCCAGCCTGGGTGACAAACGGAGACTCTGTCTCAAAAAAAAAAAAAAGTTATACCAGTGGTAGCTTATTGTAGTTGTAATATGCATTTTCTTTAATGAATCTGGCCACATTTTCATGTTGATTGGTCATTTGGATACTCATTTATGTGAAGTGCCTATTCAAATGTCTTTCCTATTTCTGTATAAGCTTGTCTGTCTTTTTCTTATTTATTGGTAGGAGTTTTCATATTGTCTAGATATGTGTCCCTTCTAGTTATTTATATTATAAAAATCTCCCATTCTTTGGCTGTCTTTTCATACTCCTAATAGTATCTTTTGATGAATGCAAGTTTTTATTTTTAAATTAGCCTAATTTATCACCTTTTCCTTTATGTTAGTAGATTTTGTGTCCTTTTCAGAAATCTATGCCAAGGGCATAAAAATATTCTACTCCTTATTATCTTTTAGAAGATTAATCATTTATATTTCATATGTAGATATGCAATCTGTGTGGAATTAAGTATTTCATATGGTGTGAGGTAGGAATCAGATTTTTATGTCTTTAAATATGGCTGTCTAATTGATCAGCAATACCTATTGACAAGACTATCTTTTCCCATGCTTTCAGTGCCACATGTGTCATGAATCAAGTGTCCATACTGCATGGGTCTGTTTCTGAAATTTCTATTCCATTCTTTTTAACTGTATTTTCTTGCACCAGTACCACACTGATGTTTTTTAGTTTATTTTTAACTTTTTATCATGCCAGTTGTGCTTCCTCCAAATAGTTTTTTTTCTTTGCACATTCTTTTTTTTTTTTTCCAATAGGTTTTCGGGAACAGGTGGTATTTGGTTACATGGATAAGTTCTTTAGTGGTGATTTCTGAGATTTTGGTGCACCTATCACTTGAGCAGTAAACACTGCACCCAATATGTAGTCTTTTATCCCTCACCCTGCTCCCACCCTTTCCCTTGAGTCCCCAAAGTCCATCATATCATTCTTATGCCTTTGCGCCCTCACAGCTTAGCTCACACTTACAGGTAACATATGATGTCTGGTTTTCCATTCCTGAGTTACTTCACTTAGCATAATGGTCTCTAATTCCATCTAGGTTGATGTGAATGCCATTATTTTGTTCCTTTTAATGGCTGAGTAGTATTCCATGGTGTGTGTGTGTGTGTGTATATATACACACACACCTATATATATTTATACACTTGATTGATGGGCATTGGGCGGGGTCCGTATTTTTCCAGTTGGAATTTGTGCTGCTATAAACATGCCTGAGTACCATGCTGATGTAATTCTGTCGCTTTATTATAAGTCTTGACGTCTTCAAAAGTAAATATTTCTTTTTTGCTCTTGTCTGAATTTGTTGTGGGTATTCTTGGTACTTTACACTGCTGTATCAGTTTTAGAAACAGTTTGTCAGATTACACACACACACACACACACACACACGCATAAGTCTTGTTGAGATTTTGATTGGAATTGAATCTATAGATCACTTTGGGGAGAATTTGACACATTTATAATATTGAAACTTCTAATTCAGGAACATAGTATTTCAACTTATTTCAGTTTTATTTAGTTTCTCTCAATAATGTTTTAGAGTTTTCTCTGTAGAGATCATGCATGTAATTCTGTCAGATTTATTTCCTAGGCATTTGATTTTTCAATGTCATTATAAATAGTATAATTAAAACATTTAAAATTTAAATTTTATAATTTAAAACATTTATAATTTAAAACATTAAAATTTTCTAATTATTTGTTCCTAGCATGTAGAAATATAATTTTTTCGTACGTTGACCACTTTTCCAGCATAATTGCTAAGCCCATGTATTAATCTAATAATTTATCTATAGTTTATTTTGAATGTCTATATACACAATTATGTCTCCTGCAAATAATGGTAGTTTTTCTTCTTTCTAATCTTTTTTCTTGCCTTATTAGGCTGGACTTACTAGATTAATCCAGTACAATGTAAACCTAATGGGCTTATTATATTAGTCTAGCACAGTAGTTAATAAGTTCCAATCTTGTTTCATTCTCAGTTTCACAGGGAAAGGTTTCAGCATTTGATCATTAAACATGATAGGCATTATTGGCTTATTGTAGATAGCGTGTATCATATTATGAAGTTCACCTTTCTTCCTAGTTTGCTGAGATTTTGTTATGAATAAGTGTTAAATTTTAACAACTTTTTTCTGCACCTGTTTAAAAAATATTTTTTTCTTTTTATGTAACTACAATAAATCATTTTAGTTTCAAATGTTAAACTACCCTTGCATTTCTGGAATTAACTAGTCATAATGTATTGTGTTTCTCATATATTGTTAAATTCTTTTTGATCATATTTTGTTGTGGGTTTTTGAATTCTAGCATTATGTTTAGGATTCATGAGTAAGTTTAGTAAATAATTTTCATGTAATGTCCCTTATCAGGTTTTGATATCAACATTATGCTGACCTTATAAAATGAGTTACGAAGTACTCATTATTTTGAAAAATCTCTGGAAGCGTTTATGGGAAGTTGATGTCATTTCTTCCCTAGTGATTCTGGCTTTTGGGAAAATCTGCATATTCTATGAAGTCTAGCTCTCACCATCTTCCCTCAACTAGCCTCAGATCTGACAGTTTTGGGTAGGTGTGCTTCATAGTTTATGTTTTGGGCTT
The DNA here is from genome assembly GCF_000001405.40 of Homo sapiens. Lineage (NCBI taxonomy): Eukaryota > Metazoa > Chordata > Mammalia > Primates > Hominidae > Homo > Homo sapiens. Next base: position 133,868,240 of record NC_000002.12, on the reverse strand, counting down.
GTGCTTGTTTCTTTACTTCTTTGAAAATGGTGTCTTTTTCTTGATCTTTTTTGTATGTACGTTTTGCATTGAAATATGCTAAGTACCAAACCAGTATAATGGGCAAAACATTTTAATGGGTTTTAATGGAGTTGTAAGAAGAGAGTACAGCGAAAATATTTTTCTTCTATCTCTTGGGGAAAATACTTCTGTTTTAATACAGGAACTTTTGCTTTAAGCCAAAGTAATGAAGCTTTTTCTTTGGAAATTTTAGACATCTAAGATGGAAGAATGAAGGAACTGTTTTGGGAGAAACATGGTTCTTAAGGAGAGAAACCATGGCGTGTGGGAAAGACACTGGATTGGGAGTCAGCAGGCCTGGGTATTTGACTACATCCTCTCCCTTATTATCTGTGAGGCACTTAACTTACTTGAGCCTTTAGTTTCTTTTCCCGTAAGACAAAGAGAGCAACACCAGCCTTGCCAAGCTCACCGGATTAGTGGGGAGATCAAATGGGATAAAAAACATATATTATCCTATTTGTAAAATGCTATAGAAATTAAAGTATATTATTTTTATGCTTTCATATTGAGGTCCCTGGAAAGCTGTCAGGGAATAAGAAACAAAAGGCTGTTACAGCTACTCTTGCCTTTTTATTCCATCTTAATGAATATCCCCTAGCTAATCTGCAGTCACAGAGGAGTCACATTAATATGGAACTTATATAATTCATAAACTGCCACAGTAGCTTGGAAAGGGTTTAATCAGTTGCCTTCACTCTCAATTATTTTAAAACCTCGATAATAGTCAAATGAGCTGCATGGCAGTTTGATTAATTTGCATTAAGCCCAAAGGTCTTGAATGAGCAGTGAGTTTATGAACATGAAGTGTAAGGGCTTGGTGGCAGCGTATCAAGCCTGAATGGATATCTGGGCTGCTTTCCATTGGTTCCTCCTAAGTCAGGCTGGGAGTGTGTGTGTGTGTGTGTGTGTGTGTGTGTGTAGCATTCACACAATTCCTATCTGTTTATTACATTAGAATTGGCCTTAAAGCCTCTGAAAATGAGCTCATTTGCTGTCACTTGCTAGTGAAAATCTTTGGAATTATCTGTAAATTGCAATTGCCTATGTTCTTCCTGCTCCAGTTTCTATGGTTAACAGAATTGGCTGGATGTTACTTTTATTTTTATAATAAATTTGGTGCTTTATTTTGCTCATCATATTGGTTCGGTAATTAGCATATGTCAAGGCAAAAAAATCCCACTAGATGACAATGGCATTCCTGCATTGTTTTAATCCGAGCATATACAACAGTGAGATGGCTGTTCATTCCCATTTCAGGAAGCCGCCCTCTCAGGCACAGTTCTGGGAGGAATTTATAACTCACATTACCATCTCTGTGGGTTTGGAGTTATAACCCATCTCATCATGAGACATTTATGCCAAAAGGGTCAAGTGGACAAAGAGGGAGAAAAAGGATGTGGGTAAGTGGAGTCAGTCATTTGACTTGTTTTATTGCTCTGTTTTCTATCGGCACTGGACGACTGCTGGTTTTAAGGAAACAAAGCAATCTGGTGTGATGGTCAGGTAGCCCTGACGCTCACCCACCTCTAATCCCATTGGCAGTATTGGTCCCATCAAGGGACAAAGCAGTGGTAGGTAGAATAAATGGGTCCGGAGACTCTCAGAAATGGAGTGACTAAATGTACCATCCTATCCAGTATATGCTTACCTTGTTTATACTTAGATGCTAAATGTTGACCAAAAGTTGCTGATATGGCCAGTTTAAACCTATGAGGTAACTGACAGACAACGAATGTTGGTGGGAAGTCTCATGTGCTTACTCTAGGATGGTATAGGCATGCACTGCCACAGGTGCATCAAGTCAGGGAGGGCAGGGAACTGCCAGCTCCAGCCGTATGTGGCTAACTCAGCTGGTTAGAGTATAGTTGATGCTCTGGGATATGGATCAGATTTGATCCTAAGTGAGCAAGTCAGTTTCTTCAGATCTACTTCTCTACAAGCCAGTTCTCAAATGGGTGCTCTTGGTCACAAGATGATAGATAGGAATCATTAGACTATAATGTTGCATGCAGGAAACTCGGATCTTTTGGGTTGCACTGCTAAGTTTAATTTCTCTGTGTCTGTTTCCTCATCTACAAAAATGAGAGTGTTATGGGATAAACTGTCTCCTCAAAATTCATGTTGAAGTCCCAACCCCCAGTAGCTCAGAAAAATATGACTGCATTTGGAGATGGGGGTCTTTAAAGAGGTAGGTAAGTTGGGTTACTTTGTAGGACCCGAATCCATTATGACTAATGTCCTTATAAGAAGAAGTGAGATCCGCCTGTAATCCCAGCACTTTGGGAGGCTGCGGCAGGCGGATCACGAGGTCGGGAGATGGAGACCATCCTGGCTAACACGGTGAAACCCCATTTCTACTAAAAATACAAAAAATTAGCCGGGTGAGGTGGCAGGTGCCTGTAGTCCCAGCTACTCGGGAGGCTGAGGCAGGAGAATGGCGTGAACCCGGGAGGTGGAGCTTGCAGTGAGCCGAGATTGAGCCACTGCACTCCAGCCTGGGTGACAGTGAGACTCCATCTCAAAATAAAGAAAGAAAGTGAGATCAGAGACAATCACAGAAAAAGGACCACGTGAGGACATAGGGAGAAGACAGCCACCAACAAGCTGAGGAAAGAGTCTTTAGAAGAAATAAACTCTGCAGAAACATTGATCTTGAACTTCCCTAGAACTTCCCCAATCCCCAGAACTGCAAGGAAACAAATTTATGTTTTTTAAACCACCCAGTCTGTGGTACTTTGTTCACAGCCCTAGCAGACTAACATAGGGGAGTCGTAATGTACTACCAGCCTTCCAAGTTGTGAGGATTTACTGAGATGCTTGATGTGAAGCAGGTGCAACAGAATCTGGCACTTAGTACAAAGAGTGCTTATTTATGGAATGGTTATTGTGTAAGCACAAGTCCTCCTGCTGAGACAATTTTTCAACTTGGTGTATGTTCAAGGCACCTAGAGTAGAGCTGTTCCATAGAACTTTCTGTATTAATAGAAATGTTATGTAGCAATGTCCAGTATGGTAGCACTTTAATTGTGACTAGTGATACTGAGAAACTTAATTTTAAAAATTGGATTTGAATTTAAATAGCCACAGGTAGCTAGTAGCTATTGTATTATGCAGTTTAGATTACACAGATCTGTATTAGACAGATAGTAGAAGATACTTATGTGAGGCCCATTTCTGATTTAAATAGCTAAAATATCATATCTTTCATCAGCATTAGGTACCAGATTCTTCACAGTCCTATAGGCTAGTTTACAAAAGTCATCAATCTCATTTTCACTTAGAATTACTGTATTCGATGTCAACTCTTGAGTGTCCAACACATTAAATTGAGTTCTTTGCTATTTTCAACCAAACATGTTAAAATCCCCTATTGCTGTATGCCTTAGTGGTAGGAAATTGTACTTAAGGCTGAGGTGGGAGGATGGCCTGAGGCCAGGGGTTTGAGACCAGTCTGGGCAACATAATGAGATCCCATCTCTGCAAAAAATTAAAAAAAATTAGCCAGGCATAGTGACATCTGTAGTCTCAGCTTTCTGGAGGCTGAAGTGGAAGGATCACCTGAGCCCAGGAGGTCAACGCTTCAGTGAGCCATGATCATGCCACTGCACTCCAGCCTGGGTGACAGAGTAAGACCCTGTCTCACTAATTTAAAAAAAAATAGTATTGAAAAAAGGACCCAAATGAAAATGGCCCATAAAGGGCTTTTATTTGGATATTTGAGGGAATTTTAATTTATTCTCAGGTTTGTATGGATCTCTCTCTCGTGAAGAAGGAACATTGGAAAGCAAGAAGGATTTTTCTAACTGGATCTGAGGCATGAAAGCGAGGTGGGGTCCCCAGACTGTGGCTCAGGACCTTGTTGATGAGGAATATGGACAAGGACCTAGATTCTTACTAGTTGCTTCTCAAAGCAGGAGCGTCTGCTTTTACCTTAGGGGAGAATGATCACCCCATGACTTCCAGCATACTTCACCACTTCAAAAACACAGAGATAGCTGGAAGAGAAACAGCTCTATGGTAAGGTGAGCAAGATTTTTCTTAAGTCAAATTCATTAGAATGGCTACTGAGTAACAGTTCTCTAGGCAGGAAAGATGGAGAGTGAGCCAAAAGGGAGGCCACCGTTGCCCTCAGGGAATATGCCATCTGGCAATGCAGGCAAACATGAGGAAATAATGACACAAATGGCTGTGATAATGGTAAGAAAAGTTACTGAATGGTATGATAGTGTCTGATAATGATACAGACAGGAGACAGGGAAGTACTGGGTAGAAGAGGGTGCTTTCCCAGCAAAAGACCACCCTCAAGCCTGGAAACCCATGGCCCTAAATGGGAATAGGCATTCCTGTTTTTGCACCCAAAAGTTGACTTTTGGCCTGCCATGCCCCCTGTCCTGTACGCATATAAATTCCAAACCCCAGTCTCCATGAACAGATGAACAGAAAAGCAGAAGAGTGCCAAAAGAGCAGAGAAGGAGAAAAGAGAAGCATCTGAACGTCAAGAAGAGTTCAGCTGGGGATGGTTGGAAGGGAGATTTGCTGGTGGATGGCCATACTCCAGGGTAAGGTCACCTTCCCGCTCCATCCCCTTTGCAGCTCCCCATCTATCCCACTGAAAGCCATCTCCACCACTCAGTAAACCCCCGCATTCACCATCTTTCAAGTCTGTGTGTGACCCAGTTTTCCTGGATGTTGGACAAGAACCTGGGTACCAAGAGGGCACTGAGCTGGTTAACACTTAAGCTGTCTGTGGATGGCAGAACTAAAAGAGCACTGTAGCATGCCCGCTGGGGCTTTGGGAGTCGTAGGCACCCACTCCTAGATGCTACCATGGGGCTGGAGCCCAAGAGCACTCATCCCGGCTCCTGTACCTGCCAGTGTGCATGCTCCCACTCCTGTAAGGGGTTTGAGTGCACACTGTGGCCAAACAGATGAAACACACCCCTTTCGCACATCCTGCAAGTGGGGGGTCAGGGAACTCTCCTATTTTCATCAGGGGCAGCTTCCCTGAGAAAGAAATATTTAGGCTGAATTCTACAGGAAGTCCTTCCAGTCTTGAGGAAGAAAGGACAGGAGATGTTTAACCACTCATTCAATACCTTAATATATAAGTACTACATTAGCCACTGGTTGGAGATGCAAATGTGATGAAGATGTTTTTTTCCTGTGAAGATTGGGGTGCGGCTATGTCGAGGGGTAAATGTGTACCAAATAGATGCCAAGACAGAGGCTAGAGGGCAGTCAATGTCAAATGTGGGGTGAAGAGATGGGGTTCAGCAGAGACAAACATCTGTCCTAATGGAAGCTGGAAAGGCCTCACTGAGGGCAGGCTATGCACTGGATATTGGGGATAGGCAGGAGGGGATGGAGCCCAGTGCTTTAACCTGACCATATGGGTCAGGTGACAGTGAGCAGCTGAGCTGACTCCACCTTACTCAAAGGAAGAGATCCTGTCCATGTTTTCTGGTCCCACATAAGCCCAGTTGTAAGGAACATGGCTGTGCTGTGGCCAAGTGGGTATAGGCCAAGGTAAACATCCTGTGTGACTCTGAGTTTAGAGCCCCGGTGTATAACTCCACTTGTTATCACAGCCATGTAGCCATAACGTGAGAAGGCTCATCACTTGGTTCTAAGCCACTATTGTCTGTAAGATATAATTGCCCTGCTGACACTATACAGGCACACTCATGCCCAGAGAGAGGGTTAAGCTGCTGACCCTGAAGGGAGAGCTGGCCACGCAGCTGTGCATGGGAGCAGCCGGCTCAAGCAGCTGAGACAAAGCAGTATAAGAGAGTTGCTGAATAAAGCCATATTTCACCTACCTACACCCCTCTGAGTGTTCTTATAGCTGTCTACCATTCATCTACTCAGTCCCTTCGGACCTCAGCATGGGCTGGAGCCTGGACTTGAACCCGACGCCAGCATTCTTGTGTAGTCTCATGGTGGTGGTGAGAGGGGAGGTACGAGCAAGCAGCCCAGATGGCTGAAATTTAACATTTCTCCTGCTGGGTGGCAGGACTTAGAACCAATGTAATTTGGTTTAAAGAAAGATTGAAGTGCGTTTTGTTGTATCTTAGAGTTCAGGAGTAAAAGTCAAACCTCTTGTGTTTGTTTTTTACCTTCGGTAAACTTGTTAGGAGGGTGAGTGGATAAAAATGTGTTAATATTTACCACAGTACAATTAGTGCCAGTGAGACATCTTACAGGGCATTCAGAAGAAAAAGCCACTTCCAGCTGGAAGAACCAGAAAAGTCTTACAGGATGAGATGGCAGTTGGAATTGCTCATTAAGAACAGGTTGGGGCTCAGTGCGGTGGCTCATGCCTGTAATCCCAGCACTTTGGGAGGCTGAGACGGTGAATCCTGAGATAAGGAGTTCGAGACCAGTCTGGCCAACATGGGGAAACCCCGTCTCTACTAAAAATACAAAAATTAGCCAGACGTGGTGGTGGGTGCCTGTAATCCTAGCTACTCAGGAGGCTGAGGCAAGAGAATCGCTTGAACCTGGGAGGCGGAAGTTGCAATGAGTCAAGATTGCGCCACCACACTCCAGCAAGGCCCTGTCTCAAAAAGAAGAAGAATAAGAAGCAAAAGAACAGGTGGGATCACATAGAGGCAGAGGGAGGGTATACCAGGTAGGGAAAAGAGTTAGGACAAAGTCTTACGAAACATGGGCTTTGGTTGGGTGTGGTAGCTTCCGCCTATAATCCCAGAGACTTGGAAGGCTGAGTCAGGAGCATAGCTTGAGTCCCAGGAGTTTGAGACCAGTCTGGGAAGCATAGGAAGACCCCATCGCTACAAAAAATATAAAAAATTAGCCAGGCATGGTGGTATCCACCTGTAATCCCAGGTACTTGGGAGGCTGTAGCAGGAAGATTGAGTGCAGGATATGGAGGCCGCAGTGAGCTATGATCATACCACTGCCCTCCAGCCTGGGCAATACAGTGTGACCCCATCTCTATTCAATAGATAATTTTTAAAAAGAAAACATGGACCTTCTTCTGGGACAAAGATTAATACTTCTAAGGCAGACTAACAGAAAAACTGGACCCTTCAGCTCTGGGGCTGATGATCTCCCACAGGGACACATCTCCATTGAGAATCACTACATGTGTGTTGTGTCCCTCTAATTCAAGAATATTTTATCAAGCTATACTTGTTATAATTTGAGTTGTAAAAATCAATACAAATATGTGAAATACAGTATAACATTGGGTATTATTTTATAAACTATAAATGGCTCTCTTAAGGGTGTGATTCAAGCCGGGCGCAGTGGCTCACGCCTGTAATCCCAGCACTTTCGGAGGCCGAGGTGGGTGGATCGCCTGAGGTCAGGAGTTCGAGACCAGCCTGGCCAACGTGGTGAAATGCCGTCTCTACTAAAAATACAAAAAATTAGCTGGGTGTGGTTGTGGGTGCCTGTAATCCCAGCTACTTGGGAGGCTGAGGCAGGAGAGTTGCTTGAACCCAGGAGGTGGAGGTTGCAGTCAGCCAAGATTGCGCCATTGTACTCCAGCCTGAGCAACAGGAGTGAAACTCTGTCTCAAAAAAAAGAAAAAAGAAAAACAAAAATAGCGTGATTCACCACCACTTGTCCTCCACATTTGAAAAACACTAGACTCAATTACAGCTTAAGATATGTGTGTGGAGAGCCATGGGGGTTAGGACTAGAAGGTTTGATTCAGACTAAGCTGTTAATACTGAGTGAACCAATCAGATCAGAGGGCTCTGGTCAGAGAAGGATGGATTTGATCAAGGAAGACATTCTGGAAGATGGGCTATGAACCAGGCATTGAAAAGCATAAAGAAAAGATAGTGGAGGAATAGGTAGGGTTAGGGGAACCAGTATCTACTTAGTGCTTTGTTGAGTGAATAAGCAAATAAGGAATGAATGCATGAGTACAAGGTGATACGAAATTACTCAGGTGAAAGTTCCCTTTGATAGAATTGGTCACCAAGGGACAGGTTCTCCAAAGATGAACAAGCCACAAAAACGCATGGCTTATATTTGAAACTCTGATGGTTGATAGCATATGAAGGAAAAAAAGTTATTATTGCTGCATGTCACATGAGAAGAGAGGGTTTACTTGGGGCTAATTGAAATTGAATGCAGCCACCAGACTGGTTACACGAAGTCAGCAGGAGTGTTTGGCTGACTGAGGTGTCCCCTGGGAATTTTCTCTATCAGTTGAAAATAAGAGCTCTCTTCCCTTCATGTGAAATAACCCCAGAAAATTTCCTGGGCCTTTAGCAGATGAGCTGTGAGCAAAATTCAGGCAGAAAATAGAGGCGATGGGTCAGCTGTTCAACGCAGGGAGTGGAATTGGATTTAATTCAGCAGAAAATAATGTTCTGGGCGAGAAGCTCACGTGGTTGGACTCCCAAGACTGAAGGAGAGTTAGTAACCTTGGTGGCCTGGCTGCCCAGCAAAGACAGGTTGGATCCCTCTTTCCAAAGACAGCCAGCTGCATGAGAGAAGAGAGGGGAGGAGAAGCAAGCTCATTAGTGTCTGGTGGGAGACGGTTTTCTCTGAGGGGCAGGGCCTCCTGCCTTGAGGCACGCAGAAGCCAACTTGCAGGCTGGTTTTTGTGATTTGGGGATAGTCATGGAACCTTTCGTAGGTGCTCTTACTCAAGAGTCTGCTGCTGTTTTTAAAGAGAAGGCAAAGCACAGTAATTTTCCAGAAGATCAGAAACCTGGTCAGCTCCTCTTTCCCAACCCAGATTCTGAATGCTTTGGGGACTAAGACAAAGGAGAAGCAGATAGAAGCTAAATGTTACTTTAGTACCAATAGAAGTCAGGATGGAGGGCATGGCTTTAGGTCTGTGAGTGTGCCCCGAATTAGGCATAATCATCCCTCTCCCCAGCCCCTAACAACTGACGATGCTTGAAAGGGCAGGCCCAACCTCCCCATGCTAGACAGACCCTGCCCCAGGAGGAACAGCAGAAATCAAGCTCCCCTAGGGCAGCTCATTCCCTAGAGGGCAGAAGGAGAAGCTGAGATAGGCAGGCCAATTGTTCTCACATTTATCAGTCTGCCCCTGGAAGGGAAAAGAAGCCAGAACTGTGGTAGCCAGCACAGTGGGGAAAACAATACTCTCCTCTAGTATCCAGCTGAACCAAGAGCTTTTCCTAATTCATTCAGGAACTACACTCAGAGGACCCAGTGGGTAGCAGCTCCTCCGACTCCTCTCATGCCCCACCCTGAGTTAACCTACCGTGGGCTTTGAAATCAACTGGCCTCTCTAGGACTTTAGGGCAAGAAAGGCAGATGCTATTCTAGTTTACAGAAAAAGGCATCCAACAGTGTTTTGGAGGTTGAGACTATTCAATTCAGTGACCTGCTCCAGATCTATTGGAAGAATTTTGGATTCCGGATACTAGGGAATTGGCAATAAACTGGCATACAGGATTGGCTTCATAATTTGCAGGACCCAGGGTAAAAGGAAAATGCAGGACCCAGGTTCAAAAATTAAAAACATTGAACAAAGGTCAGGAACCTGTAAGTATGGGGTCCTATGTCACTGCACAGCTTGTGTGCCGTGAAGCCAGCCCACGCTGTGCTTAAGGATGTTACTTATGGTCTTTGTATTTTTCCTTCTGTACTTATTCTCCAGTTGGGAGCATATCTCTTTCTCTCTCTCTCTCTGTCTCTCTCTCTCCCCCTCCCTCCCTCCCTCCCTCTCCCTCCCTCCCTCCCTCCCTCTCCCTCCCTCCCTGTCTCTCCCTCTGTCTCCCTTCCTCCCTCTCTCCCTCTCCCTCTTTCCCTCTCTCCCCTCTCTCCCTCTCTTTCCCCCAATTCACCCTTCTGCTAGTAGTATGTGAGTATAGCGCGTACTCTAGAGGAAGAATAAAGAGTTCTAGTTGCTGTACATTCTTGCCAACGTTGGTTTTGTTATTTTTTAAAATTAAAAAAAAAACAATTTTTAGCCATTCTGGCTGGTGAATTTTATAAACATTGACTTTTAAAAATAAGTCTACTTCAGAAAAGATTGAAGTGTTCTTAGACATAAAACCACACCTCCTATCTTAGCTTCTCTCTCTACAGTGGCCTTACTCTCTTGCACTGTATTTCTCCTTGTCATGGCAAATAGAGCCATGGCAAATTCTGTTGGGAAAGAAGAACCCTTCAGACTAGAAGAGTCAGGGAAGACTTTATGGAAGTGAAGGAATTTGAGTTAGTTTGAAGAACTTGGAAAAGGTGGGGAGGAGGGGGAGGGAATTCCCAGGAGGATTAGTTAGAGGCATCAAGTCAAGCTATTCTGGCTGTAGAGAAGATTCTAGGGGGAGATGGTTAGTGTGGCTGAAGGTGGCAGGTGATTCCTTGTGGCTGAGAAGCTTGGCTGACACCACTGGTTTGCACATATCTTTTCTAGGGGGTAAGAAAATTAATCTGGCCAAATTCTATTTAAAGGAACAAAAGAGGGAAAGGCTGGAAGCTGGAGACAGAATGGAGGGATGATGGAGGGCCTACATTAGGGTTCAGAGCAGTATCAGAAGACCAAGAAAGTCACACATATTTGGAAGGATGATTTGATAGTCCTTGGCCACATTCCTTGTTCTCAGGCTATCACCGTGGGCTGTAGTGGGATGCCTGGTTGGATTGCTCATGGTGACACATGTGCCATGTCACTGTTTGGCCCTTCCCTCTCCACCTCAAGGGAGAAACACCAATATAAAGATACACACAGTAGGTGCCACTCATGAAATCATTGTCTGAGTCAGCAGTCCCCAACCTTTTTGGCACCAGGGACTGGTTTTGTGGGAGACAATTTTTCCACAGATGGCAGGTGAGGGGCAGGGGTAGTTTCAGGATAAAACTGTTCCACCTCAGATGATCAGGCATTAGATTCTCATAAGGAGCATGCGACCTAGATCCCTCTCACATGCTGTTCATGATAGGGTTCGAGCTTCTATATGAATCTAATGCTGTTGCTGGTCTGACAGGAGGTGGAGCTCAGGTGGTGATGCTTTCTCGCCTGCTGCTCACCTCCTGCTGTGCAGCCCAGTATCTAACAGCAATGGACCAGCAGCGGTCCACGGTCTGGGATTGGGGACCCATGGTCTAAGTCACTAACAGAGTGTGGCAGTGTCTATTAGGCCTGAATATAAAAGAATGTTACAGGATTAAAGTGCTTTAGTGCATTTCAGCTGATTTCATGTCTGTTTAGTGCCCTTCAGCTGATTTCATGTCTGTTCAGGATGGAAAGTTTCTTTTCATTTCCCTTTCTTTCTTTCTTTCTTTCTCTCTCTCCTTCTTTCCTTCTCTGTCTCTCTCTTTCTCTTTCTTCCTTTCTTTCTCTTTCTCTCCTTCCTTTCTTTTCTCTCTCTCTCTTCCCTTCCTTTCCCTTCCTTTTCTTTTTTCTTTTCTTTTCTTTCTTTTCACTTTTCTTTCCTCTTTTCCAGTTAGGATATAGAACTTATTTTGATATTCTGGAGCCCCACAATATATTGACTGTATGGCATGTTTGCAGCTACTGCATGATACAGGATATTTTACACAGTTCTTTCTTCATGGTTGCAAGTGATCTCTTCCTTCTTCCTTGCTTGAAAAATGGCAAGTTACCGTATCAATTTGTTTCTCATATTAATATGTGCATATTATCCTGTGTGTCTATGAAGTTGACTGTCTTGCTATTGAGACACATGTGGTTCTTTTAAATATATTTATTTTAAAAATTTCTATTCTTTCTCAACCCCAAATGCCCATTTTAGGATGTAGGAGACATGTACATAAATCTCTCTTGTGTCCAGAAGATATGAGAACATGCGTAGAACCAACTTAACAATGGTTTGTGCTGAAGGGAGGTGGCGATGGCAGAGGACTGAGCAGGAGTCTCCCACCTTTGCTGTGAGAAGCCCAACAGTGGTTGTTAATGTGTGTGGTTGGGTATGCATGTGAACATCTTTTAGAAAGTCTGTGTGGGCTGAGTTGGGGAGCAGTGTGCTGAAGGTGGGCTCCACTTGGTCAGTGAACAGGAGGGGGAGTCCATTTCTAGACTGAGATTTCATGCCCTTTTCTCCAGAAATATTTGGGAGCCTCCAGACAAATCACCAGCACTCACAGGCCTTGGTTCCCAACTGTCTAGTATGAGGTTGTGGCCAGTCGTCCTGTTCTCCTCTGTGCCATATCATGAGCATCACACATATGTGAGACGTCTGTGCAATACAAAGAATTTTTGTTATTAACCAAATACTCCAGAAACCCTTCAGACATTTCCCATGAGACATTTAGACTCAGAGCATTTGGCTTTGAATAATTAGACAGAAAAAGGGTATTTATTACCACTTCTCATTTAGGCCAAGTTTGCTTATCCTATTTGTCTAAAATAAGAGCCAACAATCTGGAGTGGTTTTGATTGGATCTAAATATTTCTCCACATTTGAATGAGCTCCAACGGCCTGTTCCAGCCCTCGGGCCAGAACACCTGTGTGATCTGGAGGAGACCAAGCTCATCTATGTGTGCAATGGCTTTGTCCTGGCTAGAGATGGCCAGTGGGGCCCTTGTCCCCACCCCACTGACTATAGTCATTCAGCTGCCTCCTGCTGCTCTAAGCACTTGGTGGGGGCCGAGCCCAGAAATTAAATCGCTATGGGAATCAAGCTTCTGCCTCTAGCAACTCAGGCTACTCTGTCTGAACTCTGGGAAGCTGGCTTTTTCTCAGGCATGGTTAACACTTTGAGAGAAAAAGAATAATCATAGCTAATATTTACCGAGAACACGTTAGGCTCCCAGGCACTGTTCTAAGCACAGTCCTTATGATAACTCACTTAATCCTCATAACCCTTGAGGTGTAGGTATTGTTACTATTCCCATTTTACAGATAAAGAAGTGGAGATGTGGAGAGGCTAAAAAACTTAAGTTCATTCTACCAGTAAGTGACAACAGGGGTGATATTGCTATAACACTAGTATCATGACAACCAGGATGATCCAGGCACCAGCCAACAGAGGTAAGGCTGTGACCAGACAAAGCAGATGCTGCCTATGAACACAGCTGGCTTGGCTCTGCAGGTACTGCTGGCTGAGCCCACCTGAGGTGGGGATCCAAGCCCAGGTAGTCGGGCTGCTGCATCCACATTCTTACCACATCTCAACCTTGTCTCTGCTTTCCTGTGGGCCTAGCCCACAGTAGGTGCTCAAGAAATAGTATGCTAAACTAAGTCCTATGTTGTCTAACTGCTCTGTTGTGGGGCATTCCTGAGTTTTCTGTCTCCTGCCCAGAGTCCAGTTGTGCTCTCCTGGCACCACTCATGAGTGGCTTTCCAGTCTCTGCTCCAGGGGGGACCCCTTATCTCCCTCTCTTTTCAGTATCTAATGAACACTCACCTTCTTCCACCCTCTCTCCTAAACAGCCTGTTACTCTGTGTGTCAGCACACTCAACCCCTCTTCCTTCCTCCTCGGACAGCATGTGATGGGGTTCCTGAAGGCGTGGCACATCTGTGGTTCTCAGGAGGTGGCCCAGTCTGGTCCCGGAGAAGTGGGCAGGCCCACACCAAGGTTGAATGACTAGTCCCAGTAGGTCCTTCAAGGTCCCATTCTTCTTCGGGGGAGAGAAATAGCATTTCTAGAGTAGAATTCCTCCATAGATTAAATACTGATACTGAGTCTCTGATTCAGTAGGTCTGGAGTGGAGCCTGAGAATCTGCATTTCTAACAAATTTCCAGGGGGTGATGCTGCTGCTGGTTTTTGACACCACACCTTGAGACCACTGCACTAGATTATTCCTGTTTCTGGAGCCAGTCTTCCTCTACTTCAAGGCAACTCTTATAGCTTTCACATGGGAGCTTCGAAGGACACCCAAGGCCCCTGGAGGGGCTGTTCTCATCCTTTCTTAGTGTTCTTGGCCACATCTTCATAGCAGCCACTTGTTTGAAGAGACTTAATCTTGGCCAAAGTCCCAACTGCCTGGCCTTCTGGCTGAAAATGAAGGGCTGCACAAATGCTGGGGTGTGGTGGTAGCTGTGGGCAGCAGAGAGCATGCGTGACCTATGTCCTCTCACTGGGGGCCTCTCACCCCTCTCTCCACATGCTGGTATCATCCCACTGGGGGCCTGATGTCCAAAAGACACAAAAGGGTGCACAGTGAAAATTCTCCCTCTTATCTACCCTCTGGCCACCAAGTTTTCCTCCTCAGAACAGTCAATGTCAGCTCCTCTCTGAAACCTTCTTCATGCCTCCAGGGAGATTACACCTGTAACCTCTGGGATACCAAGCCTTGTAGGCAGATCTTTACCACCACATGTGAGGCATTGATTTAAACTGTGAGCAACTTGAAGGCAGATCTGTCTTCATATATATATTTTTTTCTTCAGAGATGGGAGCTGGAGTGCTGTGGTGTAATCATAGCTCATTGTAACCCCAAACTCCTGGGCCCAAGCCGTCTTCCTGCCTTACCCTCCTGAGTAACTGGGACACTACAGGCATACGCCACCACACCTGGCTAATATTTATACAAATTTTTTTTGTAGAGATGGGGTCTCACTATGTTGCCCAGGCTGGTCTCAAACTCCTGCACTGAAGTGATCCTCCTGCCTTGGCCTCCAAAAGTGCTGGGATTACAGGAGTGAGCCACTGTACTTGGCCTTGTTTATTCTTGTGATTGTATGGAACATATTATAGGCATTCTCTGAATGCTTGCTAAATGAAAACAAAAGCAATGATTAGTGTATGAGTCCATTTTCATGCTGCTGATAAAGACATACCAGAGACTGAGCAATTTACAAAAGAAAGAGGTTTAACGGACTTACAGTTCCACATGGCTGGGAACTTACAGTTCCACACTGCCCTAAAAGAGGTTCTCCATGAGCACCCTGCCCCTGCAGCAAACTTCTGCCTGGACATTCAGGCATTTCCATACATCTGCTGAAATCTAGGTGGAGGTTCCCAAACCTTAATTCTTGACTTCTGTGCACTTGCAGACTCAACAGCACATGGAAGTTGCCAAGGCTTGGTGCTTGCAGTCTCTGAAGCCATGGCCTGAGCGTTACATTGACCCCTTTCAAACATGGCTGGAGCACCCGGGATGCAGGGCACTAGACCCTAGGCTGCACACGGCACAGGGACCCTGGCCCTGGCCCATGAAACCACTTTTTCCTCCTAGGCCTCCAGGCCTGTGATGGGAGGGGCTGCTGTGAAGACCTCTGACATGCCCTGGAGACATTTTCCCTGTTGTTTTGGGGATTAACATTTGGCTCCTTGTTACTTATGCAAATTTCTGCAGCCAGCTTGAATTTCTCCTCAGAAAATGGGTTTTTCTTTTCTGTTGCATAGCCAGGCTGCAAATTTTCCAACCTTTAATGCTCTGTATCCCTTTTAAAACTGAATGCCTTTAACAGCACCAAAGCCACCTCTTGAAAGCTTTGCTGCTTAGAAATTTCTTCTGCCAGATACCCTAAATCATCTCTCTTAAGTTCAAAGTGCCACAAATCTCTAGGACCGGGGCAAAATGCTGCCAGTCTCTTTGCTAAAACATAACAAGAGTCACCTTTGCTCCAGTTCCCAACAAGTTCCTCATCTCCATCTGAGACCACCTCAGCCTGAATTTCATTGTCCATATCATTATCAGCATTTTGGTCAAAGCCATTCAACAAGTCTTTAGGGAGTTCCAAACTTTCCCACATTTTCCTGTCTTCTGAGCTCTCCAAACTATTCCAACCTCTGCCTGTTACCCAGTTCCAAAGTCGCTTCCACATTTTCAGTTATCTTCTCAGCAGCACCCCACTCTACTGGTACCAATTTACTGTAGTAGTCTGTTCTCATGCTGCTGATAAAGACATACCCAAGACTGGGCAATTTACAAAAGAAAGAGGTTTACTGGACTCTCAATTCCACGTGACTGAGGAGCCCTCCCAATCATGGTGGAAGGTGAAGGGCACATCTCATGGTGGCAAACAAGAGAGGAGAGCTTGTACAGGGAAACTCACAGTTTTAAAACCATCAGATCTCATGACTCATTCACTATCATGAGAACAGTGCAGGAAAGACCCACCCCCATAATTCAATCATTTCCCCACTGGGTTCCTCCCAGGACACATGGGCATTATGGAGTTACAATTCAAGGTGAGCTTTGGGTGGGGACACAGCCAAACCATATCAATTAGGAAGGCACAATAGATATAACATAGTCTGACTCTGGAGTCCTCAGACCTGAGTACAGGTTCTAGCACTGCCATTTATTAATGTGTAGCCTCGAACAGAAGCTAGTTAGCCTAGGTTATTCTCAGTCTTCTCATCTGCAAAATGGGCACAAGAGTATCATCCTGACATGTTGTGGTATTAAATAAGATGACACATAAAGCTCCTGCTGCAGTGCCTGGCACAAAATAGGTGTTCAGGTATTGGTATGTATGAGTGAAAGAAACCATGTGCTGGACAGACGAGGGGTTGGAGGATGAGATGGGCACAGGAAGAGGAGTCCTGGGGCCCTTATCTTTCAGGGTTTTGAGCAATGTTATCTTTTAGCCTGCAATATCGAAGTGGGATAAAGCAAGAGACTCTTGAGGGTAGAAGATGGAGCTGGAGAGAGTGGAATGAGATCAGAAGGCAGATATAGGGAACCCTTCACTGCCGGTTTGGTCTTTGTTCCCATTTCTGGTTTTTATTAATGTATGAATTCACAGTCTGTCATCTTTCACACATACCCCTTTTATCTGTATCCATCAGCTGATCTTAGTCCTGCTAAGGGTAGAGGCAATCACAGTAAAACTTGAAAAGGCCTGTGCTGAGAACCATGAGATCATGGATCTGTGTTTAATAGATGTTTGGGAATGGGAATGAGATTGTTGTTTATTATGTGCACATGATATGTCTGGGCTATTAAAAAACACTCCTGGTTCAGTCCTCCTCTAAGCTGTACTTGGCTTTTGTATTGGCTAAGCTCCCTTTTGTGCTATGGAAAGATACACTGCATGATGTGGTAGATATTACAAGTTCCCACATTATGAGTACCATATCCAGTTCTTTTCCCCTTCCAGGCCTATGGAAGACAGGACCCCTTTGCACGTGGACAAGGCCATGTGCCTGCTTCTGGTCATCTGTGAGCAGAGGCAGTACAAAGCCCACAACTCTCTCTCTGTCTTTCCTCAGGCCTGTGATCATGGAGGAGGCTTTGGTATAGGGACAGAACTGCAAGATTAAAGCAACTGGGAGCCCTGAGCCACAACATGGGGGAAAGATGCCTTGAGGAAGCACCCGGCTTGCTCAAAATTCTCTGTTGCATTAAGCCACTGAATTTGGGGGTTGTTACTGTAAGATAACCTGGCTTGTTCTAATATACGAATCAATGAGAAGACACGACAAGTCTTTTTACACTTTTTCCATCATCGGTAGGTTATATATGGCACTGAAAACCCATGTTTTTAGTATAGTGGTCGAGACTAAACATTTTATAATTATATCTCTGGCCTAGAATTACCTTCCCTCCCCTATTATTGGTTATGTTGAAGCCATGCAGTTCCCAAATAAGATATAACTTTCCAAATTTAATTTTTTAAATTATTATACCTTTTATAAAGTATTTCTATTAATCCAAGTTTATTTATGCTATAGTTTAAATAATTAAACCCGTATTTCTTAGTAATATGTAGTAAGTTAGGATTTCAGGAACATATCTCTATGAAGTCTAATCATATTCATTTTGGAGTCATCATAGAAGTCAAGACTGTTGTAGCTACAGAAACCCAGTGACAGAAACCCAATCCAACTCAAACTAAAGTTTAAAAAGTTAATTTTTTTAAGTTTGAATTTATTGTTTATCAAAGTTAAACTCTAGGGCTGATGTTCATCTAAGGCAAGAGGAGAGTCAAGGTAAGGGCTTGCTGGGGTCCTTGCTTCTTCATCTCTTGCCTCTGGTTCTCTCTATAGTGGAAGAGTTTCTCATCTTTTCAGCTCAGCATTTCTACCTGGTGGAGGAATATGGCTGCCATCCGCTCCATAAGCCTTTAGTTCCTACGCTTGGGTCTTCACAATCAGAGAAGAAAAGAGCTTTCTTCTCCCAAATCTAGTCAGAAAACTCCTGGGAAGAACGCTCTCCTGGCTTCTCCCCCATTAGATCAATCCCTTTACTAGTATTGACCAGAGTATTTTAGGAACACACCTTTTGTTACCAGGGGAGGGGAAGAAAGGAGGCAGTACAGATGGAAAATCTGGGGCTGGGCACAGTAGCTCATGCCTGTAATCCCAGTGATTTGGGAGACCAGGGCAGGAGGATCATTTGAGCCCAGGAGTTTGAGACTAGCCTGGTCGATATGGCAAAACCCTGTTGCTAAAAAAGAAAAATCAAACAAAACAAACAAAAATAACACCTAAAAATTAGATAGTTTCAGAAACGTTATTGGTCACAGAATGGGGCCAATATCGCCATTTTGATTTTAGTGTGAATTTAATAACTTTGCTTTCACTGATAGTTACGATCTCCTCTGAGGTTCTCCTCACCCAACTGATGTCAGACAAGGTGTGAATAAGAAGAGTTTATTGGGGTTGGCACATGATACCTAGGGTTACACAGAACCAAGGTATTAGTGCCATGGTTGTTGAGTTCATGTTGTACAGATATTTGGGGAACTCCATGAATAAGGTTAGCTGTAAAATAGCCCCTCTAGGTGTGGGAATCCTATAAATCTCCAGCTCCCAAGGCAAAATGCTCCTTAAGTACAGTTAGCAGGTACCAACTTGCAGCTATATAATTACCGAGTTCCAGGTGAACATGTTGTTATTCATCCAGCATTGCTTCTTTCTGATGGGTGTCAACTAATGAACTCTGGGAGCTGGTCTTTAGAAGATGAAATCAAGCAATGTTGTACAGGCTTTTGTTTTGTTTTTTTTGCTGACCTACCTCTCTAACGCCCTTCCCTGCCTCTCCTCCCTCATATCCCCTCTGGGACATTAGTTAATTGGCGCCAGGATTGTTACAGGAGCCACTTGGCTAAAAGGGAAAGATGGTAGGCGAGAGAGTGAGTCCAGGGCTGCTGCCCGTAAGAGTTCTTACATTTAAACTCAGCTTTAAAGGAAGAAGGCTGGAGTCTTCCTACCTGTGAGGCTTCAGGATGTGAATTTCATGAGTGAGATCCTGCTTTTGTTGAATGCCTGAAAAGTCTCTTCACACATTCACATACAGCTAGGAGGGTGGAGTGAAAGGGGAGCTTGTGCTGATCCTTACTCTTCTCTACAAATCAGACCTGGTTCGTTCTCTCTCTCTGTCTCTGTCTCTGTCTCTGTCTCTGTCTCTGTCTCTCTCTCTTTTTGAGATGGAGTCTCGCTCCATTGCCCAGGCTGGAGTGCAGTGGTGCGATCTTGGCTCACTGCAAGCTCCTCCTCCCGGGTTCACGCCATTCTCCTGCCTCAGCCTTCAGAGTAGCTGGAACTACAGTCGCCCGCCACTACGCCCGGCTAATTTTTTGTATTTTTAGTAGAGACGGGGTTTCACCGTGTTAGCCAGGATGGTCTCGGTCTCCTGACCTTGTGATCCGCCTGCCTCGGCCTCCCAAAGTGCTGGGATTACAGGTGTGAGCCACCGCGCCTGGCCAGACCTGATTCTCTTTGAGGCTGGGCTTGGGTTTTTTGGGAGGAATCTCAGAGACAGCCAACGGAGGCTGGAATTTACTGTGAGCCCTTCTTTCTCCACCCCACCCTCCCCAGTCCTCCCTGGGAGCTGCTCTCCTCTTCTCTAAATATGGGGCCCTCCAGACTTAAGAGAAAGCACAGCTGTTCCGATGCCTCCACAGGGAATCCCATTGCAGCACATTTCTGGTTGAAATTGGCTCAGTGATACCAATCATGTGTGAGATGTGATGACAGCTGGGAGCATGGCTGATTGTCCAAGGACTGAGGAGTCAGGGCCAAGGTTTCAAAAGGGAGACTCCCTGCACCTCTGCTCTACTCCAGTAAGGGGCTCTTGTGTTGGGGCTTGTCTCTTCTCGTAGGGCCTGCAAGGACCTGGAGGAAGGTGGAGTCAGTTCCCAGACAAGCAAACAAACAAACAAACAAACAAACAAAAAACCAAACCCCAAACCAAATTAGGTGCCTGGATATTCCAGAGTCTCTGCTTCTTTCTCTGTCCCTCCGGGAAACTCCTGCTTATCCTGCAAGATGCAGTTTTAGGACCATGTCACTCATCTTCTCTAAGAAGCCCTTCCTGATCTCCCTGTTAGGGGCTGGTGTCTTCCCTCTTTGGGCTTCCAGAATACATGTTTATCCCAGCACTTTCACGTTGCTTGAGTTACCATGTTACATACCTATTTTTTCCTCCTGAACCACATACTCCTTTATTTTTCCTATTTAAAAATGCATAATATGTCCTAACTCTTCCAAGTGAGGACAAATATTAACTCATTTAATCTTCATGTCAACCGTATAAGGTAGGTATTATTATCATGCCCATTTTGCAGATGAGAATACTGAGTTTCAAAGAGGTTACGTAATTGCCTGCAGCCACAGGTGTCGTAAATGGAAGAGCTGCTGTTCCCACCTTGGCAGTCAGTCTCCAGAGTCTTAACCAATGTGCTACGCTGCTGCCAGGTGAGGGTAGCATTTATGTTTTATTCATTTTTAATTTCCAATTTCTAACAATAGGCCTGGCACAAGACCTTAACAAATGTTTTTGAAAGAAAGAACATAGTATTTATTTGTTACAGAGGGAGAGGAATGAATAACTTTTTGGAGTCAGTATATATATATATTCCGTGTAATAAAATCTGCACTGTACTAATTTATTATGTTGTTTCTGAACTTTTTCCCTAAGAAGATGTATGTATGTGTGCGTGTATGAAAAATCCATTGCAATTTACTGTTATAAATTTATCTCCATGTTTTAAGTGCTCTTGTATACTTTTGCTCAAAAACAGAGTAGAAATTGTTCTGCACACTCTTAGACAATGAGACTGGCATTGTATGATGCAAACTCTCTCTGCCAATGAGCCTGTACCCTCAACTCTCTTGAGTTGAATGTATTCCACTAAAGAGGGTTGTTAATTTTTCTGTTGCCTCTCTTTTTGCCATTTATTTCATATTCTAGAAAATCACTTTAGCCCATGATGACTGGCAGGAAAAAACCAAACAAAGCTGTGTAAGTTAAGGGCCTGAATCTGTCTCAAAGAAACACAGCAGAGAGGATCAAGCTGGGTGGTAAAAGGCACGAAATCATTCTCTAGACCTAGCAATGGCGGCCACCAGTGCAGCTGTAAAGCAATGTCGGCAGCTCTTTATCTGAGAGAAATCAGAGGAACTCTTCAACCACCTCCAAGAACAACAACAACAACAACAAAAGGCCCATGAACAAAAATCTCTCTCTGGAGCCAGAACTGGCTGTCTTGACAGACAGACACACTGCAGCAGCTTCACAGTGTAAAAGGGGAGACAGACAGCAGTGCTGACCAGCAAGCTGTGTTTGGATGCCCCAGCACTCCAGTTACTCCTGAGCCTGGTATCCACCCTCCCGGCTTACCTGCATTGTGGGTAACCTGCCTTTTATTGGAAGTATGTGCCACCAAGTCCTTTATTGGCAGAAAGAACCACGCATTAGTGTGTAAAGACCCCAAGGACAGTTTCGCACCCTTGCTGGGGGCCACGCTTTGGTGGAGTCTAAGTTATGCCTTGAGATTATCAGTAAATGACAACCAATACTTGCTCTCATGGGGGCCACACTGGTTATGTTCAAGCCATCAGTTCCCAAATAAGCATGTAACTTTTCAAATTTAATTTTTAAAATTAGTATGCCTTTTATAATATATATTTCTATTAATCCAAGTTTATTTACACTATAGTTTAAGTAAACCCATACTTCTTAGTAATATGTAATAAGTTGGGATTTCAGGAACATATCTCTATGAAATCCAATCAGATAATATCCCTTTCCTGCACAGATTTGGCTATATCTCCAGTTCACAGAATGCATTTCCTACACTAAATAAGGAACACATTAAATGTGCCACACATTGTGCAAAGCTTTTTACAGATTTTATCTCACTCAGTTGTCATGACTTAAATTGTCATGGAAAGTACAAAGGTGAAATTGGATCCAGGAAATAGAATTTAGATGTTATGCAGACAATTTCTGTTGTCTTCTTTGTGCTTAGAATTGGTAGGTAAATACTGAATGCTGACAAAGTACCAAATATTCCTATTCAGAACCTAGAATAGCACTGATGAAGAAAGGAGAAAAAAAGTCCTTCCTTCCTCCATCACTTACTGGGCAGTTGATTATTCAATAATAACTATCCTGTATCACTTAGGACTTACTTTCAACTCTAAGTACTAGATGTTAAGAAAATATTGACTTATTCCAATGAAAGGTTTTGTTTTTCTGGCATAATGTGAAGTCTGGATGTAGTCAGTCTGGGACTAGGAGAGCAGCTTCACAATGTCATCAGAGATGCAGGCTACTTCTGTCTGCTGTCTTCCATGATCGTTAGTGCATGCTTGTCTCATGGGCATGAGATGGCTGCCAACCTCCAACCCTCTCATTCGCATTTCTAGCAGGAGGAAGGGAATGGGCCAGGGCTGAAAGGAACATACTGGCTGAGTCGGCTCCCTTTTATGGAACTTACCCAGCATTCTCACCTATTACCTTCCTCTTGCTTCCCATTAGCCAGATTCGTATCACATATTCACCCCTAGCTGCAAAGGTGGCTGAGAAAATGAGTTATGTTTTTTTTTGGCGGGGGGGTGTTTACTGTTGTGTCTAAAGGGACGTGAGTCTGCCATACATCTCTGAGCTTTAGTTTACTGTTTCCAGCTTATAGAGTCTCTCTGGTAACTCTTGGAGGTGGGGAGGGCTGCAGCAGGCATAGGCAGACCGCCTACAAGGTGTAGATTGAGGAACACTTGGGAGGCTCAGAGGTCAATTCATATAGGCGGATAGTAGCATAAGATAGACACAGCATCTTTGGGACCCTCATGACCTTTCTACTCTTACACTTCATCTGAGAGCTCAAGCTCCAATAATTTGACAGCTCATTGAACATCTGGCTGGATGGCTGTGGACCACTAAAGGTTCTTTCTAGAACCATATGACCTCTAAGTGGCTGGTGGACATTCACACCCCTAGAGGGGCAGGCTAGGATGGAAAATGTCCAGGGTGCTTCTTACCACCCATCCTCTGGGCAAATGCAACATAGGAATGATCATTCTAGAGACCATTGAGCTGCCATCTGTCTTTACTACAGGCAGATTGGGGTTGGAATATGGGTGGAACAAAGTCCTTTTTATCGCACAGACACAATTCTAGGGCAGAAAGAAGAAATGGACCCACATGTGACAGCAGTATTTTTTGAGGTGGTGCAGTCATCATGATAGACAGATTTAATTTTAGATTGAATTTAATAACATCATGAATGACAGAGTCATAGAGATAAAATTGTGTCCCATCTTTGGGGTTGGCTACATTTAGGAGCTCTACATCCATTAACATATTTAATCCAGGTAACCAACCTCCAAGGCAGTTGGTCATTGCTCTTTTACAACTGAGGAAACAGCATGAGTAATTTGCCTAGGACACAAAGCTCGGGGCTTAATTGAATTAGAGCTAGTTCATAGTCCTGAATTCTTCTCACCACATGATGCAAACCTCATAACACACCTGGAATCCTTTTAGTGCAAATAGGGGCAGGTTGGAATTGGAGAGAATTAAAATAATCTGGGGAGGTGTTTCCTCTGCTTCCCTGGGACTCTGGGAAACTGGACTTTGGCCATGATTGCAGTTGTCCAGCAGAGGGCACCAGATAGCTTAGAATCGGTTCCAGCGAGGGCTGCACAGACTCGGAAGGAATTAGACTAAACCACACACAGCTCAGGTTGCAGGACAGAGGGGAGAAATCTCAGCCGAGATCTGGGTACCGCAAGCAGTTAGGCATTCTCCATCCACTGGGGACCTCTGGGGTGGTGCAGGCAGGCTGAGACGTGTAGCCCTCTGAGGATCCAGGTGACTTGCGATTTGAGAGGTGTTTGGGAAGGGGCTTGACGCTTTAAAGGTGAGGCTGGCTTCTGCGAATGGAGAGATTGACTGCTGAATAGTTTGAAAGAAGCTACAAAACAACCCGCCTTTGTAAGGACATGGACCCCTCTGTGACATCTCCCCAGCGATGTCATCATACATACATCAGCTAAGTATTTCATCTATAAGAAGAGTAGGATGTCCAGGGCCTACAAAAGCCACAGGACAGTGAACAAGTACTAACTCCAATTGGTTCTCTTCCTAAGGCAAAACAGGGGTAAAAAGAAAAAACAAACACCCAACTCCACATCAGTCTTTTTTTCTGGCAAATTTCTCTAACATGTATCCTCCCAAACCACTGCCAACAAAATCCAGGTGGTCTCCTTGGCCTTCACCCTCCCTGCGAGTTTGCTGGGGGCAGTCGACTGCATGGGCACAAGGCAGGGCCTGCTGTCAGCCTGACGCGGGGCTTTCCGGAGCTGCCGGGTGGTGTCAGCCACCTCCCCTTATTCTGGAGCCCCTTCAGGTTCAATTCCACATCCATAAATCAGCACTTTCACCTGAGGCCTTGAGTCACTGGGGAGTTCCCTAGTGGCCCAAAGTGAATGCTCCTTCCCTTAGGTGTTTCCATTGCTCCCTGTCAAAAGTGTTTTGAATTGAATATGAGGATAAAGACTTTTTTTTTTAAACATGTGTTTATAAATGTTATCAAAATGACAGCAGCGTGCAGCTTGATGCCATGTGGAGAACTTAACAATCTTCAAAGCAGTCTAATTCAGAAACAGACAAACAGGCCATTTTTAGTGTCCCATTTTAAGCTGCTGTTGTTTGTGCTTGCATGTCTGTGTGTGCATGTGTGCATTTGAAGCCGAGAATGGTATGTTCTCTATGCCCTTGCTACTCAAAGTGTGGTCCCTGGACTGGCAACATCAGCAACATCAGGGAGCTTGTTGGACTTGCATCATTTTGGGCCTCACTCCAGACCCACTGCATCAGAATCTGCATTTTAACATAATCCCCAGGGGATTTGTGAGTTGCTTAGAGTCTGAGCACCAAATGCTTTCTGTTCCAGCAGCTTTCTCAATACCTGGGGAAGGAGAAGGGAGAACCGCAGAACTGGGCTCTGTCTTCTAGATGGGCACATTATTCCCGCTCATTGGGGACCGTGTCTCTGTTCCTTTGTTCTCTTTGAGAAGGGAGGGTCTGGTTGGTGGGGATTAGCACATTCTGTTGGGCAATAATGGTCTGGGGCTACATATTTGTGCCATTTTATGGCAAGAGGTGTGGACTGGGGACATATGGAGAAAATAGGTCTTCTGATAAGCAAGTGGTGGGCATGGAGTATCCAGCAGGGTGAGGTGGCAGGAAGGGGCAGGAAGACAGTGAAGTCTCAGCACAGACACATTTGGGCAACAGCAGCTCACCTGGAATTATATGACATCTCCTTAGATGGGAGTGGGGGCGGGGATTCTGAACTGGAAGCATCCAGCCTTTTCAGGAAACATCCAGAGATACAAAGGACTTATCAGTGGCTGAGGGGACCCAGGTGTTGCCTCGGACTGTGTCCTGGGACTCTCCCCAGGGACTCTCCATGCTAAGTGGAACAATTTGGGTGGCCAGATTGGATGGCAGATGGAGACAGTGTGCAGATGTATGGCCCTGGAAGATAAGAGATTTTTTGTGCACATTAAATAGGCTATTGTTGTCCCAAAGGAGCCATTCCCATTCTTTTCCTGACCCTCACAAATGTCAGTTACATAACAGAGCCAGATCAATATCTGTTTCTATGTAAGTATTGTAAGTGCTTTTCAGGAAGATCCAGCTTTTGGCTGAGATGAAGACACATACCTTCTCTCAATTAAGTTCCCAACCTAGTGGCATGAATAGAGTGTCTCTTGGTCTGGTTTCCCTTCCTTTAAAATCTGAGCGATATTAATTTCTACTGTTGAAGGAATAATTGGAGTTGATGGAGGTAGTTCTACCCACCAGGGAGGCCTGGTCTAGCTAGATGTGGTGGGAGCAGTGCAGGCGAGTGGTGTTTGGCTGGAAGCAATGATCCATTCCTTCTTCATATGTGTACACGTCACTGGGAGTCAGGCTTCCGCTTCAGAGCATGCTTCATTTCCTGACCCACCCCTGAGCCTCAGAGGCCACCCAAGTCTTTGGAATTTACTTTTGGCACAAGGGCAAGAAAAAGTATCTCTCTCTCTTATTGGCTTCTTTTATTCCCATGTGGGCCTCAGTTACTCATCAGACTCCAGTTTCTATTTGCAGGATAAACCCAGAAAGAAATATAATCCTCAGAGAAAATGGTATCACGTCCCACTGGGCCTCTGTTAGGCATGTTGGGCCTTGGAATGAGTTCACAATCCCAAATCCTAAAGTTAAGGTCCCAGAAGTCTGAGTCTCTTCTGTGTGCTGCTGAGTTTCCAATGCACAATTCGATGCTTCAGAAGTCAGCCAGCCTCACTCCTGCTTTCCTCTCCCCTTGCAGAGTTGGCCCTCCCTGTTGGATGGGACCTTGTCATGATTCTCTGCAAGCTGATTGGTTGGCCAACCTGGTTCTCTGGACCTAGCTGGGGACATCTGAACCTACTGAATGCCTGGGGCCTGGCCAACTGTATTAAGCATATCTTTTAGGCAGGGTGTGGTGGCTCACACCTGTAATCCTAGCACTTTGGGAGGCCAAGGTGAAAGAATTACTTGAGACCAGGAGTTCAAGACCCACCTGGGCAACATAGTGAAACCCCCTGTCTCTTAAAATAAATTAGCTAGGTATAGTGGTGCATACCTGTAGTCCCAGCTACCCTGGAAGCTGAGATGAGAGGACAGCTTGAGCCTGGGAGTTCAAAGCTGCACTGAGCCATGATTGTGCCACTGCACTCCTGCCTCTGCGACAAAGTGAGACCCGGTCTCCAAAAAAGAAAAAAAAACATGTCTTTTGATTTGAATGTTTTGACATCTGGGCCTTGCTGACACTGGAGAGATTTCCCTACCAGCTAGCCAGTTCCTAGAGAAAGTAAGGAACTCTTCTGCAAGTGTGCCTTTCATAGGCAAAACAATCGATCCAGAGACCGTATCCCATGCCTTCTCTATCAGGCTTTTACACTCTGGACTGATAATCACTCCAGGGCCGGGTACTAGATGACTTGGGACAGCCCTTATAACCCAGAGCCTCCCCAAATGATTTAACCTAATCAATCCTCAGCCTATTCATGCTGCCTCACCTGTCCCTTCTCATGCAAACCACAATATGGGCTTGTGCTCGTGTTTTCCCCTTGCTCCCTCTGCGCCTGACCAACGCTGGTTCTTCTCATGTGGCCCTGCGTGGTGTGTTGTGCCGGGCCTCTTTTGTCTGGGGATCTGTGAACACACACATTTCTCCTTGCATGACAGCTATTTCCATACGTTGTGTCTTATCACACCAGATTAAAACAAATCTGGGTGCATTTTAAAAGACCAACCCTCCTCCCCCTAGCTTGGACCATGCTCCTTGAACCCACAGTTCACCAAGCTTCCTGTCTTGTATGTGTAGACCTCCTGCCCTTCCTGACTTCTAACTTGGAATGACCATCCCTCCTCCAAGTTTTTTTTTTTTTTTTAACTGTTACAGATATCCCAAGGCCCGAAACATCTAGAAATTAGGAATATGGCTGTTGTACACACTTTAAATGTTGCACCCAACCCACTGGGATGCACGTTCCTGTGCTGGTGCTGTTATTTCTATGGGAAGGATTCCAAGAGTAAAACGGCTGGGCTGGGGGACACAGATGCCATTAATTTTGATAGATATTTGCAGAAAGCTTTGCAAAAAAGCTGCCACCATTCACATTTCTGCTGGCAATATATGAAATGAACTCTTTCTCCGGAAGCTCCCTGGGATCTTGGCATTCTTGGAGTTTAACCCCCCCAGGCACCCCAGGTGAGCACTGTCAGCTGCCAAGAGCCCAGAGCTCCCAAGGGGTTGGGGTGGGGCTGTGGCCCCTCACAGGTGCCGATGCCACCTAAGAACCCAGGCTGACTGGTGAAGGCAGGATGATTCCCACTGGTCTGCTCGTGGTGGGCACTGGTTCTTTGACCTGAGACTCTGCAGGTGACATTGTCTCTGATCCCCCTCCCTGTTGGCTGGGCCTCCCAACAGACCTCTCAAATTATTTTTGCTATATTTGGTTTCACGATTAGTTAAATATTAAGAATTTCATGATTTCTGGGTAAATTTGTCTTTTTTTTTTTAAGTCTTATCCATTATCCACAGAACTTGACTTACAAGCCAGGAGGCGTCTTGGTGGCAATTAGCTCGTGTGGGGTAGGGGATTTCCTGGTGCTACTCAGGCCATACAGCCCTGCTATTTACTCCTTAAGACCATGTCAGCAATTTTCTCCTTCTATGCTTAAGGGCCCATTTAAAATACACATTTTATTTTTCAGAAAACTGCACAATTATTGTTTTTCTTTCTTTCTTTTTTTCTTTTTGAGATGTAGTCTTGCCCTGTCACCCTGGAGTATAATGGCACGATCTCGGCTCCCTGCAACCTCTGAGGCCTCCCGGGTTCAAACAACTTTCCCACCTCAGTCTCCTGAGTAACTGGGACTACAGTCAACCACGCTCATGCCAGGCTAATTTTTGTATTTTTGTAGAGAGGGGGTTTCAACATGTTGGCCAGGCTGGTCTTGAACTCCTGACCTCAGGTGATCCACCCATTATTATTTTTGTAGCAGAAAATATAGCCAAGCAAGAGAAAAAAATATTATTTAAAATATTGCTAACCAGAAAAAAACATTACTAGCATTTTTGGGTAGGTTGTTTTCCAGGATTTTTTTTTTTTTTTTTTTAATGAGAAAGCTTATTTTTGGCCTGTAACCTGCACATTTCAGTGGAAAAAAAAATGTGTGTCATTCCTTGTCAGTAAATTGGTTTATAGCACCATTTTCTATGGCTGTGTAAGCATTTTGTCACCCTTTACATGGTTTAACCAAACACCTATTGTTGGTTGCTTTTCCTAGATTTTTGCTGTTGAAATAACATCTATAACAAATGGCTTTGCACATATGTTCGTATAATTGTCCAATTATATTCTTAGGCAAAATGCCTAGAAATGAGATTACAGAATTAAAACGGAGTCACTTTTTAAGGGCTTTTATGTTGAATTGCACTCCAGAAAATGTGCGCCACTTTATACTCTCCCAAGAAGGATTTGAGTAACTATTTCTTCAAACTTTTTCAAACAATTGAGAATTGTTATTATTTTTCATCTTGACCAGTTTGATAAGTGAATTTAATGTTTGCCAACAAGGGCAATAAATCCCTCTCCTTCACCATCTCACTGTCAACACAAAGGGCTGGGAGCGTGGAGTCTTCAGTCAGATGGACCATGTTGATGGGACCCTGGACAAGTCATGTGACCCCTGCGAGTCTCAGTTTCCTTAGCTTTAAAATGGGCATAATAAAAGCTTGTCTCGCTGGGTTCTTGAGAAGTTTACATGAAGTACTACAAGGAAAGTGCTTACGAGGGTGCTTGGCACAAAGAGTATTTTCAATAAATAGCCTTTCAAACAGTCCTCAAGATGTCACCTGGTCTGCCTCTTGCCTTAAGCAAACTCCTACTCAAGGCTTACAGAACTCTCATGAAATAGGCAAGACCCCATGGAAAGACGTGCGATCCCTTTGAGCATTGCCTACCATGAGAAGCTCTACACACAACCTTAGCTCTGCTTATAGTAACGTGGAAGTAGTTATATGCACCCCACATGTGAGTTCCCTCTTTCACATGCACAGTCTGTAAGATTTCAATTTCGTTGATCATCCATGAGGAGTCACAGCATGTTAAGATTTGGCTTCTAAGGAAATTTGGGCAAATTACTTTACCTCTCTATGCCTCAGTTTCCTTTTTTTGTAAAATGGGGGTAATCATAGTCCCTGCCTTGGAGAATTACGGTGAGGATTAAATGCATTAATATTTATAATGTACTTAGACCGGTGCCTGGTGTGTGGTAACCCACGTTTGTTTCCTAACGTAACAGGTGAGTGCAGGCGCAGTATGTATGCCATGTGCCTGGTAGGCCCTTGCTACTGGGAGTGTTACAGCCACACAGGAAGTGTGAGCAGGGAGCCGGCTGCAGTAGAGGCTCTGTGCAGTGCACATGAGGATGGTCCATCTGCCTGGCCCTGGATGGAGGAGTGAATGGAGATAGATGTCTGTGTGCTTCCTTTCATTGGAGCAGAAGGGCAGAAAAGAGAGTTAACACAGGGTTTCTTTGAAGGGAGCTCTGCCAGTTGGATGAGGGTCAAATGACTCAATCAAACATCTGTCTCATCCTATCTCCCTCCTTGTCATTTCAACTCCAGGATCATCTCAGGGGAGACAATTCCCCAGTGAAACTCGACACTAAAATCCAGATCAGAGAGTCTCAGGCAGCCTCTGGCTGAGCATCCGGATGAGGAATGGGCATCTGGCTGATGGGAAAGCTGGGGATGCACAGCTCTCAGTCATCACACTCCTCACTGGGGGGATGCTGTAGGGTGCATGTGCCAGGCCAGCCCCGAGCAGAGGAGAGGCCCTGTTCCTGGAGGACTGCAGTCAGCCTCGGGCTGGCTCCCACTGGAGCAGAGGACAGCCTGAGCGAGGGCTGCGGCTCACCCCTGTGCCACCTCAGGGTGTGTCCTAGGGTCCTCATATCTGTAATCTGCCAGCCTTAGGTGATGCTGACTCCCAGAGCCATTGTGTTTGGCCAACAGAGTACTTTTCAAAATTTGTTTGGCAAGCCTTGGGCATGAGTGTTGGGAGCTGGGCTCATACTTCCAGCTACTTCCTGTCACCTGACCTCCTCCTGATGCCCTGGGGACTAGCTTGGCTCTGTGGGCCTTTAGGATTTCCACCTGCATATGGAAGAGACCCTAAAACTTGTGTGCTTCTTACTGAGCAACAGCTGAGCAGACCCAACACACAAGATGTGGCCTCTGCTGTTTAGCCCCTAGCACCCTTTAGGGGCTGTTCTCTGTCCCTGCTCTGCTGGAGGTTCCTCCTCCTATTCTCCCTGGTTCTCCAGCTATGGGTGGATGCTGAGCTCGTGACCACTCGCACTCTGCTGCACTTCGCAGAAAGACCTCGGGAATCCCCTATTGCCTGGATTTTCTTACCACTGAGCCCCACCCCTGGACAGGAGCACCCTACGCAGGAGCATCTGCCTGAATGAAGACCAACTTCATAATACCGCTTTGGGTGACTACACATAGACACCCCTCAGGGTCCAGCCTGAAAGTGAGATCGGATCTCCTGGCCCCAGCCCCAGCACTCCTGCCTCTGCCTCCCCACTGGTCACACTGTGAGACCCAAGCAAGTCTAGGACTCTGAGAATGACCTCAGGCTTTGCCTGAGAACTTATTCACAGTATCCTAGCAGACTTGGGTGTGTGACTCAGCCTGCAGCAGTCGAAAATCAATGAGCTGTATAGCAGGACAAAAGGTATCCAGAAGGAAAAGGGACATTTGGCAGGCAGCAGAAGTCACGGTCACTGGATAGCTTCACTAAGTCATAAACTACACGGGCCCAGCCGAGAGGCTGCCTGTGGCCACTGGTGGGCTATGCGTGAAGGCTGAGGCGTGCGTTCCAGCAGCAGCGCTGGGCAGGAGAAGCATGTTTCCTAGGGAGGTGATTGTGTGCTGGACTAAGGTGGGCATGGAGCTTAGGTTCTCTCTCCACATCTGGCACCGGTAGATCACACGAACTTCAAGTTTCTTATGGAGGGGAGAATAGCCCCTCTGAATCTAGTGGAAGCCACTCTGAAAACCAAGCCTGATGTGGGGCACATGTCAGGCCTTCAGTTTCAGTTCCCTTTCTGTTTGTACTGAACTTGCTTAGAATGGACTTGGACTCAAGGCATGAAATTTTGAAGTTTTGCAGTTGCTGCATTTCTAATTTTTATTTTATTTTGTTTTTTAGAGACAGGATCTTGCTCTGACACTCAGGCTAGAGTACAGTGGTGAAACCATAGCTCACTGTAGCCTCAAACTCCTGGGCTCATGCCTCAGCCTCCTGAATAGCAGAGATGACAAGTGCACACTGCAGTGCCTGGTTAATTAAAAAAAAATTACAGAGACATGGTCTCACTATGTTGCCTAGGCTGGCCTTAAACTCCTGGATTCAAGTGATCCTCCCACCTTGGCTTCCCAAAGTGTTGGAATTACAAGTGTGAGCCACTACATCTGGCCCTATCTCTGACTCATCAGATGTATTATAAGATGCATCTGGATTTCAGAGATGCTAAAATGGCAAAATCAATTTGCATCTTAGAGTCAATGACATCCATTATTGGTTTGGGAAACCTGCTTCCTGGAGATCTACAGTATCCATTTTCCAACTGTGAAAAGTGCTGTCATAAAAGCACCTGCTTAACTTAGGATGAGTCCTCTTTTTCCAGACTTACTTGACCAGAGAATCCCCTCTGTGTAGCTCCTGTAGCTTTCTCTGAAACTTATATTCTATGGAACATATTTTAGGTCAGCTTAAGTCATTTAGAAGAGCTTAAATTGCATTCAATATACTCTCTTCATTGGCTTTAGTTCTGTGATGTGAAACATTTTAGAAAGATTTCCATAAAAATACTCAAAGAAATATCACTTTTAGCTCAGATTTGCAAGAATCCTTTGGTGAGCTTGGGCCACTTCTTGCCTGCTCCAGGGGCTGATTTGCATAAAGGGCCCTAGGTTTTGGGGAAATTGCTGGTTTTTCCTGATTTAAATTAAGATTGTGCTCCCCTAGAGGCAATGTAGAACACCCACCAAAAGCCAGAAGTGCCTCCATGTCCCACCTTTCTCCCATAGCCAGGTACTGGTGCCGGGCTATGAAAGGTCAGCTCCTTTGCCTCCAGGTGAGCCAATTCCTATAGTGTAATTTCCACTGCAGAGCTCCCTGTAGGATCAGGCTGAGGCTGGGACTTTGCCTCAGATTGCACCTTTGCCTGATTTTCTCTTTTTCCCTCACTTTCTTACCAGTTTTTCCAGAGGTACTACCTTAATAGATCACTAGCACATGAATTCTCACCTCAGAGTCTGCCTCCAGGGACCCTAACCACAGGCAGGCACCTGAAAAAATCAACAAGCGTTCTTAAATATGTTCAATATTTAGTTTGCATTGCAATTTCTCCAGTATTTCATTATTTCTTTTAATAATTTGCTTGCTTGAATTAGGATCGATGTGTGGTTTATGCACATTGAGGGGATAACTTTTAAAATCTCTTTTAATCTTTAGGCACCTCTTCTTTTCCATTGCATTTATTTATTTATTTATTTATTTATTTATTTATTTATTTGGTTGGTTGGTTGGTTGGCTGTGGGCCGGGAGGTGGTTTTGTTTTTGAGAAACAAGACTGTTCCAAGAGATTTCCAGAGTCTGGATTTCCCTGGTGTTACTATTTGACATGATCTTCTGTCCTTGTTTTCCTTGTGAATTGGTACCTACCTCTAGAGGCGGGACCAGATTCAGGTGTGATTTATTGGTAGGATTCCTTCATAGGTGGTGTGTTTTCCATCAGCTGGTGCCTAATTTCTAATCGTCTTTCTTTTTGTGATGCTGCCACCTATTGAAGCTTCATGTTCAGACCTGTTATTGGGGGTTGCTAAATGATAATATTCAAATTCTGTTATTTCTTCTCTTTTAGATGGAATATTCTAAGATGCTTCCCTTTACCAACTCTTTGGTTACTTAAAGTACAGTTTGCATAGAGAGAAGAAGAACAAATGTTTGATTTTATCCTTTGTTTATCTGCTTTCAAAATGAGTTGGTTTCCCTAGCATTCTTGAATGTCTTATTAGATTTCTTTTTGTATCCTGATGAGCTCAAAGATTTATACGTATATCATGCTTTTCGATCCATCACAATTATACAGTGGATATATGTTTCGCTTTGTGATTTCCTGTTTAAAAAACTCAGAAGTTTGTCTTGTAGATCTTTTCATGCGTGTGTGTAAAGATCTACCTCATTTTTTTTTTTTTTAAATCGCTACTGAGTAGGACCCAACAGACACGTCTAGGGTTTACATTAGACTCTTGCTATCAGGCTAAGCTTTCTATAGTACTTAAGACAATTCACGATGGAAGTATAGAATTTTTACCTTCTGAATGAAAAAACAGAGCCCAAGGTCACCTAGTTTAGAAGTGGTGACCAGGGATTTGAGCCCAGCAATTTTGGCCTCCAGAACCCCTGCTCTTGACCACTGAGGCTCTGACTGGGCCAACCTGAGCTGCTTTCCTGTTCCAAGGGAGTTACTCAGACATCCCCTCCTTAGTCTGAAGCCAGACCTTCTCTAGGCTGCTGGCTGCACCTTCCAGCCTCCTCAGGGATCCTCCTCCAATCAATTCTCCCTCTTGTGTGGACTTGTCTGCCTCTGGAATCAGCACATTTTCCTTGGCAGTGAGCATGCCCGCATCTTCTCCATCTTAAGTAAACAAAGCATCCTCCTCTTGGCCCTATGTGCCCTTTGAATTGAGGCCCACCTTTCTCCTCCCGTGACCAGTTTTTTTTTTTTTTTTTTTTTTTTTTTTTTATCGCATCAGAGGAGAGCAGGAGGCCTGTGAACTGGCTCTGTATGTTCCCTGTGTGACCTTCGGGGCCTTTGTACCTCACGGGGCAGGGAGAGGGGGCGGTGGGGACGGTCTCAGCCCACCCAGGCCATTAGCTCTTTCTTTGCAGATCCCACGTGGAGGGCTCCCACCTGCCCCTGCTGGGTTAGCCCTGAGGGGCAGGTAAATTTTGGAAAGTCAAACATGGCCTTTGCACTCTTGGCTTGGAAGTATTGGGACAGTAGAAACTGCAAGAGAAAAATTTTGATTTGTAGAGGGGTATTCTTTTGACTTTTATCAGACTCGGACTATTCATTCTTTCTTCATGGATTCTTCCTTGACATGCTCAGCCTTCATTAGTGTTTCTTTTTTCTGTGTAACTATTACCAGTTCTCCAAATGTTTTGCTTTGCATTATTAGCTATTTTTGGATAAATATATTTATAAACTTTTGGGGGGCTGCTATGCCTTCTAATCTTTGATTCCCTTACAGTCAGCTAGCCCACTGGCTACCCTGCACATGGCAGGCACTCTGTAGTTGGATGATGGTCTCATTCATTGTCCTTACTGGCCTGGGAGGAAGAATGGGGTCATATTAATAGACAAACCAGACAGCATAGTCTTTAGCTTCTATCTTCTGATACAAGACATCAGACTAATAATGTCTTACATGTGCTCCCCCAAAAGCTTATTTCTGCCACCATTACTGTCTGATGTTTCTTTCTTGGGATTGTCTGATAGAAAAACCCAGTAATAGGAGCTTAAACCAATAAGGATTTAATTTTGCCATATACAGAGGAGTCTGTAGGTAGGTGTTGGTGCCAATGAGGGAAGCAATAATATCAGGTCAACTCCTCTGCCATCCCTTTGGTCATGCTTGCTCTTCCTCCATCATACTGCTGCCTCATAGTCACAAAGTGGCTGCTGCTTCTCCAGACATTGTATCCATATGTAAGGCAGAAGCAAGATGGAGAAGAGATGGTTATACCATTTCCATCTCTCCCCTTTCACTTGGGAAAATGGATGTTTTCCCAGAATCTCCACAGATTTCTGTTCATGTCTTATTGGCCAGAACTCAGTGAGGTGACCACTCCTACTTTCAAGGAAGGCTGGGAAAACATTTTCAGGTAGGCATATTGACACCCCTACTAATATCTGGGTTCTTTTAGCAAGAAAGAGGTGGGCATGGCTACTAGTTATTCAACAAACACGTGCCTGTTCTGCCTCAACCCCTTTAGCATGAATTCTTTTCTAGAAAGTTTCTGAAAGTCTTTGCCTAAAAAGGGGCTCCTGGCAGGTCTAACTTGCCAGATTGACAGACCTGTCTAAAGCCCAGCTAAAAGACACTCTGAGCCCCCCTCCACATTTGACAAAAGTAGACTCATTTGACAAGATCAAGGGCTAATTTAGAAATACCAGTGTTGCAACTTACCATGTAAAAGGGTGTCATAAACATGACTACATATGGTACATAAAGATAAAAGATATTAAATACCTAACGTAGTGCCTAGCACATGATTGGCATCCAATCAATATTAATTTCCTTCTCCCACTGTCTCTTTCCTACTATTGCCCCTCCTTCCTTGTGTTAGCAGGGAAGGTCATTGTAATGGGTACTGGGCATTTCAGCTCTTTGGCTCATGACCCAGAATTCCCAGAGAAGGATCTCAAAGAACATGCCAACTCTCAGGACTCAAGGAAGCCAGAGATGGAAGCCAGAAATGTCACACGTCTTGGTTTAATTCAATTCACAAGTTGCTTATCCAGAAAACTTGAATCTATAGCAAACCAGGCCTAATTAGCTCTGGCGCTTGCTCGATGGATCTGCTTGTTATCCTGTAATAATGTAATCAATACTGCCCGCCTGGCATGCTATCAGATGTTCTACGAGATGCACAGAAACTCAAGAGGTCATCCAGTCTGCAGCATGACAAAATGGAGCTTACCCGAGCTTCTGTAGTAGAATCACTTCTCCATGTAGGCAGAGAGGATGGCTGCATATATGGTGTAGTTCGGTAAGATCAACAGTAAGGAGTATTTTGCCTTATTATTATTATTATTTTTACTTTTTACCTTCTTGATAGATTATATACTAAAGTGAAAGGAGCATTCAACTAGAAGTGAAAATATGGGTTTGAATTTTGCTCCCACCGCTAATTTGCTTTATGATTTTTAGGAAAATTATGCAACCTCTGTAATTCTCCATCTTTCCTAGGAAAATGGGTTGCTGTGAAGGTTAAATAAGAAAACTTTTGTAAAAGCATATGGCGCATAGTAGGTTTTTAATTAATGCATATTTCTTTTCCTGCCAAAACAATAACAGCAATGACTATGGACCAGGAATTTTTAATATGTTAGCTCATTAGTTCTCAAACTGTTGAAGTATAGGTAAAATCCCCAGTTACAGATGAGAATATTGAAGCTCTAAAATACTAAATAACTTGCCCCAAATCACAGACTGGTTAAGTGGTGGAGCCAAAGTTTGTACCAAAGTTTGTTTTATTTTAGATCTTTCTATTCACAGACATACCAGCTAGTCCTTTCACTATTCTTGGCCTAAAATCTTAGTATCCTGCCTGCCATATTTTTATTTTAATAACAAGTAAAGTCTTACACTAAATGGAAAGCCTGCATAGTGGCATTGCAGGTATCAGCAAGTTAGTTGAAGAAATCAACCAACCAACTAAAGTGGACTTGAGCTATAAGATACTGACACTGTTGCAAATTCACTCTACCCAGAAGAATATCATTGGGAAGTGTGAGTCTACACAGCTTCTCTGGACCCCATGGCCTTTCTGAGGGGCTCACTCCTTCCCACTCCTCTTTTCTTCTGCATGCCTTTGGCACATGGCCCACCCTCCCTTTATGAAAGTGCAGTAGAGAATGCAATATTTTTCTTTTTTAAAATAATTTTTGTGGGTACATAGTAGGCATACATATTTATGGGGTATATGAGATGTTTTGATGCAGACATGCAATGTGAAATAAGCACATCATGGAGAATAGGATATCCATCCCCTCAAACGTTTATCCTTTGCATTACAAATAATCCAATTACATTCTTTAAGTGATTTTAAAATACACAATGAAGTTATTATTGACTATAGTCACCCTATTGTACTATCAAATAGTAAGTCTTATTCATTCTTTATCTATTTTTTTTGTACCTATTAACCATCCCCTCCCACACAACACCTTCTGCCCTTCCCAGTGTCTGGTAACCCTCCTTCTACTCTCTATGTCCATCAGTTCGATTGTTTTGATTTTTAGAACCCACAAACAAGTGAGAACATGCGGGAATGCAGCATTTTCCTTTCTCTCCCATCCTGTTGTTTTCAAAACAATATAAAATCCATTTTGATTTCTCTAAGCCATAGAGAAAGAGAAACAGGTTAACCAAAAGGTGAACTACTTGATACATTGTATAAAAACAGGAAAACCCTGAAACTGTGGCGGGCATCATCCCTGCTGACATGCGAAGGAGGCACTCTCCCACGCCTCCTTGGGAGCATCCAGATTGGTTTCCTTTCATTCTCTTCCCTCCCCTCTTCTCTGGGAAGGGAGTATCTCCCAGTTTCACTGAGATTAGTACAGTTTGGTAGGAAAGAGACTGGACTTGGCACCTGACATACTTGGTTGGGGTTTAGCTCTGCCACTGTATGACTTCACCTCTTGTGCCTCAGTTTCCTCCTCATCCAAACGTTGATAATAGTGGCACTTTTCCCCTGGGTTTGTCAGGAGGATTAAATGAGAGCACACATGAAAAGGGCTCAGCATAGTGCCAGGCATGTGGTAAGCAATTAATAACTGGTAGCTACTTATAATCACCACTATCCTGTGGGGAATTCCAAGTATCTCCATTTTTTTTTTTTCGCTTGTTTTCACTGGGGAGCTGCAACAAAAATGCCCAGCTAACCCAGACCTAGAGTTCACAATCAATCATTAGTCTGCGTGTTCCCAAGGGGAAAGAATCATATTCAAAAAGATAAATCATTTAATTCATGGAAGAAACATATAAGTCCAGAGAGCTAATGATTGAAGGACTGCAGAGGAGTCCTGTAAAGTGACTGAGGATGGAATGTGTTGTCACAATGTCACTGGGTAGGTTAGTATTTTTTTTTTTTTTGAAAAATTTTAAAGGAGGTCAGCAGACAATGGAGTGAAAGATTTGTCTGGATTTTTTCCTCTGTCTTTTCTTCTTTAATGTGAGGCAGGTCTGTTCTTTGAAGGCTTGGTTTCTGATGCTACTGATGAGATGCAGGTGGCTTTCTGAACAGTTGTGTTGTCATTTATCATTCTTTATTATGTAGTTTGCTAACACCAAGGTGGAAGTTTTGAAACCTTTTTGGCTGATTTATGAAAGCTAAATACGAAAGGTACATTGTAGGTCTTTATTTGGGGCCACAGCATGGCTCTGCCTGCTTCATCAGTGAACCCACTCAGATATCTATCAAAACATTAGAATCGCTGGTGGGGATGATGTCTGCAGACCACCCCAGAGGTCATCCAAACATCAGGAATCATTTACAAATGAACAGCTGTGTTCTCTACACAAAGTAACTGTGTGGGTGGAGACAAAAAAGTATAAATATTCAAAATTTCCTTGGTGTGTAGGATGCTA
Organism: Homo sapiens; assembly: GCF_000001405.40. Taxonomy (NCBI): domain Eukaryota; kingdom Metazoa; phylum Chordata; class Mammalia; order Primates; family Hominidae; genus Homo; species Homo sapiens. Next base: position 133,829,071 of record NC_000002.12, on the reverse strand, counting down.
TTTTTGTGATTCCTGTAAACCATTTGAAGCGTGATTTTTTCCCCCTATTTGTCATACACATTAGCAGAAAAGAATCAAGGAAAATCATTGGAAATCTTTAGAATATTAGGTAGTACCTGAATTTGTGAGCACACAAGTTTTGGACTTGAAATATCTTGGAATATTCTTTTAGGATATTATTTAGTAATTTAAAATATTTAAGATTTTTAGAAATTAAGATTTTTTTTTTTATTTTCCCAACCCAATGTTTCAATAGACTCTGAGCCCAAACTGATAGTTACTGGATTGCCATCAACAACGAAATATTTTGTTTGGACCAGTTCTATGCAATTGAGCTTTTATGCTGATGGAAATATTCACCGTCTGGGCTGTCTAAAATGTTGCATCTAGCCACCTGTGAAACTGGGTTTTAAATTTAATTACATTTTAATGAATTTCAATTTCAATTGCACACGAGGCTAGTGTTTACCTTATTGGACAGAGCAGGTTTGGGCTATTCTGTGGAGGAGATGTCAGAGGACCACCGTAGTTCTGAGCTTGGCTGAGGACACCTAGCAAAGCCTCAGTCCTCTCCCAGGTCATGAGAAGCAGTGTTGCCATGAGACCACTGGCTCCTGTCTTTCAAGTCTTTCCAGCCCCACCCAAGCGTCTCGTCACAAAGCCTTCCCTGGACTCCCTCTCTTTTTCTGGTTACCTAAAATCACCTGTGCCGCTGTTCAGGTACTCTGTGTGTGCTACCCTGCAGAGCTAACTTTCACCCTGCAGGTCACATTCTGTGTTCTCATGAGACTGTAAGTTCATGGCACCATCTGGCTACTGGAAAGTCCTATCCCAGCAAAGGTGGAAGAACCAACCCAGGCAAAAACAAAGCAGAAACACCACAAGCCCCAGGGACTATGAAATCCATCCTGCACTCACCTTGACCTGCTGTGCACCCTCATCCTCTGTCCCTACTTTACCTCCATTTCTATTTGTTTGCTTGCTTGCTTGCTTCTTGCCTGCCTGCCTTCTTTCCTTCCTTCCTTCCTTCCTTTCTCTTTTCTCTATTCTTTTCTTCTATTTTCTTTCTTTTTTTGAGATGGTGTCCCACTCTGTCACCCAGGCTGGAGTGCAGTGGCACAATCTCAGCTCACTGTAACCTCTGTCTCTTGTGTTCAAGCTATTCTCCTGCCTCAGCTTCTCAAGTAGCTGGGATTACAGGCACCCACCACCATGCCTGGCTAATTTTTGCATTTTTAGTAGAGACAGGGTTTCATCGTATTGGCCAGGCTGGTCTTGAACTCCTGACCTTAGGTGATCCGCCCACCTTGTAAGGCACTTCGGGAGCAAAGTGCTGTGATTACAGGTGTGAGCCACCACGCCTGGCCCATTTCTACTTGCTTTTTTAGAATCCCTGTATTTTCTTGCTCCATTATCCTGTTCTCCTACTGATGTCCTGGCTTTCACTCACCCACTCAGTTCCATGTGAAGACCTCTCTTTAGTTTCCAGTACCTTGGGACTTTACTGTTGTGCTTCCAGTAACCGACCTCTTTGGCATGAACACTGGTGTCCTCCTGAGGTCCAACCCAGGGCAGACCCTGCCGAGGCGAAGCCTGGTGTCCTGGGATTGTCCCCCTCCTTCATGAAACACAGGAACCCATCAATTTTTGTTGAGTGCTTAATGTTGACAAGAACCTATTTTAAAAATACATTTATGTTTTGTTTTGTTTTTAATTGCTTCTCAGATGTAAACTGGGTGTAGTTGCTTTGAGAAAGCAAAACCAAATGGCAACATGATAATCTAAGCTGTCTCTCCAATCTGTCTTGCCTCTCTGTTTTCTTTGACCTGCAGTGAGGTTCATGAGCCTTCATAGTCTCTGTATCTAGTAATAGTGTAGGGGTTTGTGAAAAAGGTAAATCATAGGGTAAATGATTTCATTCCTTTGTCTTCAGTGTATGGACATTATGGCCCCGGGTGGAGGGAGATTTTCCACCGTAAAGGGTTAGGAAAGGGACAGAGATGAGAGAAGAAGCTTTGCCAGGTTAGGGGGTGAGTGGCATTCCTGTGCTGTATTCTATCGGGGCATGTGAGCAGGTGGTAAATGCTTTGGATACAAATGAAAAAGGGCCATCAGAGGCTTCCCTGAACAATTTTAAATCAGAGATAATACCCTTCTAAAATTTAGGCAGCATTCAATCCTTCCTTTGAAGGAATAGCTTGATTGTAAGGCACTAGATGGTCTTACACAAAATATATGTATGTACACATACTTATAGATATACGTGCTCATAAAAGATATAGCAGAGCAATGGATTACTCTTACGACACTCAGATTGCCAAAAATGTGTTTTTCTTATTTTGCCTGTTACTGATATGATTTCCCTTATGACAACCATTTCTATGGGAGGTGGGAAGCCCCAGAAGGGACTTAATGTAGTCCAATTTAGAATCTTAGCCTGAGCCAATCAGGTATTTATCTGAGTAATTGTGTTTTTTAAGGATAAATGCTGCCTTTCCTATTCCTGCCCCTCCCTGCCTGCTTCCCTTCTCTTTAACAATATATCTCCCATGTGTGTGCAGGGAGAGATGCTGCTTAGGTGCTCAGTGCAGTGGAGTGAAGTCTGGGCCCTCGCATCCACAGGCATCCTCTGGGGACTCCCTGGCCACTGGTACAGAGCAGCAGGACTAGTATATGTGAAAGTGGAACCAATGAGGTGTCCACATGGTTTGATGTGTTGGTATCACTGCTACAGACATTGGCTCTCACCTTTTGAATCTGGTTTCTAAGTTTCCCCCATCCTTAAGGACCCCAGGCTTCTGCTGAGGCACTAGGACTTGCAGCACCTCCAAGTCCCCTCACTGGGGCAAATGGCAACCTCGGGGGCCCTGCACACTATGCCAGGGGAACCCACAAAGCTGACTAGGGCTGCTGGTGCTGGGAGAGCACACCCAGCCATGGTCCAAGGTGACGTTGGGGGTATATTCGTCAGCTCGGGCTGCCATAACAAAATACCAGAGACCGGGAGACTTAAAAAACAGAAATTCATTTGCTCACAGTTCTGGGGGCTGGAAGTCCAAGGTCAAAGTGTCAGCAGGGTTGGTTTCTGGGGAGACCTCTCTTTTGGCTTGCATTTGGCCTCCTTCTTGCTGTGTCCTCACACGGCCTCTTTTCTGCAGGCACACTCCTGGCACCGCTTCCTCTTCTTAGAAGGATACCAGTGCTATTGAATTAGGGCCTACCCTCATGATCTCATTTAACCTCAGTTACCTCTTTAAAGACCTTATTTCCAAGTAAAGTCACATAGTTGATTAGAGCTTCAACACAGCTCCCTGCCTCCTCCATATCCATTTGGGTGTTTCTAAATGGCCTACCTCTTCCAGAGAAGTACAATAAATGAAGACCCCGAGATTAAACACAACATCCCTTTCTCCCACAATCACTGAGGAAATTCTGTCCCCTGAGTCTGCCAGTCTTCATCCTGGATGTGCTAACACAAATGTAGGTGCTCCTTTTTTTCCTGCATGATGTTGGGCTTTCAAACATTTAGTCAAACAAGAATCTGTATTGACTTTTCTCTGTTGGGAGCTAACTTCTCCCTGAATCTCTGAGACCAGTTGTCTGGAAGCCTCAGGAGAGGGAGAGTCATAGGATGAGAAATATACATGAAATTATAAAAAGAAAATTCTCTTTTTTACACATCCAATTATATTTATTACATAAACACACAACACCTGCAATGCCATCTCTTCTGCTTTCCTTGAATTTGATGAAATTATTTGTGTGAGTGTTAATGTCAGTATATGTAAATAATTAGTTATATTTTAACACTTATGGAATTTCATCTTCTTTCATTGTGATATTCCAAACTGGGGACAACAGGGATGTCCAAAAGGAAAGTGGAAATTAATAAAGACCAGCCAAATGCGAACAGGCAAAGGCTATTTATTCAGAGCCTGCTATAGCAGGGGTGTCAGCCACTGTCACTTTTTGACAGAGACTCAAAGGCAGGCAGAGTGGGAAAGCTTCAGGTGTGTGCCAATTGGGCTCCTGGCATGGGGAAGCTGCAGGCTGGCCAACTAGAAGCAGAGTAGCCTATGTGATTTGTTAGGGGTGTATATTTGACTTTCTCTGGTTGGCCTTAATTTGGAAGTGGGGACAAAAATTAGGGAAGCTGTCAGTTATTAATCAAGGCCTGGCCATTTTGGGCCAACTGTTACAGGATTTATTGCTTGGATTCCTGGACTAGTAACTAGAGATAGCAATCTGACTTATAGACAGCAGGCTGGCTATCTATAGCTAGATAATAGGTTGGTTTCTTGTGCTGGTTGCTGCAGGTTGGGGGTCAGTTATTGACTTTTTTATGTGGTCTACCCAAGGTCATTTGTATGTTCAGTGTCTCAGGAGTTTGTTAAACTCCCTGCTAAGCCCTCGTGTTTCCTTCAGGTACATCCAAGTGAACTGATGCTGAGTCTCAGAGCAGGTACCTCGTGTGGCTCTTATGCCTGAGAACCATGAGGTCTCGAGAAGACACAGTAGTGCTGTATTGTCAGGTCCCACCATGTTCCCTCTGCCTCTCTCCGTGCTGTTCTCGGGGTCCAGGCCCAGTGATGCCTCCACTTCTGGACTTGACATTTATGAAGAAATGTGTTCGTGTTTTAGGTCATAACCCATTCATAGGGTTCAAAATGCCAAACAATAAAGGGACAGGCCTTCTCCCACCTGGCGTCCATCTATCTCATAGCCCAACAGTGTCCCACATAGGTAAACATTTTTTTATTCCTTTTTCATGTATACATGAAAGACCTTCTAGAGTTTTAGAAAGCCAAATGGAGGCTGGGCATGGTGTGTCATGCCTATAATCCCAGCACTTTGGGAGGCCAAGCTGGATGGATCACCTGAGTCGGGAGTTTGAGACCAGCCTGGCCAAGATGGTAAAACCCTGTCTCTACTAAAATACAAAATTTATCCAGGAGTGGTGGTGGGCACCTGTAATCCCAGCTAATTGAGAGGCTGAGGCAGAAGAATTGCTCGAACCTGGGAAGCAGACTTGCAGTGAGCTGAGATCGTGCCACTGCACTCTGGCCTGGGTGACAGAATGAGACTCTGTCTCAGAAGAAAAACAAACAAAAAAACAAATGGAGCAAACATGGGTAAAGATTTTGTTTTTCCTGCTTTCATATAGAAAGTTAATACACTATACATACTGTTCTGTACCTTACTTTTTTCACTTAATTTTTTAATTTTTCCCCGTATACATAGAAAACACCACATTTTTTCTTACTGCTTTTAAAAAATGACATAGTATTCCATTCTTTGTACCACAAACTATTTCTTGAGAAACATTGGATTATTTCCAATCTTTTTCTGGTGTGAACAGAACTGCAGTGGATAAACCTGTATACATGCCATTTGGTACCTGTGTAGTTGTACCTATAAAATAAATTCCAAGAAGTTGGACTCATGGGTGAAAGCGTAGATTCTTTGGCAGTTTTGCCAGTGAAGGTCAAGTTGCCCTCTCTTGGAGACGCACCAATTTACACCCCTTCCAGCAGCCTGTGACAAGTGTGTAGACTTGATCTAATAATCCCTTTTGTGAATAACGTTGATTGAGGGTCTTCAGTGACACATGGAGCTGGGTTTGATGGAGGCAGCAGGCTCGTTGGGGACCTCACCTTCCCCATCCTTAGGCACTAGTTTCAGAGACTTCCATTTTTGGTTTTATGGAGGAGAGTGCCCCCATGTGAGTGGGATGCAGAACCTTCTAAAGGCAAATCCCCCAAGTTAAGGGAATTTATTCCTCTAGTCGAGCCCTCACAGCTCCTGCTTGCCTTTGGTCTTGATGGCTTTTGACCCTGACTGCTCATTGCTTCTGCTTGGGATTTCCTGGCAGCCATTCCTGAGGCCTGGCCCTGACATCACTCCTGCCCCATGGGTATGATTTGGTACCTACTGCTCCTCCGGAAGGGAGCGGGTCAACATTTACATCTGCATGTCTTCGGCAGGAAGGGCCAGGGAGGAACTGAGGAAATGCAAGTCTGGGCAATGGCCAATGTCAGTTTGCTGGCTGTTGTCACCTTTGGTCCTTGGAGCTGCCTTGTGTGTTTCTTGGCTTATCCTCCAAATCGTTGCTTCAGCACTGGAGGAGAGGTCCCAAACTCAGCTGCATACAGGAACCACCCAGATGAAACAGATGAGGGCCATGGGCTGCAGGTACCCGGGGAGGAGGAGAGAGCACCGCTACCCTTTGAGGCTCCAGCGAATTGCTGTCATGTCGAAATCCTGGGCCCAGGAAGCCAGAGCTTTTGCTACTTTCGAAAGAAGTTAGAAATGGAGATTTTTATGTTAAATTTCACAGTATTAAAATGCTGGCAACGAATTCACATTGAAATAACAACAACATCTATGATAGCTCTAGGGACTCTAAATAGCACATCCAAGAGTAGGGGTTGGTTTAGGGGCTGTCAGTTTGCAACTCTGCCTTAGCTCTGTGTCTTGTGTCTCAGAATGGCCCAGCCTTTCTGTTCCCTCAGTCTCACTATGGGCCTGGTTGTGAGGTGCTTGCTGCTATTTAGACCTGTAGACCTTGAAGGTGCTGCTTGTTTGACTTTATTTTATTTTAGCGATGGGGTCTCTCTCTGTCTCCCAGGCAGGAGTGCAGTTGGGCGATCATGGCTCATTGTAATCTCAAACTCCTGGGCCCAAATGATCCTCCTGCCTCAGCCTCCTGAATAGCTGGGACTACAGGTACACATCACCATGTCTAGCTAATTTTTAAGTTTTTTTTTGTAGAGATGGAGAGTTTCCTTGTGTTGCCCAGCCTCGTCTCCCAGGCTCAAATGATCCTCCTGCCTTAGCCTCCCAAAATAATGGGATTGCAGGGATAAACCACTGCGCTGGGCTAGCTTGTTAATATTATTGGTTCGTGGTAACTTTTCTTGGGCAACCGTCTCTTCTATAAAATCTAGATCCATTTTAAAGTCAACAAGTTACAATCAAAATGTTATGGCTCCCAGGAACTTTTATCTGGGAAAGCCTAGTTCTCCCACCTACCCCTCCCATCTCCATTCCTGTTGGGGCTTGACTCTCTTCTTGGGACGAGAGGCCTGCTGCTCCCATGTGTGTCCGTGAACCTTCAAGGAATGCTTCTCACAGGGAAGATCAGTGCAATCTTAGTCTCTCTGCTTTCAGAGACTGAAGCAGTCATGTCTTCAGTCATAGCCTCATTTGGTTCTTTCTAGAACAATCTTCTGAGGAACCTTTTGCTTAATCATCCTCCTCCTATTAGTTTTTCCTACAGCAGCATCTCCTTTTCATCTGGGAGGTAGAGCCAGTAATGCAAAGAATGTATTGATCCTGGAGCTGGTGTTATCTCTCCAAGCCTCGGTTTCCATAGCTATAAAATGGGGTCAATAACAGTGCCCTCTTTCTGGAGCAGTAGTAAGAATCAAGTGGCATATGTGAAAATGCTCTGTGAATTGCAAAGTGTTGCAAAGGATATATAAAGGTTTTTATTCTTATTTATTGCACAAGAGCATTTATTTATTGCACAAGAGCATTACAACTATAAAAAAGGAGACATTGAAGATATAAAAAAGACATTGAAGACCCCTGCAATCTCACTATGCTAACCCATGTGCAGTTATATTTTCCAGTATTTTGTATTCTGTTCCACTTCTTACCCACATAAAAACAATCAGAGCGATCCTGAGCTGAATCACTTCTCCCTCCAGGCTGCTCTCTGCCCTTCTGTTCTCCAGCATATGGGAGGGAAGCAGAACCAGCCCACTTGGAAGATGCTGGGTGAATGATTTATTCACTGAGCATTTTTAAAGAGACTAGACATTTTATGCAGATGAGATGTGGAGTTCACCTAACACCAAACATACAAAACAGCAAAGAAATGAAACTCAAGAAAGTCTTCGGCTGGGTGCAGTGGCTTATGCCTGTAATCCCAACACTTTGGGAGGTTGAGGCAGGAGGATCGCTTGAGGTCAGGAGTTCGAGACCAGCCTGGCCAACATAGTGCAACCCCGTCTCTACTAAAAATACAAATATTAGCTGGGCGTGGTGGCAGGTGCCTGTAATCCCATCTACTACGGGAGACTGAGGCAGGAGAATCGCTTGAATCCAGGAGACAGAGGTTGCAGTGAGTCGAGATTGTGCCACTGCACTCTAGCCTGGGCAACAGAGCGAGACTCTTTTCAAAAGAAAGTCTTCATAGCGATAGTGATGCCTTATTTTACAGAGTATTTCAGAGTTTTTAAAGAGTTTTCATGTGTATTATTTCTCTCCTTCTAACAGTGCTTTGAGGAAGATAGGATGGAGTGAACATATGTATTATTTTATGGCTGAAACAAGTAGCCCAAAGAGGCTAAGTGATTGTTCAGGGTTATGGTTAGTTTGTGCTAGAGTTGGGCTTGGAAAGCAGATTTCATAGACTCTTTTTCTGTCCTCTTAGTTTCTGTCGATTTACTTCTCTGTGTTCAGTGACCACGTATTAATACTTTTTATGTATTAATCCCTCCATAATATCAGTTACATAATAACAAATCCTCACTGATTATTTGATTAATAGGATATGTTGAAAGCCACATGTAAAGTTGTTTGAATATCGTAACAACTGTAAGATATAACTTACTATAGCTCTTTAAAATGAACTCCAGTGAGCTACAAATCTTGCTTTACATTTGCTGGGAAGGAGTAGGTTATAGCCTGAGATGTAAAGATCCACTTGTTATTCCATGAGTGCCTTACTTTGTATGTTATTGTAAAGTTTGCTAATTACTTCCACATCTGTTATTTTATGTGGTCCCCAGTGCATCTCTCTAAGGTGTGTCAATCGAGTAGCATCTGTTGCCTGTTATCAGGATGGGAGTCTGAACTCTTCCTCCAGTGTCTCGGTATTGGAGTTGCCAAGGAAAACACAATGCAGTCAAGCCCTGGATGGAACATGTTTTGCTCATATAGAGAAGAGATAAAGAGCAGCTTCAATAGAGGGCGTCAGTCCCCCATGGTGAGTGGGGCCCTCCAGCAGCCCATGAAGGCCCATTGGCCTGTGTGCACTCATCTTGTGCTGCAGCAGAAGCATCCATTCCCTGCCCAAGGGGACAGAAATAGCAGTGGGGTTGGCCAGGTGCCATATAATGTACATGCTTGTGCAGAACAAAGGGGTACGCATTGAGTCTGAAACAGGGAAAGATATTCCGTCAAGCCCAGCTCAGGCTGTGAGGACTCTACCTCTTGGTAAGAAAGTATGCTGGGCCCAAGGCCCATTCCCTTGCACCTGAAAGGGGGTTGGGAGACTGTGCAAGGGAATATCTTTCTCAGCAAGTTGGTCAGCACAGCCACGAGACCGAGATGTGCACAGACCCTCCAGACTTGTGGTGTCACCTTCCACTGGGATATCCAAATCAGAGGGTTCCTGTCTCCCTTCTGTATGTTGCAGGCAGGTCCACCCAGTGGTTCCGTGAATTTCCAATGGAGACAAGCTTGGCGCTGGGGATGGAGGGGTGACAAATTCCGTTTTGGGCTCCTCAAGGAGGCTTACAGCCCCTCACCAGCCTATGCTACTGTCATCTGCTCCCAAGATACTGCCCGGTCCTCAGAATTGCTTGAGCCTCTCCTACCTGTTGTCCCATCAGCAGCCTTTCTTCATCGTGACAATTCATCTCTCATACCTGTTGTGTGTTGCAGACTTTATTGATATTTTGGGGAAAATAGAAGGTAATTACACCACAGGCAGAAAACCACTTCCAATTCCATTCAGATGTTCTTGTTCATAGAAATCTACTGAGCAGTTTTCTCCGTGGGGAATTTCTTATCTACCTGCTGCCATGTTGTGAGGGCCTTCTTGCTGCCTATCTGGTCTGTGTTTTTCCTTTCTCTCACTTCTGATGATTCTCAACCCCTTTCTTTGGGGCTTAATTTTATTTTTCACATTGATGTGCAAAATGATTCCTTTCTCCCCACTTTTTAATTTTTTTAATGCTTCCCTTTCCATACCATGCTCTGGAAGTTTTTACCTTTTATTCTCAAAGAAGTTCATTGAGGTATTTTATACAAAAAGAGATCTCTCCAGATTTGAATTCTAAATTATATAAAAGTGGCTGCAGCTGGTTCTTATGTTAAATACCAATTTTCTTTCTTTTTAATGAATATTTCCATTTTACAGATGAAGAAACTGAGGCTTTGAGTGTTTAAACGGTTTGTATGAACATCAGAGCTAAGGCCTTGTTCTGAGGTTTTCCCACTCTACCCTTCTATTTTTCAAGAGACTGTAATGTTAATAGCATTTGTTCTAACGATATCAATCCTTATCTTCATTTACTTTTTTCTGTCATAAGTTATTACATCAAATAATACTTCACATTGACTTTCCACTGCTCAGAATTCAAGGAGCAAAATCTTAATGCTTAGGAGCAACGAATGTTGTGGATGCTGTTAACCCAGCAGAGCCAGGCTGTTTATATTCCTTGTAAAAATAATTGTCTCATTAATCTTCACCTCAACCACCTAATCCTGTTGCCAAGGTCAAGGTGAGGATGCAGGTGAATTGCAGATATGTCATCATGCACGCAGAGCACGGTGCCCACGCCTGTTTTTTGAAGTGGCAATGAGCGTTGAGGGTCAGCAGAGATGAGAGAGATAAAGGTCCCTTCTTTGCGATTGTGCAAAACGGACCCACTCTGAGTCATGCCAGAAACATATCCTGCATGGTAACCAGGCACGGAAAGGCCTGTCTAGCAAGGGAGGTGTAATTTCCTGTGGAATTCATTTCTACCAGATCTACTCAATGTTGAATTAACTGGTAAACTTTTACTCCCTTCCTAGATAAACATTTCTATTTTAGTGGTCAGCCTGCTATCAGAGAGGCAGTGACTTAAGTGCAAGAGAATCTACACAGACAACAGTTTTTGCTTCAGTGCACAAATTACATCACTGGATAATAACTGGAAAAGAATGTATCATGGCAGATCATTGATTTATGAGCTACACTTAGGAGAAGAAAATGAAGATAAAGGATCCTCAGGGGTTGATTATACATTTTTAGGCAAGATGAATGAGTTTCTGTCATTAATTTGGCTTTCTTTAAAATTTTCTTATTGACACATAATATTTGTACAGATTTATGGGGTATACGTGATATTTTGTTACACCCATAGAATGTGTAATGATCAAGTCAGGAGACTCAGGGTATCCGTCATCTCAAGTATTTATCCTTTCTTTGTGTTGGTAACAATAAGCCCTCTCTTCTAGCTGCTTTGAAAGATATAATACATTGTTAACTATACTCACCTTACTCTGCTATCAAATATTAGAACTTATTTCTTCTGTGGAACTGTGTTTGTACCCATTAACTTACCTGTCTTCATCCCCCTCCTACACCTCCACATCCACATCCTTCCCAGCCTCTGGTGTCTATCATTCTACTCTCTATCTCCATAAAAATCAACTTTTTTAGCTCCCACATATAAGTGAGAACATGTGATATTCGAATGTGCCTGGAATATTTCATTTAACATAATAATCTCCAGTTGTATCCATGTTGCTGCAAATGACAGAATTTTATTCTTTTTTATGGCCAAATAGTATTCAATTGTGTATATATACTACATTTTCTTTCTTCGTTCATTGTTGATGGGCCCATATGTTAATTTCATATCTTTGAGATTGTGATTAGTGCTACAATAAACATGAGGGTGCAGGAATTCCTTTGATACACTGATTTCCTTTCCTTTGGATAAATACCCAGTAGTGAGATTGCTGAAATTGATGGTAGTTTAGTTTCAGTTTTTTGAGGAAGCTCCATACTGTTTTCCTAATTTACATTCTAATTGTTATACTAATTTACATTCCCACCAACTTTCCCTTTTCTCCACATCCTTGCCAGCATCTGTTATTTATTATTTTCTTAAAGTAGTCCTTGTAACTGAGGTATGATTATATCTCATTGTGGTTTTGATCTGGCTTTCATTGATGGTTAGTGATATTGAGCATTTTTAAAATATACCTGTCAACCATTTGGATGTCTTTTTTTGAGGAATGTTTATTCATATACTTTACACACTTTTTGATTGGATTATTATTATTTTTTTTTTTTGCTGTTGTTTGAGTTTCTTGTATATTCTGGATATTTGCCCATTAGATGAATTGTTTGCAGATATTTTCTCCAATTCAACATGTTGTCGTTTCACTCAGTTGATTCCTTACTTTGCTGTGCAGAAGTTTTCTAGTTTAATATTCTATATTTCCATTTGTCTATTTTTGGTTTTGTTGCCTGTGCTTTTTATATCTAAGCCATAAAATCTTTGCCTAGACCAATGTCCAAGAGGGTTTTCCATATGCTTTCTTCTAGTAGTTTTACAGTTTCAAGTCTTATGTTTAAATACATGGATTTATTTCTGGGTTTTCTATTCTGTTCTATCGGTCTATGTGTCCATTTTTATACCAACATCATGCTATTTTAGCTACTATAGCCTTGCAATATATTTTGAGGTAAGATAGCATGATATCTCCAAATTTGTTCTTTTTGCTCAAGATTGATTTGGCTATTCATGTTCTTTTTTGGATTCCATGTGAATTTTAAGGTTGTTTTTTCTATTTCTGTGAAGAATGTCATTGGTGTTTTGATAGAGATTGCATTGAATCTTTAGATTGTTTTGGGTAGTATGGTCATTTTAACAATATTCATATTTCTGATCCACGAGCATGGGTGCTGAATGTGGTGGTGGCGGCTGAGTGGTCCTGACCTCAGGCCCCTGGAAGGAGTGCACAGATGCCAGCAATGGTGAATGGGGTGGGGTTACTCCCAGGCCCCAGGCAGCACACTTGTGCACTAGGTGGGTGGTGACAGGCTGGGAGGGCCTGTCCTCAGGGCCCCTGGTGGTGCACATGGGTGCTGGCTGCGGTGGGCAGGGTGAGGTGATCCCAGGCCCCCCAGCAGACTACTTTGGTGGCAGTAATAGGGAAAGTCAGTCCTCAGGCTGTGTAGAAGTGCATGGCACTCCTGCTGCTTAGTGAATGGGGTGGGGTCTCTGGCAGTGACAGCAGCCATAGGCAGGTAGGTCTCAGGCTCTGAGTAAATGCTTTAGCTCCAGCAGTGGTGGCAGAGGAACCAGCAGGGAAATCCAGCCCCCAGGGTACATGCAAGTGTGTCATGTTCCTGATGCTGGAGGGGGACAGGGTCATTGCCAGTGGCATGTGCTTTGGCCCCAGTAGCAGTGGCAGTAGCAGGGAAAGCCAGTCCTCAGGGTGCATGCAAGTTCACAGTGACCCTGCTGCTGGAGGGGGACAGGGTCATTGCCAGTGGCATGTGCTTTGGCCCCCAGCAGCAGTGGCAGCAGCAGGGAAAGCCTGTCTTCAGGGTGCATGCAAGGGTGTGATGGCCCTGCTGCTCGAGGGGGATGGGGTCATTGTCAGTGGCAGCAGCCATATGCAGGTGGATTTCAGGCTCTGGGGAGCATTCACTTTGGCTCTCTTTGTCCTGGAGGCAGCCTCTCCAGGGCACTGCACTGCCCATTCCCGGGGTGCATGACGCTGTGTATGCTAGAGTGCTGGGGACCCTGCTGCTTTGCTGGGTCCAACTGATGTCACACTGCTAAAGCCCTCCAAGTAGATTCAGGGGCTGTCACTGGGGCTCCAGGGTGTGGAGATGCAGGGGATATTGGGTCCCCAGGCAGTATTCAGTCTGGTCAGGGCTGGCCTCTCCATATGGCACCTTGCTATAGCTGCTTAGGTCTTCAGTGTATATGGGAACCAGGGTGAGTTTCCTGTCTGGAGCAATGCCATCATGTGGTCTCCAGGCAGCTGCCTATGCTAGTCTCTGGGGCCACGAGGGTAGAGGGTTCTCCTGTGGGTATGGTTGCAGGATTCTGCAGTGGGAATGGGGACCACTGGGGATTTCTCTCTTACCCTTTCCCTGCACTGGTGAGCCTCTCTCCGCTCCCAGCCAGTTGCAGCTGAGCCAACTACCTCACTTACTTCCCTCTCCTTCCCTGCCTCAGGGGTTTCCTGTCCCTTCTCTGTTGAATTCCAGTGTTCTCTCTTAAGTGCTTTATTCAAAGTGTGATTATTGTGATTATCTATTCACTATTTTGGTTATTCTTTGCGGAGAAGGTGAGTGCTGGATGCCTGTAGTCAGCCATCTTCAAGCCTTCCAATCTTTTAATTCGGTTTTCCTATTCAACAGTTATTCACTGGGCTAGGTACAGTGTTAGATAAAGAAGAAACAACAGTGAACAAGAAGACATTGTGCCCGTCTTTAAGGAGCTCATGGTAAATGAATAAATTATGACTGCACAAATCGTGCTGTGAAAGAGGTAAAAAATCCAGGGTACAGTGAGAGCACAGAGAAGCATAGTCTTGGTGGTCAAGAAGAGCTCTTCTTTCAACAGCTTCTTTGAAGCTGATATCTGACAGATGAGGAGTTTGCCAGAGAATAGAGAGGTAGAAGTGTTGGCTTTATTTCAACCATTAAAATAACAAAGTTCAGAGGTTGGAGCAGTGGTGATGTCAGAGGCATATAAACCAGAGCAACTCCATCTTGAATAGGCGCTGAGTAAAATAAGGCTGAAACCTACTGGGCTGCATTACTAGACAGTTAAGGCATTCTAAGTCGCAGGATGAGACAGAAGGTCGGCACAAGGTACAGGTCGTAGAGACCTTACTGATAAAACAGGTTGCAGTAAAGAAGCCAGCTAAATCCCACCAAAACTAAGATGGCCATGAGAGTGACCTCTGGCCATCCTCACTGCTGCACTCCCACCAGTGCCATGACAGTTTACAAATGCCATGGCAGCGTCAGAAAGTTACCCTACATGGTCTAAAAAGGGGAGGCATGAGTAACCCACCCCTTGTTTAGCATATCATCAAGAAATAACCATACACATGGGCGACAAGTAGCCCCTGAGGCTACTCTGTCTATGGAGTAGCCATTCTTTTATTCCTTCACTTTCCTAATAAACTTGCTTTCGCTTTACTCTATGGACTCACTCTGAATTCTTTCTTGTGTGAGATCCAGGAACCCTCTCTTGGGGTCTGGATTGGGACCCCTTTTCTGTAACAGTGAGGGCAACTAGATGTGGAGTGGTAGAGAGAGAGAACATGTGGTTTAAATTTCGGACATGTTGAGATTGAGGTGTTTTTGGAATACCCAGGTAGGGATGCCCAAGAAAAGTTGGAAATTCATGTCCAGGGAAAGGAACAGATTAGGATTAAACATGCGGGTCAAGGGAGTCATGACCACTCAGCCCTGTGAGCACTGAGTTGAAATGAGCACCCAGGGTGTGGTGTATAGACTGGGATGAAGAGGATCCCAAAGGACCCCAACATTTAAGAGATGGATAGAAGAAGCAAAGCCCTCAAAGGAGATTAGGAAAGAAGATCAGAGGTGGAAGGGAGATTGGAAGAGAGAGTAGCACCTTGTTAGTTTTCCACTTGTGGGAATAGGTACTGCATTGTTACAGTAAGGACCTTCAGACTGACCAGCCTGAAAGATGTACACAAGCAGTGTGCATCAACAAACAGGTCAAGAGCCAGGCAGATCTGGTGTGAGACAGCACTTGCCTCAGACACAGCAGTTCTATTATCCAGATTCAGTCTGAGGACTGTTAGTTTGAGAACCCTAAACTCAAGAAGGTCTTTCATTTTTCCGACAAGGAAATTGACAATCAATGTAGTTCAGTGACTAACTTGATGACTCACCTTTAGTTATTGTCAAAGCAGAGGGAAAACATATCCCAGTCCAAGGCACCTTCCCATATACTCTACTGCTTCAGTACTGAGCAGATCTCTGTAACCCACAGATTCTCTGTTAGATTTTTGGCATTTTAGGGGAGTACGAGATGCTCATTTATCCTTAAGGTCATTAAAAATCTCTATGCTATGCTGAAGAAATGATAGTTTTCATGCTTTTTTTTTCTATTGTAACCAGAAGATAGTGTGTTGGCTCATCTTCCAGTTGATAGAGATGGTATCCTCATTTCCCAGAGCCAGAAAGCAGTGAGGCAGAACATTCGGGAGATTACCAGAAACCACAGCTGGTTTCTTTGACGTCCTTTGACAGCATGGCATCTTGAAATTAGAAAGAGATCAACATTCCATCTAATACCACTCACATGTTTGGGGCATTTGCTATGAGCTTGGGCACTGTGCAAAATGGTTCTTTGGATTTGTTTTTCATTTCTTTCCATGTAGATGCTAGTGGTAGAGAGTGGCTTAGTGCTTAATGCTAGAGCAGAAATAATACCAAACCTATCTTGCATATCCTCTGGAACCCTTCAAATTTCTCTCCATAAGCCACCACAGCTTTAGAGTAAATAATAAATGATCTACTTGCAAAGCTTGCCCAGTGTAGCCAGATCCTATGCATCTTCTGAAGATGGAGCAGATGACCAGAGCATCACCTACCTGGAGAAACATGAATGACTATAATAAATTCCTTTATTCTTTCATGCTTTGGAAAACAAAGATTTCACTCTGTGGAGTTGCCAGATCAGGCTCTCATTACAGAACCACTTTATTCAACAAGACTTCTCTTTGGCCCCTGCCAGCACATGCCCATTCCTCACAATGCCCTGAGCACAGGAAGCAAAGCATTTTTGTCTTTCCTTCTGTTCTCTCCTCTGCTTTGATTTCTGTCTAATTTCTTGTGTAGTGGGGCTTAGGCCAAGATAACCTATGAATTTGGGAAGAACCCCCATTTAGAACTGAGTATGTAAATGGCTGCCATCACTTGACCCTTCTTGTGTGTATCTGAAAGTGTTCCTCCCTTTCTCCTTCCCTCCCTTCCTATCTCTTTGTCTTCCCTTTTCTTGCTTTCCTTTTCTTCCTTCCTCTTGTTACTTCCTTTATTGCTTTCCTTTCTTCTCCCCTTTCTTGCAACCCTTTCCTTTCTTGCTTGCTCCTCTTTCTTGCTCTCCTTTTCTTGTTTCTTTCTGGCTTTTGTTTCTTGCTTCCTGCTGCCCTTCCATGCATCTTTCTTCATGCTTCTGCTTTCTTCTTTTTTCACTTCCCTTTATCGCTTCCCTTTTCTTATTTCTCTTTTCTTCCCTCCTTTTTCTTGCTCCTGATTTTTTGCTTCCCTGTTCCTTCTTCCCATTCTTACTTTGTTATTTTACTTCTCTTTGTTCTTTTAGCTTCTCTTGTTTCCCTTTCTCACTTCCCTTTTTTCACGTCCTCTTTTCTTTGCTTCAAGTTTCTGGCTTCCCTTTTCTTCCTTCCCATTTTACTTCCCTAGTTTCGTGCTTCCATTTCCCTGTTCCCATTCTTTCATGCTTCCCTATTCTATCTTCCCTTTTCTAACTTTTTTTTTTTTTGCTTCTAATCCCTTGCTTCTCTTTCCTTGGTTCTCTTTCCTTGATTGTAATTTTTACTTCTCCTTTCTTATTTCCCTTTACTTGATTTCCTTTTTCTGCTTCCTTATTCTCCCTTCTCTTTCTTACTTCCGTTATCTCATTTCCTGCTTTACTTTCCTCATTTCCTTTTCTTGCTTCCCTTTCAAGCTTCTCTCTCACACTTCTCTATTTTGCTTTTCTTTAACTTTTTTCTCACTTCCCTTTCTTTTTCTTCAGTTCCTCTTCTTACTTCTATATTCCACTTTTATTGCTTCTTTTTTTCTTACTTCCTTCTTCTTTTCTTGATTTTCTTTTTAATTTCCTACTTTGATTTTTTTCTGATTTTCAGTTTTCTCTTTCCTTTCCTTTATTTTTCACTTCTTGCTTCCGTTATTTTCTTCCCATTTTCTTTTCTTCCTTACTTACTTTCCTATTTTCCTTACCTTCTATTGATCCCATTTTAACCTCCTTTCTTTTTCCTTCCTTAAAAAATATCTTGTATTCTAAAGTGTCTTTCTTCCCCTTTATTCCTTCACTTTTCTTGCACCTCTTTTTTGTTCTTTTTTATACTTTTGTTCTCCTTCTCCCTTTTCTCATTTTCCTTTCTCACCACCTTTTTCTCACTTCCCTCTTCCACTTTCCTTGTCTTGCTTCCCTTTTCTCAGTTCCTTTCTCACCCCCTTTTATTGACTACCATTTCCTACTTTCCCATCTTGCTTCCCTATTCTTGCATCTCTTAGTCTTAATTTTTCATCTCTTTTCTCACTGTTTTTTGCTTGCTTGCTTTTTCTCATTTTCTATTTTGTGCTTTCCTTTTCTAGGTTCTCTTTCTTACTTCTGTTTCTTGATTCTTTTTTCTAGCTTCCCTTTCTTGCTTCCTTCTCTTGTTTTTCCTTCCCTTTCTTGCTCTTTTCTCATTTTTCTTTTTAGCTTTTTTTCCTCATTTCTCTTTTCTTGCTTTCATTTTTTACTTCCTTATTCTTGGTTCCCCGTCTTACTCTTCTATTTTGCTCCCTCTTTTTGACTTGCTTTTCCTGCTTTCCTTTTCATCCACACTTTCTCTTTCTCCCCTTTCCTTGCCTGCTTTTTTCTGTTGCTTTCCTGATGCTACCTTTTTCTGTCTTCGTTCTCCATTTTGCTTTTCTTTCTTGCTTCCTGTTTCTCACTTCCCTTTCTGGTTACTCATCACATGCTTCCCTTTCTCATGCCCCCTTTTTTTTCTCTCTCTCTCTTTTTTTTGCTTTCATATTTTGTCCCCACGTTCTTGTTTCCCTTTTTTTCACTCCTCTTTCTTCTTCTTCTTCTTCTTATTATTATTATTACACTTTAAGTTGTAGGGTACATGTGCACAACGTGCAGGTTTGTTACATATGTATACATGTGCCATGTTGGTGTGCTGCACCCATTAACTCGTCATTTAGCATTAGGTATATTTCCTAATGCTATCCCTCCCCACTCCCCCCTCCCCACAACAGTCCCCAGTGTGTGATGTTCCCCTTCCTGTGTCCATGTGTTCTCATTGTTCAATTCCCACCTATGAGTGAGGACATGCGGTGTTTGGTTTTTTGTCCTTGCGATAGTTTGCTGAGAATGATGGTTTCCAGCTTCATTCATGTTCCTACAAAGGACATGAACTCATCATTTTTTATGGCTGCATAGTATTCCATGGTGTATATGTGCCACATTTTCTTAATCCAGTCTATCATTGTTGGACATTCGGGTTGGTTCCAAGTCTTTGCTATTGTGAATAGTGCCGCAACAAACATAAGTGTGCATGTGTCTTTATAGCAGCATGATTTATAATCCTTTGGGTATATACCCAGTAATGGGATGGCTGGGTCAAATGTGTAAATAAAATAGAGACATATGAAAGAGGAGTCAGCCATTTGACTCCTCTTTCTTATGTCTCTATTTTACTTACATATTTTGCTTCCTGCCTTTTCATACCCCTTTCTTCCTTTACTACCTTTCTCTTGCTTTCCTTTTCTACTTTCCTATTTTGTGTTCCTTTATTCTTTTTTCTTTTTTTCTTTTCTTTTCTTTTTCCTGTTCCTTCTTTCATGCTTCCCTTTTTATTCCTCTATTTTCTTGTTTCTTGCTTTCCTTTTCTTACTTCCGTTGTTGGCTTCCTTTGTCTGTTATCTCTTTTTTGCCCCCCTTTCCTATTTCCTGATTTTAGTTTCCTTCTTGCTTGCAGTTTTTACTTCCCCTTCCTCATTTCCCTTTCCTTATTTCCCTTTCATCATTTCTGTTTTCTCAGTTCCCATTCTCACTTCTCCTCTTTCTAGATTCCTTTGCACATTCCCCCTTTGTCATTCCCTTTCTTGGCTTCCCAATTCTCACTTCCTTTTTCTTGCTTCTTATTTTGTTTCACTCTTTTTGCTTCTCTTCCTCACTTTCTTTATCCTTTTCCATGTTCTCAGTTCCCATTCTCACTTCTTTCTTACTATTCTTTCTAGATTTCCTTTTCTCCTTTTCTTACTGCCTTCCCCCTCCCCCATTTTTGCCTCCTTTTTCTTACTTTTTATTCTTTCCTACTTTGTTCCCTCTTTTTGCTTCTCTCTCTTTTCCTCACCCTTCTGGTTTTCTTTTCCCTTTCCTTTCCTTTCCTACATTTCTTACTTTTTCTTGCTTTCCTTTTGCATTCTCATTTTTCACTTCTGTTTTCTTACGTCTCTTTTCTCATAATTCTTTTCTTTCTTTGTCTTTGAAATAGGATCATATTATATTTCTTAGTCTGGCCTCAAACCCCATACTCAAGCAATCCTCCTGCCTCAGCCTCCCAAGTAGTTGGGACCACAGGCGTGCACCACACTCAACTGCTTCCCTTGCCTTTCTTCCTATTCTTACTTCCCTGTTCTTGTTGACCAGGCTGGTCTTGAACTCCTGACCTCAGGTGTTCCACCTGCCTCAGCCTCCCAAAGTGCTGGGATTACAGGAGTGAGCCACTGCGCCCGGCAAGAAATGGGTCTTTTTACGGTCCTGTGCTTTCTGTCTATTCTGAGCTGCAGCATTTCAGATATAAAATTCCACCACTTTCCTGCCTTCCTTCTGAAAATGTCTCTTGTGCAGTGTTTCTGTAGCAGGCTATACTGATGGGTTGGGGCCAATGACGGGTTTTAGATCTCCATGTTGCTGTGTGAATTTCATCCCTCTCTAAAGTAAAGGTGGCAAACTTGTGGTCAACAGGCTAAATCTGGCCGGAAGACAAAGGCAGCCCACAGATACATTGTATTTAGCTGGCACAGTGTTGTACAAAAACTTTTGAATTAGTTGTCAGCATTTGAAAAATCAGAAGATTTCATGTAAGAGTCAGCTTTCTGGCTGCTCTTGAACAATGGAAGAAGAGGTGATGCGGGGTTTGCATTTCTTCATGATTGGATACAGCTGAGTATCATTTGCTCCCTTAGAAGAGCCTCAAGTCCCGCTCAGCCCACTCTACTGGCTCCTTTGCTCCATATTACCTTCCTGGTCCCTTGTCCCCAGAGGCCTTGGGGAAAAAGGAAACCTTCTGTTTAATAATGCTTCTCCAAAACATCTTGCGTGTGATCGAAATCCTCTAAGATTCACTAAGCACTTCCTTTCTGGTACATGCTCTCCTTAAAGCACTGAACACAGGGCAGACTATATCTTCTTACATAGAGGGGAGGGAAAGAGTTTATCAGGAGAAAAAATTATTAGAAAGAATTTTATCCTGAATTTTTTCTTGAAATAAACAGATCTATAAGGTCAGCCCCCGTGGAGCAGAGAGTCTGGTACAGATAGTAGAGGAGGATCTGGAAGGACTGAGGAAAGGCAGGTAGCATAATAGCTCTCCTGCTGCGCTCCCAGAAGAATCCCTTTTTTATTAAGCAGAGTTGAGGTTGGCAACCAGCAAAGGGAACTGTTGGGATGCTGGAAGGGCTGCTCCCCATTCTAGATAGCAGGCAGTCGAGAGACAGTTAAGTAATCCAAAGTCAGAAAACATAGCCAGAGGGCTGCTCAAAGTTTGTGGAAACAGCAAATTTGGGGGGCAGTCTATAGAAACTGAGGGACAAGAATGAAGAAGGTGACCAAGAGCCTGCAAGCCACTGCAGCATGGTGCTCACAGGACAGGGCCCTGCGTGGGCTTTTCTGGCCACCAGCTTGCCCAAGAGCTGATGGCCAGGTGGCTTTGGCCTGGTACCTCCCCATCCCCTCAGTCAGCCTGAGGTTTTCTGCTGTGCTGCAGCTGGAAGGCAGAGCTATGAACATAAAGGCAGGACTGGCAGATGTGCTTCTGACTGGGAATCTGTTGAGAAAAAAGCATTTTTCTATGTGTGGGGAGGATGCCAGGGATTCACCCAAAGGGCCCTCCCAGTTTGGTCCTTTCAGTCCACTGCCCCAACCTTCTTGGCACTGAAGTCACTTTTTTCCGTCCACGACATCATCAGAGACCTATGCCCCTTTCCTCTTCTCAAGGCAGAATTAACTGTTCCTGTGTCTCTGATGCCTTTGCTTTAGGTGTATTCTCATGTGAGGGCACTTTTCACATTTGCAATACATCTGGATGTTAATGGGTCTGCTTTCTCCCTTACAGAGTTGCACATTTCGTGCACACGCAATTATGCTTGTACCTTCATTGAGGGCTTGGTTCATTTTTGTATTCCCATCTGTAGTGCCTGGGACCTGGTAAGACGTCAGGAAATGTTTGTTGGATGAATAAGAGACTGAATGAGAATTGACCCCACAGGATCACCTCTCTCTTTTTGTACCCTTTTCTAGGTCATAGCTGTCACCTCCCTTTCTCAGAAGCTTTTCTATACGCTTCATTGCTTTTTCAAGGTCTTGCAAGGTGACCAGCTAAGTAATTTGATATTCCAACCCATGGCAATGCAGCGGTTCCAACAATTGGATCATATATTTCTCTGTACTGGCAGTTTTGTAGACACATGTCTTTATTTTCTAATGAGGAAGTCAATCCAATGCAACGAAAATCCCATTTACCCTCTTCAGCAGCATCCAGTTGATGAGCAGTATTTCTTGTCAAGTTGTCTCTTAAATGACATGCCATGATCAGCCGCCTACATTGCCTTATTATGATGCGTCTTTGATTTTACTCTTCTCCAATCTGATTGTCCATCTTCTACCACCTTCCTTATCCTTGCAATATTTCCCAAACCATGGTAAGGGCCCGGGACATGGTAGTTTTGTACTGAGCTTCTCTTGTCATGTCTTGGTGAATGGGGCTGGTGTTCCTCCCCTTCCTGAAGATGTTGGATACAATCTTCTGATATCTCTGAAGATGCTGTGGGAGAGGCTGCATATATTTGTGCATGTGTATCAGGCCTGAGCTTCCCTTGTTCTAAAAATTTGAATGTGACCAAAGAAGCAGGTTCAGCATATAGAGAAAAAATTAAAGTGATACTTTTTTTTTCTAAAATGGTGTCAACCTCATGTCCGTTTGAATCAAGTTCATTTTGCAGATGTTTGCCTCCACCCAGTTAGCCAGCATTCTACCACCTGGCAGCTGACAATTCAAAATTTGCTGATGCAAAGATGCTTATGGGTACAGAAATTTAATCCACTCTCTCTGTCTAACCAGTAGCTCCTTTGCCCATGTCAAATCCCCCACAGGAGCTATCAACCCTATGTGTGCCAGGTTTTGACAAGCCATTTTTGCTCATATACAATTAAATTATTTCACAGGGAAAGGAAAGGAGCTAGGGAGGAGAATGTGGAAGGCTCCAGGAAAGGGGAAAACAAGCTCACAGCATGGTTTTCCTTTCCTGAATGCTACAGGAATCCCTACAAGTTTGCTGGTTTAAGGAAATGACTCTGATGTATCCGATCATTTTCCTCAATTGCTTTGTTCAAAGACCACAAGCCTAAAGGTTTGAAACAAAAGAGGAGCAATAAAGTCAGGCCTCAGGAAAACTCTTAGGTAGTTGAAATACCATAGACGTCCCTCCTCTCACTTTCACAGCAGCTTCTTTGCTGAAGTGCCTAGCATGTTTATTTTCTGTTTAAGTTATCAGCATATCCTCTGAACTCTAGGTTTCTTGATGGTAGTGATTCAGTTTTATTTATCAGAATGATTGTGCCTGCTATGGAGCAAGTGCTCAAAACCCTGAGTTCTGAGTGCAGTGAGGAAATGTGTAGGTCAGAGCACTGACATACTAGCAGCATTTAAAGATGCTCCTTCAATACAAAGGAGAGGGTGGTGAAGGACACAGTGACAGCACATTGGAGAGAAACACCACGAGAGAGGGGTCTGGGCTGCCTAGAGTGGCTGAGGCCAATAGACTTTGGCAGGCCATGCTGGGCTGCTTTCTGGTTTTAGCTACTTGTTGAACATGGGAGGACATGGTAAGGCAGGCTGGAACCCTAATTTAAGCCAAGAGCACCACTTTGGTGCATAACACACAATCAGGATGTCCCAGAACATGACTCAAGGCAAATCACCACTGACCTGTGTGGAATCAGCATTTATTCTGTGGGTTTGATTGCAAATTAGATGGGATTGACTTGTGTTGTGGGTGTCAGATAAGCAAGGGTGAGGGTGGGCAAATTAAATCTTCAAGTTCTTTCTACTTGGCATTTGGAAGCCACATTGATCCCTTGGGTCTGACAAAGGCCTCAGTAATATAGTTGGGATATGCGTCCCCACTCAAATCTCGGGTTCAATTTGTTATTATCAGTGTTGGAGGTGGGGCCTGGTGAGAGGGGATTGCATCATGCAGGTGGATTTCTCATGAATGGTTTAGTACATCCCCTTGGTGCTTTTACCATGATAGTCAGTGAGTTCTTGCAAGATCTGGTCATTTGAAAGTGTGTGGCACCTCCTTGTTCCTGTTTTCACCATGTGGGATGCCTGCTCCTGCTTTGCCTTCTGCCTTGAGTAAAAGCTCCCTGAGGCCACTATCATTCCTGTGCAGCCTGCAGAACCCTGAGCCAATTAAACCTCTTTTCTTATAAGTGGTTGAGACTTATAAGTTTCATATAAGTCTTATAATACTTGAGACTTATAAGTCTCAAGTATTTCTTTACAGCAGTGTGAGAACTAACAAATACACTCGGGATCTCCAAGAATCATGGTAAATGCTGGTCTTTAGAGAGGGGAGCACTTCGACTTCCTATTGATAAGAACAGGTTGACACTCCATTGATTAACAAAAAAAGAAAAAAAGAAACTTTTTTGTCCCCAAGTTGATGAGGCTATATGTAAAGTTTCACATATAAAGTCTGAAGTGTCTACGGAACATCAAGGTGGAGATTGCAGAGGCAGATAGAAATATTGACCTAAAATATAAGGAGAAGTTGAGAATGAACATAAAACTTTGAAAATCATTAGCATAAAGATAAGTCTTATTTATATATTCCAGTAAAGTAGAGAGAAATTACTTGTTGAATGAACAAATTGATGAATAAGTGAATGAGTGGAGGTCTTACTATGAAGTAGTATAATTAATTTTTAAACACAAATATCCTGGGACTTTTACATCCAGATAAGCTTTCTGTACTTCAAAGTAATCAACTTGGATTTATTCCCATAATATACTTATTGCCCAGGGCAGTTTCAAGCTCCTGTAGGAATTAGCTGCGTTCAGAGCACATGTTTCTACTAATCTTCAGTGATGGTGACTTTTCATATGTTAAGGAAGAATGTGATTTCTGTAAACAATCAAAAGTAGTTCAAGGCCACATTTGGTGAATGATTTGAGGAATACGAGAGATAACCATTTTGGTCATTATCAGTTTTAAATTCTAAAGAAACATAATTTAATTTTTAGTTCTGAAGTCAGTTTTAAAATAGCAACACTGAAATGTTCAAGCCTCAGACCATAGCCTCCCATGGTGATAACTTTGAAGTTCGACATTGTATGGATTCTAGTGGAAAAACCTAAAACAAAAGACATATATTTATAGACATAGCACATATATAAATTATATATTTTTAAATATAAAATTTGTGTGTTCAGCATTGGCTGTGCACATGCAGCCTCTACTTCTTGTTCGTCCCTATTTGCTTTCTCCCTCCGCCCCACTCCCATTCTGTTTTGCGTTCCTTGGGTCATAGCAGCTGCCATGTTTAAAGCACTCTTTGAGTAGAGCTAAGTACTGATAACAACAGAAAAGATTCTGAGAACAGTAAATGGCAGGGGAGGTGGGCAGTACCTTACTGTACTTTGATTCTTTTACTCTTTGTCACTTTGTCTGACCCCCGAGCAGTTCTAACTGGGATAAACTAAGTCTTTGGTTGGGTAGATTCTGTGGCATTCAAGTTTTATTAAGAGGACTTGACTTCAGTATTGAGGGGAGTGGTAGAAAGAAACCAGCATGAGTGGTAAACTCAGGAGACCTAGATGCTGGTTCTGCCAATATTAATAATTATATTGCTACTGTTACTACTACTGATGCTGCTCTTGTTACCACTACTTCTGCTCTTTAGATTGGCAGTGTTTTGTACTTTACAAATCTTTTTAACATACTTTGTCTCATTCTTCACAACGGGTCCATGAAATAGGAAGTTATCAACTGAGTCATTTTCAGGTAGGTGAAGTGAGCACACTAAGCTTTCAAGTACTCATTCAAGAATGACAAGGCAAGTCACTTTGACTCTTCGGACTAGACTACCTAAGATACACTTACGCTGCAAATTTTATGCTCCTCTCTTTTAGTAGAGTATAATATATTAGGTATCGAAGTGTAGTTTTGCATTTCATGAGGTCCCCAAAAACAGGTGATCATGGGGAATCACTCCGCATGGTAAGAGTTAGAATATGTGAAACAAGCAAGTGCAAGTTACATTAAAATTAAATACTTAAGGAAAAGATAAAGTCATAAAAGTGCTTATTTTGAGCCCATTTCAGTCTTAATACTCCCTCCAGACTGGGTAGAACCATTGCTCTTATCTGCGAAGTTGCTATGGAAACCGATCGCGCTCTTCTCCCTCTGCAATAGTATTTTTCTCAGGCACTCTCTATCTCTCAAAAATCTTAGCAGTGAAACAGACATCAAACCCCAGCGGATTAAAAAATGGGATTTGTGTTTCTTCTCCCCGCCCTCACCCTCCTCCTTTCAAAGGCATGACTATTGACAAATTGGTGGCTCATGAATTCTCCCTACAATGATCCTTTTTCTATGCAGAAGGATGCTGACAGAGGGACTGCTGCGCTGATGCAGGGAGGCCTGTGACTGCCAGGCCGCAGGGCTCCTGCAGATGACAGTCCCACCTGCCGTGGGCACAGGTGCTCTGTCCTGGTTTGAAGGATGAGAGCCACTCATCGCACTTAGAGGAACATGAGAAACATAGAATTATTGCTCATCAACGTCAAAACAGTCGAGCAGGTGACAGAAATGGGGATGAAGAAGAGGCTTGTTTTATTTTTTGGATTCTGAATTCACTGAACAAATGGGGGTTAGGGAAACCTGGGAAGAATCTGGAAACACTTGGTTCTTGGGTTTCTTAATCTTGCAGGCAATTTTTTATTATGGTCTGATGAGAATACTCATCAGGCCACATTAAGTCTATCCCCCACTATAGGCAAATGAGATATTCTACACAAGTGTTCTTGTTACTGCTGTTGTAGTGCTGCCTATGAGTGGCCTCTCCAGCATGGTGGTTTCAGGACAGCTGGGCTTCTTGCATGTTGGCCGGCTTCCCCGACAGTGAGTATCCCAAGAGAAGTAGGCAGAAGCTGCATGGCCTTT
Organism: Homo sapiens; assembly: GCF_000001405.40. NCBI lineage: Eukaryota > Metazoa > Chordata > Mammalia > Primates > Hominidae > Homo > Homo sapiens. Next base: position 133,802,085 of record NC_000002.12, on the reverse strand, counting down.
GATGTGCCAGCCTCACAGACATATAGCATCACCTCCGTGAGACTTTGTTCAAGTAACTATAAGCCTGCAAAGACACAAGGAGAGGGGCACATAGACCCACCCCTTGGTGAGAGGGCTGTTAAATAATTTGTCACCATTTGAAACACCTCCAAAATAAGAGCGTTTTCTGGAAATCTATAGCAGACTTTTTTTTTTTTTTTTTTTTTTTTACAGTTGGTGGGGTAGGGGACGGAGTCTCACTGTGTTGCCCAGGCTGGAGTGCAGTGGTGTGATCTTGGCTCACTGCAACCTCCACCTCCCTGGTTCAAGTGATTCTTCTGTCTCAGCCTCCTGAGTAGCTGAGATTACAGGTGCCCTCCACCATGCACAGCTAATTTTTGTATTTTTAGTGGAGATGGGGTTTCACCATGTTGGCCAGGCTGGTCTCAAACTCCTGACCTCAAGTGATCCACCTGCCTCAGCCCCCCAAAGTGCTGGGATTACAGGCGTGAACCACCATGCCCAGCTCAGGCTCCTTTAAGTGCCGAACTTTAAAGCTTCTAACTCTTTGTTGATATCTCAGGATCTTCATTAATAGCATGGATTAATGCACTGTGTGGAAATAAATGTTATCTCCAGGGCATACTGAATAGAATAAGATTTTCTTTAAAAATTACCTTTTGCTTAGTGTGCATGTTGTTCTGTGTGTTTTAGGTATTTTATCTCATTTAATTCTGGAATAATCCAATGGTAGGTAGACAGAATGTGAGCTGCATTTCAAAGATAAGGAAGCTGAGGCTCAGAGGGAAACTACCCAAAGCCACACAGCTAATAATCTCTGCAGATTACTAACTCTGAAGTGTTCGATTGCAAAACTCAGAATTTTGGAGGAGGAGTGAGGGTGTTCACTTTTGCTTCTATTTGGAGGATATAGGATGTCTCCTCAGGCCCTGGCCCTCTTCACACTCTCCTTCTCTGCCTTAAGGGCAGCTACTTTCCTTTCTTCTGTGATGAAGTTGCTGCTTCCTCTACCCCTTGGAATTCTTTTTCTCTGCAAAACTGATGAATACCGGTATGCTCTCTCCTCAATTTTCCCTTTCCCTTTTATTGCCACACCAAAGACCACTGCAGAAGCTGTTTTTTCTTTTAGAGCTTTACTGCTAATCACCATAGAAAAGGTAGACAGAAGTTGACAATGATTTCCCTGGGGAAATCTCAAACTTAATCTAGTCCACATCGTTTTTTACTATGTCCTTGACTCTGGCCTAAAGTTTCTGACTCCTCTATTCCTGTAACTAGTAGGTCCACATTTGCTCATAAACGAGGTCACATTTCCATTAGTTATATGCAGAAGAAGATTCCGTGCCAGCCACACCTTTGTGGGTGATTCCTGAGAATCCTTCCCAGCCTTGTCTCATGAGACCTCAGAAACAGCTTGCTGCCTGCTGTGTCCCCAGCTGTGGCCCCTCTTGGGCTGCCCAGCCATGCCTTTGCTGCTGCTGCCTCCACAGTGCCTCCTGCTACCACCACCCATCTGGCCTGAGATGACGGGGCAGTGGGCAGAGAGGGGTTATTGCTTTCCTTGCTACCATCTTTTTCCAAGCAAAGGGTAGCTCTTTCTCTGGCTTCCCCACCACACAGCCAAGGTCAGGTTATTTTTGATAATTGGAGGCTTAGATACAGTATTTAGAATGGTCATCAACTCAGTCATCACTAGGAGCTCTTAGCAGATGAGGTCCCTCTTGGAGGGTCTATAAACAGAGACCGTCTTTTCCACAGGTGAGCAAGGCCCTCCTTGGCCCAGCTGCTGGCCTTCCTAATATCCTCTGTGGTGTCTGCACTGTAAAGTTCCAGTCCTAACAGCCCTGAAGCCCAGAGAGCAAAGTTTTCCCCTTTCCCCAGTCTAAGTCCCACTTTAGGACTCTTCATTTCCTGCCACAGAACTGACTTCTTTTTAGAAAGATCGATGGTAGGAATATTCACTTTCCTTAGGGAAAAACCATCTCTGCCCTGTAGCATCTATTTCTGGATTCTCATTGTCTTTCCTCCACCCCCTACTTCTGAGGTTTGGAGAGTGTCAGTTTGGGGATAGGAGATACTCACTTAATGGAGATGATGACAGAAGGATTTGCCTTCATTAGCTCATCACACACCTCTAAGCCATGCAAGGGGGAGCTAGGAATTCATGATGAGAGAGTCATCAGCATGCCTTCTGCAGACCCCAGATCTTGACTGAAAGTAGATGAGGTGGGGTAAAAGGCTTTGCCTCACCTTAAGTCAAACTTTAAAAAGCTGCTTGGAAAACTTTTCGTATTCCCCTTGAAATCAGGGGATATAAGAAAAGATACCTAAATTATACCTGATAAAACTTACAGTTGCATCCCTTAAGTGAAAGTCAAGTTTGCATTGGAAACACCCTGCAGTTTGGTGGGGCAAGGATGTGTACAGACATGTTCCCTGCAGGTCTGGTGTGGACCAATTAGGTGAGAAGCACAGCAGTCTCCTGAAAAAGGATCCTACCCAAGGGGACCATGAGGAGGAATGAGGCAACCCCAAGGGGAGGAAGGACCACAGGGACCCAGGGACTGAGGGGGCATCAGAAGTGGATTGTCAGAGGAGATATAATCCATAGCAAGGGACCTGCAGGTATGAGACCTCCTAGCAGGGAATTTGCTCTCTGGAGAACCCTCGAAATGCCTCGTTAGGGAAAGAATCAGCAATTGCTCAATGTGAAATATCCAGAAATCTCCAGGCCCATCACAACTGCCTCAGCCATGTAAACTGTACTTTCTTCCTTTTCTCCCTCCCCCAGTCCAACCTAGGAGTGGCTACAAATTTCAGCTACTGGGTAAGGAAGGAAATGATGGGGAGAATACAACATTTCTTACCAATCCTCTCCTCCCTACTGCTGACTTCTAAGTCTGGGGCAGGTACAAACTGGGGAGATAAGAAGTTTCTGATACAATGAACAATTGAAGTTTTAATATTGTAATACTAAAAGAAAAAAAAGTTTTAAATAATACTGACCTGAACATTCTAATACCTGGAAGAATGAGACTAGTCACTATTATCTGATCTGTTGAAAAAGCCATAGAATCTCAAATCCAACATGTATAAAAATAATTATTGTCACAATCAACTGGGATTTGTTCCAGGCAGGCACACAAGGCAAGTTCAACATTCGAAATTAAGAATCAATTATTTTAATCTGCCACATAAACAGACTAAAGAAGAAGAATCGTATGTTCTTATCAATCGATCCCGCAAAAGCTCTTGACAAAATCCAACACCCATTCTTGATAAGAAATTTCAGCAAAGTAGAGATAGAGGGGAACTTTCTCAACTTGATAAAAAACTACTTCTAACATACTTAGTGGTAAAAAACTGGATGCTTTAACACTAAAATTGAGAAGAAGGAGAGGTTGTCCCCTGTTAGCACTTCAATTCAACATCTACCAGAAGTCATAGCTAATGTAATATAACAAGAAAAGGAAATAAAATGCATAAAGATAGGGAAGGAAGAAATCAAATGGTCTTTGTTCATAGATGACATTACTGTCTACGTAGAAAATCCCCAAAGAGTCAACAACAGCAGCAAAATACTCCTGGAACGAATAAGCAATTATAGCAAAGGTCACAAGGTACAAGGTTAATAAACAAATGTCAGTTGACTTCCTATATGTCAAAAATGAACAACTGGAATTTGAAATTTCAAAACACAATATCATTTACATTAGTGCCAATAAAGAGGAAGAAATAGTTATAAAACAAAATATGTTCAAAATATGAAGAAAACTATAAACCCTGATGAGAAATAAAAGAAGATCTAAATTAATATTCTGTGGTTGTAGATTAGAAGACTCTATGTTATTAAGATGTGAATTCTTTCCAATTTGATCTATGGATTTAAGGCAATTTCAGTCAAAGTCCAATAAAGCTATTTTGTGGATATTGATAAACGGTTTCTAAAGTTTATATAGAAAGGCAAAAGCCTAGAATAGCCACACAATACTAAAGAGAAAAAATAGAATCATACTCAATGGTGAAAAGTTGAAAGCTTTTCCTTTAAGAGCAATAACAAGAATGTCTACTCTCATCACTTCTATTCAACATAGTACTGGAGTCCTAGTAAGAGCAATTAGGCAAGAAATAGAAATAAAAGCCATGCCAATCAGAAAGGAAGAAGTAAAATGGTCTCTGTTTGCAGCTGACATAATTCGATTTGTAGAAAATCCTAAATACACTACCAAAAAACTGTTAGAACTAATAAACAAATTAAGTTGCAGGATAAAAAAAAATCAATGAGTTGCATTTTTAGATACTAACAATACAAAATCTGAAAAACACATTTAAAAGAACAATATTATTTATATAGTATCACAGAGATAAGATACTTAGTAATAAATTTAATCAAGCTGATGAAAGATCTGTGTACTTAAAATTATCAACCACTGATGAAAGAAATAGAAGCTGACACAAATGGAAAGATATCAGAAAAATCAGTATTGTGTCAAAATATCCACACTACCCTAAGTCATCTACAGATTCAATGCAATCCCTGTCAAAATTTCAATGGCATTTTTTACAGAAATAGATTTTAAAAATCCTAAAATTCATATGGAACCACAAAAGATCCTGAATAGCTAAAGCAATCTTGAGCAAGAAGAACAAAGCTAGAGGCATCACACTTCTTGACTTTAAATTATATTGCAGAGCTGTAGTAGTCAAAACAGTATGGTACTGGCATAAACTCATATACTTAGAAAAATGGAATAGAGAGCCCAGAAATAAACCCATACATATATGGTCAATTAATAGTCTACAAAGTCTCCAAAAATAGACAGTGGGGGAAAGGATAGTATCTCCAATAAAGTGTTAGGAAAACTGGATGTCCATTTGCAAAAAAGTGAAATTGGATCTTTATCTTATACTATATATAACAATCAACTCAAAATGAATTAAAGATTTGAACATAAGATCTGAAACTATAAAATTCCTATGAGAAAACTGGGGAAAAGCTCCATGATATTGGTCTTGGCAATGATTTTTTTAATATGGTGAAAAACACACACCAAAAGCAAAACTAAACAAGTGGGACTACATCAAATAAACAAACTTCTGCATGGCAAAGACAATAATCAAAGCAAAAAGGCAACAAACCAAATGAAAGAAAATATTTGCAAACATATACCCAATAAAGGGTAAATATCCAAAATATATAAGGAACTCATGCAACTCAATAGGAAAAAAAAAAAAAAAAAAACCCAAACCAAAACCCCCACCTGAAAAAAGGCTTCGATTTTAAAATGGTCAAAGGACCTTAGTAGACATTTTCATTTTACAGCAATGGCTAACAGGTATACAAAAAGGTGCTCAGCATCACTAATCATCAGGGAAATGCAAATTAAAGCCAAAACAAGATATAAGCTCACTCCTGTTAAGATGGTTGTTATAAAAAAGTCAAAAGATAAGAAGTGTTCGTGAGAATGTGGAAAAAAGTCAAAAGATAAGAAGTGCTGGTGAGAATGTGGAACCCTTAAATGTTGGGAATGTAAATTGTTACAGATATTATGACAAACAGCATGGAGAGTCATCAAAAAATTAAAAATAGAAAAACCATATGATCTAGTAATTCCACAAGTGGGTATATATGCAAAACATACAAAATCAGTATGTTGAAGAGCTATTTGCACTCTCATGTTTATTGCAGCATTATTCACAATAGCCAATACATAAAAACAACTTACATGTCTATCAGTGGATTAATGGAGAAAGAAAATGTGAGACATATGTATCTCACATATACCATATACATATAAAATACTATTTAGCCCAAAAAAGAAAACAAATTTTTGTCATTTGCAATAATACAGGTGAACCTTGGAGGACATTATGTTATGAAAAATAAGCCAGGCATAGAAAGACAAATACTGCATGATCTCACTTACATGTGGAATCTGAAAAAGTAGAACTTTAAACAGAGAGTAGAAGGGTAGCTACCAGGGTTTGGTGGTTAGGGAAAATGGGGAGATTTGCCCCAAAGGGTACAAACTTTTGGTTATAAGATGAATAAGTTCTGGAGAGCTAATATACAGCATTATGACTATAGTTAATTATTGTATACTTGGAATGTGCTAAGAGAGTTGATCTTAAGTATTAACACCATATACATAAACAAAAAGGACTGTGAAGTAATGTGTATGTTAATTAGCTTAATTGTGGTAACCATTGCACAATATATGTGTATATCAAAACATCCTGTTATACACTTTGAATATATACAGTTTTTTTTGTTAATTATACCTCAATAAAGCTGAAAAAAAAAACAAAGAGGACTGATACTATTTGACTTCAAGTCCTACTATTAAGCTATAATAATTAGGATGGCATGGTATTGCAAAAGAATACATACATAAATAAATAGAAGAGAACAGAGTGCCCAGAAATAGAGCCACACAAATACAGTCAACTGTTGTTTGACAAAGGAGCAAAGAAATTCAATGGAGAAAAGAAATCATTTACTCAACACTAAATGATGTTAGAACAATTAGACATCCACGAACAACAAACAAATCTAGACACAGACTTTGTACCTTTCACAAAAATTAATTTAAAATAAGCCATATACCTAAATATAAAAAGCAAAATTTAAAAACTTCTGGAAGATAGTCTGGAGAAAATCTATATGGCTTTGAGTTTGGCATTAAGTTTTTAGATACAACAGAAAAAGCACAATTCATGAAAAAAATGATGTTGGACTTTATTAAAATTTAAAAACTTTGCTCTTTTTAAAGACACTGTTAAGAGAATAAAATCACAAAGCACCAACTGGAAGAAAATATTTGCAAAACACACATCTGGTAAAGGACTTCTATTCAAAATATACAAATAACTCTTATGTTTGATATCATTTGTGGTTAGGGAATTTCAAACTAAAACAACAATGATACACTGCTACGTATCTATTAGAATGGCTAAAGTCCAGAAAACTGACAATACCAAATGCTGGTGAGGATGTGGAGCAACAGAGACTCATTCATTGCTGGTGAGAATGTGAAATAATACAGCTGCTTTGGAAGATAGATTAGCAGTTTATTACAAAGCTAAAAATAGTCTCACCATGTGATCCCACAATCTTGATCCTAGGCATTTATCTGAATTAAATTTTGTCCCCCAAAAAACCTGCCCACAAATGTTTATAGTAGCTTCATTTATAATTGCCCCAAACTGGAAGTGATCGAGATGACCTTCAATAAGTGAATAGATAAAAAACTGTGGTATATCCATAAAATAGAATATTATTAATCAATAAAAATGAGATATCAAGCAATGAAAAGACATTGGGAAACCTTAAATGTGTTTTGCTAAGTGAAAGAAGCCAGTCTAACAAGATGACAAACTGTAAGATTCTAACTATATGACACTCTGGAAAAGGCAAAACTATAGAGACGTTAAAAAGATCAGTAGTTGCCAGTGGGGAATGGGGGAGGGATAAATAGGTGAAGCACAGGTGACTTTTGTTGTTGCGGGGGTGGGTGAACTATTCTGTATGATACTGTAATGTTGGATATGACATTATACAGTTGTCAAACCCATAGAATTTTATAATATAAAGAGTGAACCTTAATGCATACAATTAAGAAGTAATGTATGTGGTTAGGGGATTCTAGGAAAGAATCTGTAGTGTGACGAGGGATTCTGATTGTGTTGCAAATGTATGAAACAACCTCACTGAAGGGAGGGGTGATAAAGGTGCTGACCTAAGTAATTTTGGAAGTGAGTGGAGTCTAAGAATAAAGACAAAAGGTATTGCACATAAGCACTGTACTTTAGTTGATAAAGTTGTTTCTTATGGGGTTACAGGTTAACAATTCTGATACTGCTATATATGTATGCTGAAAGTGAACAATTAAACAAATGGATGCTGGATGGTGAGATCCAGGTTTCTCATAGTTGCTGTGGGAATTTACAGATAAGCAAGAGGAGGAGGTTAGAATGATCCAGGTAGGGTAATGGATTAAAGTTAGAGACATTAGTCAGCCATAATGTTTAACTTGATATAGATACCAATGTTTACACATAGAAATCTTTATAGATAGTAATATACACAAATTTATTTCTTCTGTCAGCTGAGAGATTCCAAAAGAAATACCCCAGTAGCAAAAAGGAACCAGGTCTCCTTGGAGAAATGGCTTATTCTAAGACTGGGGCAGAAAATACACAAGGTGGTTAATCCTGAGCATCTTGTAGTATCAGAAATTAAGGAGGCGATCAAAACAAAAACAACTCATTAATGTAGTATGTCAAAGGGGCACAGGAACCAACGGAAAAACCTCCCAATCACCAAAGCTGAAACAATGTGAGCCACAAAATTATAACATAGTGTTGGGTTATAACCCAGAATATAATATGACTATCCATTTGCACGTATATTGATATAAATCAAAGATCAAATGCATTAGTAAATGGGGAGAAGAGACCATTCTCTTGTACAGAATAATTCCAAATAAATTATGTAGCTACTCCACCCTAAAGGTGGAGGGATACAATGCTTTACTCCTGGAGTGTGGGCTGCACACAGTGACTTCCTTTCAAAGTGTACAATGTGAAAAGGGAAGAAAAAGTACAGTAAAGAACGGTGACAAACATTATGTCAGCCACATGATCATTGTCAACATCAGCAGCCATAAATTATGTCAGTAGTTTGTACTCTTCATATGATGTGCTGAAAATGGCATTTTAACTGTAATCTTCTCAAAAATGCAGATTCCGTGTCATGAGAAAACACCAGAAAAAAATTCTATAGAAGGGCATCGTACAGTGTACCTGACCAGTACTCCTCACAGGTCATAAAAAGCAGTCTGAGAAACCATCAAAGCCAAGAAAATCCTGAGGAGACACAACAATAAAATGTAATGTGATATCCTGGATGAGTTCTGGGAATAGAAAAAGGAAGTTAGGTAAAAACTAAGAAAATCTGAATAAAGTTTGAAGTTTTAGTTAATAATAATATGTCATTATTGGTTCATTCCTTTTAGCAAATGCATCATACTAATGTAAAATGTTAATGATAGGGGAAGCAGTTTGTGGTGGTGTGTATGGGAACTCTGTTATCTGTTTAATTTCTGTGCAAATCTAAAGCTATTTTACAAAGTAAAGTCTATTAAGTAAAAAATAAAGCTGTGACTCTTCCTTTCTTTCTTTTTCTTTTTTTTGGAGACCGAGTTTTGATCTTGTTGCCGAGGCTGGAGTGCAATGGCACAATCTCGGCTCACTGCAACCTCTGCCTCCTGAGTTCAAGCAATTCTCCTGCCTCAGCCTCCCAAGTAGCTGGGATTACAAGTGCCCACCACCACGCCCATCTAGTTTTGTGTTTTCAGTAGAGACAGGGTTTCACCATGTTGGTCAGGCTGGTCTCAAATTCCTAACCTCAGGTGATCCACCCACCTCGGCCTCCCAAAGTGTTGGGATTACAGATATGAGCCACTACGCCTGGCTCCTATCCATGATCTTATCCTAAGCTCATCCAGGAAAGCCAATTCTTCAGTTCAAGTCTGAAGAAGGAAAAAAACCAATAACCCGGTTTGAAAACAGTCAGGCAGGAGAAATTCCCTCTTATCTGGGGGAGGGTTGGCTTTTTGTACTTACTATTCATGCCTTCAACTGATGGGATAAGGCCCACCTACACTAGGGAGCCAATCCCCTTTACTCGTGCAAAAACAGCCTCACAGAAACGCGTTTGACCAAATATCTGGGCAACTTGTGACCCAGGAAAGTAGACACATAAATTAACCATTACAATTGTCTTCTCACATACACCCTTGTTTATGAGAATCAAATAGGATAATTAAAGTTGGAGCACCTTGTAAAAACATAAAATGCTTAGCTGTTGAATGAATGTTCAGACTAATGAAAAACTTTCTTCTTAATCCCAACCTTTTCCACTCATATTGTTTAGGGATTTTAGATATTTCTATGCAGTCACCCGAGCTTGTCTTGTATTATCTTCCCACATGCTGTATTATCTTGTATTATCTTCTCACATGCTGTATGGGAACAGCAGCATGAGGTCTCCATGAACACGGGGCTTGGCCCTCCCTGCTGTTTCTCTGATTGCCTAGGTCTCTCTCTCTGCCTCTGCTCATGTTGTTTCTTGCATCTATTTCTGTTATTTCTAGTTTGCACCCCATGCTTTGCTCTTGGGTCCCTGCTTGCTCTTGCCCTTGGCACATCAAGACTGACTTCGGCTTCCCCACTTTGTGTTCTTCCATACTGTGCATGGACTCAGTTCCTCTCCATGCCCCAGTTCTCCTTGCTTTTTGTCCATTTCATATTATTTCCTGGGGACCCATCTCTGATTGGTGCCTCCTAGCCAATATTTTCGCAGGCTCTTCTCACCTTCAGTACCCACACTTGTTCTTTATATTTTGTCAGGGGTCAACTCTGTTCTTTTCCTACTAGAGGGCAGACAGGAAAAAAAGGAAGAAAAGGAAAGAGGATAACTTGGCCTCTCCATAACTATGCTGCTGTGATGCTGGGTACTGGGACCCTCAGGGTCTCTCAGGAACTCTGTACCCGAGTACTCAGGAGACACACTGAAATCCTGACTGGTGCACACGTGAGGAAGCTACTTTTCTCCTGGGTCGGATGGCCTCACACATCTGATGTCATTTCAAAATAATTTCCTTTCCGCCAGCTGCTCTGGTTTTCAAGTAGGAAAAAGTTGTCACCCTAAATGATTCACATTTGTGACTCTTCCTTTTGCATTGCATACTTAAGAATGTTCCCATCCTGCTTCATTCGGGTCTCAGCAGGATCCTGGAACCAATAGGTCTAAGACTGGAGATTAACAGCATAATTAATGTCGGTGTCTAATAAGTGGCCAGCCTTCCCAGTGGCTCTGCCTTCAAGTCTTTCCTTTAAGCTTGGGAGTCTGGTTCACTTTAGACCCCAGACGGCTGCTCATGTCTCTCCTAGCAGCTGCTAAGTGTGCAAATGAGAACACTTTCATGAAAATACTTCTATGGCTATTATGGGCCTCTGCTCTTATCTCAGAGAGAAAATGCTTATCTCTGAGTCTTATATAATTCAAATGAGAGACCTGTATAATGTGGCTCTCTCCTTTAAATTACAGGGAATCAGTGGTCTGTCCTTCTGAAAGGTCCTCTGCATCTGCCTGAATGAAAATGACTCAAAGTGAGGAATGTCTAATGATGCTTGTTGCTAACATGCTCTTAGCATCCTTATCAGGCAGGGCAGCCAGCAGGAGCCTCAGACATGTCAGATATTTTCGGCCCTTGAGATCTCCTTCAGGTGCCTACATTAATTAGCCTATTACATTCACATCAGATAAATATCAGGGAGAAACACTTTGGTAAAAGGAAGGTTTTGGAACTCTCTTCAATGGATGAGAAAATTAGACTGAAAATGCCTACCTGTTATTATTTGTGGATGAATCAGACTCTTTATGCAAAGAAGATTATAAGAATGGCTGCTTTTTTTGCAGAATACTTCTCAGCCTGAAGGCTAGATATCAATTCGCAGGATTTGAAAAATCTATGATTGTGGCTAATTTGCTGATTTATTTATTTCTGCTGTGCCTTCTGGAAACTAATTTTAAACCTGTAAAACAATTAGTTCTCAGGAAGCTCCTCAACCCCTCCAATTGTTTTATCTGTGAAGGCTGCTTTAAAAGTACAGCTACTAGCCATGTTTGGGGGGAAGCAAATTTTATTCATTTTCAGGTCCCTACTGCAAATCTTTATATGGAGTGTCACTGTTGGTGACTACCCATTTCCAGGAGCTACACACTCCAGGATCTTCATCATGGAGAAGGGCTCTGATATGGGTTAAGGACAAAAATCAATGTTTAGGGATGCATGTGAGGCCATCTCTCAAGGGGAGGTATTTTAGAAGAAGGAGGACAACAGGAAATCTACATGAAACCATGAGGGGTAAATGCTTTCTTGGAATTCTCTTCCTCATGGTGCATTTTAATGTAGTTGGTGCGATGACCTTACCCTTGCAAAGATGGAAGGAACTGGGTTAGGGCTGAGAGGGAAGCAGGCACAGGGCAGGCTTCTGAGACTCTCCTCTAATCTAGGCAAACTGTTCCCTCCTCACATCTCGCATGCATAGGCAACTTGCCAGGTAGACGTCAAGCTGAGCTTTGGCCCCAAATCCCTAGCTAGTGTTTACAAAGCCAAGGACTTGCCTGGGATGCCTTAGGCCTGTAGAGAGATGTTGGCTCTGGCTATGGTAGGGGATTGATGAAAGCTTAGAAATGTCAGGGTCTTGGGTGCATTATTTAACATCTCTTAGTAAAGCACCATACATTTACCGAGTGATGGGATAGGGCTTTGAATCTGAGAGGTGAAGTGTGGTTGTAATTCACATTTGCTGGTCTCCCGCTAGACCATGCATCACTTGCACTTGCCCTTCTTCCTGAATCTTGTCATAACCTTTTGATATTCATGATGGAGGGAAATATGTCAACAAGTTGGCAGAAACAATTTTCATATTTAAAACATATGACAAATTTCCACTTTGTCTAAGTGCCATGTTTAGGAACTCAGCTATTTCAATTGAAGGGTATACTTAGTTGTAAGCTGAGACACGTGTCCACCTTGCAGAGTGGCTATAAGTACTTAACATTATATTGAGTTTCCCTGGCATATTGAGTATGGTATACTATTAATTAATCCAATCTCAAGTTTCATGTGATGAGGGAAGTGAGACAGGACAACAAATCTGTGGAGCTAATTATTCAAAAGGCACACATGTTGAAAATGATAAATTGAAAAACTTAAAAATAGGTTTGAAAATAGTAAATGGAGATCATAGATAATTACTGGCATAACTGAGTTGTTAGGGGCATTTGGGAGACAAAGTTATTAATATGGCATCTGCCATGTTCTTTCACAATGCTCTACGGACCCTTTCCTGGGCAAGATGGACCATATAGACCATGAGTCTGACCATTTGATTTTGTATTTTGAGTCTTAATGCTATACACAGTGATTTAAAATACATATCTACAGAAATATATATACACATATACACATACGCATATGTTAGTAACTAGGAGAAGACATGTTTATCTGACATTCTCAAGTCAGATAAACCTGAGGTTCTCAAGTGTCAATTTGGATGAAAGCACAAATTCTTTCTCATGGCTCTCACAGACAACCTAATAATTAAATCAGATTTCCTTCTTTTCCTTGGTCTCTGTAGGAGGTGCTGGTAACAGGTAGGACCTCCTAGAAGAGCAGCAGAAGAGAGGAGGAGGAGAAAGAAACAGATGCTAGAGAATTCACTTCTGGTAACAGGTAGGACTTCCTAGAAGAGCAGCAGAAGAGAGGAGGAGGAGAAAGAAACAGATGCTAGAGAATTCACTTCTGTATCCTTCAAACATTGCATCTGTGTCTGCAGGACAGTTCTCCAAGTGGCCTTGGACTGACCCAGATCTCCTTACTTTCTTGCTCATAGTTCTCCAGAATAACTGTAGAATGAGTTGGGAATGTATCATCCTGAGATAGGGGAACTGCCTGAAAGAGTCTGGGCTGTTTCTATTTCTTCTAGGGAATGTAACATCTTGAGTTAGGGAGGAATGCCCAGGATAGCCTAAGCTTTGTTTCTGTCTTGCTGGGAAGCAGGATGACCTTCAAAGACTTGCCTAATGAGTCCTGTCTCCCCTGAGGTTTGTCAACCACGACAGGCAGCATTTTGGGGCACTCAGCTGTGGTGCAAGTGGGACACATGCATTGAGACTCTGTCTGCCCTGGAAGCCTTCTTGAGCCTTGCAGGGCCAGCACACAATGGCTCCTAGGCTTGTCTTATCCTTTGCTGCAAGTACTAACCTACTTCATGTAACTTGTTGTGTATGAAAATGTTCTGTCTCACTGGACTCAGGTGAGTTGGTAACCAGTGCACAGGGAACCTGCTCTGCAGTGTCCTTTTCGTGTTAAAAATGAGCCCGACTTTCATTTAGGTGGTTAATAAGCCTTCTTCAAGATTAACCAGCCCTTCTTAAATAGTTCACTCTGCTGTGAGTCTAGAAGACTTGCACCTAGCCAGGTAGGCAGACAACAGTTTATTTTCCTACTCCTAAAATCCATGAATCCTTTGATCTCATCTGTCCCCATTGCTTTCTGAGTCCAGATATTGTCCTGACCATCTGACCAGCTGACTGCCACAGCTGTTTTTGGTGATACTCATCCTGACATCTGGGAGGATGGAATTCAACTTTTGCCCTCAGCTGTGTGTATTCACAAATGTGGACCAGTTGAGATGGCCGCGGTGGGGACTGACCACAGGCTGGACCTCATTTCAGGGTTTCTCTGATTTATGTGAGGCCATTTCCCACCACTCTATTCTTAGAGGTTCACATGAAAATATGGCAGATTTGGAAGACTTGGTTGTTCTAGAATTTCAATTTTCACTTTTTAATGAAGCGGCCCAGCTGTGGAATTAGATTAGTTATTGGAATTTTATGGTGTGTGAGGTTTAAGAAATCAAGGGAATAGAGCAGAAAACACAAAATAATTAGCTATGAATTCATCCTCTTAACTGTATCCTCAGTGGGTATGTAAAGGAAGATGGGTAACTACATTCAGCATCAGAGGACCAGGATCTAGTCCAGTTACTTTCTGACTCAGCTTCTGCTTTGAGTAATCACTCACTGTCTCTGGGCATCAGTTGCATTTCCTATCAAGGGACATGTTGAGCTGGACCTTAGGAATTTAGCTTGGGAAACCATTGTCCAGGAGCCTTCTGAACCTGCTCAAATTGAATACATAACTATGGTTTTCTTTTTGGTTGGAGGGGAGGGGATGAGTGTTCAAAACTTTCATCAAATTCTAAAGGGTCTGTGAGCAGGAAAATATTATGAACCATTGAACTGGACGCTCCCTATGGCCCATTCCAGCCTAGATGTTCCAGAATTCCAGAACATTCTATAACAAGGAGAAGTTGACCTCAGGCTCAGCTTATGTCTGCCTATCTAAACCAATCCATGCTGACCTCTGCCACCTCTAAACTCCTCTATACTTTAGTTAAATCATCAATTATTTTTTTTTTTTTTTTTTTTTTTTTTTTTTTTTTTTTGAGATGGAGTCTCGCTCTGTCGCCCAGGCTGGAGTGCAGTGGCGGGATCTCGGCTCACTGCAAGCTCCGCCTCCCGGGTTCACGCCATTCTCCTGCCTCAGCCTCCCAAGTAGCTGGGACTACAGGCGCCCGCCACTACGCCTGGCTAATTTTTTGTATTTTTAGTAGAGACGGGGTTTCACCGTTTTAGCCGGGATGGCCTCGATCTCCTGACCTCGTGATCCGCCCGCCTCGGCCTCCCAAAGTGCTGGGATTACAGGCGTGAGCCACCGCGCCTGGCCTAAATCATCAATTATTTATTAATTTATTCATTAATCAAACATTTGCTAGGATGCCAGTTAACACATATAGACTGAGTACCTATTATGTGTCACACAATGTCAAAATGGAGCCAAAGGCTCAAATCAGCAGCATGTAATGAGGCTACATGCATTTTCAGAACCCCTGTTATACGGTCAGTACTATTGAGATCAGCAGAGTTTAATTGTGGCTGGATTTGAGAAGCATTGGGCAGTCCTTAAAGTTTTCCTGTCCAGGCCTCAGCCTAAACCTGTTATATCAGAATTTCTTGGAGGTGGAATGGCAGTATGTCTCCCCTCGCTCCTCATCTGATTTCAAAATGTAGCCAAGGTTGATACTTATTGATTGGAATGGTGATCCTTGCCCCACAAGGACACTATCAGGTTAAGAAAGCCAAAGAAACAATTAGATAACCCGCACATAAGTTGTTTACTTATTTATTTTTATTTGTTTATTTTTCTTTTTTTTTTAAGTTCTGGGATACATGTGGAGAACATGCATAGGTATACATGTGCCATGGTGGTTTGTTGCACCTATCAACTGGTCATCTAGGTTTTAAGCCCCACATTCATTAAGTATTTGTCCTAATGCTCTCCCTCCCCTAACCCCCCTACCCACCGCCAACAGGCCCCAGTGTGTGATTGTCCCCTCCCTGTGTCCATGTGTTCTCATTGTTCGGCTCCCACTTATGAGTGAGAACATGCCGTGTCTGGTTTTCTGTTCCCGTGTTAGTTTGCTGAGAATAACGGCTTCCAGCTTCATCTATGTCCCTGCAAAGGACATGAACTCATTCTTTTTTATGGCTGCATAGTATTCCATGGTGTATATGTGCCACATTTTCTTTATCCAGTCTATCATTGATGGACATTTGGGTTGGCCCCAAGTCTTTGGTATTGTGAATAGTGCTGCAATAAACATATGTGTGCATGTGTCTTTATAGTAGAATGTTTTATAATTCTTTGGGTATGTACCCAGTAATGGGATTGCTGGGTCAAATGATATTTCTGGTTCTAGATCCTTGAGGAATTGCCATACTGTCTTCCACAATGGTTGAACTAGTTTACGCTCCCACCAACAGTGTAAGAGCTTTCCTATTTCTCCACAACCTCGCCAGCACCTGTTGTTTCCTGACTTTTTAATAATTACCATTCTGGTTGTTTATAACTATCAAATTGCACCAGTGCTTCCCAGTGCATTTGGAATAAAATCTAAACTGTGGCTACCAGGCCCTAGGTGATCTGGCCTCTGTTTACACTTATTCATTCATTTAATTAAATTTATTGTACATCCTACATGTGCCGGTCAAGTGTATATTAGTACATTCCTCAAAAAGTGTTTGTGAAGATTGTTAGTTATATATATATATATAATATATAAAAATATATAAACTAGTATGTGCATAGTAATATATATATTTTTTCTTAGAATTATGTATGGGCACACAGTTTGTGCTAATATTATTACTCAATATTTATCTTAGTTTCATTTTGACCATACGGTAACCTTTATCATACATTGTTTTAGTTTTCCTGCATTTCATGTGTTATATAAAGTGATTTCTTATAAACCACAGCTTATTTTGACAGAGAATAGTTAAGATATTCCCACTGCATTTACTATTTCCCTGTGTTCAATGAACCTGTTTTTTATTCTCATCTTTTAGGTCAAAGATGAAAATGTTCAGCAGAACCATATTTGGCAATACATATCTGATATTTTAACAAGTGGCAAAGTGGCAAAGTACTTTTGTTAAGTGGAAAATAATTCATTAAAAAAGGGAGTGAAATGAAATGTCAAGCAGTTGAGAACATTTCAGTATTGGAAATTGTGAAGGCATGACAGGGGCAGAGACACTCATATTTAATAAAAATGTTGGGCCCCAACTTAAAAACAAGAAGCAACACCAAGAATCAAACGTACATTCTCATCTTGCAGGAAAATAAAAAGATCTGAAAGTCAGTAGGTCTGTCAGTACGAAAAGTTACTTTTATTTCTTTTTCTCTCTCAATGGTGATGCCTATTCATTAAGCTTTTATTATATGATAAACATCTTTTACTATAGCTCACTGTGTTTCAATTAAGCTTTAGCTGCCCACCATAAAGCCTAATGCAAGCTAAAGGTTTCCTTTTATTCCTTTATCTTTACTGGGCACCAAACCTAAGCCATCTATCAGTGCTCTATACTCAGTTCCTGAATAGACATTTGTTACCCAGAACTTCTTCCCCAGTTTCCCAGAGTTTTTGAAACATTCAGTGCCCTTTGAAATACTTTTAAATCCAAAAATATAAACCTTTCTGCCAGAACTGATACTGCCACAGTGCAACCACTGATTGCCTGGGTTTTCGTTTTTGAAACATCATTAGACAATGGATTTGAACAGAAATGGAAAATTCATCCAACTTGCTGGGTTTCACTCCATGGTGTTTTGTCATTTAATGGCTATGTTTAGCAGCACAGAATTTTCCATGGGCGTCAGAAGTCTTGAGACCAGAGGTAGAGTCATTACTTAAGGACATCTTATTGCTACAGATAAACCCATCTTTGGGTGAGCTGATGATAATATAGAAATAATTTTAAAAACTAGAAATAAAACTTACAGCTATTGAGTGACCATAGGATAGACTGGAAAGTTCATGGACTGTGGAAGCGAGTTATCTGTGTCCATGTCTTCACTTAACATGTCTTTGGGTAAGTATTCTATTACTTTTGCCATCAATTTTAATGGCAAAAACTGCAATTACTTTTGCACCAACATAATGGGTCTAATTTTCCTCATCTATGTTTCCCAAGGGTCCTTGGAGCAAATGGAAAAAAATTTTTTTTTTTCTCATGTAGGATCCAATCCAGGATCACATTTTGCATTTTGTTATCATATTTCTTTGGTCTCATTTAACATGGGATATTTATTCCATTTTTCCTTGACTTTCATGATCTTGACAATTTGGGAAGTACAGGGGCTTTATTTTATAGGCTGTCTTTCAGTTTGTTTTCATCCTTTCCATATGATTAGACTCGGGTTTTACATTTTTGTCTGGGCAGCCATAGAAGTGATGTTGTGTTCTCCTCAGTGCATCAGTGAGGAGGCACGCCATGGCTATGTCCTGGAGGTGGTGATGTTAACTTTGGTCACTTGGATAAGGTGGGGACTTCCAGGTTTTCCTGATATAGAATAATTTGTTTTCCCTTTTTAGTTAATAAGTATTTTATAAGAACATACTCTGACACCCTGTAAGTATTCTATTTCTCATCTTAGTTTTGCTCATTAGTTTTAGTGTCCATGTACATGTCTTAGAGACCCCACTAACTCCAAGATTCTCTTTGATATGCTTTAGGCATAATCGTGAATATGTCACTCATCAGCCTAAAAGTCTTCAGTTGTTTCCCTTTCATACAGCAAAGTGTACCCTCCTCAGCACAGCACGGAAGGTCCTCACAACCTGGCCACATCCAACCTTTGCAGCTTTACACTTCATCTACAGAAGCCCAATCATATTGCTTTTGGTTCTCAAGACTTGTCATGTGCTTTCTTGCTCCCCTTGCCCTTGTTCATGTATAGTGGGCTGAATGGTGACCCCACAAAGATATGACCACATCTTGTTCTCTGCAACCTGGGAATGCTACATTACTTTGAAGAAGGGACTTTACAGATGTAACTAAGGAACTTGAGTCAAGAAGATCATTTTGTATTATTGGGTGGGCCCTAAATTCAATAACAAGTGTTTTGTAGAAGTGAAATATAGGGAGATTTGACAGAGGAGGAGGAGGAGGCAATATGATAGAGATTTGGAGTGGTGCGACCACAAGTCAAGGAATGCTGACAGCTACCAGAAGCTGGAAGAGGAAAGGACAGATTCTCTGTTAGAGCCTCTAGAAGGAGCAGGACCCTGCCAACACCTTGTTTTTAAACTGTTGGCCTCCAGAACTGTAAGAATATAAATTTCTGTTTTTCTTTAAAAGACATCCACTATCTGGTTATTTGTTACAGCAAACACAAGAAACTAATTCATTCTTCTTCCTCTGCCTGGAGTGCCCTTCTGACCTCATTTACTGGCTGAAATCTTACTATCTTATTTATCTTTAATGACCCAGCTCATGCATGCATCCTCCACAAAGCCTTCCATGATCTCTCAGACTTAGTTTTCTCTTTGTATTGGATAATAATCTGTACTTTTCTCATAGATTTGAAGCCCTCGATCTTGCTATCCAGAATAACTGGCTTAAAAATCTTACTTCTGCCTTTCATTATATATAGATACATGGGTGGAAGAAACTTAACCTCTCTTATCTATAAAATGAGTCAGATAATCATATCAATTTCTCAGAGTTTTTGCACACACAAATGCTGTAATATTTGTAACATGCTTGGCATAAGAGAACATTTAACACTGGTAGTTATTATTATCATCATAGTCCTTGGTCCCTCCTTCTATGACATTAGAGTTATTTGATCACCTCTCTTCTGCCCTACTGGACCACATTCCTCTTGATGGACTTGATTGGGATGTGATCATCTCTGTGCCTCTCCCCTTAAAATGACTGTCACGATTATTTTTAGGTTAATAATCCTCAAGCATTTAATCAATTTGAATTTGCAAAAATGACTGTATCTCTTAGTTTTGTTTTGTCTTCTGAAACATAGAGAGGAAACTGTACCCAAGTTGTCTTCAAGGCCTCTTCCCGCTCCAGTAGCATCAGCCCATGAAGCTCCTGACAACAAAGCTGTTCTGTCTTTGGGGAACACAAACATATTGCCTGTTAGTCATGGTACAGCATGATTGTCTGTGTGCATGTGTGTCAGCATGTGTGTGTGTGGATAAATGAGAAATGAAGACCAAACAGCCCAAACAGAATAAGATCTGCAAAGGTGGACCATGGGCTCTTGGATGTTGCTATGTTGCTCTGGTCTGTTCTGACTTTGGAGATGGGATACTACTTCTGGAAGTAATGTTGTTTTTCTAAATTTAAAAATTAGTACTATTTTGAACATCATTATGAATAATCAATAATATTAATAATGTCATCATCATTATTAAGGGCACTTCCTCTGGATTTGAATTGCCTTGGTTCACATCTGGCATCTCCTTCTGATTAGCTGTGTGATTCAGGGAAAATAACTTGGCTGTTTTCTGCCTCCATTTCTTCAACAGCAAATTGGAAGTTACAGGTGGTTTTGGGGTGGTTTAATAAGTTATTGTGGGTGTATAGAACTTGAGACATAATAAGCACTCCACGAATATCAACTCTCATCATCATCATCGCTACCATCACCATCATCATCACCATCATTACCACCATCACCATCACCATCATTACCACCATCACCATCACCATCATTACCACCATCACCATTATCACCATCACCATCACCATCATTACCATCGTCATTAATACATCACCATCACCTCACCATCATCACCATCACCATTATCACCATCACCATCACCATCATTACCACCATCACCATTATCACCATCACCATTACCATCATTACCATCATCATTAATACATCACCATCACCATCACCATCATTACCATCATCATTAATACATCACCATCGTTATCACCATCACCATCATTATCATTACCATCATTACCACCATCACTATTAACACATTGTCACCATCATCACCGTCATTATCATTACCATGATTACCACCATTACTGTTAACACATAGTCACCATCATCATCATCACCAACACCATTATCATCACCATCACCATTACCATCATTACTACCATTACTATTAACACATTGTCACCATCATCGTCATTACCAGCATCATCATCATTACCACCGTTAACACCATCACCATTAACACATTGTCACCATCATATCATCATCACCACCGTCACCATTACTATCATTGCCACCATCACAATAAACACATCGTTACCATCATTATCACCATCACCATCATTATCACCACCATCATTATCACCGTCATTACCATCATCGCCGTTATTACATCATTACCATCATTATCATCATCATCATCACTTTAAAATCCATGTGTACTGGATACTGAATATGGTGAACACCATTTTTTGGTTCATAAATTGTTTTTTGTTCACAAACTTACCATATCTCATTGGGAAGGTCTAGTTTCTCCTCTTCCATTCTTATTTGCCTTTTCCTGACCAACTCTCAACCTCTACCTTTAAGGCTCATCTCTACAATAGGAGAGGCAGACTTAATAGGGGGTGGACAGATAAAAGAAGCTCTTGTCATTAAGAATTTGCTGATCATTAGATGTTCTAACAATATAGTAGTATACTTCAATGCACGAGAACAACGAGGCTTACTTTTTGCTTCCTGGCCAAGCTGCAGGCAAACACGACAGATCTCAAAAGTCAACTGGGAGCAACTTGCTTCAAGGCTCCTGGTCTACCCATTCCTACCGCTAGATAGCGCTGTATCCATAGTTTTAGATTCATCATCAATTTATAAGAATGAGAGCAGCTCACAAAATATACAAAGGAGCTTGTCAGCAGGATTACTTGGTGTGAAAAGGTACCTCCCAGGATTAAATTAAGAGCTTTTAGAAACAGTTGGTGGATAGAACAATTTAAACCTTTTCTGTGTTTTTAAAATTCCCAATAAGATGATTAGACAGCAAGCAGAAAATTGGTAAAATTCAGCTGAAAAGAGTGAAGTTACTGCATTAGTACTCTTAATAAAGCAGCGACCATTTTTTTCGTCCCCCTCCCTCCCCCTCACCTTCTAATCCTGAAATATAATGTTGCTACTTGGGCAAATGGAATTTCGAACTTATTTTTTAAAATGGCCAGTAAGTGATACCAAAAAATGGTGTGGATTAGAGTAATACCTAAACAGCTGGAATGGATTAAGCAATTAAAGTCACTTTCCTTTATGGTTTCCCTTTTGGATACAGGGAATTGGGTCAGAAACAGCACCTGGAATTTGTGAAACAGAAGATCATAATTGCAAAACTACTTTTAAATATATAAAGTATCATTAAACTATTAGTACTTTTTTATTACATTCATTTCATTCAATATGTGGGAATTGCCTATTGAATTGTTATCTTCACAAATGCCAGATAAAGTTGTTTTTAGATGAGAAAATAACTACAATGGGAGAGTATGAGGAGAGGAAGAGAGAGAGAATCGATGATATCTCCAAATGAATTAGATGTTTTGGGGCAGAGAAATGAGAAAGTCATTGAAGAAAAGATGAATCTCTGATTTCTGCCCTTGAGAATTTACATTCTAAGGAGAGAAAACATCACCCTCTACAAGGAAAATGTGGTAAGATATACAGAAGTATATGTCACTTAATTTAGGGCAAAGTATAGAGTGTACCTGTTGCTAGTAGGCTGCATTTTGACCTGATTAAAAGGAAACATGAAAAATGGCAGAGGATGAATGAATTTCACATTTGGTAAAATGGAGGAGAGAGGCATGGTTTGATGAAGGCTGGGTAGATGGCATTTTGGGGAACGTGTGTGTTGGGAGAAAATTGGCACTTCTTGAAGATTCAGCCATGAAGGAAAGAGCAGATGGGAGGAGATGTCCTGTTGAAGTTACGAGGTTTCCAGAGTAGATTCTAACTTTAGGGTAAAAACTATCTTGTCTAGAGGAGGCCAATTTACTTTTAGAATTAGGAGTATTTATTGCTCACCATTGACGAAATCATGGTCGAGTTTTGTTTTTCCCTCCTAACCCTCTCTTTTTAAAAGCATGATGCCTCACACATAAAAGCACTTGCTCAGGACTGAGGAATTGGTTGAGTGGTCAGTGGCTCTTTATAAAATCGATTCTCTTGGCCAGGTGTGGTGGCTCACACCTGTAATCCCAGTACTTTGCTAGGCCGAGGCAGGCACATCAGTTGAGGTCAGGAGTTCGAGACCAGCCTGGCCAACATGGTGAAACCCTGTCTCTGCTAAAAATAGAAAAATTAGCCAAATGTGGTGGCAGGCACCTATAATTCCAGCTACTTGGGAGGCTGCGGAAGGAGAATCACCTGAACCTGGGAGGCGGAGGTTGCAGTAAGCTGAGATTGTACCACTGCACTCCATCCTGGGTGACAGGGTGAGACTCTGTCTCAAAAAGATTTCTTTTAGATACAAGATTCAGGGTAATTTTTTTTTTCAAATTTGTTTCTTCCCGGTAGCTCACATTTAGGAAACCAGTGTGGAGTGTCGCAATTGAGAACCAGGGGTGCAATTGTTAATGAAGGTAAAGTGCAAGAGAGGAGCCAACAAAGAGCCAGGGCTTCTGCCTTACCCAGCTACAAGACTATGATGCATCCTGTCCTCTAGGTCTTAGTTTCTTCATCTGTGAAATGGAAATAATATTACCTGATGTCCCCAATCGTATGGTTGTGGAATAGAAAATATAAATGAAAACTCTCTGAGAAGTGAAGAAGGTGAAGCAAAGATGATTATCATCTTTATAAAATGCTATGATAGACATAATCAATGTCATCATTCAAATGCCTCCTACCAACATCTTTAGGGAAATATTCATCTCAGCTTTGGAGCGAATATATTTTCTCATTCTTTGTGTACATAACCTTATAACATTAGTGTTTACTGAGTACTTACTACATACCAGGTACTGTTTGAGGCCCCTACCCCTTTTTTTCTTCTACCAAAGAGCAAAAGGGATGCAAAGGTCCATAAATAAGCTTTTTAGTATTTTTATTACATGATTATTTTTCTTTTCTCCTTTTTTAAAGGTGGAGAAATATTGAAAACCAGTGGTAAGAAAGGCATGATTGTAAAATTTTTAAAAAGTTTACAATAAACACATCGTTAGTGGTGGTTAAGTGGTGAGAAAGGCGTGATTGTAAAAATTTTTAAAAGTTTATTTGGGTGCTCATTAAAGGTATCCAATTACATCGTTGCCAAATGAGTCAGCCCATAACAGCGTGCTGTTTCCTTCAGCACCTCAAGGCCGCACATGGTCCTTTAGTGGCCTCCTGGGTGCTGTCTGGGCCTATCACTTTAAGCTGGCAGTGCCCTGTGGACTAGTCAGAGGCGGCAGCAGCATCAGAGGTGGCTGCTGCTTTACATGTGGCTGCTGTTTTGAATGTAGCTGCTGGTGGATTTTAAGTATTCTAATTAATTGCACTTTTTAATTGTACGGGTTCTCCAGGGTTTCTGAAATGAAGAGCATTGGTTTTGGAAAAGGAAAATCAACCACCAGCTGTTATACCCAGAGTGGGTTATTTTGTGGGTCAGCTGCACACTACTTTTAGGAAGTGCTAAGGGAGGGAATTTGACTCCTGACTTTTAAGCCACAATCAGGAGGGTTATCAGATTTTTGATGCAGTCCAAGGTCAAGGTCAAAAAACTGTGTTGTAATCAAACATTAAAGCAATCTAGAAGTAGGCTTGGGGAGTTTTGGGAATGTCGGAATTGGTGATTCTAGAAAAGCCGCTGGACACTGGGAAGGCAGGGGTCAGGACATCTGAAGGTCAGCCCTCAGGGTACCTGGGGATTGTCACAGTCCAGGCTCAAGGGCTGGAGCTGTGTGGGGGGGCTTAAAATCAGACCGACTGAGAGAGAGTATCTGTGGACTTTGACTATCTGTTGGACCTGGTCCGCTTGGCAGACAGGTAAATTTGCACATTTGCCTTCCTGCCCATCTACCGTGCCCTTCAAGCACACTCCACAGAATCAGTGGCTCACAGCGGCAGGGGAGGCTGTAAGGAACACCTGCTTTTTAGGTGCTCCTGAGGCTTGATGCGGGCATCCTCTGCTTGGAACATCATCCTCAACCGTGGTGTCCAATTCCTAGACTCATGCCACAGTTCCTCTTCTAGGCAGCTTCCCTGCGTCCTCTGGGCCTGGTGGGCCCCTTGCCCCTTGTGTCTACAGTGACCATTGGATATTCTTTTGTAATGATTTACTGGTCTCACTACCCTGAGACTATAAACTAGAGGGCGGGCACCCCTGTATGGTACATGGTGCTTGGCACAAAGCAGGAGCAAAATCAATGTTGGCTGAGAAAATATGAGGATCTAAATAAGGGTTTTCAAAACTTCCATCATTTGGATGCCACCTTCCCAATGTTTGTTATGTCTGAGGACCCCTTGTAATTTAACTTGGCATTTTCCATCAAATTGATTTTATTTATTTGTTTTTGTATTGAGGTAAATATACATATGTAATTTACTATCTTTACCATGTTTGAGTATACAGTTCAGTGGCAATAAAGAATACGTTTATCTTTTTTTCTTCTTCACTAAATCACTTTTTAAGAAACCTACCCTTGTTTTAAAGCACTAAAATCTGTAAAACAACAGCATTGCTCTCCTGGCAATAATTTTTCTTAAGTATGTTAAAATGAGTGCTGTCAAATTAAGGCACAAGTTCCATCTGAATAGTCTTCTTGCGCTCCAAGTATGCAGCATCCACATGCTACAGGGTCTGTGTTGGCCCCGGTGACCTAACTCCCTTGCCCTGTCCCCACTGACATCACCACCACCTTGCTACTGCCACAACTGCCATTGGCCTGTCCCACCCCTGCTGCCCTCCCGCTGGCTCTCAGCTGCCCTCCATCCCCAGGCCTTGCTGCCTTCTTCTGTCTGAAGCGAATCTACTCAGCCTCCTCTTTCCACATGGCCTTACTCTCTAGGGCCACGATTCTATCTGTGAGTGGTGGATTTGAATCTGTGACAAGGTATAAAAGATTCATAAGGTATCACGAATGAATGTCAATCGTGGGCTCCAGAAAATGGAATTTGGAGCATTGGTAGCAGATCCTTCAAGGAAGAAATTTGGACTGGAGGGAGCTTTTGGCATCTCTCACTTTTGGGTGAGATAAGTCTTGACACTTTATTTAATTGAGAATTATTTATTATATGATTGGAACCTTCTCCATTTCAAAGTGAAACCATCCTAGCTTCCGTAACTTTTCTGTTCATTAGTTATTTTGAATCCCTCTTTTCTGAATTCTCCTTATTTTCTTCCCTGGGATTTTTTGGGTAGAGTAAAGGTGGTGAAATGATCAGTGACTTTGTGGGAAATGAAAGATTCAGTACCTGGGTTTGTGAGTGTAATTGTGCAAGTTTGTTGCTCACACACCACTGTGTATAAGAAACACACTCAACGGCTCTACAAACACTAGAATCAGGAAGGCCACTGGGATAAGCAGGTCTTCTGGGTCCAGGAGAGCAAGTTCAAATCCCGCCTCTGTGAGTTTCTAGCTCTGGGGCTTTGACTAAGTCATTGATCTCTTCTTCTTAGCTTTTTTTGTATGTATTAAGTTGGTGCACAAGTAATTGTGTTTTTTGCAATTACTTGTAATGGCAAAACCGCAATTACTTGTGCACCAACTGGGATTCCCTGGATAAAAGAGGAATAGTGATATTTTCCATATCCTATTCCTGCAGGCTTATTGTGAGGAGTCTCATGCCTGTACACCCTCCAGGAGTGCACAGGCACAGAGGAGTCTCAAGTGCGCGTCCTTATGCCTGTGCCGGCCTCATCCCAGAATGCCTGACGCAGAGCCTGGGTCTGATTTTGCTGTCAGTACTGACTGACCTGCTCGAGCCCAGCGAGTCTCTCCTCTCCTAGACTGAGGTTCATCTTATCATGAGGGTGCTTCTATGGAGGCTTCAGATGCTGTGTGAAATCCAGGGAAGACATCCAGGATTCCAGAATGCTGCAGACCCTTAGAGTATGTACACGACACATGGATGTATGCAGTTAACGTTGACTGGAATATGTCTCCCATCATTTGAATGAGGTGAAGCGAACTTGCAATGTTTAGCTGTTACATTCTAAGGTCTCCTTGTTTTGGTTCCACTCCTTTAAAAAGTCTGTAGAGCAGGCCGTGAGCCAACTCCTTGGCGGTGTCTGCCAGGCTTGTCTGAAAGCCAAATATGAGCCTTCTGGGCCAAGAGTGGTTTTTGGCCCAGAGAGTCCACAACACCTCATATCCAACAGGGAGGGGAATCCGCTGCCCATAAAACTCAGTAAAAAGAGAACAAAAAGAGACATTGAAGTCAGTATAACTCAGAATTTCAATGGAGTCTGGCAGATAAAGCCTCAAATTCTGGAATGTTAGGTCGAATTGTTGCCTCCAAGCACAGAGGTGACACTCCCAGGGACTTAGTGACCTCATTTTGCTCTGGAGGGACATGGATAGGTATCACAAGACTCTCATCTGACTAGGTCTGAATGGCAGCCTCTGTTTAAAACAGATGTCTGACAGGGCCAGCCAGGATGATGTAGGATGTCAGGAGAACCCTGACAAGGACAGGGGAGCCGCTTAAACAGTGCTTGCCTCTGTGACAGCTGGAACCAGTTCCATGTGTCCAGAAACTCAGTTCACAAGATTCTCATTTCCCCTTTCCCCACCCCCAACCAAAATGATGTCACTGTGATAAATAATCACAATGAGCATCCTTGCCTGCATAAATCTATCCTTGTTATTTGTGCTTGGTTTGGAGCCTTTGTCATCACAGATCACACCTAATCCAAACACATGCCTAAACTTAGTTCTTGATCTGCAATGTTATTAGTAAATTATGTTGGTTGGAGATGAAGGTAATATATTTTCAGCAGGCTAATCAGCTGGAGGAGGGAGCATGGGTGTTCTCATAGGACTCAAATGAAAACATGATGTCTAATATTTCAGCAAGTGCCCCTCCCCACACACCCTCAGCCTTTGCAAAACCCAGCCATTAGGGCTGCTACTGTGAATCTTGGCATATTCTTTCTGACTCGTTGCTGGGAATCATTTGTAAAGTTCTGTTGTGGCAATGTACTAGAATGATACTAATCATGTCCAACTCTGTTATTTCTTTCACATGAGGGACTCTGTGTTAGTAACCAACTCAGAGCCCATCACAAAAATCAATTTATTTCTCTCTGTGGCTTTAGGATGAAATTTCTTCTTAAAAATCACACACTTTGATTACAGTTGACCCTTCTCTAGTCTTGAGATAAACTCAGACCAGAAACCATCAGTCTGAAATATATTTCCAGGATCATTTCTTGGCATGAGTTTATCTGTATAGAAAAGATTGAATGAGCGTGCTTTGAAGGAGCATTAAATCTGTCTTAATAGAAGAGGTTTAATGAAATGAAATGGCTATTGTGTTTTTCTAATTAAAAGTTAGGGAGGGGGCCTAGAAAATTCTTGAGCATAGTAACAAATAGTAACAAAAGATAAACAGAGTGAAAGTGAAGTATCACACTCTGGTCCCTCAACCTCGTGGTGTACCTGTCCCAGGAAATAATGGCTACCTGATTCTTTTTGTCATTGCAAAGATAGTCTATGCATATAGAATGTAGTGAAATGTAAGCTCCATGTCCTACATTTTTTTCTTGTTCAGCTCCAACTTCCAGAATAGTGCTGGGCATCTAAAAGGAGCTCAAATAATATTTGTTGAATAAATGAATAAGCAGAAATGCAAACACACACACACTCACACATGGTAGTGTACTACACACACTGCTCTGTACCTCATTTGTTCATTTAATATAATTTACAGCTATACCTATGGAGTTGCCTTATTCTATCAGCAATTGCCTAAATTCCATCGTATGAATGTATATAATCTGTTTCTACCTATCCACTAATAATGGGGATTTCGATTGTGTCTTTCCTTTCTCTATTGAAAACAAGTTGCAATGATATCTATGTGTTTATGTCTTTGTGTATATTTTGTCTTCATGTAAATTTATCCATAAGATAAATTTCTAGGCCGAGCACGGTGGCTCACACCTGTAATCCCAGCACTTTGGGAGGCCAAGGCAGGCAGATCACCTGGGCTCAGGAGTTTCTGACCAGCCTGGGAAACATGATGAAACCCCATCTCTACTAAAAATACAAAAAATTAGCCGGGCATGGTGGCACATGCCTGTAATTCCAGCTACTTGGGAGGCTGAGGCATAAGAATTGCTTGAACTCGCGAGGTGGAGGTTGCAGTGAGCCAAGATCACACCACTGCACTCCAGCCTGGATGACAGAGTGAGACTCTGTCTCAAACAAAACAAAACAAAACAAAAAGATAAATTTCTCGTTAGGTTGAGAGTATCTATAAAATAGTTTCTTAGAATTACTTGGTCTAAATAATCCATGTATGAAACAGCTACTTTCTGAATAACTAACCATTGTAAACTCTAAGGAGTTTTCTATTTTCATTTAATGCAAAACTTTTCTCCCTTTGCCTGGAACCCTTCCTCTGCTCTTTAATTAGAGGATTCCCTGTTAGTTTTCCTGAGGCCTCCTAATGTCACCACCTCTATGGAAGTTTTCATTGAACTCTCTAGGCAGAATTAATTGCTACCTCCTTTGTATCCTCTTATCACTGCGCACATATCTCTACGGGAGCAGTTGTCATGTTAAATTATTATTCACTTATATGCCTGTTTCCCCAACTAGACTGAACATTTCTTGATGAGCAGGGTTGTGTCTTATGTCATCTCTGTATCCCCAAGAACTAGCACAAAGCCTGCCTTATAGCAAGTACTGCTAATGATTTGTCCAGTGGTGAATATGCCAGTGAATTTTAGTGGCATATTCACTATTGGAAAAAACATGATCTGTTCTTGCTATAAGGCAGCCTTAACGTCAATCTGGAGAAAAAAGTATAAGTGTTCCTTAAGGCTGAGACTTTGATAATGGTGGCAAGGGTGACATATTTGAAGTTAGTCCTGTGAGATTCAAAAATAAGACTGGAAGGTTAGGCAAGCGTTGGATCCCAGCTGGCCAGGGGAGTGTCTGGACAGTCAGCTCAGGGGATAAGAGTCAAGTGCACAGCCTGCCAGTAGCTTAAAGTTAGGCAAATGGCTTGGAACCTAGTGGATGCAGATACAAAGTAGAATATGAATCTAGGCAATTACTTGAGCAGAACAGATGGGATGAAAACAGGGATGGGAATTAAGGTGAGTTGTCTGGGCTCCAAGGAGTGTTATCCCCAAGGATTGAGTGTAGTGGCATGGGTTCGGGTCTGGTCCTTTCAACCAGAAGAAACAAAAGCATATTCAAACTTGTTGAGGGAAGTGGATGCTTTTTGAAACAAAGCTTATGGGGCATTAAATGAAACAGATCTCCCAGGAGCTAAGAAAAGTATATTAGTTGTCTAATGCTGTGTAACAAATTACCTGAAAACTTAGTAATTTAAAAACAGTGAACATTTATTATCTTATAGTTTCTGTGGTTCAGAAATCTAAGAGCAGCTTAACAGGGTAATTCTGGCTCCAGCTTTCTCATGAGGTTGCTGTCAAGCAATCATCTCAGGCTTAACTAGTAGAATTTGCTTCTAAACCCACTCATGGGGTTGTTGGAAGGCTTTAGTTCCTTGCTGGCTGTTGACTGAAAACTTCTTTTCCTCCAGGTGAGCTTCTCCATAGACCACCTGAGTGTCCTCATGATATGGCAGCTTGTCTGCCCCAAAGTGAGTAATTCAAAAGAGAGAACTCAGGACAGAAGCCACAGTCTTTTGCAACCTAAGTCTAGTCTTCCAATCCAACAGTCTTTTATAACCTAATCCTTAAAGTAGCATATCATCGCTTCTGCCATATTCTACCTATCATTCATACCAGCCCTGTGGGCAGAGGTTCCATAAGGGTAGGGGAATCATTGGTGCCATCTGGAAGGCTAGTTACCAGAGAAATGAACTGAACAACATCTAGACCTCTGCAACTAGAACTAGAAGACTGTAAGATAACAAATCTACTTTTTTGTGGACTCCTGGAGGGACTGTTTGGTCTTTTGCACATGGCATTGCTGTTACTTTCTGCACATCTATTCCATCCTCTTCTGGTTTTACTCCATGGACTTTCTCTCCTCATTTCATCAGCTGGCTTGTACATAGTCCCATAAGGGCTCTCTGCTTCAATCCAACTCATGCTCATATAACTTTATTTCTCCTTCCTAACCGCTAAGTAAGTATCTCAGTTGCTCACATCTAATGTCCCACAAGAGAAATCTAACTGTTTCAGCTTACCTTTTCATGTCCAATCATAGGCAGGAGGTCAGCCTCTAGTAGAAAAACAGGTGGGTTGAATGCCCACTTCCAAGCCATCAGTCATTTTTAGGGGCTAGGATTAGGTGGGATTCATGCAATAGGAATGCTGTGACATAGATATTTAAGGTGGGGGCCAGGTCTTCTAGAACCCCGTGGACAGGGCAAACACTGACCGACATCTTTAGTGATTAAGAACACAACCTCTGGAGCCTGCCAAGGTAGGGCCTGAAACTTGGTCACCAATTTACTAGCCATGTTTCCTTCGGTAAAGTATATATCTCATCTCCATAAAATTGGTGTAATAATAATAGTATTGTACTTAATAGCATTGTCACAAAGATTAAATGAGATTTTGTATGTAATATGCCTGGCACAGTGCCGGGAACATAAAAACCTTCAACAGATGCTAACTCTCCTGTCTATTGATAGAGCTTATTTTCGGTGATGTTTCTGGGAGCCAATGGAGGGAGGCAGAGGAGGTGTCTCTATCAGTTTCATTCATTCATTTATTCGATAAATATTTATTAATGATTCTTCATTTCTGTTGGAATATGCTTTTTGGTTATAACATATACATCAAAATTGTACCTATTATTGATTTATTATCATATTACTCACAGAAGCTCTTTCAAGCTTTTTTGTTTTTAAAAATATTTTAAATATAGGTGCCCAGTTCCCTAAGAACCTTCTGTCACTCTTCATGGATGACATCTTTGTCTCCTTTACCAAGAAGTAACAATAGGTAATGGAAACTACCCTGGATTTGGCACAAGAAGATGTCGATTTGAATCTTGGCTCAGCCTCTGACTGGTTGGCAAGTTACTTGTCTTCACTGAACTGGTTTTCTCCTCTATAAAATGGTTGTAATAAAACTGACCTCACCTCACATTAGAGAATATAGGGTGTGGTGGTTAAGAACAAAGACAATGAAGCCAGACCATTGGGTTCAAGTTCGAGATCTGCCTTTCACAAGCTGAACTTGCACAAGTTACTTAACCTCTTGGTGCCTTGGTTTCTTCATCTGTAACATGAGATGACAATACTAGAACCATACCCATAGGGTTGAGCTGGGAGGACACAGCTGGCTGATGTAAAACACATAGGATGACCTGGCACATAGTAATTGCTACATAAATCTTATTTATTTTTATATATTTTTGTTCCTGTCTCTAAGAACCAATAGCATTTTACTAATTCCATCAGAAACGGAAGCAAAACAATGAACGTAGATATTCAGAGGTTGGAAGTTATAAGTTCCTCATTCTTACCACATCTCTCCCAGGAGTGTTTTTCATCATAGTTCTCTCTCTCTTGCAATGTCAGGAAAAAATATACCATGCTGCTACTACCTTTATCTCTTTATCATCAGCTATTCATAAAAAGGGAGTCACAGTTACACTTCCCTTTTGACAATTTCCAACTCCATTGACCATTGAGTCTGGTTTCTAGCCTTCTGCCTGCTGCCACTCACTGCACTGCCCCAATTTCTTGAGCCTTGTAGGACACCAAAGGCCTCTTTTTCTGGCACAGTTCAGTCGGTTGGCAGAGCTTGCTTCCTCTGAATACTCATCTTTAATTCTGTCCTGTACCACTCCCCTTTGAGATAAATTTGTATAATTCTCTTCTCTTTTGTTTTTAAAATGCTTTTCTTTGGTTGTGTTCCCTTAGTTCCCAAGTCTGCCCTCAATAATGTCATCAAGTATTTATCCTTTCCAATGGTTTAAATTATCTCCTCTGTGAAGGAAACATCAAAATATGTAGATCTGGCTCTAACTTCCCTTTCTGTGTTTGAGTCCTATGAGTTTTAGATTCCATATGTCTGAAACCAAACGCATCATGCACCTCAATTGAACTTCTCAGGCTTCTTACTTTTATGAATAGCTCCACCCTTGCCCTGGGCACCCAAGGATCAGAGTCACCCGCTCGTTGTTTCATTCAGCGATTTCAACATCCATTGTGTGACAAGCGTTGTGCTAGGCTTGGAGAATACAAATATGCATCCACACAGTCCTTGGCTTTAAAGATTAGGAAGAGGTAGGCATGGTGGTGGAGGATATGGTGAGTGTGGCTGGGGCTCCAGGGAGGGCATGGTCTGCTATGTCTGGTGAGGGGCAGTGCTCAGAAAAGACTGCAATGAGGAGGTGAAGCTTAATTAGAATGTTAAAGGTGGGAAGATTTTCAAAAAGAGGGAGGAAAATTCAAACAAAGGAGAGTTTGAGCCAAGGCAAGAGGAGAGAAACAGCCAAGAGCTGTCAGAACCTGAGAACCTCCTCAGCTGGGCGCTCTGCCAGAGGCCAGGTTCCCCGCAGGCTTACACAGATAGGTCTCTGGCATTTGTCCTTGCCTCTTGCTCCCCAGTTCCCTGTTCAATCCTTCATTGCTTTATTATTGTTTTGATTTCATTACTAACTTTTTATTGTGAAACACTAAAAACACATACAAAAGTATATGGTTTAATGAACTCCCACACACCCATCATAGGCTTAGGAATAGTCAATTCTATATTCCCACCCATTAGTATAATATTGACTCAAATCTTACTCATTATTTTATTCACAAACACTTTTAATAGATTAGGAAATTTTAAGAGACATAACTGAAATGTACTATTTTTAGCTCAAATAAGGAAATATTGGTTTCTTAATAGTATCATATACCTAAATCTCATAAATGGTTTTATTATTCACAATTCATTTTGACGAAGATCCAAATCAAATCACATTTGTGATGAGTTGATAACATTTTTAAGTGTCTCTTAAACTATAGGTTCTCTATCCATTTTTTTTTGTTTCCCTTGTAATATATTTGTTAAAGAAACTGGGTCTTTTGTCCTTAGATTTCTCCCCTACAACCTCAATCTTGCTAATTGTATCCCTGTGGTGTCAGTAGAGCTATTCCATTGTTCATTGTATTTCATGTAAATTGGTTGGTAGACCTATAGATTTGATCTATAGATTAAGTTATTTTTTGGCAAGACCACTTCATGGTGGCATAGGAGGCACAGAACATGGACTTGTCTGTCTTCTAATAGTTATTGATGCTTAGAAAGACTCATTCATAAAGAGTAGCAAAACGGTGATATTCTAGTTCTATCATTTCTTATTCATTTACTGGCAGGAATATGTCTATAAAGTTCTCTTCATTTAACATTTGGGTTCTTACTGGTACATTTCACATAGGAAAGATAAGATAAATGTATGGTTCTTTCCCTCACTTTATCAGTTGGTTTCCTAGCATCTTCCAGGAATGACCAATCAGTGTCTTTCTTTTTAAAATCACTGTGAAATTATGGATTTAATACATGTGATGTGTTTCAATTTACTACAGTTAATTTACTGATTTGATACTTGAATTTCCCTGCATTTGGCCTGTGGTCATTTCTCCAAGTTGGCTCTGAGTTCTTTGTACAAAAACCAGTCATCCTTGTTATCTGACGTAACAAGATATTCTAGACTCATCTTCTTTATCTTCTGCTCTGGTCTTGAAGCCAGCCACCTCTCCAAGGACTGTTGATTTCTTTTAGTGGAAAATCTATTTCAAGACCACAGTTTGACTACTAGGGTTCTTCTTTACTCTGAACTTCAACAGTTATAGCAAACTTGACCTCCTGGCTTCTGATTCCTATAGACTGCAAATGTGCCGTGTTTTTGCTGCCAGATCCCCTAGAACTAGTCAGGTCCCACTTGCA
This sequence comes from Homo sapiens, assembly GCF_000001405.40. NCBI lineage: Eukaryota > Metazoa > Chordata > Mammalia > Primates > Hominidae > Homo > Homo sapiens. Next base: position 133,767,060 of record NC_000002.12, on the reverse strand, counting down.
TCTAGATATTTTCACTGGCCTCTCTGATCTACCAGGTCATTCCAAATGTGCTTCTCAGCCTGGCCTAACCTGAAATCCTGCCTGCAGCTTTGCTTCTCTCCTGCACACCCTATCATGTACTGGCCAAGTGGACCCACTAGTTGTTTCCTGACCATGTCTCTTGTTTCCCTACCTCTGAGCTTTTGTTTATGCTCTTCCTTCACTTGGATTACCTTTCCTCTGTCTCTATTAATATGTCTTTAGATGCCCTTGGGGACATAGCTGATTTCAGGTCTGGGTCAGGAAATGTATAAGCCCTCCCTTAAATGCCACCTCTCTTTGGGGGCTGGCCTCACCACCTCATAATGAAAGTCATTCTTTCTCTGAATTCCCATGGCTCTGTCTCATGGCATAGACATATTCACATTTCCAGTGGGACCATGAATCCTAGAAGGCTCAGATCCTGGCTTATTTATTCTTTAAATTCTCAGTGCTTGACACATAGCAGATACTCCAATAAATGTCTGTAGAATAAAATAACTCACAAATGACTAAATGAATAATTTATGTTCTGCTTGGTATTATAATTAGTAGCTTCCTATGCTGTTTTCACCTAACCTCAATCTCACCAGACCATAATCTTGAAGGCAGGAATAGGGCATCCCCACCTTTATCTCTCTTGCAGTCCCTAACACAATGTCTGGCTCAGCTTAAGGTAGCCACTTAGTGCATACTGGTTGAGTTGAATTTATGCCAAGAAAGAGAATTTTACATCCAAAGACTCACTCTTGCTTTAGCCTACAAAGATTTGAGCTTTTGACCTGCTCTGTTCTACCTTAGTAACAGGGGATTTTGGAGCAAAGGAAACCACAATTCTATTTTTCCAGTTTTGCCATTATACAATTTGGCATCTGCCAGCTTAATATTGCAATTTTCCCCACTTGTTGCCCTCCCCACCCTGCCTTTTTTTTCCCCTCTTTGAAGCATCCTGTGTGATAAAGGCTCTTCTAGGCTCATTGCAAAGGCTCAGTGTGGCAGTAAAAAAGCTTCCCAGAATACAGTCCAAGAACAAACAACCAGTGACCCTGCGGATGATAGCACAAAAATGCTATTGACAAAAGATGGTCAGAGAGCAGTTGCCTTTATTTGGACAGAGTGAGGAAAGAACTCCAAGTGAGTTTGTTAGCCAAGCACACCCTGGGTGTTCTATTGCTCTTTAGGGGAGTGTCACATGCCTATAATATCTGGAGCCAGGGAAGGGATCCAGAGCTCTCAGCGGCTGTACAAGGGACTCCTGACCACAGATGTACACATGGGTGATATTACATGTACCAAGTCACTCATCCTGCTGGCCAGAGTTGGGCTTGAATTCCATAGGCTGAATTGTTTAGGCCTATGCCCTTTCTGCCATACCAATCTCTCCTTCTTTCATGAGGAAGCCCAGGGTTGTGTGTGTGTATGTGTGTGTGTGTTTTCCTAAGGAAATCTTAAAGTCACAGGACATAATGGAAACTGGGTGTCCTGAAACCTTCTTTCTAATTCTTGTTCTTTCAGTAACTAGCTGTGAGACACTGAACTAGTTCTCTCACCTTTTTTGTTCTCAGTCTCTTTATCTACCAAATATCTAGTTTTCTAGATCCCTTCAGTTATCTCTGAAGTCCTTTCTAGCTGTGAATATTATTTATGACTTTCTTGTTGCTGGAAGTTCAGCTGATTCAAGTAATTTCTAAAGGAGTCTTTAGAATCCGGTGGCTGGTGATTGTAAGGAAATCAAGTCTGGAATTTCTTTTTTTTTTATTATACCTTAAGTTCTGGGATACATGGGCAGAACGTGCAGGTTCGTTACATAGGTATACATGTGCCATGGTGGTTTGCTGCACCCATCAACCCATCATCTACATTAGGTATTTCTCCTAATGCTATTCCTCCCCTAGCCCTCCACCCCCAGAGAGGCCCCAGTGTGTGATGTTCCCCTCCCTGTGTCCATGTTTTCTCATTGTTCAACTCCCACTTATGAGTGAGAACATGAGGTGTTTAGTTTTCTGTTCCTGTGTTAGTTTGCTGAGAATGATGGTTTCCAGCTTCATCCATGTCCCTGCAAAGGACATGAACTCATTTTTTTTTATGGCTGCACAGTATTCCATGGTATATATGTGCTACATTTTCTTTATCCAGACTATCATTGATGGGCATTTGGGTTGGTTCCAAGTCTTTGCTATTGTGAATAGCGCTGCAATAAACATATGTGTGCATGGGTCTTTATAGTAGAACAATTTATAATCCTTTGGGAATATACTCAGTAATGCGATTGCTGGGTCAAATGATATTTCTGGTTCTAGATCCTTGAGGAATTGCCACACTGTCTTCCACAATGGTTGAACTAATTTACACCCCGCCAACAGTGTAAAAGTGTTCCTATTTCTCCACTCCCTCTCCAGCATCTGTTGTTTCTTGACTTTTTAATGATTGCCATTCTAACTGGCGTGATATGATATCTCATTGTGGTTTTGATTTGCATTTCTCTAATGACCAGTGATGATGAACTTTTTTTTAATATGTTTTTTGGCTGCATAAATGTCTTCTTTTGAGAAGTGTCTGTTCATATCCTTTGCCCACTTTTTGATGGGGTTGTTTTTTTCTTGTAAATTTGTTTAAGTTCCTTGTAGATTCTGGATATTAGCCTTTTGTTAGATGGATAGATTGCAAAAATTTTCTCTGGAATTTCTAAAGGAGTCTTTAGAATCTGGTGGGTGGTGATTGTAAAGAAATCATCAACTGGAATTCTCAACTCTGAATTGGAGGACTCTTCTCAACCAGTAGGATTTTGAACACAAAAGGACAGCTTCCCAAACAACATTCCATGGCCTAAGTCCTTGCTCTTTTGCCTACCTATGAAGGCTCAGCTGTTTTAGCTTCCTCTTTCTCTCCCACATAGAGAACACACACATTTATGCTAAGGATATTCAAGTTTCCTATGTAAAGAAAAAGATGTCTGGCCACCTAGGGCTAATATGAAGAATTAAGCTCTTTCCTGAACTCCTTGAGTATTCAATTCAGCTAACTGATGTTTTGTTATTATACAAAGAAGTTTGGGAATTTCCGTTCCCAAAATGCCTCCTCTGCTAGGCATGCTTTATGTATAGTTCCTAATTGAATTCTTCTAACAGTCTTCCCGGCAGTTATTATTTTCCTCAATATACACATGAACCCAGTATTGAGAAGGTGTTCACTAAAATGTTCTTATCGAAAGAGAAGAAAAAGAGGAAAGTCAGGAGAGAAGAGGAGAAACAACATGCTTAAAGTGAAGTCATTTGCTCAAAACCACATTGAATACCATGCTTTGAAGCCAGATTTATCCTATTCCAAATTTGGTGTTTTATTTCCTCCTAATCATTACATTCAAAAATGCCTGCTAATATCTCCTTTCTTCCACTTAGCATTTTCTGGGTTATGTCATTGAAGGGTTGTGTGAAAAATGTTTTCTGTGAGACGAATGAGTTGAGAAGCCCTCATCTGTCTTTCCCATGTCATGTTGGATGACTTGATTGGAGTAACTTTGCCTTCCAGCTGGGTGTGAAGCAAAGGCACCCCAAATAGGCAAATCCTGAGAAGGTTCTGGAAGAACGGCCAGCAGCTCAGGCACCTGGAAAAGCACCCCCATACATGTGTCATCTTGTCCTTGTCAGGAGACAGGCCTGGAAAGAGACATGATGTGTCCCAGGCCATTTCTGCTTGTCTGTATCCTGCTTTGGGGTGACGTGTTGTAGCCCTATCCTGTGCTGTTAATAAGCTGAACATGGCTCATTTCCATTATGTAATAAAACCGAACTCTTGACTAGAGAAGTATGGTTTTGATTGGCACTGCCGGGCTTTGTTCTAATAATCTCTCCCTTCTGTTTGCTGCTGACAATAAACAACTTGATTTTTCCCAATGTCCAAGTCCCTCCTTAGAAGCAAAAGACACTGGCACTCCATTACAGGTCATGGTGGTGGTATGGGGGTTACACATTTAAAAGCCATCTTTAATTATTGTTGCTTAGTGGTGTGGGCCAGAGTTTGTTTGTGGGTTCAATTTTAGTGTGAATTGGTCAACATATTTTTCATGGCCCTAGGCTATACTTTCAATCCGGGCCAGCTGCTTGCAACACCATGAGGTGTTTGTAGGACCAGAATGCTAATGACTGGAGAGAAACTCTTTGTCTCTATCACTGAAGTCACTTATTTCACACGCTCCCCTGACAGAGACTCTTCATCCCACATTCCTTCCACACTGATTGACATCTGGGAAGGAAATGCTTTCTTTCTTAAAGAGAAAACCGAATGCTGAGAATAACATTCAAAACAGTTAAGGGGCTGCTGGTCCATATGGCCCCCATTCTGCTCCCCACTCACCCCCTCCCCACCCCCGAGTACCACCTCCTCACTGGTTTGGTTTGGGCCAGGGCTCAGAAGGTGGTGTTACTTACTCTTGAACGCTTTGGCACAAGCATGGAAGAAAACCCTTACACTTCAAACTTTTTCATGCCACCAAAGCAAGAAGGAGATTTCCAATCATTTGAATGGAAGGCAAAGGAAGACTAAAGGTCATTTCCTGACTGCTCCAATTTGTTCCCTGTTGCTCTGTATTCTCAAGGACCCACCTGGCCATGGATCAGGAAAATGGAAGAAGCCCCATTTTGGCAGCTGCATCTTGGTAAGCACTCAGTCCAGCTGATGATTCTTTTCTGACCTTACTGCCACTGTATACCTGAGGATGGTTTTCCAGCCTTGAAATCCTATCTCTTAGGGTTTTCTTTACACTAGATTACTTCCCTGAAGCAGACTTCTAGCTATTTTACTGATGCCCTTTGACACTGCTCAAGCTCTTAGCTTTGGACTTGATGCAACCTTCTAGAGTTGGGTCCACTTAGGGTTGTACATTTCCCCTCATCCCTGAGCTCTTATATTTGAACTTCTGGTAACTGATTTTCCCAATGCTCCAATTCTGTAAAAAAGACTGGGTGGGGCTGGCCTGGCTGGCCTTGCTCTCTAGGATTGGATTGGAAAGTGAGAAGGCCCTTTAGCCACAACCCTGTCGTGTACGGTAAGAAAGTGAAGCTTAGAACCAAGGTTGTAAGGGCAAGGAGATCTGATTCAAATTTTAGGAGCCACAGGGTGTTGTCAGGCTGGGTTCGCATCTCAGAGGAAAGAAGATGAAAATGGGAAACAGTGAGCAGGAACGAAATGATGGCACAGCCCTAAGGACTGCATGTTTCCTATATACCCTCACCCCTGAATTTTGTACATTTACATCAGTGTTTGTATGGATGAGGCAGATCCGGTCACAGAGAATAGGGCAAGATATGCCTCCAGCAGGTAAACCCATACTTCTGAGTGAGGTCATTGCTGAACTTAGGCTCTTATAAATAATTTTTAATTGATACATAATAATTGTACATATTTATGGGGTCATGTTATATTTTGATACATACATATAATGTGTAATGACCAAATCAGGGTAATTAGGATATCTGTCACCTCAAACGTGTATCATTTCTTTGTCTTGGGAACATTCCAGATCTTCTCTTCTAGATATTTTTAAATACACAACAAATTTTTGTGAACTATAGTCACCCTTCTGTGCTATCAAACACTAGAACTTACTCCTTCTATCTAACTGCGTTTTTGTGCCCATTAACCAACCTCTCTTTGTCTTTTGAGATGGAGTCTCACTCTGTCACCAGGGTGGAGTGCAGTGGTGAGATCTCGGCTCACTGCAACCTCCTCTTCTTGGGTTCAAGTGATTCTCCTGCCTCAGGCTCCTGAGTAGCTGGGTCTACAGACGTGCGCCACCACACCCAGTTAATTTTTTTTCTCTTTTTTTGAGACAGAGTTTCGCTCTGTCACCCAGGCTGGAGTGCAGTGGCATGATCTCAGCTCACTGCATCCTCTGCCTTCCGGGTTTGAGCAGTTCTCTGCCTCAGCCTCCCAAGTAGCTGGGATTACAGGTACCCACCACCATGCCTGGCTAATTTTTTGTGTGTGTGTTTTTAGTAGAGATGGGGTTTCGCCATGTTGGCCAGGATGATCTCTTGACCTCATGATCTGCCAATCTCGGCCTCCCAAAGTGCTGGGATTATAATAATCAACCTCTCTTTATCCCCTACTCTCCTCTCTACTTCTTCCCAGCCTCTGAACTTGGTTTTGACACTGTGGTTTAATAATGGGAAGAATAAAATCCTAATGAAAGCACAGGCAACCACATATAATATCTATTTTCTTATTCTGGGCACCTCAAAGAACTGGATGGGGAGAATATCTTTTCTTCCCTTTCTAGATGCCAAAGTCTGGCTCTAGTTTTCTTTAGCAGTTGACTTTGTCAAGCTTACTCCAACAGAACAGCCTTTTGTGTATTTTTTTTTGTGCCAAATCCCCCTGGCCTCTGAACTAAAGCAAACTCCACTGAATGTTATTGCTGAATAGCTCATGGCATGTTTACGATATGTAGGACTTTCTCTGGCTGACCTCACCAAAGAGGGCTGTTGCTTAGTCAGGGACCCATATAGAGTGGCAGGGGATGAGAAATTATAGACCGTCCAGCCTAACCTCAGAGGTAGGCAGATCTGAGAGACATTAAGAAGGAATGAGATCACAAAACATCTGGAGAAATATGAACTGACAAAAACTAGCCATTGTGGTTTCGTAAAGGGTAAATCTTATTTGACAAATGTGGTGGGAAAAAAGAGAGAGAGAATGCAGGAGATAATGTAGAAAGCAGAGGGTTTTTGAGACAGTAGGCATAAACTATTAGGATTTCCAAAAGGCTTTTGACAAGGTGTTGTTAAATGGGTGCACACATTGGGTGGCACCTCCAGCCTTCCCAAAGGGGAGAGCCTCAATCATTGCAATAAAGAGCTCAAGTCAATTGGTAATTATCTTCTTTCTTTTCCTAAGGGCACTCTCTTAAATCCTCAATTATTATACACTTGGGTAGGGAAAATAGAGCCAAGTAAGCCTGTGTTGTTTAAGACCTCCAACTTTCTCTGCAAGGTGCTTTGAGTAATAGGTTGGCTTTGGAACATCTGCAAAAGCTGTTCTGGAAAGACAGCCGAGCCACTTGACTATGACCATCAAGCCATCTATGAAATAGATTTCTAGTCAAGAGGTCAACCAACTGTGGCCCACAGGTCAAATCCACCTGGGTTTGTAATAAAGTTTTATTGGAACACAGCTGTGACTATTCATTTTCATATTGTCTATGGTTCCATTTGTGCTGCAGTAGCAGAGTTGAATCGTTGTGACTATTATTTGGTCCACAAAACCTAAAATATTTACTATCTGACTGTTTACAGAAAAAAGTTTGCAGATCCCTATTCTAGTTTATCTGCGACTTTCTTCAGCCATTTAAGGTAGCCCCAAGGTGGCTATCTATCACTTTACCCTATTTTTTTCTTCATAGCATATGTCACTATTGCAACTAGCTTGTCTAATTTTTTACTTATAGTTTGGCTGTTTTATTTCCAACCAGAAAAAAAGTCCCAGAAGGCAGGGATCTTGCCTATTCTGTTCATCACAATGTATCCCCAGTTCCTAGCATATAGAAGTTGTTCAATTATTAGTTATTGTAAGAATGAATGAATGAAAACTTGCATATGAGAAAAAAATGGTGAGACAAGGGAATGAAAATGAAGCAAGAAAATGCTTAGTGACTGATCATATATTTGTGCTTTTTGCTTAACTAGCAAGACAATATTACCCCCACATTAGCCGGAAGAAACATCCAAATCGATCTTCCCAATCACTGTTTTTTTGTCAAATTATAACCCACCTTAATCCATAGTAGGCAAATATTGCCTTCCACAATTAGTAAAAATGATCAGGAATAGATATTCCATACTTACCAGTGGTGGCCTGACTTCCTTCTGAAATGAGTTCTTTACCCTCTTGTTGCTGTCTCATTGCTAGGTTGCATGCCTAGGATCAAGGTAACCACAGTGTCTGGTAATGTCTGGGTCATACATCTGAGATGGGAAAGCTGACCATTGCTAAACAGAAGGAGGCAAAGAGAAGCCTAGCCCATTGGATGATCTTGATTAATCCTGCTTGCCTTTGGAACTTGGGGCTTACCTACATTATTTTTACTTCTAGCAGAAACCATTATAAAATTGATTGCTGTAGTTACATACTCTTGCAAGCCAAACAACATGTCAAATGAAGCTTTGTGGTCTTAAGAAAATAATAATGTGAACCTCATAAGAGTTAATAAAAAAAATTCTCATATTTCCTGAGTGCTTAGAGAATAATCTGAAAGATAAAAGGACATGACTCTATTCCCTGGGTTATCTGTTTCCTAGAGCATTCCTCAAGGTAGCTCTGAAACAAGCATAGTTGAATGGGTAGCATGGTATTTTGCTAGCTATGCTATCTAAGAGAGAACAGAGGTGCTTATCTGCATCAAAATTGTCTTTATTCCATGGATATGTTAATTTATCTTAAAATGTCTGTCCTGGGCTACTAGGGTCAGATCAAAAAGACTCAGGGGCCAATTTTAACCAGGCTTCATTGGTGAAAGATGAAACAATTTGTGCATTAAATAGGATAATAACTGCAGTGGATGGATGATACTCATCAAATATAATTAAATCCATGAGTTCAAAATGACACTAGGGGAGAAAAACTACAACAGCTAATTGTTCACCATTGTCTGGTGTTAAGGAACCAACTCATTATTTTGAACACTAAAAAGAAAGAATCAAATATTTATTTTTTCTTTTCTATATAAACTGTACCGCTGAGTAACCAAATGAGTTGATAATAGGAAATTTGTATTTATAGAAGTATCTAGCTAATAAGTTAAGAAGAGATGATAGAACTGGAATATCACCCTTATGAAACTGCTAACGAATTAGTGGATCCTGGCCACTAACTCCACAAAAAGAGACCACCAGACATTATGTGCCTCTTGACGAAAGAACACATAACTATCTTTGAAGTAGTCTTGCCAATGGATGAAACTTGAATCTGATCAAGCCTCTAAATGCAACCACCAATTTACAGGAAGTGCAGTGGGCAGAGGATCATGTTCAAAGACAGCACATGAATAGCAAAATACAGACTGGAAAGTTCTGTGACATAAATATCCTTGTTTTTTTCAACAAATAAATTGTAAGAAAGAAAGGGAGATGAAGGGGAAAATCTATGAATTGAAAGAAAGTCAAGAAATTTATCAATCAATCAGTCATAATGTATGAATGTTTTAGCATTCTGATTCAATAAGCAAACTATGAAAATCATTAAAATTTCTGTTTCAATTGGAAATTTGAACACTGACTAGATATTTGATATTAAGAAATGATTATTTTTTAGGTGTAATATTGATATTGTATTTTAAAAGAAATCCTTATCTTTTAGAGATATATACTAAAATATTTATAGATGAAATTATGTGATGTCTGGGATTTGCTGGCAGAGGGTTAGGTGAGGGTATAGATGAAACAAGATTAGTTGTGAGTTGAAAATTGTTGGGTGATGAGTTCATGGGGCTCATTATTTTGTTCTTTTCACATTTGTGTATGAGTGACATGTCTATTATAAAAAAAATTTAAAAACTGACTATCTTGGCAAAAATAACCATGGTTGTTCAAACTAATTATTTTAATGATATTTAGGGAAGATGGCGTAGAACTATAAAACATTCATTGTGAAACCTTCCTTTGTGAACCTATACTATATAAAAATAATACTTTGTCTATAATATAATATAAAGTTATCAATATGATAATGTTATTTTGTATTATCTAGATTATTACCAGGTTATCACAGTGATTTAAAACCTTTTAAATAATCAGTAAAAATGATTTGCTTAATATAATTCATGTTGCCATTTCATTATGGAATAACACATAAATAAAAGCAGTACAAATCACATTCATTAATTTGTTCTTTCTTTTCCAAGGGTCCACTGTGTGCTAGCACCAGGTCATGCTCCAAGGATAAAAATTATCTAAGTGACGTGGTTTGGCTGGGTCCCCACCCAAATGTCATCTTTAATTGTGGTTCCCATGGTCCCTCTGTGGCATAGGAGGAACCCAGTGGGAGGTGATTGGGTCATGGGGGTGGTTTCCCCTGTGCTGTTCTCATGGTGGTGGGTGGGTTCTCATGAGATCTGATAGTTTTATGGGGGGCTTCCTTCTTTACTTGTCTATAATTCTTCTCCTTCCTGCTGTCATGTGAGGAAAGAGGAGTTTGCCTCCCATTCCACCATGATTCTGAGGCCTCCCCAGCCCTGCAGAACAGTGAGTCAATTAAACTTCTTTCCTTTATAAATTACTCAGTCTCAGGTATTTCTTCATAACAGCATGAAAACGGACTAATACACTAAGTCGTGGTGTGACCCTGGAGAAGCTCATTTTCTTCTGGGGAAGATGGACAAGTGAGAAACCACAGAAAGTGGAAAGGCAGGCCTGTGAGCTATGGTACCTAATGCAGAGCGAGGGAGGGCAGTCCACTTGTCCTGGAGAGAAGGCTGCCCTGGCTGGAAGGCTGAGCCCTCATTAGGGAAAAGGGCAGGGCAGGAGGTGAGAGAAGGTGGGAGGCAGTGATAACTGCAAGGCACTCAGAGAGGGCATTTACCAGGCTTTAGCTAAACAGCGCTGGACTGTAGAGTGTGAGGGGAAGAGTGAAGAGGGAGTAGGTTAGTTGGTGAGCATTTTGTGCTAAGAATCTTGGAGGATGTGGAAGAAGCAAAAGTCACACTGCTCTGTGCAAAGTCCTGAAGATCCTGTCTCACAGAGGGGCTCGCACTGCTCTCTACTGTGATGGTTGATGAGAAGCAAAGCTGCCCTTGGGTGCTGCCGCTTGGAATCCCAACTGCATGCTCCTTTCTTGCCAAGCTCTCTCTGCTGTAGTCTTTTCTTCTTAACCTCCTTGGGTGTCCTCATTCCCAGCCCAGGCTTCCTTTTCTTCCCTTTCCATCTGAGTCTCAAGAGGGCAAAGGCTCTGACCTTCTTTGACTGCATTTAGCTACAACTGGCTGCTGCCTGAATTGGTGTTCATCGGTGACTCTCATGGCTTTTCTCCAGTTGAGTTTGCCAACTAGAAAGGACTTCGGAAATTAAACAATTTTAAAACTTTTTTTTTCTTTAATGATCTCAAAGCAGTAGTATGTATTATATGATGACCTATCTCTATTGTTTTGGTTTAACTTACCCCTTTAGAGAAAAAAAAAAAAAACACTCAAACTTAAATAGTCCAGTGAGGGTGATTCCTTGTCATTTATGGAGAGCTTTTTCTTGGTCAAGGCAAAACATTAGCATTCTTAGCTGTTCACTTATTTATACTACAGGAAACCTACAGTTATGCAAAGCCACTGCCAACATAATCACGAGCTGCTGTGTGGAGTCTTAAGTACCTCATGGAAAAATAACTCTGAATTGGAATTCTTCCCAAAAGCCAGCTTCGTTAATGCTTTGACAACTGAGAAGGCAAAAAAAAAAAAAAATCTAGAAAGCCGTTATAAATATGAATGGCTGTTAAACCTTTCAGCAGGGTGCTTTAGTGTAAAAAAATGTAAGGTAATAGCACCAATGCTCTTGCAATAGTACCATGGCTGTGTCATGCCTTTAATTTACCTAGAATTAATTAGAGGTTTAAAATGCTTTATAGTTTAATGAACAAACATAACACAGCCTCAAGTATGTTTTATTAACCTGGCTGTGCCTTGTATTTCAAGACAGTCTTTGAGAATGTGGGAGGCAAGCTGTGCATGTGCATGTGTGTCTGCATGTATGTGTGTGTCTGTACATGTATGTATGTGTCCCCACACAGAAGCAATGTGGAGCAAGATGGACATTGGGTTATTGACACAGCCATTCTCAAAATCATAACATTTCAATCATATGGCAATTCAGTTTTAGATGGGCCCCTTCTGAGCCCTTGTCTTTAAAAGAAGTTTCTGCTATTTTTAATTTTGTTCCATTTTTTTTTTTAACACAGGCTCTTTCATGAGCACTTCCTGAATACATATTCTTTTCTTATAAGTATAAGGAGGAGCTATGAACCAAGAGCAAGAACTTTGGATATGAGAAGGACTTATAAGGTTATTGGGAGCTTTTCATCCTTACTGAGTGCTGTGGTGTAACTGTTTTTATAGGTGGAAACCTAATCCTCAATGTAATAGTACAAAGAAGTGAAGGCTTTGGGAGATAACTAGCTCATGAGGGTGAAGCCTTCATGAACAGGATTAGTGCCTTTATGTAAGGGACCTCATAGAGCTCCCTGTTCTCTTCTACCATGTTAGGACTTGGTGAGAAGGCATCATCTATGAACCAGGAAATGGGCCCTCACCAGACAGTGAATCTGCCAACACCTTGATTTTGGACTTCTCAGCCTCTGGAACTATAGAAATAGTGTTTGTTGTTTATAAGCCACTTACTTTATAGTACAGGTTGAGGATCTCTTATTCAAAATGCTTAGAGGTGTTTTGGATTTCAGATTTTTTTTTAAATTTTAGAATATTTACAAGATACTAATTGAGCATCTAATCCAAAAACCTGAAATTTAAAATGCTCCAATAAGTATTTCCTTTGAGCATCATGTCAAAGATCAAAATGTTTGTATTTTGGAGCATTCTGGGTTTTAAAATTTTGGATTAGGGATACTCAACCTATATTTTGCTATAGCAGTCTGAATGAACTAAGACACTGAGCAAATAGGACAGTGATGATAGACACCACTTTTCTGAATAAAACCATCCCTTTATTCTAAGAGCAGATGAACATAGGTTGGATTTCTTGGAACGCAAATGTCTGTAGCATTTCAAGGGGTGATCATTGTGTTCATATACTGGGCCTTCTAATTCTTTTCATCGGTAGTTACTTGGCCATTGTCTCTCATTTATACCCACATGCCAAGTTAGTGGTCCTAGTCTTTTGGCTGCTTTAGATAATTTCAGATCAGCTTGCAATCTTGATTTCAAATTGCCAGGAGAGGGTGGTGATGAGAGTTTGAAGTGGCAATGAGGAGCATGGCAGCCAATGTTAATTGAGATGAAAAATACACCAGACATTCCATAAAAACCTTAACTTTGACCACATTCCAACTCACCCCAAGCCTGTGGAGGGAGATCAATCATCATTTTCTTTATGCAGGTGAGGAAACCAAGGGTTAGGGTGGCCAAGTCATGACCCAAGGACAGACAGCTTGGTGGACAAGTCACAGTCACAGTGCAGGCAACTGGCTCCAGAGCTTGGCACCTGGCCAGCGTGCTGGTGGGTTTTACAAGTCTCCTGAAACCAGAGGACTCCACTTATCTTCAGCCTTTACCAGGAGACGAATGCTCTCTCTCTAGATTCCTGGATATCCAAGAAGTTACCAATCACATTTATACTCTCTCAGTTTTAAGAATAAAAAGCAATATTTCTTAATCCTTTGGAGAAAATGAAATAGAATGTTTTTTCAGATTTAAATATTTTATGTGCAAAAGTGATAATGCTTGTTATAAAAATTTACATATTACAAAATTGTAATAAGTGAAAAATTCCTTGCTTGCTGCTTTTACTAAAACTCACTTGCACATTCTTATCTAACCACACCTCTAAGTCCAGTTCCCCTCCCCAGATGTAATAAAGGTTAACAATTTAGAATGTACCTCTTTCTCTATCTCTGTTTCTCCCCACCCCCTTCACCCAACATGTACACAACTACTTGGCAGTGTTAAGTGGACAGACCCTGGAATCAAATCTTGATTCTGCCATTAATTAGCAACGTGATTTTGTGCTAGTGATCTCTCCAGGCTTCTGTTTCCTTATATGTCAAGCAGACATAATAATGTTACCTACATCATGTGTGTGAAGATTACATGAATTATATAAAGCCATTAGAACAGAGATTGGCACATGATAAGCCCTCAATGAGCATACAATCTACACTTCTGTGTATATATGTATGTTAATACACATAAGGATGACAGTACATAAATTTTTTTCTGTTTTGTATTTCTTTTTTTTTTGGAGACAGTCTCACTTTATCCCCCAGGCTGGAGTGTGGTGGCATGATCTCAGCTCACTTCTACCTCCGCCTCCTGGATTCAAGTGATTCTCATGCCTCAGCCTCCTGCTGTTTTGTATTTTTGACAGAACAATATATTATTTGAGTTATATATTATTTGAGTTGTGTATATAAAACTGCTTTTTAAAAATACCAGTTACACAATATTCTATTATATACATATAACCTGCTGATAGACTTTTAGATGTATCTGTTTTTTACTCTTATAAACAATGCTTTAATAAACTACTAGGTACATAAATCTCTATGCATTTGCCTTAGTATTGCTGTCAGATAAATTTCTAGACATGGAATTGCTGATGAAAATGTATGCACTTTAAAATTTTGGTTGAAACTGCCAAAGTGCCTTCCCCAAAGGCCATACTAATTTACAATTCAGAACATCAAGATTGGATGTGTCTATTTTCCCATAACCTTGCTAGTGCTAATTATGAGAGCATTTAAAAATCTTTATCAGACTGGCAGGTGAAAAATGTCTTATTGTTATTTTAATTGCATTTCTTTGATTAGTAGTAAGGTTAGGCTTTTTTAATGAATAAAATGACTATTTGTATTCTGTGAATTGGCTATTCTTATCTTTTGTCTATTTTTCTACTAGGTGTTTTTTAATGAATTTTTACATTTCTTATATATTAAGGATTTAATCCCTTATCACTCACATATGCTATACAGTTCCCTGCATGTTTGTTGGTCTTTTCATATTTTTACCTTATTAGAAACTTACAACTCACACGTAGACAAATCTGCGTCTTTTCCTTTCTGGTGTGAAAATTCTCCCCATCTCACATTTGTGTAATTCTTCTCCTATATTTTCTTTCAGTAGTTTTTGTTTTTTTTAAAAAAAATATGAAATGTATGTCAAGTAAGATAGCTCTGAGTACTACGGTGGGAGGTAGGAAATTTAACTTTATTTATGCTTAACAAATAGGCAATTTTTGGAGAAGTTGAAGAGAGACAAAAGGAAAAAATTACATTTGGAAAAACTACAATATGTAGTCACACATTCATTTAGTCAATTAGTTAACACATATCTCCTAAGTGTTTATCATATTGTGCAAACCATACAGGTGTGTACACTGGCCAGTAGAACTTTCTGTAATGATTGAAATGTTCTACAAGTTGAACATACCAAATCTGAAAATCTGAAATCTGAAATGCTCCAAAATTTGAAACTTTTTGAGCACTGATGTGACTTTCACAGGAAATGCTCGTTGGAGCATTCTGTGTTTTGAATTTTGGGATTTGGATGATCAACTGGTAAGTAGACATAACGCAAATATTCTCAACTCAAAAAAAAATCTGAAATCTGAAACACTTGTGGTTACAAGCATTGTAGATAAAGAATACTCAACCTGTATATCTGTGCTGTTAAATGCAGTAGCAACTGGCACATGTGGTATTGAAATATGGCTAGTGTGATCAAGTAAATGATTTTTTATTTTAAATTTAAGTGACAGAGTTACTCGTGGCTACTGCTACCTTATAGGGCAGTACAGGTGTAGATGACTGTGAAAAAAACAGAGAAATATGTGTATGTATGTGCACGCACGTGTGTGTACCTGCACATGTGGCTATGATGAGAGCAAAAGAGAATGCATGTGAGAATGCAAAAGGAGTAGCCAGATGCTTTCTGTTGGAAATTACTGTCGAATTTTAGAAAAATTCCCATTTTGTATCTCTTTGTGATTTAGGGATCTGAAAAAGAGGACATTTAGACAAAAGAGAGCATGCATTTTTGGCCTTTAGATTCCTAGTCAATAGCCCTTTCTTTTCAAGGTTGTAAACTGACTGTCTGCCTCAATTCTGCATCCCAGCTCTTTTCTGCATGTCACACATCTCTTTTTCAGGAAGGCTGTACCAAATCTGCAAACCTAATGACCTACCTCTATATTCGCTTCTCTTTTCTGGGGAAAAAGATGAGCATTCTTCTGAAATCTCTTTGATCTTTTCTGTAGGGTCCCATTAGTGTTTTAAGAGTTTAGGGACATGGCTGTTAACTCTCTTGATACTGAATAGTTTAGAGACACCCCCAAAATGCTCACTGGATGATATTAACATGCAGATATATTTGCATGGTGAAAAGCCTTGCGATTCTAGGCAAGGAATCCTTTCTATTTCCATTTGCAAAAGAAAACAGGCCTATTTCTCTGTTGTGTAACATTTGTGTAACTTGTCTGACCTAAGACAGTTAGTTAGAATCAGAGCAAGGCCATTCTTGTGGCTCTAGGAGCAGATAGCTGTATGTGGAGGAGGTCGTTGTTTTCTGTATGAGAGCAGGATGAGGAAATGCCAGCCTGGGTCCAGGAGCATGAATATGCAGGTGTCTGGAGCCATGGGCAGGTTGTCAGATGTATGGTCGCCAGATTTATTACCAAGGTAAAAGACATACATCATATGTAGAGCCAGCTGGTCACCTGTCAGGTGGGGAGCTGAGACTGAAAGCGGGCTGCTCAACACTGAGGAGATAACAGCTTTACAGAGAATCAGTGGTAGGGTGTCTAAAGGAAAAAAAAAAAACCTATCCTGCAAGGTGCACCTGCATGCTTTGTTTGTGGTAAAAACTGGAGGATGAGAAAACAAAAGCAAGTGCTGTGGAAGTATTAGACCTTGAGATTTAGAGAATATTTGATGTGGCATCTCATGAAACTTTAATCATGAAATTCATTCAAATTCATTGAGATATGTGGGATGATAGGAACTGAGAAGCAGAAGAAGCCGTCTCCATTCAGGGTGGTGATTTATGGAGCGGTAGAGAGCGGGATGCCTCTGTCTTCCCCCTCCAGCCTCACTTAACAACTTCATTAATAACCCAGATAAACAAGCCTTCTAGTTCATGAATAGCATCTGATATTAGATTGAGAGGTGTTGGGAATAACAAAGAAACCCCAAGCTGACAATGGACCCTCATAAAGAAAAACAGAGAATAGTGACCACAAGTAAATAGGATTCCATTGAGTTCAAAATGATTAAAATTATTCTGATAGTTTCCAAACACATTTGAGGAAAGAATGAAAACCCACTGAGTAATAGCTAGTAATTATTATTATGAGTTCCTATTCTAGACACTTTCATTTTATCCTCACAGCAACCTTATGATTTGGATTGTATTATCCTCTTTTACAAATGCTGCAAACTGAGGATCAGGAAGCATAAGCAATTAACAAAGAACCATTCAGGTAGTAAATATTAGAGTTAGGATTTGACGTGCAGGTGTGTTAGGCTTTGCAAGATAGTGCTCTTTCTTCTGTGTTCTTCCTACTCAAAATGTGGTCCACGAACCTGCAGCATCAGCCTCAGCATCACCTGGGAACTTGTTAGAAATGCAGACTCCCAAGCCCCTTCCTCCACCCCACTGAATCAAAAGCTGCATTTTTAGCAGGATTTGCAGATAATTCATACGCATGTGAAAGTCTGAGAGGACCTGGTCTGTACTCGGTGCACGTGGGAATGCAAGATCCTAATGTAGACAAGACTCTGTGATCTCCTCTTTCTTGTGCCAGGGTCATCATCTGAGTTCACCCTCAGATTTAGTGCTATCTGCATCTTACGAGGGAATCACCAGCCTCACACAACCACAATGGCCCTGCCCATTCAGCAAGTAAAGAGCAATTCAGAATGACCAGAGCAAATAACGCAAACTTTTGCTTCATTCACATCCTGTGTTTACTGTGATCCCAGCTTATACCACTTACAACACATAGCATTGGAGTTGTTGATTTAATTGCTGTCAGGTTTTCAGAAGGGTCTAAAATCTTTTTTTTTTTTTTTTTTGAGACAGCGTCTCGCTTTGTCACTGAGACTGGAGTGCAGTGTCGTGATCTCGGCTCACTGCAACTGCCACCTCCTGGGTTTAAGCAATTCTCATGCCTCAGCTGAGACTACAGGCATGCACCACCATGCCTGGCTAATTTTTGTATTTTTAGTGGAGACCAAAAGTGACCATGTTTAGTTGAGACTAAAAATGACCATGTTGGCCAAGCTGGTCTTGAACTCCTGACCTCAAGTGATCCGCCCACCTCAGCCTCCCAAAGTGTAGGGATTACAGGCAAGAGCCACTGTGCCCGGCAGCGGCTAAAATCTGAAAGGGCAAAGTTTGTCTGTTAACCCAAATCTTTGTTTCCCTGACACCTAGCACAGAGCCTCACCTGGTCTGGAGAAGATGCTCAACAAATGTTTGTTGAATGACTGTATGAATGAATGAATGGACACTGGGGATTGTTTTACTCTACCTACACTACTTCTCATTGATGACTTTGCCTAGACATTTACAAATCAGAAGTTTGCTGAAAACCTCTAGAAAGTTCTTTCATTCCTTCCCCACCCTTAAGCATAGGTATATTTTCCTTCTAGGCCCCTGCAGGTGTTCTCTTCTGGCAGAAACCAAAGAGAGGAAATCTACAGTATCCTCTTGACAATGAATTTAAAAAACAACAGTTGCAAATAAAAAAATACTTTCACAGATGGAATTTTCATGTTCTCATTTCTACTGCATATTGTAATTTGTGGTGGAAGGCTAAGGTCAGGACAGACTTATTCAGTCATTCAACAAATATTTATAAAGCCCTGATATGCAGCAAATGTTAGAGATAGGCAGACAATCAGACACACATCTTACCCACTCTTGTGGAGAAGAGAGACTGACAAGGGAGATAAGAAGTAAATTGGGATAATGAATTCAAAGCAGTTCATGAAGCTCAACAAACATATATTGAGTTATAGCTCTCAGCCATGCACTGTGCTAGCTGCTGGGAGGGAAAGATACTTCAGATGAATCCCTTGCCTAACGCAGATCGCAATGCAGTGAGACCAACACATGAACAGATCCTCTCTCTGCTGTGGCAAGGGCAGAGATAGGAGTGTCCGGGATGCTAAAGGAGCACATGGTGTGGGGGAGGGCACTGAATGGGGTGAGTGGCCAAAGAGAGGTGAGTCTTGGAAGAGTTCTTAGAGGACATTAGCCTGTGCTGAGTCTTGAGGCATAATAGGACTTGGAGGAGTGAACACTAAAGTCAAAGTTTCCTTGACTGAAGGATCAAAATAGTTAAATGTCACAGTGCTGAAGGACTATGGGGATTCTAGGGAGGGAGAAGTCGTATGTTTCAGAGACAGGAGGACAGGGACTACATGAAGGCTAAAACAGAGTTTGTGGTTTTGATTTGCATTTCCCTAATGACCAGTGATGATGAGCTTTTTTTCACATGTTTTTTGGCTGCATAAATGTCTTCTTTTGAGAAGTGTCTGTTCACATCCTTTACCCATTTTTGATGGGGTTATTTTTTTCTTATAAATTTGTTTAAGTTCCTTGTAGATTCTGGATATTAGCCCTTTGTCAGATGAATAGATTGCAAAATTTTTCTTCCATTCTGTAGGTTGCCTGTTCCCTTTTCACTCTGATGATAGTGTTTTTTAATTTTATTTTATTTTATTTTTTGCTGTGCAGAAGCTCTTTAGAGTAATTAGATCCCATTTGTCAATTTTGGCTTTTGTTACCATTGCTTTTGGTGTTTTAGTCATGAAGTCTTCGCCCATGCCTATGTCCTGAATGGTGTTGCCTAGGTTTTCTTTTATGGTTTTTATGGTTTTAGGTCTTACGTTTAAGTCTTTAATCCCCCTTGAGTTAATTTTTGTATAAGGTGTAAGGAAGGGGTCCAGTTTCAGTTTTCTCATGCTAGTTAGAATGGTGATCATTAAAAAGTCAGGAAGCAACAGATGCTGGAGAGGATGTGGAGAAATAGGAATGCTTTTACACTGTTGGTGGGAGTGTAAATTACTTCAACCATTGTGGAAGACAGTGTGGTGATTCCTCAAGGATCTAGAACCAGAAATACCATTTGACCCAGCAATCCCATTAGTGGGTATATACCCAAAGGATTATAAATCATTCCACTGTAAAGACACATGCACACATATGTTTACTGTGGCACTATTCACAATAGCAAAGACTTGGAACCAACCCAAATGCCCATCAATGATAGACTGGATAAAGAAAATGTGGCACATATATACCATAGAATACTATGCAGCCATAAAAAAGCTTTGTCCTTTGCAGGGACATGGATGAAGCTGGAAACCATCATTCTCAGCAAACTAACACAGGAACAGAAAACCAAACACTGCATGTTCTCATTTATAAGTGGGAGTTGAACTATGAGAACACCTGGACACAAGGAGGGGAACATCACACACTGGGGCTTGTCAGTGGGTGAAGGGGTAGGGGAGGGATAGCATTAGGAGAAATGCCTAATGTAGATGACGGGTTGATGGGTGCAGCAATTACCATGGCATGTGTATACCTGTGTAACAAACCTGCACGTTCTGCACATGTATCCCAGAACTTAAAGTATAATAAAAAAAAAAAAAAAGAAAAAATAGAGTTTGTGGCACTGAGATGGAGAAAGGTCATTCTATACTATGGAAAGAGTCTGCATAGATGTACAAGTGGGTCCCTTTCTCTTTCATTCTCATTCTTTCTCTCTCAACTCTTTAGCATTTAAAGTTTTTAGTAAATTAAAAATCATATTATTAAAAATGGCAATTTTAAAAGTGTTTAAATGAAAAAGAAATATTTAAATACAAATATAAATTTAACACAAACATAACAATTTTGAACACAAAAGATAATCATAGGATTTATTATATGCATCAATTTGTTCACTAAAGTTGGTGTAGTTCAGCCAGTGGACAAATAATTAAATGCCTATGATCATCATCTTCACTTTGAATACTGTTGGTATATCCCTGTAACTCATTATATGTATAACCTTCTTTGATGATGGCTTCGGAGGTCTTCATTTAAAAGCCCCTTGAGAATGGGAAGGTGGGCCAAATGGTTCTTCTGGCCTAGCTACATGCTACAGTGGAGTTTTTTTTTTTTTTTTTTTAAGTTAAGAAGATCACTGCTGAGAATGTTATGGGTGTGCTTTGTGTTTGGCCTGGGACGATCCAGTTCTAGCTCACATATTTCGCCACTGCCTGTTCCCTGAATGTTCTATCATGTTAGGTAGGCTTCCAGAAGGGACAGAGTTTAATCTACACAGTCTGCAATTACTTCAGAGCCCTTGGAGGACAGCAAAAAGCCTTCCATGGCCCCATCCCTTGGCTAAGATGTGGGATTTGCCTGCATCGCAAATCAGTGATGAATGACCAAGAAAAGCTTCTTGATGCTTTTTAAAGATGTTGATGGAGGGACTTTGATTGGAAATTCCAAGGTGCTTTAGAGCAGAGAAACTCCCCAGTGAAAGGATGTTAATCTGGAGCACCAGTGTCCTTGTTTCTTTCCTCTCCTTGTCTTCCATTCCTCCACAGGCTAGAAATGTGATCTCAAGACTTTTCTTAGTTTTAATTTTTGCTATGTTTAAAAATTAGAATTCTTCCACACTCTGGAGTCCTCCTCATTGGTATTCCAGATGTAAATTATGAGTAATGTGGAGGGATATTCAAAACTCAGAGGTTTCATATGACTTACAACTGCCCGTGATATGAGTGGGGTCAGAACCTGCTGTGACCACTCCTCACAGTGTCTCCCTAAATCATGCCAAGTCCTTTATGGGAGGATTTTAAGGGAAGCCAAAGGTTATGTTCTCTGCTTTCTTTTGTAAGTATGTCACAGTATGTTTGACCTGGAGACTGGTTCCCCTCACAGCTGGTGGTAGAGTCAGATCTGTGGTCTTTATTAAGATTTAAATCACTTAAAAGCCTATTTCTCTTCCCCTTACCCCAGACATAAAGAAGACTTACTGTATCAAAAAATGATTTCTTTTTAAAGCAAAAACATTGTTGACATATGAAAGTGTAATTCTTTCGGGTACAAAACCTATACCACATAATGATTTTTTTAAAGTAAGCTCAAAGGGTATTTTTTTTCTATATTACAAAGACTCCCTACTGTGGCATTTTTCATATTCAGTTCAAATGATATGGGGATATGTTAGTTGATTTAGTTGATTTACAGGGGATATGTTAGTTGATTTACTTACATAAAATCAAGTGTAGTTGTCTTGGTAATAGTAATGGTAGCAGCAGTGGGAGTAGTGCCATTATACCGTAGAGTAGAATATGGATAATTTTCATGTCATTACTATATAAAACCCATAATTCTTAGGACAAAATCCATTTAAATATAGCTTTAATGGCAGAAACTTGAGCAAATTTCCAAAGTTGGGTCTCATATTAACTAGCTTTCATGATTTAGACATATTTACTATAAAGTAACATCATAAATACTTAAAATTAAACAACTGTCAAGATGAATAAAATATGCTTTATGATCCAGAATGTCTCCTTTTGTGGCTAGATTTGGTAGCTACTCATCCCTCAATTTCATTAATCCATAAAACATTTCCTAGTCAATTATACAAAATAAGAATATGTAATATTCTGTTTTTAGTGTAATTTTTAAAGCAAAATTGCATACATGTATTTGTGCTTGTTTGGACATGGGAAAGAGAATGATTATTTTCATTCCCTGAGATGGCATAGTAAAGTGATAAATAGCAAATGCCCTTATTGTGAGTGTACTCTCCTTTGTTTTAAAAACACTCGATGCTTATCATGAATAGGGTATTCAATTTCTTGAAGTTTATAATGGAGTTACATTGATTTGCATTGAAATTCAGGTGGCATCATTAACTACTATGTATTCTTATATAAACCAGTTAACCCCTTAAGCCTCAATTTCTTCAACTGTAGAATAGGGATAATATGTAACTTATGTTTTTGTAAGGATTAGAGGTATTGTATATATAGTTAGTATAGTGTCTAGTCCCAAGTTAGAGCTAAATAAATGTACCAATAATATGCCAAACGAATATTTCTATTGTATGAAAATATGGTTTTGCTGTGTCCCCACCCAAATCTCACCTTGAATTGTAATAATCCCTATGCGTCAAGTGGGGCACCTGGTGGAGATAAATGAATCATGGGGGTAGTTTCCCCCATACTGTTCTCATGGTAGTGAATAAGTCTCATGAGATCTGATGGTTTTATAAATGGGAATTCCCCTACACAAACTCTCTTGCCCACCACTGCATAAGATGTGACTTTCTTCCCCTTTGCCTTCTGCCACGATTGTGAGGCCTCTCCAGCCACATGGAACTGAGTCCATTAAGCCTCTTTTTCTTTATAAATTATCCAGTCTTGGTTATGTCTTTATTAGCAGTATGAGAACTGACTAATACAGATGACAAATAAATGCATAAAATAAAATACAAATATATTACATTTATGTATTCTATACTAGACACTGGGTTATCTACTAGAAGACTTAACAAAGAAGAAATCTTAGTATCTGTGTTCAAAGAGATAATAATTTTGGTTGAGGGGAGCAACCCAAGAGAGACATGTACACAGCAAATTATAAAATAAATTAGACCATGTTTAGACCTCTTAGCAGAGGATTACAAACAGTGCCCGAGATCCCAAAGGTGGGAGTAATTCATTCTGATTGGGAAAATGTAATGAGGGCAATCCATGGGGTATCAGGGAGAACTTCACTTAAATACTAACATTGGAGAATGCTCTTAAAGAATAGACAGAATTTCAGCAAGTGGAGAAGAAAGAATATCTGAGGAAGGGCAGATAGCATCAGAAAAGGCACAGTGGCATGGGACATGATATGGTTTGGCTGTGTCCCCACCCAAACCTCAACTTAAATTGTATCTCCCAGAATTCCCACATGTTGGGAAGGATCCAAGGGGAGGTAATTGAATCATGTGGGCCAGTCTCTTCCATGCTATTCTCATGATAGTGAATAAGTTTCACGGGATCTGATAGGTTTATCAGGGATGTCCGCTTTTGCTTCTTCCTCATTTTATCTTGCTGCCACTGTGTAAGAAGTGCCTTTTGCCTCCTGCCATGGTTCTGAGGCCTCCCCAGCCATGTGGAACTTTAAGTCCAATTAAACCTCTTTTTCTTCCCAGCCTCGGGTTTGTCTTTATCAGTCGTGTGAACATGGACTAATACAGTAAATTGGTACCAGTAGAGTGGGGCATTGCTGAAAAGATATCCAAAAATGTGGAAGTGACTTTGGAACTGGGTAACAGGCAAAGGTTGGAACAGTTGGAGGGCTCAGAGGAAGACAGGAAAATGTGGGAAAATTTGGAACTGCCTAGAGACTTGTTAAATGGCTTTGCTCGAGATGCTGATAGCGATATGGACAATAAGGTCCAGGCTGAGGTGGTCTCAGATGGAGATGAGGAACTTTTTGGGAACTGGAGTAAGGTGGCTCTTGTTATGTTTTAGCAAAGAGACTGGTGGCATTTTGCCCCTGCCCTAGAGATTTGTGAAAATTTGAACTTGAGAAAGATGACTTAGGGTATCTGGTGGAAGAAATTTCTAAGCAGCAAAGCATTCAAGAGGTGACTTGGGTACTGTTAAAGATATTCAGTTTTAAAAGGGAAGCAGAGCATGAAAGTTTGGAAAATTTGCAGCCTGACTATGCAATAGAAAAGAAAAATCCATTTTCCGGGGGAGAAATTCAATAAAGCTGCAGAAATTTGCATAAGTAAAAAGGAATCTAATGTTAATCTCCAAGATCATGGGAAAAATGTCTCTAGGCCATGTCAGAGACCTTCATGGAAGCCCCTCCCATCACAGGCCCAGAGGCCCTGGAGGAAAAAGGGTTTCTGTGGGCTGGGCCCTGGGTCCCTATGCTGCGTGCAGCCTAGGGACTTGGTACCCTGTGTCCCAGCTGCTCTAGCTGTGGCTGAAAGGGACCAACGTAGAGCTTGGGCTGTGGCTTCAGAGGGTGGAAGCCCCAAGCCTTGGCAGCTTCCATGTGGTGTTGAGCCTGTGGGTGCACAGAAGTCAAGAATTGAGGTTTGGGAACCTCCACCTAGATTTCAGAAGAGGTATGGAAACATCTAGATGCCCAGGCAAAAGTTTTCTGCAAGGGTGGGACCCTCATGGAGAACCTCTGCTAGGGCAGTGCAGAAGGGAAATGTGGGGTCATAGCCCCCACACAGAGTCCCTACTGGGGCACTGCCTAGTGGAACTGTGAGAAGAGGGCCACCATCCTCCAGACCCCAGAATGGTAGATCCACTGACAGCTTGCACTGTGTACCTGGAAAAGCCGGAGACACTAAACACCAGCCTGTGAAAGCAGCCAGGAGGGAGGCTTTACCCTGCAAAGCCACAGGGGCAGAGCTGCCCAAGATCATGGGAACCCACCTCTTGCATCAGTGTGAGTTGAATGTGAGACCTGGAGTCAAAGGAGATCATTTTGGAGCTTTAAAATGTGACTGCCCCACTGGATTTCAGACTTGCATGGGCCCTGTAACCCCTTTGTTTTGGCCAATTTCTCCCATTTGGAATGCCTGTACTTACCAAATACCTGTACCTCCATTGTATCTAGGAATTAACTAGCTTGCGTTTGGTTTTACAGGCTCATAGGCAGAATGGACTTGCCTTGTCTTAGATGAGACTTTGGACTCTGGACTTTTGGGTTAGTGCTGAAAAGAGTTAAGATTTGGGGGGCTGTTGGGAAGACATGACTGGTTTTGAGATGTGAGGACATGAGATTTGGAGGGGCCAGGGGTTGGCAAATGATATGGATTGGCTGTGTCCCCACCCAAATCTCAACTTGAATTGTATCTCCCAGAATTCCCATGTGTTGTGGGAGAGACTCAAGGGGAGGTAATTGAATCACGGGGGCTGGTCTTTCTCATGCTATGCTTGTGATAGTGAATAAGTACCATGAGACCTGATTGGTTTATCAGGGGTTTCTGCTTTTGCTTCTTCCTCATTTTTTTCTTTCTTTTTTTTTTTGCTGACACCATGTAAGAAATGCCTTTTGCCTCCCACTGTGATTCTGAGGCCTCCCCAGCCATGCGGAACTGTAAGTCCAATTAAACCTCTTTTTCTTCCCAGCCTTGAATATGTCTTTATCAGCAGTGTGAAAACGGACTAATACAGGACATGAATGTGCAGTGTTTTCTGGGAAAAATGAACACTCCAGCATGGTAGGGGTAAGCAGGAAAAGTCAGCTGTAGGAAAGTGATGGCAGACTTTGAATGCAAGGCTAAGAGTTTGTGCTTTATTCTGTGAGCAATGGTGAACCATTAAATGGGTTTTATTGTGGAAGTGACATATTAGATCCAAGTTTTAAAATGATATATTAAAATGGTACTTTTTTGTGGTGTGGTGAATGAAGGTGAGGTGGTTGGTTGGTTGGTGGTTGTTTAACTAGAACAGTAATTGGCAAATATTTTCTGTAAGGACCAGAAAATAATTATTTTTGGCTTTGAGGGTCATATGGTCTTTGTTGCAACTACTCAGTACTGCATTGTAGCACAAAAGCAGCCACAGACAATATATTAATGTATGAGTGCTGCTGTTTCAATAAAACTTTATTTACAAAAACAGGCAACTAGCTAAATGTGGCCCTAGGGCCATAGTTTGCCCAGTTCTGTATGTAATAGACCAGATGAGAGAGGATGAAGACCTGCACTTGGGTAGTGGCAGATAATGAAAACAGAATAAACAAATTTGAGAGAGACTACGGACATAGTAGTTTTGGATTCATATTTAGCATTTGGTGAGAGCATGAAGTTTAAGGGCACTGGACAAGTATCAAAACTTTTTGATATCAGGGTGGATATTGGAAACGAAATAAAGATTGAAATAGTAAAAAGTTTTTGACTGAAAAAAGCATATTTCAACAGATAATTTGGTTTGGGCATACAAAGATTTAAATGAAATAAAATATATTCTAACACATAATTTGGTATAGGCATGCTAAATGAACAAGTACTGTAGCCTATAAAGGCAGAAATCATAAAGGAAACATTGTTAGATTTAACTACATGAACTAGAAAACCATAAAGAAAATTATTGGATTAAATCCAATGACATTTCTAATGGTAGACTATTTTTTGCCTAAAAAAGGCAATTTCTGACCAGGTGCAGTGGCTCACATCTGTAATCCCACAACTTTGGGAAGCCAAGGCAGGAGGATTGCTTGAGCCCAGGAGTTCGAGACCAGCCTGGGCAACATAGTGAGACTCCATCTCTACAAAAAAATTTAAATTAAAAAATGCAATTTCATATGGTATAATGTATACATGGTAAAGAACAAAGAAAAAGGAATGTTTAGAACAAATATGAGAGGGTGGAATAATGCTTTTTATATGTAAAGAACTCTTTAAAACCAATGAGAAAAAGACAAACTTTCCAGAAGAAAACTGGACAAAACATATGAATGGGCAATTCACAAATATTTCTGATTTAAATATTTGAGAAAATGCTCAACCTCGGTGATAAATAAATACACATATAGTGATAATATTGTACAGGTTTTCACCTGCAGTGCAGACATTTTTAAAGACACCGGGAAATTCTGATAATTTTAAGTGTCCAAAGGAAATAAGAGCTCAACAATTTTTGGTAAGCTTGTAAAGTGATATGACCATTATGGATGACTGTTTGCTAAATATGTGCATAGCTTTTGACCAAATGATTCTATTTCTAGTAACTTGCCCTAAAGATACAATCTAAAATGTGTGCGGTACCTTATGTATGAGGTTGTTCATTATAGAGTTATTTATAAGAGCCAAATGTTAGATAAGACAAATAACTTATAATAGTAAGATGTAATATCTAACAGTGCCCAGATATCTGATTGAACATTATTCTGTGTGGGCTTCTGTGAGGGATTTTTTTAAATGTGAGATTAATGTTTAAATTCATGGACTACTCTTCATAGTGAGGACTGGCCTCATCCAATCAGTGGAAAGCCTAAAAAGAACAAAGACTGACCTCTCCAGAGCAAGAGAGAATTCTGCCAATAGATGACCTTTGGACTTGAACTGAAATGTCAGCCCTTTCCTAGTCTCCAGCCTGCAGCCCCATCCTACAGATTTTGGATTTGCTGGCCTCTACAATTGCATAAGCCAATTCCTTAAAATAAATCTCTCTCTATATATATTTATGTACACCCTACTGGTACTGTTTCTCTGGAGAACACTGACTAATGAAATATAAAATCTCACATTTAAGAGTGTATATAAAATTGAGAGGGCTTATTCTTATTTAGACATGAATTATGGTCATATGCAACATCAAGACAAGCTATTGGCTTCAGAGTTACTAAAAAGAGGTTGGACTCCACTGTTGGATTCATCCTCTGTTTTTGTCAACTCGCTGCTTCTTGGGTTTTGTTCAACCTTACTGCTTCTTACACAGCCTCAATCAAGTGGTGTTTTGGATGTAACAGAGTTAAGGTGCACTGACTGTGCGCTATGCTCTTGCAGCTGCCTGAGATGATTGTGTCTTTTGGCCTCTTGCTTCGCTTTATTGCTTCAGGAACCACGGAGAATAAGGCACATGTTATCTTGTCATGTTTTGTACACGGCTGTCTGAATTCCTTAACACCTAGATGCACATTACCAGATTCCAAGGTTTGCAGCCACTTGAGCTGAATTATTCTTAAATGAAAATAGTAAAAATCATAATAACTTTCCAGGCCCTGCAAAAGCTGATGTGTGCTGCATAAAAACCAAGCCTAGACCCATCTTCACTGATGCTGCCTTTATTATAATAATAATAATGATATTCATAGTTGACGGCGGCTTCATTTACTGCTTCATTTACTTTTATAAGTATTATCTGATTTGATCCTCAAAAATATTAGAGAGGAGATTCTTATTCTAATTTTATATACATCTATATGGAAATGAAAGCCCTGAGAAGTTAGATGTATAAGAACACATACCTAATGGCAGTTGGGGGCGCTGGGATCCCCATTCTCATTTTCTGGTTCTAAATTCCATCCCCATTCCTCTTTCCTCTTAGCCTTTTTTCTTTCGGTTCCATAATTCAACAATATTCATTTATGAAATTCTATGCCCAAGTATTGTTCTAGGTCTTAGGATATGTCAGGCAGTAAGACAGATTTCTTCATGAACCATTTCTGTGGACTGACTTCATGAAGCTTAGAGTCCAAGAAGGAAGATGGGCATAAAAAATACAAATAATTTCAATTGTGAGACCTGCTATTGAGGATAAACATAGGAGGCCTTTAAAGTGTGTAAGTGAAATCATTTACTCAGCCTTGCCTTAGAATAAAATGTTTCACATAAACAAATATTCCAGATAACTCTTGCCACTTCAAATGCAACATTTCCATTTTGGATGGAAATCCATCAAAAATACATTAGAAGATTCTTTGCTTTATAAGGGGCATGTGTGAGACAGATACATTATATTTTTCTTGAACTCTGAGTCATTCTGCTGCATTCAGCATTGGTCTATGTTTTAATACTGTAGGGAGTTCATATATCGGTCAGTCTCTTAGCAGGAAGCAAATGACACACTTAAGTAGGGAAATAGGGGATAATTAAAGAAAGAGAATCTTTACAAAGGTGTAGGCAAGGCTGAAGGGACAAGAGTGGGAGCAGTTACAAGAACCCAGATTGCATAGCTGTAGGAAAAGGCTGCCCCGTAGGAGATATAACCCTCAGTTGACCTGTGGGAATGCAGCAGGAGGGAGTTGGGGGTGACAAATGTCCATGCCATTCTCCTGCCCTCTGATTTGCTGTGTCCAACCAGGAGTGAGAAGGTCAGGGGCATATTGAAGGCATCCATACAGCACCCTCTGGGGTAGACAGCAGGGTGAGAAGGATGGAGAGGAGGTCTGGATTGGCAAATGAAAGATGTACAGTGTAGCTTCTCCTGATCTTTGTTACCAGTTCTGCTTCTAACAGCCTTTTCTGTCACTATTTTTAACTCCAACAGCCTCATGAATGGTCTGCTTGCTTGCATGCACTGTTGCCCCTTATAGCACAACCCTTTTTTTCCCTCAGCAGCCAAGGTTATTTTAGAAAAATGCCATAAATCAAGTAATATGCACCCCCCATGCTTACAACTGGCCATTTGCTTCCCATTGCCCTTAAAATCTAAACTCTTCCATAACCTATAAAGCCCTGTTTGAGCAGCCCTCTCCCCTTTTTTTAGCTTCATCAGGTGCCTGCATCTGGCCTTCCTGTTGCTGTCTATGCCAAGCTTGTTCTCATTTCAGGCAGTTGTCACGTTCTGTTTCCTGTGTCTGAAATCCTCCTGATGACCTTACAAATGGTGATGGCTTGTTCTCCTCCTCTTTCTTCTCTTCCTCGTCCTTCTCTCCCTCCTCCCCCTTCTCCTCTTCTTTTTGTTTTCTTCCTCTTCCTCTCCCTTTTCCTCACTTTCCTTCCATCTCCCTCTTTCTCTCTTCCTCCTCCTCTTTCTCCTCCTGCATCATCATCATCATTATTAAAGCAATTCACTTTTTGGAGGTACAACATTATACACTAAATGGCCCCGTATTTTAACTATACAGCCTGATGAATGTTCACATACATATACACCCATAAAACCGCCACTCAGATCAAGCAGAAAGCATTTCCAACCCCCAGAAGGCTCTCTTGTGCTCCTGCCAGTCAATATCTGCCCCCTCCCCAAAAGGTATTTTGAACTCTATTACCATCGATCATTTGTGCCTGTTTCTGAAGTTCATCTAAGTGCAGTCGTATAATTTGTATCCCTTTTTGTGTAGTTTCTGCTGTTCAATATAATGACTGTGAGAGCTATCCATGTTGTTTCTTATAACAGTAGTTGGTTGTTTTGCTATGTAATATTCCATTGTGTGTACATACCAGAGTTTATCCATTCCATTGCTAAGGACATTTGGTTTCTAGTTTTGGTCTTTATGAATAACACTGCATGGGGAATTTGCTGGTTATACATCAAGAGTGGAATTATTGGGCTGTAAGATAAGGATATGTTTATAGTAGGTGATATTTCTAAACAGTTTTTCAAAAATGGTTGTGCCAATTTACCATCCCACTAGCAGTATGTGAGAGCTCCCATTATCTTACATCCTTGTCAGCACTTGGTACTGACTATTTAATTTTAGCCATTCTGGTGGATGTGTAGAGGTATCTCATTATGGTTTTAATTTGCATTTTGTTGCTAACAAGGTTGAGCATCTTTTCATATGCATAGTGGCTGATTGCCTCTTATATAAAGTACCAATCAAATCTTTCCGCCATTTTTTAGAAAAAAGGATTGCCTCACTTTTTCCTATTGATTTATAGTTCTTGATATATTTTGAGTATGCATTCCTTGTTAGACACATGTTTTGTAAATATCTTCTCCCAGTCTATCTGAGAAAGCTTGCCTTTTCACTCTCTTAATAGTGTTTTTGATAAATGGAAGGTCTGAAGTCAAATTTAACAAACATTTCTTCTATGGTCGACGTGTTCTGTGACCTGTTTCAGAAATCTTTGAACATTCACTTATTATAACCTCCTCAGAGAGACGTGCACTGAGCTCCTCGTATGTTTCACCCTCCTGGCCAACCACTGACCTCTCTGGGCCTGGAGCATCAGTGAAGTCCAGCAATGCTCCTGGGGGTTGTCCAGTAGCAGTGGCCTTGAGTTCAGACTGAGGTTCAAATTCACAAGCCCCAATCAGCTTTACTGGCATCAAGGACAGGCAACAACATGGTATGACACGGTGGTCACAAGAGACAGAGCTTAGCAGGTAGAGAGCATCTCAGCTACAGAAAGCCATAAGCTTTGGGGTCCCTTCAGATTTATAAGTAGCTTGTCACATATCCTCTGAGGTGGATTCTGGGGAGCTCTTCCCAGATCTTCCACAGCAAAACTAAGGCACCTGTTGCCTCCCTTCCCCCATCTTCCCCAGCCATGTTGGCAGCTGATGTCTTACAGCTGACTGTCTTTCAGGAATCATCCTCAATATGGGAAATCTCTGAAGGACCATCACGCTCACTCTCCCAGGTCAGCTGAGGCCTCTTTTGCAAATGAGTCAAAATGCACTTTCTCCATCTATCGAATCTCCTTACCTTTGCTCCTTCAGGATTGTGGATCCTGGGAGCCCTCTTCCAGAAACTTCCTGCATGCAAATCTCCCTCTCAGAGGCAGCTTCCCTGGACCCCCTCAGGGACTACCAGGGGTCTGACTTGCATGGCAGAGATGGTGGGGAGGGTTTTCTGCTGCAGCTGTTGCTCATCCATACTGGCTCCTCAGTTCTCAATAAGTCTCAATAATGAGGTTCAGGTCCTTGGAAGGGCACACAGTGCTCAGCTGGATTTTCATTCATTCTGGAACCAGTACAGGCATTCTCCAAATGCTTTGCTATTCCCTGAAGCAATGTTGACCAAGGGTCAAATCCTCAAGGATCTCTGAGGCTAGAAGACAACCACAGAACCAGCCGTTAATCTTATTGTTCCAAAGTGTGTGTTTGTATATATCTGTGTGTACACACACATATGCCTGTGTATATACACACATAAATATATACATGTGTACATATACATGTATAGATGTGTGTGTGTACTCAGTCAGCAAATTCTTAAATAAAATATATTCTGCCTTCATACCCTGACAAAATAGGAAGGCCAGATACCCGTTCAGAAATTTTAGATTCTTTGGACTTTTGTGCCAGAACATGGCAGCGTGAGGAGAAACAGCCCCCGTGCCTGACCCATGACCATAGCCCACCCTAATTTTGCTTCCATTCCCAAATCCACTCAACTTTACTGTCCCTAAATCCCCAAATCCACTCAACTTTACTGTCGCTGGCCCTCTTCAGCATGCGCCTCTTCTATTATGGTATTTCTTCATCATTCTTACCACTCTGGAGTTATCTTGTTTCTTATTAATTTTTGGTTGTTTATTATCAATCACCCCTACTGAAATTGATGTTAGGAGGGCAAAGTTCTCACGTCTCTTGCTCACCATTCTATCCCAAGTGGCTGGCACATGAATGATGAAACAGAGGCCCAGGCTTGTTAAAAATACTCATTAAATAACTGCTACAGACATTGGAAACAAGGGCCTGAGGGGGAATCGTAGTTTAGGGGAGCAATGGGCCCTTTCTGCTTGCTCCGTGGTTTTTGCTCCAGAGGCTTGGGATGGTAGGGTGACCAACCCACCCTGGAATTTCCTGGTTTTAACACTAGAGTCCTGCATACTTACAAACCCTCATTCCCAGGCAAATGGGGACCCCTGATTGGTCACCTCACTCAGCCAAATATGGTCAGGAAGCTGGCTAATAAAGAGATTTTTCTGATAGTTGAAGGGCCAGCTCTGTCTTCTTAGCAGCTACTTACAATAATTAAGAAAATGTAACAAAAAAGTATTTATCAGAATTTAGTGAGGCCAAAAGATTTATGCTTTATTCTCAACATACCAAAATCGGATTAAGCATCATGAGATGACAGCCATTTTCAAAAGTATGTCACACTGAGGTTAAAAAGTGAGTCTTGGTAAATACAAAGTAATTGGACGGCATCTTATTTTCAGCAGCTTCCCCTTCATTACAGTCTAGACGAGGCATGGTTTACCGTTCTTTCTCCATTCATTTGGAGATTTTATGAGAATGTGTAAGTCGTTGACATTTTGGGCACCACTAATGAAAACTTATTATCCATTATGCCAGATTGAAGGGAACAGAAATTACAGAGTCTGAGGAAGGTCTGGCAACAGCAGCACAGCCACAAATTCCAGTGAAAAAAGCAGAGCTCCAAGAAGCCTGAATAGAAAGACTGTGTGAGGAGAGTGCTGCAGTCCAAACGACTTCCTGCCTGATCAGAATGCTTGGCTGCTGGGACACCCTCCTAGCCAGGGTATCAGTTATGATGGCTTCCTGCTGAGGGTTACAGAAACCTGGCCACTGGTTGCTAAACTTAGGGGTTTAATTTTTCTCACATAAAGTGAAGTTTTGGAAGGTAGCCAGTCCTAGGCTGTGACTCCACTATGACATCAGGTCTCATTGGCTAGGACTGTGTCACATGGCCACCTAGACATTTCATTGGCTAGGACTGTGTCACATGGCCACCTAGACATTTCATTGGGTAGGACTGTGTCACATGGCCACATAGACATCTCATTGGCTAGGACTGTGTCACAAGGCCACATAGACATCTTATTGGCTAGGATTGTGTCATATGACTATCTATGGCTGCAAGGGGGATTGGGAGCATCACTGCCTTCTAGCCCTCCCTACCTTGAATCAGGGTTCTCCTGATGAGGAAAGGTAGAAATAGGGAGCAGCTGGAAGTTTTTGGCACAAGATGAAACCTACCGGCCTCCTGCCAGAAGATAGGTTAGAAATCTGTGTCTAATTAGGGCATCTGCTTGGATGGAGGGCATGTACACAGTCTAAGCTCCAGGTGACATGTTTCACAGAGTCCATTGGTGAGATGAAATGCCAACTGAATGGGAATTAGCAGGAGGAAGAATTCATGGGACTCCGAGATGATAAAGAAAATGTCATTTAAGTGCAATGTAAGGGAAAAATAGTTCAAATTTTACTTAGAAAAAATGAGTTACAAATAGTTTATAATTAATCTAGCACATAGTTCATGCTGTAGCTAAAATTGTGCCTAGCACTGTGCTGTTGATTTGAGAGGTAATGATAATCCCTTATTTCTAGGACTAATAAATGAAAAGTTAAATGGTAGTCAACTGAATAACTTCCCTCAGGCATCAGAAAAGGGAAGTTCATTCTGGTCTGGGGTAGTCAGGAAAGGCTTCATGGAGGAAGTGAAGCATGCCTGGATACTTGGATGAGGGGTTGGATTTGGCAGTTAGAGAAGATAGTGCAGGAGTCACACAGTCAACATAGTCTTGGGCCTGGGGTGACCAGTGAGCTATGACGGTTAATTTTATGTGTCAACTTGTCTGATTTAAGGGATACCCAGATAGCTCGTAAAACTTTATTTCTTGGTGTGTCTGTGAGGGTGTTTCCAGAAGAGATTAGCATTTGAGTAAAGAAGATCTGCCTTCACCAATATGGGCAGGCACCACCCAATCTGTTGATGGCCTGAAAAGAACAAAAAGGCAGAGGAAAGACAAATTCACTTTGTTTTCTGGAGCTCAGACATCCATTGTCTCCTGCCTTCACATGTCAGAATTTCAGGTTCTTAGGCCTTTGGACTCTGGAACTTATACCATTGGCTCCTCTGATTTTCAGGCCTTCAGACTTAGACCGAATTACACCCAGGTTTCCTGGTTTCCTGTTTGTGGAAGGCATGGGATGGGACTTCTCAGACTCCATAATCACTTGTGCCAATTCTCGTAATAAGTCCCCACTCTATCTACCTGTCTGTCTGTCTGTCCGTCTATCTATCTATCTATCTATCTATCTATCTATCTATCTATCTATCTATCCATCCATCCATCCATCCATCCATCCACCCATCCACCCATCCATCCATCCTATTGGTTCTGTTTCTCTGGAGAACCCTGATTACTACACCAGCTTAAATGCAAGGTGTTCAAAGACTGCTAGTTGCATAAATATTACTATTATCTCATTGTTTCTTGATAAGAAAACCTCTATTTCACTGGGTATAGTAACATATTCACTTAGAAAACTACGTTTCTCATCTTCTTTTGAAGCAAAAAAATGGCTGATGAGGTAAGATTTGGGTGGGCTGGGACTCCCAGGATAGATCTTTGAAAAGGCTTAATGTAGTTGTAAAAAAGCATTTTTTTTTGCCTTTTCCTCTTTTCTGCTGCCTAAAACATGATTTGATGGCTATATCTGCAGTGACTATTTTATGAGGTGGGGTAATCTCATCAATGGGAACTACAAGATAAAAATTACAGAGCAAAAAGGTACACAGTGCCTGGATCTCTGCTGACCATGGAGCCATCATACCAGTTCTGGACTTC
Source organism: Homo sapiens (assembly GCF_000001405.40). Lineage (NCBI taxonomy): Eukaryota > Metazoa > Chordata > Mammalia > Primates > Hominidae > Homo > Homo sapiens. The sequence goes on along the minus strand of NC_000002.12, from coordinate 133,731,361 downwards.
TCTTATGAAAGTGAAAAAATACAATTTTATGTGAAGGCACTGATCTATGACAGCCCTGTAGTATGCAGGAGATATGGTTGGAGCAAAGATGTCCATGAGAAGCGTCCTGCACTAGGTGTAATGGTCAGATCTGCATTCCCTTGCTGTTGTTATTCACTGGCTGGTGGCTTAGCAGGAAGAGTGTGGCCTTGGCTCAGGAGCGGAGACAAACCCTGAAGATGCTAACAGTTGGAGGCCATCAGCTAACCATTTTATTTTTTATTTTTTTGAGACAGATTTTTGCTCTTGTCCTCCAGGCTGGAGTGCAATGGCGTGATCTCAGCTCACTGCAACCTCCACCTCCCGGGTTCAAACGATTCTCCTGCCTCAGCCTCCCTGGTAGCTGGGATTACAGGCACCCACCACCACGCCCAGCTAATTTTTTGTATTTTTAGTAGAGACGAGGTTTTACTATGTCGGCCAGGTTGGTCTCGAACTCATGACCTCAAGTAATCCAGCCGCCTCAGCCTCCCAAAGCGTTGGCATTACAGGCGTAAGCCACTCTGCCTGGCTCAGCTAATCATTTTCTTACAGCAGGACAGCAATTCTCAGAGGAAGATCTGAGCAGCATTCCCACAGTTGCCACAGGCTTTCTCCACATCTCCCTGAATTTCATCCCAATTCTCCTCCTCAGGGTTCCCCTACCAGACTTCTGGGACCATCTACTCTCCCTCAGCAAGCATCATGGTCCAGGTTCTCCCTTGCCTCTGACACGTTTCTGAGACATAGATATTTGCTTAATGCTGAGGCTCTGCTCCTTTGCAGTTTCTGCTGCCATGGGATGTGGACAGTGAAGCACTGTTTCAAGGGCATCCAGTGTAGGGGCTTCAAGGGCTTGGAGCAAAGTGGGTGAGCGCTGATCCTCTGGAGAGTAGGGAGGGCCGAAGAGAGAACTTCCACACTGGTTGCAGCTTGTTCTTGGCTAAAAATCTTTAAAATGCATCAAACCTCACAGCTCAAAGATGACTTTTCTTCACAGACCCCCTATTCACAGAGCTTCACACTATTCGCTCAGAACTATAACCCTGGTTGTGTTCTGCTAAGAACGCATTTGCTTCCTTCCCAAAGCAGCCTGTGTTTACTGGACCACAGAGTGAGCTCTGCCCAGCTCACAGAGCCCCAGGTGACCTGCCCTGGGGAGGAGGAGACTCCATTCAAGTCCACCCTGACACAACAGAGTAACCCCATTCCATCCTCATAATCATCCACAACACATTACATTCATCATTCAACATCCTAGGCAGCCCAGATGCCACATATCAGAAGCAACTGGCGGGCACCATGGAGGAAACCTGGATATCGACCTGTATCTCTCTGGCAGCAAAAGCCCATGCACTTTCTGATAGTCCACACTCAGCAGAAGAGCTTGGACTTTATGGATCCGTTCATTCATTTATGTAGCACATGATTATCGGGTACTACTGTGTGCCAGCCACACAGCTGCTAGGAAGCTTATATTTTAGCAGAGACGCAGGCATGCATTTAATCTGTAATAACTAATATAGACCAAGCATTACCAGACCTGGGCTGAGTTATCCTGGTACATTATCTTCTCACAGCACCCAATGAAGTAGGTGATATTTTGAATATGCACTTTGCTGCTGAAGAAGCTGAGGTTTAGCAAAGTTATGCAACTTGTTCAAGGTCACACAGCAGGTAAGTGTCAAAGTGGGGTTCTCAGGCAGTCCAACACCAGAGCTCATAGGCTCAATTGCTACACTAAATGGCTGCTCCCCTGGGAAATGAAGAAGTGCAGAAAGTTTTTAAAGAAAAGCATGGCCTTCTGAAAGTCATCTGTAGAAGTTAGTACAGGAAGATGTGCTGCAAGGCTGCTGTAGAGTCAAACGCCTATTAACCTCAATAGGGATGGGACCAGGTTTGAGAGGCCAAAGAAGAGACCTACAGCCAGCAAAAGAAGATGTGGAGTTTCATTGGGAGCTTAATTATAGCTTAAATATAGGAAAGAGAGTCCAGTGGTGGTGGACTGGACAACATATCCTCGTTCCTACAGTCCAGCGGCAGCGGGCTGGGCAGGAAAACCGCAACCACTGACAAACAACATGCAGTTTATATGCAGCATTTTCACTGAACACCCTCTCCCTAACAACATCCACCTGGCAACCTTCATCCAACCCAAACCTCAGGGCCTCACTTTCCTGTATAGCCTGTGTTCCACAGGATTGGCTGGGGCCTCAGAGGTTTATCATAGATAAGGAACACACCTCTGGGTTGGCCACTCCCAGATTCCCTAGCTTGGAACACACATTCTGGTGCATCTGCTATACAGCATCATTTTAAGGGTATGTTTAAGTTATTGCTATCAGGTGCCTTTATCTTATACCCTACAGCCACCACCATGCAAATGCAGTGCATGGTAAGCACCAAAAGGGACAGCATGCTGGGGCTGTGCCTGGCTGCTAATGCCAGTCCTGAAGACAGACATCACTATGGTCAAGATAGTCATGAGAGATGCAGCTGGAAGGATCAAGAGGTTTCCGCCTAAGGACCAAATACCAAAAATTAATCTTCAGTTCCAAAACATTAAAGACTGCATTGGAATATTACTCCAAGTCCATAAAATCAACCATTGGATTATGGACAATATGAACACAGAACTGTTCTTTCAATGTCAGGAGTTGAGAAACAGGTGGCCCCTCTTGTTCTAAGACAAAAAGAGAGACGTATTGTTTTCCACAGCTGGGAGCACGCTGGGTACTCTCTGTAAAACAGGAAGAGCAAAAACTCGTGCCCTGTTCCTCAAGCGGTTTCTGCAGGCCACTTCAGCAAGCAGTGGATTCCAAAGTTCTTTTTTTTTTTTTTCAATACTTCAAGCTCTCAGGTACATGTGCACAATGTGCAGGTTTGTTACATATGTATACATGTGCCATGTTGGTGTGCTGCACCCATTAACTCATCATTTACATTAAGTATATCTCCTAATGCTATTCCTCCCCCTTCCCCCCACCCCATGACAGGCCCTGGTGTGTGATGTTCCCCACGCTGTGTCCAAGTGCAAATCAAAACCACAATGAGATACCGTCTCATACCAGTTAGAAAGGTGATCATTAAAAAGTCAGGAAATAACAGGTGCTGGAGAGGATGTGGAGAAATAGGAACACTTTTACGCTGTTGGTGGGATTGTAAACTATTCAACCATTGTGGAAGACAGTGTGGCAATTCCTCAAGGATCTAGAGCTAGAAATACCATTCGACCCAGCCATCCCATTCCTGGGTATATACCCAAAGGATTATAAATCATGCTGCTATAAAGACGCACATGTATGCTGATTGCAGCACTATTCACAATAGCAGAGACCTGGAAACAACCCAAATGTCCATCAATGATAGGCTGGATTAAGAAAATGTGGCACATATATACTAGGGAATACTATGCAGCCATAACAAGGGATGAGTTCATGTCCTTTCTAGGGACATGGATGAAGCTGGAAACCATCTTTCTGAGCAAACTATTGCAAGAACAGAAAACCAAACACCGCATATTCTCACTCATAGGTAGGAATTGAACAATGGATTCCAAAGTTCTTACAGCGAAATGTGTGTGTGCATTTGTTCAAATGCCTTTCTGTGTGAATACTCAATACATAAGACAAATCCAAGAGCTGCTGCTGTGGAGTAAGAGAGGGTCTCACAGCCCTTCCTAGGGTGTCTGGGCATACAGCAGCCTATGAGGCAGCTTCATGAAGCAAGACTGAAAGCCACCAGGAAAATTCAGGTTCCATGCCTGCACAGAAGCAAAATTTCATCTTGTGATACAATACCACTTTTTGAGCATTTGGCAGCATGAGAAACTTTAGCAGCAGTCAAGGGATGAGACAGTAATAGATATGACAATGTAAAAGTTAAGGGGGCGGTTTCTAAGAGTCCGTATTTTTAAGTCTGGGAGAAAGCCCTGAGAGGATGCTGTCATGGGCAAGGCCAGCCTGGCAGGTGGGATTAGGAGGAGAGACGGCTTTGAAGGGGTGGATTTAGAGACTCACATCTGCTTCTTTGGGGTGTTCACGTGGGGAATTGAGAGGGAAGATCCCTGTTATCAATTCAGCATGAAATTGTGCAGTCCTGATGATTTGTGGGGGTAGGCTCTTAGAATCCAAGCAGATGGCCTGGGATATGCTGTAGTCATGTCCACTCGTAAATTAGAATGTGGCTGGGGGTAAGGTTTTCATCCAGTTCCAAGATTTGTACCGCTGCTGATTTTTAATGTTTCTGGCTTGGAACTAAGAAGTACAAACTACGTTTGAGCTGACTTTCACTTTCAGAATAAGATAGTAGCTTTCAAACAATTTTAGCAACTGTTTCCAGATATTTGTTAAGCAGCACAATCCAGTTTTCCAATTAAATCTTGGAATTCCATGACATTGAATAGACAATTCAGGATTTTTATCAGCATAAATTTATTTTGTGAGTCCAAATGTATAACATTCATTTTATATAAAGTTAATCTGAGAGAAAAATGGGTCTGTTTTGATGATCTGTAATATCTGAAATCAGAACTGAATGCCCCGCTCTTTTATCAATTCCATTATCCATTTTTTTTTAATAAATGTTGTTTCCTTGTTGCCACAGATATGAGGAAACAGTGGTTCACCCAGATAAGGGGCAGTAAGAATTGTTTTTAAGTAGCTTGTCCTTTAGTCCCATTATATTCTAATTGACCAAAGGTAGCAGAAGATACTGTATCCTAAGTTTTCCTTCAGAAAAAGCTATATTGTAAACAAGTCAGCATGGCAGTTGCTCCTCATTTAAAAACTGATTTTTGGGGGTGAGTTCTGGTTGTGGAACCCAGTGCTATTCTTTCTTCTAATTGGTCTTCTTGTCACAAGTTGTACCTAGTGTCTTATTCCTGGGTGGTTCTAGAATCTTCTGGAACAATACAGGTGCCATTGGTGATCCACCATCCTGAGTTTTCAAACTGCTTTCCATGTAACCCCAGAGTTTGATTTAGATTTCATTTTAAAACATGTTAATCATTTTCAAAGTGTCATCTTAAAAAGCACATGAATTTTGTCACATTGGAGATAACTGACGCACTGACCATATTGTCTGCCAGCTTGACTTCCTTGGGCAGCCTTAGCATAAAATATCTTCTGTTACTCTGGTTAATGAAAGAGTATACTGAGATTAGGCAAGGACTTATACTCTCCATATGTAACAGAGGTTGTTAGTTGTCTTAGCAATATCCATTTTCCATTCTTTCTTAAAAATAGGAACTCACAACAACGTGCCCAGTTATAAGACATTTCCCAGTCTTCTTTGCAATAAGATGCGATCACATGAAAACCTTACAGGTCAGGAGAGAGTGGCATGACATACTTAAAGTGCTGAAAGAAAAGAAAAACTTTTATCCTAGAATATTGTATCTAGCAAAAATATCCTTCAAACACGAGGGAGAAATAAAGACTTTCTCAGACAAACAAACCTGAGGAATTTCATCGACACCAGGCCTGTTCTACAAGAAATGCTAAAGGGGGTTCTTCAATTGGAAAGAAAAGGATACTAATGAACAACAAAGAGTCATCTGAAAGTACAAAACTCACTGGTAATCCTAAGTACACAGAAATACACAGAATATTATGACATTGTAATTGTGGTGTGTAAATTACTCGTATCTTGAGTAGGAAGACTAAAAGATGAACCTATCAAAAATAATAACTACAATAACTTTTTAAGACATACGCAGTATGAGATATAAATAGAAACAACAGAAAGTTAAAAAATGAGGCGGGGGGCGGTGAAGTTAAAGTGTAGCATTTTTATTCATTTCTCTTTGCTTATTTGTTTGTTTTTGCAATTAGATGTGACAGGACCAAGTCCTAGTCAATGAGATATAAGCAGATTGTTGGATGGCATTTCCAGAAGATTCCTTGTGGCAGATTCTCTTCTATTGTCCTTCCATACTTTCCTCTTCCTTTGTCTTTGAATGTGAATATAATGGCTGGAGCTCCAACAGCCACCTTGGGCCATGAAGTGATCTTGAGTATAGCAGCTTAAGGGATAGTATTGCAAAAATATTAAAGTGAGTTCTTGATAATGATAGAGCCATCATATGAGCTCTGGAGTTTCTGTCTCCTAACTTCTTTCACTTCTGCTTGTTTAGGTTGTGTTTATGTACAGTCAAACCTAATCCTGACTGATGTGATCAGAAAGCCCTGATCTAGAAGAAACTATGCATCTTTAGGTTGGTAGATGTACCAGTTAAGATCCTTTGATTGCACATAATAGACACCCACGTGATAGTGGATTGACTGATAAAGTATTTAATTAGGGTATATAACAGGAAGTCAGAAGGTAGGCACCCCCAGAATTGATTCGTCAGCTTGGTGATCTCATTGTGGATCTAGGCTCTTGCCATTGTCCTGCTCTTCCAACCTCAGCATTTAGGAAATATTTCCCTTATAGTTTCAAAATACTACACACAACCACACTCAAGGAGGAAAGCCAAGAGGCTCACCTTTCCTAGAGCATCTCTAATTTTTTTTTTTAAGCAAGTCATACACATTGCCACTATAGCCTCAACTGGACTTTTTGAGGTTGTACACTTTGCAACTAACCAGAATTAGGATTCTGAACCTTAGGGTAGAAGGAATAAATGGCTTTTGGACAGGTAATATAACAGACTTTGCTAAGAGATTCTTTTTCCCCCACACTACACTGATGTATTAAGAGATTTTTAAAAGGGCATTGGAACTGGCAGGTCAGCTGAAGACTCTAATGGAATCTACCAGTATGCAGGGTCTCCTGGGACTTTCCTCTGCCCACGGAGGAAAGGCTCCCCTCCCAGGCTGGCCTAGTGGGAGTCAGAGAACACCAGAAGGTAGGACTTTATTGGGAAATATTAGCCCTTACTTCCACACCTGAGTCTTCTTTTCTGAAAGTAGATTGAGGCTGCAGGTGACTTGTGTTCTGCAAAGCCCATCAGCCTCATTCCTCTGACTGTTGGGAAATGAGGTTGACACCATTAACAGTGTCCACATCATTTAAAAGGCTAAAATATTAAATATTTTTTCTAAAAAGTATAATATTTTATACTTATGCTAAATATACTAAAGTATAAATACTAAGAGTATAAATTATACTAATACATATAATAATAATATAAATTAATATTTAGTATTTTTACTAAAGTATAAATATTATACTAAGGATAGTATTTTGTCTTTAAAACTCAAGTATATAAAATATTTTTAAGATCTTTTTTTTTGGTGGTGGTTGTTAGCTCAGGGTCATCTTCAGGAACATCACTTTTTAGCAGCTTTATTGAAATATAATTTACTAACAATAAAGCTTACCTGTTTAAGTATACAATTCAATGATTTTAAATATATTTACTGAGTTAAATAACCATCATTGCTGTCTAATTTTAGAATACTTCCATCACCCCAGAAAGAAACCCCATAGTCATTAGCAGTCACTCCTTGTACATACCACCCCTACTTGTCCACTGCCCTCGATCTAGGCAAGCCCTAATCTGCTATTTGTCTCTATGAATTTGCCTGTTGTGGACATTTTGTATAAAGGGAATCATACAATATGCAACCTTTTGTGTGTAACTTCTTTTACTTAGCATGGTGTTTTTGAGATTCACCCACAATGTATCATGTGTCGGTACTTCATTTTTATTGCCAAATACCATTATATTGCGTGGCTATACCACATTTCGTTTCTCTGTTCATCTGTTGATGGACATTTGGATTGTTTTCATGTTTTGGTTATTATAAATAATGTTATTAACATTTGTGTACTTGGTTTTGTGTGAACATAAGTTTTCATTTCTAAGAGAATTATTTTTTGTAGTGTTTTGTAGGAGAGACTAATGATAGCAGGCGTATATGCTATGAACTTAAGGTGTGGTATGACTTCTCCACTACGTTGTTTATTTGTGTGCCAATAGTGATGCTGTCAAGAGCCAATGAGAAGGGTTCAGAAAAGAAAAATGAAGGAAGCAGAATTCCAGTGATTAAAAGATAGGCAGTGAGATGGGTGTGTGTATGCATATGTGTGTATGTATGTGTGTGACTGTGCACATATGCATGCATCTGTGCATTTTGTTTCAAGTCATAGTATCATTTGATAATTATCTTTCCTATTCACTTACATCAAAGTGTCAACTCAGTTTAGCTAACAGCCATTGAGCCTGACAACGTGCAAGGCATTTCAGTGGCTCTATACTTTGTCTGTGGCTCCTAAAACTTTATGTCTATCAGTTTTTCAATGTTCTCTGGCAGCCATCTTGGACTTAGTAAATGAATAGTTGGTGAGGTAAAATTTGAATATAGGCAGAATAATTCCCGAATGTTTTTATGAAGTGCATAATCCTTTTATAAATCAGGGATCCTTTTGGTTATTCTTTTTATAGGATTGGATACATATGTATATAGATAGACAGTAATAGTAACTACTTCTTCTTTTCTTTCTTTCTTTTTTTTTTTTTTTTTGAGACAGAGTTTCACTCCTGTTGCCCAGGCTGGAGTGCAATGGTGTGATCTCGGCTCACTGCAACCTCTGCCTCCTGGTTCGCACGATTCTCCTGCCTCAGCCTCCCGAGTAGCTGAGACTACAGGCATGCGCCACCATGCCTGGCTAATTTTTTTGTGTTTTTAGTAGATATGGAGTTTTTCCATGTTGGTCAGGCTGGTCTCGAACTCCTGACCTCAGGTGATCTGCCCGCCTTGGCCTCCCAAAGTGCTGGGATTACAGGCGTGAACCACTGCACCCGGCCTAATAATAAATACTCCTTATTGAGTTACCCCAGTTGTTAGACAAGTGATTTCTAACCCTGACAGCATATTAAAATCATGTGGGGAAGCTTTTTAAAAAAACCCAGCCCCACTCTCGGAGATGCTGATATAAACGCTGTGGGGTGGGACAAAGACATTAACATTTATTAAAATATCTTCAGGTAATTCTAAGTTACACCATGGTTTCAGAACTACTTATGCCAGACAGTGTGATGGACACTTTTTGTACATTATCTTATGTTTTTTCTGTAACCAGAGTGATGGAAGTGATGGATGCCAGTATACCCTCTTATAGATTTTAAAAATATGTGTCGAGCACTTAGTATGTGCCAGACAATTTTAAACATTTTACACGTATCAACTCATTTCATAATTACAATGGCCCTATGGAGTAGTTGCTATTACTATCTGCATTTTATAGATGAAGAAGTTGAGTCTTACAGTAGTAACTTAACATTGTTAACTAATAAATGAAGGAGGAGGAGTTAGAATTGGAATCCACAGTCTTGGTCTGTTTGAGTTGCTATAACAAAATACTATAAACTGAGTGGCTTAAAAACAGCAGACATTTATTTTTCACAGTTCAGGAGGCTGGGAAGTCCAAGATCAAGGCTCCAGCAGATTCAGTGTCTGATGAGGGACAGCTTCCTGGTTCCTAGATGGTGGCTTCTTGCTGTGTCCTCACATGGTGAAAGGGGCAAGGGAGCTCTCTGGGGCCTCTTTTACAAGGACATTAATTCCATTCATAAGAGCTCCACCCTCATGACCTAATCACCTTCCAAAGGCTCCACCTCCTAATACCATCACATTGGTGATTAAGTTTCAATGTATGAATTTTGGGAAGACAAAAACACTCAGACCATGGCAACTTTCATGCTGTATTGCAGAGGAGGAAATAACATTCAGAGAGTTGTTCTAGGAAAATAAGTTATTCACAAAGCTAATTTGGAAACCAGATCTTCTGACATTGAATAATAATACTGCTATTATTACTAGTTATAATAATTATAAAATTATCACTACTAACATCCTGCTAGCATTTATTGAGAGTTTATTATGATCCAGACACTGTGCTAAGGACCTTGCCTTGTTTAATTCTTGTACGAACTCACTATTTTTGCAACAGCTCCTATTACATTCATTACATTCTTCAGGCAAGGTCATTGAAACTTAGAAGGGTCAGTAGAGCTGGGATTCAAATCCAGGTCTGGCAGCCTATAAACTCACACTATTTCTGTGCACTCTATGTAAACAATGTGAATATAAGCACACAGGATGTTAATATTCCTTTCGGTCCTTCCAGTGACCCCCTTTGCGGGGCAATTAGAGTCCACAAATGGAAATGTTACCAGAAACACTTCTTAGTTGAATAAACATTTCTGGATGAATATTGTCCCCATGTGGAAAACAGAGATAAAGGGTATATCCAGGGAAAAATAGAAAAACTACTATAAAAGATCTAGTCTAGCTTCTGGGGCTCAAGGGTAAGTTTTCCTTGTGTGTGTATGTACCATGTTCAGAGCTGAGTGTACTGTGGGGCAGGGGTGCCCAATCCCTGGGCCACAGATCGGTACCAGTCTGTGGCTTGTTAGGAATTGGGCAGCACAGCAGGAGGTGAATGGTGGGCAAGTGAACGAAGCTTCGTCTGTATTTACACCTGCTCCTGATTGCTCGAATTACTACCTGAGCCCTGCCTCCTTTCAGATCAGCGGCAGCATTAGATTCTCATAGGAGCATGAGCCCTTCTCTGAACTGTGCATGTGAGGGATCTAGGATGCAAGGTCCTTATGAGAATCTAATGCCTGATGATCTGTCACTGTCTCCCATCACTCCCAGATGGGACCATCCAGTTGCAGGAACACAAGCTCAGGCTTCCACTGATTCTATATTATGGTGAGTTATATAATTATTTCATCATATATTATAATGTAATAATAATAGAAATAAATTGCACAATAAATGTAATGTGCTTGAATCATCCTGAAACCATCCCCTCTCCACCACAGGTCTGTGGAAAAGTTGTCTTCCGTGAAACTGGTCTCTGGTGCCAAAAAGGTTGGGGACCACTGCTGTAGGGACAAGAGGTCCTCTAGGAGGAAGAAGGCAACATGGAGGAGGAGGGAAAAGAGGTGAAAGCGTGATCTGACAGAAGGATGAGAGAGCACTGGACCATAGCTCTGACCTGATTTGCATAACTGACCCCTATCCCTGGTAACAGGAGGACTGATTGGCAGTTAATATTGAGGAAGACATGTGGCTTCCTAAGGTGAGGTTGCAAAATTATTGTTATATCCTGGAAATAGATGGAATGGAAGTCTCAGAGAGATGCAAAAATGTTAGGAGAGAAGTAGGGGAGTAGTATTGACTCACTGCTCAGGATGACAATTTTAAATATGTACAATAGGAAGTGTGAGTCCCAACTTTGCTATTTCAGGAGCAAGAAAACCTGGGGAGAATTGATGAAACTAAAGATTCACAAATATTCCTTGGGAATATTATAGAAAAAGACATACTAAAAAGGATAAGGGGTACGTGGCTCGGGTGAAACTGATAAAATGGAATAGATTTTGAGAAGTTGTATCATGGACTCTGTAGCCTGCATAGAACCATAGCCTTTTGCTCATGAAAGATGAGTTTGACCTTGTTGAGAAAATATCTGGTATAAAATTCTGATGGCCCTAGTCGAAGGGCCCCCGATGACTGTCAGACTTAGTGGGGTACCTGGGACCACATGGTATTCCAGACCACTTCTAAGTTTGGGTGTTTTTGGCAGCAGTGTTGAATTCCATGGACTTCCACCCTGAGGTGAAGAATTTATTGAACAAATGTGTTCTATCTCGAGGACAGGCCAGCTCACAGTCCGTCCCACACAGCTTCTGAAAGCCAGTATTGTTATTTCTCCTCTGGGTGTGCGAGTGTGTGTGTGGGCACACACGTGTGAAGTTTTAGGTAGGAGCTGAAGGTAGGGAAAAGGGGAAGGTCAATATTTATGAGTGGGTTTCTAAGATTTTATTTTATTTTTCTTATTTCATTTCCATGACCAGCATATGCCTTCTGGTGTCTAAGGCCCCATGATTTCGCATTTATAAGTGACTAAAAACAAAACCTTATTATAGGAAATTAGATTCTTTTGCTGTAGCTTATTTTTCATTTTTGAATTCATAAAAACAAAAAGAAATTCTATTATCAGAGAGAAGTCTTTCACTTAGAATGTTATTAAAATAAATAACCCAAATGCCTGTGATACAGACTGGACCCTTTCTGTAAAATTGGAAATATATTCACCACATTGCCTGAGTTTTCTGCACATGTCTCTCCAGCCCCAGCCTGTAGAACACACGCATTCTCTCTCCTCTCCAGGATACAGGTCATTTCTTGATTTCTTCCTTCTTTTAATTCATTGCTGTCAGTTTGAGGAGCTTCTTCTCTTTATACATGACTGAACTTGGCCTGGAACCTGCTCCTGTTTCACTGGGGGCAATCTCATACTGGGCCTTCAAATCTAATTATTTAAACCACATGACTAATCTATGGAAAATCCCCAGGTTTTGGCCATTTTCAGACATTCTGGCATCTTTGCAACAAAGATGTAATTTTTCCAAAAGGCTGAGTTGTGTGTGTGTGTGTGTGTGTGTGTGTGTGTTTGGTTAATTTACACCATTCACAGATCCTGTCCTGATGAATCATGATGCCTCTGCCAAATAGATGACCTAGTTTTCCAGTGTCTGGTACGAGCTGGGATGTTGGTGTTGCCTGAGTGTTGAATGTCGATCAGTGGTGTTTATCGAACACCCACTGTGCGCCTCGTACCGCCACTGGCAGCTGCAAGCAAGTTGGAAAGAAAACAGAGATGTCAGATTTGCCCTCAAGGAGTTCGCCCCATAATGGGCAAATGGGGTGAAAGACAAACATCAATGGAAACCATTTGAACAAGATAAAAGAATCAAACACCAATGACTTAAAGTGCCCTGACTTTGGCTGGCTGCCCCAAAGTGGGACCCCCAGGAACTATGCCTGAGTGAGAGAATAGGGAGCGGGATGAGGATCCAGATCTTAGGGGGTGATCAAGAAACTTCTGTTATTTGAGGTTTTTCTCAATTTCTGCCATATCTATGACCTTATAATTCTTTTAATATTTTACTCACTTTTGCTGTAACTCAAATTCATTTATTTATTTTTAAAAGGGAAGTTAATACCACTGTCATGAATGTCAATAGGTAATAATAAAGGTTTATATTCCTTTGTATGAACACAAAACAATATTATTACCTTTTAGCTAATTATTGCTGCCAGTGGAAGTCCTGAGCTTGAGGCTGGTTATTTTGTTATAAAGAGAGATTAATAACTATGAGGGAGGCATGAAAGATACACCAAAGCCAGGCTAAGACTACCTTTTTGATGTAAGAAGGAATTATAGGAGAATTGACGGGGAACAACATTCTCATTGTGATACAGTGTTATTTCCCCTCAGATCCACATACAACCTAGAGGAGTCTGGTGTCTAGCCTTGGAGGACCACATTTTGGAAAACCCTACTCTACTGTAGGGGAGGGCACTTGTTATGGATTGAATGTTTATGTCCCCCGAAAATTCATATGTTTAAACCTAATTCCCAGTGTGATGGTATTAGGAGGTGGGGCCTGTGGGAGTTAATTAGGTCATGAGAGTGAGACCTTTATGAATGAGATTAGTGCCCTTATAAACGAGGCCTGAGAGCTCTCTTACCCATTCAGCCTTGTGAAGACACAGTGAGAAGACAATGATCTATAAACCAGGAAGTGGGCCCTTGCCAGACATCAGATTTATCAGTGTTTTGATCTTGGATTTCCCAGTCTCCAGAACTATGAGCAATAAATGTTTGTTGTTTAAGCCACCGAGTTTATAATATTTTTGTAGCAGCCTGAACAAACTAAGACAGCACTTTAGGGAACCAATTACAATTTGGAGGCTGTTCCTGGCACATTATCCAGCACAGTTCATTTGTGGTTTAAGCAAAACCAGTTACCAGGAGGTTCAATTCCACGGGCAGAACAATAGCCAGGCTTTTGAGTGGTAGAGTAGTTCAGAAGTCAGACATTGCTGTTATGGTCTGTTCTGACAGATCTCTGCTTAGGACCAGAAAAGCCCTGTAGGCATTGAGGATGTGGAGGAAGATCCAACCTGGGGGAAGGAATGAGGTGGTGGTTTGAGGCTGTACAGCTATTGGGCTTTTGCTCTGAGCATACCTGATCTTGGGGACCATACCGCTCAACACATTCACATTCCCTGCTCATCCCACATGTGGATGGATTCCTGCCCTTCTGTCCAGCCTCTTCACACCCAATTTTCCTGCTCTGCTTCCAGTTTGGGCTTGATCCCTAGATGCTCCCTTTTTGCTATGTCCTGGCTCCTTGCTGTGCTGCCCACACAACCCATGGTATTCTAAGGTTGTTAAGATTATTGTAAAAAGATGTTTAAGGAAGCAGAATGAAACACATGATGGCAGCATTGATGGTCAGACCATGAGAGTGTAGAAAAAAAATATTATCCTCTACTCATCTTAGGTTCTCTGGTTGGTGCCCCATAATGAGACTAGCTAAAGAAAGATTAACAAGAGAAAAGTAAACAGAATTTTATTAGCATGTGCATCATACTGACACATGGATGCACCAGAGATGAGGAACTTCAAGGGGTGGTTAGAATTTAGTTTGTATGTTGTCTTGGGCTAAAACAAAGGAAAAGGGGATTTGGGCTTCTGGGTGGGGGAGGCAAGTTTTGGGAAGGTGACCAGGAAAAGTATGGTCAACAAGGGCTGTTTAGCAAGGTGTTTTCTGCACATTTAAGTCAGTGTCTTCTCCACTGATAAGAGTTGTTAAGAGTCCTCCTTTTCCTGGTATGGGAGAGGGAGACACCTTTTACAAAAGTAAATTTCCTTTACAAAAGGAAAATTTGTGCCCTGTTTTTTAGAGCTTTTCTTATGTCTTTTGATTTTCAATTGCCTTTAGCTTAAAAGAATCCAAATGCCCAAGAGCCATGTTTTGGGGTAGCATATCCTGATACCTTTCAAGAGGATGGTATTGAAAGCATGCTGTCTTCAGGTGCTGCCCCCACCCCCATGTGACTATTTAGGCCTTTTCCCACTAAAGTGTTCAGGCTAGGGCTCATTTCACGTGAAGTTAAAAACTGGCCTTGCTAGCCAATTCCACTTGCCCTGCATGCCCCACCTGAGCAACCGGAGTTTCCTGTAGTTGTGTGTGTTCCCATGCCAAGGCTGTCGCTTCAGGAAGGAAGTCCAATAGCAGATCTGATTAGCAGTAAGATAGAGGGAGCCCAGCAGTTGAGGCTGCACCTGTGCATCCCTGGCCAGGCTCATGTATAATTTTCAGCCCTACTAGGTGATAGGATTAAGATGTCTGATGTCCTAGGCTTCCAGGGCTGGGTGGGACCAAACCCTCCATAGAGTTGTGGTCTGAGGGTCTGTCTGCATTATAGCCAGGGCCCATTGCCAAGGTACAGTAGAGTGTGCACACCTAAGACCCTCCCATGCAGGCTTTCCCTCCCCTCTGCTTTGCTGTACCCAGTGTCTTCGTATGTACCTACCTCATAGCTCTGATCACACTGTATTACATTGATGTGCTGGAGTCTGTTCCTGTCTCTAGCCTGTGAAATCTTGGAAGCTTCATTCATTTCTTATTTGCCAGTGTATCCTCATAGCTACTGTGGCATTTAACACAATGTAGACGTAGCAGTCAGCATTCCTAACTGGAAACACCAAAACCTTCTTTAGCTAGTTTAAGCGGAAAGGGTACAAGTGGAATGTGTTAATTCAAGAGTTCACAGAATCTATGGAAGTGCCATCATTGGGCTTGGAGACTATGTAATCAGAAGCAATGCCCAAATCACCCCATGAGCCTGGTCAGTAAAAACCCCACTATCTCCACCCTTAGGCACAGACACCTCATCCCAGTACAGATGCTGGATACCGAACATGGGCCTCTTCCACTGTTGTTACCCATCAGGATATCTCTTCATCACTGCTGGCTGGAAAAGCACTCCCCCAGTTCTGTCTTCTTGCCCTCTTTTCACATGGACATCTCTCTTGAGTGCATCTAGTTTTTGAAGTCCAAGGCTAGGAAAGGTACGTGTCTCTAGGTTCTACCTTAGGGAGGCAGGGCTCACAAGGAAGCACATTCCCCAAACACAGCAGGGATATTTAAATGATGACTGGATCTGCAACCTGATAGATATATGTTGCAGGCATATGATACGAAGCTGTATTTAGTTTTTTCATATTTGTTTAAAATGGACCCAAGCCCCAGTTTTACATTCATGCCAATTTGACAGGAAAATGTACATATAGGGGGATTCCTGGAGTTGCTGGAATGGCTGAAATATTGGAAGCATCTGCTGGGCATTTGAGAACAGAGGAGCCAGAAGGACTGTTCAGTTTTCATAGAGGCAACCAAAAGATAGTTATTAAGCACCCACTATATGCCAGGTTTACCGTCGGAGGGATTCCCATCAGCCTACTTAAACACTGAGCCACACACTGACGATTTTCCACACCATAAATGAACAAATGTGAAAAGCCGAGAGAAATTACAAGGGGTTGTCATCTGCCCTGCATTGTGATATGGGAACTTGTCCCCTGATTTTATGACAAGTCAACGGGAAAATTACTGTAGGCTGACCTGTCTTAGGAAATGTTCTAATTTACATCAGTTCTGGAAAAAAAAAAAAAAAAAAAAAAAAAACAGCTCTTGCAAGCTGTCTCATTCTTTGAGGTAGTAGTGAAGCGCTTGTATCATATCCATAATTAAGCCTTTTTAAGGTGTCATTTCTGTTAAAGGTGGTTTTGTCTCTGTCAGCTTATTGGTTTTGACAATGTTGAACACAAGACTATCAAACAAAGCAGTTCTGATACCACCAGGCCCAGGAATTTGTACCTAACAATGCCTGCAGGGCTCTGTGACTCTGAGGTCTATAGCAGTGGCAAAAGAATTTGTTGAGAGTAGCTGAAACCACATTCTGAAATAAGAATAACTGTTTTAGCAGTTATGCAGTGTGGTGGGAGAGGGGAGAGGAGGAGAGAGGTGCATATAGCCCAGTGTCTTCCCCTCCATTGGAGGGGTTTATATCATTCCTCCTCCATTGCCGTCTGCCCCCAATGTAGACATGTAACAGCCCACCACTAGGGCAAAATAAAACATATAATTGCCAGGAACTTTGAAAACTATGTGTATTAGTCAGGGATCTCTAGAGGGACAGAACTAATAGGGTAGATGAATACATGAAGGGGAGTTTATTAGGGGAATTGACTCACAGGGTCACAAAGTGAAGTCCCACAATAGGTCACCTGCAAGTGGAGGAGCCAGAAAGCCAGGCGGAGTCCCAAAACCTCAAAAATAGGGAAGCCGTACGTGCAGCCTTCAGTCTGTGACCAAAGGCCCCAGAGTCCCTGGCCAATCACTGTTGTAAGTTCATGAGTCCAAAAGCTGAAGAACTTGGAGTCTGATGTTCGAGGGCAGGAAGCATCCAGCATGGGAGAAAGACGGAGGCCAGAAGATTTAGCTAGTTTAGTCCTTCCACGTTCCTCTGCCTGCTTTTATCCTAACCAGGCTGGCAGCTGATTAGATGGTGCCCACTCAGATTGAGGGTGGGTCTGCCTCTCCTAGTCCACTGACTCAAATCTTAATTTCCTTTTGGCAACACCCTCACAGACACACCTGGCAACAGTACTTTGCATCCTTCAATCCAATCAAGTTGACACTGGATATTAACCATCACACTATGAAACATAATTAACCATCACACTATGAAACCATCACACCATGAAACAAAATCAACTATACATATCGTGAAACTTGCATTTCAGTTCTGTTTGTTTCAGGGACATTGCAAATTTTTCAAATTTTTCCTCGTAGTAGAAATGAAAAGTAGGGGTAAGCTAGGTTGCACATATCATGGAGGGAATCCGCCACTGCTATTTCAGTGTACACTTTTCCACTTAGGAATCTGACAAGGGGAGGGAGTTAGAGTAAGCCTGTCATTTACTACAGTAATTTTAACTTCAGTAATTAAAAAACAAACAAAACCATGAGTACCATATTGCTAAGTTAGGAAAACTGAAGACTTCCCAGGCCAGCTACTTAACCCCTTGGCATCAGCCTTACTGCTGCTGCTTTGCTGCTGAATCATCCCTGTTTGAATACCTGGGCTGTTCCCTGGTTCTTTGGGTCCACTCCTACCTTGAAATTCCAGTCTCATGTTCCCATCTTATTTCCCCTCTGTCTCACTAGTATCCTGCCTGGTATTCAAATTTTCGAAGGCCTGGGAATGAGTGCACCTTGTTTTTATCAGATATGGCTTGTGGGTCCCGTCTGTGGTGTCCGTGCTTTGGCAAGACCCCCTCTGTCTGCTCCAGGCCACTTGCAGCCCAGATGTCTTCCGAGATGGTTGCCAGACTCCCCTCAGCTACTGACTATCCATCTGGTATCTAGTCCTTGCCCTACCATATCCTGCCCAGTTGAATTCTGACTAGCTGGTTCTGCTCATAGATTAATATACATGGATGGGAAAATTAGAGGTGTTATCTCAGGATGTAGGGTGATGTGAAATCAAGAAGGGTCTTGAATGCTTCTTGAAGAGTAGAGAGTTCACTGTGGAAATGATGGCTGTGACTGTTTTCTGAGCAAGGTCACAATGGGGTCCCAGCTGTGCTTCAGGAAGTGATGTTAGACCTATGTCTAGGATAAACAGGACTAGCCATGATGGTGACTACAGATGGAATATAATAAAGACCTGACCCGAGCATGGGGAGTCATTCAGGAGTGGAGGTGGAAGGAGAGAGAAGAGCAGGCAATGACCTTAGGTTTCCACACCCAAGTGACTGGGAGAGATGGAATCACTGGGCCTGCCTGTTGTGGGGTAGGCTGTGTGTGCTTTCAATGTAGAAACTTCAGGTAGAGAGGGGACACTCCTGAGGAGGGGACACTCCTAAGGAGTAATCCAGAGACACTGAGATGAGGGCATGGAGTTAGGGATAGGGAGAGGGGATCCGTGCATCAATGGTGACATGACACTGTCCAGGTGCTCTGGGCAGAAGGTCTTTGTGCTCCATGTAAACCTGAACTTGGGCTCCAGGACAACTTCGGGGGCTCTGGACCTGAGAGACAGCATGATATGGTGAGAGGAGCACACGCTTTCAGACAGATGAACTGGGTTCAAACCTAGCTCACCTGTTTATGAGCTGTGTGACCTGGGGCAGGTTATTTTGTACTTGTGAGCCTGCATCTTCTTATCTGTAAAATGAGGTTAATAATAATGCTTTCTGGCAGGGTCACGAGGCTTAGTAATGCTTACTTCCAGTACTTTTCATGTTGCTCACCACAAAGTAGGTGTATAGTAAATTATAGCTAATATTCTTCTTATTATCTGACTTTGATGTTCACAAATGATTACAAGGTCTTGTGAAATGTTGTGCATTTTACGTGATTGGATGAGTCCCCCTCGTGTTTGCACAGTATTTTTAAGTTCACTTATTCCAATGAGGTTCTCATGACTAAGGAGGGACAGGAGTATTGACCTATTTTATGGGCGAGGACCCTGAGGCTACAGTGGGTGAGATGGCAGCAGGAATGCGGAGTTAGGCCTGCCCTCCACACCACGAAACTGACCAGAGCTCTGCAGTTGTGGGAGGAACATGCCAAATTTCACCAAGCCGTTATAGCTGTCCTTTTTGCTACTTTCAGTTGGAAAATATCTCTGGGAACACAAATTAATTACACTTTAAGTAACCACCTGAGTATGATTTCTTGGTCTCCCCTCCTGAGAAAGCCAAGTCCCCATCCCCATCCCCAGCCTTTATCTTTGTGTGCAATTGATTTGTGCTAATCCTGGAATGAGTTTGCTGATTGGAAGCCTTGTCCTCAGTAGTCTAGGATTTCACCTTCAACCCTGTCACCATCTGGCTGGACTGTGTGGAAATGGGAGGGGGGCCGCAGGCAGTGGCCCTTTGCACAAGTGATTGTGTTGGGCATTAAGTTGCAGAGGGCCAGGGAGTTGCTGCTATACGCACAGCACACAGGTCAGTGGGGGCAGGTCAGAAAGAGGATGCAGAAACCCGGAAACAAAGGCCTGTCATCCTTCACGGCGCTTCATTGTCCCCAGCTGAAGCCATCCATCACATTGCTTCCCCTGCAGCTGGATGGGCCAGCTGCTTCCCTGCAGGATCTTTTCTTTCTCTTGCCTGCCCCAAGGAGCACTTGATGTCTGTCTTTTCAAAGCTATTTCCTCCTAAGACTCCTTATGCACAATAACTATGGTGGACCGCTGGGTGCAGGAGGGACAACTGTTTTCAATGCTGGGAGGCCAGACCCATTTTGGATTCTTTTGAAGTCTTTTTCATTGTGATGTGTGGAGAAATGCAAATAGGGATCATTTTGGCTGATCCCACAGAAGTTATCCTCAGCAAGAT
Organism: Homo sapiens; assembly: GCF_000001405.40. NCBI lineage: Eukaryota > Metazoa > Chordata > Mammalia > Primates > Hominidae > Homo > Homo sapiens. Next base: position 133,711,111 of record NC_000002.12, on the reverse strand, counting down.
GGGGGAGCCTTGCAGTCAATTTTTTGAGTGCAGAGACAAGTGATTCTTTCAGATTCCCCCATGTCATGGTTAAGTTGGAAGAGCTAGTAGCCTATAGCTGGCTGCCTGTTGCTTCCATGAATCAAGTGGTCCTGCCCTTTTTCCCATTGCTGATGGGATAATACGAGCAGTTGGCTTCCAGTGAATCCACAGGCAAACTGTTATTGCCTGTACACATCACCAGGCTCCTGTTAAGATGCTATTGCAGAATATTTCCCAGAGCCATGAGTGAAGTCTGGTTATGATTCAGTCATGATAGAAACATGCTGTGTGCCTGTTGCAAGGTAACAGATTAGATTGAGTGACTCAAATGGGCAGTTAACTTAGATTTAATGGGACTGTAATTGTACAGCGAATTTTAAATGCCCTTTTGATTATTGCGTCAGGGTTATATTGAAATACAGGCTTGTCATTATGTCTTGATGTTTTAAAAACAATTACATCAAATCTAATGAGAGGGAACTCAGTGAGAACACCCAATTACCTCTCAAGGGTGCCAGGTTTTCCATTGCGGCTCTGTGATTTTCACTGACCTTGACATTTTTTCCCCAGTTGTGACATAAAAATAATGAATTTGGTTGTCATAATTAGTAATTATTCTTATCATGTAGCTTTTCTAATAAGCACCCCAAATTACCTAGTCTGTATTTTCTTCTTCAGGCTGCTTTCTCCTACTCACACTTGTTTCCCTCTCATTTCTCCGAGAATGGTGAAGATAAGAAACAAATATGCTTCTCTGGGATGAATTTGTTCTTTGATCTAATTCAATAAACAGTTTGAGTGCCTACAATATGCTAGGCTTTATGCTAACATAAGTGCTTGTATTATCCCACCAGCAATGGAAAAAAGGGCAGGCCCACTTGATTCATGCAAGCAACATTCACATAAAAGTGAATTCAAATGTCCCCATTCCCAACAAGCTTAAAAGTGAATTCAAACATTTTCCCCATCCTTACCAAGCTTAAAAGTGAATTCAAACATTGACCCCATTCTCAATAATCTTTTTCTCATTTTGTTCTCCTCTTCCTCCTCTTCTATCATCATAGCTGTTATTGTCATTCTCATCATCTGCTGAGTATTTACTGTATAGGGGCTGCTGTGTTAATTTCTTTTCATGTCTCATCTCAATGACATCTCATAAAAACCCCATGATTATTATTCCATTTCTTCAGATGAAGAAATCAAGTCTTAGAGACATTAAATACCTCAAGAAAGGAGCTGAGGTTTAAGCCCAGGTCTGTTTGGTTGCAAACCCTCAGAACCCCACAAATGCATATGACTCCACATCAGTCTATTGCTTTCAGCATTTGTAACAACTTTCCAGGACCAGAAGAATCAGAAAAGTTTCCTAGAGTGATCAATAATTGAGCTTCAGTTACCTCTCCAAGTCCTGGCTCCATTTGTGTGTACCGATAATCTGGCAGGTGGAACTCTCCATCTTCCCCTCTCACCTGCTCTCCAGGATTTTGTGCACATGGCTCCCTTTGTCAGCAGTGTCAGCAATGTCTTATCCTTCTGTCTTCCACATCTCAAAACCCTTCTAGGGTACCATATGGTGGCTCCCATGCCCTGTATCCCCAAAGCTATCTCTGACCCTCCAAGTAAGAATCAATTGCACTTTCCTCTGTAAATGCTCTTATACTTGATACTCTTGCAGTCCATAGCCCATTCTGTCTTGGATCTGTTAACTGTTCACCCTTCATACATTCCCCCACCCCGTGTATTCCTTGAGTGGAACTTGTGCATCTTGGTAGCTCTATAAAACCCAGTACAATATCTTGTAAATTTGGATTTTAAGAAAATACTTGCTGAATTGAATATTTAGCTGCAAGAGAAGCATGGCACAATTTAAGATGCTATATTTAGGAGGGAATGTGTCCTATAATTTCAAGGTATAGTTTCTGAAATTTTTCATTCAAGGGATTGTATTCAGAGTAGGGTCATTCAGTGGGGACTTAGAATGATTTTTATTAACTGGATAACTAAATACTAACATTCAAAAGTATCATAGGAAGTGTAAAAGTCATTGCTTTTCTCAACTCTGAGGCTATTCAAAGAAAGAAAAATTTTAAACAAAATCCCTGTAAATGTGAAGTAAAACAACTAAGCATAGTTAGAGTCAAGGTCCTTGTCCCAACTGACCTTTGAGTTTAAAGTAATGGAAAAATACCAGCATGGATTTATAAATTTAAATTTTTGTTTTTAGATCTGGGCTCTATGTTTGTATATGTGTGTGTATGTATGTGTATGTGTACTATATATATGGATAATATATAGATTTATATGTATATATACATAATGTTTATACTTACATATAAATTTATATCTGTATATTTATATATATGTCTTTATATACACATATAATGTAAATAATATACTATATTATTATATAGGGGATATAGAGCATTGGAGCCACCTTGTATACCCTAAAAAGGTTTTGACAGATGGATGAAAGGAGGAAAAGACATTGTTGACATTGTTGGCAAAGGGAGCCATGTGCACAAATAATATATATATAATGTAAATAATATATATAAACATATATAAGTATAATACATATGCACACACACACATATATATCTGTTTCAAAATAAATATCACAGATCTTGACTTTTGGGTTAGTTAGTTCCTCCTCTGTGCCATAGGCCTTTGCATTTATGTCTTTTAGTGCATTTGTTATACATAAATCATTTGTTTTCCCAATTAAGTGGTGAGTTTTCTGAGTGGCTGCTCAGTGGTACATGCTCAAAGAAATAGTGGTTTGAACTGAAGTAAGATTTAAATCTGTTTCAGTAAATAAAATTACCTAAAGCTGGGACAATATGATATTGACCTTACTCGTTCTTATATAAATCAACATTTAACTCTTAGGCTTTGCCTAGGCCTTCTTAATGTTTGAAAAGTGATGATAATAGCTAACATTGACTGTGCACATACTGTGCATCACACTCTGTTGTAAGTACTTTTATTCTGTTCTAAATTTCTGTTATTTGATTTTCTGTTATATATGAGAAAACTGAGATGTAGAGGTTAAGTAACTTGCTCATGATTGCACATCTGTTAAGTGGTGGACTTCTACCAGAGCCTAATCGTAACAATGTCTGAGATAGTAATTTTACCCTACATGTGCATATGACTTAATTATCTACAAGTGCTTTAGCACATTATCTTATATTATTCTTATTTAATGAGCAAATTTACTCTAACAACTGTACGTTTTCCTTGATGAACAAAATACAGAAGTAGTCAGCTGACCTCAAGACCTCAGAATCTAGTGGGAGTGATTTTGGAATACTGATGACCTAGATTCTTGTTCTGACATAGTCACCAATAAATATCGTGACATTAGGCAAGACATTTCATCTCTCTGGGATAAACTGAATGGTAGGGTTATAATCAAATAATCATCAAAAGCTTGAGGATCTTTTTAATCAGCAGAATACAATGAATCTGCAGTATGTTCAAGATCTTGGAAGGTATTAGTGACAGAGCCAGGCTAAATCCCAGGGGTTAAACAGCTTGTTGTTTATAAAGGGGTTCTCCCAAAGCTGATACTAGGCCATCTTAGTTTACATAGAATATAAGAATGAGTTTTGTGTCATTTGATTCAAAAATTAATAAAATTAGTTAACAACATTTAAATCTAAGACGAATATCTCATTCCCTTGGTCAGGGTGGCTGTGTATATCTGCACAGGCTATGCACTGTACAACTCCAGAGAGCACTGTTCACATACACTGTGGGGAAAATGACACCCTTGGAACTGGAAAATATGGTGGCCTGGTCTTTGGCGACCCAATTCCCCATAAAAGCTGCTCCTTTGGTATTATTGTCATTATTTATTTGTTAAGGCAAAACCCCATATTGTAGAATGAGAAATGAATATAATGGGAAAGTGTCGGCAGGTCTGTGTGGTGCACAGGGTAGACACCTCAGGTCCTCCACACCTGTTTAGTCTCTTGATCCAGCCTGGATCACTTTTCATAGATTCTAAGAAACTTCATGTGGTCACATGTGACTGGCGTTGCCTGCCTTCTGTGAGAGTGAAAAGGAAAGCAAATTTGAACCAATGATGTATTTGCATCAGAAATATCAAACCAGTAGCAGATGCTGCTGGAACCAAGTCCACCAGACTACAGTTGAAGATCAAGGGATGAGGGAGATGCAGAATTGAACAGGTGCTGAGGTAGAGTCCAGTGATGAGGAATGCGTGGTAGGTTCAGGCTACAAGAGGGAAGAAACAGAGCAGAGGAAGCAGGACTTGCATTTATTTCAGCGAACCAGTTTTGCAAGCCAGGATCAAAGGTCCCAAGAGGCCCTCTTGTTTTTCTTAAAGGTATCTAATCCCTTCTCTGGTTGTGGTCATTCTGAGGGGTCTAAAAACTGGCTTTAGCCCACATATCCCAGAGGTTCTTGGATTTTAAATATACACCTAGAGATGACAGTAGAGGGTAATAAGTGGATTCCAAGTGCTGCCTAGGAGGGACATTTTGGGAAAGAGATGCTTCTTAGAAAGCCTTGAATCATGTGCCCCTGCAGGTGCTTGTGAGGCCCACTGTGTTCCGAGTAAGCAACAAAGCACAAGGATGCTTCCTACATACTTGATCCCAAAGGAAAAATGCTTACCTAAAACCGAGAAACACGTTTCTTTCTACTGAACAGTACATAATACATAGTGCATGTGTTATGGAGTTTCTTTGTGTCATCTTCTAAAGATTTTTTTGTTTTTAATCATTTTGACATTATCACTTATTATTCAGAGTCTTGAGGACGACAAAAAATTATAACAATAATTTTCCTGATTCTCCTGGAGTGCCTTCATGGCTGTATTTCATTTAAAATGAAAGCACCTAATTAGTTACTCAATTTGAGATAATTATCCATATCACTCACCTAAATAGTTAGAGTCTTCTGGCTCCCAGGAAAATGAAGTCAATTAGCAAATGCCCAAGTTCTTTATAGTCCTCTAGTTCCAGATGACTAATTTTCTCTATTTCTCTGTCATGCACACATCACTGACACCTCAGACTTTCATTATGTTCCCTGACTTCCTGTGTCATTTTAAATAAGTGTTTATATTATATTCCTTATTTGTTCTTCAAAGTAGTAATAGTCAAAATAAGCTTGCTGTTGAAATACACACTGGATTACAATATTTTATTCCCTTAAGGACCTGGGGTGTTTGAGATGCATGGACTTCTTAGTTCTGCTAGGCTCAGTTTTGATATATTCCACACATGGCTAATTACTGTCCAACAGGGATTGAAGCCCAGCTTTTCTATGCTAGGTAGTGTTTGGCAGGACATCCTTTTGCACTCAACCATCAGTCATCCCCTTTGCCTTTCTGGTACTTCTCAGAGGATGCCTTGGTCCTCAGCACTCACGAGCCCACACTGTGGTCCTTTTCCTCTGTCCTCTCACCTTGTAGTATGGGCAGTGCCCCCAGCTCTAGAGTGTGCTGCCCCTGTCATAACACCTGCAGTCTTGTGGCATAATGAAAAGCAAACATTTGGTCTTTCTCCTAGGCTCTCAGCACAGAGCTCTTAAAACCCTTGGAGACATCTGAGCCATAAGAGTGTCCTTTGTATGCTAATCAGATGACTCATGGTAGAGAGTTGGGGGTGGAGTGGGTAGATAGTTCCAGAATGGGGGCTGGTCCCAGAAACAGCCCGTCATTATTAGGTATGGTCATTAGGAGCAGGCCATTATTGGAACTTCCAGCCCCATGCCTCAACCTCCCAGGAGGGGAGAAGGGCTAGAGATTGAGTTCAACCACCAATGGCCAATCATTTGATCAATTGTGCCTGCATAAAGAAAGCTCCATAAAGACCCTGGAACAATGGGATTCAGGGAGCTTGCAGGGTGGCAAATGTATATTCATGTGCTGGTGCATCCTGACTCCATGGGGATACACCTCCTGCACTTGGGGACCTTCAGTCATTGCTCTATGAAGTTCTTCATTTGGTTATTTCTTTGTATCCTTAATAAGGAAAGTGCTTTCCTGAGTTCTGTGAACCATTGTAGTGAATTACTGGACCTGAGATGGGGTCATAGAAACCCGTGGATTTATAGTCAATAGAAGTGTAGGTAACCTGAACACCCCATCTGCAGCTGCCATCTGAAGTGGGGCAGTCTTGTGCGGCTGAACTTATAACCTGTGGGGTCTATGCTAACTCTAGGTGTCAGAATTGAATTGAATTGAATTCTTGAATGCCCAGTTGGTGTCAGAGAATTTTGGGGGAACTGATTGTTGTCAGAAAAAACCCACACACATTTAGTATTAGAAGTGGTGTCTGAAAACACTACACAGACTCTGATCTCTGTTAGGATCATTTCAATTTATATTAAAATTGTTAAAATCTCAATGAAAAAGTTTTTTTCCCCAGGCAACAGATTGGCATTTAATGAGACTCTCTCAACACCTTACTTTAGAGGTGTCCGCAACAGTGGGGAGGCTCCAGTGTGGCAGGCTGGTGCAGAAAAGCTATTTGGCCAGCACTGTAGCAATACAGAAATCATACCACATTGGCAATGGGTGCAGCAGAACCCTTGGATATACCATTGTATCCACAGTAAATCATTATTTTTTATCACTAGTGAGAGTGATCTGAGTGGCAAGAGTGTCTGCAGCACATGTTACATTATAATATTGATGGTGATGGTAATGCTGATAAACCTTTGAACATTTAATAATTCATTTCTGTAGCTTGTTCCAAAATGCCCTGTGATGTCAAAGTACTGTGAACAGAAGTGCAGTGAACATTTTGACTTAAAGGATGCAAGGTACATTATTCTTCCCTATTGTAGCTATCATGGGGCCGTGTGTTGAGATGATGGATCCACAAGGCAGAAGCATCCAGATGCCTCTGTAACCTCCTGGCAGAGGGCTGTACTGCACAATTGCGGAGATCTACGGTGGACTTTGTGTGAGCAAGAGATAAACTGTTACCTGTTTGAGGTGCTGAGATTGTGGGTTGCTATTTACTGCAGGATTGTCTAGCCAAGTTCCCTCCAAGAGTTATTTTCTTCCCAGGAAGCTCAAAGTAGAAGTTCCCTTTTTCTGTGCGTAAGGAAACACCCCACTGATGAATTCATTTCGTGTCAATATGGCTAAGCTAGAAACACATTTTCCAGAATTCCCTTCCCCTTGTAGTTCCTATTTAGCATAGGCTTCAAGAAAAACTTTGTGTAAGATTTAGAAGAGGGAGCGAAGGGGCGGTTTGTTCCTTCACATACTCAGGAGGTGGGTGCAGTGCACGCATGCGGTTGCTTATCTACTACCTCACCTAGTTGGTTTGGGACCATGCTGGGCCCACAGCTCCAGCTCCTGCAAACGTTCTGCTTCAGCTTCTCTGAATCATGGGTTAGCTACATATGAGCATCCTGACGAAGAGTACCCATTTCTTACCCAGAAAGCTGTTGTCATCTGAGCTGAGGGCTTGGAGGTGGGGAGACAGCCCAGACTCCAGTCTTCTCTGGTGGGTTCCAGCTCAGCCTTGCTAGTTCCCACTTGTCCTCCACTTCATGTACAGTCTCCTTTCCCAGCTGCATGCCCTGTGGCCTTTGGGCTCTAGCACCAGGCATGGAAACAACAGCCTTGCCTAGACTAAGTGACTAGCTGGTCCACTGTGTAGGGTGCAGTCCTCATGATGCGTATTCCCTAGTGGTTCTCATTCTCTGAGCAGACCTGGGCTGGTGCATAAACCATGGCTCTCTCCTCCTCACCATTTTAGTTACTGCTAACTTAGAACACACCACCTGTCTCTCACCTTCACTGCTGCTGCCACTTCTCTGTTTCCATTCCAGCCCCAACCATTCACTGTCCACACAACAATTAAAAAGGGATCATTTTCCAGTATGAATGGAATCACATCCCTTCCCTGATCAAAAGCCTCCCAGGGCTTCCCATTACTTTTAAGAACAAAATCCATATGAGTTATTTAAGGCCTGCCTGACTTGGCCCCATACGCCTCTTCTCCTTCTGTTTCCACGTTCTGCCAGACTCCCTCTCTGATGCACACAGGCCCCCTCCCACCTTCCTCCTCCAGAGATAGCTTAGAAAAAGAGACGAGGCCGGGCGCGGTGGCTCACGCCTGTAATCCCAGCACTTTGGGAGGCCGAGGCGGGCGGATCACGAGGTCAGGAGATCGAGACCATCCCGGCTAAAACGGTGAAACCCCGTCTCTACTAAAAATACAAAAAATTAGCCGGGCGTAGTGGCGGGCGCCTGTAGTCCCAGCTACTTGGGAGGCTGAGGCAGGAGAATGGCGTGAACCCGGGAGGCGGAGCTTGCAGTGAGCCGAGATCCCGCCACTGCACTCCAGCCTGGGCGACAGAGCAAGACTCCGTCTCAAAAAAAAAAAAAGAAAAAGAGACGAGTGAGGAGAACGTTAAGCAAGGTGAGAACTATCCTTCATACCATGAAAATAAGCTTATGGTAAGCCAAACAAGATGGAACCATGGATTTAAAGCTTTGTGGATCATGATCTGCAGTAAGCAAATGCAGTTTACACACACATACACACACACAGCCAAAAAGAGTCATTTCATTAAACAATGTAATATGGTCTTATGTGGTATATACTCTGATATTTTCTTATATAAGTAATATAGTAATATATTACTTATATATAAAATATGTTATACATGAAATATATATAAATATAAAAAATATATAACATATTTTATATAACGTATATAATATATATAAGTAATATATATATTACTTATACAGTAATATAAAAATACTGACTTTTCCATGCTATTTCCTCTTTTCCCCTTCTCTACTTCTTACTCCTCCACTCCCTTTCCCTCAGAAAAATTTTGGCTTTGACCCACTAAGTTGATTTCATGACTCACTGGTGGGCCATAACTTGAAGTTTGAAGCATATGAGATAGAGAGAAGTTTTGGGGTAGGGAGAGTAGAGCTTTCAGGAATCTGAACCCCATGGACCACTAGAGAACAAGAGTAATTAGCTGGCATAGGTCACTCACTTTGTATGAGATCCCTTGTTTCAACATCTCGTCTCCATTCTGTTTGCCTTTTTGGAAGGGATCAAGACCCAGGCTGTAACTCTGAATGCCTCCTGTGCTTCCCTATTCAAATAGTAATTTCATCAGGGTGTCGTCCACATTGTCTTATTCCCTTTCTAAGTATCAGTTTCTTCACCTTAAGATAGGAACAATAATAATCCCAACTTTATGTAGTTATTGTGAAGATTATATGAAGAAACGTAATGAAAGGACTAAGCCTATGCCAACACCTAATAAATAGCCAACAAGGCCTAAGGTGTTATCAGCTTGCAAAGATTCCCTGGATGAGCCCCCAAGATCCCAGAGTTTTTCAATGTGAGTTTGCCTGACCCAGTTTGGAACCACTTAGAGGTAAACAACATCTCTGGACAGATCAGTACTGGAATATCTGAGAGAATGTGACTTACACACGTGACCATAGTGTACTTCCAAAAGCAGAAATCCAGAACTGAACAAATGTGCACACCCATTAAAAGGCAGCACTGAGCACCCGCAGGCCTCCTGAGCAGGGGCAGAGTCTGCCCGTGTATAACTGTCAGGAGAAGGAGCAGAACACAGGGTATCCCATGTGGAAGTCAGGCAGGTCCCCAAGAGAGAGGAAAGGGCGAGCCACATATACATGGCTTCTGCACCCTAATCTATCATCTATCCAGACCACTCAACCAAACTTTCTTCCTATTGATAATAATGGTTTCCAGCTTTTGGCTTATCCTGGCTTTTGACATGCCTTCCTCACTAAGCTTAATCATTTCTAGCTTTCAATTTAAAGCCAGAGATGTGCCACTCTTCCTTTCACTTGAACACTTAAAGGGCTCTGTAGGACTATTAATTGGCCTAATTTCAATACTTTGTGTCTCAGGGAATAGGGAGGCCAGAGGAGAGGGAGAGAGATGTGGGGAAGGCCAGTCAGTGGAGCAGTCAGAGCACACACAGTATTTATTAAGTTTGCCAACTTCCATGGATGCAGTTTATGGCACATCAAAACAAATACAATAGTAACATTAAAAATCACCAACCACAGGTCGGGTGTGGTGGCTCATGCCTGTAATCTCAGCACTTTGGGAGGCCAAGGCGGGCAGATCACGAGGTCAGGAGTTCAATACCAGCCTGGCTAACATGGTAAAACACCGTCTCTACTAAAAATACAAAAATTAGCTGGGCAAGGTGGTAGGTGCCTGTAGTCCCAGCTACTTGGAAGGCTGAGGCAGGAGAATCGCTTGAACCTGGGAGGGGGAGGTTGCAGTGAGCCAAGATCATACCACCGCACTCCAGCCCGGGTGACAGAGTGAGACTCTATCTAAACAAACAAACAAAAAACAGATCACCGTAACACATATAATATTAACAAAAAATTTCTAAATATTGTGAGACTTACCAAAATGTGAAAAGGAGACATGAAGTGAGCACATGCCGTTGGAAAAATGGTGCCAAAAGTCATGCTCCATGCAGGGTGGTCACAAACTTTCAACATATAAAAATAAAGGAAAGTACATTAAAGGAAGGTATGCCTGTATTCAGCATTTTTCTGAATGATTACAGAATCTTGTTTGCCTGTATGTGTGCACATGCACGTGTGCACACGTGTGTGAGTGTGTAGCATCTCAAAGGACTCTTGCTTCATGAAACAGTTTAAAAAAAAACCACTATGATAGACAATTACTTCTCTTCTCTGACTTTCACTTTCTTTTCACTGAAAGTCAGTGAAATCTGACTCACATTTTCAGATGATACTAGTAGACCCTTCAAGCAGATGCCATGTTGTCATGAGACTTTCCCTGCTTTGGATCTCCAACTGTCCTTGAAATAATTTAAAGCTGTTTGTATTTAGTTTTAGGCAAGCATGTTCTAAGGAAGTATGTGAGGATGGTAGTGTGTAAGTGCAGATGTTATGTATAAATTTTAAGGGGTGGTTGCTTCTCCATGATATAATTGGAAAGAACTGGCAGCTCACTCATGCATGAGTAGCTCGGCCCATGAAAAGCAACCATTGGTGGTAATAGCTGTGACTACAGCACATTCCAGTTAGCCCCTATAGAAGGCAGTATAATGGACCCCCAAAGATGTCCACTTCCTAGTTCCAAGAACCTGTGAATATGTTATCTTACATGGAAAAATATACTGTGTGGATGTGATTAAATTAAGCACTTTGAGATGGGGGGACGATCCTGGATTGTACGGGTGGTTTCTGGTGTGATTACAAATGCAACTACAAGGGGCCTCGGAAGTGGAAGAAGATGCAGAATAGAAGAGACGGAAGGAAATGTGACTGTGGAAGAAAGATCTGAGAGGGAGGGAGCATTGCTGACTTTGAAGTTGGAAGGGTCCCAGAACCAAGAAATATGGGCAACCTCTGGAAGCTGGAAAAGGCAAGGAAATTGGATTCCTCTCTAGGATGTTGAGAGAGGAACACAGCTCTCTTGACACCTTGACTTTAGCCTAGTGAGATCCATGTTCAGCTTGCAACCTACAGAACTTCAAGATAATAAACGTGTATTATTTTAAGCCACTGGGATTGTGGTAATTGGTTATGGCAGCAATAAGAAATTAATATGGCTTCATAGAACAAGACCCCTGGCTCTTTCTCCGTGGGATAGCCTGGACATGCCTTTGCTTCTGCACCACTGGAACCCATGAAAGGAATTCCTGATTTCTTCTGATCCCGAGTGTCTCAGGGCCCCATGGACTACTAGATTGCCTTCCTGATCCCTCTTCTGGAATGGTGAGAGCTGAGATTCCTGCTTTCTCCTGGGATAGAGGCTCTTCCCTCTCCTCCATTGAGGGTTCAAAAAACGCAAAGGGCAACATGAAAAATTCTTTAATTATTCTACTTGCATCTGGAAAATTTCTTTTATTTGGAAAGAGGAAAAGGAAAATAATCTTCTACTAGAGTATAACTGATTCTGAATAATTATCCTCAGGGTTTGATCTATCTATATTGCCAATCTGCATAAATCAACATCTTCCCTAGTCTCAACTTCCTGCAGTTCAATCATCCCGTTAGAGAGTATGAATTAGCAATATAATAACGTCAAATCATTCCTTAAGCCCCAAGATTTCGCAGTCACAAACGTAAAGTGATATGTACACTCTACTTATATACTTATTAATTTATTTTTCCCTGAGAACACTTATAGTGTTACTCATTAGAAGCCTGAGGCTAGATTAGATCAATGACTTCCAAGTTTGTGCCCATCATCCATAGTAAGATGGACATTTTATATCACAGCCCAGTATAGACACACACTCATGAAAATTATGAAACATTTTTTACCCTTGTTAAATGGAATCATTCTGATATTTTCCATTTCATTTAAAAAATACTGTTTAAAAATAATATCTAAAAAAATACTGATTAGGCCAGGCACGGTGGCTTGTGCCTGTAATCCCAGCACTTTGGGAGGCCGAGGTGGGTAGATCACCTGAGGTCAGGAGTTTGAGACCAGCCTGGCCAACATGTGAAACCTCATCTCTACTGAAAATGTAAAAATTAGCCGGGTATGGTAGCACACACCTGTAATCGCAGCTACTTAGGAGGCTGAGGCAGGAGAATTGATTGAACCTGGGAGATGAAGGTTGCAGTGAGCCAAGATTGTGCCATTGCACTCCAGCCTGGGCAAAAAGACTGAAACTCCATTTCAAAAAAAAAAATAATAAAATAAAACTGATTATAATCCAGTAAACTGATCTTAGGACCCACTTATCACTTGTGACCTGCCTTTTCAAAACACCATATTAAATGGATCTTGGGTTCTCTTTTTTAGTTCTAACACTATTGTAATCTTGAATAATTAAGAATGTTAAGAATACAACTTTGATAGTCTCTGTCCCCATGCCTCAACTTAAAGTGTTGATATATTTAAATACTTCATTAGTAAAGTGTCTTCTTATTGTAAGTTAAGGAATTGCCCCATTCTTCTATGTAACTTTGTTAGAAATAGTAAATTCAGTTGGTGCAATGATAATCACATTAGGATCTCAAAAATTATGTACTTGAATGTATGATTAAGCTCAGTATTTTAATATCAAATTACAGTTTTTGTAACTACCCTGAATGTAATTGTGTCTTGCTGTTTATAATTATTTTCTCAGCTTAATGAAATTTTAATAAATTGGACATGGAATTGATCCTTCAAGGAAACATTTTTCATAATTAGAAATTTTTCTCAAACTTGGTGGATTGATGTTATTGGCTTTTTCTTTGTGATTGTGTTTATATAAATAGAAACATTGCTCTGAAACTTCAAAGGTCAAATGGGTAGGAATTAAATTGGTTCAGTCCTAATGTATTTGAAGAGACAGATTTTGAAAGTTTCTAGGAAACAGCAAAATAATATTTTCACTCCAACTTTTTCTTCGAGCTATTCCTATATTTCTGTTCTCCATCTTTGTATCCCATACCTGAACAGTCCAGAATATCAGCATTACCATGCCATAAAGTGTTTACAATTCTGCTCTGAGCTGACATCTGTTACAAACAGCATGTTGCTTACAACAACATTAAAAAAAAAGCTTTTTATGTAACACAGATAGCACCTGTATCACAAAGGCAAATAGTATGCATTATTCCTTTGAATGAAAGCTTATCTCTGAGCCAAATGCTATACACTAAATAATAATGATAATAAAAATCTACCTACTGGCAATGCATACCAAAATACAAATATCTTGTTACAGTATTTTCTATTCAGATAATAATGTAGACATCTCTTGAATACCTTTTCTTTTCTGATCTGCATACAAATGGGAGAATTATTGGTTTTGTCTGATAAGGTGCTTGGCGTATACAATGGGGCCAAACCAATTATCTTCTTGGCTGACTTATGTTAGAAAATCCTGCAGATTTGTGCATTACATGAGGGAGTGTTGAACTGTGACGAACAAAATTCTGATCAATACAATCTGATCAAGAGGACGTCTGTTTTTCTTACAACATCATTAATTTGCAAAACCTCACATTCCAGCTCAACTTTTGGAAGTACCATTCCACTACAAAAAGCTTTCTTAAAAAGTTGTTAAAATTTGTGCTGCCTAAACCCCTGGAAAAACAAGAGAGCCAGTTGGGAAAGAATTTGGTGGAGAGGAAGTAGTTCACAGAAAGTCACCACTATCAGTTTCTTTCCTAGGATGGCAACAGGTGTGGTGTGGCAGCTTCTTCTCCCAGCATTAACACTGACTGACCTGATGCCCCAGCTGCACTTCTCAGAGGCAGCGGTTAGAGATCACCTCCTCCGCTGCTTCCAAACGAGGTGCTCCATGCCCTCACCCTTCAACCTCTCAATTTATTTAACCTCATCTCATCAAATTCCTCTCCCTTTACTACTGTTGGGTTTTGAAAAATGAGAATTCTAAACCAAATGAGAAAAAGACACAGACATAAGATAGGGTGTCACATACTCAATTTATAATTGGTAAAGCAGGATTGGAGGTTGTGGCTTTGACCTAAGATTTAACCATTTAAAGCTTTCTCTTCCGTCCTCTCAAGGTGCAGGATCTATCCTGGTGGGTGAGTTTGCTAATTGGAAGAGGCAAGAGTAGAGAGGGGAAGGAACATGGCCTTTAGGCTCAGAGATTCTGAGGGAAGGCCAAAAAGAGCCTGGATAATGACCCATTTCCAAAGCTCACCCATCAAACCCTTTTTCCTTGAGAAAAACAGAGTTTGCCTGTTATTTAACATTTCTGAGAAGTGTTCTTTTTCCTCCATTTAAAATAATGAGATAGATATGTCTTTTTTCTTATTATAGAAACTACAACAATATTCTAGATATGAGTTCTTTGTTGGCTGTATTTATTGTAAATATCTGATTCTCATCTGTAACTTGACATTTCACTCTCTCAGTGGTATCTTTTTATAAGCAGAAGTTCCTAATTTTAATGCAGTTCAGTTTGTCAGTTTTTTCTTTTTGACCTGTATTTGTATATTCAATTTAAGAAATCTCTGTCTATCCTAAAGTCATGAAGTTGTTCTTTTATCTCTAATGGTTTACATTTATCTCTATGAAGAATCCGAGGTTGATTTTTGTTTATGATGGATGTAGGGAAGAGGATTTCTTTTTTTTCCTCTCATGAATATCCAATTTATAAAGCACCAGTTATTGAAAATACTATCTTTTTTCCCATTCCATTGTGGTAGTACTTTATCATAAAGCAGGTAGCCCTATAGGAATGGGTCTGGCTGGTGATTTTCTTTTCTGTTCCATTGCTCTCATTGCTGATCATTGCACCCCTGTCTTTTTTACTGTAACTTTATAATAAGTTTTAATACTAATAGTGAAGCCATATTACTCTGCTCCCCTTCTTCAAGATGGCTATTCTTAGCCTTTAAAATTTTGATATAAACTGTAGAATCCCTCCTAGGATTTTTATTGAAAATGTATTGACTCTAGGTCAACTTGAGGAGAAATGATGTCTTTGCAAAACATTTTAACATGTATCCCTCTATTTATGTCTTAATGTCTATTACTAATCATTGGTGGCTTTCTATTAGGGATCTTGTGTCTCTTTCCTCAGGTCTATTCTTAGGTATTTGATGTTTTTGAAGCTACTTTAAATAGGATTATTTTTAAATCTAATTTAAAAATTTTGAGTGATTTGTTTCTAATAAGCAGAGATACAATTACCTTTCCAAATTCGTTTATTCATTCTAATAGCTAATATGTAGAATCATTTGGATTTTCTGCATACAATATCATGTCATTTATAAATCATAGCATTTTTGTTTCTAATTATTATACCATTTATTTCTTCTTCTAACCTGTTTCACTGTCCAAGATCTTGAGAATAATGCTGAAATAAGTGGTGAAAAATGGACATCCTTCTTTTGTTTTTGATTCAAAATTCTCAAGTATTTCACTATTAAGTATGATGTTTGCTATAAATTCAATTTGTTTTGGTAACTATTCCTTATCAGGTTAAAGAAGCCTTCCGTCTGTTTCTAGTTTGTAGACAGTTTTTACTATGAACAGATGTCACATACTGTAAGATAATTTTTCTGTATTAATTGAGCTGGTCATATGTTTCATCTACTTTATTCATTTAGTGAGGAGAATCACACTGATTGATTTTTCGAATGTAAACTAGCCATGCATTCCTGACATAAGCCCAAGATATGCTATCTTTTATATATGTGGTCATGATATATTGTCATTTTAATATGTCGCTATATTTGAAGGGCTAAGATTTTATTTAGAATTTTAAAATTTATGTTCATGAAAGAGTTGAACCTGTAATTATCTTGTTTTGTAAGATGTCTTTGTCCTGTTTTGGTATCAAGATTATTCTGGCCTTGTAAAATAAAATAAATTGGGAAATGTTACTTCTTTTCCTATTATCTGGAAGAATTTTTATAAGATTTGTCGTATTTTGTCTTTACTGTTTAGAAGAATTCAGTGAGGGTGTCATCTGGGCTTGGAGATTTTTCATGTGGGAAGGTTCTAATTATGTATTCAATTTCTTCAGGAGGTATAAGGGACACTTCCGGTTTACATTTTGAGATTTAGAGAGCTGGAAAAGGTAATGTTCCACTCCCTTGCAATGAAAAAAATGGGGCAAACTGCCAAGTTCACAACTGGTTTTTTTTTTTGTTATTGTTGTTATTGTTGTTGTTGTTTTAGATGGAGTCTCACTCTGTCACCCAGGCTGAAGTGCTGTAGCATGATCTTGGCTTAGTGCAACCTCTGGCTCCCAGGTTCAAGTGATTCTTCTGCCTCAGCCTCCTGAGTAGCTGGGACTACAGGCATATGCCACCACGCCCGGCTAATTTTTGTATTTTTAGTAGAGATGAGGTTTCACCATATTGGCCAGGCTGGTCTTGAACTCCTGACCTCGTGATCTGCCTTCCTCGGCCTCCCAAAGTGCTAGGATTACAGGCGTGAGCCACCGCACCTGGCCAAGTTCACAACTGTTTTTGAAAACTTTGGAGAGATGAAGCCACAACAAACTGTCACAAAATACACAAAGAAAGGGCTATCTACCAGGACAGATAAGATGAGAGCTCTGACTTACCCGGAATGGAAACAACCAGACATTGACTGGTAAAAACAGTTCTGCTAGGATGTTGGCAAATGGGTAGAGGTCAAGCTTGCCCTGGAGAGGGTAACGGCCTTAGAGCCACAGCAATTGGTAGGGTCTTCCTCCGCTTGCAGGCTTTTGCTGCACACAAACCTCACTGCATGCTCACAGCAACACTAGAGAGAGTTCTAAGAAAATAAAATGCAAAGAGAAAAAAATAGTGAACAAAACAGAGCAGAGCATACAAAAGCTATGAGACAATATAAAATAATTTAACACATGCATAATAGAAATCTCAGAATGAAAGAAAGAATGGGATAGAAGAAATGCTCAAAGAAATATTGGCTGATAATATTCAAAAATTAATGACAAACATCAAGTCACAGATCCAAAATGGCCATAGAGTATGAAATAAGATTAAAAACCTTCCCCCTTAAGAGGAAAAAAAAACCTCTAAAACTGAGGCATATTATATTCAAACTGCTAAAAGCCAAAGACAAAAGGAAAATCTTAAAGGCAGTCAGAGAAAAAAGATACATTATCTAGAAAGAAATAAGGAGAGTGATCAATTCAGCAGGCTTATCACTAGAACTATAATAAATAAGAGGACAATGAAATGGCATTTTAAAGCAGCAAACAAACCAACAAAAATACCACTGCCAGAAAAAATTCTGTTCCCAGTGAAAACATCTTTCAAAAATAAGGAGAAACAAAGATTTTCTTAAAACAACAAAAGCAGAGGAAAGTTATTGCCAGCACAGCTACTCTATAAAAAAGCCTCAAAAGATTCTGACACTAAGTGTGAACCTAGATTCACACAAATAAAGAACCTAGAAGTAAAATATAAGTAAAATAAAATTTATTTTTTAAAAATAAATAGATGTACGAGGAGATAACTGACCATCTAAAGCAAAAATAGTAACAATGAAAATGTGACATATTAAAATGTGTGGTATGCAGCTAAAGCAGTATTTGAGGAAAACTTATAGCATTAAAATGCCTATACAGTAGTCATCCCTTATCTAAAGGGGCTACATTCTAAGACTCATAGTGGATACCTGAAAGTATGGATAGTAATGAACCCTATATGTATTATGGTTTTTCAATCTGATATATGAGATGGCTACCAAGTAACTAATGGGAGGGTGGTTTATACAGCCTGGAAATGCTGGACAGAAGGTTGATCCTGGGCAGAATGGTGCAAGATTTCATTCTACTACTCGGAACAGTGTACAATTTAACTTATGAATTGTTGAAACTTATGAACTATTTATTTCTGGGATTTTCCATTTAATATTTTGGACTACAGTTGACCAAGAATAACGGAAACTTCAGAAATTGAAACTGTGGATAAAGGTGGGGAGCAACTGTATTAGAAAAAAAGAAAGGTTTCAAATCAGTAATCCAAGCTTCCATCTTAGGAAATTAGAAAAAGAAGAACAAATTAAACTCGAAGTAAACATTAGGAAGGAAATAATAAATACAAGAACCAAAATCTATAAAGTTGAACATAGAAAAACAAGAAAGATTTACAAATTCAAAAGCTACTTCTTTGAAAAAAAACAGTAAGATTAATAAACCTCTAGGAAGACTAACCAGACAGAGAGACAGACAGAAAGAGAGAGAAGATATAAATTATAAACAGTTTTAAAAATTTTCTATAAATCTAAAATGTGTTTGAATACATGGTTTAAAAAAATATGGAGATATTCTGTCATCATGAAAGATGACTGTATTGTATACTCCATAAATGTTGGTTGAATTGAGTTGAATTGGCTGACCTGGTAACATGTAGCAGAGATTGAGAGCAGGAAATAAATAGTTTGGTATTTGACAAATTTGTTGCTTAAAAGGTCAAGTACCATTTGTGAATTAAGGGTTTTGTGTACAGCTTAGTTTGTGAAAGTCAGGGTTTAGAATATAAAATGATGTATATTTTTAGTTATTTAATAAAAAATATTAGAATTACATATTTGAATTTTGATTCTGTTCTTTTTACCAGAGAAAAATTTATTTGAGTCTAATGTGGGGCCACTTAAAAAGTTAGCTGGGATTTGAGAGTAATAAATGAGTTTGGTGTACCTTTTGAAGCTTGTTGGCATCAGTAAGCTTTGCCAAAATATGCCTTTGACCTGAGATTTGATGGGTGTGTATCTAGGAAATGGTCTATTTCAATTCTATTACCTGGAATTTATATAGCTATGTATCTCATAAATTCCACTCTTTCACATTACCTTTATACATTACAATTGCCCACATGGCTGTTACAGTCTCTTGAATAAAAATGCTTTCTATATTCATCATTAATTTACCCAAGAAAGTAAATTATTCCTTGCAAGGAATTCAATTCCCAGAGTCTATCAGGTCCTTCTGTACTGAACAGGTGTGGGACAGCAAAAAACCCTGGTCCTGTTCAGTGTCTTTTTGTTCTTGAGTTTCACTGAGGGAAGCTCATGTTATTTTAACCTTTTCCTACTGTGCCCAGCCATGAAGAATTCTTTGAAGCTGGTCTGAACGTGTTTTGTTCTTCCCCGGTGGAGTCCCATTCTCCCACAATTTGTGTTCTCCTATCCCTTTGGGAGTTGCCCTATGTGTGCATTTTTCTCTTCCCCTATTCACTCTCAAGCTTTATCATTTCACTTTGACTTTGGCTTTCTTCCTTCAAACCTTCTGCTTTCATTTGACAAGCCCTCCAGGGGTAAGAACAGAAAGATTCAGGAAAGTAATGACTGAAAATAGATGTTAAATTCCCAGGATTGCTCTGTTAGATTAATTAGTGCTAAAATTTTTGATGGTAAAAAAAAAAAAAGATCTGTGTTTTGAAACAAAATTACACAAGCTGTATATAATACTATTTTGCCTTCAAAATGTTTGTTTCTACAACCATAAGTGGAATTTTCCATGCAGCGCTTTCTGCTTCTCCATTGGCAGCTGGCGAGTTAGCTTCACTTGTCTTTAGTTAGCTTTAATACACTCTTTAGCTAGACAAAGAAAAGGTCCGTTGAGCCAAACTGGATAGTACTGGATTGATGGAAATCTAAAGCCTCATGTAGATTCAGCCTTAATGTGTTTTGCTCTGTTATTTGGATGAGTACCAGCTTTATGGGGAGATAGTGAAATGCTAAAGAAGTTGAAAGACAGAGGGGAAGGAGGTGGTCAGCAGGGAGGTGAAAGATAGGGTAAAATGCCATTCCAACACTTTTTAGGATGCCTGACATCACCCAAGACCTTTTAGATGAATGATTTTCAGTGTTTTATATCACAGTTTACACTCAGACTCACAGGGGCACATGCAAACACTCACACATATTTGCAGGCACAGGACTGAAACACAATTTCATAAACAGTTATTCCTTTTGCCTGAGAAATGCTGATATTTTCTATTCTATGTCCTCTGAATTTGCTTGTCACAAATGACTAAATTAATTTTATGACCTACTGATCAGTGGCAACCTGCAGTTTTCATAAAAGGGCTTTAGAGATAGGGACAACTCATTTCTGTGGATAAATTCTTACATTTTCTTTTATTTTAATAAACATTTTCATTGCCTTCTTTCTCTCATCTCAAGCAGTGGCCAAGACTATTTGTTAAATGGATCATGACTTCTCATGACCCAGTTAAAGGCTTGGAGATGTAAATAAAGGGAAGATTGAAACCCTGAAATCTCAGGGCTTAAATATCACAAAAGTAAACCCACAGACCAGATCTGTTGGGAACAAATGGATGATTATGTGACAATGAGGAGGAAGGGATAAACGCTGTTAATCACAGTCAGAAGCTGAAGGTTTAATACAAGCAAAACCCACATCTGTTCTGAAAAATTCATGAATTTCACAAAATAAATATTAGATTTAATCTAATAAAGGTACATTGTATAGCAGGAGATACTTGCAATCCCTCCCTCCATGGGAGAGAAATGAACTCTAATAACGTAATCGAACCCATCCAAGAGACAACAGGGGTAGGTCCTTTTACAGGTTAATGTCACTCCTGAGAGGTGGCCCCATCCCTACCCCAATCAAAAAACGCAAGGCAAGTCTATATTACATATAGGGGGACCACTGATCATTGGCGCTATCTGAAGGGGCCTCAGCACCTTACCTTCTGAAGAAAAAACTTTCTGCCAAACTTGGAAAAAGCATCTAATAGTGAAGCGGTTCTCCACAATGCGCTGCACATAGAACCACATGTGAGCTTTGGAAAAATACTGACTCAGATGAACCATCAGGGTGAGTACAACTTAAATGAAAGGAAGCAAAATGCTTGCAGTACCCTGGGGGAAACACACATCAAAAAGGAGATCTGAGCTGAAGACCCCCAACTGACCTTCAACCTTGGCCCTCCTTTTCATCCCACTCCCGCCCCAGCTGTTCTGAGAACTTGAGCAAAGGGTGTCAGGACTCTAGTTGAAGCTCTGGGAAGTCCACACCCTTGCTACTCAAAGTGTAGTCCACCCACCAGCAGTGGCAGCATCACCTGGAAGCTAGTTGGAGAGGGATTCGGGGTGGAGCAAATGGCAGCAGCCCTGGATGTTGCTAAGGAAAGAGTGGATGACCCCTATCCCCAGGGGCATGTTTTAGAATAGATAGACTCAAGGCAGAGAATAACACAGTGCCTTTTCCTTACCCCTGCCTGGCTGAGGGGAAGAGGACATTGTCCAACATTGGGCTTTTTTAGATAAATCCCACTATAAATAAAACTGATAATGAAATTTCTAAGTCACATGACAGGAAAAGTCGCAGGGTTATTGCTTTTCTATCGTACAGTGTAAGGTCAAGGAAATTTGTCTGTTTTATTCACTGTTGTATCCCTAATACCCAAATTCATCTTTATCCTCCCTACCCTCATACAGACACACATTCTTGTCCACACACACACAGGCAAACTCTTTGCATCGGTTTGGATAGGAGAAGCTATGCTGCAGTAGCAAACCTCAACACCTTCTCATTCACATGTAAGTTCAATGTAGTTCAGCAGAGCAGCTCCGCTAATGATAGCTACCTAGGAAGCCAGGCTGATGGAGGCACTATCTCAACATGTGCTTTCAAAGGAACCATGGCAGAGAGAAATCAGGTTTTAAGGGTTCCCAGCCAGAATGGCATAACACTTACACTCAAATTTCCAGGGCCAAAGCAAGTCACAGTGGTCATGCCAAACTTCAGAGGGGGCTGGGAAGTGAAATTGTACCATGAATTCAGAAGGAAATGAAGGGGAAATATTTGGTGAACCACAGTAATTGTTACTACTGCTAAATAGAGCTCATGAATCAAGTTCTATGGGAACACAGATCCGAGAATAGTTAACCTTCCTAATAATGGTAAACAAGTACACCTTTAAAAACACCTTTAAATGTGGAGTTCCAAAAACATTAAAGTTATTTTTTACATAAACTCATATTAATTTTATAATACAGAAAAAGTACATTTTAGCAGTAAGTCATGTTTCTCTGCTCTTTTCTCATGTATTTCTCCATGTGTGGAATGTCCCCCTTCCTTCTTTTGTGGGTGTTTGACAGATTCTTGTAGTATCATTATAGAAATGCTGGATTCTGTAATGTTAGGGAGATTCATAGCTGGTGAATGATTTGAGGTTGTTTGGACGATCTCTAGTAGTGTGCCAAAGTTTTCTTTCTCATTTGATGATTTTTATCATAGACCTAGATGAACTCAGGGAAGACATACATACCCTATTTTCAGATAACATGATATTGAGAGGGCTAAATCATAAGCTGGTTGAAAAAGATCAGAATTCAAAAGATCATTATTCAAAATAATGATGTACTAGAGAGGTCGGGAAAATCACAGGGTGATCCTTACTTTCTGATCACAAAGGAAAAAAAGGCAATCACATAAATACTTTGTATATTTACACATCACTTTGTTCCAGTACAGATGTATGGCAACTTCTAAAGACGTATGAAATAAAATAAGGTGACTTAAATTAAAAGTCGTTGAGATACAATAAAGAAAATAAAAGCCAGGGCAAAGAAAGAACCAAAGAAAGAGTTAATGTTACCCATCAAAATGATGTACTTGGTATGGGAAAGTGCATAAAAATAATATTGATACACACAGTGTTCAAGATAATTGTGGATGAAACAGAGTTCTTTGCAGCTCAAGATGGCTTCAAGACAGAGATGGCAAGTAGAGGTCAGCTTACGTTTCAATCCTGAGTGATTGGTGAGTAGATTCTTGGAGCAGTGTGATGGGAGACTGGGCTTAGCAGGAACTAATTTAGCCATAAAGCAGTCATTATAGGAGATGGGGAGAGGTAGCAGTGTGCTGAGTATTTGCCATTCCAAGGACAAAACCCTTCATTTGGTGCTAGAAAATGTACACAACCAGGAAAGCAGATGTCTAAGCAAGATGATGGGGAGTAAGGGGCTTGGCTAGGATTTAGTTAAGTGGCGGGTATAGCAATGAGCTCATTTGACACCCAGACTAATCCGCTCCTTTCTAGTGTGTGGAACCTATTCTGGGTCCCTGTTTATAGGACCCACAGCCTCCCTTGTGTGTGTGAAGGTAGTTTCATGGATGCTGAATGGATTTAAGTGGGTTGGTATGGGAAAGGCAGACTTTTCCATGCCAGTCTTTCACTTTGGAATTCTTGGCACTGTTGGATAATCTTGGTTAGGATACCTTCTGCTCCCATTCTCTATCCTGGAGTCCCTAGTCACTCATCAATGCTAACACAGCTACTGCACAAGACAGAGTGGAGGATTGGTCTCTTTCAAAAATTATCAGAGCCCCAGCTCTCCCCATCGCATTCTATCTGCAACTGTCACCCTCAGAAATCCAGAAGAGGGAGATGTGTCCAGCACTGTGAGTCCTGAGTCTAACTTAAGTTCTGGGAAGGTTGTCCCCTTCCTCAAAATGTAGAACTTGGGGAGAGATTTACATGGATCAGATAGCATGGGATGAAGATGTGCCAATTAGCTTTTGTGGCATGTGATGTCACCAAAACCTAGTGTCTTAAAACAACAAACATTTCTTATTCCTTATGATTCTGTGGGTTTGTGGCCATTTCTTCTGGTCTTGGAATATTCAGCTGATCTTGGCAGTTAGCTGCTGGTTTAACTATAGCCAGGTGGTCTAGGATAGACTCACTCACATGTCTTGTTGTTTGCTTGATCTCATTTAGATGAGACTTGCCGTACAGGGTTCCCAAGAGTAGCTAGAGAGGGCAAGTCCCAATGTACAAACACTTTTCAAGTCTCTGCTTGTATCTTGTTTGCTACTGTCCCCTTGGCCAAAGCAAGTCATAATGGCTAAGCCCAAATTCAAGAGGTTAAGGTATAGCTCCACTACTTGATTCAAGAGGGGAAGATACTGACTCTATCATTCCACCTTAGGAAGAGCTACTAAGTCACATTGCAAAGAGGCAAGTATCTAGAAATGGGAGGTGTTTGTGGCCATTTTTGCAATCTGCCACAGAAGAGAACACCTAGCTCATCTACCCTGATGAGCCACGTCAATCCTTCCAGATTGTTCTCCTATCCCTGTGTTTTATAATTGGAACTGGAATCCCAAATTCGCATTGAAACACTTTCAAGGATCTGTTATGGAAGATTTATTTCTGGAAACTGAATAGCCATTATTGTTCTGCTAGAAATTGGGTTCTGAACCTTCAACATATGAAAGACCTTTATAAATACAACCCACTTGTATTTGAGAACTGCCTAGCTTGTTGGCTGAAATGGGATTGCAGAAATGGGCTAGTATTTTTCTTTTAATTCATTCTGTACTCTGGCAGTAAGAATTTCCTTCTGAGGTGGATACAGATGATAACCTCCTGATTTGAGTTTGAAGTTTGCACTATTTAATTTTTGGCTGGTTATAGTCAGAACCGCTCTTTTCATTGTAGAGCCAAATGATTATTTATACTTCTCTTGGATCATTCTTTATATACCATTAGCAATGACACGCAAAGCACAAGGGACTGAATATTTACATCCAAAATTCTGAAGTGAGTATTCTCCCATTGGCAGATACAATTCCTCAGGGCTGTAAGACCTGGTAATAAAGAACCATATGTCATGGTGGATTGTATGTTGCTACAGCAATGGCTTTCAAGCAGCTGAAGTTCTGAATCCCCCTGCTTCTTCCTCTGCCTCTCAGTGTGGCTAAGGGCTGGCTGAGTGTTGCCTATTAAAGGACTCTGAAAGACAATGAAGAAACATGTTTTTGTTCTTCCTAATGACTAGCTTCTCAGAGTTCTTGTTATAAATGGTGTCTTGCTATAATCTACAGCAAGGAAGTATTCAAGACTCAATACAAGAAATATTTCACTGTTTGTCATCTAGGGAGATTCTGAGCTTGAGGTTGCCCTGATAATCCTGGAGCAAAACACATGTTCCCTGGCCTCAGTCAGCTTACATACTCATCAGGGAATAGTAGAGGAGCATAAATAACTATTATAGCAGAGAGAATATTCTCAGTTCCATAAAAATGCAAAGAGAGGAATATGAATTTCCAAGGAAGAAAGGAGCAATATTGTTCAAAAATTCCGTCCATTACACGTATTGCATGACATTTAATAATTTATTTTTCTTTTCCCCTTGAATGCAGAGACTGAGGCTCTCTCAGTTGTATCACCTCCAGTGCCTCCCAAAGTGCCTGCCACCCAGTAGAATAGATGTCAATAAATGTTTGCAGAAAGAATAAATAGATGACTACATTGATCCACTTAGCAGAAGGAAGAAAAGCTTTGTGGATGTGGTAAAACTTGAAAGACACTTAAAATAATTGGCAGATAGTGAATTTGGGAGAGAATGCATTAGTGGTAGAGGGCATAGAAAGAACAGAGAAGTGGCAATGGGGAAATACAAGGCATTTAAGAGAAAAACTAATCCAGTTTGGCTGGAGTGTGGAGTATATGTTTGGGTCTTGGAGCTTCCAGGATAAAGCTGAGGTGTGCATCAAGCCACGTGAGTTGCCTCAGTTCTCTTCCACTCCCATCCTTAAGGGATAAGCTTTGGCCTGTCCATCCTGTCCTCTGATCCAACTGGAGATTTGGGCAGGGATGGAATTCCCCATCATCCCAGCCCATGGTGAATTAGGCATCCTCTTTATTCATGGTAAGTGGCAAATAATAGAAAAGTGTGCCTTCCGCTGGGATTTTCTCATGAATACGTTTCCTCTGTCCATTTACAATTGATTGTAAGCTCTTTAAGGTAAAGGGTGTAATCATGTACCTCTTTGAATTCCGGAATTCTGTATCTTGCACAGGGAAGGTGAGCAACAGCACTCCACTGAGTATGTTGGTGTCCTTTCTAACATTAGCAGTGAGCTTAAAATCTGTTCCAACAAAAAGAAAAAAGCAGATTCCAACTAGAGATTTGGGCAGAGTAAGGCAGAGCAGTGACACAGCGAAGAGCCCAAGCCATGTCCATGGTGCCTGAGCCCCTAGATGGCGACCATCATCATCATCATCATCATGATAATAATGGCCCCAAACTCAATGTGCTCACACTAGGAGTCAAGCTCTGTGCTGATTGCTTCACACAGTCATCTCATTTTGTCCTCCCAACAACTTGTGTAAGAAATGTATCCTCTCTGTACCTCAGGTTCCTTATCTGTAAAATTTGAATAGTAATACTAGATCCTACCTCATAGTGTTGTTATTAAGGACTGAATGAATTGTTATTTGCTAAAGGCTTAAGTACCACTCCGTAACTGTTGACTTTGATTACTATTACAATCCCCATTTTACAAATGGGGAAACCGAGACACAAAAAAGTTTAAAAACACTTGCTCAACATCAGACGGTGGGACTCAGCATACTGACTTCAGGTTAGCTGTTCTATCCTATGAAGAAACCGACCCTCTCCTGGGCCACTGATGGTCCACTGTGATTGCATCTTTCCTGGTCTCATCCTTGGCATAGTCTCATTGGAGACTGATCGAGACAAACAATCCTCAAGGACCTGCTTTTTTCTTTTTGTTGGAACAGATTTTAACCTGACTCCTAATGTCAGAAAGGGCACCAATACACTCAGTGGAGAGCTGCTGCTCACTTTCCCTGTGCAAGATACAGAAATCTGGAATTCAAAGAGGTACACGATTACACCCTTTACCTTAAAGAGCTTATAATCAATTGTAAATGGACAGAGGAAATGTATTCATGAGAAAATCCCAGCAGAAGGCACGTTTTTCTACTATTTGCTACTTACTGCAGATAAAGAGGGTGCCTAATTCACTGTGGGCTGGGATGATGCGGAATTCCCTCCCTGGGGCAGAGGTAAGTGTGGCAGGGGTTGTTGTGGGGTGTGTGTGTCTGTGTGTGTGTGTGTGTGCATGCTTGTGTGAAGAAGCCCAAAGCATTAAGGAAAGAAAACAAGGCAACAAAGGGTAGCTGGAGGACTGAGTATGTACAGCCTGACATGAGACATAGAGTTAGAATTGAGTCTGTAGGTTAAAGTGAACCCCACAATCTCATCTGGCACTTCAGAGCACAAGGCCTTTACTATTTCCATCTTGCTTTTTCCTAAGTGGATGTAATTTCTATACAGGTTCCCCAAACCAGGAACTCTACGACATTTGGGACAAAAGCCTTTGTTATCTCCCCATTGTTCATTTCCAAGATGTTCTATCAATGTTAAATAAAAAGCTTCTAACATATGTGCATTTGGGTCAGTATTCTTCTAAAGGTGAAGAATAAAGGGACTCAGCCCTAGAAGAATATCCTCTAATTACTTTCTCACTATTTTGATCTTTGGCTTTGAAGTAAATGGCTTCCCTTTTGGTCATTTATTGATTTCCTCTTTGAAAGTTTTTTGTTCCCATATATCATCATTTTGCACACATCTTGCCAGACTCCTGTACTCGATTGCTATTATAATTTTTTCCTTCTTCTCATACATTGTTCAAGCCATTTTCTGAGTTAAAACAGATAAATAAGAAACTATTTATTTATTTATTTCTTCCAGATGTCTTTGCTGGACCTGAAACTGCCATTTCCTAAACTTATCGTATTTGTATAGTCAAAAATTATTTTTAACTTTGCTTGGCTTGCATTTAAATTTTCTTTCTTTCTTTTTTTTTCCCTGGGAAGTGTCCTAGTCTGCTTTTCTTAAATGCCTTTTCCATAATTTAATGAAAAGGGACAAAAGTAAAAACGAGGGAAGACATTGAAAAATGGCCAATGGGGAGCATAAGAAAAATGCCCTTTACATGTGGTGACTTTGAAAGATTAACTTTTCAAGTGTGACCATACGTATGAAACTATTACTGTTTTTGCTGCTTTAAAAGCATAGGGTAAGAGTTCTCTTTGAAATGATTATTAAAACTATTAAATAATTATGTATACCCTTGTTATTATGTCAGTTTAAAGGTTTATTACACTGGGTAAGTCCGAGGAACATATTGGCTGGTAAGCTGGTTGTTTTCTGGTTTCAGGTGCAATTGAAATTCAGCTACATGTTATTCAGAAACCCTAGAGAACAACTAAATGATGCTATTTACCATTACATAGGGCTTCTCTTAGCAACCAATTTTGTTTATGCTTCTAAAGATAATGTTAGTAGGAGCCTCAATGTCTGGTTATAATGTATTCAAAGCCAGAGTACTTGAGAAGTCTGTGAGTAAGAATGATCCAGTTGTCTTTGTGTTAGTAGCTTTTATCCAGGGATGATAAGGAAGGGAAAGGAATTAACATGAACTAGGGACCACTAATAAGCCAGGCATTTTTACATTTTATGATCTCTATACTCCCTACAAAGCCACATTTTACCTTCCTTTCTTTGAGTTGAAGACTCTGAGGCTCAGAGAGGTCAAGTCACTTGCTCAAGGTCACGCAGCTAGTAAACGGCTGAGCAGAGGCAGACTTTAGATGTGTCTGACTGTAAGGATTGCCATTCTTCCACTGGAAACCATTGCCTCCACCTGAATGGAAGGGTATCTTTTTTGGTAGGAAGGAGATATATTATAGAATGGGGGTATGGGTTGGGCAGCTGGTCAACCTGAGAACAAGACTTGAGAGATATTTAGGCCCAGAATCTCTCACTTCTTTCTTCCTCCTCCCCTGCATGGTGACCTCTAGGCCTGTCGTTTTTATTTTCCCAAGCCCTGGTCTCTGGGAAGGATTAACAACACTATCAGTGAATAGCCAAGTAAAGTTCTGTGGACAAAAAAATGCCAATCAAAAATAATTGTGATCTTATCATTTCAAGATGACAAACGCTTTTTTGTTTTTGAAGGTATTCAGCCTTGACAAAAAAGTCAATCTGCACAACATGCATTAGCAAAACATCTTCCTGGGCAAAACAAAACAAAAAAACAAATATTAGAACATCTCTATGAAACGAGGCATCTGTATAGTCCTATATAGAGGATGAGAGGACACCCATAACTGCTGGAGAAAGTAGCAGAAGACCAGGCAGGGCAATAAAGTGAAGCCAGACAGACCCAGAACTCTGTGTACAATCGTTCAATCCATACAGCCCAGGACAGTGTGTGGTCGTGAGTGGCTGGATAAGCAGTGTTTAGGAGCTAGACTGCCTGGGTTTGACACAAGCTCTCCCACTTACGTCATTGTGAGTGAAGATAAACAATTGTGCCTCAGTTCTTCCGTCTGTAAAATGGCAGTAATAAAGGTACCTATCTCCATAGAGCTATTCTAGCCAAGGCACTTGGGACAGGGCTTGTTACATAGAAAGCACTGTGCACAAATTGGCTTTCAAGCATGCTATTGAACTGCTTTCTCAACTAATCAGTATCCAGTCTTTGGAGGATACAAGCACTCATTATGATCCTATTTGTGACAATAATTAGGAAGAACTGCTCATTGAAAATGGATTTCAAAATTGCATAGCAATTATTTCATTTATCTTTCATTATTTTGATGAATTCTTCAGTGGACAAGATAAAGTGAAAGTTGTAACTATATTTGTTTTCAGCACCTACCACCGTATATGGTGTACCATCTGTGGATTTATAAAATATTAGTGAATTATTGAATGAGCCCTAATATTCTGACAACTGTTTAAATATCGATGTTTTAAAGTACTGTCATTGAATACAAATACAATTTAGAGTCTTTCTCTGCTTTCTCTCTCCCCCTCTCTCTTTTCTGGCCATAAATCATTGTCTATTCACTGGGTAAACAACATCTGAATTCCCTGGAGCTCAGCAGCCCACTGATTTCACTAAAAAGTTGTCTCATCCAACTCTGAATATGGAGTCTGGTTTCTGAATGGCTGGTAAGATTTATTTTCCCTGGTGGTTGGAGCTGGTATATTTTACCAAGGCAAATCCCCATGTGACAAAGGAATAAATACACAGGGAAGAATCATTTGCATAAAGTAAGTGAACCCCATCAATAAACTCCATTTATTTTGTTATCAGAGAAATAGCCCTGTGCCCTTATCCATCAGCAGACAGTCTCTCTGACCTTTCTCACTTCAGTTCATACTGGATTGCACTGCCTCACCAGCAGCCAATCTACTCTGAAATCAATGTCCTGGTTTCACACCCAGAGGTGTTGACCTCCATAAGCAACAGACTTGTGTGGCAGAGGAGGCTGCCATTAAAGGGACCACGTCATGCAGCCTGGTCCAATCAGCTGCTAGCATAAGCTTCTTGCTTACTTACTTGCTTTGTGTTGTTTAATTCAGAGTTGGCAAGAAGGTTTAAGGAAAAATAAGGGTTGGCAGGGAGGTTTAAGGAAAACATAGATAGAGCAGAGTTTAAATCTTGGCCTTGTCAATTTCTGGCTGTGACAATGTGAGCAAAAGTTTTGACTCATCTGAGCCTCAGTTTATACATTGGTAAAATGAGGATAAATAAAATTGACTGCATAGCATTTTGTGAGGATTAAAAAAGGCAATACAAGTAGTGTCTAAAATAATACCTGCCACATGGCAGGTGTTAGTCAAATGCTTTTTACCTTGTCTCCTCCTTTTCTTCCCTTTTTTCCTCCCTTCCTTCTTTCCCTCTCTTCCTTCCTCATATGTGATCTTCTATTTGCCCAGGGCTTCTTGTGTGATTCTAAATTATAGCATCTAGGGCTTGTATCAGGAAAGCATACCTTAGGTCCCAGAATTTTGAACATCAACCTAAAATTTTCCCATCAGCCTTCAGCCTCTCTTCCTAGCCATGGGAAGCTCCTCAGTAGAGATGAAGTCATTAGCTCAATTCTTTAGGGCTCATCTTTCTCTGAAACTTAGTGATCAATTTACTTTACCCCTGAGACTACCCTTGTCATCTTTGGGCAAAATCACCAGCAAGCAGAAAAGTTTGGCCTCTTCCGTAGATGCTCAATACATGCTAGATAAGTTGGAACTATCATGGCCATGTCCCAGGAGCTCAGAGAGCATGATATACTGATTCTGGGAACTAGGTGTTTTAGGAATCATGCTAATCAAATGTAACAACATACCTGGCTTCCAGAAAGGCAGCTAAATGTCAGGTTAAGAGCTTGGGCTCTGAAATCATAATGGCTCTGCTCTGTATCCTCCAACAAATTTCTTAAGCTCTCCAAGCCCAAGTCTCCCCATCTGTAAATGACTAATAGTAAGGTGGTTTTGGAGTAAGTTAGAAATGGCCCTCAAGGCTCTTAGCACAGTCTGTCAATACAGTAAGAGGAACAAATATTGGCCAGTTCTCAGATGATCTGAAAACCACCTGTTAATGGGCTGAATTATGCCCTCAGATTCATATATCGAAGCTCTAACCCTTGTTTCCTCAAAATGTGACTATATTTGGAGATAGGATTTAAAAAGGGTAATGAAGTCATATGGGCGGGCCTTAATCTTGTATGACTGGTGTTTTTATAAGAAGAGGAGATTGAAACAGACACACACAGGGAAGGGCACTATGAAAAGACACGGAGAAAAAGACAGCCATCTGCAAGCCAAGGAGAGAGGCCTCAGAAGAAACTAAACTGCCGATACCTTGATTTCACATTTCTAGCCTCCAGCATTGTGAGAAGATAAATTTTGGTTGCCTAAGCCCTGCAGTCTGTGGAACTTCGTTATGGCTTCCCAGCAGACTCATGCCCCGCCCCATGCTGAGACCCTTTCTCACTAGCTGTGTGATCCTGAGCAGGCCTGGCATTCAGATAGGCTCCATTAAGGAGAGTCTCATTGAATGTAACCAACCAAATGTCCTGCTTTGGCCTTTTCTCCTAATTTTTTTTTTTTTAATTTACACTCCCCTTGAACAACATCGCTAAGCCACAGGCTGGCCATGTCATAAGCAAGCTTCCTGCTTCACCATGCGGAAGCCTCTTGCTGGCGTTTTTTGAACACCAGTATCTCAATTCACTCTCCGTTTGCCTTGATTTGCTTCTTTATTTCCTGAGGACTCAAGTGGCCTGGGCTCTTGACTGTTTTCTCGATGATTTGGCCATCTCTTCTGGTTTGCCGGAAGCTGGGACTTTGTGGCTCCATCTGTCTTCTTGGATTCTGACCCTCCGCTTAGCTGACCGAGATTTGTCACATAAGCCTGTGTGCTCTCTGAGCTTCCATGACTTCAGCATTTTCTATGATTGAGAGCAAGTCAAGAGTACACACTGTACACACCCAAAGTTAGTCTTGGGTATAGTTAGCATAGCTGTATTCATGCTACTCGTGAGAAAGTTAAGGCCTGGTCAGAGTCAGTGCCTGAAAAGCCACAATTAGAAATTTGGTTTGCTTCTCTGCAGCAGCAAGACCTTCCCATTCCTATACATCGCCCTTCACTTTGCCTTCCTGGCTCTGACCTCTGTTGTTTCTATGACCTCCAGAACCCACCAGATTATTCTAATAGATTGTTCTGTATTACCCGAACATGATTTCTTGCTTTGTGCCCATACAGGGCCCTATTGGCCAGCCCCAATCCAAGGAACCTCTGACCTATTGATAGCTATAACTCGAGGGTGGATAAAGAAGGGCAGCACAAGCTTACAAGCTCCAGGAGGGAGTTAAAATGGGATCACTTTGGCCGGGCACAGTGGCTCACGCCTGTAATCCCAACACTTTGGGAGGCCGAGGCAGGTGGATCACGAGGTCAGGAGTTCAAGACCAGCCTGCCCAACAGGGCGAAACCCTGTCTCTACTAAAAATACAAAAAATTACCTGGGCGTGGTGGCGAGCACCATAATCCCAGCTGAGGCAGGGGACTGTAATCCCGGGAGGCTGAGGCAGGAGAATTGGTTAAACCCGGGAGGCGGAGGTTGCAGTGAGCCGAGATTGTGCCATTGCACTCCAGCCTGGGTGACAAGAGTGAAACTCCATCTCAAAAACAAAACAAAACAAAACAACAACAACAACAACAAAAAACGGGATCACTTTGCTATTTCCTGGATATTGTGAGCTGCTCACACCTGCCTCTCCTGTGTAACAAGATTACCAGGATGCATACTAAAGGTCTGTAAGTGGCAGAGAGGAGTTTTTGTCCTGGGATCTAAGAATTCTTAGGTGTCCTTGATCAATGATGGCTAAGCCATGTGTCCTGTGTAACAATAGATTTCCTCTTGGTGCAGCATGCTCAGTACTGTGTGTGAAAGTGGCTTATAAGGGTAAGACAAGGAATTAGAACTTGGGCACTTGAAATACCTCTGGAAGTATAAAAGTAGACTGGAGCCAGGAAAATACCTCAGAGTCACTAGGCAAGTCAGAATGGGGAATCACTTGGGCAGTTGAAAGTAGGAACATGTGTGACAAAAGCAAGTATGCAACCTGGACATATTGTTTTATTAACTTTCTGAGAAGTCATGCATCACTTCTTGCCTCAGTTACCCTTTTTAAAAATAAGAATAGTTTGGATCAGCCAGTCTCTAAATTCTCTTCTATTTCTAGAATGCTAATCTGTTTTACTTATTAAGTACCAGTGTCAGAGCACATTAGCAGTCCTGCTAACAGATACAAGATACCAGTAACATGAAGTTCTTGACATCTGAGACCAACTTCTCTTCTGAGAGGGAAAATTCTCTGTATGGTTTCTGCAAAGGCTGGAGCAGATCAAGTCTGGGTGCAAGTGCAGGTCTTTGAGAACACCTTTAGAAGCAGAAGGTGACCCATGCCTAATCATTCTATAGTATTGTAGTAATTTCAGAATTATCAGACCTCACAGCAGTGAGTCAGCAGTGCCTTTGAAATTCGGGGCTAAATTTAACTTCAGCAAACCCTGAATCATGGTTCTAGGATAATTTTAAAATAGAAGATGGTTATATTCATGGAATTTTCTGCTCATAGAATGGCAGAGGGGAACTGACTGTATGGGAAACAAAAAATCTTCCTGAACCAGTCAGATGAAGTATAGCCACACAAGAAACAGTGAGCCATTAGCTTGGGACACAGCAGTTACCACCTACCAGATCACTCCCACCTCTGGTGTTGGCTGGAGAGATCCCCCTTCCTAAATCATCCTTCTCAACCATCTCAGTGGTTCCAAAATCTAAGGGAGGACATTGCACAAGACAAAAGTAGGGAAAGCATTTGTCACCCACACCCTTAGTATGCTCCTCCCAGTGCTTTTCAATTCCAGCCATGTGTTGCATCAGATTAGATATATACTATCTCTCTCAGGACCAGCTATGTAACTTGTTAGGCCTGATGCAAAATGAAATCATGGGGCCCCTTGTTCAGAAGTTAAGAATTTGAAGATGGTGCCAGTACAGCATTAATCCAAGTACAGGTCCCTTTTAAGCACAGGACTGTGGGTGACTCTGCAGGTTGCACACACATGGGGCTGACCCTGATCTTTTCCCGCAGTCTTCTGCTCCTCTGCTTTCCTGCTAAAGATGCCTGTTCACTCAGGGTACTGGTTTTAGACTCTGAGTGGTTCAACAAATCCACCCAAGCAACTTGCATACATCATTCTTTCTCTTGTGCCATCTTGTTATGAACCACAATTTTATTGACGTGAGGAAAAGGCATCAGAACAAATCTGACAATGTTCATTGGCTCACATTTTCCAGAGAGACGCATCCTTGGGGTGCTGAGATCCTACTAGATATACTGAGTCTAAACCAGAGGTTCTTAATGAGGAGTGAGCTCAGGCTTACCTGAGATGCCCAGGGATTCTAAATCTGTAAACCTACTTTATTTATGCTCTTGAAAAGTCTTCTCAGTAAAACAATGGTAAAGAAGCATTTGAAAACAATTCCATTTATTTGTTATTTTATATATCTTATGACTTCTTTTATCATTATTTGATTTTTTGAGACATACATGCGTATCCGTGCATGTGTATGCTCCCCTCCCCACCAGCTTGATGTTAGAATCTGTTTAAATGGACTTTTTTTGTTGTTATTGTTCAGAGTGTTTTAAACTTCAGTGTGGCTTGCAAGTTCTGTTTGGTGATGATTATCCACTTTGACTCCGGGTGAATTTATTTGTGGCTGGATCTAGCAGAGGCCACAAACTAATTATTGCAACCAACCAAGAAAAATAAAGAGAATGAGGAAATGCCAGAAGTATTGACAATATTTATTGTAGCATATGGCTAATGTAAAAAGAGGTAATAGAACGATGTATCTCAGGGGATCATTCAAAAGGAAAATTACTTACATTAACTTTTCAGGCAGACCGAATTATGCATTACACCCCTCCTGTAATGCTATACAAAGTCAATGTTTGTGAAGAGTAGAACTGGCGGCTATAAATCAAGCCTTTCAGAAGAACTGTTGTGTCTGCAGGGATTTTTTTTCCTTTGCTTTTTTGACATTTAGATGAATGAAGAATTTTCTCAGCAAATTATTAATTACTCCTTCTTGCCTATAGAATTGAGTTCACTGTAGTTATGTAGGAGTCAATGGTATTCAAACTGCAGCTTTTGATGAAGTAATCGGCTGCTTCTGGGGCCTCTTTCAGCTGCCCTGGGCGTGCTTCACATGTAAACGACTGCCAAATGGATTCTTTCGACATTCCAGCCAATTAAAATACATTTAAAGTGCAGCTGGTGGAGAGGCAAACCACGCGATTGTGCGGCGAACTTCAGGGCAGTGAGACAAAAAACAAACTTTGCGGAACCCAGATCCAGCAGCCCAGCAAGGCATTCGTTCGGGGGCAGTAGAGAAAGTCATAAAAAGAGGCTATCTTTAGCCCCCGTCAGAATCAAAGATGACACTTTGAGCACCACCTTACAGGACACAAAAGAGGGAAGCATGTTTGTCAGGGTGTCAGTTTTCTCTCCTTGCCTCTTGAAACTCTGTGTGTTGGCTGGTTGCCCAATGTGGTGCCGCATACAAATGTTGACAGAACACAGCGGTGTTTGTTAAACCCGGCCTGGGGAAACCAGTGATTAAAACTCTTGAAGGAAGATCCGAAAACCCCAGGAACTCTCCTCAATAGCATTAGAACATTGATCGAATGAAAGAGAAAGCAATGAGTGGGCTAAAGTGAAACATTCAGCATCCCTGTCTGGTATGCCTTCTCGGTAAGGACAGAATTTTCTCTTCTTTTTTTTTTGTTCCTTGAATGTTGATGTTGGTATAGAGGAAAGCACCCAATGTGTTAAGTGCTCTGGTCTGGAGCTCTGATTTGCAGCGTGCAGAGTTTGCCTGTGATTTTTCTGGAGGACATGAAGGGATCACACTCACTATGTAAATAGACACAGGGCATTACATGGCACGTGGTGTCTGCGAGTGCCTTTCCAGAATTCAGGATGGTACATTTTTAAATGTTTGCCTTTGCTGACCTAGCCTAGTACTTGCTGCTGTGTATCCAGGTGCCTGGAGATTAATTCCTCCTTGGAACCAACAGTTATGATGTACATGCCTGATTAATTTTTATTTTAATTTTCATGTTGTCTGATTCATTCCGCAGCCAGCCGCACACTATGCATGTCAATCGTGTTTTTTTTTTTCTTTTTTCCCTCTTCCTGGGTTAATATTCAGCCAGACCCAAGCATTCTGGTTTACTAAAGCAAAGTCAAAATATTTGGAAATGCCTTGCTTTATTCTGATATTCACTGGAGAAGCTGCTAACTTGGGAATTCGCTCTGAATCATCCTTTTCTAATATTTTAAGGAGGCAGGTGCAGTTGCATGATTTCTGTGGTGCTGCAAGTTCAGTAAATACCCAGCTCTTGGATCATACTCAGACACCTATCTTAAATTCCTAAGAATGCTAAGTTGGAGTATGGCTGAGCAGGGGCATTGATTCCTAACCATCAATTGATCAATGAAAGACATACAAAGTTCCTGATTGTTCCCTATCTTAGCTTGTCACGGTAGGCCCTTTCTGGCTCCAATTTTGTTCATTGCAAACAAAGAATCTTGCACATTTCACGGTGAAGGATCACATTGCAGCGTCCTGAGCTCAGTTAAATGTGCTTTATTAATCTTTAATGTGCCAGTAGCTCTGAGGCTATGCCAAGCTGAGACTTTCCAAAATTCTCCAAGCTACCTGCTGCCAAGATAAACGGTGGTAGGCCCAGAAGGGGATATTTTAAGGAAACTTGCAACAGCAAAGTTTTACCCATTAAGTTTGTCCTGAGTCAATGAAAGAAACCTTAAATAAAAGAGATTTCAGAAAGAGCTGCCTCAGCTCTGTACCCTCTGTGTGAGAGACCTGCTGGGAAGAGTCCACCTCCTCACACACACAGTAGTATACGCTCCAGAGTGGGAGGGAATAGGCTTTCTGCTGTGTGCTTGGTGGGCTGTGTTTATGAAATGGGTGCCATGCAACAGAGACATGTGTGAACGCAGAAAGCTTTCCTGCCTGTGGCTGTGTTTTGAGCCCAGAGAAAAACAAGGTTATATATGTGGTGTGCTGCCTGTCCAATGCAACTATTTCAGACATAACAGCATCAGAGGTGTACCATGGCCACGGAGGTTCACTTGGACAAAAGCACAGCCTTGCAGAAAAAGAAAAGTGGGATGGCACACCTCTGAAAATGGGGCAGTGGAGGTGACTTAATGACTCAGAGGACTATATGAACCTGTGATTGATTGGCCAGGTCCTGGAGAACATAAGGCTGTGACCTCATGTGGGGCTCTGAGTGGCTCATCAGGTTAACACAGAGTATATGGTGTCATCATCATTTTGGGGGATGCAGGTAAGAGACAAAATGGAGTCTGCCTTTGGACACAAGTCCTGTAAGCAGGAACTTCACTTACAAGATTGCTATGAGAGGAACATGGAATTAGAGCTGAGAGGAGTTCCAAGGTCCTTTCTGATTTTGAGTCAGTCACACAAAGACTTTATGAATATGTGTAGGCAGTAATGAGGGGTGATCAAGAGTAAAGGATGGCCTCAGTTAATCAGGTGGTTTTGTTGGCTTTAAAGTCAAGTCCAATCTCCTTCCTGTGGCCTAGAACAGGGGTTGACAAACTACAGATCACAGGCCCAAATCTGCCACCATGTGTTTTTTTGTAAATAAAGTTTTATGGAAACAGAGCCACACCCATTTGTTCATATATTATCTATGGCTGCTTTTGTGTTACCATGGCAGGGCTGAGTAGTTGCAACAGAGACTCTATGGCCCTGAAAAGCCTAAAACATTTACTATTGGGTTCTTTAAAGGAAAAGTTTGAGAGGCTAAACATATAGAACAATGCTTCTCAAACTATCTGTGGTGAAGAACCTGTTTTGTGTTTTAAATTTCTAATCCGTTATGCACTGATAGTTTCTTTAAATATAATAGAAATGTTGCATGAATGTTATGGTGATGTCATATTGCTATAAAACTTCTAAATATTTATTCTTAATTTTTGTGCTTATCACAGATCAGCAACAAATAGTTTACAGACTGGCACCAGTTCCTGGACCACACTTTGAGAAGTTCTGGTCCTTGCATAGTTTTCTAGCCTCATCGTGTGCCATTTGTCCCAAATTTCCAAAGATGCTCTCCTCTCTTATGAGTCAAATCAACAAACCCTTCCCCATCTTTGGGCCTTTGCTGCTGATGTTTGCTTTACCTAGAAGTCTTTTTCCCTGACTCTTCTCTTAGCTCCTCCTTTCCTTTAGGTCTCTGTTTAAATTCATCTTGTCAAAGGAGCTTTTTGAAAGAAGTCCATCTGAAAAATCTTTCCTCATCTTTCATCACTCTTTCTTCATAGCATTTATTGCAATCAATACCTATCGTGTTTATTTATTTGTTTATCTCCTTCTTATTTGTTTCTCTGTTTTGGTCAGGATTCAGTAACAGCACCATCTGTTTCAGCTAGTTTAAGCAGAAAGGAATTTTGTACTGGTTTGAGCAGGCATATAAAATCTTGTAGAAGGAATGGGGGAGCAGGCAGAACTTCTGAGAGTAATGCACAGGGCATGGCAGCATGTTTACAATTATGTCTCTGTCACTATCACAAAGCTGGATATCAGGAAGCTGATAGTCTCAGTCCATTTTGTTGTTGTTGTTGTTGTTGTTGTGTATACCAGAATACCTGAAACTGGGTAATTTATAAATAAAATAGATTTATTTATAAATTCCTTATAGTTATGGAGTCTGGGAAGTCCAAGGTTGAGGGGCTGCCTCTGATGACAGCCTTTTGCTGGGGAGACTCTGCAGAGTCCTGAGGTGGTGTGGAGCATCACACAGTGAGGGGCCTGAACATGCGAGCTCAAGTCTCTCCTCCTCTTCTTATAAAACCACCAGTCCTACTTTCATGATAACCCATTAATCCATTAACCAATTAACCCACTAATCCATGAATTAATTGATCCATTTATGAGGGCAGAACCTTCATCACTCAATCACCTCTTAAAGGCTCCACCTTTTAATACAGCCACTTTGAAGAGTTTATTTCGATATGAGTTTTGGAGGGGACAGATATTCACACTGTTGCACTAATGCCACCACCACTACCTCCAGGATCACATTGCCTCTGCTCTCATCTCCTCCACCAAAACAAGCATCTTTGTTTCTTTCTTTTTTTTTTTTTTTTTTTTTTTTTGAGACGGAGTCTTGCTATGTTGCCCAGGCTGGAGTGCAATGGCACGATCTTGGCTCGCTGCAAACTCCGCCTCCTGGGTTCTCGCCATTCCCCTGCCTCAGCCTCCCGAGTAGCTGGGACTACAGGCACCTGCCACCACGCCCAGCTAATTTTTTGTATTTTTAGTAGAGATGGGGTTTCACCATGTTGGCCAGGACGGTGTCGATCTCCTGACCTCGTGATCCACCCTCCTCAGCCTCCCAAAGTGCTGGGATTACAGGCGTGAGCCACTGCGCCTGGCCTCATCTTTGTTTCTTGAAACAAGTGAAGCTAGAGATAGGATATTAGGGCCTTTGCTACAGATGTTGCAGATAACCTGACACCTCTGGCAGGAACAGCAGAAACTGAGCACCTAACTCCTGATTTTCACTCTGACTTTCAAATCCCACTATAGGGGGCCTCCTGGATGAAATATGAATAGCAACAGAGCTCAAGCTATGAGGGAGTTAGTGAAATATTTGGCTTAAAATCTTAGGTTTTTGAGTCTCTAATGATGAAATGGAGTCCCTATAATCTGCCTGCATCATCTACTGGAAGGTTATCCCCATGAGGGTAGGGACCTTGTTCATCACCCTACACCAGTGCTGAGATTAGTGCCTGCCACAAGATGCACAATAAATGTTGATGCTATATTTATGCATGCATGAATGGAATATATGTTTTCTCGAAGTCTGTGGTTTATAATAAGGTAGCATGTAGTACACACAAGGGAGATTCATGTATATGAGTTATCCTGAGAAAGATCTCTGAGGTGGGAAATGGAGACTACTTATAGGCAATAATCTCACCTTTGAAACATACCTTCTTTTTCAAAACTGAAATATATTCATACAGCTGAAGTTAATCAGTGTGCTCAGGGATGGGAGTATTCAGGTTACTAGCTAACACTATGATTTACTGAGGGCTTATTATAAGCCCTGCACTACACTGTATGCTACACATGCATTATCCCATTTATTCTGCACAAAATCCTAATGCAGCAGGCATTACCTCTATTTGCAGAGAGGAAATAGAGGCTTTACCTAGTAAAGTGGCTTCCCCAAGTCACAGAGCTGGTAAGGGGTAGAGCCATATTTGATACCATGACTTTCTAAAATCCATGTTTTAGCTCTTAACCTCCAATTATAATCCCACATACAATTTACCTTTCTGGTTATTGTACATTCACTGAGGAATCTTCTGTTTTGTTTTCATCCTAGTGGCTGGTTAATCTATTGCATTAATCTACTTTGTGTGCAGTCTGTTCATCTGGACTGAGATATCCATACAGATCTCTGGATCATTGCTGAAGGTTGCTGAATATCAGCACTAAATCTGTGGGTCTATAGATAAGTGTTTTGAAGAAGTAGGAGAAAACTAATTCTGCAGGGATGAAGAGTATAAAGAAGGTATACACAAGGTAGTAATTTTTGCTGTTAGGACAAAAATCTTAGATAATAGAATATTTCTCTCGTAATTGGACAACGCTCCACCCATGCCATATGTTTGGTTAAAATTTTCAAGTCTTTGGATTCTGTCAGGTTGAAATTCTATGTAACATTATAGTCATTGAACAGTGATATTTGGTAATAGTAGTGACTTTTTGATAATAAAAAATAAGTTGAGAATTAATTTTATATTTTAAGTTTTAGAGGACTCAAAAAGATACCTTTGAAGAAAGAGGACCTGGCAAGTGGTGGAGCACCCAAGAAATTTTACCTGACAACAATATACATGATAAAATAAACCACTTAAACCCCATTTCTAGTGTCTAAGAATGATAGGGGGGAAAAGAAGTACTACTGAAATGGTGGAGTAAAGACCTCTGAAAATCTACTTCTCCAAAAAAGCAAGAAAGCACTGACAAAAATGGCCAAAATCAATGTTTCTAGAACTCAGGAAATTAAAGAAAGGCTTGCAACAATCTGAGGAGCATTTATTCCGGGGAAAGATTAGCTGAATCTCAGCAAGAACAGTGAGCTGTGTGGCATTTAACTTGCCTTATTTTCATTCCCCTCTTCCCAGCTTGAAAACGAATATGTGATTATAGTAGTTGTGCAAACCAGTAGCCTAGTCACTACTAGGTCACTACTATTACCAAATATCACTGTTTAATGATTATAATGTTAAATAGAATTTCAACCAGCCTAGCAACTACTGGAAGGGACAAAACTTTATTCTCCCCAAATTGTCATAATTTGACCTTTCTGCTAGCTCCCTGCAAACTCCCACTCTCAGGTCTTGTCTTTATTTTATCTGACTCAGAATTTAAGTACAAAGATGCTTTTCCCTGGGACATTCATATCAACATACACACTATGAGAGTTTGAGAAAGAGGATACCAGTATACGCATTATGAGAGTTTGAGAAAAAGGAAAGATAGGAAGGAGCAGAAAGAATATTTGAAGAAATAACAGCTGAAAACATGCCACATTTGATGAAAGATATACATCTACATATCCAAGAAGCTCAATAAACTCCAAGTAGGATAAAAATACAAAAGAATATTATTTAACTAGAATATTTAGAGAAAGCTTATAACTCAACTATAAAAAGACAAGTAAACCAGTTAAAAAAAACAAGCAAACAGTTCAAATATTCATTTCTCAAAAGAAGATATGCGAATGGCTAGTATACATAAAATATGCTCAACATTATTAGTTATTAGGGAAACACAAGCAAAAACCAAATTAGATACCACTTTGCACCCGCTAATATTGCTGTGATAAAAAAGATGGACAATAAGAAATATCAGCAAGGATATGAAGAAATTAGAA
Organism: Homo sapiens; assembly: GCF_000001405.40. Taxonomy (NCBI): domain Eukaryota; kingdom Metazoa; phylum Chordata; class Mammalia; order Primates; family Hominidae; genus Homo; species Homo sapiens. The sequence continues at coordinate 133,668,419 of NC_000002.12, read as the reverse complement.
CCTTCATATATTGCTGGCGGGAATGTAAAATTGTGTAAATTGTGTAGCCACTTTTAAAACAGTTTGGCAGTTCCTCAAAATGCTAAGCGTAGTGTTTCCATATGATGCATCAGGTCCACTCCTACATATAGTTCCAAGAGAATAATAAATATATGTCCACATGAAACTTGTACATGGATGTTCATAGCAACATTATGCATACTTTCCCAGAAGTGGAAAGAACCCAAATGATAATCATTTGATAAATGGATAAAGGAAATGTGGTATATCCATACAATAGAATATTATCTAGCCATATAAAGGAATGAAGCCCTGATTTATATACCACATGAATGAACCTTGGAAACATTATGTTAAGTTTAAAAAGCCAAATGTAAGAGGTCACATATTGTATAATTCCATGTGAAATGTTCAGAATAGGCAAATCCATAGAAAAATAAAGTAGACAATTGTTTCTAGAGGCTGGGAAAAGGGATACTGGGAAGTAACTGGTAATGGGTATGGGCTTTCTTTTTGGGGTTGACAAAATGTTCTGGAATTAGATAGTGGTGCTGATAGTACAACTCTGTGAATATATTAAAGCCTACTGAATTGTGCTCTTTGAAAAGGAAAATTTTATTACATATAAATTATATCTCAATAAACATGATTAAAAATGCTATTGAAGGAAACTAGTTAATTGGACATATTAGAGTTCAGTCAACCTTACCAATTTGGGGGCATAAGGCAAGGGTGTAAATAGATGTCAATATGCCATATATCAAATATTTTACAATTGTAAATCAAGAAAATGAAATTTTAAGTAAGTTCTACTCTTCTGCTTTGACCAACATACCTTTGGATCACCTTTGTCCTGTTTGTAGTAGAAAGTCAGCAAGGGCTTTAGTTAGGATAGGGAATCAGCCCTGTCGAGGTCTGAGTGGAAAACAACCTGGGGATGCAGTTAGTAAACTATGGCAATGATCCTACCAGAGACTGAGGAGGACCCAAACCAATTTGTTGGTGTGGAGGGAGTATGACAGATACAGCAGACATCCTGTAAGCTGAATCAGCAGAGATGGAGTGGAAAGAGGATAAAGGATGAGAGGAAAGAGAGAGGCTGGTTGATGTTTAGAGTTTCCATGACTCAGGATGATGTTATCAGCCCTAGTTTCAGAGTTCACTATTGTCACATCATCACCAGGAAATGATCCAATATTTGGAACATGTTCTCATTTCATTAGTCTCACTGTGATTTTGCATTTCAAAGAGAAGCAGGTATTAGCACAATAGGTAATTGGGCTAAGTTGGTAGAATATGGGAAGGTAAGAGACTGAATGTTAATCAGGCTTTCAATCTTAAATTAGCAGCAATCACATATTTTCAAGAAACTATGAAGAAGCTAGGTTTTGGCCAAATTTTGAAGGAAATTAAGATTGCATGCCTCTCCATTTCAGTTCTACCAAATAGTTCAAGTCCTTCCTCTTTAGCCCTGGTTTTTACAGATCCTGCAACAAGATTGACAGTTGCCTCCCTCTCAGACTTATATGCTATACTATTTTATATCTTTCTCTGCATCTTGCTGTAATACTCTGACCAGATATGAGGTGGGTTGCTATGAGACAGGCTGTCTCATAATTTGATGGTGGAGTGCCAATTTGTGTGACTTTTATGGAAAGCATTTTACCAATTGATGTTAGAGTATTTAAATCGATTCCATTATCATCTATTCTATTATAATTTAGAATATTTTAATCTATTATAATTTAATCTATTCAAAGGAAATAATGTGTGATTATAAAATTATTCATTACAACATTATTTTAATGGTAAAACATAAAAAACTAGTGAAAAATTGAAAATAATCTGAAGTCCATCAGTAGGTGACTGTTAAATAAGTAATAGTGAATAGAATAGTGTGCAGCCATTAAAAACTCATGTAAGGCCGGGCACGGTGGCTCACACCTGTAATCCCAGCACTTCGGGAGGCTGAGGTGGGTGGATCACCTGAGGTCAGGAGTTTGAGACCAGCCTGGCCAACATGTTGAAACCCCGTCCCTACTAAAAGTACAAAAATTAGCCGGGCATGGTGGTGGCTGCCTGTAATCCCAGATACTCGAGAGGCTGAGGCAGGAGAATCTCTTGAACCTGGGAGGCAGAGGTTGCAGTGAGCCGAGATCGCGCCACTGCACTCCAGTCTGGGTGACAAGAGAAAGACTCAGTCTCAACAACAAAAAAAAAAAAAAAAAAAAAAGGATGTAGATCTAGTTGATTGAAATAATGACTATGATATAGTAAGTGGTAAATGTAGGCTAAAAGTAAGTGAATTAGGAATTCATTTTAAAAATGTATTTCTCTACATATATGTATCTGCATACAAACAAAAGCTAGAAAGTACTTCCATTAAAATGAGAAGATAATTTTTACTTTCATCTTACATTTTTGTATTGCTGAATTTGTTTTTAATTAATAAACATTCATATTCATATAATAAGTAAAACATAGCTTTAGCATTCACCAAATCACCATTTACCATTAACAACTGTGAATCAAATAAACAAAAATGCTATATTCATAAGATGAAATACATTACACTACCATTTAACATAGTGATTTTGAAAAATAGTGATTTTGAAAATGAATGTTAACAGTTTTTACCCACAATAAACACAGGGATACTTTGTTTTATTGTGCTTTGCTTTATCGCACGTCGCGGATATTGTGGTTTTTTCCCAGTTGAAGACTTGTGACAACCCTGCATTAAGCAAGTCTGTCAGCGCCATTTTCCCAACAGCATGTGATCATTTTGTGTTTCTGTGTCACATCTTGGTAATTCTCACAATATTTCAGACTTTTAAATTATTACTATTTATATATCTGCTTTGGTGATCTGTGATCTGTGATTTTTAATCTTACTATTGCAATTGTTTTGAGGTATCACAGACTATGCCCATATAGGAGGTGAAGTTAAAATGTGTGTGTTCTGACTGTTCCACCAACCTGCCATTCTCCCATCTCTCTCCCTATCCTTGGATTTCCCACTTCCCTGAGACACAACAGTATTGAAATTAGGCCAATTAATAACAGTACAATGGCTGTAAAGTGTTCAAGTGAAAGGAAGAATTATGCATCTCTTACTTAACATTAAAAGCTAGAAATGATTAAGCTTAGTGAAAAAGGCATGTTGAAAGCTGAGACAGCCTGAAAGCTAGGCCTCTTGCTCCAGTTAGCCACGTTGTGAATGCAAAGGAAATGTTCTTGAAGAAAATTAAAAGTGTTACTCCAGTGGACAATGAATAACACCAAAAAGTGAAACAGGCTCCATTGCTGTTATGGAGAAAGTTTTAGTGGTCTTGAAGATAGACCAAACCAGCCATAACATTTCCTTAAGCCAAAGCCTAATCTAGAACAAGACTTTAATTCTCCTCAACTCTATGAAACTGACAGAGGTGAGGATGAAAAAACTGTGGAAGAAATGTTTGAAGCTAGCAGAGGTTGGTTCATGAGGTTTAAAGAAAGAAGCTATCCCTATAACATAAAAGTGCAAAGTGAAGCAGAAAGTACTGATGTAGAAGTTGCAAGTTATCTAGAAGATCTAGCTAAGATAGGTGGTGAAGGTGGCAATACAAAATAACAGATTTTCGGCTGGGTGCGGTGGCTCACATATGTAATCTCAGCACTTTGGGAGGCCAAGGCAGGTGGATCACAAGGTCAGGAGATTGAGACCATCCTGGCCAACATGGTGAAACCTCATCTCTACTAAAAATACAAGAATTAGCTGGGTGTGGTGGTGTGCGCCTGTAATCCCAGCTATTACGGAGGCTGAGGCAGTAGAATTGCTTGAACCCAGGAGGTGGAGTTTGCAGTGAGCCGAGATTGCACCACTGCACTCCAGCCTGGCAACAGAGCGAGACTCTGTCTTAAAAACAAAACAAAACAAAAAGAACAGATTTTCAATCTAGGTGAAATAGCCTTATATTGGAAGAAGATATCATCTAGGACTTTCAAGCTGTAGAGGAGAAGTCAAAGCCTGGCTTCAAAGCTTCGAAGGACAGGCTGACTCTCTTGTTAGGATGTAATGCAGCTAGTCACTTTAAGATGAAGCCAATGCTCATTTAATATTCCAAAACTTCTAGGGTCCTTACGAATTATGCTAAATCTACCCTGCCTATGCTCTAGAAATAAAATAATGAAGTCTGAATGACAGTGTATCTGTTTATAGCATGACTTACTAAATATTTTAAGCCCACCATTAAGACCTCCTGTTCAGAAAAAAAAAAAGATTACTTTCAAAATATTGCTGCTCATCACCAGTGCACCTGGTCACCCAAGAGCTCCAAAGGAGTTGTACAAGGAGATTAATGTTGCTTTCATGTCTGTTAACACAACATCCATTCAGTAGTCCAGGGATGAAGAAGTAATTTAAACTTTCTAGTCTTATTATTTAAGAAATACAATTTGTAAGACTAAAGCTGCCATTGACAGTCTTACAGATCCTGTGATGGATCTGGGCAAAGTAAATTGAAAACTTACTGGAAAGAATTCACCATTCTAGATGCCAATAAGAACTTTTGTGATTCGTGGGAGGAGGTCAAAATATCATCATTAACAGGAGTTTGGAAGAAGTTGATTTCACCTTCATGGATGACTTTGAGGGGTTTGAGACTCCAAGGAGAAAATAACTGCAGATATGGTAGAAAGAGCAAGAGAACTGGAATTAGAAGTGGAGCCTGAAGATGTGACTGAATTGCTGCAATCTCATGTTAAAACTCTAACAGGTGAGGAGTTGCTTCTTACAGATGAGCCAAGAAAGTGATTTCTGGAGATGGTGTCTACTCCTGGTGAAGATGCAGTGAACATTGTTGAAATGACAACAAAGGATTAGAATATTCATAAACTTAGTTGATAAAGTAGCAGCAGGGTTTGAGAGGATTGACTTCAACTATCCAACAGCATTGCATGTTGCAGAGAAAACTTCCATGAAAAGTCAGTCAATGTCAAACTTTATTTTTTTCTTATTTTAACAAATTGGCACCACCGTCCCAGCCTTCAGAAAGCGCCACCCTGATTAATCCATAGGCATCCACATAAAGGCAAGATGCTCCACCAGCAAAAAGATTACAACGTGCTGACAGCTCATAACCGGCATTTTTTTTTTTTTTTTTTTTGAGACGGAGTCTCGCTCTGCCGCCCAGGCCGGACTGCGGACTGCAGTGGCGCAATCTCGGCTCACTGCAAGCTCCGCTTCCCGGGTTCACGCCATTCTCCTGCCTCAGCCTCCCGAGTAGCTGGGACTACAGGCGCCCGCCACCGCGCCCAGCTAATTTTTTGTATTTTTAGTAGAGACGGGGTTTCGCCTTGTTAGCCAGGATGGTCTCGATCTCCTGACCTCATGATCCACCCGCCTCGGCCTCCCAAAGTGCTGGGATTACAGGCGTGAGCCACCGCGCCCGGCCCCGGCATTTTTTTTAAGCAACAAATATCTTTAAGATATACACATTGTTTCTTAGACATAATGCTACTGCACACTTAAAAGACTGTAGCATAGTGTGAACATCACTTTCTATATGCACTGGGAAACCAACAAATCTGTGTGACTCCCTTTATTGCAAAATTCGGTTTACTGCAGTGGTCAGGAGCCCAACCTGCAATATCTCCATGGTATGCCTGTACCTACAGCAGTAACTATAGCCATAACCAAATTATTTTTAATAAATACCTATTATTTTAATATTCAGAAAATATTTTTAATTTCAGAATTATTAGGTTGGTGCAAAAGTAATTGCGGTTTTGCCACTTTCACTGAATTACTTTCAAAACCGCAATTACTTTTGCACCAACCTAATGGTATTGTGATCAAATTCTTTATACTCTCTCTTAGGTGCTGTAAATCAAAATGCCATAGTTGTATCTACTAATTCAAGTTAAATGTATATATGTATTTACAGTACAAACCAGAAATATGTTATAAGCCATATATTTCTTCCATATGGAAACCTGAAGCAGTGGGCATTGTAGACACTGGGAAGACAGATTTTTAGTTAATTGAGTCTTCTAGAGAGTTAGGGAGAAAGGCCATATACACACTTAAAACACTTTTGTACACTTGATAACCCACAGAGTTGGGCAAACGATAAAAAGATATTGAGAGCCACATTATTACACTATTTGCTTTTTCAGAGAGAGCATTTGGAAAACTTGGTAAGGTGGATTTTTCATCAACCCATGCAAAGTAATTTAATAATCTGGCCAAAAATTATCTTAAATTGATTTAGTCTTAGGAAATGTCCAAATCACTTCCTTAGAATATCTTCTTTGGTTTTTACCACAATCTCGTGAGGCAGACAGGACAAATATTTACATTCACAGATAAGGAGACAGCTTCAGACAGGTTAAGCACACTGCTCAAGATCTCAAACTAGAAAATTAAGGATCTGGGATCTGAACCCACATTTTTTTTTTGACAATATAAGTTAGTTCTAGTTATAAGTGGGAATTGAATCTTAGTTTACCGGCTCCATGTCCAGATGTTTATCTATTCTATGTCTTTGTATCCTCCCAGAAGATTACAATGCTTATAAAGTAGCCCAGGATTGAATCCTGATCCGTTTCTAATAAGGCACCAGTGAACACAAAGCAAGGAGGATTCTAGATGAACAAGACTGTGGTAAAGCATGGTCAGGGGAAAGGGCTTGGGTATGGGGGGATGGTTGGGAGACCTTCAAACTCAAATAGCTGCCAAGGCCATACAGGTGATATAAATAATGGAAGCCTGCTAGGAGTGAGAAAAACAAAATCAGCTGCATGATAATGGAACTGCCACTGGATCGCATTATGGTAGCGATAGCAGGGATTCATGAGTGTGGGCGAACTGGAGAGCGTGTCCTGTTAAATATCTGAAGGATGTAGCTGTTGCTTAGCACCAGCAACTGTTGCAGAAAAGAAACTGACTCTGTGTTTTACTTTTTTCAGTTACTCAAAAGAAGGCTGAAAATTTTGATTTTTAGGCAAAATCTCTCCATTTTAAATGCTAGTATTAATTTTTTAAAAAGCATTTCATAAGCTGACCAAAATATATCTGATGGCAAACAAAGCCTCTAGAGTTGGTGCTTTGTGATTTCTGGGCATATTGTGTCTAAGAGTTTTCCAGGTTCCTAGTTGATCAAATTTGATTTCTGCTTCCTTGATGATGCTCCACAGTGATCCTTGTCATTTGTCCTTATGCATTCAGGCAAACATCTCTCTTTCATCTTCTTCGCACCCACCTACACCTACCACCCTCATCAATCCTCGTCATTTCTCACACTTGCTCTAAGAGATTGTGCCCAAGAGGATATCCCCAAGTGCACCCCGAGAACAGTCTGGGTAAACACTGCTGGTCATGAGTGTTTAGAAATGTCCCCTGAGGCTCAGGAAAGACATCTTTTAATTAAGCTACACTTCTGACTTTAATTATTGTCTAGACTAGGATTTTTTTTTTTTTTTGCAAGCCTGTAAATATATGCGTGGCGACTGGGTGATACAAATCATTCAGGTTTTCTACACTTAGAAGGAATCCAACCAGAAGGTGCCAAGGAAAGTTCAAAAGGCGTATGAGCAAAGGTGCAAATCTCCATGTTAAATCCGCAAACTAGATTAAACACTTGACTGCTGCCTTGAGCTGAAATAGACAGAGGCATATTCCATCCTAGTTTCTCAGGGAGGCTCACAGCAAAGGGAACATGTGCATCGAGCTGACTCACACAATGTTTCGTCCAGCGAATGTTCTAATACGTCTTTGGAGGAGTCTGACTTTGGAGATAGTTCTCTTCATAATCCATCTTTGGGCAAACTTATAATGTTTCAGTATGTAATGCTTTCCTATTTATAAAGTGTTTTTAATCATGATTCTCTGTTGAAAATTTTGAAAATACCACAAAGTATATAAAAGAGGGTTTTAAAAAATTGCATGCAATCCCATCACCCCGAGATAGTTTTGTAACATTGGTGTATGTTATTCTAATCTTTTTGCTGTGTTTTCATGAAAAACAGATAAGCAAATGCACACACACACAAAATAAAGAAAACATGCTCTTGGCTTTACATAAAAAATTTGAATATCAATAATTACACTTTGTGATAAATTCAGTCTACATAAATAAGCAATAGGAAAAAAAATAGTGAGTGGCGAGACCACAGGAAAGTCAGAATCCAACAGGTAAGAAAGAGAATGAGCAGCATTTTAAGTGCATTTTGACTGAAGGGAAAAAGGCGAGGGAGGGAAGAACCATTTGGGCCCTTGGAATACAGTGATGACAGGTGAGAATACAGGTGAGACACATGTGGACACAAGTTACAGCTCCTGTGAGAAATAGAGAGGATTCTTACAAAAGCATGTGTTAGTCCAATTGCTTTGGGTAGGAGGAATCCAGCCTGAGCCTCCTTCCATTGGTCGTGCTATCTCCAATACTTTCTGCCTCAATCAATCATTATCAATAAAACAAAGAAATCTAAAATATTTTGAGCATTTACCACACGAAAAGGCTTATATATGTATAATATGCATATATAATATGCATTTTAAAACATATATGCAATGGTTAGATGCATATATTTTATGTATGTTCACCATTATGTATATACTCTCATTTAAATTTTTATTAAGTTTATTGAGGTATCAGTCACATACCACTTAAAAGATATAATGCACTGGTTTTTAGTATTTTCACAGAGTTTGGCAAACATTAGCACTGTATAATTTTATAACATTCTTATCACTCCAGAAAGGAACCTTGTACACATTAGCAGTCACTTTCATTCTCCCCCGAATCCCAGTATATTCTGAATACTAAGCCCTTTTCAGATATGCGATTTGAAAATATATTCTCCCATTCTATAGCTTGTCTTTTCATGTTCTTGATGGTATCCTTTGACAGGCAAAATTTTAAATTTTAATTAAGTCCAATTTCTCTAACTTTTTCTTTTGTTGCTTGTGTTTTTGTTATTATTTCTAAAAATAAAAGTTCTTCGCTTAGTGCAAGGTCATTAAGATATACTCTTATGTTTCTTCTGGAAGTTTTATACTTTTAGCTTTTATGTTTACATCTGTGGTCCATTTTGAGGTAATTTTTGTAGATGGTGTGAGGTAGGTAGTGTTCAGCTTTATTCTTTTGCATGTGGATATCCAGTTTTTTCAACACCATTTGTTGAAAAGACCATTATTTCTCAATATGTCTCAGTTTTCATCAAGAGTCTAACGAGTGAGGAATTATTTTCTGTGTTTGCAAATGAGGAAACTGAGGCTCAGGAAGGTTAAGTGACTAGCCTTAGGTACTGAACAATTCCAACAGAAGAAGTAGAATTTAATTTTTAATACCAAAATTAACATCTACTATATGCCAGGTCATGGTAAAAAGAAACACAAAAAGGATATTCATCATCTGATGCCTTTAAATTTTTAAAAATTAAATATGCCCTTCCTGAGGAGCTGTCAGTGTCAAGCAAATAGTAAGCATAGTTCTTATTTTTTAAAAGCTCATAACACAATAGAAACCAAGGAGTTTCCTACAAGCAGATGACCTCAAAAGTCAGTATTTCGGGTTGCAAGGCAGCAGAAATCAGCTTAAGAAGCCACAGTCAAGGACTCAGAGAATCAGCAGGATATTGGGGAACCAGCAAACAGACAGGAGCCAAATCAAGCCCAGGGGCTCAGAAGCAGGAAGCACAGGGATTATCTCTGGACAAAGGCAGTAAGACCAGGACATCACAGTGGTTGAGAATCCTGCTGTCGGCACTGTGAGTGAGCCTGACTGTCCCTGAGCCTTTGCATCCGTAGGTCCCGATACGGAAACAGATGAGAGTGTTTGGCTGGCCAAGCCTGAGTTGTGTGCCCACTCTCTGTATCACACACAAATACCAGGGGTGGTAGATGCTGGAAATGCCCACTCCCAGGACAGCAGGGGGGCCAATCTTTCCACCCTGATATTCCAGTTGCTTTCTTTGTATGGATGAGTCAGAGCCAAATTGCCTTCATTTTATTTTTCATCCTCTCGATATTTCACATGACCTGTTTTCCTAATGAGATTATAATCTCCATGTAGTCAGGAACCGTATTTTACACACCACTACTTTGCAGCTCCTATTGCAACTTAAATACAAGCTTACAGGATGTATTTTCAAATTGGTGAGGATTGCCTGGGATGCCTCAGAGACCACAATCAACCCTGCATTACTCACATGTGAGTTCTCCCCGGCCCATTTCTAACCTTAAGTAGGTGTTTCCTTCCCATTGGCTGGGGATGCCCAGGATGTGTTCGCACCCTTCAATGTTAGCCTAAATGAAACTAGGGGGTGGGGGTCGTTGGGGGTGGTTGGGGTGGATGAACTCTGTTAGGGGAGGGCTATGAGCCGAGTCATAGATTCAGCCTTGCCCATACCTTCCTATGAATACTCCCTTTATCTTGAACTCTTCAGCTCTTTAAGGTAGTTCTTTCCAGGGCTTGTTTTATCCATCAAAATCTTGCGGAGTTTTGGGTTCTTTCCCTTGTTTACCATCAGGGTTCAGAACTGGTTGTCTTTTCTGCTTTACTAACCCCCAGGGGGATGAATGAAATCCCCCAAATAGCTGAGCTCTGACTCAGAGCTTTTGAGAACCTTCTCCCTCAGCCTTTCCTAGCCCGCTCCACCATTTCCCACAGTTCGTGACGCCCGCAGGTCGTGTGATTCCCTCACAATAAAAGAATCTGAGGCTGCATTGCACAGTAACTTCAGGTTCTTATTTTAATCACATATATTCAAGGTGAAGGTTGCTAGTCATCATGAAAAGCATTAATTTGTTGTTGTGTCTTGGCCTGCTAAGCTTTTTTGTTCTTCAAACTGTTGGCTGTAATGTCTCTTTGACTTTTCCGAGAAAGTAGATGTCCACCATTAGTCATTGGAAATTACAGGCAGTTTTCCTAAGGAACAGGAGGAGAGAAGGCCATGGTCAGGGAAGATATTAAGCACAGTTTTTATTTAGTGAAATATTCGCAAAGGTTGCATGCTAAAAGGGTACTTTCATCTTGGACAGTAACTGTTACCTCTGATTTAGTGAAAAAATATGTTAAACGAGTTTCAATGGTTTGAACACCTCCCCTTCCTCTCCAACACACATGTGGAAGCCTTGACCAGCAGCTGTGCTGCCAGCCTTGATCCTAGTTACAGAGGGGCATGGGCAAGATGGGTGAGGGGAAGAGAACTGGGGCACACAATGAGGTGTTTCGTGTTGATGTCCAAGGAAACAAAATTGTTGTGTGATGGTGGTGGTGGCATTGGGAGAATTGGGTGGGCAAAACATCCCTTCTTTGTTAGAATTTGAATCTAAGAAATAAAAGACATCTCCAGTTGAGAAGTTTGGAGACTAGTATTCTAAGTGAAGTCACTCAGGAATGGAAAACCAAACATCGCATGTTCTCATTGATATGTGGGAGCTAAGCTATGAGGATGCAAACACATAAGAATGATACAATGGACTTTGGGTACTCAGGGGAAAGGGTGGGAGGGGGACGGGGATTAAAAGACTACAAATATGGTGCAATGTATACTGCTTGGGTGATATGTGCCCCAAAATCTCACAAATCACCACTAAAGAGCTTATGTAATCAAATACCACCTGTACCTCAATAACTTACGGAAAAGTAAAAAATAATAATAATGAAATAAAATCCTCTCTGTTTATAGAATCCCAACTAATGGAGAGAATCCCACACTTGGTGCATTTATTTTAGTTTGAAATTAGATTGTTGGCTGATAATAATCCTTTACTCCATCAAGACAAGAGCCTTACAAATGCCATCTCTGTCTGGAAAGAGAGGAAGCTCTGAAGCAGGGAAGTGGTGTGTGGGGACAGGAGGAGAGGGGTTAGGAATTTATCTTTATTCTTCCCCCATGACCACTTTAGGCTTCTTTCTTCTCACTTAGAAGTCACTCTCCAGCCCCCATGAACTAGGAAAGTGTCTCCTGTCCCATTATTCAGATCTGGTACATGAGTTGTTATAACAGGATTCCGTTAATACTTACGGAGCACTTAGCGAGTGTCAGGCATTGTTGTAACAGCAAATCATAATAATAGCTACTGTGTTAGTGTTTACCATTACCATGTTGTGTTTTTTGCCTAATTTTCTCCTCAAAAGATGGTTTTTTTTTTTTTTTGTTTGTTTGTTTGTTTTTCCACGAGGCATTTTAGGCTCTGAGAGGTTGAATAACTTGCCCAAGGTCAAATAGCTTGGTGGTAGAGTCAGGAGCTGAACTCAGGTCTGTTTAACTATAGAATCTATAGCAGCATTTCATCCATTAACTTTTAATGTGCTCTCTTTTTCTTCTTTTAAGGTGTATGTTGTGTGTTTGAACAGGGAGAGGGAGATAACATTAAAACATTTGAAAATCCGTAAGAAGAAATGTCTAACAGCAAATCTGACAGAGTGGAGGAAAGCTAGCAATTGAAGGATCCCCTGGGAATGACATAATCTCAGAGCCTAGATTATTACTTTTGGCTGCTGAACTCTGTCTGCTATGGTACCATCCCTCTGGCCTTGAGTGCACAGGCAGAGCCTCTACAAGCTCTTTTGGCTCGTGTACCTTCAGACCTCCATCTGCTCAGCTGCCCATTAGAACTATAATATGTGCCTCATAAATGAAATCTTTGAAATTCTGCTGCCAACATCTATTGCTACTAAGTTTCAGCAGCTGCTTTTAATTTTGGTGGTGCAATTCTCCCTGTTAGAACCACTGGTTGCATTGCCTATTATCTAAAATAAGACACTTAAGGTCCCTCCTAGTACCCTTTGAGGTCAGATTTCTCCCTGGTATCAGAAGGAAGGGCAAGGTAGGGTTCCATGACCTAAAAACCTGATTGATGGGATGCCCCATTAAAGCCAGCTCCTGAATCTATCGCAGACCTGTACTGGATCTCAGTGGGTGTCTAAGGTAAAGCTGATGGAGAGTGTTCAGTCATAGGGTGGAAAGTTCAGTCTCTCCTAAGTATGTACGAGGCTCTGTTCTCTCTTGACATCCTATATCACTCCTTGGTCCTAGTCTAGTGTTTCATTCTAACTTGAAACCACATCAAAAAAGAGAAACTAAACCAGAAACAAATTCTCAATATGGGCCTTAAGGCTTATATTGATTTAATATAATTTCATCTCTAGGAAAAATGTCTACCCTGGCCTTACTTGGTTGACTACATCAGCATGTGTGTAGTGTTTGTGTGGAGAGTGAGCAGACTAGGAGAAGTGAATAATTTCACAGCAGAGTGCAATCACTCAAAATATTGAGGAAGTTGCTGCATTTGGGAGACTATTTCTTCATAAAATTGCCATGATGTCACTAGCTATGGAAGTAAATAATTTCCTTTAATTTCCTCTTTCACAATGTAGGAGTTGAACCCAAGGAAAGAACCAAATGATTGAATGATGGTCAATGTTTGCCTATAATTGAAGCTCTCAGCCAACAGCAGCTTTGATTGAATTAGAGTGGTTAACTCAGTTGAATTGCCAAGCCTCCAGCTTCTGCTATCAGTCATGAGTTTTCCCCAAGACCCCAGTTAAAGGTTATGGCATCTCCAAGAGTATCCAAAAACAGCCGAGTTAGGAAGCTCTTCGATGTAAAGAAGATGGGAAATATGGCAGGTGGTTCCTTCACCAATTACACTTGTCAAACTATCCCTCATGTCTATTACCCATCATAGGAGCACTCAGTCACTCATTCAAAAACTATTAAGTACCAACCACGTGGCTGGTATTGTGCGAGGTGCTAGAATGGCTTTGCAAATATGCGATAGTCATTTTCCCCAAAAACTTACAATCCAGTGGACCATTAGGAAAAGATAAGACACGAGCCACATAGCCTAGAATCTACAGAAAGTTTCCTTTTCAGAGAGAGCCAAAGGATGGATGTGGAGCCTTTGGTGCAAAGCAGAAACTCGTTACCCCTGATCCAGAAATGGGAAGAGGTTGGGAATAGGAACTTCTATTTATGTCATCTTGATAATCCTTAGTCTACAGATTTGAGGGATTTATTTATTTATTTATTTATTTATTTATTTATTTGAGATAGAGTCTCGCTTTGTCAACCAGGCTGGAGTGCAGTGGTGCGATCTTGGCTCACTGCAATCTCAGCCTCCTGGGTTCAAGTGATTCTCCTGCCTCAGCCTCCCAAGTAGCTGGGATTATAGGTGCCCATCACACCCAGATAATTTTATATTTTTAGTAGAGATGGGGTTTCACCATATTGGCCAGGCTGGTCTCGAACTCCTGACCTTGTGATCCACCTGCCTCGGCCTCCCAAAGTGCTGAGATTACAGATGTGAGCCAGCGCGCCCAGCTGAGGAATTTATTGAACTTGCATATGATGTAGTAAAAATGATGTCGGATGCCAAAACCAGAGAACTTTGGGTCTAGTCACTCCCCCTAAAATACCTTACCCCACCAATATTTCACCTTCAACAAATTCTCAAAAATAATTCTGGGTCTTAATAGTTTGATTAGTAAAATTGTAATAATAACAATACTGTACTTCCCTGAAGGTGGATGGCTAGACTACCTGATCTTCTGAATTTTCTGTCATCTCTCAAGTCTATGATCTTTTGATTTCTGTTTTTCTCCGTAGACAAAAACAACAGAAAGGCTAATTTCCACAGAAGCATTTTATTTGCTGAATTAAACACAGGCGCTGCCCGTGGACATTTGGGCAGCAGCTTACAGAACTCTAGGATCTGGTCCTAGAGGTTGCTGAGTTCACTTGAATCAAGTCTTTAAAATGTTTTGTAGCTTTAGGAAAAAGATTATTTGCAGAAATTTCTGCCCTCTATTTAACCATCTGAATTTACTGATGAATTAAAGGTGATTTGTAATAGGGTCATCTTGAAAGGACATTTAAAATGGATTTGGTAAGATGAGATAGACTCATGTTTATTTTTGAAAACTCTGGTTTCTTTTATAAAAGGGGTGATGGGTTAACAAGTATCTACTGAGTGCCCACTAAGTTTACAGAAGGAAACTAGGCTTCTCTGTAGGGAAGAAAAGGAGTAGACATATTCTTTTTTCTTTTGAAGAACCTTCCCATTTATTTGAAATGAGGCATGCATCTGAGAACAATTATAGAGCAACTTGGCAATATGTTGTTTAATATGCTTTGAATTGAAGGCATATGCTCCAATTATTGGCAGAGTAAAGGAGAGAATAGAGAAGAGAAGATTAAGTGGAGTTTTGAGTGTTGAAGAAGCTGATAAAATGCTTTCTTAAGGCAGCCCCTAATATTCAAATTTACTTAAAAGCCTTCAAACTAGAGTTGGATGCACAAGTTGCAGGCAGATCCTCAGGACAGGTCATGGACTAATCCCTAAAACTGGGAACATTGGGTACATAAGAGCAAGAGAGAAGTGAGGAAATTTCTCCTGGAAAAGCCTGATGTGAATGTGGTACTTTTAAAACTCATTAATTTCGTGTTCATCTGCATCATTTCCCTATTATTGATTAGGAGACTGAGGTTCAGAAAGGTAAGGTAAAATTTGAGGTGGACTTGTCAATCGATCTACCGGGATAGAACAAAGTCAGTGTGAGTGCTGACAAATGACACAGAGAGAATTGAGTGTAGATCATCAGTTCATCTTCATGCAGTCAACTAAACTCAGTGATAAAATAATAATTGGCTGAGGTTGCTACCTATTCCAACTGTACTGGAAGCAACAGAGATTTAGACAGGCAATGGATTCCAAGGCTGAGAGACGACCTGTCTGTGCTTCTTATTCCCCCAGTAGTTTTTGTAAAGTTCTTTGGCCAGAGAGAAACTGCAGAACAGCTTGACAGCTATATAAAGCAAATGTGTAATGATGTTGGCAGTGTTCTGAAAGTAGCTACCAAGAATGCATACTACAGGGAGGAATGAAGAAACCATTTCTGGCTGAAACCCATTTTGAGTGGAAAAGCTTTTAATGGATGAATTCTCCGTCAATACGTTGCTGCTTTCCATTTAATTGTCATTGTCCACTGTTTTATTTGTAAGTCTTCCTGCATTTATGTACGTGACTACATTTGGAGGCAGTGGGAAATTGTTTATGAGAACTCTGTGTTCTTTCTTAAGGAATTAATAACTATCTAACTCAACACACTACACCCTCTTCCGTTGCCTTGGGACTATCACTTGCTATATTTAATAAGTAATACATATTTTTTCCCTATTAAATTTTGAGAACTTGATATTCCCGATTCTGTCTTTCCTGATTAGGAATTACATGAGTGAATCTCCATCTTTGTATTTTAGTATGTGACTATAAGAACCAAACTTTGTATACTTATCAGGTGCCTTCCACAACTTTTGTGAAAAGGTGAGTCACTAAGCCATTCCTGAGTAGTCTTGTGGACTTGTCAGATCAAGAGACTATTTCCTTCAGGCCATGCTCTCCCACTCAGATTTCTCATTCTCCTGATTTCTGAAAATGTCTCCAGTAGTTGCTCCTGCCTGTGGGCCATGAACTCCTAAGACGGGGAGGGAGGTGCACAGTTATTTTGAAGAGCATGTAAATTCACAGAAACCCCAACCATTGAAAGGATAATGTCCTCAAGGTTCATCTATGTTGTCACATATTGCAGGATTCCCTTTTATTCAGGCTGAATGATATTCCATTGAATGCGTATACATGTTTTCTTTATTCATACATCTGTCATTGGATATATAAGTTGCTTCTACATCTTGCCTAATAGTACTGTAATACACATGAGACTGCTAATATCTCTTTGAGATCCTGATTTCTTTTGGATAAATACAGAAAAGTGGGATTGCTGGGTCATATGGTAGTTCTATTTTTTGATTTTTGAGGAACTTCCATACTGTTTTCTATATTGGCTTTATTATGTCACATTTTCACCAACAGTGTGCAAAGGTTCTATTTCTCCACAGCCTCACTAACATTTTTTGATTTCTTTTTGCTGATTTTTTAAAATAATAGCCATCCTGAAAAGTATGAGGTGATATCTCATTGTGGTTTTGATTTGAATTCCTCTGATGATTAGTGATGTTGAACACTTTTTCATATACCTCATGGCCATGTGTATGTCTTCTTTGGAGAAATGTCTATCCAAGTCCTTAGCCCATATTTTAGTCAGGTTATTAGTTTTAGTTTGTTTTACTCTTGAATAGCAGGAGTCCCTCACATATCTTGGAGATTAACCCCTTTTCCAATATGTGATTTGCAAATATTTTCTTACATTATACAGGTTACCTTTCACTCTGTTGATTGTTTTGTTATGCAGAAGTCCAACTTGTCTATTTTTATTATTGTTGCCTGTATTTTTGGTATCATATGAAATCATTGTCAGGACCAATGCCATATTTCCTCTATGTTTTCATCTAGGAGTTTTACAGTTTCAGGTCTTACGTTTCAGTCTTCAATCCATTTTAAGTTGATGTTTGTGTGTAGGGTAAAATAAGGATTCAATTTCATTCTTTTGCCTGTGAATATCCAGTTTTCCCAACACCTTTTGTTGAGGAGATGGTCTTTCTAGATTGTGTATTCCTGGTACCTTTTTTTTGTTTGTTTGTTTATTTAAGACAGAGTCTTGCTCTCTCACCCAGGCTGGAGTGCAGTGGTGCAATCTCAGCGCACTGCAGTCTCCATTTCCTGGGTTCGAGTGATTCTCCTGCCTCAGCCTCCTGAGTAGCTGGGATTACAGGCGCCCACCACCACGTGTGGCTATTTTTCTTTTTTTTTTCTCGCTCCAGAGATGGGGTTTTGCCATGTTGGCCAGACTCGTCTCAAACTCCTGACCTTAGGCAATCCACCTGCCTCGGCCTCCCAAAGTGTTGGGATTACAGGCATGAGCCACCACACTCAGCCTCCTGGAACCTTTATTAAACAACAGTTGACCCCATATGTGTGGATTTATTTCTGGCTGTTCTGTTCTATTGATCTATATGTTTGTCTTTATGTCAGCATCATGTTGTTTTGGTTATCATAGCTTTGTAATATATTTTAAAATCTGGAAGTGTAATACTTATAGCTTAGTTCTTTCTCAATATTGACTTGGCTATTCATGGTCTTTTGATATTCTCTATGAGTATTTTGATTGTATTTTCTATTTTTGTAAAAAGTACCATTTGACTTTTTTTTAGTTATTAGATTGAATCTGTAGATCACTTTGAGTACCATAAACATTTAAACAATATTAAGTCTTCCAATCCATAAACATAGGATATCTTTTCATTTGTTTGTATCCTATTCAATTTCTTTCATTGATATTTTGTAATTTTATGTACAAAATTCTTTCACCTCCTTAGGTCTATTCCTAGGTATTTTATTCTTTTCGGTGCTATTGTAAATGAGATTGCTTTTCTAATTTCCTTTTCACACAGTTTGCTGTTAGTGTATTGAAACACAATTTATTTTTACATCGATTTTATATCTTATAACTTTACTAAATTCATTTATTAGTTTTAACAGTTTTATTTATTTATTTTTTTTGGTGGAGTCTTTAGGCTTTCCAATATATAAGATCATGTCATCTGCAAAAAGAGACCATTTTACTTCTTCCTTTCTAATTTAGATGCCTTTTGTTTCTTTTTCTTGCTTAATTACTCTGGCTAGTACTAAGTTAAATAGAAGCAGTGAGAATGGGAAATTTTGTCTTGCTCCTGCTTACCAGTGACTATGATGTTGGTCATGGGCTTTTCACACATGTTCTTTATTATGTTGAGGTGATTTCCCTCTATTTCCAGTCATTGAGAGGTTTTATCATTAAGAGGTGTTGAATTTTGCCAAATGCTTTTTCTATATCTATTGAAATAATTATATGATTTTAATCCTTTATTCTGTTAATGTGGTGTAGCACATTAATTGATTTTCGTATGTGGAACCAACCATCCTTTTATCCCAGAAATAAATCCCGCTTGGTTATGGCCTATGATCTTTTTAATGTGCTGTTGGATTTGGTTTGCTGGTATTTTGTTCAGGACTTTTGCATTTATATTTATTAAGGATAGTGGCCTGCAATTTTCTTTTTTTGTGTTGTCTTTCTCTGGCTTTGGTATCAGGGTAATGCTGGCCTCATAAAAATCAGTTTGGAAGTATTCTTTCCTCTTCAGTTTTTTGAAAGAGTTTGAGAAAGTTTGGAATTAATACTTTAAAGTTTGGTAGTATTCATCAGTTCAGTCATCTGGTCCTGAACTTTTCTTTGTTAGGAGATTGTGATTACTGATTCACTCTCCATACTAGATATAGGTCTGTTTAGACTTTCTATTTCTTCATAATTTCGTCTTGATAGGTTATATGTTTCTAGGAATTTATTAATGTTTTCTAAGTTATCCAGTTTGTTGGCATATAGTTGTTCATAGTCGTCTTTATGAGCCTTTTTATTTCTGTGGCATCAGTTGCAATGTCTCTTCTTTCATTTTTGATTTTATGTATTTGAGTCTTTCTCTTTTTCTTAGTGTATCTAAGGGTTTGTCAATTTTGTTGATCTTTTCAAAACATAACTGTTAGTTTTGTTGATTTTTTTACTGATTTTCTATTATTTATTTGTTTATTTTTGCTCTCATCTTTGTTACTTCCTTCCTTCTGCTAAAGTTGGACTTTTTTTTTTTTAATTCCCTTAGGTTTAAAAAGTTAGATGATTATTTGAGATTTTTCTTCTTTTTAAATACATTATAAACGTTTATTGCATTATTAGCTTCCCTTTTAGTATTGCTTTTGCTGCACAACATAAGTTTTGGCATGTTGTGTGTGTGTTTTCATTTGTCTTGAGGTATTTTCTAATTTTTGTTTTAATTTCTTTTTGAATAGTTGTTAAAGAGTGTGTTGTTTAATTTCTACATATTATGAATTTTTAATTTTTTCTTCTGTTGATTTGTAGTTTTATTCAGTTTTGGTCAGAAAAGATATTTGGTATGACTTCAGTCTATATAAATTAGTGAAGAAATGCTTTATGAGGGAACATGTCATTTATATTGGAGAAATATCCATATGCACTTGAGAAAAGTGTGTATTTTGCTTTTGTTTGGAATATTTGGTATATGTCTGTTAGATACATTTGATTTATAGCATTATTTAAGTCCTCTGATTCCTTACGGATCTTTTATATGGAAGTTTTGTTGATTATTGAAAATGCGGTGTCGAAGTTTCTTACTATTATTGTGTTGCTATTTCTCCCTTCAGTTTTGCCAGTTTTTTTTTAATATATCTAGCTAATCTGATGTGAGATAGAGAGATAATCTAATAGATAACAATCATAATAATAGATAACATGATTGTTATCTATTCCTGGTGGATTAGCCCTTTTATTATGAAATGTCCTTGCTTTTTATGACAGTTTTGGAGTTAAAGTCCATTTTGACTTATATAAATATAGTCACCTTTGTTGTCTTTTGGTTACCATTTGCATGGAATAACTTTTTCCATCATTTGACTTTCAGCCTATGTGTGACCTTAAATTTAAATCAATTTCTTATAGACAGCATTTAGTTGGATCTTATTTTGAAGTCTTTTCATACACTATATATCTTTTGATTGGGGTGTCTAATCCATTTGCATTTAACGTAATCATCGTTAGGGAAAAATTTGCTATTGCCATTTGTAAGTTGTTTTCTGTTAGCCCTGCCCTGCCCTGCCCTGCCCTTCCCGTCTCCTCCCGTTCTCTCCCTTTTTTCTTTTCTTTTTTTTCTTTTCTTTTTTCTTTTCTTTTCTTTCCTTCCTTCCTTCCTTCCTTCCTTCCTTCCTTCCTTTCTTTTTCTTTCCTTCTTTCTTCCTTCCTTCCTTCCTTTCTTTCCTCTCTCTCTCCCTCTCTCTCTCCCTTTCTTCCTTCCTTCCTTCTATCTTTCTGTCTCTCCTCTCTCTCTCTCTCCCTCTCTATATCTGTCTCCCTTTCTTCCTTCTTCCCTCCCTTCCTCCCTCCCTCCCTCCTTTCCTTTCCTTTCCTTTCCTTTCCTTTCCTTTCCTTTCCTTTCCTTTCCTTTCCTTTCCTTCCCTTGCCCTTTCTTTCTTTCGTTCTTTCTTTCTTTCTTTCTTCCTTTCTTTCTCTTCCTTCCTTCCTTCCTTCCTTCCTTCCTTCCTTCCTTCCTTTCTTTCTTCCTTCCTTCCTTTCTTTCCTTTCTTTCCTTTCTTTTTTCGGTCTTGCTCTGTTGCTCAGGCTGGAGTGCAGTGGCATGACCAAAGCTCATTGCAGCATCTAATTCCTGGGCTCAAGCAATCCTCCCACCTCAGCCTCTTAAGTAGCTGGGACTGCAGATATGCACAACCATGCCCAGCTGAATTTAAAACTTTTTGTAGAAGAGGGGTCTTGCTATGTTGCACAGGCTAGTCATGAGCTTCTGGCCTTAGCAATCCTCTTGCCTTGGCCTCCTCTGTTAGTCTTGTAGTTCTTTTATCTGTTTTTTTCTTCTCTTGCTATCTTCTTTTGTGTTTTGTTACAATTTTTTTTGTACTGATATATTTTGATTCCTTTATCTTTTCCCTTTTTATAACTTCCATAGGTATTTTTTTGCGGTTACCTTGGGACTAACATAAAATATATTATAGTTATAAAAGCCTACTTTAAGGTGATAATAACAAAGTTTAATTGCATACAAAAAGTCTGTACTTTGACTTCTCCCTCCCTACATACGTTATATTATGGTTGTCACAATGTATAACTATTCCAATTATGTATCTTTTATCATATTTTTGGCTATCATTATTTTAGCTATTGCCTTTCATGCTAGAATTAAAAGTGATTTACCCACCACCATTAAAGTAATATAATTTTCTGTACTTTCCTATTTACTTACCTTTACTCATGAGTTCCATACTTTCTTATGCTATCATGTTGCTGCTTAGGGTTTTTTTGTTTTAACCTGAAAAGCTCGCTTTAGCATTTCTTGTAAATCAGGTCTAATGAAAACAAACTCCCTCAGCTTTTGTTTATTGGGGAAAATCTTTATCTCTCCTTTATTTTTGAAGGAAAGTTTTGCTGGATATATTATTATTGGTTGGCTGGTGTTTTTTTTCTTTCAGTACTTTGAATATACCACCCCATTTCCTTCTTACTTGCAAAGTTTTTGTAGAAAAATCTTCTGATAGTCTCATAAAAGTTTCCCTTGTATGTGACAAGTCACTATTTTCTTGCTACCTTCAAAATTCTGTCTTTAACTTTTGACAATTTGATCTTATCATGGGTTTATTTTTATTGGTCTGTGGGAATAAGATAGTGGTTTTATTTTTAAATTGTTTACATTATCTGTTTTCAAAATTATTTCTTTGTGCTTTAATCCATTAATCTGTCTGTACCTTTTCTATTTCTTTGTATTTCTATCTTTTTGAATAAAAAGATTTGTTTACATATTATTTATAGATGCCTATATACCTATACACATACACATAGACACACACACATACATAGACACACATAGAGCAACATATATAATCAATCATTATTATTTAGATATAATTTCTTTTTCCCTCCCTACATCCATTCTGTCCTTCTTTCCTTCCTCCCTCCCTCCTTCCCTCTCTCTCTCTTTCTTCCTTTTTTCCATTTGATGCCTTAAGAACCAAAAGAGATATGGTAAAATGTATTCATTCTTTTCTTATTATGATTCTGTAAATTTATCCTTGCATTTCTAATATTTTATTTTATATACTTTTATGCTATGTTATCTAAAGCATAATATCCGTGATTATTATAGCTTGTAACTCTTATTACTACTAATGCAAATATTAAAAGCAACCAACAGTTTTTGAGCAGGTGCCACGTGTCAGGTCTTCATGTAGGTATTTTTGATGAATTTTATTATTTAATACTTACAACAACTCTATAAGATAGGCGTATTTATCACTTTCAGTGAGGATTCTGGTGACTTGCATACTTCATTAAGAAAACACAAATAAATGAAATGATTTTTTGTTTTAGATAATGCTTCTTGATTGTAGTACTGCTTCATTAATATTGATATTGTGACTCTTGCATCCTTTTTGTTTGTATATGCCTTGTACAACTGTACATCTATATTTTAATATTTAAATTTTGTATCACTTAGCATGGTGTTGGTATATAGTAGGTATGCTACAAAATGTTTGTGGAATGAACAGGTCTTTGGGAGTCACTTTTTAAAAATGTATATCCCTTTTATAAGCCATATAATTGAATTTTGTTTATAATCCAATGTGAGATGGTTGCCAGAGGAGTTTAACTTATTTACAATTATTTTGTTAATGACATGTTGATTTATTTCTGACATTTAGCATTTTGTATTCTTTTTAGCTTTCCTTTAATTTTCTTTTGCTTTTACTGTTACCATATGAACTGTGAGTTCTTTGATTAAATATACATACAAATTGGCTTGGAAAGTGTACATCTTGTTTTAATTCCACTTTTGATTGACATCTGCCTTGTCCTACAGCTGAGTGCATTCATACTGCTGGCAGGATAATTGGAGTTCCCTTTGCAGCTGCCACTCCTCAAGCTTTTATATTTATGTGCTAGCCTACAGTAAATTATGTTCATGGTCATAGATTTCTCATTTTTTTTGTGATCTCATTTGAAATAATTTATTCTTTTGAAAGTGAAACATATTTGTTACATTGTGCAGTGTTCTTTAGTTATTAGTCTTGTCCTAGTCATATAACAAATGTTAAACGATATAACATGTATTGATTATCTGTTATGTATACTGTGCTGAACTATGCAAGTTTGGAGGAGAAAAAAAATTGTAAATAGTACCTTGTCTGTGTTTTCAAGGAGCTTGTAGTGTAATTGGCAAGGGGACTAGATGTGCATCCATAAAAACTTAAATAACCCAAAAATTAAAATATAAAGGATATTACCTGGCACTGTTTATAAATAAATGTAATATGAGAAATATATGCAAAAAGTGCCATAAATTCAGAAGCCAGAAATATTGTCTAGAGCTGAAATGTTCTGAAGTATTTACAGAGGAAGAAGGAACCCATTCCAACGTGGGTGAACTGTCTGGACAAAGGTTTGGAGATGGGCATGTGTGTGGCATGTGGATGAGATGGCAGGCAAATGATTTCATGAAATCATTTCAGAGGTTTCATGGAATTGGAAATGATTATGGTAGCTAAGTCCCAAGATCTTGAGTCAGTAAGTTGGAGAACTTGAAGAACTGATGGTATAGTTCCACTCTGAGCCTGAAGGCAGGGGAAGACTGATGTCCCAGCTGAGAGACACTCAGGCTTTTCTCCTAATGTAACTTTTTGTTCTATTCAGACCTCCAATAGATTGGATGAGGCACACTTGTTAATGAGGGCAATCTGCTTTACCTAACCTGCCAATTCAAATGTTAATCTCTTCCAGGAACATCCTCACAGACATACCCAGAATAATGCATAACTAACTATCTGGGTGCCTCATGGCCCTGTCAACATGATATATAAAATTAACCATCACAGTACTCACAGAGCATACAGAGGGCACTTAGCCAAAATGTAGTGACAGGGGCATGTCAGAAAAGGCTTTCATGTGGAACTAATGCCGGAGTTGAGTCCTAAGAGACAAGTTGGAGTTGAAGAGGTAAAGGTTTCAGGCAGGGCGGGGGAATTGGGAAGAAGTGTTTTCTAGGTAGAGGAAGCCAAAGGTATAAATGCTTAGAGATGAGAGAGTACATGGCACTTTCAAGAATTGCACCTGTCTCACTGTGGTGGGCATATAGAATGTGAGCAGGAGAAATGAGTGAAAAGGATGGAGGTAGAAAGACTGGTTCAGGTCAGGAGGGTTTTGGGTACCACATGAAGGCACTTTGCTGAGGGAACTTGAAAATGATTTTGAATGTGATAGTGGAGTTAAATGGAAAATGGATTGTAGATAGGATGATTGGAGGTAGGGAGATTGGTCAGACTAATTTAGATTAAATATGACAAAGAGCTGAACCTGGGCATTGGCAATGGGGGTATATTTGAGAACAATTAAGGCATTAGAAGATATAGCCTGGATGTCAAACAGATGAAGGGGCTAGAAGGAGGGAAATCACAGATGATTCTTGGAATCCTGGCTTGGAGAAGTGGCTGAAATTAGCTTATTACAATAGGAAACAGGAGGAAGAGAAAGTTTGCTAGTCAGAGAAGAGTTGTGGGGTGGGCTGTGATAATTTCAGATATTCAATATAAATGTAGCTTAAAAGTTTTCCCTTTCTTCATGGCACTTTCCTACTGAGTTTAGAGTAAGGAAGACTTACATGTTGATATTTCTTTCAGATTTTCATGGCTGTATAACATTGGTAAAATTACTAGGTCAATAAAATATGTATAAATGTGCAGACTTGTTGATGAACAAACTGGCCCATTAATGGCCAGACAATTAACAATGATAAAGTTTGTTTCAGTAACAAAGGCTTCCAAAGACAGAGTGATTTGGATGCCTTTCAACAAAATAAATTCCTTTCTTCTCAGATGACATGTAAACTGATGTCATTTCTCATTCCATAAAGAAAAAAAAAAAGAAAGATGAAACTTGCTATGGTCTGCACTATTGCAATGATGGCATTCTTCCTCAAAGTAATCTAAAAAAAGATATTGTGAGCAAACTTCTATTTCCTCTGCCAGAAATGCATGCCTAGCCATAATGCAAGCCTTTCATATTTAGCTCTTTAGATAATGGTTTTTACATGAACTTTCATAACATTTATTTACTGCTATAAATGATTGAACCAACTGCTATTGGAAGCCAGGAATCTAGTTCATCTGCAGTTGGATTTCTCACTACATTATCTCAACTTTATAGAGGTTGCACTGAAGGTAGTGTTTCCTGTCAATATTACAAGGGGACAGTGTGAAATGCTATGAGCATGTTGGTTTTGAATGTTTACCGTTCAGCCTGCTTGCAAAACATGTTCGTCTCACTCTATGAAGACCATCCTTTAGTTATAAATATTTCAACT
This sequence comes from Homo sapiens, assembly GCF_000001405.40. NCBI lineage: Eukaryota > Metazoa > Chordata > Mammalia > Primates > Hominidae > Homo > Homo sapiens. The sequence continues at coordinate 133,642,565 of NC_000002.12, read as the reverse complement.
CCCTAGCCCCAGTTTTTTAGGGTGTATCAACCACATTTTCCTTCCCCTCCCATCTGGCTGACTGATTCATACTCTTCTGTGAATTGTTACAGCAGAAAAACAGGTAGAGACTGCCAAATTCTGAAGACAAGGCTTTCTATATGTTCATCTGGCTAAAATGGTAAAAATATGACTTGGGCTGATCTACTAATAAAGGTTAAACCAGGTGCTATGGTTTGGATGTTACTTGTCTCTGCAAAAACTCAGGTTGAAATTTGATCTCCAGTGTGCAGTATTGGGAGGTGGTGCCTACTGGGGGGTGTTTGTGTCATGGAGGTGATCCTGTATGAGTAGATTAATGCCATCCTGCAGGGGGTGAGTTTCAGCTCTTGTGGGAATAGATTCATTCGCTCAAGAGAAAGTTGTTTAAAAGAATCTGGCTTTCTCAGTTTCTCTCTCTTGCGTCCTCTCTTGCCACGTGATCTCTTTGCACACAGCTATTTCCTTTCCCTTTTCTGCCATGAATTGAAGCAGCAAGAGGCCCTCACTAGACACAGCTGCCCAATCTTGTACTATCCAGCCACTAAAATCATGAGCCAAATAAACCTCTTTTCTCAATAAACTACCCAGCCTAAGGTATCCTTCTATAGGAACATGAAATAAACTAAGACACCAGGGTAGATATATTGATCATTCAATGGAGAGAGGCACTTTGCTATAATAGGATAATAGATGTTCCAGTTACACAACAGAGCCAGTTGTGAGCCTGCCATGGAAGAGTTTGAACTCAAGGTGGCTCTGCTAAGCAGAGCTCTGACATGAAGTCTTGCCACTCCCTCTAGTTCCTACATGCTGAGGCACAGGGGTTCCCTTAAGTTGAACTGGTTAAACTGGATGAACCACAGCCTCCCAGAACAATCTCTCTGGGCCATGGCCTGAGGGTGGCTCCTGCCCTGGCAGGAAGCTGTGTCCACGTGCTTGCCTTCATCAGCTCCCACTCTGTGGTGCCAGACACAGCCAGGCAGGAACAGGACATGACTATGGACAGGATAGTTGGTGCCTGACTCTGGGCTGCTCCAGAAATCCTATTTCCAAAATCTTTTCAGCTCTTAGCTGGCTTCCTACAGTGAGCTAGGATTTCAGTCCAACATTTAGGAACTTCGCTTTTGGTGGCCAGAATATACAGAACCAGATGCTGCAGAGGAAGAAGCCATTAGATGGTGGAGAAAGGTAAAAGGAATATATCTCTTAAGATAAAATTGGAACTGTTTGTTTTCTCTCATAAAGAATCTTCTTATTGCCTGAAGGAAGAATAGAGAACTTCCATAAGACAGTGGAAGTAAAGAAAACAACTGAACCATTTTACTATGAGAAAGCAGAGAAATGTCTTATTGCTAACCTTTGCTGCTCTTACAGCTAAAAACAAATTTCTGACGTCCATATGAACAGAGATGCACATAATTATGGAAGATTCCCGAATGCCAGAGAACCTCCAAAGAGCTTCTATTTGACTTTACAGTTTAATTGTCACTTTATCTACCTATAGCTGTGCATATTTGCTGAATGGGGATAAAGAGAGAAATTGAGTACAATTCTTGTTTTTGAAAAGGCACAGGAAAAGGGGAGAGTTATTTGCATATGGGGTAAAAAGTGTTATGATAAAAGTATGTCATGGATTCTTAGGAAACAATCTGTCTTCACATCCCTAGTGCCTAATACAGTGCTTGACTTACAGCAGTTGTTCATATTTGTTGGAAGCTGTGCTTTGGTTTCAATAAAGGTGAATTTGAGCCATTTAAGCACAGTAATTCTTTAAGAGATTTTCATTTATTCTATTTATTCATTCATTCACAGGGCAAATATTTATCAAAAGATCTGATGAATGAAACCAGAAGTGTACACAATGAATATCAATATGACTTTACCCTACATTTTGACGTTTTTGCCTGGGTAGTCTAGAAAGTGTTTTATTTGTAAGTGAAGTGATACTGTGTATAGGGGTTGTTTAGTTTATTAGAAAATGAGCAAAGTGAATACATTATTTGTTGTACAGAAGTTTGCTTCGTTATTTAAAAGGAGACTGTTATAGTTCACCTCCCTAGTCCAGATGTCATTTTATTTAGGCATCTCAGTCCTCTAGAATGACTCCAGATCACTGTGGAGATTGTCTCCCTTCTTTTGAATCCCACTTGGGTAACCTTCAAAGGGTCCTATACCTCTCTAACCTAAGAGAAACCTTCCCTACTCATGTGAATTTCCTGTTTAACAAGATTGACTTGTGCTGACTCTGCTTTTTCATATCCATTCATTTAAAACACTTACTAGGACAAAAAGTGTATAGAATAATATAGTAAAGGCCCATGCACCACCATTTAGCTTAATACATAAAACATTACTAGTAAAATTGATGTTCCTGTGTATCCATCCCCAGTCACATCTCACTTCTTCAAATATCCAATGGTACAATCACTACCTTAAATTTGGATTTGATCATTATCATGTCCTTACATTATTTATAGTGGGACTAAATATATATGCATGGCTAATCATTATGTCACATTGTTTTCTATATTTTTAAACCTTATACAAGCAATATTATATAGTATGTATTCTTCTGTAACTTGGTATCTCAGTATTTTCATTCCTAATTGTGTTGGTGGGATTCGTCCATGATAATTGTGTCATATCTTATGACATTCCGCATTTATTTTTACACTCTCCTATTGATGGTCATTTAGTTTGTTTACAACTTTCTTGTCAAGGGGTTCAGGGCAGATATTAGCATTAGTTTGGTGCAAGCAGTGACTCATTGTTAGGAAAGTGTATATACCTGGATGGTCTGCACAGCCTTTCCAGAGGTACATTTGAGCTCAAGGGCTTTGAGATGCACTGATGGGCTGGTCTCCTACAAAAGGGTTTCATCAGGAAGATGTTCCCCTCCTGTTTCTCTCTCCTTTTATGAACCAAACAGAAGAGCCTGGTAGAATTTGGGGACAGTCAGACTGCTTTGGTATCAAACAGTCTGAAGGTAAAAGTGTGAGCTGTTTGCAGTTAATAAAATCATAAGCTGCCTAAAACCTGGAAGTTTGGAAAACTATGAAAAGTGCAGCCTCTTCTGCTGGGACAATACCCCTAATCCAGATAGTGTCATAGTAGGCAATTTAGAGATCCGTACTGATGATCATTATAAGCTACTTTTTTCTTGTTTCAGATAATGTTGCTATCGTCATGTCTTCTTGTCTACGTGAACAAGAGTTTTTAAGGGCCTATACCTAGAAATAGAGTTGCTGGATTGTAGATATTAAGCCTTATCAAATTTATTGGGGTTGCCATTTGTTCCTCAAATTACTGAATCAGTTTATACTCCCACCAGTAATACGTGGGACTTCCCATTGCTCTACATCCTTTCCAACAATTGATATTCTCTGAATTTATTAATTTTTGCCAACCTAGTAGATGGTATAAGATGGTACCTTACAGAGTGTTTTCATTATGATTGAGATTGATCATGCTGTGTCTTATATCTGTTGGTCATTAATGTTTCCTATTTTATGAATTGCTTTTTCCTTCCTTTTAATCTTATTTTTTCTGTTTAATTATCTTTTTCATTCTAATTTGCAGACCTCTTACATTCTTGCAACAATTACACATTGCAAGTACTTCTCCCACATTGTTACTGCTGTGCTTGTTTGTTACACTTTAAAAGATAAGTCTTTTTTTTTTTTTTTTGAGATAGAGTCTCACTCTGTCACCCAGGCTGGAGCGCAGTGGTGAAATCTCAGCTCAGTGCAACTTCTGCCCCTGGGTTCAAGCAATTCTCCTGCCTCAGCCTCCTGAGTAGCTGGGGTTACAGGTGCCTGCCACCACTCTTGGCTAATTTTTGTATTTTTTAGTAGAGATGGGGCCTCACCATGTTGGCCAAGCTGGTCTCGAACTCCTGACCTCATGATCCGCCCACCTCAGCCTCCTAAAGCGCTGGGATTATAGGCGTGAGCCACTGCCCCCAGCCAAGGAAACTTTTTCGGAGTCTTTTGATTGAGAGAAGTTTAACATTTGGACGTAGTGCCATCTATAAGTGTTAAGCCTAGTTTTTAAGAGTTTATGTATTCTTCATTACTATGTGTTTTGTTTTAATTCCCTTTCCCCTATTTTTTTAAACAAGACTCTATTATCTTACTACCTTTACATTTTTATATGCGTGCTTAATTTAATGACTATCTCTTCCCTGGTGAAAAATATCTTATAATCTCTTTATTGTTGCACAATATCTTAGTTCTATCTCATTTTTGTATTTCCCTAGTTTAGCACTGTCATATTGCTTTGTGCTGCAAATGCTTGATTAGATCTACCTGTCTATTTAAAAGTTTCTTTGCTTACCAATTTTTTCAGACTTTCTATTGTTATTCTTCCAGTGAAAATCTATTCATAATAAACTCTAAAATTTTTGTCAGAAAATATACCTCCTTGACTTCATTCTTGAGTGAGGATTCAGCTAGGTATGAAATTGTAAGTTATGTTTATTTTCTCATGGCTTTTGAGAGATCTGCTATCATCGGAATCTTAATTTCTTTGCAGGTATCATTCTAACCTATATATTTTTGAAGGTGCTTTCCTTTTGGCTGATTTTAAGGTTATACATTTGTCTTTGGTGACCTGTAATGTTGCTATGATATGTTTAGGTGAGGATGAGAAAAATTCAGAGAGGGGACATTTTTCTATTTCCTGAATCTAAAAATTTATGGTTTTCATCAAGGACATTTTTTGGTCAATATATTTTCAAATATTGTGCCTTCTAGAACTCTAATCGCATGTATGTTAAATTTTCTTTTATTTTCCTGTTCTGTTAAAACTTTTAACAATATTTTCATGTCATTGGTTCTATTTGCTACATTTTATGAACTTTTAAAAAGTTTTCTTCCAGTTTATTAATTCTCTCTTTCATAGTCTGTCCAATTTGCTTTTTAAAACATCCACTAAATTTTTAACTTTGATAACTCCATTTTCATTATATTTCAATGATTATATTTTAATTTCCATTAGTCCAATTTGTTTCTTTTTCAAGATTGCTTCTTTATATTTTCTTGGGTTTTTTTTTTTTTTTTTTTTTTTTGGAAAATACCAATATATGAAGTTCTGGAGAGTCTACTCTTGTGATTTTTATTTCTACAAACTCTTTTTCTTGGTGGCCTGTTTCCTTAGGCATAATTTAAGTTGAGAAAGTGTATTTGACTGCTGAGAGTTTGGTTGGTGTTTGTTCCTTTGCATTTGCTCCTGCCATGCACCCTGAGGTGCTACCAAATTAGGGCAACAATTAGTATTTTGGCTCTGGCTTTCCAAACCCTAATGTTTGTGTAAATGTGAGCCCCAGACTCACATAGAATAGATCTGTATTTTAAAATTATTGGTGGTAGGAGAAGTGCGGGAAAGTAGGTTTGATAGATTTAGAAAATAAAAATACAGAGTTAAATTTGATTTTCAGATAAACAACAAAAGTATACATATATTTATTAAGTATACTTTAAGTATTAAATATATTTATTAAGTATACTTTAAATATTTTTAAAAATCCCATAAAATATTTGTTGTGGATCTTCTCTGGCTATTCATGCTGGGGGATGGAGAAGCTTTGTTTTCCTAACCAGAGGTGAAGCTGATACAGGTAAATTTTCATACTGTCTTCCTTTGCAGATGAAATTTTTTTTCTAACCTACTATTTCATGGAGCATCTAGTCTTTCAAAGGCCTTGGGTTTTTATGGGCATCTAAGTTCCATTCTGCACCTTGTGGAGGCTTCGTGTCCTGTTCCCAGAGTGGTTCTAGGCCCTTGGAATGGGACAATTCCATTAGAAGTTACTGACCCAGCATTTGCTTTCCTCCCTGGTTTTCTGCTTCTTTATTAATTTGTTTGTTTTGTTGTTTGGCTCTTTTGGCTACTAGGATTTTCCCCTTCTTTGCTAGTGAGATAGGCATTTAAAAAGGATGTTTGTTGTGTTTTATCAGTTATAATGTTGGAAGCAGAAATGCTCCTATTCACTCTTTAACCAAGTTAACCAAGCCCTTGCCCTTATCGCTGGTCTGAAATTGCTCTCTGAACATTCTGTGGGGGATGCTTTATTGCTAAATCCAACCGCCTCTTCTTGAGAGTTGCCTGCTTGAAAGCTCTAATTTCTTGGTAGAATTTTCTCTTTCATCACCTTCTGTTCCTCCAGGTTTTTCTTACTGTTTTTGCATGACCAGTCATTGTCAGTGTTCTTTGCTGGCTGTCTTTCCTGTGGCTCTGTCTTTGATATAAACATGCCTCTTGAACAATGAGTATACTCCTAAGCTAGTGTCCTGACCTCTAAACTCTGTAGGCTAGCTTCTGCATTATTTTCTATGGTTATCTTTCTAAAAACCAACAGACCTCATGACTATTCTTGTCCTGGAAAATCTTTGATAGTTTTTTATCGCCACAGTACATAATCTTAGCATTAAAATCTCTCCATCATGTGGCTGTAAGCCACTCTTCCAACCTCCTCAGCTATCAAGCTCTGTGCTTTGTACCTTCTGCTTCAGTCACCACACTACTGTTCATAAGCTCAAAATTATTCATTAATATCAGTTATCTAATTATTAATTAAAATATTGTGTCCATAACTCTGCTTGCTGCCTGTATATTAAAATCATACTCTTCAAGGTTAGGCTCAGATTTGAACCTGGTAAAGGTTTGGCTCATTCCTTCCTCTAGCTGGCAGCTCACTTAGTACTTCATTCATGATTTTCAGAAAATGCAAGCATTTGGGGCTTTCTATAGTAGCTATTTTTGTATCTCTCTATCATAAGTTTTTACATCCAAACTATTTTTTTCATCTTATTACCTTAATTCTGAACACAAGACTGTATATTTGGTAGCCTTTGATAAACGTGTTTATTATTTAAATAAGTTGCTTGTCTTTAGAAGTTACGAGGACACATTAGTTAGGACTTATAGTTTCCTACCAGGTTTTATGAAAAAAATGAAGATCAACTTGGAAAACTTGCTAGAGCTGCATAGGCAGTATGAATCTTCATTTTCAATTTGGAAGAATATTTTCCTTAACTTTTATATTACCAAGGAGTTTTATTTCTATGTTAGGTCTTCTGGCAGACTGATGGCTGTAAGACTGTGGATTCCTAGAATCTCATGAAAGAGTCTTCCCAGAAGATACTCAGCAACTAGTTTATGCATTGTCATCATTTTCAAGTAGAATAAGAACAGATATTTGGAGGAAGTGAATGAATATATTTTAAAGGCCATGGAAGTTGCTGAGTAGGGAGCTTATTTGTTCTAATAGACTGCATGATTACATCAGCTTTCAAGTATTTATAACCTGTAGATTCCCCCTTCCTTTTCCTCTGTCTGCATGCAGTTGCCAGACTTAGAAAATAAAAATACAGCCAGGCATGGTGGCTCACACCTGTAATCCCAGAACTTGGGGAGGCCAAGGCAGGTGGATCACCTGAGGTCAGGATTTCGAGACCAGCCTAGCCAACATGGTGAAACCCCGTTTCTACTAAAAATACAAAAATTAGTTATGTGTGGTGGCAGGTGCCCATCTGTAGTCCCAGCTACTTGGGAGGCTGAGGCAGGAGAATAGGTTGAACCCAGGAGGCGCAGAGGTTGCAGTGAGCCAAGATCCCACCACTGTATTCCAACCTGGGTGACAGAGTGAGACTCTGTCTAAAAAAAAAAAAGAAAGAAAAGAAAGAAAATAAAAATACAAGACATCCAGCAAATTCAAATTTCAGATGAACAATGAATAATTTTTAAATGTATGTCCCAATATTACATGGGACATACACGCAGAATAAATCATTGTTTATCTAAAATTCAAATTTAATGGTTGTCCTGTATTGTACCAGGCAATCCTATGTCGGCTCCACTGTCAGCTTCTTGTTCCTTATCATGCATAATCATCTTCAAAGCAAACAAAATGTTTCTATATTTAGAAATGAGGATTCTGTAAAAGTGTTATTACTTGGAAAACTATCAAAGATACCCTAGCTTGCAAATTTTAAGTGTCAAGTGGAATGCAACATAGCAACAAGATAATTATTTCTAAGGTGGGGTGGTGAAAAAGTAGTCCTGTATTGAAAGACTGGTCTAAACTCTGGCAGTTTATTAGCGTAGAGTATGTTTCTGGTCATTTTTCCAATACAACTAACATATTGTGGCAGGCACATCTGGGAGACACGCATTCTGGAACTCAGTAAAAAATGCCTGGGAGAATGCTTGTGTTTGTGTATGTGTTGAGTTAAACAGCCCTTTGTTACGAGGGAGTGGGAAGGGGCCGTGAATATTGTGCTGAAACGCAAACTAATTGATGGACACTATAATCACCACCTTAGTTAGCGCCCCGGGACTCTTTTCATACTGGCAAGCTGTAAATTTAAATGGAAACCAAAAGGATAGTACACAGCCCACAGCTCAGCATTCCATTACTTCACGTATGAAATATTCAGTGAGTAAGAGAGAGGCTTAATAGATAATAGCTGGAGAGGAGCTGCACAGTGATTAAGGCAAGACTGAAGTGGCTGGTAACAATCTCAATCTAACCAAGTCCAGATAAGAGTTTCTATTTGAAGGATTAAACTCGATTCTTTGCTCAGAATGAGGCAACCCACTTCTGAGTGCCAAACTACACAATGATCTCTTATCTTAGACCCAGTGTAGTTGTTCAGAGATTACGTGATTTGGGGTAAGATGGATCTATCCATGAGCCCCATCAATCATGCTCTATTTATCTTTTAGATGCCTGCTATTTAGTATCATTGAAAGTACATGAGTTTTCTAATCCAGCTAACTTGGGTTCAAATCCCCCTCAGCCCTATGCCCCTTGAGCAATGACATAAAATTTCTGAGCTTCAGTTCATTCATCTATAAAATGAAGCCGATACTGTCCATCTCTAAGCGTTGGGATGTAGATGCACTGGGCTTATTAGATGCAAACTGTTTGGCATTTGTTAACCGCTTCATGAAGGCTACCTTCATACCTCCCTATCTGTGTGCTGTCTCATATTCACTTTTCAGCGTGAGCCAGCCTGACTTCAGGATGCTGCATGTCCTCACAAAGCCAAACATTTCCTGCTGGCATTCTTGACTCTTCCGAGACACTCTCTTTTCAAGGTACCCTGCAGTTGAGGGAGCACATCTGCCCTAGGCTAGAAATAGCAGACTTTCCTCTCTCATGCCCACCCCAGTTGGCCAGCACTGCTGCCTGAAGTAATGTGTTTAGAAAGGCCAAGCGGCCGTTCTGGGTTTGGTGAGAGAGCACCATAGTTGATTGACAAAGGCTGCCATTTGTTCGGGAAGCAGTTGTGGAGGTATCTGTGCTATGAGCTGGATACATTTCTGCTCAGTCAGGCTGCAAAGTAGGCAGAGTTTGTCTTCAGGAACATTACTTCCCCTGTCTGAACACATCCCCCCTCTTCTTGTGTCATCTTCCCCAAGTTCACTAGTTTGCACATTCTGGGTATGTAACAGAGAAAATAAAGGATGCACACATTTGTTTCTATGAGGATTTGGGGACTCAGTCATTTCCTTCTGAGGAGTGCCCCAAAGGAAAAGGCAGGTGCTCTGGGCCAGCCAAGCTACCGGTGTGTCCAGATGCAAGCTGGCATTATATAAACTTAAGGTGATTCTTTTTTCCATTATATGCAAGGGACCTAAATGGGTGAAATGATTTCTTTGTTTCTGGGAAAGGCAAAACAGCACCAATTGTCTTTCTCACTTTTGGCCTCTTCACAGTTGCAGGTCTTTAACTTAGACCTCTATTAAGATGTAAGTTTTCCTGATAGAACCTAAGAGTGGCAGCGTGGAAGAGAGTATTTGAAAAGAGATTAAAGAAATAAGAAACAGAAATGACATCTTGGTGAATACAGAATGTGCTTTCCTGGAGGAGATGGTCCATCTCTGACGCAGGAGGATGAGACAGCAGCACCAGGAGGGGTACTTCACACACCTGTGCACTATGCTGAGAGACGGCCAGCTTACAAGCCTTTACAGAGTAACACTTGTTCTGATGACCATTGTAGTAATTTTCCAAAAATGTGGAAAGTATAAAAAAGTAAATAAAGCCAGCTGACATTAAGAATTGACCCAAGTTACTTAAGATGTTGGTGCATTTTCTTCTAGTCTTTTTTTCCCCCTGCATTAATATTAACAGATTTGCACCTAAATTATTAATCCAGGCAGCCTTGGGGCTTTTTCTTTTCTAATTTGCCGAAGGCAAAAAAGTAAGCTCACCTGTTTTTTTCTTCTTTAACTTTCATTTTTAATGTCCAATTATGCTAACTTGAGTCCCCAAAAATGTAGTTGCCAGAATGCTCAGAACAGGCTCCTGCCTGCAGGGCATACCATGTGGCTGCATCTGCTGCCACCCATGTATCCTGTCCAGTTTGATGATTCCTCCCCTAGTCCTCCCCCTGGTGAACACTCCTGACATCACCACTGCAGCTTGGGGGACAGGACACTGCTCATCCTTCAGCCTTCCACTCCAATCCTTGGGACAGCCTTTTTAAAATTTCCCAATGCACAGCTGAGACCAGGCTGTGGTGTGTCTAGAATCATTTACTGAAATTTAGGCAAGGCCGAAGAGAAATGTAACACAGAAAGAAACTTACAGTTGCTTCTAGAAGTGTCCATTCTTAAAGTTCAACTTTAAGCCCAACCCTCAAAAGAAATGGACATTTCTCCACCCCAGTAAAGCCCAAGAGTTGCCCTCTTCAGTTTTCATTTACTATTTCAGTGTTAACTCCTTTTCCAGAAAGATTGACAGCAGGAACTTCCACTCCCTTCAGAGAATGGAAGACCCCAATGCAGGGGTCTGCAGGGGACTAGTCTACCTGGCCATGAGGATGGAAGACTTAGCTATACTAGTCTTAGAGAACATTTTCCAAAGTCTAAGTTATTGTATCAAACTCAACATAGACCTTAATCTACAGATCTCCTCCAATGTCACGTGAGAAGATTAGGCTTTTCTATCCAGGAGTTACACCTTTTGCAAAAAACTCACAGAATAACATCACATCTCTTTAAGGACAAGCAATGATTTGAAGGTACATGGCCATTTAAATCCAGGATAATAGAAGAAACATTCTCTAAAGAAAGCAATCTTTGGAGGTATAGTTTTAAAATGCAGCTGTTTTACATTTATTAAACAGAACATCCCAGTCAGAACCTTCCACATGTAGATTGCTTCAATGCATTTACGTATTTGCTCTTGCTTTACACTGCATAAGTTAAAGAGACCACCAGAGAAACTGGGGAAGGTCTTCCCAGAGAAGAAGTGAGACACTGTGTGCAAATTTTAAAACAGTGGTTTTTAAAATAAGTCTTCAGGTCAATCTCCATTTGTGATATAACCCATATACACATTTGTATAATTGAAAATCATACTTTACGTATGTTTCTATTATTTGCTTTTTAAATTTAATTTTCCATTGTGAACATTTTTAATAGCATCAAAATATTTTGAAAACATGATTTTTCATGATTTTATGATCTTCAAATCTATAGTTGTTAATCTAATTAACCATTCCTTCTTGTTGGGCATTTAGGTTGTTTATAGTTTATTAACATAAATGATACTAAAATGAACATCTTTCACATATACATTGTCCATTTTTATGATCATTTTCATAATTCAGCTTTTATTAAGAAATTTTCCCAAAACATAATGTCTTAAAATAACAATTGTGCTTTCCTGGAGGAGATGGGCCATCTCTTTTTCATGATTCTGTAGATTGGCAAAGAATCTGTTTTTCTGGTCTGTGCTGGTTCTGCTAAGGCCGGATGATCTGGGATGGCCTAACTCCCATGTCTAGGACAACAGGGAAAACTAAGATGCCTGGGACTCTCTCCACCTGTTCTCTCATCCTTAAGGAATCTAGCCCAGGCATATTCCTGGTGGCAGAAGGGTCACCAACAGCAGGAGAGGGAAAGACCCATTGCACAAGCCATTTTTTTTTTTAAGTTCTGAGGTACATATGCAGCATGTGCAAGTTTGTTATGTAGGTAAACATGTGCCATGGTGATTTGCTGCATCTGTCAACCTCTCACCTGAGTATTGAGCCCTGCACACGTTAGCTATTTTTCCTTATGCTCACATACTCACTATTCACCCAAAGTGCACCATCCAATGGCTTTCAGTGTGTTCACAGATACGTGTAACCATCACTACAGTCTATCTTAGAACATTTTATTCACTTCAAAGAAGAAATTCCATAGTTTTTACTTATTATCCTCTCTGTGTCCCCATGTTCCTGTATTCCATCACTAAGCAACCATGAATCTACTTTCTGTCTCTATAGATTTCCTTATTCGGGACTTTCATATGAATTTCCATTCATATAGTATGTGGTTTTTGATGACTGGCTCCTTTCACTTAGCAAAATATTTTCTTTTTGAAACAATGTTTTAAGTTTTACTTTAAGTTCTGGGGTCCATGTGCAGGATGTGCAGGTTTGTTGCATAGGTAAATGTGTGCCATGGTGGTTTGCTGCACCTATCAACCCATCACCTAGGTATTAACCCCCACATGCATTAGCTATTTTTCCTAATGCTGTCCCTCCTCACCTCCCACCCCCTCGACAGGCCCCAGTATGTGTTGTTCCCCTCTCTGTGTCCATGTATTCTCATCATTCAGCTCCCACTTATAATAAATGAGAACATTCAGTGTTTGGTTTTCTGTTCCTGCATTAGTTTGCTGAGGATGATGGCTTCCAGCTCCATCCATGTCCCTGCAAAGGACATGATCTCATTCCTTTTTATGGCTACATAATATTCCATGGTGTATATGTACCACATTTCCTTTATCCATTCTATCATTTATGGGCATTGGGTTGATTCCATGTCTTTGCTATTGTGAATAGTGCCACATTGAACATATGTGTTCATGAATCTTTGTGATACAATGATTTATATTCCCTTGGGTATATACCCAGTAATGGTATTGCTGGGTCAAATGGTATTTCTGGTTCTAGGCCTTTGAGGAATTGCCACACTGTCTTCCATGCTGGTTGAACTAATTTACATTCCCACCAAGAGTGTAAAAGCATTCCTATTTCTCCACAGCTTCACAGCATCTGTTGTTTCTTGACTTTTTAATAATCACCATTCTGACTGGCATGAGATGATATGTCACTGGGGTTTTGATTTGCATTTCTCTAATGATCCATGATACTGAGCTTTTTTTCATGTTTTTTGGCTGCATAAATGTCTTCTTTTGGGAAGTGTCTGTTCATGTCATTTGCACACTTTTTAATGGGCTGTTTTTTCCTGTAAATTTGTTTAAGTTCCTTGTAGATTCTGGATATTAGACCTTTGTCAGATGGATAGACTGCAAAAATTTTCTCCCATTGTGTAAGTTGCCTGTTCACTCTGATGATAGTTTCTTTTGTGGTTCAGGAGTTCTTTAGTTTAATTAAATCCCATTTGTCAATTTTTGCTTCTGTTGCAATTGCTTTTGATATTTTTATCGTGAAATCTTTGCCTGTGCCTATGTCCTGAATGGTATTGCCTAGATTTTCTTCTAGGGTTTCTATAGTTTTGGGTTTTACATTTAAGTTTTTAATCCATCTTGAGTTAATTTTTGTATAAGGTGTAAGGAAGGGGTCCAGTTTCAATCTTCCGAATATGGCTACCCAGTTCTCCCAGCACCATTTACTGACTAGGGAGTCCTTTCCCCATTGCTTGTTTTTGTCAGGTTTGTTGAAGATCTGATGGTTGTATATGTGTGGTCTTATTTCTGAGTTCTCTATTCTGTTCCATTGGTCTATGCGTCTGTTTTTGTACCAGCACAATGATGTTTTGGTTACTGTAGCCTTGTATAGTTTGAAGTCAGGTAGTTTGATGCCCCCAGCTTTGTTCTTTTTGCTTAGAATTGTTTTGGCTATACGGGCTCTTTTTTTGGTGCCCTGTGAATGTTAAAATAGTTTTTTCTAATTCTGTGAAGAATGTCAATGGTAGTTTAATGGAAATACCATTGAATTTATAATTTGGGCAGTATGGCCATTTTCACGATATTGATTCTTCCTTTCCATGAGCATGGAATGTTTTTCCAGTTGTTTCTGTCTGCTCTGATTTCCTTAAGCAGTGGTTTGTGGTTATCCTCGAAGAGGTCCTTCACTTCCCTTGTTAGCTATATTGCTGAATATTTTATTCTCTTTGTAGCAATTGTGAATGGGAGTTCATTCATGATTTGGCTTTCTGCTTGACTGCTGTTGGTGTACAGGAATACTTGAGATTTTTGCACATTGATTTTGTATCCTGACACTTTGCTGAAGTTGCTTATCAGCTTAAGAAGCTTTTGGGTTGAGACTATAGGGTTTTCTAGATATAAGATCATGTCATCTACAAACAGAGACAGTTTGACTTCCTCTTTTCCTATTTGAATACCCTTTGTTTCTTTCTCTTGCCTGATTGCCCTGGCCAGAACTTCCATTACTATGTTGAATAGGAGTGTTGAGAGAGGTCATTCTTGTCTTGTGCTGGTTTTCAAGAGGAATACTTACAGCTTTTGCCCAGTCAGTATGATATTGGTTGTGGGTTTGTCATAAATGGCTCTATTCTTTTGAATGCACAAGTACTTTTTAAGTCTCTGCTCATGTCACATTTCTCAAGTCTGGTTGGCCAAGGGAAGTACCACGGCCAAAGCCAGATTCAAAGGACAGGGGAAGCAGACTCCACCTTCTGATGGGAGGAGGGGCAAAGCAAAGTTACCTTGAGAAGGGGCCTGTAGACAGGGAGGAATGATCAGAGCTGCAGCCATTTTAGCATAAGTCTGCTACACTTTCCTTGAATTTCTGGAATGATTGCCTCTGAGCATATACAGTTTTTGGTTGCTTAAAAAAAAGTTTCTTTCTTTCTTTTTTCTTTTTTTTTGAGGCACAGAGTGCGTCTAAAGAGAGCGCACACTACAGATGCACGTCACCACACTTGGCTAATTTTTGTATTTTTGTGGAGACGGGGTTTCGCCGTGCTGTCCAGCTGGTCTCAAACTCCTGGCCTCAGGTGATCCACCTGCCTCGATCTCCCCAGGTGCTGGGATTACAGGCGTGAAGCACTGTGCCTGGCCTAAAAAATGTTTCTTAATGTATATTGCCAAACTTACCCTACACAAAATATTTACTGATTTGTATTTCTAACAGCATTCTGTTAGTGTCTATATAAAAACATCAACATAAGTTTTAAATATTATAAAATTGGAAATTTGTGAATTATCTGTTCTATTTTAATTTGTATTTCCTTAATTCTTATGGAGATTAATATTTTAAGTGTATTAGCTATTCATATTGTCTGCTTTGTTGAGAATGAATTTCATTTTTATACCCATTTTCCTTGAGGTTATTTTTTTTCTTATTGATTTGGGTGTGCCTTTTACAAAGAAATAACATTAACCATTAATCTATCATGGTACAATATTTTCCTAGCTTTTTGTTTTTAAAGATACATGTATTTCAAATTTTTATGGCCAATATGTTTTATGGCCAATGTGTGATTTATTTTATTGATTTTAAGATGGAAAATTAATTTCTACCAAGGAAATAATAATTATTTATCTATGTAGTCTTCATTTTTTGTATGAAATTCTTTTTAAACATTTAACTATTTTGTTCACCGGAAATTTATTTTGGTATGTGACATGGTATAAATTAATTTTTCCCCAAATAACTACTTTCCTTAACTTTATTGAATATATGTATTCAAACACTTTGTAAAATTTCAAACATATATAAAATTAGAGGAAATAGTATAGTGAATTCCTATGTATCTATTGCCCATTTTAAAAATTCAGTTAATACCCAGACTTATCTGTTTTCACTTGCTTTCTTACTACTTCCAGGTTATTTAAAAACAAAGCCCAGACATTATATCATTAGAGATAATTCAGTTTATGTCTCTGAAAGATAAAGACTCTTTTAAAAACATATCATTATCATACCCTAAAAATTAATAATTCTTTATAATATAAAATTTTTGCAATTGTGTCATAATATCTTTATACTTTGAATGAGAATTCAAATAAGTAAATAAATTGCAATTTGTTCATGTGAATTATTAGCTTAATTCTCCTTAAGCTAATAGGTTTCTCCCCTTTTTATTTCCCTTGCAACATATTTATTGAAAAAACCTGTTTGTCTATCCTATAAAGTTTTTTACAGTCTAGATCTTGCTTATTAAGTTTTTTGGTGTTATTTCATGTATTTCTCTGCCCCTGTATTCCCTGTAACTTGGTATTTAGATGTAGAAGCTTCATCAGACTCAGATTCAATTTTGGGACAAAAAATATTTTCTAGATGATATTACACATTTCCATCAGAAGGGACATATCATCAGGATGTCTTTCTTTGAGAGATGATAGTAGTAACGAGTGATTATTGCCTATATTTAATAATTCATATGGAACTAAGGGGCAGTATTCTAATTCTATCCTTTCCAACTCATTTATTTGTGAAAAATTCTATCAAAGAGGCTTTCTCTCATTCACTGGCTACCTGTGATGCAATTTATAAAATAATAGTTTGATTCTTTGCTTTTGTTTAATAGTTTTAAAAATGATGAAGTAGTCTATTAGTGTCCCCCAATGGCGACCAATTAAGTTTAAAAAAATTTTTAGTGTTATTATGAACTTGTGTATTTAAACACATTTGCATGTCTCAGACTGTTGCACTTATTATTCTTTTTTTTTTTTTTTTTGAGACAAGTCTCGCTCCATCACCCAGGCTGGAGTGCAGTGGCGCCATCTCGGCTCACTGCAAGCTCCGCCTCCCAGGTTCACGCCATTCTCCTTGCCTCAGCCTCCGGAGTAGCTGGGACTACAGGTGCCCGCCACTACGCCCGGCTAATTTTTTTGTATTTTTAGTAGAGACGGGGTTTCACCGTGTTAGCCAGGATGGTCTCCATCTCCTGACCTCGTGATCCGCCCGTCTCGGCCTCCCAAAGTGACTTATTATTCTTATTGCTGCTCAAGTTGTTCTCACCTTTGGCCAGTGGGAGCCTCTTCAAGCTGGATGTTGAGTCCTGGTGGGGTGGACTCAGAGGACTTTGAAGGCTTCCTTGCTTTCTGTATGACAAGATGGCCCAGGCCCCCCATGTACACCTCCTGCCTCGCACTGGGATCATTCATTTATCCAAGGAGTCCTGGTTCCTTTTGGTGCAAATTGTTACTTAGAAAGCTCAATTTGAGTTCTACAAGAGGTTAGTACGAGTGGGCTGGTCTTTGTTTCTTGGCTTTCTTCATTTTTCAGAGTAAAGGAATATGTATAGTGTCTTAAAGATAAAATATGTCTTGAATTTATGTAGATTATTCTGATTCACATTCAGGACTACAGAATTTTAACTTAACCATAATGGTATTACACCTATATTTCCTTTTCCAATGCTAAAAAGAATGACTTTTCAATGACAACAACATAATTTGTTTTATTTCACAATACACATGCAATAGTCTCAGAATAGCAACCATGTAATACCAACAATTGATTACTGAAAAGTTTCAAGAGTTGTTTACTTTAGTTGTGTTATCTTAGGTTGTATTCTGCTAAGGATGTTTAGTGAAAGTTAATTACTGAGTGGTTCCTCTCATTATGCTACCCGCCCAGATACAGGTTACTTTGTTTCATTTTGCTTTCAGTATTTAGGGATTCCTAATTTTGATCAGTCTGTAAAGCTTTTTCTTCTTAATCTGAAACTTTTCTCTTACAGCTGTATCTCATAGTTGGAACAACATTAAATCAAAAGAATATGATATATATGTGGATTCCAAAAACGTAACATGTGCTGACACATGCCATACCTCTGAATCTTGAGTCTGTAAAGCGGCTGTTAGGGCAGGAAATGGTTCTACTCAAACAGCATCATAATACTGAAGGGAGTGCAAATGAATACTGCAATAACTGTGAATGATTTTATATACACCATGAGACATTGTGTAGCAATTACGTTATAATTATTGCCAACTTGTTTGCTGCTATTTTGAGCCTTTTAATGCCTTAATTGTGCAGCCAAAATTCTAGTGTCTAAAAGTGTGCCCTGAACGAAGAACACCAAGGGAGGAAGGGGGATGGAGCATCACTGGTGTGCGGTGGTCTTACTCTAAGAGCCTGCAGCTCAGTGGCACATCTCCACTTGGGTGTATTTTTAGGAAGGACTGAGACACTCATGGGTAGAAACTCCTCCTAAGAGATGAGACGTGAGGAACAGAACTCGGTGGAGTGACCGTGGCTCAATGGATCTTGGAGAGGGCTGCAACAGAAGATTCTTTTTAAAAAATTTATTTTTAATTAAAAAAAAATGTTTTCAATAGGTTTTGGGGTGGTGGTTGGTTACATAAATTCTTTAGGGGTGATTTTTAAGATTTTGGTGCGCCCATCACCCGAGCAGTGTACCCTGTACCCAATGTGTAGTCTTTTATCCCTCACCATCCCCCACCCTTTTCCCCAAGTCCCCAAAATCCGATGTATCATTCTTATGCCTTTGCGTCCTCATAGCTTAGTTCCCACGCATGAGTGAGAACCTATGCTGTTTGGTTTTCCACTTCTGAGTTACTTTAATGGTCTCCAATTCCATGCAGGTTGCTGTGAATGCCATTATTCCATTCCTTTTTATGGCTGCGTAGTATTCCATTATATATATACCATATTTTCTTTATCCACTCGTTGATTGATGAACGTTTGGGCTGGTTCCATATTTTTCAAATTGCAGATTGTGCTGCAGTGAACATGTGTGTGCAAGTATCTTTTTTGTATAATGACTTCCTTTCCTCTGGGTAGATACCTAGTAGTGGGATTACTGGATCAAATGGTAGATCTACTTTTAGTTCTTGGGAATCTCCACACTGTTTTCCAGAGGTTGTACCTGTTTACATTACCACCAACAGTGTGTAAAAGTGTTCCCTTTTCACTGCATCCATGCCAACATCTTTTTTTTTTTTTTATTGTGGTCATTCTTGCAGGAGTGAGATGGTATTGCATTGTGGTTTTGATTTGCATTTCCCTAATAATTAGTGGTGTTGAACATTTTTCCATATGCTTGTTGGCCATTTTTATGTCTTCTTTTGAGAACTGCCTATTCATGTCCTTATCCCAGTTTTTGATGGGATTGTTTGATTTTTTCTTGCTTATTTGTTTGAGTTCTTTGTGGATTCTGGATATTAGTCCTTTGTCAGGTGTATAGATTGTGAAGATTTTCTCCCCCTCTGGGTTGTCTGTTAACCATGCTCATTATTTCTTTTGCTGTGCAGAAGCTTTTTAGTTTAATTAAATCCTATCTATTTATCTTTGTTTTTGTTGCATTTGCTTTTGGGTTATTGGTCATGAAGTCTTTGCCTAAGCCAATGTCTAGAAGAGTTTTTCCGATGTTATCTTCTGGAGTCTTTATGGTTTCAGGTCTTAGAGTTAAGTCTTTGATTCATCTTGAGTTGATTTTTGTATAAGGTGAGAGATGAGGATCCAGTTTCATTCTTCTACATTTGGCTTGCCAATTATCTCAGCACCATTTGTTGAATAGGCTGTCCTTTTCTCACCTCATGTTTTTGTTTACTTTGTCAAAGATCAGTTGGCTGTAAGCAATTGGCTTTATTTCTGGGTTCTCTAGTCTGTTGCATTGGTCTATGTGCCTATTTTTATACAGTATCATGCTGTTTTGGTGACTAGGGCCTTATAGTATAGTTGAAGTTGAGTAATGTGATGACTCCGTATTTGTCCTTTTTGCTTAGGCTTGCTTTGGCTATGTGGGCTCTTTTTTGATTCCATATGAATATTAGGATTTTTTCTAGTTCTGTGAAGACTGATGGTATTGTCATGAGAACTGCATTGAATTTATAGGTGGCTTTTGGCAGTATGATCATTTTTACAATACTGATTCTACCCATCCATGAGCATGGAGTGTGTTTTCTGTTTGTTTGTGTCATCTATGATTTCTTTCAACAGTGTTTTGTAGTTTTCCTTGTAGAGGTCTTTCACATCCTTGGTTAAGTATATTCCTTGTTTTTTTTGTTTTTCTTTTTGTTTTTGTTTTTGTGTTTGCAGCTATGGTGAAAGGGGTTGAGTTCTTGATTTGATTCTCAGTTTGGTCACTGATAGTATATAGCAGAGTTACTGAATCATGTGCATTAATTTTGTGTCCTGAAACTTTGCTGAATTCATTTACTAGTTCTGGAAGCTTTTTGGGTGAGGCTTTAGGGTTTTCTAGGTATACAATCATATCATCAGCAAACAGAGACAGTTTAACTTCCTCTTTACTGACTTGGATGCCCTTTATTTCTTTCTCTTGTCTGATTGCTCTGGCTAGGACTGCCAGTACTAAGTTGAATAAAAGTGGTGAAAGTGGGCATCCTTGTCTTGGTCTAGTTCTCAGGGGGAGTGCTTTCAAGTTTTCCCCATTCAGTATAATGTTGGCTGTGGGTCTATCATAGATGGCTTCTATTACCTTAAGGTATGTCCCTTCTGTGCCAATTTTGCTGAAGGTTTTAATCATAAAGGGATGCTGCATTTTGCCAAATGCTTTTTCTGTGTCTATTGAGATGATCATATGATTTTTGTTTTTAATTATGTTTATGTGGAGAATCACATTTACTGGCTTACATATATTAAACCACCCCTGCATCCCTGGTATGAAACTCAGTTTATCATGGTGGATTATCTTTTTGATATGCTGTTGGATTTGGTTAACTATTATTTTGTTGAGGATTTTTGCCTCTATGTTCATCAGGGATATTGGTTTGTAGTTTTCTTTTTTTGTTATGTCCTTGCGTGGTTTGGGTATTAGGGTGATACTGGCTTCATAGAATGATTTAGGGAGGATTCTCTCTTTCTCTATCTTTTGGAACAGTGTCAATAGGATTGTTACCAATTCTTGTTTGTATGTCTGATAGAATTCAGCTGTGAATCTGTCTGGTCCTGGACTTTTTTTGTTGGCAATTTTTAAATTACCATTTCATGCTCACTGCTTGTTATTGGTCTTGGTCTTGGTCTGTTCAGAGATTCTTTATCTTGCTGGTTTAATCTAAGAGGGTTGTATATTTCCAGGAATTTATCCATCTCCTCTAGGTTTTCCAGTTTATGGAAATAAAGGTGCTCATAGTAGCCTTGAATAATCTTTTGTATTCCTGTGGTATCAGTTGTGATAGCTCTCATTTCATTTCTAATTGAGCTTATTTGGATCTTCTTTCTCCTTTCTTGGTTAACCTCGCTAATGGTCTATCAATTTTATTTATCTTTTCAAAGAACCAGCTTTTTGTTTGATTTATCTTTTGTATTTTTTTTGTTTTGTTTCAATTTCATTCAGTTCTGCTCTGATCTTTGTTCTTTCTTTCTTGTGCTGGGTTTGGGTTTGGATTGTACTTGTTTCTGCAGTTCCATGAGGTATGACCTTGGATTGTATACCTGTGCTCTTTCAGGTTTTTTGGTGTAGGCATTTAGTCCTAGGAACTTTTCTTCTAGCACCGCTTTTGCTGTATCCGAGAAATTTTGATAGATTGTGTCACTATTATCGTTCAATTCAAAGAAATTTTTAACTTTCCTCTTGATTTCATTGTTGACCCAGTGTGCATTCAGGAGCAGGTTACTTAATTTCCATGTATTCGCATGGTTTTGAGGGTTCCTTTTGGAGTTGATTTCCAGTTTTATTCCACTGTGGTCTGAGAGAGTACTTGATACAATTTTGATTTTCTTAAATTTATTGAGACTTGTTTTGTGGCCTGTCATATGGTCTGTCTTGAAGAATGTTCCATGTACTGATGAATAGAATGTATATTCTGCAGTTGTTAGGTAGAATGTTCTGCAAATATCTGTTAAGTTCATTTGTTCTAAGGTATAGTTTAAGTCCATTGTTTCTTTGTTGACTTTCCATCTTGATGACCTGTCTCGTGCTGTCAGTGGAGTATTAAAGTCCCCCGCTATCATTGTATTGCTGTCTGTCTTATTTCTTAGGTCTAGTAGTAATTGTTTTATAAATTTGGGAACTCCAGTGTTAGGTGCATATATATTTAGAATTGTGATATTTTCCTGTGGACTAGTCCTTTGTCACTATATAATGACCTTGTTTGTCTTTTTTAACTGCTGTTGCTTTAATATTTGTTTGATCTGATATAAAAACAGCTACTCCTGCTTGCTTTTCTTGTCCATTTGCATGGACTATCTTTTTCCATCCCTTTACCTTAAGTGTATGTGAGTCCTTATTTGTTAGGTGAGTCTCCTGAAGACAGCAGAAACTTGGTTGACGTATTATTCTCCATTCTGTCAGAAACTTCGTTGGTGAATTATTCTCCATTCTCTCATTTTGTGTCTTTTAAGTGGAGCATTTAGGCCATTTACATCAATGTTAGTATTAGACATGAGATACTATTCTATTCATTGTGCTATATTTTGCCTGAATACCTTTTTTTTTCATTGTGTTATTGTTATATAGGTCCTGTGAGATTTATGTTTCAAGGAGGTTCTGTTTTGGTGTATTTCAAGAGTTTGTTTCAAGAGTTACATCTCCTTTTAGCAGGCTTGGTAGTAGCAAATTCCCTCAGCCTTTGTTTGTCTGGAAAAGACTGCATCTTTCCTTCATTTATGAAGCTTAGTTTCACTAAGCATAAATTTTCTGGCTGATAATTGTGTTTAAGGAGGCTAAAAGTAGGACCCCAATCCCTTGTAGCTTGTAGGGTTTCTGCTGAGAAATCTGCTGTTAATATGATAGGTTTTCCTTTTTAGGTTACTTGATGCTTTTGCCTCATAGCTCTTAAGATGTTTTCCTTCGTCTTGACTTTAGATAACCTGATGGCTATGTATCTAGGTGATGATCTTTTTACAATGAATTTACCAGGTGTTCTTTGATCTTCTTGTATTTGGATGTCTAGATCTCTAGCAAGGCCAGGGAAGTTTTCCTTGATTATTCCCTCAAAAATGTTTTTCAAATTTTTAGATTTCTCTTTTTCCTTGGGAATATCAATTATTCTTAGGTTTGGACATTTATTCTTAGGTTTAGACAAAGTCCCAAGCTTCTTGGAGGCTTTGTTCATATTTTTCCATTCTTTTTTCTTTGTCTTTGTTGGGTTGGGTTAATTCAAAAGCCTTGTCTTCAAGCTCTGAAGTTCTTTCTTCTGCTTGTTCGATCTATTGCTGAGACTTTCCAGTGCATTTTGCATTTATCTAAGTGTATCCTTGACTTTCAGAAGTTGTGATTGTTTTTTATTTATGCTTTCTGTTTCGCTGAAGTATTTTTCTTTCATATCCTATATCATATTTTTGATTTTTTATTTTATTTTATTTATTATTATTATACTTTAAGTTTAGGGTACATGTGCACAATGTGCAGGTTAGTTACATATGTATACATGTACCATGCTGGTGCGCTGCACCCACTAACTCGTCATCTAGCATTAGGTATATCTCCCAATGCTATCCCTCCCCCCTCCCCCCACCCCACAACAGTCCCCAGAGTGTGATGTTCCCCTTCCTGTGTTCATGTGTTCTCATTGTTCAATTCCCACCTATGAGTGAGAATATGCGGTGTTTGGTTTTTTGTTCTTGAGATAGTTTACTGAGAATGATGATTTCCAATTTCATCCATGTCCCTACAAAGGACATGAACTCATCATTGTTTATGGCTGCATAGTATTCCATGGTGTATATGTGCCACATTTTCTTAATTCAGTCTATCATTGTTGGACATTTGGGTTGGTTCCAAGTCTTTGCTATTGTGAATAATGCCGCAATAAACATACGTGTGCATGTGTCTTTATAGCAGCATGATTTATAGTCCTTTGGGTATATACCCAGTAATGGGATGGCTGGGTCAAATGGTATTTCCAGTTCTAGATCCCTG
The DNA here is from genome assembly GCF_000001405.40 of Homo sapiens. NCBI lineage: Eukaryota > Metazoa > Chordata > Mammalia > Primates > Hominidae > Homo > Homo sapiens. The sequence continues at coordinate 133,618,754 of NC_000002.12, read as the reverse complement.
AGGAATCGCCACACTGACTTCCACAATGGTTGAACTAGTTTACAGTCCCACCAACAGTGTAAAAGTGTTCCTATTTTTCCACATCCTCTCTAGCACCTGTTGTTTGCTGACTTTTTAATGATCGCCATTCTAACTGGTATGAGATGGTATCTCATTGTGGTTTTGATTTGCATTTCTCTGATGGCCAGTGATGGTGAGCATTTTTTCATGTGTTTTTTGGCTGCATAAATGTCTTCTTTTGAGAAGTGTCTGTTCATGTCCTTCGCCCACTTTTTGATGGGGTTGTTTGTTTTTTTCTTGTAAATTTGTTTGAGTTCATTGTAGATTCTGGATATTAGCCCTTTGTCAGATGAGTGGGTTGTGAAAATTTTCTCCCATTTTGTAGGTTGCCTGTTCACTCTGATGGTAGTTTCTTTTGCTGTGCAGAAGCTCTTTAGTTTAATTAGATCCCATTTGTCAATTTTGTCTTTTGTTGCCATTGCTTTTGGTGTTTTAGACATGAAGTCCTTGCCCATGCCTATGTCCTGAATGGTAATGCCTAGGTTTTCTTCTAGGGTTTTCATGGTTTTAGGTCTAACGTTTAAGGCTTTAATCCATCTTGAATTGATTTTTGTATAAGGTGTAAGGAAGGGATCCAGTTTCAGCTTTCTACATATGGCTAGCCAGTTTTCCCAGCACCATTTATTAAATAGGGAATCCTTTCCCCATTGCTTGTTTTTCTCAGGTTTGTCAAAGATCAGATAGTTGTAGATATGGGGCATTATTTCTGAGGCCTCTGTTCTGTTCCATTGATCTATATCTCTGTTTTGGTACCAGTACCATGCTGTGTTGGTTACTGTAGCCTTGTAGTATAGTTTGAAGTCAGGTAGTGTGATGCCTCCAGCTTTGTTCTTTTGGCTTAGGATTGACTTGGCGATGCGGGCTCTTTTTTGGTTCCATATGAATTTTAAAGTAGTTTTTTCCAATTCTGTGAAGAAAGTCATTGGTAGCTTGATGGGGATGGCATTGAATCTATAAATTACCTTGGGCAGTATGGCCATTTTCATGATATTGATTCTTCCTACCCATGAGCATGGGATGTTCTTCCATTTGTTTGTATCCTCTTTTATTTCCTTGAGCAGTGGTTTGTAGTTCTCCTTGAAGAGGTCCTTCACATCCCTTGTAAGTTGGATTCCTAGGTATTTTATTCTCTTTGAAGCAATTGTGAATGGGAGTTCACTCATGATTTGGCTCTCTGTTTGTCTGTTGTTGGTGTATAAGAATGCTTGTGATTTTTGTACATTGATTTTGTATCCTGAGACTTTGCTGAAGTTGCTTATCAGCTTAAGGAGATTTTGGGCTGAGACAATGGGGTTTTCTAGATATACAATCATGTCGTCTGCAAACAGGGACAGTTTGACTTCCTCTTTTCCTAATTGAATGCCTTTTATTTCCTTCTCCTGCCTAATTGCCCTGGCCAGAACTTTCAACACTATGTTGAATAGGAGTGGAGAGAGAGGGCATCCCTGTCTTGTGCCAGTTTTCAAAGGGAATGCTTCCAGTTTTTGCCCATTCAGTATGATATTGGCTGTGGATTTGTCCTAGATAGCTCTTATTATTTTGAGATATGTCCCATCAATACCTAATTTATTGAGAGTTTTTAGCATGAAGGGCTGTTGAATTTTGTCAAAGGCTTTTTCTGCATCTATTGAGATAATCCTGTGGTTTTTGTCTTTGGTTCTGTTTATATGCTGGATTACATTTATTGATTTCCGTATATTGAACCAGACTTGCATCCCAGGGATGAAGCCCACTTGATCATGGTGGATAACCTTCTTGATGTGCTGCTGAATTCGGTTTGCCAGTATTTTCTTGAGGATTTTCACATCAAGGTTCATCAAGGATATTGGTCTAAAGTTCTCTTTTTTGGTTGTGTCTCTGCCCAGCTTTGGTATCAGGATGATGCTGGCCTCATAAAATGAGTTAGGGAGGATTCCCTCTTTTTCTATTGATTGGAATAGTTTCAGAAGGAATGGTACCAGTTCCTCCTTGTACCTCTGGTAGAATTCAGCTGTGAATCCATCTGGTCCTGGACTCTTTTTGGTTGGTAAGCTATTGATTATTGCCACAATTTCAGCTCCTGTTATTGGTCTATTCAGAGATTCAACTTCTTCCTGGTTTAGTCTTGGGAGAGTGTGTGTGTCGAGGAATTTATCCATTTCTTGTAGATTTTCTAGTTTATTTGGGTAGAGGTGTTGGTAGTATTCTCTGATGGTAGTTTGTATTTCTGTGGGATCGGTGGTGATATCCCCTTTATCATTTTTTATTGCATCTATTTGATTCTTCTCTCTTTTTTTCTTTATTAGTCTTGCTAGCAGTCTATCAACTTTGTTGATGCTTTCAAAAAACCAGCTCCTGGATTCATTAATTTTTTGAAGGGTTTTTTGTGTCTCTATTTCCTTCAGTTCTGCTCTGATTTTAGTTATTTCTTGCCTTCTGCTAGCTTTTGAATGTGTTTGCTCTTGCTTTTCTAGTTCTTTTAATTGTGATGTTAGGGTGTCAATTTTGGATCTTTCCTGCTTTCTCTTGTGGGCATTTAGTGCTATAAATTTCCCTCTACACACTGCTTTGAATGCGTCCCAGGGATTCTGGTATGTAGTGTCTTTGTTCTCGTTGGTTTCAAAGAACATCTTTATTTCTGCCTTCATTTCGTTATGTACCCAGTAGTCATTCAGGAGCAGGTTGTTCAGTTTCCATGTAGTTGAGCGGTTTTGAGTGAGATTCTTAATCCTGAGTTCTAGTTTGATTGCACTGTGGTCTGAGAGATAGTTTGTTATAATTTCTGTTCTTTTACATTTGCTGAGGAGAGCTTTACTTCCAACTATGTGGTCAATTTTGGAATAGGTGTGGTGTGGTGCTGAAAAAAATGTACATTCTGTTGATTTGGGGTGGAGAGTTCTGTAGTTGTCTATTAGTTCCACTTGGTGCAGAGCTGAGTTCAATTCCTGGGTATCCTTGTTGACTTTCTGTCTCGATGATCTGTCTAATGTTGACAGTGGGGTGTTAAAGTCTCCCATTATTAATGTGTGGGGGTCTAAGTCTCTTTGTAGGTCACTCAGGAATTGCTTTATGAATCTGGGTGCTCCTGTATTGGGTGCATCTATATTTAGGATAGTTAGCTCTTCTTGTTGAATTGCTCTGTTTACCATTATGTAATGGCCTTCTTTGTCTCTTTTGATCTTTGTTGGTTTAAAGTCTGTTTTATCAGAGAGTAGGACTGCAACCCCTGCTTTTTTTTTGTTTTCCATTTGCTTGGTAGATCTTTCTCCATCCTTTTATTTTGAGCCTATGTGTGTCTCTGCACATGAGATGAGTTTCCTGAATACAGCACACTGATGGGTCTTGACTCTTTATCCAATTTGCCCGTCTGTGTCTTTTAATTGGAGCATTTAGTCCATTTACATTTAAAGTTAATATTGTTATGTGTGAATTTGATCCTGTCATTATGATGTTAGCTGGTTATTTTGCTCATTAGTTGATGCAGTTTCTTCCTAACCTCGATGGTCTTTACATTTTGGCATGATTTTGCAGTGGCTGGTACCGGTTTTTCCTTTCCATGTTTAGAGCTTCCTTCAGGAGCTCTTTTAGGGCAGGCCTGGTGGTGACAAAATCTCTCAGCATTTGCTTGTCTGTAAAGTATTTTATTTCTCCTTCACTTATGAAGCTTAGTTTGGCTGGATATGAAATTCTGGGTTGAAAATTCTTGTCTTTAAGAATGTTGAATATTGGCCCCCACTCTCTTCTGGCTTGTGGAGTTTCTGCTGAGAGATCCGCTGTTAGTCTGATGGGCTTCCCTTTGAGGGTAGCCCGACCTTTCTCTCTGGCTGCCCTTAACATTTTATCCTTCATTTCAACTTTGGTGAATCTGACAATTATGTGTCTTGGAGTTGCTCTTCTCGAGGAGTATCTTTGTGGCATTCTCTGTATTTCCTGAATCTGAATGTTGGCCTGCCTTGCTAGATTGGGGAAGTTCTCCTGGATAATATCCTGCAGAGTGTTTTCCAACTTGGTTCCGTTCTCCCCGTCACTTTCAGGTATACCAATCAGACGTAGATTTGGTCTTTTCACATAGTCCCATATTTCTTGGAGGCTTTGTTCGTTTCTTTTTATTCTTTTTTCTCTAAACTTCCCTTCTCGCTTCATTTCATTCATTTCATCTTCCATCGCTGATACCCTTTCTTCCAGTTGATTGCATCGGCTCCTGAGGCTTCTGCATTCTTCACGTAGTTCTCGAGCCTTGGTTTTCAGCTCCATCAGCTCCTTTAAGCACTTCTCTGTATTGGTTATTCTAGTTATACATTCTTCTAAATTTTTTTCAAAGTTTTCAACTTCTTTGCCTTTGGTTTGAATTTCATCCCGTAGCTCGGAGTAATTTGATCTTCTGAAGCCTTCTTCTCTCAGCTTGTCAAAGTCATTCTCCGTCCAGCTAGTCTCACTCCCACAGTGCCCCACCAACAGAACTGAATCTATTTCCTGGCAGCCGGTGACCAGGGCTGAGAACTTGCCCCAGACCACGAGACTCCCTGTTGAGAAAGCAAGCGGGCTCACAGTTTTTTGGTATCTCAGGGAGCCTGTAATGGTGACCCAGTTTCTTCAAAGGCTCTGCGGATTCTCTAGGTTTTCCTGATATGTTCCTGTGTAGTCTTGGAGACAAAGTTCACAGTGTGAGTCTCCACACATTGCTCTGTCCATCCGAGCAGGGGCTGCAAGCTAGTCCTGCCTGCTATCTGCCATCTTAGTCCCCTGCAAATGCCCCAGAAGATTCTTTGAATGCTCTCTCCAACGACTCATATAGGACCTGTGAGAAAGAAGGCAACACAAGGAAAAGGAGTACTGTTTTCTAATTTCTGTTAACACTCTAAGAAGACTAGCAACTCTTGCATTACAGCTCACGTATAATCACACGCTGTCCAACATTGGGAAGAGCGCCATTCCCATTTTGGTGAAGGGACTACGGGACCACCCCTAGAAGAGGGAAGAGAATAAAGAGGGTGGCCTCAGCCTAGAACCAGTCCGCATGTGGGCAGAGGAGGCTGTGCAGGACATTTCTCAGTGAAATTCAAGAAATGGCACAGATGCCTCTGGAGCGGCAGGAGAGCTATGGTTGATGTCAAATCCCAGCCAAAGGACTTGCTGGGAGTCTCCAACTCTGTTTCATATCTTAGACTATTCTATTTTCAAGCTAATGTGAAACACTGCTTATATTTTTTTGAATAATTGAATGGAGGTGAAAACACTGGTGAGAGGCAGAGCTAGAAAAATACTACTTAGCTACTGTTATTGCAACCCTAATTTTAGTTTTGGCCTAAAAGTAAACTTGGAGTTTATCCTGATGGAGGATAAACAGTCTTCATAATGAAAATCTTTCTTAATAATTATAACAGTGGACATTGGTATAATTGTTTTCTGTTATAAAGTACCATTGCATCCATTGAACATTAGAGGAGTGGAATGGGCCCCTTTGTCATATTGTGAGCTTTCAGCCAAGAAAATAATTCTATCAATGGCCATAGGAGTGTTTCTGGGGGAATGTCTCCATTAGATGTAGATTTTGACTTTACCATTCAATAACTTTTTTGGGTATGATTCTTGGAGAGGTAAGGAGGAAATACATTAAGGGTTGGAATGGCAGCAGATCTGAGAAATGTCTGGGTATCTCAGCTTTACTTCAGCTCTTTGGGAATGCTCCTCTTAGCCCTCAGAAACTGTTTCTCCTCACTCTTTGCTTTATTAGTGCTGTAAGTTTCCTTCCTGGAAGTCTATTCTTTAGCATCCATTTCTCCTCAATGCCTGCTACTTACCAATGGTGTGTGGTAGATGTTCAGTGCAAGCTCCTGGTTAATTCAGCAAACCGCGCTTAAGAGCAATGTTATAAAGGCTTCACATCCAGTCAACCTGTCTTAAAGGTCAGGTTGACAAAGCAAAAGTAGTTCTTAGTATTCATTTGATCCATTTCTTCCTCAGTGCCACACTATATAATGTAGCAAGTGTAGAAACATAAATCTTTACATCTATTTTTTAAGCATTGTTTCCACATACCAATATAAACAAGGAGACAACAAGGAGAAATGGAGGCCCCCAGAAAGAACATTTACATTGATCATATAAAAGAACTTAACACCATAAAATCTAAAATGCCAACTTACAAGTCACAATGTCTGCATTGTTCTTCATTTGCAGTTTTAAAAGTACTTCAATATATATTATTTGGGAGACCAAACGGATTGATTGATTATATATTGAAGTACCATGCTTTAAAGTGCTCTAGTAAAACACAATGCTTGTGTATTTGAGATTGAAAATCCATACTGGGATAAAGAAAGATGTTTCTTTTCAATCCAGATGCTCTCAACTGGTTCAAGTTTTTCTTTTCTCTTTGGGAATAAATCAATTGTGTCATTTGTTGTGAAACTAAATCCAGATATTTTTCTCAATGCCTATGTCTTTTTGTTTCTTTTATACAATAACATCTTATTTCCATTATGAAGCTGGGAGCATCTCTCTGGAAGTCTTTTTGGTGTTTTCTGGTTTCAAATTTCTACCTTATCTTTCCTATGCATTCCAAGGTCATCATTGGAGCTATTAAAGTTTTCAAGAATATGGGAAGTCTATTGTATCCTATCAATGGCAGCCAGGTTGAATGGTGAACTATTCATGAAAAGCAACTATACTCTTTCACTTGTGGGCAAAGTTAACAGTATACCTACCTGACCATAGAATTATGTTGAAATGCCTCTTCTGATGTCTAAGAAATTTGGTTGAAATGTCGAAGCTGAAATCTATGGGTCCAAAGTACATCCATATTTTACAGGGTACTGCTAGACACTTCTGTATAGGCTGTGCTCAGAATGAAAGAATCATCTCAAAACCCATCATCATGTCCCATCTATAAAAGAGAAGATTCGTCACTTGAAAACAATGATTATTTGAAGGGGGTTTAATAGGGGAGAGAATGTTTTGGCTTCTCTATTTTGGAGAGAAGTGAGGGACTTCCAATGGCCTGTGGGAGCCTGCAGGGAGAGGCTATTAGTTGCCACACCCCACCCAGCCTTTTTATCTTTGGTAGAATAGTTTAGAGCAAATCTCAGACATCATGTCATTTCATGAGGGCTAAGAAGCCTTACTGTCTTAATGAAGATTAAAAAATAGACCAAAAACCCCACTGGACACCTTTTAGAGAGGAGTATGCTTTGTCTCTTACTGATAGCCAAGCAAATAAGTGAAAACACAGAATCTTGGGAAATTGAGAGGCTCATGAACCTGTCATCCTGGTAGATATTACAAAGGAAAGCAATCAAATGCAAAGTGAATTCTTCCCAAATGACCACCTTCCTGCTCTTGGCTGTACTCTGGGTATCACCGTGGAGGACTATGGCTGCTGTAACCTTGAAGAAGGGAGAAGGAGACCAGAAATGCTTTTTGCAGATGGAGGAGGTGGTGGCGGGTGGCGGGTGGAGGTTGAGGGTGGGGGTGGTCTCTGAGAGATGCAACATCCCTTTTCTTGCAAGAGATCTGATGGATGCATCATATGTCAACACAGAAAAGAGAAACACTTCACCTCCTGTTCTTGAGTGAAATGCCTTTTTTTTTCGGGCATTAACATGGGGGGCTAGCATTTCACATTTAAATCCAAGGTCACTTCTCTGGGTAGGAGGTCACTCTCATGTTTCTAAGAACTGAAAAGAAAAAGTACAAAAGCCCCCAAAACCCCTGAAAACAAAGACTCTAGTCTTCCCTTGTCATTGAAGCACCTTCCTAATCACATGATCTCCTCTGGCCAGTATAAGTTGTGTTTTTATAAAAATCTTTGTCAGTGGGCAAGAATATCTAGTAAAAGGGAGAGACTTTTAAAGAATATATATTTTTTTCTTTGAAAAGTAATACAAGTTTACTGTAGAAAATGTAAATAAAAAGAAGGAAGATAAAATAATCCATAGCTCTACCACTTGAGAACAAGAGCTGTAAACACTTTGTTGCATTTTCCTTTAATCTATTTTTAAAAGAGAGAGAGAGAGTGTGTGTGTGTGTTTATTAACTTTTAACCAGTGGAATAATGTTAGTCTGTTTTGGAGCCTTCATTTTTCACTTGAAGAAAAGAATATCTAGCCTTCTTCTAAATATTGGGATTGCCTGGAACATTTTAGTCACTCTCTTGCCCCCCAGGTTTAGCACAGGCAGGAGGGAACACCCCTTCTTAGGCTACTAATTGTTATGTTCCATGACATTATGGGGATCAAAGAGATGCCTGGGGAATGATTGTGGGAACTCAGAATGATAGTCATTTAGCCCTGAGTTGAGAAATTGTCTCCCCAAGCTTCTTCTTCCTCACCCTTCCAGTGCATTCCTAAAATACACACTGCCACCAAACAGATACAGCTCCAATTCATCTTCATCTGAGCCCAGTTTATTGCCTCTTTTGTCTCTTTCATTAACCCTCTGGTCTATGGGGTACTTGCAGAATTGCTATTTTGCAAGAAATATGTCTCTTTTAGCCATCAGGCTATAATTCTGAACAGAAATCACCCCATTGTGTTCTTTCTCATGGTATTAAGGAGGAAAAAGATGATCTAAGAGCAAGAACTCATATTAAGCTTCTGTTCTGGATAGAAAATCGATGCGATGTATTGACAATGAGGAGGGAGGAGACCCAAGAAAGCAGGAAGGGATGCTGATTTATCTTAGGATCATTTGCCTCCTATTGGGATCAAGCAGGTGTTTGAAAGTTAAATAGTACCTCATTTCTTCAGAATGAACCTGACCCAGGAATTTAAATTAAAATTCCTCAGGAACTACTCTTTGTAGGTGGTGCCCTCTTTTCTACTAATTGCCTTACTTATTATTGCTGTTTATTATGAGTCACTCTTGACACACCCTCTCCAAATGTTTGAGCTCTATAATTCTAGAGAAATGTTCCTAATATTTTTGATGGATACTTATTATATCTCTACAGCTTCCTTATTCTTTATCTTGGCAAGCTTTGGGGTATAAAACTCAGAGCTGTTGGGCCAGCTTTATGGAGAAACCCAAGCCATTTGGTGGAGATGATCCTAGACATGAAGCTAGAAGCCTGGTTGTCTCTGGGGAGATAAAATCAGGAAGACTGGCCACAAGCTCAACTTTGCTCCACTTATGGCCCCTAGATAATAATGAGGAAGAGGCAAAGGGGAGCATCGGGTGAGAGTATGGCTTATTTAGTTGGTAGTAATAATAATAAGATCCAAAGCCTTCATAAAGGTGGCTTGCAACTACTCATTCCTAGAAGAAAAAATGCCAGGAATTGTTCTTCTTCCACTCAGAAGTTATAAGGTGCAATTAAACTCATGTGACTTTCTTAAAAACAAAACCGTGAACATATCAAATTAAATATGACATTGTTTATTCATTCAACAAACATTTGCCATGTGCCTTCTCTATACTAGCGTGGAGATATGGAGAACAACAACAGATAATATTTTTTTTCTCAAAAAGCTTCCAGTCAGTGGTAAGGACATAAAGTTAAATAATTAAAAAATCCCACAAAGCAGGCTAAAATGAGTACATTAAAAATACACACAAACTGCTGTGGTAGGGACAATGAAGTTATAGAATTCTGATGCCTGGCTCGTGAATAGCACTTTATAATAATTGCATGAATGGATGCCATAAAGGAAAGTATCCTTAAGGGAATGTTACATTCAAACTAATTGTGGAAGGAGGCGCAGGATTTTGTCAGTAACTGATTAGATAGTTTGTGCAAAGATCAAGACTTGAAAATACATGAAATGTTCAAATGTTCAAAAAATGCCAATCCATTCAGTGTGGTTGGTCTGGGACCATGGAGAGCAGTAGCAGGAGAAGCATATATGGTGAAGGATCTTGAGTGCCATGTAGAGTTTGGTCTTTATTCTCTAGATAATGGGAAACCAATAATCTGTGCAGAGGAAAGTTACACAATTGAACTTGGGTTTGAGGACAGTAAATCTGAGAACATTTCAGGAAGAATTGGAAAGGTGAGGGTGGCCATCGTCAACTGTGATATTTTACACTCGCCTCTATTATTGATTATTGAGGCTCAAACAAAACCTTTTGAGGCAGTCAGGTTTGGATTGTTATCTCTATTTTACCTAGAAGAGGATAAACTTGGAGAAGGATAAGGTTCATCCAGGGAAGAACACTGACTAATGTAGAGTCACTCCACAAAGCCCTGTCTCTAATCCTGGTGCTGCCAGTGACCCTTCCTTTCCTTGCCAAGAAAGGGACTGTGCTCATTATGCCTGTGTGTCTGTCTGTGAGCTATTTGCCCTTGATTCTAAATGACTAACACCAAAGAAGTATCAGGACTGTAGTATATACAGCTTTTGATAAAGGTGACCCAAGAAAGTAGGAAGAGATGCTAACCTCTCTTAAGATCCTTTGGCTCCTACAGGACTTAAGCAGAATGAAGACCATTTGAGAAAGTGTGAAACATATCTCTAGAGAGAAGAGCAATTTGATCATCAGAAAAGACATGAAAAAGCTATAAAGGGGAGTTTTAATAAGGATTATGTTGGTATGGCTTTATTTCCAGTTGCACCATTTTATGGACATAAAAGCCATATTTTTAAGAGTTCCATCAAATAGAATAAACAACTCTATCTTGGAAATAGATGAAATATTAAAATCAGATTCACATTAGGTATTTGTTGAATACATAGGTTTTTAAAAAAAGTTTCCCAAATCACTGAAAGTTGATATAGGAACAGGAAATTTCTAACAGGACGTGAGTTAATACCAGTAAGTTGTTATTGGATTTTATCAGCATTGGACTATCATGTTAAGAGCTGAAGCTCATGACTATGATGCAGTCATTAAAATGAGTCCCAGACTCACCATACAAGAAAATATATGTGGGGATTTCCTAGTGGCAAGCTTGGGTTGGATAGGAATGTCAGTGGTGATGGCAGGGTTTGAATCATACTTGTCTGAGATACATGGGCCTTCTAAGCAAGTGCTTAGAAATCTCACTGTTTTCTTTAATAAATCAAAGGGTTGAGCTTTTTAAAAATCATGAGTGCTTTTTCCCTCTATTATAACTCTGGTAGCATTAAAATACCCTTAGGCATCATCAAATAAATTTTATAATTTATAGTATCTATTATTCACAGGAGAACTTCTTCAAAGAGTCTCTCTTCCTCAGTCTCTTTCAACTCCCACCACTTCCAAATCTTAATCCAGTGTTGTCTCAGCTTGTTTGATTTTGGCAAATATGCAGACCTAATTGATTCTTGAGTGAGAGTCAATTTCTCTAACAGAGCAGGGATGGGTGACTGGTTAAAGTTTGTGAGCTGGACGCATACTAGACTGAAGATAAAGAAATGCAATGTTATTCCATCCAAGTGGAGACACTCTACCTGGGTCCAGTGGGGAGCTCCCATGTCTGACAGTAGACTGGGAAGGGAGCAACAAACTCACCTCCACTATCTAGAGCATGGTGTAAATCTTTTAATTACTTGATAAGCCATTTTCTAAAAAAGGCAACCTGGAAACGACTCTTTGGCATTTGCTCTTGAGTCAGTTATTACAAATTAAAAAGAGTTGGAGGTAATGAAGGCTTTTTATGTGGTACACATACTGATGTAATAAATTGTAAGAGCCATTAGAAAGATTGTAGATTTTGGTATATTTCAGGCTCACTTTCGGAGATTTTTTTAAAAGGATTAATGATGGTCTCAGGTCCTTCATTCTCAAGCTCCCACAGCAACCTTTCTATTATCTGATATCCTAGGTGGATGAATGATTAGGCATGAGGACTTCTGGACACCAGTGGAGCTGTAACTTGTGGCTCCTTCTATTTAGTTCTCCTTATTTTCTGATGGGCAATATCTGGGGCAAAGCAAACAGTATAGCTCCCAAGGTATCAGCACTGCTGTAGTCCCCAGCTGGGCAGATTCACACTTGTGGTTTCAGTATGTAGAAAAGCTCTCAGGCTAAAACCTTTTTTTTTTTTTTTTTCCCTGAACTCCTTTCCATTTCTGCAACCAGCTTTTATGGCAGAGATTCTCAAGCTTGGTGTGCATCAGGATCTCCTGGGAAACTTGGCAAAATTTTGGAGGTGTAGGCCCTGTCCCGCTCTATGAGCCCAGTTCTCCAGCCAATTCTGATACATCCTAGAGTTTGAGAACGATTGTTTTAGAGATTTTCATAGGCATGGTCAGTCACCAGTTCTATTCTTCAGTGTGGGCCCAGGCCTTTTAGGAGGCGTTGGGTATTTTAAAATTTTTCAGATGCAGTTATCACCAATATTGAGAAGTCCACACGAGCTTCCTCCTAGAACCTACAGACTAAATTCCAAAGACGTTTTGATGAAAAACAATTTCAGGGGGTGTTCGGTAAGTTCTTTGTGGTCAACAGGCTTCCTTGTTTAAGTAAAGTAGGAAACTTATTTGTCTACAGACTTCTTAGAATGTTTAACATGCTTATTCTTATGAATTCCTGAGATATTATAATATGGGATATTTATCAAATTTATTGGGCATGGTATTATTTTTTCATAGAGCATATTACTAGACCTCTGATGTTGCATAGTTTTCTTAAGAAATTCTGCCTTCAATTTTTTTTGAAGTTCTATTAGAATCTGATTCTGGTTAGTTTTGATGAGTATTAGCAAGGCTGAGGTGAGAACTACAGCCTTTTCCACTGTTAACTTACATAAAAATCAGCATTTTTTTTCCACATTAACCTGCTGATGTAATTGTGGCATATGCAAAGAGATAGTTCGCTTCAATTTCCATTTTAGTGAGTATATGCTTTGGCATTCTTTTAACATGTTATTATGGTTCTTTGAAGCACAGAGCCTCAGAGGAGCCTCCTGCCCCCCTTTTCCTCTTGATTTACCCAGGTCATTGCAGCTTGGTAAGACATGTGCTACTGTATTAGGGAATGAAATTTTAAATATGACCAAAAAGCAGGGATACATTTGTAACACTTGGTTCTTTAGGGTTTTTTCAAGGAATAAGATGCTCACATAAGAACAAATCAAATCAACAAAAGCAAAGCACTGTGCTGGGCAAACCCCAGATGCAAATTATTTATGTTGATATACCCTATGCATAAGAAGCTTTTACAAATCGATGAGCAGAGTGATGTCCTGCAACCATTTCTAAACACAACTGTATGACTAATTCAGGGACTGTGGTTTCAAGCTATTCTACCAAGTTAGCAGATGCATCAATATCCTCCAACTCTGCTCATTCTCTCCTCTGTGTCCCTTCCCCCCACCACACACCCCGGGTCTTCATCCCCTTTAGGAGTTGCTCAGAAACCCACCCAGGGGGTCGGGGACCACAGCCTCGGTTGTCAGAATCACTTCAGGATTGAATTCAAGCTCAGTGCCCTCCCCAGACCACACAAATATCCCTACCTCCCCTCACCCAAGGCAAGGATCAAGGATTTTCACACTTAATTGCACCAGGCAGAGGATAAACTCAAATTCACAGGGACCAACCAACCAATTTAAAGCGAGCAAGGAGGCCGTTATATGAGAAGAGGGGGCAGTGGCTGAGAGAATCAGGCTTAAGATCACAAGTCCAGCTTATTTGGTGAGAACACAGTGTCTGTCTGCTAAGGAGCTTAAGGCATAGGGTAGGGATTAATCTTGCAAACAGCCCGGGGAGGTAGATAAATCTGTATTAATTAAAACTGCAAAATGTTCTCTACCTACCTAGTTTCAATCTTGAGAAAGAAAATATCTTTCCCAGAAAGGCATGGGAAGAGGGAAGGGAAGGCGATAGCCTTCTCATCACTGTGTCTTGTACAGCCAGCAAAAGAGACGGGGCCATGATCAGTGCTGAGTAGGGGGGCTTCTTAGACCCCTAGCTGCTACTCCCACATTCCTGTTGCTGAAACCTGTCCAGAAGGATGACAGGGAAATACAGTGGTGGTCCCTGACACAGGGTATCCCAGACCAAGCCGGTCTTAGCCCTACTCGTGTACTGACTACTGAATGCCCACATCAGCCCTGTGTAGTAGGCTGTTACCATCAGCCCATCTTGCAGAGAGAGAAAACTGAGGCACAGAGAGGTTAACACAGTCAGGAGAGTTTGAGATTCAGTCCCAGGTTGCTGTCTCCTGGGTTCACGTTCTTAGCTGCTGTAGTCTGTTCTCTCGGTGATAACAAGTACAGTAAGACAAGGGGAAAGAGAATAAACAGTAGAATTCCCCCCACGTGTCCTAATTTTAATTATGTAACATCTGACTGGGTGAGGTGTCTCAGACCTGTAATTCCAGCACTTTAGGAGGCCGAGGCAAGTGGATCACCTGAGATCAGGAGTTCGAGACCAGCCTGGCCAACATGGTGAAACCCCATCTCTACTAAAAATACAAAAATTAGCCAGGCGTGGTGGCATGTGTCTATAATCCCAGCTACTCGAGGGGCTGAGGCAGGAGAATCCCTTGAAACCAGGAGGCGGAGGTTGCAGTGAGCCAAGATTGTGCCACTGTACACCAGCCTGGGCGACAGAGCGAGATTCTGTCTCTAAAAACAAACAAAAATATATAACATCCTAAAGACTCATCTTTACTCCTAAAGCCTGGTCATTCCTGCCATCAGGTATATTTGCATGTTTCTCTCCCAACTTGGACATTTCTTACCGGCCTTACCTACCTCGCACAACTCCTCCTTTCCCCAGAAAGCATTCTCAGGCACTGCAAAGAAGCAGACTCCCTGTGGTCTTTAATAGCTCCTGCCTCTCCCAGGACTCACAGCAGTAAGGGCTGCAGGACACAGTGTTTCCCGGCCCCTGAGAGTACCTAGTCCATGGTCACATTGGTGGCAGGCTCTCAGTAAACAGCTGCTGCCTGGTTGCTAAGAGATCAGAACAAGATGCTGGAGAAACCAAGCACTGGATTAAATCCCTCATGCCGGCTGGGAGCGGTGGCTCACGCCTGTAATCCCAGCACTTTGGGAGGCCGAGGCAGGTGGATCACTTGAGGTTGGGAGTTCAAGACCAGCCTGACCAACATGGAGAAACCCTGCTCTACCAAAAATACAAAATTAGCCAGGAGAGGTGGTGCATGCCTGCAATCCCAGCTACTGGGGAGGCTGAGGCAGGAGAATCGCTTGAACCCAGGAGGCAGAGGTTGCAGTGAGCTGAGGTTGTGCCATTGCACAGCCTGGGCAACAAGAGCAAGACTCCGTCTCAAAAAAAGAAAAGAAAAGAAAATCCCTGATGCCGGGCTGGGCACGGTGGCTCACGCCTGTAATCCCAGCACTTTGCGAGACTGAGATAGGCGGATCAACTGAGGTGGGGAGTTTGAGACCAGCCTGACCAACGTGGAAAAACCCCGTCTCTGCTAAAAATGCAAGATTAGCTGGGTGTGGTGGTGCATGCTTGTAATCCCAGCTACTTGGGAGGCTGAGGCTGGGAATTGCTGGAACCCGGGAGGCAGAGGTTGCAGTGATTTGAGATTGCGCCATCGCACTTCAGCCTGGGCAACAAGAGTGAAACTCTGTCTTAAAAAAAAAAAAAAAGAAAGAAAAAGAAAAAAAAAAACCGATGCCATCAGGGCCACTGCTCTGCTTCTGGGGGCCAAATACTCTTCTGGGAGGCTCCGAGGAGGCTGCTTCCTTCTGTAGTTCACCTCCTGCCTCAGCTGAAGCCATGGTTTTAACTTTTTGGCTATCCGATAAACATCGGTGATCCTCCCCTTCACTCTCTCTCATCCTTGTGTATGTGAGGGGGTAAGTGGGAGGAAGATGTTTCATCTGCTTCCATAGCTTACACCCCTGCTACCCAGTGAAGAAAGCCCTTCTGCCTGTGACTACAAATTTTCAGTCATCCTCAACTCCCATTATTCCCCACTACTGCCCTGACATTCAGCAGAAGGCCTCTCAAAGTTGTGTTCCTCCTTCCACTCTGCCACTGGAGTCACCAGGCCCTTTCCGTCCTTCGCAAGACTGGGTTAACTTCCCTCCCTTCCCTTAACCCGGGGGTTGACAAACCATGGCCAGCAGGCTGAAGCTGGCCCAAGGCCTGTTTCTGTAAATAACATTTGGCTGGAACACAGCCACACCCATTTGCTTATGAATTTGTCTACTGCTGCAGAGTTGAGCAGTTGTAAAACAAGACTTAGCCCAGAAAGTCAAAAGATGCACTCTGGCCCTTCATGGAAAATGCCGGCAGACCTCCACTTTAGCCTCTTCTGAGAACTGTCTTCCACACCACCACTGAAGATAGCCACGTGCCTACCTCCCTCCTGAATAATCCCCAGGGCTTTCTATCAGCCACAAAAGAAAGGACCAGCACCTTAGTCTTGCATTCAGCCTCTCACCATCTGCACTCAGCAGCGTCTACAGCCTCAGCTCCCCAGCCTCTTTGTCTACACCCCACAAGTCCTCCAGGAATGCCTCACTGCTCACATTCCAGAACAGGCTTCTCATTCTTCTCTTCTTTGCTGTCCCCAAATCTCCGAGGCTCAGGTCAAGCTCCTCATTCTTCTCTTCTTTGCTGTCCCCAAATGTCCAAGGCTCAGGTCAAACACCACCTCCCCTGAGCTCTCTACACTTGGAAGTTTTCTGATCCCACATCCCAGAATAGTCTCCCCTTTGGGTTCCCAGCAGCATCCTCGAGGCACTTCCCAGAATTTTCTTGTTGCCTAGGTCATTCTACAACAGCTTCTTCACTGGTCTCCCTCTCTCTCTCGTTCCCTCAAAACGTGGTCTCCAAGGAGCAGACACATTAATATTTTAAAACATTATTTATTTAAAACATTATTTAGACACCATTACTGTTGTGCTCATCATTCTTAGGATAAAATCAACCTGGGTGTCCGGGTCTGTGATCTGAGCTCTGCCTAACCTTGCTTTCCACTCGCCACTACTTCTGCTGTACTATGACTGCACTCACCTTCTTCTGCTCCTAAACATGCCACACTTAGGACATTCGTATCTTAGGACTTTAGCACCTGAAAAAAATCTTTAAAAAGTTCTTCAAGGTAGAGTTTATTTATTTATTATTTATTTATTTATTTATTGAGTCCTGCTCTGTCACCTAGGCTGGAGTGCAGTGGCGCAATCTCAGCTCACTGCAACCTCCGCCTCCAGGGTTCAAGCAATTCTCCAGCTTCAGCCTCCTGAGTAGCTGGGATTACAGGTGCCCACCACCATGACTGGCTAATTTTTTTATTTTTTTTAGTAGAGATGGGGTTTTACCATGTTGGCCAGGCTGGTCTTAAACTCCTGACCTCAGGTGATCCGCCCACCTTGGCCTCCCAAAGTGCTGGGGTTATAGGCGTGAAACACTGCACCCGGCCAAGGTAGAATTTTAAAAAATTGGGTTACCAGTGTATTCCAAATGCCTAGAAGCATGCCTGGCACATTGTTGGTGCTGTGTAATTATTTGTTGAATGAATAAATGAGTGGGTGAGTCTTCCTGTTCCTTCAATTGGGTAATGGTAGTTGAATAAACACGTTTCATAAATCATTCATTGAGGCCAGAAGGCAAGGCTGTTTGTGTTTCATTTCAAAAGACCCAATTTGCCTTCTATCAGCACATCCAAAGATGGTTCTCTGTCCTGCCATCATACAGCTCAGGTCGTTTAGCCTGCATGAACCACACAGTTGGACTCCCCTGGGAGGCTGAGGCTGAGTGATAGAAGAAGTGGTAAGCGTCACCTTCAGGACAAGGCGCCGTAAAGACTGCCGGAAAGGTGGAGGGCCCGGCCAGGTCACAGAGGAAGTAGGAACTTACGTGAGAAAACAAGTTTGAAGTCAGTAGTAGAAGTCAGAAACACACAAGATGCCTATGTCTCAGAATGTGTGTTTCAGAACATCCCTGTAGGGACTGGAGTCTGCTTCTGGCGTGGAGGTTGACTTACAGGAAAGAAGCCTCACAGGTGAGGGAGGCCTAAATCAGTGACCCCTTCTAAGCCAATGCCTTCAGTCTCTGTCCAGCCACAGGCTTGCAAACACAAGCAGAGCCTGAGCGGGGATGGAGCTTCGCACATCAGGGCCTGTGAATGTGACTGCCTCAGTCAGGGGCCTGTCGGGAAGGATTCATTGGCAAAGAACTTTCTCCGCTGCTTCCTAGGGATGAGACATTTTCTCAAATTGAGAAAGTGCCACACATCAAGAAGGGTGCCAGCGATATCTCCTGTTAAAAGGATTTATAATGGAACTTCATTTTCCACTAATTTATAGACAACTCCTGGGCTCCCTGCTTGTAACGCAGTCAGCTCTGCTCCAGTGGGCACGTGAGCATTTCTCAAAGGCGCCCCGACGGCTCATTGTTCGGGGCTTTGGCCTTGGAACAAAAAGGGTTTTGTGTGTTTGCTGCAGTGTGCGCCAGGACTGAATTTTTCTTTTTTTTCCCTAGAGGCCAACTTCTCTCTCTTTCTTCCTGTCCCTTTCCTCTTCTCTCTCTCCCTTGTTTTGAGCTCTGGTCTTGAGACACTCAAAGGGAAATCTTCTCTTAGGCAAATGGTCATGGAATCAAATGCATTTCAGCTGAAGATTCTGGCCACTTGGATATGTGGAAGAGAACAACTGATTCCAGGAGCTGAATTAAGTCTCTGTGACGTCTGTTATTCAACGATGGCAAACACCATGCTTCAGCTTTTTCAAGTTGGCCTTTCTGAGCACATCCTCGAATGGAGTCCCGAAGAAATTCCGCGACACAGATGAGCTGAGTGGCATTGTTTAGACTGCACAGTAGGCAAACCTGGCGACATTGAATTTCAGCCAGCCAGGGGAGCCGACAGAAGTTGGCTTCTAGTCCCAGCTCTTCAGAAATCTTTTGGCATTCGCTCACCCCACCACAGGGTGTGTGACGGATTGGCTTTAAAGTTGTTGCTAGGCATTGATAAACAGATTGGATTCTTCCCAAGGGGCACTGGGAAAGCCCCTCTCCCATCCTGATTTCTGATTTCATGCCCTCTTGGGCTGTAGACAGGGTTCCCAGGCGGACACATGTGCAGGCGCTCCTCATGCTCTCCCGGCATCTCACCCAGGGCCCCAGGAGGGCAAGAAGGGCTTCGGTGTGCCTCCCAGCACCTCAGGATCCCACAACTGCCACTGCCTGCCCTTCCCTCTCTCCCATCAGTCTCTTCTTTTCAGTCCACACAGTCAAGGCTGGGCCTGCTTTAGGTCAGTGAAGTGTGTCTTATATGCATGATAATGTATGCATTATCCAATTATCCAGTATGCCTGGCACTTAGAAAGGGCTCCAGTAAATGCTTCTCTTTAGCCAAAAGCCAATCAGTATCCTTATGCTGCCAAGCCAGACTCCTGTATTCCTCACCTCAACATTGCATGTGGGCATTGCACTTCCTTGTGCAATCCTGTACTTTGTATCTGTGAATGATGCAGACACCTGGCAGGAGAGCCTCTGAGTGCTCCCACTACCCCTAGAGACACCAGTATCTGATCTCCGTACTCTTCCCCTCTGGGTCCTGCAAGGACCTCACAATTATTCTCAAAGTGCCTTCTAGGATGTCACTGTCAACATCTCCAAGTTTTCACCTGAGATGAAACATCTGCCATCTCTTTTGGGTTGAATTGTGTCCCCTACAAAACATGTTGAAATCTTAACCTTTCAGTAGCTGTGAACTTATTTGGAAATAGGACCTGTGGAGATGTACTCCAGTTAAGATGAGAACATTAGGGTGAACCCTAATCCACTGACTGGTTCTTATAAAGAGTTCTATTCCAATGACAGTCCTTACAAAGAGTGGGAGATTTGCAGACACACTGACACACGGGGAGAATGCCATGTGATGTCAGAGGCAGAAATTGGCACGATGCAGCTAACTAGGCCAGGGAATAGCAAGGACTGCCAGCAACCAGCAGAAGCTAGGATGGGGCTGGGAGGGATTCTTCCCTAGAGCCTTCAGTAGGAGCATGACACCTTGATTTTGACTTCTGGCCTCCAGATCTGTGAGGGAATAAATTTCTGTTGTTTTCAGCCACCCAGTCTGTGGTCATTTGTAATGGAAGCCCTAGGAAACTGACATATTAGTGCTTCCTACCTTTCGCCCTAGCCAGAATCCTGTCCACCTGGCACAATATACAGGTCACCTATTTTGGGACTCCCCATCTCTTCCACCTTGGAAGAGCCAACATGGTATTCACAAGAAAGGAATCTATTTTTGTGCAGCTTAAAGCAACTGGGCCCCTGTTGTCAAGGAGAAAGCCTCTTTCATTGGGCTCCATTTCCTGTCCATCACTGGGCTGTGGGAGTTATAAAAGCCACAGGGCTAAGGTCAAGCTGTGAGTTTTTGGGAAATTTAGCCTTTTGAATTAGAGGAGAATAAAAGGATCATTCTCAGAGTTGTGTGGTCCAGCCAGTTCCTCAATTTGAGGTACCATACAGGATTTTGGAGACAAGGCCTAAACTTGACAGGAAGAGAATTGAGTTTTCCCCAGGATCTTCAGAGCATGACTGACCCATGAGCCTACAGTGTGTTATGTGACTGGTTGAAGATGAGGGATTTCAGGCCTAGAAACTCATATCACTTATGTGGCACAGTGTGCCAGGCATTGCTCACGTTCTTTGCAAATATTAACTCATTTAATCCTCACAGCAATCTGATGAACTAGGCACTCTTACCATCCTCATTACAGGGATGAGGAAATTAGGCATAGAGAGGTTCAATAACTCACTTGAGGATAACCAGCATGTAAGTGATAGAGCAGACATTCCAATTTACAATGTCTGGCTCCCAAGTTTGTGCTCTTAGTCACACTACCTGGAGCTCTGTTTCTCCCAGTTTACCCAGGTGGGTATTCATACCCATGCCGGTTTTTATGCCATTGGGCCCAGAGCTTCCTTTCCTATGGGCATTCTGTGGAAACTCCAGAGATGAGAACATCGCAGAATGGAAAATGCAGTGGGCACAGGCTGGGAGGAGAGGTGGGTTCTCACCACACTCAGAAAGAACCTGATTGTGCATCCACTGGCTGTGCTTAGGGTGAGAAGATTGACCTCAGCTGTCCACACTAAGCCAGAGGCATGAGAGGAGGTTTGGGGAAAAGACAGTAGCATCTCCCCCTTTTTTTTCTCTTCTTTTTTTTTTTTTTTTTTTTTTTTTGAGACAGAGTCTTGCTCTGTCTCCCAGGCTGGAGTGCATCTTGGAGGCGCGATCTTGGCTCACTGCAACCTCCACCTCCTGGGTTCATGCCATTCTCCTGCCTCAGCCTCCCGAGTAGCTGGGACTACAGGCACGTGCCTCCACACCCAGCTAATTTTTTGTGTTTTTAGTAGAGACAGGGTTTCACCTTGTTAGCCAGGATGGTCTCGGTCTCCTGACCTCGTGATCCACCTGCCTCAGCCTGCCAAAGTGCTGGGATTACAGGCATGAGCCACTGCGCCCAGCCAGCAGTCTCCTCTTTTAGGCCAGTGGCTCTCCAAGTTAGGCATCCATCAGGATCACCTGCAGGGCTTGTGAAACTACAGACTGCTGGCTCCATCCCCAGAGTCTCTGATTCAGTAGGTCTGGGGTCCAGCCTTCGCAGATGTCCAGGTCACACTGGTGCAGTTGGTCTGAGGACTTCCTTGAGAGATGCATTGTTTCACCCCAGTTCCCACTCTGCTTTGCCGGATGCTGTGGCTCCGCTCCACAGATCATCACAGATGCCACAGACTGGGATCTTTGACAGGGTTTTTCCCAAGTATGCCACTGGCAATTTGATTAGGAGAGCAAATTTCAAGCTGCAATTTTTGTGAAAATGGGGGAACTGAAAAGCCTTTGCAATGTTAGTCCATGGAATTTGTCAGTAGACTTCTGTCTCTCCTGCAGCAACTAAGAGGAAAGCAGTGTCTGTTTTGCATGAAAGATGGAGGTTAAACCTCCTGCAGAGAAGGAGGAATTCTCACTGGTCTGAGATGATTCAGGTCTAATTCTCTCTTGAGGCAGAGAGATTGGCGAGATTCCTCCTGCATGCTTCTCCAGTCCCTAAAGTCTGTGATTACATAAGCCATGTGTTTATTTTTCATAACAGCTCCAGGTGGTACCATGGCTTTCCTCACCTCCACCTTCTTGTTCCATAGTCTTCCCACAACCCGTGTCTGAAGGAGACCTTACTATTTTCTTTCCACTCCTGAACCTGCTTCTGCTGGATTCTCCGTTAATAGCAACATTCTGTTCGCTCATTCATGCTGGCGACCTCGGGGTTATCCTCGACTCTTCCCTCTACTGTATCCCCCACATCCAGTGATCACAGTTTCTGGAATCTGATTCTCCCCCCATTTTCCATTCTGATGCTTGAGATTGTGTCTCTGTCATGTCTCACCTGGACCATTGCTGTTCCTTCCTTTGTGGTGCCTCTACCTTCAGTGCTGCACCTTCATCCTTATCACTGCTCCCAGAATGATCCATCTAAAAACAGAGGCTGGCAAGCAAAGGTCTGGGCCAAAGCCAGCACACTACCTGTTTTTGAGAGCTTGTTCGGGGGTTCTAGCAGGGGAGCACAGCTACTCGTATACCCTTGACCAAAGACTGGTTCTCCTCTATCGGAGATGGTTGTCCTCTCTGACCAAGCACACAGCTTTGGGAGGGACGCACATGGAGTGATGAGGGAGGAAGGGGACACCCGCCTAGCCAGCCAGATCAGTCAAATCAACCCTGGCGATCAATGAGGTGACAGATGTTGCAGGCAGATCACGCTCACATCCACGTTTTTGTATAGCCCACAAGCTAAGAATGGTTCGTACATTTTTAGGAAAATAATTTTATTTTTAATTTGTATGGTTACATAATAGATTTATATAGGTATGATGTTTTGATACAAGTATGCACTGCATAATAATCACATTATGATTTGTACATTTTTAAATGTGGGTTTGTACATTTTTAAATGATTTTTAAAAATTGTAAAAGGACAGTATTTTATGACATGAAAATTATGTACAACTCAAATTTCAGTGTCTATAGATAAAGAGTCAGTGGAACATAGCCATGCTTGTTTGTTTACATATTGTTTGTGGCTGCTTCCAGGCTGCTTCCAGATCTGGGTATTTCAACAGAGACTGTATGGCCCACAAAGCCTGAAATATTTACCATCTAGCCCTTTACAGAAACAGTTTGGTAACCTTGATCTACAAAGCAAACCTGAACAAGTCCTTCTGCTTGAAACCCTCCCAGGGTACTTCAGAGACCCCAGAGGAAAGTCCAGGCTCTGTAGCATGCCCCACCAAGACCCCTGCCTGTCTCTTCTGCCTAACCTCCCTCAGTTTCCTGCTTTGCCATCTTAAATACCTTCAAGAACCAGGCTGGCAGTGAAGAAAAAGGAAAAAGGAAGAGGAGGAGGAAGAGAGGAAAAGGAGAGGAGAAGAAGAGGAGGTGGGGAGGAGGAGGAACAAAAAGAAGAAGAGGAGGAGGAGGAAGAAGAAGGGGGAGGATGAGGGAGGAGAAGGAAGAAATTGGAAGAGGAGAAGGAGAGGTGAAGATAATAGAGTAGTGCTGGGCCCCCTGATGAACTGGGTTATATACGCCCCACCTAAACAGTCATTAAAATAGAACAAAACAATACAAAACAAAAGTGATATCAACCACAAGGTATCAATGCGCATAACACTGTCCCTTGCCTCTTTGTTCTTGACCTTACTTAGCCTGGGATGCCCTTTCTTGCTACTATATTGGTTCAACTCCTGCTCTTCCCCCAGGAGTCATCTCATGGCCATCTCCAGTAGAAAGTTGTGTTAAGTGCCCCCTGGGAATCCACAGTTGTTTCTTTCACATCTTGAATTCCATTATATTTCAGGTATTTCTTTAGTCTTTGGTCTCTTCCATGAGACCCTTGGCTGCTTGAGGGTGGGATGTTGTCTCATTTAACTTAAAACGCTCAGTGTGTGTTTGTCGAATGAATGAATGAATGAATGTGTAAGTGAGGAAATGAGTAAACTCAGCAACTCAGCAGTGTCCTGTGGTCCTCATATAGCGATGAAGTGATGTAACATACCCATATCCTCTTGGTGTCTTAAAGTAACTATATTGTTTTTCACTCCTTTTAAACTTTGTATCAAAGTTTCTTTTAGAATTTGTGTATCTTGTTCTCTCTTGACAAAACCCTGCAAGAAAAGGCAGGTAAGAGGAATGACCTCCCTTTTGTAGATGAGAAAGCAGGGGTAGCAGAAAATGGTTTAATGACTATTAAGAGCAATCAGGGGCTAGAAACCCATTCTTTTTAAGTGGGACCTCCTGGTTCTCTCAGTTCAGTGTCATGTCACCAGAAAAGTGTTGCATACCTACTTAGTGTCGGGCACTCTGTTAGGCCCTAAAGATCCCAAAATGAACAAATCACAGTCTGATTCCAGGAGGTTATGGTTAATGTGGGACACTAGCATGATGGGCTGTGTATCCTCATGGTGGCATGTCAGGGAGTGCCAAGAAGAGAGATGATAGGAGCCGACCCCAGGGCAAGAGAGAGTGAGAGTGAGAGAAAGAGGCTGAGAAGAGAGAAAGAGAGAGATTTTCTCATTAGGTTTCCTCCCAGCCAACGAAGTCGAGAGTCAGCCACACACTGTGGTGGAGATGGTAACCCAGCCACCTAACCATCAAGCCATCCTGCCTGAGAGTCCCACGGCTGCAATGATGGCCTCTCCTGAATTCATCACTTTCATTGACTCATCAAAGAAGCGTGGGCTCCACACAAAGTGATGGTCCCACCACGCTGAAGGAAATTTTGGAGGAAGAAAAACAATGTTACTAATTGGAGTTGTAGAAGATTTGGGTGGGAAGAAAGTACAGCGTGTATTTATCACTGTGTCTCTCTAGGAGGCTCCACCTGGGCCTGGTCTCCAGGTTGGGCTCTTCGGAGGGGACCTGCCTAGAGGGTCTGTGGATACTCCTGGCACTTGCACAGGGGACCATAACTCAGGAGTTTACCTAGTATGGAAGTGAGGGCTGCATCCCCTATGCACATTATGTCATTAATTCTCACATCATCCTGAAAGAAGTTCTATCCTGTTTCACAGAAGAAGAAACAGAGGCTGGAAGAGAAGAATTCTCCATAATCACATAATGTGATTCTTATGCATTGCATGCCTGTATCAAACCGTCATACATAGATAAACCTATTATGTACTCATACAAATTAAAAGTAACTTGGGCAAGATTGCAAAGTGGCCAACTGAACTAGATGGCTCTCTGCCACCCATAGCACCCAAACATTAGTCTGTCAAGTGGTTTTCCCCAGCCTTCGGCAAAAAGAGAATAAAAAATAATACAGACTTAAAAAAAATAAAATTTTAAGTATTCATTTTAAAGTATCAAAACCTATTTTAAGATTTTTACCATTTATTGTTTGGCATTAAAATATTCTTGTGTGTGTGTGCAGTAATGATAACAGAAGACACCATTGGTCCAAGGGTGTATGCTGGCTTTTTTTTTTTAATTTTGTCAGAAAATTTCAAGCTCTAGAGCCCCTTATCTATAGTGCACAACTGAATTGGGTATCTTCTTCCTTTTTTTTGTGAAGATGACATATCTATGTGTGTGTATATATACAAATGTGTATACAATTCTGGGTGATAACAGATAGTGTATATCATCTATCTATGGATAAATGTGCAAACATGAACAAATTTTAAAGAAGTAGTTCTGGGTTCCTCTTGTGAATTCTGCATCAGCTTTGTTAGGAGATAATCTATTTAAAATTACGGTAGTAGTGACTGTTTGTTTTATAAACACTGTGAACTATTGGATCTTCCTCAGGAAGGACAATCCAGGAATGCTCATGGTTCTCAGTGCTGTTGAAACTGGATTGTAACAGGACTGACAGCTACCTTCTGCTTCAAAGATAACTTTATACTTTGTTTTCTGGTGTCTGGGCTGAGGATGAGAACAAGGATTAACCCAGATTAATCCCCATCTAGCCCCTGATGAAGCTGGGCATGTCATAACACTATAATTTATAATTCCTAAATGTTTACATTTCAGACAAAATAGAAAAATGAAAACCCTTTTCATCAAAACCTGAGCAGGAATGTTATACTGGTTTAAAACACACAAATGCTGTCCTTTCATAAAGGCAAAAGTGTAGGCAAAGTGTATTCTGAAGAAGAATCAAAGATGCCTTTTATAAAATTAAATGGATATTAATCTATTTCAGTATTTGTGTCTTCATGACATCAGCTGAATGGCTGAAATTGGAGACTTCAATGAGCAGCTTGCTCTTCATGATATCAAATTGTTGTTGGTATCCTAATAACTGGTTCCCAGTGATGTAAGAATCCAGGCAAAGTCTAAGGTATAGATGAAGTCAAGAAATTGTTTTCCAGTTCCTTGCTAGCAATTCATGGTTTTAATGGGGAAATGCAGAAAGAGTCAATGAATATTGCAACAAGAAAGAAATTCGGAAAGGAGAGAGATGCCTGTGAAGGTACAAGTCTTATCTGGCATTAGGTGTTATATAAATAAATAAATGCCTAAACACATAAACAACTTTTATTTTGCCTGAGGCTGACTTGGATCTCATTCTCTGACTAGAGTGACATAGTTTGTAAGCAAAAGAGCCTGGTTTGCACAATCAAGAGACTTGGGTTTGAAAACACCTGAACTTTCATCAGCAAGGAGCTGGTTAAATAAATTAGGGTGCATTGTTTGGGAGAATTCTACGCAGATAGTATGTCCTGAAATTAGTATAAAGTACATTGTCAAATGAAAAATGTTTCATACCCCTGTGTGTGTGTGTGTGTGTGTGTGTAGAATGATCCTATTTATATTTTTAAAAAGAATAAACGTGCATTTGTGTGTAAGTGATTGACCTTTTCTGGAAGGACATACAAGAGGTACTTAGCAATAGATAATTACCCTTGAGAACTGATACTGAGGTCCTAAGAATGAACAGAATTTTAACTGTTTGCCTTATACTCTTCTGTACAGTTTAGGGGAAAAGTTCATATCATAAACATGAACTGCTTTTATGATTAAAATTAGGAAAAAAATTAAAGTCGTGGGCTTGAGTGTCATTTCTGGGACTGCTTCTGTGAAAGAAAATTTTCTGAGCTTCAATTCCTCATTTCACAGAGTTGTTATGTAGAAAAATAGTAGGATACATACAACAATTCTCTGCACATTCTAAGGTGGGATCCAGGTGTTTTTGTTGGTGTTTTTGTTTTGTTTTGTTTTGTTTTGTGCCGCCCAAGCGCTTTCCATTTGAGTGTGATGAAGCCAGGTGCCAACAGCGACAGTTGTTAAAATGTTCTCCAAGCTGTTTTTAGACGACCAGGATTTTCAGACTATACTTTCCCTTCTGCCTCTGACAAATACCTAGACCCAGAAGTCCTCTCCCCCTCCTTCCTGGAAACACGTGGGTCTGTGTTTCCAATGCAGTGGAAGATGCTTAAATTATCCATTTGGAAAGAGCAAGAGAGAGCAGCAGCTCCCCTGGCAGCAGAAAGGGGCAGCTGTTTTCTGAGGCACGTGACTTCAGTTGGCAAACACATTCACTCAGCAGGAAGGGAAACCCGGCCATCCAAGTTCTTTATGGGCCCAACTTCAGCTCACTGTTTATTTGGGCTCTTAGTTTAATGTTGATCATCAGTATCTAAATAAATGATCATTGCTCCACCTGACAAGAAGCCCTACTTTATTTTCCAAGGGTGGTAGGAAGTCCCTTCCCTCTCCCCGCACTCACTGGTTCCTGGCTTAATTACAGCTTCTCTGCAGTGTGGACTCCAGCAGAAGAATGACACAGATTTGGACATACATGCACCCAACACTCACACACACTCATATACATACAGTACTCACACAAACACACAACCCGTGCCACTCACAAACACATCATACAACACACAAAATATTGACACACAACACTCTCTCTCTCTCTCTCTCACACACACATGCACACACAAACACACACACAGACAGCATACTCTCACCATCACATTTACTTTGTGAACAAACTTTCGGAAACATGAGAAGGCATCAAGAAAACTGCTTATTAAATCAAAGTCTTCTGCTTCAGTGAGTCAAAGGGCTGGGCAAAGGAGCAACTTTTACTGCAGATAAATGACCAGGGCACTTGTGAACAATAATAAAGTCCTAGGCGATGGTATTTAAAGATGCATGACAGTTCAACGAACTGAGAATTCACCCGTGAGTAACTCCTCCTTTGGGAATTTCTACTTTTCTTTTGCTGGGTTTTGTGGTTTGCCATGGTTGTGAGAGTCATGTTCTCAGGCCTCTGCACCCACAGTCAACCTCACCACTTTCTTTTTTTTTTTTTTTTTTTTTTGAGACAGAGTCTCGCTCTGTCACCCAGGCTGGAGTGCAGTGGCGCGATCTCGGCTCACTGCAAGCTCTGCCTCCCGGGTTCACGCCATTCTCCTGCCTCAGCCTCCCAGGTAGCTGACTACAGGTGCCCGCCACCAAGCCTGGCTAGTTTTTTGTATTTTTAGTAGAGACGGGGTTTCACCGTGTTGGCCGTCTTGATCTCTTGATGGGGTTTCACTGTGTTAGCCAGGATGGTCTCGATCTCCTAACCTCGTGATCTGCCCACCTCGGCCTCCCAAAGTGCTGGAATTACAGGCGTGAGCCACCGCGCCCGGCCACCACTTTTAAGTGAATGTCTTCAAAGGAGGATGCTGAGGATAGGGATGTAGGAAAACTGACTCGTTAGGCAGGTCCAGCCAAGTGGACACTCCTTGGGAGAAGGTTGTGGAGTTCAGTGAGTGGAGGCTGAGATGGAGTTGAGGAGCCCCGGTTAACAAAAAAGGAAGGCAGGAAAGAGGATTCTAGAGTGTGTCTCCTGCAGGGCAAAGGAGGCTTCAGTTTTAGCTCCATTGATGTTCTTTTCTGTCCACAGCCTTCTCACTGAGTTGCTTTCAGGCAACTGGGAGAGAGTCAACCAACTTTGCCTTAGCTGTGGATATTACATCAGTTTGTGTTTCATGTACATTAGCAAGTCTCTTCTTTTCATCGAAACATCTTCTTCTCTCTCTAAGGCCATCAATGCCTGGCACCCGTAGGCTGTCAATAAATATTTATTGGATGAAAGAATGGCAGCCTTCCTGATGCAGTGGTCCAGATATTTCTGGATGGCTCCCTACATCCATATAAAGGGGCTCTGGCCATCTGGTGGGCATGAGGAGGATTATAATGTGCCTGAACATTACCTCACTGTCTGAATATCTTTTCTTCTTTATTTATGTGGACTTCCTTGGTGATCTCATCTAGCCTCATGGCTTTAAATACTAGTTATATGCTGACAACTCCCAGATCTATACCTCCATCCTGGGTCTCTCTCTCCTGAGTCCCAGGACGGTGCATCCAGAATCCCCCTGGACGTCTCCTCATTTGGATGCTTGCTAGGTATCCCATCCTGACTTATTCAGAACAGACTCCCAATTCCCCCGTGAAACTGCTTCTCCTGCAGGCTCCCCCTTCCAGGAAAGATGATTCTGTCTTTCCAATTTCTCAGGTAAAAACCTCAGATGTATTCTTGCCTTTTTAATTTCTTCCACACTCATATTTACTTCATTACTGTGTCAGATCTACATATAAACTATTCCCAACCCGAGTTCATCCTGACACCTCCACTGCTACTTGTATGGCCAGAGCCATGTCACTCTCTGGATTACAAAGAATGTCCTATCTGTTGTCCTGTGTCCCCTTGGTTTCTCTGCAGTTCATCTTTCCCAGCAACCCCAATATCCCTTAAGAATTGTGGGCAGGATCATGTCAGTCCTCTGCTCCAAACCCACTAGGGGGTCCACATCTTACTTGGAGTCCAAGCCAGAGTTGCTACCTTGTCTGCAATGGCCATGTGACCTCCACAACCACTGCACCTCATTTCCTCCCTGCCGCTCCATCATTCCCTCCCCAAAGGCACACTGGCTTCTTGGTATCTTCCCCAACACCAAACAGATGATCATCTCGGGCCCTTGGCTCTGGCTGGTCCCTTTGCCTGGAACATTTGTCCCTAAATAGTCTCATGGTTTGCTTCCTCACTCCTTTCAAGTCTACTTAAATGTCCCCAATCAGAGAATCATTTTCTGACCAACCACATCACCTGTATCCCTACCTCTCTACCTTGCTCTCCATGATACTTACCACTACTTTGCATGTTATGCATATTTTTGTTTATGTGTTTATTGCCTAATATGTCCTTCTAAAATGTGTGCTCCTTGAAAGTAGGGACCTTAGTGTTCTGGTTCACTTCTATAATTCTAATGCTTAAAGAGTGCGTGGCTCCCAGAAGGTGCTCAACAAACTTTTGATAAATGGGAAAAGGAAATGAGGCAGGGAGGAGGGAAGGTAGGAAGAGAGGGAGGGAGGGAAGGAGGAAGGAAGGGAGGAAGGAAGGAATGAATTAGGGAAGGAATTAGGGAAGGAAGGAAGGGTGGGAGGGAGGGAGAGAGGGAAGAAGGAAGGGAAGGAGGGAAGAAAGGAAAGAGGGAAGGGAGGAAGGAAGGGAAGA
Organism: Homo sapiens; assembly: GCF_000001405.40. Taxonomy (NCBI): domain Eukaryota; kingdom Metazoa; phylum Chordata; class Mammalia; order Primates; family Hominidae; genus Homo; species Homo sapiens. Next base: position 133,588,339 of record NC_000002.12, on the reverse strand, counting down.
AGGAGGGAAGGGAGGGGAGGAAGGGGGAGGGAGGGAGAGAAGACGAGAGGTAGGGAGAGAGGGAGGGAGGGAGGGAGGAAAAAGGAATCAAGAGTCCCCATTAAGCCAGAATCCAAGCACATCAGACCATAGGACTTTACATTAGAATAGTATTTCCAAAATTATTTTGATCATTGCCAACAAGAAATACATTTAACATTGTGACATAGTTGACTCACATGTGTATGTAAGTGTGTGTGTGTATACAGACATACACACACTTATGACATGGCATCAACTCTATTTTATTCTTTTTATTTATTTATTCCTTTTTATTCTATTTTAACAGTTTCTATTTTCTTTAACAAAATGCTGGGCTGGACTCATTAAACTGATTAAACCTCTGATGGGTCATAAATCCTGGTTTGAAAAACACTATACTAGAGAAACTGGAAAGTCTTGTCAGGCGATAAAAGTTAAAGTGAATTCACTGATCCACTCATTTGCGTGCTGTCCTGTGAATTAATGAAATCAAATCAAACTTCTTTCTTGGTTAAATATCAGCATTTTGTTACAGCAGGGAGGAAAGGGTAATTTTCTAGCATGCTGCCTTCAGAGAGAGAAACGTGGGCTGCATGCTTGTGGCAAGGCATGGGGAAGAGATGAGGAAGGAAGATGCCAAGTAAACCTCATCCTCATTGTGCAGGAACTTTGGTTAGGGCCAAACACTTTATTGATGTTGTCCACATTTCAGAAGCTTTCCTACTGGCTGGCTCTCTCTTGCTGCCCTGAGGACTTTTCTCAGTTTTCCCTTCAGGTGGAGACCATGTGCACAAAACATAAATACTTTTCTGTCATCTGCATCAATGCTTTTCCCAGAAAGATGCAATTCATTCCAGATTTTTCCATTCCGATGTCACCTCCCAAACTGGGTGTGTTGTACTCAGGTTGTCTTCCCAAAAGCAGGCTTGAGGCAGTTAAGTTGGCCACACAATGATTATTACCTGACACAACCTCTGTAAGTGCCAGGCATTGTTCTGAGCACTTCACAACAACCCTCTGAGAGGATGGTGCCACTGGTCTCCATTTTGCAGGCCTGAGGCTTGACTGAGGAACGATCTTGGTGGTGGAGCCAGCATTCCAGCCCTGGCAATCTGGCTCCCGGCCTCTCATGCTTACTCATTACTTGTTCTGAAAAATGTGATGACTGATATCATAGTGAAAATGGTGCCAGCCTTTTGCTTTATGAAGGGAAAAGGTGAGGACGTCAGGTAGCCTGCTAGATTAGGGCAGGGCACACCCCTCGCGTGAGTCCTTTACCTCGACTTTCTCTGAATTCAAGTTTTGCTAGGAGTATACTTAGTCAGGGCTAAAAGATAGACTGTCCAATTCAGAGATTCTGAACTGGCTGCAGACCTCTTTTATTTTGCCTGCTTAGTGTTCAAGAACTGTAGATCCAAATGCCTTTTGCTGGCCATGCCCTTTCCAGTTCATCGTAGTCCCCACCATTCTCTATTGCAGCCCCACCCTATTCCTCACTCACGCTACCTGCCTATCCTAAATCCTGTGTGTGTGTGTGTGTGTGTGTGTGTGTGTGTGTGTGTGTGTGATATTGCTGTCTTAAGATGGGATCAAGTGCCAATGATTGTACCCCAGATTTCTTGTGTCAACATAGCAACCATCTGCTCACACCACCACTTTGCTCACAAAGATTAAGAGAAGACAAATTGGACATGGACTAGCCAGCATCCTCCACACAGTGCTTCACATCTATGTGAAGATGCCTGAGTCACATTTGTTGGAGGAGAACCCATTGGTAGCACTGTCCTTGAGCGATGACCTGTTACCTCTTTTCCTGAAGTTGATACAATAATATGTGACCCAGTAATAAGTAAGAGTGATGGCTCAGAGAGGCAGCTGAGGCTATGGTAAATCACCCACAGCAAGCATTAGGTCTGAAGGTGAGTGAGTTCAAGGAGGTCAATCTCAACGTCAAGTACAGGGGGCTTCAGGAACTGGCCAGGAATCGGAAGCAGAAGGAAGGAAGGAAGTGACTGAGGGTTCAGGGTGGACATTATTGGGCCGCAGATCACGTGGACTTGTGTTGGCAGGCTGGACCCTCTGAGGGAGGTGCTTAGATACCTAGAGATCACTTGGCTTCAGTTGGTCATTAATACTTAAGTATTGAATGAGATTCTACTAAGAGTCTGAGTTCATTGTAACTGAATGAACTTTTACTATTGAAAACCCCAGCTCCTAATGAACTTTATGCTAAAGATGTTGAGAAGGAAACGCCAAATCTGCCCATTATCTCTAATATCTGTTCATACTTAATCCCAGACCCTTACAAAGGCCAATAGTGCTTGTTCTCACTTTTTCTTTTTTAATGATCAGCACCATGCCAAGATATTATTTTTGCCAAAACACATAAACTTGATGCCAGACTAAGAGATGGAAGGAGCTTGTGGAATCTCTTTCTCTAGAAATATTTCTGAATAGAAAAAATAAGAGCACAGACTTTGAGGTCCAACAGATCATTTGAATTCTGCCTTTGGTGCTTCCTACCTGTGAGTAGGGGTAGATAATTAACCCCTCTGAGTCTCAGTTTCCTCATTTGTAAAAGAGCATGAATAATGCATAGGACTGCTGTTATGAAAACTAGTAAATGAAATAACATATGTAAAGTGACTGACACATGTCTAATACATATTATACATTCAATAATTGTAATTTTATATCATTAACTTCTTGAAATATTTGGAAAAAATCTAATGGAAGTGGTGTATAATCCATGACAAAATGATATTTTGTGATGTTCATTTCAAGAGAATAGTAAACAAGAAGTAAAAGGCCTGACCTGCATTCCCGACTCAACCAAGATGTTTCAAACTACTTAAGCTATCAGAGGTAGTAGATAATAGAGTGTGCAAAGCACAGGCTTTGATTTGGACAAACATGGCCTTGATCTGTGTCATTAAGTGACTGTGTTTAAGTTGACAATCCAGCTAGTGTCTATGGATCCCCATTCCTTCACCTATAAAATGGAGATAATAGTTTTTTCCAGGTTTGATGTAATGAAACCTGTATGAAAAGTGTCCTAGGACATAGTTTGTATTTAATATTATTTCTTCCCATTTTAAAACTGCATTAAACATGTCTCCTAAACTGTTTGCAAATAACAAATTATTTTGCCCTCATTTTATCTTGATTTTGCTTTATTTTTACTGTATATATTTAAGTTGTAGAATGTTTTGATATACATAGTGAAATGATTACTATAGCCCAGAAAAATTAAAATTTGTCATCTCACAATTACCCTCTTTTTTCTTTACTTTCTTTTCTTTTCTTTTCTCTCTTTCTTTCCCTCCTTCCTTCCTTCCTTCCTTCCTTCCTTCCTTCCTTCCTTCCTTCCTTCCTTCTTTCTTTTTTTTGGCAAGAACAGCTAAAACCTACTCTCTTAGCAAAAATCCTGAATATAATACAGTTTTATTAACTATTGTCCTTATATTGTATATTAGCTCTCCAGGTTTTATCTGCTACTTTGTATTCTTTGACCTACATCCTCCCATTCCCTGCCTTAATTTTATTTTATTTTTTGAGACAGAGGCTCACTCTGTTTCCCAGACTGGAACACAGTGGCTCAATCTTGGCTCACCACAACCTCCACCTCTTGGGTTCAAGCAATTCTCCTGCCTCAGCCTCCCAAGTAGCTGGGATTACAGATGTATGCCACCATGCCCAGCTAATTTTTGTATATTTAGTAGAGATGGGTCTGACCATGTTGGCCAGGCTGGTCTCAAACTACTGACCTCAAGTGATCCACCCGCCTCAGCCTCCCAAAGAGCTAGGATTACAGGCATGAGCCACTGCACCTGGCCCTGCCCTCATTTTTTAAAAAAAAGTATTAAGAAGCAAGAAGAAGCCTCTTCCAGGTATCTATACAAATGTGCCCTGATTTGAAACCCTGCCTGGCCCTTTGTCAGTGGGGCTTCAGGCTAGGCACTGCCTCTCAGGATACATTACCTTTCAGTGTCAGAATTGACTGCCAAGGAGGGAGTCCAAACCTTGACTACATTTCCCCAACATCTGAAAAGTGCAGAGCTTTCTTAAGAGAATATTTTTTAGCAATAAATTTAGCTCATTTTATGTGTGTGTGTGCATGTGTGAGACTTCTAATTACCTGAACTATCCTAGGAATATGGAAACCACATCTCCTATTAAAAAACATTATTTTCCTCCATGTATAAAAGTAACATATTTATTATGGAAAATATATGAAAATAATTCTTAATCCATTTACCCACACAGGCTGGGTGCGGTGGCTCACGCCTGTAATCCCAGCACTTTGGGAGGCTGAGGTGGGTGGATCACGAGGTCAGGAGATCGAGACCATCCTGGCTAACACGGTGAAACCCCGTCTCTACTAAAAATACAAAACAATTAGCCAGGCATGGTGGTGGGTGCCTGTAGTCCCAGCTACTCGGGAGGCTGAGGCAGGAGAATGGCGTGAACCCAGGAGGCAGAGCTTGCAGTGAGCTGAGATCGCGCCACTACATTCCAGCCTGGGCGACAGAGCGAGACTCCACCTCAAAACAAGAAAAAAAAAAGGTTTATATCATGCCATTTTCATTTGACTTTATCTTACGACTACTATTTAATAACTTGTGCTAAAAAGTTGGCTTCTAAATGGCTATGTTATAGTTTATCTTATGGAAGAACTACAGTTTGTTTAACCTTGCCCATTTTATGTGAACTTTTACAAACTCCATGATAGAGAACTTCCTTATATATTGTATTAGGCTTGCATCGCTATAAAGGAGTATTGAGGCTGGGTAATTTATAAAGAAAAGACGTTTAATTGGCTTACAGCAGTGCAGGGCTTACAGGAATCCACGGTGCTGGCATCTGCTTCTGGAGAGGCCTCAGGAAGCTTCCAATCAAGGCAACAGGTGATGGGTAGCCAGCATATCCCATAGCAGGAGCAAGGATGAGGGGGAAGTGCCATGCTCTTTTAAACAACTAGATCTCATGTGAACTCACAGTGAGAACTCACCCACCACCAAGGGATGGGAGTTGCTAAGTCATTCATGAGGGATCCATGAATGACGGTCCATGAGGAGGTGAGGGATCCATGATATAGTCACCTCCCACCAGGCCCTACCTCCAACATTGGGAATCACATTTCAACATGACATTTGGAGGGGACAAACATCCACATCATATCATATATATATTTTTTTATCATCTCTGGTCTATTTATTTCCTTTTGATCAATTCCAAGAAGTATCATTACAAAATCAAATAATAGCCTAATTGCTTCCCAGAAAGGTTGTATCAGTTTACAACTCCTGTTAGAATTGAATAAAGATGCCTGGGTCAACATGACCTCAGAAACAGGGGGTATGACCACAAATGCTGTTCTGCAAAACAATTTTGTCAGTGAAAATTCTTATTAGTTGGCTGGAGACATCTTGAACAAAAAACAGTATATCCCTACCCTAACCTTCAATTTGGTCAAGGCTGAGTGAAGGCTTTAGAGAGAGTATTTGAGGTTCCAGATTTTATATCAGGTTGACTGGACCAGGAAACTGGAAATATGTTATTCACTATAACAAAGGGTGAAGCCAGAACTATCTTTATGTTGTCTTAATCGAAACGCTAATAGACAAGCTAGGTTTTTACCATCTGTAAAATGGGGACATTTATGTCTGCCCCTTGGAAACACTTTGATTAGAATTCATGATGAGTTGATGCATTTGGATGTCTGCCGAACTGCCCATACTACAGCAAAGCACTGATTACTACCGTGCATGTGTGTGTGAGGGGGTAAAATTGTATAGAAGCAGGGAATTAACTGATAGTAACACCCTTGAGGAGAGAATGGCAGCATGGATTAGATCTAGCTGAAGGAGGAGTGAATTACGCTGGAGTGATTATTCAGAGCATGCATGAAAAATTCTCCAGAGCAATCCTCACACTCCCCCAGTCTGATCATGTCTAGCCCGTTTCAGCCAGGACAGTTTTCAGCCTTTAGCATCCATCAGAATCACCTGGGGCACTTGTGGAACAATGTTGGGTCTCACCCACAGAGTCCCTGATGCAGTAGGTCTGGGGTTGGGCCTGAGAATTTGCATTTCTGATAGACTCCTGCATGGTGCTGGTGCTGCAGGTCTAGAGACCACACTTTAAAAACCACTGGTCTATAGAATCCCCTCACAGCAGTTTTACTATTGTGAAATTGAATTCCCACCTGCTATGAATGTGTGTTTTTATTCAGTAGGAGGCCATTGATATTTGTGTGTCTGCAACACTAAGCTTCACCACAAAGAGGTATTTTAATTTTTTTCTCCAGGACGTGGTGTCATATCTTTGGAAAATGTAAATACATTGAGTATACATCCTCTTGATCCATTTCTTCATCTGGTGTACACATGTAGTCAAATGTGTATTGCATGGGCATGCCTACTACTATTGAAAGAAAGGAATATTTCTAGCTAACGTTAGAAATGGCCCCTGCTTTTCAAAGCAGAGCTATCAAATTTAACAATACTTACAACGAAAAGTGAACTTTCAGCTCCATTTCAGACAGATGGAGGTTCTTATATTTCCAGGGGCATGTCTGTGATAACTGAAGGTTTGAGTTGTCTGAGAAAGAAAAAGGGACATTTCACAATTTTAGGGTGGGGAGTGCTCAGCCCATAGACACCTCACTGTGGTCAGTGAGCAGCAGCTGTGTTTGGTTCAGCCCCATTCCAGGGAAATGGGTCCAATCCAAACACATGATTGGGCCAGAAAGCAGGATTATTTAATCACCTGGAGGCCCAGCCCTGCCACTGCAGCTGTCAGAGGAACCTGTCACAGTTGGTTTGCCAAGGACTCAGGGCCAGATGCCTGCCCTGTGAAAATGCATTCCCAAACTGACACCTGGGGCTCAGGACAGCCATTGAGATTCCACCAAGAAGAACAGTGGGACTTAAATTAGCCAGCATGTTCTTCACTCTCCATAGGAAGAATCCCTTACAACAGGAAGTGGATGGGGATGAGGCACAGGTGTCCAATAAGATAACCATCTCTGGCCCTGTCTTACCAGCATAAAGCCTTTTGATGCTGTTCACCAGGAACTCAAATGCATCTGAGACATTTCCTTCCCAAGTTTACTTTTAAGATTTTTTTTAAACTCATATTGTAGAGTTGGAAACAGATGTCGTCATTCTATACAGATTTATTTTAGGAGCAATGGAGGATTAATTTGTGATGAGATCATTCTTTCAGACACAGAGTTCTGAAAAAACTGTTAGGGACTAAGGTAGATATCATTAAGTTCTTCCTTACTTAAGTCATATTAAAAAGATGAGCAAGAGGAAGGGAAAGAGGAAGGAGGTTGGAAGAAAAGGGAAGAAACAAGCTGTCACTTAGGGTTTCCAGAACTGATTGCAAGTAGCTGTTGAGTTTGGAGCTATTCATTTCCGAAACTCTCCTCCAAAGAGAGAGAGAGAAACTTTGTACTGAATATATATTCATAAGACATAATCTTACAAAATAATGAATGTCTTTGATGGTGTGATTTTGTATTTGGGATGGAAGCTTCACATGCAAAACCAAAGTCTGTCCACAAATGCACAAATGTTCTCTCTGAGGACCTGTGCACTGCGTCTTCTAGGGTACTCAGAGGTGATTAAAGCTTGTGGGGAAAATGCTTAATTTGTCTTGGGAATAAACCATGCTGATTTGTTCTAAGTGAGTACGAGGCTTCCCTGAACCCTTGAGAGGCAGCCTGAGTTAGACACCCATGATTTATACTATACCATAACTCCATTATGTTGGCTAAGGTAGAGGCAGACATCCCCCCAAATTATTAAAGCTGTCCATTTCTTCTTAGCACCCCACGGTGCAGAGAGTTTCCATGGTAAAAGAGAAAATAGCTATTTTCCCTTCTATGACCTTAGCCTGGGGTTCAATTTCCACAGCCATCTGAATAATACACAGAGCTCAGAGAAACCAGAGGTGCAGGAGTTTAGATCCTCCTTGACCAAAGACTTGAAGTATAAATAATTTGCAACATAGGATTTTTAAAAAATTTATTTATCTCTATCTTTTCTTCTATTTTCTCCTGCAGAGAGTCAGGAGGTAGAATGGGGCTTAAAAATTAATTTCCAAGAAGCCGTAGTGACCTGGATTATCCCAGCATAGCAGTAACTTCATGGATGAGTAAACAATTCCCGAAAGGAAGCTGGGAGACAGTGGCCTCCTGAGTATTGGGGAACAATCTATGGCTTACCCTGTACCTTTGGATTGATGTGCTAATGACGGGCCACTGGTTTGTCTAGCTTCTCTGCAGCACCACAGTTGAATAAAAGTAAAAGAAAACAATCATCTCTATTTTTTGTGTAGACATGTATGAAAGCCAAAAATATTTATGTATTCTTTATGAATCCTATTTGCTGGAAATTTAAGGAATTATGTTTGCAGAACTATAATGGGGAGAGAAAGGTACATATGTGATACCCAGAGGGACATTAAAATGGGGGGTTGAAATTGGGCCTGGGTATACCTCAGTTTAACACAGAGGATTTCCTTATTTAAGGAAAAAGGAATGTCATCGAAATATTGATGCAGCCTGTTGATGATGGAGGGCAGTGTTTATTGCCATGGGTTGGATGAGGATATGAATCTTACTGCTTGTTTCCCTTCCACTGAGTCAGTTTTATTTCCTATCTCTGTCAAAACCTGTCTGCATTCCTGCATCTAAATCCTTTATTCTATCCAGGGACACCTACTTATCTGCCTTCACATGCAGACCTATGCTGGCCAACCCTCAACTGGCCTCCTGCCCTGCAAAAGAAGGGTGGAGTCTGGGCCAGAATCCAGCCAGAAAATCAAAGTCTCTGCCAGAGAATCAAAGTCTCTGCTGTGATTCACTCTTCTCATGTTCCATTTTGACCTGACCCTTTGAGTTCTATGTGTCTCCAGATTCCTGATTGCTTGATTTCTCACTTACGGACAAACCTCCTTCTTTAGTTTCATTATAAGTCTATAGTCAGAGTACATACACTACATTAACATACAATTACAGTTTGGTGGAGACTTTAGAGACAGTTGCTAGAGTTTAAAACCCTAGCTCTGCCCACTCAGTAGCTGTGCAATTTTTAGCAAATTACTCAACCTGTATGTGCCTCAGTTTCCTTGTTGGAAAATAGGATAATGAAAGTACCTGACTCATATGATTATGGTGAAGATTAAATGAGTTAAGATATGTAAAGGGCTATGAAAGGTGTTTGGCATATCCTAAGTGCTATCCAAATGTTTATGACCATTACGGTTACTGTTATTATTACCTGGCCTTATATATCTTATTTAATTGTCTAAGCTGCTACTCTGCTCTGCTTTAAGTATGTGTTTCTTAAGAACAGATTATTTGTTGGGTTACCAGAGCTCATTGTGTGGCTCTCCAGATTTTAATTTCTTACCCTGAGTCAGTGTTCCAGTTATCTAAGAACAAACAGATTTTACTGTGGACTCTGGAGAAACCAAACTTCTCCTTTTGGTACTTAAAGTTCTTGAGGTCATGACGCAGACTGGGTTCTCTAGAAGCAGACACTGAAATGAGACTGCGTATTGATTGAATAAGGACATTGCTGTATATTGTTTCAGAAGAGACATCCATGGGAGGGAGGGGAAGAATTCAGGACTGAACATAGGAGACGTGCATTGGGGTCAGGCACGACAGAGCCACAGCCAATCCTGCAGGATACTGTGGAGTGAGTATGGCCCCTTGGAGTGACTGGAATCAGTCTGGGATTTCTTGGCGTTTATGCTCCTACATGGATCAGTAACTGGTTGTAGGCCACTTGGGGAAGAAGGGTCCTTGGGTGAGGCAAAGCCTGAGGGAGCTGGCAGCTGGAGGCTTCCTGCTCCCCGACAAGGGACCCATGCAGTGCATGTCTGCGTCTTCCCCAGGGTTAGTTCCAGGCTGAAAGATTGTACTTTCCCAGAAAGGCTCAACACGGCATCACTTTGTAAAGACTGCACAATTTGCCAAATGTCTTTTACAGGGATAGATGGGGGATAGATGGGGTCACTGCAAGGGTGCAAGGGAAGATGCTGAAGAAAGGGAGGGTGGCAAGACAAATGGAGATGAATGGAGCAGAGGTTTGTTACCATAGGAACTAGAGTCAACAAGATATAGAGGAAACCACACAGAATCTTTACATGGGAGGGACCATTAGAGGCAATTAGATGGTGTTAGGCAACTAGTATAGGAGCACATTGTTTCCTTTAGATTTTCTTTCTCTTATTTTTGAGATTTTGAGAAGTTGCTAATAGAAATTGTAGTAGGCTTAGGGTGACCAACCATTTTGCTTTGCCCAGATGGAAAGGACACTTGACTTTCAGTGCTGGAGCTGGGTCGTCTTAGGTGGTTTTCTATGAAGCCTTTTCTAAGCCACCTGGAAGGGTCACAAATGAAGCCATGGAATAATGAATGGGGAGAGGGTTTGGAAACCAAGAGCAGTTGTTTTTCCATCTGGTTAAGAGGACAGGGAGCAGAGACATTCTGGATGGTTCCTGCAGTACTTCACATATACTTGGCCGCTCATACATATAGATCAAAAGGAAATTGAACATGAGGGCAATGAATTAAAAGAGAACAGGAAGGGGAACATCACACACTGGGGACTGTTGTGGGGTGGGGGAAGTTGGGAGGGATAGCATTAGGAGATATACCTAATGCTAAATGACGAGTTAATGGGTGCAGCACACCAACATGGCACATGTGTACAATGTAACAAACCTGCACGTTGTGCACATGTACCCTAAAACTTAAAGTATAATAATAATAATTTAAAAATCCTATTAAAAAAAAGAAGAAAAAAAGAGAACAAACTGCTGAGAACAGGGAAATAATGGTAAAATAGGGAATATATCTAGGGAGCAAACCAGAGCTAAATGTGATAATGCTCCCAAACATTACAATGCTATAGGGGTCTTCCTGGAGTCCCTGTCTTCCAGGCCAGACCAGGTACTTTTGTATTCATGTGTATTACAGAACAACCCTGGGCCTTCATTCTACCCACAACCTCACCACATCAATTCTAGAATGTCCTTTCCTTCTTTTCTTCCTTCTCTCTCACCACAGGGGTGGTGCATTCTTCAGCAGTCCCTGGGGCCAAAGTTAGCAGGAAGCCCTGGGCATATCACCCACTGCCCCCTCCTAGGGTGAGATGAGTCTCTCCTGGGGACTGGACATAATTTGGTGTTGGTATGGAAGTTTGATGTTGGGGGTGGGAAGGTTCCCTGCTTCTGGGAATGCATTTCTATGAGTTGCCTTACCAGCCCAAGTCCAAATACCAGAGGCTTAGGTGGAAACTGGTCTCATCTCTGAGATGAAAGGAGAGCATGTTCCAATCACTCTGGTTTCCAAGTATGGAGTGTATTACAGGAAAGGCTCTGACAAGCTGATATGAATCACTAACCCTGCGACCTTTGGACTTTCTGACCTCATGTCAATCATAGTTCATGCTCTGTCAACAATTACATTTCCATTGATGAACTGGGTTTCCACTAATAACTGAATTCTCTGTATCCAAGAGATTAGTGTATCATGTTCAATTAGCTGCACTTTATTTTCAGATTGTCCTAACTTTTCCAGTTCTGTACAATCTTAGTTACCCCCTCTCACTCAGACAAACAGCGCCTATGCTTTGACTTTATTTTTTTATCAAAACAGAGGTGGAAATATTTCAATGTATTTTTCAATTGTGTCTCCCAATCAGTAGACACCCACAGAATGTTCTATAGGCATTCAGATTGCAAAATATACATAGAACCTGAAGTACTATATGTTTGCAGTGAGGATTTGTGGTATAAATTGTATACTGTTCCATATAATGTTTGGTGAATGACTCAGTGAATGAATAAGCACATTCAATAATAAATAACAAATTAATGATTTCAAAGATTAGTAGATTCATGTACCCTTCAAGCTTACCTGCCCTTTGTTACACAGTAATATATTATTTTCTGTGAACACCCCATGTATTTTTCACCACTATTAAGTGATGCTGATTGCCTCTAGGAGAGGAGGCAGATATGACAATCTTTATTAAACAAGTGGCTTGGAAGAGGAGTAGCTGAAGAAAAAAGAATGGGAAGAACAAAGAAAAGAATGGCAGCCAAGTTTCTGGACCTTAGGCCCTGGAGCCTTGCCTTCCCACTTCCTCATCACCCATTCAAGTCTGTAGCTGGAAGCCCAAGTTGCGTCAAATCTACCTATTTTGCCTTACCTTTTAGGCCTACTGTGACTTTCATCTCCTTTTCCAGTTGGAATAAACCTGTTTACACAGCTGTACATGGCTAGCACCATGCTAGCATGGAGGGAACTACTGAGGCATAGAAGAAGGTCTCTGCATCAAGGTGACCACAGTCTGGCTTGGAGTGAGAGTGGCCTACAAAAAGCAAATGTGAACATGCAAGTCCATGTTTATCGTTAAGAGATCAGATGGTTGCTATGGGTCAAAAGAGCTCAGGAGTCAATAAGGGATGAGCTGGACAGGGAAAGAAGAATGTACTTTAATTCAGTTCATCCAGCCCTGTCTGCAATTTCTCTGCCGATTTGGCCAGCAGCAGTAGGAGAGGGCTGGTAGGATGGGCTGTAGGACGTTACCCAGGGACATCACCCTCTGAGCTGTTTATGGAACCGAATGGAACCTAAGACTTCATTTCAAATGTATTCTATTGCTATTGTAACACTCAAAAGCCTCCTTACTATACTGTCTACACTCTTCTTATAAAATAAGAAGTGTTATCATTTTTATATTTATTCAGAAGGCACTGGCCGTAGAATTAAGCAATTTCAAAATATGGAATGCTTGAAAATGTGGAAGCTAGCAATAACTTCTCATGACCCTAACCGATAGGACTCATGTTCTTATAATCAGTCAAAATAATAAGTGGCAACTGATAAATTGAGTGGTTATTCTCCTTTGTTAATAGAAGGCTGTCATTTAAAATAATTTCCCAAATCCAGTAGATTTGTAGATTGAACAATGGTTATTGTACCTGGAAAAGGTTCAATGTGTTTCAAATCAATCACCCTGGATTTCTTTAAGGTGTAAAGTTTAAGCCAGCAGTGACAACAGAGCCAAGAGGCTCCTGCCTAATAGCCCAGGGTCAAGTCCCTTGGACTTTCCTGGCGTCTCAGGGGAAGTGCAGAGAATTCTAATACTGTGGTTTCTTGGACAAATGACCATTTCTCCAAACCACAGTGGGCTTTGCCTGAGTTTGGAGAAAGCACAGGCAATTTTTCCCGGGAGAAAGAGTAAACATGCGCTGTGGCTGCCTGGATGATGACCATTTTCTCTCTTTGTCAGGCCAAGGCAAGGGAGCAGTCCCCACGCTGGACATGGAAAAGCCTACAGCTGCATCTCAGCCTTGCTCACCCCTAGAGCCCTGGCCCTGTGCCTGGACAGGTGTTCTTTGCACCTGAGCTGGCAACTTTCCTCTGGCTGCCCCTACCCAATTTCTGCCATTTCTGTTGACTTTCCAGGGTTGTTGGGTTAGGAACAGACTGTTGGGTTAGGGCTGACTCACTCTTCCTCTGATCTGTAAGGATGCCTTTTCTGAAGGGCCCTTGAAGCATATTTGCCACAAAAATAAGCTGTTTCTGGAGCTTAAAATATCAGGTGATCAGAGCAAAGAATTTATATTATGTGTGTGCACATGTGCTTGTGTGTGTGCTTCCAAAAAAAAAAAAAAAAAAAGGAAAGAAGAAAATGCAACTCCAGCCCACTCCAGCAGACCCCTGAGCCACCTTCCTTGCCACCACTCCCATTTTTGTCGTTTTAACTAAAAAGCTTTCTCAACATGAAAGGAGGAACTCAGGGGCTGGCTGAGTAATCAGCCCAGGGCTCTGCTGGCCATCTGGGCAAATGCAGCAGGGCCACCAGAGCCTGAAGAGTCTGTTCCCTGGGGCCACCAAGGAAAAGCAGAGCATCCCTGCCTCTTCCCTGGGGCATCTTTGCATGTTATCTGCTGGGAGCTCCTCATCACATCCTAGCGTGGTCGTCTGGGACTATTATGATCTGGTGGGGTCAGGGGCTATTATGCGTCAAGCCTCAGTGTGTTTTAGGGACTACAGGGAACCCACTGTCAACACCATTCAGGGCAGGCGCTGATTACAATAAGCCAGGTTTCACACAGGGGAAAGTCAGTGGCTGTCCCCATCCTCTTCCTTTTCTTATCCTCTTCCATTTCTTAGTATTATCAACTGATTTTAATGGCCTCCCAGAATCAGGTGAAAATTGGACTCAGAGTCTATCTATTTAGACAATCGGGGCACACAAAATTCATTGCACTCTCAGTTTCCACACAGTCATATCCCCTGCCTCCTCCAGGCTCTGGTTTCAGGCAGACTCTGTTCGCAGGTTAAAAGGAATGCAACTTGCATCTTGTAGTTTAATGAATTTACATAAATCCTTAAAGTAGTATTGCTGGACCCCAGCTGGCAAACTGGACTTCAATTTTGTGCATTGGATTTGTGTAAAATCAAAGTCAGGAGAAGATTACGGCTCCCGACACCCGTTCCCTTTTCCCACCTCCTCTGTCTCAGCACTTTTTATTTGGGGCAAGCAAAGAAGTTAAAAATGTCAATCTCACAGTATGTACTGTCAACAACACAATGAGGAGGCTGAAATAAAATCCTCCAACTTCATGATGATACTTTATCCTTACATAGGGCCTTTCATGAAGAGCCTTCCAGTGCCTTAGTACATTAACCCTCACTGTGCCTCCCTGGGCTGGGCCTAGAACCTACGCTGGTGAAAAAGCAAAGGGATGGTGGGCTGACACCTCATTTCCATGGCAGGTTCCAGGTAGTTTCTCAAAATAGGGGAAACTTTACATCTCTCCCCTCACCTCCTCTCCCAGCAGATGTAGGCTGTATCAGCCCCCTCGCCAAAGGTCCTTGGGGTTGCAATACTGTCAACAACCAAACAGACAGATTACATGTGTGTTGAGGGGACCAGGAGGCAGCCCTCACTCCTCTCAGGAGGGAAAACAGCATTTGTAAGTTTGAAATTTGAAATATCATGAAATGCATCAAAGCAGTCATTATGGGAGTAATCTGAACTTTGTTGGAATTCCTTATGCTCACTTTATGGTTTAGTCTTGTTTTTGTTTGATTTATGTAAGAGGGCTACCATAACATCTGCAGTGATTAAAGCCTATAAATGTCTTTATCCCACTATGCGTTTGGGGCCCTCAATGTGGCACCTGTTTTGTCTTTTCTAAGTTTTACTTTGTACACCAACTTTGTGTCAGATATGATCTATTGTAAGTTATGGTTACCAAGAATTTTCTAATTGGTCACAGGGCTCCCTCCTAAAGAACCTGGACAAAACTACATGATCTTTATCAATGTCTGATTGTAGACTAGAAGGTCATCTGTTTGCTTCTCTTGTTATAACCAGTGCCTCTTAAAATATGGTCTGAGGACCATATGTGTGAGAATGACATGGGCCACGTTCTAAACACGAGGGTTCTCAAGGCCCCTTGAGACTCACACTCTCAACACCATGCCAGTTTGTTTGATGAATGCTGAGGTGTTCCTATGCTGCCCTTTCTAAAATTTCCTGTGCTTCCTATTCCTGACCATATTAACTCTTACAGAGCAGACTGGATGGCCTCAGGCTGTCTCTTAAGCCCTGGTAGAACAATTAGCTCCAGGAGAAGACACAGGTACTGCAGCAGACAATACTCATTACTAAAGGCTCAGTGCAAAGGGAAGCATGCAACAAATATACTGAATTCCCCCACCGCCGATATTTTCTCCATCCTGCAATTGAATCTTGCCCACCTCCAAGGGCATGGAGAATTTACTGCACAGTAATGCCCTAGGACTCAGCCCTGTGAGTGTGATTCCCATGGTCTTTGCACTTGTCTTTCATGCCTATGACTTATCTTCTCTTGGAAGAGCTAAGCAGAGGGGCTGGGTTACATAAAGGAGCAGAAGTCACATGGGTTTGCGGTTGACATCTGAAGCTCTGCTGAATGCCCACTGGCATATATTTGCATATAGGAATCAGACCCAGGAGTATTAATGGTGGTCACATGCTTCTTATTCCAAGTTACCACTGTTCATATTAGTTTACTAACTTCCTCTTCAATGTTTATCATCCTCAGAGGGATCCAGGGCTCCTTAGGACACTGGAGGGTCAGGCAGACCTGAGTTGAAATTCCGGATCTGCCACTGACTCTTTGTGTAATCACATTCAAATTAGTTCAGGAACATATCTCCCTGGGCCTCAGTTTCCTTGGTTGTGAAAGGTGAGTGAAGATAATAGTGTGTAACTCACTGGGTTTTGTTTTTGGTTCTGGGTTTTTTTTTTTTTGAGATGGAGTTTCACTCTTGTTGCCCAGGCTGGAATGCAATGGTGCGATCTTGGCTCACGGCAACCTCCGCCTCCTCACTGGGCTTTTTTAAGGGTAAATTAGATGATGCACTGAAAGCCAATGGCACATAGAAATGCTGAAGAAGGGGCAGTTGTTTATGAGAATGGGGGAGTGGCAGACTCAGACGCTGGAGGTAGAAACTGTGCCTGTGATCATGGTCCTTGTAGGTCCCTTGTAATACATGTCATCACCAGTAAGCAGCTCTAAGAGACCTTTTGGCTGTTTTTTACTCCATGCAGATCTGATTACCATCTCTGACTTCAGGAATTTTCCAATTTAAGACAGAAAACACTTATTAACATAATAAAATGACCAGCATAAGACATTTTTAAAAATGATCAGGTAAATAGCCATATATGTGCCTGTTACAGTGTCACCCAGCCGTCCTTCTCCCAGGCCTCAGGGAGAGAGGACATTACCTGAGCGCAGGACTAGCAGGCGGGCAGGAGGCGGGGAGACAACACTCAGCAGGTGGGGGGAGTTTTGGCAGCAGCATTCATAATCACCTAGTAGGTAGAGGTGGTGAGGATGGCCTTTCCCTCCCCTACCCCCACCCTCTTTTGTTTTTATGCTAAGTCGTAAGTCTAGCTAAATACTTGTATTTAACTCTCCCTCGGGAAGGTATGACCTGGATCACACCCAAGGGGCTCCAAAAGTGCATTAAACAGAATCTGGCCTCAGGTTCCTATAATATGTGGGCCATAAAAAAAATAAAAATATGCAGGAAACATGGGCTATGCTTTCCTTTTCTTGAAACGATTATAGACGTAAGATATCTTCTCACTATGAAGTAAGACAAGAATTGGATATGCTTTCTCTAGAGGAATAGAAATAGTGCTTTGAAAAGTCTATCCTATCTTGGTGGAAATTTTCAGTCATTCTTTTTCTTGGACTTTTTTTTCCCCCCTAAAGAAAAACATAGGCTCTAATGTATGGCTTATGCCTTCGAGTTTCTACTATAAAGGCCTGGTAGGCAGTATAGCAGGTAGGCAGGGCTGGGTTTTGTGCCATCACTCCCGGCCACTGAAAAAAGGCAAAGTCCCTTCTTAATAAAGCTCTGCAGACTCATTGTGGGTTAGAGCTTTCTAAGCTCTCCCTGGAGATTTCCTTAATGTTAGACTAGCCATGACAAGGAGCTGGTCACACCTGTGCCCCTACAAGCTTTCTGACTTGTCGCTCCGGTGCTTGCTAGCAGCCAGGAAAATGAACCGAAGCGGCTCACACTTGTCTTACCTTAAAACTTCATTTGTCAAACAGGATTGCACAAGGAAAAGGTCAGCACTTTATGTTCTGAGCACTGAACTTTAATCATTTCTGAAGGTGGACAGAGTCTAAGAGGTCTTTAAATCAGTCCTCAAATATAAGGGGAAAGGGGTGGGTCCTTGGATCAGAAATGAAAACTAGTGCTTGTGTCTTCCTCTTCTCAACCCTATTCCACTCCCACATACCATTGCATCCTGGGAGAAACTTCATCAACATTCATTCAATCAATACCTCTTTCTTGAGCACCTACTATAGGTCAGACATTTAGTGAAGAAATAGCAATTTTTCTTTTTGAGGCTTATTTTGAAAATGTACCACCAAGTCTTTTTATTATTATTTCTAATAACAAAAATGAAACATGATCATTGAAAAAAAGTCAAACCACACACAAAGCATACAAATGTGAAAGTTCTTTCCACCTTTTTTCCCGAGGGTAACCACTGTTAATCATTTATATAATTCCTCTCATCATATGCAAAGTTCTTTTTCGTGTTCAATATGCCACCTTCTACGCTGCACCTTGCTTTATCCACTCAGTAAGCAACAACCTACTTCTGTCCACATCAGTATATTCACAGTTACCTCCATTTTTGTTTTCTTGTATTGATGAATATTAGTCTCCCTTTTATTGGCTTACAAATAATGCTGCAAAGAACTTGTGCTTATATCTTTGTGCTCTTTTGTGAGTGTATTTGTGGGATCACTATGGAAAAGTGGAATTGCTGGGTCTAAGGGTCTGTACTTGTAAAATCTTTAGGTACATCTAATTTACTTTCTCTTAACATGGGGCTCATTGAAGACCCATCAGTGACATACACAATTTGTGTTGTCTTTAACTATTTCCCACATGAAAGTAGCATATATTGGGGTCTTGGGACCCTACCAAATCAATAACCAATTGCTACTCTTTGAGGAAATAATTTTCAGACATGCAATGAGCATCTGCTGGGGGTAGTGAGATGTGAGGTCATTGTTTTCCAAGGCCAGGGAGAGAGCTTAATCTAAACATACACTCCATGCCACAGAATCAGCTAACCTTGTTCCTGCCTCCACCCTCAATGCTCACCCCCCACCTCCCACATTTCTGTTTAGGATTCACTATGGCAAGTGATTTAGGTATAAACAAATAACACTTACAAGGCAGCCCTCAAAGACCTTTCAAACTGAGTTGGGGAGACAGAACACAGATGGCTAAAAAACAAACTAAAAATACTAGTCAGTATATAAAAAGCAGCAAGTAAATATAAATAGTAAGCATCGTTATAGCAGTCCAGAGGAAGGAAGGAAAACAGTGGGCTGGAGTGTTCGCGCTTCGTGGCAGAGACTAGGTGTTGGATCTGTGGAATTTCTCTAGGTGGGGGCTAGGGGTTGGAGGGGAGATAACTGTAAAAACTATAAGAACCAACGGACAGAAGAGAGATTCCATGAGAGAGTGGAAAATAGGGGAGAAAAGGCCCACTTTTATTTTGATAGTTGTGAGTGGGATTTACAGTGTTCTGTGAGATTATTAGAAAGACTTGGCACAGATTCTTATTTATTTGTTTTTTGGAGTGTCGGGGGTGGTGCAGGTGGGTGGTTAAAATTTTAAGAATCAGAAGAAAGCCTCCAGCACTCTTCTCAGGAAAAGAAAAATTGCATATTTGCAAATGCACACAAAATGTTGCTGTGATTTCAAGGATCCCTTCCTTCTACTCCAAGCTGAGACACTAGAATGTATCTAAAAGGAGTTGCACCCAAGACAATCTATCTAGGAAAAATGTCGGCCAGGTGTATATATCACAGTAAAAGTAATTAAGCAATGTAAGACACAACCAGTATTCATATATTCATGAATCATCAGGCTCTGAAGTTGACTCGAAACAGGTGGGTAAACAATTTGGTAGGGCTGTGCTGGCACTTCAAACTTTTCCTCCAGGTCTCCAGCTATTCCAGTGTAAGCTGGTGGAGGCGATTCTCTGTCTTTTTCAGACCTGAAAGAAGCCATCCTCTCAAAAATGTGAATCAATGGGATTATTTACGCATGTATAACTGGAATCCACTCCAAGATGCCGATTTTGCTGCAGAAGAGATACTCTTCCTCCCCACCCCCTCCTTTCTTTTTGACAGTCAGTTAATAAAGACTCAACAATAAGCAGCTGCCAGTGATGTCATTTGGGACTTTGTCCACGGAGCTTGTATTTACAAGCTCGAAGCAACTACGGAGCCGCAGCCCAGGGAGCAAGTCTCCGCAAACTTGCTCCGCATTCACGGCAGGACTTCCCAGCCGCTGTGGATGTTCAGGAAAACCGAGTCTGTTCTGTTAGCGTGGCCTTTGAATGCTTCAAAAATAAACAGAGGATAACCAACCGCGGGAGGAAATTTTTAGCTGGAGAGAGTTGTAGTTCCTGTGTCTGTCTCCAGGACTGTGATATGTGTTGACTGAAGAGCTAACTACAAGTAAGACTGTTGGGATTTTTTTTTTAAACTCTTGTAACAGTTTTTCTTATTTATACAGCTTGTTTTCCTTCTAAAGTGAGATGATGATGTTTACATATTTCTCCAGGCTCTTTCGGCTGTCACAGCAAGTATGCGTTTGTTCTAAGTAACTATAGGGCCCTAAAGTGGACTGGAATTAGGGGTAGAGGACCCCTTGTCTCTGAGAACAAATACCAGGATGCAGATGATAAGGAGATACTGAATGGCTAATCCTCATTTGCCTCTGCAGGGAGGTCAGGTTTGGTTTTTCATTTGTTTTGTTTTTGTTTTTTAAAGAGATACAACCAACCAAAAAACTATTAGGCTGATCTAGAAAGTTTAGCAGACAACTATGAAGGCTACTTTTTCATGAACTGGTACACTGCAGGGAGAACCCACTTTTTGTCTCTGATTCTTTCTGTGGTTTATGGATTTCTAGTGTGTGGATGTTGATGTTTATGGTCTCTCGTCCCCTCCTACCTACACTCTCTCCCCAAACACACACACACACACACACACACACACACACACACACACACAGGCTCATTCATCCTCAGGAATGTGTATGTATCAAAAAATATTTTGAAATTGAAACTGTTTCTATTTGGATTCTTTTCACATTGAGTATCTGGAGAAATGTTCAATGTTCTGACTTGTCTTCTGAGTTGGAACCCAAGTTAATGTACTACTGAAAAAGGCAAACTTTGACACTGAGCTAGATCGGTATACAAAATCCACATGTTCTCTTTTGCCTGCCTCAGGGCTCTTTAAAACTCTCCAGATATTCTCTGGGATTTAAATAGGAAGAGTGAGCTTCATGTATGCCGCCAGCCTGGACAGGAACCTCTTATCCCACCTGCACCGGCTGGCCCGTGAGCTATTCTCTGTTGCCACCCGGGAGTTCTGCTTAAGAGCCCAGTGAAAAATTGTCTTTCTGTCCTTCAAGCTACCAGCTCTGCTCCTCAGTGCCTGCAGTTCAGCCTCTTGCAACCAGTAGCAAATCCCAGCTGATTCCTGCCCTCTAGACCTGACAGCCCAGCCCGCTGCACGGATTGGCAAGAAGTGGCTGTTAGCCTGTTAGCTCCGCATGTGAACCCCATGACTCACTCAGGAGCCTGGCTTGCTCCTGAATTCAGCTGCTCTGTCACCAGCCCAGAAACATGGTGACAGCCTTCACTACCTTTTCCTTGTCTCTAGTCTCAGAATTGTGAGAAGCCAGTGTCAAAAGGCCTCAAAATATTTGACTGTTTTCCAGGGAGTCCTAAGGTGGGTAACATCCTGCCTCTTTGTCAGCTCCATTTTTTTCCATCAGAACACATTAGGCTTAGATATGTTTTGTGTATTAGAGCTCAGTGCTCTTTGCAATTCTTTGCTTAAAATAAGGGACTTGCTGCTAAAACAGATTTCAAACTATTCATCAAAGTTTATCCTTTCACAGAAGAAAACTTGGGGCACAAGGAAGAGAAGTGATTGTCCAAGAGCACCCAGTAAGATGGTGGCAAAGCTACAACTAGAAACTGAGCTTCCTGTGTTCATTCCAGCATGTGTCCCACTTCTCAAGTTCTTAAATATTGAAAAAGAAATGGGACCCACACGCGGTTCCTATGCCTTCTTGTAGGAACAGGGCTATGTGCAGGTGTACAGATGAAGGTGGTCTGGCAAAGAGAGAACATTCCCGT
Source organism: Homo sapiens (assembly GCF_000001405.40). Lineage (NCBI taxonomy): Eukaryota > Metazoa > Chordata > Mammalia > Primates > Hominidae > Homo > Homo sapiens. The sequence continues at coordinate 133,566,518 of NC_000002.12, read as the reverse complement.
TTTGTCTTTGGCTCTCGTTACATTTCTTAAGGTGTCTGTTCCTCATTGTTTTCACTAGCAAACCAAAGAGAACTCTGTGATTATTTTACAGATAATGGCCTAAAAGCAAATGGAGCAGCCTCAGCAGTTGAAATAGTTCAGAAGGCATTTTGCACTGGGTACAGGCTGGGATACCTGAGGTGATTCCCAACTCTGATACTCAGTGTTTGTGCTTTACTTCCAAGTCTCAGACTTCTTCTTATGGCCACAGCTTGCTTTGCTTTTCCTCTTTTGGGCCCCTCTCTCCAGTGGAACCTTCTCTTCACTTTTTCATTGATTCCTCCTTCCCACTTCATTCTCTCACTGAAGCCTGGACCTCAGTTTCCAGTATTCAGCTAGATCGCATACACCCGTCCATTACCCTTCTCTCTGGAGCCTTCCTTGTCCCTGACATTCCTACCTAGGGGCGGGGGGCCTTCCTGGACTCTCCTGGTCCAAGTGGTGATTCACTTGTTTCGACTGTCATGGTATCTTGTGCCATTTTTTGCCCTGGGATCTGGAGCTCTTTGCCATGTTGTTAAATACCTCTTTCCGTCGAAAGCAAGGGCTGCTTGCTATATAATACTTCTTATAGCTACAGCACTAAGCACAGAGTAGTTATTCAATGTATTATGCTAAATAAATGAATGAATTAAATATCCATTTTCCTGTTGCAAACACCCAAGCCTCAGGACTTGGTTGGCAAAATTACCACATTACTGTGCTGATTGGCTTTAAATTCTTCTTCACTGTGGTTGAAGGCCCTTGATGCCAGACTTCTGACCATGAAGACGGGGATATTCTTGATGTGATGCCTGGCTGTCTTTCCTGGCTCATTTCACTCTACTCCACAGTGTGGACTTAGAGCTGTCTTGGGGATTCTGGGCCTGATGGCTAATCAGGGTCTTCACTATGCAGCACAGCACAGTGACTGAAAACTTGGACTCTGGAACTGGCCTGCCCAGGCTCAAGTCCTGCTTCTGCCACTTGCCGGCTTTATGATCCTGGTTAATTCACTTAACTTTTCTATTTCAATTTCTCTTCTTTAAAATGTGGATAATGAGAGTGCCTCCTTCATGGGAAGATGGAGAAGGATTAGATATCTTAATGTAGCTAAAACAATAGGCACAATGCTAGGCATACATTAAGTGCTAATGAGTATTAGCTACAGTTATTATTTATCTTGCTGATGCCCACGTCCCACCCCAGACTTACTGAATCATGACCTCTAAGGTGGGATTCAGATCCAGCCATGGTTAAAAAGTTCCTCAGATGATTTCGATGGGAATTACTGGCCTAGCTACCAGGAGCTGCTCTCTATTACTGAAATATGCTGGGCTTGTATGTTCTTCAGCACATCTGCACCTTTGTACTCCTGCAGCACCTCTCCACACACTCAGTTTATCCTCCATATCTTGCATGCACCTCCTGTCCTGTGAGCAGCTTTTCACATCCCAGTCACCGCAGGTAGGTGTCCCTGTGCACCATGGAACTCCGTCCGCATTGGTTCACTGTGCTTCTGTTCCCCTCTTCAGCCTCTGTGTCTCACGAGGGCACACCTGCCAACTGACTCCCCAAACTTAGCACCATGCATGACACTGCCCTTAGGGAATTACTTGTTGAGTAGACGGATGAATACTGCTCACTGAATGCCTTCATTTCCACTTGACTCCTGCCCTGTGCCTACCCCTTTCCCACGGTGGCACCTGTGAGCCTTGCTTCACTCTTGAGTCCCAGCTTTGCCTGTGCTCCTCCCTCAGGTGGTGTCTCCCTCCCTACTTAAGAGAGAAGACTGCGGTCCTGCATTCTGAAATCCTTCCACGTTCCTTGGCTTCATCTGACAACGTTCCCTGCTCTGTCTCCCCTCTTACTTCTCTCAGATGAAGAAACAGTCACACCCCATGGTATTCTATCTAAACTCTGTTGGGATGCTTACACTGCATAGCCCCATTTTAAAAGTATTTCTTTACCTTCCGCTGCTGCCACTAGATTCTAGTGAATTTGAGATAGAGTCGTTGCCAAATTTGAGTTGTCAAATTTGTAATCTTAAGTGTAGTTTGTAAACTCAGCACCTGGCACACAATGAGTTCTCAATAAATGAAAAAAATGTATGGATACATGGTTGATGGGCACAATAAAAACAGATTTAAAATGTTTTCTTCCAACATCAATCACTATTGAGTGGTTACTGTATACCAGGCACACTTTCAAGCTCTGTGCTCATGCTATCTTATTATGATCATTGTATTCATTGTCCAAGCAAAAATACTGATGCTCAGAAAGGTTAAGTAATGTGCACAAGTCACATGGGTGGATAAGAGGCAGAGGCAGGATTTGAACCCACAGCACGTACTTTTTTTTTTTTTGAAATGGAGTTTCACTCTTGTTGCCTAGGCTGGAGTGCAATGGCACGATCTCCACTCACTGCAACCTCCGCCTCTCAGGTTCAAGTGATTCTCCTGCTTCAGCCTCCTGGTTAGCTGTGATTACAGGTGCCTGCCACCACACCCAGATAATTTTTGTATTTTTAGTAGAGATAGGGTTTCACCATGTTAGCCGGGCTGGTCTCAAACTCCTGACCTCAAATGATCCATCTGCCTCAGCCTCCCAAAGTGCTGGGATTACAGGTATGAGACACTGCACTCAACCCCACAGTGCATACTCTTAACCTTTCATTTTACCGCTTTCTGGATATGGAGGCTTCATGAGCCTCACATTCACCCACAATGACGTTTTGGTCATTCACATCTGCCCCGATTGACTGCACTGGCAGAGCAGTATAGCAGATTAATACTTCCACCCATTCAAACTGGCAATTCACATTTTCTAGTCTTTCCAAAGTGTCTAACGCCTATGCGCAGTCCTTTACTATTTTTATTTTTCCTTTAATCTCAGAGATCTGAATCTTTTTTTTTTTTTTTTTTTTTTTTTTTTTTATGGAGTCTTTCTCTGTCACCAGGCTGGAGTGCAGTGGCATGATCTCGACTCACTGCAACCTCTGACTCCCTGGTTCAAGCTATTCTCCTGCCTCAGCCTCCCAAGTAGCTGGGATTACAGGCATGTGCCACCACACCCAGCTAATTTTTGTATTTTTAGTAGAGACAGGGTTTCACCATGTTGGCCAGGATGGTCTCAATAGCCTGACCTCGTGATCTGCCCACTTCGGTCACCCAAAGTGCTGGGGTTACAGGCGTGAGCCACTGCGCCCGGCCAGACCTGAATCTTTTTGTAGAGTAGCCCAAGTTTATGGTTAAACATCAAGATTATTTACATTCTTGGTGTGGGTTTTGGTAGGCCTAGTAAAGTTTGGTCAAGAGTGTAATCCAGGGATTAGATACAAAGAAAAAATTGGAAATAATGTTTGGCCATTTGGTTGGTCCCTGAAAATGGTAACCTAAGGAAATGGTAGCATTTTGTGAAAGTGGATTTAAATAGCCAGAAGGGTTTAGTCTGAACACTCTGGCAAGTCATGGACCCAGTTAAGCACAAAGTACCTTATAGCCTTCTTTTTCTCCAGTTCTCTAACTCTACAGGGTTTAATGCCTTTGGAATTTTGGATTCCCAATTGTCCTTCCTTTATAGATGAAATAATAAATCTCTCAGATACATAGAACATTACCCACACATTTACAATGCCCCAATACATACTTGCCTAATGAAGTGTATCGTGTCAGTTTGGAAGCCTCAATTACACAGGGTACTTCCCCGTAGTTACATAAATTAATCTTGGTATTTTCAGGGCAAGAAACCAGATCTCTCCTTTTAGAAATCAACTTTACCGGATTAGTGATTCCTTTGAGGAGAATTTGGATGCATTGTAGAAGCCCAGTGGACTGAGTTCAAGAGGAAAGAGGAGAGTCCCAAGCCCATTTTGGAGCATACACTGGGAATAATAACATGGCAGATAAATATTACGGTGTTGAAAGAAGAGCTGTTAGTTCTGAAATGTGGGAACAAGTGTTACTGTCGAGACGCATGTCTGACAAACCGCTCCATAAAGGCAACTTGCTTCATTTGGCAAATTGAATCTAGAAACATAGAACTGATCCAGGCCAGCCCAAAAGGCATTTCTCAAATGGTTTCCATTGTCAGTGCTAACTGGTTTTGTAGCAACTTAAAAAGTCAAAGTAATACATGCTCATAAATCAGAAAATCCAACAATAGTAAATTGTTTATATATCTATGTATATATATGAATATTAGTACTAAACAATAGCTCTAACATGCTCATATATATAAACATTGAGTATGTGTTTCTCTATATGTGTATATATATATGTGTGTGTATATTTATATAAAATCTTACAGTCTCTTGGGCCACCCTCTCTACCCCATTTCTGAGTTTTTTTTTTCTTCAGCTGTTTTTATGTAATATTCCTAAATCATATGTTTCTGTGTGTATGTCAAAGTACTACTTCTTTATTATTATGGTAGATTATAATATATCTTTTTGTACCTCCCAGAGCATCCCTATTCTTCAATATAATTATATCGCAGTTTTAATTACATGCATAGTGCTTATTTTTGTTTTGATTACAAATATTGTTTACGTTGAGTCAAATCACTATGATCACATCTTTATGTTAACATTTTTTCCTAAAGTTATTGCCTCATTTTTAATATTTACTTAGTTTTCTAAGACCCTATAGCTGAAGTTTCCCAGTTGCTCCAACAGCCCGTTGACATATATGTCAAATATAATCTCCTTTTAAAACATTCATCTTCTGTGAGTAGTTATATTCTCAAGTCACCATGTTCTTTTTTTGTCAGTTGCCAAGGAGGATAAGTTAATAATTAGTTGTGCCATATCAGCAACAATTTTAAATGCCTGCCTCCAATGTTTCTTTTATTCTCATTACAGCCAGTTACTCATATTTGGGTAAATAGAAACGATCTGGTTTATTGTAGTTGGTAAATAGCAATCATAACTTGGTTTTATAGTCTCATGAATACTCAATACATTTCAGTGTAAGAAATATCCTTCCTTTCTGAGTACCTTTGACATGTAGTATAGCTTCATCAGAGGAAAGCAAATGATACCTCATGTAATGTTATTTTATGAACCACTAAATGAATGCTCAAAATGACATTTATTTCTTTCCTTCCTGATTTTCTCCCCACTTATTCTTTGAGCCTTGAATTATAGAATCAGGAATGTGAGATACTTTGTTATTGAGAGTAGTTAAAACAGTTCACTTAAAATAATGTGAAACTTTGCCTTTGGAGACGGTGTTCATGCAGATTGCCAGTAGAGGGCCTTGTTAAACTAAGTAAAATTTCACATACAGGCCAATTGCCAACAGTTACAGCCACCCTGTTAAAGAAGCTCTTGTTTTTAGGATTCCTGATAAATAGCAGTAAAACTGTGAAAATGGTATTTTAAAGTGCATCTTATTTATTTCTATAAGGAAAAATTAGATATCTTAACTTTTCATTTTCATTGTTTTCTTAAGAGGAAATTGGAGAATTAGAATAGATCATTAATAAGCCATCAACCAAACCAGGGCTGTGGAGGCCTAGTCATAAAATCTCTCTAGGACATTTATTTTGGAGTTGGGGCCCTGGGATCTGAGCCTTTGGGGAACCCAGTATTGACTGTTGAACATGGCTGAGAGAGATGATGGCTCTCTTGACCTAGGCACAAGTTATACTTGCTGCCTACATTTCAGTGAGCCTTACTCTCAACAAAAGTGGGTTTTCTATTCTATGCAGCTGGACAAGAATCTTCTCACTCTATAGTAAGCCCTCACTTTGGACACAGCAAAGAGAAGCTAGACTCCGAGAGCTGAGAGCGTGTCATGTTCTCCATCACACCCACTTTCCAGTCAAGGAAACAGTGGTGGGGAGGAGCAGGGTAGTCCAGAGCTGTTCTCTTCCTACCTGCTGGCTTGTTTCCAGCTCCTCTTATTCACCCAAATCTCTCCTTCTGGGGAAGGTTCTCTTCTCCCCACTCTATCCTCCTGGGTACAACTTCTTCTCAGCCTAAAGAACACTTCCTGAGGAAGGCTTTCTTTACTTGTGATGTACTCTTGTAGCTCCATCTCTCTGTTTTTCATAGCACTTATCACCCGTATAATTAAATATATCATCAACTATTTGATTAAGAACATCTCCCCATCTAGGCTGTTATGTTTCACAAAAGCAGAGCCTGTGTCTGTTTTGTTTGAAATTGTAACCTTAGGACCTAGAACAGTGGCTGGCCCACAGTAGGCGTCCATCAAATATTTGGTGAATAGATGAATATACACAAGTTTTCTGATTTTTAAATTAGTACTTTCTCTTCTCCATTTTTATACTTACGAAAATATTCATGTTTATACCTCATCTGATGGCATTCAAATCTCATGCAGTCAAAATGCCTGTGGACTCGGGGCACAAAGCTTGGCATTGGGTTTTATACCTAACTTTCAATAAGTGTGTGAGTACCTCTTTATTCCCCATAGTACAAGAATCAGTATTCATGGCATTTGTCCAATGGGGGCTCTATAGGTATGAGAGCAAATGAATAAGAAAATGGGCAAGGATTTCTTTTATCTTCTTATTGATGAAGACAAGAGGAGTGGGAACAGATAGATGTCTTGAGCTTAGTAATGTGCCTTTTTGTTTCCTACTTTGGGCTAGAGATTTTCTAGAGCCCTGTATGCTGTGAAACATTCTTTTCCTGAGACATCATGGTACGTTAGACCAGGATTTGATCTTTGGAGTCAATTAATGCAGACAGTATAATGGAAGGCTTATAACTACAGCTCTTACCCATGTGGCATTTATCCTTGGATATCCCTGGGTTCTGATCTCTGTTCTGAACTCTACTGACTTTGGGCAAGTTATTTAACCTTGTCAGGCATGATTTCCCCATCCATAAAATGTAGTAATTTCAACAGTAGCTGGGTGAGGGGCTCACGCTTATAATCTCAGTGACTCAGGCTGATGTGGGAGGATCACTTGAGGCCAGGAGTTCAAGACCAGCCTGGCCAACATAACAAGACCCCATCTCTAAAAAAACAATTTTAAAAACTTACCTGGGCATGGTGATGTGCACCTGTAGTCTCAGCTACTCAGGAAGCTGAGATTGGAGGATAACTTGAACCCAAGAGTTCCAGGTTGCAGTAAGCCCTGATTGCACCACTGCACTCTAGGCTGTGAGATTCTTAAAAAATCAGCAGCGATTTTGCCCAGTATTTATTAAATGTGTATGATGTGTCTGACCCCATTGTGCTTTCTATTCATATTGTCTCATATAATCCTTAAAACAGACCACTGAGATAGACGTTATTATTAATCCCATTTTTAGATGCAAAAACCAAGGTACCAAGAGGTTAATATGTTCCAGATTACACAGTAATTATTTGAGCCACATATTTAGATTATATTACCTTCTTACAGGTTCATCGTGAAGAATAAATGAGATAAGCTACCTCAAGTGCCTGTACCAAAATAGACTCACAATACATGTAAGTAGTATTAATACGTTATTAATAATACTATTAATACATATTAATAATACTGTTCTCATTATTGGCTCTTATCATTGAGGACGACGTAGGCCCTTGTACTTCAGTGACTGTCTTAGGGCAATGAGAGAGGTGAGGACAGCACTGTGTGTCCCAGGTTTAGGAAGTTGTTTAATCCTAATGTCAAATGTCAACAGTTCCCTTTACTCAGTATTTTGGCACAAATGAGTATTTGCCACTCCAAAACAACTACAGAGAACAATGTGCACCCCCAATCCGCTTCTGGGTCATGAGTGCTTTTATTATGTTCCTGCCATATGGGCTTTTTTTTTTTTTTTTTTTTTTGCTCAGCACATTGCATCTGTTTATGTGATGCCCCTGGCTTTATCATCTCTGCATTTCGTTTGGCAAAATTGTCAAATCCTGTGGTCTTCTGTGTGTGTAGAACTGCTAATTTGAAGTAGAGTAGAAGCAGGTAACGGAGTCAGAAGGGTGTAGGGAGGATGTGACTCCTTCTATAGGGTCTTCATTCAATACCCTTTTTCTGTAGTCCTGGACCATCTTCCCTGGCTGCTCCCTTCCTCTTTCACATCTCTCTGTCTATGCCACCTTATTTCTCAATCTTCTGTCTTCGTTCTTCCCTCTACACCATTTGCATCTCACCTCTCCTATTTTCTCCTCCCTTTTGCTCTTATTCTCCCTCCTCATCTTCATTTATCTCTACTGCTCGTCCTCCTCCTCCTCTCCAGAGCAAAGAAGGGACCATGGTCAGTGTCTCTTAATGAACCAGAGACCAGAGAAAAAGACCACCTCTCCATAATCTTCAAATGCCCTAGGACTTTATTATAATGCTCATCTCATTAAACAAAGAACACATCCACATTACAGGCCAAACGAAAGGGAGACCAAAAGGAGCAAGCAGCATGGTAGAGTGGAGAGTAATCTGAACAGAGAGATTGAACAATTCTATTTGTAAAATCCTGCCATGAGCCAGCTAAAGGACATAGGATCAAGTGTTCCCATCTGCAAAGTGAAGGGGGAGAAGATGAGATGGTCTCAAGGCCGTTTCCAGTGCTGTGATCCTGTTATTCATAGTCACACAATGATTGCAGCCTGATTCACAACACAGGCAATTATCAAAGCACCAAGGAGGAAAGCCCCCACCTCAGGGCAGTGGGCTCAGGGCTGGGCTGCATGCAAGGGCAGCCTGGGGACCCTGGCAGTGTCTGTGATCCCAGTAGTCCCCTGTTTTCCCAAAGTGCCGAGGTGATTCGTCACTGCACAATGCTGTGTGTCCTCACAACAGATGTTAAAGGATCACCCTTGAAAGGGTGTTTCTCCAAAGCATCTAATTATAACCTCTACAGAAGATTAACAGATGTTATAATTGTCTTTCTCCTTTGATTAAATAGTTTCTGCATGAGTAGCTTTCTTAGATTTTCCCTCTATGTTTTGTATGATCTTATAAGGGACTGACATGTCTTCAATTTTGTAGAGATAGTTCCTCAACAGGCTTGGTAAGAATCTGCAGACTCATAATTTCATTATCTCTCTCTCTCTTTCGTTCATATGTCTTTTTATACATAGAAAACCTGGGCAGGCGAGGGCTGTGCTTGTGTAGTCTGAAGTATGGTTATAAAGGTGTCCTGGTGGCAGGAATATGAATGTGGCCAAGAAGCTGGCCTCTCTCTTTGCTATTTGTGGAGGTGACTGATGCTCATGAATGTTATCTAGGAAAAGTTGTGCCAAATGGGAAAGGAAATTTCAGCAAACTGTGTACCAACCAAGCATTCCAGGTGCCAAGCGTGCAAATGAGTGTGTGTGCAGAGAGAAAAACCGCATTCATGATGTGAATGTCTGCAGATTTCTCTTATGATATTTGTTTTGGAAAGACAAGCTATCGGCCAGGAGCATTATCAGCACCAAAAATATTATTTTCATTTCATTATTTAGAACCTAGAATTCTCTCCATTGCTAGGCATGTGGTTTGTATTCTGTTGCTCATTTATTTTACCCTCTATTGAGCTTATCAGGAAGGATGATACCACTAACTACAGGAATAAGAAGACTTCTTTCTCATTGTCTCATTGTCCAAATGAGTATGTTCCTTCTTGAGAAGAGAAAATTATAAGGAAGGGTTTCAGACATTGGAAGAATTTATGAATAATGAAGATGAGAGGAATGGAAATAAGAAATACTTACTCAGATCTTTTAGAGGGATCTGCTTAATAGTAGTCTCCATCTCTCCATACCCAAACGTCTGTCATAAATCAAGGCAAAGGTCACTCCTCAATCAGCCTGAGGGCAGAGAGCAAAATAAGCAAAATAAAACTTGGCTTCACTGAATACATTAGCATTAAACTTTCATTGAAATAAAAAAGAAAGATTCTTGAATTGGTTTATCAAATAGGTCCTATGTAAATTCAATCTCCACTTTCATCTGCACTTGCTAAGGAAGAGAAGGGAAGATGAGTATTTTCTTAGTGTACAATCTACACTGAATACACATGCTACTGGAAAATCAAAGGGGAAAACATTTATCTTTATGGGTTTCATAACATAGTGGGGAGAAGGAGTTAATCCCACGTGGGGCGTTTAAAGAATACTACACACCAATCAGTAGGATTAAGTTCCAAATGAATGATCAGAGGTTTGACAAATGAAAAGTTTTTATAAGTAGGTGGCTAGGATCGTGAACATTCTACAGTCCATATCATATTAGAAATGGCTAAATAAATTAGATTTATTTGGGACATTTGGAAGAGGAAAATGTTTAACCTTTTTTATTGAAGTATAAAATACATACAGATAATTGCACCTAAGTATAAAGCTTGATAAATTTTTATAAACTGAATATACCCATATCACTAATCCTCAAAACAAGAAATATTGCCAGCACCCTAGAAGCCTTCCTCAAATTCCCTTTCAGTCACATTCTCTAAGGTAACCACCATACTGACTTCCAGTGGCTTAGATTAATTTGGCCTTTTGTGTACTTTATCTAATTGGAATCATACGGTTTGTGTAATTTTGTGTCTGGCTTCTTTCCTTCAAATTATGTTTGTGTGATTCATCTGTATTGCTGTGTTTAATTATAACTTTATGCACATTGTTGTATAATATTCCATTGTGTGACTCTGCCACCATATAGTCTTCCTACTATGGATGGGCATTTGGATATTTTCCAATTTTGGACCATGACACATAGTTCTATTATGAATATGCTGGCACATGTCTCTCATGTCTCTTGGTAAACAAATATACACATATATGTTAAGAGTGCTTGTGTAATTGCTACACATAGCAATAATAGAGTATCTCAGATCTAATGCCCAACAGTCTTTCAAGGGGATTATACCAATTTATACTCCCAGGAACAATATATGAAAGGAAGTGTGGTATTTTAATTTACTCAAGAAAGCAGCACTATGACTAAGAATGGAAGTTAAAGAGAAGTTACTGTGGTCTAATATTAGGAAGAACTTTTGTTCATTTAGAAACAAGGTGAGAACTTATGAAAAAGATTCTTTTCCCTGGAAGTCCTCAGACAATGCTGGAATGGGCTTCATTGCAAAGGCAGGTGAGCTGGAGGATTCCAAGGCTTTTTTGATCTATAAGCCTTGTATATGCAATATAGTGAGCTCCAGGGAAATTTGAACACGAAAGAAAATGAAGAGGACATTGTGGTGGACCAGATAGTCAGATTGTAGAAGACCAGACTTAAGCCAGAGCAATTACACAGACAGTGCTGACTCTGTGAGTAGACGAGAGCCATTCAAGGAAGGGAGACAGTGGTGGAATTGAGTGAGGTCATAAAAAGAGATAATATGTTAGTCGGTGGAAGAAAGAACAGCATTTTGCATGCAAAAGCAGGTTCATTATAGAGTCCCAATGGAACACAGGGTGAAGCAGTTCATGCTACCGAATGCTTAGAACTAATTATGAGAATTGTAAAGCAAAGCAGAGATGTTTGATCAGCTCTGACAGAGATCAAGTGATGCCCTTAAGATGTCCCGGGGAAAAGTTGTTCCACAGGGAGGTGGCCAAATAACACCAAGACAACAAGAACACTTCCAAGGTTGCAGAAAGGGTAACCTTTCTGCAAGATTCTTTGGTAGCTATGCAGTGCTTCAACTTCTGCTCTCATCTCCTCCACACCTAGATACCTCTGACTTGTAACTTCAGTTCATGTGTGACTTCAGTTTCCCCCCTTGCCTTGGAACAACTCCTGGTATGTCTTCACAGCTGATTTCTTTTATAGGGACCCCAATCACCAGCCCATGGTACCTGATATTGACCAAGCACCCCAATGAACTTGGTTCTTGTCATTGCCAATTTCCCATTGTATCGGTAGGGTCAACATATCCCATACTTGGCAAAGAGTTATTTTGGATCAAATTCCATCTGACTTCATTTTGTATCTTTCACTTTATTTTGATGCTGTATTTCATGATTTCTAATAGACATGAGAAATATATTGTATAAGTCAGTACTAGGAACTGATCAGAGTACTAAGAAATCACTGGGTCATAACTCCTTTGTACTTCAACTGCTGGGAAGCTCAGAGCCAAATTGACATGTGTAATTACCAATGTTCTGTTGGTTCATATACCTTACCTTTGCAACATTTTTCTCTCATCTTTACTTTGTACTTTGTGGCAAAGCAGAATTTTAAGATGGAAACTAAGATCCAGGTCCCCATTGTACGATTCCCTCCCCAAGTGAGGACAGAACCTGAGAATATAACAGATAACACTTTTGTGATTAGACTGCATTATATGGCAATTGTGGAAGGACTTTTGTAGGTATAATTAAGGTCCCTAATCAGTTGACTTTGAGTGAATAAAAACAGGAGATTTTCTTGGGTGGGCCTGACCTCATCAGGCAAGCTCCTTAAAAGATTATCTACAGGTCAGAAACTAGAAGCCTCAGAGATTCTGCTGCTGGCCTCGAAGAAGCAAGTCATCATGAGCTTTACAGCCACAAGCAAGGAAATAAATTCTTCCTCAAACCACATGAGCTTGGGAGAGGACCCAGAGCCTCAGATGAGATCCCAGACACCTGAGGTCTGACACTTGACACATTGATTTTAGCCTTGTGAGAACTGAGTAGAGGTTCCAGCTAAGCTCTGCTCAGATTCCTGGTTCATAGACACTGTGAGATAATAAATGTGTATTATTCTAAGCCACTAAATTTGTGGTAACTTGTTACACAGCAATAGATAACAAATATATACATTCTTACCATCTCTATTTCTGTATATAACTCATTTATTATGTATATAGCCTCTTTAATTATTTTTGGGATTTGATCAAAATTGAGCGGGTTGAGCAATAAATTAGTGTCCTAAGTCCCCTTACTACTGCTCCAGGGTGACTAGGGATGATGCTGTCTCCTTCATGGCCTCAGGCTCCTTCCTGCTTCTGTGATTTGGCTCTAGCCCACACTTCTACTGGGAATGTCTTCTATCATCATCTCCACCTATTTAAACTCCATCTAACCTTAGAGGCCCTGCTTCAGATCCACAACCACCGTAATTCCTGGAATCTGATTTTTTGAGTTCTTTTTCAACCCCTATTTCCAAATCCCTGCAGTTGTGGTTCCCAAGTTTGGGCTGACGACATTAAAAATGCAGATTCCCAGCATTCCTTCCCTGCCTGCCTGCCCCAGGAATTCAGGTTCATTATGGAGTTTTTGGAAGCCTTTAATAAGTGACACTTCTGGACAGCTAGGTTTGGCAACTCATTGCTCTGCCATATTCATACCAGTTGGCTCTGCATAGAGCGCCCAGTGCGATTTACTGCCTGTGCTTAAGGATTTCAAAACTTATAGTCCACCTCTAGTCTGGACAGCATACTGTATATTCCTGTATTTATCTTGACCATAGTTTTATTATTTTCCCACTTATATCCTGCCCGTTTACTTTTTATTTATTTTATCATTTGGTTTTTGTGTGTATTTTTGTAAGTAATCACAAATCCTTTGGGGGAATGAGGTTGGAAATAAGTACATAAACAGAAAAAGAATGTACTCTAATATTTTAATGTGCATGAATCTTGTTTCCCTGACAACAGTAAAACTTTTTAAAACTTGGGCTCTGACTTCTACTTGCTTCATGCCCTCATCATACCTTGGACAATTTGAGCATATAGCAACAGTGTTCAGAAAACTAAAGATTGATGGTTGAACTGATAAGAAAGGGATTTGTTCTGTAAAAAGAGTGTTCGTTCATCTGCTTTCTTTCCCCCTCATGGCTTGCCCCACCCGCTTCTCAATCTTTTTTTTTTCTTTTTCTTTTTTTTTTATTATACTTTAAGTTTTAGGGTACATGTGCACATTGTGCAGGTTAGTTACATATGTATACATGTGCCATGCTGGTGCACTGCACCCACTAACTCGTCATCTAGCATTAGGTATATCTCCCAATGCTATCCATCCCCCCTCCCCCCACCCCACCACAGTCCGCAGAGTGTGATATTCCCCTTCCTGTGTCCATGTGATCTCATTGTTCAATTCCCACCTATGAGTGAGAATATGCGGTGTTTGGTTTTTTGTTCTTGCGATAGTTTACTGAGAATGATGATTTCCAATTTCATCCATGTCGCTACAAAGGACACGAACTCATCATTTTTTATGGCTGCATAGTATTCCATGGTGTATATGTGCCACATTTTCTTAATCCAGTCTATCATTGTTGGACATTTGGGTTGGTTCCAAGTCTTTGCTATTGTGAATAATGCCGCAATAAACATACGTGTGCATGTGTCTTTATAGCAGCATGATTTATAGTCATTTGGGTATATACCCAGTAATGGGATGGCTGGGTCAAATGGTATTTCTAGTTCTAGATCCCTGAGGAATCGCCACACTGACTTCCACAATGGTTGAACTAGTTTACAGTCCCACCAACAGTGTAAAAGTGTTCCTATTTCTCCACATCCTCTCCAGCACCTGTTGTTTCCTGACTTTTTAATGATCGCCATTCTAACTGGTGTGAGATGGTATCTCATTGTGGTTTTGATTTGCATTTCCCTGATGGCCAGTGATGATGAGCATTTTTTCATGTGTTTTTTGGCTGCATAAATGTCTTCTTTTGAGAAGTGTCTGTTCATGTCCTTCGCCCACTTTTTGATGGGGTTGTTTGTTTTTTTCTTGTAAATTTCTTTGAGTTCATTGTAGATTCTGGATATTAGCCCTTTGTCAGATGAGTAGGTTGCAAAAATTTTCTCCCATTTTGTAGGTTGCCTGTTCACTCTGATGGTAGTTTCTTTTGCTGTGCAGAAGCTCTTTAGTTTAATTAGATCCCATTTGTCAATTTTGTCTTTTGTTGCCATTGCTTTTGGTGTTTTAGACATGAAGTCCTTGCCCATGCCTATGTCCTGAATGGTAATGCCTAGGTTTTCTTCTAGGGTTTTTATGGTTTTAGGTCTAACGTTTAAATCTTTAATCCATCTTGAATTGATTTTTGTATAAGGTGTAAGGAAGGGATCCAGTTTCAGCTTTCTACATATGGCTAGCCAGTTTTCCCAGCACCATTTATTAAATAGGGAATCCTTTCCCCATTGCTTGTTTTTCTCAGGTTTGTCAAAGATCAGATAGTTGTAGATATGCGGCGTTATTTCTGAGGGCTCTGTTCTGTTCCATTGATCTATATCTCTGTTTTGGTACCAGTACCATGCTGTTTTGGTTACTGTAGCCTTGTAGTATAGTTTGAAGTCAGGTAGTGTGATGCCTCCAGCTTTGTTCTTTTGGCTTAGGAGTGACTTGGTGATGCGGGCTCTTTTTTGGTTCCATATGAACTTTAAAGTAGTTTTTTCCAATTCTGTGAAGAAAGTCATTGGTAGCTTGATGGGGATGGCATTGAATCTATAAATTACCTTGGGCAGTATGGCCATTTCATGATATTGATTCTTCCTACCCATGAGCATGGAATGTTCTTCCATTTGTTTGTATCCTCTTTTATTTCCTTGAGCAGTGGTTTGTAGTTCTCCTTGAAGAGGTCCTTCACATCCCTTGTAAGTTGGATTCCTAGGTATTTTATTATCTTTGAAGCAATTGTGAATGGGAATTCACTCATGATTTGGCTGTTTGTCTGTTGTTGGTGTATAAGAATGCTTGTGATTTTTGTACATTGATTTTGTATCCTGAGACTTTGCTGAAGTTGCTTATCAGCTTAAGGAGATTTTGGGCTGAGACAATGGGGTTTTCTAGATATACAATCATGTCGTCTGCAAACAGGGACAATTTGACTTCCTCTTTTCCTAATTGAATACCCTTTATTTCCTTCTCCTGCCTGATTGCCCTGGCCAGAACTTCCAACACTATGTTGAATAGGAGTGGTGAGAGAGGGCATCCCTGTCTTGTGCCAGTTTTCAAAGGGAATGCTTCCAGTTTTTGCCCATTCAGTATGATATTGGCTGTGGGTTTGTCATAGATAGCTCTTATTATTTTGAAATACGTCCCATCAATACCTAATTTATTGAGAGTTTTTAGCATGAAGGGTTGTTGAATTTTGTCAAAGGCTTTTTCTGCATCTATTGAGATAATCCTGTGGTTTTTGTCTTTGGCTCTGTTTATATGCTGGATTACATTTATTGATTTGCATATATTGAACCAGACTTGCATCCCAGGGTTGAAGCCCACTTGATCATGTTGGATAAGCTTTTTGATGTGCTGCTGGATTCGTTTTGCCAGTATTTTATTGAGGATTTTTGCATCAATGTTCATCAAGGATATTGGTCTAAAATTCTCTTTTTTTGTTGTGTCTCTGCCTGGCTTTGGTATCAGAATGATGCTGGCCTCATAAAATGAGTTAGGGAGGATTCCCTCTTTTTCTATTGATTGGAATAGTTTCAGAAGGAATGGTACCAGTTCCTCCTTGTACCTCTGGTAGAATTCAGCTGTGAATCCATCTGGTCCTGGACTCTTTTTGGTTGGTAAACTATTGATTATTGCCACAATTTCAGCTCCTGTTATTGGTCTATTCAGAGATTCAACTTCTTCCTGGTTTAGTCTTGGGAGAATGTATGTGTTGAGGAATTTATCCATTTCTTCTAGATTTTCTAGTTTATTTGCGTAGAGGTGTTTGTAGTATTCTCTGATGGTAGTTTGTATTTCTGTGGGATCGGTGGTGATATCCCCTTTATCATTTTTTATTGTGTCTATTTGATTCTTCTCTCTTTTTTTCTTTATTAGTCTTGCTAGTGGTCTATCAATTTTGTTGATCCTTTCAAAAAACCAGCTCCTGGATTCATTGATTTTTTGAAGGGTTTTTTTGTGTCTCTATTTCCTTCAGTTCTGCTCTGATTTTAGTTATTTCTTGCCTTCTGCTAGCTTTTGAATGTGTTTGCTCTTGCTTTTCTAGTTCTTTTAATTGTGATGTTAGGGTGTCAATTTTGGATCTTTCCTGCTTTCTCTTGTGGGCATTTAGTGCTATAAATTTCCCTCTACACACTGCTTTGAATGCGTCCCGGAGATTCTGGTATGTTGTGTCTTTGTTCTCATTGGTTTCAAAGAACATCTTTATTTCTGCCTTCATTTCATTATGTACCCAGTAGTCATTCAGGAGCAGGTTGTTCAGTTTCCATGTAGTTGAGCGGTTTTGAGTGAGATTCTTAATCCTGAGTTCTAGTTTGATTGCACTGTGGTCTGAGAGATAGTTTGTTATAATTTCTGTTCTTTTACATTTGCTGAGGAGAGCTTTACTTCCAACTATGTGGTCAATTTTGGAATAGGTGTGGTGTGGTGCTGAAAAAAAATGTATAGTCTGCCATTATTAATGTGTGGGAGTCTAAGTCTCTTTGTAGGTCACTCAGGACTTGCTTTATGAACCTGGGTGCTCCTGTATTGGGTGCATATATATTTAGGATAGTTAGCTCTTCTTGTTGAATTGATCCCTTTACCATTATGTAATGGCCTTCTTTGTCTCTTTTGATCTTTGTTGGTTTAAAGTCTGTTTTATCAGAGACTAGGATTGCAACCCCTGCCTTTTTTTG
Source organism: Homo sapiens (assembly GCF_000001405.40). Lineage (NCBI taxonomy): Eukaryota > Metazoa > Chordata > Mammalia > Primates > Hominidae > Homo > Homo sapiens. Next base: position 133,549,054 of record NC_000002.12, on the reverse strand, counting down.
TTTTCCATTTGCTTGGTAGATCTTCCTCCATCCTTTTATTTTGAGCCTATGTGTGTCTCTGCATGTGAGATGGGTTTCCTGAATACAGCACACTGATGGGTCTTGACTCTTGATCCAATTTGCCCGTCTGTGTCTTTTAATTGGAGCATTTAGTCCATTTACATTTAAAGTTAATATTGTTATGTGTGAATTTGATCCTGTCATTATGATGTTAGCTGGTGATTTTGCTCGTTAGTTGATGTAGTTTCTTCCTAGTCTCGATGGTCTTTACGTTTTGGCATGATTTTGCAGCGGCTGGTACCGGTTTTTCCTTTCCATGTTTAGCGCTTCCTTCAGGAGCTCTTTTAGGGCAGGCCTAGTGGTGACAAAATCTCTCAGCATTTGCTTGTCTGTGAAGTATTTTATTTCTCCTTCACTTATGAAGCTTAGTTTGGCTGGATATGAAATTCTGGGTTGAAAATTCTTGTCTTTAAGAATGTTGAATATTGGCCCCCACTCTGTTCTGGCTTGTAGGGTTTCTGCCGAGAGATCCGCTGTTAGTCTGATGGGCTTCCCTTTGAGGGTAACCCGACCTTTCTCTCTGGCTGCCCTTAACATTTTTTCCTTCATTTCAACTTTGGTGAATCTGACAATTATGTGTCTTGGAGTTGCTCTTCTCGAGGAGTATCTTTGTGGCATTCTCTGTATTTCCTGAATCTGAACATTGGCCTGCCTTGCTAGATTGGGGAAGTTCTGCTGGATAATATCCTGCAGAGTGTTTTCCAACTTGGTTCCATTCTCCCCATCACTTTCAGGTACACCAATCAGATGTAGATTTGGTCTTTTCACATAGTCCCATATTTCTTGGAGGTTTTGCTCATTTCTTTTTATTCTTTTTTCTCTAACCTTCCCTTCTCGCTTCATTTCATTCATTTCATCTTCCATTGCTGATACCCTTTCTTCCAGTTGATCGCATTGGCTCCTGAGGCTTCTGCATTCTTCACGTAGTTCTCAAGCCTTGGTTTTCACCTCCATCAGCTCCTTTAAGCACTTCTCTGTATTGGTTATTCTAGTCATACATTCTTCTAAATTTTTTTCAAAGTTTTCAACTTCTTTGCCTTTGGTTTGAATGTCCTCCCGTAGCTCAGAGTAATTTGATCGTCTGAAGCCTTCTTCTCTCAGCTCGTCAAAGTCATTCTCCATCCAGCTTTGTTCCGTTGCTGGTGAGGAACTGCGTTCCTTTGGAGGAGGAGAGGCGCTCTGCGTTTTAGAGTTTCCAGTTTTTCTGTTCTGCTTTTTCCCCATCTTTGTGGTTTTATCTACTTTTGGTCTTTGATGATGGTGATGTACAGATGGGTTTTCGATGTGGATGTCCTTTCTGTTTGTTAGTTTTCCTTCTAACAGACAGGAACCTCAGCTGTAGGTCTGTTGGAATACCCTGCCGTGTGAGGTGTCAGTGTGCCCCTGCTGGGGGGTGCCTCCCAGTTAGGCTGCTCGGGGGTCAGGGGTCAGGGACCCACTTGAGGAGGCAGTCTGCCGGTTCTCAGATCTCCAGCTGCATGCTGGGAGAACCACTGCTCTCTTCAAAGCTGTCAGACAGGGACACTTAAGTCTGCAGAGGTTACTGCTGTCTTTTTGTTTGTCTGTGCCCTGCCCCCAGAGGTGGAGCCTACAGAGGCAGGCAGGCCTCCTTGAGCTGTGGTGGGCTCCACCCAGTTCGAGCTTCCTGGCTGCTTTGTTTACCTAATCAAGGCTGGGCAATGGCGGGTGCCCCTCCCCCAGCCTCTCTGCCGCCTTGCAGTTTGATCTCAGACTGCTGTGCTAGCAGTCAGCGAGACTCCGTGGGCGTAGGACCCTCCGAGCCAGGTGTGTGATATAATCTCGTGGCGCGCCGTTTTTTAAGCCGGTCCGAATAGCGCAATATTCGGGTGGGAGTGACCCAATTTTCCAGGTGCGTCCGTCACCCCTTTCTTTGCCTTGGAAAGGGAACTCCGTGACCCCTTGCACTTCCCAAGTGAGGCAATGCCTCGCCCTGCTTCAGCTCGCGCACGGTGCGCGCACCCACTGGCCTGCGCCCACTGTCTGGCACTCCCTAGTGAGATAAACCCGGTACCTCAGATGGAAATGCAGAAATCACCCGTCTTCTGTGTTGCTCACGCTGGGAGCTGTAGACCGTAGCTGTTCCTATTCGGCCATCTTGGCTCCTCCCCTTTCTCAATCTTTTGAAGCATTGGACAAAGAATTGCTCTTTTTCCTAGACCCAAGCATTCCAGGTTAGCAGAATGCCTAGATAGGGTTGTAGAATTAATGGGAGGGCTCATTATGTCTCTCAGAGTTTTCATATGCCTGAAATGGTTTTACACCAAGTGTTTTTTTTGTTGTTGTTTTGTTTTTTTGTTTTGTTTTGTTTTGTTTTTGCCTGCTGGTGCTGGGAACAGGCATATTCTAGGCACAGGGTGGGGGCATCCCTCAATCATTGAGCACTGCCCTCTGCTCTTCCAAAGCCCCACTGAATGAGCCACATTCAGGATAACCGTGCCCTTATGTCAAAGCACACATCGCGTGATATCCCTTGAAACTCTATAGCGCAGCTTGTATATCTGGTAAGTGGAGTATACATGAGCAGGACGGCAGGTTTATCACACAGAGCTGAAGAATGCTCCAGGGAAGTTCCACAGAGGCAGTCATTGTGGAAAATCTGATAAATTGTACTCTTCTAAATACTCCTTTTAAGCCCTTTCTACCGTTTTGAAAATACATAATCTCTTGGGCAATAATGAGTTTCCTGACTCTTTCTCTTTCTCCTGTCCTTTCTGCAAATCTGTTCACTCAGATACTCCTCAGTGGGGGCACTTTTTCACCTTTGGCTTCCTCTTGGATGTACTTCACTGTATCTGAAGATCTGAGCTCAGCCAGTTGGGCATGGTTAAGATGTGTTCTGAGTCTGTGTGTTTGTGTGTGCGTACACATGCAAGGCGGGGGTGTGGGGGGTGTGTGTGTGCATATGAGCAATGCATTTGTGTTTCAGCATTTCTGGTTTTGCCCTTTCAGTTAGACAAAACCAGACTATTATTTTGTTCCGGCTCAGATTTCCAAATTAAACTAATCGAATCTAGTACCATAACAAACCAAAATAATTTCAGGGCATTTTTAGCAAACGGTATCAATCTTCTACAAAAACAACAGTATTTTCCTGATGAAGAGGTTTGTGTATCATTTTCTCCAATGTCATTGGGATTATGCTTAAGCCATTATGTATCTTTTATCATTGTAAAAGATAAGCGTTTGGACTGTCGAATCCTGCCTCTCCCCTCCTCCCTTCTATGCTATCTTCTTGTAAGGTACGAAATTCTCACACATAACTTCAAAATGTTTCAATTTTGTTTCTTAGGCCAGGTAGATACATAGTTAGTGAGTGCCAATGAAAGCATTATAACAAGGTAGATTGTTAGATCTAGTAGTGGGTGCTAGGTGCGGTAACCACTGAGGTAGATTCGACTTGGAGCCTGCCCTTGTGGGATGGCAGAGCCCACAGGCAGATAGGCAGCCTATCAAACTCTGTATCATGATGCTGATCAATGGAAACAAATATGCATATTTTTAGAGGTCATACCTGTCTTTCAGTTTCCGTCATCTCCTTCACTCTCTGCCTTGGACAGCAGCTTCCTAAATCTGCGCAAACTATTGGCAGAGGGAAGTAGAGGACCAAACGCGTCAGCCAGCTTCCGCTAGCTAGGTGCACCTTGTGAATTTGGTCACCCAACTTGGCTGTTTCTGCATCTCCTGCCACACTGACTTCAAGCAGAACTAGGCAGGCAATCTTGCCAAGAATAGCATGAGCAAAAAGTTTAATATTCTAAAAGAGATAATGAAGAAAAATAGATGAAGAAAAAACTGATTGTAGCTTGAGATTGTCCACACTAGCTGCCTCTGTTATTTGGTTCTACATCTCTTTCCTTTTGAGTGTCCCTCCCAGTGCCTGATCAGGACTTTGTATAAGCCCTCGTTTTGTAGGGACCCAGGGGAGTTCTGTCTTCCTGCCTGCCTTAAACAGACTTTCAAAACTATGGAGAACTACCCTTAAGATGAGGCTGTGAATAATATGGGGTCATGGGAGTTCTGGGTTAATGATATTGATCAGAGTGGCTTGCAAATGAATTATTCTATAGGCAGGAGAGACTTTGAGATGTGAATTTGATTCTGAAGGCTGATAGTTACATTTCTGGGAAGTTGTGGGCATCATTCTCTGCCTTTCTGAACTGAAAGTATAAGTAATCATTGGGATAGAACAGGAAGGAGACAGTGATTTAGATTAATAGAAATTTGGTTGTATTTGAAAGGAAAGGGCACCTTTAGCTATTTATCCTAGAAAACAGTTCATCCATTTGTGTGAAGAGACATGCACAAGAATGCACACTGCAGTAGCATCTGTAATAGTGATAAGTTATTTGTCAGTGAAGTGCCCATCAACAGGGAAGGAAAAAATCAAACAAATAATACTCCATTCACACGATGGAGCCCGAGTCATCATTAAAGAATTGAAGAAGAGCTATTGGTATCTTGACATGGAAAGACCTCTGTGACATATTATTAAGTGGGGAAAAAATCAAATTGTCAAGAAATATGTATAATAGGGTATCATTTATGTTTATTAAAAAGCTTACATATTAAATAAGTACATGTATTTTCCATGTAGGTTTCTACATAATTTTAACTTTTTACTTTAAGAAGATATTCATGATTACTTTTTAAAAAGAATGATATATTGTGTGTGTTTGTGTATACACGTGTATATTTGTATATATTTTAATAATAGAATATTCTGAAGGAATGTTTCATGGAATAATGAAAAAGAGATTTATTTTTTTCCAAATAAGTAACCTGAGGTAACCAAAGGTAATATAAAAGAGGAATGAAATCTCAGTTTTTCTCTGGGTGCATCAGTTTCCAGACATGGCAATTTTAATTCAAGATACAAATCAACGCTGTTAAGATACAAATCATCAGCTATTTCTAAGTAGTCATGAAGCAGCATAAGTTATTTGCAAAGAAATCCATTGCTCAGTAGTTTAACTTCATTTCAAACAAGATAAGCTTGTTCTAGATATTCAGTACTGGGATAGAGATAACCAGATAAATGAGCTGTGGCTTCTGTTCTTGAGGGGAACCAATCTAGTGGGAAAGACAGACAAGCAAACACCTACCACTTGCTTGTGAGTCCACACTGTAATACTCCAAGACTGAATGAAGTACCCCAGAAGGGGAACAAGTTGTAGACACACAAAGGAAGAAATAAGTATTGATTGTTTTTAGGGAAATAAAGATACAGTTTTCATAAGGAGCATGTGAGGCTGATTTTCTAGACCCCAAATTTGGTAGATTTTGTAGGTCTTTTGGTAGACCTTCATTTCCCACAGGGGAAATAAAGATGGAGAAAGCCAAAGGCCTGGGGCCACAATGCTAGTCAATAGACTAGAGGTTTTGGTGCTGATGAAAATTTCATTTTTGAAACTTAGGAGTGATAATATCAGACTGAAATAATACTATTGGATGTGAAGCTTCCAGTGACCTACAAAAAGAGACAATTTTATCTGGTTACTTTGAATAGCTAACATTTCTCGTACACTTACTTGGTACTGTGCTGAGTACCTTGTATTAGTCCATTTTGCATTGCTATAAAGGAATACCAGAGGCTGGGTAATTTATAAAGAGAAGAAGTTTAATTGGGTCACAGTTCTGCTGGTTGTACAAGCATGGTGCCAGCATCTGCTTGGCTTCTGGTGAGACCTCAGGAGCTTACAATCATGGTGGAAGACAAAGGGGGAGCCGGTATATCACATGGCGAGAGAGTGAACAAGAGAGAGAGGGAGGAGGCCCCAGGTCTTTTAAACAACCAGATCTCATGTTAACTCATAGAATCAGAACTCACACATTACTGCAAGGACAGTACCAAGCCATTTATGAGTGATCCACACTTTTGACCCAAATACCTCCCACTAGGTCCCCCCTCCAACATTGGAGGTCACATTTCAACATGAGATTTGGAGGGGACAAAACATTTAAACCATATCATACTTCATATAAATGATCTCATTTAATACTTATAACAATCTACAAGGTAAATAGTATTATGATCCTACCTATGGTATACATAGTGTTGTTATTTCCATTTTATAAATAAGAAAAGTAGAGACCAGAGAAGCTAACTTAAGTGATTTTATATCACCACCTTAAAACTCCTGATTTTATCCATATGCCAATACTGCACCAGAAGTAGAAGACCTTCAGATTTTATCGTGAAGGGAGTATCAGAAGTATAGTCTGCAGAGTTTAAGAATTTCCAGGAGATGACAAGAACGTAATACATAGCTATTCAGATGGACCCCTCAAATGGTGATGGGATGAAGATCACAGTGTAAAAGATGTCAAGGTAGTCTGTGCAAACACTGGAGCCACTGCTGGTTATGTGAGCAGGGAGGAAAGGAGAACTGCGATTTCACTGGCACTGTGAAATATGGCGGCATGTTCTGAGGTTTGCTACTTGAAGGCTAAGGAAGGTTTAAAACTGGATAGCGTGGGATGACAGGGTAGTGGTGGAGGACATTAGCAATCTCTCCCCGTTTACCTGAAGCAAATGATCGTGGATTTTCCCAAAGTTAAGCTACTATAATTTGGAAACCACCTACATGTCCAATAAGGAGTAGCTAAAACACATTATAGGATTATAGGACATCCAATTAATGAGATACTGGGCAGTCCTCAAATATGGTACTGTGGAAGAATACTTAATGACATTAAATTATACTTAGTACGTAGCTGTAGGTGGAGAATTATGGAGTATGCATTCCCATTTTTGTAACTGTATTGTCATAGACATTCGTCATGTTCGTGACTGCTTGTGATCTCATGAACAGCTTTTCTATGTTTAGGGACATCCCCATGATATAACCATCTCCTCCCCAACATTGAAACCAGAACTCAAATTTTCAGCCTCACAACTGGGATGCAGGCATATGATCTCAGCTCCACCAACCAGATGTACCATGTGAGAGAATTCAGTCCTGAAGTGAGTCAAGTGTGCAAACAATCCCGTGCAAACCCTTCCATTTTATTGAACAGGTGGGGACATTTTATTGAGGGAGTTCATGGGAGAAACTGTTTTGGAGGCAGCAGCAGTAGCAGCTTCCTCCTCAGCCTAGTTTTGCAAAGTGGTTTGGGGCATTGTTTATGGCGACTTAGTCCTCAGCCTAGCTCCCAGCCCTCTCTATTTTGTGAAAGATCTGACACTTAAAAAAAAAAATCTCCTTTATAAACTTCTTAGTCAATATCATGTAGTTACAGCCCAATGTTAACACTAATTTTTTTGTTTTACTCTTTTTCTTATTTTTTTTTTGGCAAACATTTATTCAACAAAAAATTATTAACTGTCTACCATTGCTGAGAACTCAGCCAAGTCCTAAAGGAGCAAAGATGCTTATGATGCTTTCTTTGCCTCCAGTCCACATATTATGTATACAGTCAGGAATGTTTCTTTAAATAATCTTGGCAATGATTTTTCTAAAGGCTGTATGAGCATATAATGAGTTTGAAGGATCGTGATGTAATTACCATATATTGCATAAAATGTATTTAAATTATTGTAGCCATCTTTGATTTAATTTTATTACTAAATTAGGCTATTTTCTCTGTGAATGTTGCTCTCATGTTTTGTTCTCATTTATGTAGTTCCCAACTTTAGTTGAATCCTTTTACTTTTCTCTTTTCCATTTAAAATATTGTGATTTTAAATTTATCATATTATATTTTTCAATTAAAAGTTTTAACAAAGTAGGAAAGACAATGAGACAAAAATTCATGAAGTTACCTTCAAAAGGATTTAATTTTTTATGTTTTTTATTTCTACCCCTCTGCTTGGATTTGATTTGATAATTTTGTTATTTGTTTAGTGGTTACCTTATAATTTGTGACATGCATATTAATTTTAATGTCTATATATATAAAATACTTATATATTTATAACAAAGAATAAGATTTATTTAGTATCTTTATACCCTTTAAAAATAACACTAAGACCTTATCGTGTTTCCCTTACCCATTGAAACCCACTGTGATTTTTTTTCTTTCTTTTTTTTTTTTTTTTTTGAGACAGAGTCTTGTGCTGTCACCCAGGCTGGAGTGCAGTAGCCAATCTCGGCTTGCTGCACCTCCACCTCCTGGGTTTAAGAGATTTTCATGCCTCAGCCTCCCGAGTAGCTGGAATTACAGGTGCATGCCACCACGCCTGGCTAATTTTTGTGTTTTTAGCAGTGATGGGGTTTCACCATGTTGGCTAGGCTGGACTTGAACTCACAACCTCAGGTGATCCACCTGCCTCAGCCTCCCAAAGTGCTGGCATTATAGGTATGAGCCACTGTGCCTGGCCTTCAATTGCTATTTTTAATGGCAATAGATAATTAGATTTATAAACATGTTTGATCCATGTCTTTGCTTACTGCAATCTCCTATATTCTACTCCTTCTCTCTCATTTTTTGCTAAAGTATATCCTTCATTATTTTAGTGAGTGTCTGGGGAAGGTAAAAACGTGTGTTTTTAGTAAGTCTAAAAAGTTTTTATTTTTCCCTCATTCTTGGATTATGTTTTAGCTCAATTTGAAATTCTAAGTTCACAGTTATTTGCTGTAAACACTTTGATTACATCATTGTCTTGTGTTCATTCATTAATTTTTGCTAACTAGAAATATCCTGGCAGTCTAGCTCTCTAATAGGATTTCATTTTATGTCATTTAAAAAACATCTCTCATATGTGTTAGGATTTTGTCTTTCACTTGAGGTTTTTATGGTTTTAATAGTATACATGTTGATATGCATAGCATTTTTCTTTTTCTTTTTTCTTTTTAGATGGAGTTTCACTCTGTCACCCAGGCTGGAGTGCAGTGGTGTGATCTCGGCTCACTGCAAGCTCTGCCTCCCGGGTTCAAGCAATTCCCCTACCGCAGCCTCCTGAGTAGCTGGGACTGTCAGGGACGTGCTACCACGCCCAGCTAACTTTATGTATTTTTAGTAGAGATGGGGTTTCACTGTGTTAGCCAGGATGGTCTCGATCTCCTGACCTCATGATCTGCCTGCCTCGGCCTTCCAAAGTGCTGGGATTACAGGCGTGAGCCACCGCGCCCAGCCTGTATAGTATTTTTCACATGTTCTTCTGTTTTGAAAATTTCTCAGCCCTTATCTCTTAGGATATTTGTTCTATGTTATTCTATTTTCTCTTTTCAGAATTCCTTGGATACATTTTGGAGACTTTGAATGGATATTTTTTCTCTTCAACTTTTCTCTCTGTGCTTTATTCTAGGTGGATTCATCAGCATAAGTTTTTAATTCATTAATTATCCCTTTGATTGTCTTTTCTAGATTTTGTCTTATTGGCATTTCATTTTAGACCGTAGTTTTTTTCTGTAGATTTATAGTAGATCTTCTTCCTATACATTTGTTTTTGTTTCTTATTTGCCTGTTCTTGTATCATATTTCTCATCCTTTTTATGATTGGTATTCTATTTTATGTTTTGGTTTTTATTTCTTTTTACTGTCAGTTTTAGCTTTTCATTGTTTTCGTTTGTTTGATGTTGAATTATCTGTATTTTTTATTTTGCTTGTCTTCTTAGTTTTGTGTGCTTTAAACTGTCAATTTCATCTTGAATTGGAGCTTCCTCTCATCTCTGTGCACACTTCTCCTCACCTAGAGGATTTATGGATGCCTCTGGGAAGCTTACCAGACACCCCAACTAGAACTAGGTTTTATGAGTTACTTGAGGCATCTATTCTATAATATAAAACTGGGGGGCCAGGCATGGAGGCTCACGCCTGTAATTCCAGCACTTTGGGAGGCCGAGGCAGGTGGATCATGAGGTCAGGAGACCGAGACCATCCTAGCTAACAAGGTGAAACCCCGTCTCTACTAAAAATACAAAAAATTAGCCGGGCGTGGTGGCTGGCGCCTGTAGTCCCAGCTACTTGGGAGGCTGAGGCAGGAGAATGGCGTGAACCCGGGAGGCGGAGCTTGCAGTGAGTCGAGATCGCGCCACTGCACTCCAGCCTGGGCGACAGAGTGAGACTCCGTCTCAAAAAAAAAAAAAAAAAAAAAAAAAAACCCAAAAAAACCACAAAAAAAAACCAAAAAAAAACTAGGTACATCTCAGATGAAGCTGAGCTATCAAGTGACTTGGTTCAAGACCTATCTTTCAGACTGTCTTTCCTTCTACTATGCAGATCAACATCCTATGTAAGCTGTGACCCCAGGCAGTAATTAGTTTTCACAATCCTTCTTCAAGATTGAGGGACCCTTTTCCCAGACTATGTTTTCATGAAGTAAGCTGGCTGGCCTTTGTCTCCCAACATTTATGGAAAGCTTTTGGTGCCTGATGTATACTTGATGTCAAACTCTTTCCCATTTTTGTGTCCCTCTGGACACAGAAGTCAGTAGGTCCAAGACTTCGGTGTCCTTTTCCTTCTCTGAGCTCAGTTTTTTTTTTGTTCACAGAAATGTTTATTTGTTCATATATGCCAGGGAATTTACCTACAAAAGTTGCATATCTAACTCAACTATTATTTTATGGAAGATTTTTACTTTGAGGTCCATTTCTTCCATGGCTTGGCTTTAGAATAATCAAGAATCCTTCAAATTAGGCTAAAAAAATCTCTGCAAATTAAATGTATTTTAATTTCCCCTGATTCTCAAAGTTTTTAAGAGCCACTCACCTAATTTGACTTCTTTAGTTTGAATTCATATTATATTTCTAAGGAAAAGACAAAGTAACCACAATTTCTTTTATTTCTCTTCTGAGACAAATAATTATATTTTATACCTTCAACAATGTTAGCATAATTTTAAAAGGCAATAGTAGAGTAGTGCCTTCAAAAGGGTTTGCATGGAGTCCCCTTAAAGTAAAATTAAAATGTGGCTTTATGGTGCAATGGTTTGTTCGTTTTGGCAGTCAATGGAAATTATTCCTTTAATGGAATGAAATGCAAATATTAAGCAACAAGCTTGAAATGATGAGGGTATTTATGTTTTGGTCTCTTAATAACTGTGTTTTTCTGAGGTTATAGGAGTTAAATGCAGTTTGCTTGTTGATGGAGTTGCATGCATTGTCAGCAAATGTGGGCAGCTAAGATATTGTTAGTTTTGTACATTTAGGAAGTGTTTAATGAGTGCTGGTGAAAGATGATGGAAGTCTTATAATTTATTCTAAGTGATTTAATTGAGGAGGCTAAGCATCTCAATTTGTTTAATTCAGATATACTGTATACAACCCTATGAGTCTTTTCATGACTTAATAAAAAGATTTAAAAATAAAACTAGAAAATATATTACAGCTAAAATAAAAATGCATCTTTTAAAGCAAAGAACAAAAAAGTTAGAATGAATGAAGGAAATACGAACTAGTTTTTCAATTTGAAGCTAAAAGGAGATACAATGCAATAAACAATCCAAACTGTAATTAAGAAAGTACTCCCACTTATGATAGAACAAAAAGAATAAAACATCTAGGAATAAATTTAGAAAATGAAGTACAAGAGTTGTACACTAAAACTTATAAAACATTGTTGAAAGAAATTAAGACTTGAATAAATGGAAAGACATCAAATTTTCATGGACCAGAAGACTGAGCATTGTTAAGATGGCACTACTCCCCAGATTGATCTACAAACTCAATGCAATCTCCCAGTTGGATTTTTTTGCAGACATTTATAAGTTGATCTCAAAATTCATATGAATTTCCATATGGAAATGCAAGATATCAAAAACAGCCAAATCATCTTGAAAATAAAGAATGAAGTTGGAAGATTCACACCTCCAATTTCAAACCTACTATAAATCTATAGTAATCAAGATAGTACTGTGCTGACATAAGGCTAGACATATACATCACAGGTAGAGAATTAAGAGTGCAGAAATGAATTCTCTCACTTATAGTCAATAGACTTTTGACAAGGGAGCCAAAACAGTTCTGTGAGAAAAAGAATAATCTTCTCAACAAATAATGTTAGGATAATTGGAGATTCATGTATAAAAGAGGAAATTCGGATTCCTATCTCAAACCTACCAAAAAAACCCTTAAAATGAATTATAGACCTAAATGTAAGAGCTAAAATTATAAAACTTCCATAATAGAAGTAAATCTTCACTGCCTTGGATTAAGCAATAGTTTCAGATCTGACATCAAAACCATAAGCAACAATAAAAAAACAGATAGCTTGGACATCAGTAAAATTTAAAAAAAAATGTGCCTCAAAGGATATTAGCAGGAAAGAAAAAAAGCCCCATGAAATAGGAGAAAATATTTGCAAATATTATATGTGACAAGGAACTTCTAACCAGAATATATAAAAAAAACTCTTAGAACTCAATAATAAAAACCAAATCACCCAATTAAAATGGACAAAAATCTGAATTGATATTTGGAATACAGATATTTCTCTTAAAAAGACATGCAAAGCTGGAGGTATCACATTACATGACTTCAAATTATACTACAAGGCTATACTGGCCAAAACAGCATGGTACTGGTACAAAAACAGACACATAGATTAATGGAAGAAAATACAGAACCCAGAAATAAAGGCACATACCTACAATCAACTGAATTTTGACACAGTTGTCAAAAATATACAATGGGGAAATGACACCCTAATATATAAGTGGTGCTGGGAAAACTAGAAAGCCATATGTAGAAGAATGAAACTGGACCCCTACCTCTCACCATATATAAAAATTAACTCAAGATGGATTAAAGATTTAAGTGTAAGACCTGAAACTATAAAAATCCTAGAAGAAAACCTTGGAAATACTCTTCTGGACATAGGCCTAGGCAAAGAATTTATGACTAAGACCTCAAAAGCCAATGCAACAAAACAAAAATAGACAAATAGGACTTAATTAAACTAAAAAGCTTCTGCACAGCAAAAGAAATAAACAATAGAATAAACAGACAACCTACAGAATGAGAGAAAATATTTGCAAGCTATGCATCTGACAAAGGACTAATATCCAGAGTCTACAAGGAACTCAAACAACTCAGCAAGAAGAAAACAACTGCATTAGAAAGTGGCCAAAGGAGGTGAACAGACATTTTTCAAAAGAAGACGTACAAGTGACCAACAAACATTTGAAAAAATGCTCAACATCTCTAATTATCAGAGAAATGTAAATCCAAACCACAATGAGATAATGTCTCACACCAGTCAGAATGGCTATTACTAAAAAGTTTAAAATCAAAAGATGCTGACAAAAATGTGGAGAAAAGGAAACTATTTTACACTGTTGGTGGGAATGAAAATTAGTACAACCTCTATGGAAAACAGTATGGAGATTTGTCAAAGAATTAAAACTAGAACTACCATTCAACCCAGAAATCCCACTACTGGGTATCTGCTCAAAGGAAAATAAGTCATTATATCATATTTATTTTGGCACTATTCACAGTAGCAAAGATATGGAATCAACCTAAGTGTCCATCAATGAATCATTTAATAAAGAAAATATTCTATATATTCACATATGTACACACACACAACACCATGGAATACTATGCAGTCATGAAATAGAATGAAATACTGTCTTTTGCAGCAATAAGGATGGAAATGGAGGACATTACCCTAAGTGAAATAACTCAAAAATAGAAAATCAAATATCGTATGTTCTCACTTAAAAGCAGGAGTTAAACAATGGGTATGCACGGACATATAGAGGGAAATAATAGACACCGAGAACTCCAAAGGGAGGGAGGATGGGAGGTGGAAGGTGAGGGTTGAAAAATTATTAGGTACATTGTTCACTGTTTGAGTGATGGGTACACTTAACACTCAAATCTCATCATTATGCAATATATGCATGAAACAAAACTTGCATATGTATCTCCTGAATCTAGTTTTACATAACCCTTTAAAACAATATACAAGTAGCCAATAAACACATGAAAAGATGCTGAACATTATTAGTCATTCGGGAAATGGGAATCAAATCCACAATGAGATACCTCTTCATACCCACTTATAAGTGGCTATAGTTAAAAAAAGAAGGTGGGCAGCAACAACTGTTGAAAAGATGTGGAGAAGTTGGAATCCTCACACACTGCTGGTGAGAATGTAAAATGATGCAGCCACTTTGGAAAACAGTTTGGCATTTCCTCAAACTGATAAACAGAGTTTCCATTTGATCCGGCAATTTCTCTCCTAAGTATATACCCAAGAGTAAAGAAAACATATGTCCATATAAAAAGTTGTACAGGAGTGTTTTAACAAAAATGTGGAAACAGCCCAGTTGTCCAATACTGGTAAATATATACATAAATGTATAAATAAAATATGGTATACCCATATAATAGAATATTAGTCAATTACAAAAAGGAATGAAGCATTGCCACGTGCTGCAACATGGATGATTCCTGAAAACATGATGCGAAGTGGAAGAAGTTAGTCACAAAGATTACTTATCATGATTCTATGTGTGGGAAGTGTCCAGAGTAGACAAATCCATGGAGACAGAATGTAGATGAATGGTTGCCGGGGGCTGGGTAAGGGGTAGGGGATGGAGAAGCACTGCTGATGCGTATGGGGTTTCTTTTTGGAGTGTTAAAAATGTTCTAAAAATAGATTATGGTACTAGTGGTACAACTCTGAATTCACTAAAAACCAATAAAGTGTACACTTTAAATGGATCAATATTATGGTATATGAGTTATACCTCAATAAAGCTGTAAATTAGATGCAATGAATTTAAAGGCATTAAATTCTTTTAAAATTGTGATATTGATCAAAATATTTTAAGGCCAAAGGGATCTTAGAGATTGCTTACTTCATTTTTCTCTATATGTGAGGTTAAGAAATTGAGGACTAGAGAAATTAATTTGTCAGAAGGTATACAGGTAGTTATGGAACCAAAAATACACACCTTATATTTTAATTTCCAAAATGGATCAACATTTTTCTAACCTCCACTGAAACCATCTACACAGCAAAATGTGACGTATAGATGTGGTCATAATTCAGATAATTGGTCAAATATCCAATCCAGGTCAAAATATCCATATGTGACCTGAATTTTATTTTTTGTGTGTGTGTAGGAGACAAATAATAAAACTAACAAGAAAGAAAGACATATAGACAACTGAAAGATTACAGAGGCATGTACTTACATACCTTAGGTAATCTATTAAATTAAAGAAATAAATAAAATTGTCTTTGAAGGAGAGACTTTCAAATTTCTGGGCTGCAATGTCATATATGAATATCTAAAAATTATTCAGTAACCCAAGTAATATTTTAATTTTAATTTTAATGTAAGAAGAAAAAACCTTTGTGCTTTCAGAACTTATTTCTATAACTTATGATAATTGCTTCCACATTTTGACTTCATGTAAAAGGAGAGTAAATCATCTTTGAATAGAAAGTTAGAGTTTCTTCCATTTGCACAGGCAGGTGATGGGAAATTAAATTAGGCTGCCTTCCCCTTTCCTGTACCTAGTTTTTTTGTGTTCATATTTGAGACTTCAATCTTCTCTTCTTCTTGGGGTTTTACATTAATTCAAACTTTAAAAATAACTATCAAACTTTAGAGAAAGAGGAAGGTTTATAAGAACTCATGTAATCAAAGTGTAGTCTATAGGTTGCACACTTCTCAGAGATATTGGTTTGTGAACTACTTTTTAAAAACCGAACTAATCTTCAAACATTGAGAGATTTTACATAGATGATCTGGATTTCTGACTCTCGAAAAACTGAAGAGTTTGGTAAAGTGAACCTTCCTTTCTGCATGGTGGTTTTTAGCTGCAATTGGATGCCAGCTGCCCTTTTTGCATGGGTCCTGCCCAGATGGGCACAGCTCCCAGGGGCGGCTTCACGCATTTACGTTACCTTCCCAACATATTAGTCATTTGGGTTTGCAATCTCTGACTTAGCCCAATTACTCAGCTCTTTATTTTCCCCATAAGGTACTTCTTTAAATGAGTGTGCCCCTAGTGAAATAATTCAGAACTCATTGTCACTATTACCACATTCTTTGATCAAAAGAGCCACAAGCCCTGCTGATTATGTAAGAGAATCAAGTTGAATTGTGCTCCACCTCCCTCTAGCCTCTGAAAAATTATGAACCTGCAAGTATTTTGGATCTTAGAAACATTCTCAATGAAGGTGAGCATTGGTTCTTGGGACAATGAAAAATACTAAAATATCATAATAGTCCATGGCCTTTCAGAAGCCACACATATCTGTACATAAACAGATATTCGGTAAATCTGTGGTATTAAAATTTCATAGTGAAGGGGGTGAAATTAGGGGGAAAAATTAAAGAATTCTGGGTGGCAGGCAGGCAATAAAAATTACATATATACTGAAATAAAGGAAGAACTCAGAAAGACTAATGCCTGGCCTGATATTTTCCTGTCAAATGTAGCTCCTTCTTATAGGAGGAACCCTGAATAAATGTGTAAAGGAAACAGTAATCCAGTCAGGGTGGGGGCACTGGCTTTCATCTAGCACTGCCAGAGCCCATCTGATCCAACTACCCAAATAACCGAGCATTTATTTTCAATAAAAGAGAAAAACAAGAACTTTTAACATGGGTGATATAAGTATAAATTGCTACAGTACAGTCATTTTTGGGGAGCAATTTGGCACTGCCTTCTCACTCAAACATGTGCACAACCTGTGACCCAAGGATTTCCCCATATGAGAAAGAATCTTCTGCCTCTGATCCAAGGATGCCAGAACAAGAATGTTCACAACATTACTGTTTGCAATGTGAAAATGGTAAAAAATGTAAGACAACTAATACCCATTCTTTTGGAATTGGGGTAAACCGTTTTAAGTCCATTCAATAGGATTCCTAAAGTATTTAAAAATAAACTAGAATTCTCTTATCAGCATGGATAAATCTTGCTGCTATAACATTAAGTGAAAAACAATTACAACTGAATATAGAAAGTAGACTATCATATGTACATAAACTAAAACACACATAAAACAGTGCTGTATATCGTTCTAGGTTTATGCATACACAGTAGAAATATAATTTATGCACAGCAAGAATGCTTTCCTACTACAGGGGAGTGGCTATTGCTGGAGAGAAGGTAGGATAGAATAGGGGAATGGGGCTACAACTACATCTACAGTGCTTTTATTACTTAAAAGAGAGGAAAGATTAAAGCAAATATGGCACAAGATTAATCTGTGTTAAATACAGGGTAGTAGGTACATGAATCTCTGTTGCTTTATGTACTTTTCAGTATGTTTAACTTTTTAAAAATGAAACATTTTAAAGCACTATAGAGATTCAAGAATGTATAAAAAAATTCCTCAATCTGGTAATTGGTAGCTACAAAGAAATCAATCCCATTCTTATGGATAAAAACATTACTACTAATTCTACTGAAGTCAGGAGCAAAAGTTTCTGCTAAAAACTTGCTTCCCTGGTCAATGCTGTATGACCAGAAAATGAAACAAGACTTGTAAGTATCGGACAGGAAAAGCCAAAAACGTTGCAATTTTCTATGTAAAAAAATCCAGTAGAAAAAAATAAGCACATTTAGAACCAGAAAGAGTGCTCAGAAAGTTACCTAAGCAGAAGTTTAAAGTTTATTAATCAATAGGCTTATTTCTGGCACTGCCTATAACCAATTAGAAAAAGTAAGTAGAAAAAAATGTAAATAATTCTCAAGAGTAATAAAACATACTTAGTATCTAAAGAAATTATGCCCAAAGGCTATTGAATTAGCTTATTAATTCAATAAATTAATGATTGAAGTAATTTATTAATGCAATAACTATTAATAAATAAGTTATTAATAAAATATTTATTAATTTGGGTCATTGTGCTGTTTACATTCTTTCCTTCTTTCCTTCCTTCCTTCCTCATTCCCTTTCACCATTCCTCCCTTCTTCCTTTTTTTTCTTTCAGTCTTCACATCCTTTACTGAAGGATGTGAACAACACAGTGACCCAAATTAATTATCTGTTGCTGCCCAAAATACCACCCCAATAAGTTGGTTACTTAAAACAATGACTGATTTTCCTCCTGATTCCATGGGATGACCACCTGTGTATTTCTTTTGTTGTTCTCACCTAGAATCACTCATCAGCCTCTGTTTATCTCAGTATTTGACTATAGCTGGTGGGTTCACAGTGGCCTTGACCAGGTATCTGGCAGTTGGTGTGGCTGTCACCTCTCCTCCAGTGGCTGTCACCCTCTTGTGGGCTAGACTGGGCTTCTTCTCAGTATGATAGCCTGAGGGTTCATAGAGAGGGAATGGAAGCTTCAAGACCTCTTAAAGCCTAGTGCTAGAACTCAGTTTCCCTTTTGCCACATTCTATTGGTCAAAAGGTTCATAAGCCCTACCAGATTCAAGGGGTGGAGAAATGAGCACCATCCTTAAGCTAGAAGAGCATAAAAGACACATTTCAAAAGAGAGTTGGGCATCATAGGAAGGGAGGAATTTGTTGCCATTAAACAATCTACTACCCATTTCATGTCGCTGAATGGAAAGACTCAAGAATATAATGATGTAAATTCTCTCCTAAATAATCTGTAAATTTAAATTCAATCCAATTTAATAAAAACCTATATGGTACTTTTTGTTGGACCTGATGAGCTGATTCTCAAGTTGATATGGAAGACAAAAATGAACACAAATGGCCAAGAAAAATTCCAAACAGACAACATGGGAAGTCTGGCCTATATGACATCAAAATTTACTAAAAGCTCATAATTAAAGCAGTGTGATATTGGCACAAGGACAGGTGCATAGATTAGCTTATTTTTTTTTTTACTTGAGGGTCAAGGAAAAGGATTGTGCATATGTTGACTTTTGTTATGATTGGGGGCATTTCAAATCCGTGGGAGGAATACTTTAATCACAGAATCAATGAATTTATATTCTTTTAAAAATAAAGTTAAACCTATGCTTTACGTAGGTTTACAAGACAAAATTATCTTCAGATGGTACCATAAAAATATTAGGAAGACATATGGAAAATGGTCTTTTAATTTAGAACGCATAAAGGATTGATGCATTTGACTGCAAATTAATTATAACATTCTATACCATAACAAAGTGAAGAGACAAGAGGTAGACTGGGGGGAAAATATTTGCAATGTCTCTTAATAAGGAGTTAATATTCAAAATGTATTCAGAGCTCAAAAAGGAAGAGGCAATAGGAGAATGAGCAAATAATTTAAGTAGGCAATCCAGAGAAAAATAGTTCAGATAACCACACATAAAACAAAGATGCCCAGCTTCACCAATAATCATGGATTATAAATTCAGACAATGAAGTCACTTATTTTACCAACAAATTTGTAAAAGCTTTATGATTGGTTCTGTTCAGCTATGATAACTCTATGGAAAACAGGTAGTCTTACATATTCTTAAATATTTTTGGAAGGCAATTAGTCAATTTCTAACCAAATTTAAAATTTTACACTATAATTCCATCTTTTGAGATCTATGCTTTATAGAGAAACTCACACAGGCACAACAGATACATAGACTTGCTCATGGTGGGATGGTCTAGAATCAGAAAACACAAACAACTATCTAAATTTCTACCCATAAGTTAATAAGCAATTTATTGATAATCTGTTTTATAGTACTATGAAGCTGTAAAAACTGAACTAGGCCCAGGTGTTGAATATATCAGGTGAACAAATGCAGTCACGGAACAATAGATGTCAATGCCACTTATATAGAAAGAGAAAAATCAATATATATGTATATAGGTAAACAAATAGAAAAACTGTTAAAAGCATCTCTGCGGAGAAGAGTAGAAAGAGGGAGAGTAAAAGTATACAATTTTCATATTATACTCTATATACATTTGTTATAGCTTATATCTTTTACAAAGAAAATAAATGCATTTAATATGGTATGTTTTTTACAAAATAAAAAAAAATTATCTCATAGATTGGCCAAGTTCTACAACATTTCAAAGGCTGTAACTAGGAGGGTATGGGCTGTGGAAACTTTCTCACAAGAGAAAATGTGGAAGAAACTTGGGATTTTTTTCCTTGAGTAAGAGAAAAATTATATTTGCTCTAGGGAACAGAGCTATGGCTAGTAGGTGAAAATCCAAGAGACAAATTGAAACTTTCTAGGCATTCGAGACAGCCAAATGTGAAAGGGGCTCTTCCGAAAGACAATGTGACCCATTTGTCACTGGAAGCGGCAAGAAGAGATGGGCAAGCCCTAGTGAGGCCTGTCTTAGAAGCAGTAACCGTACTGATGGGTAGGTGAAGAGGGGGCCGGGAAGGCATCATTTAAACCTAAGATTCTAGGATTCCAAATGTCCTGAGTGAAGGGTAACACGAGAATCATGGGGCAAAACCTAAGCCATAGTTGTCTTGGATTCTGCAAAGAACTAAGTCATCATAAGAACTGGCTGGCTGTGCATAGCTTTATGAGAAAATGCTTGGAATTCCGCTATTACATGTACATAGATAAGTTCTCTGTTTTAAGTTTCAGATCCTTTGCTATTGAAGTACAACCCACAGGCCAGAAGCATCAGCTTGTTAGAAATGCAGACTCTCAGGCTCCTCTGTAGCCTTATTATATCAGAATCTGTATTTTAACGAGATCTGCCAGTGATTCCCATGCATGCATTTGAGAAGCACTGGTCTGTCCAAATATCCATAGAACTCCTTTTATTCCTGAGCCTTCAAAGCCTGAATAAAAAGAAACAACCTACACATGGGAAAAAAAAAAAGGCCCAGTAATTGAAGTTTTGATTTTTATTGCTCAAAACTAGGTGGAAATTCTAAGCAGAAGAAAAGAAATGACTATATGTGTGTGTATATACACATGTATGTATTTATGTGTATATGTATGCATAGTATAAATATATATATATGTCTGTATACACACATATATGTGTGTGTAAAACCTAACTCTACTTTCTAGCTATCCATTTTAGTGGGTGGTCATTGACTAGTTTACTGTCTTTTGTTTGTTTGTTTGTTTTGTTTTTTGAGACAGGGACTTACTGTCACCCAGGCTGGAGTGCACTGGCATTATTACAACTCATTGTAGCCTCAACCTCTCAGGCTTAAGCAGTCCTCCTGCCTCAGCCTTTCAAGTAGCTGAGACTACAAGCACGTGCCACCACATCTGGCTAGTTTTTTATTTTTCCTACAGACAGGGGTCTCACTATGTTGCCCAAACTGGTCTTGAACTTCTGAGCTCAAGTGATCCTCCCACCTTGACCTCCCAAAGTGCTGGAATTACAGGTATGAACCACCGAACCTGGCCTTGTTTTACCTTTTTGAGGGAGTTTAGCCCGCTGCCCTCTCAACAAATGAATATCAGTCTCAATTTAATTAAATCATTGAGTAGAAAAAGATAAACATCTTAGAGATTTTTCTCATACATTTCATTTTGGCAGCCATTATTACTTAGGACATCTTTAATGTCATTCTATATTTTCTGGTTCACTAAAAATTCTTCCTATTGTTTTCAGTATGTTAATTGGTTTTAAAGTTTAATCTCTTAATCTTGATTTGGCTTTTAGCATTTCACATCGGGATTATTTTGGGGGGTGGGTGGGTGGAGGGAGATTACTATACATGAAGAATGAATAACCTCTTAAAGTGGAAAAAAAAGCTCCTAGGTAATTGGAAATATTCTAATTACCAGCTAGGGCCTTAGCAAAAATGTACTGGCTTCCAATTTATTGTACTGCACTCATTTCCTGAGTCATTTTGGTGTTTCACTTGTGCACAAAGACATTCAATGGAGAATAATGAATTCTGCAATGTGTGGGGACATCATAGTTAAACCTTTTGCTGGATTTTCAAAAAACATCCCTTTTCATAAACAGTTTTCTTAACAAGTTGTGTTGTCTCTCAGCAGGCTTTGCAGAGTTTAGAGCATATTCTACCCAACTGGCCCCAGATGGAAAATACTGTCTTGAAATTGGATGGCTTTTTAAGTGTAGCTCTCCACAGCCTGCTCAAAGAAAAAAAAAAAGTAAGCTTGAACAGAATGCATTTAGTAGCATGGTCTATAATTCCCCCAGCATCCCACATATTTGGATGTTTTTGCTTTTGGCAGTGGAATTTTTCTAATTTAATTCACTCATTAATGTTAGCAGATGACACAGTGTGAAAATTCTTTTCCCTAGCCACTTATCTAAATATTCTTCCAATCCACTGGGGTTATGTGTACATTTTATTTATTTATTTATAAAATGTATTTATCTGTTTTGTTTCTATACCGACCTTCCCTTTAGGAGTTCACAGGCAACATGTAGACGTTTTATGTAATGTATTATAAATCTTCCTTAAGGCAATAAATGGAGAAGAGTCAGAGGAAAGAAAGAAAGAGTGGTGGTGCAGGGGGAGATCTTTACAAAGGAAGAGTGGGAGAGAAGGAACAGATGGTTTGAGAAGAGCAGCCAGAGCTAAAACGCTTACCCTGGTCTAAGCCCATGCAATTCTGTTTCTTCATTCTTAGTTCATACATTGAAGATGTAGCAATAGTTTGTGTCTGGAAATCAGCTGGCAACACCAGGAATGACAATAAAGGCAAGTCCTCCAGGGTTAGCTCAATAAAAAGTGAATCCTCCTTGCTCAAATCATGTGCTCGTTCATTTGTTCATTCACATGTTTATTTTATCTTGCATTTTACTAATCAATATATAAATCTCCCTCTCTTACATTTTAGGTCTCCTTGAAATTTGAGGACATGTATTCCCTCCCTCCCTCCTTCCCTCCCTCCCTCCTTCCCTCCCTCCCTCCTTCCCTCCCTCCCTCCTTCCCTCCCTCCCTCCTTCCCTCCCTCCCTCCTTCCCTCCCTCCTTTCCTTTCTTCCTTCCTTCCTTCCTTCCTTCCTTCCTTCCTTCCTTCCTTCCTTCCTTCCTTCCTTCCTCATTCCCTTTCTCTGTTCCTCCCTTCTTCTTTTGTTTTTCTTTCAATCTTCAGGGCCTAACACAGGGCCTGGGACAAAATAGGTATAGAATATATATTACTTAATTTTGAATGAATGGAACTCTTTTGAGTGATTATACCAACAGAGTATCTACTCCGGTATTTTAAAACAGGAATCATTTTAATCCCCAGAGTTACGTTGTTAAGGGGATTTTTATTATTATCTTAATTTTATCAGTGAGGAAACTAGAGCAAAGAAATGTGAAATAAGTTGCTCAAGGTCACAGAACTTGTAAGTGGCAGTTGGAGAATGTGAACTCAGGCCTGTCCAGGATGCTGCTACCCAAGATGATGGTGACATGGGACAGCTGGCTTGATGAGGCCTCAAGAAGTGATGAGGAAACTTCTTTGTGTCCCCACTGAGAGTGAGACATAATCCCCAGTTTCTGCAGCAAATGAATAAATATTGGTATTAGAAGGGTTGACGCTGAATTGTATACTTAAAAGGGTGGATTATATGATATACGAATTATATCTCAATAATTTGTTTTAATAGTGAGAGAAATTACTGAATATTGGAAGTTTTCTCTGACCTCTCTTCTCTGACCTCTCTTCCTAAGAAACTTAGTTCAGATTCATAGCAATTTTTTTACTGCTCCAGTTCACTGAGCTGCATGTTGAAAAATAGACAAGATTTCCAGACCCAGACTTTGTGCAGCTCCCTGAGTTCTCTGTGTTGGCCATAGCCATTTATCTGAGGAGGGGCCCATGGGAAAGTGATTCTTAGGGGCCTGTCTGGCATTGAAACCATCAACCGGAAGCTACTGAATATTATTAGTGAGACGTTTAGTGAGCATGAATGTAGGAAACAATTTTTTAAAACCAGTTTTCAACATCATGCAGAATTTTCCTCCACTTGAAAGAAAAGGGTTGTTGTCATGTCTCTCTGAGACTATTTCCAGCCACTAATTTATCTGGCAAGGATGAATACCACATTTGGGAAATTTGTTAGCATTTAATCTTCTTCTAAATCAGTTTCAGGGGGCTGGTAGGATTTTAAAAAATTTTTATGGTTGAAAATTACATCATTTGGCATGTTTTTATACTCATATTCAAAATGGACACAACACTTTTCTGTGTGGGGGTGGTTTTGTTGTCAGAGTGCATGTGAATACACACACACATGCACACATACACTCATATACTCATGCGCATGTACACACATGCTCATACACACATGAACACACATGCACAGATGCAGACTCAACACATACACACATACACATAAGCATGCACAAACACACCCTTACCCATTTATACCACAAATAGCTGTATCAATAGGAGAAAGTTATTGAGCTGATATATCTTCCAAAATGAGACTGCTGTAGGTACGTGTTTAAAGCATACAGAAAGCCAGTGCTTTCCTTTCTATGGACTTAATAAATCAGAATAAAAAGATTTCAATACAAAGAGGACTGGAGTTTCAAACATTCTATTTGGTAGCACTTTGAAAAGAGAGCTAGGTGCACATGGAGAGCAGTGGGAAGAAAGGAGGTCGTGGGTTTGGGGGCATCTGAGTCATGGTTTTCTGCAACATTGGGCTTGCCATTTGAAGTTCTTTCCCTGAAACTCTACGTGAAGACCTCACTCTGAGGTTTTATGATATACGTACATTAACTTGGAATCTAGATTTAATATTTCTACCTTTAGTCAACAATGTTTTCTTAATGAAAAGAAGGATCAGCTTAAGCAGCTTAATTTTGAATGATGAGCCTGAGAGTGGAGATACGGATAAAGGTATTTATCCAAATTGTTTGTATCTAACATTTCTTTTCTTTGGGGTCAGGGTTTGCAGATTAAAAATTGTTGGGTATGGTGGCTAAGGAAAGGTAGTTGCTGCTACCAACAATCATGTGTCCCTCAGCCTTTGAGAAGAGGACGGAGATCAAGAAAAGACTGACATCTTCACCTTCCTAAACTGGTGTTCCATTGACTGCACCTTGGAAATATTGAAGAATCTTAAAATAATAATGTTTGGTTCCCACCCCCAGAGATCTTGATTTATTCCATCTAGGGATGGGCCTTAATGACTCCCCAGGTGACTCCATCTAACATGCGGCAAAGCTTGACAGCCACTGCTCTTAACTGATGGTTGCCAACCCTGGCTGTTTTTACTCTGATCCCTGCAGCCTATACCCCAGAGATTCAAGTGATCTGGTGGGACCTAGGCATTGATATGTTTTTTAACAGTTCCCCAGGTTATTCTAAGGTACAACCAGGGTGAAAACCCATGGAGCTGCCTTGTCAACGACAGGAAACTTACTGTGTTTGTTATTTGTCCTTGATGTGCTCTACTCTGCAGTTATTCTTTGCATGCCTACCGTGTGGGAGCTGGTGCGTTGGATGCTGCAGGGAATATAACAATGAATTTGACACAGTCTCTGTTCTCGGGATGTTTATGAGGCTGCAAAAAATTATATTTTGCATTGTTTGTTGCTTAACGAAGCTGACCGGAAAACATCTTGAATTTAGATGTGGAAAAGCTTGCTGGGGCATTATCTCATTGAAACCTCACAATGACCTGGTGAGAAAAGCATAAAAAATGTAAACTCAGAGAAGTTAGGAATCTACTCAAATTTACATGGCAAAGAAAGCTAGGAACCAAATCTTCTAATGCCTAAGCAAGAGAGCCCTTTTGGCATTACTGTTTTTCTGCATTTCTTCTGGCAATACCATTAATATATGAAAGCAGGGATGGGAAGTGGCAGAATCAGAAAGGCAGAAATTGAGATGGAGAAAGTGGTGTCTAGATCAGGTGTGTGTGTCTGAGTGAGTGAGTATGTGTGTGTGTGTGTGTGTGTGTGTGACTGTGTGTATGTGAGGGGATATGCCTTTGAGATTTTATTCAATGGTGCGGTTTTGTTACTCTCTTGAAAATTATACAGCCTGTTAACGAAGTATATCAGAAAATAGAATTTACTGACATCTTTAGAAAGGTTAAAAATCTGTCTAGCATGAAAAGGCCATTACTAACTGTGAGAAAAAATTGAAAAAAAAAAAAGAGTTATTAAGGCCAACTTAGATTTCTACAGATACTGAGTAGAAGTAGTTTCACTAGCTAGAGATGGGTGTATGTGAGGGGGAAGGGAAGATTAGTATCAATAACTATCAGTCAATAAAAGGATGCTTAATTTCCTGTCTTCTTTCAACTCCATGACCGTTTTCTTCCCCACGGAGGGAAGGAGAGGCCTCCAACCCATTGCTCTGAGGAATATATGTATTCTTTTATAACCAGAGATGTTGGAAGACATAGAAAAGACATTAACACTACTCGGTTATGGCTCTTTGTAGGTGCAGGTAAATAGATTTTAGGTTGATGACATTTCAAAATCATGACAAAATGTTTTCTTTGAGGCTTGGGTGTATCCGAATATGCTTGGCTAAAAAGCAACCTCACTCTTGTAAATGTGTCTAGTATTACTTTGCTAAACAAAATTGTATTTTTGCCCTGCTCTTTATATGTTCACAAAGACAGCTGTGAACATTCATTCATTTATTTATGCAAGCAACAAATGTTCTTCATGTGCTATGCATTAGGTGTTATACTACCTAGGGGAACACAGAACATAAAATGCTCTCTCTGTCCTCTAGAGGCTTAGTATTTATTAGAAAATAATTCCAGACTATTATTTCAGAAGACTGACAATAACAAATCCAGGTATTTCCCAAGGAAGGCTTGCTGCCTTTCCAAAGGCATCTCCATGGGGTGCACATCAAACATTGTCAAGCCTAGAAAAAGGAAATTACTGTAGATGTTTCAAGCAAAGAGGGATTTAATGCAAGGAATTTTTATGATGGTGTTGAAAGGGCTGGAGGAGCCAGAGGGATAAGGTGGCGGTACCCACAGACTGGGGCATTGCTGGTGCCCTTTCTTAGCTGATCTATTGGAGGAATCACAGAAGTTGCTGGAGCCTGCAGTCACCTGCTGTTGATGCTGTTCTGCTAGAGCTGGAAGCAGAATGGCTTCTTCTTTCCCATTGCCTTCTAATCTCCTCTCACTGCCTCCCATTAGCAGAATTCAACATTAACACACTGACCAAGAAGTCTTGATCATGTTTGCATCTGTACATGCACAATACAGAGAAGAGTACAGCAGGGCAAGGTGAGGTGGAAAGGGGGCAGTAAGATCCAACAGTCACATAACAAGCAGAGAGGTGTGGAGTCTGGAGGTAGCCACCATAAGCCCCACTACTCGGAGGTTTCCCTTAGTTTTTTAGACTTAGGAATTTGATTAATAGAACACTCAGATGTGATTTGAAACCTGACTGAAAATAACTGTTATGGACTGAACCATGTCTCCTGCAAATTTCATATGTTGAACCCCTAACTCCCAATGTGACTGTATTTGGAGATAGGGCATTTAAGGAGGTAATTAAGGTTAAATTAGGTCATAAGTGTGGGGCTCTAACGTGCTACAACTGGTGTCCTTAGAGGAAGAGACATGGGGATGTGCACACACAAAGCAAAGGCCATGTGAGGACACAGTGAGAAGATGTCCATCTGCAAGACAAGGAGAGAGGCCTCACCAGAAACTAACTCTGCTAGCACTTGATCTTGGACTTGTAGCCTCCAGAACTATGAGAAAATAAACGTCTGTTGTGTAATCCGCTCAGTCTGTGTTATTCTGTTATGACAGCTCAAGCTGACTAATATGCTAACCAAATAGGTAAATAATAAATATAAAGAGTAAGATGTCAAACTGTCATTTTTAGTTTGCACTAGAAATGTAGTTTTTCAAAAGATTGTCTACTGATATTTGCTGGTCAGCACATTCTTCTTCTATAAGTGATACTGCATAGGAATTAAATAAAATTGGAAGGTTACTTGATGACACTAGTCTCTGAATTAGTTGAGTTAGATGGATGGTACAAATGGCCCAGGTAATCCCAGGCATCTTTAGGATATGATATACTCATTTCCCCCCTGGATCTGCAGTCTCTGCTGTATGTATGTAGTCTTTTCCCAATAGTGCGATCAATGGAATGTTTCAGCCTTTCTGATATTTTCATTGTTAATCAGGTTCCTTTTCATATTGCTGCATCCTGGTTGCCATTTTGTTTCTTTTAGATAGTCTTCCTTTGATCCACTTGGATAAATTTACTCTGAACCTTTCCATGATTGTTTTATGGTCTAACTCACAAATTTTCACCTTCTTGGAGTGGGGCCAGTACATGTAGTTAGGCTGGGAATTGGCTAGGATACACTGCTCTAACTGTACCGCTTGTTGCCATTGTCAGCCCTGATTGGACTGTACGTTTATGATTGGCCAACCCTTATGCCATATTGTTGCTAAATCATTTGAATATTATATCTGCCTATATTATTGGTACCATTAATATGAAAAGAAATGGACCAAATCCATTTGGAAAGCTGTTAAATCAGCTTTCCACATAGGCAGATTGGACTATTTGAGAACTATCAAAAGGATCCCCATTTCCCAAAATGACAGCCTCATCTGCCTGTGAAGGAGCATAAAGTTCAGTAGCTAGAGTTGCTTTTAATGAGTTTAATCATATTTGCCAGAAGGGATGATCAATATATCTAATATTTAAGTCTTACCTACCTGTATCTGTCCCCAGCCTAACTATTTCAATGGCTTGTCTCATTAATCATCAGAAAACCCTACTATGAAGAAGGTCCTATTATCAATGCTGTCATATAGAGTAAGCAGTGGAAGCTTAAATAGGTTAAATAATTTGTTGAATGTTACCTGCTAGTAGGGAGTAAGGTAGGGAATTTAAAACCTAAGATTAACCTTTGTGTTTAGCATAAGAGCTGAGAGAGATACATTAGCTTACAAGCCTCTGTAGTTTTTGCCTGTAACTCAGGACTTTTTTCACGCATTCTCTTCCTGGCTATTTTCTTCCTAAGAAATGGGTCCTCTCTCTCTTTTTATTTTTATTTTTATATTTTGAGATGGAGTCTCGCTCTGTAGCCAGCCAGGCTGGAGTGCAGTGGCGCGATCTTGGCTCACCGCAACCTCCGCCTCCTAGGTTCAAGCAATTCTCCTGCCTCAGCCTCCTGAGTAGCTGGGACTACAGGTGCTCACCACCATGCCCAGCTAATTTTTTTTTTTTATTTTTAGTAGAGATGGGGTTTCACCATGTTGGCCAGGATGGTCTCGATCTTTTGACTTCGTGATCCGCCTGCCTCAGTCTCCCAAAGTGCTGGGATGACAGGTGTGAGCCACCGTGCCCGGCCGCTTGGCACTTTGGCACCACCTGCTGGAGGTTATTTCCTTCATACTGTACCTACCACAGTTTAGAGCTGTTTGTTTGCTTGTTTTCTATATGCCTCACTAAAATATGAGTTCCACAAAGGCGGGGACTTTGTTTTTCTTGTACATGACTGTGTCACTAACATGTAAGGATTGTTTTCCATACAGTATTCCTAGGGTATTCCTACTGTCTTCTGTACAGTAGGCACTCAATGCATATGTGCTAAAGGCCAAAGCACAATCTATTATGAGCTATCAAACTCCCATGCTCTTTGGGATCAAGACTTAGGAGGGTGTGTTTTTGGTGGAGAGGGAAATATGAGGGTCAGAGTAGTCTCTAGCTGGTTCATCACTGCAGAGGGTGTTCTGAACTACCAGTGTTTACAGTCACTGAGACTGGGGGAGAGGGAGAATGCTACAAAGTAGGCAGGAACAGCTGAAAGTAGAAAAGGCAGCCTCCCAAACAAATTTCAGTTGACTAGTGGTCATGCCTATAGCAGTATACAGAACTAACTTCTTTTCTGAAAAATACTGCCTAGAATTTTAGAAAATGATATTGAAAACTTTGGATTTTATCCTAAATTCTGATTGAACTCTTAAGAGTTTCTGAGTGGACCAGTGATGTATTAAAAATTAGTGTTCTTGAAAGTAAGAGATAAAATGACTAAGATGGAGGAGGAAGCCTAAGCTGGAATATGAGCCCATCAGTTTCTCATGATTGACTATAGTTTGGGCATTCCCCATCTCAGGCACCACTGTCTCAACCCTCTTGATGAGGAAAACCAAGAGAGACAGCCCACATCCTGTGGGCCATGAAATCCTGCCTGTTTGATCCATGTCAGGCTTGGAGCAATTGAGAGTTGTGGAACATATTTCTTTCCAATTATATTAAAAAGTTAATTGGTATAGCATTGTATTTCATCTCTTCTGCATCAGCAGTACAATGTCTATGTTTATTTACAAGGATTATGAGCAATTTCTATATCTCAAAGCACCTTCTGAATCATCAAGGATATATTGAATTATATTGACTCATATTTCAGGTTAACTGTTTTTAAATGTAATCTGTGGGTAATTATAACTTACATATGAGTTGTAATTTATGGCATCCAAATCATATTCCCATACATCATTTGATTGCTATCATCATGTTTTGTAGTTGAGAAAAATGAGTTTCTGAGAGGTTAAATGACTTGTCCAAGGTCACTTGGCTAGTGGATAAGAAATCCTGGACTGGGCCAGGCGCGGTGGCTCATGCCTGTAATCCCAGTACTTTGGGAGGCCGAGGCAGGCAGATCATGAGCTCAGGAGATCGAGACCATCCTGGCTAACACGGTGAAACCCTGTCTCTACTAAAAATACAAAAAATCAGCCTGGCATGGTGGCAGGCGCCTGTAGTCCCAGCTACTCGGGAGGCTGAGGCAGGAGAATGGCGTGAACCAGGGAGGCGGAGCTTGCAGTGAGCTGAGATCGTGCCACTGTACTCCAGCCTGGGTGACAGAGCGAGATTCCATCCCAAAAAAAAAAAAAAAAAAAAAAAAAAAATCCTTTACTGTAACCCATTTCTTTTATTTCAAGCCTTTTACATCTTTGTGAAAATTGGAAGCTGGCACTTAACATATATGATGAATCCTTATTAACCAGAATACTTAATCATTCTAGAAAAAGCAATCTCAGTGGAGTTCAGGGATGAACTATATCTAATATGGTAAAAATACAGTGGGTTCTATAAATACTCATTGACAGTAATGACATCACCCACCATTCATTTTGAATCAATCTATCCCCAAAGGAATGTATCTTACAATGTTCCTCAAATATTTTTAAATTACATATTTTTTAAATTAAACAATGTTCATGTTTCAGTTTCCCTTCATTGGGCCTTGAGCTCAATAACTCTTGGTTATAGAGCGTGGTTTTGTCGGTTTGATCTCATGGAATTTGCAGACAGCATCTATGTGCACAGTAACAGAATTATTCTGGCTGATAGAGAGAGGACGGGTGTGGAGCAAGTGTGGCATGAAACGGACTGTTTGCTTTTTTCTACAGTCTGCTGATTCAACCTGCAAACCCATTCCCCAACTCCATTAGCAAAACCTATAAAAACACAGGGGCCGCCATAAAGACAACTCTGACATTTGTAACACGGAGTGGTCTTTTGAGTAGAGAGAGCCTAGTTCTATACTTATTATTTGGGACTGGGTATTTTTTGACTTCAATGCTTGTTTCTGGTTAGAGAGTTAAAAACAAAGGTCTAAACACTGTGTACTTGGATAGTAAAACACATGTTCACTCTTTTCAGTGACCCTGGAAACAGACGGGGGATTCTTATAAGTCACAAAAGAAAATAAATAACTTCATCCATGGAGGGAAAGAGACAGCTTGAGAAAAGGGACTTTGGAAAAAGGCTGTCTCTAGACAGCAGTCTTGTGGTAAGTACTAAATATTCATTTACCACTCTATATGTTTTGGCTTTGAATGCATTATTCTTTGACTGTTATTTCCTGAACGCTGTGCTTTTGAAACCTCTCTTCCAGTTACACCATTAGCAACATCCCTTGAGATTTTGTTTCATTTATTTTTTACAAACTCAAAAGCCAGCAAATTATTGGAATGTTTGTATAGTGTCTTAATAGGCAAATGTCATAATCTGTCAACATTATATATAATTACATTAATTACAACTGATGTAGACTTCAGCCTATACAAAAACACTACTGTATAGCTGATGCCAAATGCTAAGCCTACGTATAGTTGTTCCATCCCCCATTTATCTTAACCTTGGGGGTAAGTTGAACAAGAATTCAATACAGGTTCAAATATTGAAGAGCAGAGGAAGTCTTGGAGACCTTCTTAGGTATGTGCATTAGTTCAGTTGTCTGTAAACTAACTTTCTGAGAGTTTTAATGCTGATGAATATTATTCTTAACAACCTGGTTGGGTTTGCTATCCGGTGTGAAAATCTGCTTAGTCCAGTGAAACAGACTAATTCACTTTAGACTAAGTCTGATGGTTGGCTATTCTTCTGCAGTCTCTGGGCCAACATGTGTGGGTCACCTTTTCTGTTACGCAATGCGTGTGAACAGAGCAAGGAATCAAATCAAGCAAACTTGAAATAGAAAGCAAACTTTCTGAAATAGAGATTTAGCTTGGTTCCTTGTGCACATTTTATAGGGATGTGCTTTATTCACTTGTATATGCTCAGCACCTGTCCTGGAGTCTAGCAGAGTGGGGGTTCAATGAACTATTTGTTGGTTTGATTTATCCGTTATACCTTTCAAACTTTGCAGCTGTAGGTCTTGCTCTGTCACGGACAGATTAGTTATTTACCTCTTAGCGGCTGAGGCTCTGCCTCACAAATTATTCATAGATGTGAGTTTCTGGGACTTGAGAAGAGGATTGTGTTAAGCATTTATGTCAAGTTCTTCTCTCCTTAGTCAGAATCAATGTCTGTGTCTATTTGGTCTGTGCATTGACCAGCATACCTTTAGAGGCCAACTTTGGTGTATTTCAGGTTCTCCTCTCCGTAGATCTGACCCCATCTCACCTCCTACGTCTTGCTAACTCCAGGTTGAACGTGGTGACATTGGTGTGTGAGTGTGTCTGGGTGTCTGTGTGTGTGTCTCTGTGTGTATATGTATGTGTATTCCCTTTTCAACTTCTGGGGAAACCTGGGATAAAGAGATAATTTCTCAGCCTCTCCTTTGCAGAAGAAAAACACTTTTTACATATCAGCATGCCAATAGGGTCTGTCTTAGGCCTAGGCTAAGGACAGAGACAGCCGTAGGGTATGATGTGAGCAGCTCAAGAAAGATTCTCTTAACCCAGAAATATCATCGGTATTGGTTGGTCCCCAAAGCCATAGATTTCTGCCTCAGATCTCAAGTTTTATGCAAATACCCTATAAAGTTAAACATAATAAGCTATTGTCTTTCAATAATTCATAGTAGCACTCATTAATAAATGGCCTTGGATCACTGCCAAATGTCAAACCGATGAGCAGAATTTTGTTGTGGGAATTGGTAAAATAGAAGAAGGCAGAGCCCAGATAGCTGCGAAGGCAGGGATAGGGCAGGACAAGACAGGGCAGGGGGACGTGAGTAACCCCCAATGGGGATCGTAGGTACTTGCAGATCGGAAAAAGGGAAACAGTGTCAATGCTCATATTTAAATTTTGCCTAAAGATAGCTTGAAAATGGGCATAAGTAAAATCCTGTCACATTACCAGTCTAGCTGAAAACCCTAAATTGAGCTTGCATTCTTTCTGGCATATGGCTGTACCCTGAAACTTGTTGAGGGCTGCAAATATGTTTCTTGACTTGCTGGCATAGAAGAACGCTGTGAAAATGAGAACTTGTTTGGCACCACCTGAGAGACTTAATCCTGTTAAGTCTCCCTGTGTCATGCTTAGGAGAGCTTTTACACTAGTGAAATCTTTTCCTTGTTTCCTAGAGGCAGACTGTGTTACATCTGCATGCCCAGATTGGGAAAATTCTGAAAAAGGATGTCCTTTCCTATCACAGTGTGTAGGGGGGTGCTTAAATGCTTTTCAACATTATAGCACTTAGGCCAAGTTACTACAATTTTGCCCCCGGTTATAGTATTATGTTCTCTTCTTCAAATAAGATGCTACTTCTGGGAGAATAGCAGCTAGAGTATTCTTTTTGAGTTGATTCTTTGGGAATGGGAACCATTGAAAGCACCTTGAATGAATTCCAAGTATCAGAAAGAAAGCTAGACCAGGGATGAGATCAAAGATGCCTGGCCTGTGAGGGATCTGAACTCAAGATGTTGCCCTCTTCTTCAGCTTTATGCTGAAGCCACACAAATTACTAGGCAAGAAGCAGGTAGGGAAGATTCTAGATAAGGGCTGCTGTGAAATACAAGAAAACAACAAGAACAACAAACCTGGCATTACAGTACAGTTTTCATTCCCAATGCATGCTTTTTATTTTATTTTTTGAATCTAGAATGCTAAAGTGAAAATCGGTTATCTCGTCTCCTCACTTTGCAGACTGCTTAAGGCCCAGAGAGGTTATCTGCTCTTCCTGAGCTCACACGCTAGGATTACACCAAAAGTAGAACAACCTGTCACTTAAGTTCTTTATCTTTCATTATATACTATCCCAGGAACAGAAGATGTCCTTGTGGGAAACTGAATAGAGGAAAGAGAAACATATTACGTTCTTAAGTCTTAAAATTCCATTGCAATAATCGTCATGACACATATTTTTGAGAGTTAGGGGGCCCAGAGGTAATTTCCACTTTCAGATTTTACAGGAAAATATTCTCATAATGTATTGCAAGAATAAGGTGCTATTAACTTCATTACACTTTTTATTTTATATAATCAAATCATTGAAGTGTTGAGTAGAAATTATAGCTCCCTTACAATGGCTTTTACATTTTTAGACTGGAGGAATCACAGAATAAAGAAACTCACAGTCCAAAAACTGAAAAAAGCTCCAATTGGGGAAAACAAGTTTGTGGTCCTTAGTCACGTGGCATGGGGGAGGGTTTGAGTGTATGTGTGTGCACACATATACATGTCCATGTGTGTGTGCCCTGGTAACACACTGAAATATTCATTGATGGTGATTTTTTTACTTTATTATTCACCCTTTTAAAGGAGAAAGTGATACGTAAGTGAAACTGAAATGAAAAATATGTTTCATTGTGGGGGTTAAAGGCCCAGAGAGAAAGACAAGTGACTACAAGTTTGCCTCCACCAGTAGGAGTGTGCGGAGTAGCCGTATATACGTTCACGGCAAGTACAGTCTACTCTCTGATAACGATAAAAATCACCCCAGAAATCGAGTCCTCTTCTTGACCCAAAACTGTTCAGCCCTTCCCAGGGTGCTTTTTGATCAGAAAAAGTCATCATTTCACACTGTGCTCTTTTATTTGCAAGACTCATTCCCGGGCTGCCCATGTAGCTGTTTGACACTTGTAGCTGTGGTAGTATTTAGCTGATGAGCATGCTGGAGCATGAGTTATCTTTCTTACCAGCTCACATTTAAGTAACAAACATTCTCTTTTTAATTTTTGGGAAATACATTTAGCTTTTAAGCACAGATGAGAGTAACAGTATGAATTTCTTCCTGGTACCCTCTTTTCTTCTCCCCCACAAAAGGAAGAAAAAACGTTTGCCACACTGCCACACTAAATCCTCAGTTCCGACAGCAGTATAGTTTTATAAGCTTGTAGAGGAAAAAAAGGACGTGCACACATCCCTGAATTCAACCTTCAGCCTCTTGACTGTTTGTATCCAAATCGTTATAGTAATCAAGACTTCCACAACATTCATAACACAATCAGTCAACAAGCACTATTGAAAACCAGC
This sequence comes from Homo sapiens, assembly GCF_000001405.40. Lineage (NCBI taxonomy): Eukaryota > Metazoa > Chordata > Mammalia > Primates > Hominidae > Homo > Homo sapiens. Next base: position 133,513,546 of record NC_000002.12, on the reverse strand, counting down.
TATGGGGATGTGCTGGATGGTTTCCATTTTCCCTCCAGATCCACTCTTTTTCCTTCTCTACCTGGCCAATCATCCCTGGAGGATGCACCACATGGACTTGCCTTTTGGCATCTGGTTGGGTTTAGCCAATGGGAGAAAGAGGTCCTACTTGTCTCCTAGCAGGAGATCAGAGGTCGAGGTGTTTGTTCTCCCACTCTCACCCTGCTTGGTCATGGACCACAGGAACTGGGCACCTTTGCCTAAAGTTGCAGCTTTTGTTGGACAACCCTCTCCCCAGAACTCCAGCTATAGTTAGAACCACTGCTCTATCTATGTTCTGGCACCTTTTCTTTTCCCATACCTTAACGATTCTTCATAGTAATGGTTCTTGGTTGTTGTTAGCCCATCTTTTGTTGGTTTGACTTAGCTCTGTCCACAATTCAGTAAACAGTCCCTTTACCAAACTCTCCTCAGTTAGATGCTTTGAGTGTGCCATCTCTTTCCTGGAAGGTCTCCCTGGCTGATACAGGGGGATAGGCTTCCTCAAGTGCTTCTAGTTTATCTAGGGAAGCTGTCCTAATAAGCAGGAAAAATATCATCACATGGAAATGAACTGTGTGGCACTGACAGTAGTAGATGCTGAGGTCACTCTGGGAAGATGTGAGGAGGGGCCATGGGGAAGCGGTAGTTGGAGCTGTGCAACTACATGGAGGGGCCATGGGGGAGCTGTAGTTTGAAGCGTCAGAGGGAATTTGGTAACTGCAGACTGAGAGTAGAGAAAAAAGAGGCAACCCAAGGATATTGGTCCTGCATCCTTTGGTGCCAATTCATGTCATTACTGAATTTTTTCTCCCAGGGAAACTTCTTCCTCATATTGAATTTAAATCTCTGCTGTTTATCTTCAGTTATTTCCCCTCTATTTAGTGACTAGATGTAATTCTGAAGCAGGAATCAGCAAACTCTTTCTATAAAGTTCCAGATAGTAAATATTTCAGGCTCTGCAGGCCACGTGAGTAGTTACAACTGCTCACCTTTGTTGTAGGAAGAGAGCTGCCTCTGAAGACACATGATCAAATGTAGCTATTTTATTTACAAAAACACTTTAATTACAAAGACAGGCACTAGGCTGGATTGTAATGGCTATCCGCATGCATTAGAGCAATGGGAATTTTGAAAGTCCTGTTTTACGTTTCCTGGGTGCTGATTTTCTAAGTAGTGATTTGTATTTACCCTCAGTATATGTGATATGCGGGCAGGCAGAGGAACAGGTTTAGGCTGTTATCAAAGGTACATATACCCCAGTAGGAAGAATAGTAGAAAAATATTTAGAAGGCATTTTTCTAAATATTTAGAAAATATTGACATAGAGTATGTTCAGCCTTGCGGATACTTTTTCTAAATGCAAAATAGAGGTATTGCTGGTGTTGCTCAGTACAGCCTACAGCTAGTGGGTTATGAATACTAAGAAAACAAAAGTCTTTATTCTGTACTGCTTCAGATATGACTGGATCTTTCTTGACTCTCATGGTTCTCTTGTTAGACCTCCTCTTACCATAGGGATACTGCACAGAGCCCAAAACACCAGCTTCCTATAGAAGGTTTCCAGCTAGTCTAATCTCAGTCCCTTTGACCATGTCTACTGATGGAAGAGTACATAAAGTACCGTTTGCCCTGTGCCCCTGGCCACTGGGAACCTGCCAAGTTGTCCTCTGGGAAGCCTGATCTTTGTTCTCTGATATCAAGATGGTTTTGAGATTTCCCAAATGAGCATCAAGTCAGGGAGGGCCAAAGAACAAGAGGGAGTTTTTCTTTTCCTCCAACTGCCTCATTTCCCCTAACTTGTCTATTATTTCTGTGTCTCTTACATGTACTTAGAATAGAGACCATGGCCTGAGCCAGGTATCAGAAGATGGCGTGACATCTGAGGATCTAGTGAAGGCCATTTTTAGGAGAAAAGTAACTGGTGGGGAATAGACTAGCTTTGGCCTGGTTTAGCAACCTTTCCAAAATGTCACGCTGAAATATTGACTGTGCCCTCTTGAGAGTGGGTGGAGGTGGAGTTAGAGACGTGTCAGACCCTTAGACAAGTATCTACCCAGTGAATCTGTCCACCAGCCGAGCTCAGCCCATCACTGCAGGTACAGAAATGCAGGAGAGGTGCCCTGCCCACCTGTTCTCCAACAGTGCAGATCTCCGGGTCCCATGGATGGAGCTGGGAGCAGATGAGCTAGGAGGAGGCAGGGGAGGCTGGGCCAGGAGGGCACCACCCACAGGTGCTACTTGCTGCAAGTCTTGAGGGAGCCCCAAAAGAGTGGGAAGAGATCAGATCCTAACACGAAAAGTCTTGGAGGGCCATTGGAGATCTGCAGCAACACTGGTGCTGGGGACAGTCTGAATGGAGGACGGAAGTAGACTAGGTCCAAGCAGTGGACATAGAGCATGTCAGCAATGAGGATGGCAGAATCGAACATCAAAGCCACTTTAGCAGACAGCTCAGCATGTTCACTTAGTGAATCATGCATTAAGTCTCAACCAGGATGGCTTCCTTCCCTTAGTAATAGTAGCTGAAATTTATGGAGGCTTAATATAGGCTAGGCATGCTGCTCAATACTTTATATGGAAACTACCATTTAATATTTAACAACAACCCTTTAAGGTAGGAACTCTAATTACCCCTATTTTACAAATGAGAAATCTGAAGCTTAACAAGTTCATCAACTTCCTCAAGGCAATGGAACTGGTAAGAGGTAGAGTTGGGATTTCACTTTAGGTCTGGGGCTATCCCCAGACTACAATGCATCTGCACAGCTAACAGCTCTGAAGCAGAAAATTGCTTTATGCCAGTGACTGGGAGCTCCTTCACGGTGCTTCACAATGTGAAAGAGCATCAGCTACCTCAACAGGACTAGACCATGTGCATTAGCACGTCTGCTGTATCTGTGCCCACTGAGGAGCCTGCAGTTTAGAACAGTCTAGATCAGAGGGAAGCCAGACTTGGTTTCAGCAAAACAATTGACAAAGGAATGGAGGTGGGAAGGGGAGACTTATAAGGAATGTAGAATGTAGGTCTAGGTCTATTTTCTGATCTTGTGATTTTCTGATGAACCAGACCTTGGAACCAACTTTAGAAGAGATTGCGATTTATAATAGTGTGTGTGTGTACGTGCATGTGTGTGTGTACACACATACCCATATATATACAATTTTGTGTTTTTATTCATATGAGAACTGATTATGGCGTGTTCATGTACAAGGTGGAGTTATTGACTAGAATGGGAGAAGAGTAGGGAGAACCTGGTGAGCGATGGGGCACCTCCAGCATCTAGCCGTCCCCCAGCATGCAGTGGGGTTTATGACTTGAGTGATGGTCCTATCAAATGGCTGCACATTCCCTCTGCTGGGCCACTGACTGATGGAGGTGAGTAGAGGGTCAGCAGCATTTCCCCTGAGGAGATTCTGGAAGAAATGCCATTTGTCTGCCCAGCACTTGCAATTGGTCCTGCCTCCTCTGACACTGCCTGAAGGAGGATCCACCTTCATTGTGGTTGTTACTCACTCTGAATGGCTCCTTTGCTTCCTTCTCTCCTTCCTTTCATCTCTGAAAAGAAGGCAGGCTGTCATCGAAGCCACATGTTCCGGAGTTCTTATGAACACGCCCCTTCCTGAGCTGGCATAATACCTACTTCTGGCCTTTTCACATTCCCACAGGCCAGTGTGCTCTAGAACAGGGTTTCCCAGCCTCGACACTATCGACAGTTTGGACCTGATCATTCTTTGTCATGGGCGCTGTCCTGTGTATTGTAGGACGTTTATTGGGATACCTGGCTTCTACCCATTGGATGCCAGGAGCACCCCTCCCTCATTGTGACAATGAAAACTGTCTCCAGACATGGCCATTATGTTCCCTGAGAAGAAAAATCACCCCTGACTGTAGGTTTCCTGAGGGCATGGGCCATGTCATATTCACATTGTATTCCTAAAGTCTGACACATAGAAAAAGCTCAGTAAAATGAATGAATGAGTGAGTGAACTTAGCAGTGAGCAGCTGCTTATGAACCAAATACACAGTCATGGGGGTGCTGAATATGGGATAAAGGGGGCCCACATGCAGCAGGCCCAGGGTGCTGTTTGGGAAGGTTGGAGAGAGGAAATGGCATGCTGCTCTTCAGGTTTGCCCAAGGATGATTCTAGTGTGTGTGTGTAAAGTTTTTTGTTTGTTTGTTTTACATCAGAGATTATTAATATGGTGTCCTGGATTCTCTTGAGTCCCAAGGTGCTTGATAGGGGAGATTTATGAAAAGACTTCCAGGGCTTTGAATTCTTTGATATATTTTATGTTATATGCATTTGTACATTTTTCTGGGGAGTGAGTCTGTAGGTATAATTAGATTCTCACAGGAATCTGTGATGCAAAAATTGTTAGGTAGCTTCACGTGCCATTAGTGCTGACCATAGCATCTGCCCATGGATGGCTTCCCTTGCTGGAGTCATGGAGCAGGAGCTCGGGTGACACCTGTTTCATTCAGCTGTATTCAGCTGCTGTGATAAGTGTTGTCTGCCAGCATCAGAGGTAGTTCTGTGCATCCTTGTTGTCGCTGAGATCACTACATAAAAACAGGAACTGGACACATTTTGAAAGCCTTTTATAAATGCTATGTTATTGACAGATGATGAAATGAGACTGCTTCTATAGCAGAAATAAGTACAAATGAGTAGAGATGTTTGCTTGGCATGTTCCATGTGTTCTTAGGGCTCCAAGATCTGTTTGTCATTCTCCTGTTGTCTCACCATCTTTCAACAATGGGAATCATCAGATCATACAAGTTTCCATGGCAACTGAGTTTTCCGCATCATTCTCTGGCAGCCTAGGATCGTTCCCATGGCAGACTCTCTAGTGCTTTGTCCATAACAGGAGGTAGAGCTTTCATCGATCCCCTTAGAAGCTGGTCCCAAACCTAACAGGCATCTGGGTGTTCTCTCTGATAAGAGCCTGCTCTTCTTTTTCGAGTTTCTCATTGATCAGCACAGGAATGGAGTACCTACTTGGTCTGAAACACAGTGAAATGAGTGCTAAGAAATGTAAACTATGATTTCTGCTTTGCAAAGCTTTAAAAAAAATCTTGTCACATATACACTATTCAGAATACCAGGAGGTATACAGTGGTGCAAACAACAAGGCTGATGGGGTTACAAAGAGGAAGTTGTTCTTCTGGCTACATTGATCAGCGAGGGCTTCCCCAAGGAGGAGGGCTGTCATATCTTCCTCCAATAAATTGGTCCAAATTTAATCTATGGTGTCCTTGAGTTCCCTGAAGCAGAAATTTATTGAGAAAGCCACAGTGTCTAAAAGAATGGGGTGTGACTCCAGGGTGCCTGGCTTATACATGAGAAATTGCCAAGACCCTAAGCAAGGTCTACTATAATCTTGAATTATTGTCCTAACTTTCCTCTTGCCCCCTCTGACCACCCCTCCTGACTCCTCTATTAACATTCTCTTACCCCTAATTCCTGGTGCAAGGCAAAATGCATCACATAGCTAAATCATTTTCATATCTTTTCTTCTCATTCATTGATCGGTGTATGCTGTACAAACTGTATATATATTAGCTGTATTTCAGCAGCCTAGGTATCTTACACTAATTTACCACTCAGCAGTATAGTTCATTTTTATCAATTAATATTTATTAGACATCCATAGGGTTCATGGCCATGAATGGAGCAGTATTTCTCATTACTTCGTGTTGCATTGCCATGTTCCATTCCTCTGGCTCACTTTAACCAGTATTTATGATCTTTCTGCCAGTTTTCATGCAGCCCTCATCTCCAGCCCAATTTCAATTAATATTTCAAAAGGAAATCCAGGAGCCATCATATTCAAACGCTTCAGTTAACACCAGAGGCACTGCCTCCATTCTGTCCTTTTATACACTAATTTTGCAATTCTCTCCTAACATGGAATCCTATTTGTCTGGCCTGCTCCCTCTAAGCCCAAAAAGTGGTTCCTCCTGGTTTCTTTACATGCCAGGCAGTTCCAGATGTTTCTTCCTCATAAATTTCAGTTTCTTAACCAGGCTTAATGGATCATAATTGTCCATTTCCGAATATGCCCCTGAGGTTTGCTTGCCTTCTGTCTTTCCGCACCTTTTTGGTTCTTGGTTTTAAGCAGTTGTTTTCAGCTTGGTAGGTTTCCTAATGCAATTAATTCGTTGACTGCTCTCATGCACATAGATGTGTAGAGGGAAATAAAATCATTTGGTTTGGTGAATTCTGGGGTCCATCTGTCAGAGCCGGCAGATAAGTAGGCTCAAGGGCTGTTGCCCTTTCTGTGAGGAGGAGCTGTTTGCAGAGGCCTGCCGTTTTTGGAGATGGAGTGGCCATGAGGCTGGCAGTGATCCAGCTTGGGTTGGTGAACGCTGAGAGTGAAATCTGTGAAGGCACCAACTAGACAGACTGGGATGAGGCCAGTGGTGTCCTGCCTTCCTCCCGGAGTAGACTCCGGGCTAGACTGTGGGTGTGGTAGGTAGCTATGTGGAGATCTCCTGGGCCCAGTTTGGTAGGTCCCTGAGGCAGGATATCTGACCTAATTTCTGTTTGGTGAGGTGTGGTGAGAAGGAAGTGACTGAAAGAGAGAGCCTGGTCTAAAGTAGTTAGCCTTTCTCATCCTCTTAGAGGATTTGAGTAACTTCCCATCATTTGTCTACAAAGACAAAATCAGTAATATTGTTTTATTGTTTACTGCATCAAAGTCTGGGAAGGAGACACATTGCACACTCATGCCAGGTACTGGAGGAGAGTTTAATAAAGGGCCTCTTTAAAAGGGGTGGCAGGATATAGAAAGTGCAACAAGATAATAATGGAGCCTCCTGCAGCTAGAAACAGTGGGGAGTCATTGCCACTAGGCCTAGAAAGTGGCTATAGAACCATGTGGCTATAAGGAGTGAACCATTTGGCGGGAAATGCCACTTAGGTGGAGGGATATGGCCAACCGTGCTGGCCCTGCAGCAAGGGGATCGGGACGTGAACACTCCCACTTCATTCTCCTCACACTGTCTTGTCCCCTGTTGGTGCCTCCACTGGCTGAACCCAATTGGAAGCCAGAGGGAATGGGGCCCATAGAGTGCTCTGGGCCCAGACCAGGGCAGGGAAGGGTGAAGGGTAGATTTGGAGAGGCCAAACGAGTGTATCCAGCACATTGACTCTATAAAATAATATACTCTGCCACCATCTCTTCTCACATTTCTGGGCTGAGAAAACACTAGCCCATTTTTAATATTTTATTTGAAATAGATTTTTGTGTGTTGTTTTCCAGTCTATTCCCTTGGACTTGTCAATTTGGTTTCACCAGACAATTTGATGTGGCACCTTCAGAACACAAGTTCCATGTAACCAGTGACATGGTGTTCTCTTCAACAGTCCTGATAAAAGTTGTGTGATGCTGAGGTGCAGGGAGGGTGGTCTAGTGGATCGATCACTGCATTAGAACTGCGTAAGTCCTTAGACTAGAGCTGGAGTTGAAATGTTTGGTAGATGTGTGGCCTTTAGCACATTTCTTAAACTCTCTGAATATCTGTGTCTTCAATGGTGGGACACTATGATGAGGGATGTTGTCATTAAGTGAAATAAAGAACAAGGAATTGTTTTGGAGGCTGTGGCACCCTATGCAAAGGAAATACATTGTTATGACGAGAGCGGTGCAGCTCCTATCTGCTAAACTCCAAAATTTCTATCAAATATAGAAGTAGCAGTGGCAGCCTCAGGAAGAAAGCTGTATTAAGAACTTGCTGTGTGCAAAGCACTAATTTTAAAGGGCACAGTGGAAATAGATGCCCTGTAATGCAGTGGAGAGAGCATGAGTTGGCTGGAGAATGAGGCTGAACTGGATTTGAATCCCAACCTGCCTCCTACTGCCTGTGTGAGTTTGGCCATGTCACCTGCCTTCTCTGAGCCTCCGTGTTCTCATCTATTAGTAGAGGTGATCGTCTCTTATTCAAAGGGTTGTTGAGTGAATTTAGGGAAAGGACTCACAACACAAATAGGGCATGCAGTACCATGCCTGGCATGCAGACTTCTCTACCCTGGAAACATGTGGACCAGCTGATGTGGCCGTTCCAGATGGCAGCTTTCTTTGTCTGTACATGGAAGGAAGCATTCAGAAAAGATTTTTATTAATGTTTGGTTTACATATATATATATATGATGTTTAAAAGTGGAATAGCATATCCATGATGTTATCTGCCAGAAATGTTTACCCAGGTGTTTACTACAGGTCATGTCTGACCAACCTCAAATTCCTTTCTTCTTAGTTCAATTGCTCAGCAGTCCCCTATTAATGAGCTGTACACCAGACCCTCTTATATGGAGCATTCTATTTTTCTGGAAATCTTGGCCTCTTGCTCTCAACCCTGAAACCCAGCCAGTGTCTATTTATAACAGGTAATTTTATTCCAAAAGCTTCCAGAAGTGCCCATAGTCTTCCAAGCACAGGTACAATGACTCCCTGTGCACAAGGTCCCGCTGGTTCTCCTTGCTCCAGGCACCATGCTCCTGATAGAATCAGGCTGGATGACTGGCCTGAGGAACCCTCCTTTGTTTGTCTTATGCCTTCAATTGCTTTAAGCTCTGCCAGCTTAGAGCAGTGGGAGATGAGTTTTGGGGGGGAACTGGGGAACATTTCCCATCTGACTGCCTTTGCTCCGATAGGGGGAAAAAAGACTCAGAGGGGTCAAAATGGGAACATTTTTCCACTACATAGAGAGAAGGAAAGAGGAAACAGGGTCCCAGTGGCCTCTTGCCAGGCCCCAGGAATGCACCAACCCTGGGAACTGGCCCCTCGCCAGCCTCCTCAGAGGCTGCTGACTTGGGAAAACTGGCTATCTGGCTGCTGCCAAGAATGCAGACAATGGTCTTTTGGATATTCTAGCTTATGAAAGTTTGGCTTTTGTTTTATTATCACCAAAGGTAACATTTATTGGCCACCTACATAAGCATGCCAAAAGATAAAATGCATGATTGGAAGTCAGTGTAACTTGAATCAGGCAGAAACATCAGGGTTCTCTTATAGTATTTTCAGCCTGCTTCTAATTTGGGCCTAATCCTCAGCTCTGGTACATTGCTACCTTAAATGCATGTGCTGAATGGTACAGAAATTCTAGAATTAAAGTTAATTTTTAAGTGCTAAACTGAGCTATAGTATGTCACCTGGAAGGCTGGACATAAATGGAATCAGTTTGTCCAAGTCAGCCTTCACCCCTTTGCAGTTCAGGCCCCCAAACCTTGTTTTAAGAAGATTCTATTGGTGTAAACCCAGATTTATACAACAGATACACCAGGGATTGCCTTTTCTTCTTCCCAGAAAGATTCCTCATATAACCAAGGACTCACCAGAAGATTGCTTTAAATAGTTTTTAATGCATTTTAAATTGGATTTAATTTTCAAAAATTCAATTTGCAGTTGTAGTTTCCCATGGAGCTAAACCTCCAACATTAGACTTTTTTTTTCCCTCTGCAAATGGAAAACAGATCACAGAGGGTATTGTGGATTTAAGCACTTTTCCCAGGAGCCCTGAAGGTCTTGGAGAGCCCGTTCTTGTGCCCAGAGGGAGTTTCTATTCAGAGGAGGAGGAGGAGAGTGACAGCTAGGGCTCCTAGGCCTTGGTTCCTCCCTGGCAATATCTTCCTTCTTCACTCTTGACTGATTTGGTGGGGCTGATGGACAATGTGCTCTATCCTAAAGGAGAGTGACGTCCTGCAATTAATCCAGAGAAACTCTTTGGTAATTGAATATTGTTTGGAAATAACAAAAGTTCTTGTTTTAAATGAGGAATTAAGTAGGATGAGTCTTAGTATAATAGGAGCAGGAAGATGGTTCCTCCTTTTTCCTATATGGTTACCGGATCCCCATGAAAAATTGGAAAATTGGGTGTAGTGGTTGTTACAGAAAGCATATTTGGTGTCCAAAGTCCTTTGCCCAGAGAAGGTCCAACCAAAGATCACTGCCCATGTTGATAAGTGTGTTGCTGCAGGGCTTCTGTTGAAAGGAAAATGAAACTGGCTAATAGAAACTATGTATAGCTCTCCATGTCATAAAAAAAGACCCAGCTCTGCTACTAATTAGCCATGTGCTACCCTCAAAATCTTTAACCTCTTCTGAGCCTCTGTTTTCTTCTGGGCTTATATAAGGATCAGATGAGGCAAGAGCCAAAAGCAATTGTTTGAGAAAGTTAAAAGTCATACTCCAGAACAGTAAGAACTGTGATCATTTGAGAACTTAAATGGGAACAGGAGCTTTGACTCGTTCACAGTTATACCCCCAGTACAGTTGAGCAGAAAGGAGCATTCCAAGGTGTTCCATGAATGACTGAGTAAAGGAAGAAATGAATAACAGTCACTATAATAAGATAAAAACCAAGGGTTGTTGCTGGTGGGACTGGGTTTACTACCAAGTAAAGCTCTATTCCAGTAAGTGCTGTGGATAAACCATACACACTCTTGATTAACCTAACTGGCTCACCTAAACTGGCTCACCCCTGAGAGCTGAAATTGTTTCTGTCCACTCTCAGATGCCAGAAGTAGGCTCACCCAACTGGATGTGACCTAGGATCGTTTCAGATGCCTACCATCGCAACATAGAGCAAGGGAAAGGGGCCAACTTCCATCCAAGTCCCTCCTCTGCAGGGAGCCACCTCACTCCCCAGGCACACTTGGAAGCTTGCCACTCATTCATTCATTCATTCTTTCATTCATCACACGTTCATTGAACGCCTCATTTCCGAAGTACTGTGCTTCTATTAAAATCTTGAAACTATTACTATTCTTTAAAATGCGTTTTTCTTGAAAAGTCTGCAGTGCTTCTGTCATAGCTGTGGTGTGTGCCCCTGTGGGAGTCACCGGGGTGGAAGGCACAGAGGCTCACGGCATGAGGGAGGGCTGGGTCCTGAGTCTTTATCTGCTTTGACCTTTTATGAATATCAAGGATATGATGTAGACATATGGCATACAGAGGAAAGAGGGTAGAAGACTGAATAGATTTTAAGACTGGGATGAATCTCAGGACAAGCAGTGAGATATCTATATTTCTATATCCATATCTATCTATCTATTGTATTTGGCCAAAGGAAGGAGAAAAGTCATCAAACACCACCACCACACACACTAGAGGGCTGCCTTTGATCCAATGTTCTCTCCACTCTTTCAGCCCCTTGGAAATCAGCCACCATTCGTGTGGAGGTACAGAGTAAAAAAGAACCCATGGCCCATAACGTCTGCATGGAGAAGAGGTAGCAAAGGGTCACTGTCATGTCAGATCACAAGCCAAGCATGGCATTTCTTCCCTATCTCTGAAACTAGATAAATCTAGAAGATTTGAGTAGAGGCACATATAAACCAGATGCAGATATGAGCAAACTAGCCAGACAGGGACAGAGGTGGAGTCTTGAGATACTGGGGAAACCCAAGACTTTCTTCTGGGCTTATATAAGGATCACCAAAGTAGCAGTCACGGGAAATTATCACAGCAAGCGAGGCGAACGGACACTCAAGGATCTACGGAGCCTGGAGGCTCCTATAAAGCAAAGACTACATGTTGAGTATTTCATGTTACTACCACTTCCCTGTTGAATTTTGTGATTAGTGTCCTTGTCACATGATTTAGGAATTCCCAGGAGGACTAGAAAATGATAAGATGTTGTGTAGTGCTATTTCTTGAAACCAATTATTTGAGAGAATTCATGAAAAATTGAATAGAGTAAGGTTTCTCACTTGAATGAGATTCACCATCATCCAAGAGAATGTACAAATTAATCCTTTAGAAAAGTTAATAGCTTAGCTCTTGTTAATATTAACTAGTTAGATCCGAACAGAAGAACGAATCAAATCAGGATTTCTGTCTGCATTCTTTGTATACACACCTAACTAACACATTGACTGAAAAATGAATGAACACGACTTTAATTTTGAGTATATGACTAAAATGTATGAGCTCTTCATTCACATCTATAAATGCAAATAAAATATTCTGATTAGTAAAGTTAACTCGAAATTGCTGGAATCTCAGCTAAAGACCTGTCTGTGGAATCTAAGTTCCAGTACTTTTTTTTAGGTGAAATCTTCCAAAAGAAATCATTTCTATGTCTCAATTGCTAAGCTTCCCTAGATTGAATCAACAGGGCTAATTAAGGACTCAATTTTATAATGGCACTTAGGTAGATTTGCTGTGATCATTGGTGTATGAGTCTAGCCAACTCATTTAGATCACAAGCTTCTGCAGGACAATGTATTTGTAGTTATCATTCCATGTCCTCAGCTTATAGTACAATGCCCAGTGCACAGCAGAGCTCAGTAAATGCTTGACGGGTAAATTTTTCTGTCTATGGGCTCCACACGTCTGGTCCCAGGTTTGTCACTAATTGGCTGAGTCACTCCAGAGAAGTCTCAGTTTTCTTCTGAGTTTCAGCTGTACCTTCTTGTCTTTGTAATCAAAGGACGGAGCCCAGCGATCTGTCCAGTTCCTTGGAGCTGAATGATTCTGTGGTATCAAGCGCCTAGCACAGGATGAGGTCCTGCAGGGAATACTAACGAAGAAGGAAAACACAAGGTTCCAGCCATCAAAGTGTTCCCAGTACAGCTGTAGAGATGGTGTTACAAGGATTAATCAAGCATAGGGACCCCTTCCCTGTGTTGTATTTAAGTAAGGAATAATGGAAATGTCTATGATGGAATTGCAGGCATCAGTTATTAGTGAAGAGAGATATTTTATAGGGAAAGAAATCTGTCACAAGTACATCACTATCCCAATAAACTTACGTATAAAGATGATCCTGAAGAAAATTCAATATAGATTGTTTATACTGCTGTCTAAAAATGAGATATTTGCTTAAATTTCTTTCAAGTGTGTCAAGATAAATTTAAAAAATTAATTTGTAATCCTACTTTAATGTTTGAACTCCCCACTTTGCCCAAAGCTGCTCTGTTAACTTTACAATCAATTTAGGGGTGCTGTTTTGCTGAGGCCACTGTTGCCTCTTTAGGACGTGGTCATTACAGTTGTAATTTTGGTATTTGAGATTAATTATTGCCATGTCTGGTTAGCAGACCTCCCATGTGCTTTGTCCCTCAGAAGTCTTCAGTTTTCCAAAATGCTGCAGCAGAAAGACACGTGTTATTGGAGCAGTGTCTCTGGTGTGATGAGCACGCTTGAGTTGTAAGTTAGAAGGTAAAGTTTGTCAAAAGTTACAATTCTGTGAACTTCAGAGGGATAAAACCTCATTGATTTGGCAGATTTGAGGTAGACTTTCTGACTGATTTCTTTTTTAGAGAGCGGAGCATGCATCTTTTCAAATTCATATTATTGTTGAATTAATTACTAATAGAATTTATCCTCAGTGTGTTTTTCCAAACAAATAGATCACTTGTAATTGGCATTGCTTTGCAAATCCAAAATCAGACATCCACGTTCTTAAAAGCAGTTTATCCTTTTTATAAGATTCTGTGTTTTCCCCTCAAGATGACTCAGATTTTAGATTAAATGATAGAATGCATTCTAGATACATTTCTAGGTAATCAAGCCCAGACTTGGAAGTGTTTACAGTGCTTGCTCTTCTAAATCCTTGTGAATAATCAGAGAAACTATTTGAAAAATGGTGTTGTGTCAGAAACAAGTTGGGATCCATTCATTTCTGAAAAATCAAAGAATTTGCAAAATGAGAACACTGGGGCCAGGCGCGGTGGCTCACGCCTGTAATCCCAGCACTTTGGGAGGCCGAGGTGGGCGGATCATGAGGTCAGGAGTTCGAGACTAGTCTGGCCTACATGGTGAAACCCCGTCTCTACTAAAAATACAAAAATTAGCTGTGCGTGGTCATGGGTGCCTGTAATCCCACCTACTCGGGAGGCTGATGCAGGAGAATCACTTGAACCCGGGAGGCTGAGGTTGCAGTGAGCCAAGATTGTGCTGCTGCACTCCAACCTGGGCGACAGAGCTAGACTCCATCTCAAAAAAACAAAAAACAAAAAACAAAAAAGAACACTTAGACTTTTATGTCACTTTTCTTCAGCATTGAGTCTGGTCTGGTTTATGTGGTATGCCCGCTGATGAGGTGGCAAGAAGATGTGTCCACCTGGTGTTGGTTTTTTTGCATGGCCTTTTGAAAATGTGTTTATGATGTTCCATCTAGTTTGTGCATTTTTAGAACCCACAGATGACTGAGACAGAAAGACTTGGGTATTTCCCTTTTCTGTGATAGACGTTTAACGTGCAAGTAAGCTTTGCAAGTTAAATATTTATCTCATGTCCACATAATAAAAACTTCTTACTGAAAGCTGGCTCATTTTACCAATTTGGTACTGGGTCTCAAACCAAAAAACAGCTCATATTCCTTTGGTATGAGCCTTTGTGTGACTTTAACCACATCTGCAAAATCACAAACAAAATGATAAAGCCATTTATATCTGGCAGCCGCAGTCCAGAATTGAAATGTTACTGGTAACTTCACAGTATTACATAGCCACCTACTCCCCATGCAAAGTAAATTGTCTTGGGTTGGCCACCTGTATTAGAACTCAGTATTGCCAGTTAGCAGTTCCTTGATTCAGGAGGTCGCCAACCCAGGCATGACTGCTGGATTTCCGAAAGGAGTGCATTATTCTTGGAGCCATAAAACAATTGTATCTGTGGAAGCCAAGATAATGAGTATTAAAGCTTGTGAGGTAATTGTGTCAAACTGCCAGGTGTGAGTTGATCACTTCTTGGAGAAAGAGTACAAACTCCTTCACCTTCTCTACACCTGCAGGTCAGCACAGCTGAATGAAAGACATGGTGAAAATCACTTCCTTCTTTTACAGTATGTCTTTGCTGTGTTTACTCTTCTTTCTCTCCCTCTCTCCCTCCGCGTCTCTCTTTTCTTTTTTTTTCTTTCTTTATTTTTATGGATGCATAAAAGTTGTACATATTTATCTTTTCTTTTTTCCCATTTTTCCCTTCTCCCTGTCTCCCTACCATTCCTCTTTTCTCCTTCCCTCCCTCCCTCCCTTCCTCCCTGCCGCCCTTTTCTTCTTGGCTGCCTGCCTGCCTGCCTGCCTGCCTGCCTGCCTTCCTTCCTTCCTTCCTTCCTTCCTTCCTTCCTTCCTTCCTTCCTTCCGTTTTTCTCATTCTTTCCCTTCCTCCTCCCTTTTCATCCTTTCTTTCTTTCCCACTTTTACTCTGCTCCCTCTATTTCTCCCTCATACACATCCTGCCTAACTGCATGTAAATGTAAATATCCTGAAAGGAATCCAGGAACATGTCTGGGTCCCCTCCCCAGCCTTTTGCAGCAGTTTGCTCTGACCCTAACTTCTGAATGATGAAGCTCTGGAAACGACCAGAGCTTGCTCTTCAACACAGTAGCCACAGCTCTCAAAGGCTAAGCTTTTACAAAAACAGCCACAAATGTCGGGCATATGTTCCTTATGGATATCTTTTTTTCCTCACAAAAACCGAAATCACTAAAACCTAGCATGAAATTTCAAAGGCTTGGTCCCTATGAGAAGCTACAAGATCAGAGGAGTGGAGAATTTTGAAGCCAGAAGGCTTGTTGGATATCTGAATAGATATTAGACATACGCATGGCTCTGGGGACTGCATTTGCTCATTTTCACCATTGCGGGTTGTGTTACCTGGGGTTCTTTCTATCTTTGAGAACACAGAGATAAAATCCCCAGTAGTTTTTTCTGCATTGTTTACCAAAGACAGGGGCCTGTATCTAAGCATGGTTAACTCTGCTTTGAACTTCTTGTTTGCCTTCTTCCCTTCTGGTCACAGTCATATATAAAATTTGAGAACGCTGAAATTGCCCAAGGAACAAACAAACCTATTGGAGGACTAAACAAACTGCCACATGGTTTCTGTGCTTGGAAGCAGCAGGCAGCAGATCCGCTTCTGTTTGAAGCAGCTTTCTGTTACACAGGACAAGGATCCTATAGGACAAGGCGATTAGTGAGAAGCCATAGAAGGAATGTCTTGGAAAGTGAAGGGAGGCAGCACCATTGTCAGCTCCCTGTTACCTCCCAGGAATCTTCCTAATGGGATGCTCTGTGGTAGGAATTTGGGCTGTGAAACCTATTTGTGAGGATCTTATTCAGCCCATTCATAGCTTGCTCCTGACTGAAACTTGGCATGCTGAACTCTCAGGCAGGAAGCCATAGCAACCCATTTAATACCAATGTTAAAAACAGTCTCCTTGTAATTAAGGGAGTATTAAGAAAACAGAGCTTCTGCCTCATTTTGGCCCAAGCTCAAAAGATGATAAGCTGTGTTGTAGTAGGGCTTTTTATTTTTTCTTAAATCAAATTTTGACAGTCCTTTATCCTTGAATGTAGATGAGACACTCCTGATATTTGGGAAATAAATGTGTTGCATTAAATTGTCAATGCTAATCTTTTAAAATTGGCAATTGCTTTAGCTCAGTTATATGCTCTATAACCCTATCAATCTGTATAGTGCTCAGTTTCCATGGGAATAAGCTTTGCACGTTCATTCAGCCCAGAATATGAATTAATTCAGGAGGCTGTGGTTGTGCTGACAGTAAGTGCTAAGTAATTCTCCTGATAACTGGAAATATCATCTGTGTTGCTTTGTTAGAGAAACATTTTCCTGTTTTGTTGTTATTGTTTTCCTCAGATGTCTAATCTTATGGTGCCTACTTTTTGCAAGAAACACTTCTTTGCAAATATACTTGGGAAGTTTTTTTTAATAAAACAACTCTGAATCTATTATAAGAGCCTCAGTGGCTCTCATAGGTGGTCAAGTTTTTCCGAATAGATGCCAATTTTCCCAGTACAGTAGTTCTCCAGCTTGAGCATATAAATACATCAGAATCACCTGAAAGACTCATTAAAACACAGATTACTGGCTCTAACCCCAGAGTTTCTGATTCAGCAGATCTGAGTGAGGCCATGAATTCGCATTTCTAACAAGTTGCTGATACCCATGCTGGTGGGCTAGAGCTCACACCTTAAGAATCACAGTTCTAGTCAATGTGAAGTTGCCACAAAGCTCCAAAAGCATTTTTGTAGTAGTTGCTATGTGGTTGGTACAGTCCTAAGTTTTATGAGATGCATTTTCTGTCTTGATAATATATAAGTTACATGCAAAATCAAGAGGAATAAAAAATTCGTCCTATAAATGGCCAAGGGAAGGGAGATGAACATGAGCTGAAGGACTCAGCAGACTTTGAAAAAGATGTTGGACTGGAACTGACCATAAAGGATAATGAGAAATGGAACTTTCAGAAAGGTAATTTTCAGTAAGAAATGAACAAGTAGCTCAGGATTTTGTCCCAGAGGTGCCCATGTATCACCTACAGGGTTAACAGTTTCTTAGGTGAGGAGGGTTTCCCTTTTTCTGCAAGATTTTATTTTCTTTGTAATCCCTTCGTAATCAATCAGGGACTCAAGAAGATTCAAGGGCTGATTTGTTAAGCAAGTAACGTCTGCATGTCTGTAAATAATGTCAAAAAGTTGACCTGGTTTACTAACATCATCATCTCCAAAAGCATTTAATTAGATACATTTGACTGAAACAGTGGTTTAAAAAAATTTATAACCTTGAATACTGTCAGATTTTGTGCATGCTCCTGGCTTGAATAAACTTCTGAATAAACACATGATCTGTCAAAGCAAGTGTGTTGTTTAATTTAATTTAGATTTTGAGACATCCTGACACTATATGAGGCAGGCATAAAATTTTGCCTGAGAGTAACCAGCAAGGAAATATTTTACTATTAGTATATTTAAAATGTAATTTTCAGCTGGTAATTCTACCCAGATCTACTATTTACACTACCCAGATGAGTTAGCAGGTTTATTCCTAGGTATGACTAGTTAATCTTCCACCTTCCCCCTCCACAGACATGTCTCTGGACTGAATCCTTCTATATCATCCTGTTATTCAGTAGTTCGGAGCTTTTTGTGTGCCTGAGTGACTACAGTCCTTCAAAAACTGGCTGTCATGAAACAGTAGTTGCAGTAACTGAAGGAGCTGCTCTGTCGCTGGACTTCACAAATCTTGGATGAGTCTAACAATGGTTTGAGGGAGGTAATGGCTGGTTTCCAGTTTATTCTGCATGTGTAGATCTGTACACAGTCCCTGTGCCTACTGCACTAAGCGTCAGTGTGTTTCTGTGCTAAGCAACTGGTTTTCCTATGCAATCAAGATTGCCTTTTGGAATCGCGTGTAGGGTGGAAGTCTCGAGGCAACAGGTCAAACTCTGTAAAATATTTACAGAGGTTTATTCTGAGCCAAAAATGAGTGAGAAATGGACTGTGACATAGTCCCAGGAGATCCTGAGAACATGGGCCCAAATGGTCAGGCTACAGCTTGGTTTTATACATTTTATGGAGATATAAGACATCAATCAATACATGTAAGATGTATGTTGGTTCAGTCCAGAAAGGCAGGACAACTCAAACTGGAGGCTTTTAGATCATAGGTGGATTCAAAGATTTTCTGATTGGCAGTTGGTTGAAAAAGTTATTATCTAAAGACCTGGAACCAATAGAAAGGAATTTCTGGGTTAAGATAAGGGGTTGTGGAGACCAAGGTTTTGTTGTGCAGATGAAGCTTCCAGGTAGCAGGCTTCAGAGCTCTTATCATACCTTAAAAGATGCCAGACTCTTAGTCAGTTCTCTCTTGGATCAGGGAAAAGACCTGGAAAGGGAAGGGGATTCTCGACAAAATGTAGATTTTCCTCTACTTTGCAGGGCCATTTCAAAGTATGTCAAAAATATATTTTGGGGTAAAATAATTTCTTTTGGTGCCTGCTCTCTGACATGTATGGCTATACCAGAGCTAGGCTGGAACTGGGTGTCTTATTGCTATAAAAAGTCTATTTTATCAGTCTTAACATCCCTGCTTTAATGTTAAGGCTGGTTAGTTGTACCCGATTTCCATAGAGAGGAGGGTATAATGAGGCATGTCTGACCGCACCTTCTCATCATGGCCTGAAGTCGAGTTTCAGGTTTACTTTGGAATGCTCTTGGCTAAGAGGGGGCTCATTCACTTGGTTAGGAGGCTTAGAAATTTATTTTTGGTGTACAGACAGAAGTATGGAAAATGGATTGAAGGGATGCAGGACTTGAGACATTGAAACTGGCTGGGAAGTACTTCTGTTTGTTTAGGGAAGACTCAAGAAAAGGTGGAGCTGAGGCAATGACATGGAAATGCAGAGGAGAAGGTCATTAGGAGAGAAAAAAACTGAGATATCTTGGTGAACAAAGGTAAAGGTAAAGCCCTAAGCCCAAGGTTTTGTATAAGACAGAAATTAGGCCTTGATAGCAGTGTTGTTGGTAAGCCTGTATGGTTTTTGGCTATATGAGAATGAACACTTAAGGTACAATGAAGGGTCTGTCTCAAATTGCAGAGGCAAATGGTAAAACAGAAATGGAAAGGGGTCCCATATGGGCCTCTTACTCCCAATTCCAGATGCTGCATCAGTGCAACGGCACTGTCTCTGAACAAAAAGGCCAAAGCATGAGTTCCACATAGATCAAGTTAAAGGGCTACCAACTTTTTCTCACAAACCCAAACTTTCCTGATGTCAGAATGATTTCTTGGACAAGCAAGAAAGTCTTGACCTCTCTCCCTTTGCCTAATTTCCTCCCACAGAGTGATAAGTGCCCTTGGGTGATGGAGAGCCAGGGAGCAGCTGGCCTTGGGCCTTCCAGGTGCTCCTTTTGTCACTATTTTTTCTGCCTGATCTTTGTCACATCATTTAACCAGCCTGCTCACTCTTCTTTCTTGAGATGGCATTGCCCATTCTAATGTATCACTCTTCTGTGTACTATAAGCAAATGGAAACATTAGCTTTATAAACTAACTAGTGAACCATGTTTAATTGTGTAGATGACGATGACTAAACACAAACTGCTTTGCAACTGTGATATAAAATGAACCTGGAATTAAGCAGGGAAACTCAAAACAGGATTCTCATTTATTCATTCCTTTTTGGGTTTTGTTTCAATATTTGTTAAGTACATACTATGTGCCAGACACTGTTCTCAGTGTTTGAGACACATCAGTAAACAAAATTCTTTACTCCCGTGGTACCTACAGATTGAGTTACAGAATATTTTAGTAGGACCCAAACTATTACCAGTTTTCATATGCTTGCCAAAGTCATGGTGAGGGTTACGTGATAGTCTTGAAAAAGAATAGTATGAAGGTATTAGTATTTAGTCACTGGCTAATGGTAATTGTTATTTATCAGCTACCTTTTCCCTATGCCCATCTTCTTCCTGCTTTATGGACCTGTTGTATTGACATGCATGCCTGTCAACTGTTATACATCTGGCTCTCTCTAAAACACACTGAAGTGTAACAGCAAAATGTAAATTCTGTCAAGGCCAGAGTACATTTAGAATTGCATAAAGTCGCTGAGCGAGTCTGTTAGGGCACAGTGACCTTCCCTAGCTACACCCAATTTTACACTGCCACTTAGTGAGATATTTTTAATGTCACTTGAACTGTTTCAGGTAGAAGATCTGAGGCTGAAATAAATACAGAGTAATTTGTCAGGTTTGCCAGTGCAGAGGTTGTTAATGACCTTCATCTTGGAAAGAAATACATTGTTTTCTGATAGCCATGTGTTGAGTCACATGTACCTTAAACACTGGCCCTCCCCTTGTGACTTCTGTTCTGGGCAACAGCAAGATGGCTTTCACCACTCCCTGGTCTTCCAGTCCAGGAAGGAGTTGTCAGAGAAAGGTACTGAAGCACTGAGTCTATGAATTCCTTGTTAAATAAATTGTGGATTCATGTAATTGGATTTTATATTAGATCAACAAGAGTTGAAAAATCACAGGATCAGAATTTTAGAACAGAAAATGCTTTCTTCTTTCCATATACAATCTCACAGGTTATATATCTAACATCCCTGTGAGATTGGCATAATCATGCCTATTTTATAG
Organism: Homo sapiens; assembly: GCF_000001405.40. Taxonomy (NCBI): domain Eukaryota; kingdom Metazoa; phylum Chordata; class Mammalia; order Primates; family Hominidae; genus Homo; species Homo sapiens. The sequence continues at coordinate 133,492,630 of NC_000002.12, read as the reverse complement.
ATGAGGAAACTGAGGCTTGGAATAATTAAATTACTTTGGTTCTTGGTCATATAACTAGTTAGAGACAGAACCTAGAAGGGAATCTATTTCTGATCGTTCCAGATCCAGCGATTTTTGGAGTGTGTTGTGCTCCCTTCAGAGACCACGCACAGGAAGCGTTGTGTTATAAGGTGCTATGAAATAGAACTGAAAATCACAGGCACAGTCCCGCTTTCCGCAAGAACCCACAGACCTGCTGGCCTCACTCCTGTTCCCAAACACTGTCTTCATATACTACATCTTCTTTACAACTATACTGTAAGGTACCAATGTTGTCATCCCCATTTTACAATTGAGGCTGAGAAACTAATTTCACTTATGTGGTGAATGGTGGGGCTGAATTAGTGGGTGGGGCAAATCTTTCTTGACTCCAAAGCCCGTATTTTCACCGGGAGCTTCTTTGGTGACAAGATAGACCTTAACACACACACACACACACACACACACTAACTAGATATGGCATAGGATACAGGTAGAGCAGGGATTGGGGGCAGGATGGGAGATGCATCAGAGATGGGAGCAAGCATGCTGGCCTGGAGTGGCTGGGAAGGCCTTACAGAAGAGCTTGCAGGGGCAGGAGCTCCTGGAGAAGGTAACATAGAGAAGAAATGGAAAAAGCCCTGTTTACCATATGAGTAGTAAAAATGCGTGAAGGACATTTATACACAGATTTATTGCAAAGAAATACATATTTTCACAAGCTTCTGTCAACAGAAATAAACAAATTACAGACCTATATGTGGCAAACAATATGCTGAACTCCTGACCTAACGGTCTCTGCGGGAAGTGACTACTGTCTCTTGCCTCCATCTCAGCTCTGCCCATGTGGCTTTAGTCACTTTGGTCATCTTATGGCCCTTCAACTATGCTCCCATCTCCTTAGCAGAAAAGCTGGCTATTCCTTCACGTCTTGTCAAAACTCCCTCCCTCACTTCATAGGGATGGAGAAGAACAGATCTATTCTGATGTATTCTGGGAAAGGAGTAATATTCTATCTGTTAACATATAGAATATCAGAAGAATAGAGATGGTGTTTTGAATTTTAGATAGGGTCTTTTCCCATTGCCCTCTGCTGTTCCTGTCTTTCCCTAGCCTACGTTTGCTTAGAGGTGATCTTGGATTTAATCATAACCTTGGTGACGCTGTTGGACCTCTCTGCACACAACATTGTTACCATGAGGCAGGTCTTAACCTCTCTGCTCCACCACCCTCCCAGACAGCCTTCCCTGACCACCTTATTAGAAGTAGCTCATGCTGGGCCATCAAGAACCCCACTTCCTGTGATAGTTGGATTCAGAACAATGGTCATTCCCGGACATTACATTCCTATTTATTTACGTGTGTATTATCCATCTCTTACACAAGGTGGCAAGCTCAAGAGCAGCTGTATTGCCCATTCTCTGATGCCTAACATGGCAAACCATAAAAGCCCAAGAAATATTTATTGAACACATGAATGAATGAATTGATGACTATTGAATGATAGGAGTATGAACTCATAGATGAATGTGAGATCACTTTGAGAATTTCTCATCTTCTCTGTCTCTTACATCCAAATTCTTTTCTTCTCCTGTTTCCACAGCTTAGCATTTCCCTGAAGTTTCCTCTGGTTCTTTTGGAAAAGTAAGCAGGCTTACCTACTTTAGATCTCTCCTTGAGGGAAACTTACTCCTCTTAACAGAAATCATAAAACTTACATTATAAACTTGGCAAATACAAAGCAAACAGCCAGAGCTGGAGTCCACAAAGAAAACTTGGCTAAAAATGAACACTTCCTTGGAAAAACTTGTAGTCAATTGTGTCAGTTCTGTTTTCCTGGACCTAGCAGCCTGGGTCTGCCTCGTTCTGTCCAGCACTATGAAAATATGGGTGTGTGCTCAGTGATTGCCCATGAGGTGCCTCCTATCCCAGTGTCCTCACTTGACTTTGCTTCTGATCACATCCTCATCCCTCAGCTTGGGACCTTTTCACCATTATGCTGACCGTGCAGAAATAGAGATAGTGTTTTGAATTTTAGGTGGGATCTTTTGCCTTTGCCCTATTCTGTTCTTGTCTTTCCTTAAGCTTCATTTGTTTAGAGATGCTCTGGGATTTAATCATAACCTTGGTGATACTCTTGTACTTTTCTCCACATAACATTGTTACCACAGGGCAGGTCTTAACTGCTCCGTCAGTAGAAGTAAGAAATCTAAAAACAGGGTTGGTAGGATTTGTATGTGTTGCTTTTCTGGATCAGCTTTGGAATCACCTGGGAATAGGTGGGTGTTCCCTAAAGGATCTAGAAAAACTAGCATCGCCGTAACTACTCTCCATGGACCACACTTGGCCTGGCTGGGGACCAGACTCCACTCAGGAAATGAGAGTGAGGGTTGCTCAACACTTGGGCTGTACCCAATTCCAGGGTTATAGCCGTTGATGCTGGGCAGAGGGAGGGCTCTGTCATGAGTACTCCTCATTTGGATATTCAGGAAATTATGTTGAAAATGAAAAGATGCCAAGGGTTGTTCCCTGACCATTTGTAGAACTGGGATTCTGTCTTGGAGATCCTGTGGCCCCTGTTCTGTCAGCATCCTGAGCCTATTTCCCCTCAGCCCTCTCCACAACCACCTTTGCCTGGTGCCCTGGAAATCTCCCCTTTAGAGCCCAGCTAGTTCCTGGTGTGAAATCTGATCCATAGATTTACAGAGTTGGTTATCACAGTTTCTACCACTTAGTTGGAACCTTTGTGTTCCTGTGTGTTCTGTTGTCCTTGGAAGGTCCTTAGGTACATTTCTGTCACCGTGTCCATTTCAAATGGAATGGTCCAATGTCCAGGGCCTTGGGCATTTAGCCAGATTGACTGAGTGCTCCACAAAAACAAATACAAACACACAAACAAACAGAACTCTCATGTATTGTATTGTGATTTTATTGCACGAAGATTTAGGTCATTCAGGGTTTACTTTAAAATACAGTCAAGTAGTTACCTGGACAAATAAAATGAAGGGGTTCAATGGAAGATTGTATAAGTTTAGTGCCACTTAAAAATCCTATGATTCTATTTTGCTGTAAGAAGACTACATCAATGTGTGTTAGAAGTAAAAATTGCCCCTAAAATACCATTCTATCAAAGCCTTGCTTCCATACAGAAACTCACATGAATCCTTCTGAATGGATGACTGTGTATTCTCCGACTTCTGCTAAGAAAGATCCCCTATGAAACACATTTTTGAATCTCTGTCTGCCTGAATATCAAATAGTCCCTCAGAGTCTCCTCTCACTCAGGATGATTTGTCCCATGGGGCCCTTTCAGATTATCTAACCCCTGTGTCTGCAGAAAAGGCTGACATTGTGTGTTAGGTTCCTCATTTCAGATAAGTATGTATGCCTATAGTTTCTTTTTGTTAACTAATTTCTCAGCACAGTTCAAATGCAGAAGAACCAAATAAAACATCTTATCTTCCTATGAGATTGCCAAAATGGAGATGTACTATGTCCCCCTTAACTACCTGCCGACTTTTTCTGAGATTGAGTCTCCCTCTGTGGCTCAGGCTGGAGTGCAGTGGCACGATCATGGCACACTGCAGCCTCAAACTCCTAGTCTCAAATGATCCTCCTGCCTTAGCTCCCCAAGTAGCTGGGACCACAGGCATGCACCACTATGCCCAGCAATTATTTTAAATTTATTTTTTATTTTTTGAGATGGAGTCTTGCTTTGTCACCCACTGGAGTGCAGTGGCACAATCTCAGCTCACTGTAACCTCCACATCCCGGATTCAAGTGATTCTCCTGCCTCAGCCTTCCAAGTAGCTGAGACTATAGGTGCGTGCCACCATGCCCGGCTAATTTTTGTATTTTTAGTAGAGAAGGGGTTTCACCGTGTTGGCCGTCTTGATCTCTTGACCTCATGATCCGCCCACCTTAGCCTCCCAAATTTAATTTGGTAGAGATGGGGTCTCCCTATGTTGCCCAGGCTGGTCTCAAACTCCTGGGCTCGAGCAGTCCTCCTGCCTTGCCTCCCAAAGTGCCACTGTACTCAGCCTGCCCCTTTTTCTGAAGGGAGGGGTAAGGGAAACACTCCATATGCCTAGACTGGATGGAAAAATGTGCGTTTGTTGCCCTAGGGAGCTCTAACTATAAAATTGGAATCCCAGTTTAAAATGTTGAGATTTACTCACTAATTGGTCTACATTAGGGATTTAAGGCTGATTTTTCCATGCTTGATAGAGCTCTAGTCAATGTCTGATCAACAGCCACCAGCACTTGTTGGAAGCCCTTTGACCAGCCCTTGCTAGAGGTCTTCTGATTTGGTTGTTTTGTTTGCTTTTCATCAAAGATGATATGGTGATTCAGGAGGTCAAGGGACCTGAGAAAATCAAACAAAAAACACTTCTCCAAGCTAAGTAAAGCATTCCATGAATATAACATTAACAATAATAATAGATAATATGTATATTAAGCACTTAATCTGTGCTATGCACTTTGACAACTACATTTAAAATTCATAACTGCATTTCTGTCTCCATTTGAGAAATATTTTAAAAATTAAGTTCAGGGAGAGATTAAGGTATATACCAAAGGTCACAGATCAAACCCTCAATAAAGTGAAAATGCAGTTCTGTTAAAGTGAAAATGCAGTTCTGTCTGGCTCAGTACCTGACTTTTTACCTACATGCTAAATGGCTTCTGTTGGAGCCCATGCACTCTGCCATCTTGAATTTGTGATCCTTGGCAAGAACCTACAGGGGACTCCATGAAAGACAGGGGAAATTTGGTGGTCGTGGGTCTTTGAGAACTGGACTTTACGTCTTTCTGGGTGCTACTGCTGTAGCCTGGGGTGGGTAAGACCACTTTCTCACCATCCTCTCAGGCAGCTATTCTAGGATAGGGGAAGGAAGTGGCCATGAAGCTGGGTGTGTTTCTTTTTTCCTCATCTTCAGACCACTGAATGCCCTTCTCCAGGGGACTGATACATAAATACATGGAGGGTATATCCAGTGTTTCTCCCAACTCCCCCCTGCCTAATAACCACATTCTATACTTTCATACAATGTGACATTTTTAGAATCAGGATGAATTTTTAGAGACCGCTTAATCTCTATTGCCTCCACCCCCTGACCATTCTATGGTAGTGGCCTGGAGACGGTAAGGGGTATGCTCTAGAAAACACAACTAATTAGCAGCAGAGCCAACAACATTCTTGACTTTTACAGCTCCCACTACAGTGCCCTTTTCACACCACCCTATCATTTCTCAGAGGTAGACTTTTCAAATCCTGCCCTTTCTTTTTTGCCTTCCTGCTTATTTTAAGTTTCTCATTGTTTAAAAGCATCTCCTCCCTAGTCTCTCTACTCCTCCTGAGTTTTCCTCATTTTTCCCTCCATTGTGTCTATAACTCTTCCTGTGCTATTTTTGAAGGCACACGAATGTTGAATAACGTCCATTCCTACAGCTAGTGTGAATTTGTATTTTCTTTGTGGCTGGGGAGGGTATGAAAGAAATGTGGGCTATGAACAGCTGTTACTGAGTTCTCCAAACAGGAAAATGTCCGGGCTATTTTTGAGCCAGTCTTTCAAAGACACAGGGCTGGGCACTGCCTTTTACTCCTGCAGTGTGCTGGGCTGAGTTTTCCAGGGTGCGATTCATACAAGCTGGAGTCATTGTTTCTTTCAGGGCTTGTTTCCCTCAAAGAAGGTCCCAGCCAATGACAGCTCTTATGAAAAAGTGTGGGAAGACTGAATTACAGGAAATACAATGACCCGTTGAATGAACTGGTGTCCATCAATGATTCTAGGGAATAGCTTACTAATTGTTTTTATGAGAACAAAAACAAACAGCTCCTCATAATGCCTGACACTATTTAGTTACATCAAAATCTTGGCCTTCTGCAAAATTGCTGAGAGAAAAAAAATATTTGTAGACGTTCACCACTCAAGCTGTCACAGAGTCAAAATTTCTGATAATCTAATGAGGTAAATTCAGCTGACTGAACTGATTTCTGTGATTCACATGTGTTGAATGCTAAACCATCTGTAATTTCCAATTCTGTTTCAGACTGTATGTTTAAGGGCTTTCCTACTTTAAATCACAGGTAGGTATAGGAGGGATTGCCAAGAAGGTACTTCAGGTGATGGAACAAGTGCTTGTCATCACTGTCACACAACTAGCCTCACTGCATGGGGGTTTGAGATTTCATCCCAAAGGAATAGTGAAAATGACGATGCAGCCACTGTTGCTGATAAACAACAACAACAGTGAAATATCTCAAATGCAATTGAACAAAGAACTGAAGTGTCTAACCTAAGACCTTTCTTCTTTAAAAACAAATAAGCGGAAAAAGGCATGTGATGTCTACCTACTTCAGCATTTAGTATAGTCACTGGCAACTTGGCTTTCTGAGAAAGAATGCAATGGATTATACAGAGTGAGCAGAGACCAACTGTGCTCTGTTCTCTTCTGTGTGATCTATTCCGTGTTTTCTCCTCCATGTAATATATTCTTTGTGGACTTTGTCACTATCCGTGTTTACATAAGCAGTCCTTTGGTATAGACAGGGACTTGGGGAGATGGGTGGGAGGCAGTGCGTGCACACATTTTCCAATTAACTACATGACTGGAGAGGGATTCACTCAATCCTCTTAGGCCATAGTTTATCCTTTCAGATGGGCATGTGATACAATACATCATCCCATCTGCCTCATAGTGTTGTTGCATGTATCATCTATGCAACTGACCCAAAGACATACTGGAAAGTTACAAGTGTTGCCTCAGTGTAAAGAAACAGCTTGTTAGTAGAGTTGATTAATACTGGACTGACACCCTCCTCCCCACCCCCAGTATGCAGCAAATAAAATGCTACAGAAGATGTTTTCCATCACTAGTGATATATTTAAGTGAGTTATCCATATAATATTGGGTTCCTTTGTAACCAACACACACTTGGGTGAAGGGCTGAGTTAATAGTTCATTTTGTGGCCATGAAACACTTTTTCTATGTGAAGCTGATGTGCCGATCGATGACTTCAGTTTCTGATTTTGACCTTGTCACTAGTTCCTAGCCAAGTGATAATACTGACACTAGGGCCATATCTCTTTAGACTCTAAAGTTTGGAGACCCTATTAGTTTTCTTGGAAGATATATAGTTCTGCCAGCAAACTTGGACACTTCCTCATAAATATGGTCATCTAGAAGCTGCCAAAATCTAATAAGATTGATCAGTTTCATGCTAATGGGTAAATCAGTCCATTTAGAGAATTCTTGGAATGCATGGGCCATCTGTTGTTCCACATTTTAGGGAATTAGAGGGCCAGGCGTGCTGTCGGGGGGAGGAAAGACTCTAGCCTAAATGGTGACTGTCTCAACATTTTCCTTTTCTTTTGCAGAAAAGATATAAACGTAATTACATACCAATGTTTGTTTCTTATTTGTCCATTTTCTTTATAAATATAATATCTTTGTGGTCACGGGACATATTTGTCTCATTCCCTACTTTTACTGAGCACTGACCTCATTAAGGCACATTGAAGGGCCTTGATGGCCAAGTAAATGAATGATGGAATGATAGGCATATACTACATCAAGCCAGAAAGGGTTTGACTTCTTTCGTTTGCAGATGAGGAAACTAAGCCACAAAAATATTAATGATTAGCCTGATTTTGCATATTCTGTTAGTGTCAGTGCTGGGACTACCATCTAGATTTCTTGACTTAGTCTAGGGTTGTCATTATACCATGGTCATACTGGTCGAGTATCCTTTATCCAAAATGCTGGAAAACAGAAGTCTTTCAGATTTCAATTTTTTTTTGATTTTAGAATATTTGTATATACATCATGAGATATCTTGGGATGGGACCCAACTTCATTTATATTTCACATACACCTTATACACACAGCCTGAAGGTAATTTTATATAGTATTTTAAATAATTTTGTGCATGAAGCAACATTTGTGTACATTGAACTATTAGAAAAGCAAAGGTGTCAGGTGTGGAATTTTCCACTTGTGGCATCATGTTGGTGCTCAAAAACTTTTTAATTTTGGATTTTGGATTTTGGGATTAGGGATGTTTAACTTGTATTAGGATTAATCCATCTTGTCATGTTGTTCTATGTGTAGCTTCTTAGTTCTAGGGAATAAATTAGAAAGGGATGGGAAATGGCATCGTTTCCCCTGCATTGGGAATCAGGACATGCCGGCTTGTGAGCAACACCAGGTGGCTCTAGGGAAGAACTTACTCACTATCGGGATCTTGAAACACCAGCAGTGGACTCTCTCTGCTTTGAAATTCCTAGAAGCAAATCATAACCACATGAAGACAAGGACTGGACCAGATGGTTTCTGCTGGTCCTCTCCAGTTTTCTGACTCAATCCTGAGGATTCAGCCAAGATAGAAATAACTTTCCATCTTCCCCTCAGGCCTGTCTTCATGCTCTTAGAGGTGCAGTTCTGATAGAAGAGCAACAGTCACTACAGCAATAAAGGATCTAGACACTGGTGGGCAAATCCATCATGCAAGGGCCTTTTTAAGCTTTTCAAAGAGCTTTTTCAAAATGAGGGATTTGGACAAAATAATAGCCAAATGATTCCCCATCCAGGCTTCACTTCCAAAACATAAATCCAAAGGAAATTAATAGAATAAAATTATAACCACAGGCACTAAAATGTTAACTGCTTAGATAGTATTTAATGTTCCAACTCCACATTCTAGCCATGGTTTTCAAACCTGGCTGAATATCAGGATCACCCAGGAAATTTGGTCCAACTTGCCAGAAATTCTGCTTCAATAGATATGGGGGGAGACCATGCAATCTTCATTTTTATTAAAAGTCCCCTGAGCGATTCTAATGATCAGCTACTTTGGGAAGCCACTGTTCTAGAAAATCTCAAGAAGGTTTCCAAATGGCAAGTTCTATTTTTGAACCCATTGTTTAAAAGAAAGCCCGTTGTTCTGAATTCTATTTTAAGAGAGAAAAAGCCCCCCCCCCTTTTTTTTTGCAGAGTATTAGCAAAGTTCTCAAAAACGTATTAATCTTTAATAAAATTCTGGATTATCCTGAGCATCTTTTCTTTTGTAAACCCAACAGAGGGTAAAACACACACACCCAAGGAGGGTGGGGAGAATCTTGGACTCATTTGCAAGTTTCTAAGTCAGTGGATTTTTATGATCTTCTTGGCTTTTGGTCAGCTAGACTTAGACTGCTCCTGTATGGAGAGAGTGTTGGGAGCCAAGGAGTCTCAACTTTGTTTCAACAATTCTTTAGAGTAGTTTATGTAAAATATTAACTTGTGAGATAGACTTGCACATCTGGTGAAATCATGACAGTAAAAGATACAACAGATTAAGAATTAACAAGGACCAGATGCACCATAATAATGTAGATTTTTCCATTTGCAATTTGGGATGCAGATTTTAGAAAAATGGCCACTTTTCAGGGATATACTTGTGTATTTGGAGCTACTTAGTAGATAGAATGATAAATGATAGAAAAACAGATGATAGATAAGAAGAAGGACAATAGCTAGATAGATAGATAGATAAAGGAATGTTAAAAATACTTGAACTCAGTATGAATCTAACCCATTTAATTAAAGTGGCAATGGAAAGCTGTATGATTTAGTGGGCAAACAATGTCATGGAAAAATGAGATATAAGTTTAATTTTTGCATCGGTTCTATAGTTTCTCACCTGGAAAAGAGAAAACTGTATCACAGGAGTGGTCCTTACATGAGAGACAAAAAAAGACAACGATTTCAATGAGTTGGTGGGTTAGAGTAATAGAGAAGTTATTAAAAAGAAAAAAAAATAACAGATGTTGGTAAGGATTCAGAGAAAAGGGAACTCTATTACACTGTTGGTGGGAACACAAACTAGTAAAGCCACCATGAAAAACAGTATGGAGATTTCTCAAAAATCTAGAACTAGAATTATGATTTGATCCAGCAATCTCACAACTGTATATCTACCCAAAGGGAAAGAAATCAATATATTAGAGAAATAATTGCACTCACATGTTCATTGCAGAATTAGTCAAAATAGCAAAAATATGGAATCCACTTAAGTATCCATCAGTGAATTAATGAATAAAGAAAATTTGGGGCCAGATGAATGGCTCATACCTGTAATCCTAGGACACTGGGAGGCCAAGGCAGGCAGCTTGCCTGAGCTAAGGAGTTTGAGACCACTTTGGGCAACATGGTGAAACCACATCTCTACTAAAATATAAAAAATTAGCTGGGTGAGGTGGCACATGCCTGTAGTCCCAGTTACTCGGGAAGCTGAGGCAGGAGAATTGCTTGATCCCAAGAGGTGGAGGTTGCAGTGAGCCGAGATCACACCATTGCACTCCAGCCTGAGTGTCAGTGCATGACTCAAAAAAAAAGAAAAAGAAAAAGAAAAAAAAAGGAAAATTTTATATATATACACAATGTAATACTATTCACCCATTAGAAATAATAAAATCATGTCATTTGCAGCAACATGGATGAGAACTGAAAGTTATTATCTTGAGTGAAATAAGCCATGCACATACATAAAGAAATATAGCATGTTTGTGGAAGATTAAAAAACGTGAACATAAGGAGGTAAAGAGTGGAAAGATAGATCAGAGACTGGCTAGCATGAGTTAGAGGAGAGGGTGGGTGAAGAGAAGTGGGTTAAAGTGTACAAATATATAGTAAGATTGAAGGTATAATTCAATGTTTGATAGCAGAGTAGTGTTACTATACTTTAAAATATGTATTATAAGCAAAGACACGGAATCAACCTAAATGACCATCATTGATAGACTGGATAAAGAAAATGTGGTACATACACACCATGAAATACTATGGAGGCATAAAAAAGAATGAGATCATGTCCTTTGCAGGCACATGGATGGAGCTGGAGACCATTATCCTTAGCAAACTAACACAGGAACAGAAAACCAGATACCGCATGTTCTCACTTATAAGTGGGAGCTAAATGATGAGAACACATGGACGCAAAGAGGGGAACAACACACACTGGGGCCTATCGGAGGGTGGAGGATGGGAGGAGGGAGAGGATCAGGAAAAAATAACTAATGGGTACTAGGCTTAATACCTGGGTGACAAAATAGTCTGTACAACAAACCCCCATGACACAAGTTTATGTGTGCAACAAACCTGTATACTGAACTTAAAAGTCTTAAAAAATGTGTTGTGCTTGGGAGATGGACACCCTAAATGCCCTGACTTGATCTCTCCACATTAAATACATGTAAAAATCTTATCACACATCCTATAGATTTGCACAAATTTAAAAATCATATATAATCTTAGCCTTCAAGGCCCAGGTGGTTATGAAGGAAATGCTGGGTTCCAACACTTCATCATGCCAGGTGTGGGCATTGGCAGAAACACCGTGAATCACTGCCAGATGACTGTGCAGCCCATCCATAATGTTTGTTTTTCAAGAGCCGTTTAATAATACTGTCAGATGTTTCAGAATTTCTTGCCATCCAAAGCAATAGCCACACTGACATTTAGTGAGATTTTTTTATTAGTATGTGTACAGAACTTTTCTTCTATTATCCAATGGTATGATATAGGTCTATTTGAAATAGAGTCATAAATCAGTTCGGGTTTTTTGGTGGCAAGAAACAGAAATGGACACCAGCTGATAAAAGTGAAGTGGTGAAATTTTTAGAATAGTAGAGGATAGGTCAATAGCAGAGTCAAAGCTATCTTGCTTTGACTTGAGCAATCCGGCTTTGGGAATGCTGGATGGCAGGACAGTTTGGGAATCTTGTCACGAACAACTGCCTTAACCAGAGTTTTTCCCAGGCAGGGCATAATTCAAAAGCTTGGAACACGCAGTTCATTTGGGAAGTGAATCCACGGAGTAGGAGTAGGAGATGAGCAAGAGTGAATTAGAGAAGGAGGAGAAGCCCATGCAAAGGTGCATTGTTGAATCAGCCATGGCTGTGGGCAACTGAGGGTCAATCTGTCTGGTACCTTCTGAAGAGTAGAATTGTCTACCCAAGGGATTGAAGAGACACCATTAGGCCTGTGTTGCTTCTGTAGAGTAAACACTTTCTCACTTCCAGATTCTGAATATGTGAGTGTGACCTCGTACAGGAGGCTCTATGCACAGGATCAGAGAAACCCCAGGACAGAATGATGGCAGGACAGTTCCCCAAAGGAAAAACAGGAAGGGTGCTGTTACCAAAAGCTGGGAGAACATGGAGCCAAGCAAAACCAACAGATACTCCTTCACAGAAGCTGGAGTGTGTTTGTTAGAAGGGAAAGGGGAGGAGAAAGCAGAACTATATTACTACCTGGTAAGGTACTCATATCCACTCAGTCTCTCATTTATGCTGTTCCCCCTACCATCCTCTATTTATCCAAATTCTAATTCCCTAGGCCAGGTGTGGTGGCTCACACGTGTAATCCCAGCACTTTGGGAGGCCGAGGTGGGTGGACCACTAGAGGTCAGGAGTTCAACACCAGTATGGCCAACACGGCGAAACCCCATCTCTACTAAAAATACAAAAATTAGCCGGGCATGGTGGTACATGCCTGTAATCCCAGCTACTCAGGAGGCTGAGGCAGGAGAATTGCTTAAACCCAGGAGGTGGAGGTAGCAGTGAGCAGAGATCATGCCACTGTATTCCAGCCTGGGTGACAGAGTGGGACTCTGTCTCAAAAAAAAAAAAAAAAAGGAAAAAGAAAACAAATCCTAAATAACCCTAACCCAATGCCCATATCCTCCACTAAGTTTCTCAGAGTGACATATTCCTCACCAGTTTATATCTTTTTCTAATGTCTTATCAAAGTGTCACCACCATCCAGCATAAATTTCGATTATTCTGTGGGTCTTTGATTCTTTTGATTCTGTTCTGGGTTCATCATCTTTTATTTATTCCCTTGTACTGCAATAAAGCAGAAAGACAACTGATTTTCACTAAATTTGGTCTCCACTAAATGGATCTGTGATAGTTTTGTTCTATTTTTGTTGATACATACTGTTTGTACATATTTATGAAGTACATGTGATATTTTGTTACATGCATAGAATGTATATGCAAGTCAGGGTATATTAGGGCATCCATCACCTGGAGCATTTATCATTTCTGTGCATTAGAAATATTTCAAGTTCTCTTTTCTGGCTACTTTGAAATGTTCCCTTCCATGGTGGAGAAACATCAGTTTTGACAATAACCAGAACTGAGTTAACATTATTGCTCCACTACTTACCAGTTATGTCACATGCTCCTGGGCAAGCAACCTTGGTTACTTCGTTAGCAAAGTGATTGTAACAGTAATCACCTTATAAATTCATAAGGATTATGTTAAAGTAAACTGATTAAGTATGTAAAGTAACTGAATAAATGTTAGGCACATAATAATTATTAATTCCTCTCCTTCGATGCAGGCATGATGCCTTATACTTCTTTTTAACAGCCCCCAAAAACTTGGTCCAGAGTTAGTTTTTACTGGAGCTGAAGAACACTTGCTGATTGTTCATACAAACTCAGATGTTAAAAATCTTGAGCCAAAGTTGCAAACCCTTGTGACACATGGGGCATATCCATTAATGATATATTTGAACACTACACATTTATTTTAATAACCAAATTAAAGGCCAACAATTTAAACATCTAGGTATTTCACTTATAAAAATATGGATTGCAGTTTCCCTTGAAATAGTTGGCTCACCTTTCTTCAGGGTGACAATTGGGCGGATCTAGTGCCAGCTTTCTGCTTTAGACAAGACATGGACTTTTCATTTTGTCACTGTCCCCAGCATGCTTTAGTGTCTTATCTTGTGCGAGGTATTCTTTACACATTTCTAGTGACTCCCTGATCCTTACATATTTGGGTTTAAGACTCTGGCTTTTTCAAGGTGATAGAAAAGAGATGAAACATTTGAAATGCATCGCAGTTGACTAGGGTAAGGGTAGTGAAATCACTATCCTGTATGTTTCGTCATAAATCTTGGCTAGTTTTTCTGTTAGCAAAATTTATTCAGCATAAGTGTTATAGCATCTGCATGAGCCTTGGCTGTTTACAAAGTGCCCTGGTGGACTATAATTGATTCGATCTTTACCCACAGCCCTGCCTATCGAGGTGTCAGGGCAGGAGACATGATTGTCCCCATGTAATGATAATAAACTGAGTCTTCCAGAGATTTCTAGGAAGGTTCAAGATCCCAGTGCTAGTAAATGTTGGAGTTACTGACTCCAAATCCAGGGTTCCTCTTGCACCTGTTGGAAGAAGTTTCAAAGAAAACAAAGATCATTGCCCTTAAGAAGTTCATTATCAAATGGGGTTGCTAGGAAAAGTGCAAAGAAATGTGTCAGGAATAGGTATTAGAAATATCAGTAATATTGCAAAAGTCACTGCTGCTGTCAGTAAAGGGCAGTGGACTTGCTGGCATGATTGGAACCAGGTGAGATTCACTGTGATAGAGAACAATATCTAAAAGAGAAAGTGAGTTTGAAACCAGATTTTGAAGATTTAGTTCTTCATGAGGGAGTCCTTAGTTTTCCTCTGTTTTTTAAAGGCTTGATGTGGATCCAGGTGCAATGGAATAATAAGAGTGTTTATAAAAAATACTGCTGGATGAATGTCATATAAATCTCAGCACAGCAGTCCCCTCTTATCCTCAGTTTTGCTTTCTGCAGTGTCAATTACTATCAACCATGGTCTGAAAATAGTAAAGGGAAAATCCAGAAATAAATAATTCATAGGTTTTAAATTGCACACCTTTCTGAGTAGCCTGAAAAAATCTCATGCTGACCTGCACCATCCTGCCCAGGATGTGCATCATCCCTTCATCCAGCAGGTCCACACTGAATATGCCACACACCCATGAGTCACTTAGTAGCCTAAGTTATCACATCATCACAAGAAGAAAAAAATGATGAGTACAGTACAGTAAGATATTTTGAGAGTGAGAGAGACCACATTCACATAACTTTTATTGCAGTATATGGTTATAATTGTTCTATTTTATTAGTAGTTACTGTTAATCTCTTGTGGTATCTAATTTATAAATTAAACTCTATCATGGGTGTGTATGTGTAGGAAAAAACATAGTGTATATAGGGTTGGGTTCTACTTGAGGTTTCAGGCATCCACTGAAGGTCTTGGAACAGATCCCCTGAGGAAAAGGAGGCTGTCTTGTAACTAAGTGGAAGATATGTAAGTCATGGGCAGGGCACCAAAAGCAGATCTGTCTTCCTGGAGCAGATAGAGCAGAATGTTCAAGCTGAAAATAAGTCAGCCAAGAAGATTTTATCAAAGGGAGGATACAGCTCTCCAATGGCAAGCTGAAAGCAATAGTCAGAGTTCATTGACCTTGAACCTACAGCAGGAGCAACCAGCTCTGATGAAGGCAGACCACTAGGCCAGAACGCCTGGGCTCAAGGTCAATGTTCCTCACTCCTTTTTGCTCTTCTAAGGAAGTAAAATTAGAGTCTCGTAGCACAATGACTTTGGAGAAAGTGTTTAATTGCTGACTAGGATAGTTTAATCCAACCTTAAGTTTCTCCATAAGGGAGTATCATGATTAAAATAGTGCTTTTGGAGAAAGTATTGAGACTGACCAACAAAAGCGGATGTGTGAGAAAAGGTTGTTCAGAGCCAGACCTCTGCAGGCTTGGTTCTGTTGTGGTAGCCTGGGTCATTTCAAATAAGGGACCATGGCATGCATTCCAATCTCACATCTAACTCATGATGAGAAGCTGTTCTGAAAGAAAAGAGGTAATTATAACAGCATCATCTGTAACTACCTTATTGATTTAGGTACTTTATGTTAGAGGATCCGGGAAATCAGATGTATTTTCCTAAAGAAAATATTAATCCATGATATAAAAATCAATGTGCTATAAGAGCATGAAGCCTATTCCACGAGAAAGGGGGAAGGAGAACCGAAGACAGATGGCTCTATTTAAACATTTTAAAACATAATTTTGCCTAATTTCTTTCTTTTAAAACACTGATTAATATCATTGGCTCTAGGGGAAGAATGTATGAAGAGTAAATTAAAAGCATGGAGATTAGCTTCTCTCCTGAAAAGTGAAGGCAGGAAGGCAATATGTAGGGCCATCACATGCTGCTCGATGACTTATCCATCAATGATAAGGGCCCTGGAAACTGAAGAATGCTGTCAGCAGAATCGGCAGCTTTAATTACACTGGTATGGGCCTCTCCAATGCGAGGGCAGCCCGATTAGAATTGATGAACCTTGGTTAATGAAAACCCTTACAGGTTATGAAGTTATATTATATAATTGAAGAAAATTGCAATTATCTTAAAGTGTTTTTTCCTTTCCTCAATGCTTTAATGCTTAGTAAAAGATGAAAGGCAACCTGACTTTGCATTGCACACTCTGCAACCAGTTTTATTAAGACAGAAAGTATAAATTGAAGGGCACCATTGACAATAACATTTTCTTCTTAGGAAAGACCCTTCAGGGCTCAACAAAACCTCTGTTAAAATTAATTCGAAAACTTTTAACTTTCTATTTAACTGCTTTCAAATCACATGCAGAACTGTGAGGCTGGACAACTTCAGGAATAAAAAAGAGACATGGATGGAGGATAAGGAAGAATCTTCTGGTTTGACTTCTTCTTTGTCTGGCACAGTACAGAACTGATTTTTTGTTCTTGCTGTTCTGCTTTTTGTTTTTGTTGGGTTTCTTTGGATTAAATAGGTAGGAGACAGCTGATTCTTGGGTTGACACATACCTTTTCCCATTTATAATGCTGTGATTAATTGCATGTATGTGAAAGCTTACCTGGAGTTATGATAAGAGAATATTGATGCCTTTAGTCACTGTCATGAATCATTCCATCATTTTTCTCTTGAAAGACAGGTTAAAATAATGCTGCTTGATCTAAATCCTTCCAGTGTTTATATTAGCTTGGACTAACATTTTTCTGTACATCTGTGGAAAGCATGGCTAAAATTTGACTGTTTCATTGTGAAAAATCTAACATGTCACTGAGGAAATCCATACAAAGGGAAGTTAAGATGTATGGAATAAGATATCGCCTGCTATTTTCTAATAGAGTTTACCTTTATTTGTTTATTCGATCTTTCTTCCATCCTTCAACAGATATTTGATAGGCATACTACATTAGAAAATAAGAAAAAAAGAAGTTAATCTAAGTTTCTGCTCTTGAGCCTTTAGTTGTGGGTTGGGGATGTCATTTATGTAGATGGTTTAATTGAAGCACATGCTTTTATATAAATTTTAACACAGTACCTTAAGAACAGAAAGGACAGTGTGACTAAGCTTGTGCATGTGTGTGTGCACATTGGGAGTCCTGGCAGACATCGGGAATGCTGTGTGGAGGAACAGTTATTGGACTTGGTCTTGAATAAGGAGTAGCACTATAGTTGCAAACTTATGGGCCTTGGGCTGAATTCAGCCTGCAGATATGTTTAATTCAGCCAGCATATGGTTTTACATTTGTTGAAATCCATTACCACTATCTAAGAATGTGGAGACTTTGCTTAGAAATCTGGAATTCTAGGCTGGGCATGGTGGCTCACACCTGTAATCCCAGCACTTTGGGAGGCTGAGGCGGGCGGATCACGAGGTCAGGAGTTTGAGACCAGCCTGGTCCGCATGGTGAAACCACAGCTCTACCAAAAATACAAAAATTAGCTGGGCTTGGTGGCACGCACCTGTAATTCCAGCTACTCAGGAGGCTGAAGTAGGAGAATCACTTGACCCCAGGAGGCAGAGGTTGCAGTGAGCCGAGATTGTGCCACTGCACTCTAGCCTGGGCAACAGAGCAAGACTGTGTCTCAAAAACAACAACAACAACAAAAAAAAAACCCTAGAATTCTGGCTTCTATTGAAAAATTCCAAAGACTTAGCAATATTCTCAGAGGATAATTAGTAGGAGAGAGATAGAGGCTGCCCTTTTATTTATTATTCATTATTTGTTTATTTTTTGTATCTACAAAAATTGTACATTTTAATGGTGTACATAACCATGTTTTTATATATGTAACATTGTAGAATGGCTAGATCAAACTAATTAACATATGCATTGCCTCCCATATTTTAATATGAGAACACTTAAAATCTATTCCCTTATCAATTTTCAAATATGAAATACATTACTATTAACTCTATTCACCATGTTGCACAATAGATCTCTTGAACTTATTCCTGCAGTCTAAGTGAAATTCTATGTCCTTCGACTAATATCTCCTCAATCCTTGCCTTGCAGCTTCACCAGCCCCTCATAACCATCATTCTACTCTCTGCTTCTGTGAGGTCAACTCTTTAAGATTTCACATATAAGTGAAATCATGTGGTATTTGTCTTTCTATGCCTGGCTTATTTCACTTAGTATAATGTTCTCCAGGTCCATCTATGTTGTAGAAATGACAGTATTTCCTTCTTTTTATGGCTGAATAGTATTCCATTGTGTGTGTGTATATGTATGTACGTGTGTGTGTGTGTGTGTGTGTATAGATAGATAGATAGATAGATAGATAGATAGATAGATAGATATCACATTTTCTTTATCCATTCATCTGTTGACAGACACTTAGGTTGATTCCCTATCTTGTCTGTTGGGAGTAGTGCTGCAATAAACATGGGAGCACAGATACCTCTGATTCACTTTCTTTCATACTAATTTCATTTCCTTTGGATATGTACCCATTTGTGGGTTTGCTGGATCATACAGTACTTTAAATGGAACTCTCTTTATTCTTCCTTCCTCCTGCTTTATGCATTTTTGCTCTTGAACTGCTCTAGATACATGTTTGAATTTGTAGCTCTGTAGTAACTGGCTTGCCAATTGGCACTGTTTGCCAATTGACAAAGAAAAACTTAAATATGAGGCTATTCAGTCAGAAGTTACAGCATATACAACGAGGGGTAATTTTGAAAGCAGATAGAAACCACATATAGTTGGTAATTTTAGAATAGCTGAAAAGTAATTTTCACTAGACAACGTTTACAAAGTAAGGCTGGAAGGATAAACTGAGCCCTGATTTCAAAATGTATATGATTAGAAACTTAACTATTATCTTATAGAACAGTGGTTTTCAAAGTATGGCTCCCAGAATAGCAGTATCAGTATCCCCTGGAAACTCATTAGAATTGCAGATTCTCTGCTGTCCATCTCCTCACAACCCCATGAAACCTACTGAATCAGAAACTCTGGGGGATAATACCCAGCAAGCTCTGATTTCACAAGTCCTCTAGGTTATTCTGAGGCATGCTAAACTTTGACAACTACTTCTGTAGCCAATAAAAAGCTAAATTAATTAATTTTTTTTTTTTTGAGACGGAGTCTCGCTCTGTCGCCCAGGCTGGAGTGCAGTGGCTCGATCTCGGCTCACTGCAACCTCTGACTCCCGGGTTCAAGCGATTCTCCTACCTCAGCCTCCTGAGTAGCTGGGACTACAGGCACAGGCCACTAGGCCTGGCTAATTTTTGTATTTTTAGTAGAGATGGGGTTTCACCATCTTGGCCAGGATGGTCTCGATCTCCTGACCTCATGATCCACCCGCCTTGGCCTCCCAAAGTGCTTGGATTACAGGTGTGAGCCATCGCGCCCGGCCCTAACTAAATTTTTAATCAGGGAGCTTTGTTTAAGATCAAACTGGTTGCAGTGGTAAGAAATTTTTAGCATGGAAACCAGGTAACAATTATCATCTTTATCAAGATGATAAAGGCCTGGATCAAGGCAGTGGCCATGTGGAAGCCAATAAGAGAAGCAATCCAACATGTAAAGAGATTTCTAAGGCAGCACTGCAGAGGACTTGATGCCTATTGGATACGGAGAAGAGAGAGAGAAGATTCCTAGAGGTGTTGCTAACCAAGCAGATCTGGTGGATAGGGGTGCCATTATCTGAGAATATCTGCTCAGAAGGTAGAGCAGCTTCTAGGAGAAGTTATTGTTTAGTGTTTGGGAAAATATTTGAGGAGTTAATGTGATTACATGGTACATTTTTGCAGGGTTAGTACATATGGGTCTCGGACCCTGCAGAATGTTTGGGGAGGTAAGGCCTTGCTTGATAGTAGATGAGCTTACTAAGGGCCGAAGAGACGTGTGGAAGGAGGCTTGTGCATGAAACCCAAGAGAACCCCAACCTTTAAAGGATAGGTGGTGGAGGGGAGCCTAAAAAGGAGAGGAGAAGCAATAATAAAACCTTACAAAATAATCAAAGTGCCAAAACTCCATTGCACCAAGATCTTCATCATATAATTAAATGAAAAGCATCTAAAGCCACAGTAATGTCTAGAAGCATAAGATGCTCTTGATATCTTATGCTACTAGATACAAGATAATTTATAAGAAATCTAAAGGAAAGTTACAGTATGCAGACATTAAAATGATAGTTATAAACCTTGTATTACAACTGTGAGAAAACATGTTTTTCTCACATATGGAAAATAATGTTTATAATATCATGGAAACAAGCAGAATTTTAGGGCAGGCAAAGGCTCAAGGAGAATCTGGTTACAGCTACATAAAATTACATATAAAAGGGGTGATTTGCTGCATTAAAATGGTAAAGGTATTAGAGTTAAGATGGTGGGATTGTGGATGATTTTATATTTACCCTCAGGTTTTTCTTTTATGTTAGTCTATAACAATTGCTTCTAGAAGTTTACTCAATTAAATTTCTACATCCAGGACACTAAGTTGAGATAAAAAGAAAAATAAATAAAAGTTTATGATCAATGACCATGTCAAACTAAAGCATAACATATGGTCGTGAAAGTTTGAGACTTGAGTAAGATAATTTTTCAAGTGAGGTAGGGATGGCTTGCATCATCTCCTGGGCATTGCAGTGGTAGCCCTGATGAGGTGAGAGACAGTAGAGGGCATTTGGTCAGGACAAGGGGAGAGGAGTAGTGGCTGATCAACATTACCTTAGGTAAGAGATTCATGCAAGAGGAGTTTAGCCTATGATGATAAAGCCTGGGAGGAAGCCATGTTAACTGTGTATCCAAAGCATCAGTGGTCCTGGAAAGCAATTATCAGGAGATCACCCAAGGCAGTGTCTTTCTAAGTATATATACCCCAACCAACCCACAGCTTGAGACCCTCTGCCTGCTTGCTTCCCCCCTCCCCTCCCAGGTTTTTATTCCCCCTGATATGAAAACCTAGCAATGGCTCTAGCACTAGGTTCCTTGCAAAGACAGACCAAATTTGCAATGACTGGGTCGCAAGAGAGAAATGTCATTTGCTTTTTCCTAGGATGGGCTCCAGATCTCTCTCCACCTGTTAAAGACAAGTTGCTAGTGGCACTTAAATTACCAATTTTAAGGTTTTATAAAATCCAATACAGTCTAAAAAAGTGCATATGAGCCGCTCACTTAGCAGGAGTAAAGTGGCTGTTCGTGCTGAGGCCAAGATGACAGGTAAGCACACCCACAAAAGAGGGGTGTGCACCCAAGGATGGTGCATGCCACCTGAGAGGACTCTAACCTTTGAAAAAAAAATTAAAGAGCTGACAATTGAGCTGAACTGTTTTTAGGATCAAAAAGTGTAATCCCGAGTTTCTTGTGGAATGACTGATGATTGATGATGATGATGATGATCAGTACATAAAAGCAAAAGCAGGGGGGGAGGAGCCAAGATGGCCGAATAGGAACAGCTCCAGTCTACAGCTCCCAGCGTGAGCGATGCAGAAGACGGGTGATTTCTGCATTTCCATCTGACGTACTGGGTTCATCTCACTAGGGAGTGCCAGACAGTGGGCGCAGGTCAGTGGGTGCGCGCACCATGCGCAAGCCAAAGCAGGGTGAGGCATTGCCTCACTTGGGAAGCGCAAGGGGTCAGGGAGTTCCCTTTCCTAGTCAAAGAAAGGGGTGACGGACAGCACCTGGAAAATCGGGTCACTCCCACCTGAATACTGTACTTTTCCGACAGGCTTAAAAAACGGCGCACCACGAGATTATATCCTGCACCTGGCTTGGAGGGTCCTACGCCCATGGAGTCTCGCTGATTACTAGCACAGCAGTCTGAGATCAAACTGCAAGGCGGCAGCGAGGCTGGGGGAGGGGCACCCGCCATTGCCCAGCCTTGATTAGGTAAACAAAGCAGCCAGGAAGCTCGAACTGGGTGGAGCCCACCACAGCTCAAGGAGGCCTGCCTGCCTCTGTAGGCTCCACCTCTGGGGGCAGGGCACAGACAAACAAAAAGACAGCAGCAACCTCTGCAGACTTAAATGTCCCTGTCTGACAGCTTTGAAGAGAGCAGTGGTTCTCCCAGCACGCAGCTGGAGATCTGGGAACCGGCAGACTGCCTCCTCAAGTGGGTCCCTGACCCCTGACCCCCGAGCAGCCTAACTGGGAGGCACCCCCCAGCAGGGGCACACTGACACCTCACACGGCAGGGTATTCCAACAGACCTGCAGCTGAGGGTCCTGTCTGTTAGAAGGAAAACTAACAAACAGAAAGGACATCCACATCGAAAACCCATCTGTACATCACCATCATCAAAGACCAAAAGTAGATAAAACCACAAAGATGGGGAAAAAGCAGAACAGAAAAACTGGAAACTCTAAAAAGCAGAGCACCTCTCCTCCTCCAAAGGAACGCAGTTCCTCACCAGCAATGGAACAAAGCTGGATGGAGAATGACTTTGTTGAGCTGAGAGAAGAAGGCTTCAGACGATCAAATTACTCTGAGCTACAGGAGGACATTCAAACCAAAGGCAAAGAAGTTGAAAACTTTGAAAAAAATTTAGAAGAATGTATGACTAGAATAACCAATACAGAGAAGTGCTTAAAGGAGCTGATGGAGCTGAAAACCAAGGCTCGAGAACTACATGAAGAATGTAGAAGCCTCAGGAGCCGATGCGATCAACTGGAAGAAAGGGTATCAGCAATGGAAGATGAAATGAATGAAATGAAGCGAGAAGGGAAGTTTAGAGAAAAAAGAATAAAAAGAAATGAGCAAAGCCTCCAAGAAATATGGGACTATGTGAAAAGACCAAATCTACATCTGATGGGTGTACCTGAAAGTGATGGGGAGAATGGAAGCAAGTTGGAAAACACGCTGCAGGATATTATCCAGGAGAACTTCCCCAATCTAGCAAGGTAGGCCAACATTCAGATTCAGGAAATACAGAGAGTGCCACAAAGATACTCCTCGAGAAGAGCAACTCCAAGACACATAATTTTCAGATTCACCAAAGTTGAAATGAAGGAAAAAATGTTAAGGGCAGCCAGAGAGAAAGGTCGGGTTACCCTCAAAGGGAAGCCCATAAGACTAACAGCGGATCTCTCGGCAGAAACCCTACAAGCCAGAAGAGAGTGGGGGCCAATATTCAACATTCTTAAAGAAAAGAATTTTCAACCCAGAATTTCATATCCAGCCAAACTAAGCTTCATAAGCAAAGGAGAAATAAAATACTTTACAGACAAGCAAATGCTGAGAGATTTTGTCACCACCAGGCCTGCCCTAAAAGAGCTCCTGAAGGAAGCGCTAAATATGGAAAGGAAAAGCCGGTACCAGCCACTGCAAAATCATGCCAAAACGTAAAGACCATCGAGACTAGGAAGAAACTGCATCAACTAATGAGCAAAATCACCAGCTAACATCATAATGACAGGATCAAATTCACACATAACAATATTAACTTTAAATGTAAATGGACTAAATGCTCCAATTAAAAGACACAGACTGGCAAATTGGATCAAGAGTCAAGACCCATCAGTGTGCTGTATTCAGGAAACCCATCTTACGTTCAGAGACACACATAGGCTCAAAATCTAAGGATGGAGGAAGATCTACCAAGCAAATGGAAAACAAAAAAAGGCAGGGGTTGCAAACCTACTCTCTGATAAAACAGACTTTAAACCAACAAAGATCAAAAGAGACAAAGATGGCCATTACATAATGGTAAAGGGATCAATTCAACAAGAACAGCTGACTATCCTAAATATATATGCACCCAATACAGGAGCACCAAGATTCATAAAGCAACTCCTGAGTGACCTACAAAGAGACTTAGATTCCCACACATTAATAATGGAGACTTTAACACCCCACTGTCAGCATTAGACAGATCAACGAGACAGAAAGTCAACAAGGATACCCAGGAATTGAACTCAGCTCCGCACCAAGCGGACCTAATAGACATCTACAGAACTCTCCACCCCAAATCAACAGAATATACATTTTTTTCAGCACCACACCACACCTATTCCAAAATTGACCACATACTTGGAAGTAAAGCTCTCCTCAGCAAATGTAAAAGAACAGAAATTATAACAAACTGTCTCTCAGACCACAGTGCAATCAAACTAGAACTCAGGATTAAGAATCTCACTCAAAACCGCTCAACTACATAGAAACTGAACAACCTGCTCCTGAATGACTACTGGGTACATAACGAAATGAAGGCAGAAATAAAAATGTTCTTTGAAACCAACTAGAACAAAGACACAATATACCAGAATCTCTGGGATGCATTCAAAGCAGTATGTAGAGGGAAATTTACAGCACTAAATGCCCACAAGAGAAAGCAGGAAAGATCCAAAATTGACACCCTAACATCACAATTAAAAGAACTAGAAAAGCAAGAGCAAACACATTCAAAAGCTATCAGAAGACAAGAAATAACTAAAATCAGAGCAGAACTGAAGGAAATAGAGACACAAAAAACCCTTCAAAAAATTAATGAATCCAGGAGCTGGTTTTTTGAAAGGATCAACAAAATTGATAGACCGCTAGCAAGACTAATAAAGAAGAAAAGAGAGAAGAATCAAATAGACACAATAAAAAATGATAAAGGGGATATCACCACCAATCCCACAGAAATACAAACCACCATCAGAGAATACTACAAACACCTCTACGCAAATAAACTAGAAAATCTAGAAGAAATGGATACATTCCTGGACACATACACTCTCCCAAGACTAAACCAGGAAGAAGTTGAATCTCTGAATAGACCAATAACAGGAGCTGAAATTGTGGCAATAATCAATAGCTTACCAACCAAAAAGAGTCCAGGACCAGATGGATCCATAGCTGAATTCTACCAGAGGTACAAGGAGGAACTGGTACCATTCCTTCTGAAACTATTCCAATCAATAGAAAAAGAGGGAATCCTCCCTAACTCATTTTATGAGGCCAGCATCATTCTGATACCAAAGCCAGGCAGAGACACAACAAAAAAAGAGAATTTTAGACCAATATCCCTGATGAACATTGATGCAAAAATCCTCAATAAAATACTGGCAAAATGAATCCAGCTGCACATCAAAAAGCTTATCCACCATGATCAAGTGGGCTTCATCCCTGGGATGCAAGTCTGGTTCAATATATGCAAATCAATAAATGTAATCCAGCATATAAACAGAGCCAAAGACAAAAACCACATGATTATCTCAATAGATGCAGAAAAAGCCTTTGACAAAATTCAACAACCCTTCATGCTAAAAACTCTCAATAAATTAGGTATTGATGGGACGTATTTCAAAATAATAAGAGCTATCTATGACAAACCCACAGCCAGTATCATACTGAATGGGCAAAAACTGGAAGCATTCCCTTTGAAAACTGGCACAAGACAGGGATGCCCTCTCTCACCACTCCTATTCAACATAATGTTGGAAGTTCTGGCCAGGGCAATCAGGCAGGAGAAGGAAATAAAGGGTATTCAATTAGGAAAAGAGGAAGTCAAATTGTCCCTGTTTGCAGATGACATGATTGTATATCTAGAAAACCCATTATCTCAGCCCAAAATCTCCTTAAGCTGATAAGCAACTTCAGCAAAGTCTCAGCATACAAAATCAATGTACAAAAATCACAAGCATTCTTATACACCAACAACAGACAAACAGAGAGCCAAATCATGAGTGAACTCCCATTCACAATTGCTTCAAAGAGAATAAAATACCTAGGAATCCAACTTACAAGGGATGTGAAGGACTTCTTCCAGGAGAATTACAAACCACTGCTCAAGGAAATAAAAGAGGATACAAACAAACGGAAGAACATTCCATGCTCATGGGTAGGAAGAATCAATATCGTGAAAATGGCCATACTGCCCAAGGTAATTTTTAGATTCAATGCCATCCCCATCAAGCTACCAATGCCTTTCTTCACAGAATTGGAAAAAACTACTTTAAAGTTCATATGGAACCAAAAAAGAGCCCGCATCGCCAAGTCAATCCTAAGCCAAAAGAACAAAGCTGGAGGCATCACACTACCTGACTTCAAACTATACTACAAGGCTACAGTAACCAAAACAGCATGGTACTGGTACCAAAACAGGGATATAGATCAATGGAACAGAACAGAGCCCTCAGAAATAATGCCGCATATCTACAACTATCTGATCTTTGACAAACCTGAGAAAAACAAGCAATGGGGAAAGGATTCCCTATTTAATAAATGGTGCTGGGAAAACTGGCTAGCCATATGTAGAAATCTGAAACTGGATCCCTTCCTTACACCTTATACAAAAATCAATTCAAGATGGATTAAAGACTTAAACGTTAGACCTAAAACCATAAAAACCCTAGAAGAAAACCTAGGCATTACCATTCAGGACATAGGCATGGGCAAGGACTTCATGTCTAAAACACCAAAAGCAATGGCAACAAAAGACAAAATTGACAAATGGGATCTCATTAAACTAAAGAACTTCTGCACAGCAAAAGAAACTACCATCAGAGTGAACAGGCAACCTACAACATGGGAGAAAATTTTCGCAACCTACTCATCTGACAAAGGGCTAATATCCAGAATCTACAATGAACTCAAACAAATTTACAAGAAAAAAACAAACAACCCCATCAAAAAGTGGGCGAAGGACATGAACAGACACTTCTCAAAAGAAGACATTTATGCAGCCAAAAGACACATGAAAAAATGCTCATCATCACTGGCCATCAGAGAAATGCAAATCAAAACCACAATGAGGTACCATCTCACACCAGTTAGAATGGCAATCATTAAAAAGTCAGGAAACAACAGGTGCTGGAGAGGATGTGGAAAAATAGGAACACTTTTACACTGTTGGTGGGACTGTAAACTAGTTCAACCATTGTGGAAGTCAGTATGGCAATTCCTCAGGGATCTAGAACTGGAAATACCATTTGACCCAGCCATCCCATTACTGGGTATATACCCAAAGGACTATAAATCATGCTGCTATAAAGACACATGCACACGTGTGTTTATTGCGGCATTATTCACGATAGCAAAGACTTGGAACCAACCCAAATGTCCAACAATGATAGACTGGATTAAGAAAATGTGGCACATATACACCATGGAATACTATGCAGCCATAAAAAATGATGAGTTCATGTCCTTTGTAGGGACATGGATAAAATGGGAAATCATCATTCTCAGTAAACTATCTCAAGAACAGAAAACCAAACACCGCATATTCTCACTCATAGGTGGGAATTGAACAATGAGATCACATGGACACAGGAAGGGGAATATCACACTCTGGGGACTGTTGTGGGGTGGGGGGAGGGGGGAGGGATAGCACTGGGAGATACACCTAATGCTAGATGACGAGTTAGTGGGTACAGCACACCAGCATGGCACATGTATACATATGTAACTAACCTGCACAATGTGCACATGTACCCTAAAACTTAAAGTATAATAATAAAAAAAAAAAGCAAAAGCAGTGCCAGATACTATTCTGTGTATTTACATATCTTAAATCATGTGATCTTCTCAATTAGTCTATAATTGGCCCCAAGTTACAGATGGAAACATCAAGCTTCACCGAGAGCCCCATGCCACGTTGGCAAGTGATGAGGAGTGTCTGACTTGCAAGTTCTCTTCTTAAGTTGAAGTCTCAGTCCAGACAAAGCTGAAGGCAATGACAAGGTGGCATCCAAGTTTTCTACTCCTCACTGCCTTCTTCCCACATCTCAGGCTACTCCTCATTAACTTATTTCCACATTTATTTATTCATTTGTTTATTTATTTAAGATGGAGTCTCACTCTCTCACCCAGGCTGGAGTGCAGTGGTGGGATCTCGGCTCACTGAAAGCTCTGCCTCCCAGGTTCACACCATTCTCCTGTCTCAGCCTCCTGAGTAGCTGGGACTACAGGCACCGGCCACCACACCCGGCTAATTTTTTTGTATTTTTAGTAGAGACTGGGTTTCACCGTGTTAGCCGGGATGGTCTCAATCTCCTGACCTCATGATCCACCTGCCTTGGCCCCCAAAGGGCTGGGATTACAGGTGTGAGCCACCACTCCCAGCCCATTTATTTTATTTATTCATTTAGCAAATGTTTGCTGAACATTTTTGTACCTAGGTACTATGATAGGTGCCATTTCTATCCTCAAGGAGCTGGCAATTCATATATGTCAAAGAGAAGCCATAAGGTACTTCCTTTAAGTGAAAAGGTAAAAGTTCTTGATTTAATAAAGAAGGACTCATGTGTACAGATTATCTTAGAATACTGTGTTTCTGTCTTTCTGTTCAAAATCATCTGTTTTTTGAACCTGTGAGATATTCCCAGAAGCCCAGAGGACTCATATATATTGCTAGTGAGCAAGCAAACTGAAGTCTTGTACAGCCAGAGCCCGTTGATGGAAAGTTGGGGCATGCAGGCTCCCCCGTGCTGTTTGCAGTCACTCCACATGATGATGCTGAACTGAAATCCCCAAGCTTGGTCCAATGGGATGCTCACCAAAATGTATGGTTAACATGAGGAAGAGATTGGATTATAAATCTTAGGAAGTAGGCCTTCTGAGATAATATCTGATGCAAGAACCTCAAGGAAAACTAAATTCTTTAATCGATTGAAACCCTGCCTTACAAAAGCTTTTAAGCATTTAGACACCATCATATAAATCAAGTTGGAAATATCCCACCAAGGAATAAAGAGTTGTTGCCATGTAAAATATTAATTTGTCTTTTCAAGGCAAAGCAAACACTTCATTTGGAAGAACATTGCCTAGGAGGTGGTAGAGAAAGTAGGAAACATGGAATAAACTCACTGCATTGGCCTTGGATGCCCACTTAAGTATCTCAGGGCTTTGGGCTTCTCATGCTGAGAAATGGGGGCCCTTTAATGCTAAAACTTGGTTCTAGTAACTTTTATTTCAAGTAGTTCTCATGCCTTCAATGATTACATATTCCATGGCAGTTGTTCCCAACTATTTGCTAGAAAATAATCTGGAATTGAACAATGGACTTCAGCCTAAAACTTAAAGATGTGCTCCTGGAATTGAAAAGGAATGTTCAGAGTGGATTTACAAATATAGTTTTTCTTCAAAAACACTATTTGTGAATCACAAAAGGGCAAACATCTACCACATGGCCATTTCTTCATTTGCTACAATATGCATGCATCTGGAGTCACACTGAAACCAGCCTGGAAGACTACCAGAAAGGAAACTATATGATTAGCAAAGTTAAAACCTGATTTGTATCTAAAAAATGTGGCGTATGCTCATTTATGTGCAAATGTAATGGAAAAAGGCTGTAGGTAAAGTGGCTAAAGCCTAAACAAAATAAACACTTAATTTTCTTTTATTGTACCCTGTGACTATTAATAATATTATGGTACCAAGTCAGAAACATTAAGCCAAGCAGGGGAGCAATAAATGTTCCTAGACTGTGCACCAATGTTGATATTAGCGACTAATCGCTCCAGAGTTCACATAAAACGCAGATGGAAGTACAAAGAAGATATTCGGTGAAGTCAGCAGTGGCAGAGAACTGTTTCACAGGTGAAACCAATAATGAGAGGGCTGGCTCAGCAGGAGTAGGGCCGGTGGAAGATATCAGAAAACGACTTTGTAAATCATTGCATTTTAACATGTCTGTTGCCTATTGACATATTCATGCTCTTATGCTTGTGGCTTGTGAGGTTCTCAGTCTCAATTCCAACTGGCAATACTGTTTAAGAATTTGCAAAGTTCCTTATTCTGTCATCATCATAACTTACTGACATGGGTAATATGGTTATTATTCTCCCCATTTTACAGATCAAGAAATCCAAGTTCTGTGTATGATATAACACACAAGACTCAGTAGTAAAACTCTAGGCTTGCGTTGCTAGTTCTCATCTACTTGTGATGATCTCTCTAAAATCATGGTCATGATTGTCTTATAAAAGTATATTTGGAACTTCCATTTCTGATGCTATCTTGGACCAGAGATTCCATTCTTTCCAATAAGAAAACTAAAATGCTGGTTAAAAATATAAAACAAACATACACAGTTTTAAAAACCCATAATTTCAAATGCCTTGCGAAGCCGGCACAAAAACAAGGAATCTGTAGAAGCCAAGATTTAGTAACAACAGGAATTTAGAAAGAAAGTGGGCACCAAGACATCTGCCCATCCATTATGGCTCCACTCTGACAACTTTATCATGTGATGTGACCGGCAGGTAAAGATCAGAGCCCAATGAAGGTGAGACCCAAAAGGGATGCAATCTCAGAATGATGAGAGCTGGAATTGACTGTACTGCCTGGAAGATACCAACAAGGAAACTTGCCTATAAGGCCCAAGCAGAACTTAAGCAAATACATTTTTAAAATTATTTAGGGTTGTTAGGCAAAAGCAAATACATTCCCTATGTGAAATAATGCAACTTTAACCCAGACTTCAAAACATTCCTGCAAAATTATTTTCCCATAGAACATAACCATATATTCCCATAGAACATAAACATGAACTCATGGTCAAAAATCCTCAAACATAAAGGGAAACATGACACAGTAAGTGAAAAGCAGAAGAAATAGCAGAGTCAGACCTGCAGAGACTTTGATATTGGAAATATTAGGCATATCCTATGAAATCTTCACGTTTCATGTTGTGATGGGTAGCTACTCATAAAGTCCATTTTAACCTACTCCACGGTAGTAGTAGTATGTAGGATGGATGACTGCCTAGCTTGGCCACATTTCTCAGTTCTCTTTGCAATCAGGTGAGGCTGTGTCATCAGGATCTCACACATAGAATGGAAGTAGAAGTGATGTGTCAATGCACCCTCTTGTCTCTTCACACTCGGCTGGAGCCCAGGAGGGCATCAACCTAGCTTTAACCACACACATGTTGACCATGTCCTAGGGGATGGTGGAGCAATTGCTTGGTTGGGACTTGGAACTCTGAGTGGGCGCAGAAAGGAGATCTGTCCCATTGATCTAGCCCATTCACACTGAGACCAGGTGAGAGAGATATAAACCTTAGGTCATTCAATCTCTGCTTCTCATTATTGAAGCTCTAGCTTTACCCTAATGCGTAGCTGTTAGAAAAATAATAAAGAAACTTGAAAATGGAAGCAAAACCCAGTAAACTATTAAGAAGTTTTGATCAAGGAGATTTGAAAAAGAATCAAATAGAACTTCTAGAAAAAAATCTTCATTTAACTTATATAACTCATAAAATACAACAGAAAATGAATGGAAAAAGTTATCCATGACTTCACCTCTCAAAGATAAATAATGTTTCTATTTGGAGGTCCTTCCTCCCAATGGGCACAGCATGAAGATTGCCTGAGACCTGCTGTCATTTCCCGCCCCTCTCTATTCACCTGCCCCATCCCATCTCCCTTTGGCTGCAGTAAAACGTAGCGCTTTGTGTTGCTTGTTCAGGAAGAACATCATTTAGATTTCCTAGCAACCAACAGAAAAGTTACTTAAGCCCATTCTCTTCCAAACCAAATTTAGAAAAATCATTTTAATAGATTTTTCTTTGTATTATATCAAAAGATAGCCTGTTTTTCTCTGAAAACTATAAATAATGCTTTGATTTAGCTTAAATGTTATAAATTCTCTATTTTGGCTTACCTATGAAATTTTTATCATAATGTTGTATTTAGCTGTTTTGTAAAGGAAATAGTCTAAATACAAAAATAAAATATAGGATTTTTCTCTCCTTAATAAAAATCTTATTTTTTCCTCAAGATTAAATTTCTTAGCTCTCTCTAATTGATTTAGGTGCTATTTCTGCAGTTAGAGGAAGAAAATAAAATTATTTTAAGTTACAGTTTATAGTTTGTACCTGACAATTCTAGTTAAATGTTCAATGGCTATTCTTTCATGGTTTTATGAGCATTATATGCATCTGCTCCTAAGCGTTATTCTAGTAAATGAGCGACAATTATTCTATTCTCAGAAGTGTAGATTAAATTTTAATTTTATTTAAAGTTGCAATATGAAGTATATTAGTGAATATTTCTGAACTCCTTTTGATACTTAGTAGTAATAAGATATTTACAGCCAAACTCATGTTAGAATATATTGCTCAAATAGGTAATATGCATAAAATTAAAATATATTGGCCTTCTTCTTAAGATTTATTCTGCCATTAATTCTAAAATCAGGTAGCTCTAAGCAGACCTCAGGCAATACAATAATTCATTAATGGATGAATTTCAGCCCTCTATGTGATTCAGCTCAGTAAGTGAGCAATTTAGAATTTTTTGCTGAATGTTAAAGTATATAACCATATAGGGTGGTGAATATGTGTGAGCTAATTTCCTTGTTAGTGTTGGAAGGGTAGCAAGAGGAAAATGTAGTTAGAGGGCTCTTATTTATGCATCCAATGGAGACAGAGTGTAATTTAAAATCATAAAACTAAGCATTAGTCACAAATAGCACCTTTTTTCTATCTGCTAATTACTAGTAAAGGAAAAATGAACTGATGCGAGTTTTATCTTTCCTCTTTTTGCACGTAAGTCTTTGAAAATGTACTTATCAATGTTTTAAATATCAAACAGACATAACACTGAACTTGATATTTAAAGTAGGAACATTTCATTCCACATGGACCTACACACATTTGAGTAATAGTTCATGTAAAAGTGCTTCCTAATGAAAGTGTGTGCTTCCCACGCCTGAACAGGAAGTTACAGACTCATTACGTGTTTGTAATTACCCATGCATTGTGTGATCATGAGTTAAATACATCTTCATGATTCACATAGAAAGCTGTCTGTAATGATTAGTATACCTCAATAGGCCTTTATCAGGTCAACAGAATCCAGGCCATTGCAGTTTTTGAGGATCCCAGTATATTAAAATGTGTCCAGACACATTTTAGGCATTTTCATTTAATAACTAAAGTTAAATCCTTCATGTGGTATTCTTTCAACTATTATAGTATATTTCTTTATACATAGGTATGATTTCACTTGGAGATAACACCGAACGTCTACCTTTGGGACTATGGGTGAAAGGAAGGCCTGGACTAAATGAGCCTCCTCTGATAGGCCCCAGAGGAACCCTATAAGAACCTTACACTCATATAAGCCAAAGAGAAATTGTTAGCCCATGAAGTCTTGGGCTTTGCTGAAGCTCACCTCTCAATTTGGGCGAAATGTGGTGGTTCACACCTGTAATCTTGGCATTTTGGAAGGCAGGAGGATCACCTGAGGCCAGGCGTTCCAGACCAGCCTGAGCAACAAAGTGAGACCCCGTCTCTATCAATTTGAGAGAATTGTACAAAACATACATGGAATCTGGCTTTGTGAAGGAAAATGCTAAGAAAATCCTTCCTTAGCCAGATGCCAAATGCTACAACTATTGACCAAGGCTTTGTGTTAGTTCTACTTGCCATGAACTTAGCATCAGAGAGAAAAGAACACAGAACTGCAGAGAGTTCAGGTAAAGCCGAGGAAGGTCCATCACTAGCCAAAGATGGACTAGATGCATATTTAGATTTCACAAGGCAGGTAGTGATTCAACTCTTTCTTAGGCAAGATTTGCTTCAGTTGTAGAAAACCATTTTAAGGATTTTCTAATGAGATCTGTCTACATGCAGATGAAATTCCCCCTAGACCAGCTCATAATTTTGACATCTCAATTTGACAACATTGATAACTTAACAATTTAAACAGACTGTGGCTTGTGCCTGTGTTCCTAAACCCCGAGAGTCCTTATCAGCCTCCTCTTCATCCCCCTCCTGCCACCCAGATCCTCCTCTTGCAGTCCTGTTAACATCCAGGAAAATGTATCCATAACTTTTCTGGAGGTGTATATAACAACAATAACAAAATTTCCTTTCCTTTCTTGGGGGCTTACTTTTCCCTTGTGGTAGATTTATCAAAGGTGACACTCAGAATCCAAAAGACTCAGTGTCACATTGTGGACTTGCAAGGTAGGTGTGCATTGTGGGGATAGGAAATAATGTCTCACTCCATATTTCATCGTTTTGGTTGGACAGCAGCCAGGATGTTGCAAGGCCCTTCAAGTTTTCACCGGCTCTGCACACATGAACCATCTAGATGCCCAACACATAATGTTGCTCATGTTTTTAAATTGCACTTGATGCTTAGGATATGGCGTTTTGAAATTGAGATGAGGAAGAGGGATGAAAACTTTCATGGTAGAAAGGAGCATTGCTTTCATTGTTGAAAGAGTTTCATTTTCCCATGCTCTTCATGATTAATATTAGCACCTTATTCTCTCCTCCAACAGCTAGTAGATTTTCGCTAATCCAGTAAACGTTACTCTAGCTGGTAGCCTGTCAGTACCTAGTCCAGTGACAATGGATGGACCCACTCCAAACTCAATAAAGTTTGTCTTTAACTCTGTTTGTTCAGCTTAAACTGAACAAAAACTTTGCTGATGTTCATGGATCTCAGAATTTTTAACATAGCCTCCAGGCATGGTTGCACATGGCAGCCAAGCTCATAACAGATTTACTGGCTGCAATGTAACAGAGACCTATCATCAAGGCTGAATCACATAAAGTGGTGGGAAAGGGCGTACACACTTACACACTAATTTAAACAGAGACAAGAGGAGAAAATCGTGTTTAACTTTTGTCCTTAACAGAATTGTTAGAAATTGTAAGGTGTACCATTTTAGTTGCATA
The DNA here is from genome assembly GCF_000001405.40 of Homo sapiens. Classification (NCBI taxonomy): domain Eukaryota; kingdom Metazoa; phylum Chordata; class Mammalia; order Primates; family Hominidae; genus Homo; species Homo sapiens. The sequence continues at coordinate 133,457,833 of NC_000002.12, read as the reverse complement.
ACCAATTATTATGTGTAGCATGAAAAAACTAGAAAAAAGAATTGAGATTTACTCACTAATTCTAAAAAATGGGAGAGGGAGAAAAACTGGCCCTTTAAGAATAGATTTCCTTTTTTCAAATTACACAAACGAATGCTATTTGAGTTGCCTTGCACCTCTCCTTACTTGGCAACCCATGAGTGTTAATTTTGATCTGTATTACTGATTGTTCTGAATGAAACCATTTCCATAAGATTTTGTTCCTTCAGACTGTCTAAAAATAATTACCTTATAATTTCTCTTCCCATCTTAAATATTTTACACTCATCCTTAAACCAGCTGTAAAATCTTTTAAAAGCATCCTATTTTGAAATATGCAGATTAAGGCTGCATTGCCATTCTGTCTTAGAAATGGTGTAGGTGTGTTTCTGTGGGCATCTTTCTCTTCACATCAAATGAGAAAGAGTTCTCAGTGGTAGGATTTGATATCTCACCAAGGGAAGGGGTGACTCTTTGAGGTCATATTTTAGCTTTGGCTCTACAGACACTGGAAGCCATTATCTTAAAATGCTCTAAATTCAGTTCCAAAATGGAAAGATGATTACATGATTAATGGAGGTTTATAAAGATCATTGAAATCTTAGCCTGGATAAAGCCATCAGAAACTATTTAATCCAATTTCCCCTGTCTCCAGGCCGGCCACATGGGAATCAGTTTGTCAGATGGAATCTCTGTCTTCATCATGTACCTCTCAAGTCCCCTTTTTGTATGAAATACAATGCATCCTTGTCCTGACTTAAGGACCTACTCTTACCTGGGGCCCCTTTGCTACGAATGCTGCACATTAGAGATGAAGCTCATAGCTGTGTTAACGGAAGACATTGGTTGGACAGTGCAGAAATGGAAATACAAAGATCTTGTTACACCTATGACGTGTCCGACAGTCCTGATAATGTTCATAAGCAGCTATGTAGTTGCTGAGAGAAAGGTGGTTAAATGTGTGGGTTTGACACTACTTAGACTGGTAAAGTTTACTTTCCTTTGGCCAAGTATCTGGGAAATAAGTACTTCTGTTAAACAAGAAAGGCCAATTAAAAAGAAATTGTGTTTGCTTTATCCAACTAATTGTTACTAATGGAAAAATAATTTCAGACTAATGTATTACTGATTTGGGGTCAGCAGCCTCCTTCAAATTCACTACATAATAAGGTTATTTCATCAACTAGGAGTTGTGTACACCTGCAAGTAAGACATCTAAAATATCATGACATACAAAAAAGGATTTATCTTTCTCCCATGGAACATGAACTGCAGAGGAAGGCGAATTACAGGTGATATGGATGACTCCTTGATGTCATCAGGAGCCTGCACTCCTTTTCTCTTCTGTCCCGCCATTCTTATCACATGGCTTCTGCTCTCAAGGTCACTTCAGGTCACAATATGACTGATGCAGAGTGCAGCTAGCAAGAAGGCGGAGAGGGAAGGGCAAAAGGGCACCTGCCAAATCAGGCACCTTTAGAGAATTTTCCTGAAAGCCCACACGATGGCAATCAGTGCCTCCTACTTACATCATAATTGCTACTCCTTTCTGCATGGGGGCCTGGGACATGTTCTCTTGCAGTTGGGTAGATTGCTACCGCTGCAATATGGGGGTTTTGTTAGTGAAGAATAAAAGCAACAATGAAAATTTAGCAAGGAACTCCCAATGTCTGCTACAGGTCCCATCCTTAATTTATGCTTGTTGTGGGTTATTCCTTGAGATCATAAAGTGATAATATCATTGCTCATAAAACAACAAATGTGCAGAGAATCTAACAAGATATGGCACACCATCACAAAAGATACAGAGCCCGGATGTTTATCCATTTTGGTACTGTCTGATTTAGTGAAGTTCAGCTGCTTCCCAGCTCCTGTGGTTTAGAAAATTAAGTTACAGTGCGTTTTTGCCTAGACTGACTTTTATGGTGGATTTATTTACATCTAACCACGGCTGATATAAGACTTAATGCTTGTGAAGTCTTAATGTCACAGCTATTTGATTGTCAGGATTTCAAACATAAAAAGGGGGTTTAAGTTCTGTTTTCTTGTATAAAAAAATAAGTTTGTTTTTCAAAGTGCAAGGACTTTTTCAGCGAGGGTCTTTTATTGCTTTCCTTTCATATTGTCTTCTATTTTTAATATATGGTGATGGTATTAGAAGTGATGGGGAGAGCATTTGGATATGAAAATGCCTTAGCTTCTGATCATAATTTGAATGAGCAGAAAAACATACGAAAGAAAAAAGGGAGAAACAGATTGTAAATTGGACCCAATGGAGAATGATCATCTTATAGACCATTCTAAATATGATTATTCCACTGGGTAGAGCATGCTGAACAATGGATGATATATATATCTAGGGCCCAGTGGTAAAAATATGAGATGGCGAAGGTAGAGTAATAATAAAGACATTGGAAAATCTGTCCCATGAAAATGACTAAAGCCACTTGGCTACAATAAGGCCTAGAAGGGAGGAAAGCCATAATTTTATTATTCATAAAGGCATACCAAATAGCTGACCTTAAACTTTGAAAGGGATGAAATGGGCATAAACTTCATCGAGATGTATCATTTTAGGCTTTACAAAAAATAGATGTCAAGGCTTTGAGATATTATAATCATGCCAAGAAAAATTGTGGAGCCTTTCATCTTTGACTATCTCTGTAAATAATATCCTGTTCTTGTTGGTATTGCTTTAAACAAATCAGGCTGGATGGACATGTTGTGGCTACAAAAGGTAGAAAATCGTGTTTCATCTAGCATTTTAACAAAGACTCAGATACAAGTCAACACGAAATATTTTTTAATATTATTTAAACATTTTTAAATATTAAAGTTGAGTATATCATGCCAATGTATTTTCTCAAATCAGACCCTTTGGATGAAAGTATATAACTGGCTCCCCAGATGTTTTGTACCTGTGATAGGTAACATTCCAATTATATTCATTTATTGTTGCTTAATGACCCTAAAGAATATCTTGGGTTCTGCAGATAGCTTCATAATTGTAGGTAAGATAGTTTGACCTAATTTTTTTGAGTTCGAAAGAAAAACAAAATCCCTGAAAGTATGTAGGCCCGTACAACCTGTTTATCCAGATAGCCTTGAAATGTTGAACCATCTAAGAAAGTAATGTTTATATTTAACTGTGCTTCATTTGTATGATAGGTATGATTATTTTTAAAATCTCAGCCATGTCAAAAGCACTCCAAAGACTACAGAAGCTGAAATAGGAAATGCTGAGAATACTTCTTTCTTGGGCAGAGAAGACCTTGAGTTTACAAGTCTGTTGTTTGATCTATGATGTCAATACCAAATGTTGACACAAATGAATGTTTAATAAATATTACATGATTTGATATGAATATTAATGAGATGCCCATCTCAAAGGCACTTAGAGCACTGTTAAAGCTTTCTAATGTGTTTCTCCATTTTCTGAATCTTGTCCCTGATGACCTAATTCAGATAACAAACACAATATTTATCAATATCCTCAGTATGTTGAAGTATAATTCTATACCAAATACTTACTTCAAAGTAAGTCACCAGTGCTTTATAGATGGTAATCACATTCTGAATAGCCATTTATATTTAAATTATATTATCCATTGTACATATGCTGCCCTCTAAAAGCCAAGTTCTATGTTTAAAAGCTACTTAGAAGAACATTTTAAAGCTTATAAGCTTAATTTCTTCATTTCTTATTATAGGCAACCAGTTTGTTTGTTTTTAGCCGTACTAAAAATGAACATATACTGTCCCTTTTACTGATTTGCAAACTGACATAAAAGCAACCTAACAGAAAACCATTACTGTTTTTCAGATAATTATTAAAGTAAATTAGATATACATGATGAATTGTACCATGCAAGTGACAAACATGATAGTGATTCAGCGGTGGTGGGGGGGCTCAAAACTGGACTCTTTCTCCTGTAATTCTTTCTTGTTTTCAACTTAATTTTTTGCAAATCTATCATTAATGTTTCTGATTACTATAATAGTACTTGTTCATTATAAACATATCCAGAAAAGTTGAAAGAAATAAAACTTACTTGATATTTTGTCCTTCCTTCCTTCTTTTGTTTCTTCCTTCCATTCATTAGAGAGCACGTTGGATATATAACCTTTCATTTTCCTGTTTTATGAATACTACCTTATTAGTGTTTTCCAATGGAATTACACAATTTGCATAAATATATTTTACTGGCTACATCATGTTCCACTGAATGAATAACCCTTATTTTGTCAAATTCCAACTGTGTTTCTTTCTCTTTCCTTTTTTTTGCCATTATAAATAGAAATGCAGTGAACATCTTTGTTCACAAGGGTTTGTCCACCTCTATTACTAATGTGTTAGGAATTGTTATTAGAATTGAAGTTATTTGGTCAATGCTGTGCACAATATTTTTATCAGATTATTTTAAGTGGGTGAGATTTTAGTCAATTGGAATTATTGCAGTTCTGTCTAAAACTATTGGTTGCATTAAGGAGATGGAGGATTCTAGGGTTCTTTATTCAGTGGTTCTATAAGTATCTTGAAATGGACAAATGACGAATTTATTTTGATAACCTTTGCTTTCAGGATTTTCTAGTTACATACTTCCTGATTGAGGTGACCTGATGACTGGGCAAAATTATCAGACATTGTTTAATTTTAACTAATGACTCTTCCCTTAGGATGATGAGATAAAGACAATAAAACACTTCAAGTTCTATTGTTTTCTGTAAAATTGAAGATTTTTAAATTGATTACTGGTTGCCTTATTTGGAGAACTGAGAGTCCTACTACTTTGTATATACATTCACTTATTCAACAGTGAATTTATTTAGGTAGCAATGGTAATAGCAGGAGAGAGAAAAAGAAGGAAAGAGGATCCCTCAAGTTGCTCACTATCTAATAATATAAATAAATGAATTATACTAAATTTGGGTGTGGTGAAAAGTAGTAACTTCTAACACCAGGGCATGACTGTACAGGGGAAAGAGGCCACACATGGCTTCCCAAGGCAAGGCTTGGGTCTGGGACATCACGGGAGGGCATGTAAAAACAAGTCCTGCTTTGATTGCCTTTTCTGTGTGTTTCACAGTCTAACTCCTGATGCGTCAATCTTGTTCTGAATGGATTTAAGGATTGATTTCACACTGCTGCTTCTGAGAGCCTTTCTGTCATGTCAACATCTTACATTTTAGAAATGGTTAAACAGGTGTTGTTTGAGGAGATTGTGTACAGGCAAGGAATGTATCACCTGCCTCTCCCCTACTGCCTCCTTCCTACATCTATGCCACTTAGAAGCATAGTTACAAATGAAATTTTATAGTGAGATTTGGGGACAATTTCTCCATTACATATTATCAGCCATAGGTCTAAATTTATAGCATGTGGATTATCCTCCATCAGTGGATTTCCTTCTTGGGCACATATTCCATTTAATCAGGGCTTCCCCTGATCCCATAATCCCATTCATATGCACTGCCTGCACAACTGCTGCTTGCTTTCCCAAGCAAGGAGCCTCTCCTAGTTGGCTGCATTTAATGCTTTGGTCCTTCAAATTCTCCCTTGTCTTTGGAGCAGGGATGCCCTTCAGTGTGTTCTGCAATTGCAGACATGGGAAACATTTCTCTCAAGGAGAGGAGGCTGCATTTGACATGGTATTTGGGGCCAAGCATTATTATTTTTGGCCAGTTGATTGTTTTCTAACAGGTCTCAGATAATTGAAATATTATTATAGTGGAGTGAGCTGGTAAGCTGTTTCAGGGGACTCATTTGCTAGATCACCTGTCCTTAAGACTGCTAAATGGAATCCTTTCTTCCCTATGAAGTTTCTCCTCCTCTAAATTTTCTTGTGCAGTGCACATATAGCCCCCATTACTCAGTATGTGTGTGTGTAATTGTGCTTGAGGGAAGACAACACACAATTATTTTTTAAGCAGGGAAATGTTTGAAGTTCCCATCACTCCTTCGGGTTGAAGAGACATCCTCCATAGTAGCATTCATCAAGTATACATTTGCAAGCCATATAGATGGCTTAGCCCAGAAAGAGACAAAGTCATAATTCACTTTCATGCCAGGCTTTCTGAGATTGTGGGGTTGCTGGCATCAGTTAGGACCCAGAATGCAAGTCACTTTGTTGATAGACACTAATATGGTCATGCTCTCTGCCCTGCAATGGGAAGGGGAGGTTTAGCTCAAAAATCACATGAAAGTCATCTGTTCTTAGTGAAGTTGATATGTTACCTTGGTGGAAAAGATAAAAAAGTTCTGTGTATAAGAGTGATTGTTGCATGGCCGTGTGTGGCATTCCAGGGAAAAGATCTGTTAGAAGACAGACAAGATTTCACAACTCACTTTTCAGCAGAAAATGACTTGACTTTCGCTGATGAAGTTGATTACTGAAAAGGATACTCATGTGCCACTGGGGCATATGCTTTCTGATATGTGAACATGAACTGGTCCTGACCCACCTGACTGAAACTTTGGCCATCAATTATTTGCAGTGGTGAAATGCAGAGAAAGGTGAGGTTGAGAGAGGGTTCCCAGAGAACTTGCTTTGCATTTAGAAGTTCAGATCCATGACTGTAAGATCAGAGTAAAGAATGGCTTCTGGGTCCCTCTTAAGTATCTGATTAGGCTCTAAAAATTGCAATATTTCATGTTACTGGGCCATCTTCTCTTTGAGTCTGTGTCTATGTACAAAACAATTATTGGATTAGAACCAACTCTAATCCAGGATGACTTCATCCTAACTTGATTACAGCTACAAAGACCCTATTTCCAAATAAAGTCACATTCACAGCTTCCAGGTTGGCATACATTTTGGGGGTTTGGGGGCTCTAACCCAAATACAGCTTGAGCAATGAATGAAATAATATATTTTTCTCTGCCTTGATTTTTGGTAAAATATTCTTTTAGGGCTTTAGCATATGAAAACCTTTTATAAGGTTTCTCATTTTACCCTGGTGGAAAAGGTGGAGAACTGTAGTCTGGATACTAATACCATGTGGTGAATTAGATCTTGGTTGAATTATTGTCCCCAAAGGAAGATTGATGTCAACCAGAAGGTTTTTGTGGCATAGTACGTGCCTCTTTTGTGGCCTTGGAGCTATTCAAGTTTTTGGTTGATAGTATGAATAAAGAGAATAGAACCATGTATATCCCATTTGAGAATAGTGTGTGGTTAAATTGAAAATGTTTCACCCAATGAAAGTTGTTGGATATATATTTTTAAATGATTTAAAAGAAATAAATGTAAATTCTGTCATTATTTCAAAATCAACTGTACAGTCAACTCATCAGAGGGCTATAAGCTTATTAACAGTATGCATCCGAATAGTCAATAGTAATCTCAATATGAATGGCTTTTAAAAACGTAATGTTACCATAGGCCGCATTAATGGAATGATGGAGGTCATCCTCTTCCTCTGCATTGGACTGGTCAACATATGCTGAAAACAACTGTGTTCAGGAAAGGTTACCACATATGAAAATGCACTTGATGGACATATTGGAATATACCCAGAGAAGAATTGCTGGGAGAATAAAATGACTCAAGTTGACATTACCTGAGGGATGGATAACAGAACAGGGAAGATTAGCCTGGAGAACAGATGGGCAGCACAGACTGAGCAAATAAGCTTTCTTTTAAACCTTTAAATTGTTGTGTGTGTGCACGCACGCACGCGCGTGTGTGTGCGTGTGTGTTGAGAAGAGGAATTCAACTTGGCCTGTATTGCCTCAAGTAGACAAATATGGGCAAATCAATAAATGTTTCTGGTAGGTACATCTTTGCTGCCTTGCAACAAGGCCTTGTGCAACTGATCATGGACTGCCTGGGAGATGGTGAGTCCCGTGGGAGTTGAGATGCTCAAACATAGAGATGCACAGACATTTGGCAGGTAGTTGTCAAGGCACTTCAACCCACAAAAATTGTGCTATGCAACCGAGTTCTTATGCATCCAAGTTTTAAAATCTCTGTTGAAAAAAAAAAAGCTGGAAACTGTGAGATTTGGATGAGGCATAATAATGTTAATTATATATTTTAACCTTCCTTTATAGTTCAAATCGATACAGCACATAAGAGAGAAAAGGTGGTAAAGTCAAGATGATACAATCTATGATCGCAACCTTGACATAGAATCCATTTCAGATTGGCCTGTAGATTTTGAAGATAGAGAATTTGAAAGTTGAAGAGTCATATCATTAAAAGGAACCGTCACGCCTTAGGGTAAACCTCTATATTTCCTTGTTCAAAGAATTCTCAAGGTGGAAAAGGACCCAAAAGTCCAACTATTTCGAATTTCAGAGATATCTGATTTTAGTATTCCCATTTTAGGGAGAACGTGTGTTCCCTGTTGTCTATAATATGCCATTCACCTGTTTTGATTATTTTCTATTACTCTGTTAAAAAATTCCTTGAAATATTCTGACTATAAAATATATTCCATTCAGTTGCTTTTGCCCAAGGTACAAGAGCTCTAAATCGTTTTGCTAAAAGTGAAGGAAAAAGGACTAAGAACTAGGGGCAAAAATTCAGTTTCTAATATACATAACATGAGAATGAATAGCAGTTTAGGGAAACATTCTTTCATTTATTCATTCCTTGAGCCAATAAAGACTTATTGAGCAACTACTCTACAATAGGCAACAGGAATGTAAAGTGAATCTAAAACTACCCTTGATTTTGTACTCCCAGTTGGGTAGGGGAGAAATTATTTTATACAATATGATAAGTGCCATTATGGGGGAATATACAAAAAGCTTGGAAGTGCAAGGATAATTAAATCTATGTGGAAAAAAGGTTAATAAGAACATCCTCTCTCATTATTCATGTGTACATGGTGCATATGTCTGTGTAAACACAGCATCTTGTCTATCTATGTTATTTTATAGAAAGGAGAAAGATGGCTACAGAGATTAAGAAGCATATAAGGTGGGTGGCTCGCTGGAGCCCAGGAGTTTGAGACCAGCCTGGGCAACATGGTGAGACCTCGTCCATAGAATAAATACAAAAATTAGCCAAGTGTGATGGCATGCACCTGTAGTCCCAGCTACTCAGGAAGCTGAGGTAGGAGGATCTCCTGAGCCTGGGGGGTCAAGGCTGTAGTAAGCTGTGATCATGCCACTGCACTTGGCCTGGGCAACAGTGAGACCCTGTTTTAAAAAAAATAAAGAAGAAACTCTGATTCCTCTTTTGTCAGTAGACTTTCTTTAAAGCAGAAAAATGCTTTAAGAAAAAAATACTGCTCAACCATGCACTCCTAAGGCCAAGTTCAATTTGCAGCATTTGGGGAAATCTTGAAGAAAACCAAACCAAGAACATACATGCGCTACTTTTGTTTTAGATTTAGTAAGTCTTTCCTCTTGACTGCTCAGGGTAAACAATGGTATTACTTAATGTGACTATACAGGATAGATTAGTTAAATACGGGCTCGCTCTTCCTCTCATGTCAATGAAATACATGAGCTTCCTCATGCTACAGAATGATTCAAAGGTTTGATTTGTGGAAAAGAGTTTCCGGAAGCTTTTAAATTGTGGCCACCAACCCGCCTCCCTCTTTTTTTTTTTTTCCCAGAACAATATCAAACCTATTATTGGCCAGAAGGTTGACAAAGGGGAGAATAAATCCAACAGAAGATTTATACTTGCTTTCATTTCAGATGGTAACATAATCAAAATATTTTCAGAGGAATAAAGTAGAAGTATAAATTTTAAGTGGATGGACTTAGGACATGATCAGCCCACTTCTGCTTTGTTCTGCTGCTGTGTGTGGCGCTTCTTGCTAGCCTATTTATGACATGTTTAATAGGCATGTTTGCTTTAGTCTGATGGGTACTCTCAGCAGTGAGCTTAGAGCTGTAGAGGTGAAATGGCCCATGCATGTGGACAGAATTATTGGAAGTACCACATGTGGCACCCTGTCTCAGCCAGCTGGACATAGACTGGCTAATCTTTAGAGAACCCTGATGAAGGCCACAGGTAGAGATGCAAGATGATTCACTGTCTCAAATTCCCTTCTTTTAGAAAAAGAAAGAGGCTGGGCACAGTGGCTTACACCTGTAATCCCAGCATTTTGGGAGGCCAAGGTTGGAGGATCACTTGAGCCCAAGAGTTTGAGACCTGGGCAACATAAGGAGACCCCATCTCTACAAAAAGAAAAGAAAAGAGAAGAGAAGAGAAGGGGGAAGGGGAAGGGGAAAGGAAGGGAACAGAAGGGGAAAGGAAGGGAACGGAAGGGGAAAGGAAGAGAAGGGAGGGGGAAAGGAAGGGGAGGGAAGGGGGAAAGGAAGGGAAAGGAAGGGAAAGGAAGGGGAAAGGAAGGGAAGAGAAGGGGAAAGGCAGGGAAAGGAAGGGGAAAGGAAGGAGAGAGAGAGAAGAAAAAAGGAAATAAAAAGAAAGGGAAGGAAGGAAGGAAAAAGACGGAGAAAGAGGCCTTAAAAATAAAGTTATTGAGCCGATTCAATTCAGGTTTATTATTTACGTAAGACTATTTTACTAAAAGCACGAGTGCAAGGACCTTGACATTTACCTCTGAATTCTGCATGTAGCTCAGTAAGATATGCACATGAATGTTTCCCATCAATATTGAGCCCCTCTAGGGTCTATGGCAATTTGTTTTTCCTGCTACTGACTGCTTGGTTGCGGGAAGGGCAGTGAATTGATGGCGGGTAGAGATGGAGTTCAAAGTCGTGGTGTGTTCCTCCCATGAAGCCATACCTTTTACGCACATTTCCTGGCATGTTTTCCACCACGCATAGAGTCACTAGTTCAGCTTTACCAATGGTTCTTTCTTGGTTAGCTCCTTGCCTGAGCGATCTTCCTCATTTCAGACTACTGGGGTTGCACTTGAAACTTGCCCAGAGGTCTTCCTGGGTTTACTGCATGCTTTTGGTTCCCTTCTCTGATTCCTCCTCTTTCCCACCCACTAAATATGGGCACTTCAAGCTGTGCTCTGTCTTCTTTCTCATCCTTTCTCCCTTTCCCCTCACTTCTCACCTCTTCTTCCTGCCTCTCCCCTCTCTCCCATGGTTGTCTCATCTCCTCCATTATTCAGCTGTCATCTCCAGACATGCAAGCTTAGCTTTGGTTACTCTTCTAAGCTTTCATCTTGAGTTTGGCTTTCTCATTATGCATCTTCATCTGGTCATTCCAGGGCAAAATCAAGCAGCATGCTCAGGACGAGGCTCATGATAGAGCGGCAGCAGAGCATGGTGCTCATACACACGACTTCTGGGACCAGGCGGCCTGGTCTCCCTCTCCCTCCCTCACTTACCAGCTGTGTGACCTTGGACAACTTGTTTAAATTTTCCTTGCTTCAGTGTTTCCATCTTTAAAGTAGGTGCCATATTACCTAGCTCCAAAAGTTGGGGTAAGAATTAAATGAGTTATTACACGAAAAGGGCTTAGCAACACCTGGTATGCAGTAAGCATGCAAGTATGTGTTAGCTATTTTTGTTTTTATTTTCCTTTATCTTTAGACACTTCTGGGCTCCAGAAAGCTTTTCTTCTTTAATATCATATCTATTTATAACATGAACAAATCTTCTACTTGCTGAAGCTTGAAATGTAGGACTTCCATTCTTTTCTCACCTTCAACCTTCTAGAAATTGTCAAGGCTTTTCAGTTTTCTAATTATTGCGTTTCTCATATCTTTGCCTTTCTTCCCCTTTCCTATGGTTGCTATATTAATTCTTCCTTGGACCACTCTGACAGCTTCCTAGTTTTCTCCTGCAGTTGTTTGGTTCTCACCTCCTCTCTTTGCAAGTCTGTCTTGCATTAAGACATGGCCAAGTGCCCTGGAACACAAGCTTAATCGTTCTATCTTCATTTGAAACCACCACCACGCTGCCACAAACACACACACAGTGGGTTCCACTCAGCACTGGAGGATGTCTAAATCCCTTGGTCCAGCAATAAGGTCTTATACAACCCATCTCTTGAATTATTGCTAATTTTTTGTTGCTGTTGTTGCTTTCTTCAGGGGTGTCACATTATCGCAAGCTGCTCCAATTGCTATTCCCTAAAAATTCTTAGCTTCCCTTCCCCTCTGTGCCTCTGTTCACCTATCCCCTCCCTCAACCTGAACTCCCCCTTCCTTACTCTCCCTGTGCTGCCAAAAAGTCTCTCCCTTTCTCTGGGACCAGGTGGAATCGCAATTTAATTATACCCTCTCCAATCACTCCAATGAAAAGTAGCTCCTCCCTAGAAGGACCAAATAACAATTTGCATTGGAGCCTCTTAGAGATACTTATTTCCTGCAAACCAAACGTCTACATGCTCTGTAAAGGGAAGGATTTAGAGTTTGAAGTCAGGGGTTCTGGGATTTTTGATCCAAGGTCTACAAAAGTGAGCCTTGGATTTCTTAAATATAAAACAGTGATAGCAATAATAACTGTGTCACAAGATTTTTATGAGAATTAAGTCAAATATATATGGGAAGTCTTTTGAAACTAATTTTTTAAAAACCAATTTTGCCCAAAAAGTAGTTGCTTTGGATTTTATTTTTAACATCTTTATAAACTCCACAATACCTAGCATCAGGGTTTCTTTTTAAAATTGGTATTGAATCATTATTTGTGAATAAATCTATAAGATTCAACCTACAAAAAAAAAAGCTCATTTCTTGTATTAATTCAGATGTACCTAGATTTGAGAACTGTTTCATGACAGTAAAACATGAGAAAGTTAAATTGCCTGATATTTTTGCAACTTGCCCCTTTTTAGTATAAAGAGAATGACCTTTTAATAAATTATTTCCTTTCCCAAGTAAATCACTCAATCACAAGAAAATGTTTAGTGTCCTCAGGTGAAATTAACAAAATTACCTAAAAGCTTATTTTTTATTATCACATGGTATCTATTCTGGCCTCTTCAGATCTTAAAATGCAAGTAATTAGTTAAAATAATTCTTCACATGGAGGCGACAGTCCACAGGAGAATCACAATGAGTGAAGATCCAGGAAGTCAGCTGTGGAGGAAATGTTGCGATGGATTCAAAGGAGCAGCAAGGCCAGCGCTAGTCAGAGGGTCAGGCCTGGAGTTCAGAGGAGCTGGCCATCAAGTTCATGGAGAGGGCTGACTCCTGTTCTGCTGAGTTCATAAAGTAGAAAAGCAAAGATCAGAGTGCAAGGAAGAAGAACACAGAACTCTGGCAAATCCCTGCAGATAACACTCACACAGAGACCTCTAAGAGTTTCCTGATTTTAGATGGGTGTCTCACATTTGTTATCTCACTTGATCCTTTTAACACCGTGCTGGGATAAGGAGGGCAGGGTTCACTAACCTCTTGTTTGACTGCAAACAGAGAGAGGGACAAGCCAAGTCTCAACTTCCCTCTCAAAGATTAAGAGCAATTTTAAAGCAATACCAGAAGATGTATACATCTTTTTAAATATCTACATCTATATCTATATCTATCTATCTATCTATCTATCTATCTATCTATCTATCTATCTATCTATCTATCTTTGTTTTTGTCTTTAAAAGCTATTTGCCATTTGGCAAAGTTTCTGGGCCCCCTATGTTAGCTGTTCCATTGTGCTTAAACAGCGCTGAGATAGCCCTAAGACGCTGTGAGTCTTTCCCTAGACCATGGTACCAAAACTTGAGGACATCAGTCCTTCCTTCTTTTGGGCTTTCTCTTTTCTCACCTGAAGAATGGGACATACCACTGGAGCCCCAGACACCTTCCAGCTTCATTTAAAAGCTTCACCTAGGTCAGTCAAGAGAATGAGAACATTTTAGACAATACAGCAAACTGAAAAAAAAATAAAAGGACTTTTTAAAAAACAATATTTGTGCACTTAACATGAATTGGATTGTCACAAAAGCATACACTTGTTTTTATTATACATTGATTAACACTGTTTTATGCAATTAGGAGCAGCCAGTTGCCCTGGGCAGGAGTATATGAAATTATCTAAAACATACCAGTAAAGAAGCCTGCCATAATCTTGACTTCTAGGTTCAAAAGTCACTTGTGAAGGTAAAAGAAAAGATCACCAGGAGAACGCAAACAGACTCAAGAGGTCCCTCTACTCATCCTTTCCTCCCCTCTTCCAGTAGAGAAAACAGCTCTAGGGTAGGAAGAAGAAAGAGCAGGTTTGAAGTGGAAGGAGGAGACTCAGGGGTGAGCTGGAGCTGCAGTTGATGGAAGTCTGCATGCTTCAAGCTTGGGCTCAGGGAGAAGAGTGGTGATCCATGCTGGAGACGGCTGCGGGCAGCTCAAAGGTCTCAGGAAATTTCCAGAAGCAGGGTCCAAAAGTTAGCCGAAGGAGAGGGAGTGTGCAAGAAAGGAGGGCCCTTCCCATGGAGGAGCATCTCAGTGAAACAGGAAGTTTCCTACCAGGGCTGAGGTAGAAAATGCAGCTGAACCTCAGTGCATTGCCATGACCAGATCATCCAAGTGGGAGGTTTTGGGGTCCTTCAGACCAGCCAGTGGCCATTACTGGAGGAGCACAGTTGTTTTGTTTCACTAATGTCCTGATAAGAAGAGAACTATCCGGAGCAAAGGCATCTAAAACCAACAGAAAGTGGAACCAGGCAGGACTAGCTCTTCCCTAGATTGCTGGTAGGACTTGTGAAGTTCACACTGACCCCAGCCAGGCAGGGCAAGGAGACAGCGAGAGACAACATTTCAGTGCCCAATGCCATAGTCCCATAAACCTGAACCCCTGAGGAAATGGGCTTGAGAAAAGCGAATCTCTCAATCCTGGACTAGTTTTAGGTTTCGTTTTTGTATTTTGCCATCAGGCAGAATAAGTATAAAAAGAAATGCTACATCTTGGCAAATATGTTTTGTGGACTATGCAATTCATATCATCTTAAAAACTAGCACCAAGAGGCAACCTTAAATGCTGTTTATCTTACTAGAAATCAGTACTCAGAAATTCACATGCAGTTGAAGAGTAGGGGTGTTCTGGAGGAGCACTCTGTGGCTGCCTCTTTCTCCCAGGCAGGTAAGCCTTCAGGGCAGCAGGCCTTGCCATCTGAGCAGCTGCCTGACACAGCCTGACATGAGGCTGTCTGGCACTGGTGCTGTCATGGCTGGATATTAGCCCCTTTAAACATGGTTTTTCTTCATCTCAGGAGGTCACAAGTCCTCCCTTTCGATAGTTCAACAAACACCATTGGCAGCCCACACTCTGCTAGGTGCTGGGGAACTAATGGCTAAAGGTGGTGACAGCACCAGGGAGCTGGCCCTCAGCCCTGGGGCAATAGCCTGGGAACCATCAATTAGGAGGCAGTCCATTAGGAGACCTACACCCTAGAAGGGAAGCAGTGGGGTTGGGGGCTTGGATGGTTTTATGATGGATGTGATGACTGCAGCAAAATTCTTCCCTAGTTGAGAACCCCTGGTGCGGACAATAAGTTCATCAGATGTCAGAGGGGAGCTGTTAGGCAGCTTCAACAGCTACAGGGAAGGCTGGGTCTCAGCAATGACTCACAGATGGGGAAGGTTTTGATGGTGGAGGAGTGGGGCAAGTCCCTCCAGAGGAGGGTCGTCTTTGTCAGAACCACTGCCTCCTATGTGCATAGCTCTGTCTAGAGTCATTAATTCAGCCCAATTACTACCACTCTATATTTCCTCCCTGCCTCTCTTTCTTCCTTCCTGTCTTGATTCCAGTACCTGACTCTTATAACCACTGAACAGAGCTCACGTGTGATGCCCTTTCAGAACATCCTTTAAGTTCCGGGGGTAGCTGCAGGGAACCCTCTGGCAACTTGCTGTTCTCCACATTCTGGATTTTCCTATGACATTGCACTCTGTCCGTGTTTCTCCAGTGGGTCTTTTTTGTTGTGACATTTTGTTCCATTCAGAAAGCAGCCTTTTCAGTTTCTGTAACTTGAAATGCAATTATATTGTATTTGGGAATGAAAAAAAAGAATGATACCTGGTAGAGTTTTTATGACAGAGACTGAAAGAGCGAAACTGATACAGAGAAGAGTCTATATTTAAATAAAAGTCTTAGATATGGTATTAATTCCCTGAGAGTTCGCTTAGGAAATGCCTAAAGAAACTGAGATATCCTATGAAGACCTCATTTAAAGGAAAGGGAAGAGGAGGCAACCAGGCCAGAAGAATGAAAGCAATGTGGAATGGTGGTTGCTAGAGGAGGTCTATTTCAAAGAATTTAAATACTGAGTAGATCACAAAGTAAGTTTATTATCTTAGTTTATTTTTCATTTTGTTGCTGAGTTCACACTACCCCTTCCTTGGAATCTCTAAATGATTTTGAAAACTCTGCAAATTCACAGATGTGTGATTACATGGGCAATTTGTACCTAGACTTTCTTGGTAAATGTTTTGTATCCTAACGCTGCAAAGACTTCCAGTTAGTTAAATAGAGCACCTTTTGCTGACCTAGTCCATCTGCTGGAAGAGCCTTAATTTTATTAGAATTAGGCTTTTCTTTGATAATTCTGGTTCAATGCATGATTCTGAGTCTAGATCTTTTCCTCAGGAATCTATTTTAGACAAGTCATTTATTCAGACCCTCTGGAAAAGACTAACATTCTAATATTCAGTGTTTCAAACTGAATGTCAGGTATAGCGTCAACTCCATCTTCCTAGTCCAGCTTCTTCTCTCCTTATGACAGAACATATATTGATTGGACTCACAGTTACTACAATTAGCACACATATGAGGGTGACAGAGGAAGGAAAAAATTAGACCTAGACAATGCTGCTGCTGCTCTGTGTGTGTGTGTGTGTGTGTGTGTGTGAGTGTGTGTGTCTGTAGGGTGTGAGAGCTGTCTCAGAATAATCCTGTGTTTTCTAATATGTGGAGCTTTAAAGGCAAGAACATGTATTATTTCTTCACAGGAATATAGATTAAGAGTTTTAAAAGACCTTGAAAATTGACCAAGTTCATTTGTGTGTCTCAAGTAGTTTCATCCTTAATAATACTGAAGCTAAATCTTTGTCTGTGTCAGGCGCTCAAAGGGGATTTATATGTATTCAGTCATTTAACCCTTGCAACTGGAAGGCTTAGAATTGGGGTTTAAATGTAGGCAGTCTGATGGAGGATCCCCAAGCCAATGAGCACCATACTCCATTGCCTCTCATATTCTAAAATCTTTCCTTTTTTTTTTTTTTTTTTTTTTTTTTGAGACAGAGTCTCACTCTGTCGCCCAGGCTGGAGTGCAGTGGCGCCATCTCTGCTCACTGCAAGCTCCGCCTCCTGGGTTCACACCATTCCCCTGCCTCAGCCTCCAGAGTAGCTGGGAGTTCAGGTGCCCGCCATCACGCCTGGCTAATTTTTTGTATTTTTAGTAAAGATGGAGTTTCACCGTGTTAGCCAGGATGGTCTCGATCTCCTGACCCTGTGATCCACCCTCCTCGGCCTCCCAAAGTGCTGGGATTACAGGTGTGAGCCACTGGGCCTGGCCTTCTAAAATCATTCTTAAGCCAGTGTTTTCATTCAACAACAGAATGACTGTGGATGGAGCTCCTACTGCATACCAGTCCCTGCACAAATGTCCTACAATATCATCACAGTGCATGTACTATTTGTATTTTTATGCCTATACTACAAATGTGGAAACGTACTCAGGCTCCCACAGATGTCAAGGGTCAGAGCTAGGATACTAATTTCAGATTTATCTTCCAAACTTGTATCACCTCCCAAACACACACACCAACTGCATTTGGAGAAGTACCAATCAAGCTCCTACTATGTGTTTTGTGCTATGCAGACACTGAAGAAATAAAGGGCTAGTCAATTTACACAGTCACCAGTGAAGCAGTATATCATACAAACAGAAACATGAGACAGTTAGCAAATAATGTGAGGTCTATTGTGGTAAATCCTAATGTTTAACATAGAAACAACATACCCGAGGAACGCTTACAAAAGGGAGAATTTTATGGAGACTAATTATGTAGGCATTGTGCTCCTGGACAGTCCCAGTATTAAAATCTTCAGAGTAATTGTGCTAATTTACTTGTTATATTTTGTATCACAATTATTAGTCCATAAAACATGGTTCCATGGTTACTAGACTTGCATAAAACCTTAGAGAAGAAGACATTCTTTAACCTGAGCAATGAAGGCAGACAGAAAAGTGGTTGGGTAGGCCTAGATGAGACATTATAGGGGTATACTGACTCATCATTGACAAGGATCATGGTGTATTTGGTGTGTAGTCAGAAGAGAGGGCAGGTCAGAATGGTATGTCTTAATTATTATTTCCATGTATGTATATTCATATGTACATTTGTATGTTTACTTTGCCTCCATAGCTGATGTTCAAGGTCACACAACCTTCTACTCAGTCCTTGAATTGGTCAAGAACAATGGCCCAGCCTGCTCAAGGATCATGTAAATAAACGGCATTGAAATAGGGCTTTGCTCTTTTGTATGCCTAGCCCTTTAAGTGTTGAATTGGCACTGTTGCCCCCGACATCTTTTTCAAGCTTTGTTAATCTTATTTCAGCTTCTGAAAAGAGCAATATATCCAAGTACAATCATTAATTGAATATGATTCAATCTGGTCCCATCTTTAATAAGAAACCAAAGAAGGAAATTCAATTAGGCTCACCCTTTCCATTTCAAAGGATCAAATCCTCCCCTTTCACAGTTAAAATTATGAAAGATTATCTTCTTAGTGGAAGGCTACAGGAAAATTTGGATTCCTGTCAAATATTTAGCGTAATATCCCGAGATCAGGATTAATATTGCCTTTCAGCAGCTCACTCTGAATTTCTGTGGATGCTATCTCTCTTTTGGAAGCTTTTGAATAAAAGGCATTCTATATTCTTGCATGACTCAAAGTATTCAGCAGAAATTGTAACAAGATCAAACAGTTTTAGGACAAGTTATCATGCCTGCTGGTCATGAAAATGCAGACACCTCAATTTCATTTCCACACTTCTGTGTTGATCCACCAACTTCTCAGAGAAAATTGAAATTATTGAAGTCAGGTTTTAAGTTTATGTGAATATTTTGGGGTTGATTTAAAATTACAGACAAAAGCAGCAGTAAAAAATAACATAGGATAGAACAAAATATAATCTAATCATTTCTGTTTGGTAGAACTATATCAAATATCCCTAGAGAATAATATATTAATACTAGTTATTATTAATATTCTTACTCTGAGTTACAATTTGTTGCATTTGTTTTAGGTGCCAGACACTCTTAAGTGCATTATTTTCTCAAACCTATGTGTCTTTGACTCCAAAGGCATTGTCTATAACCCCCAGCCTGTAACTCACAAATTATATTGCTTTTTCAATGCTAGTTGATAGGAGCCTTTTACCAAAAATGAAATATCTCTTATTATACTTTATGCGAAGTTATCTACAGCTCTGTATTAGTAACTAGCATTATGTGCAAATAACTGGGATTATTTATCCTCTCAAGTTTTATTTTGCAGTCTGATGATACGATGTGTTACAAGTATAATCATAAAAGAATTTATTTATGCAAAGCTTTCCATGTTGTTTCAATGAGTTCTGCCTCAAAGCACTGTTCAAACAGAAACCCTAGTGTCCCCTGATATTCCAGCTAAAAAAGTAAATATTTGTAATAGGCATACTGCAGTAATATTCCCAACATTGGCAAGAGCATTCATTTGTTTGTATGCCATGCTGCCAGAAGCTGGCACCCAACAACACCTGTGGCTCACACTGAAATATGAGTCCTGGGTTGGTATTTTCTTTTCCACTAATGGGTACTAGTGAACAGGCAAGGTATGGACTTAGGTTGCTGAATTGCAGAGGAAAGAAATAACACTGGCTCCATTAGCAACTCAAGTTACAAAAATCCCAAGGGGGAACTGGGTTGGAATCTCTACAATCCCAATATTCTGGAACAGTGATTTTTCAAAGTATTTTTAAATGCAGGCAAATCCCTTCTTCAAATGAAATATTTGTAAGTTCAACAAGTAAAATAGATAAAATAATAAGGGCTACTCTATTCAGAGCTTTCTCTATGACAGGCACCATGCTAAACTCTCTGCATAGATTTCCTTATTTAATTCTCAAAAGAACTGTATGTGGTAGGCACTTTTAACATCCTTATTTATAAAGCAGGCTTGGAGAGTTTAAATAACTTAACTGAAGTCAAATGTCCTCCCAGTGGAGGAGCAAAATTCACATGCAAGAAGTCTGACATCAGATTCTAAATCCTTGGCCATAAAAAGCAGAGCTGCCCTTCTGAGAACTGACGCTGGCTGGGGCTGCTTTAGGAATCATCTATACCTACCTGATGACTATGTGGAACTTCCCCAACATCAGTAGGGCCTCGGGAAAAACACAAAAGTACAAAAAGTAATATTCAGCTGAGAAAGAAGGCTTTAGTTTACTCTCTAAAATCACGTTTTTTTACAAGTGGCTATGTGTCCATTTGTTTCTTTGTTCAGTTTTTTACGCCAGCCTTTCTAACAGTTACCATGTGCTTCTGGAGGTAAAAGGATAGTTTCCCAGGTAAATACTTCATTCTTTCCTTCTTTTTTTTTTTTTGAGACAGAGTCTCGCACTGTCACCCAGGCTGGAGTGCAATGGCACGATCTCGGCTCACTGCAACCTCTGCCTCTCGGGTTCAAGCGATTCTCCTGCCTCAGCCTCCTGAGTAGTTGGGATTACAGGCGCCTGCCACCACGCCTGGCTAATTTTTTGTATTTCTAGTAGAGACGGGGTTTCACCATGTTAGCCAGGATGCTCTTGATCTTCTGATCTCGTGATCCGCCCGCCTCGACGTCCCAAAGTGCTGGGATTACGGGAGTGAGTCACCGTGCCCAGCACCTTCATTAATTTTTTTGAGCACATAAATTAACACCAAGTTTTAGAAGAAGTGTTAGGCACTGAGATCCCAATGAAAAATACGACAATGTTACTGACCTCAACAATCTTACAAGGAGGGTAATCTGCAATTTATCATCTATGGTAGCACAGATACCCTTGAGACTCAAGGGAGCACCATTAATAATTAAAGGAGACAGCAGGTATAAACCATACATGCTCTGAGAAAACGGGCTCATAGGCAACGGGGCATCCAGGTGTAGGCACCCATGTTAACATACACGTGATGTATCATACATATAATTATGCACAGGATGTTCAATGTACAGAGAATCTGTTCTCATAAGCAAGTGAGAACAGATTTCCTAGAAGGGCGACGCCGAAGCCGAGTCTCTCAGGATGAGTAGAGGTTCCCCAGGTGAAGAGTGGGGATCTGAGCAAAGAAGAGGTCACAAGCACAGGTAGGAAAAGGCACCTGCAGGTGGGGAACTAGCTGTGAGGCCGAGAATGTCAGTACATGACTAGAAAGGCCAGGGAATGTCAAAGAATTTGGATTTCATTTTCTAGATTGTGGTCCGTCATTGAAAGGGTTTAGGCAGAGTGGACAAGTGAATGTTCTGTAAAGAGCCCTGTGGTGCTTCTTTATGGTGTGGCCATAGGTGCAAAAAAACTAGAGCCAGGAAGATGAGCTAGATGTGTGAGTCCCAGTCTGACTCTGAAAAAGTCATCTGGAGAGCTTTAAAAAATGGTGATGCCTGGTCTCTATTCCATCCCGAATAAAACCGCATCTCTGGAGGTGGATCCAGGTTCTGGCCATATTTTAAACTCCCCGTTACCTGATTCTAACAGGCAGCCAGAACTGAGAATCCTTGCACTAGAAGAATGTTAGGTGGAATGCAGGCAAGAGAGGATGACAGTTTGGAGAAGATACTTGTAGTTGGGCTACATGGATAGATTTGGGGAGTGGGGGGATGGTAAATATAGCAAGAATTGAAAATTAATTGCATGTATGGGATGGAGGGGCATGAGCTGTCAAGGATAGTTCCCTGCTTGAGGGTCTGGGTGAATGATAATGCCTCAAACTGAACTAACAAATTCATGAAGAGTAACTATTTTATAAAGGAAGACGAAAAATTCAGTTTTGATCGCGTAGAATGTGAGGTGACTCAAGGTCAGCCATGGAAAGTGAGCAGAGTCACAAAAGCAGGGAACCAAAAAGGAACCCCGACATGGAAGTGGCAGGTGAGAGAAGAGAACACCATGAAGGAGATAGAAAAAGAACAGAGATATCAAGTGAACTCACCCAGCCTTCCCTGTCCAATATGCCAGCCACTAGCCACATGTGGATATCTCAAATTAAACCGATTATTCAGTGGATTTCATTAATGCAAAATTCCCTGCTTTTTTTAACTAAAACCTTTGTAGGCCAGCACCTTCTCTAACTTTGCTGTATTTGTTCATTTAATCACTCACTCTCTCCCTCTTTCTCTTGCCTACTCTCTCACCTCATCACTGTCCGGTAGGGGAGCTGATGATGCCATACCTAGAGTACAGTGAGCCCTGGAGAGACTGGCTTCGTTCCAACCTGGTAGAGCCAGTCTGTCTCCGTTTTCAGTGACGTGAGCTGTGTGCCTAGTCATCCTATTATCTTTGGTACCTATTAAAAACATTGCTCTCTTTTACTCCAGCAACAAGAACTGCATTTCAGTGGTGAGTGATATGACTACTAAACACAGGGATTAAAAAAATAATTAAACTCGTCTGGGATTTTCCAGGATAAGAAGTTGTTCCAGAAATTGTGTTGTTTCAGATGTCCTGGAGATTAAGTAGGCCTAAATCACCTCCTGAGCATTACATGAGTGAATCTGTCATTAGAAGATCTCTCCCTGAAACATTCCCACCCACTCTCCAACCCCCACTTGAATATAAGAGTAGTTAGTGATGAGATCAGAATCTTCACTTAATCTTGACCTATCCCAGATGGTGTAATAGTCATGGCCTTATCAGTGAAGATTAGAAGGGCAGGCCAGGGCTTTGCCAAGGAAATAATACTTGCATTAATTCAAAGTCTTTTGGATTTGGGTTAAGACTCTTACTTGTCTTCTATAGTTCTCCTAGCTTTTATCTAATATTGTTCATTGCTCTCTCATTATTCATTCTGCTGATACGTACAGGTGTGCATACTCTGAACCCTGGAATTGTTTCTGAAAGTTACCTGTCAGTCCTGTATTGAATTAAGTCATGCTTTGAAGATACAAAGAAATGTGGTCCTTTAAAAAAAATATTGGTGGAAAATCCTTTATAGTCAACCATTCATTCAGCAATTGTTCACTAATCACCTACTATGTGCTGGAATGATGTTGGGTACTGGGCAGTACAGTTTTATAAACTACTCTTAAGATGTTCATAATATCAGAATGGAAAATACACTTTGCCATGTGCCTGGCACTATTGTAAAGTGTTTTCACATATTTAACTCACTTCATTTTTACAACAACACTATGAGATAGATATTGTCACTATAAACCCCATTCTGCAGATGAGGAAACTGAGGAATATAGAGTTTAATGGTTCATCCCAAATTATATAACGAGTAAAGATAGAACTGGGATTTGACCAGGCCCTCTGGCTTCAGCCTATGTTCTTGACTTTACTGCTTTACTTTTTCTCCCTGACTCAAGTACGATCTCCAGGGAGACATGAAAAGAAAACTTTCCTTGAAATTATTTATAGAATGCAGTTATTTGTTTACCTGTAGTTAACATTTAGCTCTCTCTATACTAATCCTTCTTGAAAAGGAGCGTTTTTAAAGATAAGTAACCTTTATGTTGCTATCAAGCATCACCTGGCAAAATAGAAAGGAAGGAAGAGGTAAACACTGGGCTCACTAAACATATCTTGGATTATCCTTGAGAATTTTTAAATACTTATTCTAGAATATTTTTATAAGCATTCTTAGAATTTTTTTTTGATTCCAAGTATTTAAGCAATGAGTGTCTGGAACAATGAGAGAATGCTTTGTTCTGGAAATCATGTATAAGTATTTACACAATAATACCAAACTTAACTGGACTACACGAACTGGATTCCACCTTGGGCCCTATTATGAGTTGCCCAGGTTTCCTGTACATCCTAAAGGTGCCTCCTCCCAAAACCAAACGTCCTTGAGCCCTGGGAACTTAAAGAAGTTAGATAGATCTGTAGTCCCAAAGTACTTACAGAGCAATTTATTAAGACTTGGGTTCCTGAGAAAGTTTTATTCTATTACTCAGTTATTGTCTTCAATCTGCCATTCACTGAAAGGTTTCTTTGGCCTTAATTCAATTCTCTATCTCCTACGCTATCAGTGTTTTTGTTGAGCACTTTTCTATCCAGACAGATAACAGGATTTGGTGACAGCTTTCAATTTCATTACTGCTAAAACTTTTGTAGGTATACAATTTCTCTGTGTAGGCTGGTCCCTGACTGTGATTTATTTAGCTCATTATTTATTGGCCTGTAAAACTGGCCCAACTCTGCAAAATAACTCACTAATTCTTCCCATGTGAAAACCTCTGAAGATATTTATCAACACACATGTAAGTAATCTATCTAAGAGGCTCCTGGTCTCTTGGAATTCATACATAGAATAAAGAGATCCCTGGAACAGTGGAAGTATCACCTAAACTCCAGTTTTCAAAGTTCCTGTCATTCTCTTGAGGAATATTCAAAGTAAAAGGTATCAAATTGGCAGAGAAGTTGTAGTGTCAAAGTTTCTCCAAGTATCTATGAAAGGTTTCCCATTCACACAGCAGAAGCCACATCAAATCATTCCTTGGTTGATATGCAAAACAGAAAATCTAACTAGTTAAATAAACAGAGAAAATGTCCAATTTACCACATTAAAGTCATACAAATTTATAACAGATATTTAGGTAATATTTCATTGTTCCCTTTAGTTATCATCTCTTTTAAAAAGCTAATAGCTGGTATGCCTGGGAAAGTGGTCAAAACTGTTTTCTGTGTTTTGCTGGTGCTATGCTGTTTTCCATCCTTTCCAGAAGTCATTTTGCATTATATGTCAAGAGCTATAAAAATGTTCTGATTCTTTGACCCATTAATTCTCCTTTTGGGAATCTAACATATGGAGAGATCACAAAAATAAAGATATTCATCACAGCAGTGTTTAAAATACTACAAAAGAAGCAACTTGAATCCCCAGAAATGTAGAAATAAAAGAACAATAATATCCCCATTTCATAGGATATTGTGCAGATGCATAAAGTGGAGAAATTCTTAACATATAATCCATTCACCATGAATAGTTATGATTGTCTTCTATATGCCAGGCACTGTGTCGGGTTCTAAGACTATATTGATGAGCAAAATCATTATCATTTCCTGTGGAGCCCATGGAGCTCATAGTCTTGCAGGAGTATTAGAGTAGTGAAATGAGCATGCTACCCTGACGGCCAGGTATTTAGAGGGAACAGTTTCATTATTTAAAAGACTTGCTGTAAACAAGCTACTTGACAGGCTTGTATTTGGAGCCGAGTCCATCAGTGCTCAGGATAGATAACCCTGATGTTGAGTTTATCTCTGGCTTAATAGCAACAACAGGCACTGGGAGCATTTGGGTGGCATGGAGGAAGGAAGGGGTTCTCAAAGCACTTCAGTGATCCGTGCTACCAGGAGACGGGAAATGCAATATTTTAAACTCAACTGAGTCTTTTTGACTTAAATAAATGTTTAGGGTATCAGCATTTCTGCTTTTCTCAGGTATTTGTTTTTTAATTCTGTGTGCTGGAAACAGATTATTAATAATGAATGAGCAATTTTTATTTTATCTCATGAAACTATAATGATGCTAAGTTGGTTGCATGATACAGATAATTTGGTAGTATGAGTCCTGCAGTTCTATTGTAAACTCTATGATGTTTCCTCTTCAAAGTTTAATGTGCTCTTGCTGTGACAAAGGACAACACTAGGCTAGGTGATTATTGACCTGATTTGTGGCTGTTGAAGCAAAGGTTAAGGAATGATATAATGATCAATTCCATGATTTGGTATTTATCGGATCCATGTGTTTGGTGAATGTGTCTATTTCAGAGAGAAACAAATTTATTTCTTCTAAATGGGACCCTCTCTTCCATGGGCAATTTTACAAAGTTATAAATCAGTAACCACCCTTCAGTTCTTGAACCTTTATACTCATGTAAATGGATTTGATTCCTTTCCTCAATCCAAGTAAAACTTATTGTTTGTTTCTTATTTTAGTGATAAAAGAAGTTGTGTTTTTCCTTACTTCTTTATCAGCATCATTGCTTTGCCCATCTTTGATGATGGTATTATGAAGAAGGATTTGCTTCTGAAGTATAGGTATGATTGCTACAAATAAAATATGCCTCCTACAAATAAACAAAAACCTTGTTCTGCCATCAAAAAGGCCACTCCTCAAGCAGATTATCCTGGTTCTTTGTGCCTCAGTATCTGTGCAAGCATCGTAAAGCTACATATTCATGCTTACAGCTGCAGAGATCCCAGCTGCCCTCTTCGACAACTTCGGAATGTTTTCTCCAAGAATGAGTCAGTGAAACAGAAAGTTCACATCAAAGAAAAAGCCTTCAGGGCCTCCAAGCTGTATACCTTGGAAACGGTTGTCTACACCTCTCTCCTCTTCTACCTCTAAAAGTCCAGAGTGGGTGGTGATTAAAATGTTGTATCAACATACAGTAATTAATTCTGTACAGGAAGTAGGTTACACATCTGAAGACAACTTGAAATGGCCAGTTTAAATATATAAAACATGGAGAGTATGACTGACCAACCTGGCAGGAAAGCAGCATTCTGTGGGTATTTGCTTTCAGGGGAATTATTATTCAATATTCTGAAGTATTTTTAAATGCAGTGCTAGTTTCCTATCTGTCTCATCAGCACATGGTCTGGAACTGGAAACCTGAATTCATGTTATATTTCCTTGAACTTTGGAAAAATGACCCTAGAAATGAAATGAAGCTTTATTTCCATGAAAAATGAAAACATTGTGTAGCTAGAAAACTCTCTGTCTCTCTCTCTGTCTTTCTTTTTCTTTCTCTTTCTTTTTCCCCCTTTCTCCTAGTATATGATTTATAAGGTCAAAATTTTGGCTTCCTGATGATATCAATTTAACAATTTCAGACCTGTAGAAAGGAAGAATAGGCTTCCCTCACTCCTCCTTCCTTCTCCCTCTCCACCCCCACCCCCACTATTTAATCCACCTTAAGGACCCAGTGATAACTCTCAGATTATACCCATTTGGGAGATTTTTTATTCATGTATCAACAACCATGCACATACACAGTTGGTGCTGGTACAAAAATAGACATATAGACCAATGGAACAGAATAGAGAACACTGAAATAAAGCTCTACACTCATGACTAACTCATCTTCAACAGTCAACAATAATAAGCAATGGGGAAAGGACTCCCTATTCAATAAATGGTGCTGGAAAAACTGGCTAAGTATATGCAGAAGAATGAAACTGGACCCCTACCTCTCATCATATGTAAAAATTAACTCAAGATGGATTAAAGACTGAAACGTATGACCGCAAATTATAAAAATGCCAGAAGAAAACCTAGGAAATACTCTTCACGTCATTGGCTTAGGCAAAGAATTTATGATGAAGACTCCAAAAACAAAAGCAACAAAACCAAAGGAGACAAATGAGACTTAATTAAACTAAAGAGCTTCTGTACAGCAAAAGAAACTCTCAACAGAGTAAACAGACAAACTACACATTGGGAGAAAATATTTGCAAACTATGCATCCAAGAAAGGACTAATATTCAGAATCTACAAGAAACTTAAATGAGTCAACAAGAAAAAACAAATTTATTAAAAAGTGGGCAAAGATAATTGTATATACCTACTATGTACCCACAAAAATTAAAAAATCAAGAAGAGCAAAGGACATGAACAGTTATTTCTCAAAACAAGACATAGAAGCAGCCGACAAACATATGAAACAATACTCAACATCACTAGTCAGAGAGATGGAAATCAAAACCACAATGAGATACCATCTCACATCAG
The DNA here is from genome assembly GCF_000001405.40 of Homo sapiens. Classification (NCBI taxonomy): domain Eukaryota; kingdom Metazoa; phylum Chordata; class Mammalia; order Primates; family Hominidae; genus Homo; species Homo sapiens. Next base: position 133,430,019 of record NC_000002.12, on the reverse strand, counting down.
TCAAAATAGCTATTATTAAAAAGTTAAAAAATAACAGATATTGGTGAGGTTGTGGAGAAAAAGGGAACACTTATACACTGTTAGTGGGAATGCAAATTAGTTCAGCCCCTGTGGAAAGCAGTTTGGAGAGTTCTGAAAGAACTAAAAATACAATTGCCATTTGACCCAGCAATCCCATTATTGGGTATATACCTAAAGGAAAAGAAATCGTTCTACCAAAAAGATACATGCACTGTATTGCCATGTGTTCATCATAGCACTATTCACAGTAGCTAAGACATGGAATCAACCTAGGTGCCCATCAACGGTGGATTGGGTAAATAAAATGTGGTACATAAACACCGTGGAATACTATGCAGCCATAAAAAATAAAATTATGTCCCTTGTAGCAACATGGATGCAACTGGAGTCCATTATCCTAAGTGAACTAACACAGAAAAAGAAAACAAATAGTGCATATTTTCATTTATAAGTTGAAGCTAAATCTGGGGGGCACACAGACATACAGCTGGGAACAGTAGACCTTGAAGGAGGGAGGGAGGCAAGGACTAAAAATGGAGGGATGAAGAGGGGGAAGGACTGTAAAACTTTTTATTGGTTACTATATTCACTATTGGGGTGATAGGATCATTAGAATCTCAAACCTCAGCACCACACAATATACCCTTGTGACAAACCTGCACATGTACTGCATGAATCCAAAATAAAAATGGAAATTAAAAAAAAGTAGCTCCAAATTAAAACAAAGCAAAGCAAAATCATCTAATACTGTTGTTTTTACTTGCTTTTTTAACATAACATCTTATCATGAACCTTCTTCTGAGGCACTGTATTTAGAATGGCCTTACCCTTTGTAACTCCTGTATAATATTCCACATGGCATAATTTCTGCAACTGTCCACCCACTGGTGGTTATTCAGAATCTTTCCAGTGTTGTGCTGTTATAACCGTCCCGCAGAGGGCATAAATCCTATGTGGTCTTGCATTTATTTTCACAGGAGAGATTCCTAAAAGTGACTGCTGGTCCAATCATATGTACATTTTAAATTAATATTGCCAAATTAATTTCTAAAAAAATTATAGGAACTTCATTCTTTCTCCAACAGTGTATTCAACTGCCTAGTTCCCAACACTTTTAATAACATTTAGATACTATTAGTATTTATAATTTTGGTCAATCTAATAGGTAAAATATTGTTCAATTTGTAGTTGACTGACTATAGTAGCCTATATTTTCAAATACGTATTGTCCAGTTGCAGTCTTTTATAAATTGTGTGTTTGTATTCTTTGCCCATTTTTCTACCGGAGTCTGTTTCTAGTGCAAATTGGAAATATTTTGGGTGTTTTAGCTTGGTTCATAGTATCTTTGTGTAAACACGTGATGAGTTATGTAAATTATGTCTATTTTTCCCTTTATGGCTTCTGAGTTGAATATCTTATCTCTTTTACTCCGAGTTTATAAAAGTAATTTAATATATTGTTTCACAATGCTCTTGCTTTTCAGGGTTTTGTTTTGCACTTCTAACTTAAATCCCTCAAGAATGGGTTTTGCACATTGTGTAAAATAGGGTTCTAATGAAATGTTCTTCCACCTACAAAGCAAATACCCTCATATAATTTACCGAATAATGTAACTTACTGATTAACATGATTTTCTTACTCATCTGAAATATTAGTTTTATCAAAATTTTATTAATATTATCATAATTAAGTTTCTGGCACTGTTTCTGGACATGGTTCTAGACTTCTTATTCTGTGCCAGTGATTTATTTTCCCTGCACTAGTAGCAATTAGCTACTGTTTTGGTGATAGTATTTCAAAGTGTGTTTTAATATCTTGTAGGACAAAGCTTCCTTAAAGGTTTGTGAATATTCTTGAATAGTTATTCTTCCACATGAACTGTAGAGTGACTTTTGCCTAGTGCCCGTTCTTTCAAAAATAATCCTGTTGTAATTCTTATTAGAATTATATCACTTATGTATTACTTTGGGAACAATCATCACTTTTATGATAATACCTGTATCCAAATATACATTTATTTCTACTGTTAATTCATATGCAAGTTTTAAACATTTTCCTCATATAGGTCTTCTTTGAACTATCTGGGTAAAATTTATTCCTAGATGCATCAGAATTTCAGGATTTTGCTTTTAATTTTCTTTTCTGTTACTATATAGTATAAATAAGCATGATAACCTTTTATATGTATCTTATTTCCAGTGATCTTGATGTATTAATATAAGAAATTTAATTGATAGATTTTTTAATGCTAACATATTTTTATATCACTAAAATAAACTGTGCTCGGTCATATCATATGTGATTTTCTCACATTGCATTGTGATTTTCTTACAAGGCTGAATACAATTTGCTAACATTCTATTTAAAATGTTTCTATTTAATTTTACAACTGAAATTAGAATTTCTTTTTCTGTGCTAGTTTTATCAGAGTTTCTTTATCTGTGCTAAGGATCTGCTGGCTCAGTAAAGTTAATTATGAAAATGTTTATATTTTGCTCTTTTCTGGGACAAATTAAATTATATGGGAATTATCTATTTCTTAAAATTTAAATAAAATCAGACTGTCATGCTATATTTGCCTATTTTAAAACTATAACATTTTAGTGACAGTTTTATTACCTTACCTTCTTTTGTGTACTTCTGTCTCATACTTCTTGTATTAATTTCAGTCATTAATGTTTTGCTTAAAAAATACCCATTTTCAAATGCAGTGTCACTCACATAGTCTTATCATTTTTCAAATTGTCTTCCTACTCATTTATGTCTGTTATCTTAGTCTTTATGTTGTATGCTTTTATGTTTGCTCCTTAATCAGAATGACAGAGAGTTACCTGTTTTATTTGTCTTTTCAAATAACCAGCTTTCAGTTTAATTGATTCTTTGTTGCTTTTGTGTTTTGATGTTGTGCCTGTGCTAGAATATCTTCCCTGAGATTTTTGCATGGCTCTCCCTACTGCATTATGAAAAACTCTCAGCTCAAATGCTGCAGGGAAAATTTGCTGACCGCCTTTCCTGGCTACCCTCCCAATCCCAGAACATTGTACTGCATTACACTACTTTATGTTCTGTATATCACCATCAGAAATTATCTACTTATTTTAAAAATTTAAAATAGACTTTTGTGTGGTTTTAGAACAGCTTGAGATTTACAGAAAAAAAATGGAAAGATAGTACAGAGTTCCCATATACCTCTCATCTAGTTTCTCCTATTATTAACATCTTACATTAGTATGGTACACTGGTCACAATTAATGATACACTCTTATTAACTAAAGATCATACTTTATTTGAATTTCCATACTTGAATAAGGTATGATCGTTAGAACCATTTTTGCATCCCTGGGATAAATCCTGCTTGGTCACAAGGTATAATCTTTTTGATGTGTTGTTGAATTATTTGGCTAATACTTTGTTGAGGATTATTACATCCATGTTCATCAGAGATATTAGCCTGCAGTTTTCTTATAGTGTCTGTATCTGATTTTGGTATTAGATGATGCTGGCTTCTTAAAATAAATTTGGAAATAGCCCCTCTATGTCTTTTTTTTTTTTTTTTTGGAAGACTTTAAGAAGGCTGAATGTGTAATGCATTTATTTTCTATCTTTTTTTTTTAAATAAAAGCATTTAAGGCTATATATTTTCCTCTGGATTTTACTGCATCACAGTTTTGATATGAGGTGTTCTCCATTGTTGTATTTATGTCTAAATAACTTGAACTTTTTTTTTTGAGATGAAGTTTGGCTCCGTTGCCCAGGCTGGAGTGTAATGGTGTGACTTCGCCTCACCACAACCTCCGCCTCCTGGGTTCAAGCTATTCTCCTGCCTCAGCCTCCCAAGTAGCTGGGATTACAGGCACGCACCACCACGTCCAGCTAATTTTTGTATTTTTAGTGGAGATGGGGTTTCACCATGTTGGCCAGGCTGGTCTTGAACTCCTGACCTCGTGATCCTCCCGCCTTGGCCTCCCAAAGTGCTGGGATTACAGGCATGAGCCACCGTGCCTGGCCTGCATTTTCTATCCTTGGTTTGGTTAGAAGACTGTTTTTTAATTTAAAGGCACTTGAGAGTTTTTGTGTTTTTTGCCTTTTCCTCGTTCACTTCAGGGAATTTTCAGTGTTTTCTTTGTGGCCACATGCATAATTATTTTCTGTGAATTTTTATCCCATAAGCATAAAAGAAGACTGTGCATTTTCTGTTTAGCATACCAAATATCCATTTACATGCAAATACAAACTCTGTGCTCAGTCCTCTTCTGACTCCCCATTTGAAATATTTAGAATTTGGTTTCAGACTCTTTTTGTATTTCCCACAATAATATGCATCTTCTGTTTTAGGAAGGAAAACTTTTTAACCTTCATACTATTGCAGTTCTCTATATGTTATTGTCATTCATTTTGATTTCACTTTATCATCTAGTAATTTTTGCTTGTCACTTCTTTTTATCTTTCTTTTGCTCTGCCCTCTTTTTCCCTTTTGCCACAGGGCATCTGTTTCCAGTGTTATCTAGGCCTGAAATGCTCTCCCTATAATTGTAATCTTTTATTCCCTCATTTTCTGATATAATCCATAAGCTGACTACCCCCCTGATTACTTTCCAAGGATGTTTCACGTACATACTGTTTTCTGACTGGCTCTGCCTCAGACTCCTATGTTCAAATACCAGTTTCTTCTCCACATAGGTGTTTATTAGACTTCTCAAATCTCACAGTCAAAATAGTCCTCTCAATCTGTATGTTAGAAATTCCCTCTATCCCCATTCTTCACCTGTGCGATAATGTTTCAGATGTAAACCATTAAAACCTAGGCAACACCCTGGGTTTGATCCCCTAACCAGGGAGATGTTTGGAACAGAGGTTGGTGACTAACTGTGCATAGAGGGGAATTCCCGCAGACTGACTGCTCCACTCTTTGAAGTGGGCCCTGGCATCCAACAAGGCTCCCTTGTAGGAAAACCATTTAATCATTGGCCTCATTTAGAGTTTAACTATATTTTATGGCCTTCTCAGCTCTGAAGTTAAAATTCACAAGGCCCAGAAAACATCAATTACAACAATGCCTTTCATTTTTTTTGTCAAAATGCTTTGAATTGCAAGACTGTTTTTTATTTATGACTGTATCAAGTGTTTTTATGGAGGCTGGTTTGCCCTTCCCCTAGGCTTAAACAAATTCTAAAACAGGACTCCTCAAACTGTCACGTGCCTCAGAACCACTAGGGATTTTGTAGAAATGCAGATTCTGATTCAGGAGATTTAGGGCAACCAGGTTCGTCTACTTCTAACACGTTCCTAATGAGGCTACATTGCTAGCCCTACAGACCACACCATGAGTAGCAAGGCAAAGTAGCAAGTAAAATCCTTCTAGGTTTTTACATTTTTGTTTTGGGTTTAGTTTCTGAACCCCACACAAAAAGTCAAATCTCTATACTTAATGAAAACATTTTATTTTTCACATCACAATTTTTACTCACCTTGAAAACTCATCTATTAAGCCTGGCTACAAATGATAGCTATTTCAAAAAGTCAACTGAATTTTAAAGAATCAGAACTTGCTGGCTCAGACAAGATGCGTAATTATTTATCATATAATATGAAATCACTTCCAAGATGGTGTTCCGACATTATCTGAGTAGTAGCAAGTTGGGTGGCCATCTTGGTCGGCCAGGGACTTTTCTGGTGTTGGCACTGACAGTCACACTGATTGGGAAACCTCTGAGGCCTGAGAAAATTGAGAGCATTAACAGCAGCCTGAGAAGGACTCTTTTGTGACCCTGGACAAGTTATAGGGTCTTAACCCTATAACTATGGGTTTAAAAGGCACAGTACTCCCTGACACCTATGAGTTTTGGTGTGTACCTTAAACAATCCATCACTTTAGTTTCAGTAGAGCAGGTTTAGACCCTAATTATGGGATTGACTTGCCCAGGGTCACATTAAATTAACTGTGGCTTCAAGTTCTCTATCTATACTTTTCTGCCATGATGAGTGCACAATACCAGTTGCTTTCTAACTTGGATGAATATTATTCAATTGGATTTGGAGAAATTAGTCTTGCTTTAGAACTTCTCTTTAAGACTTCTTATTGAAAACAAAATGCAAACAAACAAAAACCTTCCCTTTCTTGTATTTTGTAAAGCTGAGTACACAAGAGATAAATAGAATTCATTTTAAATATTCTCTTTTGAAAGTTGAAGTTTCTTATGGTTTACTTCTGGAAATGTTAGTTGTATTTGCTAGTTATTTTCCATGAGCTGATAGTTATCTCACCAGTCACGACATGCATAATATTATTTGAAAAATTTACTTCATGTGGGCTAAAATTTACTAAAACTGCCTTTAAAAACCAACTAAAGGTCACATAGCACCTTGTCCTTCTAGTGGGATTGCAAGATAAATGTCAAACATCCATTCTAATTGGATCCAGAAGTCCCTGGGCATTTGGCAATTAGTAGTAACAATTCCCCAATTAATAACATATAATATTCCTAATGCCAAGTGTGTTATATGTTAGTAAGCAAAAAGGGTTCTGAATAAGTCTTGGTTTAAAAAAAAAGAACAGGCTTGACTGAGGTGCAGCTTCACTTCACTTCAGTTTCATGACGATTCAACATTCAATGCGAATGTATTAATGGGCTGAAATCAAACTGTGCTTCCAGGATGTGAAGGAGAGGTCTGGAGTGTCATTCTGCTTACAATCACTGACTGGCTCAAAACGGTCTTGAGCCACAACCAAGAAGCAGGCATTAGCTATGGGTCATCAGTTTTCACTGGAATGGTGGCAATGTCAGTTAGTATTTGTCAAAACCCTAAATACCTTGTAGTAAAATATTGCAACAGACTGTAAATGTTCGTCTTGGAAACACTTGGGGAAGTGTGCATGTGGAACTAGAAAATTGTCTGAGAAAGTGACTAATAAAGCTGCTTCCATGCAGAGAGGCTCCTGAGCTTGGAACATGTCCCAAATTAGATGTATTGAGATCCCCAGGCTGTGTTTTGCAATTCAAATATACCGGGACTTTCCGTGGCAGCCTCTTAGGCTTCCCGGTGGTGGGGTCCTTTGAATGTTCACACATAAATGGGGGTCTTTGTTCTCTGGTGCATGAAACTGCAGTAAGTTTTGGTAGAAAAGGGATTGCATGGGTACATTTGAGAGCCATGCTTTGGTGGTAAATTCAACCTTAAAAAAAATCCCAAAGTGAATAGCTTTTGAGGCTTCTGATCACAGACGAAGTTAAAGGCTGCAGTTTTAGTGATGCCAAGTGGTTCTGCATATCTATCTCTATTATTTAAAAGAGCCATCAACACTTCATTAAGTGTCAGGAAATGTTGCCTTAGAAAAGTCATAGAGAGATTAGGAGGGCATGTGAGAGATCCCTGTTTACCTTTGGCCAAGCCTGTTTGTACCAGATTAATTCCTTTGACCAGAGAAAAATGTTACTCTGTGACCTGAATTCTTCTTTTCTTGGTCCTGAAAATGGGTCACAGACACTTCCTTTATTCACTGGGTTTATCTGCTCTCTCGGCTCTTGGAAGAATCCCCCTCGATTTGTAGCACCAAGGGATCTATAGGATACAGCCAGCTTTCACTGTTGAGACATCTTTGTTCAGGACACAACTTACCAAAAAACAAAAAAACAACAACAACAAGAAAGGGCTGCCCTCTTTGATTTAATATTCTGCACTTTGCCGTGGCATTTATGTAAGCAATCCTGTTCATCTGTAGGAACATAGAGCAACCTGTGCTGGGAGTAAGCTCCTTGAGGACAGAGGCCATGTATGCATCATCCTTTTGTCTTCCTGATATAGCCTGGTCCATTAGAGATGTCACTCTAAGTGTTGCCATCTTTGGGAATTCTCTGGCTTTGTTTGCTCCATACCTCCCCAGCCAGCCTGGAATGGGAGTGTCCCCTGCACTCTGTGCTCTAGCACAATAGCACATACCACATTATTTTGTCTGTTTCCTCCACTAGAATCTGGGGAGTGGATCTTTCAGTTCTCTATCCCCAATGCCAAATGCAGTAGGTGCTGAGTACATGTGGAAAGAAATGAATGAGTGGAAGGCACTAGATAAAGGTTAGCTGAGTTGAATTGAATAGAGCAGGCACACCCTCTAGCTATCACTGGGTGGGATTTAGTGCAGGTGATGTAATGTGACTTGACAGCGTAGTTAAATATTGACAGACAGGAGGAAGCACACTGGCCCTGTTCAGAAAGAGGAAAGTAAGGGCTGACTGAGGCTGTCAGATCAGAGAGCTGAGGCTGGAAGTGGCTACAGTGGTCCTGATGACCCAGCTGAGGTCACTGGTTGGCTCTTGCTTCAGTAGAGGTAAGATTTGGATCCTGGCTGGGAAGATAATGGATTGTGATGTGAGTAAACGCAGGCTGTGCCTGTGGCTTGGAGATGGCTTGTATCCCAGACGCTCTCTGCTGGCTGCCCACTTGTATATAGCTCAGACTGATCCTCATTTAAGGCAAGGAACATGAATTCTATTTGAATCTCTCTCCCTTCTCCTCACCTTATCCATGCTCCCTAATGATCTGTGCTTTAATGTAACCTCTTAAAGTGATTGGGGCTGGATGCTGATTCATGCATTTTGAATGCTCAGGTGAGGAATTTGTACATATGAATTAATTTGTAAGCACTATTCGATGTTAATGATTAGAGACATGTGTAACAAAAGAATTAGGAGGCGTAAACATGTTCACTGCTACCTGGATGCTGCTTTATATAGGCAGGGGTGGGGTAGGGAGGGAAAACTGCATTAGACAATGTTTTTAGCTGTAATGTGGAATGAGGGAGCAAGCAGAGGTGAGTTCAAGGAGGATATTGGGTAAATGAGAAAATGCCAACAGACAGCAGACAGAGAATTGTTTTAGGCGAGTCTAGCTCTGCATTTAGAAAAGCACTCATGTCACCTTGAGAAAAAAAGGCCCCATTTGACTTTAGAAAGACTGTTTAGTCAGCTGGCATGGCTCAGGGTAGCTCTTTAGGAAAGAAGAGTTGGTATCCTGCTCATCATTAAATAGTCACATGAGGCAATAAGAACCAGTGGAGGCAAGTCTCTATTAGTTCCTTGTCTTTAGAGAAGGAGAAAACGCTGCGTGACTGCTGAGCAGCAGTGGGGCGAGGCAGGCTGTTTGAGAGTCAAATCTGGTTCAGAACTCAGCTTCGCAAGTGACGAGGTAAGGCAGCCTAATCTCTGTGAGCCTTTATTTCTTCATCTGTGAAATGGACAGAATAAAACCTCCTGGCGGTTTGCTGTGAGGCTTGAATAAAATATATAAAAAAACACATCAGACTCTACCTGGCCCGTAGCAGCTCACCCAAAAATATTATTTCCCTTTTCCTGATTTCAAAAGCCTTATCCTATTTTATCTTTTTGAAGTAACATTTTTATTGAGATATAATTTACATACATACTTTCCACCCATTAAAGTGTACTATTCTCAGAGTTGTGCACCCATCACCACAATCCAGTTTAGGTTGTTTTCATCACTGAAAAAAGAAACCTCATAACCAGTATCAGTTATTTCTCATGTCCTCCCAATGTCCCAGCCCTAGCCTAGCTGGCAATAATCTGGCTGTTTGGAATTTGCCTATTCTGGACATTTCGTATAAATGGATTGTACAATATGTAGTGGCTTGCAACTCGTTTCTTTCACTTACCATAATATTTTCAGGATTTCTCCATGCTGTAGTATACATCAGTGCTTCATTTTTTAATTGCCAAATAATACCCCATTGTACAAGTATAGAATACTTCTTTTATCATTGATGGAAATCTAGGTTTCTACATTTTGGCTATTATAAATAATGCTACTATAAAATTCATGTACACATTTTTGGGTGGACAAATGTGTCTATCTTTTTAATAGTGTCTTAAAACTAATAGATTCTCTTACCCCATCTTCCCTAAAAGATATTAGAAAACACAGTAGAGAGTATGAGGGGAGGCCCCCTTTTACTCAGCAGAAATGGACAGAAATGTCAACATGGTCATCACTTTCCTTCAGAATACTGGAATACAAAAGTGGGTCTTCAGCAATGTTTAGAGTCTTATGCAAAAGTGAGTAAAATAAACCAGTCTCTTGAACTGCTTTGTGAATGCGTGTATGTCTCCAGGGCTATACACATTATCACTACAGGATCAGAGGTATGTCATATATGCATGTGGTCATTATGTTTTTTTGTTTCTTTGTTCTTTGCAGGAATAATTGTGAATGATTTTGCTGAGTAGGAAAATAGAAGCAGCATGTGGTAGGGAAGGGTTTGCAAAATTAAATGTGTAAATAGCCCAGGAAAATCATACAAATGAGTGAAATGGATGGTTAAGAGAGCATCTGTGTGAGTATGGAGATACGTTCTAAATCACCTATGGCTTCATCATCAGGGAGACGTTAGGGAGTGGTAATGAATGTGGCAAACAAAAGAGTACTTTTCATCTAAAAAGGGAAGGAAACATTGGAACTCCAGCTGTAGGCTCATGTACTTATAATTATGTTCCATGTAGGTACATGGCTCACCTAACCATGTCTTCTAGTTTTTCAAGATAACAAATTTAAAATTATTTTAAAAAATCCACTTTGTGGGCCAAATGAAATATGCCTGTGAACCATATTTACCCCATTAGAGATCAGTCTGTGGCCTTTCCAGTGGGATAAATCATATCACTGGGCAACCACAAGATTTGGGGACAAATTCCAATATTGTCTCCCTACTAATTCCATTACTCTTTGTTTCTATTTCTTGGACCATCTATTTCTTATTTGGAAAATAAAGGAATTTGGTAAAATGTGCTCACATGGTCCTTTTTACCTTGAACATTCTAGAGTGGCATGACTGCCACAGTTGAGGGTTCCGTCTCTGATTGCAGCAGCACAGAAGCATTAGGGACAGAAGAACAGAGTTCCAACTGACTACAACCTTAAGAAGCAGGCGTGCTCTAAACAGCCTCCTTTACATGTCTTGTAGTGCAAATCTGCTTGGGACACAACCTCTCAGCCTTTATCTGAAAAGGTCTTTTGAGTTTGCCTTCATTTTTAAAAGAATTTTCTCTGTAGAAGGCTTTTTTTCTTTCATTGTGACTCAATATGCCCTCGGTCTGAACCCACACTAAGGGTAAAAAATTCCATCACTTTATCACTGTGTTGAAACACTGAGGTTTATTTATTTGTTTATTTCAAAAGTTCTTTAAGACTGACCTATTAGAAACACTAACGGCAATGGAGTTTTCTAGTTCTGTTATTTGAAGATTTCATGGAGAAACGTTTCCAATTGAAATGACCCAAACTGCAGAGGTCACAGTTTAATCAAAGAACTGGGTGTTTGCCTTGCACTGGTATATACCACCCAGTTTTGCTTGATGTTGGGCTGTAGACCTGGGAGAGGCAAGAATAAAATAACAGCCCCCATACCATCTTGAACTCTGTTCTTGAATCCTCCGTTTGTCCCCTGATCCTTCTCTTTTCTCACTCCTAGTCTGGTTGGGGAGTAACTTTTTAAAACAATGCTAAGAGAGCCAAGCACTTTTGTATTTGGGAGTAGCCCTGAGGTCTGAACAGTCTAATTACTACATACTTGGGTACAGTGTGCTTTTTATTCCTTTTATAATTTGTTCCTCCAAGCCATCCTATGAGGTAGAACAGAGCTATTGTCTCTGTTTGACAGTTAAGGAAATTGAGGTTCTGTGCTTGTTGGAAGTCTCAGAGTTGTTTAGCTGCAGAACTGGAATCAGAATGCCCATCACCCAAGGTACTTGTCAATCACTTAGCCACAAAGACAATTCCTGTCTCAGCTAAGTAAATCATTAAAGCAAGGTCAAAGAAGTCCTGTGTAGCAGCTTCTGATGCTAGCCTCTGAGAAAATATCCGTTGTAAAGAGCAGTTTGCAAAGGCTTAAATCATATGTTGCACATATTTAAGTGAAGTGGGTCTCAACATTTTTTCCTATTGACTCCCTACATCCGAGCAAGTTTGCCTTCAAACCTCTTGACTGAAAAATCACAGCTTTAAAGTTCATCTAAGAAACGTATTCCCTCTGTCACTAACTTTAGCGTCTAACAACGCTCCCTGTTTGAAATGTTTTCCTTATGTCAACCAAATTTCTCACATTGCAGTTTACATTCATTTTCTCCTACGCCTTTTCTTCTCACTCAAAATGTCGGACAGCTGGTCACATTCACGACATAATAGCTTTTTCACCATTATGGCCTACTTGACCCACCCCACCTCCAGCCTTCTCTTCTCCAGGCAAAATAATACCAGGGCTATTTAGCCTTTGCTCCCAGGTCCTGTTGTTCCATCCTTTGATCTACACTGTGGTTCTCCTCTGAATCATCCTGTTGGAGGCCCAGGAGGACAATAGCTCCATCTTGTCAAAAGCTCACTGAGGCCTCTCAACTGAGAGGTAACAAAGCCTGGGGCTCCCATCCCAACCCCTTGGATTAGCATATTTCCCACATTGTGCACCTCGACAGCTCTCTGCTGGGAAGGACACCTGCCACTGCTCTGGCAGTTCACGGTCACTTGCCAGACTGACCCACTGTGCTCGCAAAATAAACCTGGGAAAGTGGGCCTGGGGTCGATTCCAGGCTGCGCAGTCTTTAGGAGTGCTGTGGGCTCACCTAGTAGGAGAGAAGTGCATGTCTTCCAGGGGTGTGAAGGAGGCAATCGGGGTTAATGGGAAATTGCGCTTTGAATTGCCAAAAATGAGATACTGAGAGAGCTGGCCATTCTGGGCCCTCTAGGACTGATCTGAACAATGTTCCACGTGTCGGGGGCCAATAATCAAAAATAGCCAAATGAGTCAAATGGAAGAGTTGCCTGTGGTCCTTAAAAGAAAGAAACAAACAAAACACTGCCTTTTTTTTTTTTTTTTAACATACTTTCCAGGGCAAAAAAGAAAGATATTTTCATTATTCATATCAAAGAGTAAGGAGAAAAGTGTTTTTTTATTTTAAGCAACATTTCAAAAGCAGAGTATCTGGCAACGCTTTTACTAAATCTTGTGTTTCTCACTCTCATTCTAAGCATTGCCCCACCCTCAGATGCGTGCAAGACCAAATGTTTGGCAGGGAAAGGAGTTTTATAAAATAAAAAGATGCTACACTTGGAAGCCTCTTTTTCCAAACCTCGAGGAAGTTGCATGTTGCTTTGGAACTAGAGTTTTCTCCAGGATAAACTCATTTGGTCCAGGGGCATGAGCTGCCTCTCATCCTAAGCTCGGAATGGTGAGTCTGAGCTGAGTAGAAATGCTTTGACATGATAAAAACAAAAACAGCCTCTAAAAATTCCACAGGTGGTGGCTATTTCAGTACAATGTGAACCTAACTTTTTTTTTTTTTTGCATAATGCCAAAGCAGATTATTTCCAATGCCAAGTTGAGCATTAGCCCTCATCTCTGAAAGTCTAGTTTAACAGTAGAGTGTAAACCCTAATCTTTCAGAACTAGAGCCTTTCCAAGAAGCCTGAAGTTTCCATTTGCTGTGATCCTTTTTACAAAGAGCACAGAGAAACAGCATTTTTTCTCTTTTATGGCTGTCAGGTTCTCAGAAATCATGAAGGTAGTTTTCTGAATGTGAAAAAGTTGTTCCAGAAAAATGTCATTTTCATCCCTATACATTGATAAATGATTTCTAAAAAACAAATCCAAAGGGTATCTCTATTAAGCCCATGTGGGAAATTTCCCATCTCTTGGAATCTGGAAAACGGGACACATGTTTTTGCTAGGAAAGGATGACTAGAGTGGAATTTCCACTAGTTTTATTCTCTGAAGGAAAGGTCTTCATCTATCTTAGTGCTGATTACACCCAGAGCTCCACAGAGCGCCTGGCATAGAGGAGGTGTTTTCTAGATATTTGTTTAATGTATAATAAGCTGCCAAACTATGAAGAGGTAGGAGAGACCTGACGTTTATCAGAGCCAAACAGAAACTTGACATATCTCAGTAACAAAGAGAAACATCACTAAATGAACATCAGAAATATTTTATTCCATGTGACTACTGGTCTAACACACTTATTTCACCAAAATCCAAACAAGTTGTTTATGATCTACCACTCACAATGTGTTTTACTTTTGCTCAGATAAACTCATCTCTGGGAATCAAAACCGCATTTGATCTCTGTCCATATATCTGTAACTCTACAGCTATTCAAAATAAATGTATCATTTCAAAAAATGGAAAGAGAAAATAGTTGTTTTCAAAAGCCTCACAAAGAGAGACTTTGATACAGATAGGGGATGTGTGGTTGCAACAGTGCATTTGAATAAGAAATAAAAATAGCACTTTGAGGTCAAGCTCTATGTTGGGGATTGGAGTTTAGCTTAATTAAGGAAGCTGCAAATTATTTGCACGTTCTGCAGCCCAGTGGTCAGTGGAACCCCTGGTGACCAAACACACTTGTTCAAAGTGAGAGCCAGAGCCTCCTTTGACCTATACATGTATTATCTAAGGGAGTATGGTCAGCTGGCTCCCAAAGTGACCTGGGCCTGCAGCTGCTCTGCCAGCTGGCTATCACAGGCTTGCAGCAGAAAACTTGGAGAGGACTCATGGCGTCACCAGATGCCTTATAGCAGAGTCCAGCTGATGCCCCACACAGAGCAAACCAGTTCCGTGTTTCATATGAAATGATTTGGCTTGGATGTCACAGCCATTACTTTCAATACAGTAGAGTAAGTATCTCACATTAATAATTTAATTTTCCAGATGCATGACTGTGGTCAGATTAGTGGCCACTGGCAACAGCCAAATCTCAGACTGCAGGCATTTTGCAAGGAATTTCCAGGATATAATTTCTTTGGCCATGACATGGTACAAATGGCAACATGAATAAGTCCATTTCGGCCAGTGTGAACTGAGGCAGCATCAGCGGGGGCAATGGGGTTGAGCTAACCTGAGTAACCAAACTGAATCAATCTGAGACATAATGGACAGCAGCCGCTTGGCCTGTGTATTTACCAATTTGTAAAACAGCTAAGCATAGAGTGAGCATATTGCAGGTCAAAGTTCAACACTAGGGCGGGATTGAGAGAACCCTGTCAGTGAATCCTTATCTCAGGCCACTGAAGGGACCATTAGCCAGGACCTACATCTGCCCCTGAATTTTAAATGTAATTTAACTCTCCTGATAAGTTAACTCATGTGTTAAGGAATACGTAAAAATACCATGCTTTCTCCGTATTATTAGTTTGTGTGCTATAATATTCCACCCTTCATAGACTCCTTGGGAGGAAAATCTAATTTTCATAGTAAAATTCAGAGAAAGCACCACTATTAGAATGGCCTAACCAGGAAAAATGCCAACTCCTGAGTATGATGTGTAAGAATGTGCATAGTGAGAGGTGGTGTAAGGAGGTTGGACCATATATTGAGCAGACTAAAGGTTGTAAAAAGTATCATTTCATAACTACAGAGATGTATCTAAATCTGTGAGTCAATATAATGCTTTTTTTTGAGTAATGTGAGTTGCTTTTTTTTGGTGCAACAAGAATGACCTGAATTTATCCTCCCTGTCTCCGTCCCATTGGCTATTTTGCCCTTTGCTGCTTAGTGATAATGGGAACACTGCATTGCCTTTAGGGTAAATGATTCCACTAGAGTAATTTACCATGTGGAAACCAAAGGGGACAGGTTTCTAATGTGGAAAATGTTTTAACCTCAGAAAACGAAAAGACAGACTCCATTTGGAATGGCACCTTGTCTTGGAATCATAGAGCACACATATATGGAGAGTTCCAGTTAAACCTTGTGTCTAGGTATTTCCAATTTTGGTATATTGGACCTTACCTAATACCTGTTTCATAAATAATTTCAGAGTATTTATGACTTTAAGAACTCACTGTATTTTATGTGGCTCCTGAGTTATGACAGAAATTGCTGTGGCGTGACATTTAGTATGTCATTGATTTTTCTTGGAACCCATCCTAAGTGGTTCTTCTACTGTAGGAGAATACTATAATGATACCTATTATGTGCAAGGCCCCAAGGGCACCAGGATAGTGAGATGTCCTTGTGTTCTTATTCATGATGTAGTGTTCAACTCCAGACAAATTGTGTGAACTCAGATGACCTCTTGGACGGCCAAGTCTTTAACTCCGTCCCTCTATATAGAAAAACAGAAAAATCTAATGTCCATTGGGACCAGACAAATAACATAAATAGTGAAGCAGGCTGGATGGAGAAGGGGGCAAAATGAAGATTGTAATGCCTGTCTGAAGGCATCAGATGCTTCTCTGCTTCTTCTGATTGTTACGGGAGAACATGTTATTGTGGGAACACAGGGTGGGCCTGGTGTTGCCGGATCTTCCAACTTCTCAAGAGAAGCTGGAAAATGAGGTTTTTTAAAAAATGTGACATCTTCTGATTTATAAAGTTTAGCTCATTAAATTTTTTTTTTTTACCTGGTTTTGAGATCATTGTAGATTTGCATGCAGTTGTGAGAAATAATACAGAAAGATGCCAGGCACCCTTCCCTCCTTCCCCTAATGATAACATCACATATAACTATAGTATATCACCACTAGGACATTGACACTGATATGATACACTGATCTTATCAGTTCATTCCTTTTAAACTCTGTACAGGCCAATCACAACACATTTGAGGGCTAGCATTAGCCTAGCTCACTACTTCTGTTTGCAATCTGTGTGCATTACAATCTGGCTAGATTTAGGGGACCAGCCCATGCCTCTGGGTCCTAACAGCTGAAGCTAAAGAAGCCATTTACAATGTTGCTAGAAGATTGACCTCTCCTAATACTTCCTTCCTGGATCCTTTTCCAGTCTTCCAGTTTGCATACTAGTCCCCATGTGCCTATAGCTGTGTGCCTGGCTTGGGCCTGTGCTCTGACACTTGCACTGTCTCTTCCCACTGTGCCTCCCCACCCACATGCTGAGCTCAGCTTCTACTTGAACTTGGTGGGCTCTGCATGTTTGCTCCAGGCAGGCCAGACCTGCAGGCTTTGGCCCATGATATGCCTTCTGGGCTCACAGGACTCTCATATTTGCTTTCTTCAAATTTTTTCTCAGCTCCCTCTCCTTCCTCCCTCCCTGCAGAAGGTAAACCATTGTAGTACACTTCAAGGTGGTAGGTACCCAAGATATTTATTTGTTTGTGCCAGAATTTTGAAATCTCAAATGTTTCTTTAGATAAAGTGAGTCATAGTTTGAGGATTACAACTACAGAGGTTTTTTAAATAAATATTTGACATAAAAGCCAGTTTTCTAGTGTAAATGGCTTTAAAGCCTCTGTGATACTGATTTAAAAGTTGCCAATAAAGTTTTAGAATGCTTGGGATAAAAATCATACTTCTAGAGTTCCTTCTGGTTTATAATAATTACAGGAAAAAGTTAAGGTCTTCACTTTTGTCCAGTTAATTGATTTTGTCTTGTTGCCTTCAAAGTCACCACAGTAGAGGTCATTCCTGGTCAATAGTGAATGGCAGAAGGTGGGAAGAGTCATCTCAGCACATTAATGAGAGACCTGAGCCTTGTGAGTCTGAAGGCCAAGGTCAGAATAAGAAATTCAGAATCAGGAAAGAAAATGTGGGGCAGAGCCTCGCACCCACACTGCACATGGTGACTGTCTTATTCTGGGCTGCTGTAATAAAGTACCATACACTGGGTAGCTTATAAAAATGCAAACTTATTTCTCACAGTTTTGGAGTCTGGAAGTCCAAGATCAGGGCCAGCACGGTCAGGTTCTGGTAAGGACCTCTTCGAGGTTGCAGATGGCTGCTTTCATTATCCCCGCATGGCAGAAAAAGAGAGGGCTCTCTGCGGTCCCTTTCTATAAGGACACTAAACCCATTCATGAGGGCTCTATCCTCGCGAGCTAATCACCTCCCAAAGGCCCCACCTCCCAATAACATCACCATGGGGGCTAGAATTTCAACATATAAAATCCGGGGAGTACGTAGGCATTCACTCCAAAGCAGTGACTACTGTGACCATCAGGGGGCTGCAGGGCAGAGCTAGCTGCCTCCTCCCCTTCATTTTATCCCTGATATGCAGATGAACAGGAGTTAGAGGGAGGAACAGTGAAGCTTAGTTTGAAGCCTCTTCTCAGATGACAGTAATCATTCTCACCTAGCAGACATGGTGATTCTTAAGTGTGTGTACATCATGGGGAGGGATCATGGGAAGGAGAAGAAAAATAAAGATAATAGATTCAATAAACCCAAAGTCGAATTTTGCTAGAGCTAAATACTTCCTTTCTGCATTTCCACACTGTTGGGCTTGTGAATTGTTGGGCTTATGCCACCCTTCCCAAGCAAGAGAAATGGCTAAATCATCCCTGGGTCTCCCCTTTCTCCCTCCCAATCAGAGCAGAGTACACAAAGATATCCGCACCCTCCCTGTTTTCCGTTCAGTTTCATGCTGCTGCTAGCTTTTCCAAGCCCTGTTCCCAATTTTACTCTGAAATCTCAAAGTCTCCACGTATCCTAACCAAAGCTGCCTGCCCCTCCACCAGCCCCAGTGGAAAATGAATGGTGTATTTATCCTTGTGTACGCTCATCGGTGATTCCTTGTCCTGCTGCAGATCCTTCTCCTCATCCCACACAGCTTCCACTGAGTCCTGCAAGTCCTTCACTCACCTTTCTTAGTGGCACATTCTCCAGTCATTAGCTGGAAGCCCTCCCTTCCGATACTTATGCCAAAAATATTATAAAGTTTACCAACGCCCACACCAGGGCTCCAGATGTTTCTCTGTCCCACACCCATACACATGACTCTCTGCAGAAGAGGACATGGCAAAGGCTGGGCCCTGGTCTGCTACTACTGCTATATGTGACATGGGCAAGGAACAAAAACTTTGGAATTCAGCGTTCCCATTGGAAAATAAGAAGATGCAAGATGGATCATTATGATCCTCATTTTATAAGTGACAAAACAAGGCTAACAGAAGTATAGGAAACTTTTCCAAGGCCCCACAGCTAGTTACTGGTGTGGCAGGTCTGAGTTCAGAAGAGACTCAATATTGATTGGATTTCAAGCATCCAGTGCAGACTGCCAAGAGGAGAGAAGTGGACTTCCCTTGGCCCTTTAAATTCAATTATTTAAATCCCTGGGGAACTGTTGATAATGACCAATGCTCCCAGTCCCTCACCCCATAGAGATTCTGTTGTAGTCTTGGGGTGGTTAGAGAGTTTAAGTATCAGTAGTTTTTAAAAGCATCTAACATGATTTTAATGTACAGCCATGGTTAAGAATGATTTATCTACATCAGTGGTTTTAAATTTAGGATGTATCAGAATCACGCAGAAGACTTATTAAAACATACTTCATTGGACTTCACCCCCTGAATTTCTGAAGCTGTAAGTCTAGGGTGGGCCTGAGAATTTGCATTTCTAAGAAGCTCCCTGCGATGCTGCAGCTCTGGAGACCACTCTGAGAAGCACAGAGCTGCATAGCAAGTGGGAATGGAGGTAGGTTTTAATATTTGTTGAGTACCTGCTAGGTACTAGGCAGCATAGCTATGTTATAGGATTGAACCAATACATGACAATTAATTTTCCTAAGAACCCTTTGATGTAAGTATGATTATTCCCATTTAGTATATGGAGGAAACTAAACCTCAGAGAAGTGAAGCCTGTGCTTCTTAAACTGGGATGTGTAGGGATGTAGCAGGGGCTATGAAAACCGCGTGATGAATAACACATGACTTCTTGGGCCATGAATTTCATTGACATCAGCTATGCTCTTTGTTGAACAGTCTTGGACAGTTTGAGGGGGAAATGTCCCTGCTACCTGTATGTTTATTATCTTACGTGTGATGTCTATTCTAAGTAACGGAACCAGCAATGTGTAGTAGATGGTTAAATCATGGCTGTAAATTCTTCCCATTCTACTTCATACTTGGCACGGAGAGGCAAATCGTGATTAAAATGAGACTTGGGAGTTGCTACTATTACCCTGTGGGCATTGTTGCATATCAAAGCAACCTTGAGCCTTTGCTTTGCTGAGTCTATGATTGACTTTTATAATGGTGCAGCATGGAGTTTCCTTCATTGGAACATGTCTAGTACCATTTTTATTAGTCATTAGTTCTGTTAGGACATTTTTAAAATAACCTCTTAACTACCATAGTTATTATGTGTAAGAACCTTTTTTGGTCATTTGGCTAGAAGTCTATTCTTATATAGTCAATAGTTTGATCCTTCATAGCAAAGTCTGAGTAAATGCATTTGTTATAGAGTCATCTCTTACAGATCCCATGGGAAAGCATTTCTTTGCCCTTTTTAAGTCATGGGCTCCTTTAGAAATCTGATGAACAATGTAGACCTTTTCCTACAACATTGCATACACATGCACACACATCCCTTGATTTTTAGGGTGTTCTCAGACAACTAAAGCCCATGACGAACCCTAACCTTGGCTCCAAAAGCCCCTGCTCAACTCTGTAAACTTCTCCATGACAAGGTCTGTAACTGGTCTCAACTTGTATCTCTGCTGTCTACATGCTAGAGATATTCACCATGGTTTCCTGAACAGGGCTTAAGAATCCAGCAAGACCCGTGGCTTACTCCTTTAGGGATGTCACCTGAATCTTGATTCCTATAAGTCTGTTGTCCAGGCATTGCTACAAAGAGTTTTAATTGCCCAATGCCTACAAAAAGGGTACAATCCTGCCTCTGAGATGTTTAGCGTCTGCTTCTAGGAAACCTTTCAGTAAAGATGGTGGGTGAGACACTAAAGGGACAGAGAGCTGGGACTTTCCTGAGCTGGGACAGCAGGTAGTAAGGTCCATTTTTATGCCTGCATTAACACATATTTATTTAATAAATGTTCACATATGTGTAGGGAAATCTGGTCTGAGGATTGCTTTCATTATAACTCAGTAGCAAGGTCAAACTGCTTCAGTATCTGCCAAAAAGAATCTAAATATTTTGTGTGACCAAATTGGTTCACAGCACTTCAGCTCTATGGCAAATGTGCTTTTAAGAGAGATTCCATATATTAGCTTTTACTGTGGTAACAACCCAGGAAAAAATTAAGTGGCTTACAGTATTCAACATTTATTCCTCATTCATAGTCCTGTGTGTCAGCTGTGGCTCCACTGGGTCCCTGCTGTGTGTGGCTGGGCTTGACTCCAGGCTTCAGGATGGGCTGGGGTCTGCTTCTCTGATCTTCTTGTCCCAGTGCCCAGACTCCAGTGGCAGCCCCACTACTGTTCAGGGGCACGAGGTTCTCAAGGTGGAGGCAGGGCCACAAGAGGGGCAGCAGAAAGGCTCTGCCAGTGGCTGGCACACCATTACTTCTGCTCATGTTTCTGTGTTCAGTGACAGTCCCATGGCAAACCCTACAGTCAGCATAGCTGGGAGGTGGTATAGACTTTTCCCACCAGCAGGAGTAGGAGGGAAAGGAGAATTGTGAACAAATAATATCATCTTTCACCCTCTAAATTAAATAACAGGGCCTTTCTGTGTCCCCAAGTCACCAGCATGATGCCAACTGCAGTCAGTTCTTCAAGCATTAACTAAATATTTGCGGATTGCTTTACATTTTTGGGATGGGGGTGAGTCAGCAATGTAGAGGGGGTAGGTCTTGGCCTTGAGGATTTTATAGTCTTGGAGAGGAGCAATTATTTCGGTCTCAGGGACCATATAAGTATACTATGGAACAACATTCGGAGAGAGTTGAAAAAACATATATGCTGCACACAAAGTGAATGCAAAAGTTATGCCATGCAAAAATCCATTATACAAGCAGTAGTATTAGGTCCACTGTTCCATTTTAGCACAAGCTGTGCCACACGCCTTGAGGACAGAGGAGAGCTCAAGGCTTCTGTGCCTCTCCTCATCATCATCATGCCTTCAATCAGATGGTTTGCCCCCAAATCAGCAGTGGGAAGGAGAAAGAAAAATACATTAGAAGACCAGACCCAGGTCCTGGCTCCCCAATGGACTGCACTATTCCAGGGAAACCACTGAAGTTCTCAGGACCCTCTGATTTTTCAGTTGTGAAATGAGGGCTGTGGACCAGATCACAAAGTCTAGGATGGGGAAAAGATGGGCATATGGCCTGTCTTTGTGTTCCTTTTAGTGTAGGCACCCTAAGTCAAAGGGCACCTAGGATCGTGAGACTTTCCTATCTGTTCTACTGCTGGCTAACCTTGGTCCCCTTTATCGACCTCCTTCCTAAACAACAACTTATAATATCAAGCCCACTCGTAAATATTTACAAGATGTTTGTTTACTGATAGCTGAACACCAGAATTTCTCTTCATTTTTTTCTATGATTTGAAGTTTAAGGAATGATCGTGTTTTTGTTGTAATGTTTTCTCAGCTTTGCCCTGTCAGAGATGGCACTTACTTGGTATCTTTGCTCATGATAGTCAAGGGAGACACAGATTTCAAACCAGCCAGCTTGGGAGCCTGAGGGATGCTCATTCACAGCACTGGACTCTTCTCAATAGGCCCTGGGCTCAGCGTGTTAAGTGGCCGGCACAGCGCCTGCACCACGTGGAGAGGGTACACAAAAATGGATTCCTTGCCTTGCCTCCCGCAACCAACCCACCCGTCCTCCTGTCACACTTCTTCCTAGGCTTGCCAAATTGCTTTGAATGCTGTGGTAAGTGGATTATTTTTAAACGGAAGCCTGGGCCAGTCTGGTTTGGACTGGAAACAACTCAAAATTTTGAAAGAAGCCAACAGGAGGGACCAGGATTAGTTTGGTTTCTCTGCTTCCATTGTGTACAGAGAAGCCCTCAAGGAAAACAACATAGTTCTCCTGACAGCAAACACTTTTGTGTTCCTAAGAAAACTTGAAAATCTTCACTGTTCAGCACCTGAACAAAAGATCCTCCTCCCTTGCAAGTTAAGACGAAATTCCTGGAGCCCTCATTTCATCTTTCATACCTGGCGGATAAACATTCCCCATTACAAGACTCAGGCTCATGGGCTTTCAAGAGGCTCATGTATGAGGTCACCTCTTTGGCAAACCAGATGTTCCCATTTAGGGGGATATTCTGTAAGTGCTCTCCATGCTAGAGCTGAGACACAAGAAAGCTCAAAAGAGAAGTGAGAAGGTTGGATTCATATTAAAAACTGTGCTAACCAGTGAAGGCTGTCCCCAGCCACAGAGAGAACAGTTTGGGTTTGATAGGAATAATGCAGGTCCCCTGGAAGGAAGGGCAAGGTGGGGCTTGAATATAGACTTTGCTGCTTTGCTGTAAGGGGAGCTAAACTGTGGCCAAAGTCAGTGTTTTCTGGGAATGGGACAGTATAGACAGTGTCTGGCTGAGTCTGTGAGAGAACTGAATTTACTCAGCAGAAAGCTATACCTGCATTCCTACCCCAGACAGATTCCCAACTTTGATCTTTTATTTATCTGATAAATTATTAAACTCTTTTTCCTAACTGTTTTTCAGTTGTTATTTTCCCTCCCTCCCTCCCTCCCTCCCTCCCTTCCTTCCTTCCTGGAAGTTTTTTGTTGGTTTGTTTTTAACAAATTGATGCCACATCAAGAATGAATGAGGCAGGTCCAGCCTTGGGCAAAACTGTAAAAAGGGGGAGGATTCTTTTTCTGAAGCCCTTCCCTTTGCCCTCTCTATTCTCCTGTGTTATATTTCACGTCTCTTCTCACCTACTGCAGTTCAGAGACTCAGGCTGAATTCCAGTTCTCCAGAGCAGCCCCCTGCAGCCTACTTCTGCATAACTTTTCTTACATTTATCTTTCTCCAAAAGCACTCCCCAAAACTCATCAAAATGATTCTTTCTGTTAGTACAAATCAACTTAGTTAAATGAAAGGAAAGTGTCTTTATTCGGGTAGTTAAGAGGATAGCAATCTGTATCAATACTCAGGTAAAACTGCCTAAAGCCTCTCTTCTTCTAACTGTTCCAGGGATGCTTCCAATGTGAGACACTGCTGTTGACTTATTGATGACATGTTAGGCTGTGTGACTAAATAAAATCCCAACATGATGGGAAAAGATGATGGGCTGCAGCTTTGTAGAGAGTGCTTTTTACAAGCAATGGATCTTCAATTCGGGGATTATACAGACCTGTAAATTATTCCCCTGAATTTTGAGTACTGTCGAAGAGTTGCCTGTGTTTTCTATTTTGTCAAGAAATGACATCTTAAGAAAACAATTGCCATTCATTCACCAACTATGTATTGAGTGCCTACGGCATCTGGCTCTGTCATAGATGCTGGGGATTAGATTGGGGTTTGTGCAGGGTATAACCCAGGCAAGGGGAACAGCAAGTGCAAAGCCTCTGAGGCAGAAGTGAGCTGGACATGGACTAGAAGCATAGAGGCCAGTATAGCTGGAGTGTAGCAAACACAAAGGATATTTGTAGAAGATAAAGTCAGAAAAACTTTACTCTTTATTTATGAATTTGCTACTCACTGAAATTCACTTATAACCCCAAAATCAATCATCACAGTGCTTTCACTATCACTTGCAGACTTAGACTGGCAAAAAATTTGAAGTCTCCCCATGCACATGTCCCCAGTTGAGATTGAACAAGACAATGCCCCGCCTTCTGGTTTCACTTGCTTACTATACACAAGTGTCCTTTTTGAGGTCTGCTTAGTACTGCATTTTTCACATTTTTGTGCTTTTGGTTGATGTCACTGTTTAAAATGGCCCCGAAGAGTAGTGCCGAAGTGCTGTCTGGTGTTCATAAGTGCACGAAGGCTGTGATGTGCCTTATGTAGAAAGTATGTGTATTAGATAAGCTTTGTTCAAGTATAAGTTATAGTGCTGTTGACCAGGAGTCCAAAGTTAATAAATGAACTTTCTATGCTAAATAAAGTGTCTTTAAACAGAAACACACACAAAACAAGGTTATGTATTGATCAGTTGACAAAAATGTTGTGACCCTAGGCTCAGAGAAACGTAACTCAGTATTTTTCCAAGGAGCAATGGTTCAGGATTTGCTAATTCAATGTTGGCAATGACATTATGAAACATAACTACTGTGAATAATGAGATGTAACCCTATAGGAGGGGCCAGGTTGTATTTGGCCTTATTGGCTACACTAGAGAGTTTAGGTCTAGTTCTAAGTTTAGTGGGAAGCCTGAGATTGGAAGAGAGGCAAGGGAGTGAAACACTAATCTCATCACACATCTAACTATTCATTTAATGCTGGTCGAGAACTGATAGACGGAGGAAAAGTTGGAAGTTCATTCTGTAATCTAGGGGTAAAAATGATGGCTAAAGAGCGGAAGACAGCAGGGCCATCTGCTAGTAACATCACTTAGTGAAAGAAAAGACCTGAATATCCCAAAAGTCAAGAGGAAAGCATAGTTATTTGCAAGAAAGACAATGGACAAATTTTCCCTGATATAACACAAGTATAAAAAGATATCATTTTTCTGCTTTTACAATTAAAGAAAACAGTAGTCCTCGCTTACCTAGTTTCACTTTTCACTGTTTCAGTTACCTATGGTCAACTGAGGTTCAAAAATATTAAATGAAAAACCTCAGAAATAAATGAGAGACCACATTCATATAACTTTTATTATAGTGCATAGATTGTTATAATTGTTCTATTTAATTATTAGTTATCGTTAATCTTTTACTATGCCTACTTCATAAATTAAGCTTTATCATAGCTATATATGTATCTATGTATAGGAAAAAACAGTAATGTATATAGGGCTCGGTACTGTCTGAAGTTTCAGGCATCCACTAGTGGTTTTGGAATATATCCCCTGCAGATAAGGGGGACTACTATAACAAAGTTTTATTTCATAATATTGTTTTGCATATAATTGTGATCTTGATTAATGTTGCTCAATTTAGGCCTGTATTTCAACAGTTCAACAGGACAGGGAGCCCAAATGTTCATTTTCTACCCAGTCATGATCAAAATGTAGTTTCAGGTAAGTATGTTAGCAAAATTGGAAGCCAGTCTCTTAATTCATTCAATTCAGAATATTCTAAGAGGAGGTAGGGAAGCTGAGACACTATAGCTGGGGTTTGTAGGCCTGGAGAAAGTAGGGTGTGGGCTACCCAGGTGTGTAGGCAAGACCAGGAGCCACAGAGCCTGGGCTGCCCAGCTGAGGGGCAAGGGCCAAGGCTCATCACATGGCAGTCAAGGGGCTCAGGTATGACTGGTGAAAACTCACCTACACACACACACACACACACACACACACATCCACCTGACTGCAGACCAGCTTATGGGAACCCCACTGATTAAACACATCAGTAAAATGTGTTTCATGGCATAAGGATAGACTTAAATGATGCTAACCCTCTATACTACCTTTTACTCAGAAGGGAATTTGGGACTGGTGGAATGAGATGGGACTTGGAGCATCACAGGAAACGTGCCCAAAGTGGGGACATTCTCCATGGCAGCACTTTGCAAAGGTGGTGACAGGAAGGGCCACAGTAACTAAAGCAGTTTGCACCATCCGCCGTTAAAGCTGGTGCCAGCCTTGAGTTCTTAGAATTACAATACATGGACTTTCCTGAAAATCTAGTACGTTTCACATGGATATGAAATATAGTCATCTTGAACCATGAGTCTTGTGTTAAACACTAGACATCCAAAATTTTCAAAACTCAATAAAACATCATTGACTAGACTAAATACATTTAGTAAAACCTATAAGAAATTACTTGCTACACCCTGTGGCCATGCATATCTGCCACAGGCCATTTACTTTACTCTTATGAGGTGCTGGCTAAAGTAAATTTAATTCAATTAATTTCTGTATTTTTTAATACTGTGGCAATGCCAATTGTCACTAATCATCATTGGTGCATGACATTTTAATTACTCATAATTACTTCTTTGTAAAATGAATGCCTCAATCCTAGTGAACCTAGTTTTACATTATTTGTCTTGAAAAAGAGTTTTTGCAGGCTCACTTTCTAAATCATACCCTAGAACTTTCTTTGCTGTCTGAAGTACAATCAATGAATCACATTGTTTTTGTGGCATGATTTCTTTTTCTCAAAGCTATTCAAAGATAAGTGGTGTGCCACCTGGAGCTTGGGAATCTTTCTTCATTGGGACATAAAAGTTAACTCTGGCTAATTACTTCCACAATTTAAAAAAATGTTTCTGTTCCTCAAAAGTCACTAGAAATTCTTAACAGAAAAATGTGGCCAGGTAAGTAAGTCAGGATGCATTGTCACTGTATTAGTCCATTTGCATCGCTGTGAAAGAATACCTGAAGCTGGGTATTTTATAAATAAAAGAGGTTTATTTTGGCTTACAGTTCTGCGGGCTGTACAGGAAGCATGGTGCTGGCATCTGCTTCTGGTGAGGGCCTCAGGAGGTTGACAATCAAGATGGAAAGTGAAGGGGGAGCAGGCATGTCACTTGGTGAGAGAGAAAGCAAGAGAGAGAAGGAGGAAGTGCCAGGCTCTTTTAAACAACCGGATCCCATATGAACTCAGAATGAGAACTCACTCATTATCGTGAGGACAGCACCAAGCCATTGATGAGGGATCCAGGCCCACGAACACCTCCCACTAGGCCCACCTCCAACATTGGAGGTCACATTTCAACATGAGGTTTGGAGGGAACAGAACATCCAAACCCTATCAGCTACCAAAGAGCTTTGCCTTACAGTTTACTTTGTTACTAAATTATTACCTGTGACCTCTATCTCTTATCTGTAACTCTCCCCTCCCTACAATCTAAAGGAAAGTAAGTTTTCTTTATCAGTTACCAAATCCTGTCTTTCTCCACTTGTTATCCATCCTCTTTGTCTTCTCCTCCTCATCCCTGGAAGACCAGGCCTCAGGGTCCTATTTTAGGGTTTTTCTGGATCTGTGTTTGGTACCATCAGTAGGCGTGAGTGCACAGTGCTTGTCTTCACTAAAACTATACACCGAGTCCTTCTTCTTTAGCACTGAGGCATTTTAAGCACTTTCAGTTTCCCTCTTTTCCACCAATAATCCAACCCTCTGGATTAAATCCTAACTAAAACCACTCAGAGATTATTAATTTAGGAAGACACAAAATTTTAAAGCTTCCTTGATGACGCTGACAGGGTGACATCCCCCTGGAAGGGCAGAAGAGATTTTATGGTCTCATCCCTTGAGCTGAATCTCGAGAGATCATGACAGGCAAGCTTGGCAGCCACAAGCAGATTAGAGTAGTACAGTAGGTCCAAGAGAAGGTTTAGAAAAAGATAAGTTTGGAAAGTAAGTGAGGACTTCATTGCCATTCTAGGGAGCTTAATAAACTTGACTCCATGGGCAATGGAAGCTAACAAAAGTCAAAAAGGAAAGGAGGAAGTTATTATGAGAGCCCAGGTTGGAGCCCTGACTGGGAAACCAGGGTGAGATAACCCAATATCCTTTTTTTAATTATGGTAGAAATTAAGTTAAGGAACCTGTGCTACTTTTACTCCATAATACCTCTGATACCAACTATGATGATTGGTTTCTACCTACAGAACACTCCTGACACCAAATGTGTGGGTTTTTCACACACCCATGACCAGTTCTCCAACTCTCTAGACACCAAGTGGATGTCCAATGATTCCACTCAATTCTGACAGTAACTACCTTGAGTTAGCATCAAACTCTCACTAGACTGCCCCCATTTCAAGTGCCAACCACAAGTTCTGGGCCTCCCACACATAGGACTGACAGGCTACAAACTGAGAGTGCCCATGACCTGCTCCTCAGTTTGGATAATGTGCTAGAA
Organism: Homo sapiens; assembly: GCF_000001405.40. Taxonomy (NCBI): domain Eukaryota; kingdom Metazoa; phylum Chordata; class Mammalia; order Primates; family Hominidae; genus Homo; species Homo sapiens. Next base: position 133,401,372 of record NC_000002.12, on the reverse strand, counting down.
CAGCTCACAGAACTCAGGGAAAAGTGTTAACTTACTATTATTAGTTTACTATAAATGATACAAGTTTGAAACAGCCAAATGGAAAAGATTCTAGGCAAGATGTGAGGAGCAGGGGAATGGAGTTTCTATGCTCTCTCCGGAGGCACCAACCTGCCAGAACCTCAATGCGTTCACTATCCCAGAAGCTTTCCAAACCCTGTTTTCGTTTAGGATTTTTTGTGGACGTTCTGTTACATAGACGTGATTGATTAAATCGTTGTTCATTGATGATCAGTTGAATCTCTAGCCCCTTTCACCTCCCAACCCTCTAATTTCATGGTTGGTTCCTCTAGCAACCAGGTCCCATCCGGAAACTATCTAGGGTCCCACAAAGAGTCACCTCATCAGAGTAACTCAGGTATAGTTAGAAAGGGGTTTATTGTGAATAACAAAAGCTGCTGCCCTCATTCGTATCACTCAGGAAATTCCAAGGGTTCAGAAGCTTCAGAAGCTCTGTGCCAGGGAGCAGGGATACAGAACAAATAAATATTTCTTATTAAATCACAATATCACAAGAAAAAAAATCAGCATTTTTATATGGGCCACAAACTTAATGAAATGCAAATTTAAAAATAAATCGATACCATTTAATCATTGTATTAGTTTCCCAGAGCTGCTCTAACAAATTACCACAAACTTGGTAGTTTAAGACCACAGAAATTTTTCTCACTGCACTGGAGGCCAGCTGCCTGCAATGAGGCTGGGCTCCCTCTGAAGGATCTAGGGAAGAATCCTTCCTTGCCAATTTCAGCTTCCTTCTGGTGGCTCATACATTCCTTGACTTGAGGCTGTCTAACTCCAGTCGCTGCCTCCATCCCCACATGGTCATCTTCTCCTTCTCACTTCTCCTCTTCTCTCCAGATCTGTTCTCTTGCTGCCTCTAAAAAGGACACTTATCTTTGGATTTGGGGCCCACCAGTAATCCAGGATGATCTCATCTGGAGATCCTTAACACAATTACATCCTCAATGACCTTTCTTCCAAATAAGGTCCCATTCTCAGGCTCCAGGGGTAAAGTCATGGGCATATCTTTTTTTTTAGGGGGGCAGCGGGTACCATTCAGCTCATGATAATCACTGATCCTTTACATTTAAACTTCAGATGTTGCTCTGGGTGACAATGGGAAGCTGGATTTTGGGAGATTAAAAATTGTGATCCTCATTAACTGAAACTATTTTATGCATAAATCTGTAAAAGGATGGATAAAAGCAATGTGGAAAAAAGTGTGTGGGAGTGGGGGTATTTGGATATTTAGAACCAAACATAATTTTTATATATTTAAGAATACTGGGTAAGGAAGATTGAAATTAGAAAATAAAATGAGTTTTATTTGCCAAAAATATCTTTTTGCAGACATATAGTATTACAGACCTGCTTTATATATTTATGTAGCAATTTAATAGGAGCCAAAAATGTGGTCAATATCAATGGAACTTTTCTGTTTGAAATTGGCATGATTTTATGTGTAAACTGACCAGTTTTCACAGTTATTTAAGTGTATTTAAATTGGGAGAACTACTGAGACCCATAAGTACCCCCTACTTTTTCATTAATTTTAATACACAAAAGCCTGTACTGTGTTATGTAGTCTGTACTGTGTTATGGAGCCCGCACCAGTTACTTGAAAATGTGATGAATGAATCAAATTAGCTCTCCTACACATATTTCTAAATATTATTGAAGGTTTCACACTGTCCCTTTTAATAATCTGTTAAAGTTGTTCTTATTGAAGGGAATTTCTCTTCAGTCTAAACATTAGAAGAAAACAAAATTTAAAACCTCATATAAAATGCCCCCCACAAAATGCTCAAGTTGGCTTTGGCAATTTGAATTCTTGCCTATCTATATGTACAGAATCTTAGAACTCTTTTCTCCCTGCCTTCAACTGCCTCCCGGCCTTCCTCCAACTTTATAATGACAGCTGTTTTATGTTTTGTTTTTTTTTTTTAATCTTAGGGTCAATGAGTCATTCTTAATCTGTGCAATGAAGACCCTGGACCTACTCTACCTGCCATAGTCCTCCATAGCTTGATTCCCCCGCTTTTCCACAAAAAATTCCACCCCTCTTCCTGTCCCAGGCCCTTCGCTGTTCCCTTGGCCTGCCTCTTCCTCTTCCTGGTATTCCTATAGCTTTTGTTACATAGCTGTGATTGTAAGAAGCAGAACCTCATCAGGGCTGCCTAAAATGAAGAGCGAGAGCATGTTGTCTCAAGGCTCCAGGGCGTGCTCTAAAAGGAAATGCATCTGCCGAGCAGCGGCCTCGGTCTCTGTGATAGGTGTCTGTTTCTTTATTTCTACAAGGTTCCTCCTTTCTTAAATATTTTGTGTTTCTTTTTTCATCTCCATTGCTTTCCACCATTATCTGTGATGCCAATTCCCAGCCCAGCTCCACTTTATAAACTTCCCCTAGCATTCTCACCCTGGCTGTTTCCTGGTGCCTGTGATTGGCTAAGTTTAAGTCAAGTGTTTAAACCCTGTCGGGCCTCTCAGTGAAGGGTGCTGTGCCCTCCCATGCTTCAGGAGTTGTTGAGCTTGAGCTGCCTTCCCACTTGGTTCTGCTTTCACACAGTCTCCATCTGCTTGGCTATGCTCCCAATCACCCCTTAAGTCTTTCTGCAAAGATGTCAATGTTGATATATCACATAATTTTGCCACCTAGGAAGTTTTATTGTTTGCTATTTTTTATGCTCTCCAACCAGAATATGCATTTGTTAAAAACAGACATATTTTCCTCTAATTCTTATGCTAATTACATTTTTAAAAATATGGTTCATACTGATGTCATTGGCCATCATCATTGGTCAGATTGCTATTAATATTTTGTATTGACATGATTTAGATGATTAAAAAACAAACTCTCCTTTTGAAGTATTAAAATGCACCACTCTAAGGTTTATTTTTATGTTACTTTAAGTTTTAAGAGACATGAGCAGAACGTGCAGGTTTGTTTAATAGGGATACATGTGCCATGGTGGTTTGCTGTACCTATCAGCCCATCATCTAGGTTTTAAGCCCTGCATGCATTAGGTACTCCAAGCTATTTATCACATAGCAGTGTGACAGATGTCTGCAAAATATTACATATCTCTTGTTTCTCCTATTGAGGGTTTCCTTTTGATGAGTTTGAGTTGATCTTCTAGATGATTCAGCTGTGATATGAGTGAAGAAGACACTGTTGTCAATTCCCTGAGGATCAGGTCTCTGATCTTATCTAGTAGCACCAGGGCAGTACGTTTTCCATGGCTTTGCTCCTCCATCTCTCTTGTGAGTAGCGTGCAATGCTGGCAGATTCACTACCCACCCCAGAGCCTGCTTGACTACAGTTTTCTCCAACACTGAGAGGGGAGGCCACTCCTTAATACAGGACTTGTCAAAAGATTCTCCCCAAACCAATCTCTCACATTGCTGAAGTCAGAAAATGCACAGAGTTCCCTTCCTCTGGCTTAGATCTCCTTGCCTGAGAATCTCTTGGGGGGAATTACATATCAGATTTATCAGCTGCAAGGCCAAGGCCAGCCCATGCAGTGCCCTATGCAAATTAGATAAAACACTCCTTATACAGAGTAGAAAATTGTTGTAACATTCAGACTTATATTAAAACAGACCTACAACCATCTGCTAAAGAATTATGATAAATATGAAAATCTCCTGTGTTTTGGGGACACCCTGTGCACTCTACAACCTGCTTAATAGTACCCAGCAGCCCCAGAGCACTTTATTGCTTAATCCGCAAAACACATCTGTGTCTTTTCTGCAAGGAGGTTTTGAGAATAAAGATAACAGAGGCAACAAGCATATGGTAGTAGACAGTGGACACCAGGTCAATGAGAAAGAACAGTCTGGGAAACAAAGATATGCTTCAAAGTTCCCTAATTATCAATGAATTACATAGAGAAGGTGCTTAACATGAAGGCTGTCTTCAGAAAATATTTTCACATATTATATCAAAATATTTCAAATACTTAATTATATCATTGAATACATTGTTCTTCCATTCCAAGAGCTTGCGATCAAATGGCCAGATGAATTCAAACATGAAAAGAGGCCATAAGAAAGATTGATTTAGATTGGTTTCTATAGAGTTGGGTGAACAGCCATAAATGAATGAACAAGAAACGCATTTCGTTATGGGAAGAGAGAGTGTTCAGAGTCTTAAACAGAGAGATTTGAGAGATTTTTATGAATTATCTTACAGGTTTTCCTTTTTGGAATAGGCAAACAAGTTTGATTATGTTGTGTTATGCTTTGGTTTATTAGAAGAAAGTTCAAACCTGATATGGGTCATTCCAGTTGGGTGTAATGTGCAAAGGTCTGTCCTTACATATTTACAGAAGTTGCTTCCCCATTTAGTCTTCACACCATTCTGCATTATAGGGATTTTATCTCTATCTCACGCAGTCAGGAAGCTCAGAGTAAATGGCAGAGCTGAATTTCAATTGAAGTCTGTCTGACGACAAGCATGTGTCCTTCCCATTATACTTACAGTTCCACAGATGCCACCAAATAATAATAATGACAATATAGTACTGTATGTTATGGGTTGAATTGTGGCCTCCAAAAATTTATGTGTTAAAATCCTAACCCCTAAACCTCAGAATATGATGTTGTTTGGAGATAGGGTCTTTATAGAGGTAACCAAGTTGAAATGAGGTGTCATTAGTGTGGGTCCTCATCCAATATGACTGATGTCCTTATAAAAAGGGGGGAACTTGGACACACAGGGAGAACACCATGTAAAGATAAAGGCAGATATCAGAATGATACTTCTACAAGCCAAGGGATGCTTTGTTACAGCAGCCCTAGCAAACTAATACACTATATGTCTTAACTAGTATCTTCAAAAGCCAAGGATAAATACCCTTGAATTCTATGTTGGGTGTTTTAATGTGATATGAGAAGCATTTAGGGGCCACTACAGGTTTTGAGAAGGGAAAGAATTAGTGAGTGTAGGATAAGTCATTCTTGTTTGGTGAAAACGAGCTGAGTTCAGCTTGGCTGGGAGAGCTGAGGCCAGGTAAATGGAGTCCCTGCAAATTTAAAAAGCCCTTGCAACCACTTTGTTCATTGAGATTTATGCTTATGCTTACCAATATTGCTTTATGCTTTTTCAAATTTACTTTATGCTTCCCAATTTTGTTTGTACCTTTCATTTGAATGGACAACGTTCATTGAACTTTACCTTGATTAAACTCCAAGCAGAATTTTTATGGCATTCCTCAGCTTGCCAACTTTGCTATCCATATCCATTGGATTTTACATGTGTTGGTGATTGAGTTTCTCTGTGTTATTCTCAAAGGCAATGGATGGTAAAGTTGAAAGAGAAAGAAAATGTGAAGGAGATGGTGAGAGAAAGAAACTTGCTAAAATGGTACGTTGAGTAGAGGAATAGGCCTGGTGCAGTGGCTCACACCTGTAATCCCAGTGCTTTAGGAGGTCAAGGCAAGAGAATTGCTTGAAGCCAGGAGTTCAAGACAAGCCTGGGCAACATAGAGGGAACCCATCTCTACAAAAAAAATTTAAAAAATAGCCGAGTGTGGTGGGACACCTATAGCCTCAACTACTCAGGAGGCTGAGGCAGGAGAATCGCTTGAGCCCAGGAGTTCAAGGCTGCAGTAAGCTATGATCACACCATTGCACTCCAGCCTGGGCAACGGAGAGAAACCCTGTCTCTAAAAAAACACAGCAGGATAATGTATCTTTGCTATGTATGTGACAGTTGGGGCTTGAGGAAAATAAAAGGTATTTAGATGAACATAGGATACTTTTTCTAGAAACTACTGTATAATGTTCTGATAATTCCAAGAATTCACTCAAAATATTTAAATACACAACTTAAATCATGACTAGAAGGAGGTCTCTCCTGCACGTTAACCATGTTAAGGCCGAGTGGTAACCAGTACCATTGAATGGGAAAGGTATGTCTGGTCTTACCTGTTCTGACCCAAATAAGCCTTGGATACTTTGTTTTCAAGGAAATCTTCAGCACTGGCCATTATTTCTGAGAAGAGTTGCCCTCATATCATTGAAGGGTGTTTCCGTGAATAGGACTTTCTGGATGACATTGAGTTAATTACATAAGCCTTCCTGCCAATCCATCTCTCTCAGGTGGAGTGTGCCCTGAGCACAGAAGCTGGGAGGCTGCTTCTCACATACCCAAGCCCAGGTCCCCTCACTAACCTTTTAGAAAACTTTCATGTTTTAGTCTGAACTGTTTGTTTCTTAAATAAGAAATGCTTTTCCTAGAAAAACTAATGTGTTACATAAATTATTAACTGGTGTCTCATAAATGATGATAATAGCTAACATTTAGGGGATATTTACTACTGGCAGGCATTCTGCTAAACATTTTCTTTACCTCACTTAATATGTTAAGAAGAATGGTGAAAATGCACAATTTTATTATTTTGAGACCAGGTGAACAAATCTGCTTTTTAAATATTTCCATCCACTGAGGCCTGCAAGACCATGGGTTTTGCATTTTCATGCATGATTTAAAGTTTTGATTATATCTTCCTGCAACTGTCTTTAAGGCCAAGGACATTTTACTTTTGTCTTCTTTCCTGGTGACTTATTTGATAAATTTGGTTTCCTTTCCTTTCATGTGTTCGAATTTGGTGTTCTGTGTTTTTTGAAGTTCATCCAACAAAATGGTTCCTGGGGTTACTGTAAAGAAACGTCACTATGTATTGATTCATTCATTCATTTGCAAGATTTGGATAATTTCCAAAGCTTATACTAAAGGGTTATAATATCTAAAGCTTTGCTATAAGAAACTTCTTAGGATGAACACTACAACCTAGACTTTAATCCAGAAAACCTTACAGTGCACCACGTTCTTGCTGGTTCTAGGTCTTGTAGCCTGCAGTAGCTTCCAACCCCACACCTGCCTCTTTCAATGACTGATGTGCCTCCATTCTTAGCTCTTGTCTTGGATAGTCCATCTTCTCTGAGAGATTTCCTTCACTTCCACATCTGAGACAGGGGACTCGCTAGATGCTTCCATGCATTTGGCCTACCATACTCCCAATCTCATTACTTTGTAATTGGGTATTTACCATATAGACACATCCCACAAACACTTCAAGGGCAAGGACTATTTTTAGTTCGCTAGCACCTAATACAGCATCTGACTTTAAAAAGTCAAGCTAGCATATGTGTTGAAAGAGTGAATGAATAATGCATGTCTCCATTCTCACATTTACCAAATCATTTTATTGCTTATGTGAACCACCCATTGTGCAGGAAGCTTCTCTGTAAAGAAGGCAGGAGTCTGTCTAATTTGTCTTTGTGTGTTGAATGCCAGTATAGGGCTGGTTACAAAGTAAGTGGTGAATGAAAGAATATGCAAATGGGGCCCAAGATCCCTGATGAGAATCTCTCACATTATTTTTTGTCATGGTTTCTAGCAGTCACAGCTCAGAAGAAAGAGCAGCTCCAATATTGGCTTGCTTCTTGATTCCTTCCTAACACTAATTGCCTTTGGACAAAGCACAGCAATTTTCCTTCCTAATACATATGGCACCAAGGTTGTTAGTAGTCCTTCATTTTGCTTCATAGATAGAAACATGACTTAGAGAACAAAAGGACTCCCATGGCAGGAAGGGCGAAGATAGTTGTTTATTCATTTTTATTTGTTCTGGAGGTTAGGTTAGAACTCCTGAAACAGGTGGTAGAACTCACACTTTCATAAATATTAGAACTTGTTGCTTTATATATCAATCTGTAAGCTGCACTAACTCAGTATGAAAGATGAATATAATTTATGGTGGTTATAAACAGCAATAGTTCCCTGGATATTCCAGTTGAATTTTATAGAGTTGAAACATGCTTGCTTTTTGTTTGTAATTAAAACTGCAAGAATTTTTTATTAACTGTTGCTCACACTTCAGTGATTCTCTGAATATTTCCAGGGCCTCTAGTGATGGCTACCAGGCAGGTGTGGATCAATGTGAAATAATGTGCATATATAAGCACACTTGATAACTGTAAAGCTTTCATGGGCTCAACTAAAGTTCAAACAACTTGGAACGAAGTGGCAGAACAAACAAGTTCTCAAAATACTGCTAGGTGTAGGATTTTGACAAGGTCAAACTGAGTTTATTACTCAATGGCCCAATGGTTTCAACTTGAATCTCTGATAAAATAAGCATAATGGATTATTCAGCCCCTGGAAAGCTCTGTTCTACTCAGTCACATCTCTGGTATAACATCCAAAAGTCTAGTTTCCAAAAAGAGCTGTTTAGTTTGAATATGGAGCTGTCAAATCGGTCAGTGGCTCTTGATTCAGCAAACCAGTCTTATTTGATGGGTTGCGTATCCTGGCTTCTGTACTGAGAGGACTCTAGACTCAGTTCTCTGCTGAGAACTTTTTCTGAAAGGCAATCAAATTATAGGAAGCTAGGGGTCAGTTTTCGACGCTGTTGCCTTATAAATCATCGTACATCAGTATTATGATTCAGTAATACACATGATCCCTCTACATTCTTGGAATATTACAGTTAGCTAGATACTCCCAATGCTGAATTAAATTGCCTTGTTTGTATTTGACTGTAATGGGCCTTTCTGAGTATATATAAGAGTTTGGGGAAAAGGAAACTATGGACTTGGATAAATGGATATAGAAACAAAAATAAATTTATTCAATTTTAAGCTTATTAAGGGGAGGAACCTATGTCTCCATTTATTTATTCCATAAGCATCTGAGTACTTGAGATGTTGTAGCCATTGTTCTAGGTTGTGAAATATATAAAGACAAAAACAACAAAAACTGTAACAATACAGTTATAGTCACTGCCTTTAAGGAGTTCACCATCTATGGGGAATACAGAAACAAAGACACATAATTATACTGTTTTTAAAGTCGTATACTACAGTCATATGTCACTTAATAATGAGAATGTATTCTGAGAAATGCATCATTAGGGCTATTTTGTCATTATGCAGACATCACAGAGTGTACTTACATAGCCTGGATGATATAGCTTCCTATACACCTAGGCTATATGGTGTAGCCTATTTCTCCCAGGCTATAAACCTTAATTTACAGCATGTTATGTTCTACATTCTGTAGGCAACTGCAACACAATGGTAAGTATTTATGTATCAAAACATATTTAAACATAAAAACATACAGTACATGTATGGTTTTATAATCTTATGGGACTACCATTGAATATGTGGTCTGTCATTGATCCAAGTGTCCATATGCAGCCCATAACTGTAGATGTAATTTGAGATGTAACTGAGACTAATGGCAATACAACTAATCAGTGTGTGTATGTGGGATGGGGTGAGTTGGTGAGTTTTACAGACAGAGAAGACAGCATGATAAAAACCATGGGGGTGGGCATAAGAAAGCCTAACTGGCAAAGGGACGTTGTAACCCCTGCTGTGTTGCTGTGATAGCAATCTTGGTCTCCCAATTCATTCTAGCGGGGGCTGGAGAATTGGGAGGGGCCAGATCTTGGATGGCATTGTGTGCCAGGTAAGGACCTTAAATTTCACTTGTGAGTAATGGAAAACTGTGACATGATTCCATTTTCCCTTGAGACAGTTTACCCTGGTAATTCTGGTGAAGATTAGACTATAGCTAGCAACACTAGAGGCAGGAGATCCATCAGCCACCTTACAGAGAAATGGTGAGGGCCTGGATTAGGGACACAATGTTTTGGACACAACATTAGATTTAGAGGATGAGTGCGGGGAAGAGGGCTGGGGAGCAAGATTTCCCAGATTTCAAACTTGGGTGACCAGATGGACTGTGGGGCCACCAAGAAGATAGAGAAGGAAGACTCAGTGGGAAGTTAAAACATTCCATTTTGACATATGGGTCTGATTTGTCCATGGGTCACTAAAGCCAGCATGTCTTACATGTAGTCAGATAGTCTATAGTCTAAGTAACAGGGTAGCTGTCTGGACTCAAGACTTAGACTTCGGGATGTGAGGGTGATCTGGCTGTGATATCTGTCCCCCATTGACTGCCAGGGTTGATTCGGCTGATCTGGCTGCCTAGGCAGGTGTCTCCTTCCTCCCTCACCGCTCCATGTGCAACCCTCCTGAAGCTGCACTGTGGATTGAAGGGGACAGTCTTCCCCAATACAGGAGGACTGTTCTTTCATTCAGGATATCTGAGTGGCCATGCTTCCCTGCTAGAACCTCCAAACAAGCTCCCAAGATTGAGCCTCAGGGTTCCTCAGAAAGTAGATGGTAGTTGGCACAATGACGTGGCAGAGAGCTCTCAGGAAAGTGTAGGTGGAAAGAATAGGAGGGCTGAGGATAGAAATGTTCAGAACATCAACATCAAAGAAGGCTCCATCTACATGGTGAGGCATTCCAGTGCCCAACACAATGCTTGGTGCATACGAAATTCTTAATACATAAAAATGAGTATATTACCAATAAATACACTCTGCATGTGTGAATGAAAACTAAAAGGTATAGTTAAGTAAACAAGTTCTAAGGCAGTGGTTCTTGCCCCTGAATACACACTGGAATCACTGAAGATCCTTTATAAATTATCCGTGACCAAGTCCCACTCCCAGAGATCTGCCTTAGTTTTTCTGGGATGGAGCCTAGACACAGGTAACGGTGTACACAGGCACACACACACTTCTACATAGGCGTCTATTTTTAATTCCCAAAGTGATTTTAATTTGCAGTGAGGGTTAAGAACCACTACTCTAGGGGAAATTAGAGGCTGATGAAAAGTTGGTGAGATGGCAGTCCTGGCTGGGGAGATGAGGAAGGAGCCAAGAGAAAACTGAAAAGTGTTATAGTTTTAGAAAAAGAGGAAAATTAAGATTAGAAAGAGCATTTTCTGTAAGAAACCAGGCAAAGATCTTAGCCTAGGAAAGCATTAGATCTGAGGAGCTGGATTAAAAGGAGGAACTAGTGTGGAAATAGGCCTGTGTTCCTCCAGGGTATCGGGTCGTGTGTGGGAAGCTTTATGTCCTCCCTGGTATGCACATAATAGCCACATTCAACAGGAGAGTCAAGGAGCTAGTCATCACTGGCTGGTACCCAGAAGACTCCCAGAGGCTAAAATAGTTTCCGGTTGTAAAATAGAAGACACTGGAAGGAGTCTTTCTTGTCTTAGGGCCTGAAGGGTACCAAGCATGGACTTGTCCTGCGACATATACACAGGCATGGACCACAGTGGGCCTGGAGGGTTGGGGTCACAGCTGGTGTGCCAGGAATGGCCCATGGGACACAGGGTAATTTATTTTCCTGTTTGTTTGCATAGGTGAGTGTTATCACATGAATGTTACCTGCCATCCTTAGTTGTGGGTATATTTTGGAACTGGGGTTGGAGGCTGCTTCAGTACTGAGGAGTCAATCGGGATGCTTCACTTCTCCAAAGAGATGGCTGTTCTAATCAAGATATTACTTAGGTGGCCTGGAAGCTCTGCTCTTGGCACAATGTATTCTGAAGGTTCATTTCAGTTTCAGGATTCTATGACTGAAGGAGCAAGCCACTAGACGGCCACTCTGAAAAAGCCAAGTAACTGTGTGAAAAGAATTGAGTTCATTGCTCAACATTGGAGTCTTCTGGCAAAGGAGAGGGAGGGGAAGAGAGAGGGTGAGCTCACGGGCCTGCACCCACACGAATGTGTGCACAAGCCAAGATTATACTTCGTAATTATTTTAACTACCATGAAAACACTGTGATCCACTTGGCTGTGGCCCAAGTTAGAAATAGGTGTATCGTTTAGTACAGTTAATTATCAGCTTTGGATGTCAGAAATTGCTTCAAGACTATGATATAGAGCAAGAGAACACTTTGTTTTCTGCTCTTCCATGTCGAGTCTCTAATACATACCAAAACGTTAGGAACTTTTCCCTGGTTTGTTCTGTTGCTAACAGTTCTCAGGCTACTCATTATCCCTTACCTGGGACTAACTCAGGTACCTATGTAGTTGGCATCTCTGCCTCAAATTATGAGGTGTGACATTTGGGAGGGATAATCAGTCTGAGATAACAAGACACAAGAGATCACAGCAGGATGTCTGAACACAGAGGAGTGGCTTGGCCTGCATCTGAGGATATATACATCTTTCAAGAAGACGCCATTTTGCAAGTGTATGCAGGTGGACTTTTTGAATGACTGAAATAGCCAACAAGCAACTTTCCCTCAGAAATCCTAGAATGTGGGGGGCAGTTCCAAGATGGCCGAACAGGAGCAGCTCCAGTGTACAGCTCCCAGCATGAGTGACGCAGAAGACGGGTGATTTCTGCATTTCCAACTGAGGTACCGGGTTCATCTCACTGGGGCTTGTCGGACAGTGGGTGCAGGACAGTGGGTGCAGTGCACCAAGAGTGAGCCAAAGCAGGGCGAGGCATCACCTCACCTGGGAAGCGCAAAGGGTCAGGGAATTCCCTTTCATAGCCAGGCAAAGCTGTGACAGATTGCACATGGAAAATCAGGTCACTCCCACCCTAATACTGCGTGTTTCCAATGGTCTTAGCAAACAGCACACCAGGAGATTATATCCCACACCTGGCTCGGAGGGTCCCACGCCCACGCAGCCTTGCTCATTGCTAGCACAGCAGTCTGAGATCAAACTGCAAGGTGGCAGCGAGGCTGGGGGAGGGGCGCCCACCATTGCTGAGACTTGAGTAGGTAAACAAAGTGGCCGGGAAGCTTGGACTGGGTGGATCCCACCACAGTTCAAGGAGGCCTGCCTGCCTCTGTAGACTCCACCTGTGGGGGCAGGGCATAGCTGAACAAAAGGCAGCACAAATCCTGCAGACTTAAATGTCCCTGTCTGACAGCTTTGAAGAGAGTAGTGGTTCTCCCAGCATGGAGGTTGAGATCTGAGAACGGACAGACTGCCTCAAGTGGGTCCCTGACCCCCGAGTAGCCTATCTGGGAGGCATCCCCCAGTAGGGGTAGACTGACACCTCACACGGCCGGGTACCCCTCTGAGACGAAACCTCCAGAGGAATGATCAGACAGCAACATTTGCTGTTCAGCAATATTTGCTGTTCTGCATCCTCCGCTACTGATACCCAGGCAAACAGTCTGGAGTGGACTTCCAGCAAACCCCAACAGACCTGCAGCTGAGGGTCCTGACTGTTAAAAGGAAAACTAACAAACAGAAAGGACATCCACACCAAAGCCCCATCTGTACGTCACCATCATCAAAGACCAAAGGTAGATAAAACCACAAAAATGGGGAAAAAAATAACAGAAAATCTGAAAATTCTAAAAATCAGAGCACCTCTCTTCCTCCAAAGGAACACAGCTCCTCACCAGCAATGGAACAAAGCTGGATGGAGAATTACGTTGATGAGTTGAGAGAAGAAGGCTTCAGATGATCAAACTTTTCTGAGCTAAAGGAGGAAGATCGAACCCATCGCAAAGAAGTTAAAAACCTTGAAAAAAGATTGGATGAATGGCTAACTAGAATAACCAATGCAGAGAAGTCCTTAAAGGAGCTGATGGAGCTGAAAACCATGGCACAAGAACTATGTGATGAATGCACAATCTTCAGTAGCCGATTTGATCAACTGGAAGAAAGGATATCAGTGACTGAAGATCAAATGAATGAAATGAAGCAAGAAGAGAAATTTCGAGAAAAAAGAATAAAAAGAAATGAACAAAGCCTCCAAGAAATATGGGACCATTTGAAAAGACCAAATCTACGTCTGACTGGTATACCTGAAAGTGACAGGGAGAATGAAACCAAGCTGGAAAACACTCTTCAGGATATTATCCCGAACTTCCCCAACTTAGCAAGGCAGGCCAACATTCAAATTCAGGAAATACAGAGAATGCTACAAAGATACTCCTCGAGAAGAGCAACTCCAAGACACATAATTGTCAGATTCATCAAAGTTGAAAGGAAGGAAAAAATGTTAAGGGCAGCCAGACAGAAAGGTCGGGTTACCCACAAAGGGAAGCCCATCAGACTAACAGCTGATCTCTCGGCAGAAACTCTATGAGCCAGAAGAGAGTGGGGGCCAATATTCAACATTCTTAAAGAAAAGAATTTTCAACCCAGAATTTCATATCCAGCCAAACTAAGCTTCATAAGTGAAGGAGAAATAAAATCCTTTACAGACAAGCAACTGCTGAGAGATTTTGTCACCACCAGGCCTGCCCTACAAGAGCTCCTGAAGGAAGCACTAAACATGGAAAGGAACAACCAGTACCAGCCACTGCAAAAACATGCCAAATTGTAAAGACCATCAAGTTTAGGAGGAAACCGCATCAACTAACGAGCAAAATAACCAGCTAACATCATAATGACAGGATCAAATTCACACATAACTATATTAACCTTAAATGTAAATGGGCTAAATGCTCCAATTAAAAGACACAGACTGGCAAATTGGATAAGAGTCAAGACCCATCAGTGTGCTGCCTTCAGGAAACCCATCTCATGTGCAGAGACACATACAGGCTCAAAATAAAGGGATGGAGGATGATCTACCAAGCAAAAGGAAAACAAAAAAAAGGCAGGGGTTGCAATCCTAGTCTCTGATAAAACAGACTAAACCAACAAAGATCAAAAGAGACAAACAAGGCCATTACATAATGGTAAAGGGATCAATTCAACAAGAAGAGCTAACTATCCTAAATACATATGCACCCAATACAGGAGCACCCAGATTCATAAAGAAGTCCTTAGAGACCTACAAAGAGACTTAGACTCCCACACGATAATAATGGGAGACTTTAACACCGCACTGTCAACATTAGACAGATCAATGAGACAGAAAGTTAATAAGGATATCCAAGAATTGAACTCAGCTCTGCACCAAGCAGACCTAACAGACATCTACGGAACTCTCCACCCCAAATCAACAGAATGTACATTCTTCTCAGCACCACACCACACCTATTCCAAAATTGTCCACATAGTTGGAAGTAAAGCACTCCTCAGCAAATGGAAAAGAAGAGAAATTATAACAAACTGTCTCTCAGACCACAGTGCAATCAAACTAGAACTCAGGATTAAGAAACTCAATCAAAACTGCTCAACTACATGGAAACTGAACAACCTGCTCCTGAATAATTACTGGGTACGTAATGAAATGAAGGCAGAAATAAAAATGTTCTTTGAAACCAACCAGAATGAAGACACAACATACCAGAATCTCTGGGACACATTTAAAGCAGTGTGTAGAGGGAAATTTATAGCACTAAATGCCCACAAGAGAAAGCCGGAAAGATCTAAAATTGTCACCCTAACATTGCAATTAAAATAACTAGAGAAGCAAGAGCAAACACATTCAAAAGCTAGCAGAAGGCAAGAAATAACTAAGATCAGAGCAGAACTGAAGGAAATAGAGACACAAAGAACCCTTCAAAAAAATCAATGAATCCAGGAGCTGGTTTTTTGAAAAGATCAACAAAATTGATTGACCGCTAACAAGACTAATAAAGAAGAAAAGAGAGAAGAATCAAATAGATGCAATAAAAATGATAAAGGGGATATCACCACCAATCCCACAGAAATACAAACTACCATCAGAGAATACTATAAACACCTCTATGCAAATAAACTAGAAAATCTAGAAGAAATGGATAAATTCCTCGACACATACACCCTCCCAAGACTAAACCAGGAAGAAGTTGAATCTCTGAATAGACCAATAACAGGCTCTGAAATTGAGGCAATAATTAATAGCTTACCAACCAAAAAAAGTCCAGGACCAGATGGATTCACAGCCGAATTCTACCAGAGGTACAAGGAGGGGCTGGTACCATTCCTTCTGAAACTATTCCAATCAATAGAAAAAGAGGGAATCCTCCCTAACTCATTTTATGAGGCCAGCATCATCCTGATACCCAGGCCTGGCAGAGACACAACAAAAAAAGAGAATTTTAGACCAATATCCCTGATGAACATCAATGCAAAAATCCTCAATAAAATACTGGCAAACCGAATCCAGCAGCACATCCGACAGCTTATCCACCATGATCAAGTGGGCTTCATCCCTGGGATGCAAGGCTGGTTCAACATATGCAAATCAAAAAACATAATCCAACATATAAACAGAACCAAAGACAAAAACCACATGATTATCTCAGTAGATGCAGAAAAGGCCTTTGACAAAATTCAACAACCCTTCATGCTAAAAACTCTCAATAAATTAGGTGTTGATGGGATGTATCTCAAAATAATAAGAGCTATTTATGACAGACCCACAGGCAATATCATACTGAATGGGCAAAAACTGGAAGGATTCCCTTTGAAAACTGGCACAAGACAGGGATGCCCTCTCTCACCACTCCTATTCAACATAGTGTTGGAAGTTCTGGCCAGGGCAATCAGGCAGGAGAAAGAAATAAAGCCTATTCAATTAGGAAAACAGGAAGTCAAATTGTCCCTGTTTGCAGATGACGTGATTGTATATCTGGAAAACCCCATCGACTTAGCCCAAAATCTCCTTAAGCTGATAGGCAACTTCAGCAAAGTCTCAGCATACAAAATCAATGTACAAAAATCACAAGCATTATTATACACCAATAACAGACAAACAGCCAAATCATGAGTGAATTCCCATTCACAATTGCTTCAAAGAGAATAAAATACCTAGGAATCCAACTTACAAGGGATGTGAAGGACCTCTTCAAGGAGAAACCATTGCTCAATGAAATAAAAGAGGACACAAACAAATGGAAGAACATTCCATGCTCATGGGTAGGAAGAATCAATATTGTGAAAATGGCCATATTGCCCAAGGTAATTTATAGATTCAATGCCATCCCCATCAAGCTACCAATGCCTTTCTTCACAGAATTGGAAAAAACTACTTTAAAATTCACATGGAACCAAAAAAGAGCCCGCATTGCCAAGTCAGTCCTAAGCCAGAAGAACAAAGCTGGAGGCATCACGCTACCTGACTTCAAACTATACTACAAGGCTACAGTAACCAAACAGCATGGCACTGGTACCAAAACAGAGATATAGACCAATGGAACAGAACAGAGACCTCAGAAATAATACCACACATCTATAGCTATCTGATCTTTGACGAACCTGACAAAAACAAGAAATGGGGAAAGGATTCCCTATTTAATAAATGGTGCTGGGAAAACTGGCTAGCCATATGTAGAAAGCTGAAACTGGATCCCTTCCTTACACTTTATACAAAAATTAATTAAAGATGGATTAAAGACTTACATGTTAGACCTGAAACCATAAAAACCCTAGAAGAAAACTTAGGCAATACCATTCAGGACATAGGCATGGGCAAGGACTTCATGTCTAAAACACCAAAAGCAATGGCAACAAAAGTCAAAATTGACAAATGGGATCTAATTAAACTAAAGAGCTTCTGCACAGCAAAAGAAACTACCATCAGAGTGAACAGGCAACCTACAGAATGGGGAAAATTTTTGCAATCTATTCATCTGACAAAGGGCTAATATCCAGAATCTACAAAGAACTCAAATTTACAAGAAAAAAACAACCCCATCAAAAAGTGGGCGAAGGATATGAACAGACACTTCTCAAAAGAAGACATTTATGCAGCCAACAGACACATGAAAAAATGCTTGTCATCACTGGCCATCAGAGAAATGCAAATCAAAACCACAATGAGATACCATCTCACACCAGTTAGAATGACAAGCATTAAAAAGTCAGGAAATAACAGGTGCTGGAGAGGATGTGGAGAAATAGGAACACTTTTACACTGTTGGTGGGACTGTAAACTAGTTCAACCATTGTGGAAGACAGTGTGGCAATTCCTCAGGGTTCTAGAACTAGAAATACCATTTGACCCAGCCATCCCATTACTGGGTATATAACCAAAGGAATATAAATCATGCTGCTAGAAAGACACATGCACACGTATGTTTATTGCAGCACTACTCACAATAGCAAAGACTTGGAACCAACCCAAATGTCCAACAATGATAGACTGGATTAAGAAAATGTGGCACATATACACCATGGAATACTATGCAGTCATAAAAAGGATGAGTTCATGTCCTTTGTAGGGACATGGATGAAGCTGGAAACCATCATTCTCAGCATACGATCGCAAGAACAAAAAACCAAACACCGCATGTTGTCACTCATAGGTGGGAATTGAACAATGAGAACACTTGGATACAGGAAGGGGAACATCACACACCAGGGCCTGTTGTGGGGTGAAGGGAGTGGGGAGGGATAGCATTAGGAGATATACCTAATGTAAATGATAAGTTAATGGGTACAGCACACCAATATGGCATATGTATACATATGTAACAAACCTGCACACTGTGCACATGTACCCTAGAACTTAAAGTATAATAAAAAAATTTTTTTTAAAAAAAGCAATCCTAGAATGCATCACTTTTACATGTGCCTGGAAGCTGTGAATAATAATTTAAGCATAATCAGTGGCTTATGCTTAAATACAAGGCTTTTATTTGTTCATTTTTTCATTCATTCAATTCAGTGTTTATTAGATGTCTACTGTGTGTTGCCTTTGGTAAGACACTGAGGACAAAATGATGAACTAAAGAGGACAAAGATTCTAGCATCTCTCCTGCTGTCCTGAACTCTCCAGACTACAGAGAATGGGGTGGTGAGTAAGGAGACAGACATTGATCATATAATGCCCCAATGAATGTCTAATTATTAACAGATGAAAGTCTCCTAAGAAAACAAATGCTTATTCATGAGAGAGTAAATGCTTACCTGTGAGAAGTAACATATTCAGTGGAACCTGAAAAGGCTTCTTGGAGGCCTTACATCTGGAACTGGGATGTGAAGGATGCAGATGGCTCCAGAAAGAGGAGGTAGCATGTATAAAGGCCCTGCAGTCAAAGGAATTATGAGGAGCAGGGGAAGTGAGAGGGGACCAGTGTGGTGTGCAGAGAGTTAAGGGGTGAGGCAGGAGACGTAGACAGCGGTCAGATCCTGTAGGGACTTGAGTGTCATGTTAAAACCAATGAGAAGGTATTGAATGGTTTAAGTGAAGGTGAGTGGCATACCATTCTGATTTGCAAAAAGTCACTCTAGGTACTGTGTGGTGAACAGATTCGAGGGAGGGGCATAATACACGTGTGAGATCAGTTAACAAGCTATTGCAGAAGACTAAGCCAACAGGTGAGAGTATTTAACACTACCATAGTAATGGGGTAGGTATAGAGAAGAGGATGATCCCCAAGACATCTAAGAATATAATTGATGATGATGTTCGTTGAATTTGAGATTGAGGAAGAGGCGGGAGACAAGGATGACTCTTAGCTTTCAGCCCTGCATAACTGTGTGAAGAGTGGTTTTACTCAAAGACAACTATCAGACGAGGAGGAGTAGGTTTGTTGTTCTGGCATGGATGTGTCGTGCAAATCATGAGTTTGATTTTGCATGTGTTAAATTGGAATACCTTGGGGAGATCTAAGAACACAAGTCTCTCAGAAGTAACTGTGCAGGGCCTCTGGAGGAGCTTTCCCCTTTGTGGGCTTACCCAAACTTCAGCGCAGAGCTCCCTGGTGGCTGGCTATAGCCTCTTACCAAGGAGCATGGTCCGCCACTACATGAGTTTGGTTTATCCCCAGAGCTAGGGGTGATGTGATTCTCTGTTTCTGAATCCACATGTGTATTTGTATCCAGTTTATGGTGCCAGTGGCTGCTATGGCTTTAGGGGCCATTTGGTGCAATGGGAGAAATCCTGGTTAGATAAGCATTGATTCCCACTTGGGTTCTGCCAGAATTAGCTATGGGATTTGGCCACTGTGATTTCTTTAGATCAGTATTTCCTCCTGTGTAAGAGAAGCAGTTGAACTAGATAGTCTATAAGAGTTCTCCTGGCTCTAATGTTCATTTATTCTAATTTCTAATCTTTGCCTACACTAAACAAACAGTTTGAGGAATGGTAAATAAATACATTTCTGGATAGAGGGAGCAGTTCTTGGCTATTTTGAATCTCTCATATTTGGTTTGCCCACCCGATGAGGACTTAAATCACTCATGTTTCATTTATCATCTCTTAATCAGGTTATTTATCATGTCCAGCAGTTTTCAAATAGGGACGTTAGAAATGTTTCTTCTTAAGTGCTAACTTTGATTCATGAGACATGAGTACCTGTGATATCCATTGAGAAGGATTCTGGTGCAGCATCTTGGGTGGGATGAGAAAGCACCATGACTGACGATGTCTGTCATTGGTATGGAATGGGGACTGGCAGCAGCCTAAGTGCCATGCCTTGTCATCCTCGTCCTGAGATATGGCCTTCTGTTTTCCCTGCCAATGTGTAAGCACTATCTGATGGTTAAAACAAGTAATTGCAGGATTCTACTTTCCCAGACTTGTTCTGGAGCTGAAATTTTTGACTATCTATCTTTTACTGTGTTGTGCTCTAATGTCATTTCCAACAATTTTGTGGGATAAGAGGGGGTTCAATATATGTCTAGTTAATTTTGTTCAGTGGGTAACATTGTTTAGCACTTCCTGCAGTATATGTAAAATGTCTACTTTTCTATTTTTAAATGGACAATCTGATGAAAATAAGTCTTCCTTTATAGGTTGAGGATCATGCAGGAACTCAGGGGTTAGTCTTCTAAACTGGTGCTTCTCCAAGTTAATGTGCAAACATATTACCTAGGGATCTTGTTAAAACCCAGGTTCCTGGACTTTACTTCCAGGTATTCTGGTTCAGTAAGTCTGATTGGGCCTGAGATCCTGACAAGGTGCTTGCCTGGCAGCACAGATAGAATAGCAAAGGTCTGAACAACACTCATCATTGTACAGACAACATGGAGATGGATACATTAGAGCTGAATGTTTGGAAGTTAGACAAGACCCTAAAGCTACTTACCTTGGAAAAATACAACTGCTCCATAAATTCTTGATATGAATTTATTTTTATCTGATTTGCTTCTTTTTTTCTAAGAGTAGAATGTAGAGGAAAAATACTGGTTGATTGAGGTCTTTGGTTAATTATATTCCAGACAATTAAAGTTTTATTGAGCTCCTAAAACACTCAATATATACCACAAATGTAGTTAGTTATTTATAACATTAAAAAAATTCTAATTGTTTTGTTTTACTAAAAAAAATTGCTCACTGTAAAAAAATGTAGACAATGCAGAAATGCATTAAATAGAAAGTGAAAAAAAATCTTCTCCCAAACTCTACCTTTTAGATTTAATAGCACTGTTATAAACAGTTTGAATGGGTTGGTGTGTGCCCTTTTAGACTTTTTCTTATACTAGGATAAATCTTATTCATCTGTCTGTCTGCACATAAATATACAAATAAATATCATAGAAGGAATAAATAAATATCTTTTTATTTCTTTCTAAAAGGAGAAATTTGCTTTTAGGTTCCACAGGATGAGATTCAAAGGGGCCAAAAATAATTTTTTTCCCTCTCTCATATTTCTGCAATTTGCTTTTTGACAGTTATATATTGTAATAGTATGAACATCTTTCCAATTATGTACATACATCTATTCACTTGCTGGTATTTCGGTTGCACTGGGCTGTTTCCCTTCATCTGACTATAAATCCCAATTTTTATTATTTACTTCTCACAGAATATCTTACACAGGGATGGGTATAAAGTCTCTGATACATAAATGACAGCTGCATTTTACTGCACTTTGAAGTGCGCTGACATTACCTTGGATCATTTTCTCCAATCTGAGATGCAATATTAGTAAGGTTTTTCATTGATTCCACAAGTGTTTACTGAAAACCTACTATGTGTCAGGCATTGAGCACCTGTCTGTACCAGGAACTAAGGGACAGAAAAGTGAATAAATGAGAAGGCCATGGTTCCTGTCCACATGGAGCTGACAATTCAAGTAAAGATACAGGCATGGAGTGTTTTACTGAATTCTTACCCTAGAAAGATGAGACTTGGTATTTTGTGAATTTTTAAGGAAAACAAGAAAATCCTGGTAACTTTCCTCCCTTCACTTGACATAAAATGATGAGATCGTCACTATCCCTGAGACTTCTCTAGCTTTGGCCAGAATCCAGTTTGAACACATCTGGAGTTCAGATGCAGGGTGGGGTAGTCCAGAAAATGATTGTCTCTCCGAGAATGATTCAAAGGACATGCAAGGACAAGACTGGAGGTTATTATTATTTTGAATCACGAGGTATGCACGTCGGGATTTACTGGAGATGAGGTGAGCTTTATTAATTTATTTGTTAGAGCAGTGAAGTGTGAAATAATGTTTTCTGACCAATGCAAAGGTGGAATGTGAATTCATGCTGTAAATTCAACTAATGTTATATGTAAACCCTGTTTTGCATTAGGCACTGTTGGTGTATTATGTAAATAGAGTTCTATCATTATACAAAGACTACCATTATTGACGAGGCAGTGCTTAATAGCATGGTTATGTTATCTGGATATTGAGAGCACCAGGATTTATTCTTCTGTGGCATAAGTTACTTTATTACTAGGATTTCTTATAAAGCTCGTTTATTGAAATAATTAGAAACAAAGTGCCCACATACACATTGGCAGGGTAAGCTCCTTAACAAGTCACCGCTCCACAATCATTCCAGATTGGGCTTCTGGAAAAATACTCTTACAAACTTTTATCAGAAGAGTGAAGACTGTTAGGTTTTACATTTAATATGTGATAATCTTCAGACAACAGTTAAGCAGCACTTAATGAACTTAGCCTCTCTGCAATTAACATGTTCTGAATTGGGGTGAGACAGAACGGAGGAAGGTTTCCTTCTTTTCAATTAATTTCCTAGGTGGCAGATACTGCTTTCCCTTCAATACCCTTTCCCTGGCTGTGGGATGCTCCCAGACTGCTGCAACAGCTAGACTTGGGAAGGAAGTGTGGGCAGGTTAATTACACCTGTTACTCTTCACTCCCACACCCCACCTGAGGTTTGCATGCAGTGGAAGGGGCAATTGGATGCAAAACTTGGCAGATAGAAGCTGAGAAGTGGGATGCAGGTTTTCCAAACTGGTTGTCCTGACAAAATTTGATAGTCTACACTATAATTCAGATGTTTAGTGTCTGTAATTTATCTAAAAGGCAGGAAAAAAATTTGTGAGAGTATCATATATACGTTTTTTTCAGAGTTAGCCTTAGAAGTTTTTTTTCATTCCATGGACTTGCTTTATCTTATCTCTTTGGTCTAGTCCAGGCTTTTCTAAACTTCACTCATTTGGATATAATCTTAATGATGTGTCCATATCCTAGTAAGATCTGTACTATCATTTACTTACCATTTTTCTTTGTCAACTTTTTAAAACTTAGCATAGAAATCACGAGGTTAATAGGTTAGTTTTATTTTTTATATTCTTCTAATATATACAGACATCAGCATATAGCTATTAAGGTATCTTTTTATGGGGATTGTCTAATCTTCCAAAAAGCCGGTGGTTCATATAACACACCTGGGAAGCCCTGCCTCCTTCCAAGTTTGTCCTCGCTTGTGACTGCCACTGTTTGGGGTGGGTTATGAGAGCAGCCCTGCCCCCAGCCAATTAGACTGCTCCCTGTGTGGATCAGGGGTTTTCCTGGTCTCATGAATCCAAGGCCAGTTTGGGGCTTAGCCCTCAGATGGCTCCATCCCTAGCCTGGTAAGTAAATGGAAGTGAGCCCAGTTCTTACTTCCTTCTTCTGAGTCCCCTACCTCATGTGGTATGTGTTCTTTTGAACATTGAGATTCTGCCACCTTTGTTCTAAATGTCACACTGCTTTGCACACGGTAGGTGGTCTCTGCATTATTTCCAGGCAAATTAGGGGGTCACTGGAAGCCTAACTAGGCAGAAATCAACCAAAGTAGCTACTTAAACCCATTTTTCTAACTTCAAATTGCTCTACCTTAGAGCTTTTGAGGTGAAATGCTTTTGTTGGGTGCTTTCCCCTGGCTTTTCCTCCTAGATTTTTTTCTCCAGTTTGAGGAATGGTAATGGAATAGTTTATTCTTTCCTACTTGCTTAATGAGGTTTAGGAAGTGTGGTTGTTGGCAAAATTATTTGCTGCAGCATTCACCAAGAATTCAAGAAGCTTGCTCTGTCATTTTTACTATGCTTATTCCAGCCTGTATGCTTTTCAGAATCCACTGATACACATAATAATTTGAAACTTTGGCTAATCTCAAATAATTTATATTTGGCTTTGAAATGAATAGTTATACAGTTTGGGATTTTTGGCAGATTTTCTGTTTTGATTATGTAACTTCTTGGCAATATTAACCTAAAATAAGAAATAATAGCTGTATATGGGTGTCTGGTGGATGGCTACAAATGAATGAGAGAGTCCAGTGTATAGGAAAAAAATGTGATGACTCAGAAAAACCAGACAAGACACTCATCTGTAAGAATTTTCTTTTTTTGTATGTTAGTTTCCCCTAATACCTTTTATGCAGGGAACTCCAAAAACATTACTTCTGATACCTCAGACATTTTTTCCTACCCACAAATGAATACACTACTTACAATTTCTTTTGGGCCTCTCTACAGAGCTGTAAGGTTATATGTACTCATCTAAAAAGGAATCCAAGTTTCCTATAGGAATGGGATATACCAGCGACAGTGTCCCCTTTATGTCACACAGGTACCACTGGCAATGTCTAGCACTGCTGTGGCTCAGCTCCTAACAATTGTGTTATTCTGCCTTTCATATTTCTAGTCCCAGTGTGATCAAGATGGGAAATGACAAGAGATGAGATTGGAAAGGCACATAGGGCCCAAATGCTCTCCATTTTATTTTGTAGACAGGGGAAGGTCACCAGAAGGGTTTAAGCAAAGGTATGCTGTAATAGAGTCTGTGTTTTAGAAAGATTACCCAGCCCACAGTTTGGGTAGTGGTGGTAGTAGGGATGAGACCCAAGCTGGGCACAGTGACGAAGAAGTCACTGCCACGGTCTCAGTGAAAGTTGATAAAGACAGTTGAATCACAGTGGCTATGAGGATGGAAACAAGGGGCAATATTTCAAGAGTATGTAGAATGTAGAAGCAAAAAAACTTGGTGGCATGAGGACTCGGGCAAACGGGGGAGAAGGAGGAGTCGAGGATGATTCCCAGATTCCTTGTTTGTGTGAGGGGCTGAATGGTGATGCCACACTGACATGGTTTTAGTTGGGTTTGAACATACTGAGTTTCTGGTGTTAGTCAACATTTACTGGAATTTATTTCCAATTTCTGATAACATGGTCTTCATAAGTGTATTAATTTTGTTAGGTTTGAATATTCTCAATTTGAGATGACAGCCATCATGTATTGGAATCAGTTCTTCCTTTCTGATACCTAAATCTTCATAAATTCATTCTTTCTTTCAATAGATGTCTACTGAATATTTATTGTACCTGTGCCTGATTTTGTTGCCCAGACCCTCTTGGTGATGCCACCACACTTTTGTTTCCTGTACACCTAGCCAGGCATTTGGTCCTGCAGGAGCTGACTTCCTTGACATGAATTTATTGGGCCCACTCTGAAGCCCTCTCTTTCCTCCATGTGCTTATCTTTCAGACATTGGACCCATTTCCCATTTTTGACTTTCTGTATTCATTTATACACCTATTCTTAAAAATGTTGGCTTCATCAATGTTCATCAGTGATAGACTGGATAAAGAAAATGTGGTACATATATACCGTGGAATACTATGCAGCCATTAAAATGCAATGAGATAATTTCCTTTGTAGGGACATGGATGGAGCTGGAGACCATTATCCTTAGCAAACTAACTCAGGAACAAAAAGCCACATACCTCATGTTCTCACTTATAAGTGGGAGCTAAAGGATGAGAACATGTGGACATGGGGATGAGAACAATGCACACTGGTGCCTACCAGAGGGCAGAGGGTGGGAGGAGAGAGAGGATCAGGAAAAATAACTAATGGATACTATGCTTAATACCTGTGTGATGAAATAACCTGTACAGCAAACCCTCATGACACACATTTACCTATTTAACAAACCTATACATCCTTCACATGTACCCATGAACTTAAAATAAAAGTTTAAAAAAATATTGGCTTGTTATCCAGTTTGGGTTATTATCCGGTTTTTCAGACATTTAAATATAGTCCAGGTTTATTTCATACGGCTCATGTCACAGTGTTCTGATCATCTCTAACCCACATTGTTTCCTCAAGACATTACTAACACCCTAGAAGAATACCAAAAGAATGTAATTTTCTTGGAACATAAGAAACTATGGTGGATAAGCTCTAAAATGCCAAAGACAGGACAAGATTGTGGGGAGAAGTGTGTTTCTTTTTGTGTTCATCACTTCAAATGATAGTAGAAGTTGGAACAGGGGAATTTTCAACCTGGAAAGAGTTCATTTTAAGGAGGTGTTCCGTTACCAGATAAGCACTGCTTCCCACCATCTTCTGCAGGGCTTGGCAGTGCTTCCCCATTGTAAGAAAAGCGCAGGGACAGACTGACTGAGTTTGTGAACTTGGAATTGTTTGAAATCCAGTTGGCTTTGGGTTCTATACTCAGTGGAATTTCAAGAGTCTTCTGAGTATTTCGGAGCGCAGAAAAGACAGTTAATTTGGCCTTGGGCAGAAAGTTTAGTGAGTGCTTTCCTGATGCTGATTACTTCTCCAGTTGTGAGGCTTTTACTATACTTTGAAGATGCCGCTCCTTTCTCTGAAGACCAACAGCACAGAGAAAAGTAGGGTTTTTGCTTGTTTTCTGTTTGTTTTTAGTAGACATTTTTGAGAGCAGTTTTAAGTTCACAGCAAAATTGAGCAGAAGGTACAGAGATGTCCCACATGCCCCCTGCCCTACACACGCACTTCTCCCCATCACCAATATCCCCCACCCACTGCCCTAGACATGCACTTCTCCCCATCACCAACATCCCCCACCCACTGCCCTACACACGCACTTCACCCCATCACCGACATCTCCCACTAGAGTGGTGCATTTGTTTCAGTTGAACCAACATTGACACATCATGGTCGCCCAAGGTCACAGTTACATTAGGGTCCATTCTTAGTGTACATTCTATGAGTTGGACAAATGTATAATGACATATATTCAGTACTACAATATACAGTAGTTTCACTGCTCTAAAAATCCTCTGTGCCCAGTCCCTTCCCCTTATCCCCTGGAAAACACTGAATTTTCATCTTCTCTATAGCTTTTCCTTTTCTAGAGTGTCATAAAGTCAGAATCATACAGTACTTTTCAGATTGGCTTATTTCATGTAGTACTATGCATTTAAGGTTCCTCTATGTCCTTTCATGGCTTGATAGCCCATTTATTTGTAGTGCTGAATAATATTCCATTGTCTGGGATGTACCACAGTTTATCCGTTCACCTATGGAGAAACATTTTGTTTGCTTCCAAGTTTTGGCAATTATGAATAAAGCTGCTGTAAACATCTGTGTGGAGGTTTTGGTATGGACATAAGTTTTCAATTCCTTTGGGTAAATACCCAGGCATGTGATTGCACCATTACTATCCTACATATAGGGTTTTACCATTCTGTGTTTTACATTTAAATCTGTGATTCAGTTTGAATTAGTTTTTGTAAATGTTGTGAGGTCTGTGTCTAGATTCACTTTTTGGCATGTGAACGTCCATTTGTTCCAGCACCATTTACTGGAAAGACTATCTTTTCTCCGTTGTATTTCCTTTGCTTCTTTGTCAAAGACAAGTTAACTATATTTATATGGGTCTGTTTCTGTGCTGTTTCTGTGCTTTCTATTCTGTCCCATTAATCGATTTGTCTATTCTTTCGCCAGTACCACAAGGTCCTGATTTGAGTCTCCATGTAGTGCATTTTGAAGTCAGACGGTCTCAGTTCTTCAACTTTTATTCATCTCCTTCGATATTTTTCACTATTCAGGGTCTTTGGCTTCTCCATATAACCTTTAGAGTTAGTTTGTCATTATGCACAAAATAACTTGCTGGGATTGTGATTGGGATTGCATTGAATCTGTGAATCAGGTTTGAAAGAACTGATATTTTGACAATACTCAGTCTTTCTATCCATAAACATGGAATATCTCTCTGTTTATTTAGCTCTTTGATTTTTTTCATCAGAGTTGTAGTTTTCCCTGTAGATAGTACATATATATATTGGCCAGGCGTGGTGGCTCACTCCTATAATCCCAGCACTTTGGGAGGCCGAGGTGGGTGGATCACTTGAGGCCTGGAGTTCAAGACCAGCCTGACCAACATGGTGAAACCCTGTCTCTAATAAAAATACAAAAATTAGCCAGGCATGGTGGCCACACCTGTAGTTCCAGCTACTCGGGGGGCTGAGGCACAAGGCTTGCTTGAACCCGGTAGGCAGAAGTTGTAGTGAGCTGAGATCATGCCATTGCACCCCAGCCTGGGCAACAGAATGAGACTCTGTCATCCCCCATCCAAAAAAAGATACATATATTTTTGCCAAATGTATACCTAAATATTTTATTTCCCTCCTGAAGAAAAGTTTGCATTAGAATCACCTCCACTGAAACATCTGAGTACCACTGATCTGAATTACGATTATGTTGCTATTCTCCTGGAGTCCAAATGAGTTCTGTAAAGAAGATGCTGATATTAGAGTGAAGGATGTAACCCAGAAGGTGCCTGTCATAGTAACTAGTCAAGGATAAGGAAGTTCTGAGTTACAGTGACTGCAGTAGGTTTGAAAAGAAATGGGAAGGTTGACAGATATTTGAAAGGAAAAGTAACCATTAGCAAAGATTTACTCATTCTGTAAGAGGTAGAAATCTGGGTCCTAAAATCTACCACTATACAGTTGGTCTCGAACAGGGTCTAGGAATATGTATTTATTTAAAGCATTACCAAGGTGCTTTTGGTCAGTGAACCCTCAAATAGTTTTGAAGTTGGAGACAAACCTCAAAGATATTCCCAAGGATAACAGCCTTTGAGTCCAAGAAAAATGCTGTTAACACTGACAGAAATAATTAAGCCAGTGGACAAAGGAAAAAGAAACATGGGATTTGGAATGGACTTGCAGTGAGGAGATGTTGAGAAAGAACCTTCTAGTCAGTAGGAATCATTTTATTAAGTCCCTTACAGGCTTAAAATCCCACATAGTTCTATTTTTCCCATGGGATAAAATCCATTCCTTAATCAAGCATTTGAGGGCTTCCAGAGTGGGTCCACCTGTCTTTCCACAACACTGCCCATTATTCTATAATGAAACCTTCAAGGCAGACCCAGCAGTCTCCTCATTGACCCCAAACCAGCCACATAGTTTTCCATCACCACCGTCTTTGCCCATAACAGTTGACCTCCTGATAGCCTCTCCTTCTCGAGCTCTCCATGTATGACTCTCATCCATCCTTCAAGGACCACTCAAATCTCACATCCTTTGCCAGAAACAACAGGGCTCTTTTTCTTTTCTAATGATAGTTCTGCATCTTTTCAATCATTTGGCCATAAAATTGTCATTTATCTTCAAGTATATGAGTGCACTTCTTACTAAACTATATTATCCCTTACAGAATCTAGTATAATGATAAGCTTGTAAATATTTCAGGGCACGGTTGCATAAAGGCATTTGTTGAAGTCATACAACTCAATGAATCCTTGATTAGAAAATGTAAAAGAAAATAAACAGGGTTGGGATGGCGACAAGTAATTTGAAGAGGAAGCCCAGTAAGGAAGCACTGAGGTATGGAGGTAGAACCAGGTAGGGGCAGCACATTAGCAGCCCAGGAAGGAAAAAAATTGAGGAGGGAGTGGCTCCCATTCTTCATTGATTCAGAGGTTAAACCACAAGCTAGTGAGAACATATATTATTTTTGTAACAAAACAGAGGATGTACAAACTTTACATAGCAGATTGTGTATGAAAGAACTCACTCTTCCATTCAGAGTTGAAGAAATATTTATAGGGTGCTTACTCTGTGCCAGACACTGTGACTATTATCTAGGTAACATTGCACACAAGTGTGTTCCTAACTTCTGAAGCGGACATCATTACACTCTCCATGCCCCTGGGTGCCATCCGAAAACCATGAGTTATGTTATTTCACATGGCATTAAGGAGCACATGGCATTCCTTTTCATGGAAATCTAAATACGCACAGATGTCTGATTGTGCTTCTTGCCTAGGGATTTAACTACAAAACAGGGGCTACCTTTTTTCTCATCTCCCACATGCTTTGATTATATGCTTGAGTATGGAGATTCTTTTCTAAATGATGGCTTAAAAGAATCCAATTGGCAAGAAGTGAGAGTCTGATTTTTAACCCATGACTGATGGTTTATTGCACAAAAATTTGTTGGTGCAAATCCAGCAGATTCTCTGTTATTTGGGACTGAAGGTCTTAGCTGGTCAGAGACAACAACTACTGCTGTTTTGAGCCACACATAGATGTTTGTAGACCCTGCTTCTTATTTCCTACCTGAGACCTTATGTTGAGAAGCAAAGATTTATGTTTTACCAGGCAGGTGACTGAGAACCTTTTTCTTCAGGTAGTCGCCATTTGCTTAGGAGGGATATTATGAAGCTTGGCAAATTTGCTTGAATGAATCTCATTTGTAACTTTCAGGTCAATAAGCATTTTATACATTTGAAGACCTGCAACACTCCCTTTGTCATATCCCATAACTTCTAAGTAGGGCCCTCCCTGGAGAAGAGTAAACCAAAGGAAATCTAATCCTTTAAGTCTTACATAGGATATATTTGGGGGAAAAAAAGAAAAAAAATCCTGAAGAACAAATCTATTTTGATGATCAGGTATTTTTATTTTAAAAAATGCAAAAAAAAAAAAAATACGTTAGCCAAACTTTTTAAATTGACTTCATTAACTGCTTGAAATTGCATACACATTAATAGGATTTTTATTATTAATTCTTCTAATTTGCTTATACTAGGCTTTGAAAGGGGTCTTATTTTCTTGAGTCTAGCTATGCACTGATGAGACTCATTAAGCATAATGGAATCTGGCAATTTATCACCCAGATTAAAACCCTTTTTCCACATAACCTCTACTTACCCTTTATATTTAGAGGCACCTCATTGGTATCAATCAAGGGCACGGTATAATTCCCCAGATTTCTCAGTAACAGAATCTCTGTGTAGCTGAGCATGTCCTTCCTGTCCTTCCTCATATCCACTTTTACATGAAGACTCAATTCTTTGGATTCAAGTGAAGTTGTAAAAAGTACACAGAGTAAAGCTGTTTGGATAAATGCAATCTTGCCTTTTCTATCATTTCTTTCCCAAGCTCTTTCTGGTCATATTTCTTCACTTGAGCCTTGTTCTTTAGGGAACTATCAGAAATCAATGCCCTTTACAAATGCTAAATGGCTCTTTCTTGTTATGAATGGAACATTAGCCACCTAAGGTCTCCTGTCTTCCCCCGTCATGACTAATAGGATTGTAATTTCATCAGGGTCTCCAGTGACATCAAAAACCATACCAGTTACACATTAAGTGGATTTGGATGTCACCTGATCTCTGAAATGAAATTCAAAGCGCTGTCTGTTTAAAGGTTCAGAGGCAATGGGGTCCCAGCTAAACCAGTCATTCTGACCCAACCAAGGTGTCTCTGACAGGGCAGATGGAATGAAGATAAATCATTTCTTAAAAAACACTTCAAGCAAAATATAGAATGCCTAAGCAGACACAGGGAAGATGTAACTACTTGTATTTTCATCCATTTTCTATATTTATAACCTCTCTTTTTTCTCGCACAAATAAATCGAAAGAAAACATTTAGATGCTATTTAAGCCATATAAAATCATGTTCTTACTTGATCATATTTGGATGAATTTTGCTTGTTTATGAAATCATTTTCCTATAATTGGTATTGACTTGTCTGTCTTCCCTATTTTTAATCCCCCTGTGTTTGCTATAGTTGCATGAAATAAGAGGAGCATGGCTGATGCATCAGAACAGAATCAAGCCACATTGCAAATTGAAAGTTTGAACCTAGCCCCTTGGCCTTAGTGCTCAAACCTACATGGCTAAACAGTTATAACTTTAACGAACAAGAGCACTTCATGTTTTCTTTACTCTTTGCTCTGCCTTCTGAAATAGTGAACCCCATCTTAAATCATCTATCTCTGTCAGGTCATCACTGTTTTCAGAGACATCCATTCCAAACCTTGGCATCTTTGTGACTCAGCCTTCTGCTTCCATGTCTGATCCTGATTCCTTGTGAATTTCTGCTGCCCAACATCAGACATTGCTTCGATAGTTCTGCACCTGACTTCCACGACATCATCCTCACCTGCCTATCCACCCTACATGCCACTTCTGGAACATTCATGCAGTTTAAGTGCCTTTGTCCCACCCGTGATTCCCTCGATGAAAGCTGTCCATGGCTCCTATTTCTTTCCACATCATTTCTAAATCATCCTCTTATTTTTCAGTTTCAAAGCCTTCTGTAAACTGTGCCTACTCCACCTGTCCAGTCCTGTTCTCCTACTCTCTAGCATATGCAGAGAACTATTTCTACCATCAATCAGTGGTCTTGTTGTCTGGATATGTCCTTGTGGAAACAAATATCCTTCCTGACCTTAACCTTTTCAAAGCGTATCTGTCTTTTACCAGTAGAGCCTTCTCTGGGACTACTAAGTTTTATCTTCTACTCCTCTGAATTCATAGGAATTTGCAATACGTGTCATGCAATGTTATACTGTATTCTCTTATTTGAGATTTAGATGACCCCTCCCACTTCCAAAAGGATTTGCAGCAGTTACTTAAATAGATAGCATCTTGTAATGTTTGTTAATTGCTTCCTAGTTATATTTCTTATCTCCTCAACTTAATCATTAGCACTTTGAAGGCAGGGGCCATCCTTCATGCTTCATTTCAAAATGCAGCCTGGAGAAATGGAGAGGATGCAAGGCTTGGAGTCAAAGGCCTTGAGTCCAAGCATAGTTTTTCTCCAAATTAACAATGTGACTTTAGGTGAATCACTTGGTCCCTGAGGGACTAAATTACATGTGAACCGCTAATAATTGTATTTTTCACCAAGAGTAAAGAGTTCTGTTTTTCTTTTTTAAAAATCATACTTTCTCATTATTCAAAAAATACAGAAACACTTAGAAAAGGAAAAATAAAATAAAAATAAAAATCAGCAAATTTACACTCCCTGAAATTAAGCACTGTTAACATTTTGGTTATTTATCCATTTACATAGCATCTTTTTAAAATTCATGTGCACACTTGGGTAAGGGATCTATCTAATAGAAAAAAATAGTTTTTGGCAACATTTCCCACTTACCCATATAAGGTGGACATATTTTCACTTTACCAGATTATTATGGCATTGTATGAATATTAAAGTATACATAGTCCTTTTCTTGGAAAATGTGTTTTAAAGAATAGAAATATATATTGACTGCTGAAAAGGGCATGTGACCTCTAATTTGTTTTCTCTGATGAGCTCTTTCTACCTTCTGTATGGAGCTTTGAATTTTACTCTTTGCCTTCCCAAGTGAGCATCCACGTGTCTGACTTCAGTTCTGGGGGGCATCTGGCTGGGCTGGGGTCTCCACCTGCAGCTCCTCATGAACTCCAGCTTTGTCTGCATCACACAGGTGCACAGCCCCTGAGCCACAATCCTAACATCCAAAAAGCTCTGAAAGCCAATTTTTTTGTTTGTTTGTTTCTTTAATTTTCTTAAGGATTTGGCCCAACTCAGTTGGTAAAAAGTCTGATATGAATTGATATGAGGTAACTTAAATTTTTATTTAATTCATCTAGTGTGAATTTTTATATGACTCACTTCAGAACTATTAATGTATTTGAGTGTGAGTTGCTGCCTCCATGTTTGCTAGGGGTGTTTCATAATATATAGGTTCTATATTAACTATCTAACAAATACAAAGTATTTGGAATTCATCTGGTACAAAGGGGTTTGAATAAGAGATGGCAGTCCTGTTCCAGACTTATGTGATCTATAATCCTTGTAACTAAAATCAGCACTTTGTTTTCCTGGTTTGAGCTAATTTGAAAAAACAACAACAACAATAACAACAACTAATTGTTGGGTGGTACAGTAGTGGTTTTTAAACTTATATTTTCTTTTTTGGCTTTAGAAAGCATATTCAAATAAAATCTTACCTAGAAAACCAGTTGTGGCTGAGATGAAATTCAAGTCACTCTCACTGGAGGGGAAGCCCAGAGCTCCCGTCTGCTGGGTCCTGCCTCACCCCACCCCAAGGTCACCTCCGCTGTGGCTTTGTGAAAACAGCTGCAGAAAATAGCCAATAATTTCTTAGGTTCCATGATACCAAGGAGGTCAGGTCTGTAACCCAGGCTGCTGGTCAGGCAGGGAAAGCCACCGCTCCTCGGCTGGGAAGGGTTTTGTTGTTGATGTTTCTGCTGTTGTTTTGTTCTGGTTTTCTTTTCTGGTCAGATGAACAAGAGCTCACATTTAGCATTTAAAAAGAATCTGTGGAAGTCCAGGTTTATTTCAAGGTTGAAGGTGTGGGACTTGAGACTACTTGTCTTAAAGTTTATCAGCCAATCGCTGTTTGGGCCATTGGTGTCATTTTCAGTGTCTTTACGTGATAAGTAAAACTGTGGTGAACGTAATTTCATGGGCATTATTGTAACTTTGTTTTACTATTTCCTTATGATAAATTGGGCAAGCAGAAGTGTCACACATATACTTTAAAATTTTTGCAACTTCAGATTATCCTCCAGACACTTCTACCAATTTACTCCCCATATGACTTTTAAAGTCTCTTTAAGTTCTGATTTTGAGTCACATTAAATCAAAAATAACTATTTAACAAATATTCTCTTATGAACTGTGTATAATTTTTCTGGCACATTATAATGTTTTAAGCATTGGAATAGGTTTTACCCAAACATATTTATTTAGTTGCCAATATTTGATTCAAATATTTTTTTAAGGCCAGGTGCAGTAACTCACGCCTGTAATCCCAGCACTTTGGGGGGCTGAGGCTGGTGGATCACTTGAGGTCAAGAGTTCAAGACCAGCCTGGCAATATGGTGAAGCCCCATCTCTACTAAAAATACAAAATTTAGCTGGGCATGGTGGCACGTGCCTGTAATCCCAGCTACTCGGGAGGTTGAGGCAGAAGAAGCCCTTGAACCCAGGATGCAGAGGTTACAGTGAGCCAAGATTGCACCACTGCACTGCAGCCTGGGCAACAGAGCAAGACTCTGTCTTAACAACAACAACAAAATCCCAAATATTTATTTAAGATTTAAATCACCAATATTTAAAAATATGATCTAATCAACATCTGACTTTATCTTCTTTACTTACTATTGATAAGAGATTTACAGAGATAGGCTCTCAGAATAGTCATTGTTACTCAAAATGGTTGTCCAAAATTAAAAAAAATACAACTATCAAAAAATGTGCTCACAAAACTATTTTTCCCAATTCTGCAGGTTTTTCCTTTTTAAGACAAACCATCAATTTTTCCCCTATTCTTTTAATGTGCATTTTAAATGTGTGCTTTTACAAAAGTGTCTGTAACTGAAATAATAAGAGCATATTGTTGAATAAGGCATTTTCTATAGAAATATTGATGGCTAACATCTTACAGGGATATTTTAGTGCCAGCAGGTACACCATGGCTGCTTTAATTACTAAAGGCTTTTTTTCCAAGGACTGAATTGTACAGTGGACACATTTCAAATTGAATAGTTTTCAGACAGTATATCTCTAAACAAGAAAAAATGTTGAAATCCAGGAAACTTATAGAAGTCAGATCAATAAATAAAAGGGAGTCTCCTTATGGTCTCTGTAATTATGCCCACCTGAATAAAGCAATGGCCTTCAATGTATTCACAGCAAACTCTCTTTGTATTCAACTGCAATTTTAAATTGACTATAGCTGAGCAGAGCAAGATGTGAGAAAATTAACAACCCTTATTTTCATGGGACTTATGTCTTTCAATCTTAATATAGAATCAATATGTTTTATGTATATATACGTGTGTGTGTGTGTGTGTGTAGGCTAAGTATAATGGCAGAATTCTAGAAAAACCTTCCTAGTGCTTATCATCCAATGATCCTGGCTCATAGGTAGGACAGGCAACCAGAGTCTAGCCTGGCATATACAAGGAAATGAATGAGTATTTGGAGCATGATTCAAGCTGGCTTTGTCATATGGGGCTCAGAGATACACATACACCAAAAGTTCATTTCTATCAGACAATGTGCTTCGCCAGCTAGTAGGGAAACAATAAGAAATAGGAAGTAAACTCCAGATGCCCTCAGCCTCTGCTAACCAGTGCTTATTTCAGTAACCATGTCATTGGAGAAAAAGGCAGAATTGATGTTACTTTTGCTTGTGGTTCTCAGGAATTTCTTAACACAGTCAAAACTCTCATGAGGTTTTGTGTATGTGTTTGTGTGTGTGTGTGTGTTTCTAGCTAGGGTACCTGTCAGTTTATTGAGACTTCAGTCTGTTAAAACAAATTATAAAGGCCAGGCATGGTGGCTCACACCTGTAATCCCAGCACTTTGGGAGGCAGAGGCAGAAGGATTGCTTGAGTCTAAGAGTTCAAGAGCAGTCTGGGCAATATAGTGACACCCCATCTCTACAAAAAGTTTAAAAATTAGCCGAGCATGGTGGCATGTACCTGCAGTCCCAGCTACTCAGGAGGCTGAGGTGCATTGCTTGAGCCTGGGAGGCAGAGGCAGCAGTGAGCCAAGATGGCGCTACAGCACTCCAGCCTGGGTGACAGTATTGAGACTCTGTCTCAAAAAAAAAGAAAAAAAAAAGACACAATGACCTCACGAGCTCCACTGTGATCTACTGAGCACACAGCATCATTTCTGTGATATTCTTGCCAAAACTGCACAGCCTCAGTCAAATTCTGAAAAACAGAAAATCAGAGAATCCCAAATTGAGAGTCACTGTACAAAGTAACTAATCAATATTCTTCCAAAGTGTCGAGAACATGAAACCCAGGGAAGGACTAAGGAACTGTTAGCGAATGAAGGAAACTAAGGAGAAATGACAACTAAATGGTTCTCACCATTGTGTCATTTTTATTTAATATATTAATATTATGGGAAGCTGGATGGGAGATATAAAGAGAATTCTGTACTATGTTTGCAAATTTTCTTGAAGTCTAAAACTAGTTCAGCATAAAAAGTCCTTTAAAAACTAGTTTTCATGGTTTGTTGTAAGGTCAGAGCACTTCAGAGTCAAGAATATTTAATTATTTCAATAAGACATTACATTTATCTTTAGAAAATTGAGTCATGTCAATGCAAATCCATTGTCTCAGTGTCTGATGGTTAAAAGCTCAGAGTCAAGCAGACAAGGTTTTGAATTCCAGCTCTGCCACTTACCAGATGCCTGATTTTGGGAAGTCTGTTAGTTTTCCTGAACCTCTATTTTCTCATCAATAAAGATGGAATAATAATGATGATTAGATGATGACGATGATGATGATGATGATGATGATACCAACACCTACTTCATGAGGTAATTGAGGGATTAAATGAAATAATATTTGGTAAGTAGTTATCACAGTGGCTAAATGTCATAAGTCCTGTATAAATATTTGTTATTGCTTCTGATGATGTTGCCATTGTTTAAATCTCTTTTACTCAGAAGCAAAATGTAAATAATGTTACAAGTCTGTTACAACAGTTAAACAAGGTAATACATGTAAAACAGTATGTGTCCCTGTTACATAGCCAGTGATAAGCGAGGTATAATTACTACTGTCATTCATTCATTCATCCATCCACCCATCTATCCATTCATCCAAAAGTCCATCTAGTATTTTTGAGAGTCTTCTTTGTACCGGAGATTGGCATGTCTTTAACATGAAAATATTGCTATTAATCTTTCAGTAGCCAGAGTGATCATAAGACATGCCTTATCTCTGTACAACACACTACAATCCATAAGGAGCTTTCCCATACATTATTTCATTAGATGCCTTTGAAGCACTATGCTATAGTAATCAATTTCTGTTAATGTAGATTAATGTCGATGATGAAAATGAGTATAAGTAAAGTTATGAAACATCCTAGTTGTTTATGTAACTAGTCAGGGAATTGACAAACTCTTTTTGTAAATAGGCTGATAGTAAATATCTTAGCTTTGTGTGCCACATGATCTCTTTTGCAACTACTTACTTAACTTTGCCACTGAATGACAAATGCAGCCACAGACAATAGGTAAAAAAAAAAATTGTGTGTGGCTGTATTCCAACATTTATTTACAAAAATGGGCAGTGGGTTAGATTTGTGGGACCACCGAACTAGTCAGTGGTAAAGAGTTACTCAGATTTCTGACTTGAAGCCCAGGCTTTTCATGATATACTATTTCAGCACAGTTGTTAGGCAGAGAACAACCACCTTGTACCTCCTCAATTTTACCTCACAAAATGATCATCTAGTCCCCACTTCTATAGCCTGCTTCTTGGTTATCAAGAAATACGTGATTATGGCTGGGCACGGTGGCTCACGCCTGTAATCCCAGCATCTTGGGAGGCCGAGGCGGGCGGATCACAGGGTCAGGAGATCGAGACCATCCTGGCTGACACGGTGAAACCCCATCTCTACCGAAAAAAAAAAACAAAAAACGAAAAAACTAGCCTGGCATGGTGGCGGGCACCTATAGTCCCAGCTACTCGGGAGGCTGAGGCAGGAGAATGGTGTGAACCCGGGAGACAGAGCTTGCAGTGAGCTGAGATCACGCCACTGCACTCCAGCCTGGGCGACAGAGCAAGATTCTGTCTCAACAACAACAACAACAACAACAAAGAAATACATGATTACATATCTGGCTGCAATCCAGATTCACTTTGCCTCTCAGTCTTGTTACCTTTATCCAAAAAGATATGAATGGGAGTTTATCTTAGGAAGCCCCTGTAACTCCTAGTGACCATTGATTTCTTTTCTAGATGGTCATACACTCTCTTTTAAAACATTGCATTCTAGAAATATTTTTGAGGGAACATGATAACCAGACTAAAAACTGACTTGTAACTTCTAAATGCAGCTTTTTCTTTTGATTTTAAAAATTAAAAACTCCTGACATGTTCTAAAAACAAACAAACACATTTTTCTGTTCTTAATATGGGGCCCCTCTGACTCATCATGATTCCCCAGAGTTTGCCAGCAAACTTCCACAGTCTCAGCTGAAGTCCTTTCATTACCCCAGGGTGTCATTTATTGCTGAGACTTGGATTTATGCAAAGCAGTTTGCTGATCTCCCTTGGGATCTCCTCACTTGTCTTGGGCTTCATGTTTTCCTCTTCTTTTCAACACGGTGATCGTTTGTCTTGATAGCAAAGGTGGAAGCAATATAGAAGTTGAATGGTTCTGCTTTCTCTCTGGCTTCTATTAGCATTACATCATCGGCTTCAAGCAATAAGACAATCCCATCCTTGTTCTCATATGGCTCGAAACACAGCCTTAACCTAACACTCCCTATAGATGTCATCAGTATTTGTAAGCCACAGCATACTCTAGACTTTTTTACACTGTTTTTTTTTTCATTTTTTAAACAGATTTATGCTTCTCTCAATTCCTTGATTATTTTTCTTCTTACCATACACTCTTTATGCTTATAGTTCTTTCTTAAGTGCAGAATCAAAATAAATTTATAAATTCAAAACTATAAAACCAATAGAAATCAAATATATGAACTGGATTTAATATAACAGATGGTGCTATTTTGCTAAGACATTTGCTAGACTTATTTGCAATTTGCATATTTGTTAATGGTCTTTTCCACTAGGAGCAGGTTCTTCTGAGTTTGGCTGTCCTGTAGACTCTTGTAATGGATGACAACCCAATTGTCTTTCCAATGTTCAACCCATCAAGCTACAAACTGTTAGTTTAACATGGGATTATATCATTTTGGCCTTTTCTTGTGGCAGGAATATTCCATTTGTCCATTAAGCTCACGTCCGTTTTCTTCACTTTTAACAAGAGCATCATAAATAAAAGTGCAAAGAACACTGGACCACATGGCAGTATTCAGTCAAAAGTTGTTCACTAATACATTTAGAATATGCTTAGTATTTATTTTAATGCCACTGAAATGAGATTAAGAGTTTAAAGATATTTATTGAGACTTTGTGAAACCATGAAAATAGGACTTTGGGTCTTGAGGAAATCCCTGAGGATCTATCTTTGCAGCTCTGCTTAAGGAATATTGATCAAGACAACCTAATACTTTGACATCTTCTTCCTCTCCAAATTGCCCTCCTTTCCCTTTTACCTGTTCTTCAACTGGACATGGCTACTTAGGCGCTCACATTCTCTAGCTTTCTATGCAGAATTCCAAAGCCACTGGAGATCTCACTACAAGTTTCTCTGAATTAGAAGTAGGGTACATTGGTTGTGGGCTGGTGAAGCTCCTCCTCTCATCTCTGATGCATTCTCTTAGAAAAGCCACAACCTTTGGTTAACCCTGTGGTAGGAGCCCATGACTTCCTCTAAAGACCTCAGTAAGATTCTCCAGTCACCAGCATAGGTCCTTGTCTCCTGCTTGGGTCTGCCCATTGATTTCTTGCACCTATCATGTGAGTCTTCCCTATATGCTAGTACTTTTTTTTTTTTTTAATGGGAAGACTTTCAAACCATGTATTGGTTCCAGTTGCTGAAGCTAAATTCCTTCTCCACTCTAATTTGATTAGCCATGATCTTCTACTCACCAGCCTTTTAAGGCAGGTATTATTTTCCTTTTATATTCTTACAAAAGTGTTCTCCTATTTTCCTCCCTAAATGATCATTCATTGTTTCCAGAAGCTCCTCTCCCTTTGAATCAATTGTAGTATAGAGAATAATCCCTTAAGATCTATCACCTGCTCTGACACTTTTCAGACACTGACTTGCATGTCCAGTATAGACTATTCTCGGCTTCTGGGAGGAGGGTACTTCATTGGCTCCCATGAAGACAATGAAAGGACTCCTTTGCTGTCCAGACTTACCAGATAGTCGACTGAATTGGAGTCCTTTGTCACGCAAACACTGACTATGATCTTCCTCTTCCAGAGCATCTCACTGAGCCCCTCTCTCTCCTTCTCCTTACTTGCTATCTCTGTTCCTGTTAGATTTCTACACTGGGTACCCATGGCAACAAATTATCATGAGTGAAAACCACACACTCTTTCCAGAAATGATTGGTAATTTAGTTGTGTTTTCAGACAAATAGTTGCCTAGAAAACATTTCTATAATTAGTCTGCCTTTGATTTGAGATTTCACTTCTTAACTTCTAAATTTATCCTCTGGATGCCACTTTCCTGATGACAAGCTGCCGAATTCATCACAATTCTCTTCTGCCTGCTTGGGAAACTTCTACCTACTTGAATTGGGAATGTTTCTCTCTAAAAATCAATCATGATCCTGAAATTAGCTTTGCTGACCTGGGGGCTAAAGGAGAGATTCATGTGCATTGTCTCATGATATTTCATGCTTTTCCTCATCCTAGGCTGGTGGTGGGGCGGTCAGACAAGAGAGGTATAAAATCATGACTTTGTTATATGGTGTGATATTTACCTTCTGTTGTTCAATCACAGTCTTTAGTCTGAATTGCCTTTGACTAATGCCAAATAATCAATTTCGCCCTCAGTTTCCACCTCCAAAAAGTCTGTATAATTGAAGAATTATGAATAAACATTTTCGAATAAGGTGGCTATATCTTCTCTTAATTTTGCACAATAGTTTCACAGATTCTCCAAAATTACATTTTCAAGTTATTGTATAGCCAAATATATAGTATTAGTGACAGAATTTTAAGAGATGTGATTATAGAATAACTTCTTCAGGGTCTCTTCTAAAAGGATTCAGGCAAGAGTTCAGCTGGTATTCAAAAAGAGTTACATTAGAAGTTCTTTCTAAATCATGAGAAATTGAACTGGTTGCACTAAAGTGCTTCACTTTAATGGTGAATTCAATAACTTTTTTCTGCTTATGTTATTTATAGAATAACTTTTGCTTATAGATATTCAAATATATGCAGTTGGTTATAATCCCAGAGAAAATATGGGCAAAAAAATGGATTCTTGATCATTAGTATGGAGAATCATCTCAAACACAATAGGTTTTCCTCATGACAAATCACACAAAATCTCCATAGCAACCTCACATAATTATGCATAAGATTTCAGTGTAGTAACAAAACTAAGCCCAGAATAAATTACAAAGAATAGTGATATAGGGTAAGACGGATGTGGGGTAGGTGACACACAGGAATATTGAAGTGGGGCAGTTGTAAGACGTGAGAAATGCACAAAGGACAAAGAAGATTGCCTGCTTTGCACTTCAGAGAGGACTGATTAAGTCACTGCATTATCTGGAAACTGGAGACTGGGAGCCGCAATATCTGATAATACCAAGGTGCCTGCTAAAACTACCATTGTTAAAGGAATGTCAATGTTTCTTTCATAAATCTTTCTTTTTCTGAGTTTGTAACAATTATAAGAAAGTCTACACAATACGTTGGCCTTGAAAATTGAAATAAAGAAATGATTTTATAATTTTTTATGAATGTATAAAACTTGCTTGAGCTCTTAAGTTGAAAAAACAGTAGAAGTACTCCAAATATGCAAATAGTGTCAAGTTTAGTTACTACTAAACATAACTGAGATGCTTTAACACGTTTCTTGCAATGTAATTATTTCTTATAAATATTAGCACATGAAGCTAACTAATTCTTGAATATTTTTCCCACCTGAGTCCTCAATATACTCTTATTTAGTAACAGGTCAGTGTTAGCCATATGGCTTTTGTTAACAGCCATTTATAGTGTTACTACTCTATAATTCTGAAGAATATTAGTAGTTTAGTTCAGCAATTCACATAAGAAAAGAGAATGTTACTTTCTGGAAACTCCCAGGCCACAACAGAACATTGAAATGATGGAGATGGGCAAAAGAACAAGATAATGTTATATACTCAGTGCGGTTCAACACATTTTTTCAAGAGACAGGGTCTTGCTCTGTTGTCCAGGCTGGGGCACAGGGCGTGATTATAGCTCACTGCAGTTTTGAAGTCCTGAGCTCAAGTGATCTCCCATATCAGCACTGAGTAGCTAGGACTATAGGCATGTACCACCATACCCTGGCTTTTTGTTGTTATTGTTGTTAGAGATGTGGTCTCACTATGTTGGCCAGGCTGTTCTCAAACTCCTGCCCTCAAGCGATTGTCTTGCCTTGGCCTCCCAAACTCCCACTGAGATTACGGGTGTGAGCCACTGCACTCAGCCTGGTTCAACACTTATTGATTTTATTGGGATAATAACTGATTTCAAAATGGGAGCTAGAACCATAAAGATAACCATAAAGAGGTGTAATGGGAATACTTAGAGTCTAGAGTAAGAAACAGATACGTAACTGGTTAATTTCAATGTAATGCAGCAAATAATAAAATGTATGCAGACTTATATTGGACCATAGCAGAAGGCCATTTTAAATACCTCCTAGAGGAGACTTGATAAGTCTTAATGGGAGAAGGAGTCACAAGGGGAAGACAGGTGAGGACAACACCCCAGGAAAAGGAAATAGTGTGAGCACAAGTACAGAGGCTTGAATTAATGCAACGTATTCAGCAAGGTAATCACCAGTTCTTTGGTATTACCACAGCACATAGCTCAAGGCAATGAGTGATATGAAATGAAATTCTATCTGTAGAAAGGAACACAGTTTAGGTCAGGCCTTTTATGCCAGTGAAATGACCCCAAAAATTTGCTCTAAGACAATAGGACTACTGAAGTACTGAAGTGTTTTAAGCAAGGAAGCTACATTTGAGATAATAACAGATACTCTGACTTCATTTTGAAGAATGGAATTTATAGGGCAAGATTAAAAACAAGGAGATTGATAAGGAGGTCATTTCTAAAGCAGAAACCTTTCTAGTGACCCATCTCTTTTGTCCCAAATATCAGAGGTAGGTACAAGCTTCAT
This sequence comes from Homo sapiens, assembly GCF_000001405.40. Taxonomy (NCBI): domain Eukaryota; kingdom Metazoa; phylum Chordata; class Mammalia; order Primates; family Hominidae; genus Homo; species Homo sapiens. Next base: position 133,357,596 of record NC_000002.12, on the reverse strand, counting down.
GCAAACCCATTTGTACCTTTTCTATCCATGAAGATCTTTACATAGATTCATTATTCTAAGGGTGATCTTAGCTGTGTCCTGTTAACATTAAAATGTTAATTAAATTGGTTTAATTTTGTATTACAGAAATTATTCTAATTTTTGGGACTGATTTACTCCATTTATTTGCTTTCAAGCAGAAAATCTAAGTTATTAAATGCACATAAGAATTTATTCTATTTTAAAGGCTATAAGGAAAGACCCTATATTCACATTAGCCTCTGTGTATGTGTGTGTGTGTGTGTGTGTGTGTGTGTGTGTGTGTGTGTCTGTGTATGTGTGTGACCCAACTAATAGGAATAAGTATTGAGTGACTATAATTTTGGAAGAATCTACAAGAAATAGAACAATATTTAGGGTCGGGCAAGCATGCATTAATTTATTATTCCATGATCCATCAAATATTTTTGAGGGCCCACTAGGTAATAGGGACCCTTCTGAGTATAAATAAGGGGTGATATGCAGACATGAGCCTCACCCTTGTGGAAATTACAATCTAGCAGAGATGACATACTTCAGTCAAATTGAAACAATTAGTGCAAATATATCTCATAATGCCATTTATCCAAGTCTTGCTTTTCAAGTTGGTCAAGAATCTTGGTTCCTTGACATTTTCTAGCTATCAATTGTCTTTGAATTGCACGAGAAGGAATGTTGTAAAGGAACATGGCTCTCTGAATTCCCTAGACAGTAGTTTAAAGGCCTCCTCTATATAATGCAAGTATTGATGTTATAATATCTCTTGTTAGCCCTAAATTCTAATTAAGAAGTACAATAGACCCCAATCATAAAATTTTAGGTATTTCTCAAAAAGTGTAAGTATTTAGCTTTAACTCCTGAGTGAATGACTTTCTTCTTGTTGGGTATTGGGCTTTCTCAAAGTTTCAACAAAAGCAATGAACTTCCCAAACATGCAATATTGTGTTGATTTGGTGATATAACCCAAAGATGTCCTTTCCTACGGTCCTGCAGCTCCCATTCACCTATGAATCCTTTAACTCTAGGGAAGTAGATGGATTGGCCAGAAAATCAGAGTTCAGTTTTCAACATCATGCCATTGAATTCTCCCATTTTCCTCTGACAGCTCCAGGCAAGGACAGCAGAGCTGTAGGGAAAGTGGAGAAAATGGGGATTAAATGCTTTATATAGTTTCTCCCTTAAATCATCCATGTTTATCTCATATTACTATCTCTGCACAGACAGGGCCCCAATACACATAATATGTTTTGCTTTGCTTTTCTGAAGAGTTGTTGCACAGTACCCCTGAGAGGTTGTTAAAAACACAAGGCACAGGTCTGAGATGGGATTTGAGATATAAGAACACTGCTTCTAGTTGGGCGAGGTGGCTCATGCCTGTAATCCCAGCACTTTGGGAGGCTGAGATGGTTGGATTGCTTGAGTCCAGGAGCTCTTGACTAGCCTGGGCAACATGGCAAAACCCCATCTCTATCAAAAATCCACAAGTTAGCCAGGCATGGTGGTGCATGCCTGTAATCCCAGCTACTCCGGAGGCTGAAGCAAGAGGATCTCTGAAGCCTTATGGCTGAGGTTTCGGTGAGACATGATCACGCCGCTGCACTCCAGCCTGCGCGACAGATGGAGACCCTGTCTCAAAAAAAAACAGAAAACAAAAACACTGCTCCTTCAAATGTGAACAGCAAAATGATAGTTTTCCTGAGGGTACTTTTGCTCAAAGATCAAATTCAGAGATGATAGGTTAAAAAAATAAAAAGAAAATGCAAATATGTGAGGTGATTATACTCCACACGCAAGGTTTGAGGAAACTATGCTTTCCTAGGTCGAATTTAAGAAGGCTTCTTGGAAAAGCTGAACTTTGAGTTGGCCTTTGCGCTAGAGTATCTGAGAAAAAGTTGATTTTTCCCAGGTATGTGGGTATATGGGAAAAGGACTGAAGACAAATCAAGGTCAGACTAAAATATACAAAAAGAAAAAAAAAAGGTTGGCAATAAGTAATCACAATACCGTAAGATCTTTTGACTAAAAATGAAACTCAGAATGCAAACCCAAAATCTGCTATATCTATGAGTAAAGACATTTCCAGCTGTATCTGAACATTTTGAAAACAAAATTCAAGGAAAGAACTGTCTCTTGTTGTATGTAATATTAGCATCTTATATCTTGAGAAGTTCTGTTTGCTGATATGAATCATAATAAGTTGATTTGTCAGTAGGTATATGCAGAACTTTTTATTCAAATCTCAGGACATTTTATTTGCATATAAAGTGGCACATTTATACTCAACAGTAACTAGCCCTGAAGGAGTGATATTTAATAGGAGAATACAATTATCCCAGTCAGGCCATAAACATTTTCTTTAGGGCAATGGCTACAGTTTAAGATAGGCTTATAATCACTCATGTAAAGTAACAGGCTGTTACCAAACCAAGCCAGAGAAAACTTAAGCTACAAAAAGATTACGATTTCATTTGGATAAAATATCTGTATTCTCTTATCCAGAATTTTAGAAGTTATAAATATAAAGGTCAATGAACCATTAAATTTCTATTTTTGATTCTATGTGAAGGCCTCAAATGAGTATTTTAAATACAAATGTTAAAAAGTGTAAATATTTTATTCCACACCATATTAACCACCTGGAATTGTTTTATTTTTCAGCTAAGATGATGACATTATATAGAAACTCAGAATATATCTAGTTAATGATTCTGGTAATTTTAGCATCCTCTTTAGAATGTCTTTTTGTGTGTCTTATGTGCATTTGGCGCTCTATTGACCAAGCATTATTTTCTAAGATTTTGGGATGCTTCCTGTATAACTTTAATGTCTTAATGTATTAGAAGTTATTTATAGTCCTGTGCACAAACTAGAAAAAATAGAAGTAAATATATTTTACCTATCCTCATAATTTTGGTAGAGGTATTCTGTTAAGAATCAGAGGGTTTGAGCTGTGAAATTGCTTCTATCGTTAATAAGTTGGGTGATGTTAGACAATTTAATTCCCTCCTTTAGAACCTTCTTATCTATTGGGTGATGTGTCAGACCAACTGCTAAGAATCCCCCAGGCCAAGCCTGATGGGGATTTTGTTCCTTAACCCAACATGATATGTAATGATAACAACAGGGAACCCTGTAGGCAAGAATCAAAAAGAGAACTGAGCCAGGCATGGTGGTGCATGCCTGTTGCCCCATCTACTGGGAGGCTGAGGTGGAAGGTTTGCTAGAGCCCAGGAGTTCAAGTCCAGCCTGGGTGACATAGAGAGACCCTGTCTCAAAAAAAAAAAGGAAAGAGAGAAAAGGGAAAGAAAAAGGAAAAAAAAAAAAGAGAACTAATCTACCAGAGATAGGAAAGGAAGTTTGTCTCTAAAGAAGAAGATTGAGTTAAGTATTATATAATGCATATAGGGGAGAAGAATTTGAAATGGGAGATGTGTGACAGGGCTGTGGCTTTCCTGTTCTGTCACCTCACTGCCCAAACCCCTGAGGGGAGGGGAAACATGCAGACAGGTGCAGGAGCCCAAGTAGCTGTGTGTTACAGTGTGCTCTTTTAGCCTGCCATTCACAGATGGCTTGAGTGTTAACCACCTCAATGGACCCTTTGCCTTTTTGCAGGGATAGAGGGCCAGTGTGACAGCTTTGTGTATCCTGAGCTCTTGTCCAGCATCCTGGAAGAAGCAGGTCTTGAAGGATGGATAGGGGTTTTACTGAGTGGTGGAGGTAGCTCTTAGTGGGATGGATGGGGAGCTGGAAGTGGGGATGGAGTCGGAAGATGATCTTCCCCAGGAGTTTGACTGTCCAGTGGCTGAACTCCTTTCTGACTATCCCCAGCTGAGCCTCTCATTGTTGAGATGTTCCTCTTCTCTCTTTCTTTGCTGTCTCATTCCACTGTTCTTCTGCTTTTCTCACCACCTCATCTGCTTCTGGAGCCTGGGGTTTGCAGTTTATGTGACAGGATAGGGGTGTGTCTCAGGCCAAAAGGCAACTTTTTGGGTACAAAAACAAATGCCTGTTCCCACTTAGGGCCATGGGTCTCCATGCTTGAAGGTGGGGCTTTTGCTGGGAACCACCCTCTTCTACCCAGCATTTCCCTGTCTCCTGTCTATATCAAATTGAGGAGAAGTCAGGTTGATGTGACTTCAATATTCAGCAAATGCCCTGATGTTACCGTCTCTGGCCAACTTTTATAGAGGACTGAGCTCAGAAGTCCAGGGTAGAGATAGATATGGAAAACTGGGAGCAGAGGGTCTCTAAGGTACCTTCTAGTCTTAAAGACTCCAAAAATGCCTTCTGTCTCAGATAGTAGGTGATAATCCCATTACTTCCTCCCACATGTCCTTCATGCCTTTTGGTGACACTAGCATGGTTGGTTCCTCAGATTTGCAGGCTGATTTTACAAAGTCCCAATACTAATGCTCTGAGTTTTTGCTTCGCAGTTCACTTCCCTTGAGTTTGTGAATAGCTGTATTCTAATGGAGAATTTAGTGACCACTACTCAGTCCAAGATTGTTTGAATATGGCCCAAAGTTTCCTTCAAGTCCTGTCCACCCAAGACCTTGGCTCAGGCTTCAGCTTCTAACAAGACAAGCTTGCATGTTTGGCAAAAGAGCTGTGGAGTCACAAGAGAAGCAGCCGACTTTAAATATTCCTTTTTGGCTTTTATTTTGCCAACATCTGGACAATGTATCCTGAGCCAGTACATGTTCTGGAAATTTCATTCAAATTGACAATGGGAAATGAGCTTGGCTAGTACTAAAAGTGCCTCATGTTAGCCCTCAGGCCAGTGGGATTTCTGGCCAGAGTCTTCTCCAGCAGATGTTTCCCTGAGTTTTGGCAGTCCACATAAATCTCTGTCTGGCAGGCCCACCTGGGCAGAGCATTCTCTGAATGTGAACACATGCTCTCTTGTACCTGCTCAGCCCTCAGTCCACCCATCCCCATGCCTCCACTACACTCAGCCACTCAGCAAGTCTAATGTCAGGGTCAAGTCTGTTTAGCCTTCAGGAGGCTAAGAGATAGCCCACCCCAGCTAATTCTTTCTCCTCTTCCCCTGCCTCTACCCAACACACTCTAGAAAGGCCTTCAGACCTCTTCTCTATGCCTCATAACGTATCCCAAATTGTATGTGGAGGACAGCTCTTGCCCTGAGAGCAATGATGCCTCCTGCATTTGTGCATTAATTTATTCTTTTGTGTATTCATTCAAGATGTATTTATTGAGCAACTTATGCATGTCAGGCACAGTGTCAGATGCTAGAGGAACAGCAAGGACAGAACAGACAAAAATCCCTGCCCTCATGGGGCTTCCATTCTAGTCAGGGAGTTGGGCTATCAAGAATATAACGAAAATGTATAGAAGGTAATGAAAGTTATGGAGAAATAAAACAGGGAGGGGGATACAGAGTGTGAAGGTTGTTGGTTATTTAGGTTTTAAATGGGTGATGGTGACAGGGTCTCCATTGAGGGAATACCTGAAGGAGAGAGGTGACGAGCTATGGGGGATCCAAGATAGGAGGCAGGTTGCAGGTCCTGTCACCCCTCCAGAGGCCAGTTGCATTTTTTTTCATAGAAAATGGAAAACCTTGGAAGGGCTTGAGGAAGGGAATGGCATGATGTGACTTACATTTTAACAGCATCATTTTGGCTGCCCTCTTGAGGATATTCTGAAGGACAAAGGCTAGAGAAGAGAGGCCCACTTGGAAGCTGTTGCAATAAGCTGGCAGTTGGAGGTGGTGATTATGGGGTGGTGGGGAGTGGTGGGATACTGAATATATTTTGAGGAGAAAGCAGACATGCTTTCCTGAGATCCAATGTGTGGCATGAGAGAGAGTGGTCTGGCAGGTGCCCAGGTTTGGCCTGGATTGCTGCAAGGAGGATAGCACAGGAGGATGGGGAAGTCCTGGGGTGGGGGCACAGGTGAGGAGAGAGCCATGCCAGGTGAAGAGCATTACCTCCTCCTTGTGTGTCTTTTAGGAAACAAGGAAATCATCTTAGACACAGAGGAAATGATGTCTTTGAAACACCTTTAGCCAAATAGTAATAAGAGCTAACACTTACCTAATGATGTGTGTGTTAAGCACGGTACATTTTCTCATTCAACCCTCATAAGACTTTTATAGAGTAGATGACTTTATTATTAACACTATTACCATTACTCCTACCACTACTATTTACAGATGAAAAAAATTAAGGCTCAAAGAAGTTATATTACTGGCATAAATGTCCTCAGTTTACAAGTACCAAGTTTCACACTTGGGCCCGTCTCATTCCAAAGCTTGGTTTTTAAATCATTAAATGGGCCATAGGGGTACCAGTCTGCAGAGAAAACCCTGTGAGTGGTTTTTATTTTTTTTTTCCTTTTTCCTGAAGCTATTAACCAATTTGCTTTTGTTGTTTATGAACCCATCAACTAAGCTGTCATCCATTCAGTCGATAACTATAAAGTAATTGTCCACCAGCTTCATGCTGGCTCCGGGGATGTGATGTTCTACAAACACAAATACTCCGCCTTACCTTCTTTTAGCTCACTCTTCATGTATAGACACAGATGTCAAATTACAACTGTAATAAGCAATTCAAAGATGTGGCTCAGGGTGTTTGAGGGCATTTAATAGAGAGATGTGATCTAGTCTGTGGAAGATTTCTCTGAGCTAAGACAAGTAGGAGCTGACAGGTGAAGGGGGAAGGAGAGAGAGGGAGAGGGTGTGAAGGGGGAAGAAATAGTATTCACTCCAAGCGGAGACAACAACATGTGCAAAGGTCTTGTGGCTTTTATGCATCCTCCTCCCATCCTGAGGACTAAAAGGGGGTCTGTGTCACAGGGGCTCAGACCGAGAAGGGGACAGGTGTAAAACAAAAGCCACAGGTCTGTGTAGGCAGGACCAGACCATCCAGAGCTCACTGTGGGATGACCATAATTTATTATCTAAACTACCACAATTTTGAGGGTGCTGACATGTAAAATGGGATAATTCATTGGGACAGCGGGTGGGAAACAGAACTGTCTTGGCCAAACCAAAGTGCTGGTCAGACTATTTGTGGACCAGATTAAGGATTTTGGTCCTTATTCTAAGAGTGATGGGAAGCTATAATACATTTTAGCAAAGTAGGGGAGGGGTGTTATGGTCAGGTTTCATATCTATTTATTTATATATTTTCATTTCTTTTTTAGAGACAGGGTCTTTCTTTGTTGATCAGGCTGGAATGTGATGGTACCATCATAGCTTACTTTAACCTCAAAATCCTGGGTCCAAGTGATCCTCCCACCTCAGCTTCCTGAGTAACTAGGATTACAGTTGTGTGTCACCACACCCAGCTAACTTTTAAGCTTTTTTGTAGAGATGGGATCTCACTATGTTGCCCACACTTATCTCAAACTCCTGGGCTCAGGTGATCCTCTCACCTCAGGCTCCCAAAGTTCTGGAACCATAGGCATGAACCATCACTCCCAGCCAGGTTTGCATGAACCACCACTCCCAGCCAGGTTTGCATTTTTATAGGATCACTCTGAGTTTAGTTGATAGGATTGGACTAATATCCATTTCCTGAATGTTATGCATGTGGTTATGTAGAATATTATCATGGGGAAAGCTATGTGAAAGGTACACGGAAATCTCTGCCATGATTTGACAACTTCTTGTGAGCCTAAAATTATTTTAAAATTTAAAAAAATATAATTAAGTTTACCCTGGTTGCTGAAAGTAGATAAGAGATAGGCCAGCCAGAAACACAGAATTCAGAGAAGAGGATAGTTCTATAGACCAGGCTAGAGTTGAGGGTACAATAGTATGGAGGCATTGGAAGGAAGTGAACTGTTTGAAGAGATATTTAAGACATAAAACTAATGGGCTACTCTGGACTTATTTCTTTGTGCTTCCCAAGAGGTTCTGCCAAGAGGATCTGTAAAATGCCAAACATGTGAACCTAATGGTTTCAAAGTGGAAGAAATGAGTTTCCATGATAAATGAACAAACAAAAAACAAGCATGACAAGCTAATGGCACCAACTCACAGTGCTAGGGAAGGAGAAGATGTTTTAAAACTGTGTATTCTCATTAGGAAGCAGAATATTCATTTCTCCGCTTTGTCAAGTGCCGTCGAGGAAGACAGTGCTGGGGGAATTCAAGGAAGACTGCAAACTTGCCACTTGATCCAGGAACACAGGCAGTCAGGCAAGTGGGAGAAGGAGAGGCTGAGTATGAACCAGGTGTGTGCTGCTGTGCGGAGCAGAAGTCAGGCCCACTGTGGCAGCCTTTTCTAATGTGCAGTTTTCCTCCCGTTAACTGGAAACTCTCTTCTTCCTAGGGCAGCCAGGGTAGTGGCTGGAAAAGGCAAATTCACTCACCTTATGTTCTGTCTTCTAGGGAAACAAGATAGTGATTCCCCTAAGCCAAATGCTACAGAATGGGGGAATATAGGCCTTGAATTTACTGCCTAAAAATGATCAAAATATCCTCTTTTTGTGGGCAGAGAAAAAACAGTGAAAAGATTTGACACAGCATTTTTAGATTGTTAAGGAGTGTAAGATAGAGAGGGTTGTGTGCTCAAAGTAAGCTGCTTTTGGGAAAAAAAGTGCTTGAGAGTTATATTTGGAAGGACATATTTTACATTACTCAGCATAAGAGAGAACACACCAGTATTGGAAGACCTCTAAGAAGAAATATTTTGGTATTTACTTATTTTCCTTATTTGCTTTATGTCTTTGGGAATTTTCTAAACTTCAGCTTTTCTTTGTCATGTGTCTTCTTATTTCTTGTAAATCCTTCCCAGCTGGGCAGCAGGTCACAGTCTTGATAAAATAAATCACCTTTACTGGATATTGAATTGTCCTTCACTTATTAACCATCAGCAGGAAAATGTTGTCTGCAATATATTTTATAGCATGGAGAAGGGGGGAGTCAAGAGAAAAAGATTTTTTATTTTTATTTTTTTTGCTTCAAGGTAGTTTTTGGGCCTGCATTTCTCATGATCAATAGCATATAAATTGTAGTATGACGTGTGGGCTAATGGGGGCCACAGTGTGGGTAGTAGGGCCTTTGGGGATGTGAAAACATGGTGATGTTGGCTATAGTAGGGCTGTAACTTTATTCTTCATAGTTTCCAAAAACTACTCCCACCCCAAAAATGCAGTTTTTGTGTTTTTGTCACAGTAGATACATGAGTAAAACAAATGCATAGTGATGTATAATATTGGAATGATTTCTAAACTCTACTCCCCAAATAAAACTACACACACAGACGTATTGAATTGCTCCCTGCTTATTAAGTGGTTATATTCTGAAGATCACTTGTTTGAAACTTGAATGAGTTTTTACTTCATTAAAGAATTTTTAAATTTTTAATTCAGCAATGGAAGGAGGGAGAGAAGGGATGAGAGACAGGAACTTTCTAGTTTAAAGTGAGAGGAGCTAACTTGAGCGGCAGACACTCAGCAAGTGGTGTAAGCATATTGCGGTAATGGCAGATCTCTGAGAAGTCTAAAAACAGGGATCCTCATAGGTAGAATGCTATCCCTGTGCCACATCCCTTTTCTCTCTGCCTGCTAAATTTCATCCTGTCCCTTCTGCAAGCCAGTTTTCTGTGTCTCCTGCCCCATCGCAGAAGGTAGCTGCCACAGAGCTCAAGGTTTGTCACTTTGGTTCAAGAACATATTTTAAACCCAATTATAATCTCTGTGATAAATTAAAATTACCAAAGAAGGACTCTATCTTCTGGTTTAGCTGATTTGGTCAGAAGGCAGAGCTATGCCATGACATGTGCATGCTGTGGGCCCAGCCTTGTAGGTCAGAAAGCAATTTTCAGGGAAAGGCACTTGCTAAGAATTGGTGAATTCTCCCAGAGGGGCCCAATACACATACAGGTCAGAGGGGAGGCCAGAATGAAAGGGGGACAGGGAGGGAGAGGACAGCAGCCAGACAACATGGATGGCTTAGGACAGCCCAGATTTCCTTTTCAATGCCATTGTAGAATATTTATACTTTATTATATTATATTATATTATATTAATTATTTTAATTTATTTTATTTTTTTGAGATGGAGTTTCACTCCTGTTGCCCAGGCTAGAATGCAATGGCATAATCTTGGCTCACCACAGCCTCCGCCTCCTGGGTTCAAGCAATTTTCCTGCCTCAGCCTCCTGAGTAGCTGGGATTAAAGGAATGTGCCACCATGCCTGGCTAATTTTGTACTTTTAGTAGAGATGGGGTTTCTCCATGTGGGTCAGGCTGATCTCGAACTTCCAACCTCAGGTGATCTGCCCGCCTTGGCCTCCCAAAGTGCTGGGATTACAGGTGTGAGCCACCGTGCCCGGCTGAATATTTATACTTTATAATTAACTCCCCCCACACAATTTTGAAAGTTTTATGACCTTATAGTAGAAAGTTGAGAAAAGCACCAAAAAGAATAAAGAGAAAAAAATACATTATCCGTAACATTACTACGTTTAGGAGTATTTCCTTCCAGCCTTATCTCTATGTACATAGCTTTGTAGAACTTTTAACATAAATAATTTCACAAATCAGGGAGTAAGGTTGTTTTATATTTCACAGGTGGCTGTCAACCTTTGGTGCAGTAAGCATGTTCATTTTCAGGGCAGGGCCCACCACAGTGATGAGGCAACTACAACACTCAGTCCTCAACGAGTCTAAGAAAACAGTTTGTACTTGTCAGAGCTCACAGAAATTCACCCAGCCTTCTATTTGTTAAAATGACTCAAGTCTTCTGCTGAGCAAGCTGTTGCTGAGTGTCATTAACTGGATGTGTTACTCAGTAATGCATACCAGGGTGATTCCCACTCTACTGGCAAGTGGCCCTCCTGTTGCATCGCCATCCATGGATGAAGCTTGGTTGCACACATTTATTCACAAGTTCTCATCCTTGTATTTCGTGAGGGCCATGGCCCAGTCCGATGACCATATCACCCAGTGCTCCTTGCGTGGGCCACTTTGCGAACACATGCTCTGTGAGGGGCCCGCAGCCCTGGAAGCTGCCATATGGCTAATTAGAATATTTCAGACCATCACCCTAGGACTGTTCTCTAAGAGGCTATGAGACTAATCACATCTTTTCTAACATGTTTTCCCTTAGCTAACACCAGAAATTTAAGCAGCGCTGGAAATCCATTAGTACCCAAATCTCTTAATCTCACACGTCTCAGCAAACTCGTATGTGGCCCAATTTCTCATCCCCTCTCATCCTCTGAAAATCCTTTCAAATTCACAGTCTGTCATCATCAATCTCTCCTCTTCTTGGAATATACCACTTAATAGCCTTCCCTGCATATAGACCCCATTCTGAGGATTTTGCATCCCTGCAGCCCTTTCAAATAGATGTGTTTTTGCTCACTTCTTTGGATTCCTGCAAATTCATGGCTTGGATTTGAGGGTTGTATTGTCCCTGCTTTCTACTACCATATTTGGGTCATTTTATTCCTTCTCCATGGTTAGGTAAGAGGCAAACGTTGCTTAGAGTGGGGTGGAGTGGTGGAAGTGATGAGAAATTGTCAGATTTAGAATATAATTGATAGGGAAACCTACCAGAAGTCTCTCATTGATTGGATATGAAACTTTCAGGTTCAGTCCTGAATAAACACTTCCTGCTGCTGCTTCTTGCTGTCCTCAAATAATTGTTCTTCTAGTCTCCTCAGTCATTGAAGACTTTGACTCCTGGTTCTTTGGCTCAGTCATCTTCCATCTCTGTGCCTGCTATCATACCTCATACCCCAAACCTCCTAGGAATTTCCCAACACCCTGGCCTTCAGTAACTGCACTTCCTTTATCCCCAGTGATCTTTTGCGTTACTCCATCTCCACTCCCATATTACATCTTGAACCACCTACAAAGTCACAATGAAATCACCCCACAAGCAGATCACAACTCCTCTCTTACTAGAGGATTTGGCAAGTATCCTCAACATTATTGAGACCTTCAGCTCTTTGGTTCCATCACCACCTTTCCTGTCCCTTGTCCAGTTTACACCTTAAAAGAAATCCATACTTTTCACCACTGCACAACAATTAAACTAGAATCATTGGGATGGGCCTCAGGTGTCAGCATATTTCAACTCTACTTGGTGATTATAATGTGTACCGAGGGTTAAGAACCATTGCTCCATATTCTGAACATCAAATACCCAGTTCTCTAGTCAAGTTGACAGGTGGGAAATCTCTATTAGTTTGTTAGTAAGTATTAACATGGATTTTAACAGGACTATGATGAAAATGGAGTATCTTTTTTTTTTAATTTAAAAGTAAACTTTAATGTCAAAAACGCAAACTTGGGGAGGGCAGAAAGATCACACACAAGGCTGTCACTTCACACTTGGAGGGTTGCACAGCAGCTGGGCAAAGGCGCTCCTCACTTCCCAGACAATGGGGCGGCTGGGCAGAGGTGCTCCTCATTTCCCGGGTGGTGAAAATGGGTTATCTTTTAAAGGCTGTACCTTCAGAAATAGGGAGAGCTTAACAGGAGATATTTTGGGGCAATGATTCACACCTCTTTCTATAAAAGGTTGCCTCCTCCCCAGGGGCCCCTTAAAGGCTGAATCTCTGTCATTATTCTCTAAGGCATTGGTTCTCAAATGACGCACTGAGGGCATAGTCACTGAAATCGATATTTGGATGACTTCCAAATTCATATCTTCATATATCTTCATCCCTGACTTCCTCTGACCTTTAGACTTTTGCATATCCCGCTACCTGCTTGACATCTCCACATGTCTGTCAATAATTCTAACCTAAAATGACCCAAACAGAGCTTTTGATTTTTCCTCTACACAAACTTTTGCCTTGGTCTTCCCCATTGCATCTAATGGTGGTATATATTATCAGCAAAAGCTAACTAAGAGTCTTTCTCGAGATTGCCTTTGACTCCTCAGTTACCCTCTTCACATCCAATCCATTGGTGACTTCAAGTAAGTCTACCTCACAAATGTATCCCAAATCTAAGCATTTCACATCACTTCTACTTCTACCACTCTGCGTCCAGCGATTTGCACTTCTTGCCTAGATGAATACAAACCACTCCTGACTGGTCATCCTGTTTTCCCTTTTGCAGAGAGTACCTTTGCTGCAGTGCAGTGCTTCCTCTGTGCTCGGTGCTGCCTTTGTGCTCACTCTTCTCCCCCACTATCTTCAACTCCCTGCCTCGCGTTTTTATTACCCTTTTTTTTTTTTTTTTGAGACAAAGTTTCACTTTGTCGCCCAGGCTGGAGTGCAGTGGTGCAATCTCAGCTCACTACAACTTCTGCCTCCCAGGTTCAAAAAATTCTCCCGCCTCAGCCTTCTGGGTAGCTGGAATTACAGGCACGCTACTACTGCCTAGCTAATTTTTGTATTTTTAGTAGAGACAGGGGTTTCACCATGTTGGTCAGGCTGGTCTCGAATGCCTGACCTCAAGCATTCCACCCACCTTGGCCTCCCAAAGTGCTGGGATTACAGGCATGAGCCGCTGTGACTGGCCATATTTTTATTACTTCTTTTCTCTTTATTCAGGTCTCTGTTCAAATGTCACTAATCAAAGAATGACTGACACCTGCCTAAAAGATCCACCATTCCCCGCAGTCTCTGGCCCCTTACCCAACTTTGCTTCTTCACATCACATTCAAGGGTGAGCTGGGGCTGGCTCATACTGCTCCAGAGAGTTAACTGTACACATCTCTTTCCAACTCCTCATCCGGTGACATCACATTGTTAGACTGAAATTGTCCAGGATGGGTGCACTTACACTATGGCAAAAGCTACAAATCACATCCTTCCGACTCCCAAGCTTGTTCAACATTTATACCACTGCTTATGGCGACGTGAATTCAGATTTAAACTTGTATGTTTGGGTCTGACTCCCACAGTAGAATTTAACCTCCGTGAGTACAGGGAACTTGGGATGTCCTTTACATATGATTACATCCTGTCTATGGCAGTATCTGGACATAGTTTGCATTCAATCAATATGTATTGGGTGGTAAATGGATGGTTGAATGGATGGATGGATGCATGGATGGATGAAATTCAGATTTTGATAGTCCCATCTCAGTTTTAGACATAAAAAATAAAATTTTTTGAAGAGTAGAATTTTTTTTTAATTTTTGCCCTTTTATATTTGCCTTATACTACTGGCCTCTGTGATAATCCTCTGCTCTGAGCACAGGTTTTATTCTTTTTTTTTTTAAACATGTGCAGATACATGTGTTTCTTTTTGTAGGTAATCTATTTGTCATTTTTTGCTACTAACATGTTTCTTACCTTCATGTATATGTGTATATTAAACCTATGAATTTTTTTTATATTCTTCAAGATAGCTATTAATCTGGAAACCCTGGGAAACATATGCAATGAATAGTATGCTGATACTACATCACATTGCATGATATGTTCAGTGACATAACATGATAAGTTTAATGTGCTGTCCCTTATGAGCACTGCCTAGCAGGATGCACTGTGCAAACTGTAACAAATGCAGTCATTAACACAGCATGTCCATCAGTGTACCACACAATCTGTGATGCATTGCCTTGGAGGATTTGTGTCTCTGATTTTCAATGAATAAGCCTTCACCTTTAGTATACCTTAGAAGGTGGGATCAAGCAAGTTGAGATCTGACGAGCCTGCAGCCCACTCTACACTACCTCCCATCTAGTTGTAGAAATCATCATTCACCTGTCCCTCACTGCTGTGACATGGAGAGATGTTGCACCATCCTGCAGGGATCATTCTGGTGTCCTCCTAGCCTGTCAAGTGTGGGCACTAATTAATCACAACACTGTGAAATCTGTCAAGAAGTCCCTTGTGTTTTCAGACATTGCAGCCACTTGAACAAAGAACACAGTGACCTCTGGGTGCTTTTGTCTCTGAGCACATTAGAGAACCCTTTTCCTAAAAGAGGATTACTTGGGAATGCAAGAGCTGAATGACTCCACCTTGCATATACACAGTGCAGATGGTGGCTGGAGGGGGTATTGTTAATTGGTAGGCACAAAGATGCTAGGGACTTTCCAAAGAACAAAATACCTCTGGAAAAAAAGCATACTAGTATAAGACCTGCTAAGGACAGCCATGCAAACTGCCCAGGCCTCTCTGACTCTGGCTCACACAGCCTACTCTGGATGGGATGAAGATGATTTGCATGAAAAGGAGGAGTTGGGAGTAGCCTTGTCTCCTGCTGCCTTCTAACTGACCAGAAGCTTATCCTATCCCTTTGTGTCCCTAAAGGCATCATTTGTCACAACATGGTCCGTGGGTCATCTGCATAAGATCATCTGCAATACTAGTTAAAATGCTGCTTCCTGGGTCCCATCCCAGACCTACTGCATCAAAATCTCAGTAAATCTTAGTTCCCTCCCCTCCCCCATTTCCTTTCCCTGAAGCCCTAAAGAATGTTTAGATCCCACTTTGGGAGGCCGAGGCGGGCGGATCACGAGGTCAGGAGATCGAGACCATCCTGGCTAACATGGTGAAACCCCATCTCTACTAAAAATACAAAAAAATTAGCTGGGCATGGTGGCGGGCACCTGTAGTCCCAGCTACTCTGGAGGCTGAAGCAGGAGAATGGCGTGAACCCGGGAGGCTGAGCTTGCAGTAAGTCGAGATCGCACCGCTGCACTCCAGCCTGGGTAACAGAGTGAGACTCCGTCTCAAAAAAAAAAGAATGTTTAGATCCTTTTTAAAATTCTATTCATTAGTCATGGCTTACAATTATTAGGTTGAACCTTATGAAATTGCTACTATGCAACCACAGTTAAGTGGCAAAAAATGGCAATTTAATGTGGTTCTATATAACTTTAAAGTCCAGGCTCTGTCCCAGGTGCTGGAAATGTAAAGACAGGAAAGATAGGAGTTGACAATGTGGGTGGAGAGATACGGGTACAAAGATGGATAATCTAGCATGGTTAAGTGTCATGGGTGCTGTGCTACTTTACTTAACAGCTGGCAAATTTGGGAGGACATTTGAACACCAGTATTATGAAATATGGATAACCTTAAATTATATAGATACATTCTCAGATAACAGATTGATAAGAGAACATATTTTGGTACTCACTGAGCTTGATATCAAGAAGAAATATGTACAGTAGAGTAATAATTTTCTGTGGTGTGGACCTGAAGATGGAGTGAATAAAATATCAAAATTACCTGAAGGTCTTCTTTGAATTATGTATTTCTCTTCCCAGTGGAGCATCCTATATTCCTCTAAGCAAGAGAGCCCACTCCACCTTATCCCCCTTAGAAACATTGCCTGAAGGAGTTCTTGTTAATGAGGGGAATTAGTCATGATCTTCAGGTGTGTGGGTACAAAAAAAAAAAAAAATCTGCTCACTTCCAGAATGACAAGTCAAAGATAGGTGCTGTGTCTGACCCAGTTGGTCATTTTTATGTTGCTATATTCTGACATATTTATAGCTGTATATATACTTTAATAAGTGTTTTTTTTTCCATGGGGTAAAAGAATGTGGTTGTAGGAGATAACAAGGAATCCATTTGATCTAATGGTCTTAGTGATTTCATTCACAGGTAAATAGAATTAATGGAATTGACAATGGTTAAAAAATGTCATAGGTAAATATTATAATCTGATTGAAAAGATGTATGAACAGCTAGAGTGGCTTGTATGAAGCAGGTGACTAGAATAGTACCTAAGTAAAACCATTTTTGCAGTGTTGCATGAGAAGTGTGGAAACAATATAACTTCTGAGGATGTGAGCTGGCTGCTGAGATGAGGAAGAAAACACAGGTGCAATAAGCATAAGAAACAGAATGCTTCAGTGATACAATGTCTTGTTTTCCAAATGTACTTTTAAGATTTATATTCATCTCTTCATTCAAAAAGAAATCACTGCTTACTCTTGTACTAGGGATTTTTGCCATCTCTGAACTCTTATTACCTTTATTATTTAATGCCACCCAAGTTAGGTGCATCAAGGATTATTGTTATAGGGCATTCATTACCTCATTCTTGGCTTGTCAACTTGTTTATAAGATCTTTACAGACAGATTGTGTATCTTACTCGTCTCCTCTTTCTTATGCATTGTCAGGGGGTATCCAGAGCCACTGTTGTAAGTCAAAATAATAGAATATTATGGCAATTACAGAGGATCCAACTTAAGGCAAAATGAAGTCTTAATAAATATTTGTGGAATGGAAAGAGAGGAGGAAGAAAAGAAGGCTAAGTCTTCCAATGTTTGAAATACCATGTGTTCTTTTGGTAAAACTTAGTCTGGCCAGAGGAAAGGACCTTTGAGGGGAGATTAGTTCTCTGCACATTCTTGAAGATGAGGAGACGAAGAGCTGCTTTTCATTACTAAAATGAGAGCTAGAATTTATTATCCTCAATTTCAACAAAAAGTCATTTACCTCCAAGCTACAAAAAAATTGCTAGTCAGCTCAAGGTAGTTGTGAATAACTTGCTACTGCTGTGATCTGATGTAATTCTTAAATGATTCCGTTTTGCCCCATGAAAAGCCATCCTTGATATGTATGGCAGCTAGTATAATTTTAAAAACATAATAATTTGCTGGCCAGGGATCATATATTTTGAGAACTCCAGTGAAGAGAGTGTCTGTAGGGCACAAGAGTGGAAGTTTGCTTTCTAACACCCGGAAGCTAAACCATGTGACTCTTAACAATGCCCATTGGATTTGCTTCTGAAACCATATATGTAAAACCAAAGACCGCACAAAGGTTTCTAGAATTATAGCTGATATCTACTGATGTTCTTTTAAATTGTTTTCCATAAAATGTATGGCCTACTTACAGGATGGGACAGAAAGGGCAGATACCAGTAAAAGGTAGTTTGAAAAGAAAGTGAGATTAGTATTTCAAATGACTAGCTATTCTTCCCCAAAGTTAACATGCATAGCATTTTATCAGTTGTTAATTGCAAACTGAAGAATCACCTTGTCAAAAGACAGCTATCTTTTCCATTCTGGCTCTAGATTTTCTTAATTATTTTTTCCCCATTGGTATCAAGGAGAAGGCCATCTGTCTTGGCAGAAATAAATTAATGGCTGCCATTGACCATATTACAATGCTTGGTTAAAATATGGCTACTCCATCTCTGTTCCTGGCAGCTTAGCCCACTTGTTCAATTAGGTCCCTTTCACACCCATAAAGATTCTCAAATGTCAAAAGTCATGGAATTATTTCATCTTTGAAAGACCTTCAAAGACCAGAGCAACCTATACACTTTATATGCTTTATTACAAATAGCCTGGGGCCATGGATTCACAGCCCAGGGGACCTGTTTCATAGAATTTTTTTTTTTCCCCAGTGACTTGGCCTTGTGTTCTTTTTAAAGATCAAAAGAGAAAAAGTTCCATAAACTTCTCATTATTTCTAGGAGATTCTTTCTTCTGACACATTTATTTTTTAAAAGGTACACAACTTCTCATTTCTCTCTATTGCTAAGAGACATAAGAAAGGAGAAACAAGGAAAATTGATAAATTCTCAATAATTTAGATTATATTAATTCTGTTGAAATTTCTTTGATTTTTCCCTGCACATAACTGATTATAAGGCAGGATCATAGAAATGGGAAAGTGACCTTGTATTTTATTTTTATTTTTATGTTTTTTGAGATGGAGTCTCACTCTGTCACATAGGCTGCAGTGCAGTGGCAAGATCTTGGCTCACTGCAGCCTCAACCTCCCAGGTTCAAGCAATTCTCCTGCCTCAGCCTCCCGAGTATCTGGGATTACAGGTGACCACCACCACGCCCAGATAATTTTTGTTTTTGTTTTTGTTTTTTTTGGAGAGATAGGGTTTCACCATGTTGCCCAGGCTGGTCTCAAACTTCTGACCTCAAGTGATCTGCCTGCCTCGACCTCCCAAAGTGCTAGGATTACAGGCGTCAGCCACCATGCCTGGCCATGGCCTTGTATTTTAAAGAAAGCATATATGTCATAGCACATTCTCTTGGAAAGAGAAAATAAATCTTTTCGGACTAAAACAGAAAACACTTGGTAGTTTTAGTCTTGATAACACCATATAACAGGCCTCCTGCCTTAGCAAATCAGCTATGCCTGTCTTCTTATGTACCAAAAAAGAACCTGATACTCATTGTATTATTTTTGCTGGAATGCTATGAGAAGAATTGATTAATGATGGTGCAATAGGATTTAATCTTTCAGAATGAAAGCTGCACTATAAGATGGGGGTGCATGATTCAGGTTCCTAGTATGTGAGTAAAGACCTTAGGCTCTGAATGCTTACTTACTACATTCTGTTACTAAGAATTAGAATGCAATGACAGAATCATTCGTGTACATTTAGAATTGGTATGTTTATATAGGAACTCTACATCTTTGAACATTTGTTGGGAGCCTTAGAGAATAGCATGTTGCTATTACTCTATAGATAGAATTTCACTCCACTGCTTCACAGCATTAAAAACCAAATGTCTGTGATGGTACTTGCTATATTTTTTCTTAACCAAATTATGAAATTCAAATATTTGATTTCAACAAAAAAAAAATGCAATAGACCCATATAATTCAGCTTATCCTTCAATCATGCTCTTTAAATATTCCAAGAATCTATTATTTGCTAATATTAAAATCTAGAGTTTTTGAATGTTTGATTCAAATGTTTGTACTTGAAGGAATAAAATGTTTAGATATCTGAGTATAGCCCATATTATATAGTGTTTATTAACTTTAGGGGCAAAATTGTTTAAACATATGCATCCCGTGCTACAGCATGAAATTCATCATAAGAATGGTCCATTCTATCCAAGGAAGTTGATTATTGGTATAATGAGCATATTTGTTTGCTAGGGCTGCCATAATAAAATACCACAGACTGAGTGGCTTAAAGAATAGAAATTCATTTTCTTACAATTCTGAAAGATAGAAGGTTGAGATCAACATGTAGGCAGGATTGGCTTCCTCTGCAACCCCTCTCCTTAGCTTCAGATGGCCACCTTCTTGCTGTGTGTTCACACAGTCATCTTTCTGTGCATCCACTTGTCTCTCTCTGGTAATGTCCTAATCTTTTCTTCTACAAGGATACCAGTCATATTGGATTAGGGCCCACCCTAACCACCCTATTTGAACATAATTACCTCTTTAAAGATCCTATCTCCAAATATAAGCCCATTCTAAAGTACTGGGGGTAATGTATGAACTTTACCCCATAATAATGAGGGAAATTCTTTCTATGTCAGTCTGATTAGAACTCATCCCTATAGCACAGACATTTAGCAGAGCATTAATGCAGCACACAAGCTTGGTACTTACTTCTTCTTTAAGCCTGCATCTCAAGTTGTCCTGAATCTGGAGCATAAAGGACATGAGAAATCTCAAGCTAACGAGGACTCCAAGGCCAGAAAAGTTTAGAGGAAGTTCAAGAAGTTCAGCTACACAATAGCAGCAGCTGGATTTAAACCCAGGTATGTTGAGTGTGAGTCCATGTACTATGTGAAAAATTAAAATTGTCCTACTGGCATATTAATAATTTGGGTTCTTTATGATGATAAAATGAAGAGTGGGGGATCAGAAAACAAATTGAAAAGAGGCCTGAGTTCTAGCTATGGCCACAGGAAGTCTGTTGATCTATGACCAAGCCCCTAAAGGATCTGACAATGTTTGTTGTTTGGTATTTATTATAAAAATGTCACTTATGTCTCTCTAAGAGACACCTAGGATCATGAGGGCAAAACAGGGTGACAGTATTTAACGAGTGCCCCTTCTGTTCCTGTGGCAGTGAGACCCGGTAGGGATATACCTCTGCCAAACAGAAGCCTGCTCCCTGTCACTTTTGGAGATGAAATCAACTTTATCAGCCACCCGTGTAGCCAGAAGAGAAACTCTTAACCTAAAGAGCATAACCCTTCATTTTACAAATGAGCTGTTTCAGACTCAGATAGGGAATGTATTCAAAATTTCCCATTTTCTTATTAGCGGAGCTGGAATTGAGACTACCATCTTGTTTTATTTTACCAAATTTGGTTCTTCCTTTCATTTCACCTCATAATTCCAGTAATATATATGAAAATATTGTTTGTTTTTGCTTCTAAATGCAACTTCAACCTGTGGTTTCCTGCATCTTCCTCTACAATTCATGATCACCTAAAAACCAAGTGAAGGCATTAACTTTCTTTTGAAACATTTACCAAGACATTTGTGCCAAAGGGCAAAATCATCATGAAGCTCGAGCCTTGTGCTGAAGTGTATTCACTTCAGCTGTTTGCACTTGGCCTGTTAAAGGAAAGGAAAAGCATGGCCTTGTGAACCTGCAGACTGGGATTGATTCCCAACTTAGCCGCTTACTTGGTGTGCGATCACAAATTAAATTCCTAGTCTGTTTGCTTCCTTATATGTAAGAGTAATAATAATAGTAATTACCTAGCCAGATAACCATAAGGAACAGAAAAAACATATATGTCAGGAGTTTAACACCAGGCACACTCAAGACAGTTGGTAAATGGTACCTGTCTTTCCTCTGCTTTTCTGTTGGGGCTGCAAGAAATAATGGCTATTTCGGTGGACAGAAGGTGTGATTTTCCACCCTCTGTCCTGATTGAAGGCCCACACCTCTTAATTCTTGGAACTTCAGATACTTGAGACTCTGTAAAATGAAAAACTTATCCTACCTAGTTCTGACAGATACAGTAATCAGCAGTGTGTTCTCAAGAGCAAGATGCCTTGAGAAACAACAAATACTATATAAAGTGTCAAATAGGAAGCCTGACTAGCCATTCATTTTGTTTATAAAATTTATGTCCCAATTTTCACACTCTGATTAGCATATAAAATCAATTTTTGGAACTGAACTAGAAAATAAAATATCAGTTCTAATTACTTCACTTAGCAAAGCAATTCTTAAAGATGGCAATAATTTTCATAACAGGCAATTGATTATCATAGTAATGTGAGCAGTGAATAATTATTTGAACTCAGCTTTTAATGGATCTTTTAATGGCAACATAGAATATGCAAAAGTAAAGATATGTATGTACAATCAATATATCATCAGGCAAAAATTTTTATTTAACTTTTTTGTGGTTCTTTAGTCTATACATTTTTTATAGAACAAGTGGCGGATTTAAAATCAAGGAATTTTACAGTGCAGGTAAAGTACATAAAGGATTAAGGGGATTAGTGTAATTGCTGACTTCTACCTCTCTCTGTACATGAATGGTAATATCCAAAATTTTCGCTTGCAATTATCCAACTAAAGGAAAGCAAAAGGTACACCCAGCCCAGCTAAAGCACCCAATTAATAGTCAAATAAGAATTACTAGCAATCTAATAATTCAGATTTGGCTTATATTTCTGTTGTCAAGTGTAGCAATTTGCTTGTTTGAAGCCAATTTTTTTGCTTTGATTAAGAGTGAGAGGGGTAAGAGACTATAACGCAGTGATTATGGCTCAGAAAGTAGATTGCCTTCATTTGTATCCCAATACCACTGAGACATTCCATGGATACCAGGAAGGGTTGGGCAGGTTATTTTACTGCTCCGTGTCTAGATTTGGGCACTTAAACAATGGGAATGACAACAAGCTTGCACCACTGGGCCGTGTGAAACTTAAGACATTTTATGCAAAACACTTAGCACAATGAATATCACACAATTAGTACTCAGCAAATGTGTGTCATTATTATAGGAGGTAGTGAATGACCTCAAGTAAATGGACCTGAGTTTGGCTTTCTATTCTTTTTGATTCACAGTAGAGACCCAGCTCAGCCACATGCTGTAAAGGAGCAAACCTGATCCTTCTTACCAAGATAAAAAAATCTAACATCAATCAGTTCACTGTTTTCTGCACTGCAGCAGTGTGAGGGGCACCCTAATTCAGGAATTTTGCTAATTATTTTCTGGCAAGGCATCTGCTGCTCCACATGCTTCATTACTGCGATTCCACCGTTAAAACGGGCAGCAGCCTCCTTCAAGGGGGTAGTTATCACTGGAGAACAGCTTGATAACCAAGCCCAATCTACATATACTCAATAAAAGGAAATTCTTTTTATATGCATATACGGAGAAATGGTCAAAGGTAGTGCTGAGGGACAGAAGGAGCATGAACTTGGGAGCTGGACAGTCGTGGTCTTGAATCTCCACTTTGCCAATGGCCACCTATGAAATGTCAGACAACATATTCAACTCTCGTGATCAATAGCTTTTAAAATCTGGGTGATAATATCTATTTGCTGGGAAGTTTCAATTAAATAAGATGATGAACATAAAAGTGCCCGAGCTAGCATCTGTCGCATGGCATGCCCTCCATGACAGATACTTTACCACCACCGTGAGCACTTCCAATTCAGCTTTCAAAAGAAATGTCTAATACGACAGTGCCAGCTTTATATGTATTCATTCACGTGATCCTCTGAAAAGCCCTATGAAACAGGAATCATTATTATCCCCATTTTACAGGTGAGAAACCTGAGACACAAAGTGACTGAGAGACTTGGTCTAGGTCAAACGACCATTAAGTCACAGAGCCAGGCTTTGAATCCAAGCAAGATGGCTCCAGTGTCCACACACATAACCATTGAAATAAACCATCTCTCAACGGATCACTAACGGCCTTCTTCTCTTGCCTTTTCTTCTGATAGCAAATTGAGTCCCTCCTATAGCCCTTATCACAGCGCCTTCTACTCAATCTGCGTATGCACATAGGAGGTTGCAAAGTCCTCCCTTGTGTCTTTAATTTTTTTCCCTTCTATATGGAGTGCTTCACAAACTTGGGTGTCATCCTTGCACAGGGCCATCCGAATCTTCTCTGTAGCATTCCAGTTTGTACTGTTGAAACAAGCACCTTCCTTGTGTGTTAATCACTTTCATTTCCACACAACACCCAGTGCAGTCCCTCACTGTGTAGGGGAGCAAAATCAATATGATATAAAAATGTTGGCAAAGGAGATTTGAGAAGTTTTCTCTTGCATGGTGTTCAGCAATGCAGTCTGATTGGCTCTAAGGACTTATATATGATTATGGAAAATGTTGAAAGTAAGTAGGAAGATGCTAGATTGTCACCACTCTCAATTCTACTAGTAATTCAGTGGTGGCTGACAAGGTGACAGAGTGTGGCTAATGTGGATAGTAGCTGTAGAAAGGTAGGACCGTTGAGTCTTTCTGTGTGACTTCACTTCCACACTCTATTTGTTGAGCTCGTCAAGGCCATGGCTTTTCCTCGTCGTGGAAGAAAGCAGAGAGCATTAACATTCATTGCTAATGCATTAAAGGCCCCAAGCCAGGCTTCAAACCCAGCCCCCAGTGACTCCGTAGCCTTTCCTCTTCCGATGTATCATACCCTCTGCTGACTAATGACCTCTTCAGACTTCAGGACCTGGGATTTATCTAAAAAAGAGGGAGAAAAGTACCTAAACATTATCATCCCCTGCTTTTTTGCCTGGAGCAACTCTGAAAAGAATTAACTTCCAATCTCCTATGAAACTCTAGGAGCTGCTAGTCAGAGTAATAGAAAGTGCACTTCTGAACTAATTCTGGGAAGACTTAATTTGTGGAGGCTTTGTATTCATCCTGCCAGTAAACATTAAAGGAAAATTCAGAGCAAACAAGGGCACGTTTTAGATTCATAATTATTTCAAAAAAGAGCTGGCAAGGAGTCCCATTGCTGGGTAATCAAAGTTTCATTTCTTGAGACCAGAATTTTCCCTCCAGAGAGAACCTTTTGGAAAAATGGTTTCAAGCAGTATACCTCTACAGTGATGGATTTGCCCGTGAAGGGCTTAGTCCACAGCTCTGGTGTCTAACCCTGCATTGGGTATTGACATGCTGTCTCACTCTGAGCAAGTCATTTGACCTCCCACCTTGGGTCACCCATCTGTGAGGTGAAGGAAAGCTTCCAGACCTCCCCTAGAAGCAGAGCAAATAGCAGGGTAAAAGAAACACTTATTATTATTTTTTTTTCTGGAATACTAGAAGCCCAAGGTGTAAGGGTGAATATAAATTTGTTTACTTTATCATTAATCTCAGAATCCTTAAAAATTTTCTTTTCAAATACAGTGGACATTTTTTCTAAAACTTTCAAGTCTTAAGCACAAGTATACCAATAATTATATATATTGACTATATGATTATTGCCTCAGAATCATTATTCTAAAAACTCATTTTCTGTGTAAACAGGTAGATAGAAAATGCACCCCTGAGATAATTGGTTGCATAAAAAGACCTGAAAATTTTGTGGGGTTTTTTTGGCTGAAATTATTATATGCTCTTAAGTATTGGTTTTTGATTCTAAAAATGAGGTAGTGAACCTAATTCTGGTTAACTGGGTGCATTGGAGTGTTGGATTCTGGTTAATGGAGGCTTGCCGTATTTATTTAGAATGGAATCTTTCATTTGGTACATTGATGGTGTTTATAAGGCAGTTTTCTTTAGCTCACTGAAGAAAAAGGTGCATTTAAAAATGACTCAAGGGGAAATGTTATATTGGGCCCATTTTGTCAAGGCACTTGACTCTGAAGCTTAGAAAAACAATTGAGATGTCCTCATTAGATGTAAAGCTCCAAGGTACTATCTGAAGTCTCCCTGAGGGCACACTTTTTCTCATCACCCAGAATCTCCTTACTTGACAGTTCAGAGATGGTGGTGTTGGGGTCTACACACGTGTGACACACATGTGAGCTAAACATAGCTGCCTGGAAGAGGAAGAATTGTAATTCCTGACACTTGTGTAAATAGCATCTACTCCCACCAGCTGGAAACCCATCCAAGAAACAGCCTAACCTCCATGCCTGGGTCACTGTCCTCAAACCGAAGGACCAGGAAGATAAAGGCAAGATGCTATCTTTGCAGTCATTATTTGTCACTTTGTGTGTGGCAGTGCGTTGTGCTCCCTCCAGGGAGAAGTCGTAGTTACTGGAAGTCATTCTTGTCTGGCAGCTTTCCACACCTTTAATGGGCACCTCAGGTGACATCAACCTGTAGCCCAGCTGCTGTTGCTAAGGTTCAGCCACTTAAAACCGGTCCTGGGTTGGCTGTTTATGCCCTTAAGTGGAAAAGTAGTACCCAAGTCATCCCTGAGATTTAGAGAGGACACAATAATTGCTTTCCTTTCAATGGCAGGTGACTCATTTGCCACCATGGAGCAGAACACGTTGCTGCTCTCAGTCATAACGGGAACAACGGGAGAGGGACATGGGAGGAAACAGAAAATGTCAAAGAGCTCTGGGTTGAAAATTGCATTTTGCAGGTGCCATTAAGCTCTGTTGGGAGAGAAGATGAAAATGCTAATTGACAGATTTATTATGTTTTATTGTCTTTGAGTTGCTGAGTAAGTCATCAGATCATGTTGTTTAATCATTAATGTTAAACTTTAGAAGACTCCATCAATTGTTTGCTATTCATCTTCTACCCTCTCCACGAATCTATCTTTAACTATTAAAACCTGCCAACAAAAAAGGAGTATAAATATTTATATTTAGCCCAAGAACTGATAAAAGTCTTAATCAGCACAGCACAAGAATACTAATTATAGCCTAAAAAATTCTGTATCAGTCAACGACAATTAGGATATCTTTTATTCTTTTACCTAAAACTACACATACACTCACATACACACACACATACTTTTGCACACATATTTGCTCATTTTTTGATCTGTGAAATAAGAATAATAATAGCACATGGTACAGTGGGAGTGTGTGTGCATGTATGTCTGTGTATGTATTAAATGAGTTAATATGTGCTTAGAACATAGTATATGCTTAATACTTTCTTCTTTTTTTTAATACAGGGTCTCCCTCTGTAGCCCAGACTAGAGTACAGTGGCATAATCATAGCTCACTGCAAACTTAAATCCCGGGGCTGAAGCAATCCTCCTTCCTCAGCCTCCCAAGTAGGCTGAGAGTACAGGTGCACACGACCACAACTGGCTAATTTTTTTAATTTTAGTTTTTTGTACAGACAGGGTCTTGCTATGTTGCCCAGGCTGATCTTGAACTCCTGGCTTCAAGTGATCCTCCTGATTCAACCTCCCAAAGCCTTGGGTGATAGGCATGAGCCACTGTGCCTGGCCCTCAATATTTTTTAGCTGCTACTAATACCATATGATGCAGAAAGTTACATATCAAATAAAGTTATAATTAAGAGTTTTGCAAACTATTTTTTCTTTTTGTTAATAGATATTATATGCTTGCTACAACATGTATTTTTAAAAGGCAACACAAAACGTGTCCTTTTTTTAAATAAAAAAATTATTGATACATTTAATAAGAAAAAAAAAAAACAAAAACAATGTAAGCCAGGCATGGTGTATCATGTCTGTAAACCCAGCACTCTGGGAGGCTGAGGCAGGCAGATCACTTGAGCCCAGGGGATTGAGACCAGCCTGTGACACATGGTGAAACCCCATCTCTACAAAAAAAAAAAAAAAAAAAAATACAAAAAATAAAGTAGCTGGGTGTGGTGGTGCATGCCTGTAAACCCATATTCAGGAGGCTGAGCTGGAAGGATCACTTGAGCCTGGGATGTAGAGGCTGCATTGAGCCATGATTGCACCACTGCTCTCCAGCCTTGGTGACAGAGTGAGACCCTGTCTCAGAAAAAAAAAAAAAAAAAAAAAAAAAAAAAGGTCTTGCTTTCTTGGCCACATTCCCTCCAAAATCTGGAAAATAATGCTCAGTATTATACTCTTTATCTTTCATAGTGTCTTAGACGCTGGCCCCTCCGGTAAAAGGTTGTTCAGGGGTATATCTGGAGAGCCTTTAAAAAACTCAGATTCCTCACAAACCAGAAGAATCTCTCAGAATCCCTATTTTAAAAGATTCCACAGGTGAATTCATGAAGTTGAACAGAAGAGGGGTCTTGGGCAACCACTCCTTTTTCTCACCTTTGGGGTACAGTGTGTGTCTTCTTTAGCATTTTTTAAATTCTGGAGAATTCAGGAGTTACAAAAGGTACATAATCTGTCTTAGCATTGGATGTGATAAGTAAATTAATATACTTATTATTTCAATGTGTCATGATACAGATGTTCTCCCTTGTGTGTAACCTTAATTTTGACAATTCCAGTGGGCTTATATAGTCTGCTCATTTGCTAAGCCCATCCTCCCTTTCTGTTTCTTTCCAAACACCTTGCCCATCTTTCAATACCCCCCACTTTTGTCAGATTTATTCTCCTTTTCTCTTCCATAACACTTGGCTATTCTTTATGAAGACCAGTGGTGTCCTTGGTAGGTAGATTCTACCTGGCGCTCCCCTGTGTACATCTCTATATCATCTCTTTTTTTGCTAGGCCAACTGGAAACCTGTGAGATATTTAAGGCATGCTTGGTACTCCCTCTTCTTTTAGGTGCTTTCCCCAGCCCCTCCTCCCTTGCTCCCTGTCCACGTGGCTGTCCCCTGGTTGTCCCCTGCCCCCTCCACAGGCCTGTGGACTATGAGGTGGGAATAGCTAATAAGGTGAAAAAGGAAAGCAGACCCAGATCTGGATGGCTGCTGTCAGCGAAGCCTCCATCTCAGTATAGCCCAAGTGTACCACTCTCATGCCTCTTCAGCGAGGTGGAAAATGCAATTCCTCTTTCTGAAAGCTTAATAGAGAAGTATTAACGGCAAGCTATGTGGGTAAAGGAAACAGTTAAAGGAAACTCTAAACACCTCCTTAGAATGAATTCCTTTTTATTGCCTTTCTTTTTCTTTATAATAAAAGGCTCCTAGTAACTACAAGGTATTTCCACATAAAGAGTATTTTTTGTTCTAAGATTATGGACAC
Source organism: Homo sapiens (assembly GCF_000001405.40). NCBI lineage: Eukaryota > Metazoa > Chordata > Mammalia > Primates > Hominidae > Homo > Homo sapiens. Next base: position 133,328,912 of record NC_000002.12, on the reverse strand, counting down.
CCTAGGGCAAACAAATTCTAATATTATGATTGCCGCAAGTTTTTCTTTCCATGAAAGTTCCCAGCATTTCATGACATTTCAGAACTGCTCATCTGAGGTTGAAATGCAAGTGTATTTTAAATTAAACATGAGGCACTGCAGCTAGTCTACCCTTTGAATAATATTTATATATTTTTTTCATTATATATATTTTTCATCAGTAATCTCACTGAATAGGTTAGGTGCTTTCACTCCTTGTTACCAACATATCATAATCGAGTTCACAGTGTCTGATTTTTCCCATGCTCCAATTACGTGTTCATTATCCAGTGCTCTTACATATTTAACACTTTGGCTCTCAAAGGATGTCAAGGACTGCCCAGGCAGTGGAGACTCCAGGAGCTCTACCTGGTGGCACCACAAGTCAGAAATTGTTAGTTACTTCCAGCCTACTTCTCCTTCTGCCTCTGTAGTTGAGTCTTCGGCTTTCCCCCCTAAAATGTATTAAGTTTTAAATCTCTTGATTCTTATAAGAGCTCAGTTACTCTGTTTAAAACAAAATAGATAAAAATCCCAGTCTATGTCAACTCTCTCTATATTCTGCTTCCTCTGTTGCTCCAAGCCTCAACCCTCTATTCTCCATCTGAAAATGACATAATGAGAGCAGATACGCAGCGAATTTGGGGGACTGAGAACAGGATTTGCAATTTGCAGCACTCCTATAAATCAACACGAAAAAATTACCATAGTCTGCTACCAGTGGGAGTCAGCACGTTGGGATGAAAAGAATACAGCTCTGGAGGCAGAGGAACATTTTTTCAAATCTTGGTTCTACCAATCGGGTAACTTGGGGCCCAACGTTGGTAGAGAGACAACAGGGTGATGATCATTAAGCTCTGAAGATGTGGAGAGTATTTGGTCTAGATCAACCTGGGCACTACTTGGGGCTCAATAATCTCTGCGGTGGGGGCTATCCTGGGCATTGTAGGATGCTTAGCAGCATCCCTGGCTCCTACCCACTAACAGCCAGTACCAGCCCCTCTCTCCCAGGTATGACAGACAACAGTGTCTCCTGGGATATGAAGTCATCCCCCACTGAGAAGCACTGGTCTATGCATTCACTTTTAGTCTTCACATGAGGAGCCCTGCAGGTATTAATGTCGCTACTGTCTTATAAAAAATCCAAGGCTAAGGAAGGAAAAATATTGAAGCAATTAACAAAGATCCTAAGAATTTTAGGCAACTATATTATTTACCAGTTTTTCAAAGATGTAGAAAACCTTAACAAATACTGTTTTCCTACATCCTAGATGGACAGGGTTATCATTTTTATTCCTTTCTTCCATTACTAACACTGTTCTTGCATTTTGTCAGTCCTCAAGAAAACTTATGTACTCAGACCAACCAGTTTATTAAGGCTACAACCTGCAGAACAACCAGGGCCAGGAATCTGCATTTTGTCTTCAAAACACTAACATTAAACAGCATTGCCACTGGGATGTGACTATTAACATATCTTTGCCTAGAATTGGGATTTGAATCCTTCCAAGGTCCTTTCTTACCTAACTGCATAGAGAGAAGGTAAAAAAACAATTCCAGATGCTGAAGACACAGCATTTGGTAGCAAGTCTTTGGAGGAACAAAAGGGAAAAAGAAACAGCCCTAGTGGAAGCTGTATTGTGCTTCCATCTGTTAAGCAACAAATTCAGGCAGGAGAAGAGCAGGCAGCTGAGAGCTCGGCCTAGAACTCTAAATTAGATTCCCAGTGTTTCCTCTGTTTGCCCATCCAGAAGAACCACCTGGGCTGGCTGTAAATACCAAAGTCCCTTTTCTGAAGATTCTGATTCAAAGGGTTTGAAGTTGTGCCCAGAAACAGGTATTTTGAAGAAGCTCCCCAACAGAACTTATGATCAGTACGGTTAGGAAACACTGAGGTCTACATTCCTGCTACTCAGAATGTGGTTCCCAGGCTGGCGGCAGCAGCAGCAGCAGCAGTTGCGAGTATGTTAGAAGCCGATTCTTGAACAGATTCTGATTCAGTTGGTCTGAAGTGGAATCTGAGATGCTGCATTTCCAGCAAGCACCCAGGAAATGCTGCTGTTTCTGGTAAATGCACTCTACTGTGAGCAGCCAGGATGCTGTTGAATTTACGCAGGAAGAGGTATCAAAGATGAGTCATCATTAAATCCTGCTCTGAGAGTGACGTCAAAGCTGTAACAGGTCATTAGAGATGGGGTAGAGGTCAGTGGAGATGGGAGCTATGGAATGATAGGAGTCTTTATATTAATAACCATAATGTCCAGAATTCCAGGTTTCTGCAAAGCATTTCAAATAAAGAGCTGGAAAATGTCTCCGAGGGAATGGAGGACTGTTCTCTGCTGTTACAGGACTCTTGCTGTGGCTGTCCCCAGTTTACCAGCTCTGTGACCAGCTTTGTTGTCTTTCTTTTTCTCTTTTTTTTTTTTTTTTTTTTTTGTTGAGACTGAGTCTTGCTCTGTCACCAGGCTGGAGTGCAGTAGTGGTGTGAACTCGGCTCACTGCAACCTCCAACTCCCTGGTTCATGTGATTCTCCTGCCTCAGCCTCCCAAGTAGCTGGGATTACAAGCATGTGCCACCATGCCCAGCTAATTTTTGTATTTTCAGTAGAGACAGGGTTTCACCGTGTTGGCCAGGATGGCCTCAATCTCCTGAGCTCGTGATCCGCCTGCCTCGGCCTCCCAAAGTGCTGGGATTACAGGCCTGAGCCACTGTGCCCGGCCTTATAGTTTTTCAATCAAGGATATCCTAAGGGGTTGCTGTTCCTCTGCCAGAAATGCTGAGCAGTTCATCCCTAAAGTGGCCCACTGTCCAGAACAAATTAAAGAAGAGAGCTGCATGATTCTAGTTACGTATTAACAAGAAGTGCTGAAAGACAGCATCATTATTGGCCCTCTAGTGACAGCCATTTGGGTAGTTTCAGCTTTACCAACTCCAGCACACACCATCAACAACTTCTTTTTGATGACATCCGGCAAAAATAAACATTGCAAGCATTTTTAAGAGGGGGGTCATATCCAAACACAATGTATGATGGGTCCAGGTGTCAGTGAGTACTCAAATGCTGAAGTTGGGAGGCCAAGGCTAGCAGAGATGCCATTCTCATGTTAGTCTCATTGGTTCTGATTAGGTCCAGTGCCCATCATTGAACCAGTTGACATCTCCAGGCAAATGTGGTGTGTTAACTAGCTTTCATTCAGGTCACAAACTCTACCCTGGGAGCAGATAGAGTGCACAGAGCTGCGGGGGAGTGATCCCCACAAGGAAGGGGGCTTGATGTACTCCAAAATAACAAATGTCCAGTGCCTGCACCCAACAATAACTGAGCAATTCAACACCCCTAAAACCAGTATATGGTTGGCTGTAGAAACTAGAGATGCAAGAGCTTAGGGAAGGCTAGGGTTGAAATAATTAAAATGAGTTGCAGTACATGGAAATCCCTCAGGAAACATCACAAAGTCCCTGTACTAAAAAGGAATGCCAATTTCTGTTAGAAGAGTACCTTATTCTCAGGTTTATGTAGGCACTTAGGGGAATACATAAATGCTATCTTCATAAGCTGGAGTCATCTAGTTTTCTTCTTCCTTTATGTTTGGATCCATCCTTCCCCAAAGGCCAGAGTACACACTTTGGAGACGCAAAATCCTGTTCAAATTTCTCTGGCTCTTTCCCTGTGTACAGTTGGGAAAGTGGCTTAACATGGTAAAGCTATGGTTCTGCATTCCAGTGCCTTCCTCCCTCCCAGGTAGATTGAATACGGCAGTGATGGAAGGAGACATCGTCCATTTTTTTCACAGTTATATCCAACGGCTCCTAGCACTACACATAACAGGTGCTCAGAAGAATTCGAGTGAATAATCAAATGAATACATTTTAAAAGTACTTGGCAGGCTGGGCGTGGTGGCTCTTGCCTGCAATCCCAGCACTTTAGGAGGTCAAGGCATGTGGATCACCTGAGGTCAGGACTTCGAGACCAGCCTGGTCAACATGGTGAAACTCCGTCTCTACTACAAATACAAAAATTATCTGGGTGCCTGTAATCCCAGATACTTGGGAGGCTGAGGCAAAAGAATCACTTGAACCCAGGCGGTGAAGGTTGCAGTGAGCCGAGATCGTGCCACTGCACTCCAGCCTGGGCGACAGAGCCAGGCTCCGTCTCAAAAAAGAAAAGAAAAAAAAAAGCACTTGGAATACAGTATGTGCTTTAGAATGTATATATATATTTTCTTAGTTACAACTGGTGCTCATGTGTGACTCTGCAACAAACTTTTATTTCGCTGAAATCAGGCCTTCTTTGTGACATCTAAGTGAAAACTTTAGAGGAAATTCTGGGAATTCCTCTGTGTGCTTCAGCAACTTGCCTGGGTTTCAGAACCACATCTCCCGGCCTCACAACTGCAGAGGCCAAAGAGAGGCTGAGGTTTCCCAAAGTCTTTCCGGCTATTCTGTCTGACTCAGCAGCCAGCTATAAAACAGACTTTCCTACCTCTGAAAAAACAAAAATCATTTAAAATATTTTTTATGTAATTCCAAGTAAATATTTTTAAAATGTTTTCTCAGTGAGTCAGTTTTGCTTTCACAAAATAAGCCTCAGAGAAACCTAAATGCCACTCAGGCCTCCTGCCCTCTCAATGTGGGGTGTTTATGATTCCCTTGAGCCATCCCCAGAGGTAGAATGCATCTGTTTGCACAGCAGGCCTGGTTTACGCCTCATCCAGTTCTGGCTTGTGCCGGGATAGGTGAGGTAAATTTCATGCAGTCTAGCCTTCTTTAAGTTTTCATCTCAGACTTTGGTTGTAGTTTGGAAACCTCCCGGAGCCAAAGGACATACGTGAAGGCAGGTATTTTTAGAAGCTGAACCTGGAAATGAGTATTTCTGTCTGGAGCTCAGAGTCTAACTCACATAGCTAGGACAACTTTGTGCCATCCCAGGAGTTTTGGGGAATTTCTTGGGACATAACACCAAATTGCTGATGCCAGGCCCTGGGTGAGAAAAATGGTTCTTATACTGAGAAACTGAGATCAACCAAAGGCTCAGGTCTTGTAGAAAAACATTAGGAATTGCTTTATTTATAACAGGTGTCCACAGAGCCTCAGCCTTTACAAATGTGATTTGGCTGGGACAGTGATTAAGTTCAATTTACCTCTCTGTCAGATTCCCCAGACAATCACACTGGTTCTGTCCATTTCTTTGGCTGCCAGTAGCGCCCCCATCTCCTGCTCCAACTGTATGCCAAGGACATAGGTGGCACAGGAGAAAGGTGTGCCTTGAGATGCAGTTGGCACTAATGAGAGCTGGAACACACTGAAGGGCAGGGATTTTGTATTTAATCCATTAACTTTTGTTAGGAACCAGTCATATAGTTCGCATATAATCATTCTCTCCTCTTTAACCCAGCCTATCCCTCCCTCAGTATTACCGTGACCCAAGCCTTGCTAACTTCATCAGCTTCTCCAACAAAGGATGAGGAGGAAAACCCTGAGATGCTGAAATAGGATAGATGCTAGCAGCTGGAATAAAAATATGAGAGGCAAAAGTGCAATATGATATGTAAATTGTTTCCCTGATCCATAGAACTAATGTTTGCTGAGATCTCTATGTCAGACACTGTTAATAATTTTTGCATGCATTTCCTGATTTAATTGATTTTTTCCTGATTTTACATGATCACGAAATAGAGTTAAAGAAAATTGCCAAATATCCATAAATGATATCAATTAAATAATTGAGATTTTTCCCTACTTTTAGGCAAACTTGGAACTATTTGAAAACACACTTGTTCACAAACCAACAAGTGTCCATTTGTTGAATGAATAGGTGGAAGGATAAATGAGGGAACTCTTACTTGCAGCTGGTCTAGAAGTTAAGAATATTGTCTGTCTTTCCATACTCAAAATCCTAGAGGCCCTAAAGACCAGTCTAGTAGTTCTCAAAGTGGTCCCTGGACAAGCAGCATCAACATCCACCTCACCTGATAATTTGTTAGAAATGCAAATTTTCAGGTCTCACCCCAGATGTGCTGAATCAGAAATTCTTGGGGGTGGGACCCTGCAGTCTGTTTTAGCAAGCTCTCCAGGTGGTACTAGTGCTGGCTGAGGTTTGCTAACCACTGATCTGGCCCCATCTCTTCATTTTATAAATAAGGAAATAGACCCAAAGTACTCAAGGTCCACATAGCTTCTATGTGTCCTAGGGTCTCATCCCCCAGGATAGATTCTCAAATGCAATTGTTAGAAGAATATCCTGGATGGGTGGTGAAAATTACTAGAAAGATAATTTTTCAACTTTTACTTTTAATGATTTAGTGTAACATTTTGTTTTCAACTACCCACTCAGATATTGTTACTTGAACTCTATGAGCCCAGGTTTCTCATCAGTAATACAGAGACAGACACACTGTTTTACTGGTATGTTGTAAAAGATAATTAAGCAAACTTTGTAATGGAGTGTTGAAAATAAAGTATCATGTAAAATGTAGTTTATCAATTATCTTTCCACAAGCTCACTCTCTAAGCTTTCATTTCTACCTGCCTCTGGATCTCAATCACAGATGATACCTTTTTGCTGTAAAATGTCTGTATCACTTACTGCATAGAACTTTCTTGCATCTATGCTTTGTCTCATTCTCCTAGGCTAACGGTGATGTTTTTAGCAAAGTACTATTTGCATAGTGGGTACAAAAATATTTGACTTAAGTATTGGTGTTTTTACAGGTTGGAAAGACTATGCCTATTAATAAAATCTATTAGCCTTTCTGCTAAATAAACCTTTATAAGATGGGCTTTACAAAAGTGACAAATGAGGGAATGACACTCACTTTACAGAATGACTTATGAGACGAAGTATGAAATGTATAAAAACTAGAAAAATGCACATTTTTATAGGTATATAATTTTTGATGTGGGCCAGGTTGCATGACTATTAAGTTTTACCTAATTAATATTGAGCTAAGACAAGGCATGGTTGAGAAGGCAGTACTAGCAAATGGAGTGAATTCAATTGATATTGTTTTGGAATTAAGAGTTCATCTGGCTATCCTGTTTGTGTTTTGTCTTGTTTTTTAGCTTAAGTGGGATAATGAGGAAAAGGGTTAAATGCATTGTATGTGGCTAGGGAATATTGGGTTATTGAGCTTGAGCTTTAGCAAGAACAAGGTGATTGAGCTATTTATTGAAACCAATGGAGTCAGGTACTTTTAACAGCCAGCCTCAACAGAAAACTGGACGTCTCTATGGGCAGCAAGGCATTCATTTCCCGCTTTTCTCTTCTTTTATAAAACATTTCTACCATGTCTGACTTTTCAGTCTAAGGGATAGATGTAGTCTTCAAATGTATGGCTTTGGGTTCCTTTTTGTCCTAAAATCATGCTACTAAAACCTAGTTTTGTCATTGTAAGCTTAATATGACAAAGTACTTGACAACTCTAGATTCTGTATCAACAGTATCTTGTGATCCTATGTGTAAAGACAACATGAATGTTCAGGTGCAGTCTTCACTTTTAATAGTAGGTTGCAAGGTATTTTTAGGTAAAACCTGGGACCTCCACAATGATCCGGTGTGGAGTAGGTATAAAGCAAGAATATAACTGAGCCTAACCTAGGTAAAGTGCTAGTCCCACTGAAGGGCACTGAGTCTAATCACAGATTGGGTGAGGGTGGGATGGGGGTGGCTGTGATGCAAACTGGTATCTTTGAGGCTCCGATCTGGGGAGGTGACAGAAGGAACCCTTTGTCAGTCCTCAGGCAGCTGGAAACCCCTTTATTCCTGAGCAGTCCACCTGGGATAAGGCAAGACATGGGTCAGTGATCAGGCTCACTGGATGGAGCCTCCACTTCTTTAGTGGATAGCAGATGAGCATACACGACTCCTGGGGTTAGGGCTAGTCTGCAGCACTAGAAGTTATGGCTAAGCCTACTCCAGTGAGGAATTTGAAGCATAGTTAGGAAAACTGACACCCACAGGAATGGGCAAACAGCCTGGGAGTCATGGGGAAACGTGTGATTGTGGTAGAGTGACCAACTCACCTGGTTTGCTCAGGACTTCTCCAGCGTCATCACAGAAAGTTTCATGCTATGGAACATGTCTCATTCCTGGCCAAATGGGAGTGGTCTACAAGTGGCCAGGAGGCATAAAGGGCCTTTTTCTTTTCTTTTTTTTTGTTTGTTTGTTTTGTTGTTTATTTGAGACAGAGTCTCGCTGGAGTGCAGTGGTGTGATCTCGGCTCACTGCAAGCTCCGCCTTCCGGGTTCACACCATTCCCCTGCCTCAGCCTCCCGAGTAGCTGGGACTACGGGTGCCCACCACCACGCCTGGCTAATTTTCTGTATTTTTAGTAGAGACGGGGTTTCACCATGTTAGCCAGGATGGTCTCGATCTCCTGACCTCGTGATCTGCCCACCTTGGCCTCCCAAAGTGCTGGGATTACAGGCGTGAGCCACCGCACCCAGCCAAGGGCCTAATTATTACATAGCCTGGCAAATATAGCAGACATAGGACTTTGACAGCGAGAGGAGGTCTAGAGAGCCCCGTGACAAGTGGGGACATTTACAGAGTGAGGCAGGAAGAGCCAACATGCTGGAAGTCCAAATTATCTCCAAATTGTCAGTCTGGGGCAGGAAGGGACTGAGCAGTAATTAGACTTTAGAGATATTCCAAAATAGAAGTTTGGCTTTGCTAGTCTGATAAATATTAAATGATAGCACTGAGTCCTTCCAAAATAATTAGAGGGTAAAAGAGTATCTGGCTAATGATAGCTGAGACAGCCTTAGTCCAAAAAGCACAACACTCCATTGCTTCTACTCCTTGTGATTTTTGCATCCATACATGTGCTGTCCAGAGTCAGAGAGCCCTCCCATCCCTTGTTGCAGTTGGTTTCGTTTGACCGGAATGAATAATAATCCTAAAGGCTGGAATTAGATTCACCTGCAGTTTACCCTCAATTTGCAGTCTTTCAGTCATAAAAATGAGGGTTCTTTTCATGTTAACTAGCCTTATTCTTGAGTGTGATTCGTTATTATAGCAAATTTAATTTTGCATGAAAAGCATGATAACTAATTATATAGCATTTGCATACTCAGAACAAATTCCCAAAAATATTTGCATAAGTTTCCTGATGTTCCGTTTGACTCTTTAACAACCTCATCATAGTAAATTGCCTTCCTAAATTGATTTAACACATCTGCCTTGTCTAAGAGTGGCTGATTTTCATGAAAAATAAGCATTAGAATAGTTAAATTACTATCCACTGGTAAGTGAACTGTCTGCGTTGCTATCCCAAATATGTATATTTTAAAAAGGAATTTCTGTCTTAGGTGACCGTCCCAATACAAAATTCTTACATGGTCCAGGTGTCTCTTCAAATCCCAAATAGTGCATAGTCCACTGATTGAATGGTTTTAGCTGCATAACGCTTTGAGAGGAGATACTTAAAAAAAAAGGTAACATCCCGGGTGCACCTGCATCATATTTATCATGGGTACTTCTCTCGTCCTGAAAAACAGCACCTAAATCATTAAGTACAAACATAGGCTTCACAGCAGGGCAGCTGTTGCTGGTTTTGCATTATTTTAATTAAACTTCAGTGTTTCACCTGATGCAAGGTCTGATTTCCCAGCCCTCTACCCTCAAAAATGAGATATTTTGAAAAGAAACCTTGAATTGTTCATCAATGCTGATAGTAATTCAAATTCACTATAGCGTCAAATGATTTATCTTGAAAATGCAGGGGGTGGAAGGGGGCGGGGGGGGAGGGGTGGCTCACACACCTGGAATGAATGATTGTAATGATGGGTTAATTTGACTATTGAAGAGTCGTTCTTAAGGTTTAGTGGATCAGAATCACCTGGAGGGCTCCTAAAACCATACATTGTTGGGCCCCTCCACCCCCAGAGTTCAGTGGGCCTGGGGAAAGGCCAGAGAAGTTGCATTTCTAATGAAATTTGCAGGTGATGTTAACAATGCTGGTCTGTGTCCATAGTGGGAGAACCGTTGCATTAGATCTTAATTGTCAGGATAATGTGTCTTTGTGAAGTGGGTGTTCAGTGGAGGCTAAGGGTACCATTTGGTCATCCCAGGTAGAACCCAGGGGAGCATACCAGCCACCATCATGTGAAGGGCAGCGCTGAGTTATTGCATTGCACCATTGCTCTTCCAGGGATGGACTGGCACAGAGACAGGGGCCCTGGGCACAAGGGCTTTCAACTTAAAAGTTGCCGTATGTCCCATTTCTCTCCAGATTTTCCAATGAGAAGGTTCAAAGAGTGCCACAGCTATATTCCATCACATATTTGGTTTGGCCCCTCAGGAGAGAAGAAACTTTTCTCCTGAATCGGATTCTCCACTGTCAGAACAAAATGGCTTTCTAATTACCTTTCAAACAAGGCAGCAGTGCTGTTTACATCAGGTTGTATCAGCCCTCCAGGTTACCACCTATAAAAGCACTTTTTAATCACAGTATTGGTAATCATTTTGTACCACAAGATATCTGTGGAACTTCTGAGGATAATCTCAAATTACTTCACATATTACAAGCTAGAGTTGAGAGCAGAAGAAGCCAAGAAACAGATTGTATTTAACGACAGTCTCTTTATTGGAAAAAAGAGAAGTATATGCTACTGAGTTGTTTATTTTGGGTGGGGCAGGGATGGGTATCTACTACTTCATAAATCCTTTCTCTCCATCTTCTTAAACCATCCTAAAATCTTCCCTGTATGATTGGCAATTGACTGAGGCATGATTCTCCTGAAAGCTGTTTATGCTGGTATTAGAGAATCAACTATGACATAGGCTCAGTCTCTGGAGGTAAAGTTGAAGGAGAAAAGGGTTCTGTAGTATCAGGAGTTCCTGTTTTCCCACTGTTTCCCTTTTCCACATTCTTCCTTGACAGGGCTTGCTAAGATAGCAAACGAGAAAGAGGAGCTGCACAGTGAAAATATACACAGCCCCCTGAAGGGATTCCTCTGTTTCCAGGAGGCAGAGGCCCTCATTCTTACTCTGCCACCCTTTTGTTTCCAGCTTGGCCTTTTCATGGTCAGATGTAAAGATCTGAAATGAGGATTGCCAGCCAGATGGGTCCTGCTTTGCACCTATACCCATTATACCAGTCCTGGTGTTGGCATAGGGCATCACATTGAAATACCAATTAACCAGTCCTTAGGAAGCTAAGTGTCTTTCTATAGAGTTGGCCTCTTTGTGGAGGATGTTGGGCAAGTTCAAGTGTTTTCAGCACTAAGTCGGCTACAGCTGGCGAAGGATGCAGGGCTCTCCACATAACATTAGAAGCCCTCTGAGTTGGCAGCCTTGACTGGAGAGCAGGTTCTATTGAATAGGCCTACAGTGTCTGCGGGGAGGTGCCCATGAATTCAGCCCTGGTGACGCCTCCACACCTGCACAGAACCCAACCCCAAAACCCCACCCAGCCTCATGGCTCTACCTCCTTAGATGGAAACTAATCCTCAGTAGAGAACAGTTCTTTATCTTGAGTTCAATCTCTCCTACCACTTGCTGGAAGGAGGGGGGTGGCCATGGAATACCATACTTAAATATCACACAGACGATTGCCCAAGAGGTCCCTCCTGCTCTTATGTTCAATCTGAGCTTGCAGTTTTTCCCAGTTCAGTCCTCATCTTCATGGTGATTTTATCCTGGATGTGTTTTGGGTTCTGGTTTTGCAGCTTTTGTCAATCAAATGGAAACTTCTTTCTGACTTCCAGAATGCTTTATGACTTTTGGTTTGCTTTCATGTTCTCTATTGGTGATACACGTTTATTTTTTGTGAGGGCATGTGCAAAATACTAGGTCTGAGAAGGTCTCTTCAGGCGCTCCATCCTTTATTTCCTGAGGCCAGTGGCAGGGAAATAAATGCCTATGGTCTCCTTAGTATATCTCTTAATATGGAGAAGAGATTTAGGGGTAAGAAGAAAACATGCTGGTCAGTCATGGTGATTCACTTGTTCTGCTGCCTTTTTGTTGGAGGAGAAGCAACAAGATAGAGCTAGTGTTTCTTTTCACCAAGACAAGTCAAACAGTGTTCAGCTGCTTAATACAAACAACAGCCTGCAGCCCATGACAGCCAGGAGAACTCAGATCTGGTCCATTACTTTTGTCTTCACATTTTTACCATGAAAATAGAGACATAAATGTGATCAGATCCTGGGCACCACCCATTCCCACCCAGCGGCAGTAGAGGCAGTCTTTGAAATACCTCACTCCAGGAGGAATGTTCGCTCCTCTTGGGTGATTTATGTTCAGTGCCCATAAGTAAGAAATGCAGTTTAACAGGCAACACACTGAAATCTGCACATCCACAAATGCTTTCTGGCTTAGAAAATAAAATCCAAGCAAGGTTTATGTGTTAGTGCATAAATGTATAATCTCCTCACACTGCAGGAAGTAACCTCTTTCTTGAGGGAAGTCTCTTAAAGATAAATATAAAAACGAAACAAAATTTTTAAATAGTTTGACGGTCCTCTTGTGTAGCAAAAGGAGTCTTCCTGGGATAGGCAGTCTAGGTTTTCCTAAAAGAGTTCCTAGATCCAACATGAGAAGCACCATCTGCTCTGTTTCTAAAAAGTCTTCATGTTTATCACCTTGTCCCCAATCTCATTTGAATGTCAAGAGAATCCAAGGCCCTGATTCACTTTGGTAGAATAGGTATTGGAGGTGTTTCAAGGAAAGGTTCAGTGTGTTGGTTGCATGGTGGTTGTGGCAGTTGGTTTGTTTTGTTGTGTTAAGTCATCGGAAATAACCAGAAATTCTGTTTGGGAGACCATTCTCCAAAAGTGTCCCAAGGAGAACTGGCAACATCCTCCTACAAGTTCTTGTTAAAATTACATCTCTGGGTCCCATCTTATTCCTAGACTTACTGAACCTGAATCTCTGGGATAGGACCTGGAATGCACCCTTTTCCCAAGGGCCTCCGTAGCCCCATGGTCTCTTGGAGACTGATTTTCAAGAATCACATGATATTTATGATATTTTCTGAAAAAGCTTTGTTCTTACTTGTTCTCCCTACCCTTGGCATAAAATTTTGTCTTTATTCTTCACCTTTCCCCAACCTCTACCCCAAGTGAGGTATTTGGAAAGGCTCCTCCACTGAAACTGTTTTTGTCGGGCCGCTAATGGCCACTATATTGGCCAATTTGGTGGCCAATTTGGGGGCCTGTCTTACTTGACCACTGATTGTATTTAACACTACTTTCTTCTTAGAACACCTTCTCCTGTTCCTCCCTCACTGGCCTCTCCTTCATTTACTTTTTTTTTTTTCTCCTCTCAACCTCCAAGTACTAGGTCCTTTTTTCTTTACTGTGGTTCCTTCCTCAGGTAATCCCATTCGATGTCACGGCTCCATGTTTATATCCATACACACTGGAATCCAAAATTCTTGAGCACTAACGACCTGGTTGACATCTACTCTTTCATATGTAATGACGTCACAAACTTCACTGCCAAAGGAGAACAATTTATTCAACACCCCTTGCACAAATTTACCCCAAAATAGCACATTATCCAACTGCTCAGGCCCCAAATCAAATATTATCTTCGATTTTTATTTTATTTCATATCCCACATTGAATCCATCATGAAGTTCTGTTACCTCCATCTTCGAAACAGATCCTGAATCCAACAACTTAGCATGATTCTCCTGGTGACCTCCCTAGTGAAAGTGATGTTGATCTCCTTCCAGTGGCCTCAGCTGCTCCTGCCCCTGCCCCCTATTCCTTCAGTCAACAGCAGCCAGAAGGATCCATTCAAGACTTAAGTGATACCATTTGACTCCTCAAATCAAATCCCACTGCAATTGTTCCCTATGTCACTGAGAACAAAATGCAAAGTCCCTACAAGGGCTTATGCAGCTGTGATGATCACCCTCCTCCCCTCACCCCATCTCTGCACTCCAGCCACACTGGCCTCTGTGCTGTTCCTGCAGCATGCCGGCACACATTCCTGCCCCTAGAGTCCTTTACGCTGGTTTTGTCTGCCTAGAATGAGCCTCCCAAAGTAGCCACCTCGGTTAGTTCCGTCACTTCCTTTAGGTGTTTGCTCAAATGTCTTCAGTGTGGTCTTCCTCCACCAGTCTATGTTGATGCCACCCCTCTACTTCAGCCCCTCCTTTCCTCTTCTCTATTTTGTTTTTCCACTTACCTCCACTTATTTTGTCTGTCTCCCTCACAAAAATGTTACCTTCATGCAGGCAGAGACTTGCCTGCACTGTACATGGCTGTATTGCCCAGACCTTGAAGAGTGCCTGAACATAATTAACCCTTGAAAATATTTGCAGAATAATTGCATCTGGCATTATTTACACTGGCCTTATTAATCTCTTTAGGAGGACAGTGGGTGGTAATCGGGGTAATCAGTAAACTAATCCTGGTTACCATAAGCCAGTGATTTACAGAGTGGTCCCCAGACCAGCAGCATTAGAAACACCTGGGAGCTTCTCAGAGATGCAAAATATCAGGCTCCATTGCATGCCCACTGAATCAAACTCTGGGGTCAGGACCCAGTAATCTGTGTTTTAACTAGCCCACCAGGTGACTCAGATGAACAGATGGGAGCCATAAGTAGCAGCAAACAAATGTGTTTTCCCTACTTGATGCCGTAACCCAATTCCAGTTTCTAGAAACCCTGGTTTCTAGAAATGCCTTGCCATCTATTATTTGCAGGTCTTGTGCTAGGTGCTGAGACTGCAAAGAACTTATAACTTGGCCTGTTCAGAAAAAGCAAGGAGCCTGGCTTCACTGGACTCCCAGGATAGCTTTGGGGAGTAATGGGAGAGAAAATTAGAACATACCTGGCCAGATTTTGAATGATATTGATAATCATAGGCTCAGGCGGTCCTGATATACTGTAGTGAATGAAATGGCAGTCCGTGATCCAGTATTTGGGTAGAAGGAAATGTCTGAAAGTACAGTGTACTGATGCAATGGATCATTGGTCAATTCCTGCTGTGTGTGGATGTAATGCTGGGATTTAAATTAGTCTTTGAACTTTCCATGGCCAAATTCTTTCATGTAGAGTAGCTGGGGTCCTAAGACTTTTCACTCATATAAGGCTCTACCAGTGTTTCTCCATCAAATGAAAAATAGAGGTTGAAATGAGGACTCTTCTAATTATGTCATTTGTATTTTTATGGTGACTTTTTAAAAACATACACAATTACTGCCATGCTGACAAATGACATGTTACTGACTTGCAGAACTTGAGGACAGTTGAATTAGTTTTTATTTCTACCTCAGAAAAAAAAAACAAAAACAAAATAAGTGAACTTATTTTTTCCACCTAAATGAATTCCTTCATTTGACCAATATATGTTTATCTCCCAAGCTGCTATAGAAACAATATTTAAGAAAATAGTACAGGCTGCTGAGAAATACAATAGTTACTATTTTGCTGAAAAATAAGTATAACTCTTTTTACCTAAAAAAGAATATCTAAGTATTAGTAATAGCATCTTTGTCAAATATAACTAAAAATTGTTTAACTTTTGTGTAGATTTATTTCATTATTATTAATAGAATAGAATACTGAATGGGAGAATACAACTTAACTTCTGCCCTCACCCTCATTGCACTAGGGCAGGGAAATCAAAGTGGAACCAAAGCCAAACTTACACAGATGCCCAATTGGTAGAATTTGAAAACTCATTTCTTGATTTTTGTTTTATGGCTTTGCATCTAGCCAGATTCCCCCCAGCACACACTACAAATTGGTGGAGAGGGCTGCGGTGGAGGGGGTCATTCTGTAGCTAGTTTCCATCTAACCAACATAAAATCCACTCTGAGGGCAGTTAGCTGTGGGAAGGGCATTCTTTAGGGCAGTGAAAAAATGTGCTGAACTGAGCAAAAACAGACTTTTAAAGTCTGTTATTGTCTGACCCTAAGCAAATTACTTAACCATAATCTGAGCATTAGTTTTCTAAATTGAAATGGTGACCATGACTCAAAGATGTTGTGAGGCTTAAATGTGAATGGATGTCAAAGTGCTTTGGAAAACTATAACATCTACAAACAACATCAATCAATAAAGTAATATAGAGATGACTGCTGCTTCGTATTTCACAGTTTGCCATGTTAACTTTGAAAAGAATTGACCAATATTTATATTACTTGTAGCATAGGCTAGGTGTACAGTAACAAAGAAAGCCCAAAATACAGTGTTTTAATTAAGATAGGAATTTATTTCTATCTTATTTAGGCCAAAGGGAGGTAGAAAGACTAGGGTCAGTAGATAGGTGCTCTAAGAACTATCACTTTAGCTATCCTTAGCATGTAGGACTGTCTCTGAGCCCAAGGCTTCACCGTTTCTGGCCAGGGGAAGAGTGCACAATAGGCAGTGTCTTGTCTTTAGGCTGGGGATTTCCTGGATATTGCACAAACCATTTCTGCTTACCTCTCTTTGGCTTGAACTCAGGCACGTGTTCACCCCAAGAAGCACAGGAGACTGGGAAACATAATTTCTAGCTTGGGAGCAGTGTGTCCAGCTACAGCTGGAGAGAGATGGGGGATTTTTTTTAAAAGGGGAAAAATATCTAATAGGGAACAGTTAAGCAGTATCCAACAAATTGAAGTATGTTTTACTCTGAAGATCTGCTAAGCTGTACTCATAGTCTGATCGGCATTAGTCTACTGCCTTGGTACCAAATAACAGGTCACGAGGCTTTTCAATGGTCTCATGTGCTATCTGTCTAAATTCTGTCACTGTTAATTCATACTGATGAAATTTCCATATATGACAGAGGTTATAAAGAGATGTTTTCACTCTGTGCAGTTTGCTAGTCATCATGCTTTCTTATCATCAGTTATCTCTCCATTTGAAAGCAAATTTTGGTTGTGAATTTTACTGTGTTGAAATCTTTGACAGCTCATGTGATTTACATGCCATAGATGAGCAATGTACCTAAATTTTTCTCAGAGTTGCAAGATTAGAAAAACGCACTTATTTTGTGAAATTATCAATAGTTTGGAATGTCATTTCTGGCTAGTACCAATAGAATAAAATCATGAGTAAAAAGTAATTTAGAAAACTGCTAGGATTAAATATATATATTCGGTCTCTGCTTCCCAGTTTCTGGCACAGAACTCCTAAAACCCTTGTAGATAGGGTACTAGGATAACCTTTTGTTCTAATATTTGGTCTTTGACTCCTGGTTTCTGACACAGAGATCCTAAAACGTTTCTTATTTTCTGAGTGATAACATCTGGCACAGAGCTCTTAAATCCCTTAGAATTTTCTGGGTGATAGGATCATCTTTTGTTCTATTTAGAAGACTGTGGGCTCCTGGATAGCCTCAGGATGGGGGCTGGTTGCCAGGAGAGCCAAACATGTGATTAAAGGGTTGGAACTTTCAGCCCTACCTACCAAGCTCTGGTTGAGTTGACCACCAATGGCCAATGATGTAATCAGTCATTCCTACCTAATACATCCTCCATAAAACCCAGGAGGACTGGGCTCAAGGGGCTTCCAGATAGCTGAACTCATGGAAGTTCCTGGAGGGCAGTGTGCCAGGAGAGAGCATGGAAGTTCTGAACCCCTTCTCCCATACCTCGTCCTATGCAGCTCTTCCATCTAGCTGTTTATCTGTATCGTTTGTAATATCACTTACAATAAATGGGTAAACCTAAGTAAAATGCTTCCTTGAGTTCTGTGAACTGCTGTAGCAAATTAATCAAGCTTGAGGATGTTGTGGTGGGAACCCTGATTTATAGCTGGCTGATCAGAATTATAGGTGGCAGCCCACTGTGGTACTTGTGATTGGTGTCTGAAGCCGGGGCAGTCTTATGGGACTGAGCCCTCACCCTGAGGGATGTGATGCTATCTCCAGGTAGATCGTGTCAGAATTGAGTTAAATTTTAGGACACCTAGCTGGTGTCTGCTGGAGAATTGTTTGGTT
This sequence comes from Homo sapiens, assembly GCF_000001405.40. Lineage (NCBI taxonomy): Eukaryota > Metazoa > Chordata > Mammalia > Primates > Hominidae > Homo > Homo sapiens. Next base: position 133,311,005 of record NC_000002.12, on the reverse strand, counting down.
GACGTATAGGGAAAAATTCCCATTCATCTGCTGTCAGAAGCATCACATTGAGTGGTGTATGAGAGGAGAGGGAAAACAAAACAAAAACACTGTTTCTGCCATCTTGTCATGACTGCCTAATGTCTCCATGATCATCAAAACCTTTACAAGTAAAAGTTTTGGAAGACCAAGACCACTTATAGCCTAATCTCAGATTCTCTCATGAGCCTGGTTACATCCAGACAATTAATTCACTCTTTCACTTACTTAACACACCTTTGAGTGCTTGAGATGTTCCAAGGGCTGTGGTAGGTGTTGGAGGACACAGAAATGAAGGATGGCCTACTCGAAAGAGTATGTGGCACATCCAAAGGGACCTGTTTGGGAAATAGCCAGACTCACAGGATTGGACCTGCAGAGCGTGATTGAGCAGCACAGGCCATGCTGGACCTCAGAGTGATGGAATACGGGGAGACACTTTCAGAGAATACCAGGGAGGGAGAGTATGATTTTAAAATGTGAAGTGCTGTAGGCACTGGTCATAAGACAAGGACCAAGCAAAATCCTGGGATTCCACCTTGCGGAGGCCATCATTTGCTCTAATGGGAAAGCTCCACTAGAAAGTCTGCCTTAGAAGCCAGGTTGCAGCTGTTTGAGGAGGCAATGGGAAAGAGGAATTCAAGATGGCTGATGCTAAGATGGCGGTGGGAGGATGGATCTGTTCAAGCTGGGACTCCTAAATTGATTTGCTTGTGGTGTTTAACATTTAAAAAAGTCTCCTCGGAAGAATTTATATTGGTACAGATGCCAGTTAGTTATGAGACACCTTTCTATTTATTACCTTGTCTGTATAGTTCCCAAAGTGGGTATTTTATTTGAGTTTTTTGCATTCACCATGCAGGTATACCTTTTTATTAAGAGAAGAACTGATGCCCTCCCCCGCTTAAAAATTACTTTGTTGTGGTAGTTAGTCATTTCCTAATTGCAGATAGTTGTGTTGATTTGAACAGCTGGCCGCCTTGCTGGTGCTGCTTTGCCCAAAGGTGAATTGGGGATTCTATGTTACTAGTCACAAAATTGCTGGCAGGATTTCACAAGCTCTGCCATAAGTTATGCTGATTATAATACGAAGATTATTTGGAGGGATTTTTGGATCTCTGCAAGCTTTGATACACGATTTTATTTTAAACTCCACTTAATATGAATGATACTTAAGATCCTCACATCATTAGAATTCATTTATAATGGGCCTCTCTCAGAACTGACCTATTTCAGACAATAGGAGATTCACATTAAATGGGCTTATGCTACAAAGACCTGCAATGTTCAGTGTATCTATAAACCTCTAATCACTTTAAATGTTTCATACTAATTGCCCTGAAACATGTGCATTAAAAGAAGTGAAAGGCAAACTTCCTGAAATATATCTCTAAAATGATTCTAATTTGCATAAGTTTTAGCCAGGGAACAGATGTCTTTTTAATGCTGTACCTTTGTAAAATTTTTAAAACATAAAATATGACTTGGTGTAACTTGGTGCCCCCCACCTTCAGCCCCCTTAATCCTAACTTTGGTGAAATGCTTTTATCAGAACACTAACGAGGGCAAGTGGAAAGGGGGGTTCATTGTTTCAAACATGAGCCTAGCTTTAGAATAATATAAAGGAAATGGTTTCCTTGTGGTATTTCAGATCAAGCTTTCTAAAATTTATAATCAAATCTTCATGGACATTATTTTCTGGGACTGTATTTTTCTATATAATATCCATTACTTTAAATTTTTATAATGAGCATATAGTTTTGTAAAACTATAGACAAAGAAAAAATTTACAGAAGAAAATTAAATTAGCCCATAATATTACCATTTACTGTAGGATATTACTTTTAATCTTTCATATATATTTTCTAAATTGTGATAAGAGGGATTGTGCAGTTTTTTTATCCTTCTTTCACTTAGCATTACACTGTTTTCTACTTTATTATATATTCTTTACAAAGTTTAAGAATTGTATTTCTTCGGCCGGGCGCGGTGGCTCACGCCTGTAATCCCAGCACTTTGGGAGGCCGAGGCGGGTGGATCATGAGGTCAGGAGATCGAGACCATCCTGGCTAACAAGGTGAAACCCCGTCTCTACTAAAAATACAAAAAATTAGCCGGGCGCGGTGGCGGGCGCCTGTAATCCCAGCTACTCGGGAGGCTGAGGCAGGAGAATGGCGTGAACCCGGGAAGCAGAGAGCTTGCAGTGAGCCGAGATTGCGCCACTGCAGTCCGCAGTCCGGCCTGGGCGACAGAGCAAGACTCCGTCTCAAAAAAAAAAAAAAAAAAAAAAAAAAAAAAGAATTGTATTTCTTCAAACGAAAAAAGCATGCTTTATTTTAATTATTTCTATAGTTTTGGAAAATAAGACATACCCAGTCTTTTCATATTGTCACAAATAGTATTTCAATGAATATCATTTGCTTTCATCTGATTATTTCCTCAGGCTGATTTCTAGACAGGGAGTTTCTACATCAAAAGGGCACGGATGTCTTAAAATCACAACATGGATCACCAAATTGCTTTCCCCAGTTGTACATACACAGGCAAAACACACCCTTATACTTAAGCATTTTTTATTATCGAGTCAAAAATAGAACAATAGCCGGGCGCGGTGGCTCACGCCTGTAATCCCAGCACTTTGGGAGGCCGAGGCGGGCGGATCACAAGGTCAGGAGATCGAGACCATCCCGGCTAAAATGGTGAAACCCCGTCTCTACTAAAAATACAAAAAATTAGCCGGGCGTGGTGGCGGGCGCCTGTAGTCCCAGCTACTCGGGAGGCTGAGGTGGGAGAATGGCGTGAACCCGGGAGGCGGAGCTTGCAGTGAGCCGAGATCCCGCCACTGCACTCCAGCCTGGGCGACAGAGCGAGACTCCGTCTCAAAAAAAAAAAAAAAAAAAAAAAAAAATAGAACAATAATTTCTTCCCCTATATTCAAAGTGATTTATGCACCCTTCTATTAACAGTTCCCTCTTTCTTTCCCTCTTGTCCTCCTTCTGCCCATCACAAAAATAGATAATGTATATTCCACTTTTTCTCTCTGGGATTTTATGTTTGTTTTGTAATTACTTTTTAAAACATCTTTTTGGGGGGATGAACCTCCTTTGAAGCCTCTTTTTATATTGTGAATTCCATATTTTTTTATTCTTTGCTCAGGTATTACATATGTGCATAGATAATGCATAGTATATGTACATATACTTACCTGCACACAGACACCTTTTGGTTATACACATATGCATAAAAACATAAGTTTTTAATTAAAAGATGTAGGTCCTGTATTTTATGAATTCATGAATGCCTGAGAATGTCTTTCTGTTGCTTTGTTATATAGGAGCTACTTAATTGGGAATAATATTTATGGTTTGTCTATAAACTAATTTCAATGGGCATTTGGGGTGGCTGGAAGCTATGGAGCTATGTGGTTTTGCTCCTTGTTGAGCTATAAGCATTCAAACAAGTCCCCCTTTTTTTTCTTCACTATTTTTTTTCAACTCTTGTGCCAATAGATGTGTGGATTGTTTTCCGTTAACTCTACCTGGAAAGTGATGAGTCCTTTTGATGTACATAATCACGTCCTTATTTTTTCCCCTGTGCTGAAATATTTCTTTATCCCTTTGTTTGTTGTTTGCATTTCAAATCTTATCAAGTACTCAAATTCTATCATTGTTTGACAAACTGATATTTTCTGGCCTTTTTATCAATCACATCTGCATTCATTTTCATCCTTATCCTTTATTTCTTAATTTAGTTACAGATTAAGTTTATCCTCCTCAGGACTGTATGTAAGTTTTCGTTGTCAATTCTACTGTTTATTGTATCTAAGGTGGGTTTCGTAATTCTAACAGAAACCAGTAGAATAGGATGTTCATCAAGTTAGTAACAATAGTTTAATAGTATCTTTGTGCTGAATGAGGTAGGAAGTTGCATGCTGAACAAAGCAAGGCTTGGGAAATTGATATTTTTCATAGATATGTGTTAGGAATAGTGAACACTGACATCAAGGGATATGTGGATATGGGTGTTTATTTTTTCTCCCTAGATGACAGGATGCTTGCTCTTCACTAACTGAATGATACGTACACTAATTGACTTATACTGTAGAAATAGGAGAAGAGGAGTATGTAAGTACCTGGCCTGGGTTGGGGAATTTGATTGTTTCCCAAATGAGATATTGAGAAATAGACTTTCATCTGTATGAACGATTCAGTGCCAATACACCAAAACCTGTTGCCTGCTTTCTCTGAAGCACCATTTCATGGTAGGGAGAGTCACCTCATAATAAGAATCACAGGACAGCAATAAATAGATTTCCATTCTGCCTGTAAGGTGTATGTTGCCCTGAAATTCTTAGCTCACTCAGCCCTGTCTTTATTTTATGTCATTTTATTATCTTGGCTGCTCACCCTATTATCTTTTAAAATCTAATTCTGCTGTCTTTTCATCTCAACATTAAAAAAGAACTTTCTTCACATGTGTCAGAGAGACCACATCTTTCTGGATACTAGTCAGCATGTCTGAGGCTCTTTCTAAAATGCTTACATATCTTTCTTATGTAAATAATTTTCACCGTCACACCCTCTTTTATGATTAAGGATCATGTCCTCTCTCTTGTCCTACAGTACTTGTTCATGGGTTCCATGTTGCATTTTTTCAGTTTACTCTGAAAAAATCTCTCTGGACCTTTTCTTTCGCCTTTGCAGGCATGCTGGGATACTGAAGTCTCTGTACAATAACCTCCTGTATGTACTTGCTCCCAAAGCTCTTGCAGCCACTGTGCCAATAGCATTTTACTTATGGTGACCATAGTTTCCTCTTAACCACTGCCAGCCCCAATGCTACCACCCTCCATTGTTTTCTTGGAGTTAATCTCCAAAGGGATCCACAAAATTCCCCCTAGGAGTAATCCTATTTTATAATCCTATGATAGTGTTTTCACATTAGGTAACTAACTTTTCCAGTTCAGGGTCCAGAAATGATACAGGTATGAAGGTACTTCCTATTTCAGGTTGAGCAAAAACAATTTCACTTAACAAAAAATATATGTAAGATTAATGTCTCTTTTCGCAATCCATTTTTGTTAGCGTTATATTGAGGCAATACCTTAATAAATAAGTAAAATATATTGAATGTTGGAAGTAAGAATGCCATAGAGAAAAAATAAAGCTGAAAAGAGGGATGAAGAATCAATAATCTTAGTTTCCCATTTTTAAGTGGTTTAAGATTTGTCATCATAGTTATTTATATGGAAAACAGGATAAAGCTAGTTTAAATGGAAGCAGCTAGTATTTTTATTTGAAATAGCTTTGAAATCACAAGCCAGTGACAACTACATTCAGATTAGAGATCAGTATTATCAATCTCTGCCTAACTGCCTATTCTAATATTTAGTGTGTATAACCTAAGAACTGTACACTTAAAAATCTTGAAGTTTGGCAAGAGAAGAGAAAATGAATAATGCCTTCACCTTGTAAAGTGATCTTCCTTTTGAAAAGAGGTACATAATACTCTGAAAAAGGCCATGCTTGCTATTTGGCAGTCATGATGGTATGTATGTACTTAAACTTCTTGTTTAACACTTACAATGCCTCCATAAATGAAGCATTATTTATCCCTCTGACGAAGATGAAGAAACTAAGGCTTAGAGAGATTTAATAATGTGACCAGGGGAACATAGCTAGTAAGTATCAAAACCAGGATTTGAACCTCAGTCTCTTTGATACTAAAGTCTCATTTGTCATCACTACACCTTTCAGCTTCAACTTCTGACTTGAGATAATCAGAATGAACAAAATGACAAGTCCAAGCTGCTTTCTAAGGCTTGCACATGATTTGGTCCTGCCTAACTGTCCAACTTCATTTTAGACCCAGTATCCCTGAGTCCCTGTTCCCAGCACCCACTGGCTTCCTTCTGTTCCTCCAACAGCACATTTCAGGACCTTTGTATATGGTGTTTTCTCTGCCTGTAATGTCTGGCTCCCTTTTCTCTATATGGTTTCCTTCTCCTCTTCCAAGTCTTAGCTCAAATATCACTTGCTTAGAGTCTTCTTCTGGAGTCTTCACGTGACAAAGCTGCTCCTCCCAAAGTCTTTCCTATCACCTGTTTACTTCATAGCACGTAACCAACATGAAACGAATCCGTTCACTTATTTAGTATAACCCCTTTGACAGACTGTAAGCTCCTTGAGGGCAGTGGCTTTCCCCCTCTTGATGATTACTGTATCTGCAGCACTTAGAACAGCTCTTCGCATCTAACAGATGTTTAAAAATAGTTGTTAAGTGAAGAAAAAATGAATAACTTTAAGATCTGTACATTTATTTCTACTTGGGAACAACGTATTTAGTTTTTCTTGGCTGAACATATTTGAGAATTCATGTATTTGATAGTGTCAAGTGTTCTAAATCATGGTTTAGCCTTGATCAGGACAGTTAAAAGCGTAACCATGTATGTTGCAACTTCCTGCAGTAGCAGAGCTTTCTGCTTTGTTTTTAACATTCCCAGTGGTCTTGTTTAAATAACTATTGAGTAGTCACCTGAAAATAAATGTTTATTCAATAAGCATAAAACTTCTTAGCTAATTATCTATAACAGAATTACAGTATCTTAGAATCATAACAGTTTTTAGCTAGACAAGGACTTAGTATACCCTCTAGTCTAACAAACATTTTGGGAAGGTAAAAAAGGCTTTTCAAGGCCGCATGGGTAGATCCAGGATCAAAAGAAATCAGGACTGGTCCCTTTCCATTATATGGGATCAACTCCTGTCTTTCTCCCAGCCCCTCACCTTATTATAGTGAATATTTCTATAAGAGCAGTATATTATGTATAGCATTTCAAAAGAAACCTATATTTCTGAAAGAAAAATGTCACTGTTAATCAAAGTTCCCAGTTTATTTCAAATCTATAGAAATGGAACTCTAGCTTTCTTGGGTGCCTTAACATTGAAATCATTGAATACTGTTCCATCGACGGCTGCTATAATGTAGAAGCAGAGGCCTGCACGGTAGACCTCTAAACAGAAAGGGAATAAAATACCAGATTCAGAGGAAAACAATACAAAAGAATTTGTATAGGTTGTATTTGCTCCAGGTTAGCAAAGGAAACACCATTGCATATGAGCCTCGTATGCAGAAATCACAAATTAAATCCATTGTAATAACCTATGGATTTTTCTGCTTACTTCTCATGTAACACGTGAATTCTTTAATTTTTTTTCAGATACATTTCAGGAAAATAGTTTGATTTAGAGAAATAAATTTACATATACATTTCTATAGAGCAGAATACACCATACCTTTCAGGTCTTTTTAGAAGCCAAAGATTTATGTTTAAGAATAAAAAAAAAGCAAATACACTGTTTTGTGTGTATATATGGAGTTGAAGAAAAATGGACATGTCCATTAGTGTATACAAGTGCCCAATGAATATGGGTATATATTATATTTATATAAAACATTCTACATAGTTTGAAAACATTACTTTTGCTGGAACATGACTGTCATAAGACCAGTAAAATCAAGAACTGTTTTGTCTATTTTCTTTTTCTATAATTGGCAGAAATATTTATATACAGTAGAACACAGACTCCAGTTTAGATGACTATGAAATTTAGGCCTTTCTTCTGTGAATAAGAGGATTGTAATGCTGACTCAGTGTAATGACAGTTCACTTCTGTGATTTGTTTACAAAACTATCATAGGACATGAAAAAATAGTATTTACATATGATTGCAAGTCATAGAAGCAGAGAATCCTAGAACCGGAAGGGAAGTAGGGATAATGTTGTCAAAAATACTCCTTGTAGAGATAAGGTCAGGGTCTTAGGATGGTGGGGACTGTCATAGTGAGTTTTCATCTGTCTTTGTCTGCTTGTGCAGGAATACATGGACTCCAATAAATACATTGAGCATCTGCTGACTCAGCTTGAGGAGCAACACAGGAGTCTCTGGAGGTGAGTTCAATTCATGTTCTTATTTGCTTGCTCAGGTAGCATCCTTTATAGCTTTGCTGATCTAAAATATTTCAGTTAGACTACAGAATATATACTAAGTCCTTGTCTGGCTAAAAACTGTTAGATTCTAAGAAACTATCATCTTGGAATGGCAAAATTGTAATGTGAAAACTAGAGCCCAAATTATTTGATCCTTGCTTGCTTCAAGATTTATTTATTTATTTATTTATTTATTTTTTTTATTTTTATTTTTTTATTATACTCTAAGTTTTAGGGTACATGTGCACATTGTGCAGGTTAGTTACATATGTATACATGTGCCATGCTGGTGCGCTGCACCCACTAATGTGTCATCTAGCATTAGGTATATCTCCCAATGCTATCCATCCCCCCTCCCCCGACCCCACCACAGTCCCCAGAGTGTGATATTCCCCTTCCTGTGTCCATGTGATCTCATTGTTCAATTCCCACCTATGAGTGAGAATATGCAGTGTTTGGTTTTTTGTTCTTGTGATAGTTTACTGAGAATGATGGTTTCCAATTTCATCCATGTCCCTACAAAGGATATGAACTCATCATTTTTTATGGCTGCATAGTATTCCATGGTGTATATGTGCCACATTTTCTTAATCCAGTCTATCATTGTTGGACATTTGGGTTGGTTCCAAGTCTTTGCTATTGTGAATAGTGCCGCAATAAACATACGTGTGCATGTGTCTTTATAGCAGCATGATTTATAGTCCTTTGGGTATATACCCAGTAATGGGATGGCTGGGTCAAATGGTATTTCCAGTTCTAGATCCCTGAGGAATCGCCACACTGACTTCCACAATGGTTGAACTAGTTTACAGTCCCACCAACAGTGTAAAAGTGTTCCTATTTCTCCACATCCTCTCCAGCACCTGTTGTTTCCTGACTTTTTAATGATGGCCATTCTAACTGGTGTGAGATGATATCTCATAGTGGTTTTGATTTGCATTTCTCTGATGGCCAGTGATGATGAGCATTTCTTCATGTGTTTTTTGGCTGCATAAATGTCTTCTTTTGAGAAGTGTCTGTTCATGTCCTTTGCCCACTTTTTGATGGGGTTGTTTGTTTTTTTCTTGTAAATTTGTTTGAGTTCATTGTAGATTCTGGATATTAGCCCTTTGTCAGATGAGTAGGTTGCGAAAATTTTCTCCCATGTTGTAGGTTGCCTGTTCACTCTGATGGTAGTTTCTTTTGCTGTGCAGAAGCTCTTTAGTTTAATTAGATCCCATTTGTCAATTTTGGCTTTTGTTGCCATTGCTTTTGGTGTTTTGGACATGAAGTCCTTGCCCACGCCTATGTCCTCAATGGTAATGCCTAGGTTTTCTTCTAGGGTTTTTATGGTTTTAGGTCTAACGTTTAAATCTTTAATCCATCTTGAATTGATTTTTGTATAAGGTGTAAGGAAGGGATCCAGTTTCAGCTTTCTACATATGGCTAGCCAGTTTTCCCAGCACCATTTATTAAATAGGGAATCCTTTCCCCATTGCTTGTTTTTCTCAGGTTTGTCAAAGATCAGATAGTTGTAGATATGTGGCATTATTTCTGAGGGCTCTGTTCTGTTCCATTAATCTATATCTCTGTTTTGGTACCAGTACCATGCTGTTTTGGTTACTGTAGCCTTGTAGTATAGTTTGAAGTCAGGTAGTGTGATGCCTCCAGCTTTGTTCTTTTGGCTTAGGATTGACTTGGCGATGCGGGCTCTTTTTTGGTTCCATATGAACTTTAAAGTAGTTTTTTCCAATTCTGTGAAGAAAGTCATTGGTAGCTTGATGGGGATGGCATTGAATCTGTAAATTACCTTGGGCAGTATGGCCATTTTCACGATGTTGATTCTTCCTACCCATGAGCATGGAATGTTCTTCCATTTGTTTGTGTCCTCTTTTATTTCCTTGAGCAGTGGTTTGTAGTTCTCCTTGAAGAGGTCCTTCACATCCCTTGTAAGTTGGATTCCTAGGTATTTTATTCTCTTTGAAGCAATTGTGAATGGGAGTTCACCCATGCTTTGGCTCTCTGTTTGTCTGTTGTTGGTGTATAAGAATGCTTGTGATTTTTGTACATTGATTTTGTATCCTGAGACTTTGCTGAAGTTGCTTATCAGCTTAAGGAGATTTTGGGCTGAGACGATGGGGTTTTCTAGATAAACAATCATGTCGTCTGCAAACAGGGACAATTTGACTTCCTCTTTTCCTAATTGAATACCCTTTATTTCCTTCTCCTGCCTGATTGCGCTGGCCAGAACTTCCAACACTATGTTGAATAGGAGCGGTGAGAGAGGGCATCCCTGTCTTGTGCCAGTTTTCAAAGGGAATGCTTCCAGTTTTTGCCCATTCAGTATGATATTGGCTGTGGGTTTGTCATAGATAGCTCTTATTATTTTGAAATACGTCCCATCAATACCTAATTAATTGAGAGTTTTTAGCATGAAGGGTTGTTGAATTTTGTCAAAGGCTTTTTCTGCATCTATTGAGATAATCATGTGGTTTTTGTCTTTGGCTCTGTTTATATGCTGGATTACATTTATTGATTTGCATATATTGAACCAGCCTTGCATCCCAGGGATGAAGCCCACTTGATCATGGTGGATAAGCTTTTTGATGTGCTGCTGGATTCGGTTTGCCAGTATTTTATTGAGGATTTTTGCATCAGTGTTCATCAAGGATATTCGTCTAAAATTCTCTTTTTTGGTTGTGTCTCTGCCCGGCTTTGGTATCAGAATGATGCTGGCCTCATAAAATGAGTTAGAGAGGATTCCCTCTTTTTCTATTGATTGGAATAGTTTCAGAAGGAATGGTACCAGTTCCTCCTTGTACCTCTGGTAGAATTCGGCTGTGAATCCATCTGGTCCTGGACTCTTTTTGGTTGGTAAACTATTGATTATTGCCACAATTTCAGAGCCTGTTATTGGTCTATTCAGAGATTCAACTTCTTCCTGGTTTAGTCTTGGGAGAGTGTATGTGTCGAGGAATGTATCCATTTCTTCTAGATTTTCTAGTTTATTTGCGTAGAGGTGTTTGTAGTATTCTCTGATGGTAGTTTGTATTTCTGTGGGATCGGTGGTGATATCCCCTTTATCATTTTTTATTGTGTCTATTTGATTCTTCTCTCTTTTTCATTAGTCTTGCTAGCGGTCTATGAAATAAATATGCTGGTGCTTAATTACGTGATGCCTCATATTGTACCGAAATTGTTTTATTAAGTACATTTGTCTCACCCACCCTCAGTAAGCCCCTAAAGTCATTGATTGATTGATTGACTGAGACAGAGATTTGCTCTTGTTGCCCAGGCTGGAGTGCAATGGCAGGAACTTGGCTCACTGCAACCTCCACCTCCCTGGTTCAAGCAGTTCTCCTGCCTCAGCCTCCCGTGTAGCTGGGATTACAGGTGCCTTCCGCCACACTCGGCTAATTTTTTTTTGTATTTTTAGTAGAGACAGTGTTTCACCATGTTGGCCAGGCTGGTCTCGAACTCCTGACCTCAGGTGATCCACCCGCCTTGGACTCCCAAAGTGCTGAGATTACAGGTGTGAGCCCCCGGGCCCGGCCCCTTTATTTCTTTTCATCTCCTTGCGGCATGGGGAGAGTGCTCTCTCTGTACACAGAGATGGCAGGTAAATACTTACTAACTCTCTTGTTTTCTTGCTAGACCTCATCCAAATCCATCACCATGGGGCTCCTCACCAGGCCGGGTTGCCTCTTCTTGTTGCGCCACTGTAAAAATTCTAATAACCTCAAAATTTATCTTCTTTCAGGCGTTCTAGGTCTTGGGTAAAGTGCTATATGTTTTAATTTGTTATATTCTTATATTTGTTTTTATACTGGAAGACAGACCTCTGATTACAGTAATAGAGAATATTCTATTTCTATACATAGAAAAACTGCTGGTAGGATACAACAAAAATTCAGTGAAGTCTGTTCGACCCTAATGGACACACCAGTTAATTTTTATTTATTTATTTATTTATTTATTTTTATTTTTTTAAATTATACTTTAAGTTCTAGGGTACATGTGCACAACGTGCAGGTTTGTTACTACATATGTATACATGCGTCATGTTGCACACCAGTTAATTTTATGTAATTGATGCAATATTTGCTAGATTTGTCTTTGAGAACTATAACCTGATTCTGATAGTTTTATTTTGTGAACCAATGTATTAATTAAATCAGCAATAACATGTATGGTTGTATCCTTTTAATTATATTTTCCATAGATCTCTTGGAAAGTATATTTTTAAAACTGTATAACCGGTATAATGTTTTATTTCAACTATTTATACGGAATATTTTATTTTTCCCATCTTCCAAAAGAAAAATTTACAAAAAATAATGAATGCCATCTGATGAAAGAAATTTAGAGTTTAATTTGGTTAGTAAGTGTATCTTACACGCATTATTATAGATGAATAATGGTTTCATGGGCTCTTTGAACCAAAACAACCTGCATGGAAAGGGCTATTTTTCTTACTTTCTTGAGGTAGCTAATAAAAACCTAGGTCTTCTCAGATATGATTAAATTAAAATTCCATTTCAGGCATGGAGTTAACATAAAGTGAGAGCTTAGAATTTTCTGTACAGTTACTTCTATTTTCCTTCAGAAATGGAATTATTACTGCTGAGGAAGCAAAGCCTTATATATAGTGTCAGAGGATCTAATAAAAATGCTCCATTTAAATAACAATAGAAGGTAATAATGACACTTGGATAGTCAGAATAATTCCATTGAGAAGATGGAAATGGGTGGTATTGAAAGAAAATGAACTCCAATAATAGCAGATTTATATACTATTTATTGAATCATGAAATTACTTTTGATTATATTTTTGCCAACAGATCCTGACTTCACTGACTTAAAGTGACAGGCTTTATGATGGTTGTTACAATTTCATAACAACAACTGTAGCCAAATTGTTTTTAGAGAAGAATATGTGAGTGACAGTGAACAGTGTAGGAAATCCTTTCTGGTTATGATTAAATTTTTAAGTGCTTGTTCATAAGTTAGAATAGAATCTGTGATATACAGGGGATCATGGGAATAGCATGTCATGTTCACAAGCACAACCAGATTGCCTGAAGTTAAACAAATGCTCCCATAAATCAGTATAGGCTCCTTCTCTGATTTTATATGCCTTTGATTTGTGGCTGCTACCATTGTCATGGAGTGGGCTATTTGTCATTGCTGCTAATGTTAACTGGTGGCCTTCCATTTATACTGGAGCTAACTTAGAGTCAAGTTCTGAACATCTAGATCTTCCAATAATAATTGTGGTCAGGATTAATTTATGGCTACCACCTTTGAGGACTGATCAGAAGCATGGTTGAAATAAGGCATACTCTTGTTGCCACTTGGTGAATAAGACTTGGATAAATAATATAGGACTAGGTGCAAAGATTAAAAAGTTTCCTTTCCTCCATGGAGGGGGCTGCTAGTCTTTAACCAACTTTAGTTGGTTCTTATAGCATAACCATCTGCTGTGACACAAAAATATATTGCAATAACACTCTTGAGATAACTGGTTATTTTGGGGTCCTGTCTAATATTCTGTTGAAATAGACCTATAATCTATCTCTGGGTTTTCAAGTTGCAAAGGAATTTATGGAGTTCATAAATAACTGTCTAGCAATGAGCAGTCCTTTAAAAGCTCAATTGTCTTTTTGATAGCAACAAATCCTTCCTAAAGAGGAAAACTGAGAATTCATCTAAAGAAGAGAATGGAGTCAGAATCTAGAACTTAGTCTAAGACTTGAGCATAAGTCGGGGTGAGTTTAATCTGCTCTGTATCTCCCTGCTTGATTTAAAACACACACACACACACACACACACACACACACACACACACACACTGTGACAACCTGTATACTAGTTCAGGTTGAAACACAACCATAATTTCCTGTACTTCTATTTGTTCTAATGTGAAAAGTTAATATTAGGAGAAAAAGAATTTTTTTATATCATTTGTTGCTATTTCTGATTTGGCTAAATATATTTGTGACAAGAAACATAAGAAAAAAGTGCTGAAAATGTCTTTCCTAACAAGTGATAAAAAATCTTTATCCATTTGCGGCCTCATATTAAGAGTTTAGAATAAACAGGTGGAATATACAAATTGAATTTATGAATGCTTATGGCATTGAAATTACTTTCAAGCCACAAATGTAAAATTATATATAAAAAAGTGAGAGCAGCATAATACTACACAATAGGAAGAAAACTGGACTGGAGGTTTTGGGGACTTGGACTCTTGTCTGGCCTGCATAAACTGGCTGCTAAATAACATCTCTGAAATGGAGTTTTCTTATCTGTGAAAAGAAGGTATTAATATAGCTAGTATTTAAGATTACTCAGCACTGAGATTATGAAATGGTGTCTGGAATATTATATTGCATTTATAAAACACATGTTTTTAAATAACACTTAAATATTATGCAATGATACAGCTACATAATACAAATGTCATAGAAAGCTTCAAAGAACCTATGAGTAGAAATGACTAATGGAACAATCTAACAACTTGCCAGTAGCTCAACTAGATAATGTCCAAGTATTCACTTAAGATATTCTTTCTTTTTGTGTTAATGGGAGACTGGAGTTTTACTACTACCCAAATCAGCCTCCTCCGAGATTCAGAGGTCAGAGTTTTTAAAAGATAGTTTGGCGGTGGGGGTGGGGATGTTAGAGAATGGGGAGTGCTGATTGGTTGTGTCGGGATGAAATCATAGGGAGTCGAAGCTGTCTTCTTGCGCCGAGTCAGTTCCTGGGTGGGGGCTGCAAGACCTGATGAGCCAGTTCACCTTTCTGGATGGTGCCAGTTGATCCATGAGAATGCAGGGTCTGAAAAACACCTCAAATACCAATCTTTGGTTTTACCATAATGATGTTACCCACAGGAGCAGCTGGACATGTGAGGAATCTTGCGGCCTCTGGCTGCATGACTCCTGAGCCATAATTTCTAATCTTGTTGGCTAATTTGTTAGTGTTATAAGGGCAGTTGGTTTGGTCCCCAGCCAAGGAGGGGCTTGTTTCAGGAAAGGACTGTTAGCATCTTTATTTCAAATTTTCATAAGTCAAATTGGTGACAGTTTTATCAAAAACCTTAAGGTAATGAAGAATGAGTAATAGGTCTCCATGATCAAAATCAAATGACAAAATCTGAATGCAGAGTGCCAGCTACCAACCACGGATTCCAGATCACCTAAGCCTCATTTGAACAAGCTATATCTGCACTAGGGTTTCTCAACCAAGGCACTGTCGACATTTGGGGCCAGACAATTCTTCATTGTAGGGGAGGATGTTTAGGATGATCCCTGGCTTTCACACCACCTGCCAGTAGTATCCCTCAGTTGTGACAACAAAAATGTCTCTGGGCATATTTCAAGGATTCCCTAAGGGACAAAGTCGTCCCCTCTCACAGTTGAGCATCAGTGGTCTAAATAATCTATGCAAGCATTTTCCTGAGTATATTCCAAGAAACACCAATACTCTGCGTCACTATGTCATAGATATTTTAAGAAAAATGAGGGTACTCCATGGTCAAATAAATTTTTAAAATTTTAGGTAAAACCAAGTCTTAAACATTTTGTTTTAATTGTAGAACTTCTCAGAGCCATTAATCCTGCTAACATGTGCTGCGTATATGCAAATATTGGATATAAAATTTTATTTTTTACTTTAAAAATAAAACTCCAAATCCTATCTGTCTTAGAGCATCTACTCTAAGGTTCAAGGAACATATCGAGGGAAGTGGTGATCTATCTAACTGCTATCCAAATATAGAATACATATGACTTGTACCACCTGCTTCACTGGTACTGGGCTGGGTGACTTAAGGGCATCTAGCAGTGAGTTGTTGGTAAAAGGGGAAAAGAGTCTGGGTTGTTGGTAAAAGGGGAAAGTCAACCTGTAGGAACCTCAATCCCAAGTTCCTCACTAATTTCCTGAGGGGAAGTCAAAGCCTCAGTACAAACTTCCAAGAATCTAAACTACTGATTACAAACCATTTGCCCAAGTAAAAGACTTAACTCTTGCTTCCCAAGGCGGGGGAACTGATGGTTTCCTACATCACCAGGGGGAGTAAAAGACTAATTTTTAAAGCATGTATAGTCCCTAGTCAGAAGAAGATCCTCTAAGGCTCATCCCTTCTAGCAAAAAAAAGATAATTACTTTTATATATCCAAGATTTTTAAAATGGAATTTTACCTTTCCTTTCTGGCTTGCATGTGATTCTTATTCTAAGAACAGAAATAGGAAAACATTGGGTAAAAACTTTGCTTTCATTCTCCTTATGATTCAAATATGTCTTAACTAAGTAGAGTGAACATTGAAATAAAATGATCCATGCTCAAAATGCTCATTCATGTTCTCCATAATTTTGATATATCTATACATTTTTAGCTAGAGGTTAATGGCCCTGGTGCCTCTAACGTTCCCTCCAGCTCTAAATTGAGAGAGAGAAATTGCTTGCTGCGAGGCCACATGCCATTATTCTATCCTTGAGGAAGAAATATTCTTTGCTAAAATGTTATCTAGAAATTATCTTGTAGTTGTAAAATACAGGTAAGAAGAAAAAGCCGACATGCTCTCTGAGAAGAGTCAGGCCCAGAGCCTCTTGAAGATGTACCTTCTGTGTATCCTGTATCTAAGAATCCTATCATCCAGGCATCTTAAGAATTAGCATGCCTCTATCCTCATGGGGTTAATTTATGTAGACTAAGGGGACGCCGAGTATTAAACAGGTTGCCTTCACTGTAATCATAGACCTCCACTGGGAGCTCTTAATTGGCAACAAGTAAAATTGCTCTGCATGAATTCTTAATGGTGGACACTGAATAAAATAAGAACTATGATTTGTTTTTTAAATCCCTCAAGAGGAAAAGAGGCTGTCTCTTGGGGAGAGAATGTGTAGCAAACAAAGAGAGAGCTCAGTGCTCTGTAATAGCAATAAAAGCTCTGAAAGCAAAACATCACGCTATGCCAACTCAATAACAGCACATGGTTTCCTGTTCTGCATCCCTGATTCACCCTGCTGAGGTCAAAGGAGACCAGGGCTAGCGTGCCTCACATTATCTTTCCCTGTTCTCAACCCTTGGGATGAATTTCTAAATCATAGCTGTATTCTCAGCCAAGTGCAGACCCCAGAGCCACCCTGGAAACCCATCAAATGTCACTCCCCAATTACCCACCAGGAGTTGTTTCAGAGATGCAGACAGTCCCAGACCCCTGCCAGGATAAGAGTCTGGCCTCTCAGCTATGCCCTCTGTCCAGCACAAGGGAGATGAAACCAGGGCTCTCGAAATTGGGTATTGCCACATGCTTCAATGGTTATGTTATTCCTGAACGGTCGTAGGGAGAGCTATGGGATAAGCTATCCACCAAAGGATACTTATTATAGACTGCTGGTCATACTTTAGAGAAGCAAGGGAGTGTTCAGGCTTCTTATAACCATGAAGCCCCTGATGAAATAACATCACTGTCTTCCAAGAACCTTTCTTCCAGCAACAACAGGGTTTAGTAGAACTACGTCCAGAAAGACATCTGGTTTGATTGAACCAGATCACCCAGAAGATATCACCTTGCACCTTGGGATCGATCTTCATTATAGTTTACTTAGGTCACCTGTATGTGATATGCATGTGTCTAATTAGGGGGTGCCTAGAGTTTGAATCCAGGTTTTCTGGGGCAAGGAGACACAAAAAGGGTCAGGGTAAAACTCTGCACTCACTTTCTATCTGTGATTTCCTGTTTCTTATCAAATCTGCCCACTGTTCTTTAATTCATCATAGAACATATATTTAGGTCCTAACCTTGGGAGTTTATCCCTTCCTCTTCACTCTAAACCTTGTTTGCAAGAAACATTTCACATTTATCAAGATTATTCCACTGGGGCATTGAGGGATGGAGGGGGTTCTATAAAACACATTTTAGGAGACTCTGTCCTGCAGAAGTCCAAAGAAGGCTTCCCAGAGGAGGTGGCATTTTGAACCAAGGCTTGATTAGGAGCAGAATTGGAGTGAGGGCTGATGAAGAGTCAGTAATGGAATACATTGAATTTGAATTGTCTTTAAGACTTTAAGCTCTAACAGTACAGAGGATGACGAGAAATTCAGGACTAGGATCTTTATAGTTAATAAATAAACCACTGTATAGATGGAGTCACTATTAACCAACAAAGATATAAAATTGATCCCTAATGTAACTGGGGAAATATTCGTACTTAAAAGATAGATTTACTGCCACCGCAAGAAGCTTGGATTTGAATAATACTGTACAAGTAGGCCCATACATGACTTAAAAACTCCACTTCTAGTTTAAACAGGTTTATATTCTTCAAGAAACACTCCAAAAGTACCAAAAAATATCCCAACATCAATACGATTTGGGGGTCACCCAGAGAAATTTACCACTATTTAATCTAAAGACATTAGCTTAAAACACACTTTTGTTATTTTTAGATCCATGCTTATCTTAATATGACAGCCAGGAACCTAATGTGATTTATTTATCTGAAATTAAAATAAAAGGCCTCAAGCAAAAGGCATTTTGTAGATTTATTTGGGGTAATAAAGATTACAAATATTCCCTACTAAGTTGAAAGAAGAAAAACTCCAGCAGACAACAGTGTAAATGGCCCCCTTGACATAAATGCATGTATTAAGGCTGAAGTGCACTCACAGTAAGAAGCGACAAAGTGCCTCTTTTTTTTTTTTTAAATCTAGAAGGAGAAATGAAATGGGTAATTTACCATGGCTTTCTATTTAATTTTAATTTTACTGGAAAAATTCACTAACTTGTTAGGGCATGAGCATACTTATGACTTATTTTTTAAAAAGGTACCGTTAGGATATAACCCTGTATCTCTCTCCAAATGGGTAACTCTAGATTAAAAATAAGTCATTTGTTTGCTTACTACCTCTGTCCCCCAACCCCATCCCATTCTTCTTAATTTCTCCATATTCAGAGGCCTGAGAGGGAGTTCCATTACCCTACCTCCACTCTCCTTTCCAACCCTGGGGAGGGGTGTTTGGGCCTCTCCAAGAAGAAGAAATACAAAATGCATTTTTTCCTTCAAGGTTTTAACTATGGTACACTGTATAATTTTGTATTATAAATCAGACCTCATAAATAATCCAAAGAGCTAAGGATGGCAAGGTTCCTTGAATCAAAGAATCAGGAATAGGTTAATGGAAATGAAAAGTCGTTGGTAGAGCTGTGTTCTAAGCTATCTCAGGGCGGAGAACATGCGTGGGAACGCAAACGTCTTTTGGAGGGTGGGTGAATTTTGCCTTCTTTGGCTGGTTTCACGGCCCAGGGAAGCCTCTGGAGTTTGCCTCAGGGGTACCTGGCTTACTTGGTGTCCGGGCTTTGCCTTCTCTCGAACACTCAGTGATTAAATGTCATAGATGTATTTTCTGTGGCAGTTATTCTAGACGTTCACCAGGTGTAAAAGCCTGAGAGAGAAAGTTAAAGGTACTGAAGCTCCCAGTGCGGTGCTACCACATGAATCACATTTTACCAATAGGGGAGATCTGTCACCTGGACCCTGGGTTGCTTTGGTTGCAGCCCTCTGCTCTCCTTTCCTCCCGCCCCATCTCCTGTTGACGAGGACAATGCTGCCTCTGCGATGCTTCAGCAAAATACCCCAAACATGTAACAGTGACTCTGTCCTTACCTCCAGGAGCCTCTAAACCAGTTCCCAGCATGTTGCTCTCAATCACACTGACTTGTTTGTCTAATTATCTCATGAGAGCATGTTTTGTATGTTTCACATCTTTAACCTGTAAGACCAAGTCTTCCCATTCCTCTATCTCTCATCATGCTTGGCATAAAACATGAAACTTCAAACATAAAGTTTCACCCATCTTGAAAGCATAGAGACAAAAACTGGGGATGTGTTTTGTGTAACTTTGTTCCTAAGTGACTTAGCACATTATGGATACTCCAAACACTTTTCTTGAGACTTTACAGGGACTGTTGATGATTCAAGAGGAGAAACTGTCCAAGCATGGTGGCTCACTCCTGTAATCACAGCACATGGGAGACAGAGGTGGGCAGTCTGCTTGAACCCAGGAGTTTAAGATCCTGTCTCTACAAAAAATTAGCTGGAAGTGGTGAGTGCTCCTGGGTCTCAGCTACTCAGGAGGCTGAGGTGGGAGTATGGTTTGAGTCCAGGACTCTGAGGCTGCAGTGAGCTTTGTTCCTGCCACTGTACTCCAGCCTGGGTGACAGAGCAAGACCCTGTATCAAAAATAAACAACAACAACAACAAAAAAAAAAAAAAAAAAAAAGGAGAAATTCTTGTGGCCTCATATGTTCATTAGGGATGAGACCACCTTTATCTGTAAGTCCATGCAAGAAAAAAAGTCAAGCAAGCATGGCAAAAAGTCATTTGTCTAAGTGGCTTAAAAATGTTAAAATGAGATACACAATTTCAAGATACTATTAGAAAGTTTAAAGATTGAAATGTTTAATCATAAAGTGTTTAACCAAAAAGCAAGAAGTTTTAGGGCTTGTCATTTCTGTGAGCATGTCACTGCATGTCATAGTGAAGGCTCTAACCAGTAGCAATAATAATCAAATGTATATTTGTATCTCATAATTTTATTCTGTTGATCTACCAATTATGATTTTGAGTTACAAACAACCTTATCAGTAGAAGCAATGAAAGGATATCTCATGATTTTGAAATAACACAATGAAGAGGCAATTTTAGATTTTTAAAAATTCATGATGAAAATCAAGGCCTAAAATATTGTGTGTTTTTTTTTCCATTTGGATAAAGCAAATTAGAGAACAATTGTAGACATGTAGATCAAGCTACTTTTACAAACATAATCAGGGCTTAACCTACAAGGCTTGAAAGTGGTATTTACGGAGAAGGTATTGATAATTTTGGCAAGACCAACATACACTTGAATGCAGAATGGAGCTTATATGGTTTGGATTTGTGTCCCTGCCCAAATCTCATGTGGAATTATAATCCCCAGAATTGGAGGAGGGGCCCAGTGGGAGGTGACTGGATCATGAAGGTGAATTTCCCCCTTGCTGTTCTCGTGATAGTGCGTGAGTTCTCATGAGATCTGGTGGTTGAAAAGTGTGTAGCACCTCCACCTTTGCTTGCTTCTTCCTCTGGCCATGTAAGATGTGCCTGCTTTGGCTTCCACCATGATTGCAAGTTTCCTGAGGCCTCCCCACCCATGCTTCCTATACAGCCTATGGAACTGTGAATCAATAAAATGTTTTTTTCTGTATAAATCACCCAGTCTCAAGTAGTTGTGCTGTTTTTTTTTGTTTGTTTGTTTGTTTGTTTGTTTTTATTTTTTTTGGAGACGGACTCTTGTTCTGTTGCCCAGGCTGGAGTGTAGTGGCACGATCTCGGCCCACTGCAACCTTCACCTCCTGGGTTCAAGCAATTTCCAGCTAATTTTTGTACTTTTAGTAGAGACAGGGTTCCACCATGTTGGCCAGTCGGGTTTCAAACCCCTGACCTCAAGTGATCTGCCTGCCTCGGCCTCCCAAAGTGCTAGGATTACAGACATGAGCCACCTCGCCTGGCTTCAAGTAGTTTTTTTATGGCAATATGATAACAGACTAATAATATAGGAGCTTAGCACAAATAACAATGACCCGGGCTGCCAAACAGAGGGTGAATTTTCACAGGATTAGTAACAAGAAAGACAATGGAAAAAAAAGGCAAAAAGATGAAAAAGGGAAGAACCAACAGTAAAAATAAATTATGATTATTTTATTACCTAGCTCCTTTAAATAGCTTGATAGTAAGTGGCACATTTTTTCTCTTTATCCCTTAAAGTATTACTGATATACACTGTAATCCAGTTGGGGCTGGTATTTAATGGCACACCAGTACAATCAGAGGCTCTATTCTAACTGTTTGGTGATTTTGTCATACCATTGCTAAGTTTTAAAAATATCATCCCTGGTTCATCTTCTGCAATGTGGAGTTTAAGTCCTGACTCTGCTACTTACTCTGTGGTCTTGCAAAAGTCATTTAGGCTTTCTGGGCCTGAGTTTCCCATTGGTAATGAGAATGGTTTGGAAGAAATGACTTCGGCAGTTATTTCTTAAGAGTTAAAAATCTATAATTTTTACCTGTCATCTAGGTAGGCCAGTTGAAGGGTTGAATGATGAAGATAGAAGAGAAGTGATAGATGCATAAAATGGTTGGAAGTGGCAGTTTCCCTCCTTGAAAGAAGGCAGATATTAATTCTTTTATGAACCTAGCTTTCTTTATGCACTAACTCTTGGACTGTCTCTTGGCACCAAACCTTCCTGAGGTAATGAAACAGCATGCTGGTGGACCCAGGGCACCAGAGCAAGGTCAGGGCTGTGACCACTTTCAAAAGATTTTCCAGGAAATTATTCTATTGAATAATGTTTAAGTTTCCACAGAAGCTATAAGCAGAGTGTGCTGCAAAAAAAAAAAAAGTTAATTGTACAATATTAAAAAACAGAGCAGCAACTCTGAGGTTATGGTCCCTATTAAAGGAAATTGCATTGTCTGACGCTGTCTCTTCAATATTCTCTAGAAATTCAGACTCCCTGGCTAATTGAAAGCCAAATATGTATTTACCTGGATTTATTCAGTTATATTGGCAAATTGATTTTCTTGTTTCTCTGCTTTGGAGACAGAAATATGGATGGTATCAGTTGCAGAAGACCACTCTAAAATAGAAATTCTTTGACGTCACAACTGAGCAAAAGTTCTTAGAGTTGGATCAGATGTACACATTTAGGACCTTGGCTTTTGGGACCATTTGTCCCCAAGATGACATAATTCAAAATGTACCAAAAGTCACATCTATCAAAAAACATTTCTTCTGCTGGATGAACTGAAATTCCCATGCTCAGAATAAAAAAAAAGAATTGGTTATCCAGGAAGTCAGCCCTGAAATTTGCCATTGCCACTTGAGAATTCTAGCATCACTCTCTTAGCTCCTCATAATATCTCATCAGGGATTAGTTTGCAAACTAATACCCATGGAAATCTGAGTCCTGGAAGTTTTTTCTGTAAAACCAAGCATGTTTGGAATGGGAGAAAGGAAGTTGTAATAGAAATGTTATGGTACAAATCCAAATATTTCTATTTGTAACCACACACGTCCCTACTAACCTTGACCTCCTTTATTACTCATTATTTCTACACACGCACTCCTTTGTGGCCTCTCTCTCCATTCCAAATAGACAAGCCCTAACCATCCTTCAAGTTTCCTGCCTCCCTACCTCTTCACATGCATTCCTCAGCCCACCTGGGCCCAGTCTTCCCTGCTGAACTTGAGACTATTTCATATAAGTATACATAATGATGTATATCTTGTAAAAACTCTAAAATTATTTCATGTACCTTAGTATTGACTCTACAAATATTGTAGGTACCTGGCCTTACACTTCTGTTACACATCAAATGATGACTAACACAGGGTTGAACATAACAGGTGTTTAGCTAACACACATTGATCGATTTTCTTGAACAGGGAAATTAAAAGTTGTCAGCAATCAGACAAATGCATTGTCTGATGCTGTATCTTCAATATCCTCTAGAAATTCAGACTTCCTGACTAATTGAAAGCCAAATATGTATTTACCTGGATTTATTCAGTTATATTGGCCAATTGATTTTCTTGTTTCTCTGCTTTGGAAATAGAAATATGGATGGGGTCAGTTGCTAGTTAGACCATATCAAGAGCACTTAATTTGGATGTCAGTTACAGACACTACAATCCAAAGATTATCCACAAAGCTGGTGACTAAAATGGTACAAGGTTCACAATACTGAATTAATAATGATGTGAGGAATTGGAGATGTTTGCTTGACAAATAGAAGACTAAGAGATGGATAGATCTAATAATTGTTTGAAAATGGAATGAGTTGTCTTGTGGAGAAGAAATTTAGAACTAGAAAGGGCATTTCTCATACTTATTACCATCCCGAGGAAGGTATTCTTGAGATAGTGAGTTCTGTACCACTGCAAATGTCAAAGCAAAGTGGTCATCTTTCAGATATAGTATGGGATGGATTCTGCTACATTGGATAGGAAGAGATCAGACACCTCTTCTATTGAATGACTCAACATCTGCCTTTCACCCTTTGGCTCTAATGCTGTCATCAGTAGCTCCACTTATAACATCTCCCTGTTCTGTGTACCATTCCTGTTAAAGGATTTATCTAAAGACAGTTTTTCATGTTTTTTTTCGCAGTCTTTACTGCTTCAAAGGAAGATTCCTTCATTGGTCCTCATACAACTTGTTTTTCAGTCTTCATTTAGTCATGGCCACCTGTTGGACATATTCTAGTTTGTGAGTTTTCCTCTTGACATGTGAGGCTCCAATATAAACATAATATATTTTTATTATGACCAGATTACAAGTCCAGTTTTCATTATCCTTTGAGAGAGGGTTGTTATTCTAACTAACTTTATGATTTTTCCCCTAGTGGTACTAATTGTTAATAACCTTTAGGCAAAATACCTAAAATTCCAGCATTGCATCATGCATATCCAATTACTCTCTTGTGAACTCAAAGAATATAAGTCATTATTTCAGGAAAGGGCAAAGAGTGTTTTAAATTTAGAAAATCCATTCCTTTCTTTTTTCTCCACTACTCCTATACTTCCTCCACCCACTTTTTAATTGCCTTGTTCTGTTTCAGATCTTCCTTTTTCCAAGGCCAAGACTTTATTTGTGGTTAAGAAGTCACAGAAGAGGCCGGGCGTGGTGTCTCACGCCTGTAATCCCAGCACTTTGGGAGGCCGAGGCAGGCGGATCACGAGGTTAGGAGATCGAGACCATCCTGGTTAACAGTGAAACCCCGTCTCTACTAAAAAATACAAAAAAAATTAGCCTGGCATGGTAGTGGGCGCCTGTAATCCCAGCTGCTGAGGAGACTGAGGCAGGAGAATGGTGTGAACCCAGAAGGTGGAGCTTGCAATGAGCCGAGATCGTGCCACTGCACTCCAGCCTGGGCGACAGAGCAAGACTCCACCTCAAAAAAAAAAAAAAGAAGTCACAGAAGAATTAGTAATAATTACAAGTAAATTTGATAATTCCTGACCTTTTATTAGAAGATTACTTTAGCTTTCAAAAGGAAGGACGTGAGTTTCAGCTCATCAGTTAAATGAACAATAATTAATTTAACATGTATAATTTCAATGTTAAGGAATATTGGGAAGGATGGTTCTAGAACAAAGAAACAAAGCTCATGAGAAAATATGTACCTGGAGCACAGCCACAGCCAAAGTGAATTTAACTTTTGGGTGTCCTGCTGTAGACTGAGTTGGGTGCCGTAGGTGTTTACCGTGGTATACGTTAAGATTCTTCGAGTTGCTCTCGTATCGTGATGGTGATACGTGCATTATATAAAGGAAGACATTGCTTTTTGAAGATATAGTGTGCTAAGGGTTTCAGATCATTTATTCCAGAAATCCAATTCCACTATCCCCTCTGTGTGCCCCTCCCTCACCCCACCCCACCACCCAAATCCCTGAGAAGTTTATTTCTGGCCCATTTACTACATTAGCAAGAGAGTTTATTTTTCTAGCTCATTGCTAAACCATTATACTATAGAAATTCCATTGCCAAGCAGTTTTAAAGCAGAGCTGTTATCTTCCTCATCATAATTTTAAAGTTAGCATTTGAAAATCACTTTCAACTTTGGATAACAAATGAAAAATGATTATGTAAAGTTTACATTCATCTTTGTCACATTGGTGAAGATTTTGCAATAAATACTGTATAGATTATTTTTCCTGTCAAATGCTTGCTAGACATTGGAGTACATTAATTAGCTGGACCACTGTCAGATGTGGTCTGTGATATTTTCACAGAGAAAGCATGAGCTGAGATTGGGTGAAAGGCAAAAAGCAGATTCACTTGTCAGCAGGAAGCATTCTGAAGGGGGCCTGTTAGGGTGGCTTGGGAAGATCATTTTGGAAACAAGATACGTATATATGATAGAGGGTTTCTGACACTCCTGGGCTGGTGAGATCTTATTCCAAAGGAACATGTAATTAGGCTCACATTCCATTGTGGGTTGGGAATGGGCATGCTCTTGATATATGAATAACGTAAGGACATGCTTATAAT
This sequence comes from Homo sapiens, assembly GCF_000001405.40. NCBI lineage: Eukaryota > Metazoa > Chordata > Mammalia > Primates > Hominidae > Homo > Homo sapiens. Next base: position 133,284,916 of record NC_000002.12, on the reverse strand, counting down.
GCAGTGAGAAGAGATTTTTGAATTGCTTCATGAATGTTTGCCTGTGTTGATGGGCAATCCACAAAAAGTTCAGAGGTTCAGGATGTCTGGAAGGTTTCCTGCTTCACATCTGAGCAAATCAAAGAAGAAATTGTGGATAAATCCTTATGAAAACTTTCTCATGGGCTTTCAAAGTCCTGAGTCTTCATGTAAAGTTAGAATGTGGAAATGTCCCTTATGCTCCTGTTTGGGAATAAAATGTTAGATATAGTTGTCTTGGTTAATATACAGATAGAGATTGGTTCCTTGAATGTCCATCTTCTATTCACAACCCAGGAACCTAGCAATTTCTCATGACTTCCAAAACACAGCCTTTGGAGAGTTTCACAAACAGAAGCAAGAATTGCCACGGTGCATCATGGCCACGTGCCATCTGTCTTTGGCAGAGTTGGCAAAGCAAGGACTTCTTTGATGTCAACTTCAAACATGCATAACATGACCCACACATACTATTTTTTTCTTATTAACTGTGTGATGGGCCAGTCATTAATTTATATAAGCCATTTAAAATCTGTTTTTATTTCCAACTTCTTCTACCTCCTGTTGGGTAAAGAGTTCCATCAACTTAATCCCTACTCTATGGGGTAGGGCTTCCTTTTATTTGTCCTAAACACAGACAAGCTTGAATTGGTGACTCCTCAATTAGACATTTTAGGGGTTAGTAATTAATTCTATGTTTATTCTATTTATATTATATACAATCATATATATATATATGCACAATCTTATAGGCATCATTCACCTTGCTTCTGACAAATGATACTCACAGAGCAACCACAAGAGTAACCCTGGACTCATTTTTGTTGTTTTCTTGATTATTTTATCTTTTAAAGTAACAAATACATTCAGTATTAGGATATGAGTTCTACAAGTTCTTGAGTCTGCCACTCTACAATTATGAGGAAATCATTTGATCACTGGATTCTTTATCTATAAAGCAAAAATTTAACTTAAAATTCCTTTTCAAGGCCGGGCACGGTGGCTCACGCCTGTAATCGTAGCACTTTGGGAGGCCGAGGCGGGCGGATCACCTGAGGTCAGGAGTTTGAGACCAGCCTGGCCAACATGGTGAAACCCTATCTCTACTAAAAATACAAAAATTAGCTGGGCATGGTGGCAGGTGCCTGTAATTCCAGCTACTCGGGAGGCTGAGGCAGGAGAATCGCTTGAACCTGGGAGGTGGAGGTTGCAGTGAGCCGAGATCCTGCCATTGCACTCCAGCCTTGGCAACAGAGCGAGACTCTGTCTCAAAAAAAAAAAAAAAATCCTTTTCAGCTTTATTATCTTTTGAATTTGTTTTGTGACCATCTAGAAAAATGTGAACTGTAGCGCTTACATTTAAAGATTACAGAAATAAAATTAACATCAAATAGCCATTTAAAAATTATAGTTAATGTTTTAGGTAAATAAAAGGGAGTCATAAACATAAAATTATAGAATGATTTTAGAATTATATCTATAGAATCTATAGAATGATAGAAATACATACAATTATAGAATGAGACAGTCTAGTGTGTGCTGCTGAATTACTGGGGGTGAACAAAGGACAAAAGGAACAAAGGAACAAAAGCTTCCTTTTAAAAAAAAACTATTTCTCCTCTACCTCCTTCAAATGGTCAATCTTACCCATTTTCCTGGCTTCTCATGATATTATGTTATCTTATTCATTGTATCCATTTTCATCCCTTCCTCTTCTTTAAAATCTCATTTAAAATGCCATCTCCACCAAAATGCATTCCCAAATTCCATATTAAAAATGAACCTCTGCTCCTTCTCTACTCCCATAATGTTCTGCTTATGTGAGTAGTATAAAACTTACTTCATTCTGATTTATGTTAAGGTAGGTTAATACCCTATGTCTTTCTTGTTAAACAATAAGCCCCTGGAAGAGAGAAATCATGTCTGTTTATCTTGGCATCTCCTTGGTGTCCAACAGTCAAGGATTGTTTTAATACATATGGATGATCATGGATTCAGAGCAATCTCATTGCTGCCAGTACTGAGGAAACAGGAATTCTGGTAGGAATGAACCATGTCATTAGTCTACCACTTGCTATGTTTCTACATAATTGTTGGGTTGACTTTCACTTTGCTCCCATTTCTCTTCTTTGTAGCCGTAGCTCTTTCTAGTGGGAGTCATTTACTTGAACTCCTGTTTAGCCTGGTGTAAGCCTTCTAAACCACAGATTAGAAGAGATTCATTCATATACCGTATTACCCAAATATGCATGCTATATGATAGCCCTATTCAGCATCTTCCACTGATTGCATCCATGTTATACATTATATGACCACACCCTAAGTTCATCCTCTGGCCTTCATATTACAAAAGTCCTGTTTTCAGTTTAGGTGTTTTTATCCCCCTTATCTTCCAATTCCCGTTAAAAATAAATCATTGCTCTGCTAATGGCTTGTTTCATACCTTCTGGATCAATGTTACTTATAAGGAAATCCTAGCATCTTTGATCTCTTTCATTTGGTCATGGGTCTTTTCTCAAGAATATCTGTTGTAGGCATCCCTACTGGGTCCAGGTCAGCATTCCTAAGACTGCCCACTTTTGTTTTTGCCCTCATCTCTGCTTTTGGCACTGAAGACCAGGGTGGCAGGTACAAAAGTTAAAAAGAAATAATAATACTTTATCATTATATGACAGTATTGTTCTAAACACTTCACAAGTATTAAGTCATTTAATCATCACAGTTTTATGAGGTTTAGTCTTCCCATTTTGCAGATGAGGGAAATGAAGCACAAACATTAATTAACTAGTTTGGCTGGAGGGCTGGGTCGTTAATCATTACCCTAAACATTTAATGAGTTGTCACTAAATATATCCAGCCCTCTTCCTTATAGGCACGTGATAGAATTGCAACTCCTGCTCCTCTGAGGATGGATGGGGTCATGGGACACGTTCTGGCCAATGAATTGTTAGCAAAAGTGACACTCCAAATTGAAGCATTTAACTGTGGGTCTGCAACTGCCCAACATGCTCTTTCTTCTTGCATGGCAACCAGCAGCTCTCAAGATGGTGGTTTCTCTAAAGCTGGGGTCATAAAATGATTACCATGAGCAGAGTCCCCACCAAAAGCTAGCATGAAGAAGAAATAGGCATTTGTTTCAAGCCACTGAGATCTAGGGGTTGCTTGTCACCATGGTACAACCCAGCCTATCCTTCCAAAATATCCTGCCTACACAGGCCAAAAATAGTAGAAAGGCAGAACACATTCTTTAAGTTCCTAGAATATAGTTCTTAACTTTTAAGAACTTGTGATGGTGCTAACATTTTTCAATTCCGTAGGTATCAATTTCAGCTTTCATTATTTCCTTTATGTTAATTTCCAATATCTCTCCAGAATACCTCTCAAAACTCTATTCCTTTCATAAGAAATTCTGAGGCCCAGGCTTCTTGATATTTTTAACGGTTTAATTACCAAATAGTGACTTTGTAATTTTAAGATTTTATAAGATATTTTAGAAATTTGGCAACTGTTGTAGTCCTAGTTCATAAAAATAAATAGATTGAAAAAACCCAAGTTTACATTTTGAAAAAAATATAATTTTGAATACACAAAGCACAATTTGAAATGATATAAGCAACTATACTTGTCTTTATAAACAAAGTTATAGTAGATATCCATTCATTAGGAGCACTGTATTTTAATTATCTAGAAATAATCTTGCTGTAGTTATTGCTGGCTATAAAAAGTTAATTTCAAAAGTTAATTAGCTAAAATCACTTCTATTCTTACTGTTAAAAACGGAATGTCACTGATATTCAGCAGCAATGTATGTGCTGTAGAACAAGTTATATCAGAAACTTGAAGACTCCTTAGAATTTATAACATGGATTTAATTGCTCTAGTTGTGTCAGTATAACTCAAAATTATAATCATTAATAGTTTTTTGAAAGTATGCATTCCTGTTTATGACATCTTGTAAGAGGGCAATATTTTCTGTAGCAGGGTCAGCACACTTTTTCTGTTAAGGACCACATAGTAAATATTTTTGGTTTTCTGAGTGGTACCCATATCGTCACTGTCACAAATTGCTCAATTTTGTAATCTTAGCTCAAGAACACCCACAAAGGATACGTAAGTGAACAGGTATAACTATTCCAATAAAGCGCTATTTACATAGAACTGGCAAGGTTTGGCCTGTGGGTGCCAATTCCTGATCTAGAATGAATTTTAAAAATTGTTTTCTTGGGATGTTTTGCAACCTTGATGTACTAACTCCTAAATAAGTAAATAAGAAGGATCTAAGTCATCACAAATTTGATTTCCTGTGCCCATGTCCTTCTAAGCCATCCCCTGGAGCCACTCTGCTAAGCCCCGGGACCTCCCTACTCAGGAGGCTGAGGTGGGAGGATGGCTCGAGCCTGGGAGGTGGAGGTTGCGGTGAGCCGAGATCGTACCACTGCACTCCAGCCTGGGCAAGAGAGTCAGACCCTGTCTCAAAAAATAAATAAATAAATAAATAAACAAACGAACAGAAAACAAAAGAAACTATCCCTATGCTAGGGTTAAGGGGTCAATAATGAATTTCTTAAATGCAAGTTTTCTTTAAATATATACCACCCTTCCCCCTTATGCAGCCATTTCAGACATGTGGATGCTAATCTAAGCCTCAATTGTGATGGATTTGGACAAACTTTAAAAATATGCATGTGTGTACATGAGGGAGAATTTTTTCCCTGTTTGTACTTAGGTTATTACTTTGCTTAAATAGAGGTCCTCAAATATAAAGGGAAGTATTCCAGTAAAAGTAGCATATAGGCATATAACAATAAATACAGGTACTATATATGTGTATGTGTATATATATGCATAGTAATTTCAGGAGACAGTCTAAAGAGGATCTGGATACAGATAATAAAATATCTAGAAGATGTATTATTAAAAATTGAAGTAATGAACCTTTTTTGGCTTAAGGATCATACACTTCTCATTCTAAGAACCTGACACATGAACCTGATTGTATTAATTTCCTAATGAATGATGGTTGTGTGAATAACTAAATTAAGACAAGAACATTCATCTTCAGAGTATGGTTGTGTATTTATTTGTTTTGTTACCAAGCCCCAGGAACTATTTAACCAGGCACTATTTAGTTGCATTCCATTTATACATTTCATTAATGACAATAATGCTATCATAGAACAACGGTGTGCTCAGTTGTGGCTGAAAAGTATAGAAAGTCCAGTAGAATCTTATTCTAAGTTGCTGTGCTGAATTCAGTTGGCCCTGGGCCATTGTCATAGAGGTTTAATTATTAAATAAATCTAATTTCCTTACTTAAGACTGGCTGTGATAAAACAGAAACTTAGTAACAACTGTGAAAAAAAAGTATATTGGACAACAATCTGGGTTAAATTCAAAATTAATAAAGCTATGTGATATTAGTTATGTAGGAGAACTTTTTTCCAAAATAAAATTTTTGAAAACAAAATGATTGTTTAGCCCTAAAAATGTTCAAATCAGCAAACATTTACTCAGTTCTATGCAGAGAGTGGTGTAGAAGCCCAATGAAGGACTGCAAATCTGAATTGTAGTATACAATCCAAACCTGACGGATAAGCCATAAAATAGGGATACAAATGGATATATAGTGACCAAGGATGAGTTAAGTGACATTTTAAGCAACAGTGGGCAGTGATAGTGCGGCAATAAACAAAGTGCCTATGCACTTTTGTATTATTGGAAGTACACTTTCAGGGTTAACTCCAAAAAGTGAGAATGTGTACTCAAATGGTAAATGAAAATAGAGTTTTGCTTATTGTCAAATTTTCCTCCAAAATGGTTGAACTAATTTATATTTCTACCAGCAATGTATAAGACTGCATGATTACCCACAGTCGCACCAATAGAATAAAGGATCAACATCTAAATGTCTCCCAATCTGATGAATGAGAGATAGTATCTCAGCGTAGTTTAAAACTTTATTTCTCTAGTTAAGAGTGAGCTTGACTACCTCTTCCTATGTTTAAAGGCCACTTGCGTGTCGTTTTGTGAATTGTTTGCCCATGACTATAGCCAACTTTTCTATTAAGTTTTTGGCCTTTCCCCCTTATTTTAAGAGGGTTTTTTTTTTTTTTTTTGTAGTTTAGGGATGGATATTAGCCTCTTATTTGTGATCACTACAAATGTTTTCTCCCATTTTGTCAGACGTCTTTCAATTTATTTTAAAAATATTTTTTGGTTTGTTTTTGAGTTTTTTCTTGCTATGTGTGGTAGGAAAAATAATTACCCACAAAAAAATACATATCAGAATGCTTAGAATTTTTAAAAATGTTACTTTACATGGCAAAAAGGACTTGCAGATGGTAAGAGCTCTGAGTTGAAGACATTATCCTGGATTAATCAGGTGGGTCCAGTGTAATCACAGGTCCTTGAAAACTAACAGCCATTCCTGGTTGTGGGCAGAGGGAGACGTGACTACAGAAAAGGGTAAGAGACATAAAGTTCCTGGCTTTTGAAGATGGAGGAAGGGGCCATGGACCAAGGAATGTAGGCAGCCTCTAGATGCTGGGAAAGGCAAAGAAATGAGTTCTTTCTTAGAGCCTCTAGAAAAAAATGCAGTCCTCTTGACATCTTCAGTTTACATCAGTGAGGCCTGTGGGGCTTCTAATCTACAGAACTGTAGGATGATAACTTTGTATTGTTTTAGGTCACTACATTTGCGATAATTTGTTACAGCAGCCATAGAAAGCTGATATACCATACTATTTTAAAAATTTTACATAGTCAAATTTACTAATCCTGTATGGCATCTGGAGTTTGAGTCATTGTCAGGTAACCATTCCTTTCATCCAGCTGATAAAGGAATTCACCTGTGGTTTTTTATTCCTTGTGATGGCGTGGTTTCATTATTTACATTTAGATCCTGGATCTATTTATTTATTCTTGTGTATGGTTTGGGAGGTATACATTTAATGTTATGTTTGGTCAAATGGCCAACGAATTGTCCCAGCACTGTTTGTTTAAAAAGTCCCTTCTTTGTGATTTGAAATGCCACCTTTATTGTATGTTGAATGTCCATAGATAATTGGATCTATTTCTGGATTTTCAAACCTGTTTCTCCCTGGTTGTCTAGACACGCACCTGCACCACACTGTTTTCATTTTAGAAACTTTATAGTAAATTTACTGTATACTTTATTTTCTCTTCCTGGATTTTCTTTCTTAGTGTTTTCCTGCCTTTTCTTGGAAGTTTCTTCACATAAACTTAAGTATTAACTAGTCTAGCTCCCAAAGAACCTTGTTATTTTTATTGGTATCGTGTTAATTTTATAAAGTAACTTAGAACGGACAGCTTTATAATCTTGAGTCATTCTGTTATAGAACAGCCAATGTCTCTATTACTTCACATCTATTTTTGTGATTTACAGGAGTTTTAACGTTTCCCCAGATAGGTTTTATACATTTCGACTTCTAATTTTCCCTACATATTTATTCATCTCTGTTGCTAATGTAAATGAGGTTTTCTCTATCAGTATATCCTCCACCAGTTTACTATCAATGTCTGTGAAAGCAACTGACTTCTATATATTAATTTTTACTGAATCTAAATTTTATCAAGTTAATTTTTTATCATAATTTTCTTCATTTTCCAGGAGTACTACCATGTCATCTACAAATACAGTTTTTACTTGCTCTTTTCCAATTATTATGCCTCCATTTGATTTATCTTGCATAATTGCATTGAATCCAATAAAATGTTTAATAGAAGTGGAGGCAGCGGACATCCTGGCCTTGTTCCTGATCAAATGGAGTGTCTCAAGTAGTTCCCCCTTAAGTGAGATACTGATGTTAGGACTAAGCATATGTGTGCATGATATGTTTTATGATGTTAAGAAAATATACATCAATTCCTATTTTCATCAGGAAGAGTGTTAAATTTTCAGTTTTCTCAAAGATTATTTAAACACTTGTGTAGAGAATCTTGTAATTTTTTTCCTTTAGATTTATTAACAGGGTGTCATATACTAAAGGATCAATTAATATTGAGCCAAACTTGCATTCCTGGATTAAATGTCACTTGGCCGTGATATTTTTTTAATGTAGTGTTACATTGTTTTGGTCATATTTATTCACTATTTTTGCAGTGATATATATAGTGACATCACCCTGTCATTTCATTTTTTTAAAACTGACTTTTGCAGGTTAAATTATCAATGCTATATTTGCTTTATAAAAATAATTAGAAAGTTTTTCTTCATTTTCCATGTCCTGAAGTAAATGTGGAGCATTGGAGTGGTCTGCCTTTGGGAGTTTGTTTTGGGCCTAGAGATGTTTTTGTGGGGTGGTATTTTTTTTTTTCTAGAAGAGTTGATTAATCTTTCTATCTCTAACAGAGCCAATTTTGGTAAATGTATTTTCCAAAGAAAGTTTCAATTTTGTCCATGTTTTCAAGTTTTTTCCATGTATATGACGTCTATAAAGTTGCCTCTTAATTTTTGTTTCTGTAGTTAGTTCCCATTTGTCATTTCCTATCTTGTATAATTGGCCCTTGAACAACATAGGAGTTAGGGGTGCTGACCCCTGAAGAGTCAAAATTCCCTGAATAACATTTGACTCCCACAAAAACTTAACTATTAATATGGTATTGTTGACTGGAAGCCTTACTGATAACATAAAGATTCTATTAACACATATTTTGTATGTTATGTGTGTTATATACTGCAGTCTTACAAGAAAGTAAGCTAGAGAAAAGGAAGTACTATTAAGAAAATCATAAGGAAGAGAAAATGTTTCCTATTCATGAAATGGACGTGGATCATCATAAAGACCTTCATCCTCTTCGTCTTCACAGTAAATGGGCTGAGGAGGAGGAGCAAAAAGAGGAAGAGTTGGTCTTGCTCTCTCAGGGGTGATAGAAGTGGAATGGGTGGAGGAGGTAGAACGGGAGACAGGCATACTCTGTATAACTTTTATTGAAAAAAAAATCTGTGTATAAGTAGATCTGCACAGCTCATACTGTGTTGTTTAAGGGTCAACTGTTTATTGGTGATTTATTCACCTCCCTCATTTTTTTCATGATTAAGTTATGTAGTGATCTATTTAAAAAAGAAAGGCAACTAGATTCTGATTTGTTAATTTGTTACTACATTTTACTGTTACCCTTAATTCCTTTCTTTTGGTTATTTTTCCTTTTGTGCCTTTGAGCTGAAATTTTATTTATATTTTTTAATTTTCATTGATACACGTGCATAGGACTGCCAATTTTTCTGTAACCACTGCTGTAAATGCATCCGGTAGTTTTCACTGTCATTTTTCAGAAATTTAGAAATTTTGGTTTGTAATCTCTTTCATTGAAGAGTTGCTTAAATGTTAGTTTTCTATTTTTATTTTTAAATAATTTGTTTTATTGCATTGTTATCAACAGGTGGTATTTATAATGGTTATACTTTCCAGAACATACTGAAGTTTGAGATTTAATATAATGGATTTCGTGCGAGTTCCATGTGTGGTTGTGTGTATGTGTGTATGTGTGAGCCTTTTCCGTGAGTACATAGATATGGGGTTCCTATGTCACAGAGTACGAACACCTTCAACTTAATAAATATATCCAAATTATTCCCACCTGCAATGTGGAAGAGGTCTTTCTACACATCCTCACCAACACATAGTGTAATAAGAATTATATTTTGGAATTATGATAGGCATGAAATGCTACCTCATTGTTGTTTTAATTTGCATTTCCCCAGTACTGATATTAAGCAGTTTTAATATAGTTATTGCCACTTAACTATCTTCTATGAACTGCCTATTTCTATGCTTCCCCCCACTTTTTTTTTCACTTTTTCCCACTGATTTGTGGTTCTTTACAAATTTAGGATATGTATTCTGTTTATAATACATATTTTTCATGGTTCTTCTAGTCTATGCCTTGACTTTTCATTTTGTTTATGGTTTTTTTTTTACAAAGTTTTAAAATTTTAATACAGTAAAGTGCTTCATTATACTTCCCCGCCTGATATGAAAGTATCCTCCAAAGCATTCTTCAAAAAGTCTTATAAATTTGCTTTTTATGTTTAGTTTTTAATCTGAGTTTAGGTTTTGCAAATGGCCTGAGGTAGGATTCTAATTTTTTTTTTTCCATTATCACATAGAAAGTTAACCTGGTGCCATTTTTTGACAGTAATCCTTCCCCAATAATTAATAATGCCATTTCTTTCATATACCCTGAGTCCATAAATGTGAGTCTGTTTCTAGGGTCTCTTTCTATTCCAATTAACCCACATCTCTTACCTGTTGAATTACATTGTTTTATAGTAAGGTACCTGACCCTTTTTGGAATGTTAGAGGTTTCACATTTACTAAATATATTTGGCTAATTTGGGCCTTTTCCTTTTTTGAAATAAATTTAGGACTCGCTGGTAAGTTGAGTGTATAAATCTGCTGAGATTTTGGTTGATAATGTTTCACATTTAAAGATTAAGCCAGAAGATTGAGTCTTCCAATCCATCACTTTTATATGTTTTACTATTTACTCCATTCTTTTAAGCCCTTCAACAAAGTGTTCTCTATAAAGGTGTTTCACATCTTTAAGTTTATTCGTATCTTCTAAATTTTTTTTTGTTCTTACTATTTTTAAGTGGGATCTCCTAAAAAGTATACACTTCTAATAATTTGGTACATATCTTAAGAACACTATCCATTTTGGTATATTGTTCTTTTATCTAGTAAACAAACTGCTCTCTTACTATATCTGATTTGCCTCTGGGTTCTCTTCCATTTTCTGTGGAGATGCTGATAATATTGGTGATAAATAATAACTGCTCTAAGACCTTAGAGAAAATGAAGTGGTGATGGAAGGATCCTTGTCTAGAGGAAAAATTTAAAGGAAATGTTCTTTAACTTAACTATTTAATATAAGGCGTGTTATAGATTTTTTTTTTTTTTTTTGGTAGACAAACTTTATCAGGTTAAGGGCATTCCCTTTTATTCCTGGGGAGGTGAAATGTTTTTTAATTTATTTTTTTTTAAACCCTGAATAAGTGTTGAATGTTATTAAAATTTTCCAGCATCTACTGAAATGATTATCTTTTTAATTTTTTTTATCTTCCCCCAAATTTTTTTTTGGAAATTAATAGATTTTTCTAGGGCCAAATCATCTTTACATTGCAGGATAAATCTTATTTAGTAACACCATTTAATTATAACCATTATTATTACTACTGTTATAATTTTCCACACTGATGGATTAAGTTTTCTTAAGAATTTTTGAGAGCCTCCTTAATTTTCCTTTCCCATACAGCCTATATTTACTTTTGGTATCAGAGTCCTTCTAACCTGATAAAAATATTTCTTCCTCTTCCCTTCCCCTAGTTTTCCCCTTTCCTCCTCCTATTCTTCCTTTTTTCTCCTCCTCCCCCTTCTAAAAAATTCCCTGTAACTCTCTGTGAGATATGGGTTATTAGAGTTTCTGTATTTTTTCAAGTTTTGTGAAGATTGGGTAATGAGCCCCTGACTCAACAATCAAAAGACAAATAACCCAATGTGAAAATGGACAAAGGAGTTGAAAAGAAATTTCTCCAAAGAAGACACATACAAATGACCAATAAGCACATGAAAAGATACTGAACGTCATTAGCCATCAGGAAAATGCGAATAAAATTCATGAGACATCACTTTATATCCTCTAGCATGACTATAAACAAAGGATAAAAGTGTTGGAGAGGCTGTGGAGACATTAGAACGCTGAGACATTGCTGGTGGGAATGTAAAATGGTGCAGCTGCTTTGGAAACTAGCTTGGCAGTTCCTCAAAATGTTAAACACTTACTATAGGACTCAGCAATTCCACAGCTTAGGTATATACCTAGAAGAAATGAATACATATGCCCACACAAAAACTTGTACATGAATGTTTACAAAAGCATTATTTATAATAGCTAAAGAACAGAAACAACCCAAATGCCCATTAACTGATGAATGGATAAATAAAATGTGGTGCATGAAGACAGTGGAATATTATTTGGAAATAAGGAATGAAGCACCAATACGTGCTACAACATGGACAAAACTTGAAAACATTATGCTAAGGGAAAGAAGCCAGAGAAAGGGCTAAACATTGTATGATTCCATTTATACTAAGTGTCTAGAAGAGGCAATTCTACAGGGATAGAAAGCAGATTGTTGGTTGCCTCTGGCTGGAGAATGAGGAGTGAATGTTAATAGGTACTTTTTGGGGGTAAATAAATTGTTCTAAGGGGATGGTGATGGTTGCATAACGGTGCATATGCTAAAAACAAATTCAACTTGGGTAAATTTTATCTCAAGGAATAAGTTTAAAATTTTGGACCTATGTTTATGCAGCAGCAAATTTTTTTTCAACTACTGATTCAATCTATTTGATTGTTCAAGATTCCGTGGATTATTGAATTTTATTAAAAGTTTATTTTAGGACATTGATCACTTTATGTCAATAAGTTTGAAAACAGATAAAATTGCTCATAGTAAAGTAGTCCTATTTTTAAAATCTATTTTATCCTTAGTTATATAGTCTTTATTATCCCTAAGCTTATTGATTTATGTCTCCACTGTTTTTCATTCATATAACCAGACTTTGTTTTATTGATCCTGTATTGATTTGTGTTCTCTTTTATTAGACTTTGATTTCATTTCTTTTATTCTATTTTTTTTTGTTCTGTTTTGTTTGGGTACTTTGAACATTTATTTCCATTTTTCTTCATTTCTACATGTCCACTAAAATTATTAATCTCCTTCTACATACTCCTTTCTTTCCATCTTATAATTTGGATATTTTTGAGACATCAAGTTCTAAATTTTTCTAATTTTCCTATAATTACTTTTTGAGCATGGATTTTTATAAGTATATTTTGCTCAATTTTTATTAAGAAAAATTTCAAATATATAGAAAAATTAAAAGACCAGAATAATAAAATATTTATCTGCACACAACTTAGCATCAACAAATGTTAATATTTTTACTTCACAGATATTTTTTCCAAAATGTGTGTTAGATACCATGATACTTCAACCCCAGATATTTTAGTATGTGTCTTTTAAAAATAAGGACTACTTTCTTTATAACCACAGTATCACTTTTACCCCCAGAAAAATTAATGAAAATTCTATTATATCAGCTAATACCAGTCTTATTTGAATTTCTCTAATCGTGTCCCAAATGTCTTTTATAGCTGCTTATTTTGCACTGATGCCCAGTCCCATTAGTTGCATTTGTCACGTCTCTTTCAATCTATGATAGTGCCTCTACTTTTTTAATTCTCTATGAACACTGACTTTTTGAAGACCTCTAGCAAGTTCCATATTCCGCTATGCCTAATGGTTTCCTTGTGATGTCATTTATCTGTTCCTCTATCATCTTTATTTCCTGTAAGGTGGGAATTATAGCAAAGGCCTTGCTCAGACTCAGATTAAACATGTTTTTTTGCAAAAATATATTGCAAAAAACTTTTCATACAGCATCACATAAGGAGAAACATGTCAGGTGATTTCTCCCTTGTCTAATACAGCTTTTCCCCTTCGCAGTTAACAAAAAGTCAGGAGGCAGTATTTGTAGTTGGAATATTCTATTGTTACTGTTGGAGGGTGTCCAGGTTCTTGGCTTCTTAAGCAAATAACTTGATAAAACACACAAAGCAAGGAAAGAATGAAGCAACAAGGCCGGGTGCAGTGGCTCACACCTGTAATCCTAGCATTTTGGGAGGCCGAGGCTGGTGGATCATGAGGTCAGGAGATCAAGACCATCCTGGCTAACACGATGAAACCCTGTCTCTACTAAAAATAGGAAAAAAAAAAAAAAAAAATTAGCCGGGCCTGGTGGCGGGCCACTGTAGTCCCAGCTACTCGGGAGGCTGAGGCAGGAGAATGACGTGAACCCGGGAGGCAGAGCTTGCACTCAGCTGAGATCATGCCACTGCACTCCAGCCTGGGCGACAGAGTGAGACTCCCTCTCAAAAAAGAAAAAAAAAAAAAAAAAATTTGAAGCAACAAAAAACAAAAGTACACTCCGCAGGGTGGGAGCGGGTCCAAGAATAGGATCCAAGAGCCCCAGTACAGAATTAGAGTTTTCCCATTGGTTACTTGGTGTACACCCTATGTAAATGAAGGAGTGGCCGGCAATCAGTCGGAGGGAAGCAACCAATCAGGCTGAAGTGAAGTTACAAAGGTTACACCCTATGCAAGCATCTGATTGGTTGTGGAAAGCAACCAATCAAAGATACTTTCAATTTTCCATCTGCCACGCAGAAAGGAGAGGGTGGTTTGTAAAGGGAGCAGCCTCCAGTACTTTTGTTGCTTAAGTGTGGAAAGTTGGGGTTTTCCTTTTGATTTAGCTTTAGGAAGTCAGCGTGAATCGGCCTTAGGTTCTCTGCCTCCAGACCCTATTCACCTACCTCACTATTTTCCATCAAACCTTTACTTAATGGCTTTAGCATCTATTGGTGATCTTTATTTACATCAGTTATTTCAATGGGTATACAAAATGGTGATACTTCCGAAGCTGCTTCTTCTCAGATGGGAAAGTTCCATATTCTCCCTTTTAAAACATGAGAGTAAGTTCTTTGTTTTTTAATAATTTTTTTAAGGTTTAGTTTACGTACAATAAAATTCACCAATTTTTGAGTGTACAATTGGATTATAACAAAATATAGTTTTGCAACTACCACCACAATCATGGTACAATTGTCTATTCAACATCTCATTTTGGTTGGCAAACATTAATAACAATAATAATCACCACCATAAACATTTGTATGGCACTTACGAAAAGTCAGGAACTATTCTAAGAGCTTTACGTAAGTTATTTTTAAAATTTAACTTAATAGGCATTCCAGTCTTAACCCATATAAGCTGATTCTTCCACCAAAATTTGCTCCACCCATAGTCTTTCTCATTTCAATTAATAGCAACTTCATCCTTCCGGTTGCTAGGGCCAAATGCTTGGAGTTACTCTTTACTCCCTCTTTTCTTTCGAGCCACTCATTGTTGGCTCTACATTCAAAGCAATTCAAAATCACCACCAATTCTCATTATCTTTCTTGCTATCACCCAGTCCAAGCCATCATCTCTTACCTAGATTCTTGCAATAGCCTAATAACAGATCTCCCTGCTCCCTTCTCTGCTCCTATAATTAATTCTCAACATGGGAGCCAGAGTGATCTATTAAACAAAAGTCAGATGATCATGTCACTCCCTCTGTGTCTTGTGTCCTCCGCTGTCATTTGGAGTAAAATTCCAAGTCCTTTAATTGGCCCCACCCAGTGATCTGTCTTCTAAGCCTACCCTCATTGACCTCTCCCTTCACTGTGTCCTGTTCTCAAGGTTTCATTAATGTTCCTAGACCTTGCCAGGTGCAATCATATTTAAGGGCCACTTACACCTGCTTTTCCCACTTCCTGGGACCATCTTCCCAGATATTTGCATGGCTTGCCTGCTCCCTCACCTCCTTTAATCATTCATTCAGGCTTAGCATTCTCAGTGAGATTTTTACTGAGAACTCTTGTATTTAAACTTGTGCACCACCCAGCCCACTCTGCTTTATTTTTCTCTATTGCACTGATTACCTTCTAATAGACATTATAATTTACTTATGTACTCTTTTCTAACTTGTCTTCTCCTCCAGAATGTAAGCTCCACAAGGTAAAAAATTTTTGTTTGATTTTTCCTTCATATATTCCAACACTGACACATAGTGATTGTTCAATAAATAATTGAGTAAACATGAGATGATATATTTTGAAGTTAAGACCAAGGAATTAATAAATTGGAGGTGGGCCTGTCAATTTAGGCTATAAGTTAGCTGTGATGCAACTGAGACCACCAAGCTAGGAAATAACACAGTAGAACTTACCAATTTCTTGTGCAGGATGGTGCCAGAAGCCTAGTAGTTGACACTCGGCTCAACTCTTCTCTTCCTGGACAACAGCAATTTCCTGGACAATGTTAGTTAAATTAGTCACCAGCATGATACTTCATTCTGTAAGAGAGGACCCTTTTTGAAATACTCATTTCTTGGCACCATGTTAATTTTAGCAAAATTTTTATTGAATAGTAATAAACACATTAAACAAATTATCAATGAAAAACTCTAAACTTAAATATTCATAAAAATTCTGTAAAATCGGCCGGGTGCGGTGGCTCACGCCTGTAATCCCAGCACTTTTGGAGGCCGCGGCGGGCGGATCACGAGGTCAGGAGATCGAGACCACGGTGAAACCCCGTCTCTACTAAAAATACAAAAAATTAGCCGGGCGCGGTGGCGGGCGCCTGTAGTCCCAGCTACTCAGGAGGCTGAGGCAGGAGAATGGCGTGAACCCGGGAGGCGGAGCTTGCAGTGAGCTGAGATCGCGCCAGTGCACTGCAGCCTGGGTGACAGAGCGAGACTCCGTCTCAAAAAAAAAAAAAAAAAAAAAGGCTGTAAAATCTAACCAGTAGTTGTCCTTGACTTACATGATTTGCTTACTGGGAAAGTAACACTTGAGCTCCACTTTGCCTCAGCTATAAAGTCACCATGATGTATGTAGTTTTAATTCTGACCTGTAAATCAAAATTTCAAACCATCAGTATTCATAGAGTGTCCATAGTTGCCTAGTGCTGTTGTAAGCACCACTGGGCTATAAAATAAGTGGAAAACACAGTCTCTGCCTAGATAAGTGAGTGCTTAATGTGGCTTGCACACATTTCTCAAGTATAGCATAAAGCAAAAGAATGATTTGAGCCCTAATTTAGAATTTTATTCAGTTTTCACAGTAAATTATATTTATTTTTGCTTAGCTCTTATACCTATCTGAATAAAGGGCTTAAAATTTTCTTCAACTTTTCCACTGGTGATTTGTTTATCCAACAAATTATTTCCCAAACAAATACTGTCATTCAAGGTAATTGGACATTTCCCAGCACTTGAGAAGAATGTATAAAACTAGACATAATCCCATTGGTTGTGTTCTTCCATGCTTTAAGACTTGTTTGTATGTCTCTAGGACTACTGCCATTTATATTATACTTGAAAACATTTTTTTGAGATAATCCTTGTGAATCTATCACCAGTACAAATATATGTGATTGTATTAAAGTGGAATTTTTGGAATAGTTCAAAGTATATTATTGAAAGGAGCATCTCATTTCATCTACAGGTGGAGCAATTTCTGCTTGGAAAATTTTCAATTTTTGAAGTCATTATTTTCTAATAAAATAGCATTTCTTGAAAAATAGTATTTTCATGAGAAAAAGAAAAAAAAATATGCGAATCTTTTAAATTCAAAATGAGGCTAAGGGGAATTCAGCGTTTTCTTGCCCAAAGCAGATTTCCTTTTATCTCTGGAAATGCCAACAGGAGGCCAAGGGCCAAGCTTCCTGGCCAATTACACTACACTACACGGCCGTTCTCCCCCCCAAGAGCTTTATTCCCAACTGCACTTGGGAACCAACTTCTGACTCCAGACAAATGGCTGTTAGTTCCAGCTCTTACCTGCCAATTATGATACTTTGGATATCTGTGCCAGTCTCTGGGTCAGCTCCATGATAAGATTAAGAGACCTGTTTGTTTAGTTCATTAGCAGACATTCGTTCCACCCAGACAGAGCTGAGGCTGGGGGTGGGGGCGTGAAGGGAACCAGGGACCTGCGGGAATAGATTTTTTTTTTCTTACTAGGAAATGAAAGCACTATTTCCCCTTCTGGATCCCTGCTTCCCTTTTCAGTTCCTCCGTTAGGGGCAGACAATAGAAGGCTCCAGGCCCCCTCTCAGGGCGCCCGGTCCCCATCGTCCCCTCACCCCCACCTCCCTTCCCCGCCCCTCACTCTCCAGCTTCTCCAACTCCAGCTCCAGGCGGAGATTTGTCAGAACCGTTCGGTTGAGACTGATTATGATTGCAGCAGATGGGCTGGATTTGACAGCGCCGATCCTAAGCAGCTTCTGATGGGGGGGCCCGGCGGAGGGGAGGGGAGGGGGAGTGGGTAGGGGGTGGGAATCGATGGGCCCCAGCCTCCTCATCAGAGCGCAAGCCGAGCCGCCCGCCGGGCGCTCCCAGGCAGATCTTTAACGCGCGCCTCCAGGAGGAAAGTGGCACTGCCCACCCGAGGGGCCTCCCTGAGCGCCAGTGAAACGTCCCGCGGCAGGAGAGGGCTCGGGGACACTGGCAGGCAGGCGCAGGGGGACTGGCGGCGGAACACAACAAAGCGGAGGAGCGCGAGGTGCCCGGGCTGCGGTGAGCGCGTGGCCCAGGCTGCCTCCGCGCTCTGGACATGGCAAGTTTGGCAACTCCCGGCTCTGCAGCGCGCGCCTTGCTGCCCCCGAAGTGAAGGCGCTGCGGAGTCAACCCCTGGGGACGCAGCGCCCACCCCGCCCCCAGCCCGCAGCAGCATGCTCCACCGAAGGCCAGGTAAGGAGACGCCAGCCCACTCCCCGCCCAGGCGCGCCCCCTGCGCGCCGCCACCCTAGCCCCAGCCCTTCGGCACCTGGCTCCCACTACCCCGTTCAGTCCTTGTCCCCGCAGACTGTATGCTTCCGCGCCTCCCGCCTGGGTCTCCTTGACCCCTCTCTGCCCTCTGACTCAATGCCTCCCTCAAGGTCCTGAGTCCTGTCCTTTCCCCTTTACCATAGCCCGACGGCAGGGGGAGAAGTTTTGGGAGGTGGGGCGAGGTTAGGGGCTCTCCCTTCCCTGAAAGCCTGCACCAGGACACCTGAAGGGGGACAGTCTGTGGGAGTCGGTCCGTGTGTGCGCATCCCCGCCCAGCTCCCACGCAGCCCGAGCCCCGCTCTACAGGCGCGCACACACGCCCTCCTCTCCACCTGTGGGGCCTCGCTTTTGTGTGGGAAGCACAAATGAAAACACACACACGTGCAGAAACACTTCCACGTTGGCATCTTCCAGAGACTCCTAAAGGGTGGGGGCGTAAAGGGGCTGCAGGGGAGGGGCAGATCTTGAGTTCTGTGGTCCTCCCAAGCAGAGGGCCAGCGCCTCTCCTGTCGCTTGGCCTTGACTCCAGTGTCTAGGGGCCACTGGAGTGGCGCCTTTCCCGGGCCGGGAGGCCATTGGGTTTGGCAGGGGCATAGCTGTGCCACTGGGAAAACTCCCTCCCTGCTCCCCAGCGAGGTCAGAGGCCTGGGCCACTCCCTGGCCCGGCCCCAGCAGGGCGCGCCTGTCCCCACCTAATGCCACGATCCCCCCTCCCCCACCCTCCGCACTGCCTCCCTTGCGCGTGTAGGGGAGATCCCTGACCTTGTCTGCCCAGCTGCAGGCCACTTGCCCAGGCGGCCCCTCCCTTGTTGCCACCTCCCGCCCAGCTCACCAGGAGCGTGTGCCCTGTTGCTACTGGCAACTGCCTGTGCCTAAAGCTCAGCCCCCAAACTGGCTTAATGCTGATTGATGGTCAGAAATAGGATATTTTCTGGAACAGAGCGGAGCGCTGGTGCAAGGCCCTCTCTGCTGCTGAGTCCTAGGGACCTCCCGGGTGGCAGGCCTTCCTCCTCCTCTCCTTTTGGCCCCACCCCACCCTACACTACCCCTTAGAGAAAAAGGGCTGTTAGGACATCCTCATCTCAGGTTAAGTGCTGAGCCAGCAAGCCAGTGTTCGCTTTCTTGCTGAGTAACAGGCAGCCACCCCGGAATTTCTCTTCTTATCCTTGAGGCTTCTGAGTTTTATGAATGAGGCCCGTGTTGCTGGACGCTACCACTTCCCTTTTTATTTTCATCCCCACTAACTTGTTCACTCGTTCACTCCTCCTTATACATAGGTACCTAAAATAGACTACCCCTCTAGTAACCAGAACTATTCCTGCAAACGCTTACAAGAGCATTTTCCAGAAATAAATCATTTCATATCAGTATCCCTTCCTCAGTCATTTCCCGGCTTCATGCCACCTCCCTCCTAAGACACAGAATTGGTCATTTCCACCACTTTAAAGACACAGTCTAGATAAAAAGCCTGCATTTATAATGTTCTTTGCAGGAGTAGCTTTTGCCTATTTTGTGGGGGTTTTGTTTGTTTTTTGTTTTCTGTTTGATACTCCCTCTCAAACTGCAGCCTCCCTTCCCTTTTCTGGGATGGCAGCCTCCTTCTCTGAGCCATCCTGGACTAACATTTTCTGGACTAATAAATTTCTGCACCTGTCTCTACTCCTTCTCCTTCCCAGTCTGACTGTAAAGGACCAGATTTCATTATCAAATCAATTCTCTTTAGAAGAACTTTGTTCTGTAGCATTTCTTTCCAGGACCCCAATATTTTTGGCAGAGTATTTTCATTATTTAAATTGTCGTACTTAGCTTCTTTTTGCCTATGGACATTACTTTGGAAAACCATGTGATGTTTCTGAGTCACTGATTTGTTCCTCCAAACAAAACTTCCTTCAGAGGCTCCCATATGTTGGGCACCATTGTAGGCCCCCGGGGGTGGGAATGGAGCAAAGACAAGACCCAAATGGGTTTCAGCATTTTAAAGCCCCCATTACAGCTGGTTTATGGTTATTGCTATGATGGTTAATGTGATAACAGCACACTACATTTGACTAGGACTTTACAGTTTACAAAAGGCTTTCAAAGACATTATCTCCATTAATCCCAGCAGCAGGAATTTTAAATAGCAAGGATTCCACCAAAAGGCCCAGTAATGCTCACCAATCCTGCTTAACCAAAAAGAAAAATATTGCAAATCATCCTAACAGCTGATGGAGCTTTAAAACACAGAATAAACAATTCATAAGAAGCTTCTGAAGCTTAGTTACTGGAATGTAACTTGGAGAAGATAAGTGAAATGCACGTAACATGTATATTACCAGAAGGGTGTCTTGGAGAGAAACTCCATCCTGGGGCTTCAGTGGCCTGGTGAACTGCTGGAGGTGGAGGCTTTCCAGGGCTCTGGACTATTGCCTTATCCTAGGATCTAAAATGGGATGAAAGTGTTAGCACAAAGTTGCTGGGAGACTAGCAAATTAAGCAAAATGAGTAGGCAATGATGTTACTTTCTTTAGCTACAAAGCATTCTTGAGATATCCGCAAGTTTCTAGCATATATTTACTTGAGAAATGAAGCAATTTTCTGTACTTAGAATATAAAAAAAAGAGTTTGTGTGCCTTATGTGAGCCATAATGAAGACAATCAAGGTTTTGGTCATTTTTACCCATTACTTTGAAAACCAGTCATATCTCACATGGATAAATGGCAGTTTCTCTTTTTTAAAATAATTTTTAGGGAGGATGTACAGAAGGCCTTTGTGTAGATTCCTTTTCTCCACTCCTTGAACATGGAGGGCAGCCCTTCTGACTTGGTAGTTGTGAATATCATTCATGACTTTCCTCCAGAAATGGTTTTTATAATGCTAGCTGATAGTCATAAATTTTGGTTTGCATTTCAGATATCATGCTGATCTTGTGTATCATTTTGAAAACTTTTGTTCAAAGAAGTTTTACAAGCAGGGTGGTATACCATAGGGAGATTATTATGGCTGGGGGCTGGCTTTGGGTATGACTAGATAACAGATAAGCCAAGAAGTAATCCTAGGGCAAGGTCTGTTATGAGGAAGGTTCAAGATGCCCAAGGGAGCTTTTTATTGTTTAATAACCATGAAGGTTGGTGGCAAGTTTTAGACATGTAGAGTTTTTTTTTTTTTTTTCCTAGAGAGTTTGTTTACTCAAGCCTGTGACTCTGTATTTGGCATTCCTGGTTATTATTTTCATTCCTAAATATTACAGCATTTTAGTTTAGAGCTAACCTAAATCTCTAGGTTGATTATATGTCAATGAAAAGCACATAATGCAAACAATGTAGATCTATTTGGGAAGTTAGATTGGGCATAGTGGGGCGGGTGAGCCCTCTTCTGGCAAGGGACTTTAGTAGCTTCAGGTTTTCAAATGAAGTTGAGAGAGAGGTGAGGCTGATTCCAACCTTAGGCATACTCCTCAAATTTTTCTATAAAACATGAGAGACTTGAGCAGGGAAAGTTAAGAGCACTGTGCTGATGGCTAACATCATCCGGGCTCAGGGGTGTCAGTCTTCTTTGTAACCCCCTAATCAGCGGCCCTATTATTTGTGCCATCACCCAGTAAATATTTACCAAGGGGCATTTTTGGAGAACAAGCCTTCCTGCTTTTTATGTGGAACTGTGCCATTTCATACTTAGCTGATACCTTGTTCCTTTAAAACGTTTAATAGTTTTGTCCTGTTGGGTTTCTGTAGATGAATAAGAATGTGGGTGGTTGAGACTTTCTTGCTGCAGGGTAGAGGTGCAGTATTGCTCCTGAAGGCTGTTGCCCCGACGGGGATTGCTTCCTGGATATTACGCCCTTCCATCCTCTTTCTCCTAATAAACACTGTTTTCACATGGTCCTTTCTCTCAGAGAGTAGGTGGCATAAATGAACAGGCTCTGTGAACTTGTTACTCATCTCAGACATGAACATAGCCTACAAAGTGCTTTAAGAAGCATGTCGGTACCTAGATTTCCAGGTACTGTAGCAGGTGGGAAGGGCTTAGAGAACGGGAGAGAAGCTAATCATTTTGTGTTGTGTTGAAAGGTCTTGAACATAAGTCATAGCACTTGCTGCTATAGGTAAAACTATGGCCTCTAAATAGCCGGAGATTTGGGAACTCAGAATGTTGCTAAGAACACATGTTATGTGGGATTACTCCTTCAAACTTGGGAACATGTAGGTCTGAACTCAAAGCCTGATTCCCTTATTTATTATTGATGTGATTTGGGGCCAGTTTATGAATCTCTCTAACCTGTTTCATCATCTATAAAAATAAAAAAAAATTATGTGCATTTATAAGATGTTAAGAATAAAATCTAACACATATTAGGGCATGAGACAGTGGCCCACACACAAGAAAGCCAACAGATGTTAGCAGCTATGGTCTTTTAATATAATTTTCATATCACTTTGGACTGGATGAGACTGGCTATTTCACATTAACCTCGTCTCTCAACCTCCTCCCTGCACCCTACAGAGAACAATCATTAATAGGGAAGTTATAACCTGAAGCAATTACATTGGCATTGGCATTACATTGGCATTCCTGGGTATTATTTTCATTTCTAAATATTATAGCATTTTAGTTCAGAGCTAACCTAAGTCTCTGGGTTATTAAATATTGCTGCAGCTACTTTTAGAGGGAGTGTGGCCCTCCGCAAGTATGATGGAAGATGATACCTATTCTTTCCTTGAGATACAAACAGGTCAGTTCATGAGATAAACCAGTTTAGTTTAAAGATAAGCTTCGACATTTCAGTTAACATTAAATTCATCAAATGCTTGTAAAAAGTCACTGTGCTTGGGCTGCAAGGGATGCAAAGATGAAGAACACAGTCTTATTCTCAGCTGGAAGAGGGGTTTGTATGATAAGAAATAATAATAGCATCATAGTAAGGAACATCATCATAATAAATACATCTGTCACTTATTAAGACCTGGTCTGTGTCAGAAACATACTATATCTTTGGACCTTTTCAAAGACAGCAGTATTGATATCTGTGAAATAGATATTTTCTCTGTTATGTTAGAATTATTATATAATAAGGTAAACTTAAGTGTTATAGCGGTGTTATTAAATAAAACACTGTGGGTTGCAAAGGAGAGAGTTATCCTATGAGATAAGCCTACCTTGGGTGGTTTTTGCTGGTACTTTGAATCGTTTGGAAAACTTGAAGGTGATTTCTGTAATAACTACAATATACAGGGTTGTATTTGGGTTCAACAATCTCTTGATCCCCTACACTCCGTTCACAGCATTATAGAAATGCGAGAGAAAAGATTGGGCTTTTTTAATCACACAGCAAAGAATTTATTCTTTTCCATTTCTCAGTTCTTTGCTCATTTTCATTGCAAATACCTCCTGGGAAAAGATCCTCCTCACCTTCCTTGTAAGGTTCTTCCTAGTCTAAAGACCACATTATCATCAGTAATTTTTCTGGTTTATTTTTTCTATTAATGAGATGTAAACTACCAACATTTTTTTCTAATTTAATTTGTATCAAGTTTCACACATATGCCCACATGTGCCAAATGTTAAGCATGGCATTGTAAGTAAGATAAGATGAATTAATTCAACCTACTGGCATTACAGTCAGATTCAATATATAACACACAGTTCACCTGATGCAAATTTGTATCAGCTTGCCTTCTCCCAGACTGTTCTACTTTTGTTTTTCCTCTTAGTCACTTTTTTAAAACATAAACTTGTTAAAATACTAATATCGTAGTGCAGTTCTTTTTACCTCCGTCCGAGGGACAGGCGTCCAAATTCAGCTGTCACTCGCTCCACTGTTTTTTCCTATTGTGATTGTATAAAATGGACTATTTATTCAAAATTCTGGCATGGTACTTTTATTGTAGGAGTCCTAAATTTGCCTGCATTACTGTGACATGGGAGAAGAATCATGTAGGGCTATCTAAATATTTTGTTTCACCTATGAATTTTGATCTTTAATAAGAATGTTTTTAAGGGAGTTGTGAATTAACTCAAGAAGGCATTGATTGATCTGTATAACCCACCCTTCACTGTGTTCCAGTGTAAAGGAATTACAGCACCAAATAAGTTCCAACTAAACACTGCATTTCTGTGCATAGGTGGAAGGCCTCCTTTCCTGCCTTTTTTCACTCATCTGTTCATTTATTAGTTTACTCAACAGATGGTTATTAGGTGCCTACCATGTGTCAGGCAATGAGTTGGACTTAAAAGAGTGATTACCACTGGTGTTCTTTATTCTAATATTGAACATTTGGCAACAGAAAGTCACTGGTTCTTGAAAGAAATGAAAGAAACACATAAAGTTGACATCACATGCATCTGCCCACTTATGGCTTTTGACAGCTTTTAGATGAGACTTACTTATTTTAGGCTGCCTCATCCTCATTGCATTAATATACTTTAAAAAATTGCTTTCTCATTTTACTAGGGCTTTCAGAAGGAAGAAACCTTTGTGTCTCTGTACCTCATACTTTATCCCAATTTTCCCCAAGACATTTCCAGCTGCCTTTTTTTCTCAGTGCCTGATACCTAGTAAGTGTTTAATAAATATGTGTTGAATAGAAGACACGTAGAAAGGAAGGAAATTTGGGGATTTACTGTATTAGAAATTAGCAAATTATCTGATTTGGCACTTAACAGACCCCAAAAGACCTGTCCCTCTTTTTCTTCTCTTCCTATGAATCGTTGTGTCTACTTTAGATCAGATTAGGGAATATATCCTCTTTTTTCACTGGACAGTCAATTTCAGGGCTTGGTGCACACCACGACTTTGTATCTGTGGTTTCTTGTTCAACATTTTGGCACTGGTGATGATTTTGTAGAACTTTGGAATCCTGATGTTGCTTTGAGGACATCCCTCAGTCACTCTGCTAAATTACATTACTCTGAGATTTTTATTCTGTTTTGACATGATCTCCCTCTTCCTCTTGCTACACTGACATAGTTGGAGAAACTCATCTTATTTTCATTAAAACATACCATTTATTTAACATACGTACAAGATCTTAGGTTTCATGAGTTCATAGTAATTAGTTATAATATGTAATTAGTTATAAGTTAGTTATAAAATTATTTATAAAATACAAATGCCTTCAAGGAACTTAAAATTTAGGTGAAGAAAAAGGACACAAAGCCTGTAAGATTCCCCCAAAACACTTAATGTGGAGCTGGGAATTAGAAGAAGGAAATCAGTGGAATGGGAGATTGGAAGATAAAGTGATGGATGAGGCTGGTGTGGTTGGGATAGGCCAGCTGGGGGAAGGAGAGTATCAGCTGACCCCAGTGGGACTTAGACATGAGGAGGGAGAGCACTCTACCCCGCAGAGGGCTTGAGCTCAGGCAGGGACCTGAGCACCTGGAAGAGAGGGTGGGAGGTGGAGGTGGAGCGGTAGCAGAGACCCATTAATATGGGTCATCACATGCATGCTAAGGAATTTGAACTTCACCTTTTGGGCCAGCATTTCCCAAGACCCCTCTTTCTGGAAGGCTAGTTCTGTTGGATATTGTAGAACTGTTAGTCAAAAGAAGTCCCCATGGTTGAAAAAGTAAGAAAAGCTGGGAGAAAGTTTAAAAAATGTTTCTCTCCTACAGAAGTTCTCTCTAAGAATTTCTTAAAATAGTTTTGATCACTGAATCTGTTACTTTTGGTTTTCTTCTTCTCTTCTTCTTCTTTTTTTTTTTTAATTGAGACAGGATCTTGCTCTGTTGCCTAGGCTAAAATGCAGTGGCACAATCTCGGCTCACTGCAACCTCAACCTCCCTGGGCTCAAGTATTCCTCCCACCTCAGCCTCCCTAGTAGCTGCGACTATAGGCATGCACCATCATGCCTGGCTAATTTTTGTATCTTTTTGTAGAGACGGGGTTTTGCCATGTTGCACAGGTTGGTCTCAAACTCTGCTAGGCTCAAGCAATCTGCCCATCTCAGCCTCCCAAAGTGCTGGGATTTCAGGTGTGAGCCACCATGCCCAGCCACTGAATTTATTCTTAAGGGAACATATTGTGGGGGCTGTTTGTAGAGGCTATCTTAGGAAATGCTGTTGGAAGCCATTGACAATTTTGAGTCAGAGGTGATGTTGGGTAGGTGGTTTTAGGAACATGAATCTGAAAATGATGCAGAGGTTGGATTTGAGTGAGGAGCAAGGAGTGATTAGGGGCCTAGTCACAAGTAGTTCAGATTTCTAAACTACTTCTATGCAGTAGTCAAAGACAGTGAGGTGCTCCAAGGGTATTCCAAACCCAATGAGACAGGGATGTCTTTACAAGCATGCACTGTTTTGTTTTTGGTTTTTGTCTGTTTTTGGTGGGCACTGTATAGTCCAAATGCTTTCTCAATAAAATGCACTTAAAACGCAACCCAGCTAATTCAAGCCAAAAGTCAAGTGTAAGTAATAGTGCCCTTAGTGACTCTGTGCAGTCTTTAGCGCTTCCTGCACTGGAATGGGCTTATGTAGGCTGAGGGAGTATCTACAATGTGGAAAAGAGACTCTACACCCTACAGTTGGGAATCTGGTTCTTTGCGTGGCCCAGGTGCACTTCTGCTGGTTTTCCTCATCATGACCTTTATCTGAAAGGAGAGTGGGCACAGTATAAAGGTCACACAGATGTTGCTGCCAGCTCTTTTGAGTTTATTCATTTCTATGCAAAGATTTTAGCACATAATGTTGGGTCCCTTCATTTGTCTCTCTGGTCTCCAAGAACCGGCCTCTAGGTTTGTTCACAATCTTCATGTTCTCCTTTGTCTATGTACACAAAGTTAAGCATCTGGCCTTTCAGCTATTTATGTGAGATTACACGGAATAATGATTTTCTTTTTCCCTGATTATTTTCTATTTTTGAGAAATGTTCTCAATATTTACAAAAAAGGCAGAGGAATAAAGCAATACTGTATGATGAAAAGCTGTGCTGCTTTTTCTCTAGAATTGTTTATCAGAGTAGTTATCGTAAGTGTCTTAGTTTTCTTATATATTTATGAATATAAATGCATTTAGCTGCTTAATTAATAACTCATTTGTTCTCTGTATTTGCTTCTCTCCATTCTTACGCCTGTTATGATTCTGTTCCTGCATTTGGGAGCTTACAAATGATTCAGACTAGTAGTTATTAGTGTGAATATTTCTGAATGTTTTTCTCTTTTGTTGTTTGCAATTTCATAAAGTATCTGGATCCATTTTGTTCCTAGTTATATTGCTTGTTGGCACTTCACATGGCCTTGAAAACCTTCAGCTGTGTTTCTTTATGCTCTTGCTTGACAGGTTTCTGACCACTGGTATCTTAATATTAAATTAACTTGTGCTACATAGACATATCAGTGTCCTTGAGCATGTTGACTACTTCAAGCTGAAAAAGTTCGTATTGATTCCTGAATTCTTTTTTGGCTGTCTACATTAGATAAAGTCATGGTATAATTGCAAAATTCGCACTTTTCTTTTGAGTAGTGATTGTGTGCGCGCGTAGGTCCTACAGTCTGTAGAGGGTAAGTAGGGAAAATTATGATGTGTCCAGCCTCATTATCTAACTATTGTCACTGTTTGACTAGCCAAGATTAAATGGTCTTCTGTCACTATATGAATCTAGGAGAGAAGACACAGAGGATGAGGGCTGCAGCCCCAAAGGGCACTTACCTGAGCACATTTATGTTAATAAATGGCCTCTAGTGTGCTAGATTGAAACAGGAACTTTCACTTTGTTTTAAACTATTGACTGTACATTTCTTCCATTAATTGTAGAGTGACAACCAATGAATGTGAGGTAATGATATGTCTCTACTGGTTCATGTGGGCACATTCATTTTCTAATTAGGTGGTTATAATACACTGAAGATATTTTACATTTATCTATTTTTTTAAACTACAAATTGTGTATGCTTGTGAGAATATTGACCTTGCTTTTTAATATGTGGACTTAGGATAATTTTCTAAAGTTTCCTAAATGTTATTTGATAAAAATACAGATGTAAACATTATATATTATTAACATTTATAATAAAACAATTACAAGCAATTTAGGAAGATTGGAATAAACATATGCCAAATGAGCCATAATCACTCTACAGTGGTTATTTTGGGGTCACAATTTTTCCTAATGGGGTTGTTAATTCAGATGAAGGGTTTCATCTAGATGCCTCAATGTAATTTCTATTTTTATATTATCGAGTTCAATAGAGGGGGTAAGGCTCCTATTTGTTCAATGATAATATGTCAAACAAGTGAGAATATATCACATAAATATAAGCATACAATTATTGTACATATTAGTGTTAGATTAGTACCATTAACCCCAAACTAAGTGAAAAACTCAAAATTAAATTGATCAGATTATATTTCTTTGGTTTACTTAAAATTTCCAATTATTTCATCAAGCAGATTGCTTTTTTCGGGTTTAATTAACCATCATTCCTTCCACTTTGAAATAGGAAGCACGATGTTTATTTACATAATAGAAGATATATATACAGACTTGGGGCCTTTGGAAAAATAAAATTTTAAATCTTTAAGGGAAAGCATGTTCCTTACTCCCTGTCAGTTCATACTTATGAGTTTGCACATAATTTGTTCATTAATTAAACACTTGTTTTTAATTCTGTAATGTAAGCTTTGTATACCCATTCTGATCCTAGATTTTACTTCCGATGACAGAATGTTACATAAATTGCTGAGACTACCAGAGATACCATTTGGTTTCCAAAACAGGATAAAAGCTGCTGCAAGGATTCTAAGCAATGGTTGGCAAGGGCTATTTTAATACTCTTAGCTGCCACTGCCCACCCAAGGGGCAGAGTTTGTCTTTATGGGACATCTTGTATCTCATTCCACTGAACAGAACAGCCATTATCTATTGTAGACCTCATTTCGTATCCATTCGCACTAGGAGCCCTCTGTTTGTCTGTGTCAGGACTGTATTTGTACACACATTCCCTAAAGCTGTCACTTACACCCCTCCCCCCAAGGAAACTAACATAAGTGAGTGGATCAATGGGGTGGGAAAATGTAGCTATTCAGTAGAAACCACAGGGTTTCTGCTTTTCATGGCTTTGCTTCCAAAAATATTAATAAAGAAGTGATGTATTAAATAGTTATCTTTCAGTTTATTTTATTTTGCATTTTTAAAAGAGTGATGTGTCCCAAAGCTCTGGAAACAAAACAGTATTTATAAGAACATTTATCCTGGAAGGAGGCAGGAAAATACAAATATTTGGGAACTGAATACTTCCGTGGTAACTATGAAGTGGAGAACTCTCAAGTTAATTCAACAGCAGTTCTTTATGTATCTATAGGACATTTTTCCTTTTTTCTTTCTTTTATTTTTGTTTGCAGAAGTCCTTTATGTCCAGTATTTTATTCTGACAACCACCACAAAAATCTAAGAAGTTATTTTATTATTTTATAAAAGAAAACTTTTTTTTCATAGTCAAAT
Source organism: Homo sapiens (assembly GCF_000001405.40). Lineage (NCBI taxonomy): Eukaryota > Metazoa > Chordata > Mammalia > Primates > Hominidae > Homo > Homo sapiens. The sequence continues at coordinate 133,255,017 of NC_000002.12, read as the reverse complement.
TGCTTGTTCAGTTTCACACAGCTAATGATTAGGTCAGAAGTTGAATTCAAGTTCCAGGCTCCTAACTGAAAGCTCTTTTTTCACTGTACTGCATTGCTTCCATTTACATTATTTATTATATTATTTAAAATAAATGTTTATTTAGTAACACTTCTTTTTTATTCATCCCAGTTCTTCAACTCTTTAGAGACCAGTAATTCTGTGATATACTTTATGAAAAACATAACAAGAATATTGAGAGAATGGGCTTTGCAGTTACAAACCACAGCTGGGTTTCAAATCCTGACCTAGGATAACTTACGTAACTTCACCCAAACTCCTATAAATTGGTGTCCTAATACCTATCTCAAATTATTATAGTGAAGATTAAATTAGATTATGTATGTGAAGGACGAAACCCATAGTAAAGGATCAGATGATGATACCTTTTCCTCCTTGTTGATATTATCTGTTGCTGAATAACAATCTCCAGACTTAGGGTTTACAACAATATCAACTGTACTATCTCTCACAATTCTGAGAGTTGATTAGACTCAGCTGGGTGGTTCTTCTGCTCCTCATGATATTGTCTGGGACTTCAGTCACCTGAGGGCTCAGCCTCGTCGAAGTATCTGAGATGGGTCACTCCCATGTCTGATGCTTCCTACTGAAGCATCAGACATGGAAAGCTGGGTTCCTCTGGGGTGACTGGGTGTCTTTTTCCCTCCATATCATCTCTCCACATGCTCTCTCTAGCAGGACTACTTACATGGTGGTTCAGGGCAAAAGTGTAAACTTCTAGACCTTCCTAAGGCTTAGTCCTGGAGCTGGCATTGTGTCACTTCTCTCATGTTCTATAGATCACAGCATGCCACAGGACCAACCTGTTTTCGCTGTGGGAGGAGATTACACCAGGTCATGAATATTGGGAGACAGGGGTCATTGGGGGCCATCTTTGGAGATCAGCTGCTATAGTTATCATCATCTAAAATTTTTTAGGCATGTTTCCCAGGCTTTTGCAGTGGAGCAATGAATGAGTCAATGCCAGTGAGAGAAGTGAATTTCTGCTTATTTTTGTTACTCCTGGAGTTGACGGAAGGCAGATATCCTGGTTGCTCTTTAAAGAACATGCTGGAGTCCAGCCTTATCTCTTACTCTGAGCTCCACATTGTAGGGGAGCTGGTGGGACATGTCTGGCATGGGTCCTTCAGTGGTTTTGTGATGACACTTTCTCACATTTGAATTTATAATTTTAAAGCACTTTTACATATATTTTCCCTTTTTTTCTCACTAAAATACACATTTGGCCTTGGCCTGCATCTTCATTTTACATATAAGGAAACTGAGACTAGGAGTTTAAATGATCTTTAAAATGTCACCTAGCTTGAAAAAGGCAGAACTCAAGCTCTACCCCAGAGTTTCTACAACTGGAATATTGCTTCCCCATCCTGGTTCCATTCAAGGGATAAATATGATGAAACGGGGGGTGAGGGAGTCCAAGGCATGGGGGCATTGAAAGGAAGCCTTGGGTGGTAGAGAGGGCATAAATCTTATCTAGCTCTGCCACTTTCTGCCTTTGTGAAACCCAGTGATTAACTTCTGTCTTCTATAGCCTTCATTTACTTAATTTGTGGGATATACTGCCTCTTCCATGAAATAAGGAAGAACAATACTTGCCTTAAGCTCTTTGTAAGCTTATCATCAGTGTTTGATGAAGTAAGTTATGTAAAGGTCCGGCAGAATGCCTGGCACAGAGTGAGTCTTCTAGACACATTAATTCTCTTTCCCTCTCTCCCAGAATTTCTTAAGGAATCTGCTTTCTGAGCCACAGAGCTGAACCTGGGTTACATTTTGAAATGCATTGGGCATTCTTGGTGTACTTTGCATCGTTGAGTGGAAAAGTTGGGGATTGCTTGCCTGATTGCCCAGCAGGAACTCTGTTATGGTTATTCACTTTAGCAAGAGGCAGTCTTGGTGAGGTTGGCATCTTTACCCTGAAACACAGGATTCATTATTCTCTAAGAAGGCTGGCGAAGTGAATGAATGGGACTGACAGAGTCTTCACCTCACGTGCCACAAGTTGCTATCTGCAGACCCCCTGAGGCTGGCTGCCTGCTGAAGGACAATGGTAAAGGGTTGTGGCTTGCTTTTGTAAATGGCTGCTTCAGCATATTATTCTGGACATTGGAACGAATTCTGCCAGTTGCAAGTAAGTCATGAATTTAAATTTATGGGCATCATGCACTATAACTTTAGAACCCTTGTAGACCCTATTTTTGGCTGGCATTGAGGAAAGCTTTCTCCATTTGTCTTTGGTGGTGCCCATGGGCAGCCTGACTTTGGCCTAAAAAACCTCTGGTCTCATGGGGGCTCAGACCCCCAGGGGCATAGAAAAATCTTAGGGCACCTTCTTTTGTCTAAATCAGTGACAGGGCAGAAGAAACATGCCATTGGAGTTTAAAAGGGACTGCTTCACGGCAGCATTACTGTACGCAAAGACCTCTCGTGGTCTGATCTGACAGTCCCTGTGCTGCTGAGGGGACCCAGCTCCAGCCAATGGTAGGATGTCTATGAGTTGTGATGTTGTTGGGAGCTTGTGCTTTTGTGTTTTCTACTTGGCTGTGACTAGAAAGAGAGCCCCGTAGTGAAAATGGAAGTTCAAGTCATCTCTTTTCTGCAACTGCTTCTAGGAATGGTTACATCCAAACGAACATGAGCAGATGGATTTCTTTCCATTTAAGGGCCTCTGGGCAAAGTGATTTTATAGCTCTTCTAAGTAATCCTTACTACCAGGAACTCTCTCCTCATTGATAATAAGCACCTCTCCCATCTGAAAACCAAGCTTCTGTTCTCTTGTTTGTTTAATCAGGAGATGTGGGGATGAAAATGTCATCATCCTCTGAATAATGATGCTTCCAGTATAGGAAGGACACTTTTAACTCACTGAGCCTATCTTTCCCTTACCTTATGCAGTTCCAATTCTTGGACTAAAGGTCTGTGAAATATTATTTTTCCTAAAGAAATTAAAATAAAAATTAAAATTTTAGTGGGTTATGACTGTGGCCAAACATTAGGAGAGACTTCCTCATAGTTTCAGGGCCTCTGGCCTCAATTTCAAAGAACCACTCCAATAAACAAAATGCAGTTGATTACTCTTGGGGCAGAAATATGCATTTGGATTGTGTCTGGTCTTCATTGCTGTTAAAAGGAATATGCTTTTTAAGATAAATGTTGAGTTCATGTTTCTTTACAGTCTATACACTGATTTCACTTATATTTTCTTTTTCTTTTTATTTGTATGAATTACTGGGATGCAAGTGTAATTTTGTTAGATGCATATATTTCATAGTAGTGAATGAGGGCTTTTCTCATCTTCACATCTATTAAATAAGAACTATTATTGCATAGCAAATCTCTGCTTTAGGTTACAGTTTGATAGAGTGCCTTGTAGAGTCAATAATGAATGATTTTATATGCTTTTTTTATACTTTGGCATCTGCTATGTGCTAAATGCTGTGTTTAGTGTTGTCATCCTCCTTAACACTCCTGTGCCCAATGAAGTCAAAACCATGTGGCCAAATAAAGTCCGGCAAATTCATGCAAGGCTTGGCCTATCTTTGGGGGAGCTCAATGGCAGTTTTAGGGTCTGGGTAAAAAAAAAATTTGTCTGTTTTCTTTTCCACTCCACTGTATGTGGCTAGCAGCAGATACAGGCATCCCTCACTGTGCTCAGGGGATTGGTTCCAGGACCTTTCACCAGTACCAAAATCCATGGATGCTCAAGTCCCCGATACCAAACCACATAGGATTTGCATATAACCTACACACATCCTCCTGTACACTTTAAGTTATCTCTGGATTACTTATAATACCTAAAACAATGTAAATGCTGTGTAAACAGTTGTTACACTGTATTTTTTCTTTGTGTTTTCTTATTACTGTTATGCTGGGTTTTTTTTTTTATTTTTAAAGAATGTTTTCAGTGTGTGGTTGGATGAATCCATGGATGCCAAACTTTGAGATATGGAGGGGCATATATTTTCTTTCTCTTTTAAGAAGAAAGCATATTTTCTTTTCTTGTTTTTGTTTGTTTGTTTGTTTGTTTGTTTGAGACAGGGTCTCACCCTGTCACCCAGGCTGGAGTGCTGTGACATGATCAAGGCTCACTGCAGCCTCAACCTCCTGGGCTCAAGCCATCTTGCTACCTCAGCCTCCCAAGTAGCTGAGACTACAGGTTTGTGCCATCATGCACAACTAATTTTTTGTAGAGATGTAGGCTCCCTGTGTTGTCCAGGCTGGTCTCAAGCTCCTGGCCTCAAGTGATCCTCCCTCCTTGGCTCCCCAAAGTGTCCGGGTTACAGGCATGAGCCATTGCCCCTGGCTGTATTTTCTTTAAATGCTTTTTAAAAATTGCGAGAGAACCTGTTTTCAATTTAGAACCTGTTTCCACTGAGAAAATAGCAGGCAGTGAGAACCTCAGGAGAGCAGAGCCTGCCTCAGAAGCAGGTGGCCCTGCCCTCGGCTGGCCCTCCACATGGTGTCAGGAACCACACCTGCATGCTGTCTTACGTGCCCTAAGCTGGTGGTGGGTACCCAGGATGAGGCAGAGGAACCACACCTGCATGCTGTCTTACATGCCCTAAGCTGGTGGTGGGTGTCCAGGGTGAGGCAGAGGGCTGAGCTGTCCAGGGCTCCAACCCATAGGAAATGTACGGTGGTGAAGCAGATCATCCGCTCTGCCTGCCCCGCTCGCCTAGACCTGGGCTGTTCCCTGGCTGCCTCACCCTCACGTCAAGGTCCTGATAAAGGTTGATCACATAGCTGTGGATTAATAGGTATTCCTTCCTGGGGAATATCTGTTCATTGAAACAAAACCTCAAAGGCTTGGACCCATTGTTTCTCCTTGTGCTCTGGCATTCCTTCCCTGATGTCTCAGGATCCTGATGTTTTCAGATTTCCTGTCATTCCTCTGTTTAAAACCTCTCTTCTTAGGTTGCAGTAAAATAATAATAATAATAATAATAATAATAATAATAATAAAACCCTTGGTGGTGGCTTTACATGTTCTGCCTTTTCTGTCTTCTTTCTTCACCTGCCTTCTTTACGTTGCTTCAGAAGCACATTGCTGGCTGCCTTGAGTCCTTTCTCCAGGATACTGCCACCTCATCTTTCAGGACTTAGCTTCAACCTCCTTCCTCCAAAGACTAGGTTAGGGCCCTTCCCAAACCGCCCCACCTTGTGTTCCCTTGGGCGTATGTGCTTCCTTTGTAGATCTCATTATATTTGTAGTTATTGGTTTCAAGTCAGAATTTATTGTCAGATTGTCAGCTTCGTAGACATAGAGCTTGAATCTGTGTTGTCTTTTGTTCAGAACCCATCACAGAGCTGGCACATAGGAGGTCCTCAATCAACAGTTACTTTGAAGGAGGAAGGGTGACTAACGTCAAGTCAGCCTGAAGGTGGTTGTACCTAGAACAATCAGAGATAAAGTGTATTGGTTTCCTGTTGCTGCTATAATAATTTGCCACAAACTTACTGGCTTGAGACAAAAGAAATGTATTATCTCATAGTTCTGGGGGTCAAAAGTGCTAAAATCAAGCTGTTGGCAGGGTTCCATTCATTTTGGAGGTTCTCAGGGAGAATTTAACCTTCCCCACTTTCTAGTGGTTGTTCACATTCCTTGGTTTCTGGCCTCTGGCAGAGGTATCACTTTGACCCCTACATCCATCCTCACATCTCTTTCTGAAGCTTTGACTCTTTCGAGTTCCTTTCACAAGGACCTTTGTTAATTGCATTGAGCCCTGCCAAAAAAATCCAGGATAACTTCCCCATCTCAAGATCTTTAACTTAGTTACACCTGCAAAGTTCCTTTTACCGTGTAAGGTAACTCATTCAAAGTTCTGGATGAGAATGCAGACCTATTGGGTGGGAGGGGCAGGGGCAGTGGCATAAGTAGGGGTGATTCAGGTAGTGGGATGGGGGAAGGGAATGGCTAAAGGGGAAGACACGGTCCAGGTTAAATGAATTTAGAGGCATCTCTCTGGCAGACGCTGAGCAAGAAAAACAAATTTAAAAGTAAGATACCAAGAAATGTTCAGGGATACTGCCAATTTAAAACTGAGTAGTGAGGAGCAGATGATTTTTCTCAGGATAAGATGTGATAAATTGGAACTCAGGAAGGAAGGAAGAAATGGACTTTTCCAAGGACCAGGGTTGGGTCTGTTGATCTGGTTGGGGAACGAACCGGAGCAGTCAAGGGTTAGACATGTGCTCTGGGCTGGATCAGTCTGAGTCAAGGATGTCCCTGTAAAACCATGAATTATCCAACTCTACACTGAAGAGAATTTAAAAGCTGCAGTGCAGCTCAACATTGTCCAGTCTTGTCCCTATATTTTATAAACTAGGAAACTAAGACCTAGGAAAGTTCAAATGGGTTGAGCAAGGACACATGGCCAGTTGACCTCAGAATTTGGACTAGAAACCAGGGTCCTGGCACCAATGCTGCCTTTTTCCCAGTGGACCAGAGGCCCTCCTCTGAAATCCTCTCACATGTTATATTCCCTGCCCTGTTTAGTGCACACTGCAGAGGAAGGGCATGGGAGACGAGCCCAGGGCACATGCCCAGGATCTCCATCTAAAAATAGCAGGTGGCCTTGTGATGGAACTCTGGGTGGTTTTGTTTGAGGATAAGGTAGAAGAAAAGAAACCCTTTCTGAATAGCATAGGGCGGGAAGTGGAAGACGCCCAACTTCTGTGGCGTGGGGTGTAGATTTAGGAATAAATAGTCCCAAACAGAGGCAGTGCAGATCACTCACCACACTTAGTCAAGGTAGCTTTATGATTCCACCACCTTCTCCCAGGGGCTGTAATGAAATCAACGAAAGTTGTGTGACCAGCTGATATGAAAGCAACTGCACATGGACAAGTTCTAGTTTTCCCTTTTAGCATGCAGCCAACTTCCTTCCTAAGTAATAACAAACAGTTTCTCCAGAATATCAATGCAGCTTTTTGGGATAAATTTCTTAGTTGCTTTGAACACTTCATCAGTAATGTGACTAGTCAACACATGACCTCATTGGCAGGGAGACTGCTAATCCCCTCATAGGACTTTACAATTTCCAATTCCCTTTTCCTAGTATAGTCACATATGAAAATACTTTAGGGTAACTCTGGAACAAGTAACATGAGACACACATGACTTGAAGTAGCCGCAATAGAAAATAGGATGTGGAAGGGAGAAATTGCAGAACTATGGAGCATGGAGAAAGGCTAACCTATGCAAAACAGGAAGTGAGTGTACACTTGAGAGATTTCATGCTGCCTACTTCCGGGTTGCCAGGTTTCAGAATGAATGAAGGCCTTCTCTGCTCCTAGGATAAGCTTCTATAAAGAAAACATATTCATATTTTTAAGTGGGTCTTTAACTATTCATGGATGTTGTCCCACAATAAATACTTTGTGTGGCTGATTGGAATGCTTTTAATAGCGTAAGACCTTGGGTTTCTAGTGAGTTTCCCTTTTAATTTAAAGTGGTGGGGGTGGAAACATGGATGGAGGCTACTTATGGGATTTTAATTTAATGCTGTAAAATTTGAAGGGGTTTGGAAATTCTTATGTGATTTTAATTGAATGCTGCAAAATTTTAAAGGGGTAGGAAATTAACATAGAATAAAATCACTTTATGTAAAAATTTATTTTTAATGCTTCTCACAGTTTTTATAACAACGTCATTAATGAGACTATCATAAAACAGCCATTAGCCACCCTGAAGCTAGATTTGTGTGTTGAAAATCAGGAAGAAACATGACAAATATCAAGATAATTTAAAGTGAAGACATCTCACAGTTCTGCCCCAAATTGCCAGTTATTTGATTCTTTTTAAGCAGGGCTGTGTGTATTAGGTGTTTATAAATGGAACAGTGTTTAAAAATACAAACTAACATTACTTTAAATAGTGCATGTGATATAAATGATTCTATTTGCAAGGCCTCACAACGTGCTAGATAGATCAGGCAGGCAGGAAGAATTGGATTTAGGAAATGGTTAAATTCCAGCCTCATTTCATGTTATTGAAAAGGATGCTGGATTGAGTAACTTCTGGGATACAGGGAATCCAAGGAGGAGTAAATAATCCTAAGGCTGAAGCACAACCTGGGGAGGGTCTACATGTCTTAATGTAGACTTTTAACACTACCTGTTTGCTCATTCATTTATTCTGCATCTCCTCATTTAATGTTATTTGGGCATAGACTCCTTGTTCAAATGAATTCTGCAGAACTCCACTTCTGGAAGAATATTGTTCAGACTTTCTTGATTGGAAGCCGCAGTGAGAAACACATTTTATTTTCAACGCGGTATGCATATAAATGCAAATATATACACACACACATGTAAATCACAAAAACAAAAATTTCAAGAAACAATGCTATTTCACAAAATGAAGCTGGATGAGGCAGCCATTGTATGTATTCCTTACGTTGCCCACACCATGTCTTACCCACTGATTCCAGCAATTGGCGGCAGCATCAGCTGGAATACGTACATTCTTGCTAAGGATCTGTGTAGGGCACTGTGGTGTTTTCTGCTTTTTTTCTATTTCACTTTTAGGGAAAATGGGTTACCATACATTATAGCGATTTTACTCCTTGCTAATTTGCTGTGACCTACAGTTTGAAAAAGTTTCCAGAGACAAGCAGTATTGTTAAAGGGATACATATTTTTAACAAGCTTTTTTTCATGTCATTGCTCCATTTGAGGATAGACAGTGATTTTTTTTTTTTCCATTAGAATACAGTTTGGTTTTCAGTGTTTTCTTCCTCAGTGACTCCCCTTTACCTACCTCACCAGGAAAGCTCCGTCTACTCAGTTACCATTCATTTTGCCCCTACAGCCTCCCTCCCTGGAATCATTCCTATTGCTGGGTCCTCACACTGTGAATTCAGATGCTATGCATGTTTCCACTCCACGGTCACATTCGTCTCTTCCATGAGGCCTTTCTTGATAATTTCAGACCCCAACCATGATTCTTTCTCAATCCCCACAGCACAGCTGTTGCAACATATGCTAGTTGACTGCCCTAGCATTATAATTGTTTAGTGTCTGCTATGACTCTCCCCACCTCCATTTTTTTTTTTTTTTTTTTCCTGATCAAATCAAAAAAATCCTTTTTTGCTCTGAGTTATAAACTCCTGGAGAGCAGGGGGAATTTTTTCAATACTTATAAATGTTTCAATCACTCCTAAAATATTGGCCACAAGCATAGGAATTTGCTGAATATGTGCTGATTGAAACTACTTGTGGCCTGTTTCCTGTTAACATTCTCCTGTTTTTCCTCTATGTTTTCTGGTTTCAAAATTTAATTGTATGTTCATTGAAAATAGGGATTGCGCCTTTAATTAAAAAAAAATTTATTGAGGTGTAACATACATACGGAAGAGCACACAAATCAAGTGTTAGTATACTGGTTTTTCACAAAGTGAAAACACCTATGTAATTAGCACCCAGGTCAAGAAAAAGAATCCAAGAATTCACTCCATGCCTTGTTTGTCATGCACAAATACTATCCTGATTTCTGTTACCATAAATTGGTTTTTCCCCATATTAGACCTCTGTATGAATAGAATAATTCAATACAAATAGAATAATTCAATACTTATGGTTTGTTTTTTTCTCGCTGTTTTTTCATTCAATATTGTATTCGTGATACTTACCTATATCATTGCAAGTAGTCGTAAACACTTCATTCTAGTTACGGGGCAGCATTTCATTAAATGAATATAGCATGATTTATTGATGTAGTTGATCGTTGATGGACAATTGGGTATGTCCTGGTCTGGGTCTTCTGTGTAATGTGCTGCTATGAACAGGTTTGTACATATTTTTGGTGAGTATTTTGTTGGCTCTTGGGTATACACGTGTTCTATCAGTTCCCCAAAGTGTTTGTACCAGTTTACACTCCCACCAGCAGTGGCAGAGACCTCTGTCTTCTCCACATATTTGCCTACAGACACTTGGTATTTTCAAGTCTTTAACTGGGTGTAGATATTGCAAATACATTTTCCCTTTATAGATTTATTAAAATTAATAAAGTCCTTTATGCTTAGTACTTGCTATGTGTTAAGAAACCTTTGCCTCTTCCAAAGTCATCAAGATATGTTCTTATGTTCTTGTTTTATTTTTTACAGAAGCTTTGTTATTTTCTCTCTTATATTTGCAGTCCCTCAGGAATTGAGTTTTGTTTGTGGTATGAATTAAAGATTAAGAGTTACTTTCCTTCATATGGGTGTCCAACTGACCCATAATCATATAGTGAGAAGACTTTTCCCATACTTTCCTTGTCACTCTTGTTGTATATCAAGTGACAGTCTTAACTGTGAGTCTCTTTCTAGCTCCTCCTTTTCTCCCATGGGCCTGTTTTTTTAAATATATATTTATATGTTTTGCTTCAAACACACTGTCTTAATTCTATATCTTTATGGCATTTCTTAAGGTGTGGTTAAGTCCTTTAATTCTGTTGTCCTTTAGAATTGTCTTGGGTATTGTAGCCCTTAATTTTTTAAGATTCATGCTAACTGTGCATAAAATAGGGTTATATAAATACTATACTACCAATAAATTGTATGAGACAGATTGGAGGTTAAAGAGAAAAGTCACACTGAAAAAAATCAGTGAGAAAAGTTAATGCATGTTGGAACATAACAGTTTGTTGTATTTTGCATTTGCAAATCTCAAAATTTTAGGGAGGATCTTACAAAGAGATAGATTACAAGGGAATTTGACAATAAAGATGATGAACTAAGGTGATATTGAAGTAGGAAGCTGTACACAAAGAATATCCATCTTTATCAAACTTGTTTACTGAAAGAAAAGTTTAAATATAGTGAAGGAAATAAAAATGACAAATCTCAAAAAATTAAACAATGAATAAATCTAGAAATAGATCTCTGGAGATGATTCTGTTTTGAATGGGATAGGATTGAAATCCATGCAGAAAAACAGTCAGACCCTAGTATCAGTTTATATTTTAGCTTGTCTACCATTTTCCTATTGAGGGAGCCACAAAAGAAAAATCTTAATTTTTTATATTTGTAAATAGAAGGAAACTCTTGACCCTGAATTGCAGCTTGTGGCCTATGGTATATGCACAGGCACTGAAAAGAAAAACACGTTACAAGTGATGGGAATTACATGCATTTTTACCTCAGAAGAAGAGATATAGGGAAAGAGAAAGAAGCAAACGTTGTTTTTCTTGGAGCACATCAAGCAGGTTTAACAAATGTTTACTTGTGGTTTGGGCATTATTACTCCTCGCAGCCTTAGTTAGAAGTACATTCATGTGTATTCTAATTTAAATCCATAGTATCAATCAAATATGATAGCTTCAGCTTGCAAATACTGAGCAAAAGTGGGAGAGGGCTTAGATTAGTTGAACGTGTTGAAAAATGGAGCTTCCAGCCATGGCATCCGTGAGGGTAAGAAATGGTTTTATTTTATGTAGTTGCAGGGAAGAGGACCAATTGGCATTTAAAAGATAGTTTCCATAGCTACTGGACTGAATCAAAAGAAAACACTGTCACAGCATTTTCTCCTTTACTACCTTGCTGCTTTATGGTAGGGACCAAAGCAAGTATTTTTCAGGAGAGGGCCTAGTTCTTCCATAGATGAAATGCTATGAAATGCTTCATTCAATCTAGTGTCTCCTAGAGGAGTAGACTTCCTTTGTTTTGAGAATCTCATCATACATCCACAATTTGATTAGAACCACTTATTTGTTCAAAAGGGACTTACAGGAAAGGTTCTCTCTAGGTACAACTTTGTTGGGCAGCTCCCCCTCCTGCCAATTTAAACTCTATTTCATGATTTAAAAAATGGGGGTTGCACTTAAATTATGGAAGAATCCAGGATTTGTTGCTCCTAGCCTTTTTAAAAAATATATATAAGTATGAAGAAGGATTTCTCAAAGGACCCTAAAAGTGATTACTTTTGATTTTATAGCATAATATGGTTAGTCAAAAACACCAAACACTTAAAATGTGAAAGAAACATGATTATGAGGAAGTCTTTCTTTTTATTTTGTGACATAAACTGTACATTGGGGTATATTGTGTAACTCCAGTTTTATGGTCATCTAACGCTTGAGCTAATCATGCTCTGATCTTTTGTACAAAGTACTCTATCATGTAGGCCTACTATAAAAAAACTTTCCCGGTAGTGCCCTGCAAGATATGAGAGGAGGAGAAATAGACATTCACTTTTGCTTTATTGTTTACATGTTTGTCAGTTTACATTTATGCATCCTTGAGTGTCTTCGCTGTTTTTCAAAAGCATTTTCTCATTCATTTGTATTTCTTTTAAAGTCGATAGATTGGAGCTGTCTTCTAAGAAAGATCTGGCTGATGATATTGCATGCAGTAGCAGTATTATTTCCAGGGCTATACCACAGTTTGCATTAATATAGTTAAAGGTAGAATCTCCGTTAGCTACCCACTCCAACACTCTTAGTAAACCCACAATCCAAGTAAGAAGGGTGATCTGGTTCTGCAAATGTAGCTTCAAGACCAATAGGTTGCCTTCTGCTTCCAATCAGATTGTTTCTTGGAAGCCTGCTTAGAAATTCTGAAACCAGCCCTGTTTATATTTGGGTATCACCTCCATGCTAGAGCTACTTTCTTGCTTTTACTTTTCTTGAGACAAGGCTATCTGTCTTTCATTATAGTAGAATGTGATTCCAGGATAAGATAAAGTTGATTTTGTATATGTTCTCTCAGTTAAAAAAAAAAGAAAAGAAAAGAAAAGAAAAACAGAGTATTTACCAAGCTGGATTCTGACAGCATTGGTTACCTTCAGAAGGTGGATGTGTAATTCAGAATGGAGCTATTTTGCCTTGGTCATTTTTGCTTTTTTTTTTTTTTTTTTTTTTGAGACAGAGTTTCGCTCTTGTTGCCCAGGCTGGAGTGCAACAGTGTGATCTCGGCTCAACGCAAACCTCTGCCTCCCGGTTTCAAATGATTCTCCTGCCTCAGCCTTCTGAGTAGCTGGGATTACAGGCACCCGCCACCATGCCCAGCTAATTTTTGTATTTTTAGTAGAGATGGAGTTTTACCATGTTGGCCAGGCTGGTCTCGAACTCCTTACCTCAAGGTCCAACCACCTCGGCCTCTCAAAGTGCTGGGATTACAGGTGTGAGCCACCGTGCCCGGCTATTTTTACTTTTAATATGCAAAATATCCCTACATGCATATCACCCATCTCATTCTGAAATTCATATATCTGAGAGACAAGCCTGGAGAAGGCCTAGTGGACAAACCACGTTCCTGGGATATGTGAAAGAAGGAGGGCTTGTCCCCCTGCAGATGCCACTGGTGAGGAAGAGTTATGTGGCAGAGTAGATGAAAATAGAAGAGGAGAGGAAATGCCGTTTACTCCTCAGAATCAAAGGAGGAAGGTTACCATAGACAGTCATATCTTACATCTCTGGGAAGTTCAGTTGGAACCACAGTTGGAAATGAATGTCAGTGCCAGGGCTATGACTTGCATTCATTGCTAAGTACTAGATAAATGCCTGTGTTTATAAATACAAATTATATTTTGCAAAGATGATGTAAATAAGTCTTCTGAGACAGATCCAGAAGTCAGATTCCAGAGCTGGAAGTCATTAGTGATTTTGATCATGTTTGTAAAATACTTTGAGCTCCTCAGCTCCAGCATGTGATGTGAGTGTGTCTCTACATAAGAATTTGTATTTATTACTGATGAGCAACACTGCCGACTGAAATAAAACCCAAAATAGGGCGAGGAAGAGAGCTCTCTGACATTTAAAAGCAAACAATTTCTGGAATGAAGTTACAGAAAATATCAATAGTTGTTTATAAGCACAGCGTGGGAATGTTTCATTCAAAGCACATGAATTTAGCTAAAACGTTTAACTTGCTCTCTAAAGACCAGTTTTCTTTGCCTGCTAGTCACAGGCTTGAAACAGAAAGTAAATCCTGTGTTGAGGATTAAGTTCTAGAATAAGAAAATAGTAAGGTAAGAAAACTTGGAAACTCATGATTCTTTTTAGATATACAGAATTTTAGCAAAATTGTTTTTTCTTTTAAAAAAGATGTAGGGAGGAGGGTGAATGCAAGAAACAGAATGTAGTAAAATGCTTTTCATGAAATAAGATTAATCTCCTATCCTGAATGAAAATAGAGGCAGAAGACAGCCATCCAGTGAGTGCTTTGTAAATCACATTATTAGGACTTGCTTAAAGCATTCACCTAGTGTTCTATATGGAGGTGGTTGGTGGAACTGCCATATGCCAGCTTGGGTCTGGGCCAGGGAGGCATGCAGGAAGGGTTTTGCATTCCAGTCATCCTCTCCCGCCTGGCAAAAAGCACTTTTTGTATGTGGTGGAAGTACCCAAGTTATACGTACACAATGGGAGGCTGAAATTTCATTTCCACATGAAATTAGTGAATAATGGCTTTCAAGACTCACTGAATAAGCATCCCCAAGACAGTCAGCATTGTAAGTCTGTACAGGACGCCAGCCATCTGGATGAAAAATAAATCAGTTATGCAGCTACTTTGGGGGGCATCAGAGATGGGCATGCAAGGGTGAAGTGTACGGACACTGTATTGGAGCAATTTGCTTTTCATCAGGGCTTTGTTGTGGCCAAGTTTTGTCACTTCTGTGATTCCATGTCACTCTTGTACTGTTCTAAGTCACTAACTTATTAAGCCAGAAATGCATATATTTTTATCTCCAATTGTAATATATTGGCCACTGGGTGTCTGTTTAATGGTTTTATCTTACTATTTTATTATCTTTATTGTTTACCATTTCTTAAAATACACCTTCACATTAATTTTGGATTTTAGCCTTTAGGAGAGTAGGTATTCTATCTGCATGGTGGCTAAGTTCGTAACTCCGGAATGCGCAACTCTAGACAGTGTTATCAATAATGAGGTGTTTATTTTCTCCAAATTGTGATGGTGAGGTCTCCTTTCTGGCTAATGTAAGACTAGCTGTTAAAATATGATTTGAGAAAATATGATTTCAGTTTTGGTAAGGGTTATTTGAAAAAAAAATAAGGCCAGGGTTATTTATTGTTAGATAGTCAGACATTGGTAATTTGCCTACATATAATAGTTAAAGCTAAAGCATGGAAACCAAACTGAGAGA
This sequence comes from Homo sapiens, assembly GCF_000001405.40. NCBI lineage: Eukaryota > Metazoa > Chordata > Mammalia > Primates > Hominidae > Homo > Homo sapiens. The sequence goes on along the minus strand of NC_000002.12, from coordinate 133,239,870 downwards.
AGCAGATGGAAACATCCCCTAGGTAAGTCTGAACATTTGTTCTTAAAAATGGAACAAGTGCTAGCAAGCTGTATAATCATTTTCTTTTAATTACACCTGACTTTGATTTTTAAAAAATGTTGGCAAAGCAGTGTTTCAGTTTTATTTAACCTACTTTAGTTTCCTTCAGAAACTCTTTAGAATTTAGCACATAAACAGAGTATAAATAAAAGGTAGCAGGATTTGAAGGAAATCAGTTAATGGGCTGTAAAATAATTCTTTGGTGTGAGATTTTTAGAGAATAGAAAAAATCAGAATCTAGCTGGTACAGTCAAATACCTTGATTTTCCTATAGTCTAGTTCTATAACAGAAAAGTATTTCTACTTCCTGTATAGAGTATACAGGAAGATATGAGGTACCAATAGAGTTTCCTTGATTTGCTAGAATTCCATGTTGTGGTATTTCACGGAATATAGTACTCAAAATCTACATGAATATCATAACTGCTTGTTTCATGCTCTTGTAAATTTGTTGATTCACATGCTTCTCTAAATAAATGGGCTAGCAGTTGGAGTTTTGCTGTATTTTGCAGTCTGAGCTATTCACTGAAATTGTATTAGTGGGATTTGGCTTGTAACTTTATAGTGGAAGCTATATACATTAATTAATTTTGAGGCAGCTGCTCATTAAAAATTCTTTCTAGTAAACATAATAAGTGAACATATTTTAGAAGATGCCAGCACATAATGTATTAAATGGACTTTGATAAGTGAATTTGGCTAATTAATTTGATTGGCAAGTATGAAAAACCCATATTTATAGGAATCCAACATGATGGACTGTATAATAGTATTTTAAATCCTGTTTTAACATTAGGGATTGTATGTATAACATAAGGACCTCATAAAGGAATTGGGGTTCACTATTAACCTGGAATAGAAGATATATTACCAGGTTACATACAGACTGAGAGAATGGGAAGGGGATTTTACAGACCCTCTTTCATTCATTCCTCTTGCTTTGTAATGAGAAAACCAGGACCAGACAGGTTGTAGGACTAAACATTTATGTGGTAGAGGAACTGGAAGCAGGACCTTGGCCCCTGATACTTGAAATGTTTTTTCAAACCTACCTGTGGAACATGTCTTCATGGAACCCCCTTGTCTAGAGAAGAGTGAGATAAGGCTAGAAGCTACTGCTGAGCCCTTTCATTTATAAATAAAGAATGCTTTGCTCTGGAATGTAGCTAGTTGGGGCTGCTTAAAAAGATTTTGGAGTCTTTTCCAGAAGTCGTTTAGGAGAGACTAGACAAATGTAAGTAAGTACTGGATGGTACTGACTGAGTGAGAAAAAATAAGCAAAAACAACGGTGCCTGTGTCTTCTTTTTAACAGGGAGACAAGCCATTTCATGAAGGAGCTTCTTTCTCATCCACAAGACTGAGAGCCTTCTATAGTTAGTCATAGAGAGAATGCTATAGGCTCTGCGGTCCTGTGGCCCTGGCAGTGATACTACCAGAGACTTTACCAAAGGCTGGGCTTGAAGCCACTGCCTTCGCCATGACCCATGTGGGAGATTGAGTTCTATCCACTGATTCTATTTCTCTCCAGGAGCCTCAAGCACATGAGCCACTCAGATTCTAAACCTGGGAAAAGACATAGAATCACAGATATATTGTTTTATAAGTAGAGGGGGAGGTAAGAAAGGATAAAATAGGTGTGCTCATATAATTAAAGTGTCACTTTTTTGAGAAAAACTAAAGTGAGGAAACTTTCCATCACTTGACTAAGTGAGTTAACCTCTGGCTTAGTCAAGTGATGGAAGTTGTGTTCTCTTTTGCATGAGAGCGAATGACAAGTTTTCATTGGCCACAGTGGTGGAGCTTTCCTTCCCGTGCTTGTAACAGCCAGAAACACCTCCTGCAGGACCCGTGCCTTCACCTTCTGGTTAACTTGGTTACTTTCCATTAGTTGAGGTTTGGGTGGCAAAAGTGACTTGAGAATGAAGGGGAGAGGTGCTGGTACAATCCAGTCTGAGTGCATGAGGTTTCCCTCCTACCTCCAGAGAATTGTAGCTGCATCATTTTTGCAGTTTTCCTATTAACTAGAGCTGAGTTAGTAAAGTGTGTCCCCAGGAGGAGCCTTCAATGCTGAGGTGAGACATCTTTTAAAGGGTTATTTTCAAAGCAGCAGCCTCTGCTGAGTAACATTTTTCTTTGCAGTTACATCTTCAATTGTCTTTATCACGGTGCAGTGCATTTGTTTACACGTGTGTCTCACCTACTAGACTGTGAGCTTCAGAAAGGCTGTTCAGTATCTGCTTCTCCTGGGGATTTCTGATGGCTGGCCCAGAGCAGAACTCAATAAGTGTGTGTGGAATTAATGAATATTGAATGAATAAATAAAGTCATATGTAAATGGGTGCTTTCAAAGTCTTGAAGTTTTTTCTTCAGTTTTTAATGCAATGTTCTAAAACTTTAGCCTTTTTTAATGTCACTTATTCTTTTGCTATCCTTTTATTCTTATATTTTCATAGAACAAAGAAATACTTGTCTAGGTTCTTGGTTCTGAATTAAGGAGATCTGGATTAAAGTGGTCTTAACTCCATCAAGCAAGGGTTTACTTTGTTATACTTGTACACAAAATTAAAAAATCTATCTCTGCTTAGGAATATAATAATTTGTCATAATTAATCAAGGTATCAAAGTACAGCTTTTTTTTAAAATAAGCAATGCACTGATGTTTCATAAAGTAAATTTTCTAGATTCAGCCAATAGGAGCATTTCTTGGTGAGTTTCTACTCTTTTTTTTAAATTTGATACAGAGATTTCGCTCTTTTTTTTTTATTATACTTTAAGTTCTAGGGTACATGTGCCCAAGGTACAGGTTTGTTACATATGTATACGTGTGCCATGTTGGTGTGCTGCACCCGTTAACTTGACATGGAGAGGAGAGAGGGATAGCATTAGGGGATATACCTAATGTAAATGGTGAATTTCTACTCTTATGTGGACTTTGAGTTGAAACCCTGTGTTTCCTACTTTCGGGACAGCTTCATAATTGAAGCCTATAGAGGTAATAGACCTGTGACTGAGATTCCCAAGCTTGAACTTCCATTTTAATTGGATTTACTTGAAGGCTTATGAATAAAAGGCTGTGACTTTCTAATTAGCAGAGTTGATAGCATATTGTCTAACAATGTTAACCTGATTTAGAATCCAAATGCCTTTTGATGGATTTTAAATTATATCTTAATATTTCCCACTTCTAATGTATTGACTTAAGTGATACATTCAAATGAAATTTCATTTTTCCTATCATCATCTATGAAATATGCTGTATCTCAGTTTGATATTTTTAGTTGTGGTGTTTGTCAGACACCTAAGAGAACAGTCCTTTTACTTATAGGTAGGTAAAATCCCTTGCGTTCCTAATTATGCTGGTCACTTCACAGGTCATTAACCTGTATATTTTTTCAGAACCTAAAAACAACTGGTAGGGTATATATGCTGAGTTCTCCTTATTCATAGTAGTTATGTTCTATGAAGTCACCTTAAACACTGAACCATTGCTCCTAAGGAAAATACAGGGTTAGATTCCTGTGAGCCTCTGGCTCTGGTTTTTTAGCTGATCAGTGCATAACCTTATGGTGTTTTATGTATGTTTCTGCTTAAAGACTCCTTTTTAATATGTATTGTTGATTCATCAGCATCGAACTCATAGCCAACAGCACTATGACTCATACCTGAAGCTTGTCTAACACATACATTTTATCCATAAGACATATCACAGCTTTTTTTTTTTTTTTTTTTTTTTTTTTTTGGTCTGAGACAGGGTCTTGATTTGTCACCCAAGTTGCAGGGCAGTGATGTGATCTTGGCTCACTGCAGCCTCCACTTCCCAGCTCAAGCAATCTTCCAGCCTCAGCCTATAGAGTAACTGGGACCAAGGCACAAGCCACCATTTTTTTGCATTTTTTTTTTTTTTTGAGATAGAGTTTCACTTTTGTTGCCCAGGCTGGAGTGCGATGGCACAATCTCGGCTCACTGCAACATCTGCCTCCCGGGTCCAAGTGATTCTCCTGCCTCAGCCTCCCGAGTAGCTGGGATTACAGGTGCATGCCACCATGCCTGGCTAATTTTGTATTTTTAGTACTGATGGGGTTCCTCCATGTTGGTCAGGCTGGTCTCGAACTCCTAACCTCAGGTGATCCATGCCACCTCGGCCTCCCAACATGCTGGGATTGCAGGCATGAGCCACTGTGCCCAGCCTGTATTTTGTATTTTGAGCCACCACTTTCTGGCATTATTATTTTCTTGTAGAGATGGGGTTTTGCCTTGTTGCCCAGTCTGGGTCTTGAACTCCTAAGCTCAAAGCGATCCACCGCCTCTGCCTCCCAAAATGCTAGGATTACAGGTGTGAGCCACCATGCCCAGCCTGCCTTTTTGTACTCAGGAGGACTTAGTACTTCAGTACTGTAATTGGGGGCCATTTTAATCAATACAGTCACCAACAGAAAGCACAAACATGCAAAAAGTGGCACTAAATAGATCACGAAAAGGACACCAAGAGCTGTGGAGCGTCACCCCTTGCGTGACCTCAGTTTGGAATGTGCACATTGGTCACTCACACTTTCACTGCTCTGTGCAAGTCTGCAAGGGACAGTGAAGGCATCATGAGTATTGATCTTGGGGTTGCAAATACATTTGAGTGAGCAGACCAATTTCTAATTGTGGAATTACCAATTTATAATTGTGTGAGTAATGAAGACTGACTGTATTATCACCAGAGTTTGAAGATAAGGAATCCAAGACTCAGATGTTAAGTAGCTTCAGTTCCATGAGACTCTACCAAGGACCTAACGTGCATTGAGGATGTACTGAGTTGGATGGGGTCCCTCAGTCGAGACTTATGACCCTGGTTGTTAACTGGCCTTAAGAATTTCTGTCTTAAGGCCAATTAACAACCAGGGTCATAAGTCTCGACTGAGGGACACTTATTTATATAAATATTTACTTAAGAATGAATTGCTTACTGTGTCTAAATGTATTTTTTCTTTGTTCTTTCCTTAACATTTTTCATCTTTCTGAAAAGTAAAGTCAGTCTTTAAAACTTTAGGTAACTATTTTAAAAGTAAAATTTGACATAAAGCCTTCTCTTGTCACCCTCTAGGATGAACTACATTTCTTTCAAAAGCACCTGGAAAATTATAAAGAATGCATACAGTTTAGCCCATAGCCGAGAACTGAGAGATGGAGGTCAAAGTCAGAAAATCTGCGAACAGTTTTATATTTTGTTCCTGACACACTTCTCCAGATATGAGCGACATGTTAAAGAACATACAGTGGTCAGTACTGGAATTAGTGTTCCAAGAGCTAGCTTATTCCTCATGGAGAATCAGTGTTGTGGAGACCTAGATCTGCCGTATTTCAAGGCAGACTTGTCAGGGTCCAGAGAACTAATGGTCTCATAGTTTGGCAGAATAGCACACTAGTACATTTTGTTTAATGGTTATGAGTTTTATTGGGAAAGAAATGTAAGAGCCCCGCAATGTGTTCAGATCATCTTTGTTGCTGATTTGCTCCATGCTGTGTGAATGTCTTGAAATTCTGCAGTGTACTTTTGTTTATCTAAAGGACTTATGTTATGGCCATCAGACCTTTCAGAAATTGGAGTTCTATCCAGTTCTCTCCACTGATGACCAGCCTTGAAATCCCCTTCATAAGAGTCTCCCTTCCTGACATTCTGGCACTTCTGGCCAAACCCTGTCACAAAATGAACTCCTTAAGCTCTCATGCGATCCTCCCTTAAGCTCTCATGAGGAGTGCTCCTATCTGCTGCAGTTTGGAGCCTGTGTTTGCTCCCAGGTTTTAGTCTGGTTGTCTGGCCCTTCTTTCGATAGTCCTGATGGGTTCTTCAATGATTTGAGTCATTGTTGGTTTGATCGTGTTTCCACAGCAAAGTAAAATTTCCATTAATAGCCAACAAATATTAGGCTCCAAAGAAATCGCCTCTGTAGGTATGTGGGGAGAAGGGGTATATAGTACAGTGGTTTAGAGTGTGGGCTGCTCAGTTGGAAGTTCTGATTCCTCATCTATAAAAAGAAGAGATTTGTATGGATTCAATAAGACGATGCATGTAAAAGCATGTAGAATAGTAGCAGCTACACAGTGATGGCTTAATGTGGTACTTACCAGCTAATTATGTTGAAGGTATTTTATTTTTTCCCAACTCTAGCAAATTGTCAACATAGGCTTTGAAATAGCTCATCAGGCTGCACTTGGTATATAAAATTGGTATTTAAATGTAGTTAAGTTATACATATAATGTATATGAAACTAGGAAATAGGAAGCATCTATATTCAGCAGAATATAGATGTTTATATATGGATGAATATATTCAATTGTTTATAAACTCGGACTTGTGAAAATACTCTTTTGATTTTTTTATTTCAATGCAATATGTATGTATGTCAGCAAAATAATATAGGGATACTGGCCAGTGTTGAACATAACTTTATAGAGTTAGACACTATTTATGCTTGCATAAAATGGGTATTGGTAAGGTCAATGACCAAAGTAGTGTTTAACAACTTCTAGCTTTCGGAGGGCAGGGACCATATCTGTGAGTGTGTGATTTCTAAAATCCTTTTTCTTCATATTGACCTATACGTAATAGGTCAATGAATATAATGCTGAATTAAGAAGTATAAGGAGTTGTGTTGTCAGCCTTTCCCATTTGTCTCTATTGCTTCTTTAACATTTTCCTCGTCCCACAGACACAGTGGCATGGGCTGGTTTTTACAGCACTGCAGGTTTTTCCAGGGAGCAGCAGTTATCCATTCTTGGACTCACATAACACAGAAGCCAGTCAGTTGAATAGATTTAATGTGGCTCCTTCTGCAAGTGCTTATCTCGTTCACTGATTGCCTTGTAATTGTTATTACTTTGAAAACATTTCTTTTTCATCTATACACTCAGATTATATAGAAGGAGACATTTTGCCATTGAGGTATATTCTTATCAAGATGTTATTCTTCTATTTTATAAATAATACTATTATTAGACATATGATGAAATTCTCTTGTAGTCAGTGCCAAAGGAAATAAGACAATAGGCTTGTGCAGTAGGGGCTTAGCTAGATAGAGCCTATCTTGTTTTTCTTGCTTGCCTTTAATCAGTGCTCATATTCTCTTAAAACTTTCTTATCCATCTTTTGTGGGCACTATTTGTGAATTTCCTTCCTTTCTTCCTTTTCTTTTGGTGACAGTGTTTCTGTTTCTTTAATTTATCAAGGTGTCACACACAACGGTCTTATTGTATTGTGCTAAAGACATTCTCCATTTGTGAGAGTCCCTGTTTGTTGCTGGGTTTTCTTTCCTTTTGGACTAAGTAGGACATTTCTAGTTGTTTTCCCTTTGACCTTTTAAATGTATTTCAGTTCCTAACTTTGTCTGTTAGTGCTTTTCTTTTTCTTTTCAATGGCTTGAGCCCTTCTCCAAAGCAGAAATATATTTTTTAAATGGAATTCCGATCTCTGACAATATCCATTCTTTGTTGTGACTTAAAACATTTTTAAACATTTATTTAATTTATATATATTTTTAGAGATAGAGTGTTGCCATGTTGTTCAGGCTGGCCTTGAACTCCTGGGCTCAAGCAATCCTTCTGAGTAGCTGAAACTACAGACTCACTGCCATGCTTGGCTCTGTGACTTTTGAATATTATGCCTTTCTTGTGTATAGATGCCTGCAGAATCCTTTTCTCTTTGGTTTTGTTTTCTCTTTTGTCTTTTAGACAGGAGAACTTAGCTAAGAAACAGAGAAAACCCACACAGCTTTTGTGATCGAGAATGACATACACTACATATCTGAGTTTTATCATTATACACTTAAAAAGTGTGTCCTTTCTGTACCTATTTAGTTACATGCGAAGTGATTTTTGCTAGAAGACACACAAAGCTTTAGCAAATGTCTTTCTTCTGGATTTCGGAAAATGACTAGCATAAAATTAAAGGGAACAAACTCCTCAGCAATTTACATGTTCCATTTGTTTTCTTGTAAGATTTATTAATCTTTGGTACATTTCTTTCAGACAAGCAAATTTAGAGATCATGAGAGTGGTAAGTGTGCAGAATAACTTTTGGTTTTATTTGCCACTGTTAACAGTGAAAAGCAGTCATAGGTACCGTTAGTATTTTTTTTTTGATGGACCCTGTCTGTTGCCTGTTTCAGTGTTTTGTTGGATATGAGAGCCATTCTAATCATTGTTGTTTCAGAGCAAATAGCTAGTGAGTTATTTATACAGCAAGTAAGTACCAAATAAAGCCTTTTGATAGCAGGAGTAACTTGCTGTCTGTGTTATATCTTAGTTTAGATAAGCCTAGATCCTGATTCATCCCTTCCAACCTGCTTCACACATGAGCGTAGTTAAACTGGGCTCTGTTAATTGTCACCTTCCCTAGTAACCCCTTTGACTTTTGTGAATGGGCCAGATTAAAACCCAGTAAGATGTTAGGTAACAAAGGGTGAATATGTTGATTGGTTTTAAACATGTCTTTTAGTCTAGACAGAGGTACTCATATTTCCATGTGTTTTCCTTTTAAACACAGTCATCCCTGGAAAGAGGACTAGTTTGAATCCATGGATGACTCTGTTGTAATCAGTTTTACTCTTTAACTCACTTTGATTTTTCTCAATAAAATACTCAACCTCTTTGAGCCTCCATTTTCTCCATTCTTTATTCTTTGAGCCTCCATTTCTTGTCACTAAAATGAGGGTATTGTTCTCGAAGACCTTCGTGTAGTAGTCTATGATTTATAAGATGGTTTGGAGGGAGCCTCACAATATCTTTCCCTTGGGCATGAGATGTCTTGCTATCTGCTCATTACAACATATTTGGAATGGTTGGCAGCAGCATCCCCTAAAAACCATTTGTGTGGAACATTAATTGGTAAGATGCTTTATTATAAAATTTTGTACATTAGCAAATTGAAGCCTGTAAAAACTCAAGAAACAAACTTGTCACAGTGATTTCTAATCCTTTACCTGTAAAAACAAAGAGATACCAGTTATTAATATCTCACTAAAATTGCCTCCTACATATGGGAAACTAGTGTTGAAGTCGGTTTCAGAAAAAGATAGCTGAGGGAAAAGAGGAAAATGGGAAAAGGAGGAATATCTTCATGGTCTAAGTAAACAACCAAACTTTGCAGAAGGAAAGCTGTCTGGAGCCTTTGGGTCAGCAAGAGTAAAGCCCTGAATTATATGTAAATAAATGTGTTATTACTGGATCAAGAAGGGAGCATTGAAGAGAAGAAGTTTGCAAAAAGCTCTCAGGGTGACCAGTGTAACATTAGAACTCAGTCAAAAGGATTTGAGAACCAGAAAAGCATTTGATTTGATTAGTATTGGTAATGTTTCCTCTAGTGTTCTTTTCTCTAATTGCACTCTTCAGGTTAGTATCTGGCTCACTCATACTTTGTTTCTTATCTACATGCTTTATAAAAATAACTCATTTAATGCCCACAGCAACGCTAGAAGGAGGTAGGACATTAAGGCACAGAGAGTATATGAGTGGAGAGAGGAGGTTATGTTATGGTAATAAATGGCCTCCAGATCCTAGTGGGTTATAACTACAGTGGCATCCTTATTGCCCACCAGATGCCTGTGGTGGGTCAGCTGCTCTGCTCCAAGGTATATGCACTTCAGGACCCAGGCCAGTGTCCTTCTTGACCATTGCTGATCATAATGAGAGAACATGGCAGATCTTGTCTGGCTCTTAGTGTTTTCTGCACAGAAGTTATGTGTGCTTCTTTTATCCATGATTTATTGCTCAAAACAAGTGAGATGCCAAGTCTAGTATCAGTGGGGTGGGGAAGTAAAATCTTCCCAACAGAAAGGGGCAGTGTGTGTTTGTAAATAAAGATACACTCCCACAGAGAGAGTGTGAGTAACTTTCCCTAGCCAGTGAGCTGGTACGTGGAAGAGCTGGGAGTCTGAACTCAAGCAGAACAGTGTCTGACTCCCATGATGAATTAAAATGGATTTTGAGAGGTTCCCATGAAATTCATGGAGGTTTTGTGTGTGTGTGTCCGGATTACTGAACAATTATATGTAATATAAAAATCATAACTCCAGCTAGAATCATGTTGCTAGCATAGCATTAAGGTTAAGAATGAGGACTTTGGTGCCAAGAGTGCCTGTGTCCAGGTGTAGCTCTGGGACCTTGTGGAAGATACTTAATCTCTCTGTACTTTATTTTCAACATCTGTAAAATGGGGAAAATAATAGCACCTACGTCATGGTTGGGGTAAGGATTAAACAAGTTAATAACTAACGTAAAGTACTCGGAATGTAATTACTTTATAAGTGTTCATCATTATCATTATCCTCTTTTATCTTAAATGTAAACAAAATATGTTCAAAGACTGTGCTCAGCACCAGAGCTATCATCTGCCTTCGGGCACGATGGGTATCTCATATCCTTTAGGAAGTGGCTTTTTGTTGGCTCTGTGTCTGAACTCACTATTTGCTTTTCCCCTCTCTTGTGTTAAGATACAAGAAATGCCCTCATTTCTTATTTTGTTCTCTCTCACTGTGTCAGTGAAATAGATGATAATTATGAATACTTAGATTTATTTATGTATAAACAGAAAGTTTCCAGTAGCCTGTTTTGACAGAATTTTCCTGCCTGGTTGTTATCCTATTTTTTTTCTACAAAAACATTTCCTGTTGTTTGCCCACCAATTGCTTTCCTGTTTTCTGAAACACTTTTACCTCTCTTGAGAGTGTCCTAGGTGGTTACACATCTAAGAATTTTTTCTTCCTTTCAGAGTTTTACGTAGTGGAATAGATATTATTTTACAGATTGGTTCCATTCATTTCACCTCTCTTAAGATTCTAGGCTGTCTGTTATTAGGTTCTTTTATTTTTCCCTCTGAAGATTCTCATTGTTGACTTTATTGTTGATTTCAGCTACTTGTCAAATCAGGTACTAATTGAATATTGTCCACATTTGGTCACGATTTGATTTTTTACAAAGAATATAGGGAAGTCTGGCTTTCTCTTTTATTCTCTGGATTTTTACAATGGACATTCTTTTAAAAGGGTCTGTGTCTTGAAATCTTGTTATTTTGAACAGTCTTCCTGGTAATGGTGTGAAGGATAGGAATAGAACAGAAAGATACTTTCTGATTTGTTTGTGTGCCTCCTAAGACTGTACTCTCTGGCTCTAATATTATACAATTTTGTGAACATGTACACAGTGTTTCATAGTTAACTTTTCTAGGAATGTGCACAGTATAAAACGTGCTGATGGTGGTGACAGTGGGAATACACAGAAATATATAGACTTAAGCTGGTTAAGTGTTGTAGAGGGAAGAATGAAGAATGTGCTTAATATAAATTGTTAAGTCACAATAACTAGGAAGGGGTCAAGATAGTATGAAGAAAACAAGATGTAGGCTCAATGTTAGTAAGGTATTTAATGGCATACCTCAAATGGAGTTAATATAATTGAAATGGATGCAAAAACTATTGAGTTCCAAAAACAAAAAGAGATCCGGTTATTTTTTTGCTACAGGTCCAAGTAAGGATTAATTAAGAAATATATAAAAAGTGCTTTTCAAAGAAAGGATGGTATAGTAGAAGTATAAATTTTCGACCCATGTGGTAGACTCTAACAATTATTTCCTTCTCTTAGAACTGCCCCCAACCTATAAGGGACAGGACCACATCTAAGACTGTGCTATATGACCCTGCTCCCAGGTCAAAGCTGGTCACTTCAGGGTGTGTACCTCACCTATGCTATGCCAATCAGGATCTTACTCCAGAGAATTAAAACGTGGAACTGATGGAATAGAAACCAAGAGTCCCCAGAGCTCAACTAGGGCATCGTTGGAGTGTCATGCCAAGTGGTATATAAATTCTTGCTGCAGAGACCCCTGCTGCTTACCCAGCTCTTGCTTCTCCTAGAGTTTGGTGGTTCAGTTCCTCCTGAAATACCATACCGCATTCAATAAATACCTCCCCTTTCTTATTGTACCTGAAGTTTGTTTCTGTTACTTGCAACCAGGAGAAATCCAACTCATACAGTCCTGAAAAGATTAGAAAAGAAGAATCTAAACAGGATACAAAGCTCAATGATGAAAATGACTCTGAAAGGAAAGTGAGATGGGTTCTGTTAGGTTATGGACTCATAAAATGAATTGGCAGATGATCAGAGCATCAAATTACTCTTACCAAATGCTTTAGAGAAGGCTATTTAGTTGAATGGTTTATAAAAGTCAGTAAATTTATAGTGCTCCTGAGGTTTAATAATGGCTCAGTTGGGTAGAGACCTGAGTTAGTGAAGGCTTGGTTATGGGCAGACCAGTTTCAAGACCACAGGTCACCTAACTCCTTACACCCACAAGTGGCCAACATATGCTCCAATAATGGGGCAGCCAGAGAGTATATACATGTGTTTGCAAACCGTCTCCACTCTGGAATATGAACTAAGTCAATATTCCCCTAATAAAGCACTGAGGTAGCATCTTATACTGGGCATAGCAGTAGACTTAGTAAAAAGAATATGAAGATGGACATACCAAAAATGTCTATGGCTGAGATTATGTGTGCCTGTGGATGTTTAGCTATGAAGTGTGCCATTTGAATCATTCATATAGTCATCTTCAACTCTTGAGAAATGGCATGTTGAAGAAGTTCCTTAGATTGGAAAAAAACCCACTTTGCAGTAAAGATTTTATAACTCTAGAGTTATAAATTTTCATATTTGACATCTGACTTTTGTGCTCTTAACTTTTGTAAAATGTGACTGCCATTTCCTCTATGAAGGTTTCCTTGATTCTCCTGGTCGGAATCAAATACTCCTTCTGCCCAAAATACATCACACTTTGCTTGGAGCACCCATTATATCTTCCCAGGCTATGTGTATATGTATATTTGTATAGAGATGGATTATGTACAAACATACATAGTTGATAGATTTTATATTAAAATATATCTGGATGTATTAGTTTGTCAGAGCTGCTGTAACAAAGTACTGCAGATGGGGGTGGCTTACACAACAGAAGTTCGTCTTGAAGTTCTGGAGGCTGAAGTCCAAGATGCATTGACAAGGTTGGTTGCCTCTGAGTCTGCTCCATGCCTCTCTCCTGGCTTCTGGTGGTTTGCTGGCTATCTTTCTTGTTCATTGGCTTGTAGAAGTGTCACCTCAATGTATGCTTTCATCTTCACATGGTGTTCTTCCTGTGTGTGTGTGTGTGTGTGTGTGTGTGTGTGTGTGTTTATCTTCAAATTTTCCCTTTTTTTAAGAACTCCACTCCTGTCGGATTAGGACCCATTCTAGTGACCTCATTTAAAATTGATTAACTCTGTAAAGGCCCCTATCTCTAAAGCCACATCTGTAGTACTGGGGGTTAGGACTTCAATATATGCATTTTTGGGGGACACTTTCCAACTCATAATGCTGAACCATAGGTGTGTTATCTGTTTTCTGAGACTGAATGCTCTGTAACTGCAGGAACTGAGTCTCACTCATCATTGTAGTTTCCATAGAGCCTAGCAAAGCCCCTCCAACTTAGTAAGCAACATAATATTTGTGGAATAGATTGATAGCATTTCCAATTTAGCCTAAAAACCACCTTTTTGGGCCCGGTGTGGCGGCTTATGCCTATAAACCCAGCACTTGGGGAGGCTGAAGTGGGAGGATCACTTGAGCCCAGGAATTCAAGATCAGCCTGGGCAACAGAGCAAGTCCGTGTCTCTAAGAAACATTTTTTAAAAATTGAGTGTGGCAGCCAGGCACCGTGGCTCACGGCTGTAATCTCAACACTTTGGGAGGCTGGGGCACTTTTGGAGGCTTGTGGATCACAAGGTCAAGAGATTGAGACCATCCTGGCCAACATGGTGAAACCTTGTCTCTACTAAAAATACAGAAAAATAGCTGGATGTGGTGGCACGTGCCTGTAGTCCCAGCTACTCGGGAGGCTGAGGCAGGAGAATCTCTTGAACCCGGGAGTCAGAGGTTGCAGTGAGCCGAGATCGCGCCACTGAACTCCAGCCTGGTGGCAGAGGGAGACTCCGAAAAAAAAAAAAAAAAAAAAAAAAAAGAACAGGGCATGATGACCCACACCTGTGATCCCAGTTACTCAGGAGGCTGACATAAAAGGATTGCTTGAGCCCAGGAGATTGAGGCTGCAGTGAGCCATGATCACACCACTGCACTCTAGCCTGGGCAACAAAGTGAGACCCTATCTCAAAAAAATAATGATAATAAAACCACCATTTTGTTGAGCTGAACTCACCCTCGTGTGTGTAAATCATTCCACAAATGAAGGAATGTTTTAGTGTATAAACTTTCCTGTGTGACAGTCCATCAGGGATTCCATCAGTACCTCCTTCAACTCTTCCCTTTGGAACTCACAAACCTTCTTTTTCTGAGCCTAGATAAATGGCTCAAGCCTCCTCACAGATACTATGTTGGGGCCGTTGTCAAAACAGAGACAGAATGAGATTTCAGAGGCATAGATAATTGAAAGTCGTGAAAACTAAATTAGTTGTCATGTAAGGGCTATCGTCACCCCCTTTCCCCACAGGTATGTAATGCTCCTTAGGAGATGATTAGCATGCTTGATTAGCATGTTTTTTTTCCCTCAAGAATTCCCTTTCCATATTAAGCTACATATAGTTCATCTGTTTTGAATGTTACCAAAATTGATGGAACAACTTGAACATTATTAATAAAGTTCTGTTGTTTTTAAAAGTTTGTCTTAATTGTCAGACATAACACAAACCTAGATTTATTTTAGTGGAATTTTAAAATTTAAAGAAGAAATATCAGGGTGGCAAAGTGGGGTTGCAGAGGCAGGGGTATACCTGGAAACATAGGGAATTCCAAGTTTCTTAGAGAGCGTGGCAACATAAGGAATACCCATTCAGAAACCTAGATTTTCCACAATAATTAAGAAATTAAGTGTTTCTTCAATGATTTATAAGAAGTATATATCTCAAGGAAAGCTTTTTTTTGAAGTGTTTGACTTTACACTCGAGGAAGAAGTAATTGCAAGAGTTAAGATTAGAAATATCTGTATTAAAATTAGGCGAATTTTTGCTCTAATATGTATTTTAGAAACATTTTAGGTAGGAGTGCTTTGGGATTTCACTCTGTACCAGAGAGGAGGAGGAGAAAATGGGTTACTTTAATTCAGTATTGTGCTAAATTCAGGCTCTTCCAACTTTATCAAAAATTTGAGGATGAAAGCATATATTATTCTAATGAAAGCTCACAGTTCCAAGTAGAAATAAAAAGGAGAAAACCCAGAAGGACAAATGCACTTCTTCACTGGATATTTACTACCAATATTATATGGAGCATCTAAAATGTACAAAATGCTACACATATGACTGTTGTAGTAGGGAGTACAGGTAGCTTGTGTGGTTTTATTGGCTTATTTTGTCAAGATCTGGAACATGCGATTAGTTTCTGATATTGAATATGAGCGAAGGCGTTTGTAAT
Source organism: Homo sapiens (assembly GCF_000001405.40). NCBI lineage: Eukaryota > Metazoa > Chordata > Mammalia > Primates > Hominidae > Homo > Homo sapiens. Next base: position 133,224,373 of record NC_000002.12, on the reverse strand, counting down.
CTTGCCTCAAGTCAGTGAGACCATCTTTGTTCTGAAGCATGATCGTTCATTTATTAAGGATATGTTTGTGCTCTGGATGCAGAAAGACCACAAAGTCACAGCCTTCTAGGGACTTACCTCCCACTAAGGAGATAAATAGGTAAGAAGGCACTTGTTACTTCATGGACTGCATGAGTGACTGTATGGATGGATAAATGAACGAATGAATGAAAATGTGGGTGTCATTCGAGGCACCGTTCTTGAGAGCAGAAGAACAATTTTGAGAATACATATATAGGATAAGGATGTAGAGGGCTACGTTTTATTTTCCAGGAGCTCCAGAAAGCTAGTTAAGGACAAGCCTGTGGATAACACACCTTCAGAAAGTCAGGCCACTAAAATTAGGATTTTTGTTAGTTTGTGTTTACTAACTATCTCTGTATTCCAACACACTGAATTCTTTAAAAAGTCTCTGTGTTAATTTTTGGGAGGATTGGGGTACATTCCTTAATTGGCATAGTGCAATTTATTAAAGTCTTGTGCTTTTCCAATGTTGGTGAGTTTTACATGCCAGTCCTGTTGAGTTTCCTGCTGACTGACCTCACTGCACAAAATCCTGTGAAGATCCACAACTTAGAACACGCTCTAAACTTACCGACTTTTATGCTTTATGGATGTTGATAGAGTCTCCTAAAGCATATAATCAGAGTGATTTTGTTGCTGTTTTAAAGTTTTGGGGGCAACAGTGATGTTACGTATTGGAAAAAAGTATATAAAGACATTTCTTTCATATGAGTTGCGGCTCTAAAAGTTTTCTAAAATCTCCTCTCACCCTGTCAGAGGGGATGAGTAATTAAATGATCTGCCATGGAAAGGCTAATTAACTTAACCATTACTCAGGGACTGCCGTCGCTGGTCTCCCCATCTGCCCACACGACAGGTGCACCTGGCACTCGACATTGTCATGGCCTCTGCGGCGGGTGACTCCCCAGGGCACTTCTGTGTGGGGAGAGAATGGGTCTTGGCCTCCTCAGAGGAGCAAACCTGTTCTCCCCACATGCATACCAGATCGCCACCGGGCTCTTATTCTTGGGATCCACCAGAAATGGGGAAGGTTGATGATTAATTGAATCTTCTGTTTAAGATTTTAGTGTATGACTCTGTACCCCAAGGCATAAATGAGAGTAATCATCTATCTAATTTCAATATAGACATTTGGTGATATCTTCACAGGGAAACAATATGGGGTGGAGGGGGTTGTTAACTGACAACAAAACCTATGCCTGAGCATAGGTTTATATTGGGAGTTTGATTAGTATTTTTCTTCTACTCTGCAAAAATGTGGATTTATAGTATTTGGAATTCAATGTGTTCCTGGAAATTTGTAATGGTGGTTTTCCCATTGATTCACATTAAAATGGTCAAAAATGTGTTGTGTCCATGGAGACCCCAAATTCTTGCATTATTTGTGATGACCTCACTGGCAGTAGAGACAGTGGTAACAGGCAATGGTAGCTACAGAGGCACAAGTTCTAACAAATAGGATTATAGCTAAATATATATTCATTGCTATTTTACATATTTGTTAAAGCATGAATGGCCATATTTAAACTTTTGAGCAGTGGGATAATAGGCATGCTTTCCAGTCTGCATGAGCAGCCTCCATTTATCCATGGAAGGCAGGCATTGCTGCATGTTAGCAATGTTGACCAGGAGCCTCCGGGGGCCCTATGACCTTTTTAGAGATCCACGGGGTCAAAACTGTTTTTATAACTATTTTGTTTAAATAAGAATACTAAGATGTTATTTTTTAAGAATATTTTAAAAGAATTTTTATAAGAATACTTAGAATTTTATAAGAATACTAAGATGATATTTGCCTTCTTTGTTCTCATTCTCTCATGAGTATACAGTGGTTTGCCAGAGTCCACTCCATATGTGACATTGCAGCATATTGAATGTATTAATAGAAGCAAATATGATAATCCAGATGTCATTTTTGTTACCTAGATATTAAAGACTTTTGCAGAAGTATAAAACAGTGCCACTTGTTTTATTATATTTTTGAAAATTATAGTCATATTTTATAATTATGTTTATGTTAACCTGTAATATAATTACTATTGCTATTTTAAATTAATATATATTTTTAAGTTAATTTTGGAGATGGTAAGTATCAATAGACATAACTGACAAAAACAAAAGCTCTTTGGGATTCTCAGTAATTTTTTTGCAGAGTGTAAAGGGGTTCTTAATCCAAAAAGTTTGATTAACTTTTATATCATAGAGATGATAATAATACCTACCTCATGGGATTCTCTGAGGTTTAAGTATATCATGTGAAGTGTTTAGAATAGTGCCTGACATAGCAACTATTCAATAAATATCAGCTATTATGGTTATCTTTTTAAATGCAAAAGTAAAATAGGTCCAGTATCTCTCAAAGAAGTGACCTGGAATAAAATCCTGGCACCAAAGTGGCAGACCATGGTGCTGAACAAAAGTCTAACAGCATTGCATTCAAAAGACTTAATGAAGTTAGAGAATAACATAGAATATGTGATAGACATTCTTCCTAATTAAAATATTTGTGAGGACAGATCTGTTCTCCTATGTAATTTGTTGCTGAAAAGTCTGAAATTGAAAAAATCTTAGAAATAGCAGAAAGTGCCTTCTTATTTAAAGGAAGTTCAGATTTGATCTTTTGATAAAATAGCCACCTACCATGTTTTAAAATCTGGCTTTGAATACAGAGTGTTGTACTTACTGCGTCTTATGACACTCGTGTGTAGGCATGTGCGTAGGCATGCTTTCTCTGTCTATCAATCCTGAAGTCTTTGAATTTGGAACTGTATTATTATTTGTGTTTATTTCTCAGACCCTAGAATGGTACCAGGCCTGTAGTAAACTCACATTAAGTGTTTGCTGAATGCATAAAAATTTCCATTATTGTTGGATTATATAGTTTCAGTTAGCAAAATATTCTGAATTAATAAAAACCAATATAGGTGTATTTAATACATAAACATAAGTAAGTTTTAAATACTTTATAGAAACTTAACCTAAAAATCAAAACTAACATGAACCTAGAGTTTTGTATGGAGAGTATTATGGGATTCTTTAATATCACAATATCTTTACCACAGTAAAGGAAACTGACTTTGGATTGCTAAGATGCCCAAGAAAATTTTTCCTTTTTAAATTCATATGTAAGCATGTTTATTTGTTATACTTTATTTTCCTGGAAAGATCAAGTGATCACACAGATCATCCTGCATGTTCATCAACTCACAGAGTATTTCACATATTAACAGTTTGCTTGACGTGAGCTGGATTCATACCTTTTAAGTGCGTTGCATATATAGGGTATTTGTGACCGTGAGACTTAACAATGAGTAGAAATAATTCTTCCCACTTACACTAAGTGCCGTTGCTGCTCTTCCATCAGGGCATCCTCACAGGGGCACCATCTGCCTGGTGGAGAGTGGGGCACACAGCATCTCCATGCTCTCCCATTCAGGTTGGGTATAAGTCCTGGGCTTCCTGAAGAGTGGCAAGGGAACATTGATTTGTCTCCCAACAGGCATGCCCTGGGACACTCTCGCAACAGATGGCTCTGTAGCACCCTGCAGCCTGAGGTCTCCACATAACACAAACTGAATATATTCCTCCTCTGCAAGCTGCTTTCTCCTTGGGGAATGCTTTTTTTTTAAACATGCAAACCTTGCAGGTCTTTTCTGAATTTTACGAATGCCAACATCCTGTTGGCTTCATTGGGAACACTATTTCCACAGGCTTAACTTGCAGAGGTGTCAGTGGTATTCTGAAGAATATATAAGAATATATAAAACCTATAAAATGTTGTTTATGATCTTTAGTTCAGATAGTCTGGGGCTATATTGAAGGGCTTTAGAAACCTGGAACTAATTGTCCATTTGGATATAAAATTGAGTAAGAAGAGTAGCTCTGTTTCATTCTTCCTGGAGAGAAAAGTTGTCTTTACATTTAACTGTAAGAGAAGTAAGTACTGTGGTCTCTTGTTTCATCGTTTGTATTTTCTTTATATTCTTTTTTTATACCTGTTCAGTAAATAAGAATCCACAGCTCTTGATAAAATATCCCTGTGCATTTGTTTGGCAATCATAAAGTCAATACCCACTTCATAATGAGCTACTGGCTTTGCCACAAACAAAACAAAACAGTGATGCATTGCAGAAGCACAGTTGTCTGTTTCCAGCAGATGAACTGAGGCCTTTAAATGGGAGCAAGGGTGTATGTGTATGTGAGTGTATTTAATTTGTCTTGGGTAGCTTGCAAATCCAGCATTCTTTATTTTCTACACAAAGCTGTTTATATGAACTGTGAATTTGCATGAAAAAGATACTAGTCCCAATTGGTTTCACACATATATTGGGACCATGGAGGTTTGAAAATATGGCGTGCCAGGAACTACTAAACGCAAGGACAAATGAGATTCTGTGAAAAAGACAGGGCCATTTATTTTTAATATTTTGATTGAGTTGATAATTTGATTCCAGAAATAACATCTAGAAATACTGAGTATTTTATCATAGAAGTTTTTACCATGTCAAGAACTTCACCACTTCCTTAGTTTTAGAAAAGAAAGACCCTTTCATACAAAAATAACGTTTTCATGCAAAAATAAAATACAAATTCTACTTAAAAAAAAAAAACTCCAGCTGATGTAAAATGTACACACAAGGACTTGAAATATTTGGAATATACAAGTTACTGAGGAATCCCTTATTTGTTGTGTTTTAGCATTGGAAACCCACTTTTAAAAGGGAATATAATTCAGAAGCCTAATATATAAAATAACTTAGAGTTGGAGTGCTCTTGCTGTCGTGGGACTTAGCTGCCACTGGCTTTGCCCACTGACTCCATGGGAGGCCCCTGAACTGTCCCTTGGACCCCTGAGAGATCTTTGTTGGATAATCTAATAGGTTGCATTTCCTGCATAAATGTCTTAAAACAATTACGGAGCATGGTCCCCAAAAGACATTTGTGTTTGCTGTTCTTGCAAATTCTGCTCCTTCATCACCTAGCTGCCCTGAGTCAGGGTAACTTCCAGTTGTCTACACCTAGGCAATTTCCCCAGTTGTCGATACGGAAGGCTAGCAGCCGGGCTGGGGTTGGGGATTGCCTCCCCTGTGGCCTACACTACTCTGAAATTTTCCATGTTTGCATCACCTGTTTCCACGTGGCTGTTTGAATTTGGGCATTCCTCCACTCATGTGGTAGGTCAGATATAAAACGGTGTTTCTAGTTTTTATGTATTTTACTCTCTGTTTCACCAAATCAAGTGGCTAGAATGCTGCCCCTTTAGAGATAGCCCATTCGTGTTGATTCATTCATTTTGTTCCTTCTTTATTGAATGCCAAAGAATATAATGTGTGGACAGTCTACAAAATTTCATGATTTATTAATATAGTATTTTCCTTTTTAAAAACTATGTAATGACTAAAACCATTATGGTTTTCTTTCAAATTGAATTAATAAGATTTGAGAAGCACATTACAGTGTGACAGTCCTAATAGTTTATAAAGGCCATCTCTTTTAAGCATAAAGTAGTGATGTTCCTAACATTTACACTGTATTAGGACTCTTTTATCATTTAGTAGGATGGTGGGGATAAGATTGGCTTTTGATCTGTTCCTGGAAATGTCTCTTTTATGTTACACTGCTCTTGTGAGAAATTAACATACCATTAACATATATATTAAACCTTTCTCTGAAGCTTCAACAATTAAGAATGAGGATTCAAGGCAATTTTCTAGAACATTCTTACATTCCTAGTTCCGTATCTGTCTTTCAGTTGAAGTTCTCAAAGTTTGGTCCTGGGACCCTGGGTATCTCCAAGACCCTTTCAAAGGAACTGCAAGATCAAAACTATTTTTGTCATAACACTAAGATGATATTTGCCTTTTCCACTCAGCTTCCATGAGTGGAGTTTTCTAGAAGTCTTATGACATGTTCTGTCATAACAGATTAAATGCTGAAGCGGATGTGAAAATACACGTGTCTTCTATTAAGCCAGACGTTAAAGAGAGTTGCAAAATTCTAAAGCAGTATCATTCTTCTCACAAAATTTATTTTTTCCCTTTATTTGCAAAGTGTATTTTTGTTTTGGAATTACTGTTTAGGATGACTTTTAATAAAAATGTTTTACTTATGTTGGCATGGGTTTATTGGCTTTTTGGTGATTTAATAAATATTTTAATAAATTACATTTTTATTTATATGTCATAAATATCAATAGATAATAACCCATAACAACAAAATCTCTTTGGGATCCTCAGTTTTTCTGCATACAAAAGGATCAAATATTTGAGAACTCAGTATTCAAATATTTGGGACCTACTGTTCTACAGTCCCCTCATTCAGTGCTCTTACTTAGGAATTTACTCTGTTGAAGCTTACTCACATATTTATCTGGTGGCCTATGGAAGTTGTACTTTTCGTAATTTTAGAATGTATGTAAAAAAGCTTTTGTGGTTAACCAGAACCAGAGGATACCCTGTGGGAATCAGGGTATATGTGTGCAGTGTACCTGCGTTATGTACTATGTAAATGCAAGATGGTAATATTATTTAAAATTCTGTTATGCCAGGCAAGTTGGTATTAGATTCTGTAACTGATTCCTCATTCAGCAAATCACAAATATTTATTTTGTTCCTACTAAGGGGCCTTAGTAGTGTTAAAGAGATGAACTAAATATAATCTCCACTCAGGCAACCGGCTGTTACAGTAAGATACTAACTACGCCACAACTGACCACCTGCAAAAATGAATGGATCATCATTTTTGGTTGCTACTGTTGTGGTCAAGGAGGAATTTATGGTCTTATTTAGAGGAAAAATATATTGAATAAACAGTCGAGTAAAATATGAGACAATGTGTTTAATATACTTTAGATGAGAAGTTAAATATCTCCATGTTTCAGTATACAGAGAAAAGAGTGTGGCAAGTGAATTCAGGTATTGGTGTAGGAAGTTAATTATCATTAGCATCAAAGTAGCTTCTGGTGTTCTGGCAGTGTTTCTGTTTTTTTGTTTAGGTGGGACTAATACGGACATGTTCACTTTGTGATTATTCAGCAACCTGTGCTTTTATGATATTTTTCTGCGTACTTTATACTTCATTACAAAAGTAAAGAGAAACTTTTAAATTTAAAATATCTCTGTAACATGTTAAACTGTTTGCAGTATGTACTTAAAAACGTTTGTCCAAAGACTCGTTGCTTATAGTGACTTCTTATTTTGCCTTAATTTACCAAAGCTTCTCAATAGGTGCCTCTCAGGTCCGAGGCAATGAGTCATTTGATGCTGAATCTTCGGTTGGTGAATAATCTATCCTTTATCTTTCTAGTAATGCATTATTATAATGTTTTTAATAAAAATAACATGAGCCAGTTGGTTTTTAAAAATACATGTTTTGCGAAGTTTTTTAATCAAAGTAGTACATGCACATACTTTGGAAATCAAATGCAATGGTAACATCTGTAAGATGTACACACTGCCTTCCCTACCTCTGCATCTTACTCCTCCGACACAGCCACTCTCCTTCTTCTAGATCTACCTTCTAAGTTTTGCCTCCTTGTATCTGAATTATATGCCTGAACTTCTGTTTCTATATCACTTTTAAACATTATGTATTATCTTTCTATTATGGAAGATAAGAATTTAGTGTTTCTGTACCAACTGTTTCTCTGTGCTTCCCTTTCTCTACTTTTTTCACTAAATAGTAAATTAATTTAGTTAATAATTAAAATGATAAATGTCATTCACAGCTGAGTCTAGTAGAAGTTTAGAATTGCATTTCTAGAATAACTTTGTTTTTACTAGCATGAATAATTGTCACTTCCTGCCATTGGCTTACGTTTTCATGTTCCAATTTCTTGTTCTTAAGCTTTAAAATAAAACTCTACATCTCTTCTCAATACTTACGAACACATAGGTAATTTATTTTGGTTCAACTTTGTTTTATTCTTGGAGTCATCCTCCTGAGGCTCTCCATCCTCTTGCTGCAGTCCAGATTGGTTATTCTCTGGATTCTTACACAGCTGTTGTCCAGGAGCTTCTTTTTACCAAGAAAAGAAAAAAAAATCCAATTATTTATTGGATTTCTTGTTTCTCGTTACCTAGTCTTGCTCTTTATTTGGTAGAGTTATATGTATCAGTGAATAGGAATTTATAGATTTATTTGATACAGATTTTGACAGTGTAATAATATTAAGTCTTTCAATCCATGAATGTGATATATGTTTCTATTAGTCTCCTTTAATCCTTCTTAGCAGTGTTTTGTAGTTTTTAGTGTGGCCGTCTTGCAAATCTTTTGCTAAATGTTTTAATTTTTGACATTATTAGAAGGAGATGCTTTAAAATTTTATTTTCCAATTGTTTGTTGCTAGTAAAATATAATTAATTTTTGTTCATCGGCTTCTATCCTCTGACTTTGCTAAATTCACTTATAAGTTGTGTAGTAAATTTCATCAGATTTTCTACTTAGAAAATAATGTCATCTGTAAATAGAGACAGTTTTACCCCTTCCTTTTTGATATCCATGTATTTTATTTCTTTTTCTTGTCTTATCAAATGGTATAGGAGTTTTGCTTCTATTTGCACTTTATATAAATAGGAAATAAAGTATATACATTTTGTACTTGCTTCTGTTACTCAACAGCATATTTGCAGTATTCCATACATTGTTGTGATTAAGTGTAGATTATTCCTTTTCAGTGTTGTATAGTATTCCATCATGTAACTGTGCTAAAGTTGACATATCTATTCTATTGTTAATGGGTGTGTGCATTTTCAGCTTATAAGATTACTAAAGTGCTGTTATGAACATTCTGGTACATGTCTTTTGGTGAACATATAGTTCTGTTCAGTTTAGAGCTCAGAGTGGAATTGCTGGTTCATAGAGTATGGAGTATGTGATTCTCCTGTTTTCTTTGACTTTATAAGTATTTGCCAGTGTTACCTCTATACTACATTTTTAACAGTTTCTGGGGAGAGAAGAGATAAATTCATGTGTTTAATTTTCATATTAAAACAGAATTCATTCATATCCTTCTTTTTCAATTATTTGTTCCCTTAATTTGTTCTTTTCATTGAACTTATTTGATCTGTTCATCAGAACTTGAGTCAGAGAACACACAGGAGCTTTCTGCCTTGATTACTTGGCCTCTCTACATGGCTTCCATCCCTTTGTGGCTCCTTCCTATCTACTCTGTTGCCCCTTCTTAGAAGTGTACTCACAGGTGCTGCCACAGGCTCCCAAAACTTGTATACCTGGAATGTCTCCTAGTCTAGTCTCCCTTCTTCTAGTCTGTGCCTTTAGGTATTTATTCAGAGAGAACTATTTCTACTAAAAGACTGCCCAGCTGCAACCAAACAAAAGCACGTGTCTTCTTGGTAGTCCTAGGCATTTCAAAGATCCAAGCACTTAGGAGAGAAGAAGTTTTCACTTCTCTTTTCCCCAGTGGGAAAATTTTCTGGGGATTGAACTGCATCCTTTATGTTTACATATAGCTGATTGCATATAGCTGATCCTGGGCAAAGAGAAGACTAAGGGATGAAATGTCACTCAAATAATTTCTCATCTTGATAGTAGTATAGTAGTAGAAGAATATCAGGGGAAATACTTACTAAAGCTAACATTTTAGGGATTACCAGAAGAATTCACTTACCCCTATGACATCTAATCAATTATTTTAAAGAACAATTGAAAAGCTGTCCAAAATGCAGTCATCTATCACTTTACAAAAGTATTCTAAAAATTTTGGTGAATATTGGATATATTTTAAGTGAAAGCAGAATTATAAGGGATCTAAAAATGAACCCCATTGTTAAATAAGGAGTACTAAAATAAATAAATAATCTGATTTTTAAGTCTACATTTTATATTACCTACACACTGAAGAAATGATAAGCAGACTTTTTATTTAGGCTTTGAAGTAAGGAAATCTAAAATTTGATTCCAAAAAACTACTATATACCAGCTGAGGACTCAGTGTATTAGCCTTTTTGGGCCTCAGTTTCTTCATCTATAAAATGGGCATAATGAAATCACCCATGGGATTGTTGTCAGGCTCAAATGAGAACAGGTGCATTGCCCAGCATGATGCCTGTTATGTAGCAAGCATGCAAATGATTTTCTATTGTTATTTTAAAAGTAGTAAGGAGTTATATTTTGTTTGCTTCTTAATATTATTGGTGTGGAGAGCAACAAAAGAAATAAAAATAATTAAAAATGCTTAAGCAAAGTTGATAGAGAAAAGTCAACTAAAATACTATAGCCATGAAAAATTTATTTGTGAGTGATATATGTTAATGAACTAAAAGCAAAGCATCTACTCACCATTTAACGTTTATTTGGCTATTGTAAAATCTATGGCAAATTTCATGACACTCAATGAAAACAATGCATTCATGACCAATCAGTTTAAATATTTATAGAAAGTATAGAGGAGGAAGTGAGCTAAACCAAGGAAGGAATTCCTCTAGAGACCTCAAAAGAATGTTTCACGGCCATGCCAGTGTCACCTCTACCCTGAGAATGGTCAACTAATCATGTGTTTTTGTTTCTTCAGGGAGAAGTTGGCAGTGGCCCGACTACAGCGAGAAGTTGCCCAAAGAACAAGTGAGGGGGCCATGGTAAGTCCTGACTGCCGTCCCCTCATTCCACAACATCCAGAGGTCTCTGGCTTGAAAGCTACTTTGCCTCATTAAGGATATCTAAGGAAAATATTTGCTTGCAGCAAACTTAATGATATTTTGGCAAATGATGTATTTATAATAGAATTTATACAGCTCTGCCATTTGCCATCAGAGTGAGAGATATTAATTGAAAAAAAAATGAGGCTTTAAATAAGATGTTCACATGTCCAAGGATTATAAGGCTTTGTTTTCTGAAGGTCAGACTTCCAGCAGTGGGCACAATGTCCACAAATGAGCAACAGTTCAACATAATTCAAACCTCTCAGCTCTTTGAACTTAAAAAACAAACAACAGCCATCTTAGTGTTCTGAAAAAAGAACACCAAGATGTTTGCTAATGTAATTGTCTTTATTATTTTCCTTCTCTTCACTATTTGCAATATATTTTTCCTTGTCCTTTTCAGCTTGTGCCATTTGGAAAACTGATGTTTCCTTGTATTTTGAATTGTACTAAAAATCAATACAGTTATTTTGGTCCATAGCAACTTCATTTTATAGACTGTCTTTGCCGAAGTATCTGCCTCTGTGCCTCTTATAACATCAGAGATGACTGTCTGGGGACCTGGGGAATGCATGCGTGGAGTAACTGCTGTTGCTACTTCTGAAACGAAAATACAGCACCAGATTTATTTTTTCCTCCACTTATGGAAAAACAATGGAATGTGTGCAAGCTTTCAGTAAAAGAATTAGATAAGTAGTACATTTTTATACCCTGAAGTCTGCTTCCATTTGATTTCATGAGAGTTAATTGACAGGCCATCCACTGAAAAGGGTAAGACATTTGTAAAATATGCTGGCCTCATACTTCTGTCAACAGGGAAATCAAAGGGCTAGAGTAAGATGCCAAATGTTGAGTGGGGTCTGGAAGGCACAGTGGCCCTTGAACATGCTAAAATACTTAGGAAGGTGATCACAGTGTTTATTTTGCTAGGGATCTTAATGCAGAAAGAATCTTGAATGTTCAAATGGTATGAAGAAACATTCACGGCTGGGTGTGGTGGCTCACGCCTGTTATCTCAACACTTTGGGAGGCCGAGGTGGGCAGATCACCTGAGGTCAGGAGCTGGAGACCAGCGTGGCCAACATGGTGATACCCTGTCTCTACTAAAAATACAAAAATTAGCTGGGCGTGGTGGTGGGCACCTATAATTGCAGCTACTCAGGAAGCTGAGGCATGAGAATCATTTGAACCTGGGAGGCGGAGGTTGCAGCGAGCCGAGATTGTGCCATTGCACTCCAAAGACCCTGTCTCCCAAAAACAAACAAATAAATAAGGAAACTTTCACAAGCATCTTTGAGCAATGAAATGGAAACAAGAGGGAGAAAATAAAGGCCTAGTTGGATGGTGGACTGAGCATTTCCAATCTGGACTTTTCACTGCATTTCAAAATGTTGATGGGCTAGGTCATTCTGTAATGTTTCAGTCTTTTGTTTAAGACTAGCTCCTGCTCACCACTTCGTCAGCGACGTTCTAGTTGAATATGAGGAAGTAACTTAACTTTCGTAGGTCAGTTTCCTCATCTTTAAAATGGGAAGGTGGGAATTTTGTGATTCCTTTAACTTAGTGGATCATGATTTTGAGCATTTGCCCGTGTGAAGTTTTCGTGATATGAATCTCTTTCAGGTAATAACTAAATTTCATTTAAGCTCACAGGAAGAACAGGCCTTGAAAGAATGAACTTTAATTCTTTCTCACTCTGACATTGAATGTACTTGAGTTGAAATGATCTCAGACAGCTGTCTAGTCTTTTACAAAGACAAAACCCCTTTTTAAAACATTATAGAAGTTCAGTGTAGAAAATACCCAGAAAACACAGGCACAAGGACAAGCCCAGTTGCTCAAAAAATGACTTTGGAAAAGTTACGAATGTTTCATTATTCTAATTTTAATTATGGTAATGAAAAATCACACGTTTGTATTGATTGGTTAGGCAAATGTTTATAAAAAAACCATTTATTATGTGCCCAGCACTATTCTAGGCACTGGAGAAAGAGTGAACACAGGCAAAATCTGACAGCTTACAGTCTAGTGATTGGTGAGACAGATATTCAATGTAATTAAAATGTTAGGACATAGAAGCAGCTATGAGAAAATAAAAGAGCAGGGTAGGGGAGTTTGGTAGTTATAGGAGCTCACCATTTAAAATAGAACATGCATAGTATTGGGAGGCCATTGGAGGAGGATCATTTGAGCTCAAGAGTTTGAGCCCAGCCTGGGCAACATAGTAAAACCCTGCTCTACAGAAATATAAAAAATTAGCCAGGCGTGGTGGTGCATGCCTGTGATCCCATCTACTTGGGAGGCTGAGGCAAGAGGATCATTTAAGCCCAGGAGACAGAAGTTGCAGTGAGCCATGATCATACTACTGCATCCCAGCCTGGGTGACAGAGCAAAACCCTGTCTCTAAATAAATAAATAAAATAGAACAGGCATAGTAGTAAATCACTGAAAAGTTAGTATCTGAGCAAAACCTGAAGTAGGTGAAGGAGTTTTTACCATGGGGATGTCTGGGGGAGGGGGATTCTGGCAGGGGTATCAGCAAATGTAAAGGCCTGGAGTGCCAGGGGACTGCATGCGGGCAGGGCTGGCTTGAGAGGAGTGAGGGGAGAAGGTGAAGAGTAAAAGAGAAAGAAAAAAGTGATGGGGTTGGGGGGGTAGGGAGGGTTGGGGGAATGGGTGCACCCTCAAGGTCTCAACGGATCCCTGACTCATGCTTTGAGAGATGGGAACCATTGGAGGGCTTCTAACAAGGCCTAAGTATTAAGTGATTGAACTTAATACTATTCATATTTATTCTTATCATCTCCCTTCCCATTCCATGATTTGTCACATTTCAATTCCTTGGAGACACCATGAGCCCTGACTTTCATTAATTTATTTTAGTTTTTCTCCCTGTTCCTCAGTAACTATTTCTCCCTGTTCCTTTGCATAGTCAAACTCTTCTGACTTTTCTATTTAATTATATGCTTCAGCTTTTCTGCTCCTAGAATTCATTTATTTCTGAAGTCCTGATTCTTTCAGTATCTGACAGCTCCTAAAAAATCAGGCTGTTCTATTAATCCTTTAAATTTAATTATTGCTGTTACAAGGTTTGTTTCACAGAACTTTTGTTACGTCTGTAGCAGAAATGGAAAACAGTTCATCACAACTAGATCACCATGTGTATTTAGAGACTACTGTTTACAGTTTTTTTTATATTTTTATTCACATGAAAGGAAAAATGGTATAGAAGAAATTATGTAAGCAGTCTTTACAGAAAAGCTATATAATTAAATTGAGGCTGATATTTATTTTTAAAGTCATCAACAAACCTGTTATAATCAAAATCTTCAATACAAAGCATGCCTCTTTAAAATTTGGTTTTATGCAATAAATCTCTACACTTACAAGTTTTAAGATAGTCCCAAAGCAGCATTTTGAGAGATTTATTTTACATTACATTACATTATATTATGTTATATTATATTATATTATATTATTTATTTTTGAGATGGAGTTTCACTCTTGTTGCCCAGACTAGAGTGCAGTGGCCCGGTCTCGGCTCACTGCGACCTCTGCCTCCTTGGTTGAAGCGATGCTCTTGCCTCAGCTTCCAAAGGAGCTGGGATTATAAGTGCTCACCACCACACCCAGCTCATTTTTGTATTTTTAGTAGTGATGGGGTTTCACTAAGTTGGCCAGGCTGGTTTCGAACTCCTGACCTCAGGTAATCCCGCCTTGACCTCCCAAAGTGCTGGGATTACAGGCATAAGCCACCACACCTGGCTGAGATTTCTTTTATTTTTTAATAAGCTTTTAATTTTGAAATAATTTTAGATTTACAGAAAAGTTACACACCTGCCTACCCTTTACTCTGTTTCCCCTAGCATTAAACATCTTACATAACTATGATGTAATTGTCAAAACTAAGAGATTAACATTGGTATACTACTACAATTAAACTTAAGACTTTATTAGAGCAGTTTTTCTAGCAATGTTCCTTTTCTGATCTGGGATCCAGTACAGGGTACCACACTGCATTTTCTTCTAAAAAGAAGATGACTTCTTTTTAATGGCTAAGTGAGCGCATATGTAGAAGTAGAAGTAATGCGAGCTTGAAAGTGAGACCAGCCTGGATCCAAAGTCCATCCCCACCAGTAGTTACCTAAGTAATGTTAGCTTGGACATGTTACTTCACTGTTTTTTTGTTTGTTTGTTTGTTTAGTCAATTTTGTCTGCTTTTTTGTTCTGTTAACTCAGATCTTTATTTTTGGCAACTTTCCTCAGCATACTAGATGTTTTATATTTGTTTTCTTTGTTCTTAATTTCCTCTTCCAGGAAATAAATGCCACCACCGTTTTTCATACTTACTGTTCAGTATTTTTTACAAACTCTCTGAGATTATATTTCTGTTCATTCTGGGAGGTTGTTTCAGCTTGTGCTGAAATATCACTGGCTCAGTTTACTGAGAGGCCTCTTCTGTCCTTAACACTTCAGTGTTGTCTTCAATATTGGTATGCATAAAAATGGTCCATCCTACCCCAAGAGTATGAAGGTATTCATTCTCATTATCTTCTAGAACTTTTATAGTTTTTTAATGTAATTTTTTGCAAATTTCAGATGGAATTATTTTGACATGAGGTAGAGATCAGAGAGAAATTTTTCCCCAAATTAATAGCTAATTTTTCGACATCATTTAATGAACAGTGCAGCCTTTATTACTACCCTTACCATATTACAAATGCTCATATCAACCTGCATCAATTACTTGACTGCTTATACGTTTCTGTTGAAAGTTCTGTTACGCAAACTAGTCCTGAAAATAGAAAATGAGATCCTCAACTCACTTTTAAAAAATAAACACTTTTTATTACAGAAAAATTGCAAATATAGTCTAGAGTGTTTTTGTGTATCTTCTACCCAGTTTTCTCTATTATGAATACTTTGCATTAGCATGGTACACTTGTCATAGTTGATGAGCTAATATTGATACACTATTAATGAAGTCCATGCTTTATCCAGATTTCTGTAGTGTCCTTTTTCTGCTCCAGGATCCAATCCAAGAAACGCATTAAATTTACTTATCATACTCCTAAAGCTTCTCTTGGTTTTGACAGTTTCTCAGGCTTTCCTTGTTTTTGACAACTTGGTAGTTTTAAGAAGTACTGGTTAGGTTTTTTGTGGCATTTGTCTCATTGGGATTTGTCTGATGTTTTTCTGACGATTAGATTTGGGTATATTTTTGGGAAGTAAACCATGAGTTAAATTGCCATTTTTTATCACACCATATCAAAAGTATATATTATCAACATGACTTGTCACTGTTTTTTTGTTTTGAGATAGGGTCTCGCTCTGTTGCCCAGGCCAGAATGCAGCGGTACAGTGTCAGCTCTCTGCAGCCTCTCCTGCCGGGCTCAAGAGTTTCTACCACCTCAGCTTCCTGAGTAATTGGAACTACAGGTGCAAACCACCATGCCCAGATAATTTTTGTTATTTTTGTAGAGACAGGGTCTCGCCATGTTGTCCAGGCTGGTCTCGAACCTCTGGGCTCAAGTGATCTGCCTGCCTTGGCCTCCTGAAGTGTTGGGATTACAGGCATGAGCCACCACACCTGGCCCAGCTTGTCACTGTTGAGATGAATCTTGGTCATTTGGCGGAAGTAGTGTCTGTCAGATTTCTCTGCTGTAAAGTTACTCTTTGCCACCCCACCACCCTTTCTCTCCTGTACTCTTTGGGAGGAAGTCACTATGTGTAGCGCATACTTATGGACATGGGAAATATGCTCCACTTCATTGAGGGTGGAATATCTACAGAAATTATTTTGAATTCTCCTGCATGGGATGTTTGTCTCTTCTTCCTTATTATTTATTCAATCATTTATTTATATGACTGCATTGGTATTTATTTTATACTTTGCATTGTAAAGCAGTACTGCTTTATTTTTTGGCTCAATTTATCCTAGCTTTTGGTCTTTTTGACATGCTCCCATCTTGTTTTTTGTTGTTGTTGTTGTTGTCGTTGTTGTTTTTCCTTTTTCTCTTAGCACTTCTTCTTTCTTTCTGGCATTGTAAGATGCTCCAGGCTTATCTTGGGTATTTCTTACCCCCGTCTTAGAATCAGCAATTTTTCCAAGGTCACCTGGTTCCTGTTAATGGACAGAGTTATTTGAAACCAAGATCTTGGTGCTGTGTACCAGCCCACATTTATAAGGCTTATTTAAAGTGGTATTTATTCCAGGAATGCAGTGACTGCCTAACATTGGAAAAATCATTAATATAATTGACAGTAATAATAGATTAAAGGGGAAAACAAATCTCAATACACATATATCGGGGAAACCAGCCCCCAAAAGAGCCCTGTAGGTCCTTTCTATTTTCCCTAAGTGTCAGTTGGTCTGAGAAATAAAGAGAAAGAGTACAAAGAGAGAAATTTTGCAGCTGTGTCTCCAGGGGTGACACCACATATTGGTAGGACCATGATGACAACCCTGAGCCACAAAACCAGCAAGTTTTTATTAGGGATTTTAAAAGGGGAGGGGGTGCATGAACAGGGAGAAGGTCACAAGGATCACATGCTTCAAAGGGCAATAAAGATCACAAGGAGAAGGCAAAATTAGAATTACTGATGAGCGTCTATGTCCTGCTGTGCATGCATTGTCTTGATAAACATCTTAACAGGAAACAGGGTTCGAGAGCAGAGAACTGGTCTGACTAGAATTTACCAGGCTGGAATTTCCCAATCCTAGTAAGTGTGAGCGTACTGCAGGAGACCAGGGCGTATTTCAGTCCTTATCTCAACCGCATAAGACAGACACTCCCAGAGCAGCAGTCTATAGACCTACCCCCAGGAATGCATTCCTTACCCAGGGTTATTCCTTGCTGGGAAGAGAATTCAGCGATATTTCTCCTACTTGCACATCCGTTTATAGGCTTTCTGCAAGAAGAAAAATATGGCTGTATTCTGCCTGACCCTGCAAGCAGTCACCCTTGTTCCCTGAATATTGCTGTTATTCTGTTCTTTTCAGGGGGCACTGATTTCATATTGTTCAAACACATATTTTACAATCAGATTTCATATTGTTCAAACACACATGTTCTGCAATCAGTTTGTACAATAGTGGTCCTGAGGTGATGTACATTCTCAGCTTACAAAGATAATAGGATTAAGAGATTAAAGTAAAGACAGGCATAAGAAATTATAAGAGTATTATTAGGGAAGTGATAAATGTCCATGAAATCTTCACAATTTATGTTCAGAGATTGCAGTAAAGACAGGCATAAGACATTATAAAAGTATTAATTTTGGGAACTGATAAATGTCCATGAAATCTTCACAATTTATGTTCTTCTGCCTCGGCTCCAGCTGGTACCTCTGTTCAGGGTCCCTGACTTCCCGCAACACACATAGTATAAAATATTTGATAAAATGTAATATTAGTTTATAATTTTTTTAAAAAATGGAAATTTCCTTAAATTGATAAAGGATATCCCCACTAAGAATCTTTAGTAAACATTGTACTTAATGATGAAATGTGAGAAATATTCCTTTTAAAAACCATAACCAGACTAGAACGCCTTCTGTCATTGCCTCATTTTATTGTTGTACTTCTGATCCTAGCTACTGGAGTAAGAAAAGTAGTATAAGAGCTGGGCAAAAAGCATAGTTTAGATTATTTGCAAGTAATGATTGTCTAAGTAGAAAATCTAAAGGAATCTTTAGTCAAAATTTAGAAGATTGCTGTATATAAAATGAATTAATAGAATTCCTACATATCAATCATCAGCCCTTAGAAAATATAGTTTTAAACTATAATATTTAAAATAGTAAAAAAGGCATATAGGAATAAATCTAAGAAGAAATGTATGAGATATTGATGGAGAAAATTATTAATGGATATAAAAAGAGATATATATATATGGCATATTCATGGAAGGGAAGATGGAATACCATAAAGATATCAGCTTACCCCCAAATGATTTATGCTTTCAGTATAATCTTAATGAGAATCCCAAGAAGGTTTTCACAGCATTTGGCAAGCTAATACAAATATTACTATGAAAATATATAAGTTTAAATACATATGACATGATTATAAATGAAGATAATGGAAGGATATGGTGTCCCACTACACTTGAAGATTTATTTTGAAGGTAAAGCAAATTAGTGTGATGTTGGGACAAAGATATTCAAGTAAACTAGAGAACAGAATGAAAAACCTTGAAGTAGACCCACACATATATAGGAATATATAATGGAAGTAGAATTACAATTTAGTGAGAATAAAATGGACAATTTTAAAAGGCTGCTCTGACAATTTTTGTCTGCCTGTCTATCTATCTTTATCTATCTGTCTGTCTATCTATCTATCTATCTATCTATCTAATTTCAGAGTCTGGCTGTGTTACCCAGACTGGAGTGCAGTGGCACAACCTGGCCCATTGCAACTTCTGCCTCCTGGGCTCAAGCGACCCACCTGCCTCAGCCTCCCAAGTAGCTGGAACTAAAGGCACACACCACGATGCCTGGCTATTTTTTTTTAAATTTTTTTGTAGAGATAAGGTTTCACCATGTTGCCCAGGCTGGTCTAGAACTGCTTGGCTCAAGGGATCCACCAGCCTCAGCCTCTCAAAGTGGTGGAATTACAGGTGTGAGCCACCATGCCTGGCTTGCTGTGACAATTTATATAGTAAATGATACCATTTCATTGCTATCAAACACCATGGCCAAAAGTAAATTTTGGATAAATAAAAGACTTGTAAAATATGCAAAGCTAGCTGGTAGGAAAGTGTCATGACCAATAAACATTGAAATTTCTCTTTCAGAGAAATGCACATTGTAAGTCAAAACATCACTGGGTTAGCACCCCATGCCCATTTATTTGGGAAAACTTTAGAAGTCTGAAAACATCAGTAGGCAAGGATATGTAGAAATGGAAATTCTACATTGTCAGTGGGAGTTTTAATTTCTGTTTCCCAGTAAACTTGAAGCCAAAACACAGCCTGTGACCCAGCAATCCCACTTACATGTTTCAGTCCTAGAAAATCACTAACATATGCGAAACGTGGCTCATATAAAGATTTACTCTTTAGCACTGTTTCTAAAAATGAGAAAGTCAAACAATTTCAAGGCCCCTCAGGAGGACAAATGAATAAACTGATTTCTTCAAACAGTGAAATAATATCCAGCAGTTAAAATGAAGTCGATCTGTGTGTGTGAACTTGGCGGATGTGAAAAACAACATAAAAAAATCTAACATGTATGGAAATAACACACGCCAAATTTGGATACCTCTGATGGGGGGGAGTCTTCAGTTATGTCCATTTATTTAATGTTTTGATGAAGCAGATATCCTAAAACTGTTTAAAAATTGTGAAATCTGAATGGTATTAACTGATGTCTCATTTTGTGAGTATTTAAAATATTTTATCAGTATCAATCTGATAGAAAATTTAAATAAAAATGCTGAAATTAAAAATAAAACCATAATACCATCAGAAAAGAAGACACAAGAAAGTAGAAGAAAATATTAGCTTTCCTAGGGGAAATTTTAGAGAATATGTTTTTTCATTTTTATGATCTGGGGTTAGTGAAGGCACGTCTAAGCCTGACACTAGGGTCATAAACTGTGAAGGTAAAAGATAGAGAGTAGATATTGTAAAAAGCAATAACTTCTGTTGAGCAAAAGGTTACATAAAACCAAGTTAATAAATTAAACACCCTCTTTTTTATTCCAACAGATAAAACACTTGTAAAGAGATAAAATTCTAGGAATTTGCAAAGAAATCTTCAGAATAATGCTGTGGATTTATATAGCTGATTTAGTCCAACTTTAAACTATCTTTCAAAAGTTGGAATGGTTTGAAACCTTTAGATTTTCCTAGTATTCTTTCAAGGAAAAATACCATTCCCAAAGATCGTATTCTTTTTGTATAGCACTCTGCCCTCCAGGTAACCCCTGCTGACTCCAGGACTGCCGACACTTAGATTTAGGTAAATTCCTCCCTTCTTTTATTCCAAGTCAGATACCGGAGGCAGAGATAGCATTCTTCCAGGAAACATGGAGATTTTATACTGGTTTGTTCCATTTTCAAATAAGGCAAGAATTTTAGAAGACAACTTTCTTTTTTTTTAATTATTATACTTTAAGTTCTAGGGTACATGTGCACAATGTGCAGGTTTGTTACATATGTATACATGTACCATGTTGGTGTGCTGCACCTATTAACTTGTCATTTACATTAGGTGTATCTCCTAATGCTATTCCTCCCCGCTTCCCCCACCCCATGACAGGCCCCAGTGTGTGATGTTCCCCTTCCTGTGTCCAAGTGTTCTCATTGTTCAGTTCCCACCTATGAGTGAGAACATGCAGTGTTTGGTTTTCTGTCGTTGCGATGGTTTGCTCAGAATGATGGTTTCCAGCTTCATCCATGTCCCTACAAAGGACATGAACTCATCCTTTTTTATGGCTGCATAGTATTCCATGGTGTATATGTGCCACATTTTCTTAATCCAGTCTATCATTCATGGACATTTGGGTTGGTTCCAAGTCTTTGCTATTGTGAATAGTGCTGCAATAAACATATGTGTGCATGTGACTTTACAGCAGCATGATTTATAATCCTCTGGGTATATACCCAGAAATGGGATGGCTGGGTCAAATGGTGTTTCTAGTTCTAGATCCTTGAGGGATTGCCACACTGTCTTCCACAATGGTTGAACTAGTTTACAGTCCCACCAACAGTGTAAAAGTGTTCCTATTTCTCCACATCCTCTCCAGCACCTGTTGTTTCCTGACTTTTTAATGATCACCATTCTAACTGGTGTGAGATAGTTTCTCTTTGTGGTTTTGATTTGCATTTCTCTGATGGCCAGTGATGATGAGCATTTTTTCATGTGTCTGTTGGCTGCATAAATGTCTTCTTTTGAGAAGTGTTTGTTGATCTCCTTTGCTCACTTTTTGATGGGGTTGTTTGATTTTTTTTCTTGTAAATTTGTTGAAGTTCTTTGTAGATTCTGGATATTAGCCCTTTGTCAGATGGGTAGATTGCAAAAATTTTCTCCCATTCTGCAGGTTGCCTGTTCACTCTGATGGTAGTTTCCTTTGCTGTGCAGAAGCTCTTTAGTTTAATGAGATCCCATTTGTCAATTTTGGCTTCTGTTATCTTTGCTTTTGGTGTTTTAGACCTGAAGTCCTTGTCCATGCCTATGTCCTGAATGGTATTGCCTAGGTTTTCTTCTAGGGTTTTGATGGTTTTAGGTCTAACATTTAAGTCTTTAATCCATTTTGAATTAATTTTTGTATAAGGTGTAAGGAAGGGATCCAGTTTCAGCTTTCTCCATATGGCTAGCCAGTTTTCCCAGCACCATTTATTAAATAGGGAAATCCTTTCCCCATTTCTTCTTTTTGTCAGGTTTGTCAAAGATCAGATAGTTGTAGATGTGTGGTATTATTTCTGAGGGCTCTGTTGTGTTCCATTGGTCTATATCTCTGTTGTGGTACCAGTACCATGCTGTTTTGGTTACTGTAGCCTTGTAGTATAGTTTGAAGTCAGGTAGCATGATGCCTCCAGCTTTGTTCTTTTGGCTTAGGATTGACTCGGCAATGTGGGCTCTTTTTTGGTTCCATATGAACTTTAAAGTAGTTTTTTCCAACTCTGTGAAGAAAGTCATTGGTAGCCTGATGGGGATGGCATTGAATCTATAAATTACCTTGGGCAGTATGGCCATTTTGATGATAATGATTCTTCCTATCCATGAGCATGGAATGTTCTTGCATTTGTTTGTGTTCTCTTTTATTTCGTTGAGCAGTGGTTTGTAGTTCTCCTTCAACTTTCTTAAGCGCAGAATCTCCTAGTTCCTCTTGTGGCTGGAATGGCCTTCTATGTCTCTGTGTTGTTTTTGAAATGAGGCGGAGAAGCATAGGACACCATGAAGCATGATACTTTCTTTCCATTTTACTTTAAGAAATTGTCGTAAAACTTACATGTGGTGAAATGCATGTCTTCATTGTCTAATTTGATGAGTTTATATGGTCTTGTGAAACAACACCCTGATCCAGGTATAGAATATCTTTATCACCACAATAAATTCTCTTTTAACTCTTGTCAGCCACATACCCACCACTGCATAAACAATCATTGATATACTTTATGTAATATATGTATCAGTCTTGCCTGTTTTTGAACTTTATGTAAATGTTTACAGTGTGTACTCTTTTGTGTCTGGCTTCTTTACTTCAACCTAATGTTTTTGAGATTCATCTATATTTTGTGTGTCTTGGTACAGTAGTCAGTCCTCTTTTATCTAAGGTTTCAGTAGCTGCCATTTCTATTATCTGTGTCTAGCTGTAGTCTGAAAATTTTGAGTAGAACATCCTGTAAGTAAATCATAAGTTATAAATTGTGTGCCCTGCTGAGTAACGTGATGAAATCAAATGGCATCTTGTGCTGTCTGACGATGTGAGTCATTCTTATGTCCAGCAGATTCACGCTGTAGTCACCACTGCCTGTTAGTCACTTAGTAGCCAGCCTGGTTATCACATCAACTATCATGGTATCTCAGTGCTTGTTTCCAAGGAACACCTATTTTACTTTTACTCTAGGATATTGTTGTAATGATTCTATTTTATTATTGTTGTTAATCTCTTAACTGTGCACAATTTAGAAACTAAATTTTATCATAAGTACATGTGTATTATAAGAAAAAAATAGTATATGTAGGGTTTGGTACTACATGTGGTTTCAGGGTCCTGGAACATATTCCCTGTGGATAAGCGGGGACAACTATAGCTTGGTTTTTAAAAAATAGCTGAGTGGTATGTTTCTTTATGAATACACTACAATTTGTTTATCCACGTTCCTTTTGACAGATATTTGGGCTGTTTGCAGTGTGGCGTATTACAAATAAGGCTGCTATGAAATTCTTGTGCAGTTGTTTTTGTAAACGTATCAGTCTGTTACGAGAAATGATTGGCAAATATGTTCTCCTATTCTGTAGGCATTCTTTTAGCTTTCTTGATATTGTCCTTTAAAACATGAATGTTTTGAATTTTGAAGAATTTCAATTTGGTTTTTCTTTTGTTGCTTTTACTTCTGGTATAATCTCTAAGAAGGCTTTAACTAACCCAGAGTCATGAAGATTTTCCTGTAAAAGTTTTATAGTTTTAGCCCTTCCTTACATTGAAGTCTGTGGTCTTTTTTGAATTATTTTTTTTGTGTGGCTTAAGGAATGGGTCCAACCTCATTCTTTTGCATGTGGCTATCTAATCATCCTAGCATCATTTGTTGAAAAGAATATTTTTGTCTTTATTGAATTGCTTTGGTGCTCTTTTTAAAAATCAGTTAACATGAACGTGAAGGTTTGTTTCTGAACTTTGAATTCTATTACATTGATCTATTAGTCTATCTGTGTGCCAGTAACAAACTCTCTAGGTTACTGTAGTAATCAAATAACACAAATACTACTATAGTAAACTTTAGAATTGAGGGAATTGAGAAGTGTGTGTTCTCTCTTTTCTTTAAAGATTTTTTTCTATTCTAAGCTCTTTGCATCTGCATTTCCATATCAATTTTAGCATCAGCTTGTTCATTTCTGCAAAAAAAAAAAAAAAAAAGAAAGAAAAAAAAAGCCAACTGGGATTTTGATAGGAATTGCATTGAATGGATCAAATTAGTTCTGTTGGGTCTTCGGTTTCATATGAATGAAATCTGAACTATATGCTTTTTTGTGTGTCTTAATTCTTCCACACAGCATAATGTTGTTGAAATTCATTCATGTCATTATATAAATTAGTAAGTAGTTCCTTCCTTTAGTTGCTGATTAGTAGTTCATTGTATAAATATACACACATTTATACATTTGGGTGGTTTCCAATTTTTGGCTGGTATGAATTAAGCTACTATGAACATTCATGTGCAAGTCATTATTATGGGCATATATTTTTATTTCTCTTTGATAAATACCTAGGAGTGAAATTGCTGGTATTATCGTATATGTTTTACTTTAAAATAATGAACCATTCTGTTTCTCAAAGTAGCTGTTCCATTTTACATTTCCACTAGAAATATATGAGAGATTTGGTTGATTGATATTGTTGTTAACATTTGAAATAGTCAGTTTTATTTTTAGCCAGTGTAATTGATATGTATTTATATCTCAGGCATTAATTTGCATTACCTTGATGATAAAAGATGTTGAGTACTTTTCATGTGCTTATTGTCCATTTATGTATTTGTTAAATTATTTTGCCTATTTGAGGGAGGTGACTGCTTTTTAAAGAAATCATTGAGTGGTATGAGTTCTTTACATATTTTGAATATAAGTCTCTTGTCAAAATATGTGTTGCAATTTTTCCCCCATTCTTTGGTTTGCATATTTATTTTAAATAATGGCGTCTTTAGGTGAACAGAAGCAGTCTAGTATTAAAACTCTATTTATTTTTCTAGTTTATGCTTTCTGTATTCTAGGAACGTTTGCCTACCCTATGTTTACAAAAAATATTGTTTTGTGTTTTCTTCTACAAGTTTTATAGTTTTAGATTTTATGTTTTAGGTCCATGATCTGTTGGGACTTAATTTTTATCTATGATGTGTGTTTAGGGGTTAAGTTGTATTTTTTTAAATGTAGATATCCACATTTGTATCATTTTTTGAAATGAATTTATTTCCTTTATTGAATTTCTTGGTTCCTTTGCTGAAAACCCTTTGTCTCTACATGCACAACTCAATATCTGGACTCTAACTTCTTTTATTTCTGTTTGTTTGTGCTTTGCAAATACCACACTGTTTGATTATTTTGATTGTGTAATAAGATTTTAAAAAAAGAACTTTGTTCGTTTCCAAGATATTTTTGCTGTTCTAGGTCCCTGTAATTTCCATGTCAGTATTGGAAACAGCTTGTCAATTTCCTCACACTACCTCCAGTGACTTTTTAATAATAGCATTGAATCTCTGTATCAATGTGGGCAGAAGTGACATCTTAAAATATTGAATCTTTTAATCCACAAATATGATGTAAATCTCTGTTCATTTAGGTCTTTCTTAATATCTCTCAGCAATATTTGATAGTTGTTGGCATAGAGCTCCTGAATCCTAATTATTTTTTACTTTTTGATGACAATGAAACAAAACTTGTTACAAGTTTTATTTTCTAAAAGCTTGTTGGTAGTTTCTTCCTTTCAGAACTTCAAAAATGTTCTACTTCCTTCTAGTTTCCATGATTTCTAAAGAGAAACCTACAGTCATTAGAGTTATTCTTCCCCAGTTTCTTTCTCTGGCAATTTTCAATATATTCTTATTTTTTTCTTTGGTTTCCTGCAGTGTGGTTATGATGTGTTTGGACATAGATTTCTTTGAAATTATCCTGTTTGGGGTTCACTGAGTTTCTTGAATCAGCAAATTTGTCTTTCACCAAATTATTTCTTCAGATACATGTATGTTTGCACCACACTTTTTCTCCTGTCTTTCTGAGGCTGTTGATATAAATGCTATAACTTTTATTATTGCCCTTCATTTTTGTTCTCTTTTGAACATATTGGATAATGCCTATCTATATATTTTCACATTAATTGATTCTTGATCATCTCCATTCTGGTATTCTCAATCCAGTAAATATTTTACTTTGCTTTCTCTAATTTTTCAGTTTTAACATTTTTCTTTGTATTTTGTGTTTCTTTGCTGAGACATTCTATCTTTCCGCTTTTTCAAGAGTTTACTCTTTTTTTTTCTGAGATGGAGTCTCGCTCTGTCACCAGGCTGGAGTGCAGTGGCACGATCTTGGCTCACTGCAATCTCCGCCTCCTGGATTCAAGCGATTCCCCTGCCTCAGCCTCCTGAGTATCTGGGACTATAGGAACGCACCACAAAACATGGCTAATTGTTTGTATTTTTAGTAGAGATGGGGTTTCATCATGTTGTCCAGGATGGTCTCTATCTCATGACCTCATGATCTGCCCACCTTGGCCTCCCAAAGTGCTGGGATTACAGGCATGAGCCATCATGCCCAGCTGTTTGCTCTTCTTTTGAAAAGAAGGTTATATTTCGTTCTTTAAAGCCCTGTTTTTGTTTTTTTTTTAAACCAACATCTGTGTCATCTTGGGGTTGTTATCTGTTGATCTTTTCTTCTCATGAGTTGAGATTTTCCCTGTTCTTCATATGTTGAGTGATTTTGGACAGTATTCTGGATATTTTGGATATTGTATTATGGTATTCTTTGTCTTGCTTTAATTCAAAAGATAATGTTGATTTGTTTTGTTTTAGCTGGCAATTGGCCAGGTGAGGTTCAGGCCTCAAGTTCTGACCTGCCTTCTGTGGGCTGTGGCTCTAATATCACCTGACTTTCCATAGTGTTCACAATACTTTTTGGATTTATTCCATGTGTGTACTACCTGAGGCCAGTGTGATCTCGTCTCTGGTCTTCTTTGTGGTGTTTATGATCAGATCCACATAGGTGTAGCTCAGAGGCAAGCATAGTACTTCATGCACGACTTTATGGTATTGCTCCTTTGATGATTCCCTCTCTTTGTGGAGCTCTCTGGCATTTTTAGCCTCATTGGAGCCTCCTTTCCTGATCTTTTATCTAGAAAGCTGGAACATTAGTTTTTCTTCTCTTCTGCCCACTTCTCATGATTACATCTATGTCTGGAACAAAACAGTCAGAAGATAGAGAGGGGGAAAAAGGTATTAGGAATTTGTTTCTTACTCTTCTGATTGAAGCTCCTCTGGGAAGGAACAAGGTCCCCCTCCTTCAGAGCTTTAGGTGATGACCTTGCCATCTGAGTGCCATCCTTCTGCTGCCACCATCAGTGCAGATTTTTCTGGGGCTAGGGAACAAGAGAAGGGAAACTAGGAAAAAACTAAACATTGTAAGTCCCTGCTTCTCTGATCCTTTGGGGCTCCCTTTCCTGCTCCTTGGACTAGAAAGAATGCTGCTTCTGGAGCTTATTCTGTCCACATCTGGTGTATACTTCTGAGTTTTGGGCTGTGAGTCTAGACCCGGTGATACCAGGCGGTGAAAAATGGTAGGCTCACTGCTGGTTCAGCGGAACTTCTAATTCTGGTTTCCTTCTCCACTGCTACTGTTTACTTTCCAGAATCCTTAGATAGATGTTCCATGTCTAGGATTTATATTTGTGTTCTGTGGTACAGACTGTGGTAGTTCTACTCCCAGCCTTTCTACCTTAGTGCTCTTCTCTGCATTAGAGGCTGTAGCAGTATATTCAGTGAAGATGTCAAGCGCTTGTGTGCCTCAGTTCTCTTACTTTTGTCCCCAGCTTTAGGAAGCTCTATGCCTTGGCTCCTGAGGGTAATTCTCTCTTAGCTCTCCCTGACCCATCCCCAGCCACCAGTATTTCCTGCCTAGTACTTATTGGAAGCCCAGATATATACCTCAGGGGTTCCTGTTCCCTGCTCTTAGCTTTCAATGGTCACTGAAGCTCATACACTTTAGAAGTTCTTCTTTCTCTCACCCATCATTTCCAGTTGAAGATTCTGTGAAGGTCCATGGCAAAACATTGGCAGGTGGGTAGAGGAACTGCCTAGGGATTCTAAACCAACACACGAGCATAGTGAACCTTTATATTTTTGTAAAACGTTACCTGGTTTCTTCTAACTCCTATTAATGGCAGCCTTCTCTTCTGTCCATCGTTTTACCCAGAAAGAAGGAAGCCATGGGTCTCCTCTTTATTTCCTTGTGGGTGCTGGGTGGCCGGGGAATCCATTCCTGGGTTTCAATTGATGTATGTTTCTTAATGGCTTTACTTCTCTAACAGGCATTAAAATTTATAATCTTGACTCTATCAGTCTTATTTTCCTTGTTAAGGTGGTAACCATGTTTTCCTGAGATACACTATATCACAAGCTAAGTTTTATTTTTTCCTGTCAATATGTTATGCAGTTATTTCAGTACCATTTGTCTAAGAGGCTTCTCTTATGGGTTGAATTGCCTTGGCATATTTGTCACAATTTTTTTTCTGATTATTATTAAAATTCAATTTCAGAATTTCTGATTTTCATGATATTCCAAAGATCCATAATAAGGCTGCTTTTCAAGTGTAATTATCTTGATTTCTACACTAGTTAATTTCCATCCTTATCTTTGCCATTCTTCAATGGCCCAGACAAGGAAAATATCCTCTTCAGTATTTATGGAGAACTTTCATCCAAATACCTTTTGCCTAGTGATTGATAGTGGCTTGAGTGGAAGACAGAATGAATTAAGAGGAAAGCATGACACATGTATGCTGGATTTTACACTTATTTTGAAGAGCTTTCTGTTGTCAAGGAGCCTGTGCTGCAAATGATTCTGATTTCGTCTATTCTCTGGACATCCTGGAAAAGTGCTTTCACTCAATTCTTGGAAATCTGTGTCACCTAATAATCATATATTCTGAAACTTTTAACTTTTGTCATTTCGATAGCCACACTTTTTAGAAGAACCTAATTTTTGAGCTCATAACCTGAGTGTCTTGATTTTGTGCCCATCTGATCATTCATGTTGTCCTGGCACACAGCTCTAGCTACACTGCAGAGTTCGTGCACAAGTAAGTGAGGCGGCTTTTTACTGTTGGTTACTGCTTCTGAGATGAACCTTTGGCTCATAGCACCTGCAGTATATGGTATGAGAAGCAGTGGTTCAAATAAACTGGAGAAACTCAGCATCTTATATGCCTGTATTAGTGATTCATCCGACATGTAATTACATTAGAAGTTCTGAGGAGTCTTGGTGAGTAGACAGCTAACTTTGCTCAACTACTGTTAAATTTTAACTCAATGGAGCTAGAATATTTTTTTCATATATACCTATGAACAATCTGTTATCTAGTATCTGTCTATACTTCCACGAGCTCTTTTATCTAGCATAATAATTACCTCTTTATTTTCTGGGTCTGTGAATGCAGGAATATGAATGCATTCTTCTTAAAATAATTCACTTCACATGATTAGCACCAATATTTAGTTATATAAAATTTAAATTTTAGTATTAGGTGTAAAAGTGAGCAAGACCAAAGCTGCAGAAAATAAAAGATTATAGGAAGAGGTGTATAATTACCAGAAATAGGAAACACGGGGATAGATAGTAGGAACATGGAAATTCAGGAGAGAAGTTCACCTTGGAATAGTAGAAATAAAAATCGTAACATCAGTGTCCTTGGCATGAGAGCTGTGCTTGCCAGATGTGAGATCACAGAGGAGGATGTGCTTGTCCTACACGTAATTAAACTAAGAAGTCAGGAAGCCAGGAAACTGACTTGTTGGTTCCTGATGCTAAGTATTGTTCCTACCGTATGTGTGGAATAAGATGCATTTCAACAGCTTTGTGTGGTGGAAGATTTTTTTTTTCAGCCATTGGGTAAAAATCATAGGATTACATCATAGTTGCTAATCTGTGTTCTATTGCTTCATGATGTGTAAACTGAAATACACCAGCCTAAGTGAGTGATTAATTCAGGTATAGGATAACCACTTTTAAACCCTTTTCAAAGAGAGCTAGTGCCACCTTTCTCTAGCTTTCATTAGTTTTTATTTTAAAAAAAGGAGCCTTAGAAAAATTTTCACTTTCTTACCCGAGTGCATACTAATGAGAACATCATATATGCGGGTGTATATGTATATGCATGTATACGCATATGCACTTATGCATATCAATGTATATTTGTGCATAACTGTGTATTAAATTTAAAAGCAGTAAAGTCACTGTCAGCTTGCCCTTAGCAACTGTAACACAGCCGCTGATCCAATTTGTTTGTAGAAAATTATCAATATGCTTAATTTTTGACTAAAATATGTTGGTATTTTGTAGAAACAGTCTTTTAAAATATACTTTGGAATTAAATCAGAAATTTTCTTTCTATATCAAAAGACAAAGTACATCCAAGTGACACAGAGACTACAAATACTCTGGCTCCACTGAGTTTAAAGTTTAACAGTAGTTAAGCAAAGTTAGCTGTCTACTCACCAAGACTCCTCAGAGCTTCTAATACAATTACATGTTGGTTGAATCGCTAGTACAGGCATATAAGATGGTGAGTTTCTCCGGTTTATTTGAACTGCTGCTTTTTATACCGACTACTAGTGTTTATATTTATAAATCTCATAAAATTATAATAATCACTAGAATACACTAAATTTTAAGGTGCTTGAAAAGTGAAAGTGTCTTCTTGCAAAAGTTAATAATTTCTCTAGCTGGTTAACAGATGTTTTCATTGCTAGATAACTACTGTACATTCACATGAAGTTGTAAGAAATCATACAGAGAGAGCCCAGAGGACCCTTTACCCAATTTCCTCCCATGGCAACACTTTGAAAAACTATACCAAAATCATGGTATCAGTTGACATTGATACAGTCAAAACACAAAGATTTCTACCACCACATGGATCCCTTACGTTGTGCTTTCATAGCCACAACCATTTCCCCTTCTCCCCATGCCCTTTATAACTCTGGCACCCATTAATCTATTCCCACATTTCTATCATATTCTCATTTCAAGAATGTTACATAAATGGAATCATGTAGTATATAATCTTTTGGAATTGTCTTTTTTCTCTCAGAATAATTCTTTGGAGAATCATTCAAGTTGTTGTATGCATGAAGCATTGTTTCTCTTTTTAATCACCAAATACTATTCCATGATATGGATGTACCACAACTTTTTAATCATTTACTTATTGAAAGACATTTGGGTTGTTTTCAGTTTGGGGCTTTATTTATGAATAAAACTGCTGTAAACATTTGTGTACAGGTTTTTGTGCGAACATAAGTTTTCATTTCTCTGAGATCAATTCCCAGGGATTGCAGTGTGCTAAGTTGCATGGTTAGTTATTTAAGAAACTGCTTAACTTTCCAGAGCAGCTGTACCACTTGACAT
Organism: Homo sapiens; assembly: GCF_000001405.40. NCBI lineage: Eukaryota > Metazoa > Chordata > Mammalia > Primates > Hominidae > Homo > Homo sapiens. The sequence goes on along the minus strand of NC_000002.12, from coordinate 133,192,808 downwards.
TCCTACCAACAATGTATGAGTGATTTGGTTTCTGCACATCCTCACTCATCAGCCTTTGGTGTGTTATGACTGTTTTTTTGTTAGCCTTTCTGGTAGTTATGTATTGATATCTCATTGTCGTTTTAGTTTGCATTACTCTAATGGTTAGTGGCATTGAATATCTTTTATGTGCTTATTTGTCATTTGTGTATAATCTTTGAAATGTCTCTACATGTCTTTTTGCCCGTTTTCTAATTGAATTGTATTTTTTTTTCTTTCGAGCTTTGAGAGTCCATTATATATTCTGGAAACTAGTCCTTGGTAGTATATGTGGTATGTAAATGTTTTCTCCCAGTGTATAACTGATTTACATCCTCTTAACATGGATATTTCACAGAACAAAAGTTTTCATTTCGATGATGCCCAGGTTTTCCCTTTTATGGATTTGTGCTACTGGTAGCAAGTCTAAGAACTATTTGCGTAGGTTTAGTTCTCAACAATTTTCTCCTATTTTCTAAAAGATCTACAGTTTCAATTTAAAGCTTGTGATACATTTGGTATAAGACTTAGGTTGAAGTTCTTTTTGTTGCCTATAGATGGCCAATTTTTCCACTATTTTTTGAAGACTGTTTTTCCCACATGGAATTACTTTTGCATATTTGTCAAAAATTAGTTGGACTTATTCATGCAGGTGTATTTCTGGTTTCTTTATTGGGTCCCATTTATCTATGTCCGTCCCTCCACTGATAACACACAGTCATGATTACTGCAGCAATATAATAAGTCATGGAATTTAGTAGATTCATCTCACTTTATTCTTCATTTTTCACATTAGTTTTAGCTTTGCCTTTCCATATATATTTTAGAATAATCCTGCATATATTTAAAAAATATCTCACTGGAATTTTTTTTTTATACTTTAAGTTCTAGGGTACATGTGCACAACGTGCAGGTTTGTTACATATGTATACATGTGCCATGTTGGTGTGCTGCACCCATGAACTCATCATTTACATTAGGTATATCTCCTAATGCTATCCCTCCCTGCTCCCCCCAACCCCATGACAGGCCCCGGTGTGTGATGTTCCCCATCCTGTGTCCAAGTGTTCTCATTGTTCAATTCCCACCAATGAGTGAGAACATGTGGTGTATGGTTTTCTGTCCTTGCAATAGTTTGCTCAGAATGATGGTTTCCAGCTTCATCCATGTCCCTACAAAGGACATGAACTCATCCTTTTTTATGGCTGCATAGTATTCCATGGTGTATATGTGCCACATTTTCTTAATCCAGTCTATCATTCATGGACATTTAGGTTGGTTCCAAGTCTGCTATTGTGAATAGTGCTGCAATAAACATACGTGTGCATGTGTCTTTATAGGAGCATGATTTGTCCTTTGGGTATACACCCAGTAATGGGATTGCTGGGTCAAATGGTGTTTCTAGTTCTAGATCCTTGAGGGATCGCCACACTGTCTTCCACAATGGTTGAACTAGTTTACAGTCCCACCAACAGTGTAAAAGTGTTCCTATTTCTCCACATCCTCTCCAGCACCTGTTGTTTCCTGACTTTTTAATGATCACCATTCTAACTGGTGTGAGATAGTTTCTCTTTGTGGTTTTGATTTGCATTTTTCTGATGGCCAGTGATGATGAGCATTTTTTCATGTGTCTGTTGGCTGCATAAATGTCTTCTTTTGAGAAATGTTGTTGATCTCCTTTGCTCACTTTTTGATGGGGTTGTTTGATTTTTTTTCTTGTAAATTTGTTGAAGTTCTTTGTAGATTCTGTATATTAGCCCTTTGTCAGATGGGTAGAATGCAAAAATTTTCTCCCATTCTGCAGGTTGCCTGTTCACTCTGATGGTAGTTTCTTTTGCTGTGCAGAAGCTCTTTAGTTTAATGAGATCCCATTTGTCAATTTTGGCTTTTGTTGCCATTGCTTTTGGTTTTTTAGTCATGAAGTCCTTGTCCATGCCTATGTCCTGAATGGTATTGCCTAGGTTTTCTTCTAGGGTTTTTATAGGTTTAGGTCTAACATTTCAGTCTTTAGTCCGTCTTGAATTAATTTTTGTATAAGGTGTAAGGAAGGGATCCAGTTTCAGCTTTCTCCATATGGCTAGCCAGTTTTTTCCAGCACCATTTATTAAATAGGGAATCCTCTCCCCATTTCTTCTTTTTGTCAGGTTTGTCAAAGATCAGATAGTTGTAGATGTGTGGTATTATTTCTGAGGGCTCTGTTGTGTCCCATTGGTCTATATCTCTGTTTTGGTACCAGTACCATGCTGTTTTGGTTACTGTAGCCTTGTAGTATAGTTTGAAGTTGGGTAGAGTGATGCCTCCAGCTTTGTTCTTTTGGCTTAGGATTGTCTTGGCAATGTGGGCTCTTTTTTGGTTCCATATGAACTTTAGTTTTTTCCAATTCTGTGAAGAAAGTTATTGGTAGCTTGATGGGGATGGCATTGAATACATAATTTACCTTGGGCAGTATGGCCATTTTCAGGATATTGATTCTTCCTATCCATGAACATGGAATGTTCTTCCATTTGTTTGTATCCTCTTTTATTTCATTGAACAGTGGTTTGTAGTTCTCCTTGAAGAGGTCCTTCATGTCCCTTGTAAGTTGGATTCCTAGGCATTTTATTCTCTTTGAAGCAATTGTGAATGGGAGTTCACTCATGATTTGGCTCTCTGTTTGTCTGTTGTTGGTGTATAAGAATGCTTGTGATTTTTGCACATTGAATTTGTATCCTGAGACTTTGCTGAAGTTGCTTACCAGCTTAAGGAGATTTTGGGTTGAGATGATGGGGTTTTCTAAATATACAATCATGTCATCTGCAAACAGGGACAATTTGACTTCCTCTTTTCCTAATTGAATACCCTTTATTTCTTTCTCCTGCCTGATTGCCCTGGCCAGAACTTCCAACACTGTGTTGAATAGGAGTGGTGAGAGAGGGCATCCCTGTCTTGTGCCAGTTTTCAAAGGGAATACTTGCAGTTTTTGCCCATTCAGGATGATATTGGCTGTGGGTTTGTCATAAATAGCTCTTATTATTTTGAGGTACGTCCCATCAATACCTAGTTTTTAGCATGAAGCATTGTTGAATTTTGTCAAAGGCCTTTTCTGCATCTATTGAGATAATCATGTGATTTTTGTCTTTTGTTCTGTTTATATGCTGGATTACATTTATTGATTTGCCTCTGTTGAACCAGCCTTGCATCCCAGGGGTGAAACCAACTTGATCGTGGTGGATAAGCTTTTTGATGTGCTGATGGATTTGGTTTGCCAGTATTTTCTTGAGGATTTTTGAATCGATGTTCATCAGGGATATTGGTCTAAAATTCTCTTTTTTTGTTGTGTCTCTGCCAGGCTTTGGTGTCAGGATGATGCTGGCCTCATAAAATGAATTATGGAGGATTCTTTCTTTTTCTATTGATTGGAATAGTTTCAGAAGGAACGGTACCAGCTCCTCTTTGTACCTCTGGTAGAATTCAGCTGTGAATCCATCTGATCCTGGACTTTTTTTGGTTGGTAGGCTATTAATTATTGCCTCAATTTCAGAGCCTGTTATCGGTCTATTCAGAGATTCAACTTCTTCCTGGTTTAGTCTTGGGAGGCTGTATGTGTCCAGGAATTTATCCATTTCTTCTAGATTTTCTGGTTTATTTGTGTAGAGGTGGTTATAGTATTCTTGATGGTAGTTTGTATTTCTGTGGGATCGGTGATGATATCCCCTTTATCATTTTTTATTGTGTCTATTTGATTCTTCTCTCTTTTCTTCTTTATTAGTCTTGCTAGTAGCCTATCAATTTTGTTGATCTTTTCGAAAAACCAGCTCCTGGATTCATTGATTTTTTGAAGAGTTTTTTGTGTCTCTATCTCCTTCAGTTCTTCTCTGATCTTAGTTATTACTTGCCGTCTGCTAGCTTTTGAATGTGTTTGCTCTTGCTTCTCTAGCTCTTTTAATTGTGATGTTAGGGTGTCAATTTTAGATATTTCCTGCTTTCTCTTGTGGGCATTTAGTGCTATAAATTTCCCTCTACACACTGCTTTAAATGTGCCCCAGAGATTCTGGTGTGTTGTGTCTTTGTTCTCATTGATTTCAAAGAACACCTTTATTTCTGCCTTCATTTCATTACGTACCCAGTAGTCATTCAGGCGCAGGTTGTTCAGTTTCCATGTAGTTGAGCGGTTTTGAGTGAGTTTCTTAATCCTGAGTTCTAGTTTGATTGCACTGTGGTCTGAGAGACAGTTTGTTATAATTTCTTTTCTGTTACATTTGTTGAGGAGTCCTTTACTTCCAACTATGTGGTCAGTTTTGGAATAAGTGCGATATGGTGTTGAGAGGAATGTATATTCTGTTGATTTGGGGTGGAGAGTTCTGTAGGTGTCTATTAGGTCGGCTTGGTGCAGAGCTGGGTTCAGTTCCTGGATATCCTTGTTAACTTTCTGTCTCGTTGATCTGTCTAATGTTAACAGTGGACTGTTAAAAGTCTCCCATCATTATTGTGTGGGAGTCTGAGTCTCTTTGTAGGTCTCTAAGGACTTGCTTTATGAATCTGGGTGCTCTTGTATTGGATGCATATATATTTAGGATAGTTAGCTCTTCTTGTTGATTTGATCCCCTTACCATTAAGCAAATGCTGAGAGATTTTGTCACCACCAGGTCTGCCTTACAAGAGCTCCTGAAGGAAGCACTAAACATGGAAAGGAACAACCAGTACCAGCAACTGCAAAAACATGCCAAATTGTAAAGACCATCGATGCCAGGAAGAAACTGCATCAGCTAACTAGCAAAATAACCAGCTAACATCATGATGACAGGATCAAATTCACACATAACAATATTAACCTTAAATGTAAATGGGCTAAATGCTCCAATTAAAAGACACAGACTGGCAAATTGGATAGATTCAAGACCCATCAGTGTGCTGTATTCAGGAGACCCATCTCACGTGCAAACGCATATAGGCTCAAAAGAAAGGGATGGAGGAAGATCTACCAAGCAAATGGAAAACAAAAAAAAGCAGGTGTTGCAATCCTAGTCTCTGATAAAACAGATTTTAAACCAACAAAGATCAAAAGAGACAAAGAAGGCCATCTCACTGGAAATTTTATAGAAATGGCATTAAATTTAAATATCAATTTGGGAAAATTGACATCTTTAAGTCTTCCAATCCATAAGTATGTTCTTTCTGTTCACTTATTTAGATTATCTTTGATTTATCTAATTATCATTGTATAGTTTTGGCATACAATCTTATATATGTTTTGTTAGCTTGACATCTAAATATTTATTGTATACTTATATATGGGGTCGCAGTAATTTGCCCATGTGGGTCTCAAACTCCTGGGTTCAAGGGATCTTCCCACTATAGCTTCCAAAGTAGCTGGGATTGCAGATGCATGCCAGCATGCCTGGATTTTAATTTTTTGTGTGATTATAAATGGCATTGTCTTTTACATTGTGCTTTCCAAGTATCAATAAATTTTTAAAAATCTATATTGCATCAGGCTCACTCTCAGAACACAGTACAACAGTGTTCTTGGTCAGTACAAAGAAGATCTCTCAAAACTATACAAAAGCCTGGAAATTAACCTACTCCTGAATAACTCTTGGGTGAAAATCAAAGTTAAAGCAGAAACAAAAAACTTTATTTAAAATTAATGAAAATAGAGACACAACTTATGAAAATCTTTGGGACTCAGCTAAAGCAATGATAAGAGGAAAGTTTATAGCATTAAACACCTTCATCAAGAAGTTAGAAAAATCTCAAATTAACAATCTGACATGGCAGTAGGAAACTAGGAAAGAGGAACAAACCAAACCCGAAGCTTGCAGAGGAAAAGATGTAACTAAAATCAGAGAAGAACTGAATGAAATTAAGATGCAAAAAAAATTGTAAAAAAGAAAGAGTGAAACCAAGAGCTAGTTCTTCAAAAGAATAAACAAGATTGACAGACTGCTAGCTAGGTTAACAAAGAAGAAAAATTATATTGTCCAAATAAGTGTAATCAGAAATGACACAGATGACATTACAATTAATCTCACAGAAATACAAAAGATCCTCAGAGAGTATTGTGAAAACCTCTCTGCACACGTATTAGAAAATCTAGAGGAAATGAATAAATTCCTGGAAACACACAGCCTCCCAAGATTGAACCAGGAAAAAAGTGAAAATCTGAAGAGACCAATAACAAGCACCAAAATTGAATCAGTGGTAAAAAATCTACCAACTCAAAAGAGCCCTGGACCAGATTGAGTCATAGCCGAATTCTACCAGAAGTACAAAAACTTGTACCAGTCTTACTAGAACTATTCCAAAAAATTGAGGAGCAGGGGCTTCTCCCTAACTCATTCTTCGAAGCCAGCATCATCCTGATACTAAAACCTTGCAGAGACACAGTGAAAACAGAAAACCGCAGGCCGATATCCCTGATGAACATAGATGCAAAAATCCTCAACAAAATATTAACAAACCAAATTCAGCTGCACATCAAAAAGTTAATTCACTATGATCAAGTAGGCTTTATTCCTGAGATGCAAGGTTGGTTCAACATAAGCAAATCAATAAGCATGATTCATCACATAAAAACAAAAAGCAAAAACTATATGATTATCTTAATCACCTAAAAAGCCTTAAACAAAATCCAACATCACTTCATGATAAAAACCCTCAACAGACTAGGCATCGAAGGAACATACCTCAATATAATAAGAGCCATTTATGACAAACCTACAGCCAACATCATACTGAACAAGCAAGAGCTGGATGCATTCTCCTTGAGGAACGGAACAAGACAAGGATGCTTACTCTTACCACTCCTATTCAATATAGGACTGGAAGTCCTAGCCAGAGGAATCAGGCAAGAGAAAGAAATAAAAAGGCATCCAGATAGGAAAAGAAGAAGTCAAACTATCTCTCTTCACTGACGATATGGTTCTATACCTAGAAAGCCCTAAAGATTCTACCAAAAGGCTCCCAGAACTGATAAATTACATCAATAGAGTTTCAGGGTACAAAATTAGTGTAAAAAATTGCTGGCATTTCTTTACACTAATAATATTCTAGCTGAGAACCAAATCAAGAATACAACCCCATTTACAAAATAGCCATAAAAAATGAAGTATCGAGGAATACAGCTAAGGAGGTGAAAGATCACTAAAGGAGAACTATAAAACACTGATGAAAGAAATCAGGGATCACACAAATATATGGAAAAATATTTTATGCTTATGGATCAGAAAAATCAATATTATTACAGTTGGCCATACTGCCCAAAGCAATTTATAGGTTCAGTGCTGTTTCTGTCAAAATACTAATGTCATTTTTCACAGAAATAGAAAAAAAAACTGTTCTAAAATGTATATGGAACCAAAAAAGAGCGTAAATAGTCAAAGAATTCTGGAGCAAAAGAAGCATAGCTGGAGGTATTACATTACCCAACTTCAAACTATACTATAGTGCCACAGTAACCAAAACACCGTGGTACTGGTGCAAAAGCAGACACATAGACCAGTGAGAAAGAATAGAAAACACTGAAATAAAGCTGCACACCTATAACCATCTGATCTTTGACAAAGTTGACAAAAAATAAGCAATAGGGAAAGGAATCCTATTCAATACATGATGCTGGAATAGCTGGCTAGCCATACGCAGAAGAATGAAATTGGACCCCTAGCTCTCATCCTATACAGAAATTAACACAAGATGGACAAAAGACTTAAATGTGTGAATTCAAACTATAAAAATTCTGGAAGAAATCCTAGCAAATACTCTTGTAGATAGTGGTCTAGGCAATGAATTTAAGATGAAGACCCCAAAAGCAAAAGCAACAAAATAAAAAATAGGCAAATGAGACTTAACTAAAGAGCTTCTGCATAGCAAAATAAACTTTCAACAGAGTAAACAGAAAACCTGTATGTTGGGAGAAGATATTTGCAAACTATGCATCTGACGAAGGTCTAATATCCAGAATCTATAAGAAACTTAAACAAATTAACAAGCAAAATACAAACCAACCCCTTAAAAAGTGGGCAAAGAACATGAATAGACACTTCTCAAAAGAATACATGGAAGCAGCCAACAAACATGAAAAGATGTTCAATATCACTAGTCATCAGAGAAATGCAAGTCAAAACCACAGTAAGATACCATCTCACACCAGTCAGAATGGCTACTATTTAAAAGTCAAAAAATAACAGATGTTGGAGGGGTTGTTGAGAAAAGGGAACACTTATACACTGTTAGTGTGAATGCATATTAGTTCAGTCCCTGTGGAAAGCAGTTTACAGATTTCCCAAAGAACATAAAACAGATTGCCATTGGACCCCGCAATCCGATTACTGGGTATACACCCAAAGGAATATAAATTGTTCTACCAAAAAGACACATGCATTCATATGTTAGTCACAGCACTATTCACAATAACGAAGACATGGAACCAACCTAAGTGTCCATCAGTGGTGGATTGGATAAAGAAAAGATGATACATATACACCGTAGAATACTACACAACCATAAAAATGAACAAAATCATGTTTTTTTGAAGCAACATGGATGGAGCTGGAGGCCATTATCATAAACTAATTAACACAGGAACAGAAAACCAAATATGGTGTGTTTTCACTTATAGGTGGGAGTTAAAATTTGAGTACAGATGGATGTAAAGATGAGAACAATAGACACTGGGGACTACTAGAGCAGGGAGGAAGGGTGAGTGGGCTAACAAACTACCTGTTGGGTACTGTGCTCACTACTTGGGTGACAGGATTATTCATACCTGAAAATTCAGCATCACACAATATGCCCATGTAAAAACCCTGCACGTGTACACTCTGAATGTAACACAAAAGTAGAAAAAAAATAAAAATAAAAATATAAATTTTGTTTTGCACATACTTGCTGATAATATATAGAAATACAGTAGATTTTTGGGTGCTAATCTTGTATCCTATGATTCTGTGAGATATAGTTATTAATTTTAGGAGGTTTTGTAGATTCCTTGGGATTTTTTATATAGACAATGTCTTCTGAAAATAGAAAGTTTATTTCTTCCTAACCTGTATGACTTCAGTTTGCTTTCTTGCCTGATTGCAATGGCTAGATCTTTCAGCATTATGTTGAACAAAATTAGTGAAAGTGGACAGTCTAACCTTGTTCTCATTATTTGTGAGAAAACTTTCAGTCTTTTTTCACCATTTATCTGTAGTTTGTGAGGTGTTTGTTTGTTTGGTTTTTGGCCAGTGCTCTTTTAACTGAGGAAGTTCCCCTCCATTCCCATTTTTCTGAAAGTTTTCATCATGAATGGGCTGAAGTTTGTCAAATGCTTTTTCCCACATCAATTGATGTTGATTTTTTTAGACTGTTGATAAGATGGATATTTTTTTCCATTCTCATGTCCCTCTGATGAATTCTATTTGGTCATAATTCTTTTTATGTATTACTGAATTCTGTTTCTTAGTGTGCTGGTAATGAGTTTTGCATTAACATTTATGAGGGATGTTGATTTGTAGTTTTTTTATTTGCCTTTATCTCGTTTTAGTATCAGGGTAATACTAATTTTATAAAATGAATTGGGAAGTATTCCCTCTTGTTGTATTTTCTGAAAGAGATTGTATAAAATTGGTGTTAATTCTTCTTTAAGCATTTTGTAGATTTCTCTAGTGAAACCATCTGTGCCTGGAGATTTCTTTTGTGTGTGGATTTTTAAATTATAAATTGAATTTTCTTAATATTATTAACAGGGTCATGGAAATTATCTGTTTCTTATTGGGTGAGTTATGGTAGTTTGTGTTTTTGAAGGAAATGACCCATTTCATCAAAGTTGTCAAATTTATGTATGCAGTGTTGTTCATAGTATTTTCTTACTATCCTTTTGATATCTGCTGTGTCTGTAGTGATAGCTCCTGTTTTCTTCCTACTATTGGTAATTTGTGTCTTTTCTCTTTTTTCCTTTGCAATCTTGCTAGAAATTTGTCAACTTGATTGAACTTTTCAAGAATCTGCTCTTACTTTCATTTATTTTATTTATTGCTTTTGTTTCCAGTTTCATTGATTTCTGCTCTTATATTTATTCATTCCTTTCTTCTACATCTTTGGATTTAGTTGTTCTTTTTCTGTTTTTGAGTTGGGAACTTACATTACTGATTTGAGACTTCTCTTCCAATGTATGAATCTAGTGCTATAAATTTCCCTCATGGCATTGCTTTAGTTGTATCCCACAAATTCTGATATGTCATATATTCATTTTTATTCAGTCAAATGTATTTTTTATTTCACTTGAGACTTGTTTGACACATAAATTATTTAGAAGTGTGCTGTTTAATTTCAAGTGTTTGGATATTTTACTGGTCTCTTATTTTTTATTCGAAGTTTAATCCCATTGTGGTTGGAGAACACAGTCCGTATGATTTCAAATTTTTAATATTTGCTGAGTTTTTTATGGCTCAGGATATGGTCTATCTTGGCAAATGTTCCCTGGGCACTCAGAAAAGATGTGCATTGAATTTCTTTAGTGTATTTTATGTACTTTTGTATTAATTACATTGGGTAGACTGTTCCATAAATGTTGAATAGATCCTATTTGTTGGTTAATGCTATTGTTGTGTATCCTGCTGATTTTCTGTGTAGTTGGTCTATCAGTTGTTGGGAGAAGAGTGTTGAAGTCTACAACTATAATTGTGTATTTGTCTATTACTCCTTTCAGTTCTTTCAGTTCCATTTCACATATTTTCCAGCTCTTGATTGGTGCACATTAATGATTACTATGTCTTCTTGGTGAATAGACCATTTTATAATTTTATGATGTACCTCTCTTGTCACTTTCTTTGCTCTGAAGTCTACCTGATATTAATATAGTCACTCTAGCTTTCTTTGGAGTAATGTTAGTGTGATATATCTTTTTTCGTCCTTTTACTTTTAACCCTATCTATATCATTATATTATTTTAAGTGAGTTTTTTGTAGATAGCACTTACTTGTGTCTGTCATGTTTTTAAATCCACTGTACAAGTACAAATCTGTCTTTATTTTTCATTTTTATCCTTATTTTGAGACAGAGTCTCACTTTGACACTCAGCCTAGAATGCAGTGGTGTGATCTCGGCTCACTGCAACCTCTGCCTCCGAGGGTCAAGCAATCCTTTCACCTCAGCCTCCCAAGTAGCTGGGACTACAGGCATGAACCACCATGCCTGGCTAATTTTTTTTTTTTTTTTTTTTTTTTTGTAGAGATGGGGATTTACCATGTTGCTGAGGCTGGCCCTGAACCCCTGGGCTCAAACGACCTGCCCAGCTCAGCCTCCCAGAGAAATATGATTTTAATTAGCACATTTAGATCATTTACTTTCAATGGAATTATTGATGTATTACAATTCAAGTCTGTCATTTTATTTATTGCCTTCCATTTTTCCCTCCGTTTTTCATTTCTGTGCTTTTTTTCCTTGCATGTAAACATGTTTTAGGATTCTGTTTTGATGTATTTAGAGTATTTTTTAGTGTATCGGTTTATGTAGCTTTTCTAGTGGATCCTTTAAGTATTACATTATATATACATAACTAAGAAGTATATCAGTGTCATCATTTTACCAGTTCAAGTAAAGTACAGAAATCTTTGTCCCTTTTACCTGTCCTGCTTATAATGTAAATGTCTTAAAGATTTCCTTGACACACATTTAGAACCATATCACATAGTGTTGTTTTTGCTTCAGTTGTGAAATATAATTTAGAAACTCATGAGAATAAAAACCCATTATATTTATTTATATTTTTTCTTACCATGTTCTTTCTTTCCCCCGATGTTCCAAGATTCCTTCTTGAGTGTGTATGTGTAAATAAGCATCATAGGTTTTTATTTATTTTTATTTTATTTCTTATATATTTTGGATTTTAATCCCTTATTAGATACATAGTTTGCAAATATTTTCTCCCAGTCCATAGGCCACCTTTTAATTTTGTTCATTGTTTCCTTTGCTGTGTAGAAGCTTTTCAGTTCGATATAGCCTCATTTGCTTGCTTTTGTTGCCTGATATTAAAAACATTGTTGCCAAACCAATATCAAGGAACTTTTCCCCTATATTTTCTTCTAGGAGTGTTATGGTTTCAGGTCTTATATTTGTATCTTTAATCTGTTTTGAGTTGGTTACTTCTTTATCATTTCTGTTTTTATTTAGAAAACTTTCTTTAACCATTTGGCCAGGCACAGTGGCTCACGTCTGTAATCCCAGCACTTTGGGAGGCCAAGGCGGATGGATGGCCTGAGCTCAGGAGTTCAAGACCAGCCTGGGTAACATAGTGAAACCGCGTCTCTACAAAAAAATACAAAAATTAGGCAGGCTTGGTGGTGTGTTCCTGTAGTCTCCAGCTACTACGGAGACTGCAGTGGGGAGGATCACCTGAGCCTGGGGAGTTCGAGGCTGCCGTGAGCCTAGATCATGCCACTGTACTATAGCCTGAACAACACAGTGAGACCCTGTTTCAAAGAAAGAAAGAAAAGAAAAGGAAAAAAAAACGTCTTTAATCATTCTTTTAGGATAAGTCTACTGGCAACAGATTTTCTTGAGTTTTCCTTTATTTGAGATGTCTTGATTTCTCCTTCATTACTGAGGGATACTTTGACTGGGTATAGGATTCTGGGATTGGCATTCTTTTTTTTTCAGCATTTGAAAAATGGTGTGCCACTTCCTTCTGCCCTCCAAGATTCCTAATGCAAGTGTTTTACCCTGTAGGTATGGTGTCATTCCTCCCTCACTGCTTTCAAGACTTCCTTTGTCTTTCATTCTCAGAAGCTTGACGATGGTTTGTCTTGGCACAGAGTTCGCTGGGTTTACCTGTTTGGGGTTTACTCTGTTTCTTAAATCTGTATGTATTTTGTCAAATTTGATTTTTTTTTTATCTATTCTTTCTTTGAATTCTTTTTCAGTCTCTTTTCTCTTCCTCAAAAACTCTGAGGACGTAAATCTGAAACCCTCTGTTTCATTCCTACACATTCCTGAGACACTGTTCATTATTCCTTTTTTTCAGTTGAATTTCTCTCTTTCATTCAGACTGTGTATTTTCTTTTGTCTGTGAAGTTCACTGCACCTCCATGCTACGATTGAGCCCACTCATTGACTTGTATATTTTGGCTACTGAATTTTTCAGTACTAAATTTTCTTTTAGTTCTTGTTTATATCTTTAATTTCTTTGCTAAGACTTTGTATTTCTTTGCTAAGGATTTCTGGTTTTTACTTGTTAAACATGTTCATTACTATTCATTGAAGCATTTTAATCACAACTGCTTTAAAATCTGCATCAGATAATTCAAACATCTCTGTCTTCTCGTTGTCATCTATTGATTGTCTTTTTCCATTCACTTAGAGATCTTGGTTTTTTGTTTTATGAGTGATTTTTTTTTAATTGAAACCTGGACTTTTGGAGTATAGGTTAAACATCCCTATTCCTAAAATCCTTAATTGAAAATGCTCCAAAATTCAAAACTTTTTGAGTGCCAACATACCACCTAAAGGAAATGCTTGTTGGAGCATTTTGAATTTCTGGGTTAGGGATGTTCAACTGGTAAGTGTAATACAAACTGCAAAATCCAAAAAAAAAAAAAAACCAAATCTGAAACAATTCTGGTTCCAAGCCTTTTAAATAAGGTATACTCAACCTGTTATTTTTGTTACTTTTTGCTTTCTTTTGTTTTTTGGGGTTTTGTTTTAAAGACAGGGTCTGTGTGGCTTTGCCACCCAGCCTAGAGTGCAGTGGCATCCTCCCACCTCAGCCTCCTGAGTAGCTAGGTCTACATGCTGACACCACCAAGCTCAGATAATTTTTAAATATTTTTTGTAGAGATAAGGTCTCCCTATGTTACGCAGGCTGGTTTTGAATTCCTGGCCTCAAGTGATCCACCTGCCTTAGCCTCTCAAAGTGTTGGGATTAAAGGAATGAGCTACCATGCTTAGGCCCTGCTGGTTTATATTAGGAGAGACCTGGGTTTTTTTTTTTTTTTTTTTTTTTTGAGACGGAGTCTTGCCTTGCTCTGTTGCCCAGGCTGGAGTGCAGTGGCGCTATCTCGGCTCACTGCAAGCTCCGCCTCCTGGGTTTATGCCATTCTCCTGCCTCAGCCTCCCGAGTAGCTGGGACTACAGGTGCCCGCCACCGCGCCTGGCTAATTTTTTATATTTTTAGTAGAGACAGGTTTTCACCGTGTTAGCCAGGATGGTCTCAATCTTCTGACCTCGTGATCCGCCCGCATCGGCCTCCCAAAGTTCTGGGATTACAGGCGTGAGCCAATGCGCCTGGCCTTTTTTTTTTTTTTTTTTTTTTTTTTTTTTTTTTTTTTTGAGACAGGGTCTCATTGTGTCACCCAGGCTGGAGTGCAGTGGCCTGATCTTGGCTCACTACAACTTCCACTTCCCGGGTTCAGGCAATTCTCCAGCCTCAGCCTCCTGAGTAGCTGAGACTACAGGATTGTCCCACCACAACCACACCTGGATAATTTTCATGTTTTTTATAGAGACAGAATTTCCCCATGTTGGCCAGGGTCGTCTCAAACTCCTGACCTCAATGGGATCCACCTGCTCGGCCTCCCAAAGTGCTGGGATTACAGGCATGAGCCACTGCTCCCAGCCCTGGTTCTTATTTAAACCTTCGGCTCTGCCTGGCATCTATTGCTACGTCTCCAGTAGGAGAAAAGGGAGGATCTGCCTAGTTACTGCCAGTTTGGGAAACTAGTCCAGGTTCTTTATCAGCCTCCATTGATACCAAAGGGGAACTTCTGCTGGGCAGGTGTGGGACTTCTGGCTCCCTACTAGGCTTCCACAGCTACCCTGCACCCCTATTGGGATGGGAAGAAGGGCCTTGCTATTGTCATCCACTTGGCCTACGTTGACAGGAGAGGTAGGCAGCCTCCTTGCCACTCAGCATTGATGAAATCCTGCCTCTCCACCAGGCCTCCTCTCACACCACCCCAACGGGGAATTGTTGGGGGTGGGCTGATGCTTCATTACTGCTGGGTAGAGGTGGAAGTCCAGACTTCCCAGGTGGTCTCCACTTACATTGTGGGGATGGGGAGCTCATTACCACCTGGCAGTGATGGAAGTCCTGGCTCCCTTCATGGCCTTCCCTGATACCACTCCCATGGGTGTTGTTGGGGTGCCTCATGATAGCCTCCCTAGTATGGAAGTCTCGACTAGAAAATATCTGGTGTAGGAGTGGAGACCTCAGATATAGACCACAGTTTTACAAACCTGTGGTATGAAAGTAGCCAAACAGTTGGGGTGAGAGCTTAGGTCAGGATATGGGATAAGGGTTATTTAACATGGCTGGCAGTAATCCATGTTTGCATTCTGAGAACATCTGTGTGGTTTAAGGGGGTAAAGTGAAGCTGTGCGGGGTTGCACATGAATGGCTTGGACAGTACATTACTGGATCCCCTCCCCACACCCCCACATTCATCTTCATGGTTTGGTCCAGGGCCTTCAGTATAGGGAATGTGATTAAATCTCTCATCTTTTGTACAGAGTGTTCCTTTTTTCGTTTTCTTTTCTTTGCTTGCCATGTCTGTGAACTCTGTAGGGCCTGAGTCATTGTAAGCCTTACAACGCTGTGATCACGGATGGAGAGATGGAAAACATGCATTTTACAGAAGTTTCTTGAGTATATATATATATATATATATATAGAAAACAAAACCTCCTGTGTCGCTAAAATTCTTAGAGTGTTGACTCCAGTATTTCTAAACTTAAATATCTGCCGCCTGGATAATGTAGCTTAAATCAGTGATAACTTTTGAGATGTCATCATGAGACTTTTTGGGCTTCATATTTTAAAATCACTGATTTCTTAACTTTATTAGTGAGGGCTTATGTAATAACACATTTTTAGCTTAAAGAGGGATTAATTATAGAATATTCCCTATATGGAATTAAATGTATTTGCTTTTCTAGCATATGGACTTCAGAACCCTAAAGTTGGGGAAGTGGGGTGGAGTCTGAATAGTTTAGATGGACAAAGAAATTCCTGCAAGAGAGACTGTAACCACACTGAAACTGGGCATTGTTTATAGATTTTTTAAAAAGTTTTGTTTCATTCACATACACTCATGACTGTCATATAGATATAGATGATATTATGGCAAATAAAATACAAAATTGTTTTAAAAGGATCCATGGTTGCTTTTGTTCATCAGATGTTTGCTAATCAAAGACTAGAAACCAGGTTACTAGCACATGGAAGTGTTTGAATATTGGGAGTTGTTGTTACGCAGTTTTAAAGTGGATTTCAAATGAGTGCTGTGTTTAACTAATGGAATATAAGTAACATTCTATCCAAAGAACATAATTGTATGTGAGCGTAAACCTTAAAGCAAGTATATTTAATAAAAGACACCAGCAATTTCCGAGGTTGTTCTAAATAATGTTCAGCACATTAAAAAAAAAAGTGGTTCCATCTGTTACTTTCTATTCTTAACAAAAGGGGAAAAAGGAGATCATTTTGATCAATGCCCTTTTAATTCTTAGGCTTGGTATAAAATAAATCACAGTGTTATGGCAATTCATTTATAGAGGTTAAAGTGATATGATGTGGCTTTTCATGGCAACATGGGTTTCACTTGGTGAGCGCCTGGGACTTTGATTTGCCATATTACCTGCTGTGGCTTAAGTGATGCAAAATAATTATTGGGGCTTCCTTGTCACAGTGGCCTATTCCACACCTGCACCCTTTTGTTGGGAACCCAACAGGGATGCTGGATATGCGGTCTCCACTGAATAGACGATCCTCCCTGACTAGTCCTCCTACCCCAGATTGATTTATGGATGCATCAGGCTCTTTGTTAGCATGTACATCCCTAATTAATTTAAAGCCCTCTGTAGAGAAATTAAACTCCTAGTTAAGATTTTTAACAGACTCAGATGGTGCTAATAATGGGGAAGCAAGTCCTATGAATGGATTTACCGTGGTTTCTGGCCTTCATCCTTCACAATGAAGGTTGGTATATGGAGCTGAGAGTGTACCCTCAAATAAAGAATGGGCTGTTGGGAATTATTCCATGGTGGCTCCTAACCCAATTAGGCTTATCATTTGAATTCTAGTTTCCCATCTGTGGGGCGAGAGAGTAAGAGACAGAGGCAGACATGGAACAGAAGAGATAGGATTATAATTCTTCAATCAAATAATTCCTTCTTACTAGTGACTCCAAGTGAAATATATACTATTGGAGTTAGCCTTGGTCTAAGTAGGAGTACAGATATTAAAGCAATTCTCAGAAAGTTTTGGATAACCCTGACAGCTTTGAAATCACCACCAAAAAAAAATCTGTTACTTCAAATCACTGTGAAGAACAGTACATGAAACTAAGTACTAGAGGAAAAGACAGAAGAATTCCAAAGAAAACATAGCTGGATTCCTCTCTAATCCTAGTACAGAAAAACGTTCTAATTATGACTCAAATCTGGATGCAACAAAAGACTGATGGATTTTATATAAAAACTCTAAAAAATTGCATGAAAAAATACTATAAAGTCAAAAGACAACAGACAAACTAGGGCAAAAAAATGTGTATTTGCAACATATATCACAAGAAAGGGTTAACATGTCTATGGTATTAAACCCTTAAAATCTTAGGTTCAAGGATCCAATAGAAAAACCCAATTATGGGAAGGAGACATGCACATATGATTCACAAAAGTTATATACAGATGACCCCTGGGCATATGAAAAAAAAGTTCAGTAGTTAGAGAACTGTAAATTTAAAAACCATGGAGATACCATTTCTCACTTATCAGACTGGTGAAAACTAAATAATATCACACCACATTCTGTTGGTGATGCTGTGGGAAAACAGACACTCATACATTGCTGGCCTTAATGCAAATTGGTGCAATTCTTCTGTAGGGAAATTTAGTCACATCTAACAAGATTACCTACATCTTTGGACTTGGCAGTCTCGGTTTAGGGATCTACCCTCATGATGCATCTGCGGTGGTGTAGAAGTAAACACGCATGAGGTTATTCATTACAGAGAGTACAGCTAGAGACCAATCTTGGTTTCTAAACACCATTCTTGTAGAGTAAAATGAACTGGGACTCTTTGGAGAAATGGTTGATTCCAAAGCTGGAGCAGGGGGGAGAAAAAAAAAAAAAGATGTTACTTGGAATATTTTGTTGTGCCTGAGAATAGGGAAATGCCTCCCAAATAGATGGGGATTTCTCAAAAGGACACAGAATGCAACCTAAAAGGAGCTTTTAATAACCAAAGCTGGTACAATTTGAGCAAGAAAATGAATAATGCAATTAACCTCGGTGATGGATTTTAGCCTGTAGAATAAAATAAATTTCCTTGAGTCCATAATGATGGATGCTAAAATTAGTGGGTGAAAGTATGAGGAATAATAGAATTTGCCTAGTCTCAAGGTATCTCTTCCATGATATATGTTAAATACAAGGAGAAAATAGTAACTTCGCAGTAGAGAGACCTGGTAGAGCCTACTACAAGTAAGCCATCAAGATAAACATCCCTAGTATTAAGATCTAGTGGCACCATGAACTTCTTGATAAGGTACACTAATATTTTTCTTGTAGTATACTTGTCTAAAATGTATAACCTCATTCCAATAATGAGAAACATCAGAAAAACCCAAACTGGAGGGTATTTTATCAAGGTCATAAAAGTCAAGGAAAGACTTGGCAACTGCTACAGCTTAGAAGAGACTAAGGAGACATGGCCATAAATGCCACATGGGATTCTGGATAGGATGCTGGAACAGAGATAGAATATTAGGAGAAAAATTGATGAAATTCAAATAAACACTTTAATTCAGTTAATGGTATTGTACCAGGTTTGTGTTTTTAATCACTGGGGGAAAAAAAGCGTATGTATTTTTCTACCTTCTCTCCATTCTGTTTATCCCCTCTCCTGATTTCCAAATGTCTCATATATCTGTCGTTTATAGCTATCCCAGTGTCCAGATTTTTGGTAAATCTGTCATATGTGGATATTGTCAAAGAAAGCCAGAGCTAGACCATGACTAAATGGCAAAAACAGATTTTATTTTTGGTAAATCTGTCATATGTGGATATTGTCAAAGAAAAGCCAGAGCTAGACCATGGTTAAAATAGTAAAAACAGATTTTACTCGAGTATTGCAATGGGAGCAAGAGGCCTCTGTATAGAACTCAATTCAGGCTCAATTCTGAATACGACAAGGAAAAGTGGGAATTTATAGCAAAGGAGCCAGGGTTAGGGGGACCAGTGGGTGGTAAGGGGGGATTCTGGTAAACCAGCCAAACAGGATTCTTGCTGAAGACAGGCCAGGGTGATCAGACATCATCACCTGGGGGATGGTGGAGGATGATCAGATTTGGAGGCTGGGGAATTCTGTCTAAACTGACTTAGCAGGATTCTTGCCAAAATCAACAATGGAGAGATGAACATGAAAGTTCACAAGTCAGGGCTTCATTGATAAAAGTTCAAAATAACCTGAGTGGAGTTCAGTCAAGGAGAGACTTTTTGTCTATATGAATGATGCTCAGTATTTCCATAGCCATTTTCTTTCTTCCAGCTCCCCCCAGAGTTGAAATCTACCTCTTTATATGAAAGAACAGAAAATATGACCACTATCAAGTTGTCTCTGGCAATATCCCACCCCAACCTCCTGCCATCCCCAAATCTAAAGACTTTACTTAATCTTCGTGGGAATGAGGAGACAGGCACTCCTCAGAGATCAAACATAATCTCACCTGAGTCTTTACTGGTTGCCCCTGGCTTGAGGATGCAGCCCTCAGTGCTCCTGAACCTGAACCTTCTGCCTGACAGCACAGTGCATTGCTTCCAGCACTGAAACCCTTCCATAAAGATATGATAGCCCGTCACGGTGGCTCCCGCCTGTAATCCCAGCTCTTTGGGAGGTCGAGGCAGGCAGATCACCTGAGGTCAGGTGTTTGAGCAGCCTGACCAATGTGATGAAACCCCATCTCTCGAGACTACCCTGGCTAACACAGTGAAAACCCGTCTCTACTAAAAATACAAAAAATTAGCTGGGCGTGTTGGTGGGCGCCTGTAGTCCCAGCTCCTCGGGAGGCTGAGGCAGGAGAATGGCATGAACCCGGGAGGCGGAGCTTGCAGTGAGCCCAGATTGTGCCACTGCACTCCAGCCTGGGCAACAGAGCAAGACTCCATCTCAAAAACAACAACAACAAAAAAAAAACGATTAGCCAGATGTGGTGGTGGGCACCTGTAATCCCAGCTACTTGGAGGCTGAGACAGGAGAATCGCTTGAACTTGGGAGGCGGAGGTTGCAGTGAGCTAAGATCGTGCCTTTGCACTCCAGCTTAGGCAACAAGAGTGAAACTCAGTCTCAAAAAAACAGATATGATAAACTCAGTCTCAAAAAGAAAAGATATGGGTTGTAGCCTCCAGCAAGTGGCAAGATTTGTGATGCAGAAACATTGGGGTCATTCAGGAGTGAATATAATTTAACAATCAATGAAGTGTTAAGACACAAAATGTGGGAGTCTAACTGGGCTCCTCTGTTTGGAGTGTTAGGGTTATTTGTTTTGTTCTCCGTGTTTATTTCTCAGGCCTCTATAACCCTCAGCCTGTTAGAATTTATTTAGGAAGCAGCATAGTGCATTATCAACATATACTTTTGTTTGCTTTGCTTTGGAATTTATTTAAGTATAGATATTTTACGCCATTTGTAAGGTTATCTACATTTTTGGCTTAATGATAAATAGGTATATAGTTGGGGCTCAAGTCATTATTTCTAGTAAACAAAAGTGTTTTCAAAGTGTCCAGAGTCTCCATAGGACTTACTGAAATGTGATGGAAGATACTTTTAATATTGTAGATTTGACCTCACTAAAAATCAAGATGTCAAATAGACATTTTATCATTATTAACTTGTTCCCCAGAAGAATTCTGTTAGCAGTAGTTTTCCAAAGCAGCATTAGTTCTCCATTCCCTATATCCATGTATATATTTATAGGAAGGGCTTATTTTTAAGAGATCCAGCCCTCTAAAGTCCATTTCTTTTTCTCTTCTCTTGTTGCTGCATCTCAGTTGTGGATCTCTTCACCACTTAGCCTTGGTTGCAGAATATGAGAACTACGGCGGATCTATTGTTGTCTGGTTCACTTGTTAGTGGTATTGTGTTGACATATATTTCTGGAGCTGGGAGAGGAAGAAGCTAAGCACCTTTTCTCCTTTGAGATGATTTTATTATTGATTCAGGCTTTCCACCAGAAGAGGGAGCCACATTCATTTAAAACAGCATCCATAATCCTAGTTGAGTTCTTTCTTTTCTTGGCAAGTTGAATGCATGTGACATAGTGCTCTGGGCATGATGGAACCAGACCTCTCTCTTGGGTGAGAAAGAGACCACCTCAGAGACCACCACCGGAGGCCAATGGCATGAGGATGCATTCAGCCCTGTAATAAAGAGATTTGTCCTAATGCTTTTCTCTATTAAAACAACAAAACAACAAACAAAAAAAACATGCTTATTCCCTGAAGACCACGTTTCTACTCAGTTGGGGGTCACATTTCTGCTGGATTAAAAGGATTGAATCTTTAATTAAGCATGTAATGGCCTACTTCTCTTTATCATTCCACAAAAACAACTGTCTCCTTTTGTGGGTTTCATGTCACAGTATGAAAAACAGGTTGTTGCCTTTTATTATAACTTGAGATGCCTTCAAAAGCACCCTGCCTCAAAATGCTCCCTTTATCTCTCTACTGACCTGCTTAAATGTCTAGAATTCTAGCGTGAGAAAGTAATTCATTTAGATTATTACATTTTGCTTCAGATAGTCTCTTCAAAAATTGTCAGTATCGCCAGTATGGTAATATATTAATCTATCAGGAGCTATGTATGTATACTAGATCAGTTTATTAGACTTAGCAAGCTTGTCACCTGAGTAAACCAGGAGAAGGTTGTGTTTTAAAGAGGACTGGAGACGAGTTATTGCTGGGGCATGCTTGGGAGGGTAGATCTGCATGTAGGCTATGCTGATAAATGTCTCAGGGCCAAAAAGAAAGCTTAAGTGAAATGGGACATCCACAAGGACAATATGGAATGAAATGTAGAAAAGAAGAAGCCATGGCTTTGGAATAGTCACTCCCATCGCCATTGCTGTGAATGGAGTCTTGTCAATGCCTCAACAAAATAGGCTGTGTATGTTCCTGTTGTTACAGGGCAGAATGACATTTCTCTTTAGAGGGAATGCTAGCTATTTTTTCTCCATCTTTGCTTTCTATGGCAAAAATACAAACACAGTGTGGAATAAAGAAAGGCACAGAGGTAGAGATGATTCTGCAAGGCATGGGACAGATTACTTCGTTACAGTCATTGCAGAATTCTTTGGGAACTCACAATGATAGAAACCATAGTATACTATGGATGATGATGACAAACCATTATCCTCATATTCATGACACACCATTTCTGCACAGCATCTGCACAAGCTTTTTACAACCCAGAGAAGTAGCTGTGGTTATTAACACCCAGTTGCACTAGTTCAGAGGGGTTAAATAACTTGCCCAGGTCCCACAGCTAGGAAGATGCAGAGCTGGTTTTTGAGTTCTATCTGCCCCCACTCTGCCCTCACCCACGTTCCCAGCCGTTGCACAATCTTGCCTTCCATCCTTACAAGGAGCCCCAAAGGCAATGAAATTAAACATTTCCTCTAATATCATCTCTTTTAAAATGCCCATCCTTCTGGCCATTTTAAAGAGTATTGCTTTTGTATGAATCACTGAGAATTATAAAATATAATATGCCCATAATAAAATTATTTTTTAAAACATCATCCAAGGTAAGCATTTCAGTGTTCTGAAAGTCAGGGTCTGATGATTGCAGGCTCTTTGTATTGTAAGTTGGGAATATAGTGCAACTTCTGTGTCTATTGGTCTGTTTGTTTATTGCTTTACGGACATTCCTAAGTGGCACAGGGATGCCTTATGCTTACGTAACCCCTTTAATGCCTTACCTTGGCAGCCACATCAGAGTATTTGCTATCACCTCAAAACTGCCAGGGTCATTTCATATCAGATCAGTTCTTCAACTGTGCAAAAGCAATTGTATTTTCTAACTGAAAACAGATGGATTGCTACTGCTCTGCGTAGCACTCTTGTGGGGAGTTGGCCTCATGTGTGTGCGGGTGTGGGCTCGCCGCACACACTAATAACTGCGAGTGGGAGCCACTTTAACGTAAAAGCATCAGGCTCAGCAGTCTTGATAAACTCTCCTCAGAAGTCCCTGCAGGCAGCAAGTGGAGTCTGAATGCTTATGGCAGCAGTCCTGGGTTAATATTGTCACAAAAAGGGAAGCTCTGGATAACCACTGATAAAAGATGGCAGAGACACTCTGCGAGAGGAGAAGATATATGACAAACCATCTAGCTGTTCTGTCGGTAAAGCTCCACCATCCCCTGGGTGAGCTGTCTTGAAAGGGAAACAGATGCACTGCTTTGTCTGTGCAATTGGACCTGATTGGGAAAGAAAAGATTTCCATCTTGATTAGTGGAAGGGAGATTTACTGTAGCACATCTGATTGGAGGTTTCAAGATCGAGGTGGTGGAATTCTAGAATGGAACGGCAAATAGTGACAGCACTTGATATGTTGCTCTCCCATTTACTGCAGTGTACTTTGGCATTTTAAGGTCAGGATAGTTAGACAAGATTGCTGAGAGTTGTTTGGAAGTCTTTTTCCCACTTTATGATGTTTATTTTATACATTCACTGCTACTGACAGATGCTGGTATATTTTTCCTGTATAGTCCCCCTTATGCTGAAATACTTGGTTCAAGACTGGTTTGTACAACTTTACAAGGACAGTGATGGAGAACGACTAGCATGTCCCCTGGGTCCCAGGGCTGTCCAGCAAGAGGGGCAGCCTGTCCATTTGGGATACAGCGTTTAGAAGGTGGAAATGCTGTCTATGGTTCAAAGAGGAAGCTGAGTAAACTCTTTTACCACACAGTGAGGAATACACTCTTTATTTGAGAAGTACTTTGAGTCTCCTGGCTCTGAAATCTGTGCCATTAACATAAAGAACAAATGTGACCTTATAAATATGGGGAAAAATGGATTGAAGCGAATTTTAAATATGGAAATTGAAAATGTATGTATTATATCTGAAATATTTTCTCTCAGGATGAAAGGAGGAGGAGCTGTTTTGGGGTCTTAGCTTCTAGTGTCAAAGTTCTTAGGAATTAATTAGTTTGCAGCAAATTGAACTCAGTGACTCTCTACTGACTCGAAAGAGGAGGTGGGCTCTCTAGAAAGTCAAGCAGGCAAAGCGGAAGGGAGCTGGATACTGGGAAGGACTGTTTTAATGACTCCACACTGTAATAGATCTCTTCCATTTACCAAATAACCTGTTTGGTTTTGAGAGTCTGTATAATGAAAGGAACCCCAGAAACAGTGCGGACACCTCTGTCAGGAATGAGCAGGGAATAGTCCATTAGGGAAAGTGTTGGTTGGGGGCTTTATATATGGTCATATGCTACTGTTCCAGAAAGTGAGATTCAGGCAACATCTGTGGTCAAAAAAAAAAAAAAAAAAAATGTTATCAGTTGAAATTCACTCTTAGAAAGTATGTGAAATTGTTAAGTCAAGGAATGTGGATTCGTAAGGTAGTGATTAAGTGCGTGGGCTCAAGAGCCAGGCTGTCTGAGTTGGAATCCCAGCTCTGGCATTGTGACTTTGAACACATTCCTTGACCTCTTCAGGCCTGCATTTTCTAATCTGGAGAGTGGGAATAATAATTTCAGCTTGTTCTAGGGCCATTGTAAGGATTAAAAGAATTATCATATAAAGCGCTTAAAATAGTACCTTGCAAACAGTAAACACACACTTAAAATTAGCTATTAATATTACCTTATCACTGTTATGATGATAATGTTATAGCATTGAAGCTGACTTAATGAATCGATCATATCTATATACTTGCAGGGGAATAATTGGATGGAGAGGTGGGGAGCAGGAATCTGTAGTGGGAAGACACTTTCTTCCCATGGAAGTAAAAAGAAAATTCTTTTATAGAAAATGGAATTTTCAACCTTCAGAGATCATGTGATCAAATGACATTTTACTAATAAACTGAGGCTTAGTTACTTGACTTGTATAAGGTGACATGGCTAGTTCATGTCAAAGCTGGAACTAGAAGCTAATCCGTGTTCTACGCTTTGATCCAGGGTATCATGGTGCAGTTGAAAGAACAGTTGATTTGGAATCAGGAGACCAGGGTTCGTTGCCTCACTTCATTATATACTACTTCAAGCAGGTCTCTTAACCTTGAAAATGATGCTCTAAAATATCCACAAGATAAAGAAGCTTTCTTTCCTATCTACCATGTATGGTAGGGGGATCAAATATGTTAATATTAATATGATTTGTGAACTAAAGAACTTTGTGAACGTAAGCTTTTA
The DNA here is from genome assembly GCF_000001405.40 of Homo sapiens. Taxonomy (NCBI): domain Eukaryota; kingdom Metazoa; phylum Chordata; class Mammalia; order Primates; family Hominidae; genus Homo; species Homo sapiens. The sequence goes on along the minus strand of NC_000002.12, from coordinate 133,167,416 downwards.
TTATTGTTGCATCATACACCGTGAAGTAGTTTAGAAATGACTTACACTGGGATTATTCTTAATGATGGCAAGGATATTATTTACTTCAATGATTTATCTTAGTTATTAAATAATAGCTAAATCATTATGCTGCCTTCCACCCTGAGTGATACTAAGATGAGTAAGCCAAGTGGGTTAGATTTCTCTGGGTTATAACCTGTCATGCTGACACTAAGTGTTGTCACTTAAACTTTTTATTTTCACCAAAGGGCTTCAGTCCCATCACAGGATACCTCTTTTGCTCTTAGGTAAGTGGATTCTTGAGGGAAGCTGAAGTTGTAGGGGATTTTATTTTATTTTTTTATTACAGACCACAACCTGTTAATCTTAAGACCTGAAAGTTGCTGGAGTCACAGGAAAGCATTTGAGCTGAAATGTTTAATTTGCTTATGATTCAAGTTAGTGGTACTTAATTCTAAGACATTAGTAGGTAATCCTGTCATCTAGAATGTAGCCTGCTGATCATAAACCAGCTCAGACGGGAGATCTGTAAGGTTGACTGCCAGAGACTACAAAAAGAAAAAATGTACTTTAAATCACAAGCTCAAGAAATGTCAGCCCCCTAAAACCAGATTTCAATTTTAAAACCTTTTTTGGTAGCTGTAGTTCAGTTTTTCAGTTTATGTATGTGATGAATTTTAAAGACAGTCCAAGACTGTGCCGAAATGAAAGACATTGTATGGCTTGGGTAATGTGAACTATTCTCTAAGCTTAAGGATTTTAAAGATAAAAGTGATTAAGATGAAACAGGAATGAAACATACTTCATCATTTGTGTGTATATGTGTTTAAATTTAAGGTAGGAAAAGCTGGCCTAAGGCAATAATGCAAAAGACATAGGGAAAAGTTACATAAAGAGAGACCTTCATCTTTACACTAGAGGGACAAAGAACAAGTAATAAGAATGACTAAGCCCCAAAACACTAATTAAATAAAAGATGTTTTAACCACTCTAGGGAATATAATGCATCCATTTAAATGTTTGTGAAGACTATATTACAACGTGAAAAAGTTATTCATGATATAATAATGAGCAAGATATAAAATTGTATGTAAATTATGATTGCATCTCTATAAAGTATGAACCAGGCAAAATGACTCACATGAAGTATGCTACATTAAAGTAATGGTTTTACTGATTATTGTTTTATCTTCTCAAATTTCAGGGTTCCTTCTCTGTGGAATGTTTCTCTCCCAGTTCTTTGCATGAGTGACTCCTTTTCATCCTTCTGTTCTCTATAGCTGTTTCCTATTCTGATAGACTTTCTCTGATGGACCTCACCCCATTCCTTCCACTGCAGGGCCCTATTTGATACTGCCAGAGGATGTTCTTTAGTTTTTCTGGCGGTCCCTGAAAACAAAGACCACATACTTTTCATCCCCACTGTTGGTAAAGCACCAAACATGGAACACAGCGTAGAGCAGGCACTCAAACATTGGTTGACTAGTGGAATGCTAATGGAATTCACCAAAAAATAATATAATCTTTGTATAAACTGATCTGAGAAGTTGATGATGAAATCAACTTAGTTGATTATAGTGAAATATCTTCCTTTTATGAGAACAAAAGGCTTAGGATTTCTACCAGGGGATCTAAGGGGCCAAATAGTAGCCAGCAAATGACCTGGGTATCTGATACCAAAGATGGCAGGTGATCTTAAAGGCAAGACCCTTGCATGCTCATAACACAGGAGAAGCATCTGTGTGTCACAGCCCAAAGCTTACACCCATCACTGTCTCTGTTGTCAGCACTGGACACCCTGCTTGTTCTATCACCCCAGCTTTTGATTTTCTGCAGTTCCTTTCATCTGAGAAAGTCAGTCTGCTTCTGTGCTTTCCTCTCTTGACACACGCAACTGTAGCTCATTCATTTTCACTACTAGATGGTTTCACATTGCATGGATGTACCACAATTTAGCCATTCCCCTAATAGAAATTTGGATTGCTTCTATAAACAATACTGAATATGACTTTTAAAAGATTTTCTTAAAACTCTTACATAGGAGTTTCTTGAAGGTACCCAGGAGGAGAAAAGCTGGGTTGCAGGCTGTGAGCATCTTGAACCTGAGCTGTATCACATAATGCCAAATTGCTTTCCAAAGGGATTGTACAGTGTGCAGTCCCACCAGCAGTGTTTGAGAGTTACTTTTGCTTTTGTCAGGGTTTATCTCCCTTGACACTATTGACATTTTGGGCCAGATAATTCTGTGTTGGGGTAGTAGGCTCTGTCTGTGCATTGATGGATGTTCATTGGCACTCTGGCCTTCACCTTGCAGATGGCAGTCACCTCCTCCCATCCCCAGCTGTGACACCCGAAAGTTTCAAGACATGGCCAAATGTCACCTAGAAGAGGGGAGGCAAAATCATCCTCATTTGAGAACCACTGCTCTTTCTTTGCCAACACTTTGTGTTACCTAGTCTGTCTTCATACCTGTTAACAGCACAAAGCCAGGCATGTTGATACAGACGTCCTGTGCCTTGGATGAGGGATCTCTTCAGGCATCCAAATACAGCTTATTGCTTCATGTTAAATATTTTCCCAAGATTCTCTTCTAAAACACATTATTTCATTTCCAATCTTCAGGGGTCTCCTAAGTTTTCATCTGGAAAGATCCATGGAAAGCAGAGATTCCCGAGACACTGAAGGATAGGGGTTTAAGAACCTGGATAGCCAGGTTGGTGTGTGGCCATTTAAACAGACTGGAATCCCAAAGCCACAAGGAAAGTGGCAAGAACTTGGACTTGATTTGGAGTAGAAATGGTGAAAGACAAGATGCAGAGCAGGTTCTCATCAAACAATCTTTAAAACCTCATAAAAAGCTATGGTTTATACAATTGTGTTGTAAGGTGTAACAACAAGACTACATAATAATAAATAAGATTTGTTTAGTGCTCTGCAATTCATTTTATGGACTCTTCAGCAAAAACAAAGGGAAGCAAATGAGGTACCCAGGAGTGAACAACGTTGCCAAGACCCACAGCTAGAAAGAGTCAAAACCAGGATTCAAACACAGCTCTCACTCCAGAGCTCGTTTTTACCTTCTATCATCTTTCCTCTTCCTGTGACTACAATCTATATTTGAATATCAAAACAAAAGCAGCAGTTTGGATAAATAACTTTTTATACTACTTGGCACCATAGTTGGTTTTTTTCTTTTTGTGTGTGTGGATGGACCACCACAGATTGTTGAAGGCATCAATTTATATATTATGAAAAAATATCCTGTGCTTGCATAGCATGGACCTGTACACAGTGAACTGTTTGAAAATTGACTTCTCGCCTGTGGGCTTGGAATTATTCTCTCACTGTTTGCTGCGTCTCACTTCCTTTATATTGTCTGTTTTCTGAGGCCTTGCTGTGCTTAAAGTAGGCGTTCAATTGATGCTTGCTTTGTTCAGTTGAGATATGCCCATATTTAAGATATCTATGTTTTGAGAATCCACATTTGCAAAACAGACAAATTATTTAGTGTAGATGTACAAGAAAAGGTTCTTACCTAGTTACGGGACTGGCTCCAAATAACAGGAATCTTTGAATTGGAATTCATCTCATACAATTACTACTTGACCTAGAAACTAAAAGTTGAAGTTCAAGTGTGAGGATATTTGAGAAGTGAAAATAAAAATTCCTTTTAAATGAGAATAGAAGTCAACGGGAACATGGAAAAAGTTTAAACAACAACAAAACTAAGCTCTGTTCCTCACTGCACCTTTACAAGAACGCATAGGTAGATACCATCTCAGCATCTCTGAATTATGAAATTCCTCAGGCAGAAGTTACGCATTTTTGAGTTCCAATACCAAAAGGTTTTTATTCTGAAATTTTACTCCAGCAAAAATATAAAGCTGTCCTGACTTGGTGCTGATAACAACAGTCAGTACTAAGTAGATGTAATAATATTTTCTGAGGTGTCTGGGAACTCTGGACAAGTTAAATATTCATCTCCCGTCTTCTATGGGCCTCTATACTTGCCTGTTGCAGCTCAGGAGCAAGAAGGCTTAGATTCCAATGACATCAACAGAGATTTGAGCCTGCGATAAATGGGCTTCATGCCCTGTGTCTGTACGTGTAGAGGCAATCAAGTTAAAGCACAAGAAGCAGCTGTGATCTGAGAACACCAGTGTGTATGGGGCCTTCGGGACCAATCACATAGGCAGAGACACAACAACAGAAATGCTGGGATATTTTCATGTGGAATGATAGCCCTTTAATTCCTCTGGAGGTAGTCAAAGTACTGTTTGGGGTGTTTTCTCTTTTTTTGCTGTGAGTTCCTTGAAACTTAATCTTTCATCTTTTTAAATGTATAAAGGTAGGGCATTTTAGAACGTTTCCCCCATTTGCTGACATGCAACTGAATATTGGAGTTTCCTTGGGCAGTTCTCTTTTATACTTCTCCTTTTATGGAGGTGAAAGCATCATCCTAGTTCTCTAGTGCCATCTTTATGTCTCTGAACCTTCACAATAATGCATTTTCTCACATGGAAAAAAATAACGTATGACTGTTTGGGGATCTTACTCTTGAAAAGCACTTTGTTTACAAACACACAGTTATTTTAACTGCAGAAAGTAATTTAAGAGTAGCCACAAGTGGCTTTGAAAGCTCTCAGTTTCCTGAATTGTCTTCTTATAAGACTATGTATTGTGGAGATGTAAAGACTTGAACATTTCCTAAATTAAAAAAAAAGAAACAAAAAAAAACAATGTTGCATCAAGAAGTCAATTAAATTTTTCCTTAAGAGTAAAAATGGATTATAGAATGTGAAGATTGATCCAAGTAATAGGTGACGGTCTCAAGGGTGTTCATGAAAGAATTTAGGGCTTCTGTAGATTATGCTGATTTTTTTTCTCTCATAGTAACACTCTATATTTACAGGGATGAATAAATGTTCAACTTCTTTTTTCAAAAACAAATATGTTTCTGCAGCTTTAAGTATGTATTTATACTTCTACTTTCCATAGATCAATCCCTTTTCAACTTAAGATGCTACAACTCTTGTAAATGTTGGTACAGTACTTTTTAAATTCAAAATGTTTTTCCACATAGATCGTTAATCTCTAGCACAGTGCTTTATGTGAATTTTAAATGCAGTAATTAAATGACTTCTTTTAAAAAAAGTCTTTGCAAATGCCACCCTTGGATGTGATAAAAAATTATCTAAAACTTAAAAAATATTTGTTCTTGGCCTTTTGCCTATTTATGTAGAACATCCTTTTTCCAAAGGCTGGTGGTATGGTGTGAAAAACACATGCTTTTGAAAGTAGTGAGTGCCTAATTATAGGTTCTATATATGAACTATACAAGAGGGCACAGAAAAGGCCAAGAATGAGTAAGTGCAAATCTGCTTTAAATAGTTCCTTGGAGATAGGAAGAATTAGGTGAAGCCCCTTGACTCTAAACTTAAGGTTTCAAGGGATTTCTAGAAAAAGTTTAAAAACTCTGTACTTTTCTCCCTGGTTGTAGATCCCTGATACAGGAGATCCTATATGGAAGAAGATCCTATATAGGAGAAGATGTCTTTGTGGACAGTTCTGGGCCCTATATACCTCATGTCTTTCTGGCATAAAAGAATAAAATAAACCTTCCTTGGACAGGCCTGAGCTTTCAGGATGCCATTACTTTGAAACGTGAATCTCAGTTGAGAGTTTCTAAAGCTTAATTTTAAAAATTGTTACATCTTGAAAATTTCACATGAGAAATTCATGGGCTGGGAGAAAGCATGACCACCTAAGGGTTGCAGGGCTAAGTATCTTGCTGACACATAATACTGACATCACAATGCTAGGTGGTGCCTCTCTGGTTTTGGCTGGAAGGCTGACTTAGCATCAACAGTACAGAGCTATGTGGGTACCCGGCTGTATTTGCCAAAGTGATTGACACACTGAAGTGCTTAAATTAAAATCTGGGCTAGAGGTGTATTTCTATGGGACAAAGTCTAAATTTAGCCTTGAATGCGTTGTTTTTAGGTGTGTAACATCTGAATATATTTTTAGATGGACTAATTTTCAATAAACATATATAGGGTTTGTGCTGGCTGTAGAACACTGATTTTGGGTGCAGCATGATTAAGATGAGTCATACATCTTGGCTCCAGTCTCATAGAGGAACGGTCTCCAAACTTTTTGGCACCGGGGACCAGTTTCGTGGAAGACAATTTTTCCATGGGCTGGGGGTGGAAGTTGGAGAGATGGTTTCAGGATGAAACTGTTTCACCTCAGATCATCAGGAATTAGATTCTCATAAGGAGGGTGCAACCTAGATTTCTCAGATGTGCAGTTCACAATAGGATTTGCACTCCTATGATAATCTAATGCGGCCGCTGACCTGACAGGAGGCAGAGCTCAGGTGGCAATGCTTGCTCTTGGCTGGCTGCACATCTCCTGCTGTGTGGCCCCATTCCTAACAGGCCACAGACTGCTACCGGTCCACAGCTTGGGGGCTGGGGACACCTGTCACAGAGGATATCAGTTCAGTGATTACTAAGTAGTTTAGTAAGCATAAGACAGTTTACTACTAATATAACCTGTAAAGTAGAAGACTCTCCCTAGAAATAGATTATCATCTAGATTTCTTCTAAAGGAGAAAACTCTGGGACTAATCCTCAGAACTGGGTATGGAAAGTTCTAGGAGAAGAAAAGGGTAGTAAGTAGCAGGAAGGGTGAGTAAATTGTGCACCTAAAAGGGCCAGTCTGTCCACATTGGAGGGTAAATTACTGGCTGAAGAGCTTTCGATGCTGGTCAGAGTTGCTATTTTATATATTTAGCTTTCAAACCTTATTTCAGCCATTGTTATGGGTTGGATTGTAAATCCCAAAATTTATTTGGTCCCCAGTACCTCAGAATATGACCTGGGAGTTCTCTGAATCTTTTCTGATCCTAAGGGCTGCCTGATTCATGAATTGTTCTTTGATCAAATAAACGCTGCTAAAAAAAAAAAAAAGAAAAAGAAAGGAAAAGAAAAAAAAAAAAAAGAATGTGACCTTATTGGGAAATAGAGTCTTTGGAGATGTAATTTATTAAGATGAAGTCATCTTGGAGACTGGAATAGAGTGAACCCTATAAATGTACAAGGAGAATGTCCTGTGAAGATTGGAGTCATGCTGCTAAGCTCAGGAACCCACTGGAAGCTAGGAGGGAGGCCTGGAGCAGATCCTTCCCTACTGCCTTCAGGGAGCCCTGAAGGTGGTCTGCTGATACCTTAGTTTCAGACTCAGACTTCTGGCCTCCAGGACTGTGAGATAATACATTTCTATTGTTCTATGTCACCCAGTTTGTGTTACTTTGTTACAGCAGCCTTAGAAAACTAATACAGCTGCTGAATCTTTGTTCAAATTGCTATGTAAAAGCTATCAGAGTGGAGGTACTCTGATTGAAGACCAGATGGGGAGAAGATGGAGAGAGGGACTACATATCCCCATCATGTGTACAAACAGTTCCCTTCCTTTTGCTCCCCATCATACTTTTGCCTAGAGTGACCCCTGAGAACATTTTTCAAGCCACTGTTTAATTTAGGAGGCTCATTATGTGTACTATTGGACTATATTTGCCATTCCAGTCAAGCTTTTCTTTCACAGTCATTCCAACTTGCTTGTGCCTGTCACTGTCATGTTCTACTTTTTTGAAATGCTTGCTTAAAAAAATCTAACATCTTTATTCAATCAATTTAAATACTATTTACTGTATAAAGCCTTCTCTAACTACCATGAGCCTCATTGACTTTTCTCTCCTCTGAATCCTTTCAAAACTTACAGGAACATGCCAGTGGTTCTCACCAACCCTGCATATTGTACTTAATGATGGAATGTGTTGCTTTATGGAGTGGGACTGCCCTCCCTATAGATCGTTCATAGGGTCTTTGTATTAGTTTCCTATTGCTGCCATAGCAAACAGTCTACATTTAGCAGCTGAAAACAACAGATACATGGCATCTCACCATTCTGTAGGTCAACAGTCTGGGATACCTTGACGGGTTTCTCTGTTCCAGGTCTCCCAAGGCTGAAATCAAGTTTTGGTCTGCTGGACTCTTATTGCAAGGCTCTGGGAAGAATTTGCTTTCAGATTCACTCAGGTTGTTGGCAGAATCTGGTTCCCTGAAGTTGCAGAACCGAGGACCTCATTTTGTTTTAACCGGGGACCAACCTCAGCTCCTAAAGGCCTCTCTTCAGTCCTTGATGTGGGCCTATATCTCAGAGCCAGCACTGGGCGCACTGAGTCCCTCTCATGCTTGGAATCTGACTTCTTCTTTTGCTGCATCTCTCTGTTTCCAGCCGGAGAAATTGTCTGCTTTTAAGGGCTCCCAGATTAGACTGGCCTCACCCTTATAATCCAAAACAATCTTCCTATTTTAAAGTCTGTAACCTTAATGACATCTGCAAAACCACTCTTGCCAAATTCACATTTTCTAGGGATTAGGGTGTGGACAACTTTGGTAGGCTGTTGTTCTATCTACTGTAGCCCTTAAGAGCACAAGCCATGCATTGTATTTCTTCTTTATTCCCTCTCCCTTTTGACCCTAGCACCAGTGCCCAGAAGAGCAGTAGGTTCTCTGTAACTTTAGTTGTTGAGTGATTAATTGAATGATGGGTAATCAATGAGGCATGATATTGTGTTATTGAACCAGTGGCTAATCTAAATTATATTTGGAAAGATTGTTTTGTTAATTGAATATAAGATAGATTGAAACCACAAAATACTAGAGGTGTCTAGACTGGCAAGTAGTGGAGATAACATATAAATGAGGTAATGGGTTATGTAACTCTGGGATTGTTGTGGAAATAGAGAATAGAGAAGCATCATTCTGAGGTGTGAATAGGACACCTGGATGCTAGTCTTAGAGTAGGTAGCCCCTTATTTATGTGTCCAACACAAAATCTCAGTGATATTTTTGAACAAGCAAGTGAATGAATGCAGCACAATGGATTTTAAATCATAATTCAAAGTGAGTTTAAAAGGTGCAGCCTCCATTCTGAAGACTGAAGTGTGTATTGCTATTCATATTCTTAAAAATAAATGGAAGAAAATGTGTAATTATCTTGGATTTCCCCTAACACTCCAGAAAAAATTATCTGCAGGCAGCAGTTTGTTTTCTTCATATTTGCCCACATTACCTGTTTCTGCAGCTGCATCCAATCAATATACTGAGATCAAAGAACACAATGACAGCAAATATACTCAGCACTTGCCTCAAATAGATTCCAGTGAAAACCTCCCTAACCAAGAGCAAACAGAAAGGAAGGACAGCATATTTTAAATTTCCTAAAGGACAAGTGTCCGATTTTTGTTTGGAGCAATACTGCTCTCTCTGGCTACCCATATCCTCTTTCATTTAGAAGCACATCTACCCTTTAGTTGAAATATATTTTTATGATACAACATGCATTGTATCATGTGGCAACCATATTACTACTACTCTCAGTGTTTCATGAGGTAGAGAATTAACTAGTGGACCTGCCAGTTATATGGGGTGATTGTAAGGCAAGTGGAGAATCACTTTCTCAGTTGGAAAAATACCTTAATTTATTAGATTACATGGATTTTTTAATGAAAACATTAATTTGAGCAAGCATTCCCATTAGTAGATCACATTTAATAATGTTGTTTACCACCACTCCATAATTAACATGAAGTCTTTCTCTTCTATGCAGTTTCTTTTTATACACTATCCCAGCGTTTCTCAAAGTGAGTGCCAAATGCAAAGCCACTAACATTTGAGGCACCTAAAGTGCTGATTAAATAGAGAAATTCCTGGGCATGTCTAAATCTTCTGAGTTTTATTCTCGGGAGTTTATTGTGAAAGAAAAAATACTCCTTAGAAACAAAGAAAATCTCCACAAACAAAAGCGTGAAAACCATTAATCAAAACACAGAATGCATTGCTCTTTTCCTAACAAACACTCAATAAGATTAGCTAAATATAGAGCCTCCTGCCCCTTTGAAATCTGTCAACCCCAGGCAGATGGGAAACCTTTCCTCTACGTATTAATGCCCTCTGGTAGGAACACAGTAAGTACTAGTTCTTCACAGACATGCCTTTTCATAGGTGGTGGAGATACTCACTGAAGAAGAATGTAGCAAATGCTTATTATTGCACTGTTCCAATGACTGTGCTTGAGGTTTGGAGGATAGAAGAAAGTAGACCACCATTTGATGGGCCCGCTTGTTACCTACAGCCTGATTTGAAAGATAAGATATACTTACATTCAAAAGCAATAAAATTGGTAGATTCCAGATGTGAGATATAGAAAATAGCTATTGACAGTATTTGAGGCAAAATGGAATTATTGTGGGTTGGCATTGTGTTGGGAACAGGGCAGGAGCTAGGTTCTGAGAGATGTGAACAAAAATGAGTAGCATGCTGTTTTAAGCAAGGGACATACACAGTATGATACAGAGTTGGAAATATTCAGATTGCAAGGTACAGGTGAACAGCACCTGGAGTGGAGAGTTCATATGAGGGAATGGTAAGATTAGGTTGGCGTGCTAGCTTGGGACCAGCTTATGAAGGATCTTGCATGCAAACCCTAAAAAATCTGGCTCATGTTCATTGGGTAATAAGAAGCTGTTAAATAGAGACAAAGTCATGATCAGAGATTTAAGATATAAGATGGATTAGAGAACAGGGAGATTGGAGGCAAGGAAGCAGGTTAGGAGGCAAGGAAGCAGGTTAGAATGCTAATACCCAATTATCCCGGTCACAAATAATAGAAACAGGAAGCAGAGTTGTGGAAACGGGAAGGAATAGATACAAGCATTGTCGTGGAAGATGAACCAATACTCAGTATGTTAGCAGTGAATCTTTGCTTGTGTGGAGCAAAGCGTTAGGGAAAGAAACTGGAATTTGGAGTCTGGAAACATTGTATATGAAAGGCATATACAATTTTTAAGATTTCATACACATTTTAATTTATTTGTTTTCTCAGCACATATTTTTGGGCTACCTGGAGATGCCTGGAACATGCTGTGTTAGGGTCTGGAGATACAGAAATGAAGTAGATAAACTTTCTGCTAAAGAGCTTCCAGAATCATAGAAAACCCGGAAAGCTGGACCAGCAATTACAAGAGGTGAAAAACTGACGCTGAGCTTATGCGTCTGGGTTCCTGGGAGGAAGTGATGCTATTAATCACAAGAGGGAACACAGCAGGTGCAGTAGGCTTAGAAAGAAAGCAGAGAAGGTGAGTTTTCCCTCTAATTTAAGGTGCATTGTACCAAAGAGTAGTCCAATGGGAAATAGATGGCACATCTGAAATAGGATAATTCAACAAGGGTTTACTCTACAAGGACTGTTTGCAAAGGTGTAGAAACAGGTGAGAGACAGTACAGAAACTGGGGACTTTGTAGCAGTCAAACTGTCATTGCCCTGTCTTAAGAGCTGTATAGGGAGTAGGGAGCAGTTACTTGAACCTGGAGGGATGAATTCTTTATATTAGTCAGAGTTCACCACAGAAACAGAGACAACTGGATGTGTGTGCACACACGTAGAAAAAGAGAAAGACTTATTTTGGCTCACATGATTGCAGAGGCTTGGTAAGTCCAAAATCTGCAGGGTAGTTCTGTAGGCCAGAGAACCAGGGAAGAGTTTCAGTTTGATTTTAAAGATAGTCTGTGGCAGAATTCCCTCTTCCTAGAAGGTCAGTCTTTTTCTATGAAGACATTCAGTTGATTGGTTGAGGCCCACCCACATAACAGAGGGTGATCTGCTTTACTCAAAGTCTACAAGTCTACTGGTTTAAATGTTAATGTCGTCTAAAAAATACCTGCATAGAAACATCTAGAATAATGTTTGGCCAAATATCTGGGTACTGGTGGCCTAGCCAATTTGACACATAACATTAATCACCACAGTCTTGTAGAGTGGGTCACCTTGAGAAGAGCACAGACTTTTGGTAGAAGTAGCTCAGTAACCTTCCAGGGAAAGAGCTGTGGCAGGGGTTCTCAAAGTGGAGTCCTGGCCACCAGCATCCGCATCACCCAGGAACTAGTTAGAGGTGCAGATTCTCAGCCCCATCCCAGCAGTACTGAATCAGAAATGCCAGGAGTGGGGCCCAGCAATCTCTGTTAACAGGCCTTCATCTGTGTGATTTTGATGTACTCTAAAGTTTAGGAATCATTGAGTCAGGTGAATAAAACTCCTCCCTCCCTGGTCCTTCCTCTGATCTCCTGTTTGAGCTCCTCCAAGGTTGGACTTCACAGGAAGCCAGAGGCAGAAAACAGATTATTGATGAGGGCACAAACATTAGCCTCCCAGGGCAGGAATCAGAGTGGGAGAGAGTAGAGAAGGGTCAGGAAAAGCAAGTGGAAGGTGTTCTGCTCCTGCATTAGGGGAGATATATACCAGGAGGTACCTCACATAGGCATAATGGTTCAAACCTTAGAGTAGATGAAATTGCCAAAGCAGAATTTAAGAGGAAAGAAAAGTGGCCCAGGTATAGAGCCTAAGTGTGTAATATTACAGGTTTAAGTGGTGGGTTGCATCTGTGATTTTTCTTCTAAGATCGCATTATATTTTGAACTCTCACTGCTGAACTGAACTGGCTTTTTGCCAGATAAAAACTGTAAGTTAGAGTCCTTAATTTCTCAAATAGACCACTCCCTCTGATGTATGCATGTCTGGCATATAAAGCATATGCATCCCTATTTCATCCCCAACATATAGCTTATCTACCATTGTGACGCTCCTCAGAGAATTCAGCCATGAATCAATTGCAGTCCAGCACTTATCAAAGTCTTCCTTGAGACATCTGGTCTTCCAGAGAGTGTGTCTAATGAGCAAGTGATTCCTCTGTGACTTTAAGTGTTATTGCCATGGTAAGTTATAGAAGCAGCATGTCAAATACCTAAGCCATATTATCTCAGCCCCTTGCAGAAGTGACTTTACTGAGTTAACATTTATGTTATACCTTCAGCTCACATGGGTTGCTGTACCAGTGCTAATAACAACTTGAATAATAACTATGTCATTTATTGATTAATAAAGTCTTGTTGATTATGCACTCGGCACCAGTGTTCACCAGAGGTGGCTTTAAGACATGGTCCCTCATTTGTGAGAGTTGTTCACATTCTCACAAATGAGGCAGAAACACAAACAGTTACATAATCACAGCATGTGATTAGAAAACAGAAGAAAGCGATGCCCATTTCATCAAGAGCCAGTTGCATAATCACAGCATGTGATTAGGAAACAGAAGAAAGAGATGCTCATTTAATCAAGAACAGTAAAGAGTTTCAAGAAGGAGGAACTGGCCGGGAGTGGTGGCTCACGCCTGTAATCCTAGCACTTTGGGAGGCCGGGGAGGGTGGATAACCTGAGGCCAGGAGTTCGAGACCAGCTTGGCCAAAATGGCAAAACCCCGTCTCTACTAAAAATACAAAAGTTAGCCAGGTGTGGTGGTCGGGCGCCTATAATCCCAGCTACTCAGGAGGCTGAGGCAGGAGAATCACTTGAACCCTTCTTGGGGGGAGGAGGTTGCAGTGAGCTGAGATTGCGCCGTTACGCTCCAGCCTGGACCAAAGAGCAAAACTCCATCTCAAAAAAAAAAAAAAAAAAAAGAAGGAGGAACTATTTGAAGTGGGCCTCGGAAGATGCATAGGAACTCACCAGCTAAACTAAGGCGATTAGGGGTGTGTTGGGAGGGGAAGGCATTCTAGGACCAAGGAAAAGAACAGTAGGAAAGCATGGAGATATGCCAGAAGCACAGTGGACACAGGAGAGAGTGTTTAAAGATGGGGCTGGATTGATGGGTGAGGGCTTTATGTTGTATGCCTGGGGGTTTGGGAACTTTATTCTGAAGGTAGAAGGGGAAAATTAAGGGCTTTGTGATCCCTGGATTAACCTGAATAGATTTGAGTGAATCAAGTTTGGTATTTTGTAACTATTAAATGAGTTTATTTTTTAAAAAAAATCAGTAGTCTTTATTTTTTAGAGAAGTTTTAAGTTTACAGAAAAATTAAGCAGAAAGTATAGGGAGTTCTCATATTATATTACCTGCTCCACTCTCACCCCCAACACAGTTTCCCATGACCATGATTAACATCTTGCATTAATATGGTACATTTGTTACAATGGATGAAGCAATATTGCTACACTATTATTGACTAAACTCTATCATTTATATTAGGGTCCCTCTTGGTGTTATATAGTTCTCTGGGTTTTGACAAATGTATAAAAATGTCATATATACAGCATTATAGTAGCATACAGAATAGTTTCTGCCCTAAAAATATTTCACATGCCATCTATTCATCCATGACCCCTAGCTCTGAACCATTGGAAATCACTGATCTTTTTAGTGTCTCTATGGTTTTAACTTTGCCAAAACTTTGTGTACAACGATGCATTGCTTAATGACAGGGATACATTCTAAGAAATCTGTCATTAGGCAATTTTGTCATTGTTTGAACATCACAGAGTGTACTTACACAGACCTAGTGCTACAGCCTACTCCACTATACACCTAGGCTATATGGTATGGCCTCATGCTCCTGGGCTACAAACCTGTATAGCATATTACTGTACTGAATATCATAGGCAATGGTAACACAGTGGTAAGTATTTGATATCTAAACACAAAAAGGTACAGTAAAAATTACAGTACTATAATCTCATGGGATCACTGTTGTATATGGGGTCAGTCATTGACCAAAACTTTGTTATATGGCACATGACTATACTTGGAATCATACAGTATATAGCCTTTTCAGACTGGCTCTTTTCACTTAGCAGTATACTCAAGGTTCCTTCATGTCTTGTCATGGCTTGATAGCTCATTCCTTTATATCACTGAATAATATTTCATTGCAGGATGTATCACGCCTGTTTATTCATTCATCTGAATGGGAGAAATTATAATTTTTCTTCAGTATTCATAAATTTGCAGTTGGGAGACTTCTGCAACCAAAGACAGATTAACAAGAGAAAAACACTCAAGTTTATTAATGCATTCGGCGTACATCTCACAGGAGTAAAGTAACTTAAGGCAGTGGTTTAGAGTTTAATCTTACATAAAATCTTCAACAAAGAGCAATAGATTTTAGAAAAATTACAGGGCAAAGGAAATTAGTTCCAGGCTTCCAAAGGGGGGAAAACTGTGGCAAAGTAAAGTAAAGCTCACATTCCTCTGGCGCCATCCCTAACTTTGTCGAGATTGTCTGCAGTAAGGGGAAATTTACATTTTTTCTTTAGGTGGGATATAGGGAGAGATCAAAAGACCTTTTAAAAGTCTTTGTAATTCTTTATTCTGCTTTAAGTAAACAGAGGGAAGGCAGAGAGCTACCCTGCATTTTACTTGTCTTCATCTCAATAATCCTTCATATTTTGGGGAGAAATATTCTGGTTTCCTTCATATCTAATGAAGAACATCTTGATTCCTTTCAAGTTTCTGCAATTATGAACATGGCTGCTATGAACATTCATGTGCAGGTTGTTGGTTTTTGTTTTTTATTGAGGTGGGATCTTATCTTACTGTTACCCAGGCTGGTCTCAAACTCCTGTCCTCAAGTGAGGTCCCCCCACCTCAACCTCCTGAGTAGCTACAATTACAGGGGCACACCACTGCTCCCAGCCATGTGCATTTTTTTTGTGTGGATGTAAGTTTAGAATATATTTTGGTAAATAACTAGAATTATTATTGCTGGATCATAGGTAAGCCTATGTTTAGCTTTGTAAGAAACTTCCAGATTGTTTTCTAATCTAGCTGTACCATTTTATACTTTCACTAGCAGTGAATGAGAGTTCCTGTTGCTCCAGGTCCTCATCAGCATTTGGTGTTGTCAGTGTTTTGGATTTTGGCCATTGTAATAGTGTGTCATGGTATCTCATTGTTTTAATTTCCAGTTCCCTAGACTCTTTTCATATTTTTACTTGCCCTCTGCGTACCTTTGGTGAGGTGTTCTTTCAAATCTTTTGCTCACTTCTTAACGCGGTTTTTTTTATTGTTGAGCTGTAAGCATTCGTTGTATATTTTGTATACCCATCTCTTATCAAATGTATCTTATGCAAAGATTTTTTCCAGTCTGTGGCTTGTCTTTTCATTCTCTTAACAGTATTTTTCACAGAGCAGAAGTTTAAGGTTTTTCATTTTAATGAAGTCCAACTTATCAATTATTTCTTTCACAGGTCATGCTTTTGGTGTTGTATCTAAAAAGTCATCACAACACTCAAGGTCACCTAGATTTTCTTCTGTTTTTTTAAAAAAACTTTTTATTGAGGTATAATGTACATACAGAAAAGCGTACATATTGGTTAACTCACTGAATTTTCACAAGTTCACCTGTGAGTCAGCACCTAAACCAACAAATAGAATATTACCAGTATCCTAGAAGTTCCTCTCTAGGCACCAAACCAAATCCCCTTCAGTAGACGCCTAATGACATGGATTACCTTTGCCTGTTTCTCTTTAATATAAAGTGAGATCATGCAGTATTTACTCTTCTCACTCAACATTGTGAGATTCATCTATATTGTTGCATGTAGTTGTAGTTTGTTCATTGCTGTATGCTATTACAGTGTTTGAGTATCCCATAATTTATCTGTGTTAATGGACCTTTGGGTTGTTTCCATTTTGGGGCTCTTATGAATAATGCTGCTAGTATATGACTTTAGGTGAGCAGATGTACATATATGGTAAACATATGCACCTAAACTGGAACTGCTGTGTTACAGGTGATGTATATATTCAGCTTTAATCAGATACTCCCAGATGGTTTTCCAAAGCAGTTGCACCAATTTAAACTCCCATCAGCAAACCAATTTATTTAAAAATGTTACAGCTTACTTTTCCCCCTAAATAATGATGCTCTAGGAAAACATGAACTAGGAGGTAAAAATGTAGATGAAGCCCTCACCGACAGAAAGTGCTCCTTTGAAAAGAGGCAAAGAAAGGTGGACAAACTGTAAGATGTGAGACTCAGCCCCAACTCAGTTAGAAATCCTGGAGGTAAAGAACACTTTATATTAGTTCCCCCTTATCTTCAGTATATATGCTCCATTCAGACCCCCAGTGGATGCCAGAAATTGTGGACTGGACTGGACCCTAGATACACTTTGCTTGTTTTATCTGATAACCCAGACAACAACTTAGTGACTGACAGGCAGGTATCCGCTATAGTATGGATACACTAGGTTCACATCCTGGGTAGGACAGAGCTAGAATGTGCATGATTTCATCATGCTGTTCAGAAAGATGTACAATTTAAAAATTATGAATTGTTTATTTCTGGAATTGTCCATTTTATATTTGGATCACAGTTGACTTGAGTAACTGAAATCATAGGTAAGGGGATACTGCAGTATTGAATACACTTGCCCCCTTAAGTACTTGAAGAAATCCTGTTGTTTCTGTTATTAAGCTAGCAGTTTGTAATCACCTTTCCTGTCAAGGCTATCAGTGAATAAACAATTGATTGGAGGATTGTGCTAAAGACTGACATCCATCTGGAGGTGAGGGTGGGGCAAGAATGGAGTGGAGACAGCAAATGCTCAGTCATTGGTTTGAAAGAATGTTAACATAGAACAGTTAATTTATACTTTGAACAACAGAGACACAAAATAGAATGATTTACAACAATAGTCCCCCTTAAGTAGGGGGCATGGACTAGATTTTAAGTATCTTCAGGACAGGAAACTTGTCTTATTCTGAATTGAATGGCAATACCTATTGAGTGTCTGGCAAGAAGTAATTACTAAATAGTTAATGAATGAATAATTAGTGAGAGCAGTGTGATGTATTAGGATTAAGAAAACAAATCACCATTTCAGCAGGGAGATAATCAAGGAACATATGTAGAAGAAAAATTTGGGGCATCGTTGTAGTTAAGAGTTAGATAAGAGTCATTAATTGGTCCAAGATAGGTATTTGTTGCCTGCATGTTATGCGCAATTTGACGAGCAAATGAGAGGCTCTCAGTAGAGAAGAGCTGTTTGTGTGGTGGGGGTGGGGTGGGGATGGGAGTGGTACTTCGTTTAGGGAAGTATGGAGCCAACATAGAGCACCAGTAAGATCAGTCCATGCTTTGCCTGAGCATAACATTAACTAAACCCATTATGTAGCTTTACATCTGGTTTTGGATATACCAGTTTTAAAGAGAATGTAAAAATATAGAGAAATGTGGCAAAAGTGATAAAAAATGGATGACAAATGACATAAATACATCATACTTCTTATCATACTCAAGTGAGATGTTAGAAGCTTCTATGTATGTGACAGGTAAGGTGTCTGTTAACAGAAGGCTAATGGTTGGCTTAATTATATTTTCCTGGAATAAAGCCTTGTTATGAAGAGTTTAGAGATGAACAGTTTCTTAGATTCATAGAAGCCCAAATAATAAGGCAAGGAATTAAGACACAAAATATTTTTATCAAACATAAGGAAAACCTTTTTGATTACCACGATGATACATTGCTGAAATAACAGGGAAACTAGGTATTTTTGTCTGGAGACCATCAAGAAATGAGAAGACAATGATCAATTCTGAGCAATTGTTATGGACTGAATGTTTGTGTCCTCCCAAAATTCGAATGTTGAAACTCTCATTTCCAATGTGATGGTATTTGGATATTGGGTCTTTAAGAGGCAGTTAGGTCATGAGGGTGGAGCTCTTATGATAGGATTAACATGACTTTATCAGAAGAGACTTCAGAGAGCTTGCTTGCCCTTTCTCTACCACATGGAAATACAGTGGGCAGGTGTCCATCTGTAAACCAGGAAGAGAGCCCTCACCAGGAACTGAATGGACTGGCAAGTTGATCTTGGAATTCCCAGACTCCAAAACTGTGAGAAATAAAGTTCTGTTCTTTAAGTCACCCAGTCTGTAGGATTTTTGTTATAGTAGCCCATACTAAGACAGCAAATTGAAGCACTTCCCTGCTTAAGAGAGACCTGGGTAAGATGGTCACTCTGATGCCCAAATGCCATTTCACTTTAAGAAAAGCAAAAGTAATGTAAAAATTGAACATTAAGAGTGTGAAATGTGTAAGTTGAACTGAAGATATGCTGACAACGTTTAATTAAATAACAAACTCTTTAAAGGCACTAAAGGAAGAATTTTAGAGTGTCTGCTTCATTTGCATAAGCACTGCAATGTGAAGCTGTACCATATACTGGCTTTCAGATCAGTTATCAGCCAATAAAAGTTGATATGATACAGTGGAAATGGCTTCCATATTGCCCGTAACCCTATAAACCATTGACTTTTGCTGGCAACTGAGGCTTCTCTGTAAACTCCAGAACACCACTTTCAGAGGCAAATTCTATCAGGCTGATAGCATTTTCTAGTTTTATTTGATCTTGAAAAACATTTCATTATGTTTAATTTAGGGAAATGAGATTTCTTTAATTACTATCAGTAGCAGCTATTAGAGGCTCAATTACATTTGCAAATTTATTTTTAAAAGCTTTATGGTTTTCAGATAAAAATTTCAAGATCTAACTGCATCCATTAAAAGTTACTGTTCTTCCCTTTGGTACCCATGCTTCCAAGAGAGAAGGTATGTTTTATAACATAAAATAAATAATGCCAGAAGCTGAGGATTTGCCTAAATAGGACTTAGAGTCACTCATTTGGAAAAATTAGATATTTTATTAAATAAATTGGCTCATCAAATATGTATGTAGATTCCTATCCTTTGGGGTTTCACATACACTAAACTCTTCCATGTGAAAGGTCAGGGTGTACCCATGGGGAAGAGGCCGCTTACTAGCTGGGAATGTAGATGTTGCTCATCCATATGCTTATCTAGCCTTGGTTATAGACCTACCGTGAGTTATACATCACCACTGCTATGTCTAGAGCAGTGTCTCCATGAAAGATTGTAAGGTGGGGTCCACATAACCTCTAATTTATTAGTCTCTTGAACACTATCAGTGATTTTAGGAGTGACTCCAATTTTATACCTTCTGGAGCTTATTCATATCATTCAACAATTATTAGCGATATGAATGCCCTTCCCAGACTGGATGTTGCTGTTTTGCTCACTCACAGTAGCCTTAATAGGTTATTTTTCCTCCTCTAAAGAGATAAATGGAATAATTTACCTATTGAAGTCCAGAGAACATTAGCACGCAAGATGCGGTGCCCGTGACAGGGCTTTAGCCTTCTCACTCTGATCAGAATGCCTTTCATCTGTGGTGCATAGAGGAGCACCCTGTGCTTAGTAGGTATTAATATTTAGTAAACACTGGTTGATGTGATTAGTTCAACACTCTTCAAATCAGAAGCAGCTGTTTACTCTACAACTACAACCAGAATAGTGTTTGTCCGTCCACTTGGTGGCAATTTTGAGCTATTGCATAGAAGTGCTATCTTGGATCAAAAAATAGAAAGTGTTTTTGTGAAAAACTTTGGAGTCTGTACATTGACTTATGTCACTGTAATACAAAACCACTTCTGTTGACAGGAAATATCACCCACTAATAAAAATTGTAAATGCCTTTGTTGCTGTTTGCCATGGATATATACATGCAAGGTTTAAATGATTTAAACAATTGTTTCTTGAGTTCTTTTTTGCTAATAAACATGAAGGTGAGAACATGCCTTAGCTTGTTTAAGGTGTATGCACGTGAGGGCTTTTCTCTTTGTTGTATTTGGAAGTGTTTGTTTTTATTATTCTCAACTTGCTTTAGCTTTTACCCAGACCACTAAATGCCTACTGATGGAATATAGGGTTATATGCCTTAAGAATTTGGTGTTTGTGTGGATTAGTATTGGAGGGAGAGTTATATACTTGGTGCATGTTGGTGGCAACCTGATGTATGGTTGGCTGCTTGCCCCTCGCATTCACCATGGATTCTCACTGGAAGGTTGTATTAAGAGAGTGAACCATGTGATGAACAAATAATTTGAAGGCAAATGCTTATAAAAGCAACTCACACTTTACAGTGTGTAAAATAAAAGTCCCAGATTAAAAGATTCCTTGCATTTGGGGTCTAAAAGTACAACAGCATTTTCTTAAGGTAGTAGTGCTTTTTAAAATTGATCTAGAATGGTAGTCGCATGAAACACAAAGTCATCGTTTACATGTTATACCACCCCTTCCCTCCTCCCATTTTATCTAGATGTTGCTTTTTAATTTTATCTAGATTTGCTTTTTTATCTAGATGTTGCTTCCCTCCCATTTTATCTAGATGTTGCTTTTAATTTTATCTAGATGTTGCATTTTATCTAGATGTTGCTTTTCTAATCTAGATGTTCCCTCCCATTTTATCTAGATGTTGCTTCCCTCCCATTTTATCTAGTTGTTGCTTTTTTATCTAGATGTTGCTTCCCTCCCATTTTATCTAGATGTTGCTTTTTATCTAGATGTTGCTTTTTAATAACTTCATCACAAGAGAAGATGTAAATATGAACATGAGCAGTATGGTTGCAGAAACAATAATAAAGGACAAAGGCATATTACTTGTTATTCTCAGAAAGCTTAAGATTCAATGGCTGTCTAATTTAATAAAGTCTTGTTACAGTGGAATGATTCAGCTGTAAGAAGCTTGTAAAAATTGTAATAAGCACTGGAGTCGATGCAATCTTTTTTAATTCTTGGGGGTGGTAGTTTTTCATTCAGGAAAGCTGCAATGTGCTGCAGAGTTGTTTGTCAATGCCTGGGCTTATTTTTGTAAGAAAGTATTGATTACAGAGTGAAAAACATTTAGTTTAACAGCAATCAATGTGTAACAGACAAAAGGACGTCTGAAGTTTTGAAGTCTTTAAAATATGAACTACATGCACAATATGGAGAGTTAAGTTGTTGGTAAAAGTTACGACCCAAGGGTACACAAATTTTAGATTATAAACTTACTACTCTTCCCCTCCTAGGCCAGCTCATATATTGGGAGGTAGAAGACTTAATGATTGATTGTGCAGGGAAATTAACTTATTTATTTATTTTATTTTACTTTAAGTTCTGAGATACATGTGCAGAACATGCAAGTTTGTTACCTAGGTATGCATGCGCCATGATGGTTTGCTGCACCCATCAATCCATCATCTAGGTTTTAAGCCCCGCATGCATTAGGTGTTTGTCCTAATGCTCTCCCTCCTCTTAACCCCTACTTCCCGACAGGCCCCGGTATGTGATGTTCCCCTTCCTGTGTCCATGTGTTCTCATTGGAAAATTAACTTATTTATTAAATAGCACATAGTAAATATAAAACTTTTGGTAGAGAGAGGGAGATAGATTTTTTTTTCTGCTACAACCTGTATAATCCATGCACTACAGAGCCTTACTGTATATTCCAACTTGTTTTTAATAAATTAAATGTATTTAAATAATAAAATTAAAATTTTATTTCAGCATCTGAGAAAATAGAAAAGCATTTAAAGGTGTTAGCATCTGTCAACATTAAATCTCATAGGCTCTCAAAGTGTTAGAAAAGAACAAAATGTTAATCTGTATGGCTAAATTATCATCTACCTGTATGTATATTATGACCAGTATTCAAAATTATCTAATGTTGAGATTAGTTTGACGTAAAATGTAGACCCTTTGTAAGTTGTTGAGTTAAAGTGACTTGTATAATCTCTAACAACACTAACACGGCAGCGAGTGACTGCAGAGCCTCTGCTCTCCCTCCAGTGGGAGGAACTCTGTTCCTAATTGAGAATAAGAAGACACACTGGCTAATGGTTCAACACCAAAGGGTAAAATATAATTCTATGTATAACACAACGCAGGTGCCTCTGTACAGAGACGTAATCACACAGGGATAGATAAAAGATTTGTTTCTAGCACACTGACAAGCACAAATATTACGTGATTTTCAGCACTGCTGAAAGTTCATCCTTTCTAGAAAACACACACTTAATTTTTTCATTTTCGACAGTAGCTACAGTTTCATTAAGTTTCGGGGAAGAGGTTTCAAATTGTTTTTGTTTCTTAACAGTAAGAAGACAGTTCTGCAACCCCATGGCTTCTAGGGAGTTTATGCATTTTGGAGAAAGGGAATGTCACCTCCTGGAAAATGAATGATTAGAATTGATTATTTTTTTGTTATAGCTGGTAATCTTGACTAGGAGTCCACAAACTATGGCTGAGCTATTTCCCTCCCTACCTATTTTTGTAATAGTTTTTTTGGAATACATCCACACACATTAGTCTATGTATTATCTATACCTGCTTTCGTGCTACCAGAGCAGAATTGAGTCATTACAACAGAGACTGTGTGGCACATCAAGCCTAAAATGTTTGCCCTCTGGTTCCTTATAGAAAAACTTGCCAACCCCTGCTCTAGATAATTCATACTTTACTAGCTAATTGTTGAATGTGTGATAATCTTGGCCTAACAAGATTACAATATTTTTAATGGCAAAGACCATCTCTGTCTCTCTATTTTTCAGACCATCTCTTGGAACTCTTCTATACCCTACAATCTCTAACAAGGTCCTGGAAAGGGAGAGGCTTAAATGCATCAGTTGGTTTGCTGGTTGCGATGAAAGTTTACTAGACCAGGAAAGAAACTCCTTCATACCTGTAAAGAGAGGCAGTCAAGCCCTAGGTTCCTGGAATCAGATTGCATGGGCTCAAACCTTGGCTCTGCTATTTACTTACTGTGGCCTTAGCCTCATAATCTTAAAAAAAAAAAATCTGGTTGGGAATAGTGCCAACTGTCTAGTATTGTTGCAAGGGTTCAGTGGCAGCTATGTGAAAAGGGCTTAGAACTCTCAGCCAGGGTTCATCATTATCATTCTTATTTGTGATGCTGGGAAGAGTCTCTCTTTTTCTCTCTCTCTCTTATTTTCCTTCACTTTATTTGTCCTGGAATTACTTTGTGACTTCTCTGTGAATAAGGAGGTGCACTTTAATTGTACATACATGTTTCCCTGTCTTACGTATCATCAGTAGGGCTGCTGGCACTAGCTGTAGTTCAGATTTAATGCCAGTGGCCACAATCTTATGAAGACATGGATCCTTTTTCCATAAAAAATAAGGCCACAGATTTCTGTGTTATAGCAGTTGTGTTTTTATTTATTCAATACCTGTCAATACATCATGTTCAGTACACTGAACCGTTTGTAATTTGTGGATGCTTTGCAGTTCTTCCTGGCCTAAGAGGTGGAGAGCCTCTGTTGTAGGTATTTGCACGTGGATGAGTTATAACCTGTGTAATGGCACACTTTTGTAATAACACACCTGTTCTGATTGACAGTGGTACTAAGATGGCAGGTAACTCTCACTAATTGGAACCATTTTCTTTGTGCATGTTGAATCTGATTCTTTGATCATAAATAGAGTCTTAGCCTATATAAAAATGTACATTTGTGGAGCAATGTACATAACATTCAAGGCCTGGTTAAAAAAAAAACACGTTTTTAATATTGTTGTCTTCTGAAGAAGGAGGCAAAATTTTCTAGAAGGGCTTTCAAGACACTAATATAAAAAGGATGAAAATGTTTTATGGTCTTGCCAAATCACTTTTCCATCTTCATGCAGCAGTTTAATTTTGAGCTTATAAAAAGGTCTATATTGCAGAGGAAAGTAGTTTATATGAAAGTTTTACATATAAATCTAACTGGTCCAAATGCAAAACTCTGCCAAAGTCTTGAAAATTTGCTCTATTGTTGACTGCCTGGAAAGGGAGATTTTGGAGGATCTTTGAATCTTCTCTGTCCACAGCGACAAAGGCTTATGGTAAGCTGGATCACCCTGGACAAATTGGTATCTTTTAGGACCTCAATTGGACTTAGTGACCTCAAGCACCCTTCCAGGTCTGCAAACTTTCATTTCCCTTTGATCATAAGACCTCTAGAAAGGGGCAGATATTAATGTGTCCATGTGGAAAAATAGCTCTTGCTGTGTTCAGTCAAGTCTGACAAAGCCTTCCAGGAGAGACCACTTCTGAACGAGAAAGGGCTAAACATTGCCAGGAGTGGAAACTGGGGAGAGACCAGGAGATTACAAAAAGGGCACCTGAGAACACAATTTCTGACACTCACATAAAGTGCATGCAAAAGACCTGCAGTCATGATGTAAGCGTTTCTTCTGTGAGCTTTTCTATACCCAACAACGGGCCAGGCAGGTATTCTATTATTAATAGTAGTAATTGTAGCCACACTGGCCTATCTTTTGTGAGTAGTATTTAGACCATGTGAAACTGTGTTTTCCATTTGCTTCCTCTGGTGACTGTGTCGATCATTGAGAAAGTGAGATTGTCTGTTGTGATGTTCTCCTTGACTGATGTGGTTAACCAAGGGTTAAATATACTTTCAAAAGAGGCCCTCTGGTTGTCTTTTAAGAGTATATGTTTTCCCCTTCTGTAGATTAACTGCACTCACTCAGCTCATTTATAGGTCTTTAATGATTTCCTCATAAAAATGATATTTCTGTTTAACCTTACCTCCCAGAAATAACACAATCTCTAATTCTTTAATATTTGGTGCTTTCAATTTCTTCTAACTTTGGTAATTGTATGAAATAAAATACTAAAGCATTGAACCAAAGCTTGTGATTAGTTCCACATTGAGTTTTTAAATGTTGTAGCTGACCTTTTAGCAGCATGATAAAATGTAAAAGTTTGCATTTGCTAACAAGGATAAGGGAAGCTGCTAAAAGTCCTGTTTTAAAATTTTTAGGTTTCTCATATAATCTACGATGAAATAATGGAAGCTGGCTATGTAAAAACCAACCCACTTGTTCTCAAGTCTTCGTTTAAAGAAATATTCTTGTTTAAAGAAACTTTCCACAATGAAACGGGAAGTGTGAAGGCATTCCTAGTATGTTCTCCAAATGAATAAAAAGTAGTTGTAAGAAATTAATCATTACTGAGGTCCTCCCTGGCAGATTTAAAACAAAAGCTTCAGTAGTACCTTGTACAGTTGGTTGTAGACATTATAATTATTCTCCCACTTTAAAAGAGTGCATAATTATAGCGAATACTCTAATTTCCAATACACATAATTATACCCATTCACTGAAGGAAGGAATATAAGGATTCCAGCTACAGGATAAAAAGGATTCTTAGTCTGAATAGAGTTGTGTTTTTTTTTTTTCCTTTCCACTACTCTGTACAGTCTAGTAGGGCGAACAAAAAGAACGGTACAATGTACTATCCTTAAAAATAGAATTATAAATGGCTTTGTTTGGAAACTCCTGCACATCTTCTCAGAAATTAAATTTTTGACTTAATAGTTATTGAGCGAAAGTGAATCATCAGTTAAGAGATGTGAATATGAAGTTGGGATTGCAATCCCTGGGCTGTTGGGAGAAGGCAATGGTAAGGGAAAGAAGATGACAGAGAGAAATGTATCTGTGGAGTTTCTAAACCAGAGAAAATCTCATCACATTATCCTCAGTCAGGATTAAGACTAAAAGTTGTTACCGAGAGAAACTTTATAAACCTAGAGCTAGCTGCCCACTAAGGTCGTGGGGGGTCAAGAGGATTCATGTGGAGCTTAACAAGTATGTATTGAACATTCTGGAAAGCTCAGCAATATGCTAATATTCTATGGGGTTTTGTGACTGTGTTTGAGGCCTAATCCCTGCCTGAAGGAAAGTGTGCTCTTTGAAGAGACAGGGAATAATATATTATTGGTTATAATATACATTAAACTGAATATATAGTAATATATTATTTTGTATATAATTTGTTATTCATTTTATTAATGTTAATATAATTTATTATATTAACAAGCTTACTTATATATAATATATATTATACATATCATTATATAATGATTAATACGTCATATGTATGTGAAACAGCAAAGACTGTGGCATTATATATTCTGTATAAAGCTAAGTTATAAAGCAAGAGCACAAGTATGTTTTATAAACCATAAATTAGGCGGGCAGTGAAGTAAGAGAGACATCAGAGTTGAGGCAGAACAGGTGTTAACCTTCATAGTAAATATAGCTGAAGTTCAAGACTAGAGCGTAGATGGGAGGATGAAAAATCTTGGAATCCTCCATAACAGAGAACAACGAGAGAAACATAGGGACCAAAAGTTTGAAATGAAAATGAAACTAGCCAGAGAATTCACTTGTTGTTCACCGATTGTTGTGGAGTACAGACAGAAAAGGAACAGAGTTGGGGGTAAAATGGGGCATAGATCTGTAGCCATTCTGAAAGTGCACATGTGGTTCAGGGTACAGAACTGGAAGCAAAAGTTGCTACAACAAAAACAAAAAACCTGAAATGCTGTGTCTTCTTTGCATAGAATATACTGTCTCCACAGAAAAGGAAACAATGTTTAAGACTTCAGTCAAGTATGAAGGCATTTAATAAAATCAACTTCTGAAAACTTCAAGGGGATAGAATAATAAGTAGCTACTGTTAATTGTGATCAATTAACATGACAACAAAGAAAGATCTGTGACCAGGGGAGAAGAATGAGTCATTGACTTTTTATGAAAGGACCCACTGGTTGAGTAAATAAAGCTCTTTTCTAAGTCAAGCTGAGAATTGAGCCTTTTGACTGAATAAACTCAAGGAAAAGATTCGGGTAAGGGAAAGAGAGTCTGAATTAGGCAGTTGACTATTGATAACAAGCTTACTACCTACCTGGGTTATTACTCAATGTCTTGCTTTCCTTGGTCAGCCTCTGTAAACATCAGATATTCAAAGACTTGAGAAGAATTAGTTTTCTGAGAAGCTTATAGAAGTCATAAAGTCAGTGAGGTAGAAAACCCTGTGGAAAGGCCTTTTCCAACCCAAGGAACCATTGCTAATGAATGACAGTGAGGAAATTGTTCCTTTTATGGTAGTATCTCACCTCTAGAGTCCACTCTGAGGAAGAATTATCATCCTTTAGATTTAGATTAAACATCATTTAGATTCTGTCATTCTCCTCAAAATCTACTGATACTCCCAATCATTTCAGAATCAAATTAAAACCAATGCCTTTGGTGTGTCTATTTTATCACTCCTCTTCCTAATTGTGTAATGTGCAATATCATTGTTTTAACATTGCCTGGCTCTCTTTAACCCAAAAACTGTGCCCTTTGCCTCTTAAATCTTCACCCACTAATTATCCAAAACAAGGATGCCAGTCACTTTCATCAGTATTAAGTGAAACTTATACTTTCACTAACCCCCAAAATATGTGTATACACACACACCCCACTTGTAGACATTGCATTTAATCTCTTTATGCCACTAATGTTATTTGTAATTGCTTATGCTTTTCCTGATATGGTTGTGGCTAATTTCATTGCTGTATAGAATGTGAGAGTTGGAAGGGACCTTAGCATTAGTGTTAATTTAGAATCTTCCAGATGGAGGGAACCTTCCAATGATTAGAAGAGACACAAGAGGGAAATACAGATTTTCTTGTTTACAGGCCCTCGGGGTATGTGATACACCTGAGGGTCACACATATGGAGGTCTAGGAGCACATGTAGAGAGAGATCCATGAGCCAATGCCTTTACTGGCATCCAGGGTGTTGTCCAAACAGGTTTCCTATGGGGAATGTTAATTCGTGAGTTTAAAGCAACAGGTGTGAGTTCCAGGTGGCCACACTGTGACTGAGGGTTAGTCACTGTGGCGTATCTGCACAGCTCATGCAGGGGGTAGGAGCAGCAGGGCCAGTCAAGCAGGCTGTGTCTAGCTGACCCGTAGTGAGCAACTGTGTAATGCAGATATCTGAATTGAACACATTGAGGAACTAGGAGTGTGAGTTAGGCGTAGAACTGGAAATTCTGCCAAGGATGACTGAGCCCTTCTTCTGGTATGAGAGAATCCAACTTATATTTAAAATGGAGGCCAAGGCAACATAAAATTATAAGAACTTACTACAGCAGTTTAGAAGTAGGTCCGGAGACAGTAAGTATATTTCCCAAGGTCACTTATCAAGTTAATGGGAAGACAGAAACTCTAGCCCAGTCTGTTAGCCTCATGCCTTCTCCACTGTAGGAATCATGATGTGAAAATGACACTTAGACTGATGAAAAATGTGAGAAGTTGATCAATATATAAATTTTCATCCTATTTTTTTTCTGCTGTAGGATGATATTAAAAGCAAAACTGTATTACTTTTTGTTGTAAATACAGTGTTACCATTTTATTATTCATTTGTAGCCCTAGTTGATAAATAATAAAAACCATTGACTATGCAGTAAACAACTTACTTTCTCTTGGTAGGATCCCAAAATTTGTTGTAATTTTTTCCACCATGACTTTATAGTGCATATCAATCTCCACGTGCCAGACCTTTGTGGGATATGATGAGGTTTCTCTTCGAATAATCGAATCAATCTTTTATTCTTTAATTCATAGTACCCCCCCTTCTTTTTCTCCTTTTTTTCCTTTTTGCCTTTGATAGATGCCTATGCACACCACAGTACCAAGCACTATCAGTACCAGCTCACACTCCTTTCCTTATTTGGAAAGAGGACTAACTTTCTAGCTCATTACAGACACCCCTTCCCCTTTCCCTCCACTTTCTTTTACGTGCCTACCCCATCTAAAAAAAATCAAATGTTTAGCTAACCAAGATTAGATTGTACGACCCCACCTCAGCCAATGGGGAAAGGGTACAGGGGCAGGACTTGCGTCAGGAATAAAGGCTCTCCTGCCCCTTTGTTCAGGTGTGTTCTCATGGCAACTGGCCAAGGAGGCACCCCTCTGCGCGGAAGTAAAATTGCTTTGCTAAGAATCCTTTGTTCGAGTGTTCAATTTCCTTAGGATTTTGAGCGGTATTCCTAACACCTTCATTTTATCTTGCTTTTCTTCACAACCCACCCTGGAAAAACTCCTTTCATCAAGTTCACATCTCTATCCCTTTGCTAAATAATAAGGACATATATAATCTTTGTCTAAGAAAATTTAGTCATATGGGGTGCTTCACCTGTGCCATTTCTGTTATAGAGCTCCTGTCTAGCATTGAGGACATTTTTAAGATCCATCCAAGTGCCCATCTGTCTTACTTGCCCTTGAAATTTCTACCCTCTACCCCACCCTTCTCCTCTTCTGTATTTATTTATCTCACCCTTTCTCCTTTCTTTTCCAAAACACACACACACACACACACACACACACACACACACACACACACAAAACCAAGCTCTGCATCTTTTTTTAGTTAGAATAAAAGCTTTGTCTCTCTTGGGTGATGTTATCAGCACTGCAGATATATACTTGGCTGTTTCTATCCTTGCATCTCAAAATCTGATTCTGATTCTTCTGTTACAGCCAAGAGTACGGGTTTTTAAAAAATCAATCCTCAAGTTCCTTATCTGTTTCTCTGCTTCTAGGATGACCAAATCTTTCATAACTAATGGGGATATTGAATTCAGAGAGCTTTATGGTGAAACTGTATTGCAATATGTGTGCAAAACAAAAACAAGGCTACAATTAGATGTAATAACTATAGCTTAATTTAGATCCATTTCATACTGGCTTGACAGAGTTGGTTAATAGAGTTTTCCCATTAAAAACTAGTTTTCATGAAGACATTAATTTTTCTGCTGATGTGTTTGGCTTATGGACTTCTGAAGAAAAAACACAGGTGTCAATTTAGATTCTCAATAGGTAGGGAGAGAATTAAAAGGATTGTTCTGGGTCTCCGTGTAATTCTTAAGATGTTTGAGTGCACATTGGATGTTGGTTGATGAATACGTGGAGATACCTGTGACTGGGCACGTTTTCTAGTTGGTAGCTTGCTTCTCAGTTTCCACATTTCTCAAATGAGCTCATGTGTTTTTCTATCAATATACAGGAATATCATTGAATCCCTTTGTCCTTCTCTAATGGCCTCTATTCATTTCTTACCTTAAGATCCTCTTATTATCCAAGAGTACTAATGTTTTCCCCATGATTCTTTGGTCATAAAGTATGACTCAATTCGAATATTATCACTTGGACACATTTCAGGAAATCTTTTGAAACAGACATATAGCGATTACTTCTCAATTATCATGTATCTTCAGACATCAAGCCAGCATAGGACACCTGAGATGAGCTGGTACCTCATGACACTCAACGAGGCAGGACTCACGGAGGGCTTGGAGCCTATGTGGGACGTGCCTCTTGTTATGCCTGATATGTTTCGTCAAATATATGCCACATAATGTGGTGCTAGAATTTCCAAGCCAAATAAATTCCTCTTTCTTTTTCATATTTTTGAATTGTCTTTAACTCTGGCAGTATTACCACCCACTGATATAATGAGAATCACCAACTATAATTAGACCTAGAATAGAGGTATTTATTGGCTTTCCATATTTGAATCAAGTGTTAATATTTTAATTTCATTCTGAAGTTTTCTCATACCATACATCAAGCCATCTGTTTGAAATCATACTAGGAAATGAGAATAAAAAATAATGTATTTTAGGGAAGGCCAAACACAGGGTTATATATATTCTAGATGGCATTTGTGATTAAGTTATCCTCTCCATTCTTACATCAAAATCATATTTAAAATGTGTTTTCTTTCAAGATTAATGTATGATCTGCTTAGACACACATTTTTGAACTTTTTGAAATATCTATGATTATCTTTAATATGTAATGGTTATTAAAGACAAATGTTATACAGAGTTTATCAAAAGTAGCTGAAGTATATTAGACAATATAAGCTGTACAATTTTAGTTAGCCATATTTTATTTTTATATAGGACTTTTGAGTTTTTGAAGTGCCTTACCATACATTATTTCATCTATTATTCACAATGATACTATGAAATTGGCTTGGATGAGTTCACCGTCCCCAGTATGCAGAGGAAACTGGCTTAAAGCAGTTAAGTTTTAAGTTAAGTGGCTTGTTCAAAACCACTTCTCTAGTAAATGGTGTGGTACAAACTAAAAGCTGGTAGCATTATTTAATTTATTATATTTATTTTAAATATTTAAATATTTATATAAATGTTTTCCCATTCTATAATTTAGCCTGTTAGTTCTTTCTCCATACCGTAGTCAGAATGAACTTTGCCAAATCTGAAATCATCTTCCTCACTTGATTAAGCCCTTGGTAATGAGTCATCATTTTACCCAGGCTACAGTCCCAAATCTGTCATGTCATGTTCATGGTCCTACGTGGTCTATCCCTTATTCTTTTCCACCTGCGTCCTATGCCACTCCTGTCCCCTGGCTCACCAGCTTCCAGCCACACTGGGCTTCTCTTCCTCCCTCCCTACACGACAAAGGGCTTTGCACTTGCCTCTCCCTCTGCCTGCAGTGCTGGTCCCCTCTCTTCGCCTGGTAGCACCTGGTCATCACAGAGGTCTCAGTTTCAATATTACTTCCTCAGAGGCCTTTCCCTGACCTACCAAACAAAATCAGTTTCCGTCACTTTCACCTTTCAGCATACTCTTAATTAACAATCAGTTTATACTGCCGTATTTATCTGTGTGATGTTTATTTAGCGCCAGCCCTCTCCATTAGTCTGTAAGTCTAACGAAGCCGGGAACCATGTCCATTTGACTCATTGTTGGTTTCCATCTCTAGTTCAGTGTTTGGCACATAGCAGCTACTCAGTAAACATTTGTGGGCCAAGTAAGTAAACGACTCCATGTTGGGGGTACATAGCTGCTTTTACACGCACAGTTCTCTATTAAATTAGAGAATTATCAGAATCTATATAGATTTTGCTTCATTTCCTTGGAACATGCATGTAGAAAGGACCTTTTGATACTTTAATGATTTAAGCAAGTTTTACAAAATTATCAGGAGAAAAGGTCAGAAACATAGATTACCCAGGGAAATGGAGGAATCTCCTGCATTTGAGGTTTAATCAGAGGATGGCTCAGTTTGAGCTCTGTTGCTATGTGTAGGCTATGAGGTATAGACAAGATCATTCTGTAGAACCATGGAGGAAATACCTGTCTTTCTCTTTGTATGTTTGATTCTTTGTCTAGAACTTAACTCTTTGCTCATGTCCAAATAGGAAAAGTATTTTGGAATTCCACTCTTGTTTTGGACTTCTTTTTCTCCACCATGGTGTCCAGTCAGCTCTGGTATAACATGTGTGTTACTGAAAATTACTGCACTCTGTAAAACCACACAGTGAAAACCACAAAGCTTTTGGGGGAAACAGGACTATGGGAAAAATACTCAAAACTTTGTCAGTGACACACTAAAAACAAAAAGGTAGGAACCTAATACAATTGGCAGCCATGTGTTCAGTGGTTAAAAAATACATAAATACTACAATAAATATGGTGCTTTACCTTGAAAGAGTTTTTTGTGGAAGTGGATATCAACAGGGATGCAGTTCAGAAGTTACTGTGAAGTGGTGGAAGGAACGCTGTCTGAAATTGGAGGGGAAGTTGTAAACACCACATGTGGATGGTTGTGGCTCGTAATGCACACAGTGGACTGAGGTCTGTTTGAAATATGTGTTTTGTGTGTTTCGATGCAGTTCAACTGGGTGGAGTTTTCTGTGTTCACCTAATTTTTCTCATGAATGAAATCAGGCAATCGGCAAACCTAAGATTTGTGTCATGCTTAAATTTTTTCACAACATATCAGTTGCATTGGAACAAATTAGCACTTTTAAAAGAAATGTTACAGCAGAGCTGACAGTAGTAGGGGAAAAAAGTGGGAGACTTAGGGTCAGAAAAACTCAATTCTAGCTCCAGAGCTGCTATTTCTAACCATGGAAACAGAGCAAGCTTCCTGCCTCTCTTTTCAGTCCTCTGCACTTATCTTTAGATGGAGGTGATAATAACCACTATTGCTGAATTGTTCTGAAGACTGAATACAGTAATGAAGGTGGACACATTTTGTAAAATGTAAAATATTCTCCAGATTGAAGATATTTTTTGCAGAGTTTGCTCATTTCGGAGTTAGAGACAGCAGCTAACGAATAACAGAGTTGAAAGTTAACCCACTCACAGCTTTTCTTCAGAAAAACAGGGAAACCTACCTTTTTACTAATAACAAAGCTCACCTCTGTAAAGGGAAAGAAGAGCCTGTGACTGGCAAGTTTTGTT
The DNA here is from genome assembly GCF_000001405.40 of Homo sapiens. Taxonomy (NCBI): domain Eukaryota; kingdom Metazoa; phylum Chordata; class Mammalia; order Primates; family Hominidae; genus Homo; species Homo sapiens. The sequence continues at coordinate 133,133,527 of NC_000002.12, read as the reverse complement.
GAACATGTATGTAATGTCACTGCTTAGACTCAGCCTTTGAGCTGTTGCTTGTGTTCTGGTGCAGCGATTTGAGATCTTTGCTAAGAGAAGCCAAAGAGAAAGGGAAGAGGTGACGAACATGGAGCATCTTGCTCGAAGAACATGGGAAGAATTGAAAGGTGGTGATTGAGGAGCTTTGAAAATCATCATGAGGCTCTCCTAGGCAGGTGTCTTCAAGCCATCCCAGCTCAGTGGCTCTGCAGAAAGAGAGCTGTTGCTGTGGAAATGTGGTCCTGTCAGATTTGTAACCCAGATTCCCAGGATATTGTCCTCTACTTATTGCTCTTCAGTACCTAGTGGCGTTGTGTAAATAACAGCAACTGTTCTCCATCTCTCATTGCCTTTCACACTTTCTGCTGGGAAAGATCCAGAGCCAACATTTGGGAGACAAATTAAAATTACTTTGGGGATAGATCAATTTATATCCAGAATATAGCGAATACAGAAAAAAAATAGCCAATCTATTGATACTATATTTTTTCTATGTGTAGCCTGTTTTTAAATTTGGGTACAGGCTGGGCGTGGTGGCTAACGCCTATAATCCCAGCACTTTGGGAGGCTGAGGCGGGCAGATCACAAGGTCAGGAGATCAAGACCATCCTGGCTAACATCGAGAAACCCTGTCTCTACTAAAAATACAAAAAATTAGCCGGGCGTGGTTGCGGGTGCCTGTAGTCCCAGCTACTCTGGAGGCTGAGGCAGGAGAATAGTGTGAACCTGGGAGGCGGAGCTTGCAGTGAGCTGAGATCGCGCCACTGCACTCCAGTCTGGGTGACAGAGAGAGACTCTGCCTCCAAAAAAAAAAAAAAAAAATTGGGTACAAATATTTTTCATATTTAGTAGGTGTGGATTATTGTCAAGTTTTGATGGATTAATAGAAATACACGTCATTTGAAGGGAATATATTTTAGTAAAAAGCTTTTGCCCTCATAGTCTTAATTCCTTAGAATTTTCTCTGTGTTATCAGGGTTTGTGTGTGTGTGTGTGTGTGTGTGTGTGTGTGTGTGCTTTTTTTTTCATGTTTTAAAAGGCATAAATAAATTGAAGAGAAAAGATTATTCATGTGGAAAAGGTTCTCTCATGATCATGTTTTTGGGACTCTTTGATATGGCAGTGAGTGAATCTATGGAGCATTCTTTGCTTTTGAAGGAAGGAGGGATGCTGTTTTCTCTGCAAAACTTTACATTCTTTTTTTTTTTTTTGAGATGGAGTCTCGCTCTGTCACCCATGCTGGATTGCAGTGGTGTAATCTCGGCTCACTGCAACCTCCGCCTCCTGGGTTCAAGCAATTCACTGCCTCAGCCTCCCGAGTAGCTGGCATTATAGGCACCCGCCAACACACCTGGCTAATTTTTTTATTTTTAGTAGAGACGGGGTTTCACCATCTTGGCCAGGCTGGTCTTGAACTCCTGACCTCGTGATCCACCCGTGTCAGCCTCCCAAAGTGCTGGGATTACAGGTGTGAACTTCACATTCTTCGTAGCATGTACTTTTGAACTATTTAGCGTACATTTTTTTTTTGGCCTGTTTCTGGAATCGAAGCACTATCTTCCAAATTCTGTAGTATTGGTGACTTGTCCATGTTTCTTTTAGTCTAATCAGTCAATAAAAAGAGGAATGTCAATTGTGTATATAACCATAAAGAGTTTATTTTATTATAGTAAAATGTATATAACATGAAATTTGCAATTTTGACCATTTTTGTAAAGAGTTAACTTTAATTAACCCATTTATCTTCCACAACCACATTTTTCTTTCTTTCCAGCGCTTCCAGAATGTCATTTTCCAAAGTGACAGAATAAAGATTTGATTTTAATTTTGATTTTAGTTTTTCTGATTTCAGTAAAAGTAACTGATTATGGGAGTTAAAAGTAGACCATCAAAAAGTCAGGCCTGAGTAAGCAAAAGGCCAGCTTCAGAATCAATAAACAAATATATTTCCAGCACTACTGCATATTAGGTAATGTGCTAAAAATGTAAAATATATCTGCACATAAGGCATCTTGAACAAATATTTATCCAGGTGGAGAATTATGATAAATTCACATGAAAAATAACAGTAGAAAAAGTAAAGACCTAAAGGGTGGTAAAGATGGTAGGTGATGTTGGAATTCAGGGAAGGGAGGAAATGCAGTGATGAGGGATAAGTTGTAGAGGACATGGCTTGCAACTGAGCCTGGAAGGAACCCTAGGCTTTCAACCGAGAGACCTAGGCAGCTTTTCACGCTGGAACAAAGGTACAGAGGCAGGAGGATGTGTAAGTATTTTTAGAGGATCAGGATTCACATCTAGATTCTAGTCTAATGTTTCTTTCATGATCCTCAGAATGCCTTTTTTCTCATGAGTTAGAGCTGGAGAAAATCTGTCATTGCTATCACTTCCTGTGAATATGCCACATGAGATGAATCATATTTAATCCATAGTGCATGGTACACAGTCATAGTGTTTGGTTTATTTCAAAACAGAGGTCACTGTTTGCCTTCTTTCCTTTTAAGTATATATGTCCCTCATGATCAGACATTGCATGTATAGTTTTCATCATAGAGTGTATATCCTGTGTACAAAATGCTTAGTGTAGTAACAGCAGTAACAATAACAGCATGGCATGCTTTTTAAAAAAGGCAACAACAACAACAACAACAAAACAAAAACAAAACAACAAAGACATTAGTGTAGCTGACTCAGTGCTATCAGGAGGATCTGAGCTGTGTGCTTTTTACCAGTTCCAGGAATGAGTTTCTGCTGAACCGTCTATTCTGTGTCATCCAGTTCCTCTTTCAGTCCCTGATACCCGTTCGTGAGATGAGCTAGTTATCTAGGATTATAAAAACAGTGGGTGGCTTGGCCTAGTTTTATATCTGAAGACCTAACTGGACAAAATGAAAAACAATTCTTGAGCCTCACCCTCATCAGCTTCACATTCTAATTAACTTGAAATTTTTGGTCCTTCTATAAAAGTAGTAATTTTCTCTTTCAAGGATATACCAGAGATGGAAGAGATGAAATAATTCTGAACAGGTAATAATCTTACTAATTATTATCTGACTTATTGTGCATTCAATAGTATTTTTGGGTCATAGTTCTTCACAGGATGCTCTCTGGGTTAGTGGAAATTATTCAAGTGTTAGAATTAAGTCACCTGGGAGTCAAGATCTATTACCTTCTGGTTTATATGACCTTGCACAAATTACTTAGGTGTCTCTGATCCTTGGTTTCGTTGTCTATAACAAGAGATTAAGAATAGGACCTACTTCGTGGGGTTGTTCAAAGGATGAAATTCATATATATAAAGCTCAAGTTATCACTTGATAACCAGCTATTTCTTATTTTTGTCATAAACACCTTCCTAAAAGTCATCCCCTTTGTGTCTTTTATAGCATGAGAAGCTGATACATGAACTGGAAGAGGAGAGACACTTACGTCTTCAAAGCGAGAAGCGGTTGCAGGAGGTGACCCTAGAGTCTGAACGCAACAGAATTCAGATGCGTAGCTTGCAGCAGCAGTTCTCCAGGTATTGTTCTTAGCTGAGCAGATTGCTTCCTGAGGTGCATCTCTCTCTGCACCAGTAACACCTTGGATTGAATGTCCATTGAGTAAGCTTCTGTTGTGTTTGATGAGCTAATTTACCAACCATTTAGACCTTCTGTTCTGACTGAAGCATCCTATGGCATTCAGACCAATTTTCTGAAACTTTCCATTTGTACCTGACATGAGCTTTATTGAAACTGGTTGTCTTTTCTTTCCTGATGGCTTTCCTAAGGGTCTTCAAGTGAGTTGTGGTGGCTTTGCAGCCAGTAGGCTTGTCCTTTAAAAGGCCAGCCAAAATTCCTCAGGGATCTAGAACTAGAAATACCATTTGACCCAGCCATCCCATTACTAGGTGTATACCCAAAGGATTATAAATCATGCTGCTATAAAGACACATGCACACGTATGTTTATTGAGGCACTATTCACAATAGCAAAGACTTGGAACCAACCCAAATGTCCAACAACGATAAACTGGATTAAGAAAATGTGGCACATATACACCATTGAATACTATGCAGCCATAAAAAATGAAGAGTTCATGTCCTTTGTAGGGACATGGATGAAACTGGAAACCATCATTCTCAGCAAACTATCACAAGGACAAAAAACCAAATACCACATGTTCTCACTCATAGGTGGGAATTGAACAATGAGCACACATGGACACAGGAAGGGGAACATCACACTCCGGGGACTGTTGTGGGGTGGGGGGAGCGGGGAGGGATAACATTGGGAGATATACCTAATGCTAAATGACGAGTTAATGGGTGCAGCACACCAGCATGGCACATGTATACATATGTAACAAACCTGCACATTGTGCACATGTACCCTAAAACTTAAAGTATAATAATAAAAAAAAAAAAGGCCAGCCAAAAGGATGAGATTTCAGTGGTCATCGCAATCCTATTTTAAGACAAAGAGAGAGTATGTGACTCTAATGATTCAATAAACTCTTCCTCATTGCTTAGAGGAAACACTAAGGAGTAGTAAAAAAAAAAAAAAAAAAAAAATCAGTGAGTTTCTGTCCTTAAAAAGATATCACTAGAACACTTGAATGTGGCCAGACGCAGTGGTTCACGCCTGTAATTCCAGGACTTTGGAAGGCCAAGGTGGGCGGATCATTTGAGGTCAGGAGTTCAAGACCAGCCTGGCCAACATGGCAAAGCCTCATCTCTACTAAAAACACAAAAATTAGCCGGGCATGATGGCAGGTGCCTGTATTCCCAGCTACTCGGGAGGCTGAGGCAGGAGAATCACTTGAACCCAGGAGGTGGAGTTTGCAGTGAGCCGAGATTGCGCCACTGCACTCCAGCCTCGGCAACAAAGCAAGATTCCATTACAAAAACAAAAAAAAAAAGAGAGAGAGAGAGATCACTAGAATCTCTCTTTCAAAGAATTTGAAAGGAAGATTCTGAAAAAGTAGCTCCTAGATTTAATTCTAGCAGTTGGAATCTTTCAGTTTCCAATTATAGTTAATATGAGGGTAGGTGATGGTTCAAACTATTATGTTAAAATCCCTTCAATTCCATGGGAGGAATCCCCCAGAAAACTGTGCATTTACAGCCTTGGGACCAGATATAGGAACCTTGTGAAGGACAATCTGCATTCATTTCTATACTTCACCATTTATAAAATCAGGAAAATAATTTGTTTCACTTTTCTCTCCTGAGATTATCCCAGGCAGTATCCATGTTTGAGAAGTTGCCCTAAAATCGTCATGAGAAAACTGTGTGGGTCTTGTCTTTAACTTTTCACCAGGATTTGGAGAACACTGTGACCGGTGATAAATAATATAGCTTTGTCATTATGAAGTTTTTATAATGACAGCTTAATTTTTAGATGTGTTGCAGGGAGAGAACAAACACAGTTGAGCCTCCAGATAATTTACCTCATTATGGCCAATACTGTGTATGTGCTTCAACTTTGGTGTAGGAGTTCATGGAGGAACAGGACAAGAAGGATGGATGACTCCTGTGTGGTCAGCATTATAATTTAACACCAGTTCAACTCCTCAAGTCCATGATAATACACAGGTGCTATAGAAATACACCAATCAATACTTTAATAAATGCATGTCCCACCCCTCATAGGCTATTACTTATATCACCTTATGCTCGATTTTTCATTCAGTTTGATGGCAACTCTCCCTTTGTGTCTCCTAACCAACTTAAAATAATAGATCCACCCCTCCAAAGTGAATTTAAAACAAGCACTGCTTGGTAATATTGGTTGTTTTAATGGCACAGGATAGGAGGAGGCAGATCTTGCTCTCTTTGCACTGTCTAATTGAGATGTCTCTATATTCAAGCTATAGATTTAGGTGGCAGGAGACACATGGCATAGTAAATTATATTCATATGATGCTGGGTCTTCTGCTGTAAATCAGATGCCAATCCCCTACAGATTTAAGTTACACAAGAGCCAAGACTACATCCTAGGCTGAAAGAGAAGATAATTATGTGTACAATAAGTAGTGGTTGGTTTTTACATACTTCTTTTGTGAAGGACTTTTATCCTATTATAATTAGTTTTCTCATGTAAAGTGTCATTGAAACTGAAAAGTTCAAGTCCAGTTACAGCCAGAGAACTAATGCAAATCAGTAAAAGACATGGAGGGGAAAAGCATATGTAACAGATAATTACACAATAATTTGAGTAGACCTACTGAACCATTTCTGATGGCCTTTCACAGTTTAAACTTTGGTTTTTAAGATATTTCTAGTTATGTTTAAATAATCTTATTAAGTCTTTGAAAAATTCTCAATATTATAGAATAAGCCTTTATTGCATCACCCTTGGACGGGGTTAGCATCCAATATGGTCATCTAAATAATTTCCATAATATAAATTATTCTGTTGAATTAGAAACCTTTATATTCATAATTTTTTTCTTTTTTTCTCTTGGGCCAATGAGTTCATTTTGTGCATGATGATATCTGGGATGTGAAATTACTTTTGAACATTGTTCATGGGCTGAGGTTACTTTTAAAAACTAAGCTAATAACCACTTTCTCAAAGAATGTGGTATGGCTTACAATAAAAGGTAGATTTACAATAGGGCTGATAAAATAAAAACAAAATAAAGGTCATGAAAGGAGAATGTGGCAAGTTATCACCTTCACATAGCCCAACAAGTTTTCTGAGTATGAGCATGTAATTTAGCTCTAAGATTCCTGGCAGACAAGATCAAAAGAAAAAAAGAAACAAGTAATATGTAATTATTATCTCATGGCCAAAGGCTACTACTCCTTAAAGAGAGGAATATTATCTCTGTTAATAAATTCATAATAGAATGTATCACATAGAACACTTTATAGAAGACACTGAAGGATACAGTAGACGTGGCCCAAAATGGTGCAAATTAGGATTAATTCTTGCAAGGGCTGCTGCTTTCACTATGTCACTTATATCTGGAAAGTTGAGCAGTTTTTCAATTTCCTAATATATGGAATAAGAATGCTGGGTCATGTCTAAGAGATCACAAGTGAAATAGGAACTACTCCGGTACTCTGGTGCTTAAAGTTCTCAGGGCAACCATTCTACTTCAGATTCATGGGAATCTCCAGATATATACATGTGCTTTTCTAATACTATGAATGTGGGAAACAGAGGCATAAGATGCTGACGCCTGGCCCAGGCTGGGTGATGTGTTTTATTGGTATGTTTGATGGCCTTGTAGGCATGGGAGTCTCTAAACAGTAGTTATGGGATTCCCAGTCTCAGCTTCAGTAACAAGGTGAGTCAATGGAGGGAGAAGCGGAGAATGAAGTTAGATGCTGGGACAGTTAGGTACACGTGGGAAGTAGAGTTCAGGTGTCAGGATGAGTGATTCAGGAGAGGTGGTCCATGGCTTAATTTTATGCAGTTTCAGCTGTGTGATGAGCCTGATGGCTTGAAGGCACCAGGCAAGCCTGAACATTTGTGATTGTCTCTATTAATGAGTAATGGGATCGCTGAGGTGATAAAAATCTATACAAATGCTTGAATGAGTAGTTTTTTTTTTATATCACCACCAAACCTTCAGCCACAATCTGTTCTTCCCTCTTGACCTCTGATTAGGCTATAATGATCAGAAATGGTCCAAATTTAGGCAATAAAAAAAAATTGGATATGCCACCAGAGGTTACCTAATCAGCCATAAGCTCATACATCAGAAATTGCCTGCAATGAGGGTGATTCAGACAGGCATAACAAACTTGGTTCAGACCATTTACATTCTTTAATGTAAATATGGATAAAGAAAGGTACTTGCAAATTAAGCCTTCACAGTTGAGAGAGCACTTCAATAAGGTAGTAGTTAGAGGCAGGTGGTGATATCTTAGGGCTGCCACTTTATCTTATTATTTGGCAATATACATCAAAGGTGCTTTCCAGATGTGAAAGTGATTGTTTAACCCATTGTCTGTGTGGCTGGGCATATTTTATGAGGGGTTAGCTTTGTAACTATCTAAAATTCCAAATTCTTCCCACTCTCCCCACTCCTCTAACCGCTTGTTTGAATTGTGATTGTCCAGACAGCCAAGGTGAATGCTGTAGATGAGACTATGGAACTGTCTTCCCTTGTATGTAAAGACAATCACTGTTTGGACCCCTGGATTTATTATCCATGTTGAGGTAATGAAGTGTTTGTGTATCAGTTAGATTCACCTAGAGGAGCACTTTGAGGAATATTGTCTCCAAGTTAGGGTGGGGTACGTTGAGTTGAAATAACAGTGATTTACAAAAAAAAAAAAAAAGGTAGAGTAATGGGATCACTTAGGTGATAAAGTGAGGAGATAAGCAACTCTACAGAGTACCAATTTCATATATATAATTGTGCATATCATGCAGGATTTGCAAAGGTATCTCTGTTGGTCCCTTTGGAAATAATCTAATCAACTTGTAGATGATGATGATGATTATTATTATTGAGACAGGGTCTGGCTCAGGTTCCCCAGGCTGGAGTGTAGTGGTGCAGCCTCACCTCGCTGCAGCCTACACCTCCTGGGCTCAAACCATCCTCACACCTCAGCCTCCCAAGTAGCTGGGACTATAGGTGCGTGTCACCACGCCTGGCTAATTTTTGTAATTGTGGTAGACGGAGTTTTACCATGTTGCCCAGGCTGGTCTCAAACTCCTGGGCTCAGGTGATCTTCACACCTCAGTCTCCCAACGTGCTGGTGAACCACCATGCCAGGCCCAGTTTGTAGATTAGTAATGAAAGCTGCTATTTTCAACAGGAAACAAACACTTTTATTGTGTGCCTAGTAACACCGTTTATGCCCTCAAGAAAAAGTAGAATTTAGATAGAGAAGTCTTACGTACATATATGAACAAAACACCGTATTTATAGCTTAGCTGTAAATAAAGAGGACTTCTGTCCAGATTCAGAACAGCCAGACTTCATACTTGTTAATGGTTTATTATGCTGAGGCATGAATAGTCAGATGAAATTAATGATTGCATAGTGACAACAGTAATACTACACATTTTATTGTGTCACAGCTCTGTGCTGCAGCGTGTTTGAAGATTTAAATTAAAATTGATCTGGGAGATTTAGCACCTGGCGGACATAATTTGTAAACATTCTTAGCAAACCATTTTACAACCCAAATATCAGGAATAAAGATACTTGATTTCAGGCCTCTTCAGCCTTGAAATGTTCCTTGTGTGTTTACACCAGTCATTGTACCTCTAAATAAGGGGGAATAATTAAGGTTTGCCACCCATATTTGACCAGGATAGTTAAAAATCACCCACATGGAACTCAAGCTTTCACTCCCTACCTTCAGGATTTCTTTGCACCTGTTCTGACCTTCTCCCCTGGCACCGTCATCCACAGCCTTGAAGCTATTTCTTTACTTACTGTAATGGGGATTCTCCTATCACAGTTGATTGCTGTGCTTAAGTGCAGTCTGCTGCATGCTGAACTTCAAGGAGTCGTAAATGGAGATGGTTTTACCGCTTAACTCGTTCATTCATTGCTGTTCACATTATCGGTTCTCAGAGACTTTATGGAATCCTAGGGTTCATTTTCTGCTGCCCATTTGGAAACTGTAGGCACCTGGCATAGAAGTGTGTGTTGAAGAGGATAATATGCCCTTAAATGTTCTACCCATGTACTCCCTTCTGCTTCTGTATCTGGTACATTAAAAGAACATTTTCTCTGCATCTTTAGAAGGAGGAAAATGTAACAAGATGAGAAAAGCTGTCAATTGACCTTTGGACAAGCATCAGCACAGAGCTCTTCTCCTCTTCTGCACTTGTTCCCATGTCTGACTGTTCGTCAACTTTGACCTGTCTCAGAGGCTGGCTCTCCTGAGTGCCTTGCTCCTCCTGATGAATACAGAGGGCAATTTTCTGTTGATTTGGAATTGCTATTTCCACATCATCAGCAATATTTCTGCCTGAGACTTTTCATAAAAATTGGGGCCTCTCATCTGCTGCTCTGTGTGAATCTACCAGAAGTTGAAGATGGTAAAGCAACATTGGTTCAAGGATAAATTTTCTTCAAATTACAACAGATGGAAGAAAAGATTTTAAATGACCTCTTTTAAAATGCCTGGATAACATAATATGGATCATATTTTGGTGTCAGAAGTTTGTATCTTAGTGATCTAGCATGTAAGCTCTCCCTTAAGCAATGCAAAGGAAAGCCAAAACCAATTATGTAGCAAACTGGAAAGAAAGGCTGTTTTCGGCTCCTTGGGCAAATACTAACTTACTGAAAGCTGAACATTACTTTATTGTTTTGTATTTCTCTTTCTGCCTAATAAATGATGAAATGGTCACATGTTTCTTCTTAAATTTTTTTAAAGAGGTATATGTTTTTGAGTAGACAACGTGAAAGTCATGTTGCCTATTATTCATCCCTGTAGAGAAAACAGTATTAACACAGAGTATAGTTCCAATTTCATTGCAAAGAGCACTATCTTATTTAATGGGTTGTCCAGGACCTGGTGTCAGTGTACCTCTAAGTAGCTTAATAACTCTGGTTAAGTAATTTGACCCTTTTGGGTCTCAATTTGCTCATCTGTAACATGAGTAAATTCAATTGCATTATAGTTTTATAATGCTTTTTATGCTTTTTAAAAGGCCCTGCATTAGAAATGAAATGTACTTACTTATTGGGTGAAGTAATAATTTCACATTTGTAACCAGGCCTTCTTGAAGATTCTAACAATGAGTTTTATGTTGAGGTCTTGGAGGAGACTGTCTTATTGTCCATGCTGTAATCACAGGGAGGCTCTGTGGGACTGGGTTTTGGCCATGTCTATTTTGGTTACTTGACTCTGGAGAAGTTGAGATTAGAAAACTGCCGAGCCTAGATGAAAAATTTCTGTTGGGAACAGCCAAAATTAAATACTGGGGAACTTGGCTGGCAAAAGGAAGTTAAGATACTCTGCTGTGAACATATAACCAAGATTGCTCTTGGCTCTGATGTTGTCCACTTTAGGATTTATTTGAACTGGTTTGGTAAAAAGTCTAAACAGAGATAACTTTATGACAACCAGAATTGTTTTCACTTTTTAACAATTTCTCTGAAGAAAGAGCCATCAATAAAAATACCAATGATTTAGTCTCTCCTCTAAATATGTTTTAATAACATATTATAACTTCTGATACATTACTGTTCCTACTCCAACACATTTTTTCCTTTAAGAAAATGTGTGAGATACAGAATAATGTTTTAAAACTGAAAACTGAATTGATTTCTACTTTCAATAATAAATGTTTTATTTTTTGGTGTGGTTTATAGAAAATCCACTTTTCTTACGTTTATAGTTTAGATAAGTTTGGACAATCATTGACCCTCATGTAACTACCACCACAATTAAAATACAGAATATTTTCATGTCCTGGACCAGTTCTCTCCCTCCCTCTTTGTTCTCATTTCCCTCCCAAGCCCCTGGTAACTACTAGTCTTATTTCTCTCCTTATAGTTTTGCCTTTTCCAGAAAGGCTTATAAATGACGAAGTCATAAAGTATGGAACTTTTTGGTCTGGCTTCTTTGACTTTGTGTGATTCTTTTTTGATGTGTCCATGTTTTTGCAAAAATCAGTAGTTCATTTTCTTATTCGTGAATAGTATTCTGTTATGTAGATATACTACTATTTGTTTATTCATTCACCTGTTGATAGACATTTGGATTCCCTCCCGTTTTGAGTGAATGTGATTAAAGCTGCTATCAACATTCATGTCCAGGTCTTAGAGTGTTTACCTTTTGGGAAGATAACTAGGGTGGGACCACAGAGCCATATAGTAAGCATTTGTTTAATTCCATAAGGAACTGCCAAACTGTTTTCCAAATTATCTGTGCCTTTTTGCATTTCTACTAGCAATGTAGCAATGTATAGGAGCTCTAGTTGCTTCATATCCATACATGCTTCTTCAAAAACAAAACATAGACAAAGGAAGCCACACAAAATAAATAAATGTCTGGCTTAAGGAATAATTCTAAGGTGAATGGCTTTGTAACCAACGCTAGGTCAAGAAAGGAGACTCTGCCGGCCACCCAGAATCCCATCTGGGTACCTCTTCTCAGCCTCAACCTTTATCTTTTTCCAATAAGCTATTAGTGTGACCTTATGGCAATAACCCTCCTGTGTTTTTAATAGTGTCATCATTTAATGTGCATTCCCAGACCCTTCAGTTTAGTCTTGTGCATCTGTTAAAAAAACAACTGGATATGTCTTTTAAGTTTCTTTGAACCTACAGGTTACTGTCCATCCCTTCCTTTTCCTTCATATTTTATGCGTTAAAGACCTATAATATTGGACCTGTAGAGTTTCCTACAGTCTAAGTTTTGTTGATTACCGTACTTGGGACTGGGCACCATGTTTTTCTGGCATCGGTATTTTCTACAAATTGGCAGTTATTTTCATACATTGCTCCTAATAGTGATCTAAATAAAGAGTTAAAGGTCGCTGCCTATCCAGGGGACATTGTTTGTTCCCCTGTTCCTCTCTTATACAATCACCAATAACCTTTGCCATCATAAGCATTAAAAAAAAATTTGTTGATTGAAGAATGAATGAATGAATATCTTCACTAAAGTAGAAAGATGCAGCCAGAATTCTGCTAGACTTAGGTTAAGCATATAGAAGAATTTTACAGATAGTGTGTTTATGACAGAAATTTGCTTCCAAGGGAGGTTGTAGAATGGCCATTTCTGGGGATCTTTAAAGTTTTGATAATAGTCATCATTCTTAGAGTTATAAACTGTGATGGCCTGGGAGGATGAAGACCTGATTTCTCATCTCTGGGCTTCTGTGATGGAGTGCTCACCTATAAAAGATGAGTTGCCTCTTTCAGAATACTCTTTGCAGAATTCTTTCTGCAGGGCACTAAATGGAATTTGGTGAACTGAAGGTTTACTTCCCATAAGCTAAAGTTTACTTTCTGAGAGTGTTTTATGGCTCTCAGATAACATTTATACCAATCTCTCTAAGGTTTGCATATGGGGCAGAGGCAGAGGCAGCAGTCCCAGTAGTATAGATTGTTGTTCTGATTACCTTTATGGTCCATAGGCAGTGCATTTAATGAACACTGTTCCCACATAGTATAAGTCTAAGTGCTAACTGTAAACAGTTGGAACCATTCTTTGGGATCCTTTATTTAATTCGTGAGAAATAATTCTGTTAAGATGGTCCTTGTTTATAAATGTCTACATCTGTTGCTAACAAACAGCCTCAAGCTTTTAAGAATGTTTCTTAAGAATGAAGCAGAGAATTAGCTATGCTGAAGCTATGGGGTTCTGACAAAAGAAATGTGTTGTAGTTTTCATTAAACTGTGTTTCAGAATTCTTTGCACATTTCTCCTGACCAAAGGTTTTCACCTGTCATTTGCAGGAGTAACAACTGACAGCATGCATTTTCTCAAGACAGAAATATACGTTTCTTTTTCCTTGTTTATTTTCTGTAACCGCTTTAGCAGTTGTGTTTTATAATAAGCATTTTAATTAATATTGATATCCCCATGGTTACAGAAATGACAGTACTTTTTACTTTTATGTTTTATCATTTCCAAAATCATTCCCTATGTTATTTCATTCATTTCTCATTATAACCTTACATATGATAGGGAGAGCCTATTATATGATATCGAATCATATATATTAATAATAATAAATATTATATTGAAGCTTAAAAAATGAGGTAACTTGCTTATGATCACATGGCTATGTGGACCCCAACCCAGAACCCAGGGCTTCTGACTTCTGGTCACACACTCTTTCTGTTCCATCATTTATTTGTTTTGTAGTTTATAATCTGTAATAGAAAGTGGAGGTTTTTTAAATTTATTGATAGATAATAGATGTACATAATTTTGGAGTGCAAGTGATATTTTAATACATTCGTATAATTTGAAAATAGGAAATTACTGGTATTGGGATTTCTACCACCTTAAATATTTATCTTTTGCTAGAAACATTCAAATTATTCTCTTCTAGCTATTTTGAAATATACAATAGATTGTTTTAAACTATATTTACCCTACTGATCTAAGCAATTGTATTTCATGCAGAATTCATCCTTTCTCATAGATTGACATGCTCTGCCACCTACAGAATTTCTTGAACTTAATTATTATCACCCTGCTGAGATTGCACCTAAGAGACTCTTGAGCCAGTGGGATAGATACAATTATAGCAAATTAAAAGGAAAACTGGGCCAGGCATGGTGGCTCACGTCTGTAATCCCAGCACTTTGGGAGGCTGAAACAAGTGGATTACCTGAGGTCAGGAGTTTGAGACTAGCCTGACCAACATGGTGAAACCCCATCTCTACTAAAAACTACAAAAATTAGCTGGCATAGTGGCAGTCACCTGTAATTCCAGCTACTCAGGAGGCCGAGGCAGGAGAAGAATCACTTGAACCCAGGAGGCAGAGGTTGCAGTGAGCTGAGATTGCACCATTGCACTCCAGCCTGGGCAACAGAGGGAAACTCCGTCTCAAAAACAAACAAACAACAACAAAAAACTGGGCAACCACCATTTTTCTGTTTCAAAGTTTGTAAGGAAGGTTGAATGTTTATGTCATTAGTGCCTCTTTTATGGTCTCTGCTTGCTTAGTGTATTTTCCCATTTCATTTTCAAACCACTTTTGCTGAAGATTGAGTCAGTGTTTCCAAATACATAGACCACCATCAACTTATAATTGCATTTATGACATGGACTGTGTAGCCATTTAATGTAGCTAAGATGGCCCAAATTTTCCCTTTGCTGTTGGCTTGGACAATATGTGTTTAGCTAACAAAATCCAGCTCCAAATTCACCATCTCCCTGATGCCTTTTATAATATTCTACTTTACTCACTTGATTACAGACTTTTATCACAAAATTATATTTTTTTCTTGCTGGCATTTTGCAGCTGCATATTATATCTTCCCTTTGTAAAATGTAAGCTGCTTATGATTTTAGCCTGGCACATAGTAGGTGCACAATAAATGGTGAAGTAAATGAATAAAGTATTATTTCTGATGGACCATGCTGCTGTTTGAATCTACCGTTTAATAACCCTCACTGTGGATGGTATTTGGCCAACCTGGTCCATCATATTGAGATTTAAAAAAAATCTAATTTATATTATTTCTATTGAATTTTAAAATAAAATTTCCACTTAGATAATACTGTATAAAGAATACTTTTTTTTTGCAGATACTACTAAACCTGAAGTATGATAATTAAAAAAAAAATTGGTTTGGCTCTATGCTAAGCAAGGTGTGGAGACACAGAAATAAGTAAGCCATATCCCCTGTTGCCAAGGATCGTAGGGTAAAAAAAAGAGTTACATGTGAAAATAACTAAGGTTAGGATCCAATATTTGCTATAAGACAGGGAGAAAAAAATGATAGATGAAAAACTCTGCCAGCCAGAAATGGATTCATTTGAGATGAGTATTGAAGCATGTGCAGGTGAAGAGGGTTTAATAGAGAACTGAAGAAGGGGCATTTTAGGTTCAGAGAACAGAATACAAAGACAGACCTGATGGTATGGGTACTCACAATGCATGTTGCCGGAACTCAGTTCCTTGGAGGCCCTTATCTCAGCAAACTCAGCTTGGAATCTGCCTGCATCATTCGCTTGCATCTTGGGCAGTGGAAGAATGCCCAACCTACCTTTGCAGTGTGAGTCTTATGAATATCTCAATCACGAAGTCAATCTTACTTTGAACTCTTTTCCTGAAGCCCAGCGGTCACCTTTGATGTCAGAAACACTTTAAAAATTGATTTCTGTTCCCTCAGCAATTCACATTATTGTCAAGAGAGTCCCCAGTGAAGTAGTAATATATTTAGTGTACTTCCAATATGCATGACACATAGAACACTTACAAGTCTATTGCCTTTTCAGAAACAATCACCAAAGCACATGATATGTTATCCGGAAATATCCTACAGATCTAATAGATTGGAATCACTATGAGATTCTGCAGACCCAGACTTTCTAAGCAGCCTCTCTTGAGTAAAGAATTGAGTAGTGGGGTAGTAAGGCTGTAGTTACCGTCTCAGTGCACCCAAACCCCAGTTCAGGAAAGGCCAGGACCTTGGAGATTACACTGACAGTGAGAACATCCATCATTTAATAAAATCCGGAGAGGCGAAGGACTAAGTCTCAGAGCATGAGGAAAGAACTCTTAGATGTGAAAAGCAGCAACTTGAAAGTAACATGAAATACGTGAGATTCGAACAGTTATCTCATTTATTTTTTATTAACACTTAAGGAGAATTACCAAGTGCCAGCACTATTTTAGGTACCAGTGTTATAACAGTGAAATGAAACAAATAAGCATCCCTTCCTTTTAGACGAACTATAATATTACATGTAATTTAATTCTTAAAACAGTCCTCTACGGAAGATATTCTTAGCCTCTCTCCTTTACAGATGAGGAAACTGAGGCTCCCATGAGTTAAATAACTTGCCCATCTTCATACTGCTTGGATGTATTGTAGCTGTTGTATGAACTCAGATACCCTAGGTCTTAACCATTATTCATACTGTCTTCTATGTATGTTGTCTACAAAAGAACAAGTGAGCTAATATTATTGAGCACTGGCCTTGTACCAGTTGTGTTTCTACATGCTTTAAACAAATAATCTTATTGATTATAGACCAGTGAGGAACTATTAGCATCCATATTTGATAAATAAAGAAAATAAAGCCCAGAAAGGTTAAGCAATTTGCAAAGGCCACACAGCCACTAATGGCTGAATCAGGATTTAAGTCAGGTCTGTCTGTCCCTTAAGGGTTCTCTTCCTGTTGTACACTACAAAAATTAATATATGTTAAGCTTCTCAAAAATTTAGTGTTTGCATCAGTGCAATATTTATGTTTGGAGCAAGTATATAGTTTTAGATATATACCGTTTTACTAAAGTTTTTTCTTCCAGTGTCTTTGAGAATATATCAGTGTATTTATTAATTGCTTGAGGTATGTTCTGCATGACTGACAAATTTTTCTTTTTTTTTTTTTTTTTTTTTTTTTTTTTGAGACGGAGTCTCGCTCTGTCGCCCAGGCTGGAGTGCAGTGGCGCGATCTCGGCTCACTGCAAGCTCCGCCTCCCGGGTTCACGCCATTCTCCTGCCTCAGCCTCCCGAGTAGCTGGGACTACAGGCGCCCGCCACCACGCCCGGCTAATTTTTTTGTATTTTTAGTAGAGACGGGGTTTCACCGTGTTAGCCAGGATGGTCTCGATCTCCTGACCTCGTGATCCGCCCGCCTCGGCCTCCCAAAGTGCTGGGATTACAGGCGTGAGCCACCGCGCCCGGCCACAAATTTTTCTTATTTTGCGTAAGTTACAAAAAAGTTAGACATACATTTTCAAGTTCATTCTAAAACTTATAAAACTTCGTAATAATTAAGTTCAAATATCAATATGCCCTTTTCCAGAATTACTTGATTAATGAACCCTTAACAATTGGAGAAATTGATCTTCAGTTAAATTTGAAGTGAATGGTAGATTTAAATATGGTGACTTAGAGAGTTCAACATCATTTCCATAGCACTACTTTACAAAAAATATTTATCTAGAGTTCCTCATTTTCAATATTTCAATCTTGTTTTCATGTAAAACAAAATAATCAATCACCGGAAAAAGCAAATCACCAATCTCCATACCAGGTTGAGAAGGGCGTGTGTGTGTGTGTGTGTGTGAACACTATATATATATATATATATATATATATATATATATATATATACACACACACATATATACTTCAATTTACCTCCAGATAAATGGAATTTGTACATGTGTGTATGTCCACACACATGTAAACAAACATACAGAAAGAGATGTATTTGGAAGAATGATGTAAGTCTTAAGAAGTTGTTAACTTTAAATAGAAAGAGAGAAGATGGGATGGGAAAAGAATAGAAGCTAAATTTCTCTTAATAAACCTTGTTTTGAGGATTTGACTTTATAAATACTTACATGTTTAATAAAATTGTAACATAACATCTAATTTTAAAATTCCCCCAGATTGAAAGCAAAACCAGTAAATCTAACTGCAATTGTGATTGATGGCAAATCTACAGAGTGAACAATCATTTGAAGTGACTTGAAAACAGATGCTTGTACACTTGTAGTGGGATCCATATTCATGACAAAAAGAAATCCACAAAATATCGTTGCTTTTAGTGGTCATATTTTTAGAGGTAGTATTGTTTTTGTCATAGCAGTCTGAGGCTGTTGTTAAAATGTCCAGGATCCAATTTGAAAAGTCTTCCACCAATCAAAAACAGCTCAATTCATACATCAATAAGAATACTAACTGCAGTGTATTAAAGCATGTCAGCTTTTGTTTAAATCCTTTCACTTATAATAATACAAAACAACCCCAGGAAAACCTTTAGGGGATTCTAGGAAACCAACTTTTTATTTTCAAAATTGATAAGCAATGAGAAAGAAGCATTCTGTCTTTAAGACCTGTAACTAAATCATCCTCAGTGGAGAGAAGTTTCCCTTTGTAAGAAATTTTAGCTAATAAATGGAGAAAGAAGAATATAATTAGAAGCTATTTTGCAATTTTTAATGAAATAGTGCATCAGAAATAGTGCTAACATACCAGAGAGAGACATTTATACATCTTGTGTCTCTTGATGGAAATACCCAAAACTATCTATGAAGCAACTTTGCCAAAAAAATGAACCTTGAATCTCATCAAGCCTGTAGATACAATGAACAACTTATAGGAAACACTATAAGACTAGGTTCTGCAAAATCCAAACTATGGGAAATTCTACGGAACAAATGACCTGTTTTTTTCAACAAATAAAGTACAAGGAAGGAAAAAAGAGGTGGGGAGAAAACCTATAGATCAAGAATAGTGTCGTGAGACATTGGGTGAACCCTATTTGGATCCTGATTTGAAAATACTGCAAAAAAGAAAACAAATGAGACAATCTGAAGATATGGTTGGAATATTTGTCTACTCCCTGAATATTTGATATAGTTCATGTTTTTAGGTGTGATAACATATGGCTATGTTTTTTAAAAGACATATTTAAAAGACATACCTATCCATACTGACATAAATATGGCTGAAAAGATATGCTTGTGTGATGTAATTTAAATAATTTGGAGGGAGGATCAGGAGTTAATGTTGAAACTCAATTGGCTTTGAGTTGGTTATAATCAAGCATGTGAGCATTTCTTATACTGGAACCTTTACTTTTGCAGATGTTTGTAATGTTTTATGAAAATAAAAGAAGAGAATACCTCCAAGACATGCTGCTTTCTTATAGATTATTAGTTGCAATCTTAGTTTTGCTGAAGAAATTAACAGAACTTAATACAATTACTCTTATTTGCAAGTCTATAATTTTCTAAACCTAACTCTGATGCAGTCCTACTCCTAATATTTACAAGGCCTAGAACAAGAGTATATAAATGGCAGCCCACATTCTACGGGTCTAAATATATACAAGTTATAAACCAAGTCAGCAAAATAAAATGCCATGTAAAATGTGTTCTCCTTGATGAATGTATCTTCATCATGACCTGGAAGGCCGAATCAAGCATGGCATTCTCATAGTCCTTGGAGTTCCATTTTGGCCCATTTGGTACAGGGGCAGCCAATTCCTAACACCCAGCTTGCAGCCCAGTGGTTTGGTTGGCTCCCTTTCTTCTCTCACCCCCAGCTCCATGTTCCCATTACCACTAAGGGCCTGGGGTGCACATGTGTGTACACCCTAGCTGTCATGTCTATACTCTGTCCACATCCCATGCCTGCTGCCAGCATTTGGCTACTTTTTGGATCTTGGGTGCGCACACATACCCAGCAGGTCCTGGAAGCAGGCTTGGGCCCATTTGGAAACAAATTCCTGGTTCAGCATACCCTGAACATCATGAGGCAGAGGGGAGGCACAGACTCTGCATGGGCATAACCCCATGATGCAGGGAAACCCACACCTGGTGGAAGGGGATGGCTAGAGGAGGCTCGGAGTGAAGCCCCCTGAAGCTCAGGACCTGGAGCTTGGCATTTTGTGCCTGGGTATAAGAGAGACAATACCGTTAGGTGAAATTTTCCAATTCTTACAAGAAACCCTTCCCTAATCGTGTTCACATGGTTTGACATTTTTAAATGCTTTTGACATTTGGCTTTTGCAAATATTAATAACAGTTTAGCTGATAGAAATATAAACTGAACGTTAGTTGTATAAAAATTATATGCTCTCAAAATATATTTAGCAACTTCAAAAGATTTAGCTGCCCATCTGTTTTGTAGAATTAACACCAGCTTGAAACATATTCAAGAAAAAAAAAAAAAAACTCCAATTGTGTAAACTATCCTTAGGGGAAGAGAGGATTCTGAGCACCACCCAAGGTAGGGTCACTGTCCAAACACTTGGGCCCTATAACATAAATGTAAGTGTGAGTGGCCGGAGCGACTGTTTTGACAAGTTGACAGAAAACTTCCCTAGAACACAAAGTTTCATCCCATGGAGCAGCTGGAAGCAGAATTCAGCAAGGAGAACTGCCCTGGCTGCCCTATGGCCTGTTATCTGGGGACACGTTTCATCGTATCCATTTGCTAAAAGTGTAAGGCCAGCAGAAGATTCCATGCACACATCTGGCCCTGGGTCATCTCTAATAGAAATAAAACAGTCAGCTATGAGACAGTCTGCTCCACCACGGTGACCTTGTGCCCCATTTAGTGGCATTTGGATATTTGTAGGAGGCAAATTATAGGGTAGTTCTGACAATAATTGTATATTAAACCAAATGGCTGCTCCTCATCTGTCTACATAAAGGCTTGGAAGGGTTTCCAATACTTCTGAGTCTTACTGCAGATGGCATTGCCATTCTTGTGAATGATAGTTGATGGTTTCAGCTGCAAGTTAACATTGGAAGTGTAGCTCCTAATTATACTGTTAACAGATATTTATAGTGGTTTTTGTTATGTTCCAGAGACATTGGAGGGTGTGTGTGATTGCAGGCCTCTGTATTGTCATGTAGTCCTTGTAGTTAACCAGTGAACAGCATACTTTTTTTTTTTTTAAGACGGAGTCTTACTCTGTTGCCCAGGCTGGAGTGCAGTGGTGCGATCTTGGCTCACTGCAAGCTCCGCCTCCCGGGTTCACGCTATTCTTCCGCCTCAGCCTCCCGAGTAGCCAGGACTACAGGCACATGCTGCCGTACCCGGCTAATTTTTCGTATTTTTAGTAGAGACGGGGTTTCACCGTGTTAGCCAGGATGGTCTCGATCTCCTGACCTCGTGATCCACCTGCCTCAGCCTCCCAAAGTGCTGGGATTACAGGTGTGAGCCACCACGCCATACCTAGCATACCTATTTTAAAGATGAATAAACTGTGACTCAGAGGGCTAAGGTCATAAGACCAGTAAGAACTTCTGATGTGTATTTTTCCAATTGTAAAGTTTCATGTTTTTTCTATATGTTGCACTGCCCTTGGTCTACCCATTTTCTTCTACAGAGAATTTTGCATTTCTGTCTCCCAGCTGGATTTCTGTTTCAGTGACCTCTCATGTATTCTTTTAATTTACCTGGAATCTTAGTATCTATTGGCAGTGGCTGTGGGCTGGGGGAGATTCTATTACTCATCCTGTGCTATGTCCCTTTCTTCCTAGAGTGAAAGTTTCAAGTGATTTTTTTCCACTAATTTATCTTTTACTCTGTGGTCACTCTCTTGTGTTTTTCACTTAAGCAATCTGTTAGCCAAATGTTCATCACAGCCCAGTGTGAATGAGGCTCTTGAATGAAATTGGAAATGATTACAGTGAGAAAGAAACAGCTATCTGGATGTTGCCTACACCAAAAGGTACCCGGGCCCAGTCTGCTTAGGGTTATGCCGCTATGACAGAGAATGTTCTTGTTGCCATGAGAATCATGGCAGAGGGCTATGAGAGAGGTGATGGTCATGGGTGTGTTTGTAGAGTGAGGTTCTACCTGTGCACATTCTACATGACCATCAGGAAGGCTCTGATCCCCACTGATTACATGTAAATGAGTTGATCTTGTTCACTGGTAATTCACAGGCATACTCTCATTCACCCCAAATGATGTGAATCTTCTTGTATCTCTCCATTGGTTCTGGGAATATAGTTGGTAGTCAGTAGTGCTTGTTGGCTGATCATTGAGATGCACAGTTATAGTAATTAGGTGTGGTTTTAGCCAAGGTGGCCTGGGGTTTGGTGAGGTCCTTTTTGAGATGGGTATATGGCAGGTCTACAGCAACAATCTGCTTTTAGAGGGTTCTTTGTCTACAGTAATAATCACAAATTCACCTTCACTTAAATTGGTCAAAGCAGAAAATGTGTGGGAGAAGGCTTCTCTCTTTCCTCTTACGTGGTGTGTGTTATGGATGGAATTGTGTACCTCCAAAATTCGAATTTTCGACCCCTAACCCCTGATGTGACTGTATTTGGAGATGCACCCTTTAGGGAGGTAATTAAGGTTAAAGGAGGACCTATAGATGGGACCTTAATCGGATAAGACTGATGGTGCCTTTGTAACAAGAGGTAGAGACACCAGAACACTATTTCTCTGTGGCCATGCAGATGAGAGGCCATGTGAGGACCCAGGGAGAAATTTACCATCTGTAAGCCGGGAAGAGAGGCTTCCCCAGATCCCAGCAACGACGGCACCTTGCTCTTGGGCATCCAGCCTCTAGAACTGTGAAAAAATAAACTTGTGTTGTTGAAGCCCCCCAGTCTGTGGTATTTTGTTATGGCAGCCTTAACTAACACAGCGTGTGAGAATACGGGGGCAAAGTTGTAACTCTGACTTTGTATTTCTATATGTGGCACGCTTCCTTGGGTTCACAAATGAGGAAAGCCATAGGTTATGTGTGATTTCCAGCATGTTACTTCATCTACTTTCTTCCACTCAAGAAAGCACACCAGGATGCATGTGAGTGAAGCTAAAATAATTTATCTGGAATGATATTCTGCTTTTTCTCGCCCTAACAGACAGATGCACTAGGTTTTTAAAATGCCGAAATACTTCCCTCCTGGTTGATGAAAGCTTAGAATGTCCTGACTCTCCCTCCTCCCCAGTGTCCCCTGCACTAACAAATTCCTTCTGTGATACCGTGAACCTCGCCACCATCTAGTACCTGAGACAGCAGCATCTTCTCAGGCCAGTGTCCTTTCTGATTAGTTGATGCCAGGCCCTACTAGTTGTAAATACTTTATTGCCCTTGCTGATTTTAGAAATAATCCAGGATCAGTTCTTTAAAGCAAGTCATTTGAAAACTTCAGGACTTTATTAGTAACAAATAACTACAGGCACTTTGCTATTGGATGCAAGTTGCAATACCACCATTGAGAACTTTTGCAGGAACCCGCAAAAGGAAATCGAGTCTGTAAATGAGAACATTTAAGCATGTATTAGACTGGCTTATAGACATATCCTGCAAGGCTGTGGCAGGGAGGGACTGTAGGAAACCTCTGTTGCTGCAAGGCTGGCAGATGATGAGTAATGTGCTTTGCTCTTTGATTGCATTTCTTCTTTTTCTCTGAAGCCTTCTTGTATCAAGTCCAAGGAAATGAGTAATTTGTGTCAGCTAGGAGCAAAATCAGAATAATTTATTTACTTGAATGCCCATGTTTCTGCATGTTTCTGCGATTACTTGGTACAATAATTGAATTTATGTTGCCATTATTTTTTCTGTGCTTCATTTTGGGACTTTCCCTAATGTATTTGAGTGGAAATGTTTTAATACTTGGTTTTACGTAAGTTTTTTTTTTTTCAGAAAAACTTGATCCCATTGGGAAATGCCTAATGAAATAAATTCTTGATACTTTTAATCCTCTTAATCATTTGAATTCAAAAGAATGGTTTATTTGAAAAAGCCTTTCAAAAAATATCAAACTCTAAATTACTATATTTTTTGTATCACACAAGTAATGCTTAAATGAAACCTAGATTTTTAAGCTCTTATAAAAATTATAAATAAAATAGAGCAATGTCATGAATATAATACTTCCTAGTATTCTACTTCCTATATATCCTTCGGCAGTAACTATCAGACAGTCTTAATAGATCTCTTTACATTTGCAAGCCACATGGGAAATATAATTCTCATAACTCTCTTGAAGAAAGCATTACTGATTTAGTTAGTGGTAGAGAGTTGCTGATTCCTTGATTTATTATACTAATTTACAGTATTTTTGTTTTTCAGTAGTACATGTTATTTCCAGACTGCTTTGTAGAATCTTGTTTCTATATTCTGCAGCACGCATCACCTGATGTGAGTTCAAAGGTTTGACTATGTAGCCCTAAGATATATTACAATCAAGTAAGTGGTATCTTAATTCTATAAAGCACGTTTATCCCAAGATGCTCAGGAAGCTTATATTGTTGTATAATTTGAGGCCTCATCGTACAGGCTGGGAAGTTTTTATATAATTTTAAGAAGGGCTTGGTGGAATTGCTTCTTTTACAAATTAGCCCGAGAGGGAATGGTTAGTCCTTAACAAGATGTGGAAGAAGGAGAAAGAGTATAGAGCATATAAATATTATAGGCCCTTTATTCACAATAACTGTGATATGGAAACAACCTAAATTTCCAACAGTGTAAGAATGGGTAGAGAAAATATGTGTATACACACAGACACAATGGAATATTATCATTAAAAAAGAAGGAAATCCTCCCACTTGTGACAACATGGATGAGGCTAGAGGACTCTATGCTAAGTGAAATAATCCAGACACAGAAAGACATATACTGTATAACCTTACTTTTATGTCTTAAATAGTTGAACTCATAGAAGCACAGAGTAGAATGGTGGTTGCCAGGGATTGGAGAGTGAGAGAAAGGGAGAGCTGTTTGTCAAAGGGTACGAAGTTTCACTCATGAAGGATGAATACGTTCTGGAGAGCCATTATATAGCATGGTGACTGTAGTTAAGGTTTTTAAAAGTATTGGCAAGGACATAATGTCCCTTGAATGTTAAATGAATTTTTATGTAAGGAAAGGCTAACAGGGTTCATTATAATAGTGAAAGTTGAAATTCTGTTTTCATTCATTCATTTATTCATTCAACTTGATTGAAGACTTGTAGTGTGCGAGTGACTGCGTTTGATGAAGGGAAAGAGTTAAGGAGATGTAGGAGCATGGTTCTTAGTCTCTCAAGGGACTCCGTGGAAGACTGTTATTAAAAAGAGAGGTGCTATCCTGGGATGCTGGTATGTGCATCGGGGATACTGTCCTCTAGCATTTCTCTCTTATTCAGTGCTTATCCGTCCTTATCTGGAATGCCTGTTGTCTTGACAGGTATTTCTGAATGCCTGCTGTGCACAATATTCAGGCTTCTCTGATTAGGGCAGACACAGAAGAGAATTATGCACACTGCCTAGTTAATTATAAATCAGAACTCTGGATCACAGAAAACAGCAAACTAAGATGATCTTCAAGTTAAATTAGCAGAGTTATTAAATGCTTATCATCATCTCCAAAGAGTCAATAAGAGAAGGGAAGGGAACTTGAAAAATAGCATGAGGGATTTAGGCTGTAAGTAATACAACTATATCTTAACAGTAAAGATGGTTAAATATTAGAGACTATTGGAAGAGGCTCAGTTTTTCAAATGACAAGAGTGGTTAAATCTTATTATTGCCTAGGGTCAGTGAGATGGACTAGATAATGTTTAAAGGTTATTTCCTACCTTAGAGGAATATGCCTTCATGATGGGCAGAAATAAGACGATGGTGAAATGATTCCCAACAAAACCATTTAGATGACGCCCTAACTTATTTTTTAAAAGTCTATTTTCCCCTACCAGATTTGAGCTTCCCAAGTCCAAGGCACTATATATTTATATCTGTATCTAGGGAACATGGCACAGCACCCGCCTCATAGTGGCTCTCAGTAAGTGTCTGCCTGGAGGTGCTTGTCATGGGCTGGCTAGCATGGCTGATCAGGTTATTCAAGGGCATTTTCTTCACTCCATGCAGATGGACTGCTATTTTACAAAGTTCTAAATATGATAATTCAGCAAAAGAACATATGGATTTACTAACGTTAAATTAACACATGTATTTACATTTTGTGTAGTTTTATTGCAAGTCTCCTTTAAATAGGGATCTCTGCTGCTTTTGAGCTCGAATTAAAATGTCCAAAATGTGAATTTTACTAAGTCTTACAACTTTACAGTAATACAGCTTTTATGCAAAACAAAATTTGTGAGTGCAGAGACCATGACTCGACATGCAGCCACAGTCATGACCCACAGACCCTGTTGGAGCCCATTGGTGGCTTTTTAGGTTATGAAGATTAGATGATGACAAGGAGGTAGTGGGCGCTGGCCGTGGTCCCTTCTACCCTGAGGGACTTTGCAGGGTCTAGTGTGAAGAGTTTGCTCCAGCTTCACCTGCAGGCAGAAGAGCGTTTAGATGATCCCTTCTGACTCAGTGTTTCAGAAGTTTTGATGATGTAAAAATGACTTTTTTTTACAACTCTACACTATTTTAGAGGCAGGCATCAGTGGAGCAGGCTAAAAATTGCTCCCATGTAAGGATAAGTTATGGAAAAGATTCACGTTAGAAAAGAAGGGAGACGTTGTCATACATTGGAAAACCCACAAGATTGGTTTTTGCCAGCCATTCACTTTTGATTCTGATTCTGCCTGATAAATAAGGAGCTTAATGACCTTGAATAATTTCTCTAATGCTTTAGGGTCTTGGTTTCCTCATTTCTAAAATAAACTTCTCGCTATAACATTTTATGAGTCAATAAAATTTTTCAAACTTCCAAAGCAGCTGTTTCCACAACTCTGTTCCCTCTTCCAATAGTCTAGTCTAACCATATTTTTAAAAACTGCTGTTTTTACAGTCACACAAGTTCTGCCTCACCACTTCCCAATAGCATTCAAGAAGAAGAAGAAAGTCATTACTTAGAAATGACTTAACTCAAATATCACTCTTCACATGTTTTCAGAAACAGGGTGACCTTTACTCGGGATCTGCATGAATGAGAAGCATTTATCTCTCCTCTGGAGAGTGGAAGAACTAGCATTTGGGCTGATGCCTTATAAATACACCCCAAATAATTGCCCACTGAGCAGGTGCTTCTGGTCCTGTTGCCTACTAAAGGGTGTAGTAGGATGATCCTTTCTCCATTCCCACTAAAACGTATCCCCTGGCATAGCCCACACTTAATGCTCTTCTTCTCTAATACAATCAGCTTCCTGTAGTTTTCCTTTTTTTTTTTTTTTTTTTGAGACGGAGTCTGGCTCTGTTGCCCAGGCTGGAGTGCAATGGTGGCATCTCGGCTCACTGCAAGCTCCACCTCCTGCATTCACACCATTGTCCTTCCTCAGCCTCCCGAGTAGCTGGGACTACAGGCGCCTGCCACCACTCCTGGCTAATTTTTTGTATTTTTAGTAGAGATGGGGTTTCACCATTTTAGCCAGGATGGTCTCCATCTCCTGACCTCATGATCCACCCACCTCGACCTCCCAGAAGTTTTCCTTTTTTAATAAAAGGAGAAGAGAGCTTCCAAAGGAGGGACGGGTTTAGGTAGAAGGAGGATGGGTCGGTGAGAAGAGCACATATGGTAATATTTTGGCTTCAGTGAGTAGGCTTTATGTTTTATTTCTATGCCTGTGAAAGCGCAATATAAACATGTTAGGAAGAGGGAGAAAAAATCACTAAAAACTCTTAATCCCAGAATATATAAGCAGATAGTTTAAACTGAGCAACAGCAACATTTTTTTAAGAGATGCTATTTAAATGCTTCCTTCAGACCCTCTGCCCATTTGCTCCTTGCCTATCAGGGCATATGTTGAACACCACTCGGCACTCACTGAATTCAATCATTGAAACCAGCTGGTCCTCTTAGATTCTGTCATCCCACTGTTTAGTGTGGTGGAATGCCCAGTGGATGGGCTGTGTCTGGCTGGGTTGTTTGAATGGAGAACCTACCAATGCAAGTAAAATGGCAAAAACAGACGAAGGCCAGTTTTGAGAGGCAAGGGAATAGAGGGAAGGAAATAAAGAGTTCAAAAGAGTAGAGAGAGGAAATTCTCCCATGTAGAGTGAGAAAGTCAATTGGATAGATTTGAGTGCAAATTAGTATTTTATTCTCTTATAGATGAGAACAATTAGAATTTCCCAAACTAAAACCAGAGGAGAAAGACAGTAGTTATGTCCATGTATTTATTGTCTTTCTAAACCATCAAGTAAACAAAAAAGTAATGTCCCTTAGCAAATCAAGGATGAAATAATTCTAAGCATCTGTGTTCAGTGGTTGAATGTTAAAAACAAAGAATAACTCCTATGAGGATACATTTTTTCATGAACAATTTTTAATGAGGAAATAAGTATATTTTAGGTGTAATTGATAAGAAGTTTGTCTAAAGATACAATAAAAATATGAAGGACTAAAGGCATGAAGTAAAAGATACAAAAGGATGCATTTCCTAGAAAATGAGGTGAAACAGAGTAGTTGCATATGTTGTCAAGACAGAAGAGAATTACCCCAAAGGAGGAGGCCTGCTACTTATTAGCGGGAGAGAGTGTGAGCAGGCGCATGGCAGGAAGGCTGTAAAATCCTTAATAGCTCCTTTGCTTCAGCCTTCACAAGGAAGGTTAATAGCAAAAGGATGGTAATACAGTAACAGTTAATGAACAAGTGAGTGAGTTCACATCTGGAAGAAGCAGGTTAAGGCACACTTCAATAATTGAATGTGTCGAAATCATTGAGGTCCAGTGAAATTCACTTAAAAGTCCTAAAGGAAACAGCTGAAGGAGCACCAGAGTGAGTGAAATGATCTTTGAGTGTTTAGGAATTATATGTGTGGATGAATAAGGATACCTTTGTTATTGCATAAGTAGGTAAAACATATAAAAGGCCATGGCAAAGGGGAAGTTGGAACAGTAATGTAATGGATCATGGGCTCATGCCCTGAAGGGAATTAAGGAAGAAAAAGAAAACATGAGATATAAATGAAAAACATGGCAATTCACACTGCTGCCTTTTGCAGACTACTGATGCCAATGTCATTTCCATGTACAGTTTGCACAGTCAAGATTCTGAAGTCCACACTTCAGACTGGCTTCATTAAGGAATTTGGTTGCTCAGGATGAGGTAACCAACTCCAAATGTAGAAACTGAGTTCCTTTATCAAACAGTGAAATTCTGGTCTCACCAATAACATCTCCGGTTTTCTGTTCACTGATGGAGGACATAGTCCAGGATGTACAATTAAACATTTGGCAAAAATTAGGTGTTCAGCAGGTAGCAGTTCTGGTTGATTTGTAGCCACATCTCTTTGACGCTGTGCTCTGTGTCCAACTTGGGGTGCTGCTGGAGCTGGCTGATTTCTCTGTTATTTGGTAAGAAATCACTCCTTATACTTTTTTTTTTTAGATCTATAGTTTTCCCCATTCTGTAATGATTTTGTTTCAGGTCAAGAAGGTAAGAACCTTCTCCCCACTTGGGAGGGGCAGCTCTGGGCCAGAAATATGGAAAGACTCTTTAAGGGCACAGTGAGTTGAAGATAAGAGTGTAGGACATGATAAAAAAAAAAGTCACCTCAGTTTATTGTTGAAAAGAAGGTACCATGATTACCTAAGAAGATAGAGTTATTTCTCATTTGCCTTTTTAGTGCTCATTTGGTTAAATTACATTTAAAGCACTAGTTCTCTCGGACTTTGTGGGGATGAGGAAGAGCCAAAACCAGCATCACCACCCAAAATAATAACAGCTTTCATTGATTGATTGACTGACTGAGACAGCACCTCTCTCTGATGCCAAGGCTGGAGTGCAGCAGTGTAATCATAGTTCACCGCAGCCTCGAACTCCTGGGCTCAAGCGAGATCCCCCTACCTCAGCCTCCCAAGTAGCTGGAGTACCACGCCCAGTCAATTTTTTAACTTTGTAGAGACAGGGTCTTGCTGTCTTCACCAGGCTGGTTTGGATCTCCTGGCCTCAAGTGGTTCTCTCACTGTGGCCTCCCAAAGTGCTAAGGTTACAGGTATAAGCAATCAAGCCCAGCCAACAGCTTCCATATAAATAATGCCAGTTATGGGCCCAGCATCCAGTGTGCACTCAAAATGCTTTCTCTCTTTTAATTCTCAGGGGTTGGAGAGTTTGGCACAATTATAATATTCATTTCAAAAATAA
This sequence comes from Homo sapiens, assembly GCF_000001405.40. Classification (NCBI taxonomy): domain Eukaryota; kingdom Metazoa; phylum Chordata; class Mammalia; order Primates; family Hominidae; genus Homo; species Homo sapiens. The sequence goes on along the minus strand of NC_000002.12, from coordinate 133,103,384 downwards.
GAATATTTAACCATATTGATAACCTGTCTGAAATTTTACCTTGAGCAAGTGGCTTCAATCCCAGGCAGTCTATGTTCAGAGCCTTCATTCTTAACCACTGCCCTACACAGCTTTTAGGAAATAGTATTCAAAAAGTAACTGTAAAGAAAAATAGTCAAACATAGAATAGTAGAACTTTTGAAGATGAAGATAACTTATACCATTCATTCATGTAGAAAAGTGATGGAAGGAAAACATAATAACCAACAAATATGTAAAAATATGTAATGAGATTGCTAAGGGAAAGCTATCCATCTTTCTCACTGGGAAAAATGAAAAGAAATGAGTTTTTAGCACTCTAGAAATAGAGTGAAGTAGAAGATATGCTAGGTGATAAAATATTACAGCTGAAAGGAATATCCTTGGATTCAAACTCATCATTTTTCAGATGGGGAGGTTGAGGCTCAAAGAGGGAAGGTGGCATTTCGAAAGTCTCCTCTTGCATTCACGGGACTTGAATCCAGCTCTCTGGGAGCTCAGTCTTGAACTCATACCACTTCAGAGCCTTGTTATTGTTAGTGTACAGAACCCATGCAGCCATTGTGTTTATGTACAGTGTGTGTGTGTGTGTGTGTGTGTGTGTGTGTGTGTGTGTGTGTGTTTACATGCTTGTCTAACCTGTCAGTTAAGAATGATCCAGTTAGCAATGCCAGAGCCAAAGGCATGATCATGGAGGTAACAGAGATGTAAATAAAGTAGTGGAGGGAGATGTAGCAAAGCACCTGGACTTTGGAATAAAGATCCTTAAGAGAGAGCGGAATGATCTTGGACAAATAGCAGTTTACAAAATATTTTCAGGAAGCTAATTAACAAAACGGTTTTTTTCTTCCCTTTTTCCTTCCCTGATGCTTTGACCTATGTCATTTCCTTGGGCTAAAGAGTGTATTGAAAGAAAGAAAGGCCAGGCGTGATGGCTCATGCCTGTAATCCCAGCACTTGGGGAGGCTGAGTCAGGTGGATCACGAGGTCAGGAGATCGAGACCATCCTGGCTAACATGGTGAAACCCCGTCTCTACTAAAAATACAAAAAAATTAGCCAGGCTTGGTGGCACGTGCCTATAGTCCCGGCTACTCGGGAGGCTGAGGCAGGAGAATCACTTGAACCCGGGAGGCAGAGGTTGCAGAGAGCCGAGATCGTGCCACTGCACTCCAGCCTGGGTGACAGAGGGAGACTCCGTTTCAAAAACCAAGCAAACAAACAAAAAAAACAAAGAAAAAAAGAAAAAATCAGTGTATTACAATTCATTCTTAGTGACCTCATGCTTTCTCCTATAATCATTGCATTATGTGCTTAGTTTTTACACAGTTTTGAAAATCACTTTTCCAGTCTTTTATTTTTTTTCCCCAGAGACTCCTTTTTTCTCCCAAATTTTCACAATCTGGGAGTGCTCTGCTGAGCCTGGCTTATGTATTGTCGAGGATGTTAGTGACTGATTTGCATGCTACATGACGGAGTCAGGTTCATCACATTCTGCAATTGCGCACCCTGTCAGACATGTTTACTTCTTAACAGCCTTTCCCACTTAGCTCAACATACACCACTATCTGAATGTGAACACTTGGTGGAACAGTCTTTCAATTACATCCAGAAACTTACTTTGATATCAAGAGCCTGCCTTTCTACCTGCCTCAGAATTTGTTTTTTGTATTTTTTGAATTGAATTGAAAATAATGATTTTATGTTTGTAAATCACTGTTTCTTTATAACATTCCAACTTACAAGGGATGTGAAGGACCTCTTCAAGGAGAACTACAAACCACTGCTCAAGGAAATAAAAGAGGATACAAACAAATGGAAGAACATTCCATGCTCATGGGTAGGAAGAATCAATATCGTGAAAATGGCCATACTGCCCAAGGTAATTTACAGATTCAATGCCATCCCCATCAAGCTACCAATGACTTTCTTCACAGAATTGGAAAAAACTACTTTAAAGTTCATATGGAACCAAAAAAGAGCCCGCATCGCCAAGTCAATCCTAAGCCAAAAGAACAAAGCTGGAGGCATCGCACTACCTGACTTCAAACTATACTACAAGGCTACAGTAACCAAAACAGCATGGTACTGGTACCAAAACAGAGATATAGATCAATGGAACAGAACAGAGCCCTCAGAAATAACGCCACATATCTACAACTATCTGATCTTTGACAAACCTGAGAAAAACAAGCAATGGGGAAAGGATTCCCTATTTAATAAATGGTGCTGGGAAAACTGGCTAGCCATATGTAGAAAGCTGAAACTGGATCCCTTCCTTACACCTTATACAAAAATCAATTCAAGATGGATTAAAGGTTTAAACGTTAGACCTAAAACCATAAAAACCCTAGAAGAAAACCTAGGCATTACCATTCAGGACATAGGTGTGGGCAAGGACTTCATGTCCAAAACACCAAAAGCAATGGCAACAAAAGCCAAAATTGACAAATGGGATCTAATTAAACTAAAGAGCTTCTGCATATAGTAAAAATATTTTAAGAATACAAACGTCAACAAAATATTTTAAAAAGGTAACTATAATCTCACATCTGTACTGGGAAAACCATTGTAAGGAAATATTTTGAGACAAAAGTTTTTTTTTTCCAAGCCACAGAAGAGAGTGCATTTAAACTGCTTAAATGAAAAGTATTACTCCTAATTTGATCAAAAGATAAATTACATTTGAGAATGTAATTTATATGGAGTTTAAATGAGATACTTCTTCCAAGTTTGTTATAACCAAAAAGGATTTCTTACGCTGTTGCTACAACCCAATTTTTACTTTTTTGATTTGAGTGCCCATAGTGTGGTGAGAGGCAATGGAAAAGACCTAGGTGACATTACCCTACCACGTCTGGACTCTGGAGTCCGGGGCTCAGTCCCAGTTCTGCTTTTTGCTAGTTGTCCATCCTTGAACAAAGTCCTTCTAAATTTCTGTTTCATTATCTGTAAAATGGCCCAACTACATATGATTATTGCTTGGACCAAGTAAAATAATGTACATAAAATATTTGATGCAGAGTAGCAAAAGAACTTAGAGTAATAGGATGGATAAAATATAATTATCAGGTGATTAATAATCAGTAGCTAACATGATTAATTAAAGTGGGATCCACTCCAGCTGTCAGATCAAGTGGTTGACCATAGCTTACCTTTTCTACGGACTCCCTTTTGGGAGATTCGGTGTACTTGAAATGCTTGTAGATTATTTGAAGGAAGTTATTGACGTATCCCCATGGTTCACAAAGAGTAATTCCTCATCTACCCTGTTAACTTTTGTCTTAGACATTTTCAACTGCACTTTAGAGAGGTAGGAGGAGATCCTCAGCACAGAAACACTGAGAACGCATATTCAATACCAGCGTCCACAGACTCCTGTAAAAAGCCAGTGTGAGTGGTCTAAGCTAGTGGGCCGTAGATCATTGTCACAGACATTCTGACTTTGTAGCGCAAAAGTAGCCATAGACAATAGGTAAAAGAAGAGCTGCATTTCAGCTTAACTTTATGTGCAAAAGCAGACAGCAGTATATATTTGGCTTGCAGGCCATACTTGGCCAACCCCTATTCTAGTGAATTAAATAAGAAAAGAGGATGGGGTAACAATAAAAAGGGATGGTTAAGGAAAAAAGTTGTGATTTTTCAATAGGGGAGTGTGGGATGAAGACTACCAGAATTCTGGAAGCCTGAAAAGGGTTTTTTTGAGAATATAGTACTATCTATCTGATCATTTGGTAGGCATTTTAGGGGCCACAAAAACAAAGATGTTTGAGAAATCACCTGTGTTTTTAGAAGCTACATGGGGCAAATTTAGCAGAGATCAACAGCTAGTTAGTGGCAGTGACCCCAATATGTACTTAAATATCTCTTCATTTTATACCTGAGTTTCTGAGAATATCAGGACAGGGTTTTGAAGCACAGTGATAAACACAGGAGGAAATAAATTAGCTTTATTTTGAATAGTTAAAATGTTTTCTCAGTATTATCTCATTTATCTTCCTTACATTATTTTGACCTGGGAAACTACCCTGGAAAAAAAATAATCAAATTCAGGTGCAGAAAACAAATTCCGTGGAGACCACTGGGTAAATCAGAGATGAATACAAAATTTGAACTTGTTACTGTTTTAGTATTATGAGCTCAGAGCTTTTTTTTCTATATATTCTTACTGTCTTAAATTATTTACATTTTTCATTCATTTGCAAAATTACTCTTGGGACTTAGAATAGCTAGTTCAAAGAACCACAGTAACTTGCCCAATACGGTACTTAGAAACTAATATTCAGTAATACTAAAACAGTGGGTAAAAGATAAGTCATTTTCCATGAATGTCTGTTTAATGCCCATTTTTAGGTACATGATTACTTTTCTGTGACACTGCCAAGTCTGTGTCTGATGAATTGTTACCAAGTTGTCTCCTAGGAAATATTTTGAAATATTTTATAACCTAAGCATCTTCCAGAAACAATTAAACACCAATTTATGCTTGTGCTCTTGGTAATTTCTTTAAAATCTGCAGAAACTCCCTTGATAATTAAGCATGTACTTCTCTAAAACTAATAATGTGTTTCTTTTTTCTAGCTTACTACAAATATGCAGTCTGAATTGCACATAATGTTTTGAAAGGAAATTGTTATGAATATTTTAATTATGGCCAACTATCTTTAATTACATGGCTGTATTATTTAAATATAACTAGAGTGTAAAACACATCATCTGCTATTAGTTACATAAGGTGGATAGTTCAACAAAATGTTTTTTTAATTTTAATGTTTACTCACTAATAAAGTTGATCTTTGAAGGAATATTTGTCTCGGAATTTTACCCAGTAACCACGAGCAGTAAGTTTAATTGGGAAGTTTTGTTGAAACATAACTCTAAAATTGTGGAAAAATGTCAACACTTTAAAATTAGTGCCTAATAATTTTAATTCTCTTGGTACTCACTGCAGTATCATTAATCATGATGGAGTCATTCGATCCTAATATGGATGTAATATCCAATTCTGCAGAGATTCAGCTGTAATTTAGCAACAATTAACTGTCCACTTATTATAAAGTGATGCCAAAAACCCTAATGCAATTATTTTAAGGCGTTGGTCACATTAACAATAGCATTCAAGTTTGCAGATGTTGCAGAAACTTTAGATTGATGTGTCTGATTAAAAACACATTACGTTGGAAATTTTCTTACTTTAGGTATTTATGCTGGTATTTCAGAAGGCACTTTCGGTTTCATCTTTGGAATAGCTCTCATTTACTTTTGTGCCTTTCTTAAAATTTTATTTCTGCATATTTGCTTTGAGGAAAACAAATTGATGTGTTTTCTAAACATATGCAACTTTTGAGGAGATCATATAATAGAAAGATTGCCAAAAGCCAGTGACTTTTCAGGTGCCTGCCATCATGGAGCTTTTTCACTGGGTCAAGGTAGTGTCAGCAGCCTTCCTGGGTAACAGGACTCACCCAGATGTAGAAAATGCACGTATTACTCATCAGGAATCCCAAACAACACAAGCTCTGAGGACAAGTCCCCAGATAAATGAAGCTAGCCACAGCATATGTTCTTTCCTCTCTATGTCGTAGCATTCTCCCAGTCAGCTAGGGCAAGGTGGGTTCATATTTTGCAGTCTCTGTGGGATCAGACACATGTGGCCACACTGTGAATCAGGTGTTGATTATTGCCGTATTCTTTGTGTCTTTAGCCTCCTTTAGTTTTAAGAGGCTGTTCCCCTACTGTTGGAGCCATCCACCAAATACTCAAGGAACTTGCATTTTCCTTTCTTTCTTATTGAATCCCGAGTAAAGGTTCTGACGATCAAGAAAACATTAAGGAGTTAATGTCTTAGGAGCTTACAGTTTTACTCTTTCTTGAGATACTTGCATTTCATCAGAGGCTGGAAATCACAAGCCAAAGAAACTAAATTGCGATGGCATAACTTCAGGAATCTGTAAAGAGATGGAGATGATGCTGGTTGGTTGTGTGAATTTCTAGAAACCCTGAAATCCAACTCAGGATACCTGTAAAGCTTCCATAATGACAAAACTCCAAACTATAGAGATTTGAAAAAGAGAGGTTTATTTGTCTCTCACTTTAGCATCCAGAAGTAGATGACTAGGGCTTATGGGGTGACACTGCCACCCTCTGTGCATAGCCATCATCTCGGAGTCCAAGGCAGCTGCTCCATGCCTCCTTGCCTCCCTGCCATTGTGAAGGGTCAAGGGTGTCACATGCTAAAATCTAGAAGTTGTGACACATCACACCTTGTTCCGTCAGTTCAAACTTAGCTAGGCATGGCTATGCCTCGCTCCAAATGTCGTGGGCAATGTGGTCAGGTGCCCAGCTAGATTTGTATTACTGCAGAGGAAGAAAAGAACTTACATTAGGGACATAAGTACAATAGACCTCACATAAGTATTGTATAGAGAGTCTCTGCTTAAGATAAAAGTTTATTAAGTCACCCCTTAATAAGCATGTTCTAAATATTATTGTACTGTTCAGCCTCCAAGTTATCACAATATTGGCACCTGGATAGATAACACTATTATCTGCGGAGTGAAGTGTCTTCATTCATTAGCGACTAGTACCTTTGAACTTGTATGAACTTCTAGGCTGCTAAAACTCTCCCACTGTATACCCTATTTCAGTTTTACTTCCACCACCTAGGGGAGGCCTACTCATGGAAGATAAACTCAACTTAATATAAATTTAACTGTTCCACAAATAGGAAGCCATATCTATCTTTCCTAAAATAATTACCTGCCACAGAATATTTAAAGGTCAAATAAAAATGTTGTTTGGGTTATCAAGAATTGTACTGTATTTTATTTTATTTGCTTATTTATTTATTTATTTATTTATTTATTTATTTATTTATTTTTGAGACAGAGTCTCACTCTGTCAACCAGGCTGGAGTCCAGGGCCACAATCTTGGCTCACTGCAACCTCCACCTCCTGGGTTCAAGCAATGCTCTTCCCTCAGCCTCCCAAGTAGCTGGGACACAGGCGCACCACCACATCTGTCTAATTCTTGTATTTTTACTAGAGATGGGGTTTTGCCATGTTGGTTAGGCTGGTCTCGAACTCCTGGTCTCAAGTGTTCCACCTGCCTTGGCCTCCCAAAGTGCTGGGATTACATGTGTGAGCCATTGTGCCTGGCCTAATTATCAGAAATTTTATATCAGGTTTGCCAACACTGCTTTAGGTTTAGATTGGTTCGTATTAGGTTTGCTGCATTTTGAGGCCTGGATAACCATTTTTATTATAATGGAGTTTCTAGAGATGTATAGATCAAGGGATATAACACCGTATTATACACTGATAGGAATCAGTCTGTGGGTAATTTAGTAGCATCTGGTAAAATTTTAAATGTGCCAACCTTGTGGATGCCTATTCTTCTGCCTAGTTCTCACCCTGAGGCCATGTGTCCACCGTGTGTACAAAGAGGCATGGGGAGAAGTACTCACAGTGGTTTGTTTGTAAGATTGCTGATATTAGACCAGTTTTCACTTATAGAAATGGCAATTTCGTATGGTCCAGTTTAATGACTGGAAAACACAACACTGTTTATCAATAGGAGAATGGATGAATTGGGATAGTCGTAATTTATCTACTCATGATGTATGTGCTATTATGTCTCTATTGAGCACATAGAGAGTTATACTAACCATCTCAAAATGCAGTGACTTAGACAACAATGATTTAGTTTTTCTCACAGTTGTCTGGGTTGCCCGGCTTAGCTGAGTGGTTCCTCTCCTCTACATAGAGTCTCCTGAGATTATCTGAAGCTTGGCTGGGGGCTGCACCCCTGCCATGCGGGGTCTCATCATTCAGTAGGTTAGTTTGAGCTTTTATTCATGCTTCTTCAATCTCAAAAGGGCAAAAGCAGAAGCCTCAAGGTCTGTAAAGACTTGAGTTCAGAAGTTCTTGAATGTCACCTCCACTAGATTTTGTTGATGAAAACCAGTCACGAGCCTGACCCAAATTCTAAGAGCAGGAAAATAACAAGAGAAGGAGCTGGTTTGCACAGTGATGGGGGCAGTTCTTGGCAGCCATCCTTGAAAATGGTTTACCACATACTATGGAATACTATGGAACAGTTCAAAGGAATGAATTAATTCACATAGATTCCTAAGACTTACTATTGAATTAAAACAAATTGTAGGATGATATATGGAATTCATTTTCTGTTACTGTGTAGCAGTTTACCACAAATTTACCTTAAAACAATACCTGTTTATGATCTCACAGGTGTGGAGGTCAGAAGTCTCAGTGGGCTCACCTGGGTTCTCTTCTTAGGGTCTCATAAGGCTGAAATCAAGGTGCCAGCCAGGCTTGGTTCTTATCTGGAGGTTCTGAGAAGAATCTGCTTCCAAGCTCATTCATATTGTTGGCAGGATTCAGTTTTTGGGGGTTATAGGAGTGAAGTCCCCATTTTCTTGCTCTCAGAGGGGGCTACTCTAAACTTCTAGGGGTCATCTGCATTCCGTGGCACATGGTCAGTTCCATCTTCAAAGCCAGTGATGGTGCATCAAATTCTTATGCTTTGAATCTCTCTGAATTCCCTTCTGCTACCACCTGGAGAAAACTCTGCTTTTAAAGGGCATGTATGATTAGATTAGGTCCACTTAGATGATCTCTTTTGATTAACTCAAAGTCAACTTATTAGTAACCTTAACTAATTTGCAAAATTCCTTTTGTCTCATAACATAATCAGGGTGTGATATCTCATCATCTTGACAGTTCTAGGGATGAGAGAGGACATTTTAGGGGAGCATTTGACAATTCCGCCCACCACATATGTAAACACATAGCACCCAAAACAGTACCAAATGCACATAAGTATACATGGAAAGATACCTGCAATGAGACTACTAAATTTGTAATAAGGAGTTGTTTCCGGGGAGAGTAGACCAAAATTTGGGAGCCAGGTGGTATTTAGCCTTAAAAGGAGTCTTTTAATTATTTAACAAAGGAATTTTGTTACTGCAGCAATATAATTAGAAAATAATACCAAATACTAAAATAGAATTTGAGGGATCAAACCCTCCGGCTCCCTGATTCTGTGTAGAACTCACCATGCATACACCAATCCACAATGGCTCCCTCCTATATCTCTCTCAGCTGTCCTCTGCTTTGTGACTGCCTTAGGATTCACCTCACTTTCACAGTGCCAGTCTAATTCTTCATGGTATTATCCGGCGACAATGTTCACTAGTTGGTGCCTTTAGAGCCACACAGTTACAATATTAAAATACTTCCATATTGCTTGGCAAATAGCCATTGCCTGAAACCCCCTGTGTGTCCTTCAGTCAACTGGAGTGCCTACCCATTCCTGTATGACTTGGAGCCCCTGCCTCTCCCTGAGAGCCTCAGACCTCCTGCTATCTAGCAAGTAAAGGGCAAACATCTGCAGTGGTAGGGACCTTCCAGGACTGCTCCAGGCCTAAGGCCAGTGTCCACTCTTTCTGATTGGGCAGTACAGTGAGGCATAACCATCCTCACTGGTTATACATTGTGAACATTACTCCTTGCCTAGTTTAGGTTTTAGAAATATGAATTTATAAGTTGGCATATTTCATGCTCATTGATCCCTTCTCCTCTATCAAATAGTAAATGAATGGGAACTATTTTCTTTGCAAACCCTAACAGTAATTGGTATGTGTCCTGTCCACTCTGACCAGCTATACCAGAAGCCACCACTGCAGAGATATTTATATGCTCCCTCCTTTACCATTTAGAAAGAACATTTCTATTAGAGATAACTTTTCTGTGCTAGTGAGAAGCGGTTCTGTGTAGACATCATTAGATGTCATGATGTTTAATTATAAAAACCTTGCAGAGAGAAGGGTTTGTTCCCTGTCTTGATGGTAAGTAGCCTAAAGTTTTACTGACTTTGAGTTTTGTGCAGAAGTCATTGCAGGATGTCAAGCTTCGTGAATAGTAATGTGAACAAATTCAGGCAACATAAGTGGTATTCAGGCACTGCTGTTTTAAAATGAAATGACTTTTTGCATCTAAAGATAACTCTTAGAGTCAAACTCCAGAATAATCTGCAAGAAAAATAAGATCTTCACTACATGGAATAAAAGCATTCAGTTTTTCAGGTGTCTACCACAGCCATCACATACTTAGGGTTTAGGCCTTTGTTTTTTAATTGAATGAAATGATTATTTTTGACCCTTGCCCCTGCCACTACTAGCAATAGTAACAGCTAATATTTATTGCTTAATTACCTTGTCCTAGGTACTATGCTAAGCATTTTGTATGCAGCATGTAATTTAATCTTCACAACTCTACAAGGAAGGGATTATTATTATTTCCATTTTACAGATGAGGAAGGTAAGGCACAGAGCTCAGCATGTAACTAGAAAGAGGCAGGAACTGCAAAAGCAAACAAAAAACCACCTGGCACCTGAGCTGTTCTGTGTAGTACTGCTGCCTTGCTCAGATTATACTGGTTTGCAGTCTTTTTCTACAATTGAACCCCTATATTCCTCTAATTCTGATTGTGCCATCTCATTAGCCAATGGCTGGAACTGATTGAAAGGAATGGTGTTACTAAGGCAAATCTCAGTGAGGTGACTCATTATAAAAGAAACATGGGCAAAAAACCATAAAACGTACCAGTGGTTTACTGGCTGTATTACTTTTCTAGGGCCACTGTAATGAAGGACAGTAGATAAGTTCTTGGGAACTGCAACTTTAGGCAAAACGATGCATAATGAAACCAGTTATTTTCCTCATCAATGTTAAAATGAAATGACGTTGAAAAAAAATTATGTTATTTTAGGACTTGCTGTATGTTGTTTCACTTAAAGTTGCAGTTTCCAAGAACCTATTGAAATGTTAACTTAGGACTTACTGCCTTAAGACATCAGAAATATATTTATGCATGGTTTTGGAGGCTAGATGGCTTCAATCAAGGTGCTGGCAGGGCTGAGTTCCTTCAGAAGGCTCTAGGGAAGAATTCTTCTTTGCTCCTTCCTAGCTTCTGGTGTTACCGGCAATCCTTAGCTTGTAGCTGCATCACTCCAACTTCTGCCTTGGTTTTTATGAGGCCATCTTCCTCTGCTGTATCCAAATCTCCCTCCCCTTATTAGGACACCAGTCATTGGATTTCAGGCCCAATTGGATTTCAGGCCCAATTTCAGCCATTGGATTTCAGGTCCGATATGACCTTGTCTTAACTGCCTATACCTACAAATATCCTATTTCCAAATAAATTCATATTTGTTTTTTCTAGGTAGACATGAATTTTACAGGAGACACAATTCAACCCACTGTGGTGGCCATGAACTGATCATGTTCAAACACTAAGTATTGAGTCAGAGGTTGGGGTGATGAGACCATTGAAATGGGTATTGTAAGTACAGTATCTAGAAGAATGTACTCATCAAAACATGGCTTTATCCTGGAAAGAAATTTATTGCTGCTGCTGGAAAGCTGACTGACAAGCATCTTTATTTATTTATTTTTCTTTGAGGTGGAGTCTCACTTTGTCACCCAGGCTGGAGTGCAGTGGTGGGATCTCGGCTCACTGCAAGCTCCGCCTCCCAGGTTCACACCATTCTCCTGCCTCAGCCTCCCGAGTAGCTGGGACTACAGGCACCCACCACCATGCCCGGCTAATTTTTTGTATTTTTGGTAGAGACGGGTTTTCACCGTGTTAGTCAGGATGGTCTCGATCTCCTGACCTCGTGGTCTGCCCACCTCGGCCTCCCAAAGTGCTGGGATTACAGGCGGGAGCCACTGCGCCTGGCCAAGCATCTTTTTTTAAACCAAAACATCTGTAAATGACTGTATCTAAATATTCATTCATAAAATATTTATGTGAGTACCATGCCAGGCCACAGAGAAAAGCAATGGTGAGGAAATATACCCAGGGCCCTTTATCTAGAGGAGCTTACATTCTAGTGGGGTAAACCAATATTTGCTGAGGACTCATTGTAGTCAATGTTTAGTTTTAAAATGAGGTGAGTGGTCTGCAGAATGGGAAAACAATTCTATTCCAGCTCATGTGGTGGAATCTCACTTAGCTGGAGAGGGACAGGAAAGGTTTCCATGGGGAAGGAAATCTCAAGCTAAGATCCATAGGCTGAGTGAATGTATTCGTTCGTTCTTGCATGCCTATGAAGAAATATCTTGGACTGGGTAATTTATAAAGAAAAGAGGTTTAACTGGCTCACAGTTCCACAGGCATGTACAGGAAGCATGGTTAGGGAGGCCTCAGGAAACTCACAATCATGGCAGAAGGGGAAGCAGGCACATCTTACATGGCCAGAGCAGGAGGAAGAGAGCATGAATGGGGAGGTGATACACACCTTTAAATAACCAGATCGTGTGAGAACTCACTCACCATCACAAGAACAGCAAGGGGGATATCTACCTCCATGATCCAGTCACCTCCCACCAAGCCCCTCTAACACTGCGGATTACAATTGAATGTGAGATTTGGGTAGGGACACAGACCCAAACCACATCAGCGAGGTATTACCTGGGAAGGACAGTGGAGTGGAGGGAAGCTGAGTAGAGCGTTTGAAATAGAACAGAGGTTTCTCTATTCTGTAATTTCCCCCGCCAAGTCTCCAACCGTGTTCAGAGAATGTAGAAGTCTTAGGGCAAAACAAACACATAAACAAAGCATGATATTAACCTTTCTTCTACCCTGGCCAGTGTCTAACTCATCTGCTGTATTCATTTCCTTTGGTTGCTATAACCAATTACCACAGACTTGGTGGCTTAAAAGGACAGAAATTTATTGTCTCACAGTTCTGGAGGCCAGATGTTTGTAATCAAGGTGTCTGCAGAGCCACATTCCCTTGGGCTCTGAAGGGGAAATCTATTCTTTGCCTCTTTTAGCTTCTGGTGGCTGCCAGCCATCCTTGGCCTGTGGCCATGTAACTCCAGTTTCTGCCTCCATGGTCTCCCACTGCCTCCACAACGAAGAGGTGGCAGTGTGACCACGGAGGCAGAAACTGTCTTCTCTTCTTCTTTTTGTCTCAAATCTCTTTCTACCTTTCTCTTATAAGAATGCTTGTCGTTGGATTTAGAGCTTACCCAGATATCTCAGGATCATCTCCTAATCTCAGGATCCTTTACCTAATTACAACTGCAAAGAGTTCTGGGGTTAGACTTTTCTTTTTTTTTTTTTTTTAATTTTCTTGTATGGACAAGGTCTCACTGTATTGCCCCAGTTGGCTTTGAGCTGCTGGGCTCAAGAGATCCTCCCACGTTGGCCTCCGAAAGTGTTGGGATTACAGGCATGAGACACATACCTGGCCTGGAGTTAGATATGTTTTTCAGGGGTCATTTTCCAGCCTGCCAGATCTGGAATTCCTAGAACCTGCATTTTGTGAGAACATGGTAGCAAGGCATTTTGAAGGACACCTGGGAAGATTCTAAGCTATAGGGGAGAAAGAAAAGACTGAATAGTATGAGATTTTGGCTCCTCTGTAGAAACGCTCCACAAAACAAAGGTCTTGACTAGGAAAGTACTGCCCATTAGCAATATATTGAAAGCTTACCGGAACTTTTGTTGTCATCCCAGTTATCATGGGTGTGTTATGATCTTTTAATATGTGGGAACCAGGAAAGCCATGGTTATTTTAGCATGCAATAAAGATTCCCAAACAAAAATTGCCCCTGGTTCTGCTGGACACTTGTGTATGTACAAATGAATGTCTAGAACCTAACTCTGTTTTTTGTATAGACACAAGATATGTTTTCCATAGTTTCAATGTACATTGAATTTTCCTAGAATGCATCTCTTTTGTAAATGAAGAGTACTTTGTTTTATTCAGAGCATGACAAGTGTTTTTCACCATTTTGGTAGACTATGCCCTCAACAGGGGCATCATTTGAACCATCCAAGTTAACAAGAAGACATCTTTTTTTTGAGCCATCAGTCTCCACTTATAGTTGCCACATACAAATATGTAGTAAACAAGATGGGAAACTATGATTCACATACTTAGAATCAAACAGTATTAAATTAGTGGAGACACATGAAACTCAATAGACCTCATTGAAACTTATTAAAGCTTGTTTTAAAAATATTTCTCATTTTTGACATGAAGTACTTGTCACATTCCCATTCATGTTTTATGTGCAATGGCCCACTAAAGAGTATGTTCCCCAAAGTGTTGTGAGTACTATAGACTGAATGGAAACTTCAGCAGGTGGTGGGATTTTAAGATGAGAGATACATTTTCTATGATATTTATCACTACCCTGTTGCATGCCATACTCAAGGTATAATGTTAAGACTTGGATATGTCTTGGGTCATTTATAGGAACATCATATTTTCTCACATCTCTGTTTTGACAGTCTGTAATTTGTCTCTGCATCTTCTCTGTACTTTATTTAAGGTGGTTTCCCTCTATTTCCTATATACAGATAAGTCTGGTCTGTTTTATTAGTTTTTATTTTAGTGTCAGCTTCTACTTGTGTTCTTTTATGTTCTTGTACGCCTTGTATGGAAGTTCAAAAATAATCCTCTTCTTTTAAATACAAAATTATTCATTATAGGTAGGTGCGAGCTTCTGCTTAATTCATTCTATATTCTAGAATAGCATTTCTCTGTACATATCGTTTTATTACAGATGACTTCCCTTTTATTTCTCCTTTGTATTACAGTTAGGGCAGCATATTGATTTTTTTCTTGAAATAATGTTGTAGGTAAATTATATTATCTGTTAATTTCATTTCAGGATAGTAAAGGCAGCATTACATAATATTTGTTATAAAATGGAACATTGCATCTGATGGGGTTGGAAAACACTACCATAAATTATATGACACAGTTTAAAATGTGAAGGCAGCATTCTCTCTCTGGGTGGTTAGAGTAGGAGGTATGGTAAGGAAGGTATAAGGAGAATTAAGAGAGGGCAGGAGAGCTTGTTCAGACAGGAACAGCTTGGTGTTAGAGACCCTGAGGTTCATTTGAAAAGAAGAGGGGTGAGAGGTTTGGTGCAGAAAGAGCTATTGTACTTCACGTACGGGGGACAAATGAGGTAAGACTGGAAAGTGGGAGAATGAGGACCAACTACTGGAGGCCATAGAAATATTCAAGGGGCTTCTGCAAAAATGTGAATGAGGTATGCCTTTGTTTAGTGCCCGTGCCAACTCTGAAGCATGGGCTATGTTTATCTTCATTTATTTGGAATTCTAGGAGCCAATTACTTGATTCTTACACATCAGATCGGTGTGAAGATTCTACAGTTAATCTTTGAACTGGAGATGAAAAATAAGTAAGTGGTAGGAATATCATACAAGCAAATGATAGAAGCCGCCTTTTAATAGTGAGAGAGGAGGCATGTTAAGGGAGGTTATGGTGAGGGAAAATACAGCCCTGGTAAAATTTATCCCAACTTATGAGTAGTCATTTACTTGTTTGTTAAACTCAGTGATCTCTCTCCCACTAGAATGGCAGCTCCGTAAAGAAGGAGATCATACCTGTTTTATTAAAAATATGTACAAACAACACAGTGCCTGCAACAGAGTAATTGCTCAGTAAATATTTGTTGTGAAAAGCAGTGAAGGAATGACTTGGCTAGGAGCTCTTGAACATCTACATTAAACATCTGTGCATTACCATTCTGGGTTTTAATGATCTTCTGTTGCTGTAAGAATTATTAACATGGAAAATAATGAGATTAGTTCCAGTTGTATGGTATTTTTGTTGTAAAATGTTTGCAGAGCTATTAACAGTAGAGATGTGCATCAAGCCCCACTGTCAAAATAAATGGCTAGCACACCAAGAGGCATAAATGTTTGGAGGGAAATAGCCAAGCGAAATGTTTGTCTAGCAGAGCCTACATCCTGCTGGAATACAAATTAGATCATTAAGAAACAACACATTTCATCCACTTATCAGAGTTTGCATACAGTGAAGTCTATTAATTGAACGAATATGGAGAACACTGATACACCATCTCGCTCCATCAGAGATTACTTCTCTGTCTTTATCAATAAATTCTCCCTTTAATCCTGAGGATTGATTGAAAAAGAGAAGGAGCAATTTTTTTAGACTGTTCTTTTTGGTCTTTGCGTTACTTTGTCATTGGATTTGTAAATTTCACCAGTAATTTAGTTTAGCTATAGAATGCCCCAGGGGGTCGCACATTAGGTCTTCACTCAATTACAAAGAGTAAATGCAAGTAAATAGGTGAGAAAGTTTCAGCAACCTCTCTTGGTATCAGAAGGAAAACCAAATGGAACTTGGTATCAGAAGGAAAACCAAATCAGATAAAATAAGTTTGTTCATTCAGACTTTTAATTAAACTCAGAGATTAATAGATCTCAAGATGAGGTGTTTTAACAAGTTCTGTGTCTGAGAATTCTCCTTGGTTTCTGCTTCTCACACTCCCTCATCTAAAAATCACTTTTCTAGATTTTTAAAAATTTACTCAAGCAATGTCAACATGATAGCATTGCTGTTTGGCAAGTATATACCTGTATTATAGATGATGCATGGAAATATAAAATGTTCGTGTCTAAAATCATCTCAGATCTCCTTCTTGCCCCCAATGTTCCCTAAACTTTCAACAAATCCGGTTTTCTCTTTCCTCTTTAGTAGTTGTTTCCCAGGCTGATACACACATGAAAAGTTAGTTTTATTTCTTATGTTGTTATAAAACATGTATGATCTCTCTACTGGTATTTTTGAGAAAATTAAGCAAAATAATGTTAATGGATCAGAAATTTTTTTTTATTTATAATTTTAGAGATAAGGTCTTGCTCTGTCACTCAGGCTGGAGTGCAGTGGCATGATCATAGCTCTCTGCAGCATTGAATTCCTAGGCTCAGGCGATCCTCCCACCTCAGCCTCTTGAGTTGCTGGGACTATAGACACACACCACCATGCCCGGTTAATTTTTAAAGATTTTTTTGTAGAGATAAGGTCTTACTTATTTTGCCCTGGCTGGTGACAAACTCCTGGGCTCAAGTGATCCTCCTACCTCGTTCTCCCATAGTGCGGAGATTACCGGTGTGAGTCACTTCTGCCTCAAATTTCTTTAATGTGGTATTTTACTTTGCTTCAGAAGGAAAATGGAATAGAGCTGGGCATCAGATAAAAATAGCTGTTTGTTTAGATATTTTCTCCACTAAAATGAAAACTTCTCAGCTGAGTTTATCTTGTCCAAAACTGTATTCCCAGAGCACGGGTAGCACCTGGTATGCAGTAGAGCTCAGTAATTGACAAAGAATGGCGGAAGAGGACTTCAATAGACCTTTTAGTGCAGCTCCTACAACTTGCTCATGAAAACCATGAGTTAGAGCTGTGAACTGATTGATCCAAAGTCACACAGAAGTAGCAGTTCTTTAACTAGAAACTACTGAGAGAAGAAGATTCTGGTAGCAAGTATTGATTGTTCAATCTCTTGGGAATTTTTGCACTTCCTGGTTGGTTCTTATCTGTGGTAAATCAGTGCATGTTGGGGGACCCTTATTACCAATGTAATGGACTCTTGGCTTCCTTTACCTTTTCTCATCTACTTGTCCCCAGGGTAGGGAGTGACATCTGGTTCTAGTTTTCACTGTGGTCTGTGTATTCTCATCTTTCCTCTGCTGTACAGGAGGGGTCCTGCTGCTGCAGCGAAGACCTGCAGTTCTCCAAGGGTGAGCCAGTTTATGGAAACCAGCGATGAATTAATTAGCCAGCTTGCCCACTCAAGGACCTATAACACATGCTCTAACTGCCACATCACTTATACAGGCCATATTTGATTCTGCATTTACCTGACATATCTCTTTCAGTTGATTCCAAGACCAGACCAAAAGGAACTGGCAGCTTTTTTTTATGCTACCTCAAACTCTAACAGTATGAAAAACATTTTAACTTCCCCCAGTCAATCCCATTACCCAGAAATAAGCACTGTTAAAAATCTTGCACATTTTATTTTTGTGTGTGTATATATGTTGTGTGTGGTTATGTATCTGTTTCACTGTTTAAAAAATTGCCATACTTATTATGAAGTTTCTTTATTTTATTTTTTAGAATACCAAAACAATTTAAAGTCAACCTAGACCATTACTGCTTTGTGATTCTATTAAATGCTGCATCATCTCTAAAATGTTGCTGCAGGTGGTAGGTGCCTGATGCTTACTAAGAGAGCCTCACACACTTTGGGGACTTCTTAGCAGTACTATGTTTTAGCCATTGCTTCCTCTGAAGCAGTATGTTATGAGCTCTATCAAATACTGTTATGTTATTTTCCTAATCCAAGGGTAAGCAAACTACAGTTTGCAGGCCAAAACTACCCTTCCCATCTCCCCACCCTGACTGTTTTTGTATTACCAACTAGCTAAGAAATGGTTTTTATATTTTTAAATAATTGTTATAAAAGAAGAAGAATATGCAGGAGACCTACCTATGTGGCCTACAAAGCTTAAAATATTAAACATCAGGCCCTTTAATAAAAACTTTGTTAAACTTTGTAATCAGCAAGATCATATTTGGATTTACTGTGAACCTTCAACATTATCCTTCCACTTAAGGCGATGAAGTCTCTCTATATGAAAAACGATTTGAAATTTTTGAGGGGAACATGTAAACATATGCCTAAGTGTATCAGCTAAGCATGTAGGATGTTCTGTGTCCTGATGCTGAGGTCATGAATGGTGGCTGTAAGTCTCTTGAAAGAGGAGGCTTTCAGTAGTGGAAAGCTTGATGTATGAAGTTTATTTCAGTTGAAAGGCAGAGGTGAGACTGAACTTTTGGAACCAAAGCTCAGAAGCTTATACCATTTCGATGTGCTTAAGGTTAGTGAAGCAAGAATGAGATTCAGAGCCTGGTGAAGACATTTAGTGAAGCATTTCCTCACTGTATCCCATTTATTCATGAAATCAAGCCCACCATATATGTGTCATCCATGTTTTACAGGTGAGGAAATGGAGATTCTGCTGGTTTCAGAAGCTTGCTCTAGGTCACACAGTAAATAGAATCCAGATTTGAAAATAAGCCTGTCTGAATGTTAACTATCCATGATATTTTGTTTCTTGCATGTATATATTTGCTCTGCACATGGTGAATACTTCTATGATGTCATTACACTAAATGATGATGGCAGGTCCCAAGATGAAACTGTACACCATTCATTCCAGATCTGTTTCATTTTCTTTACTGTGACATTCAAGGCCCATTCCCAGGCATGTGCATGGTTCCCTGGCCACATTCCTCTCCCTCAACTTCTTTTTCCTTATCCAGCCACCCTGGATAATGTGTGAGTTCTCCAAAACACTGTGTTCTTTCATGCTTCCATGCATTGTTGAACACTGTAGCCTCTGCCACGGATGCCTTCCCCGTTTTCTGTGCTCAGAAACTCCTAATCATCCTTCTGATACCATCTCAATGTTCACATTCTCTTAGGTGTCATTTCTGACTCCTCCAGGCAGTTACACAAGATCCTCTGAACTCACCAGAGTTGTTCTTTTATATATCTCTGATAGTCAGAAACAAAGTTCTTCTGCCTTTCTTCCTCAATTGACTGTGAATTCCTAGAACTGAAATCAAAGATCAGTGCTATATCCTCAGCACTTAGCACAAATCCTGACACATAGTGGGATCACCTTAGATTGCGGTGACTCAGTGAATGACAGAAGAAACAAACACACGGATGAAAAAAGAATGAACGAGTGAATGAATGAACAGTGAGAGTTTCTTTTTCATTCACACACACTGTTTGTATATTGTACTCCCTGCAGAATTCAGTCTATGCCTTGGTCACCAGCACCTACCACCACCCTGATAACTTCCTGTCTGGTAAGATACGTGATCCATGCCAATCCATTGCTTTTAACTTAGGTTTACAAACAATTTGGAATCAATCCTAGTTCTTGTAGGGCATAAGTACAAGGACCCTATATGAATAATATTTCACCAGAGCTTCAGGTTTTAGCCAACTGTTAAGTCTTGTGTCACAACCATTTGGTTTTACTGATACCATTCTCCTCAGTCCCCAGCACACCCCTGATTACTCCAGTTCCATTGCTGTCCATAGACCAGATAGGCCATTGCTGAGCAAGCCCCTGAGTGGATCAAACCTTCAAGGAAGCTGTGTAGCCTATAAATAGTTGCTAAGCCAATGCTTTGACTCTGGGAATACCTAAGGTACTTTTGGCTTGGTGTGATTTTTTTTTGGCCCTGTCTAATATGCAAGTGGCCATAAGAAGAAAGCTCATATAATTCTCTTACAGCGAATCTGAGCAACTGTCAAATAATTATTTAGATATTGTTGACTGGGTTTTCTTAACACCACTTAAAGAGAGGCACAGACATCACTGAGGCACAGAAACTCACAGGGTATCCTGCAGCTGGACACTCAAGATGCTCGTTGTCCCAACCATGTGGTCACTGTGGCATCTCTCCTGATTCTCATCTGCCTTTCTTCGTTTCTGGGGAGGAATGCTGGCCCTAGAGTGGGATGTGGCATTTGCATAATAACTCAGTGCAGCCAAGTCTATATAAATATTGCATTGTTTTAAATTTTCAAAAACTGTAATCCATAATGGCTCCCGAAGCACCAACTATTTTCTCACCATCACATATCATGCATTTTTAACTGTCTATAATTACACAATTAAACAGTAGGCCATCGGGAATCACAGGAGGCATTAGCTCAAAACATTTCAACTTCCAAAACCTGGCACCAGGGACAGTTATTTTCCGAGTAGAGAGAGTGAGTCTGTCTACGTAGGTGCCTCAAAAGAGGAAAGCCCCTGCTCTGTCCACTGTTCCTCCAGGGATACAATGCCCAGCTGAGCTTCAACATGGCAGAAGTGGGTAAGAAAGATGGAAATGCTGGCACCAGCCAAGGAAACAGGAAGGAGGTCCCAGGTCAGGATGAGATGGAGAGTGTGAACTGTTCTCCATCCCCTTCCACCCACCCACCTGTAAAGCTTCTTTTAGTGAAAAAGCACGAGTGACTTCCTCTGACACACTCAGTATGTTATGATTCTTAGACCTCTTCCATCAAAAGCCTTGTTTTAGTTTTGTATTGCTTCAGCACATTGTATTCACCAGATGTGTGTCAACAGAAAAATCATGGACTGAACCGATGATGCAGTCTTTAACCTGTGTGTGCTGGGAGGAATGCCTGCTACATTTTATATTGAGATCAAAAATGCTGTGGTGGCATTTTTGATAAATTTATTTATTAATGTACCCTTCATTTAAAACTGCTGTGAAATCTTATCCTAAGCAAATTAACACAGGAACAGAAAGCCAAACACCACATGCTCTCACTTACAAATAGAAGCTCAACATTGAGAACACATAGACACAAATTGGGGCACAACAGACAGCAGGGCCTACTTGAGGGTGGAGGGTGGGAGGAGGGAGAGGATCGAAAAACCACCTATCAAGTACTATGCTTACTATCTGGATAAAGAAATAATCTGTACACTGAACCCCTGTGACATTCAGTTTATCTATATAAAATACCTGCACATGTACCCCTGAAACTAAAATGTTAAAACTGTGACAGTGCTATATAAGCCTTGCTTCTGTGTCACTTGATGTCTGGGTAATCTGATGGCAGATGTCATTGTTACTACCTTGGAATGAAGGAGCTATGCTTGGAAAAGGAGGAAAACGTTTCTCCCATGCTCCACATTTTCCCAAAAGGCCATCTTTACCTGTACCTTTACATATAAGACATTGAGAAAGAATATATTTAATGTTGTATCCATCTCACCTCACCTGTAGCATGTAAAAGTGTGCTTCTAAGTAAAGATGAGTTGAATAATAATTGCCATACTATAAATACATCTTTCTTTCCAAGCTTTAAAAAACATTTTGAATTTTAAAATGCATACACCACAACAAAAAATAAAGACATGAATTTTACAATGGCATTTGTTAGCTTGGATGCAAGGGACTAGAAAATAAGCAGATACTGTATTTTTAACTGATTCAGAAAAATGTGTTGTTAGGAAGCTTTGGCAAATATTAAGTGATGAACATCAGTTTGCCTGTCCTTTTGTGCTTTTGTTTGTTGTATTATGATACTGATCTTATTTTCTTTCTAGTCTTCCTAATCTTTCACTTTAGTTTTTACATCAGCATTCAAGTTTTTGAAGAAATAGAACTCTAATTAGAATCAGAAGTGAGGAGATGAAAGATAATATGCACTGTAGGAAGAGAGCGTAAAATATTAATTTGCTTTATGAGAGTTTTTTTTTGCTTAAGTAAAAAATGTATTTTAGGGCTTCTTTACATGGAAAATGAATGCCTTTGAAATACACAGATCATGGATACACTTTGCTTTCATACTGTACCACATAGCATGCTTCTGATGTGCTAGTCCGCCAGCATTTTGGATGGAGTCCCACCTGGTATCTCCACACTGTGCAGAGCCCCACTTCTTTGCTTCTGCCCATGCTCTTCATTCCAGAACAGTCTGCTCTGTCTGCTTTGTTTTATCCAAGCCCTTCTTTTCATTCATAGCCTAATTCAAGTTCTGTGTCTCAGTGACATCTTGCCATTTTTCCAATCCCACCTTTTCCCTCCTGTCTCTGAAATCTTTCACTACTTGTTCACTTCATTACAGTACTCGACTCCTAATGCCACGGTACCTTTTTCGGCTAATTTTTACATTTGTATTTGCTTTACTCCACAATTATATTTCAAGTTCCTTGAGAGTAGACACCATGCCTCACAGTGTTCAATAAATGCTTGTTAGCTGATTTATTATGGTGTAGTGTTAGTTTCATTTTTTAAGAAGTGCTCTTTTAAAGAAGTTGACAAATGTTATTTGTAAAGGGTCAGATAATAAGTATTTTAGGCTTTGTCAGCCAGACGGTCTCTGTTGCAACTATTCACCTCTGCCATTGTAGCATAAAAGCAGCTGTAGACAACATGTAAGCAACGGGTTGGCTGTGTTCCAATTAAACTTTATTTACAAAACAGACAGTAGGTGACATTTTACCAGTCCCCAATTTAAATAAAGCACAGGAAAAACTCTCATCTCGAGTATACCATTTAACCTTAGGGTAACTAACTGAGAGCAGTGTAAATTATATGGGATGTTCACCAGTTCAAGGAAGAAATATCATTCCAGAGTTGCCCTGACATCTTCCCAAACATTCCCACTGATGTTTTGATGCTTACTCAGAATTTGATAATCAACTAATGACTTTGTTGTTGTTATTTAAAAGTAATACTTATTCTGGACACATACACACAGTGCTGCCAGGAGTATTAATTGGTTCAATATTTCTGGGGGCATTTTAGTATTACATATCATATATGTATGGTCTTGTATGTATCAGTTCTCTTCTGGAAAGTATGCTGAGGAAATCATTAATTTATTCACTGTCTGTTTACCCAGGGCCTACAGCATACCAGGCATTGTGCTAGGTATTGGGTCTCTATGGAAGTAAACAAAGCCTGAGGTATAGGCTATTACAATAGTGTTTGCGAGAAAGATAAATGAATAACAAATCTTGTCTTCAACAATGGGGAACAGCTAAATTCTGAAACCTGTATGACAGAATATTCTACAACCATTAAAACTTACACTGTAAAAGAATTTTGAATACATGGAAAGATATTCAAATGTAATAAGTGAAAAGGTAGGTGAAAATTTACCTATACAAGTGTTTTAAGAAACTTAGAAATGTATTAATATGTATAGATGAAAGAACATTACAATGATATTGACCAAAATATTAGCAATTACTTTGGAATTTCCAATGGTAGAATTCCCAGAAGATCTTCCTCATCCTTTTGCTTTTGTATTTCATAGTTTTCTAAAATAACCAAGCAAAAATAACCCTAAGAGATATTTTTAATTATGCAAAATTACTGACAATAAAAGATGGCTCCCATGAAAAGATGTTTAGGATTACTTTCTACTGGGCAAAAATAGAAAATCTTCTTCCAATAACATTGCTGCTGAGTTGGTTATAAAATTATAAATGTTCCTCTTTGTGCACATTCAAATATTAAAGTATTTCTCCATCAACCAGTATATTGCATAGAGCTGAAACTTTTTCAGTTAATTTTGGCTTACTAAGAGTTAACCAGAAAATCTTTTGCTTCAACCCTTCTCAATCTCCAAGTCCCCTTTGCTGCTATGGCACATCCAGTCTTATGAATATAATTGAATCTCCCTTTGATGATTCAGTGTGTTGCAAGACTTCAGGGCTGTAATGCTGACCATCAATTATCATTGTATAGGACAAAAGATATGAATGTGGAAGATACAGAGTATTGAGCTGAATGTGAAATGATTCCAGGATAGCCTCTGGAAATTGCTTGGCTGAATAAATCCCTGGTGTCAGTGAGTTTGTGTTATATTTCTTTTCTTTTCTAAAAGCTTGCTTAGTTCAAGGAAAGAGAATAGAAATAATCTAGTGCTTTGAACTTTCTAGTTACTAAGAGCCTCGTTCCTCCAGATTATGATCCCATGTCTTCCTTCTCTCTTTCATCTCATATAAAATATGAAAAGCATGCTGTTTCTAGACTGTATGTCTTTCCATGAGCACTGGGTATTTATCTAAGCCTGTAAGTACTGACTGGCCCACACCAAGGCATCTCTTGTTGCTGAGATACCGAACACATCCTATAGTGCTTCATAGGCCAAAATTCTTACCCAGATGAAATCCATCTGAAGTGAACAGAAAATACTAAAAGACTGTTTAAGGGAAAGGGAGTTGTAAAGAGGCAGCCAGTGATCTAAATAGGAGGAGTGATTAGTATAAATGGGGAGCATGAGGCCTGTCTCATTCTCCTTGTCTTGGTGAGGGTTGACAACTTTTCTGTCTACTCTCACACTGTATTGAGTCTCTTCAGCTCTTCCAGTTGCCACCTTCACCCCAGTCCCGTATTTCCCTTCCTCCCCAACTCACCATCCAGCAGCAGAGGTCCTGGGGGAATCTCCCCATGCAGAGTTGGCTCTGACAAAAACTGTAAAGCTACAGGTTCCAGACTGCTACCAAAACATTAAAAATCTGAACTCCCACTTAGCCCCCACTTCCCAGCAGTGTACAGCAGGTGAGTTTACAGATGCACTGAGACACTGGTTTCCCCTCAGCCTTCTTGCACCCAGGTAGATTCACCTGCAGCTCCAAGCATCCACTTCCATTTTTGCCACTGTAGAATGTTAATATCTTCATTTTATTTATGTGTCCTGACTTGAAATGTTGGGAAGCACTGATCACATTTCCTAAGAAGGTGATCCAAGAACAGTTCCTGCTGTGATGTAAAATATCTGACAAAGTTCAGGGCCAGATACATGTGGGCATCAGCACTCTCCCTAGTCTGGGACAGCCCTCTCATTTTACATCTGAGGAACTGAACCCTAAAGTCCCATAGCTAGTTGGTGACAGATCTGGGACCAGCATGTTGGTCTCTTAACCTCACTTTTCAGTCTTCTTTTTTCTTCAGAGAAGCCGAAGACATTTAAGTGAAGACTATGGGTTTCTTAGACATAAAAGCATCATCCATTTGGTGAGATGGAAAAGGACCTTCCCTGAAAGTCAGGAGATCTGGGTTCCTGTTCTGCTTCTGAGTCTTGGACAAGTCACTGTACTCTAGGCTTCATTTTAAAAAGGAAGAAAATTGAGAATTCTTCTAAAATGTGCAGAAGCTGTCCAGAGTAGCAGAAGCTAAAGGGAAATAACTTGTAGGAGTTTGAATGGCTGGTTATCAGAAAAGCCTAGCCTTGGATACAGCTTTCTTCCTTTCAGTTTTGCGTCCCCTTGTGTTTTCTACACCACTGTGTTTCGAAGGATACAATTACATTACGAGAAAATGTCTTGTCCCATCATCGGGGCTTGTTTTCATGTTGGCAGGAAACAAAATGCTAAAAGCAGTAAGTAGTGAGAAGTTTCTTTTTCTAGCTTTTACCAGAAAGAGATTCTTTCCAAAGAGGCACCATCTGGAACATGTGAAGTTGTGAAATGACCTTTCATCACCGCCTGCATCTAAGCTACCGGAACAGGGTCAGCAGGCAAAAACCTCTCATGAAGAAGTAAGGCTCAGCTTAAAAACACATGTCTTTCTGCTTTTCTTTTTCTGGTCTAGAAGCATCCGTTTTTAAATCCAGTTGGACTTAGCTCAAACATATTATCTTGGAATCCTAAAGATAGAATGATGCCATAATTTTGAGATATGATGTGCTTGTTAGTATGTATTCAAACAACTGTGTTTGTAATAACTGTCATATTCTGCCTTTCACAGAAGTATTACAAACATGGTTCTAGTTTTATAAATACATGAATGAAATTCATTGCTGTCTATTTTTTTTCATGTTGAATTCCCCTGACTTGAATTGCTTTTCTAAAATAAGAATATCCAAAAAGTTAGTACCAGATTTGTGGCTAGTGGTTTAAACAACTAGACTATCATTTGCCTACCCAGTAATTCTCTATCCCTTTTTTCTCCTCACTTAACAAGACCTCTGTGCTGTTGAGAATGACAGTGAGTGTAGCTTTTAAAACCACGTTTCCCAGACTCCTCTGCAGAAAGAGGTGGTCAGTGGGAGGGAGAGTGGAATTTGTTGATGTAACTTCCAGAAAGGCTCTTTGCTCTCTCTGCTTCACCTGCTCCTTCTGCTTCCTTGTACGTGGACCTGAAGGCTATATAGCAGTAGCCGTCCTGTGACCATGGATGGCCTTGAGGATGGAAGTAGTTATGAGGATTGCAAACCACAGTAATAGTGTAACCCTGAGACACTGAAGGTATCATGTACCACTATCATCCAGGTGGTTCATGCAGCCTGGGGCTGCCCACCTCTAGTGTTCTTTTAGGTGAATGCAAAAATAATTCCATAATTTCTGTAAACCACTGTTAATTTGAGTTTCTGTTCCAAGCAGATGAATACTGTTCCTAATTGTAGATGGAATTGCAATATTGAACTTTGAATTTAAAATCAACATTTTTTTTTCATACGTAGGATGGATCGTGTGATTGTAAAAGATTTATTTAGAATTTAGAAAGTTCATGCTTTGGATTATACAGTATTCAGTCATCCCTGAGGTATGGGTTCCAGGACCTTCCACAAATACCAAAATTCTTGGATGCTCAAGTCCTCCAGTCAGCCCTCTATATCCATGAGTTCCTTGGACATACAGTATAGGTATTTTCAATCTGAGGCTGGTTGAATTCCACAGATATGGAGGCCAACCATAGAGTGTACAAAGAAGTAAATTAAGAAGGCAGAACTATAAGTAGGTTTTTAATTTATTTTTTAAATTTGCATGCACAAAAATTAATTGTTTATGTATGGTTCTATATTAATAAATACATAAAATTGTGTAAACATTACCAAAATTGGGATGCAGAAAAGATAAACTTTGGAACAAGACAAACATTGCCCAACTTTCTTTTGATTAGTATTTACATGGTATATCTTTTTGTATCCTTTCACTTTTTTATATTATTATATTTGAAGTGGGTTTCAGTACCCGACTTACAGTTGTGTCTTGTTTTTACTCTCTAATCCAGCAATCTCTTTCCTTATTGTAGTTTGACCATTTATTTTAATGTAATTTTTGACATGTTTGGATTTAGGTCTTCCATTTTATTTTTGGCCTGTTTTTCTCCCATCTTTTGCTTTCTGTTTTGTTCTCCTCTCTTTCCCTTTTATGCCCACTTTTGGATTATTTGAAAATTTAAAACCTATCTATTGTTTTTCAAATGTATTTCTTTGAGTAGACTTTTTATTGATAGCTCTAAAGATTACAACATTAATGCCTAATTTTTCATGGTCTACTTAGAGTTGATATTTTACCTCTTTAAGTGGAACATATAAATCTTTAACTATGTAGGTCCTTTGCACGACCCTTTTGTCCTGTAACTGTTATTATGTATTACACATACCTTCACTGAAAACCCCATCAAAGTGTTATTCTTTTTTGCTTTCAACAGTCAAGCATATTTTCAAGAACTTAAAAGAATAAAAATAATACATTTATCTCGATTTTACCTCGTCATTTGCTCTTCCCTCATTTCTGAAGTTCCACAGTTTTCTCTGGTATCATCTTCCTTCTTGAAGCGGCTCCTTTAGCATTTCTTTTAGAACAGGCATGCCGCCAACTTACTCTCTCTTTTTTTGATAATCTCTTTATTTTACATTTATTCCTGAGAGATAGTTTTACTGGATTTAAAATTCTGAGTTGACAGTTCCTTATTTATCAGCACTTCAAAAGTACCGTTTTACTATTCTGACCTCCATGCTTTCTAATTAGAAATCTAAAGGTATTCAAATTGTTGAATCATTCAAATATGTAATGTTTTGTTTCCCTCTAGCTGATTTCAATTTTTTTCCTGTGTCTTTGGTTTTCAACCATTTTATTATGATGTATCTACATATGGTTCTTCTTAATTTTGTTTTTGTTTTTTATTTTACTGCTTGATATTTGCTGAGCTTCTTAAACTTGTCAGTTTATGACTTTTGTTAAATTTGGAAGGTATTCGGCTATCATTTCTTCAAATATTCTTTTTCTGCTCCAATCTCTTTCTTTTCATTTTCTGTGACTTCAGTGACATGGGTGTTAGTTAGACCTGTGGGTAGTGTCCCATAGGTCTCTGAGACCATATTCTTTTTTGCTGTCTATTGTTTAAATTGGTAATTTCTATTCATCCATCTTTAAGTTTATTGATTCCTTCCTATCCCATTTCTATTCTGCTACTAAGCTGATTCAGTGAATGTTCAGATTTTATTGATTGTATTTTTTAATTCTAAAATTTCCATTTGGGTCAGGCATGGTGGCTCACACCTGTAATACCTGCACTTTGGGAGGCTGAGGCAGGCAGATTGCTTGAGCTCAGAAGTTTGAGAGCAACCTGGGCAACATGGTGAAATCCCTTCTCTACAAAAAATATGAAAAAACTAGCTGGAGGGTTGGCACACATCTGTAGTCCCAGCTACTCAGGAGGCTGAGGTGGGAGGATCATTTGAGCCTCAGGAGGTCGAGGCTGCAGTGAGCTATGACTACACCACTGTATTCTGGCCTGGGTGACAGAGTGAGACCCTGTCTCAAAAAAAATTAATTAAATTTTCGGTTTTTTGGTATGATTTCTTCTCTTAAAGCTTTTTTTCATTTATTTCAAAGTTCTTGTTTTTTTTTTCATGGAATATCATTACAAAAGCTGCTTTCAATTCTTTGGCTAATGCCTCTAACATCTGCATCATCTCAGGAATTGTTTCTGTTCATTGTTTTTTCTCCTTTGTCAAAGTCAAAATATAGAGACAAATATTTTTTTGGGAGGAAAGAATTGCAATTCAAGGAATACACACAAACTGAGTAGTCTTTGGTGTATGTCCAAAGAACAAAGATATGGTTAGAGGTTTTACACACAGAAAAAATGAGAAATGTTATCTATTGCTCTTTGAGAAAGTATATCAGCACTGGTAAGGTTTTGGGAAGCTCATGAGCTCTCATTGGTGAGTGCCAGTGATAGGTAAAACTAGTCTTAAGTTGCAGCCATTTGCCTCAGTAGCCATTAGATACAACTGGTTTCAGGTTAAAGCAGACATTTTCAGCAACCAGTCCTGAAATGAATTACATTTTTGGAGCAATGTTATGTGCCCTGGGTGCTTTTTTCCCTTCTGGTTTTTTGACTCTGTTTTAATTAAGAATGACAAAAACGACCCAATATGGATGATCAAGTTTCACACTCGAGAGCTGTTGAAAATGTCCTCATTTTGTTGTATGCTGAATAATTTTGGATTGTATCCTGGGTCTTTCATTGAGAGACTTTGGGTTCTGTTAAAGTCCTCTAATTGATGATTCTTTTTGTTTTCAGCAATCAGCCAGCCGGGTTAGGCTTAGAACATGAGTTTCACCTTCCCTTCTGTGAGCTGTGGTTCCAGTGTTGGCTTAGCTCTTAGAACTTTTGTGGTCCTGTTCAGACTGGCCCAGAATGTGTGCCAGCCTGGCACTATCTGAGACTTGCACGATGGTCTACATTCTAGTTATGTTTTCAAAGCTCTTGTTATGCAGCTTCAGGTCACTTCTAAACATGTGTACCTTAGGGGTTAGCCAAGGACTTGATATATAGGATTAAGGGATCTTTTTCTCTAGTTTTTTTCTTTTTGCAACTCCTTGCATACTTTTCAGTTCTTGCTGAGACTTGCTTGACTCAGTACGTGGCAGGGAGAATAAAAAAAGGGAGAAAGAAAAAAAAAAGATTTCCCTGTCTACTCTAGCCTACAGACACCCCGTTTTCTTTTAGCCAAAAAGTATTGGATTTCCTTGATTTTCTGTTTGTGTCTGTTCCACAGTTTGAAAATCAAGGCTGTCCTCAATATAAACCAGGAAATTTACAAGAAACAAGCACAAAAATGACTGCTTTATGAGTCATTCTTTGAGGTCTGACCCTCCCCAAGTTACCTATTGTTATTATTTTTAGAGTTCTCAAATAGTTGCTATATGTATTTTGTTCAGGAGTTTTTTTGTTGTAGTTAGTGCAAGGGAGTGTGCTTACTCCATTTCTTTAGAATTCGGAGCCATGGTGGGTTTTTAAATAAGTGTTTTGAGGCTTCCTTTCCTATTCCTACAGTCATATTTTATAATAATTATTAAAATACCGTATGTGTAATGTTTCTCAAACGTGACTTGGTTCAATTTTTGAAACATACTTAATTTTTGTTCACAAGCAAAAATTTTTGATTGGAATGTTTCAAACTATAAGCAACATGTAGGCAGAGACATTGTTTATGTGGTATCGTATCTCATTTCCTAGAACAGTCCTGGCACACAGTTGCTTACTGAATGTTAGCCAGGGAATTAAAAATGGCATGTGTTATACAATAATTAAGAAAATAACAGTTGGGACTCTTGAAGAACTCACGACTTTGGTACATATAGAGTCCTTGTAAGTACCTGGCTCTAAGATAGACGATCGGGGAGTGGGGTGGGTGCTCTTAAATTGTCTGCACTCAGGGACATAGTGGGAGGACACAGTGAAATATTGTTATGGTGGAGGGCTGGCACCTGTTCCAGTCTGGAGAGGCACAGCAGTGCTCCCTGGAAAAGGTGAGATGTTGGAGGAAATGAAGGGAGGGCAGAGAGGGAAAGGATCAGGAGAGTTAGAAGAGCCTGGAGTTCAAGACCATCCTGGCCAACATGGTGAAACCCCATCTCTACTAAAAATACAATAATTAGCTGGGTGTGATGGTGCACAGCTGTAATCCCAGCTTCTCATGAAGGCTGAGGCAGGAGAATTGCTTGAACAGAGGAGGCAGAGGTTGTAGTGAGCCGAGATCATGCCATTGCACTCCAGCCTGGGCAACAAGAGTGAAACTCAGTCTCAAAAAAAGAAAAAAAAAAAAGCCTGGATAAATGAAACAGCATGGCACATATCTGAGGCAGGAGAGACCATGCATCTTGTAAGAATGGGCCCAGCACAGAGTAACAAAAACAACAGCTAATTCATAATGAGTACTTCCTTTTCTCTTCAATATTATGAGTTCATTTAATACACTCAATACACTATGGCAGAGCTTGTGAATGGCAGAGGTGGGATCTGAAACAGGTAGGTTGGCTCCTAGTCTATGCTTTTATCCAATGTGCCTTTCTGTCTTTATTACAGTAGGCTCTTGGGAAATGTTAATTCTCTGCCTTCCTCTCCCTTTCAAAGCATATGGTACCCTGAAATGTACTGATTTTTTTGCTGAATTTCAAAACTAGTGTATCTTTAAGATTGTTGGAAAGAGGCTTAAATTCTATTTTCTACTTAGGAATATAGACGCTCGGAAAGAATAGGAGAACCTGCATGGCTCTATACTCAGAGAATCTCAGAAATCTGTAGGACTACCCAGCTGCATGAATTTTCTCTGGCTTTTAGAAAGTGGAATTTGACTAGCAAGAATAATATAAAGACTGACAGTTTCTGCTATAGAGATTCCACCAATCTTGGCATGTTAGGGCCACTGTGATTTTTTTTTGTTTGTTTGTTTTTTGTTTTTTGAGACGGAGTCTCGCTCTGTCGCCCAGGCTGGAGTGCAGTGGCGGGATCTCGGCTCACTGCAAGCTCCGCCTCCCGGGTTCACACCATTCTCCTGCCTCAGCCTCCCAAGTAGCTGGGACTACAGGCGCCCGCCACTACGCCCGGCTAATTTTTTGTATTTTTAGTAGAGACGGGGTTTCACTGACTGTGATTCTTTTGTAAGTTTTCTTGGTCTTAATCTTCCTGTTTCTATTTTACCCTGGTAGTGCAGACTTTTTCTGCAGCTCAGCTTTACTTTTCTGTTGTTCCCTGTGAATGTGATTGGTCTATAGTTGAAGCTTCCTGGAAATTAACAGACTTATTTTTGCTTCTTTAGTGTCACCTTTTGTCTTTATTATGCTTAAAACTATTCCATTAGTTTGCTCCAAAGTAATTGATGGATATATGATTGACTCTTCTAGAATTATAATGAGCTAGGATGACCTTTCATGTACATTTAAACCACTAAATTATTAAGATTAGAAAGGTATTCCTGTGATCGGATACTCACACAATTTTTACAAAAGCAAGATGTTTTAAAATGAGATATATATGTAAAATGTTATATGCGTGTACTATATGTATTTATACATAAAATCATGTATGTATATCTCATGTATATATTTTATGAAATCTTCTGCCTCTATATAGGAGGATACACACACACATACACACACACTCACACACCTGTATAGTCTACCCTACTATCTGCATGTATGTGAATTTGTGGGGGTGGGAGGAGTGTATAACTTCTTGGTTGCTGAGGCCTCAAGTAGCAGTGACTTGAAAAAGATCTCTTCATTCCTTTAAGAAGTCAGCTGTCCTCTGAAGTTAGAGGGCTGAGGATGGGGTGATGAACATTGCCAGCCCCAAAGGATTCTGGTAAGAGACTTGACCTCCCTAGGAAATGAGAACTAAGGAGTCGGTCCTTAGATATCCTAGAGATATGATACAGGAAACATCTGCATGCCCCCTTGAGTACAGAGAGATTGACACACAGGCACCTTCTGGGGAGCAGGTATTGAGGCTCCTGGCAACCAAAGCTATGTGAAAATTTGTCAGGAGTTGGGGTGAGAAGAGTCTGATGGGCTGTTGGGCAGGGCATATCTTATTAGCCATATCATCCCATTTTTTAATTTACTCTTTGTCTTTAGTTTCCAGTTATTATCCTTACTGGGTAATTATCCTGACAGTCTTGTGTATTCTAATACTATTTTTCATTAAGTAAGGAGACAATGTTCCCATACCACCTTTTACAAAAAGGAAGTCATAAACTCACACTGAAATGATACATTTTTCCTACTCATTGACAAACTCCATACATGAATATCAGTTCCAGAGTTTGCCAAGTTAGTTCAGCTTTAGTTTTGATTACCACCATATATGTAAGTGATATTAATGGCATTTTCAAAGTTCGTCTATCCAAGTATGCCTAAATACCTACTTTAGTTGAAATTTCCACCATAAATTTTCATTTTGGAATATAAAATAAAGGTACCTATTGGATAGCAAATACTAGAATCTGAATGTTTTGTGTGTGTGTATATATATATATTTTTAATAAATCAATGAAATTTATAAATATTATCTATAATTATAAGGCACTGAGGTTTTTTCCTCACATTACTCTAAATTGTTAATCTAATGCTTTCTGTAAATCAGCTACATGTTTTTTTCTACCCTGATTAATGCAGTCGTGTTCAAACAACTACCTTGCAAGCTGTTCTCATTTAACCCAAACAGAGCATCTAATGGGGCCAGGGAGGAAATTGAAGGCTTTACGGAGATACCGTCATCTAGTCTTATTTGATACAATGATAGGAACTAAAAGGCTGGGGAATAAAACTTCAGCATCTGTCTATACTGGGGATGGGTAACCCATTAAGCAACAATGGCTATTAATGCCTAATTTTTGTAATTTCAATTGCCTAACAGAGAGGAAGTCCTTGAGGGAATGAAAAATGAGAGGGGAAAGTCCGGAACATGTAAATTGCCTACAGTTTAGCATGCTATCTCTTTTAGTAGGGATCTCTGGCTGGGGAACAGACAAAGAAGATTTAGTGTCCAAAAGGAGTTCAAGATACTTCAAAGAAGGAAAAGAGTTAGGAAAGGGGCTTAGAAAGATAATAAAATAACAACAACAGAAAATTTTTATTTTCCAGTGTTTTACATGTATATGTTATTTTCTATTTGGGCTGGAAGGGATTTTATTTTCCAGTGCTTTACATTTGTACGTTATTTTCTATTTAGGCTGGAAGAAAGACCTTAAGGCATCTAATTTTCCATCTCTCCATTGAACCGTGAATATCTCACAGTGTAATATTGGTTTCTCAAGTCAGTACTGGATCGCTCACTCCTTGGGTTACAGTTTTGCACCATAACGTCACAGTTTACATTCATTATCCAATTGAGTAAGCAAAGAAAAGCTATAATCCAGAATCATAAATTCCTGGTTTTAAACTTGAAATTTTAATGTTTGAAGATTGCCTTGTTTCACATTTATATTTGTCCCTAACTGGCTCTTTAGCTTGATTCATGGTTCATCATTTTGCTAGTTACAAATCTCTTAGTTGAACCCTAAAGAATGAATCTTTCCTGGCTATATATATTCTGAAATATTTAACAATGCAAGAAGTTAGTTCCAAACATCTTGGGGTAATAGACAAATTAGCAAAAAGTCAGCCAACCGTAAGTTATGGTGCAGATTCAGTGTGGCCACTGTTTCTAGCCTTACCCAGACAGCAGTGACTTGAAAGGAGTTCAGTGATGCCTCAGTGAATGATTTTCCCTTTTCCTACTTTGGTTTTTTATGTTTCAGACCCAGAGGTCGAGTCCCTCTAACAGCTTGAACAGGGGTCAGGGAGCCTCTCTGTGGAACAATGTCTAGAAGGAGCCCCTTGCTCAGTGTAGTTTTGGGTCCTGAAATTGAGCACAAGTGTGTTGCCCATTGCCTTCTGCTTCCTTTGTTCATGTCTCTGCCAGTATATTCAGGCCATGTCCATCTTACTACTATTCTTTTGACTAGAGAAATACAGACCATATGAAACAGCTGATCATCCAAAGGCCACAGGATGTGTAATTTCACATGGCCATTTCTGAGACTTGCTCTGAGGGGAAGCTGGGAGGACATTTGCAGCTCTGTCCTGTTGGTATTAGAGCCTTGGGATCTTGTACATCTGAGTGAGCCCTGGACACTTGTGTGCCCACAAAGGTTCAGGTATGCCCTAAGCCCCACCATCAGCATTAAGCTTCTATCTAAGTTATTTTATGAGCATCTGTAGTAGATGCATCTACTACTAGAGTGGATGTGCCATCAGACCTCTCCCCTTCAGGACTCCTTGCCTTTCTCTGCTGGGAATATGGGTGGAAGATAGCTACCTCTCTCTGGGTTTTGCCATCAGGTGAAGAGACACTCTTGTCCAAGTTCATGACTCTTATTAGGGTCAGCCTATATCTAATCGATAATTCATGAGGGGAATAAAGTTCTGGTTGTATTATCCCAATTGAGGACACTTCTGCAGAGCTGTTCTGGATCCAGAGCTCCTGCTACCCAATTCTATTGTTAATTTCAAGAGCATTCCCCTCATCCCTTGCAATAAATTCCCTGCATGTTAATCTCTGTCTCAGAGTTTGTTTCCCAGGGAAACAGTCTGCAACAGCTCCTCAATGAACAAAATCCAAAATGATGTTCTCTAATGCAGCTTGCCTTCTCAGGTCCTTGCAACCTACCTAACCCTGATCATGCTATGCTGTGGCTAAAACTTTTCCCTAC
The DNA here is from genome assembly GCF_000001405.40 of Homo sapiens. Taxonomy (NCBI): domain Eukaryota; kingdom Metazoa; phylum Chordata; class Mammalia; order Primates; family Hominidae; genus Homo; species Homo sapiens. The sequence continues at coordinate 133,067,653 of NC_000002.12, read as the reverse complement.
ATTCCCAGAGGCTGGAAGACAGTCTATTTTGAATGAGTAGATCATTTCCCACTTGACTTGGAGTATCCCCTGGTGCTTGGACCTCCTATCCACCATATTGGATTTCCTCAGACATCAGCCTCTCCTGAACCAAGCCAGAGTTGCCAGCCACACTGTGTGTTGTGCTTCTAGTGACTACTGCATAGGCCAGCTCTAAAACCTAAGCAATTGTATCCATTCCCATTCTCATGATCATGGATTCCTTTTACCCTTTCCTAATTTTAGTTGCCTATTTTCTTGGAGGCAGATTGAAAAATGGTATTTTCTTTTTTAAAACATAAATTTAAGTAGCATTAGAATATCTTAGTTGGAAAATCTTATAAGCTTTTGAAAATATAGAACTGGAGCTTATGTGAGACACCACAACATTTCAGAATAACACTTATAACAATATGATGATGTTGCATCCTGAAGACCTTATTGAACAGTACCTATAAAAATGGCACTCAGGGCCGGGCACGGTGGCTCATGCCTGTAATCCCAGCACTTTGAGAGGCTGAGGCGGGAGGATCATGAAGTCAGGAGATCGAGACCATCCTGGCTAACATGGTGAAACCCCGTCTCTACCAAAAATAAAAAAATAAAAAATAAAATGGCACTGAGTTTCCTCCATCCTGTTCAGATTTGGGTTATCTATTCCCTCAGAGTCTCAAGAAACCACTTGAATGTTATAACTGCTAACCCAAAAATGGTTTAAAACAGAAACTTCCACTGTTGCACCTAAATTGAGATAATCGCTCTGGAGGAAATATAGATGCCACTAGACTACATCATACCAAGGAGAGGTCACTTGTGGTAGAAGTTAGCTTTGATTTTAACATTTCCTTTTCCCTACTGACTTTCCCTACTGACTTTTCCCACATAACCATTGCAAAAATTTTTGCAGACTGGCTATTCTAACGTTTCTGAGACCAAAATAAATATAAAGTAGGACTTGGTATGCTAGGGGGTGTACATTTCCTATTCATTGTATGGGAAACGAGTTTGCTTTTATTCTGTGTAATGGAACATATGGCACTCAGCATCCCATGTTTACAATGTTTTTCTTCTGTGAGAGAGAAGGAAAGGAAAAAATAGAAGAAGGAAGGGAGAGAAAGAATGCATGTAGATATGAATGATTTTGAAACACATATAATTTCTCTACTTGGGCTGTTATTCTTTAATAAGTTGAATTGGCAAAATCCAACTTAAGATTCTGACTTATCCAGAGAATTTGTGATGGATTTGAATTTAATTATAGAATTGTAAGAAGCATTTGAAGGGTAAAAAAGAAGACGGGTTTTAGATGATAAGAACAAGGAACACTTATTGAAAACAAAGAGAAAGATGATGACAAGGCTGGCTCAATTGTGAGTTCTAACATGAATCATAATTTTTAAATAGCTTCTACAGTTTGGTAATTAAGCCTTTAATTTGTCTTTCACCATATTGATGTACTAAACCTCCAGATTTCCCTTGTGTTATTCCTGCTAAATTTTCTAGCCATCAATTATGCTTCCTTCAGTTGTAATTATCTTAATGAGGCATATGAGGGAAATACATACATACATGAGCATGTATACACAAGTATATGCACATTCACACATACACTCACACACTCCTTCCTTAGATTTTGCTTGAACCTGTGTCATTAGTGATGAATAGAATTAGCAGTTCCCATTAAGATGAATGGAGAATGAATCAAACTGTAATAGCTACATGAACTATATATTGCACTGGTGTCAACAGTTTTCTACCAAATATTCGTTATATCATATGTGATCTCACATTGTTGTCAGAGTACAAGTAAAATGCCAGACAAGACTCTACTACCGCTTTGAGGAGGCTGATCTCTCAGTGACGTGGCCATAGTCATTGGGACCATATAGTGCACTGAGATAGGGGTCCTCTTGCCTGCTGGTAGAGTGTGAACCATGCCACCCTTTCTCTGAATCACACTTCTTTATCCCTGAGGGTGTAAACTAACTTAATGAGAGAGAAAAAAAATTTTTAAGATAGAGTCTCGCTCTGTCGCCAGGCTGGAGTGCAGTGGCCCAATTTGGGCTCACTGCAACTTCTGCCTCCCGGGTTCAGGCAATTCTCCTGCCTCAGCCTCCCAAGTAGCTGGGACTACAGGCACGCGCCACCATGCCCAGATAATTTTTGTATTTTTAGTAGAGACGGGGTTTCACCATGTTGGCCAGGATGGTCTTGATCTGTTGACCTTGTGATCTGCCCGCCTCAGCCTCCCAAAGTGTTTTGATTATAGGCATAAGCCACCATGCCTGGCCAACAATTTTTATTGAAGAGGAAAACTATAGAAATGGCTGTTGCGCAGCTGTTTTTACCATTTGAGCTTTTAATTTTTGTGTGTGTGCTTTCCATTTTTAGAATCATAGTTGTCGTCGTTTTTCCTTCTAATGTGGAAGTATTCCTTATTCAAAGAGCCATTAGAACTATGGCTGTTGTCAGGCTGTGGACTTATGAGATGTTTCCTTTTTGCTTACTCTGGTGGCTAGAGAGGAGAGGAGATTATTCTACTAACTTACAGGCAATCAACACTTTAAAACAAGAGAATGAGGCTAAATGACTCTGTTCATGGGTCTGATAATTTTTATCCAGTTTGTTGCTGCTTGGAAAAAGTATTACTTCCAATGCTTAGAACACTGAGATTTTAATCAGATGCTAAGGAGCCTGCTTCTGCTAATATATCCTCAGTTACATCTCAGATGGAGTAGTCCATTCACTTTAATAAACTTTTAAGTTCCAGTGGAATTTTAAATGAAAAAACAAATTATATGAATGTGGTTACTAAGGGGCTATGCTCAGAGAGAGAGATTAGATGGCAAATTAACTGTCTATTGCGAACAATATGGTGTTTGGATTAGAATCACAGTCACTGCCTTTTTTCTTTCCATTGTCTTAAGTATTCCTTATGCCAAGCGTATCCCCACCCAGAGCAACGATGGACAGTAACATTTATTTTTATATGAGCAGTAATTTAAAACTTTCTTATTTACCAGGCTTCCTTAGGCTTTTTACAACATTTGTAATAGCTCTGTAAGTTTATCTTCTCTTTGAAATGCTTTTGCTGCAGTACAAGAAAGCTCTTTAACACTTTTTCTTAATCTGTTTTTTTTTTCAGTTGTATAATCATGTGAACATGGCATTATCTGCTTAGAGGAAAACTGGGTTTTCAGTTCAGCATTCTTTCTGGCACGTATGTGATTTTTGTATTGTTAGCAGACCCTTTTAGGAAGATTTCTTCTCCTACACAAACCATAATGAAACAAACACTGCACTTAAACTATCAGTATACTTAAAGATCCACCTTCCAGTTATAATCAGTGTTGTTTCTGAGAGGCAGTGCTTTGCACTCTAACTTGATAGAACATTGCAAATTTGTTTATATACAGTTTTGTTCCCTGATGACATTTTATTTATAGTTTTATAGCTGGTGATGACAACCCATGCCAAGACAAAGATGGTGTGAGTTCGACCATTTTTTGATCATGTCAGAATTTTCTCCTTTCTCCTTTTCCTCAGCACCTCTGTGAGGAGAGAAGTCAAATAGCAATCTTGACTAGTGAGTCGCTGAGGTTGGGTCTGATTTGTGTGGCAACAACTGCTAAGAAACGATGTTTTGGAGGGTTGCAGCACCATGGACAGTTCCTGAAGGAGCAAGGGGTTCACTAGATCTTTCTAGTCTCCATTCCTTTAGTCTGTAGTATGGCAGATGTTAACGGTTTTTTCCTAGCTCTCAAATGTTACAAGTTTTCCCCACAAATATATCAGTTAAATATCTTAAGTTTTTCTACTTTTGAACAAACTGAAAACATCTTGGCCAGGAAGAGTCAAAAGTTGGTAGTAACTCACTTTGCTCAGCTAATATTGGATATGAAGAGAGCAATGACTAGAGAGAAAGTTAAGCTGCAGAGGCCTCCCTGGGTATAAGGGCAAATGTGAGTTAAAATGCCAAGAAAAGCCTACAGATTATTCTAGAACAAAGAGGCCAGCAGTTATTGGGAAAAAAAAATGTGATGAGTTTTTCTTTGTGCTAGTCACAGAGCTTCTCAGCTTTTCGTCACATAAAAAGCTTTAGAGGAAACTCATATTCAGTTATCAGAAATTGCTTCACCTTGATTTATGATCTGGTCAGGCCCTCCTTGGTAAGCTGTGTGAACTCTTCCTACCAGAAAAAGAGAAGCTGCAGATGGATTCGCCATATATAAATACATGCTGGTAGTGTATATGTAACTTCAAACAGTTCAGAGATAATAAATTGAGTGCCCTGTCAATGCCAGCTTAATAAACACACTTATTGTAAATGATATGACAATAGAATTATTGATTATAAATCCAAAGTGTGGTGTTTGGAATCATGTCTCCATTTCATTCCTAAGGAAGGGAGTCACTCTTGATCCATTCTGTAGGGGGCAACTTAGTAACATTTCTGGCAACTCAGCTTCCTCCTGCTGTGATTAATTAATCTGGAGTTACTCAGATCTCTCTTTTTGTGTGGATTGCATCAACCTTGCTTTGCTTCTCTGAAATAATATGTACAGCTAGTGCCTTCCATGGGAGCTGGGTTTTGCCTGCCTCTTCTAGTGCTTTCTTTATACTTTGAAGTAGGAAGAGAAGAGCAGCCAGGATTGGGCCAATTACAATGTGCCTAATACATTCACATCCTTATGCTGTAATTTAGGCAGAAAAACACTGATAATTTAATCTCGTTATTTTTTTCCCATGAAATCAATTTATGGGTGCTTTTTACTGAATCTTCTTTGGTTTTATAAAGATTTCTATGTAAACATTGTAAGTAAATGAATTATAAAGATCGATTCACCAAGAAAATTATTTCCCAGAGCATTTTAATTAATCTAACTTTGTAACACATTAATCTCACCAGAAATAAAATTAAATGTGAACTATCTTTTAAATATATTTTTAAATCTATAACCCTGCTATTAAACTTATAGCAGGCCATCTACCAGATCACACACCTGAGTACCTCTGCAAAGAGGACCAGCCAGAATTATTGCATGGATTTTTACCTCCAGGATTTTCTTTGTTCTCACAACTATTGAGTAGCTCAATTGAAGAATATAGAAGTATTTATTTCTTTAAGATGATGCTGAGTCTTCACATTTCAAGCTGTGCTTTTGTGTTTTGTCAATGGTTCTTCAGTCATAGTCCTTGTATTATTCTTTTGAAAATGCTGTTTAATATCTCTACTCCAAATCTGCATAATACACTTAAATGACTCACCATATGTCGCCAAAGAGTGTTGCTTCATCTCTTATCTAACAGGAGACACAAGGCCAAGCCTCATATAGTGATACGTTAACTTTTTGGTTTTTGTTTGTTTGTTCTATATTTCCTTTTTAACCAGAGATCAAAATTCCAAGCGTAAATATTTGGCTTTTTTGTCTTTACCATGGAGGCTGAAGTTGAACATTTAATTTGTTTTAAAGGTTTTACCATGTCCATTATAATTCCTTACAGGAGCATTACATCTAGGGCTATGGATAGCACTTGGCTTGTTCCATCTCTAGAATTATTTACATTTTATCTTTAGTACTCATCATCAGAGAAATTTCAGAAAATGAAAGCATAGTAAGAGATTTGAAAAATATTCTGCATAGCAAGCATGACTTAAGATACATTTTTTTTTCATTTGAACTTACCAAAAAAAATGTGGGCATGTTGCACTGTCAGTTTTAAATGAAACCTAGTGGTTGGGGAGTGGAGAAAGGTGTTTAGGAGGTGGTGAGGGGCTCAAGTGTGTTGATCTAAGGTGGGGAAGCCATAGTGGCCCAATAGCCACCAGGTACTAATGGCAAAGGCTCAGTTCTCCAAGAAAGCTTATGATTGATTATGACCTGTCTCTCTCTTCTGAAATTGTATCTTTCTTTTTCTCCCCTCCATTTTTATTTTCCCCAACAAATCGAAAGAGGAGGTTTGGCAGTTCCGTCAGACAATGTGTTCATCTGGTTCTTGCCTCAGTTAATGTTTAAAACCTAAGTTCAAGTCCTAGCTGTGCTCTTGATCTGGTTCTGTGACTTGGGTGGAGGATTACTCCCTTCTTTGAATCTCAGTTTTCTTTTTGTTTTCTGTAACTTTTAGGTTCGATGGTACATGATAAGGTTTGTTACATAGGTAAACACATGTCATAGGGGTTTATTGTACATGTTATTTCATCACCCAGGTGAAATGCAGAAAAAAACTTCTTCTAGAATGCGAGTTTTGAGGATTAAATGAGATAATATTTACAAATGCCTATAGTACGGTGCCTAGCGTGGGGGCCCTGTCAATGGCATATTTCTCTGCAGCAAGCAATACTGTTTGACAGCATTTTGCCTACAGTAGAACTTCTTTCAAAATTGCAGTCCTCAAACCCTGCCACTGCTTTATCAACTAAGTTTATGTAATACTCTAAATTCTTTGTCCAAATGCATTGGAACTTGAATTGAATCCAATGTAAAATCAAATTTCTCTACAGTCTAGTAATGAAGCAAATTTTTAATATATAAATAGGTTTTTTTGTTGTTGTTGTTTTGTTTTTTTTTTAATATTTTGGGATTCATGGATCTGGAAACTGCTTTTGCTTTTTCTCTTTTTAGTGGTCATTCTGGATGTGCTTTTTCTATTTAGCTGCAGCTTCGTAGGCAAGAATGCAGGCCGTCCCCATAGCTTGTAGAGGATGGATTCATCAGAAGGCCTATAAGCTCTGATCAGTGAGGGGAGGAGAGCAGCCTGAATGATGAAGCCCACTAGGGGAAGAGCATGTCACAAAAAAATTATAAGATATTCAGAAGGCTGCCCAATATGCTGCCTCCTCATAAATCTTCACTTCCCTTCTAAGAAAAGAAAGACGTTTCTTTATTCTGCCCAGTGTACCTCTTGGGCAAAGCTTATATTCTTTACTCGTGTGTGTACATTTATCTTCATAGCTCATAAGAAAGGAAAATTGGCCCACCGTTGAAATCTCCATTCAATTTTACTACTTCAGATTCTTGATGGCATTTAAATAAAAAGGGGGCAAGGATTAGAGTTGGCAGTGAAGTGGATTTCAGGGACGGCTAGAAAACGGGAGAGAGACAGCCTCTTATATTTTGATCAATCTAGTCCATGAAAATATATACATAAACATGCAGCTATAAAATATATTGACATTGAATACTTTTTTCTTTCATAGTGTTTATACTTGTTGATATCTGGGATTTTGTGTAAGCTGTTTTTTAGCTTTGAAGAGATGTGTCATGATGGGTATATTCTCTAGGACTCTTTTAGTATGGGACTTTTCCCAAAAGGGTCTTTCATAGAAGCTTGATATTTTTCTTACCCAAAACACATTTCACACCTGCTACTTTTGTATGTGATATTTAGAGTTATGAAAGAAAAGAACTTGTCATGACATACACAAGATTTAAAAAAATATGCTATTAAATGTGTCTGTCTAAAATAGCTTTAAAGTTCAGCTCTTGAGATGATTTTCCTAGTCCCACTGATGTCTTAGAAAGAATGAATGTATATTCTTATGCATTTACTTGGGGTTATCTTAAGCTTGGCATCCCATTGTTTGTCCTGGGAGCTTAGGGCTCTCTGGCTGCAATATCTGTCATCATGTTAGTCACCAGGTTAATTCAGCTGATTTTGTTGGTGAGGGAACTTTCTCTTTCCTCCCTCATTTTTTTTTTTCTGGAGAAATTGTAATTTGGTCAAAGTAAAACAGTCATTTCTGATGCAGACATACCTTGGAGATATTGCAGGTTCTGTTCCAGACTACCTCAATAAAGTGTATATCATAGTAAACCAAGTAATGTGAATTTTTTCATTTCTCCATGCATATAAAAGTTAGGTTCACACTATACTATAGTCTATTAAATGTGCAATAGCATTATGTCTTTTAAAAATGTACGTACCTTTTTTTTCTTTTTCTTTTCTTTCTTTTTTTTTTTTGAAATAGCATCTCACTCTGTCACTCAGGCTCGAGTGGCAATGGCATGATTGCAGCTTACTGCATCCTCAACCTCCTGGGCTTAAGCGATCCTCTCACCAAAGCCTCCTGAGTAGCTGGGACCACAGGCATGTGCCACCAGGCCTTGTTAATTTTTGTAATTTTTTTGTAGAGATAGGGTCCCACCCTCAGGCTGGTGTCAAGCTCCTGGGCTCAAGTGATTTGCCCACCTCAGCCTCCCAAAGTGCTGGGATCACAGGAATGAGCCACTGTAATGGCCCACCATACATACTTTAATTTCAAAATATTTTATTGCTAAAAAATGCTAACAATCATCTGGGCCTTTAGCATATCAGAATATATACATATTTTTTTTGAGATGGAGTCTCGCTCTGTCGCCCAGGCTGGAGTGCAGTGGCGCGATCTCGGCTCACTGCAAGCTCCCCTTCCTGGGTTCATGCCATTCTCCTGCCTCAGCCTCCTGAGTAGCTGGGACTACAGGTGCCCACCACCACTCCCAGCTAATTTTTTTGTATTTTTAGTAGAGACAGGGTTTCACCGTGTTAGCCAGGATGGTCTCGATTTCCTGACCTCGTGATCTGCCCGCCTCAGCCTCCCAAAGTGCTGGGATTACAGGCTTGAGCCACCACCCCTGGCTGCATATCAGAATATTTTTACTGGTGGAGAGTCTTGTCTCAGTGTTGATGGCTGCTGATTGATCAGGTTGGTGGTTGCTGAAACTTGAGCAAGGTTAAATTATTTAGTATAATTCAATAAATTCATCAATGAAGTTTGCTATATCAGTTGACTCTTCCTTTTATAAAATATTTCTCTATAGCAAGCAAGGCTGTTTGATAGCATTTTATCCACAGGACAATAGAACATTTTTCAAAATTGGAGTCAGTCCTCTCAAAATCTGCTGCTGCTTTATCAACTAAGTTTATGTAATATTTCTAATCTCTTGTTATCTTTTCAACAATCTACATAGTATCTTCACAGTAGTATATTCCATCCCAAGAAGCTACTTTCTTTTTTCATCCATAAGAAGTAACTTATCTGTTTATGTTTTATCATGAGATTGCAGCAATTCAGTCACATCTTCAGGCTTCACTTCTAGGTTTCTTGCTATTTCCACCGCATCTGTAGTTACTTATACCACTGAAGGTTTGTACCCCTCAAAGTCATTCATGAGGGTTGGAATAAACTTCTTCCAAACTCCTGTTAATGTTGAATATTTTGACCTCATTCCATGAATCACAAATGTTCTTCATGGCATGAAGAATGGTAATCCTTTCCAGAAGGTTTTCAATTTACTTTTCTCAGATGGATCAGAGGAATCACTATCTGTGGCAGCTATAGCCTTATAAAAAATATTTCTTAAATAATAAGGCCTGAGAGTTGAGATAACTCTGATCCATGGGCTACAGAATGGATGTTGTATTAACAGGTGTGAAAACAATTTAAATCACCTTGTACATCTCCATCAGGGCTCTTGGGTGACCTAGTACATTGTCAGTGAGCAGTGATATTTTGAAAGGAATTTTTTTTTTTCTAAGCAGTAGGTCTCAACACTGGGTTTAAAACATTTACTAAGCCTTGATGGAAACAGATGTGCCATTATCCAGGCTTTGTTGTTCCATCTATAGAGCCAGAGGCAGAGTAGATTTAGCTTAATTCTTAAAGGCCCTGTGATTTTCAGAATGGTAAATGAGCACTGGCTTTAACCTAAAGTCACATTGCGTTAGTCTCTAACAAGGCAGTCAGCCTGTCCTTTGAGCCGTTAAAGCCAGGCTTTGACTTCACCTCTCTAGCTATGAAAGTCCTGGCTGGCATCTTCTATCAGCATTTATATCAAAAATCTATTGTTTAGTGTAGTCATCTTTATCTGTTATTTGAGCTACATCTTCTGAATAACTTGCTGTAGTTTTTCATATAAAAGCACCTAAAGCACTTGGTGCTTCACCTTGCATTTTCGTGTTATGGTATTGGCATCTTTCCTTAAACCTCATGAACTACTCTATGCCAGCTTCAAACTTTTCTTCTGCAACTTCTTCACCTCTCTCAGGCTTCATAGAATTGAAGAGAGTTAAGGTCTTGCTGCAGGCTAGGCTTTGGCTTAAGGGGATATTGTAGCTGCTTTGTCCTCTATACAGACCACTCAGACTTTCTCCATATCAGCAGTAAGGCTGTTCTGCTTCCTTACCATTCATGTGTTCACTGAAGTAGTACTTCTAATTTCCTTCAAGTGTTTTTCCTTTGCATTCACAACTTGGCTACCTGTTTGGTGCAAGAGGCCTAGCTTTCGGCCTGTCTTGGCTTTCAACAGGCCTTCCTCACTAAGATTAATTATTTCTAGCTTTTGATTTAAAGTGAGAGACCTGTGACTCTTCATTTCACTTGAAGACCTAGAGGCTATTGTAGGGTTATTAATTGACCTTATTTTAATATTATGTCTCAATTAATTGGGAGGCCTGAGGAGAGAGAGATAGGGGAATCAGGGAAATGACCAATTGGTGGAGCAGTCAGAACACACGTTTATTGATTAAATTAGCTGTCTTATATGGGCACGATTTGTGGTGTTCCAAAATAATGACAATAGTCACATCAAAGATCACTGATCACAGTTAACCATAGCAGATGTACTAAAAATGAAAAAGTTTGAAATATTGCACGAATGACCAAAATGTGACAGAGCAATGAAGTGAGTACATGCTGTTGGAAAAATAGTGCTACTACACTTTATCAATGCAGTTGCCACAAACCATTGATTTGTTTAAAAAAAAATCTGCAAAGCACAATAAAATGATGTACACTAAAACAGGGCATGGTTGCGTGCTTCAACTTTGGAGCTACAGATCTAAGTGTAATTGACAAAAATTTTCAAACAAAATTGCCTGAATGATCTGTCTTCAAAAAAGTTATGACGGTATCAAATGTGCACTCCCATATAGTACTTGTAACTTAAAAATCCAAGGAAAAGATTTCCTGCTTGTCATTGATAATATGTGTTTAATAAATACTTGTTGGTTTAAAGAATAAAAGAAGCCCATGTAGCCTTTAACTATCCTGGTCGTATTTAGCACAGTCCTGCATCTAGCTTTATTTAGCATTTCATGTGTAATTGGCACAGGTCTCCTCTGAAAATGAAAATTAGTGAAGACAGACACTTTAAGATTTTGCAGTAAGAGAAGCAAATCAGCATTTTAAAAACTTGACTCTTAATGTTTTAAAGAAGAAATTTTACAATTTATTAGTAAATATTATTAAATAACTATTATATACCATTCTGGGTGCAGTGGAGAGCAATAGAAAAATATGGAACTATATAATAAGATCATTTGAAACTAATAATATGTTGGATTATAAGGAAAGGTAAATTGTTAAAATAGGGATGATGAATGTTGGAATTTAGGAAGAGGATACAGCTTTGGGGAAAGTTTTCAGGCAGAATCCAGAGTTGACCTGGACACTAGGGGACAGAGATGTTCTGGATAGGCATAAAAGAAACAAGCATTTCAGTTGAGCAGGTCATCGAGAAAGTGGTACAGACAAAATAATCCACATCAGACGGAATATTCAATCATATAACTTTCCTGCCTGACCTACAAGTTAATGTTGAGGAAAGTAGGGAGAGGAGGGACAGATGGAAACATTGGCACAGGGATAAGTGTGTGCCTCTCCCTCTCTTGTAATATTCTTTTAATAACTCTTGTAAGTAATTTTAAGAAGAAAGCATTTATTGTTCCCATAATTAAAGCTCATGATAAAATAAACACCCTCTAAGCAAGGCAGGCAAAGCTCAGGAGCAGCCTGGCCAGATGGAAAATTCAGAGATCTCTCCAAAAAGACCAGTTTTATTTTTGAATTACTCACCAAAAGGACAGGTGCCATTGCTGGGAGTCATGTTTTCCTACAGCTCTGCATCTGGCTATTATAATGAGATGTGGAGACAAAATAACTAGTAGATAGATCAAATAATGCAACAAATGATGCCCAACATTCTCATTTCATCCTCTGTGTGTGCATTTCAGAGCTTAAATTGGCTATACCCATTATGTCTATATTGTTATATTGCTTTATTTTGACATTAATAATTTTTGTTGAAATCTATATAAAATAGCTTATTTATTCTTTCCTGGTATTAGTTCTTTCATATATATATAAACTATTCATATATATATAAACTATATATATATATATATACAGTTTATCTAAACTGATATCTCGCAGCACACCATCTTCTGGCGTTTTCAAGGTGGCTGACCTATTTGATTCCATACTTTAAGATAAAAATGAACTGCTTCAGATTGTTATTTAAAACTAGAACTCACTCTCTGTTCTCAGCTCCTTCCTACTTCTCTTCCAGGAACCCTAATTCTTGGCTCGGTGTATCACTTTTGATACCTGTTTTCTATTCTTTTTTTGTTTTTTGGATGATTCACTCAGATTTCCTTTTTGGCTGATTGGACTACAGTTCTCCCTTGACTCTTGGATCAGTATACTAGTATACGCCCTAATTTTAGTATCAACTCAAGACTCTTAGAGAACAACACCTTTCTCTAGTTTGTTCCTTTGTGATACCACCACTACTCACTCCTTTCTCCCCATTTAATTTTCTGAATTATAATGGTTGAGTCAAGAAAATGCAGAATGTTCAAAATAGACTTTCAAGAGTTATATCAATAGACAACTGTGAGGCCTTATACAGATATGTGTAAATTTGAGATTTTTGCTAGGCTGTTTTGTAGCCACTTTTCATCAGGGTTTTCATTTTGTTTGATGGAGCAATAGTGCCTACCTGCTTATAGGTCAAAACTCTAATAAATGTCAGCATATGACTCGTGATTTTCCTGAACAATGAACCACGGTGGCCCCCTGGACATCTGATTGCCAAGAAAATTTCAAACTGGATTTGATAAGAGTGGGCATATGTCATTCTACCATGTGAGGATACTTTACTTTCTAGTTCTGAATTTCCTCTTTGCACTTTTTAGTATTTCTAACCCCACTAAAAGCTCTTTAAATTCTCTTCGTCACCAGTAGATTAATTTCAGAACTCAAATTCCTTGGCCTAGTTGTGACTTCACTCCATCTACCTCCCCTAGGACATTAGCCAGCTTGACATTCTTTAAAAACACTCAGAGGCAAACCAAGTGCTCACACGGTTCCTTGGAATGCATGTTCTTCTCCCAGGCTCCCTCTTGGCATGTTGCAGTGCTAACAGGGCCCAGCAGGAATGTTTGTCTCTACATTAGAGCTTCTCTAACACCTCAGCCAGCAGTAAACCCCTCTCTGATAGATCTCTCATAGAACGTTGTGCCTTTCTTTAGTCCTTAGCATATTTGGCTTTGTTCTATGGTTATTTCTGTACAGGTTCTCTCCCTACTGGGGTGGGGAGGTAACATACCATCATATTGCTAATACTTTATTAAACAAGGTGTGATCTCCATCAATGTTTGTGGAAGGAATAATTGAGTTTCTGGGTAAACACTTTGGAACAAAGCATTTTAGAATTAGTGTATAATTAGATATCGCCTGCTTTTTCTTGCAAGCTTAGATACTTTTAGCCTTAAATTTTGTACCAGCCTCTGACTTGCCTTTGCCATCTTCCTTGATACTGATAAACACCATAGAATTATGGAACATGGGCTGGCTTCATCCATCATACACTGCATCTATTCATCTATTTACCCTGCATACAGTACTTGAATTTGAATTTCTAATGGCAATTAATATGAAATTTTGAAGTTAAATTATATATGATTTCTTGTTTATTGGATTGCATGCAGTGTGTTTTATGAAATGCTCTCATAGTATTTGCTTTTGCAGTTTAAATGGATTACTTAAGAATTAGGAAAAGGGAGAATTAAAGGATTTACAGTGTAGCACAGCAAAGAAGTGTTTCCTTAGTAACTAAAACCAAAGTTATGCAGAGACACCAGGAACCGGAGCTTGCTTTGAAATCTTACCCTGTAAGCAACTTGGACTTGAAAAAATAAAGTGGAAATTAGCGAAAGAGAGTAGCAATGGTAAGGGAAACAGATTAGACTAGTGCTGATTTGCATGGCCATGCATGGCACAGTAGGATTCAGAAAGTAAAGAAAGTTAACCTTTGAATTTTTGAAGGTCGCTTTACAAAGTCATACAATTAAAATTGCATTTCTTTAGCCAAGCTATATTTCAGAAGGAAGCATTTAATTGTAAAATAAAGAGTCTGGAAGTAGAGTTGTGATTAGGATAGTTCGCAAGTAGATAGCAAGCACGTCCCTGGAATGCTAGTTACCATTTACCACTAGACCAAAGACTTTGATTTTCTTGAGGATCTTGGATAAAACAAGACCAGAGATGGCAAACTTCCAGCCAGGAGTCAAATCCCTCCTCCAGGAGACAGCATCTTTCTTTCTGGACAGTGTTATTCTAATCATGAAAACTAAAGCTATTGGAGGAATGGTTGTTAGACCTGACTGCTCTCGAATAAAGAATCTTCAAGGATCTGAGCAGACAAAAAGCTGTGAAGAATGGTTTACCAGCTAACCAAATGAAGGGCAGGAGGGGCAGCAGGTACTTGGTTTTATCACTCTGAATGTTATAGCTCAGGCAATTGGGAACTAAAATATACCTCCAGACTGTGCTTTTTTTCCTCCCACTTTTCTATGTTTTTTATCTCCCCCTCTCATGCCATCCCAAGGAGGATGCCAAAACATTAGGAGTATTTTTTTATTTTGTTTTCTCCCTACCATTCTGTTTAATTACTGCTTTCTTAGAATTTTCTTTTACCCTTCAAAAGAGACTACTTTAATGTAATTATTCTATTTGTTGAATGTTCTACATTAGTTGAACAAATATTCTATTGTTGATAAACAATTGTTTATCAATTCAAGGAAGAAAAGAGACCTTTTTCATACTGAGATTAAATATACTTGTTTTTTACATCGAACTTTCCTTTTTTTTTTTTTTGTGACAGAGTTTCTCTTTTGTCGCCCAGGCTGGAGTGCAGTGGCACAATCTCATCTCACTGCAACCTCTGCCTCCCGGGTTCAAGCGATTCTCCTGCCTGAGTCTCTTGGGTATCTGGGATTACAGGTGCCCACCACCACACCCAACTAATTTTTGTACTTTTAGTAGAGATGAGTTTTCGCCATTTTGGCCAGGCTGGTCTCAAACTCCTGACCTCAGGTGATCTGCCTGCCTTGGCCTCCCAAAGAGCTGGAATTACAGGCGTGAGCCACCGTGCCCGGCCCAAACTCTCCAGTTTTCATACTCTTTGCCCATCTCCTGCCTCCACCTTAATATACTTCTCTAGAAAGGTAGAAAACCAACCCTTTATCCCTGCATTCATTGCCCACTATCAGCTTTGGTGTCAGAATGTCTTGGTAGCTGCGGACTAGCTCCAGATCAGAGTATGAGTTCTGTTACGTGATGATAGTCCGTGGTTTCCTAATTTGGCTACTGTAGATGGCACAGAGGTGGATTTGGATTAATGGTGTGTTTATTTTGTCATTGATGAAAAGTAAAAGCAAGGTTTTCTGAAGCTCTAACTTGTAAACCAAGAAATTTAACTTGTACTGCCAATGACAACCAATGACAAATGTTTTGTTACAAATATTCTAGGAGAGGTAGCTAGTAGGCACAGAGAAAGTGCAGTTTGTTCATCATTGTAGTCCCAGTTTTAGTATGATTCTTGGTACTCTGTAGGCTGTCAGTAAAGGTTTATTGAAAAAAATACATGTGTCAGCTTGGAGATTTCATTTAATCTCTCTAGACCTCACTTCTCTCATCTACAAATGGAGGGTATTGAATCAGATCAATAAGTTATCTTTTAACCATTTTCATCTATGAAGCATTCTACATATATGTATTGAGAGCCTACCATTTTCTAGAACCCATGCTTAAACATTTTTGATAGTAACTTATGGGAGATATATTTGAATATCTTAAAACATAAATCACCTTAGGCATAGCAGATGATTTTATTCTTTTAAATATTCACAGTGCATTGGAAAATAAATTATTGGTTATTTTTTCATGGGCTTTAATCCACATATCCTGTCTCTGTTGGTGCTTTGAGGTGCTCAGCATGAAAACTCGTTGCAGGCCTGGGTTCGGCATCCTGTGAATGCTAGCAAACCGCCTGCCTTCCGTGGTACCCAGGACTTGTGGAGCCCAGCACCTGCTTTAATTTTGACCAAGTGAATCTTGGGACTGTTCCAGCCCACGTTCCTTTCATGTTGCTCAATAGCAACCCTTTAACTAAATGTTTCATCTGGCAAAATGAGATGAAAAATAATTTCTGGTAAAAGTAATTTTCTAAGACCTTTTTGGTTATTCCTCACCTACTTTGTGTTCAGTATAAGAAAGTTACTCTGCTTGTAATGAAGCCAGCTGTCTACAAAGTAAGGTCGTTAGGGCTGCTTAATTAAAGAAAAAGAGTTTAATTAGTTAAAGAATAAGTTTAACCCCAGATCAGCAGTAGTCTCTGAGGACCACACAGAGGGAATAATTAGGAAGTTGGCTTTTATTTCTCTACTCCAAGCCTCAAGTCAGTTTTCTTCAGTAGAGAAGTGAAAAACATCTGATCTTGAACAACCCATACTCTTGACAAGATTAAGAAAAAAAATCCATTAATCTGATTACTTTACCTTCAGAGTATTAAAGGATTCAAATTCCTAAAGTTCTCTAAATTTTAATGATTCCAACAGCACTTCCATCTGAGAATCTCAAAGAATTTCACACATGCGTTCAGTCGCGCATATACTTCAAAGCAAGCACTTTTATCCCTCTTTCTTTTTGGTGATAAAATCGAGACAAAGAAAGGTTAACAAATATTTTCAACCATCAAAGGCTGTTGGGTGATAAATGAAGAAAGTAAGTGACCTTTTATTCAGTTCATCACTCAAATAGTTAGTCAACATTTTACAAAACTGGTGTAGACCAGCTCCCTTGAGAATGTATGTCTGAATCTTAAGGGGCATATTTTGATATAAAAATGTAGAAAAATATACCTAGACTAATGTTTCAGAAAATAAATAGCAGCATTGATAATGTGCTCTGAATTACAATTTCATCTATTATATTCCAGGCTGAACTGAGCAAAGGGAGAAAATGTTGTTGTTCCTTCCCCAAGTAGATTTAGTACAAAGTGTGTTATCATCTTTTCATGGTTTTCATTTTACAAACAGGAAAGATTACTTTATATTAGCCAGTGGAATGCAGATTTCAAATCGTGCAAAGTTTACTCATTTTTTTTCCTACCTAAATAAACTCCCCTAACATAAAACCATCTCTTTTTCCCTCACCAAGATACCATTCCTAGTCATTCCTTTTCCAACAGGGTTGTTTTCTCCCCCATTTTTTTTTTGTTTTTAGTCTTTTCCCCTTCCCACCCACTGAATCTTCTATACACAGTCAGTTAATATGTCTCTATGGAGCCCTGGTTTTGTAACTAAGACTATGCCAAGTGTTTTGGGGAATCCTGGAGAAGAATGACACACATCTGTATCCTCAAGTGGCTTACACTTTGACTACAGATATAGAAAGAACATGGGAGGAGTTGTAAGAAACCCAGCAGGTGCTAAATTGTATTACCAGGAAGAACAATGGGTGGTTAGAAAAGGGAAAGGCCAGCATGGTAGGTGATGACCACCTCCCTTCCACTCAAAAGGATGTATTATCTCACTTTTCTTATTGTGCCTTAGCACAGTGGGCCAAACTGACAGTTATGTATTTATGAATGTCTCCTTTGTCCCCATTCCTTTGGAACTTCTTGGAACCAGGTTCATACACCTTTTGGCTCTAGCACTAGGCCAGGGAATTAGGCATGGTTGATGTTCAGTGTTCATGGTAAGGCTTCCTTGGCTCAGATTTTGAAAGATGACCTGGGATTTAGGTTGAGTGACAATCGCATGCTGGAGCACTGGAGTCACAAGCACACGTCTTGGTGACGGAGATGAGCAGGATGAGAATCTCTGGGAATCTCTTGGCTGGGTTACACTGTATGAATTTGTTCCTAAGGGAAATGAAATAAACCAGTTAGTATTTTCTACCACTTATACCCCATGATCACTGACTGCTTAGGTGTACTGTGAAAAACTTGCCTGTGTGCCCATTCTTTTTTTTTTTTTTTTTTTTTTTGAGACAGAGTCTCACTCTGTCGCCCAGGCTTGAGTGCATTGGTGTGATCTCGGCTCACCGCAAGCTCTGCCTTCCAGGTTCACACCATTCTCCTGCCTCAGCCTCCTAAGTAGCTGTGACTACAGGCGCCTGCCACCACGCCTGGCTAATTTTTTTGTATTTTAGTAGAGACGGGGTTTCACTGTGTTAGCCAGGATGCTCTCAATCTCCTGACCTCGGGATCCACCCGCCTAGGCTTCCCAAAGTGTTGGGATTACAGGTGTGAGCCACCGTGCCCAGGCAGCCTGTGCTCACATTCTTCAGAGCTCTGTTTGCTGGACTTGAGAACATACAAACACCCAAATGGAAACCTCAATTCAGTGTTTTTGCAGCAAGTACAGTGATTACACAGTCATTTAGTTGTTAAAATAATAGTTAGTTTGGCAAGGGCTCTTCCCTGTTGCCATCATTTTGAAATCTGATGTCTCTTTACACTTCAGATGATAATGGAGGCTTCACTTTTTTAACTCTTATAAATGAATGGAAGTGGAGTTCTGGTTGATCGTAGTGTGTTTATGGGAGAATTCAACATCCAGAAAAGAGCATGAGATTTGAGACCAGAAAGCAAGGGTTCAAAGTCTGACCCCTGCCCTTAGGCCTCTGCTGCTTTTATCCAATGATTACACTGCTCTGAACATTGTTAGTCACTGTGAGTGTTGGGACCAAATCTGCAAGCTATAGGGACAAGCCAAAACAATGTATATTAAAATCATCTTAGAAATTGAAAAGCCCTTTGTAAAAATGAGTAGTAATAACAATTGTCGTTATTCTATTTCTATTCCAAATATCTGCAGGAAGTGCTAAAATTTCAATAACAGAGGAAAACATGTCTGGTAAAATGTGACAATATGAGTGGTATATTACTAGATTGAATTTTAATTTGTCCAATAAACCCTCATACAGTTCAGAGAATTGTGACATAAGACAACATTTTGTTAATTCTAAAAATTATCCACATATGGCCTTCACATGATACAAACAAGTATCCATTATAAACCATTGGTGATGAGTTCTGAAAACTTAAGATTTCAGCTAAAATATATTCAATCATCAATCACTAGAATGTTAGTAATTATGCAGAAGGTAACCAAAGGTGAACCCTTTTTGTTTCAGCCTTTTGGATACTATGAACTACATATACTGCATACCTTCTATATGCCAGGCACATTTAATTGTCCCCAAAACTCTGTGCAGTAGCTCTTCAGGTTTGGCTTATCTTACTAAGAAAACCAATTTAGAGAGGCTAGAACATGTACCCCAGTTCCCACAAGTAGTGAATTTTATGTGCCAGGTTCCCCCAGTCCAATCCAGTGCTCTTTTCACTGCTACGCTTACAGGGCAATTGGTTATAAAGATGTACTTTGTGCAAAGGACTTAGGCCGTCCTCCTTTGACTGTGAAACTCACACCACAGTGAGACACTGTGGAAGGTATGCAGACCACATCATCTCATACTAAAAGGAGACATGAACCTGAATCTTTCGGGATTCTAAGACCTCAGTTTTAGAAGTATAAACTTTTTGATGCATGCATTTTGTGAGGATTTTCCTCTCCCTTCTTCAATGTGCATGCATGCCAAAGTTCTGCTTTTGAATGTGGGGCTTCATTTTATATATGCAACCTTGCAAAGCATTTTTTAAAAGCTGTAACAAGCTTTGCCAGTGCTGCTTGCTCCAAATGTGTGTGATTACTGGTTAATCAGAATGGTTAGTGTAAGTGAATGGATGTTGTAATATGAATAACTGTGAATGTTGACTCCCTGTTCCCTCTTGAAAACAAGCTAGTTCAGCCAGCTTAATGAGGTTTTTCTGGAGTGTTTACAAATTTTAAACAATTAAAATTAAATTGAATTGAAGTTCTTTGTAATTATAACTGCATTTACATCATTATCATCCAGGCAATTAGGAGGAGGTGGGACAGATGAGGCTTTTCAGGTTTAAAGTCACAATCATTATTTTCAAAAAATGATAGCATATATTTTCAAAAGTTTCTCATTTCAGTTAGCCAGAGGAACAAATACCTTGAGAGTTCATAGTCCAGCATGTTTTCTTTCATTGTCTTTTTCAGACATATACAAATTAGATTCCCTTCATAGGAAGACTTTTAAGGATGATTGCCAGTCTTGGCAACGTTAATGACTATTCAAAGCTCACAAGGAAGCAGTGGTTTGGGCATGAGCAGGCATTACATTCTGTGGGGTCGAGCCCAGGGGGCTGCTGAGACTCGTTTATCCAGAGGTTTCTGAAAAGTGTCTAACACAGCATTGTTTGTAATTTGGTCCTGAATAAGGGACTTGGGACTGGAAAAAAAACAAAGCTTTGTGTTCACATAGCAGGCATGAAAAGTAGTCTGCGTGGTGAGGGCAGTGTACAGTTTGCAATCATCATGGCAGCTGAAGCAGCCAGAAAAAAATGTCATTGAATTTACTAAGGTATGTGTGGAATAGTGCTCTTTAAGTGGGTTTCTGTGATCAAAGAAGGAAACAAGGGCAAATCACTCTGAAATATTTTTTGTATGCATTGTTTTGATAAGCCAACCTGCCAATTTACTTGGATTGTGGAGATAGAACCAACGACAGGAAAGGCAGGTTCAAGGATGTCTGGATACACTAACTCCAACGAAAATTGCAACCTGTTCTCTCGACCCCTTATGTTTCTTCCCTTCTGAAGAACCCTTATGCTAATCTTTTCCTTTCTAGACATTCCTTTTTTCTTTTTCTAAAATCATCTACGTAATTGGCAATGCTTTGCCTATTGCCTTATATGGTTTTTCAATGATTTCTTAGAAGCTAGGTAGTTTCTCTTTAGTGAAATATGAAACTTCATCTGGGCCAAGTGCAGTGGCTCATGCATGTAATCCCAGCACTTTGGGATGCCGAGGTGAGAGAATTGCATGAGCCCAGGATTTTGAGACCAACCTGGGCAACATAGAGAGGTACTGTCTCTATAAAAAATTAAAAAATTAACCAGGCATGGTGGCACTTGCCTGTAGTCCCAGCTACTTGGAAGGCTAAGGTCGGAGGATCACTTGAGCTGGAGAGGTCGAGGGTGTAGTGAGCCATGATCACACCACTCCACTCCAGCCTGGGGACAGAGGGAGACTCTGTCTCAAAATAAATAAATAATAAATAACAATAAAAATCTGAATTGGAGGGACTCTCCTTTTGAGCTATTTGTTTCAAGAATTTAAAACTATTTTAGAATTTTCAGTTAAGCAAAACTAAAATATATTTGAGTTTTTGGAATGCAGAAATTTTGAAAAATTAAATATTTCTGTGCATGTTGTATGAAGACTAAATATACAGCCATGCCTCCTTATCTGTAGTTTCACTTTCCAAGATTCCAACTACCCACAGACAACCATGGTCCAAAAATATTAAATGGAAAAATTTAGAAGTAAACAACTCATCAGTTTTAAATGGCACTCTTCTGAGGAGCTTGATGAGATTTCTCACCAACCTGCTCCGTCCAGCCTGAGATGTGAATCATCCCTTTGTCCAGCATATCTACACTGTAGACGCTACCCACCTGTTAGTCATTGCATAGCCACGTGCTTATCAAATCAACTGTCATGGCATCCAGTATTTCAGTGCTTGTGTTCAAGGTTGATAGTGGCCTAACACTACATCACAACGGCTGTGTCATTCACCTCTCTTCATCTCATCGCAAATGCATTTTGTCATCTCACATCATCACAAGAAGAAGGGTGAGTCCAGTGCAATAAGATATTTTGAGAGAGAGACTACAGTCACATAACTTTTATTACAGAATGTTATAATGGTTCTAGTTTATTATTAATTATTGTTAATCTCTTACTGTGCCTTATTTGTAAGTTAAACTTTATCACAAAAATAAGTGTATGTAGAAAAAACTTAGCATACAGAGGGTCTCATACTATTCACTATTTCAGGCATCCCCTGGGCACCTTGGAATGCATCCCCTATAAATAAAAGAAGACTAATGGAAAGAACCCTTGTCTTCGCAACATCTAGATTAAGAAATGGAATATTACAAATAGAAATATGGCCACCTTCATGTTTCTCTTTGATCTGATTTTCCTCCTTTCAGTCTCAGAGTTAATCTAATCTTAAATTCAGTCTCTCTTAATTATGTATATATATATAGATAGATATAGATATATATACTTTTTAACATTTTCATGGGTCTCAAGTCTATACATAGTATTGTTTTTCATTTATAAAACATCATAAACTGATAACATACTGTATGTATTCCTCTGTTCCTCTCTTTCTGGCTGGACCCTGTGTGTGAAGTTTATGGAGATAGCACATTTTTTCTGTGCTGTGCATTGTTCCATCATGTGAATAATCTTCAGTTGTTTATCATTTCTTTGTGGCTCTTACAAACAGTGCTGCTAAGATCTTTCTTTTCTCATTTTCTCTTTTCTTATCTCTCCTCTTTTTTTTTCTTTTCTTTCTTTTTTTTTTCTTCTTTCTACAGAGCCTTGCTTTGTTTCCCAGGCTGGGTGTAGTGGTGCCTTCTTAGCTCACTTCAGCCTGGAACTCATGGGCTCAGGCAATCCTCCTGCCTCAGCCTCTCAAGTAGGTGGTACTACAGATGTACACCAACACACTCAGCTAACTTTTCCATTTTTTGTAGAGATGGGGTGACATTTTGTTCCTGTGCTCAAGTGATCTTCCTACCTCGGCCTCCCAAAGTGCTGGGATTAGATTACAGGCATGTGCCAACATGCCTGGTCCGAAGAACTGTCTTGGTCATGTCTCCTTAAGCGCATGTGTAAGAGCTTCTCCAGGGACATATAAATAAGTAGGAGTGAAATTGCTGGGTTGTTGGCTCATTTTCAACTTTACTAGGTCTTATTAAATTTCTCTCCAGAATGGTTGCACCGATTTATACTCCTACTAGGATTGCTTAAACATTCCCAGAGTGCCACATCCTGCCAAGTTTTGATTTTGCCAGACTTAATTTTTTTTGGTCCATCTATTGTTTGTGACATGATATCATTGTGGTTTTTATTAGAATTTACACATTAAATGGAGCTGACCATCTTATTACATGTTTATGGGCCCTTTATTTAAAGTACCTCTTCTTTGAGGTGCCCGTTCATGTGTTTTTCTTATATTTTCCTTGGATTGTTTGTTGGGTTCTTATTGATGTATGGGATACCAGTCCTTTTTTGGTTATATGCATTGCAACTATCTTCTTTCACTTTGTGTCTTGCATTTTTGATGTTTTTATTTGCGTCTTTCGATGAACAGAATATTTTATTTTAATGCAGTTGTGTTTATCAGACTTTTCCTTTGCTATTTGTACTTCTGCGATTCTGCTTAAGGAATATTTACAACCTTAGATTCATAAAAATATCCTGTACTGTAAGCATTGAACTTTTTATATATTTGTGAATAAACAATTTACCAGCCCCATTTACTGGGCAGCCTATCTTTTTCCTATTGGTCTGCAATGCCAATTACATCACATATCAAGTTTTCAGATGTATGTGGGTCTGTTTTTGGGCTCTTCCTTCTGTAGCATCTGAATCCTTAATGAGATTTAATATTCCATTTGTGAGGAACTACACCTTTATTATTTTAAGCATACTGCTGTACTATCAGTATCACTGAATCAGTCTATCTTTTAGTCAATCAAAAAAAAAAAAAAACTATTACAGAATTCCAAGCTGTGTGATCAGCATTGAACTGGAAACAGTGCAGGGAGTTCAATAAGAGAATAAAGTATGAAACAAAGTCTCTGCCCTCATGACGGATGGGGAAAAGCAAGGAACAAGCATTTATTACGTACTTAGTCTGAGCTAGGCATCCTGTGAGAAGCTTAAAGGAGTTAATCTTTCTAGGTATTCAATGTTAACTCTTATGAAACAATTAGAGCAAGCTTGTCTAACCTGTGGCCCTTGGGCTGCATGTGACCCAGGATGGTTTTGAATATGGCCCAGTACAAATTTGTAAGCTTTCTTAAAACATAATGAGTTTTTTTTGCAATTTTTTTTAGCTCATCAGCTATCATTAGTGTTAGTGTATTTTATGTGTGGTCCAAGACAATTTTTCTTCTTCCACTGTGGCCCAAGGAAGCCAAAGATTGGAAACCCCTGAATTAAAGAATACGTTCAGGCAAATTTTATTTCTGTTTAATTGTACTTTTTAGTCTGTAAGTACTAGAGAAGTTCAAGAACATGTTTGACCCTATGCATAATTTATTAATTTATAAAGAAGGGAGAGTGTGATTATGGGATGGGCAAACAGGAGTATAAGTACTTGGCACTGAATTAACTTGGGTATTTTTAAACTCTTCTAAATCTATATTTCTGCCTAGAGTTACATTAGTTCTATAGAAAACTGCTCTTTTTCACAGAATAATTTGTGGCATAAAATGTTGAACCCAACAGGAGCATTGTCAGGGTTCTCTAGAATTCTTTGTCCAAACCAGGTGGACTTCAAGTGGGAAGCCCCACCCACTGGAAGGCAGGTCTTTCTGTGTGGTTAATGTGGAAGCAAATCCCAGGTCTTGGTCCTCTCAGGACCTTAATTTGAGGTCATTGAAAAAAATAACCTTGCAACTATCAGATGAAATTCTTCAGAATTTTTTGACATATTTGATAATCATATAAAATTATTTATATCTGTGTACAATCTAGGGTTTCTCCAATACAAAAGAGCAATGACACAAGATGAAATAGAGAGAAAAGACCACCTTTAAAGAAATGGCTGATTTTTACTCCTCTATTTAGTGGGGGTTAAATTAAATAATGCCAATGACAAGTTGTCCAAACATGGCTGAATCAGTAAGGTCATCTAATTCTTAATTAATATTAGTCCTTAATTATGAGAAATTTAGAAAGCACACGTGTGTGTGCATACACACAAACAACATCTAGATCAGTTTATAGAGTAGCTATTTCTATTATGAATACAAATTTTGGCATGTTAATATAGAGCAATTTTAAAAGAGGTTTAAGTTTGTCAGATACAATTACCTATCATAGATATTTTAAATAACAATTCTATTCATTTTTCACAAACAAATTCTTTGGCTTCATGTAGAAATTGTTTTACTGTCTGCTCACCTTTCTTTTGGAAGTACATCTCAAACCAATTAACATGTAGGCTAGAAAAGAAATCCTGGCTGGCTGCATACATCCTCCCACCCAGGCTACATAATTTTCATTATTTACCAGTATCTACTCAGTGCTACTCAGTGAGGCACCAAGGAAGTACTGAATGCCCACTCCACTTGCCAGACTTTGGACTGGGTGCTTTCTATACCTTGCCATTTCACTGTGTTTAAGCTGTTGAATATATATAGAAACTTGGAAATTGGTGGAAAAACAGCTTAGCATAAAGTTAAGTTGTATGATTTTCTTCTGTAATAAAAACTTGTCTTCTATTATAAAAACTCAGTCAAATCCATGCATAATAAAAATTGATGATATTTAATCCTCAGATGATTAATCAAATCATCAAGTATGTCATAAAAATAGGACAAATCAATGATATGCTATTCAAGATAGCATTCTCACATAGCAGCAATATGGTATTCTTTGGTGTGTTTGTCATTGACAGAATTTAAATTATACTAGGCATAATGCTATTTGAGAATTTTTGATAGAAAAAAATAATTCTAACAAAATTTAAGCATCCTCCTTTATTTTACAAAAAATGTACATTGTTTCTTTCCTTTTTACTTGTGTGGCTAAAGGTGTTAGAAAGTCAATGTTTGCACTTTTAATCAATATAGAACAAAGGACCTTGTGTATGTTCACTGTTGAGTACATTGGTCAAATGTTTAATCAAGATGATTCTTTCCTGAGGTGTGTATTTCATCTCGTATAATTTTTTAGGAGTTCATTTGGCAGACGAAGCAAGGCAACCTTTTGTGAAATTGAACTGTTAAACCTCATCTCAGATAAGAAAGAAAATTCCAATTCATATACCTTGGACTAATGACCACATCAATGCTATATGCAAATATTTTTACATATTTCTCTTGTATAAATATATCATTCAAAGTATCTGTCTTTTGAATCTGTATAGGTAATAGGAAATCAATTTTCTGATATGAATATTCTCAAAATTCGTGCAACAAATGAAAACTACTTGTGAAATTCCTCCTATTGACATTAACATCATCAGAATTCTAACTGAAGTAGTCATTCAGTCCTTGTTCATTATAGTGTCTGGCTTTGTGATTTCCTGTAGAGAGAAGACATGCTTATTTTTCACTTCCAGGTCAAGTATGTGAAAGAGATGCTATACTGAGTCCTCAGCACTCCTTATACTTTAACAGAGTTTTCCTTTTCTTTTCCCAGCTTTACTTCCAAAGCATATCAGAGAGAGGCAAAGAGCATCTCCAGTTCAAAAATTCACTGTCACCCCATGTGGAATACACATTTGTAGTCCATTAAATGTGCAAAACTTCCGAAGTATGCAAAACTCCTTTTGGGTATTTTACAAAATCATCACTATTCTTAGGATGTTGCTTCTGCATAAGCTAACATTTGTCATTTGCGCTCAGGCCATTCCGAACCTCTTTCTACTCCAAATTCGAATGAACAGCCCAGAAATTATCCAGGAGAAAATTCAATAACTTTTAATTAATTTTGCATGACCTGGAGAAAGAAGAGAAATTGCATGCAAGCAATAATGCTGCCTGTATTGCATGTCTGAAATATAGACCAGCCCAACTCTGCACAACCTCCCGTTTCAAATATATCTAAATCAATTCCCTTTTGTAAAGTAACTCATTCTTATTGCTGTCTAGTTATGCCTAGATGCCTGAGATAAGATGCCCTTCTACCTTAACCTTCATTATTCTTTCAAAAGTTTGCAATATGTTGGATACATTATTATTTTTCCTCTCATTTTTGAAAACAGTTTTTTATCAGAACCACACTGGTTGATGTAAATAGATTTTTAAAATATAACTGTATACCTATATAATGAATTATGTAATTATCCTGGAATTAAAAAGAGCATACATATTTTCCATTGAATTCAATAAACTTTTATTTTATACCAACCTTGTTTATAGCAGTGTGCTGAGGACATGCCCAAGGTCAGATAATGCCATGTCTCTGATTCCAGAAAATGTAGTCCAATGTGGTAGATGACATTCACAGATAATTGCGTCATGGTGTGGGATGTAAGAAATACTAGAGAAGTATTAGGTCACTGCAAAAGTATTCGTGGTTTTCGCCATTACTTTTAATAGCAAAAACCATGATTACTTTTGCACCAACCTAATATAAAAGCGCAAGAACTAGACAGTCTAGTTGGAGGAGAAAGGAGAAGTTACAGGCTGGAGATTAGCAGATAAATTTTTATCAGATAGAAGTTGAAGGTTGAGGAATATTGTAGCACATTTTCCTCCATTTCCAGTCCTGTTAATAAGGCATGCTAGATGTGCTTCTGAATGAATAAAGGAGTTTAAATACTTCCCTCTGTAAATGTTTAGGATGTTAATTCTGAGTAAAGGTGATACAGGATATAAAATCAGTGTTTGGAGAAAGTAATATCAAAACATTGATCTTCCAAATGAAGGATATGTTTAAAATATTTTTAAAATCTTTGAGCTCATGTATATGATCAACAGCTTCACTTTATGGTTCATTAATATGTAATACTGCCCTGTTATGCATAGATATGTTAAAATAATTCTTTTAATTTTCTAATGCCCATCTCTCTTAGGGTAGTGTTTTCCGGAGTGTGGTTCCTGGGCCACCTACAGCAGAATTGCTTAGGGAGTGCTTGTTGAGTCAGAATCAGAAGTTCTGGGGCTAGAGCCAGAAGTTCTGGGGCTTTAGCACTACATGGGCCAGACCTGGTCCTGGAGGGGCTGTTGGTTTATGTCATAGCATTATAATCTCAAAAGTTTAGTGTGTTTATGTACAGGCTGTAGGATAATGTGTTCCTAATCTCATGGTCTTTGATCTCCTAGGTTAGGCCAAACCTTGCCAGATGATAGAGTGTGCAGCAATTGTAGTGGCATTTAGTTGTGAAAGATCTTAAGGCCTCTGGGCTATTGCTCCAAATTCAAGATCAAAGACTCTGATCCTAAAAGGAAATTTAAGCTGCATGGATGTGCTGATGGTTGTTTGCAAATGACTTAAAATAAATCTTTACTTCCAGTTTACTAGCTAAACTAAACTAGAAGTTATCTTGATTTGTTCTACAATATATCATCACCTAAAATATTACCTCCCATGGCCAACTATTGAAGTTTGTAATAGATTATCAAATGTATTTGTCAGTAATATCGGTTTCACCTGCATTTGGCTTATTACCTAGAAGTCAAGGTGATCTAACACCCATTGCTGAGACACTTAAAAACCCATCACTCTGTGTCCTCCTATTTCTGTGGGGCTCCTCTGGCCCTCGTAAATAGGATGTGGGTAGGACTCCTATGCTGGAGCCGCTCAAACCTTCTCCTCCAGAGCCAGTCACATTGGTGCCCTGGTGTTGGTGGCCACATCCTTGTCTTGCCCATTGAATTCATTTGTTGAAATTGTATAAGCCTCCCCAGGTTTCCCAGAACTGGGATCCTGTGATGTGTGCAATGTTTTTGGACATTTTTGCAGTCTCTGCTATCTTCCCCAGTTCCCCATCTATAGTGGGTTGTATGGCGGCTCTTAGAAAAAACATGTCATGCCCTAATACTCAGAACCTGTGACTATTACCTACATGGCAAAAGACCTGATTATTGATCTTTTTTTAACCTTTGATTTTATTTATTTTTTTTAATTTTTCTGGGTACATAGTAGGTATATATATATCAATATTTATGGTTACATGCAGTGTTTTGATACAGGCATGCAATGTGAAATAAAAACGTCATGGAGAATGAGGTATCTATTTCCTGAAGCATTTATTCTTTGAGTTATAAACAATCCAGTTACACTCTTCAGGTTATTTTTAAATGTGCAATTAAGTTATTGACTATAGTCCTTCTGTTGAGCTATCAAATAGTAGATGTTATTTATTCTTTCTATTTTCTTTTGTACCCATGTTAACCATCCCCACCCTCCCAATGCCCTGATACCCTTCCCAGCCTCTGATAATCATTCTTCTACTCTCTATGTCCATGAGTTCAATTGTTTTGATTTTTAGATCCGACAAATAAGTGAAAACATGCGATGTTTGTCTTTCTGTTCCTGGCTTATTTCACCTAATATAATGATCTCCAGTTCCATACACGTTGTTGCAAATGACTGGATCTCATTCTTTTTTATGGCTGAATAGTATTCCATTGTGTACATGTACCACGTTTTCTGTATCCATTCATCTGTTGATGAACACTTCAGTTCCTTCCAAATCTTAGCTATTATAAACAGTGCCACAACAAACACAACAGTGCAGCTATCTCTTCAATATACTGATTTCCTTTCTTTTGGATGTATACCAACCAGTAAGATTGCTGGATCATATGGTAGCTTAATTTTTAGTTTTTTTGAGGCATCTCTAAACTATTCTCCTTAGTGGTTGTACTAATTTACATTCCCACCAACAGTTTACAAGGGTTCTCTTTTGTTGACATCCTCACCAGCGTTTGTTATTACTTATCTTTTGGATGTAAGCCATTTTAACTGGGACAAGTATATTCTGGTTATTAATCTCTTGTCAGAGGGGTAGTTTGTAGATATTTTCTCCCATTCCATGGATTGTCTCTTCACTTTCTTGATTGTATCCTTTGCTGTATAGAAGCTTTTGAACTTGATGTGATCCCATTTGTCCATTTTTGCTTTGGTAACCTGTGCTTATGGGGTATTGCTCAAGAATTGTTTGACCAGAACAATGTCCTGGAGATTTTCCCCAATATTTATTTTCTTGTAGTAGTTTCATAGTTTGAGTTTTGTCTCTAATCCATTTTGATTTGACTTCTGTATATGGTGAAAGATAGGAATCTAGTTTCATTCTTCCGCATTTGGATGTCCAGTTTCACCGGTACCATTTATTGAAGACACAGTTTTTTTCCCCAGTGTATGTTCTTAGCACCTTTGTCACAAATGAGTTCACTGTAGGTGTGTGGATTTGTTTCTAGATTTTCTGTTCTCTTCCATTGGTCTATGTGTCTGTTTTTATGCCAGTACCATGTTGTTTTGTTTACTATACCTCTGTAGAATAATTTGAAGTCAAGTAATGTGATTCCTATAGTTTTGTTCTTTCTGCTTAGGATAGCTTTGGCTATTCTGGATCTTTTGTGGTTCCACATATATTTTAGGATTTTTTCTATTTCTTTGAAGAATGTCATTGGTATTTTGATAGGGATTGCATTGAATCTGTAGATGCCTTTGGATAGTACGGACATTTTAATGATATTGATTCTTTCAATCCATGAACATGGAATGTTATTCCATTTATTGATGTCCTCTTCAATCACTTTTATTGTGTTTTATAGTTTTTATTATAGAGCTCTTGCACTTCTTTGGTTAATTCCTATTTAATTTTATGTGTGGCTGTTGTAAATGTGATTATTTTTTCTTTTTCACATTGTTCACTGTTAGCATGTAGAAATGCTACTGATTTTTGCATGTTGATTTTGTATCCTGCAACTTTACTGAATTTATCAGTTCTAATAGAGTTCTTGTGGAGCCTTTAGGTTTTACCAAATATAAGATCATATCATCTGCCAACAAGGATAATTTGACTTCTTCCTTTCCAGTTTAGATGCCCATTATGTTTTTCTCTTGTCTGATTGCTCCAGCTAGGATTTCTAATACTATGGTGAATAACAGCGGTGGCAGTGAGTATCCTTGTCATGTTTCAGATATTAAAGGAAAGGCTTTTAGTTTTACTCCATTAAGTATGATACTAACTGTGGGTCTGTCATATATGGCTTTTATTATGTTGAGGTATGTTCCTTCTATCCCTAGTTTTTTTAGGGTGTTTATCATGAAGTGATGTCGAATTATATCAAATGCTTTTTCAGCATCAATTGAAATGATCATGTGGTTTTTATCCTTCGTTCTGTTGATATGGTGAATCACATAATTGATTTGCATATGTTGAACCATCCTTGCATCCCAGGGATAAAAACAGCTTTGTCATGATGAATGAATTTCCTAATGTATTGTTTAATTCAGTTTGCTACTAATTTGTTAAGGATTTTTGCATCAATATTCATCAGAGATATTGGCTTGTGGTCTTTTTTGATGTGTGTTTCTCTGGTTTTTGTATGAGGGTAATACAGACCTTGTAGAATGAGTTTGGAAGTAATCCCTCCTCTTCTATCTTTCAGAATCATTTGAGTAGGATTGCTATTAGTTCTTCACTAAATATTTGGTAGATTTTAGCAGTGAAGCCATCGGGTCCCAAGTTCTTCTTTACTGGGAAGATTTTTATTGTGGCATCGATCTTGTTATTTGTTATTGGTCTGTTCAGGTTTCGGATTTTTTTCCTCATTCAATCTTGGTTCTATGTATCTAGGAATTTTTCCATTTCTTCTAGATTTTTCCAATTTATTGACATATAGTTGCTCATAGTAGCCCCTAATAATCCTTTAAATTCGTGCAATATGAGTTATAATGTCTCTTTTATCATTTCTGATTTTATTTATTTGGATATTCTCTCTTTTGTTCTTAGTCTGGCTAAAGGTTTGTCAATTTTGTTTAACTTTCCAAAAAACCAACTTATTGTTTCATTCATACTTTGCATTTTTCTTTCAATTTCATTTATTTCTGTTCCGATCTTCATTATTTCTTTTCTTCTACTAATTTTAGTTTGGTTTGTTCTTGCTTTTCTAGTTTTTTAAGATGCATCATTAGATTTTTCACTTGAAGTTTTTTTTCTTTTTAGACATAGCCACTTATATCTATAAACTTCCCTCTTTTGAATTCTTCCTTCTTTTGAATTCTTTCAGTGATCCCATGGGTCATATTGTTTAATTCCCATGTGTTTGTATAGTTTCCAAAATTCCTCTCATTATTAATTTCAAGTTTTATTCCATTGTAGTCAGAGAAGATGCTTGATATTATTTCAATTTTTGAGTGTTTTCAGACTTGTTTTGTTACGTAACATATGGGCTGTCCTTGAGAGTGATACATGTGCCAAGGAAAACAATGTGTATTCTGTAGCTCTTGGATGAAATATTCTGTAAATATCTGTTAGATCTATCTGGTTGATAGTACAGATTAAGTCTAATGTTCTCTTGTTGACTTCCTGTCTCAAAGATTTGTCCATTGCTGAAAGTGGGGCCTGCAATCTCCAGCTATTATTGTATTGGGCCTATTCCTCTCTTTAGCTGCAATAATATTTCCTTTATACATCTGGGTACTCCAGGGTTGTGTGCATATTTATTTAAAATTGTTATATTTTCTTGCTGAATTGATGCCTTTATCATATACAGTGACTTTTTTGTCTCTTTGTAAAGTTTTTGTCTTAAAATATGATTTGTTTGATAGAAGTATAGCAACTCCTGCTCTTTTTTGATTTCCTTTGGCATGGAATATCTTTTTCCATCCCTTATTTTCAGTCCATGTGTGTCTTTATAGATGAAATATGTTTCTTGTGGGCAACAGATCAATGGGTCTTCTTTTTTCGTTTATTCAGCCAGTCTATGTCTTTTGATTGGAGAGTATAGTACATTTACATTGTGTTATTATTGACAAGTAAGGACTTTGCCTGCCATTTTGTTATTTGTTATCTGGTTGTTTTATGGTCTTCTCTTTTTTCTTTCATTTCTGTCTTCCTGTAATGAAAATAATTTTCTCTGGTGATCTGAATTAGTTTCTTGCTTTTTAGTTTTTGTGTATTCATTGTATGTTTTTTAGTTTGAGGTTACCATAGGGTTTGCAAATACTATTTATAACCAACTACTTTAACCTGATAACAACTTAACACTATTGGCATAAACAAACAAGGAAAAAGAAAATTAATAAAAACTCTACACCTTAACTTTGTTCCCCCATTTTTAATTTTTTTGTTTCTATTTACATCTTATTGTACTATGTCCTGAAAATGTGTTATAGTTATTATTTTTATTAGTTCATCATTTAGTCTTTCTACATACAATAAGAGTAGTTTATACACCAGAGTTACAGGGTTATAATATTCTGTATTTTTCTGTGTGCTTACTATAAATGTTGAGTTTTGTACCTTCAGATGACTATTTATTGCTCATTAGTGTTCTTTTCTTTATGACTGAAGTACTCTCTTTAGCATTTCTTGTAGGACAGGCCTGGTATTGATGAGATCCCTCAGCATTTGTTTGTCTGGGAACATCTTTATTTCTTCCTTGTGTTTGAAGGATATTTTCAATGGATATACTATTCTAGGGTAAAAGTGTTTTTCCTTCAGCACTTTAAATATTTCACTCTCTCCTGGTCTGTAAGGTTTCCACTGAACAGTCTGTTGCCAGACATATTAGAGCTTCAGCTTATGTTAATTGTTTCTTTTCTCTCGCTGTTTTTAGGATCCTTTCTTTATCCTTGGCCTTAGAGAGTTTTATTATTAAGTGCCTTAAGGTAGTCTTCTTTGGGTTAAATCTGCTTGGTATTCTATAACCTTCTTGTACTTGGATACTGATACATTTCTTTAGGTTTGGGAAGTTATCTGTTATCCCTTTGAATAAACTTTCTACTCCTATCTCTTTTTCTACCTCTTCTTTAAGGCCAGTAACTCTTAGATTTGTTCTTTTGAGGCTATTTTCTAGATCCCATAGGTCTGGTTCATTGTTTTTTTATTCTTTTTTCTTTCATCTCCACTGACTGTATTTTCAAATAGCTTGTCTTCAGGCTCACTAGTTCTTTCTTCTGCTTGACCAATTCTGCTGTTAAAGGACTCTGATGTGTTCTTCAGTATGCTAATTGTATTTTTCAACTCCAGAATTAGTGCTTGATTCTTTTTAATTATTTCAATCTCTTTGCTAAATTTATCTGATAGAATTCTGAATTGCTTATATGTGTTATCTTGAATTTCTTTGAGTTTCCTCAACGCAGCTATTTTGAATTCTTGGTCTGAAAGATCGCATCTCTCTGTTTCTCCAAGTTTGGTCTCTGGTTCCTTATTTATTTCATTTGGTGAGGTCATGCTTTCCTGGGTGGTGTTGATCCTACTAGGTGTTCTTTGATGTCTGAGCATTGAAGAGTTAGGTATTCATTCTAGTCTTTACTGTCTGGGCTTATTTGTAGTCATCCTTATAGGGAAGGCTTGCCTGATATTTGAAAGGACTTCGGTGTTGTGATCTAAGCTGTATCTTCCTTTGGGGGCACCCCAAGCCCAGTTACACTGTGGTTCTTGCAGACTCATAGAGGTACCACCTTGATGGTCTTAATTAAGACCCAGGAAAATTCTCTGTATTACCAGGCAGAGTCTCTTGTTCTCTTCCCTTACTTTCTCCTAAACATACAAAGTATCTCTCTCTATTCTGAGCCACCTAAAGCTGGGAGTGGAGTGATACCAGCACACCTCAGTGGCCACCACCACTAAGACTGTGCAGGTTAGACTTTGATATTGTTTGGCTCTGTGTCTTCAACCAAATCTCATATCTAATCGTAATTGCCAATGTTGTGGGAGGAGCTGGTGGGAAGTGATTGGATCATGGAGGCAGATTTTCCCCTTGCTCTTCTCATGATAGTGAGTTCTCATGAGATCTGGTTGTTTAAAAACGTGTAGCACTTCCCCCTTCGCTTGCTCTGTCTCTCCCCACTGGTACACCATGTGAAGAAGGTGCTTGCTTCCCCTTTGCCTTTCTACCATGATTGTAAGTTTCCTGAGGCCTCCCCAACCATGCTTTCTGTACAACCTGCAGAACTGTGAGTCAATTAAACCTCCTTTCTTCATAAATTACCCAGTCTCAGGTTTTTTTATAGCACTGTGAGAACAGACTCATATAGACCTGAAGCCAGTACAGCACTGGGTCTCGCCCGAGACCTGCTGTAACCACTCCCTGGCTACTTCCTGTATCTTCTCAAAGCCCTTGGGGCTCTACAATAAGCAGGTGGCAAAGCCATCCAGGCCTGTGTTTTTCCCTGCAGGGTGGTGAGGTCCCCCAGGCCCCTAGGTGGGTCCATAAGTGCCATCTGGGAGTCAGGGACTAGAATCAGAAACCTTAGAAGTCTACCTGGTGTTCTATTGTACTGTGGCTGAGCTGGCACTCAGACCACAAGACCTAGTCCTTCTCATTCCTCCCTCTTCTTTCCAAATCCATAGGAGCCTCACCCATACCCACTGCCATCCCAAGCCATGAGGAGTACTGCCAAACTAGCAAATGTTCCCTTAAGGCCCAAGGTTTCTTAGGTCAACTTCTGGTAAATGCTGCCTGGCCTGGGACTTACCCTTCAGGGCATTGCCCTTCCCTCTGGGAAGGTCCAAACATGTCATCCAAGAGTCAAGTCCTAAAACTGGGAAACCCAAGAGCCTGCTTGGTGCTTTTCTCCCCTGTGGCTGTGCTGGTGCCTAAGGTACAAGACAAAGCCCTTTTTACTTTTCCTTCTGCTTTTCTCAAGCAGAAGGAGTTTTGCCCCTTTGCCACCACAGCTGGTAAGGTACTGAGTTTCTCCTGAAGTCAGCAAGTCTCAGAGGCTCACCAAGGTCCTTACCTACATAGTACCTGGGCATCACTGCTGGTTATTCAGGACCCAGGGACTTTTCAGTTAACAAATGAGGAATGCTGCCAAGACTGGGTCCTTTTCTTCAAGGCAGTGGGATCCTTCCTGGCCCAGAGTGTTTCTAGATATGTGGTCTGGGAACTAGGTCCTGAAGTGGGGCCTCATGACTCTGACCAGTGCCGTATCCTGCTGTGGCTCAGCCGGTATCCAATATGCAAGACAAAGTCCTCCCTACTCTTCCCTCTCCTCTCCTCAAGTAGAAGGAAGGGGTGTCTTTTGTAGCTGTGAGCTGTGCAGCTGGGGTAGGGGAGGGGTGATGCCAGCACTCCCTTGGCTGCCCCAGCTGGTATCTCAGAAAGTCACATGCCCCACCCACCCGCCAGCAGACCACTGTCTGTGGGCCTAGTTCAGCACCAGGACTCACCTAAAAGTTGCAATCCTTATGGCCCAGACTGCCTTTCAAGTTTACTCGGAGACATGGAGCAATGTGGCCCTCAGTGGCAAGGTTTGCAGGCACTCAAGTTCCAACAGCTGGGATCTGTGATTCCCCTCTGGCTGAGGCTGGTTTAAATGCTCCCTCTCAGAGTGGGCAGCAGCTGAGTTTGGTCCGGTTTTCCTTTCTGCTCTATCAAGATAGCACTGAATTTGATGCTTCACAATCACTGTGTTCTCCCTCCCCCAGCACCAAGAGATGCTATTGGCACCATGCCTCTGCTGCTGCTGGGGGTAGGGGAGGGATGGTGTCAGTGATTCAGGATTTTTAAAAAAATCTCTTCAGTGCCTCTTTCAGCAATATGAAGTTACAATCAGGTACTGTGAATACTCCCCTGATTTTTGGTACTTATGAAGGTGTTTTTTTTTTCTGTATATGAAGTTGTTAACTTGGTGTCCTTGTAGGGGGAACAATCGGCAAAGCCTTGTATTCCACCATCTTACTCTGATTATTGATCTTAAAGGAGGAGTTTATCTTGAGTTATCCAGATGGTCCCTTAATGCATATATCCTCTCACAGAATTCATAGAGGAGGATGCAATGTGAAGATGTGAGAGAGAGAGAGAGATGCAGCCACAAGCCAAGGAAGGCAGCAGCCACCAGAAGCTGCAGGAGACAAGGGATAGGTTCCCGCTGCATTGGAGGGAATATGGCCCTACTGACACCTTGATTTTGGACTTCTGGCCTCTAGAACTGTGAGAGAATAAATTTCTGTTGCTTTAGCCACCCAGTCTATGGTATTCCCCTACAGCAGCCTGAACTGAGATAATCCCCAAGCCTCACTTTGTGCCTGTGTATCCGCTATTTATGATAAAAAATAATATTTGCAATAACTTAGTTTTTATGTCTTAAGATTTCCACATGTCAACCTAGCTTCATCCAAATGACCAGTCAGAATGCTTTGTACTTACCTTGAGTCACTTGTTTTTCCAATCAGAGGTGAAGCTTTCATCCTGGGGTCCTCATGCAGCCCCCAGATCCTTTCCACCATTTAAAAATATGGAGATATCTATAAAGTTCGGATTTACACCTTCTTCTGAGAACTGAGAGACCTTTCGACACAGGCTCACCATGGTGCCCAGCAGGCGTGGTCAGATAGAGACAAACACGGCGGCTGGGCTGCTCCCTTGGCCTGTCCCTCAACTTGCTTTCCTTGCCCAGCCCTTGCAGGCACTGAGTGTGAGGTGCCCATCCATCACCCTAAGAACAGGTGCCTCCCCAGAATACTTCATCATGAGATGGCCCCTGTGACCCCCAAGGTCATTCCCATCTCACAGTTAATTTTCTGATTCTGTGATTTGATGGGAAATTTCTCAGTGATTAAACTTCTTATTTTCTTCCCTGAAACCGAATCTATACCAGTGACGGCATTTCTACATGTGTAAACTAGAGAGGCATTTCTGAAACACTGTTTCTGTGTCGGAGGGGGTTTTGACCAACAGCTTCTACAAGTGCCTGTTTGCACTGACAGCTGCGTAGTAACTGAGAGGATTTTCTTGATTTGGGCAGCCAATCTTACCAGGGCCTGAGGGATATTTTCTTTTCTAAAGGAGTTAGCTATATAACCAGAAAAATCCTTGTAAACATTTCTTTTTGTCCAATGGGTTTCCAAAATCGATTATAGCTTGTTTGGAGCAGGAAAATAAATGAGAGTGAATAGTCAGGGAGCATCTTCTGGCACCACTGATGTTCACTGCCCCAATTTCCTTTTCTTTTTTGTGTCCCCTAGCACAGCCTGATATGCCTGGGGATAATTGTTAGCCTATACCATTACATGTGGCAAGTAGCGCTCATTTCAGGGGACTGGGAAATCCCTTGTAATAGATACTTATAAAAATCCATGTAATAGATTTTCAGGAAATATTGACTGATTGCAGGTGTCCGATCATAGCACCCTAGATGTCATGTCTACTTTTAAATATGAACCATTTTTGAAAGACTTATACAAGCTAGATTGGATCCACAATGGTGTTATCTAGCAACCCCTTTTTCTTCCTTAAATGAACCTCCCCCTGCTCCCCATGTAGTGGTACGCTGGGTGAGAGGGACCTGGGTTTGAATTTTGCCTCTATCAAGGTTTGATTGGTCTGGGGCAAGTTACTTTAACTCTGTGATCTGATTGTCTACAAATGGGGACAGTAATGCCTACCTCAGAAAATTGTGGCAAAAGAAAATGTCATAATATACTTACTTACCACAGTGATATACTTACCACAGCATCTGACATAAGATACCTATCTGCCTCATTGCTGTAGTAAAAATTACAACTGCCTATGTTGCTGTAAAATGTATGGGAGAGTCACTCATCTGTCATGACCTCAATTCCCTAGGACATAGCCGAGAACCTGTATTAGGCCATTCTTGCATTCCTATGAAGAAATACTATAGACTTGGTAATTTATAAATAAAAAAAGTTTAATTGGCCCACAGTTCTGCAGGCTGTATAGGAAGCATAGTGGCATCTGCTTCTGGGGAGGCCTCAGGAAGCTTCCAATCATGGCGGAAGGCAAAGGGGGAGCAGGCACATCACATGGTGAAACCAGGAACAAGAGAGCGAGGGGAAGGTGCCACACACTTTTAAAGGACCAGATCTCATGAGAACTTGCTTACTGTCATGAGAACAGCACCAAGAGGATTGTGCTAAGCAGCACCAAGAAGATTATGCTAAGCCATCCATGAGAAATTCATCACCGTGATCCAGTTACCTCCCACCAGGCCCTACCTCCAACATTTGGAATTAAAATTCACCATGAGATTTGGGTAGGGACACATATCTAAACTATATCAAAATCTAAAAAGAAATTAAAAAGGTTTTGTTGTTAAAGCAGTTGCCTTAGGATCCATGTACTAAATTGCAAGTGCTTTACTTTTTGAGGACTGTGGTTCTCACTTATAAATAGTGTACTCCTACCTTGTTTTACATTGCTAACCAACTTGGTTATAAGGTTTCTAAATTCATAGCAATGCAGCAAGAGGAGTATTGTATGGATATAAATTACTCTTAGAGGTACCTATGGCAATAACAGTGGCATACAAGTGACATTAAGGAAAGGGACAGGAAATTTATGATATATGCTCAGCATTGATAGTTATAGTGATTATTCTAAATGATCATGGAAAAGTAAAATTATCTTCAGGTCATACCAAGAAGACTTAAAAGAATATGCTTCATTTCTGGAAAGTAATTTCCACACTTTTTAAGTTTGCTTGATTGAATGGGCAGCTAATAATTTATCTGGAAAATCCATGTACTTGAAATATCTTATTTTTTATTCCTCTAAGAATAAAAAAATGTTAAGGACAGTAATACAAGATAAGTATCCCTTATTCAGAATGCTTGGAAACAGAAGTATTTCAAATTTCAGATTTTCTCAGATTTTGGAATATTTGCATTGTACTTACTGGTTGAGCATTCCAAATCCAAAAATCTGAAATACAAAATACTCCAATGAGCATTTCCTTTGCATATCTTGTCGATGCTCAAAACGTTTTGGATTTTGAATTTATATTAACTTTTCTGGGTCCATGAGAAAACATGTTCAGAGGTATGTTAAATAATTCCCTCTAGGAATTTTATTATGAGATTTAAAAATTTAACATGCAAGTAGAAACTCAAAGTGATACTATGCAAATATTATTATATAAACATATGCAACACTGCAAAAATTGAATACCTGAGCAATTGAGCCAAAAATAATTTCTAAATGAATTATAATTTTATAAATTGTATGTTAGCATATAATATGCATTGTTGGAAAAGATCATTTGTATAAGAAAAATATGTTTCTTCTTGGAATCACAGAAGTTTCAAACTGGAAGGAACCTAACAGTTCTAGTCCAGCCTCCCCTCTGAGACAGGAGTCCCCTTTACAACTCCCTATATACCCTTAGTGTCATGAAGCAGTTTGGATAATGGATGCTGGAGCCAAATTGCCTGAGTTTGTATTCCAGCTCTACCACTTACACTCTGTGTGACCTTGAGCTAGTCACTTGACCTGCCTGTCTCACGTGCTTCATCTAATTATTGGGGAGAAGTATGATAACTACACATAGAAATTATTATCTTGAAAATTATATGAGTTAATACATGCAAAGCACTTAAAATGGGGTTTGGAATATAGGTACCAATAAATTGTTTAGTGACATATAATCTATAATCCTTTAAATTAGGAGCTACACTAAGTGAAAAGAAGAGACGAGGGTATTTGTCATATGGTTCATGGGTGTTACATGCTGGGGTGATGTGTATGAACTGACCTGTCTGCGTTAGAACCATCAGACCTTGACGCTTGTCATGTTTTCTTGTCATAGTCATATTAATGGTTACCAGGTCATGGGGGAAGTAGGTACAGGGAGACGCCATTATTACTTGAAAGGATAGCTACAGTAGCCAGTTGCAGAATGTCTTGCCCTCCCTGATGCATTTACTCCCTTGGAAGTGAGTCTCTCACCCTTCTCAACAGCATGACTCACAGCACTTTGTAAGGGCGCATTGGAATGAACTGCCCTGGTGGGTATCCTGGGTGACATAGACAGGAATAGAGCAGGACAGAAGAGACAGGCTAGCATTGAGTTGCATGTGATGCTAGAGGTCTCGCTGAATCCTGGCTGGACCATAGCTAAAAATATTCATCAAGCGAGAAGTGTATCTCAATGAGCACAATGGACCACAGTGATAGGAACTTTGTCTATAGAAAGATTAGGATCAAATTAGCATGTAAGAGAGGTGTTGGCAGAAGGAATTCGAGGCCAGCACCAAGGATAGTTCCCTGCAAGGCTTCAGCGCACAGACTTTCTCAAAAACAGTTCAGTCTCTGATCCAAGCTCTCCTTTGACTAAATATGCCTGGGCCTAGAAGGGAAATCTAATAAAGCCAGTTTAAATGAAGGTCACATCTTTTCCTCCCAATAAGTCTTTATGGTTTGTTCAGAATAGCAGCAAAATGTTGCTTATGTTGAAAGGTGCCTGATTTTCTGAATTCTTGAACATTTTTCATTATGATTTCCTTCTGGAATGCTTCTTCTTATTCTTAAGGCCAGGGAAGTTTCCTGAGAGTGAATCCACAATGATCCTTGACTGTGTTCTTAAAAAAAAAAAAAAACACTAGAACAGATTTAGTTGACTGTGACTTTAGATGACCATGTTAAGAATATGTGCTACTCAGCAAAAGAACCTATCATCAAACAACCTACAGAATGGGAGAAAATTTTTGCAATCTATCCATCTAACAAAAGTCTAATATCCAGAGTCTACAAGGAACCTAAACAAATTTAGAAGAAAAAAACCACAAACCATTAAAAAGTGGGCAAAATACATGAACAGACACTTCTCAAAAGTAAATATTTATGGCATCCAACAAACATGAAAAAAAGCTTAACATCACTGATCATTAGAGAAATGCAAATCAAAATCACAATGAGATACCATCTCACACCAGTCAGAATAGCAGGTATTAAAAAGCCAAGAAACAACAGAGGCTTGGGGCCTGTCGGAGGAGAGGGGGAGGGAGAACATCAGGAAAAATAGGTAATGCATGCTGGGCTTAATACCTAGGTGATGGGTTGATAAGTGCAGCAAACCACCATGGCACAAATTTACCTATGTAACAAATCTGCACATGATGCACATGTACTGTGGATCTTAAAAATTTTTTAAAATAATATGTTCTACCCTTTCTGGGCAGTCTCATCATGACTACAATCCCTGGAGCTTAAGAATGAACTTGAATCTTTTGTGGCTCAGATAGAAATATCACTAAAATCTGTGCTAGAAATAATCTGTTCACTAATCCCAGGCTATAGTTATTTGGAAAGTTCTGAATTCACTCCTCTTGGTCTTGTCTTTCTCTAGGTCTGCTCCTTGCTAACATTTAGTGGAGTGTTGATGCCATAATTAACAAAGTGTCAGGCTCTCCTCTAAAACTCACTTCTACCCACAGCACCCAACAGTAACTTTTGACAATTTTTCACACCTCTCACAGATGCTTAATCCACTCAGAAATAAGCGGTAATAC
Organism: Homo sapiens; assembly: GCF_000001405.40. Taxonomy (NCBI): domain Eukaryota; kingdom Metazoa; phylum Chordata; class Mammalia; order Primates; family Hominidae; genus Homo; species Homo sapiens. The sequence goes on along the minus strand of NC_000002.12, from coordinate 133,025,466 downwards.
TTTATTCACCAGCCCCTACACCTGTACTTTCCATCAGTGAGCTAACTTTCATTGAATGACATGATCGTAGTTTTCTCTTCCTGGAAGCATGCAAAGTAGAAGCTTTTTCTTTCTCCGAAGCCAAAATAAAGCAAATAAACATATGCTGACTGATTAGTAGCTTTACATTGTATGTATCAACTAGCATTTAGTCATGTTTAGAGATCTAGGTACTGGAAATCATTTTCCCCAATGTAGGAAAAAGTTTTGGATTGTTGCCTAGTTTTAAATCTTCTTGCAACATCATACTTCAACCACAAAAGATAGTAGGAGGAATAAGTTGGAGAAAATTGGATGGTAATAAGGATGGTAAAGTGAAGAGAGGAAGCACATTTTCTTTGTCCGTTTCTCTAGGGTGGTAATTGGACTAATTCATCTGGTATTATCATTCTTTTCAAAACACCTAAAAGCATAGTCAAAAATAGTAGACAACTATACGACTTGGTTATCTTTTCAGATCCATCATCATATTTTCTATATGGCATATAGTCAAATGCATTATCACTCCTGGAAGATGTGTGGTGGGTCTCTTTGCAACATGGTGTGTGGCTCTAGCCACACATGCTAGGCAGCTGGGACTGAGTTCCCAAATCCAAGGAAACATATCATAAAATGTTCTCTCCTAAATTAACAAAACTGTTATTCATATAAAGTTGATAAATAAGAGGAGAAGATTGAGAAAACAGGTTTCTTTATGAGCGCAAGCTAGAAAGCTACTCAGTTTTGCTTCTATATTTCCAAATAGCATATAATGATAGAATGATTATATAGTAAATCATGTTAATTACTTTCTTCCACAGCTGTTGTTTTCAATATGGGGAAATTATAATTGTTTAAAATAAGTGTATAACTTTCTCCTACATTTAGTGTACTAAATACAAGTAAATGAGGTTTTGAACATCTTTTAAAAATGTTTTATCTTTAATGAAAGATATGTTAACTCTAAATTTTCAGAATTAAATAAAATGCCATAGTTTATGTTTGCTTATTCAGATTCATAATTTGATTGCATAATGAGTATTACATTTTAGTGCTATGTAAGATATGAGTAAAACTTTTCTTTGAATTATTCTCATTTGATATCTTGTAAAGGTCTGATAGTTGTCATTCTTAGCTTATAGTCTACTAAAATATGTGTCTGTGTACAGTTTGTTTTCATGCAACTTATTTATTTCAAATATATACAGTAGGTGATGACATTAACTTCTTTTTTGTGAGATAGTTTTGAGTATCCTTTGAATTTTCTTTGGAAGAGCTTGTACTATATCTGCAAACTTAATCCCAATATGCATTGAAGAACTGTGAAGTACACACAATTCTATTTGGGTCATAGATGTTTATACTTTATGGTTAGGTCTATTTAATGTTTTTATATAGTTTACATTCATGTCAGTGAGAAGGAGTTAAGACATACATACATATCTCAAATGCAAAGGCTATATATTGAATATATGCAGGAGAGCCAGTCCTGGGTGTAAGGACTGATAGGGAATAAGTTCCTTGCTGATTATAAATAAGATGATTTTCACAGCAATATTCACAATAGCAAAGACATGAAATCAACGTAGCTACCCATCAATGGTGGATTTAATTTTAAAAATGTGGTACATATATACCATGGAATACTACACACCCATAACAAAGAATGAAATCATGTCCTCTGCAGCAGCGTGGATGCAGCTGGAGGTCATTATCCTAAGCAAATTAAGGCAGGAACAGAAAATCGAATATTGCATATTCTCACTTACAAGTAGGAGCTAAGCACTACGTATACATGGACACAAAGATAGGAATAATAGACCCTGGAAACTACTAGACGTGGAAGGGAGGGAGAGGCATGGGCTGAAAAACTACCCATTGGGTAATACGCTCAGTACCTGGGTGATGGGATTCATACCCCAAATCTCAGCTTTATGCAATATACCCATGTAACAAATCTGTACATGTACCCCCTAAATCTAAAATAAATGTACAATTATAAAAAATCAATAAAGATAATTTGCAACCAAGCTTTACTTAAAGGAGAAACAGAAGCAGGATGAAGAAATGTAAGAACATTATAATAGAACAAATATATGTATATGTTAAAATAATATGAAAAAATATTCACAGGTCTAAGAGACAGTATGAAAAAGTGCTGGTGAACATTAATATGGAGAAAACTTAAAAGTTTGAATGGAGAGAAGCTGTTTAACACTTGGTGCTTGTACTAGTTGTCTCTTGTCCTGTGACAAATTACCTCAAATCTTTACCCTCAAACAAAACACACATTGATTGTCTCAATCTCTGTGCATCTGGGATCCAGGCATGGGTAAGCTGTGTCCTCTGCTTCAGGATTTCTCAGAGGCTTAGCTGAAGGTGTGGGCTGCGATGGGAGTCACCTCGAGGCTCCACTGGAGAAGGACTGGCTTCCAAGCTCATTTGCTGTTGGTGGGATTCACTCCCTAATGGCCAGTTGCAGCTCTTAGTTCAATGCCACATGGGCCTCTCCAACGTGGCAGTTTGCCTCATCAAAGTGAGCCAGCAGAGAAGGTAATACAGAGTTTGCTAGTGTAGGGGCGAGGAAGATGGCTTCCCTTCATCCTTCTTGGTTCTTTGGCTGAGCTACAAATTAAATTGATGTAAGACAGATGAGTAGGAGAAAAGGTGGACACATTTATTACATGCATAGGGCATCAAAGGAAGGAAAAGTGAATATCCCCAAACCCAGTGAGATCTAGAAGCATATTACCATCTTCCGAGGGGATAGAGGAGGGGCATTTAGGCAGCTTACAGGGGAGTAATTGATTCTGGAAAAGAGGAATGGACACTCCGAAGAACAGGTGATTGGACATTGTGTCCAACTCTGGTTTTCTCTGTGATGAGTCAGACCTCCCTACTTGATAAGATTCCCAGAGAGGAGATTCATGACAGCTGAGCCGCCCCTGGAGGATCCATCTTTAGGCAGATAAAGGGGAGCCCAGAGACAGCCCCTCCCTGCACCTTCCCTTCCTAGGTGCCCTCAGTTTGAAGTAATCAGCATTTCAAAGCAGCATATTTTGGAATGGCATTTCCTGCTCTCAAGTAATGAAAGTTCTATAATGAGCAGCCTTCTTCCTGATACAAATACTTCTACTAATGAAGATTTCCTTTGTAGATGTCAATTTCTTTTACAAAAGGAGAGGTTTTCAGAGCTACTCCTGTGTCTGCATTTTCTCAGAATAACCAGCTCAAAATATGTCAGAGGAATATATTTGGGGCTAGTATATCCTAGTCTCCTACAGTCATATTTTGAGGTGACGTGTTCTTAGCCCCAACACTAGTAAGATGGAAGTCACACTCTTTCCTCATGTAACTACCGAAGTGACATCCCATCAAGTGTGCTGTTTTCTGTTGGCTGAAGCCAGATGCTAGGTCCGGCCTCTGCCAAAGGAGAAAATATATCATAATGATCCCTTGGGATCATCTCAGAAGTGTACATACCATTGTCCATTCCCTTGCTTAAGAACTAGAGTTTAGGCTGGGTATGGTGCCTCACTCCTGTAATCCCAGCACTTTGGGAGGTGGAGGAGGGTGGATTTCCTGAGCTCAGGAGTTCAAGAACAGCCTGGGCAAAGTGGCAAAACCTCGTCTCTACTAAAATACAAAAAATTAGCCAGGCGTGGTGGCATGTACCTGTAATCCCAGCTACTTGGGAGGCTGAGGCACAAGAATTACTTGAACCCAGGAGGCAGAGGTGTAGTGAACTGAGACTGAGCCACTGCACTCCCGCCTGGGCGACAGAGCAAGACTCTGTCTCTGAAAAAACAACAAACAACAATAAAAAAACTAGAGTTTACACAATAGCAAACATATCCCTGGATTAAGCATCATGTGCATGTGTGCCTGTGTATACACACTTACTGACACATATGTGAGTAGATGTGTATGCACTTATATGTGTATATGCACACACATCATTCACAGAGATATATTAGAAACTTTTTCTTCAAGGCTTTAGATATAAGCATTCTAACATATATTCAGCCCCAGGAAAAATTTGAAGTGGAAGAATATCTATTTTTTCCCATTCCACTCCCCCTGCTAAGGACCCCTTTGTTCATTTCTGGGCCTCCCTTCCCTCCAGGCCCACTGTATCCAATTTCCTCCTACTGATCCCCAGATTCGCTCCTTCCTGGGGGACCCAGCTCTCTAGGCATTGAATATGTCTATGCTTCTTTCCAATATAATCTCTGCATGCCGTAACCTGCTTTTCCTCTAAGGGTACTGCTTTCTGAAATGTTAAAATGCATAGTGCATGGAAACTATTTGCTTCTGTCATGGCTAAATAATCTGTTTCCCCTAACATAAATAAAAAAAGGCCAGTCTACAGTTTTCATTTCGCCAGGTCTTCCTGAGGGGGTGTGCTGAATGGAGGGTTAGTGTGTGTTCCCGGGCAGAGAGGGAGGTTATTTTGGCATTTGTGTCATTACCACAAGTAGGTAACTGCTGACATTGTCCGTCCTGGTGCCTGGAGGCATTTCCCTGACACCTTCCACTCCATGGGCTCCGCTCTTATTCTTCCCTGTCCCTGGACTAGTCTCCCTCCCCTTGTCCGTTTGGTGATTGCTTCTCCACCTTTCACAATCCCACTTAGATTTTACCTTGTGTTGTGAGGATGTCCCTGATGTGGTAGGGTAGAATTATTTACCACAGCCGCCTTCCTCCTAGCCTGTGTCTTGTGCGTTATTGCACGCAGCTCACCACAGTGTATTTATTTTGAACAAGTTCTATTCTCCCGGATTTTTAGTCCTTAAAGGACAGAATGCTTTAATAGGATGAAATGAAATTTAAAAACAAAAGACACATTATCCTGTGCCCCAACCAGCATCTCTTCTTGAAGTTCCTCTGTGGATGCTACTGTGAAACCACTTCCCCTGAACCCCAAAGTTTCTTCTGGCTTTCCTTGTCTTCATGCATTCATGTACTTGCCTCTAAGTCCTGTTGACTCCTGAAAACATATCTTTTATGCATGTCTTTTATTCTCCTCTTCTGTTTTCTGCCCTAGTCTGGGTCCTGCTCATCCCTTATCTGGACTAAGTGGTGGTGCCTTGCCTGCAGCTGACCACCATAGGACTCAGCTTTTCAAACACCTCTTTTGTTAGGTAAACCCTCATTGTTTCTCATCTAGCAGTAGGGTCCAAGTCCAAATTCTACAGCTTATCATTTGAATGTTCTTTATGCTGTGTTCCTTAGCAACCTTCCTGTCTTTAGCTGAACAAAGATGGATTCCCATGATGTCGTCTTTGGTGGCTCCAATGTCTACAGCAGCACTTAATATGTGGCAGATGCATAATAAATATTGAATTCATAAATGACTTCAGTTATAATTAGCTTGGATTTGACATTTATTTAGTAACTATTTTCTGACAAGCACATTTTACTGATGAGGAAACTGAAGTGTGTGGAGGTAACAACTGGCCAGTGCCACATGGCTGGTGAGTGACCGCCTGGAGGAGAAGGCAGGCAGCTGCCCCAGTGCTCTCCCATAGCAGTGTGCAGGCTCCGACCCACACAGGCCTTGTCAGATTTCACTAAGGAAGGGTAAACCAGAGGATATAAGTGAGCTTGTTTTTAACAATAATTATTGCCTGTCTCAGAGGAAGTTAAATTTTAATCCTCCATTATGATTTTTATCTATAGTTAGCTGCATTTTCAAATCTTAAGGTTCCTTCTCTTAGGTTTGGTTTGGGTTATTTTCTCCACTTTTCTAATATGATTAGATACATCCAATGCACTCTTAGGTCTAGTGTTCAAATGGCAATAAGGGGAAAATGAAAATGCCAGCTGCCAAATCTTATGTGGCTTCATCCCCTTTTCTTGGGATACAAGTTCAAGGAATAATCAGAGTTCAGAGATAAATATGTGAAGGACTGTTTCCCTGTTCTTAATTAAGGAACTTTAATTAAGGTGTAAAACAGTATGACAGGAGAGACAGAGTCCTCTGCAGGCCAGGCCCTGACATTCAAAGCAGGTGAAGTTTGCTTCCATTTTATCATTCCCCACTTTTCCTTCCTTCCCCTGCCCCAATTCTCCCCACCACTGACCAGTGCCCTCCTCTTTGCTTCTCTTTATCCCTTATCAAAATACCCTATTGATTAATTTTCGCTTAAGAAAAATCTGATAAACTCCCCAGTGAGTTGAATGATAATAACAAAAAAAGAGCTGCAACGTATTGAGTGCCTCCTATCTCCCAGGCACTGTGCTATGTAGTTTTCTGTAATTGCCACTCCGTATAGCAACTTAGTAAGTTATTCCTAGTTTACAGTTGCTAAAACAGAAGTTTAAGGAAGTGAAATCCACGGTATCATAGGACACAGTAGAAAAGTAGAAGAATTAGGAATCTACTTCAGGGTTGTCTTCATTCCCATAGTTGGGCCTGTTTCTTCATTAATATGGTTTCCATCCAAGAGTCATTGCATTTTAGTAAGCAAGAACTTAAAGCTAGAGAAATGAACCTCTAATGGTTGACTTTTAAATAGCAACAAGGCTAAAGGGTAGAAAGTCTTTTAGGCACCCTCCACTTGGCACACCTTCTAGGCATGTTCTGTGACTTTATATCATGCTGACCGTGAACTGGCTTCTTTTTGAGATAAAATTTCCCTAGAATTACTGTGGCAAAAGATTGGTGTTCCTCCTGCCTCTGAGTATCTGCCAAAAGCAAACTGCATAAAAGCCTTAGTGGCCTGTATTTCAAGGTCTCCTGCTAATTGTTGTGGATCCCCAAACAAATGATAAATACATTTCTGGAGCACTTAGGCAATAAGAGCACTTGCTGTGCACAGTTCTAGGTGTTCTAAGTCCTTTTAACTCATGTCATCTTCATACCACCTTAAGAATGTGTTAAGTACTCTTACCCTGTTCTAGGAGTCAGAACACTGAGGCACAGGGCTATGAAATCTAAGTAGTAGATATTAAATCTAGTTTAAGTAGAAGACTTAAACCCAGACTGTCTGAACCAGAGCTATTTGTCCTAACTACTTTGCACTTCTACTTCTCTGTTGAAATCCTTATGCAAATAATCATTGTCTCTTGGGGAGGGTAACTCCTTAGTAGACAGTATGTCAGTATTCTGGTGGGTCATAACTTTAAACCAAAAGAAAAACAAGGCAGTGTGCCCTCAAGAACTCAGGCCTCTTCTACGTGGCTTCCTAAGACAACCCGATTGCTAGGCGCTCATTGCATAGAACCCCTGCACCGCCCAGGTTGCATGGTGGGTTGACCACCATTCTGTTTGGGTTGGGATATAGACAGAATAGGCACCCCAGGACATTTGAGGAAAGCTATGGGAGACAACAATGTGAGTGATAAAATAGTGTTACAGAGCACAAATCACTTCTTGAGGGGTTGCTAGGATGAAAAAGATCAAGACCTGCAAGGTCAATAAGAGCTTCCTGGGGCAGTATGGTCTTGAGATAGAGACTGAGGAAGATTGGAAAAGACTCTTCACCTTGCCCTTGCTTGCCCTCCATTAAGAGCTGTGATTTGCTGCTCTTTCGTTTTTTACCATCTTGTATAACCCCAAGAAATTAAGTAGCAGGGGAGAAGTGTTGCCCATTGCAAAGTATGATCTTGATTATAAAGTATGTTCTGGGGCCTCCATTTCAGTCCAGGGAAATCTCTTTTGTGTTACTGCTTTCATGTGTTTGGGGAGACTGGGGAGAGAAGGAAACAGTGGGGGGGCGGGGAAGAACTTGCCTTACAGAAAAGTCCCAAGGCATGCATGAGGATTTGTCAATTGAATGAATGTACAGTCTAGTAAAGAGAGGAAGATTTAAAGTGTTCAATTTTTTTTTTTCAGAATCTACAGGCAAGAATGCTATACCATTGTTTTTTCATTACTAATCGGGCACCTTCAGCCATGTTTCCATTCAAAAATATTGGAGAATTACAGGGGTTTGAATAATGATAATCATGGCATATTTCACATTTTGAAGTTTTGAATAATTCACCTGAACTTAATTGCAAAATGAAATACTGTATTTGTGCATAGCCTTCTGGTTCTACATTAGGAAAGGAAAGGTATATTATACTTCTAAACCCTGACCCTGCTTTGTTTTAAGAATTTTTGTAATGAAATCTGCATACCCAAGGGTTTCCCAAAGAATGTGAAATGCCAGAAGAATGCATAAATGCCTCGAAGGTGGACAGGATTAATTTAATGGCAAATAGTTGCCTTCAGAAAACATAGGAAGAACAAAGAAAATAACATAAATAGGTTTTGACATGAGACATTAGCAGATGGTTTTGTATAGACACAGAGGTATTGTCTTTGCACTTTGTTAATAAAAATTCTGCAGACATCGTTCATATTATGTTTGTCAGGAAATGATCATATAAATAAAAATAGAAGGTTGGTGTGGAAAGGATATAAATATTGAACACATTTCACACTGCCTATCAATCAGTTAACAATGGGCTAGTTTCCTTGCCCTTTACCATTATTCAATGCAAATTTTGAAATGTAGAAGGCATTATAAATTTGTTATGTGTCTCAGTTACATATTAAAAGGTGTTTTCATTTGAGTGGCAATCCATAAATATTGCATTGCCACATCTATTAATTCCCCATCAAAATACATTTTTTTTTTAGTGAGGAAAGCTGACATCTTCTTGGTGAGGTTGATCACCTTGGCTGTGGCCATTAGCTCTGTTCTATTGGCCAGACTCAGCTATCCTTTCTGGAACCTTTCAGACACAAACTTTTTAAAAGAAACATAATGAAATCCTTCCTTACACTGAATGTTGCTAGGAACATGTCCAGACTTGGAAAACCTTCTCTCATTTTATTATGATTCATTTTAGATAGCCGTCAGACCGCGCTTTCTTCTATAGCATTAACACTATTTAATTACGGATTCCAAAAGACCATTTTCTTTGTATTATATTTATTTAGACAAAGAACATTCCAAATCTCTTGGGAAGGCTATGAAATTATTTCTTAACACGGAAGGCCTGTAAAGATTTGTTTCCATCAGATTTTGGTGAAATGCACCATCTGTTCAGCTAAAGAGCCGCTATTATCAAAACAGGTAGAAATAGAAACTTCTCTATTTTCATCACCTTTTTTTGTGCCACTGTCACTGTATTACCAACCATTTGCAAAATCTGTTATAAATCGTCAGACTTCATGTGCTCTCACACACCAAGCTCTTTTGTGTGTAGGCCTGGGCCTCAGGGTCATTGGCATTGATCTGGCCACCGGACAGTAGCTCGGATTTTATTTGGTTTTACTGCGGAGCATGGGGCTACTTATTTTACTGTCATCTGAATTTTGCTAAATTCAAGAGCAAATTTGCTCTCTTCCTTCTTTCTTTATTTCTCCTTCCTATTTCTTTTCTCTCTCCCACCTTTCTAATTTTTTTTGTTCATGTCCTAGAGCCATGCCAGTACTCACAGCCACCCAAACATTGCAGGCTTTTTTGTGCCTTTGTACCTGCTGTTTTTGTTGGACAGCCTTTTCTTAAGTCCTTCCATTGGCGAGGACTTCTTACCTTTCCAGGCTTCACCACAACAGTTTCAGTTCTGGAAAAGCTCTGTAAATCCCCTGCCCTCCCACTTCCAGGTGGCCCACATCTCTCCTCTCAGCACAGTCTAGCTACCTCTTTCATGGTACTTACTGCATGCTATTGTGTCGACACACTTGTTCATCTCCTCATTAAGCAGTAGTAAGTTCCTTTTGAGTAGAGACTGGGTCTTGTATCTCAGGATTGTTTGCACCCAACAATGTTAAGACTCAATAATTAGTGGGCGAATGAATGGATTGTGTTTGGATGGAAATACAATGTCCACTCCTTGCTCCAGGAGATGATGCACATTCAACATGCTCACTACCCTGATGAAGCTTTATCATTATTTGGAAAATTCAGACATGTTCATGACCATGGAGTAGTACAATGAACAGAGGGATCAGAGCCGTGTGATCAAGGAAGGCTTTGTGGAGGAGTTGGGATTTGAGCTCTTCCATGAGTTATATTTATTCTTCATCCTTCCTCCTAGTATAGGGACCAAAAAATGAAAAGTCAGAATGTCTCCAGGAGAAAAAAAAAAGAGTTCGGTTCTTTTATCTGGTCAAAAATGACAACTCTTGAAGAGGTCTTCTTTATTTCAAATTCTTTCACCGATTAGTACCTATATGACTTTGGACAAATTACTTGGCCACTTTAAGCAGCACATTTCTTCATGTATCAAATGGTGATTAAAATTGAGCTGTGATAAGAAAAAAAAAGAGATAATTTATGTAGCATTCTTACCATGATGGTTGGTATATGGCAAGTGCTCAATGAATATTAATCATGATTACTGCTGTCATTATTAAAGCCTTTTACCATCTGGCTTATCTGTTATAAAGTGTATGTGTTCATTGTGCTTTATTAGATAAAGTGAGCCCTGCTGTGAAAACAAATACTACGCATCAAAATTTACTTTAATGTGTTTATTAGGTTGAACCATATAAAACTGTCATTTTTATAGGTCAATTGTGATCAAATATCAGCAATTCTATGTGAATCAACTTTATGTATTTACCCATTTAGAATCTTAGATCTTGCTTATAAATTAGAAAGTCTTTCAATGGAAAACATTATACATGGGAACGTTTATCATCTCATGATCCACTGATTTCAAGCAGTAGTCTCTATAAAACCGCCATTTGCCAAAGAGGCTTGGGCAGTTCACTGGAGTACATCATTTAATATTGAAAACGTAAGGCTGAAATTGTGATAAGACCACAGCACCCAGATCTCAGTAAGGTTAAGTTTTAGTTTGGATTACAAACATGGTAAGTGAACTTGATCTAATGTTTTTCCTGGTGTTCAAAGTTTGATAAACCAAAAAATCAAGCCCAGCATAGACAGTATAATTCAACTAAAAGTTAAGTGGTACCTGTATTGTGCCATAAGGGACAACACACCTGTTGAGGTGCAAAACTGAGAATGGGATGAATCATATAGATTAGGTTTTAAAATGCAGCAGGAATCCATTTGGAGATGGAGATTTCTAGTGGCTTTTGGACTAATTCTTGCAGAATTTGAATAGCTTCACTGGTGGTGGATGGGAGTCACATTCTACGAGGGAAAATGAGAAGTAGATCTGGAGGCAGGAAAGCAAAGGCATATATTTTAAGAATGAATCCCAAGTATCCATGGCTATCTGCACATATAGTACATGAGGAAGAACAGGGAGACATAAGGGCATAGGAATAAGTATGTGTTTCAAATGCCTTGCTGTGTGGTTCAGTCTTTGTCTTGCGGACAGTAAGGATGGGTCCATGGAAGGTTTTCAATCAAATAATTGAAATGATAAAAATTGTTGTTTGAAGAGATGGACCTGCTATTGGGTGAGGATGATGGAGTGACTCACTAGTCAGGGAAACAGGTTAGAAGACTTTAAGAGCAGTTCAAGGACAGGAAATAGAGGCATTGGTCAAGGAAAGAGGAAGCTGTTGATTGGAAGGAATTGGCAGTGCTTGGGAAGAGTTGGGATTTTGATGGGAAAGAGAAAGCAGTTGAAAAGATGCTCCAGGCCATTCATCCTGTGACTGGGGTGGTATCATTGTCAGTCAGGAAAATAGAGACCTGTGAAGACACTTCCAACACAGAAGGATGTAAACCAGGATGTAGGTGCCTACACACACACAAAAAAAGGGTTCAAGGAGCAAAAGTCCAGAGGGCCTCTAATGGCTGTCAAGTTCAGGCTGAGCTGTGGTCCCTGAATTAGGAGCTTGCTGATGCTACCTGATATGGTTTGGCTGTATTCCCACCCAAATCTCATCTCGAATTGTAACTCTCACAATTTCCATGTGTCATGGGAGGAACCCAGTAAGAGGTCATTGAATTGTGGAGTCAGGTCTTTCCTGCGCTGTTCTCATGATGGTTAATGAGTCTCATGAGATCTGGTGGTTTTAAAAATGGGAATTTCCCTGCACAAGCTCTCTCCCTTTGCCTGCTGCCATTCATGTGAAACGTGCCTTTCACCTTCCACCATGATTGTGAGGTCTCCCCAGCCATGTGGAACTGTAAGTCCAATAAATGTTTATCTTTTGTAAATTGCCCAGTCTCATGTCTTTATCACCAGTGTGAAAACGGACTAATACACTACCAAAGGTGGAAAATGTGTGGAGCTGCTGTGAGTGTCACAACAGCCCAGCAGCCCTGCAGCCTGCTGACAAAAAGGAGGGTGCAGAGTCCAGCCAGCTGTGCCAAAACCTAATGTTGCCAAAGCACACGCTAATCCCACCACTGTTGGCAGAGGAAGAAAAATGTCACCTGTTTTCAGCTTTCAAAACCCTGCTGGTGCACCTTATTAACAGTTCCTGAATGTAGACAGTGGAGTCAGAAAATGCAGTTCCCAGGCTTTATACTCCTGAACCACCAGGGAAAGCATAATAAGGGGTGAGAATGCTGCCCAGGGCTGGCAGACAGTACCAGATTTCATAAGAAAGACGAGAGAAGGCAGAGAGCCTGTGTGAGATATGGTGACTGGCACCTGTAGATGTGCTGAGAGCAAGGTGCTGGTGGGGCCCATGTTGAGTATGCCCAGTAGGTAATGGGAAAGACAGGTGTAGGCTTGGAGATTTAGGTTTGGAAATCTGAAGGAAAGGGGGCAGTAAATGATTTGAGAGACAGAATGAGCAGATAGGGCAAACAGAAGACTGAGATCCTAAACAGGGGTGTGGCCATCTGTAGTTGATGGAAGAGGGAAGTAGGAACTGAGATAGGAAGGAGAAGACTCTGGAGAAGGCAGTCATGGAGGCAAGGGAGAGCAAAACTTCAGGAGGGAAGGGGTGGCCAGTGCAGGCACATACATAACCAGAAAGATGCAGAAAAAGCCATTGAAGGGGAGGACTTCAGGCCCATTGATGATAAGAAACCACTCTGACACGCCTGTAATCCCAGCACTTTGGGAGGCCGAGGCGGGCAGATCATGAGGTCAGGAGATCGAGACCATCCTGGCTAACACGGTGAAACCCCCGTCCCTACTAAAAATACAAAAACTTAGCCAGGCATGGCGGCGTGCACCTGTAGTCCCAGCTGCTAGGGAGGCTGAGGCAGGATAATGGCGGGAACCTGGGAGGCAGAGCTTGCAGTGAGCCGAGATAGCACCACTGCCCTCCAGCCTGGGTGACAGAGCAAGACTCTGTCTCAACAAATAAAATAATAAACCACTGTAAGTATAGTGATCAGGGGAAAGTCAGATTGAAGTTAGTTGTTGAGGTTCATTTGTTGAGGAAAAACGTGAAAGCAGAACATATAAATTCCTTTTTATAACAGGTAGTGGGGAGAAGGGAGAAAAGAGGAATAGATTGCAACGGGAGAAAGGAGACAAAGGAGGCATCCATTAGGATAAATTTACTTGCTTGCCATCTGATAAAGAAGATCCGGTGGAGAGATAAAAACAGCTATGAAGAGGGCAGGATGAAAGCAGAGGTCCAGAAGAGAAAAGAGAGAATGGAAGCAAGGGGTCCAGCAATAGCCATGCAAAAGAGGGCTCAGGGGCCTCCGCATCTGTAAATATTCTAATTGGCTTTGAAATTGAGATAATCAGGAACATATTGAATTCCCCTGAAGAGTATGGTGTCAAAGCAAGGAGATCAGCAACGTGGTTCACAGAATGATAATCATCCCTTCTGTCCAAACTGAAAATCAGGAAATGAGCAACACCAAACACACTGCCAGTTGATGTGGATACAAGCTCCTTCTTCTGTATTGATGTGCTTCAAATAGCCATGCTTATTAACTGCTGTGTGATAATGAAGGCTCTCTATTGAAGTCTGGGGTTGCTGTCCATGTTCACTCATAAGAAGATTGACAATTGATTTACTCAACTTCACTAATCAGTTTCTTGGTTGCAGAAAACCTGCAATATCATTTTAAGCCCCTATTATAGCCTAACAAGATATAGATAATTAAGTCCTAGGGGACCGTGTTCTAACTGGTTGCTGCAAAACAGGCCCTTTCCCTCTCTTTTCCAATCTGGGGCAAGTCTTTGCACTTTACAATTAAATCTGCTCTTCTTTCAGCGCAGTCCTTTGTTTTGAGGGAGGCAGTGATAACTGGAATCAGGTTATCTTGCTTATTACTTGATTTTTAACATCTGTATAGCGTAGGTACTATTGTCTTTATCAATATTACAGTAAAATTCTGTGGATGGAAAGAAAGCAAAGGTCTGCACAGTTTCTCATGTTTGTGTAGTGAGATGGGGGGAAAAACTTACAATCCTGGATCTAAAAATCCCGCAGCACAGCTTTAAGATAGAAAATAATGTTGTGTGTATCTGTGCATAGTGTCATGGTATTCTGTAGCAGCTTAATCAATGTAGTATATTATCACTCATTCTTTACATCTTAAAAATCCTATCACTTGGGAATTTGGTGTTTATCAATGCTTAATTTTCCTTATTTTTTATTTTATACTATTATCTGAGAATTGTGCTTCTTTTTCTATTGCTTTTAAATATCAAAGACATTTTTTTAAAAATTAGTTTCAGTATATAGATTCTCTGCCCTTTCCCCTCAAGTATCCTTGCTTTTTTCTTTTTTGTACCATTGACAATTTAAGAATAAATGGACACTATTTTGGCCTAAAGTTAATGTATTTCCAAAATCCTTTTCATTAATCAGGAATGTACAATAAAAGTGCTGTATAAAAGCTTGTATTCCATGATAAAAAATACTTGAAGACACTTGACTATTGTTTAATGTCAATCTTGTGGTTGGGGAATGTTGTGGTTATTGGTATTGGTTTTATCATAGCAGTTCTTTCTTAGCAACAGATATTCTGATGTGGTTATTCTTTATATCCTTATAGACATCCAAGGTCAAGAAGAACATATTCCAAACACTAAAGGAAACCTGAGCACCCAAAAATGTTGGGAATACATGCACAAATACATGGATTATAATGAGACAGGGGCTGCAAATATGCATATGTACACATTGGAGGAGCATTATCTTGAGGCCTGGTTGATATTGAGATGTAGGATGTATGTAGCAGTGAACATAACTTTAAGTGCATGTAATTCCATTGGAAGAACCTTAAGTAGGTGGGCTGACAATGATCTATAATGCTTTGTGTTTGATTAAAATGCCAGCATGTATACCAAACTAAAATGAAGCGCTCTTACTTTCAGTAGAGAGAGACTATTTTACACATACCTAAAGCATATTTCTTATGAAGAAAATCATAATAAGCAATTTAAAATTTGCGAATAAGATCATTAGTTATGTTTGAAAATTCCCTTTCCATCAAGCTAAGTCCAACTTATTTTTCAAAACTTCAGTACATCAGCATCTCCAGAGAGCCTCTGTTTGTTTTTTTTATTTATTTATTTTTTTTTTTTGAGACAGAATCTGGCTCTGTCCCCCAGGCTGGAGTGCAGTGGCACCATCTCGGCTCACTGCAAGCTCTGCCTCCCGGGTTCACGCCATTCTCCTGCCTCAGCCTCCTGAGTAGCTGGGACTACAGGCACCCGCCACCACGCCCTGCTAATTTTTTTTGTATTTTTAATAGAGACAGGGTTTCACCATGTTGGCCAGGATGGTCTCGAACTCCTGACCTCACGATCCACCCACCTCGGCCTCCCAAAGTGCTAGGATTACAGGCTTGAGCCACTGCGCCCGGCCCAGAGAGCCTCTGTTGATGCTCAACTCTCTTCATGCCCCTGGCATCCTCTTCTGGCTCTTAATACATTAATACATTGTGGGGTCATTGTGGGTCTGCCCGTCTCCTACAGTTGGCAGTTTTTCTTCATTCAAGTTACTCATTACCACACAAAGCCTATCATAGGCATTCAACAGATGATTATCAAATAGAGGAACAGATAAATGGATGAGGGGATACATGAATGAATGAATACATCAGGAAACAATTATTCATATTACATAAGGTGTTATTTTTAAGCTTTCCAGCATTGGAAGTAAAATTAGATTCATCTTTTCCTTTTATTTTTCAGCATCTAATACGCCTCAAATGAGGTAAATCAATATATAGCTCCTTAATTTAGGGAATTTCCATCTACACAAGATAAACAGTTAACCAACTGTGCGATGTGGGTAGTAGGAAAAAACTTGAGATATGCATAAGAGTCCCTAATGAGCTTATAGAATAGTTGTTAACTAAGAAACCCATACATGAAATCATTTTGTTCGTATGTAACCATGCCAGGGTAGTCTATGAATAAGTTAGGAGAACATTAGAATGGAGTTTCTCATAGTTCATGTCCAAGAATATTCTTATTTAAAACACAGATTCCTGGCCTCTACTCTCAGATATTTGGATTTACTAGGTCTCAAGTAGACCTAGGAATCTAGACTTTTAGCAAGAGTCCTCAGTGTCTTCCTGCAAATGTTCCAGGGAAAACATATTTCAGGACTAAGGAGACACTCCAGTGGGCCACAATTGTCAGGAATACAGGAGATGGGACTTAAGCTGGAACCTGGAGGATGCATGATGTTTGGATAGGCAAGGGGAGAAGAGAAGGAATCTCATTTTTCTCATAGCTGCTGGCAGAAAAATTTCTATCCAAATACCAGATGATTTTGATGATTGGCAAAATCCACATTCATGAGACCCCAGTGTAAATTATATTACTCTCAGGGTTCATTTTTGTTTTGTTTTGTTTTGTTTTCAATCTAACATAGAGGCAGCCTTTTAAATTGACTTTTTTTCCCCCAGTTTTTAGTTTGACCTATTAAATATCTAGACAGACTTTCATACTCCAGTGTTCCTAAAGATCAAGCATGCTACTTGTTGAGGTGTCTTAAGTTGCGTATTTTAAACAATAAATATTGGGTAAAAGTAGTGAAACATTAGAAGTATCCTTTTACCAACACTACAAGAAACCAGGACAGAAATCACCTCTTCCATTTTCCTTGCCAGTGAATCTTGGAAGGTTATAAAGTTTTTTGCAAGTACAGGCTGCTTTTCCATGTTTATAGATATTTGCTATAAAATAGCCTGCATCAAAAACATGTCTATTAACTGTCTTACTGAAGGCTTGATAGTGTATTTTTCAAAGCAAAACAGACTTTGAAGGTGTCTGTCTGAAGATTTCCGGACCAGAGGGAATGCATATGTGGACAATTCAGAGATCTCAGGGAAAGTAATTGTGTAGGCTGGCGATCAATTTGGCATGAGGGAAAGGAGAGTGACAATCAATATCTAGCTGGGAGGTGAGAGAAGAGCCTCAATAGTGACAGCTCAGTCAACCAACGGAGGAAAAAAGTAACACCCAATGGGAAAAGGCCACCAAGAGCAACACTTACTTGCCCTGCTTGAATTTCGGCCCTGAGTCACCTGGACACAATTGAAAAGTTAGCGAGGCTGGGCTGCCAGTCACTGAGTAGTAGTCCCATATATATCTTCAGTCCTCACAATGCACACATAGAAGACAGCATATTAGCACCAATATCTGGTTCTCTTCTCTTTGCTGGGCACTCAGAAGACTAAGTTTACCAGCTACCCTAGCAGTGAGTTGGGCCATGTGACTAGTCCTGGCCAGTGGCCCTTAAACTGAAGTGACAGCTGTTGAATGAGGCAGTGAAAATCCATACTACATTCTCCAGTTTATCTTTTCCTGTCCATAGAGAAAACTTCATATTGAGAGAGTGGGGCAGGCTAAATATTTGAGTCATTCCATTGATATGAAGATTATAATCTTTATCATCCAAACCAGGACGATTTTTGGACTGAAAGGGGTGTTGTTAATAATTTGCCAGGACAGTAAGCTTGAGCTGAACTGTCCTGGGAAACCAGGACATAGACCCCCTACCCATGGAAGAAAAGTGACTACCCTGCTGCTCAGACCCGAAGTTGCCCAGACTTTATGTCAATAAGAAATTCAGTAAGTCAGTCACTGAGAGGTTGGGGTTGTTACTCCAGCATAACCTAGCCTATCCCAACTAGTATAATAGATTATTCTCTAAACCAATTACTAGCTGAAACTTGGAGAGAGGTGCTTTACCCCTTGAACTTTCTCAAAAAGAGACAAAGCAGGTAGGGGCCTTCATAAAGTGTTAACTTGATTGGATGGGGCTTCCAAGAAGCCAATTTTCTGCCCTTCTCACATCAGCACCAAAAGGTTTACAATTCAGATAGCCTGGATCTTTAAAACCATAATAAAAACAAGTATCAACATATATAGCATTTTTTATTTTGTCTTATTGCATCCTCATAACATCTCTCTGAAGTAAGTAGGACTGGGAGGATGTATTCATTTTACAGGTAACTGAGGCTCAGGAAATGTGATCTGTCCTAAGTTGCATAGTGGTGAGAGGGCCTCCGCTGAGCTCCACCTACGCCCCTTAGGGAGCACAGGGCCTGAGGTTACACTGACCATATTATGGCCCCAAGAGTTGAGGCTGAAAGAGGATTTGGTAGAGCGACTTTTCTGGATGTGCTGTGGTTTACAATATCTGCTTCTTTAAGAGAAGCTACTCTGAAATATCATGGAACAAGTGTCACAAGAAGCATGCAAATTAAATAGCAGGCCCAGTGAAGAATGTGCTGTTGGCATCCATACGGCTAGATGGGCCAGTACTGTGGATTCTTAAAGCATCTCTTTGCCACTGTTCCATCTTCTTGTCCAGAAAATATAACACTATAATTTTATCCCAAATACAGCCAATTAGATTTTCTTGCCTTTCTTTTACACCTCCATCAAAAAAATTAGCAACAGATTAACACCGGCTACTTACTGTGCTGCTTTGGACATTATTCAGATCCAGTGTGACTGTTAGTTTGACCTCTCCAAGCTTTAATGACTAAACATGTGTCAAAAAAAAAATAAAATAAAATAAAATAAAAACTGTGTGAGATGTAGAAAATGGGAATCAGATTTAGAGTGAGTTTGCCAGTGAGAATCAAGTTTAGTCAAGTCATTCAATTCTTAATTTTCTCTGAGTCAAACTCCCATACAGATCTTGAAACATGACAGACAGCATGTGGCCTGTTTAGTAAGTGTTCTAGGGATTGTAACCATCTGATGAAGAGCCAGTTACAACTGTGGAGAAATATTAACTTATGTGAAATGCAAAGTGAGCTACATTTGGCATACCTAACATTAGATTCAAACTTTTAAAAGCATGGTGCATATTAAGAGAAGAAATCTTTTTTTGTTTGTTTGTTTGTTTCTGTTTGTTTTTCTTTTTCTTTGAGACAGAGTCTCACTCTGTCACCCGGGCTGGAGTGCAGTAGTGTAATCTCGGCTCACTGCAACCTCGACCTCCTGAGTCCAAGCAATCCTCCCACCTCAGCCTCCCAAGTAGCTGGGACTACAGGCCTTTGCCACCACACCCAGATAATTTTTTTTTATTTTTTGTAGAGACAGAATTTCATCATATTGCTCAGGCTGGTCCTGAACTCCTGAGCTCAAGTGAACCTCCTGCCTCAGCCTCCCAAAGTGCTGGGATTACTAGTGTGAGCCACCATGCCCAGCCAAGAGAAGAAATTTTGATTGTCCAGGCCATATTTTATTTTTCTTTCACCAAGGTAAAATTGTAAAATACTAATCTTTATCAAATGGGGGAAAAGAGGCTCCAGGTTGTTATTACATTAGTTTTCTAGAAGAGAACGGCCTCTAATTAGAATTTAAGGTGTATCCTCACTATAAATTATTTTCATTATTCCTAAACACAGTGGCCAATAAAGATAAATATGGGGGCCAATAATAAATTCAGCCATCTGTTGTCTTCAAGGTCTCCCAAGATTTGAACTCTAAGCTGTAAAGATCTATCCCCAAAATAATAGATTTATTTTTAAAGTAGCTGTCTTGGCAATTCAGAGTCCTTTTTGCGTGGTATCAGAGAATGTTTGTGCTTCAGATTACTCAAGAAAATAAAAAGCAGACCTAATGCTCCATGTATTTGTGGAATTTTATTATTTTGAAGACCTTTTTAAGGACACATTTGACAAGGATAGGTTCTGAAGTTGAGTAGATGAGCTCATGAGACTGAACATGGGAAATGATATTAACTATTGACTATGTATTAATAAAATTAATCACATTAATAATTGTTGCGGGATCAGGGACCCTGAATGGAGGGACCAGCTGAAGCAGAGGCAGAAGAACATAAATTGTGAAGATTTCATGAACATTTATCAGTTCCCCAAATTAATACTTTAATAATTTTTTACACCTGTCTTTATGGCAATCTCTGAACATAAATTTTGAAGATTTCATGGACATTTATCACTTCCCCAATCAATACTCTTATAATTTCCTATGCCTGTCTTTAATCTCTTAATCCCATCATCTTCGTAAGCTGAGGATGTATGTTGCCTCAGGACCCTGTGATGATTGTGTTAACTGCAAAAATTGTTTGTAAAACGTGTGTTTGAACAATATGAAATCTGGGCATCCTAGAAAAGAACAGGATAACAGTGATTTTCAGGGAACAAGGGAGATAACCATAAGGTCTGACTGCCTGCGGGGCTGGGCAGAACAGAATCATATTTCTCTTCTTGCAGAAAGGGAATAGGAGAAATATTGCTAAATTATTTTCCCAGCAAGGAATAACCCTGAGAAAGGAATGCATTCCCAGGGGGAGGTCTCTAAAATGGCTGCTCTGGGAGTGTCTCTCTTATGCGGTTGAAGATAAGGGGTGAAATATGCCCTGGTCTCCTGCAGTGCCCTCAGGCTTGCTAGGTTTAGGAAATTCCAGCCTGGCGAATTCTAGCCATACCGGTTGTCTACTCTCAAACCCTGTTTCCTGTTAAGAGGTTTATCAATGACAATACGTGCCCAGTGGGACATGGAACCTCATCATTAATTCTAATTTCACCCTTGCCTTGAGATCTTGCTCTGCCGTTTGCCTTGTGATCTTTTATTGCCCTATGAAGCATGTGATCTCTGTGACCCACTCCCTATTCGTACACCCCTCCCCTTTTGAAATCCCTAATAAAAACTTGCTGGTTTTGCAGCTCAGGTGGGCATCATGGAACCTGTCGACATGTGATGCCCACCCCCAGAGGCCCAGCTGTAAAATTTCTCTCTTTGTACTCTTTCTCTTTATTTCTCAGAGCGGCCAACACTTAGGGAAAATAGAAAAGAACCTACATTGAAATATTGCAGGCTGGTTCCCCTGATAAATAATTATAATTATTACATTAATTTAAAACCTGGCTGTATTTAGGGAAATAACCCATTTTGTAGACCTGTTGTGCATTATCTGGATATAGTGTCAATCCTGATTTCAAACTGTTAACCAGGCAAGTAAAAGCCAGTGAGGTGTATTTCTCCTTTGTGGCATTTACTTGCACATGTGAGATATTCTTTCTCCCTCCCCCTCTCTTTGTGGATGAGTGTGAACTCTACAAACACATGAATCCATAAATGCAATTTTGTATTCTGCCACTGTTGAGCAAAAACACTTGAGATTTGTTTGCTAACATTCAGGGGAGTTCCTTCTACTCCATGTGCAAAACGGGACTTCTCTGAGTGCCCATCTCTGCTTCCCTGCCCTCTCCCAATCGGCCTCTCTCCGTGCAGTTAGCTCCCCAAGCAGGATCAGTGCAAGCCTGCCTAGGAGAAAATTTATGTCACTTTCTCTTCACATAGAGATGGCCCTGGAGTGAATATGATGCAGTAATTCAAATTGGACTAGCATCTTTCGATCTGTTTATGAATGCTCTTGCATCCTCATGAGTGAATTAGAGTGCTGTGGTTTCTGTGCAGTGCTGTTATTCTTGCAAAATTTGTGCTGAATTAAAAATATATATCATCTAGGAAAGAAGTAAGAAACTCCAGTCCTCCAACATTTATCCAGAGTAAGTTTCTGTTTCAGTGCAGTTTTCAGTTATGTTCACTGTAGATTTACTGTTCCTAACTATTGCAGCGAGGATAAGCAGAGATTGGGTTAAGAGCATCCAAGTGACAACCAACCTGGGGATTGTTCCTGCTTACGTGCTTAGATGTCCTAGCTTCTAAGGGAGGAAATTCTCATTTCTAAGAAAACAAGTGGCGCAGTTGGGCAGAACCCAGTTCTAAACCAACATTTTCCACATGAACAATTTGCTCTTGGAATTGAAAATTAGTCAGCTTTCCTTTAGACTCACAAACCTGAGGGAAGCTTTGCATTGCAATTAAAATGGGAAGGTAGGATAGTTTGTTGAGGAAGGCAATGGAATTAGAATGAGAAATAGAAACTTAAAAGCAAATTATATGGGAGGCAATGCAAAATATGTTCTTCATTAAGGTAATTGTCCTATCCTCTCTCTCCCAAGTAGGAGAGCAGTGGGCTGTCTTGGCAGAGATTAGTCTGCCAGGAGCCGACAGTGGTAAGTTAGGGATTGAATCTAGAACCTTTCCTCATTAAGGTAATGTTCTAAACACCATAGCTAATTAGCTGAGTTGAAGCATACAGACATTCAACGTAACAAAAAGAACAGTTAGATATTTGGTTTGTTTTACATCTGACCAGCGGACTTGCATCTTAGCTGCATGTGAAGACATAGCCCCTTCAGTCTTGCTGGCATTTCTCACTGTATCTACTTCTCTGACTAGTCGCATGCATACATAGGTCTATGGGAAGTGAAAATGTAAAGATGCAGGGAATGAACAAGGGTAAAAAATCCATTAGGTTCAATCATTCACTCCACAAAGAATTTATCAAATATCTACCCAATAACTAAGCTTTGCATAGTTCCTATGGATAGCATAAACAACAAGGAGGAGTCAGTGACCTCAGGAGGAGAGCTCAGAGTGTTAAGAAAACATGAAGGGAGGGTTTCCTTAGGCAAGGGACGGGTCAAGGCTTGGCTCTGTGTTTTCTGTGGCATTTCGGTGGAATTGAGAGTACCCAGTGGGCAGGACATATATTTCCATGAATAGCTGGTCTTAAATGCTTCAACAGGTAAATAACAGTTGTTATAATGCACAATAGTTTCCCCTTTTCTGAGGTTTCACTTTCTACAGTTTTAGTTACCTGAAGTTCAACCAGTTAAAAATTGGTGAGGACCGTACAATAAGATATTTTGAGAGAGAGGGAGAGACCACATTTACATAACTTTTATTACAGTGTGTTGTCATAATTATTCTATTTGATTATTAGTTGTTATTGTTGATTTCTTAGTGTGCCTAATTTGTACATTAAACTTTATCATAGACATGCATGTACAGGAAAAGGAAAGTATACATAGAGCTTTGTAGTATCCAGGGTTTTAGGCATTCACTGGGGGGATCTTGGAACATATCCCCCATGGCTAAGAAGACTACTGTATCACTGTGCATAAAGCCTGGATCTAGAAGAATTTTGATCTGATTGGGAGAAAAGATTGACTAATGCAAAAACAGTCATCCCTCAGTTTCCATGGGGGATCGATTCCAGGACCCCTCGTCAGATACCAGAATCTGGGGATGCTCAGCTTTCTTATATAAAATGGTATAATACCATATTTTCATATAATCTACACACATCATCCTGTATACTTTGAATCATCTCAAGATTACTTTTAATACCTAATACGACGCCTACACTTCATTCATGTGGATTCAATGTAGTACTCAGTGCATGGCAAATTCAAGGTTTGCTTTTTGGAACTTTGTGCAGTTTTTTTTTCCTGAATATTTTCAGTGTACAACTGGTCAAATCCACAGATGCAGAACTCACAGATACGGAGGGCTTAACTGTGCAGCATTTGCAAGTAACGAGAACCCATCAATCCAGATGTTACCACGTGATAACAGTATAGCAGAAAATGTTGATACCCAGCCAAGTAAATGCCAGGGTGGTTTAAATATTTGAGTGAATGCTGATGTGGCACAGTAGAAAAAGATTACAAGTTTGGAGTCAAACAGTTCCAATACCAGCTCTACTATTACTGGGAGTATCATCTTGAATGAGTTCCTTATTCTCATGGAACCTCAATGTATGCATTTTTAAATAATTGAAATGAAATATTTTTGATGCATTTCAAAGTAAGTCTACTGTAATCCCAGCACTTTGGGAGGCTGAGGCATGAAGCTCAGGAGTTCGAGGCCAGTCTGGGAAACATGGCAAAACCCTGTCTCTCCGAAAAATACAAAATTTAGCCAGGCATTGAGGGCTCGTGTCTTTAGTTCCAGCTATCTGGAGGCTGAGGCTGGACAATCACTTGAGCCTGGGAAGCAAAGGTTGCAGTGAGTCGAGATTGCACCACTGCAACCTTCCAGCCTGGGTGACAGAGTGAGACCCTGTCTCAAAAAAAAAAAAAAAAAAAGTAAGTCAAAGGCATATTCCCAAGGTGTACATATATATCAATAACTGGAGTTCCATATGTGTTTACAGTTCTCTTTTTTTGATAAAATTTACATACAATGAAATACATAAATCTTAAATGTAACATTGGCTGAATTCCAACAAATGCATATAACCTGTGCAGTCCAAATCCCTATAGAGTTACAGAACATTACTCTTATCCCAGGAAGTTCCTTTATATCCTTACCAGTCAATCCCTGCCACCACCCAAGGCAATTGCTATTCTTAAATTTTCCACCATAGACTAATTTTGCCTATACTAGAACTTTGTATAAATGAAATCATACAGTATTTTGTCTTTTGTGTGTGGCTTCTTTAACTTAGCATAGTTTGTGAGATTCTTCAATGTTGCTGCATACATCAGTTACTCCTTTTGATTGCTGGTATATATTCCACTGCAGGAAATGCATAGGATAGTTGTATGTTGATGGACACCTGTTTTGAATTTTTAAAATTAAAAAATTTAAAAATTTTAGAAATCCATCATAAGAGACTAGGGTTAGGATTTAAACTAGGGTTTTGGACAGTAATTAATGCTAGTCATATTGTGGAGGTTCAAGCAACGACTAGTTTGGTTATATACAAATAAATGAATTTTGTTTGTCTTGAACATCCAAAGTGAAGTATGTGTTGATATTTAACCCTACTACATAGGCATCCAATATGAGGGAGCTAGTATTTTATTGCAAGTATTCCTTCTTTTCCAGCCAATATGGGAAGTATGCTGGTCCTCTTTGTTGCCATTGGCTCTAGAAGATGAGCATTGTTCTCTACATGGGGCTGTGTTGTGTCAGGTTTCCTAGGAGGGAAGCCTAGGGTAAGGGAGGGATGCTTCAAGGACCCCATTCCCCCTGCCTCTTTCTAATTTAACTGCAGCCTCTTTCTTCCTGTCATTAAATGAAGTTCAGTCATGGTGGGACCCTTTCTTAAATCGACACAATTTCTCAAAGTGAGAAGTTTGGGAGTCAAATACAATGAAACACAAAGAAAAGCAATTTGCAAGTTTCAGCAGCAGCTCTTGACAAACTTCATGGCATGGGGGAATCAAAGGGAATGTGGCGGGCACTTCTTGCACCCTCTCACCTGACTAAAAGAATATTAAGGAATATTGAATAATTTCATGGTTAATTTCATTATTAAGTAGGTATTTGATTAATCAGCAAGTAAACATGTTAAAATATTTTCTAAAAACAAAATTTAATTTGGTTCAGCCTTCAATTGAATGAACCCTATCAGTTATCAGTGTGAGTTGGGGAGAATAACTTCTTGAGTGGCTTCTTGTTTTCTGTTCTTTTTTATTTCTGTCAAAAATGAAGTTAGTCTCAACTAAATAACTGAATATAGGGGTGAAAAAGAACAATTTGGTGTAATAATTGGATCAGTCCCTAGAGTGTCATTAATCAAAACAGAGGGCTAGATTTTGGGTTGGGGTTGGAGGGAAAGCATGTGAAAAAGCCCACAGTCATTTACATGTTGGAATAATCAGCTTCTAATGTAGCTTGGAGCCATATTTTCCAACACTGCTTTCATTATTGAATAAGTCCAGGTCTTCAAAGTCCAATCCATAGTCTCTGATTACAAAGAAGGCCTTTGATATTATCAAGTGTTGTCTTACCATGAAAGAGTTCAGAAAACCACTGTGTTTTAACATTTTCTTTCAGAAAGATCTTCCTTTGGTGTCTAGACGGACCAGCTCTTGAGACACTGGAAACAGATCCAGTGACAAGTACCCCAGTGGTCCGTATTTTAAAAGGAGGTCAATGACAAAGGTGGTCCCCTGGGAACTGGGAGAGAATTTAGTTAAAATGGCTCACTGATCCTGCTCTTTGGTGCTTTTGAATTGTTACTCTTCTCATGCATTAGTTTTAATATGCAATTTCCCTAATTTTAACTTAGTGCCCTTCTTAAGCAAGGTTTTTGCTTCTCCCAGAGGAAACAGTGTAATAAGAATTTATTGATTACATAGTGTGTACCTTAAAAAATGGAATCTATTTTAATAAAATAAAATGCCTGCATTTATACCTAATGTTACCTGAGACATACTGTTTGCATATATGTATTTAGTTTGTTTCCTCTGGCTGTCCTAGGAGTTAACTTTTTAAAAATAGTTCACTTGATGTACGTTAGAATTTATTACAACTCATTAAGTATAATTTTGGTTTCTATATTTTTAGTTATGGCAGCTACTTGACCAATATTTAGGGGAAAAAATGGTCTTAGTTTCAGGTGGGGGAAGGAGATGGAGAGCTAGAAGACATGAATTAAGGTGAGTGTTTAAGGATAAATTGCAACCAGCTATTTAATAAACAAACAAACAAAACACACAAAACTCTGCCCAAGCCTGAACCAGAGGGAGAGGGAGGAATTGGCTTATTTCTTAATCATATTGGGGAGACAGATGGTGGAACTGTACTATGTGCTGGCTAGTAATGCAAACTTTCATTCATTAGCCGTCGAAATAATAAAATGAAGCAAAATGTAATTGGGCGTCAAACAACAATGGAAGATGCTTTAGTCTTTGATTTTTGATTTTTGGGAAAATAGAGAAGTTTGTTAAATAAGAATTTTTAAAAAAAGATGTCATCAGGGAGTAAATAATGGCATATTCTTATCAGGTTTATAACATTTTCTCTGTGACATGATTCATAGAGGTTATAAAAAGATAGGACAACTTGATTTTTTACCAAGGGTTAGGATGGGGCCCTGTGACTCTGTTCCAAGACTTGGGTGGGAAATGTAATTGGTTTTGATTAATCATAAAGTAGTGCCAGAAGAGTGTTTACCATATTACTAAGGGTTCTGAACTGCTCAAGATTGTTTTAACAATTTCCTGTCCACCCCCACTTTTTCCTATTTTTTAAGTATAAAGCCAAGAAAAATGGGGGAAAGGTGAATAGATATTT
The DNA here is from genome assembly GCF_000001405.40 of Homo sapiens. Lineage (NCBI taxonomy): Eukaryota > Metazoa > Chordata > Mammalia > Primates > Hominidae > Homo > Homo sapiens. The sequence goes on along the minus strand of NC_000002.12, from coordinate 132,998,274 downwards.
TTCTTTTTGATCCAGCAACTTGTGTTTATAGCTTGTAATTTTACAGAAGAGATAATTTAGCAAGATATGCATTGAGACAAGATTGTGTTTTAACTTAGTAAAAAATAATATGATTTCATTTTAACCGAGTTCTAACTATTTGGCCACTTTTAAGTCAGATGTTTAAAAATGAATGCAATAAGGATTAAAAGAAGACATCCAGCTTCTGTGCTAAGGTGGGAAGAAAGTAGACTAATATTTAGAAAACCAGGATACCAGGCCTTTACCTGCCAGGAACAAGCTGAGTGATCTTGGGCAAGTCTTAGGACCATTGTCATTACTTCCTTGTTTATGATAGTTCGGCAAACATGATGGAAAATCTGATACCACTCAAGAGCTTGTTTATATAAAATGAAATCAAGTATTAGCAATGGGTTCTGATCACTTATTATTTCAGAATTTGTGACTTCTTTGCACCGATTTTTTTTTTTCACATAAGCTTAGTTTTTCTCATGCTCTCCCCAGGTCAGAAATGGTATTGTTGCCTTCTTGGGTTCATCCACCAAAGTTGTTCTCCAAGGTAACTCCTAGTTAGGAGTTAAGACTCTTACTCATTTAAAACCATTTTCCTGAATACCAATAAGGTCAAGTAGAAAGAGGCTGCTGTATTTAGAGTCAGTAAAAATGATTTCATCCAAACTCCCTATCCAACTAACCATGATCTCTTAAGCAAACCATCTAACCTTTCTGTACCTTAGGTTTCTCATCTACCAAATAGATAGAATGATTTTTTAAAAGTAAATTATAATGATGAACAGATGAGACAGTTCTTTGTCAAGTTAAAAGTACTATTAGATTGAGTTATTATTAATAACATAAGATTTGTGAAAATATAGGGAACAGCTTCTGCTTTCTCAGCTGGATACATGCAGAGGTGGCTTGTATAAATGTGTGGTCACAAATCATTTTTAGAGTACTCGTAACCAGCGCCCACCATCTTCCTGAAAACCCAAATGAGTCCTTGTGCCATCCTCTGTAAAGGCAGAATTTCTCCAATTAATAATCTAGGTCTGGCCTGTCCCAGTTGTCTGCAGTTTCCTCACTCTGCTGCTGAGTAGTTACGTGCCATATTAGAAAGGTGGCATTTTGAACTGTCTTATCCTGCCTACTGCAATGGGCTTCCTACATCAGCGGATTCACTGGTCTCCTAGAGCCCTTAATTTGTCATACGAGAAGCCCTTAGTAAGAGGGAGAAGCTGGATCAGCCTGCTTTTCTTCACAGTTCTCTTCAACCAGTGTCATACTGAGTCACTCAAATACATGCTTCAAGATGGGCCTGGAAAAGATAACCAGTTCAGGTTCTGGACAGAGAGCATCGTGTTCAGGGCATTGAGTTCAGGCTTCTTGCTCCCAGAGTTTGGGTCTATGAATCTTCATGGTGGGCCCCAATGACAAGGTCATCCAGACACAGTCTGAACATACAGGATGAGTGTCTGGCATAGAGTAACTACTTCACACTTTAAAAAATGAATTAGCAAAGGATTCATACAATAATGTCTAGTGAGTATGTATTTTATCTACAGTTGAGAGAGATACATTAGAAATATATGGCATAGTCCTATACCAAATGTTGTCATTTATTCCAGAAGATAAGACCTGCATATACAAAATATTTGAGCATTAAAGTGAAGGATTTTTAAGTGATAGAGTAAATGGTTTGAAGTATAGGGCTATAAGAATTCAAAGAAGCAGGAGATCAATGAGGAGTTATCTTAGGAAGTGAAACTTAAGGTAAATTTGAAAAGAGGGTTGAAATATAGGAAGATGAAATGGAGGGGGCATTCTAAGAAGTATCACCAGCATAAGCAAATGTCTGGAAATGGGAATGGGTGTGTTTCCTTTACTCTTTACTTTGAGCTAATGGGGAATCACTGGAGGTATACATTTAAAACAAAACAAGATTATAACATGTAGTATATAATTTGTAGAAATACACATGTGTATAAAGAGGTATGTGTAAAGATGTTGATTGTTTGGAATAACAAAAATTTTGAAGTAATTTAAATTTCATAAGTAGGGGAATCTTAAGTAACTTACATTCTCAACATGACATACTAGGAAGCACATTCATGTGCCACATAATGATATTTGGTCAACTGTGGACTGGATGCAAAACTGTGGTGTCTTAAAACTATAATGGAGCTGAAAAATTCCTGTTGGCCGGTGACATCCTGATGATCCTGACCCTGCGTAGGCCTAGTCTAATGTGTTTGTTTGTGCCTTAGTTTTTAATAAAATAATGTAAAAAAAATTTTTTTTTTGAGACAGAGTTTTGTTCTTGTTGCCCAGGCTGGAGTGCAGTGGCACGATCTCAGCTCACTGCAACCTCTGCCTCCCGGGTTCAAACGATTCTTGTGCCTCAGCCTCCGGAGTAGCTGGATTACAGGCACCTGCCACCACACCCGGCTAATTTTTGTATTTTTAGTAAAGATGGGTTTTCATTATGTTGGCCAGGCTGCTCTTGAACTCATGACCTCAGGTGATCCACTCACGTCAGCCTCCCAAAATGTTGGGATTATAGGGGTGACCCACCGTGCCCAGACAAAAATGTTTTTTGTTTGTTTGTTTGTTTGTTTGTTTGTTTGTTTTCAGATAGAGTCTCTGTCGCCCAGGCTGGAGTGCGGTGGTGTGATCCTGGCTCACTGCAACCTCTGCCTTCCAGGTTCAAGCGATTCTCCTGTCTCAGCCTCCCGAGTAGCTGGGATTACAAGAGTTTGCCACCACACCCAGCTAATTTTTGTATTTTTAGTGGAGATGGGGTTTCACCATATTGGTCAGGCTAGTTTCAAACTCCTGACCTCAGGTGACCCACCCACCTCAGCCTCCCAAAGTGCTGAGATCACAGGTATGAGCCACCGTGCCCAGCCAAAAAATGTTTTTTAAAACAATTTTTAAAAACTTATATACTAAGGACATACAGAAAATATTTTATATAACTTATACATGTTTATGTTTTAAGATAAATGTCATTACAAGCATCGAGTTTTTTAAAAATTTAAAAGTTTATAAAGTAAAAATTATAGTAAGCTAAGGTTTATTATTGAAGAAAGAAAAATATTTTTTATAGATTTAGTGCAGTGTAAGTTTGCAGTGTTTAGAGTGTACAGTGTTCACAGTGTACAGTAGTGTCCTGGCCTTCACATTCACTCACTCCTCACTCACTGACTCACCCAGAGCAACTTCCAGTCCTGTGAGCTCCATTCGTGGCAAGTGGCCTATACAGGTGCACCATTTTAAGTCTTTTATATGGTATTTTTCCTGTACCTTTTCTACATTTAGGTATGTTTAGATACACAAATATTATTGTTTTATAATTTTTCTACAGTGCTCAGGACATTAACATGTTATACAGGTTTGTAGCCTAGGAGCAATAGGTAATACAATATAGCCTAGTTGTGTAGTAGGCTATCCCATCTGGGTTTATATAAGTACACTCTATGCTGTTTGCAAAATGACAAAATCACCTAATGATGCATTTCAACATTTCTCAGAACGTATTCCTGTTATGAAGCAATGCATGACTGTAGTTGAGAAGAATGAAGTAAATCTTTACGTGCTGTCATAGAAAGACCATCACAGAAAGACCTGACAGTAGATTAATGGGAAGAGTGCATTCCTATAATATGTGTTAACTTTGAAAATTGGTGTTTAAAAATGAAAGTGGTTTTTTGGGAAGATTGATGTAGTGATACTGTATCAAATTAAAAAGAAGTGATTGGAAATGAAGAGGGATATTGGGAGATAGGTGCATGAGTTTAGATGTCCAAGTATAAAGAGGCAGACCTGAATGGTAGAGAAAGAGAATGTAGAGGCATCCCAAAGAATGGTTGCAAAGGACTTCATGACAGATAACTGATAGAAGATGAAGTAGAGAGAAAAGAGATTTCCAGGTTGAAGCTTGGGAAATACGCATAGAAGAGTGATTTCTACAACTCGAGTGGATCCGTGTTAATTAGAAACCTTCTTTAAGAAATTCTTAATATTTTTGTTTCTCAGGATGGAAGAAACAGTACGAAATCTATTGCAGAGTCAAGGATCTCCAGAGCAGAAAAAAGAAGAAACTGTTAATATAATGGTCTATCAGGTACACCATGTTTATTATTCTTGGCTGGGTACTGGTCTGCTTGTTTTTCTTGTATTTCTCTAGGTTTGTCCTCTCTAACCCAGAGATAAATAAAAGGTGTGTTCCAGACCCCAGTGCTAAAAGCCACCTAGTCACCTCTGTTTTGAGGAATCATACACGTTTATTCAATTCATTCATTTCATAAACTCCTACTGTGAAACAGAGTGTAGATTTGATTCTAGAAGATGCAAAAAATAAGTTTGTGGTGAATGAGAGAGACTTGTATAGGCATTGCAGTACTCTGTGGCCAGGACTAAAAGAGAGGTGTGTACAACATTCTCTGGGAGCACAGGAGAGAGAATGCCTCATCTTGGCTGAGGAGGTGAGGAATAAATACTTGCCAGAGGTGTGACATTTAAGGTGGGCCTGTGGAATAGAGAACTCCATGAAGGGCATTCCAGGTAGAAGGGACACCTAGGTAAAGTGCAGTGGTGTGAATCTTCACAGCAGGCTTGTGGAGAATAAGCATCTCCAGATAATTAAGTAATGTCCTGGAAATAAAAAGTTACAGTGAGACTGAGAGTACAGGGAAGAGCTGGATGGGGTCTGGGGTGTATGCAGTCCTCCTGGGTCTGGCCTTGCATCTCAGGCAACAAGGAGTCTAAAGAGGTCCAAAGAGAGTAAGCAGTCAGTGAAATAACAGGTCTTTGTCTTCTTCTGATAGCCCTTATCCCACTGTCCTTTAACACCAGCAAAGCTGCCAGGCCAGGAAGCAGGACATCTAATCTGAGTATGGTCCAGATTGCCTGTACAGATGAGAAGGCTGTGGTATGGTGGAAAAGGGAAATACAATAGAAACAGCACAGACACTGTATATAGATAAATTTAGGACTTCTACTGAAAATCACTTCAAATCACAAATAGAGACCCAGCATCCACTGCACAACTATGTATGAAAAGCTTTAAAAAGCAAGGACATTGGTGGAAATGTGAGGTCATCACTGGGCAGCCCTAGGTTTTTGCTGGCTAAAAAGCCAGTGGGTTTGAGAAAGCAAGCATAGGAACCCAGCTGATTAGCATAATGTGGCATTAGCTTACCTGAATTTGTGGGCTCTGCAACCCAACTGGTTGTGAAAAGGGATTGGGAGGAATATGTTAATACAAGTAAAAGTATCAAAGTAAGTTAAGAAATCTGGCCACAGTTAACCTTAAGAGGCGAGGCTGTATCCTAAATTGTTGACCCTTGAAATCTACACAGGGCTACTTCAAGAAGGTAGTAAGAATTCTTTCCCATGTGCAGTGAATATAATGCAAAGAGTTGACTTAAGCTACCTCAGAAGAAATTAAAGTTAGCTTCATAGAGACAGTGGAAAAATCACTAAGATCAATTTCTAGGGAAAGGGCTTAGATTCTTCTTGAGAGGGTGGTCTTGACAAAGGGAATGCATGCTCAGCGTTTCCTGATATGTGGCCACCTAAAGAAAGGGAAAAAATTTTAGTCCTCCTAGCTCTGAATTCTTCATAGATATTATAACTGCTTTGGTACAAAGTTGAGGTGTAAGTAAAAAATGCGACTCGATTCTGCATTGAATGGTTCGATGCAGCCTGAAAGGGTCATATGAATCTGTGAAGTAAATTATTTGTTCCCCATCACATGTAACACCTGGCTTCATTAAAACTAAATAATCAGGCATCATTCTTAGGCTACATCTGATTTCTTCATGGTGGATCTCTTTCATTCAGATTCATATTTTCTTTTGCTTATTCTCTTCTGAGCTCTTAAACAATTATTAGCCACATCTGTGGTGTAGACACTTAACATCATCAGCAGCATTCATTTTGCGAAACGGAAAGCTGCTTAGAAAAACAGATATGCTTTAAGAAACGTGTTTTAAAACTATTACCTCTCCATAACCCAGTCTATTCGTTTTGGGAAATGAACTCTTCCCTGTAGGGAGAAGACAGTCATTAACTTGAATTAATGTCACATGATAGGGATATTTCAGTCATTCCTTTAATTGGCCTCAGGCTCCTTATCTGTAAAATGGGAAAGGGAGGTGGGTTACATGAACTGTAAAGGTCACTGTGCATTTAACAAACACTTACTGAACTTCTCATATGCACTAGGGACAGCCTTGTGCCCTGGGCATTCAAGAAACGAGAAAAGAGAGAAGGGCAGGTGATGCTGGGTGGCGCCAAGTCCCAGGGAGATCCCCTTCATCTCACAAATTCTATTTTTCTAAATAAGGCTAATAGCGGCAAAATAGTTTATGCATGATGTATGCGTGGTGATACTAGTGGAGCACATAGTTAACACCTCCCTGCGGCCAAATTCTGCGTTTCAGGCAAGAGCTGGGAAATTTATTGCTTCATAATATGGGGTGTCATTAGCACACCTGTCTCAGATTTTCCAACTTGCAAGATTTCTCTGAAAGGAGCCAGAGGCCCACGTAAAGCTTAGGCCCCTGGGAAAGCTGGAGTTACTTTCATTTTCCACTGCGGTAGCAGTGTTTGTTCTGAGTCTTTTATCATTGAGCTAATATAATAATAGCAGAGTAATAGCTTTCTGTGTTCCAGGCCCCTGCTAATTGCTTTGCATGCATTAAAGGTAGTCATATTTTGTTCAGGGGGTGTGTTCCCAAAGGCCTTTCATAATTTGTTGCTTGTGTAATTTATAGCTTGCATAATTCAACATGGATTCTCTCAAAGGACAATGGGTGTTTTCTGTTCAGCAACTGAGACGGTCCCACTATGTGGTAATCAGAGGTTTACAATTTACCAGCTTTGCCATTCCTGACCTTTTTTTAATTGGGGAATTTGCATGATTTCAAGTTTTGTGCATGAAGTGACATTAATAACATTTTCATGTGACCACAGTTTCAAATTTACCTAGTTCAGAGCCCCATCAAATGTGACTAGACTGTAGCTCATTCAGTCTCCACAACAATTTTGTGCAGGAGGTGCTGGCACTATCCCTGTCTTACAGATGTGGACATAGGCTCAGAGAGGCAAGTGCTTGCCTGAGGATGTACAATCAAGAAGTAGCCTAGAAGAGTTTTGAACCCTGGTCAGTCTGATTCCACAGCATTAGCTCTTATGCTGAGGACTTCCAGAGAGATTACACTATAGGCCCCAAGTTAAATGATAGGTCTGCTTATTATCTATGCTGAGATCTGAACCTGGGCCTTTCCGCTTTCTATCTAGAGCTCTTTCCATTAATTCCTCTGTTCATTTGCTCATTCATTCATTCAAATGCCAGTTTTTCATGTACTTTCTTATCTAAGTGTATTAGTTTCCTGTTGCTGCTGTAACAAACTTGGTGGCTTAACACAATTCATTCTCTTATAATTCTGAAAGTCAAAAGTCCAAAATAACAGTATTGGTCAGGCTGCATTCTTTCTGGGGGCCTCCAGGGAAAATTGCTTCTTTGCTTTTTCCAGAATCTAGCATTCCTTAGCTTGTGGCCCTTGCCTCTATCTTTCCAGTCTATCTCTCCAACCTCTTATTTCATCATCACATCTCATTGTCCTCTCTAGGGTCCCTCTTATAAGGACCCTGTGATGATATGGAGCCCAACTGGATAATTCAGGATAATTTCCTCATCTTGAGATCCTGAAGTTGATCAAATCTGCAAAAGTCCCTTTTGCAAAATAAGGTAACATGTGCTCTCAGATTTGAGGGACTGGGAAGTGAACATGTTTTGAGGATAGGTATTATTCTGTCACACTAAGCAGCACATGTTAACTTAACAGGCTGGAAGTACCCAGAAGATATTGGTCTAAGTACCAGAGATGCAAAGATGCCTGACACAGGTCTTTTCCTGAAATGCTCAGTTTATAGGATGCTCGGGAGTGGGGAAGGCAGGTAGATAATCATATATATTCAACAACGTAATAGAAGCCAAAATATAAGCTTCCACACATTCTGAGGGCACAAAGGAATGTGTCATGAAACCCACTGTTCTCCTTGGAGACTCTGCTTCCTAACTCAGGCTTATTTTTAATAATCCACTTCTCTTTTAGTCTCTTTTGTCTCTTGAAATGGACATGAGAGTCATGAGCTTCCTCATGAGTTCCACGGCCTGCCTTTCTCAGAGCATCTTGTGTTCCCAGTGTTCTGGGACCATGTCTCATTGTCAGGGCACATATGCTTGGTGCTTTACAGTTTGCAAAGCACTTATGGAACATGGAACTCAATGCTTGGTGCTTTACAGTTTGCAAAGCACTTACACAACGTGGATCTTATTTCTTTCTTCCAATAGCCACTAAAGGAGATATTTTCAGGCTCATTTTATGGCAAAGCTCGTAGAGGTCTCAAATCTTCAGGGACTGGGATGTGGGTATCTTTTGAGGATGAACTCGCAAATGCCAAGTGGTAGAACTATAAATTAATCACAGATTTTCCATATGAAGTTAAACTGAGCAGTTATCTGTGGAATATTTTGATGGTGTGGTGGAAAGTAGGCACAGTCTAAAATCTCAGGTCACAAAGTCACTGTCTCAATATTTTAAAAATCCAATAATAAAGTAAACTGAGATATATTAACAAGCTATAAAATGTTCGATTCTCATTCCCCCTGAGGAAGTGACAAGCATATGAGTCACAGAAATATTGTCATATGTGCAGGGAAGGTGACATATGCCCCTAGGATAGACTCATTTCATTAGGGAGAAGGGAAGACCTGAAAAGATTAACTTTAGGGAGCTCAAGGAAGGAAAAGCACCTCCCGGGTCCCCACTGCTTTGTCTTTCCAGCTCATTCTCTCTAGGTGTTTTAGGATTTCATATGTGTTATGTTTCATATTTGTGTCACTCACACCACCATTTCATTTAATTAAGTAAATTAGGGAACTTATGTTAGAAAAAAATTACAATTAGACATGAAAGGGGGCAATTAAGCATAAAGAAAATAGAGCAACCCATTGGAGAGGGGCATCATTCCATCACATTCATCTGCCAAAATATTTAAACACGGACAGCCTGAGTAAGATGCAAATAATCACAGAACTAACAAAGGGTTACCCCCTTTACAGGGCTCGTATGTCCATAGCTACCTTCTGCACTTCTTCATTGTAGCCGCCATGCTTCCTCTTGTTCCTACTTTTCTGTATGGAATATGAATTGAATCACATTAGCTAACTCATTTAGAAAGAAGGTGAATGGACAAGTGGAAATGGTAACTGGGGGGAAAAGGACCCAACTATGGATACAGCTTCTGCGACTACCAAGACTTATGGCCTCAGATGGTCACTTAAAGTCTCTGGGTTCTTTGTTTTTCATATTTTAAAAGAAGGGAATTTAGAGTCACCAATTAATGTAAATAGCTAAAGTAGGCCAGATATGAGAAAAATCAAGTACCCTCTAGGGGATTACATTCCTTTTTTTCACTTTTGATAAAGAAATAAATACAGAGCACTTTTGTCATTTGTTTTTTATTACTAGGCAAAAGCCTTGCTTTTGAAAGCCATGCCATAACAACCCACACCTGATTTAATGCCAGAGAAACAGGAGGGACTGGTGGGGCCTATGGCAGGCTGGAGAGCCTCTGTCTGCCCTAAGGGAAGCAGCCACAGCTCAGTGGCAGCAGATTCAGACAACCCAGAAACACACCAGTGCAGAAAGATCGCCACATGTTTCAAGAAGATACAATTTCAAGTTTTATGGGAAATCTCTTAGTCTGTAAGTGATGGCTTTTTTTTTTTTTTTTTTTTTTTGAGGCAAAGTCTTGCTCTGTAGCCACACTGTAGTGCAGTGGCACCATCTTGGCTCACTGCAACCTCCGCCTCCTGGGTTCAAACAATTCCCCTGCCTCAGCCTCCCAAGTAGCTGGGCCTACAGTCGTGTGCCACCACGCTTGGTTAATTTTTTATATTTAAGTAGAGACAGGTTTTACCGTGTTGGCCATGATGGTCTCGATCTCCTGACCTCGTGATCTGCCCACCTCAGCCTCCCAAAGTGCTGGGATTACGTATGTAGAATGATTGAAACATGTGCTAAACCAAGTGAAACCCTTAGAACAGAACAATAACTTCAAGGGTTTCCTCTTGCTCTTAGAATGCTGGGATTTTGGCACTACTCTTCCCAATGCTATAAGGCCTGGACTACATGAGGTATAGCATAGACCACTTATCTGACCTAATTAATACTATCTAACACTTACTGAGCACCTGCAGTGTACCAGTCACTATGCTGCTGATCATTCTACAGGTATGAACTCACTGAATTTTCATAAAACGCTTTGAAAGAGTTACTGTAATTTCACCTATTTTACAGAAGAGGAAACTGAGGCACAGAGAAATTAAATAGTTGGCCCAAAGTTACACATTACCAATGTTAGGTCACTCGACATCCTTTGCACCCTTTTAATTAGCTGGGTAGACTGCCATAAAAATGGAGTGCTTGGTGAGTCATTGCCCCAGTGGAGAGCATAGAGAGGTTAAGTATAGTGATCAGCAAAATTTCAGTGATGTCCAAGTTTTTGGTTCTCTCTACCTCTTTATCCCACCTTCTTAAAGAGCCCTGAGCTGTTGTGTTTTCTGGGCCCAGCTCTATTCTTTCCAAAGATGTTCTTTTTTTTCAGTCATTGATCCCTTAGTCTGCATCTAGAGCAATGTAGTATGTTTCCAAGTTATTTCCATTTAAAGTGATCTAACTGAACATCATAATTACTTTTTCCTTAAATAATTCTTTAAACATACTCTTAGATGTAATTAAGCATGGGGAAAGAGACCCTTTTCCAGTTATCCCTAAGTTTATCAATCATGAAATATATATCCAGTTCCTTTTATGGTATGTGGAAAGCACATGACATGGCCTGAGACCTTCCTGACTGAAGCCCAAGACTTGCCTGGCAGAGATATTATTCCACAGACTATAATTCTTAACAGAGGTGGCAGGAAATTTTTGACTTTGAACTTTACCTTTGTTGTGCCAGACCCCTATTAACTTCAGTAGGGACAGCACCATGTTCGAGAAGACAAAGAAGACACCCAGAGCCAGTGGAGGACACACAGGATTTATTGAGGGAACTTACATACAGGGTGGTCTAGTGGCTGCAGGCTGGACAGGAGAACCACAACTGCTGGCAAAAAGCATGCAGTTTATATAGCATTTTCACTTAGCACCCTCCGCCTAGCAACCTCCACCTGGCAACTTTCATCTAACCCAAAACAGAGGGCCTCGATCACCTGTCCAGCCTGTGTTCCATAGGATGGGTCCTGGGTTCTGATGTTCCTCATTGATAAGGAATGAATCCCTGGATTGTCCACTCCTGGATTCATAAGTTTGGAACTCCAAACACACATTCCTCTTACACCCTAGGGTCATTCTCAGGGTATGCTTAAGTTATTGCTGTCAGGTTTGTCTGCCATACAACTTCCTTCTTTCCTTGTAATGATTTAAGTATACTTTAAGCAAACTCCAAAATTTAAATACACTGGAGAGAAAAGTTAGGGTTGAAAAATTATATTGTTAAACTATCAATTATAAAAGATATCTTTTTTAAAAGAAATCTCCTTTAAATAGCAATATCTTTAGTATAAAATGTATATTTGCCAAATTTCTAACATAATAGATTTTATTTTCATGAACATATGTACACACAAGGCAAAATTGAAGTGTTTGTGGTTTTCAAGAACTGGAAAGTTCCTGACTAGTTCATCTCAGCCCTGACTGAGTATCAGAATCACCTGAGGGACTTGCAACAGAATCTGCTGTATGGGCATCTCCTTAAATCTACTGAGTTCAAGTGATGCGGGCTGGTACTCTGCTTGGTTTTGTTGTTTCCAGGTTTGACAGATCATTTTGATTCCTCTTGTCCGTAGATCTGTGCTAGGAACCAGTGAGGTACATCAACACCTATTCATTTCACCATAACCTTTTCCCTCATTTTGAAAAGGTTAAAATAGAGTTGAAGTGAAGTTCACAGCCCAAAGTCTCACTCCAGCACATGCTATATTCATCTATACTGATTTTTATACACACAACACCTGTTTCAGTAAGTACCCTGGAAGTTAATCAGCGAAGATAAGTGAACTCTTAAGAGAGCTCAATTGTAATTTACAGTTCTTTAGAAAGTGCTTCCTTTCTCTTTCCTTATTTTTTTTTTAAGCCTTAACAAAATGTGGTAAACAACTGTAAATATGTAGATCGGCAGTGAGTACATTGAGTGACTGAGTGCACACAGGCTGGGAAAAGAAATCTAAAATTCTGTTTGTTGATAGAGTGGCTAAGTCTTTGCACAGTTATTTATAACATTTTAATACACAATAAGGTTATAAAGTATTTTTATTGAGAGCTTTTATTTATGTCTGTGGCCTATAATCTTGAGAAGTCTCAAGGGTTTTTGATTCTGCTTTAAGCAATTGTTCTTTTCTATGAATTGTTATGAACTTCGAATAGCTGCTGAAGTGGGTGATGGTGGTAATGGGAGTATTTTTATTGTGTGTTAAGATTTAAAGGGCTGAAACTCTTCCTTGAGGAAGCAGATTTCTTTCTTCCTCTTTTGTTTTAAGTGGCATCCACTGTTCATATAACAAGTTCAGATACAGAAGGCGGAATTTCTCATAACCAAAGTGTGTGCTTAGATTCAGGTCAGTCAAAAATAATGTCTTTCAAACAAGATGAATCTTCCTTTTCTCTTTGAAATTATTCTATAAGGTGAATTTTTTTATTCTACATCCTACAGAAATATTTCCCAGATATCCAGAAGTTTTCAAAACAGTTTCATTTGAGAGCACCTGCTGGCTGGCACACTAACTAAAAAGTATTTGTCTCGTACATCCAAAGTCATGTTAAATACTTTGAAAGGAATAGAAGAGTTTTAAATAACATCACTAAGAGTTGAAATAGATATGTACATTCTTCTCCGGAATTTAAAATCCCTGGTTTAATGGGTTCTGACTCTACTTTCTTGTTCTCAATTTCTACCTAAATTCTGTGCTCAGACACGAATGCTTTTCCTATTAGACGTTTTGACCCTGAACCGAGTTCTTAACCAAGTAAAAGCAGAATATGGTCTCTCTGTTAAAACAAATATAACCTGTGAATAAAATGGTGCCCTGGAAAAGCACCTTCTCTTACTACAGGTGAGCTGGTTATTGCCAATGTATGTACCCGCTGTTTCCCCAGCTCATCTCAGCAGAGAGCCAGCCTTTATTTTGAATACCCAATATTGTTTCAGGTCAGGAGGTTCTGTGGCTACCATCCAAAAGATGTTGCCCTTTAGTAAGTGTGCAGCTTGAGCAAATACTTGGGGCATTCTAGATCATTAACCAGGTATATCAGTTATTTCCTGGTCTAAGAAACAAATGAATTTGAACAGAGCAAAATCACGATGATATCAGTCCTTGAACTTTGACCTTACTTTTATTCACTTGTGGCTAAAAAACTGTCTTTTGTTTTTTTAGAACTTGGCTTATTAATGCTTTGTGAAATGGAGAGAAAATAGGCTGTGACAGGAAATATAGTTTTGGAATGAGGAAATAGTTAAGAAAGAAGTGGAACAGGCCTGCTGGAAAAAAACATACACTTTCATTACTGAGATCTCTGCTATATGGTAACCTTTTAGCTATATTGTCCTTATTGATTTTGTCTGCACGGCGAGCACAGCATGGCGATGAAGAGAAATTGCCAGGTGTGGGGTGAAAGGAAAATGGTCTGGCCAGGGGTCTGCTGTTGGCATTTAAGCCATTGCAAGATTCAGGTGTTAATTGGCCTGACAGGCATATCTGAGGAGGCAGAACCACAACCTTTGTGGCTTAGAAGCTTGTTCCTGGGCCCTCTGGAGCAGTTTCTGGGTCTAGAAAGGTGGCCATCTTCCCCTTTACAGCTTTCGGTTGTAAGACAAGGGATTGGGCTGTGATGGATTGGGGTTCACAACCCACCTGGGCCTCAACCCAGAACAGTTCCATAGAGTCTCCGGCAGCTGAGACTGGGCCTTAGTATGGTTAAACATTTTCCCCAGGTGATGCAAATACCATTGCTATGATTGTGAGTATCAGTCAACTCCATGATCTTGAAGATCTTTTCTGGACAGCTCAACTCTATGAGGAAGGGCACAGGGAGAAGATTCTTTTGTTAGAGAGAGAGAGAGTCTCACTATGTTGCTCTGGCTGGTCTCGAACTCTTGGGCTGAAGCAGTCCTGCTGCCTCAGCCTCCAACGTCACTGGGATTCCAGGTGTGAGCCACCATGCTTAGTTTTCCATAGAATATTCTTAAGGAAGTTTGACTTACAGGTCATGGGAGAATGTGGATGCTCAATGGAAGTTCAAAGGGTGTTTCTTCTTCCACTAATAATTATTTGCTGTGGCCTGGGAGGGGAAGGGCTATCTAATCCTAAATCACTTTAGGCATGTGCCAGCTGTGAAACTATCCAGAGGTGCCCCCTGCACAGGACTTTGTCAGCTCCTAGGCCCTGAAAGGGTGGAGATAGTAGAGAAGTCTATTGAAGTTGCCCCCCTCCTCCCGACTCCCATGTCAGTCTGTCAGCCATCCATTCAAACACAGAGGCAAACAATACTCAGTATTTCTTCTTTTCTCCATGCAATAGCTAGATTAACATAGGGAAGAAATAATCTGATGAAAGGGAAATTGTAGACCATTTTTTAAATGAGTATCTCAATAGATGCAGGAAAAGCTTTCAATAATATCCCTCATGATTAAAACAAAAACCCTGAATAAACTAGGCATTGAAGGAACATACCTCAACATAATAAGAGCCATCTATGACAGACCCATAGCCAACATCTCACTGAAAGGGCAAAAACTGGAAGCATCCCTCTGAGAACTGGAACAAGAAACAGATGCCCTCTCTCACTACTTCTATTCAACATAGTTCTGGAAGTCCTTGCCAGAGCAATTAGGCAAGATAAAGAAATAAAAGGTATCCAAACAGGAAAAGAAGTCATCAAACTATCTCTCTTCACTGATTATATGCTTCTGTACCTAGGAAACACTAAGCACTCTGCCAAAAGACTCCTGGAACTCATAAATGACTTCAGTAAAATTTCAGGATATGAAATCAATGTACAAAAATCAGTAGCATTTCTATACATCAGTAACAGTCAAGCTGAGAGGCAAATCAAGAATGCAATTCCATTTACAATGGCCATAAAATACCTAGGAATACACCTAACCAAGGAGGTAGAAGATCTCCACAAAGAAAACTACAAAACACTGCCGAAAGAAATCAGAGATGACACAAACAATTGGAAAGACATCTCATGAAAAGACATGGAGTCAACCTAGGTCCCTATCAGTGGTGGTCTGGATAAAGAAAATGTTGTATATATACACCACAGAATACTACCCAGCCATAAAAAAGAAAGAAATCATGTTCCTTGCAGCAACATGGATGCAGTTGGAAGCCATTATCCTACATTATCCTGTAACACAGGAGCAGAAAACAAAATACCACATGTTGTCACTTATAAGAAGGAGCTAAACAATGGCTAATTGTGGACATAGATGTGGCAACAAAAGATACTGGGGACTCCCATAGGGGAAAGGGAGGGAGGGGGCAAGGGTTGAAAAGCTATAGTGTACTATGCTTGCTACCTAGGTGATGGGATCAGTCATACCCCTAACCTGAGCATCACGCAATATATCTAGGTAATAAATCTGCACATGTATCCCCTGGATCTAAAATAAAAGCTGAAATTATATTTTTTTAAAAGACTGCTATGAAGTCCCAGCAGTCCCTCACATCTTAAAGACCACATGTATAAGAGGTGCTGGTTGGGGAATTTGTGAAGAGGAATTTAAATGAGAAAAAGTTTCAGGGAGAGGCAGACCTGGAAATGAATCCTAGCTTTCTCCCTCAGTTGGTTTTGTCATTTGGGGCAACCTAATTAGCTGGAATTGCACTTTCCTCTTCTATGTAGTGGGTATAGTGAGGCTAAAGGGAAAGATTTCTGTTTTCCCAGTGGTTCCTTAGACATAATTTCATTTAACAATCAGAGATAATGTATGATAGCGTGCATAGCACATTTTAAGTATTCAATAAACAGTAGATATTATCATTATTATACAGCTAATCCCCCATCTACTTAACTGTTCTTCCCCTTCACATAGCCAAATTCTTCCTGCCTCACCTTACTGTACTTCTATGGCCAGTGCCACGGATGCCTTTCGTAAGCCTAAAGCTTTAGCATTGGAGAAAATCATGAAGCTGTGAGAAATGTAGACACCTCAGGAGTGCCAAACCCAGGGTCAGATTCCTAGGCAGGAGACGCTGTTTTGGTGCTGTCTTCTTCCACTGCACAATCTGTTGTTTCCATACTCCAGCTACCAGTATTTTTCACTTAGATATGTTTTTCTGAAATCTCCTCCATAAAGCATCATTCCAAAGCAAAAGAAATTAAGATGACAGATACTTCAGAGAGCATCATTCACATATTAGTTTGAACCAGTTAATCTGAGGGTTTGCTGTATCAACCCATCTCAGAAAACGGGAATTTAGGACATAGTATTCGAAGGGGAAGGAGACAGGAAAATAATTTCCCTAAAGTGATTTAGGAGCTTGTAATCCTCTACAGTGATTGAATAAGTCTGGGTGAAACCTTAGACTTATTCAATAGACTAATTCCTAATGGTTCCCTGGGTGAACCGGGGGAAAGAGCTGTTAGGAATTAGCATAGGGATACAGAAGTGAGGAAAAAAGCAAGTAAATGCAAATTACAAATTATAACCCTCATTTTAGGGCTTGTCACATGCCACATGCATGCAAAAGGAGAGAGAAACTGTGGATCCTCTCTGTCCTCCTTCCCTCATGTTCTCAGGATCCAGACCTGAGGCTGGTATGTCTTAAGTCAATGTTGAGGGCCTGGCCTGCTGTCTCAGGGCTATTTGCTGCATGCCTTCTGTGGGATGCACCAAGTGTCAAACCAGGTTCAAAGGGGCTTTGGGAACAAGCCTGTTGAATTGGGGTTTATGATGGCTTATATTTTCACTTCATTTGTTTAAACGAAGAGCCAAGAATCTCATTCATGATGATTCCATTGTTTTGTAACAAACAGCTCTCAAGTTCCCACTAACAACCTTCTTATTACAAAATGTACAGGTGCTTTTTTCTGTGTTTTATTTGGTAGGTTTCCCACCTCAGCCCCTAATAAATTTTGTTCCACATTAAATTAATAAATTAGCACAGGAAACTCATTTCTCCCCATTAAGGCCAAGCCTATCCCTTGTTCTGTATTAATAAGCTTCTGCTATAAGTGGTCACCTGAATACAATTCCTTTCCTGCTACAACCTTTTTTATTGTACTTATAAAAATAATTTATAAACATACCCTTAAGATATAAAATAGGCTATATTTCTCTTGGGTCACTGTATTTAATTATTCTAACCCTACTGTTATTGTATTTTTCTTTTCTGTGCATTTTTATTACCTTTTTTTTTCTTCTGAGCTTTTGAACATCACCACTGGGGGACTGGTAGTGAAAATTGACACAGTAATAATAAAGTGTTTTACAGTTTACAGGGTACTCTTGCAGCATCATCTCATTTGAACCTCACATTAACCTTTTGAAATAGAAAGGGCAGAAAGTGCAAGTTCATCTCTCTGGTGAAGAACCTGTTTGACACAGGCAGTTGACTTTTTCAGGTCATACAGTGAGTCAGGCTGGGAGTGGACTTGATCTTTTGATTCCAAGTCCCATATCTTGCAAGCATGGCATTAATTACTTTCTACACCAGTGACTCTCAAATTTGGCTGTGCCTTGGAATCATCCGGAGAGTTAAAAACAAAACAAAACAAAAAAACACTAATGTGCTGGTTCCACCCTAAGGATTTAATGGGTCTGGGGTGTGGCCTGGGCATGAGGATTTTTTAAATTTCCGCAGGCCTATTCTAATATGAAGCCTGGGTTAAGAATCATTGCGGGCTGGGTGCAGTGGCTCACACCTGTAATCCCAGCAATTTGGGAGGCTGAGGCAGGCAGATTAGTTGAGTCCAGGAGTTCCAGACCAGCCTGGGCAACATGGTGAAACTCCGTCTCTACAAAAAAATATAAAAAATTAGCTGGGTATAGTGGTGCATGCCTGTAGTCCCAGCTACCTGGGAGGCTGAGGTGGGAGTATCACCTGAGCCTGGGAGGTCCAGGCTGGAGTGAGCCATGATGGCCCCACTGTACTACAGTCTGGGCGACAGAGACCCTGTCTCAAAAAAAAAAAAAAAGAAAAAGAAAAAGAAAAAGAAAAAAAAAATCATTGTACTGCAAGGCTTGGCTGATTTTTCTTGCTCACTATGTGAAAGCTTCCTGTGGCTGTGGTCTCATGGCTGTGATCTCATTTTCACTAACCCAACACCAGCCTCTACTGTAGAGTGGCCAGCCTATGCATTCTGCATAGGAGACATGCAAAGCTTCTGGAGAAGATGGGAGTCGAGTTGGTCTTTGAAGGAGTAAAATTCAGATAAATGGGAGTATCCTTTGGTCTGTGGGTTCTCTGATGAGAGACAGCAGAGGGTTATGGGCACTGTGATGCAAGAAAGCAGAGGACTATGGGTATTCTGGTGAGAGGAAGCAGAGAATGTTGGATAAGTTTAAAGCCTTCAGAGGCCAACAGCCTAGATTCAGATCATCACTGAGCAGCCACTCACAAGCGGCCTGATGTTTGGGGAATTACTTAACCTCTCGGGGCTCTGAGGAGTTCCCAGAAATGTTTGAAGCATGGGTTGGTAGGAAGCTCGTTGCTGGGGAGGAAGTAGGCATGGGGCAGCAAGGTCAGTGGGTCACTCAGAAAAGTGACTAGGGCATGGGGTGGGCCCTGTTCAGACACCCTAGACTGGACTGGGTGGGTGAGAAATAGCAGAGGTGTCTGAAGAAGCAGAGTGTGGAGGAAAACCCTGCTGCTGGAAAAACCTTCCTAGAAATAGAAAATCATTTCATCTGCATTAGTGGGAGGACATTATGGCCTAAATGAAAAAAAAGACAGGACTCTAAATTCGCCTTAGTTAGTGGTGCCTGCTAACTGAGCTTGAGGCCTATTTTCCTTTATTAAAAGTTGAACAATTAGCAAGTGTTAGAGAGTTACGAAACTGAGACTTTTTTCTTGACATGATGACAGGCCCTGGAAATTCAGTGGAAGCTTGGCAGAGAGGATGTGGGCAGCGAGGCCGCAGGGCTGATTCTCACAGTGAACCCTTCTCAGCCCCACAAGTTCAAAGCCTTACGTGTAGAGCTGAGTTTCTAGAGTGGCCCAAACCATAATTGCTTCTGACTCTCCCATCAGTGTCTGGCATAATCTTTGACACACAGGACTGCTAAGTTTGCTGGGTTGAAAGAGACACGGAGAACCAGGCAGCATCCTTACAGCTTAGTGGGAGTTATTGCCAGAATGCTTCAGGGTTGTTGTGGGCAGAAGTCTATAAAGTGATCATCCAGGATCTTAGAGACGAGGACCGCTTCAGAGAGGTTGGATAATCTCACATTTATTCGTGTAGCCAAGACCACAGGCCATGTTTCCCGACTATTGTCATGTTGATGTGCACCATGTGGCCAGCTTCTGTCTGGTTTCTAAGGAAAGAGCTGTAGTGTGACACAGGCGGGTCAGTCACCATGTGGGGTGATCAGGATGGTCAGCAAGTCTTAGGTGCTCAGGAGGAGGAATAGAAGACAAGACAGGTAATTTGAAGTCACTGACTCTCAGAGCTAAATATTACCTCCAGCATCCAACCACCTCATTTTGCCTATGAGGAAATGATGTCACAGATGTCCCAGTAGCTTTACCAAAGTCATACCACCTACGAGTGGCAGACCTGGAACCAGCATCCAGCTCAGTGGATGCTCAGTTTTCTACTTTCCCCTCCCTATGATTGTGGCAACAGAAGATGTACTTGGTTGCCTAACACTAAGATGGCTACTGGTGAAATCTAGAAGACTATTTATTTGGATTAATTTGGAAGAGCTTTTCCGGGAGAGCCATTTGTCATGGGAACCACAGCTTGGCCAGTTTATTATTCTTTAAACACAGAGATTTTGCATGAAGAAACTGGTTACCCAGGTTTTGGATGCACTTTTCTGTTGCTTTTTCACATACATATTCTGACTTTTCTAATTGCCTTTGAGGATCATACTTATTTCCTGTTAATTTGTCTAAATTTCCTTTCCTCTCTCACCAAGATGAATCATCTGGCAGGATTACAGCTGTCTTCGCCAAGTAGCTCTTTGCTTCTCTACTCCCACTGAGGCTGTGAGTGGTTTGTCAGAATGTACATCCCACTATGTGACAAAGAAGCACCTCAAGTGATAGCTTCCTGCCACTTTGAGGGGTTAGGGATAAAAATAATAGTTTTAATGTCGAAAAGTATACCAGGACAGTATTACTAGCAAAAATGTCTTCAGTACAAATCCTCAAGCAATTCAGCCCTACCCTATGCACTGAGTTTTGCCTGACTAGAGACAGCAGGTACTAGAAGAAGTGTAGTCTTCTTGCTTTATCCTTAAGTTCCATTTAGGTGCAAATAGGTGGAGCTTCTCTCTTTTCTGACATGAGCTCCCAAGAGAATTAACTATGTAATTTATGTCTGACTTTCAAAAGTAGTATAGTTAATGCATCTTATTCGAGCTCTTCTTTTAGGTAACCCCTGGTTGGAAGAAGGTGGGAGGAATAGAGTACCTTGATTGGGAGTTAGTCTTTGAGTCACCAGAAATTCCCAGGGTGTCTTAGGGAAGACAACTATTTATGGCTTAAAAGTTGATTTGCTCCTATGTGAGAAGATGCATGTGGCAGGGGGTGTCAGTTAAAGGATAAGCGTGCAAAATCTCATTTTCTAAGAGAGAAAATCAATTTAGTGGTGCTTTTATCTTCTGTGCAAATATCCTATTGGTTTTTTGCTTTATGTCTATGGTGCCAAAATACTTGTTTAAAAAATGTTTTCTGTTGAAAGTACTTAAGAATAGTTAAGTAGTTCAGCAGTACTCTCACTCCCAGTGTCATCAGAGGTAAAGCATCAGCATATTCACCAGCATTGGACATTTGCTGAATGCCTTCTGTGTTGTGCAGTGTGTGGTGATAGGGATGTGATATAGAAAACATTATTCCTGCCCCTGAGAGTCTTACATTATAATTGTGACCTGTTGAATTGCATACAGTATCTACTTACTGAACTTGGACTGAGAAGTTCCCTTCTCCATAGGAGCTATGTATTATTATTATCATTGTTATTTCATTTAAACACTGAAAGAATTCTTTCTTTATAGAAGCAGTTGCTTTTTAATCAGTTCATTTTAATAAGCTTAGAAGATATATAACTATTTATTTGCCAGCAATTGCCACACACACACAAAAATGATATGATATTGACCGTGTTTTCTGAAACAAAAATTTGAGCACCTCGGTCATCTAGAGAACAGAGATAGAATTTTTTTTATTTTGTTTTAGAATTTTTACTTGAAAAAATAAAATTGTATATATATTATATATAACATGATGCTTTAATTATACACACATTGTGAATGGCTAGATCAAGCTAATTAACATATGCATTACCTCACATACTTATCATTTCTTGTGGTGAGAACACTTAAAATCTATGCCTTTGGCAATTTTCAAGTATACATTGTTAAGTATACTTACTCTTTCTTCTTCTTTTTTTTTTTTTTTTTTTTGAGATGGAGTCTCGCTCTGTCACCCAGGCTGGAGTGCAGTGGCGCCATCTCAGCTCACTGCAACCTCCGACTCCCAGGTTCAAGCAATTCTCCTGCTTCAGCCTCCCGAGTAGCTGGGATTACAGGTGTGTGCCACCATGCCCGGCTAATTTTCTGTATTTTCAGTAGAGATGGGGTTTCACCATGTTGGCCAAGCTGGTCTTGAACTCCTGACCTCATGATCCACCCGCCTTGGCCTCCCAAAGTGCTGGGATTACAGATGTGAGCTACTGCATCTGGTCTCCTATCTGAATGAAATTTTGTATCCCTTGACCAGTATCTCCTCAACCGCTGCTTCCACCCAAACCCTTACTAAGTGCTAGTCTACTCTCTGATTCTGAGTTCATCTTCTTTAGATTCCATAGGTAGTTGAGATCATGTGATATTTGTCTTTCTGTACCTGGCTTATTTCACTTAACATAATGTCCTCCAGGTTCATCCATTTGTGACAAAATGGGTAGAAAATTTTATATTGGCTTAAATTTATTTTGATTAAAATTCTGCCAGGGAATCTCAGACACATGGCTGCTGTAAGTGAGTACAATAGACAGCAATACTCTAGCCACCCACCTACCATTTACAACTCAGTGACGGGGTTGTCAGTTCCTTCTGGGATGGCCCTTGCTAAGTCCATGAGCTCAGCTTCCCTACCCTGTGAATTCCTTTAGAAAACAGGATAAAGGGGGATTGAATTTGAATTGCAAATTTCAACCTTAAGTTATGAGGTTTTTTTTTTTTTCTCTGACTCTTAAGCATGTAAGTTTAACTATTACCCACTGAAATTCCCTATCTACATGGCATTCTTACTTTCTGTTTTTGGTTTCTATCTGCCCAGCTTATACTCAAACAACTACCCGTGGGCTACAAGGACATAATTTCTGTTATTAGTTTTCTTAGATGTCCAGCCACCTGGAGCATACCTTTAATGAAATTCTAGGGGAACTTTTCACACCATTCTATTCCACAGTAGAGTTTCCCTTTATGTAAAGTGGTTTTAGAATTGAGGCTATTTTTTTAGGGAAATAAGTGTTGCCGATAGATGGAGCAGGCAATAAAAGCATCATCTGAAAATTTATTAGTGTAACTCCACAGGATCTGTTCAATATGGAAGACAATCGGCAATGTTGAGGAGGGTTTTGAGTGAAGAGTAATGTGGAGGAGATGTGGATTGATATGTCAGTGGTCGTGGGTTCATATTACAGACATAAAGAAAACACTTTGTTCTCTTATCCATCATACACATTTAATCTTGGGGATTTTACCATGTGCTTAGTTCTCTTTGTAAGTCAAATCCAGAGATGAAAAAGAAGAGTTTTATATGTTTTGCCTGACAGTAGTACTGTTAAACTGTGAACAAATTGGGATGTTCTTTTAAAATCCTGTGATTTATCTGACGCTATTTTTCCCTCTTTAAAATTTAGTATGCTTGTGCTGAACAAAAGCTGCTAGCAATCCCTGGGAATGTTGTTATGGTATTTGCTGAAGTGCTATCTAAAGTGACAATATATTTTGCACACCCTCCTCACCACCAGAAAACAAATGAGTAAATAAATCACAGAAGCTGAAACAACCAGGGCACGCTGGAGCAGCTGTCAGCCAGACGGCTGGCCTCTCTGCATTTCCATTTAGCTCCTATTATGGTATGTGTTTATGTTTTGAACTAATTGTGTCATCATTAACTATGGAAGTGGTGGTGGTTTGTTAAAACTATTCTGCTAGTAGTCACCTGAGGCCAGATCTGACATTTCTGATACAAACACCAACTCCGTAGAGGAATGGCCTGGGAGCCTTGGGAGAAACGCTGCCAGTAGCATGGTTCACGCTTGGCTAAAGATCACAGATTCTCAGATAGAATTACTACCGTTAGGGATAGATCTGTACATGCATGTCAAAGTCCAAAAGAGGTCACCGAGTCTGTGGAAAGAGCATGACGTCCAAAATCGGAACTGTATTTAAATTCTGGCTCTGCCACTTACTATTAAACGGGTCACCTAACAACCCATTAGAGGCTGTTTCCTTGTCTGTAAAGGGAGTCCAGAATATTTGCCCTATATCGCCCTTGCCATATGTAAAATTGTATGTCTGAACTCACTTGGTTTAACCCTGAGATGTTATACAAATATGAATCGTTATTTATTATGTCTTTTGTGTTCTGGAAAGAGCATATTTCATTTTAACACCACCCTGATCTCTGCCTCATGTGAACAGTCCTAAATTATAGCTTTTTATATTGTTGCTATGAATTAGTAGGTGGATTTGACACATGGTTACATTTTCAAAATGAACAAGTTCTGTTTTAACTTCTACAAATGACTAGTTCCTAAAGTTGGATGTTTCTTCATATCCCTGTAATTTCATTTTGCCATCAAGTTAAAAAACTAAGTACTTTAGAGTTTTTCCCCCTACAGTGCTAAGATTTAAGGATAGTCCCCATCAGAAAATAATGAGTGAGTTGGAAACAGAGGGTAGCTGTTATTACCGTCAGGATAGGTGCAGTGTTACTACATGGATGCTTTGTGTCCACCACCAGAGTTAGTAATAATAAAAATAGATGAGTGAATTGTCTTTATTTTTTTAAGGCCTTGCAACCAAGAGCTACTTGGGACTATTTTCCCATAAGCAAATGCCATTAGAAAGGGCTTATATTAGGCATGATTTTTGGAAAGTGTTAGGAGTATCTTTCACTAAACTCTCACTGGCCTTTTGTTTCTTACAGGTAGCTTTAACCTTAGGGCCCAAGAAAAGTACACAGCAAAAAGAGAAGGTTTTCTTTTTTGTTTTTTTGTGTTTTTTTTTTTCCAAGAAGGTGAGGAAATGGGAAGATAGAAATACACTTCTGGAAAAGAAGCACGAAAGTTTTATTATGCAGGGAATCTTCTAGGCAGGTCTAATCTTAATGAAATTATGTATTAAAAACCCCTGAACTTCAGCAGTGTTTTAAGTATTTATTTCTCAAGGTTGAGTTTTTACAGATGATCAAAGTTGTATAAATTTAAAGTGAGAAGAGACCTTTGAGTGAGTCTATGTTTGTGCATTTTATTTTATGGATGAAGAAATTGAGGGACAGAGAATTTATGTGATAACTAAAATTACACAGCTGGCTAGTGGCAGAGCTAGGAGGGAATGCAGATTTCTTTCTTCTACTTGTTCTAAGGCTTACTGAAAATGGGGCTAGATGTCTCTACCCTGGAGAAGAATAGACTTTTAGATCCTAGTGAGACGGTGCTTGATGATCCGCAAGAAGGTTGACTGTCAAATGAAATACCAAGGTGTGTCCGAGTGTGATATATACTGCCTATCCCCTCTGCCATAATTTGGGATTCTTTAGTTATCTTCACAGTCCTAGACTCAGACAGACCTAGAGTCACTCCCCAGTGACGGTGTAGAAGGCAGAAGGGCCACCGTGTTGAGGTTAAGCCTTTGTACACAAAACTAGGCAATTATATCCACCCAGTGGAACTGAGTATTGGAGTTGGGATGAAAATGTTCCAACTTTTCTTCTTATTTTTCTTAGGAGAGAAATTGTGAGCCTATTGTGACAACAAGTTGCCACTTTTCTACCTCATTTGGGACACTGATGGGCAGATTTCTCTCTTTATTTAATTAAAACAAGGGGCAAGCAGGCATTGTTTTTAAATTACTAAAGCTTTTTTTTTTTTTTTGGAGATGGAGTCTCACTGTGTTGCTAGGCTGGAGTGTAGTGGTGTAATATTGGCTCACTGCAACCTCTGCTTCCTGGGTCCAAGTGATTCTCCTGCCTCAGCCTCCAAAGTAGCTGGGACTGCAGGTGCATGCCACCACACCCAACTAATTTTTGTATTTTTTTTAGTAGAGACGGGGTTTCACCATGTTGGCCAAGATGATCTCGATCTCTTGACCTCATGATCCACTCGCCTCAGCCTCCCAAAGTGCTGGGATTACAGGTGTGAGCCACCATGCCTGGCCAATTTTTGTATTTTTTTTAGTAGAGATGGTGTTTCACCATGGTGGCCAGGATGGTCTCAATCTCTTAACCTCATGATCCACCTGCCTCAGCCTTCCAAAGTGCTGGGATTACAGGTGTGAGCCACCGCGCCCAGCCTAAATTACTAAGGCTTTCTAAGCAAGAGAGTTGTAGACATGTTTCCCTTCATTGTTGCAAACATAGAACCTGTCTCTTGGAGCCTCAATGCCCTTTGCTCTAGAAGCCACTGAAAGTAGTTACAGGCTGTTAATACCATCTGCTTCTATGAAAAGGAACAATCATAAGATAGTGAGCCCCAGAGTCTCAGAACTCAAATATAAATTTTGAGGGGTCTCTCATCACTTGAAGGTAGAGTAGTTTGCATAGGACATCTATTACTGAAGTAGGGTTAGCAAGCTATAGGTAAATGTGTATCAGCTTGTTTGGTTACACCTACTGTTCCAGTATACTATTAATGGCCACACCCACTCTTACTCTCCAGGGAATGTTGCTTTGGATGATTAATTATCTGTTCATTTTACTTGTTAATAATAGAAATTAAATCAAATGTGCAACCTCAAAAGCTTATCTAAAGTAAAAGTGATTTATGTTCTATGCTCAAGTGTGTTTGTCCAGACGCACTTAGTCTTGGATTAGAATTACCTGTAGTGTTCTCTAAAATGAAAGATTCCTGTCCCCACTCCCAGGTATTGTGAGTCACTAGGGCCAGAGTGCACCGAGGAATCTGCGTTTTAAACAAGCCGTACTTCTTCTCCTCCCCCAGCCCCTGTCAACTCTGATGCTGGTGGCTGATGGCCCACTCTCTGAGAAACATTGAAATAAGGAAATGTTGCTTGTCACTGTTAGAGGAAGTACATACTGAAGAATCAGAATTATGGAACGCCTTACAAACTGTGGGTTCTCATTTTGTGAGACTGTTGTTTTAATAATGGTTCCTTCAACTCCCGCATAGCCTATTGCAGCAGCATCTTGTTTTTCTGACATCTGTGTTAACTTCCCCCAACCCATCCACACCATATCAGAGAGAGATTTCAGAACTCAAATCTGACTGTGTTACCCTCACTGCTGCCATACTTGAAAATAGTCAGTGGCATTCCATTCAGTGACTTCTCATTTCCCTGAGGGTAAAGACAAAACTCCTTGACAAGTGGCCTAGCCCCATCTGCCCATCCAGCCTCATCTCCCTCCCCAGAGACCCTGGCCTACTTTTGGACTTCTCAGTTGCCCTCCCCTCTTCTCACATCGTGGTTATTTCCTGGTCTCACTGTGCCCTCGGATCTCACCTCATTCTGGGAAACCTCTCCCAACCTCTCATTTATATCGCTCTATTATCTGTTCTCAAAGCACCTTGAAACTCTTCCTCACAGGACACACTACAGTGCTATTTTATGTTTGCTCCTGACATTTTGATTAATAGCTATCTTCTTCTGCAAGACTGTAAGCTCCATGAGAACAGGGGCCACACGTGTATTTTTCACTTTTGTATGCCTGGCATATTCCTCAGCGCCTAGCATGTAGGAACTGCTCAGCAAATATTAATTGAATAGCTTGATTAATGAATTACAAAATAACCTTATGGAATATTGATTGAGTCCTCCTGTGTCCTGGAATGGGGAAAGCCAGTGACTAGAAGATGGAGAAGTCACATTTACACATTTTGGGGAAGGGTATAGACTGAGCAGCAGCTGGCCATCCATGAAGAGCCATGCTGTCCTCTCTTAGGACTAACCAAGCTTCCTGGGCTGTCATCTGAGTTCACTTGATGCGTTCCAGAACTTTGTGTTGATTGATGTTATTTTACATAGGCCTGATGATGTTGACTGCTTGAGAACAAAAGGTGAGTGCTCTGCCAAAGGTGAATCATTACCCTAGATACCACTTAGGGAAACTTACAGCTCTAAGGATTGCTTTATGTAGCGACAAGGTGAAATTTAATATAAACCCTTCGATGCAAACTGAGCTCCTAAATCTTTAGCTTTCTGAGTTCTAGCTGGTATTTGTTGAGGTAAACAAGCTTATGGTCTCAATCATATATGAAATATGTGGGGAGTGAAAGTTGTTTGTATGGTAGCTTCACTTTTATAGAATTCACTCTTGATTAAACTCCATAAAAATGAAAACAGGTCACCTCTAGAATCAACTTATTCTCTTCAACTTTGACATCCTCATGAGTGGGCCTGGCTAATTTTTCTTATTTCCTTTTTGGAGGTTCGTAAGACAAATACACAGTATTTAGCACTACACATTTTTGACCTCTCTGTCTGATATCCTTTTTGCTGTGTATATCTCAGATTCTTAATTGGCAAAGGACCTAAAATTTGTGATATTTTTTCTGATTAAAATAAGTTATTTATTTTTGGATAGAACCCATACACTTGATTTTTTAAAAAATACTGTCGTGTTTTTATGAGTGTAGGATAAATCCAACTGCTAGTCTATCTAAAATGGACTATGGTGATCTGTGGATAGGGTATAGCCACGTTTCTCTCCGCTCTCTCAGGTCTTTCCTCTACCTCTGTCTCCACCTATTTGTTTCTTTTGCTCATTCACTTACTCTAAATACGTCCCTTCCATTTTCTCTCTTTCTCAATGTTACCTTATATTCTAATGCTCTCACTGGTAAATGATTAAGAAACAAAAGATTAATCTTAAATGATTAAGAAACAAGAGAGAACCCCACCTTCTGGATTTGCATCAGGGCATTTTGTCATGTAGAGCACAGGCAAGTATGCCTTTAGGTCAGTGACTAGTCTGTGAGCAGCATGCGGATGTGGCTTTTGGTCCTGGGTGGCGTTACATCAGAGCAGCTTTAAACTCTCTTTGTCACGAGCACATCAGCAGTACCTGCACCCCAGGACCATTCAAAGTGGCCCTGCGACTTCCAGCTGCAAGGATCTGTGTCAGAGAGCACTTTTACTTGAGAACTACACAGAGCCTCACTGCCTCCAGCAGGCTAGAAGAGCCAGGAAATGAATGCCTCAAGAGCTGGCCTCAACTAATGACTCCTCCAGGGTTGGGACACCAACACCTCAGCTCTCTCACCCTGGGGTCAGATAATTCTTCCTTTCCTTGAGTCACTTCCCTACCTCCCTACTGGTGTTTCCTGCATCTCCCAAATGAGCTGCTTGTACTCAATTCCTTGTTCTCTAAGAATTCAGGCTAGACACTAATGATTTAGAAATGCTAACTGAGAAATTAAACTGTAAGTGATATTTTACAGGGGGATGGGCGCAGTATGGATCATGCCTGTAATCCAGCACTTTGGGAGGCTGAGGTGGGTGGATTACCTGAGGTCAGGAGTTACAGACCAGCCTGGCTAACATAATGAAACCCCATCTCTACTAAAAACACAAAAATCAGCCTGGTGTGGTGGCACCTGCCTGTAATCCCAGCTACTCGGGAGGCTGAGACAGGAGAATCGCCTGTACCCAGGAGGCGGAGGTTGCAGTGAGCCGAGATTGCACCACTGCACCCCAGCCTGGGCAACAGAGGGAGACTCCATCTCAAAATAAATAAGTAAATAAGTCAGTGATATTTTACAGGGAGCTGCATTTTCCAAACCTTGGCTCCTCTATCAGTGCCCTTCATCCCCTGCCTTCTTGGCTTTAGAAATCTCTTCGTACATTCCCACCTTTGCTACTCTCTCTGGTGCTCCCTCTTCTTTTTAGTTCTTCAGACAACCTCATTTTTTTCTATCTTGAAAAAGGTTTCCACTTGCCTCCACAATGCCCTTCAGCTACAGTTCTTTAGATTTCCTTCCCTGCCAAACTTTCAAATGAGCATCTGAGAAAATTGCCTCTATTTTCTCCCTTTTTACTTTTTGCTTAACCACTGACAATTTGGGTACCATTGTCACACTTTAGTCAAACAGCTCTCAAGTTCCCACTAACAACCTTCTTATTACAAAATGTAGAGGTGCTTTTTTCTGTTCTCTTGTCATTTCTGCTACCACTGAGTGCCTTGACAACGTTTTCTTTCTGAAAACTGTATCTTAATTGAATTCTTAGAACTTTAACACTGGAAGAGACATTGAGTCCAACTCCTCACCTTATCTCTGGGGGAAACTGAGGCCTAAAAAGTTGGAATGATTTTCCCAGAAAGTTCCAAAGTTGTAAAATCTAAGCACTGAATTCAGGGCATCTGACCCATCATCTGTGGTAGTTTCTGAACCACCGTAAAAACTGCTTTTGGTAAGTCCTGATTCAATCCCTTCAAAATATTCCTGATTTTTATTTCCTTCTGTATAAAGACTTTCCAACTAGTCTCCTAGCTCCTTCCTTCCACAGCCCATTCTCCATTGCAGCAGTCAGGATGATGTTTCTAAAATGTAAATCAGAACCTACCACTCCCCTACGTCTAGACTTCAGTTCCTCTTTAGTGCACTTAGAATAAAATCCAAACTTCTTCCTATGCCTAGAAAGACCCTCTATGGTCCAGCTCTCTTTCTGATCTCATTTCCTGCTAGCCTTCCTCTTTTAGACACTATGCTCCACCACAGACCCTCCCTCAGCTGGCCAGCAAGGCAGGCCTGGCCCTGCCACGAGTATTTGCCTTGCTAGTCCTTCTGCTGGGAATGCTCTTCCCCAAACCACTGCACAGCTACTTCCTCCTCATCATTTGGCCTTTGCTGTAATGGCCACCTCCTCACTCAGCCTCACTCTGTTGTTAGCACATCTAACATTGCCCCTAACCACACCACTCTCTATCAGATGATATTATTTTCTTCATAGCATTTACCACCAGCTACTAATACCTTATATTACTTACAGATTTGATTTGGAGTTTGTCATGTTTACCAACATTAGAATATAATTTCATGGAATATAGGAACTTTGTCTTGTTTTCCATACTCCATTAGCTAGATCAGCAAATGGCCAGTAATCCATGTTTAACAAAACATTTGTTGGATGAACAAATGAGTGAATTGTATCTGAATTTTTGTCTCATTTCCAAGCATCCTCTCCCCCTCCTTTTCTCCCCAATCCTATTATTCAACTATTCTCTCAAAAAGCTTTTCTCTATTATAATCAAACTGATTTCCTTATAAACCTGTAAGGACAAAACTTACTCTTGACTAGGAGCCTTTTAAAATTTTCTCTTTCACCAAACACCGACCCTATGCCTCTCTAACTATTTAAGTTGTATCACTGTGTTAGAGTATGAGTCACATTCAGTTTCCATAGAATCATGTCTCACAGCTTTCATTGATTGCCCTTTCTTCAAATTATGTAAAGTGACCCTGACGTTTTATGTAATCTAAATACTGATACATAATCCATATTGTCTTTAATTATTTCTACATCATAATACTTGGGCACTGTATCTAGGTACTTTAAGAGTGTGTGTATGTGTGTGTGTATGTGTGTGTGTGTGTGTGTGTGTGTGTGTGTGTGTGTGTACGATAGGGCAGTGGCTCCTCATTATTTGCAGATTCTGCATTTGCAAATTTTCTACTCACAAAAATGTATTTGCAACCCAAAAATCCATACTTGTGTCACTTTTGTGGTCATTCGTGAACATACATGGAATGGTGAAAAATTAGTCACCCAAGGTTCACGTTACTAGCTGAGATGGAGCAAGGCAGCACTGACTGTGCCTTGTTGTTTTAGCTTTCATGCAATAAACTAGTATCCTGTTTGTGGTCTATTTAGTGATATGCTTTTTGTATTTTGTGCTTTTTGTTGGTGATTTCACTGTTTGACATGGCCCTGAGTGTAGTGCTTAAGTGCTGTCTGGTGTTCCTAACCACATGCAGGCTGTGATGCGCCCTACAGATAAAATACATGTGTGTCGGATAAGCTTCCTTCAGGATGAGTTACAGTGCTGTTGGCTGTTAGGTCAGTGTGAATGAATCAACAGTATATGTTAAATGTAAGGTGTCTTTAAATAGAAATACACATAAAACAAGATTATATAATGGCTGGTTAATGAAAATGTGACCAGAGGCTCACAGGAACCTAACTCTGTATGTCCCCTAGGAACAATAATTTCACATTTCCTAAGTTGGTGTACTGTTCATGAAAATTTTAGAGAACATAACCATTGTGAATGACACGAATTCACTATATGGTATGTGAGTGTATATATGTTGACATTAGCCTCATTTAGGAGTTTAGGAGACAAAGACATCAAGACTTATTGAAATTAAAAAGTTTGTCCAAGGCTAGGTGTGGTGGCTTAGGCCTGTAATCCCAGCACTTTCGGAGGCTGAGGAGGGTGGATCACCTGAGGTCAGGAGTTCGAGACCAGCCTGGCTAACCTGGTGAAACCCTGCCTCTACTAAAAATACAAAAATTAGCTGGCCATGGTGGTAGGTGCCTGTAATCCCAGCTACTCAGGAGGCTGAGGCAGGAGAATTGCTTGAACCTGGGAGGTGGAGGTTGCAGTGAGCTGAGATCGCACCACTGCACTCCAGCCTGGGTAACAGAGCGAGTCTCCATTTCCAAAAATAAAGGAAGTTTGTGTAAGATCATTTGCCAAACTGCTAAATAAATGTTAGACCTGAAATCTGGCTGTCACATTCCAAAGTCTTTTGGCTTTTCATTTACCACCCCAATGGCTTTTCTTTGTTTTAATTAGCTATTGGGCTCTGATTATTACAGGATACTTCTACAGATACACACACACACACACACACACACACACACACACACACAAAGAGTCATGTACCTTATAAAGATGTGTGATGGTGGTCTCGTAAGATTATACCATGTTTTTACTGTACCTTTTTTATGTTTAGATATGTTTAGATACACAAATACTTGCCATTGTGTTACAGTTGCCTACAGTATTCAGTACAGTAACATGGTATATAGGATTCTAACCTAGGTACCATATAGCCTGGGTGTGTAGTAGGCTGTACCATCTAGGTTTGTGTAAATACACTCTATGATGTTTACACAATGATGAAATCTCCTAAGGAATGTGTGACTGTGTATATGTGTATGTGTATGTGTGGATATATGTATGTGTGCATATATACATATGTATATGTATAAAATATAAGTGGCATATGCTGAGTGATGAATGAAAAACTATATACAGAAAAGTAAAATGAAGATAATTTTAAAACAGCTTGCTTCATCAACCTAAGTTAGTGTTTACTTACAGTCATCCCAAACCACAAAAGAGAAGTAAAGGTACTTCTTTGTTTAGGAACAGTATCTACAAACTTCATATTCCTTATCTTGGAAATGTAAGTCTGACAGGTGACCAAACCCTAAAAAATCAAAGCTATAAAAATGCTACCATGACCTGGACTTGTTTCCTGGCCTGTGGATGTACATCTTAAACTTGCCTGGCATTTATCTGAGCTGAACTCACACCTGCACATGGTATACAGTTACACATGCTTGGGCCTGATTTCATAAAGAACTACAACCTTTCTAATCAACTATGCATTTATATATACAGAGATGACAGGAGAAATTAGATCCTGAAATCTGTACATAACAGGTTCACATGGATGAATTCACTGACTTTGTGGTCTAAAGTGATTTATATATACACACACGTATACACTGATACATATATATGTATAAATGTATACATATACATTAAGACATATTTTTACATAATTCATAATTTGTTTTCAAAAAGTAACTTAAATATTTTTGGAACCTTCAAAGTACCTTGATGAGCACAGTTTGAAAACGCCGTGGTTTTTTTTTTCTTCTTATGTTCTTCTTTTCTAAGTAGATTGTATGAGCTCCTTGAGGGTAAGAATGATACGTTTTGTGCTTCTGTATTTGCAAATAGATCTTAGTTTAGTATTAAAATATAGAGAAGTCTTTTACCACTGATAATCCAGTTTTGTTCAGATGGTTGACAACCAGCTACATTAAAGCAAAGATTTCTGCAGCATTGTGTTTAGAATTAAATAGTGTAATGGAAGGATGTCACCTGATTGTGGGGAGCAAGAGTCTCCATGCACAAAATGGATCCTTTTTTTTTTAATATGGTAATCTCTTGATACTTCTTTTTCCCTTGAAAACAAGAGCTATTCATGAGGCTTAACTTAGTACTTCTCAACTTTCAAAAAGCTTCCAGAGACAAGGTTGAGTGAGGGGCTTCCAACAGTGAGTCAAGACAAAATAACTTTTTATGTCTGCCTCAAGGCCATAGTACGAATGCTGAACAGTGTTACAGAAAGGGACTGAGGGATCCTTAAAAGTTGTGTCATTATTGAGCTGAAAGAACTAATAGGTGTGAGCTTTGAATTCTGAAATCACTCTTATTTCAGTATTTTGTGATATTTTATATTCTTTTAATTAAATGGCTGCATGTCCAGTGACTTTAATGACCCTATCTTGAGGAGCTATGCCTTTCACAAATGAAGGTATCAAAATTGATGTATTTTTCCACAGTTTGCAGTATAGCTGAGTTTCATTGTGCAGATAAAATTGGATTAACCACATGACTCCACCTATGGCTTTGCTGGCTTAGTCACTTCTCCAACTGTGCAAAGGACAACTGCATTGAGAGATGGCAACCCAATGGCCTTGTCCTTCCAGGGGTCAGTAAAAATATCTACTTCATTTTTTAAAATAAACCCCTCTCAGAATTTGTTTAGCAAACTCCCAGCCCCGGAAGAATGCACACGCAGGAGAATGATTCCAGCCTTTTCAGCCTCACACTCATGCTTATTTTTCACTGGAGATTATTGAAAACAGTAATTCTTTCTTGCTTCAGGAAAAGCTGTCAGAGGAAGAGAGAAAACATAAGGAAGCTTTGGAAGATCTTCACATGGTGGTTGATGAGGATTCGAGGAGTGAAAGCAGCAGTACAGATGAGGGAAAAGAAAAGACCAAATTGCTATTAGAGAGATTGAAAGCTCTAGAGGTAAGAAATGAAGCAATTTTTACACTCTTCAAGAAAAATAACAGTATTCTGCTTCTTTTATTGGCACTGGTTTTGAGTGAGTATAAATCTTCCCTTTTGAGTTCTCCCAGACTAATATGATCTACGATTTCCTGCTGAGATTTGTCTACAATGAGCAAAAAGTTAGCACTGAAAGGGTCTTGACCTAATGTTGTTTTAAAAGGAGTACATAGGGCAGTAATTGATTTTAACTTAAATTCAGCCCTCAAACTGGATTAGTTCCTAAAATTGCAAGCTCCTTGGGGGAAGAGGCTATGTGATATTTTACTTTGTTTTCCCCAGTAACTGGTAAAATGAATGAATGAATGAATGACTAAGCAAAATATTTAATAGTATGTAAAGATGATTGGACACACACACACAGAGATTTTATAAGCAGTATAGTCATATCTTTAAAAAAAACGTGCAGGAATTAAATGTGTAAAGCATCTAACAGTGAGCTGAAACTGGCTAAGGAGACTTAAGGAGATTTTTGGAGCACTGACATCCTCCAGAGACCTCCAGACCGGGATATGATAACACCCGTCTGTTACTTCGTGGCATTCGACATTATTTCAAGTGTTAATTCATGAATTTTTATAGCAGTCATCAAAGACCATTCTAGTTACTAGTTCTTGATTGAAATGTCACATGCTTAAAGACTCAGCAAAGATTTTTTTTTTCTATGAGTTCACTTACGTCCTTTCGATAAGCTTATAAAGGGCCTTCACCCAACATCTAAAAACGCAGTTCTACCATAGAGTCTACAGAATCCTGAAAACTCTACTAGCATAAAGGAAGAAGAGCTGGAGGCTGGGCACGGTGGCTCACGCCTGTAATCCCAGAACTTTAGGAGGCCGAGGCAGGCGGATCACGAGGTCAGGAGATGGAGACCATCCTGGCTAACAAGGTGAAACCCCGTCTCTACTAAAAATACAAAAAAATTAGCCAGGCGTGGTGGCACGTGCCTGTAGTCCCAGTTACTCAGGAGGCTGAGGCAGGAGAATGGCGTGAACCTGGGAGGCGGAGCTTGCAGTGAGCCAAGATTGCGCCACTGCACTCCAGCCTGGGTGACAGACTCAAAAAAACAAACAAACAAACAAACAAAAAAACAAAAAGACCTGGAGGGGCCTTGTTTTCTATGCTTGCTTTCTGCAATTCTACCTCAGATCTACCACATTGTCTATAATGAGCATATCCATTTTACACTAATTTCCTCGGTGATAATAAAGCAGAATGGTGAGATTATGCACTTTGAAGCTCAATTCTTGGGGTTTGATTTGAATCCCTGTTCGACTACTTTCTAGATTTGAAACCATCAAAGTTACTTAGGCTCCCCATGCCTCTGTTCCCTCAGCTGAAAGCATGGGGATAGTAATAGTAATTAGCCTTACAGGGAAGTAACGAGGATTACGTGTGTAATTATTTTTAAAATGATGCCTGGTGCATAGTCTCTTTCATTCATCCACACCAAACCTGCTCCTTTTCCTTAATTTTGTTCCTACTTACCTGGGCACAGTGATTAACAATATAAGGACTGTGAATGAAAGAGTTGGGCTACTCCACACAGGTGTGACCGAAGGCAGACAGGTAAGCAAGTAGCTTCAAACACAGAGCAGAACAAATATCAACTAAAGGAATCGCTAGCAACTCCCTCTGGGCAAAGAGCTAGGAATCACCCTTGTCTCCCCAAGGGTTCTCATTCTTTCGTCATTTTTTAAAGATAGTCACTATAAAAGATAGGAAAGCTTTCTCAAGGGAAACTGAGGTTCCTATTTGAGTTTTAAGAAACTCATAACTTTATCTTGAGGTTGAATTAACTAGATTCACAATAGGAAAGAGCTGATATTATCATTTCTTACTCCCAGAGAACAGTGTACTTAAATTGTTAGTTTTTGTTTATGACTACAGAGAAAATTAATCTTAGTTCATGTTGTTGTTAGAGACAACATTGAAAAGTACATTTTATTTCATTAAGCTAAGAGGTCTTTAAAAAATGTATTTGGCAGCGAATGTTTCTTAAACTGTAGTGAGTAAAAGAGAAGCAGTATCTTTTTTCCTTCCACAGAGTTCTTTACACTTCAGGCAACAACTCTTGATTCCAGCATTAGTTGAATGCAATAGATGATATCTGTAAGTGCCATTAAGACCCACTATTTTAATTCATAAAACTATTTTATTTTTTAATTTTCCTATAGTCATAGTGTCACTGCTTGTTTCCTAAAATTCTTTGTTCAATATTAAATGAACTTTCTCCTTGCCTTCACATCTTACTATCTTCTACTTGAACAGGTAATAAGAAGATTATTTCATTTTATAATAAAGTATGTAAAATAAGAAATACAAATATATGTTTGTAAATATATATAAATATATCTTCTTATATATAGATGTCATTTTGTCATACATGTAATTCAATTTTCATATGAATTTTATATGCTACTTAATTTTTTTTATTTTAAAATATTTGCTCCATATTCTCAGTGTCTAGGATCTTTGCATGGGTTAAACATTATTGTAGGAAAATAGAGAACTGATTTTGACAGACTGCAGTCAGAGCTGGTCACAGACCCCATGTGGATTTTTATGCTTTAATGAAATGCTCCCCTGGAAGATTGCAGGGGAATTAATTATAATGTGTCAAAAATTACTTTGGAAAAATTTGATATACAACAAGATTTTAAAAAAACAAAGAATTTTTCTATTAGCATATTTTTGGAAGGCAGCTAGGCTCACCAATATACCACCAGCACCCCATCAGCGTATTTTTGAAATGACCATATTTGTATGCCCTAATCTCTTGGCCCCTGGTGTTGTGGATCACAGAAAGGAATGATTTTCAGGGTGGTGGACAGCAGTCTTCTTTAATTCCTGCTCCCCTAACAGGTTCTAAGAAGGTGTGGAAAATGAAATGCAGAGATGACTTCTATATTACGTTCTTGATTACTGTGACAGTAATATTCAAAAACAACTTGAGGAGCCCCTGACTTTGAAAATTAAGTTAATATTGTCTAAGCAAATCACCCTCCAGCTGCCACCCCTGTATTATTTATTCCCTCTTGTGACCATTTCTGGGGTAAGTTCCGACTCACATTCGTCAATCAATTCCTCTTTCTTCTCCACGCACCAACCTCTTATGAAACAGAGCCCCCTTTACTTGATTTTTCCAAAATCCAACCCTAGGAAGGATATGGGGTCATGGCAGAATATTCTGGAGGCTAAGGGCCTTCAACTCTGTCTTTTGATAGTTCTGTTTCCTCCCAGTCCTTTGGTTGCAGGGCGTTTCGCAGTAGCCTTTCTCCTCAGTTCCCAGATCCCGCCTTAGAACGTGGCCAGCTCTGTCCCACTTACTCTCCTCTCCCTCAGACACCTTCTCCCACAGCCAAGTTCTGTCTTTTAATTTGCAGAGCTGTCTAGGTCTCTGCATGCCATGTCATGGGCTCATTCCATATCATCCGCCTGCTCAGCAAAATATTGTGCTAATTAAGACCTTTACCTTCCTAAAAACGCCTCCAGGGCCAACAGTCAAAATTATAAAAATTATAATTATACACACTCTCTCTCTTTCTCTTTTTAGCCTGATTTTCTCTACTGAGTACGTTGGTTTCAGCTGTTGCCAGCTTTTCATGGTGAAGAGTAGACCGTTTACCCTCACTACCCAGCCACTGCTTCCCCTGGGCTTCAATTGTAATTTGTGTTTAGGGTCCTGGTGCCTGGAGGAGAAATCACTTGGTGTATATTGGTGTCATAGGGCACACATGGACAATCTGGATGCCACTTGCACATTTTATGTAACTTCTCAGTGCCTGACTGTAGCATTTTCTATGTATTTTAAAAGTTTGGGTTTTCAAGGCTGCTGTTTCAGAGACTGTTTATTTGACTTAGAACAAAGCTCACCATTCTCAACAGCACTGCCATGTCTCAGGTCCCTTCTACGAAAGGATCACTCCTTTCTGCCACCCCACCAGAAGCCACTGATTCAAGGGATCTTCCCAGACCTGCCCTCCAGGATCCACTGGCTTCATCTGGAGTCTTCCCTGTTCCCTACTCCTGGGCATTTGCCCCACTCAGGCCCCAGATTTGCTCATGGCATGTTCCTTGAAAGACATGATTTGTTTGTCTGCAGGCCCCACTCCTGACACTCCCACGTGGCCCTTCTCTCCACTCAGGGACCAACTGCACACCTGACTAAAAGTGAAGCTGGATGTTCCCTTGGCTCACTCCCAACTCCCATGGCATCTCTGATACTCAGCTTCTAGCCAGGGGGAGAACAGGCCCGCCACCACCTGAGAGTCCTAAGCCTAAAAGCATGTGCTGATGACTTAGCTAGATAGCCTCAAGGTTGAAAGAACTTGGCCGCTTCTAGGAATGATTTATTTTGTGCAGAAAAATATGGCAATTAAATGTGTTAAGGTGAATAACAGCTTTTTCTACTCAATTATACCTTTCCATGAAATGATGACAATTACAGTGCTGTGCATAAGCATTTTGTTAATCATTAATTCCTATTTAAAATTAGGTAGTTCAAAATAGACAAACCTGGCTGTGCATCACAATTACCTGTAGAACTGGTAGTCGATAGATATATATTAATATTAAATATATTAATAATATATTTATTAATATATTATTAATATATTTATATATAAATAATATAATATTTAATAATAGTAAATATATTAAATATCTTCTATGGGCCAAACGTGTTCTTTGCACAGGGATTAGATCAGTTTTTTTGGTCCCCACCCCAGTGGGCAGACACAGGAAGCATATACTTAAATGAAATAATAAATAAGCAAACAGGCAACTATATGCCTGTAAATAAGAAAAGTTTATTGAGGTAGTAGCAGAGAGAATGTGAGCTAGGGGTAGGAGAGGTATTTACTTGAGAAGACCTCTGACATCAGCCATTTGTGTGTAATATAAAAAATAAAAAGGAGACAGCAGTGTGAAGATCAGAGGAAGAACATTGCAAGAGGAGGCAGCTGCAAAGGTGAAAGGCCACCTGAAGATGCTGGAAAGCTTGGCAAGTCCAAGGAACAGAAATAAGAAGTCTGTCCTGGGACACAAGGTACAAGATTTAAAAAATGGAAGAAGATGAGTTCACAGAGGTAGACAAGGGCCAGACCTGGTTAAGCCATATAGGCCATGGTCACAATAAAGACTCTGAAAATGATATAAATGTAAAAGGAAGCCATTTAGAGAATTTTAAACTGGGAAGAAGCAATGATGTAACTTCTCATTTATAAAGACAAATCCTTCTGCTTTGTGGGCTAATAGTGGGACATAGGAGGGGCAGGGAGACCAGGTAGAAGGTATTTTTTGTTGTTGTTTTTAGATTCAAACAAACAATATTAGTAGACTAGTCTAGGGTAGGTGCCTAGGACTAATAGGGAATGATAATCATACCATATTAATGTTATTGGACTAGAGGGATGTAATGGGAATAATAATAACCATGTTGGCAAGCCTTCCTATAAGGCTTAGTATATCCCAAACACTGTTCTGATTACCATTTATGTTTATATATGCTATTTTCATGTTCGTAACCCTGTGGGTTATGGTAGTATGGGGACTAGCGGGAGCCCTTGGCTGCCTAGAGGTTCACAGAAAATCATTGACATAAGGCCAACTGATTGGTAGGAGAAAAGGCATACACATTTATTTTCAATGTGTATACATAGGAGCCTTCAGAACGGGGACTCAAAGACACAGGAGAAATTGTCCATTTTTATGCTTAGGTTCAGCGGAGTATAGAGAGCCGTGTAGAAAGATGACTGTACAAAAAAAGAGTATGATCTAATGGTAATAGACTGAGTGTGGAAACCCTGTGAGGCCTGCCTGTCTAGATTCTTCTTGGCCTCTGCTTGCAGCATTCCTTCCTTCTGGGTGTGGGGCAAAACCTCTTCTAGAATAGGGGTCTTATGACCTATAGCAAACAAGACAGGTCAGATAATTTCCTTATGGTCAGATTTTACATAGAAAAGCAGAAGGAAAATTAGAGTAATATTTTTTAGGTTTTATGTCTAGCTTTCTGGTTTCTTTGACCTGCCTTGGGGAAGAGGGATTCTAGTTTCTATGACTAGACTAGGGGAAAATGAAGCTGGGAGACAGGAGGACAAGATCAGAGAAAAACTTTGGCTTCTGAGGCTTTCATTTGGGGATATTTTTTCTGAGCCCCAACAGTAGTTAGCACTATTATCCCCATTTTACAGATGAGGAAAGTGAGCCCCAGAAGGTTGGAAATTTTGCCCAAGGTCATGTAGTCAGTGAGAGAGTCAGAATTTGAACTCCCAATGTATAGCTCCACTATACTATGCTAGTAAGAAATAGCCAGATAATATATTTCAGAAGTAAGGTCTATTAGGAATTACGGATCCATTGGATGTGGAATACAAGGAAAAAAGTGAGAAGGATAACTTCTAGTTCTTTGGTTTTAGCAACTGAGTGTGAGGTTGTACCAAA
This sequence comes from Homo sapiens, assembly GCF_000001405.40. Taxonomy (NCBI): domain Eukaryota; kingdom Metazoa; phylum Chordata; class Mammalia; order Primates; family Hominidae; genus Homo; species Homo sapiens. Next base: position 132,957,236 of record NC_000002.12, on the reverse strand, counting down.
TTCCTGAGAGAGGCAAGCCTTGGAGGAAAGGTGACTTAGCAAAATTAGCATGCAATTGTCTGTTGGTTTTTGCCCGCGTTAAGTTGAGATGCCTATTAAGCATTCAAGTGATGATGTTCTATGGGCAGGTGGAAATACAAAGTTCAGGTCAGGGCTAGAGATATGGATTTGAGAGTCATCAGCATACAGATGACACTCGGCCTTGTGGGACTAATTAAGGTCCCATCAGAAGTAACTGTAAATGGACAAGAAGAGGGCAGAGGACAGAGTTCTAAGGTTCCCCATTTTTCGAGGTCTGGCAGAGGAAGAGGAGCCAGCATCTGAGCCTGGGGAGAGTGTCTGGTGTGGTAGGAGGAAAATGGAAGGTGAAGTGTTGTAGCAGCCTAAAGAAGAAAGTGCTCCAAGGGTATCCTTGTTGAGTGCTGCTAAGAGCACCAGCAAGATGGATCACAGAATCCATCCTCGGCTCTGGCAAGGCATGGTCAGCTATGACCTCGGTAACAACAGTTTCTGATGGGAGTGGGCGTGGAGGAAAACATGTGGAGACATGTATAGACAGGCCTGAAGTGGGTCAGACATGGAGAGAGTCAAAACTGAAGAGAAATAGGGTACAAGAGAAACTCTTCAAAAGGCAGCTGATGGTATGGCACATTCGTGTGCCAATGGCCGTGTTCTAGTGGAGAGGGCGAAATCGATGATGCGGGAGAGAGAAGTATGAATGCAAGAATGAGATCTGCAAGCAGGCTAGGGAGATGAAACCACAGAAGAAATAGAGCTTTTTAAAAACTCAGATGTCTAGAATGTAACCCAGGAAATCCCAGCTCTTTTAAGTCTACAATGGAAACTGACCATCTGTATTTTTCTGAAACTCTGTGGATTATTCAGATGCACAGCCAGGATTGAGAACCACAGAAACCACTTTTAGAGTGACATTTAAAGCTATCAAAACAACTTAGGTCCAGTTCTGTACTAAACCCAACAAGCTTTCACTGGTCATTTTAAAAATTGTAAATTGGTAATTTATAATTAGATACATTTATGGCATGCAGAGTGATGTTATGATTGATAATACAACATGTAATAATTACATCAAGCTAGTTAACATATCCATCACCTCATACTTAACATTTTTTGTGGTGAGAACATTTGAAATGGACTCTTAGCAATTTTGAGATGTGTAATACTCTATTATCAACAGATTTTGTACCCTTTGACCACCCTGTCTGCATTCTCACACCCCCATAGCCTCTGTAACCAACATTCTACTCTCTGCTTTCATTGATCTTATTTATGTGGCCAACAAACATTTGAAAAAAAGCTCACCATCACTGATCATTAGAGAAACGCAAATCAAAACCACAATGAGATGTCAATTCAAGCCAGTTAGAATGTTGATCATTAAAAAGTCAGGAAACAACAGATGCTGGCAAGGATGTGGAGAAATAGGAATACCTTTACACTGTTTTTGGGAGTGTAAATTAGTTCAATCATTGTGGAAGACAGTGTGGCGATTCCTCAAGGATCTAGAAGCAGAAATACCATTTGACCCAGCAATCTCATTACTGGATATATACCCAAAGGATTATAAATCATGCTACTATAAAGACACATGCACATGTATGTTTACTACAGCACTATTTACAATAGTAAAGACTTGGAACCAACCCAAATGCCCATCAATGATAAACTGGATAAAGAAAATGTGGCACATATACACCATAGAATACTATGCAGCCATAAAAAAGAATGAATTCATGTCCTTTCAGAGATGGATGAAGCTGATCTTAACCACCTTGTAATCTAACCTTTCTGCGCCCCTGCCTCCTCTTAAGTAGAACTTTCCCTGGGTCTTCAGACTTAGATCCAGAGGCCCTTCCCACATGTGCCCAGTGCCACAAGCTTTGAAGCCTGGGGAAAGGTCATCATCCAAAGTGCTCTTCAGTGGCTTCATGCCACCTTTGAGGGCTCCCCTGACATGGCCACGGATATGTCCAAGTTTGGCTTTGTCTCCTTGCCAGTGAGAGGAACGGGCTATTTTCTTTCCCTTTCTAATTGGCTTTAAGTTCTTACCTTGTTCTTCTTACTTTTATCCTCTCCTATCTTAAGACAATGTAAAAGAAATTAAGGCAACGTGCCAGTGGTATTCTGAATAGAAATTCATAATTGTTTCCTTCTAATCTTTAGATTCTATGACAGTTTGCTGACAGGTAACACCAGACATCCCTGTCTTAAAGTATCTGGCATTTATCTTTCTCTTGATTGTTTTACATCCAACTGTGGGTCACCTAGCAACATCACTAAGCTAGGATTTGAGACAAAAACTATTCTTTGGTAAAGGGGCTTGAAGTTTTTAGAAAAATTCCATTCTATGTCATTATGTAACTTTGTACTAGCAGTTTTCTGATTATAAAAGTAGTAAATAGTCACATTACAGAAAATTGGAAAAATCATAAGAAAATAATTGTAATTACACTAATCAGAAATGGCTGGAATTGGCATTTCAGCATATATATTTCTAGTCTTTTTGTTATTATTGTACCTAATCAAATTAGGATATATGAAATATCACTGTATACAGTTAAGTAGCCTGTTTCTCCACATTATTCAATACTTTTCAAAAATATGATGCAGTGGCTATGTAGAAATTTATTCAATGGATACTGAGTGCCATTTATTTAATCCTCACTGTTGGCTGCTTACCTTGTTCACAGTATTTCAATATTATAATGTTCTTATGAGCATCCTGGTGCCTAAGTCTTTATACATACATATTGTGATAGAATATTTAAAGCATACCATTATCTTTTAAAGCAGTCATGTCCATAGACAGTTAGATTTCTTATTTAAGAACCAAAATCAAGAATCCCAGAAATGAAGCTGATGGAGGCAGCACAGTTAGGCAAAGAGCACCCAACCCACATGCTCCAAGGGGCCACCATTGTCACTCAGTATAGGATACAATATTGAGAGGGTCCGTGGGCTGCTGAAACAATTTCAAAGACCTAAAATCTTGGGAAAACTTTATACTGTGGGAAATCTTAGTATTCCTTCAAGGTATTCTATTTGTGATTACTCTTTCAGTTGCAAGTCATAGAGACACTACTCAAACTGACTTAACTAAAAGGAAGGATGGCTATATAACTGGACAATCAGCTGTAACAAGACATGGATGAATGCAAGGGTTCAGACAATGTCAGAAAGCTTTCTCCAACTCTCAGTTCTGCTTTCATTTGAGCTAGTTCCTCTCTCAGGCAGGCCTTTTCTATGTGATGGCACCAAATCAGCAGCACCGTGAAAAGGCCATGTCTCTTTCCTAGTCATCCCATCAAAGCTCCTACAGTCCAGAGAGAGGGATCTCATTGGCTTGACTTCAGTTGTAGGCCCACCTCTTGGCCTCTGGAGGGTGGAGCATTTCAACCAGCAGTTCCATCAATTCCATCAAAGATTTGGCAAAATTCTTGTGTTTTAGTTATTTAAATGTCAGAATTACTTTAATACCACCCAGAAAGAATGTTACTGCTTATTTTTTTTTTCCCCTTCTGTGGCATATTATCTTTCTTTTTCTCTTCTCTCTCTCTCTCTCTGTCTGCCTGTCTGTCTTCTCTCTAGCACACCTTCCTCTCCCTCCTTTGGCATTTCTAGGCCTGGCCTCCTGCTGGATGCTGGAATTACAAAGAGATACAGAGCATCTTTTCTGCCCTTGAGATACTCACATTGTTGGAAAGAAGACAAAAATATAATAATTAAAAATATACTAATTAATTAAGGTAATAAAAATAAAGCACATTAAAATTTTAGAAAAATGTAAGGTGTGTACAAGGCTCAGTGGAGCACCAAGACAGAAGTATCTAACTGAATTAGTTTTGGAGGAAGCAAAGAGATAAAGAAGTTGCACTTGAACTGTGAGTCTTTGAGGCTTTATGCCAGTTCTCCAGGCAAAGATGGTAAAATGAAGAGCAGAGGGAATTGCCTAGACAAAAGCAGAAAAGCCTGAAACAGCCTCAAGGAGCCCTCAGAACATGGGCCTGTCAAGGGCCAGGGCACCTATGGCCAGAGATGAGGCCAAGTGGCTCGGCCTGTTTATATGTGCAAGTGCCATTTATTTAATCCTCACTGTTGGTTACTTAGCTTGTTCACACTCTTTGGATAGATAGGTAGTACATGGAACTACCTATCTATCCAACACATCAGTATGAAGAGCTAACAACATCTATGTTTAAAACTCATGCAGTTGCCTCAGCAAGCCTCTAATCAGTTTAGAGGTGTTCTTAACTAATAGCCCCTTCACTTTCCACAGTGAAGCTCCTCGTGGTGCTTCAATCCATCTGTAGAGCATCAAATCACATGCCCAAACAAACACGCCAAGTGGCGCTGCAAACCATCCTGAGCTATGGAGAGAATATTTATGACTTTAAAGTGAATGCCCCCAGTGACTTCAGAAGAAACGCCTTTGGAGTGTAGAAAAATACGTGCATTCCATAAATTGAAGTTCTACCATCATCAAAAGCCTTTGATCAGTGCTCGTTTTCTTGTGGCCTGTCTCTCACTATTGATGTGAGGAAGCTGAACTTGTCTGCAATTTAGGTTTCTCAGTAATAGGCAGCCGAAGATTCCTCTTACCTTGGGTTTTATTAGCATCTCCATTGCTGTTTTACAGCAGCCCTTTTGGCCTTCCAACTCCTGGAAGCTTGTTCAATCAAGACATAACCTTTTATCAGTTATGACCAACTGCTGAGAGAAAGAAAAAAACATTCTTAGTGTGAGGTAAGCCAAGGAGTGGGGGGGGTCTGTGACTGCCCTGCATTGCCAGGGCCAGATTTAGGTAGAAGCTTATTAGAAATACCTTAGATGATAGAAAAAGCCAATATGTCAAGAATTAATCTGCATAAATATGTTACTTTGCATGGCTCAGATTTGTGTGGGAGCTTCTAAGAAAACCCCAGATCTCAGAGAAGGCCAATGCATCAAGGACTAATCTCCATAAATATTCTAAGAGCTATCAAAGAAGAAAAATGAACTATAGGGGCAACATTAAATGTTCCCAGAGATAATTAGAACAAAGTGTTGTTAATTGTGTGTTGGTTTAATGTTATGTAGCCATGGCCTTGTTTTTTTTCACAGAGCATAAATTTTGATGTCAGAAACTGAAAGCTGGCTGGCTTGATTCATCTAAAGGATTCAGTTTGCTTAGTTATAGCCAATTAAGCATTTTAATCCTTACTCTACAAAGTAAGTTAAAGCCTAGTATATCATGAGTAGAAGTGGAAAACAAAACCCCAAATCTTGTTTGTTTGTTTTTTTGTTTAGTGAGTCCCTGGGTTGTTTTAGATGTGATGCTTCAAAGTAACTTACTGAAGTGTCATGAATAAAAATTACACAAGTTGTGATTCAAAAAGCAGTATGATTGATGAGCAGTCCCCAGAACAGAACCACAGCATTCTATTAACTCTAATAGTTTGCCAGGAGAAAATGTTACATAGCCTTGGGGGAAAAATTGTGGCTCTAGAATGGGGTCCAGAAAAATGCCCTTGTTATATAGGTATTGGCTTGACTTGCTGAGTCAGGAACACGATCACCCTGAAACTATGAAATGCTGTAAAATATCCACGTAGTCTGATTTCTGATAGCAACCTTTTGAGGGTGATCTAATTCATTAGCATTCAAATGAGCTCCAACCCTAGAGCCTCACTACAAAGGGAGTGGGAAATATGCAGTTTTACTTTATAACCAAAGCAGTGTGACCCAAGTCCGATAAAGGACCAGAGATTTAAGATGTGGATGTGGGAGGAGAGATTATAAACACCAGCTGTCATGGTGTAAGAGTCTCTACAGTCTTAGTTTTGGTAATTACTCCTGTTTCAGAAATATCTGAAATACATCTTTAATTTATGAATTGAACTTTCTAGATTTAAACATCCTTGGCTGCTTAATAGCATTTTTGCCTTTGGAATTGGAACGCCTTAGTTACAGCACACCCAGGGCAGGCTCAGCCTCCCTTTCAGAGTCAGTAAGTGCTGCTGCTCAGCTGTCACGGTGGACAGGGGCTCCTCTAGAAAGCAGGTTCGACTGTGTTTCTAAAGAAGATACAGCTTGTAACACGTGTCCGTGGTTTGTTTTGAGAGAACAGCATCTCAACCCAGCAAAGTAAAGAAGACATATTTTTAAGAACAGAGCAAGGAACATGAGCAGTTGGAAATTTTGCATCATTTTTCCCAAGATAGAGTCTTTTCCCTTACCTTTGTCTCATTTGTAATCATATCCACAAGACCTTTCTTAGAAACAGGAAAAATACCTTTTCCTGTGACATCATTTTTTTTTCTGTTTCTGTTTTGTTTTGCTTTGTTTTGTTTTTTGCTTCTTAGGTTCCTGGGGCCAAGTCAAATTGGTTTTGGTAATCTCATAAAATACTAAGATGATCAGGAATTCATTTAGAGGAGACTGCCTCCCATACAGTGTAGTAGCTTGGGGGAGGTAACTCTGTAGGTAATTCCAGCTTAAAATGAGAAGCAACTGCAGGCAAACAGCATATGATGTGCAGGTGTTTCTAAGTTCGTATGATAAAATGGGTTCCTTGGAAATCCAAATCACCAAAAAATCTCCCTGCAGTCTAGTTTTATGAGAGAAAGACAAATAAGAAAACAAACAGCCTTTTTCCTTTTTCCCCAAAAGTGGTGTCGGGGTATTTCCTGAGATGAATGTAAATTCTTGAATGCACATCCCATTTATGACCTTACCCCATCCTCAGTGTCTGAAAACTGATCCCAGGGGCCTCATTGCAAAGGTATAAGAGCTTCATGGATCATCACATGGAATCTAAGCCATGCTCATCGCCATGTAATTATTACAATAGATTTAATAATCATATATTGAAGAATAATAATGATATTATAACATTTATGTAATATTGAAACCTCTTGATGCCAGCCAGATATAAATTCAGTAAATTCACTGATAATATTTTCTTGGAGAAAAATATAAAAAGACATTTATCTGATCATCTTATGTGGATCTTGAACTAGTTCAGTTCACAATTTTAAAACGGAGACTTTTTCAAAAATATTTTTAGTAAGATACAATCTAGGAGTAAAGGTGTAGTGAACAGACTAAAGTAATTTCTTTTTCTTTTTCTTTTTTATTGTTTTTGAAAAGGAGTTTCACCCTGTCACCCAGGCTGGAGTGCAGTGGCATGATCTCGGCTCACTGCAACCTCCATCTCTCAGTTTCCAGCGATTCTCCTGCCTCAGCCTCTCGAGTAGATGGGATTACAGGTGCCCACCACTATGCCTGGCTAATTTTTGTATTTTTGGTAGAGATGGAGTTTCACTATGTTAGCCAGGCTGGTGTCGAACTCCTGACCTCAAGTGATCTGTCCGCCATGGCCTCCCAAAGTGCTGGGATTACAGGCATGAGTGACTGCGCCCAGCCTAAACGTTAATGTATTTATTCCATGTTCACCTGTTACAAAATGACAGTTTTCAATGAGGTATCAGAATGGACTTTTTTTTTAGCGACACATGGTTTGGGAGCCATGTTTTTAAATATAGCTTTTACTTTATGTAGGTATGGCAAAGCCAGTAGCTTAGGAGATGAGGGCTACTGAAAAGATAGTTCTTATTCTCACAGGTTTCAGAAGGAGGGGGATGCCATGCCCTGAGGGGGCTTCAAGGTGAAGCTCAGGGTCTGTCTGGAGACAGAGGAAGGGGCAGAGGGGAAACTGCAGGCAGGAATCCTTACTGTGGTTTCTGTGGGAAGGAGCAGCAAGCAAGGCAGGGAGAACAGGTCTAGAGTTGGCAGTTTGAATGATTTCAGCAGGCTCTGGGGCACAGGGGCCCTTCATGTGAGAGTGAGAGAGAGCTGGTTGGAGGTGGTGTGGGCTCTGGGTTGGCTTGCATTTGCAAAATTTGCTCACGAGTGAGTTGTTCACTGTCTCTAGCAATTGGCCAACCTTGAAGGGACTGCCCCTCCAGAGTCAGCAAGGTCCCAGATGTCAAAGCCTCAGAATACGGAAATAAGGACGTGTTCATTGCAGACTGTGAGACCTAAATGACATTTTATTCCTAGGCTTCTGGATGATTTCCTTCATCACTGGCCCCCAGGCCTCACCAGTTCACCAGCTTCTTTGCTTCTTCTTATCCCTGGATGGGGCAGGGTGGGGGGTGGGTCTTGTCCTTCTTCCTCACCATGTTTCTTTTCTTTTCTTTTCTTTTCTTTTCTTTTCTTTTCTTTTCTTTTCATTTCTCTGGATCTTTGTTGCTTCTGAGTTACTGTACCAAAAGTTCACAGGCCTCTTTGAATTTACTTGAATTTTTCTTTCCTTCCACAGAACAAATCAGTCATAGTGAATCAGCCAAACACCATGTATTAATCTTTTGGTGTTTTAGGCTTTAGACCTGATTTACTTGTGTCCATGGGCTGCTACCTACCTGCCAAAGTGGAGGTGTGGGGAAAAGGCAAGAGAAGGGGTGGAGCGCTGTACCTGGCTCTGTAGTCATCTCAGAAGCCGGGGCTTCCACGAGGCCTTGTTCCCATTGGCCAAGATTTCCTTCTGTACTGGTGCATTTCATCTCTGGCATTGAATTAAGGGGCTTGGAGGGTGGTGCTATTTCTTTCATACAGCCTCTCCTTTGGGGCTCTCCAAGAGCTTGTTACCATTTGCCATTCCACCTTTTGGACTCAAATTAGGGCCCCAAACCTTTGCTCTGAATGGCCGATTTCTGTTTTCTCTAACTGCCTGTCAGCCGCTGCTGGTTCTCTGCCTCCCTGCCTGTGCCCCTTCGCTCGCTGCAGGCTGTGCTTCAGGGAGTCCTTAAAGCAATTCCTCTGCACTCTCAGCAGGCAACAGTCCCTTTTAACTTCTCTCTGCAACTAGTTGGGTACCTGCTGCCAGCTGTTCTCTGCACATAACCAACTGAGATGAATCACGTTGCAATGAGCTGCAAATCCACATATAGCCAAGCTTCCCCCCCTAACCAGCCATTCATAAAGGGGCCCACTTTTCCCTTGAAGCCCCGCTTGTACCACTGCACCAGGAAGAGTACAGAGAAAGGGTACATCGATAGAAAATAGTAAATGAAGTGGGATCTATTTTGGCTAGATAAAAAAAACTGTCATCATTACCGTTTATTGTTATCTAAGTCTGCCCACAGAAACTTTTCACAGTTCCCCTCTCTTCCCTGTATTCCCTTGAGCATCCAAGAGGCATCTGTGAGGATGCTGAGAAGTTGGTTCAGAGAAAGACTTCGCAATCCCCCATTCATCTCAGGTCAGGGTGAGTTGAGTTTGGGTAGTAAGTTTGTGTATCTCAGCACTGGGGTTAATTTCATAGCAGAAGGTATATAGTAATCCTTCCCGAAGAATAAGAGGCAATTCTCATAAGACTTCATGAGTTACCTGGGGCAGGTGACAATGAAACCAGCAAAGGAATGCTCTATCGTGAAATCTCCCGAAGTGAAATCTTGTGAATTCTTCATTTCCCATATCTGGGAATTAAGCTTTAAAAGAAAACAAGTGTCCTCTCTACGGTGGGCTCCTGGAGGGCTGAGACAGTGAGCCACATTTCACCTTGAATTCCTATTGGACAGAGCTCGCTGGGTTGAATTGTAACATTTGTTTTAATTTCCCAGGCAGTAGATTTCACATACAAATAGAAAGGTTTAAAACAAGCAGAGGGGCCCTGCTAAAGGGATGATAAGCCAAGATAATTGTCATGGAATTAATCTCTTTTCCATTCTTTAGCTGCAGGGAATTGTGTACTATCTGCTGAAGGAATCACTTTATTTTAAAATTACACTTTATTATTAATACTGATAAACCAAGAAGTGACAAAGCCCAGGATAGACTCACTTATTTTACTTTATTGCTAGTTTCCATTTACTCTATCAGTACATAAATTAGCATATCTTATTTTTAAATCAGCTATACTATTCAAAGCCATTTAATGACCTTTATGAAGAGTTAACTAATCTACAGGATGTCTTCTTAACTTTTTTTAGTACCCAAAATAAAAACTTTTCAAAAAATTTTCATATTAACAACCTGAAAGTTTATCGTTCTTATAGTCCTCCTATTTGATTTATAAGTCACAGCATGTTTAATTTTCTTCAAGGATTGCCACCTGTATTTGAATGCACATTGAGCATATGACAAATAAGAAACTATTCAAAACAACCCTGATCCTCTAAATAGAAATGACATATCCCTGTGAGACTGAATTTTTTATATGTATGTTTAAGAAACACCACAACTTTTTTCATCCATTTTGATCTAATGTTTTATAACTCTCACTTTTCAAAAATACATCCTGTAATAATTTGGCTTCATATACAAACTTTTTTATTTTGAGACAAGGTCTAGCTCTGTTGCTCAGGCTGGAGTGCGGTGGCGCCATCTCGGCTCACTGCAACTTCCACCTCCCAGGCTCAAGTGATCCTCTCACCTCAGCCTCTTGAGTAGCTGGGACTACAGGCACAAGCCACCACACCTAGCGAATTGTTGTATTTTTTTATAGAGACAGGGTTTCGTCATGTTGCCTAGGCTGGCCTTGAACTTCTGAGCTCAAGTGATCCACCCCCCTCGGCTTCCCAAAGTACTAGGATTACCGGTGTGAGCCACAGCACCCAACCCATATATAAACTTATGAAGGTGATAAAACATTCATGAAGTGGAGTTCACTTTTTTTGTTAAGTTTTCATTTCCTTGTCAGCTTTTCAACAGAGAAATTAAGATGTTTTTGGGACATGTAGGGGCAGTGAGAGTATAGTCAACGCTATTAGAAAGATAAATAGTTTTTTGAGGGCCGCTGTCACCTATAGGTTTATAAATTCCAAAGACCAGCAAAACATTGTCATTACTCATTACCACTGAATTGAATCTGGATCTTCACCCTAAAGATGGCTCTAGATACAGTATCAATTGCCTGTTTTCCTCTGGGTGCCTTAGAAGGTCACTCATATTGGCTCTACCAGAGGACAGCCTCTTTCTCAAAGAATATCTTATGGAACCTCATCTCCTGACGCTTTTGCTGCAGCAGACTTGGAAATTGATTACCAGGCAACCTGAGGGGGGATCACATGGCCAACCTCCCTTCCCCTCCTTTCTGATTCTGACATCATCTATAATTCTTCCATTTCACTTATTTCCTCTATGTTTAGCTACATCCACCTCCCTGTCCAAGAGTTCTGTATTAAAATGCAAATCTCTTGTGATAAATATCACACGAATATGAATTTCCTGACAAAGGAAAATGGGACTTGCCTTTACCAATTATAGCCAGAAGAAGTAGAGAGAGCTTACTGTTTTGATGCTGGACATCACCTTAGTGTTTTGACATTTTCGTAATACTGAGGCAGCATGGTAGAAATGAGTAAAGAGTTTGAATCCTTCAGCCCTGGGTTCAACTCCTGGTCCTCTCACTAAGTTTGGGGATGTACTTCTGGGTTTCAATCTCACATCTAAAAGATGGAAGCAATAATACATATGCAAATGGATTAAATAAAAAGTAACATCTTTTGAACATCTAGCATGGGGTGTGGTACAATAAGAGGCACTTCTTTTTCTTCTTAGAGTGAATAGCAAAATCTTAAGGGTTATTATCTCTAGGTAAAATTGAGGTAATTTTTCCCCCAGTTTGTAAGAGAAGTGACCCATTAAGGATGTTGACACTGGGTGCTGTGGGCTCTTAGTGTCTTATCACGCATCCAGCTGATAGGATATGACTTCCATCGATTCGTGCTGTGGGCTCTTAGTGTCTTATCACGCATCCAGCTGTTGGGATATGACTTCCATCGATTCCCAAGGGCACAGAGATCCTCCTTTCAGCTAACTAGATGATTTCGTTGCTGCCACTGTGGCCACATCCCCTTGTTCATCTGTCCTGTCTTCCTTCCAAGCAAAGGAGTTGGAGAAACCCCTGACTGTGCTTATGATCATTTCCCCACCCCACCCCTGCCCCCGCCTCACCTTAGCAGGTGGGATCCCCCAGTATTTGTTGATGTAAGTGGGACTATGGAAAGAAATTTCAGGTAGCTCCTTTACTAGGACCATAATTCCCCAGGAACTTATCTGGGTGTAGGGAGTGTGTCATCCAAGAGTTCCCTTCTCCTGTCCCCTGAGGACCAGCAGCACAGCCTTTCCCCAGTGGAGTGTCTTGGCCAACTCAACCCGCTTGGGGCCAGTTTTAATCAAAGCTCCCTAGAAGTCTTTTCTCTGTTGTGGGACCCAGAGCACAAGGCCTTCTCCATCATATCCATAGGTGATTATCCTATGGCTTTGCCTCTGGAATCCAAAGAGCCTCTCTAACTCCTGAACCCATCTCTGCTGCCTGGGTAAGGTCTTCCCTTTGCCCACAGTCCCTCATTTATCCTCTTGGTTCCAGGAAAGCAGTGACTTCTTGGCTGGGGTTGGGCCAAGAGAAAATCCTATGACATGTTCACAATGTCCTTAGAGTCATTTTCTCTTATTTATATAAAGATAGCTCTACGTGCTCAAAATGTCGCTCTTTCAGGACAAAGCATAGAACAGTAGTTTCTTCCTACTGGAAGAGAATATTAAAGTATTACAAGACCATGTTTGCCCACATTGGACACCCTAGTGACAGGAAACTCCCTACTTCCCAAAGTAGCCCATAGCAACATCGTGGTGAGGTCGAGAAGCTTAGCAGATAGCTGAGTTCTAATCCAGGCTACTGCGCTAACCAGCTATGTGGCCTTGGACAAGTTACTCAAGCTCTTCCAGCTGTCATTGCTCTATATTTAAATCAGTATGGTAATGTACCTAACACGGTTGTTGGAAGGATGAAATGAGATGACAATTTTAAGGTCCTTAACACAGAAATTGGCACAAAATAAGGACTCAATAAAAATGTTAGATAAAATTGTATTTAGCTGTCATTCACTTTGAATATCTCTCATTTTTAGAATTACTTCTCTGTGTTTCTCTCCAGCCTGTCTCCCACTAATTCTATCCATGAGTGCTAGATCTGCCTCCTAAGGCCATGTAGAACAATTGAATCCCTCTTTCCCTGACAACTTGTCTCACCCAGGGATAACTCCCATATTCCCCCTGCCCCCAAAACATTTCTTCTTTGGGCTAGATAACCACTGTTTTTCCTGCTCTTGCGTTATAAGACACGGTTCAAGTCCCTGCACCATTCAGATCCATCTCCCTGAATGACCTCATTTCTCCATATGCCTTATGAGTGTGGCATCTGGCCAAACACAACTCAAGTTCCCATCTGAGCAGTGAAGAGCAGAGCAAACTCTCATTCCTCTGTCCCCTCTACACATGCTGCACAACTCTTAAAGCAGACCAAGTGTGCGGTCACACTTCACCCAGCCCCAGGAGGCTACGTACTCATGTCTGCAGTTTCTGAACTCTCATTGGTAAGGTCTTTTCACCCGCCTTGTTCTTACACAGTTGTTTCTGATTTGATCACAGGGCAGCATGTTGACTTCAGTTAAGTTTTACCTGGTTGGGTGGATTCCATTGTCATCGGTGTCTTCTGGCTCTCAGGGCCTTTCTGGAACCTGAAGCTGTTGGCAACATCTGTGCTGTCCACCCTGCTCTGAGTCTGCTGCAGATGTGTTGAAAAGGTGACTCTCTCCACTGGGAAAATGAAAAACTTTATGACCGGCAACATCATTTTTACAGCCAAGTGAACTCCTTTGATAAAATATTCCTCTTTTCTGAGCTTATTTCCTTCCTGTGTGTAAAGAGGGGTTTGGGCAGATTGTAAGCTTTCTCTCAGCTCTTTGCATCTATGTTATCACACTTCCTCACTATACAGAAATAAATATCCTTATTGCCAACTGGTGATTTACTAGCCTTGCAGCTAACATTGGCACATTTTTACATTTAATGTATATTCTTCTTTTGACAAGGTATGTTAAAATGGACTATATTCAAATTGATATGCAATCAAAGAGGATATTTTACATGTGACTTTTAATGAAGTTTCTGTCATAATCTAATCTTAGTTGTTAAAATATGAGAGATTCTTACTTCATTAGTGGTTAAGCCTTGAATGGAAAGATAGGGAGAAATGTCATTGTTTACCAACAGAGAAAACCCATTTGGGTATGTCCAGAGGAAGACAGTAAGATGTTGTGCTTTAACATTGTAAAACTCAGTTCAGACCCTGGTAGGTTCAGACCCTACTTGATTTTAAAGTCCCAGAACCTCTTACTTGAATGAAGTGGATTGGAATTATCAAATAATCACAAAATGACAAGGCATTGTACTTGGAGATCATCAGATTCCTGAATTATTCTATCATTTTAATGACTTCCTGCAGACTAACCAGGTTTTAGCAAACTGTTTCGTTGCTCTTCCTAAGAGTTACTCCCGTTGGCAGACAGAGACCACTTAGTTGCATTGTGTTAGGCAGAGATAAAAAGGCACCTAGGAATTTGTGGTATACTTGATTACTTTGGCCTGGTGAACTTTGCTAATCAGTGCAGCAGGAGAACATTTGAGCCTGAATTTTGCTTGATGTAGCGGAATACCTGAGTGGTCATGTCATCTGTTGGAAATTAAGGTTGATTGGATTCCATAATGAATTATTTTAATCAAGGTTTTGCCCAAATTACTTTAACTCTGTTGTTTCCCATCCACCTTTAAAGCACATCATTATCTTTGTGTCCAGAATTTTCAGGTCTAAATTATATCGGCATCTCAGAAAACGTGGGCTCATGTTTTTAATCGGAGACATAAAATATATATTACAGTTTACACCAAATAAAAATTACAGCAAAATGCAAAACTTAAAAACAAAGTCTAAATCAGTGATTCTTGAACTGTGGTTGCTAGACCAGTAGTGTCGACATCACCTGGGAACTTGTCAGAAATGCAGAGTCTCAGGCCCAACCTCAGCCCCACAGAATCAGAGACCTGGAGAGAGAGTGAGCAGTGGCCAGCAATAAATTTTTTTAACAAGTTTTCCAGGTGATTCTGATGCATACTAAAGTTTCAGAATCACTTATCTAAATTATGTATAATTACCGCTAATAAAAATGTTTTCATGTTTAATGTTTATTGAAAAGTCTAAATCCAGATTGGATATAGATGGCAAGTTAAGAAACCTCCTTTTCTGCTCTGTCAATTAAGATATGTTTATCAAAACTTATTTTTAAGCATCATACATATTCAGATTGTCAAATGTGAATGAACATATATAAAGTTATTTGTTGACTTACCAAAATTAATTAGGAACTATAACACACCCATTTGAGACAAAACAAATAGTTGTAATTGCTTCATTTCATATTTGCCCCTTTATTTAGCATCTTGTAAGATGCTAAAATATTTTTGCCCGAGGGAAGAATATGACATAGATCACAACAGTGATGAATGAACACAGGCAATTGTGACTACATGATATAGAACTACAATGGTTTCTTTCATCAATAATTATTTTTTTAACCAGAAAATGTTTGTATACACTTTGCTGGGAAATGGCAGAAATATGAGTCAGGAGTATTTTGATTGCAAGTAATAAAAATTACCTCAAATTGCCTTAAAAGGAGATAACGGAATTTGTCGACTCATGAAAATGTAACATCCAGTGTTATCAAGTCTCAGGAATTGCTAGACCCAGGTTTCAGGCCATGAGACCAGGAATCATCTTACCTTATTCTTAGCTGTGCTTCTCCCTGGTTTATCTTATTCTCAGGCAGGATCTCTCCAGATAGTAAAAAGGGTCACCTAGGAACACCAGATTTCTGTGTTGCCAGTTCTGCCGCCCCAGTGGAAAGAATGT
The DNA here is from genome assembly GCF_000001405.40 of Homo sapiens. NCBI lineage: Eukaryota > Metazoa > Chordata > Mammalia > Primates > Hominidae > Homo > Homo sapiens. Next base: position 132,941,482 of record NC_000002.12, on the reverse strand, counting down.
CATTCCAGCCAACATCCCAGGGCTCACTCTCATTGGATAAGCTTGAAACTGGTTGGACTACACTGATTGTCCAGCATGGGCCATTGCATAACCATGGCCTTGGGACATAGGGTAGGCACTGCCTAAAACTGTATGAATGGACCATGAATGTGGGAAGAGTGGTCCACCAAAGGAAGTCACAGGGAGATGCTGATAGTGCTGGAATGGATAGGTACAAACAGCAGAGGTCCAGTACAATAACAGAAGATGTTTCTTTCCCTGAATACATTCTCTAGTAGATGTAATTGTTTTTCTGCCAGAAATAGCCTTTTGATTTGGAGGCTAAAGAGCTCTAGACTGGGTATTAACAACCCTGTCTTTGAGGATTTGCTCTGTTTCTGACAGTTGTGGGGACTTGGCCAACTTTCACTCACTGTCTCTAGTTTCCAAATCTAGCAACTTGACTTTTAGTTTTCTTACTTTTCCTTTATGTAGCAAATGAATTAATGTAGGAGAAAATATTTTAAAATTTTAATTAATATGTGAATGTAATATTAATGTTTCTTTTAATTATAAATATATGTATCAGTATAAAAGTAAGACAAGTGTAATATAATTGATAATATAATTATCAAATAAATGAAAAAGAAGAAGAAAAGTATCACTTCTTAACACCTCTCTTCCATGGCAAAATGTTAACTTTTTTTTTTCTTTATGGGATATTTTTCTTTTTTTCTTAATTATAATCTTGTGGCATGATTAGAGACCCAGATCTTTGAAAAAGAATAAATAAGTTTTTACTACTTTTTAAAATTTAACATTTCATCATAAGTACCTACCACAATGATACCTACAATGATTCCTACCGTCATTTCAATGGCTGCATAATATCCTGTCAATCATAAGTCATTTTACTACCCTATTATTGAACATTTAGCTTGTTGCTAGTTATTTTTTTTACTGTTATTCAGTTTCTATATTACTTTTTGCTCTTAGAATAGATTTAACCAACTACAAGGATTTACAGGTCATAACCCCATGTCTTTCTATTTGGTATGTTTTAAGTGTAAATACCCCATGAAAGTCTTAGAGTGCAGCAGTGATGACCAAATTTGATCACAGCTAGGGCCCAGTGTTCCCTGAGCCCTGAAGGGTGACCAGAAATGGACTCTGTCTTGAGGACCATCTCTAGTCTCAAGCCCATTATGAGCTCTTAAGTAATCCTGTGGGATTATGCCTGGTACATTAGTTGCATAGTGAATAAAAATAGGCCCTTATGAACAAAATAATGTCTTTTGCTGCAACTTGCATGGAACTGGAGGCCATTATTCTAACTGAAGTAACTCAACAATAGAAAACCAAATATCATATATTCTCACTTGTAAGTGGGAGCTAAGCTATGAGGATGCAAAGGCATAAGAATGATATAATGGACTTTGGGAACTCAGAAGGTAAGGTTGGGATGCGGGTGAGGGATAAAAGACTACTATGTATATATACATATTTTTAGACAGCATCTCACTCCACCCAGGCTGGAGTGCAGTGGTGCAATCTCAGCTCACTGAAACCTCTGCTTCCCAGGTTCAAGTGATTCTCCTGCCTCAGCCTCCTGAGTAGCTAGAGTTACAGGCACCCACCACCACACCCAGCTAATTTTTGTATTTTTAGTAGAGACAGGATTTCACCATGTTGACCAGGCTGGTCTTGAACTCCTGGCCTCAAGTGATCCACCCACCTTAATCTCCCAAAGTGCTGGGATTACAGGTGTGAGCCACCATGCTCAGCCAAAAACTACAATATTGAGTACAATGTACACTGCTTGGGTGATGGGTACACTGAACTCTCAGAAATCGCCACTAAAGAACTTATCCATGTAACCAAAAACCACTTGTACCCCAAAATCTATTGAAATAAAAAAACTGAGAAAAAATAAAATACAAATAAAAATTTAACTAATGTAAAAAAAAATAGGTCTTACAGCACTTGAACAAACAGAATCCCTTTCATGTTTATAAGCAGTGTTGGTGGTGAGTCTCAAGCCCGGAGGCTAGAATGCAGAGAGGGGCCAGAAAGATTTTCCCTCTTCTACCCACCCTACCCATCGTATTATCAGCCCCTCCATGAGTGGTGGTTCTTCATTCATTACTTGTGCATGAATGACATCCAATAAAATTTTCAGTAAGCTGGCTTGTAATAGTTGTAGTTATCTGTTCTGTAGAATGCCTGGCCCAGGCTTCTAATTATAGTGTACTGCCCTCTCAACTTTCCTAATTTATAATGTCAAGATGTGTTTAGTTTTAATAAATTAAGCTGTGGGGAGAAGACTTGAGATCAAAAGTTAACCGTTTAAGTGTTTTTAAAAGGTCATTTTTTTTCATATCATCACTATTAAACAAATGAGGAAGCCAGTAAAAAATTATTCCCTTGTACTTTATTACTTGTTGGAAGACACGATGGTTTCATAATTTAAAAAGTAAAAACTAAACATGAATATACACGCATAAGTAATTCCTCTCCTCCTGTCCTTGTTCAATTGAAAACCTCTAAAAAATGAATTTTCAAACATTTGAATGTTGCAGCTGTACTTGGAAGTGAGAGGGAATGAATGGGCGGGGGCTGGGGCAAGGGACTGATCCTAAGACCACCTTTGTCAATGGTGTTTTGACTTTGCCTCACAGACACCCCTATATCAGTGAGAGGCATTTCTCTCTCCCTCTTTCTCACCTCTCTCCCCCTTCTTTCTCTAACATTCTCTGTTATTCCCCTTTCCTCTACCTTTCTCCAGTAATGCTGTCTTAAAGTATTACTATTCCCTGAGCTGAGGGGGATCCATAGGAAGCAGGTACAAAAGAAGCATTTGGCCATTTTCCTCAGCAGTCTTGGAAAGGGGGCCCTTTACACACAGAGACATGGTGGAGCACCAAGACTTTAACCAGGCAGTCTTCAAAAATGCAGGAATCTGAAGCAAGTGCAGGGAGAGTCTCGGTCTGAGATGACATGGCCAGCCAGTAGCCAGACAGGCATAGAGAACCAGATCTCCTGACTCAGTCCTGAGATCCTTAACCATTCATGGGTCATGGATTACTCTGAAAATACCATGAAAGCCCTGGATTCTCTAACCTGGAAATGCACTCATGTGTATACACATGGTATTTCTCAAATAATTTTTGGGAAACCAGGACTCCTGAAATCTGTTCATAAATTCCACCAGGGTCAGAACCTTTGTTCTCTACTGTATCCTCTGATTCCTGAAATGCCCTATCTTGATTGATTCCTCATGACTGACAGGCCAATAGAGGGGAGATATTTGGGGACAAACAGGACTTTCCCAGCACACCTCAAATCATACCACCTTGACAGCCATCTGTGTAGACCTATGACTGGACTCTCAGGGACAGGAGAAAGAGATGACTTTCAAAATGTTTAGTTTGTGATTTATTTATTGAAAAGGGAGCTTAAAAGCTCAGAGGATAGAATAGCTTTGTTTAGTCCACGTTGAAACATGGCAAGAAGCTGAGGATCTTCTCAACATGTAATGTATCAGAGGGTCCACCCTTTATATTAGCAAATATGGCAGTGCATCAGCATTTATGCTGGGTGAACTTGGTTGGCTAATTTTCTGAAACCTGGCATTTCCTGCTCCTCTCGCTGTTTTCCTCCCTAGAGAGTAGTTACTTTGTGTATTTATAGTGGATGCCAGCCACAAATCTTTGGTGGAAGCCCAATAGTTTACATTCCACTATATCCTGTTGCACACCAGTTGAATAATTCAGACCAATATTGATTTTTGCAAAAGTTCTTAATGGTCTGGCATGTTGCTGTCAGGAAGGGAGATTTTTCTCCCCAAACTTCAGTTGTCTTGCCTCTGTAACAACAAGCAGCAATCAACATTTGGTGTCCCCAGGGGTCATCAAGTTTTTCTATCCACTGGTCCTAATTCCTAACGTATGAGTTTTAGAATGTGAACTCTGAGAACATAAAGCAATATAAGGTGTGACATTTAAGGTGCAGGTAGCACTTAGGAAAGCGTTTACAAAAGTAAGACTCTTCAAATCTCCTTTCCCAGTAAGAAGTGCTGGCCAACAATGTATTACTATTTAGTCCTCTTTCTTTTAAGTAAATGTTTTTAATATGAATGAACACAGTTAGTAAACAGAGGTTTCCATATTTATTAATTACAGCAGTAAGATTTTGTAAGCATCTCCAGCAAATGCGGTCGTTGTTCCGTGCATATTCCCTCAGATCCCTTTACCATGCCCATGCCTACTCCTAGCAGCCAGCACCTGTGTCTCTTTGGGCAGCCTCTCTGTCCCCACATTTTCCTACCTGCAAGAAGAACCAGAAGTTCCTGGGCATTGACGTATTTATGGGGGCAGCTCTCTAATAGTGACTGACTAGAGGAGGGCCAGTAAATTCCCCAGCTTCTATAGGTCAGCAGAAGTTGATCTCAAGTTACCCTCAGTGGGACTTTGCTTAATAGGACACCTTTGCTGGGGCTCTTCCCTTGATGATTCTCACTTCCCTACTCACTCACTGGTTTCTTTTTCACATCATCACTATTAAACAAATGAGGAAGCTGGTAAAAATTATTCCCTGCCTCATAAATCATTTTCACACAAACCCTCATTTCATTATCTGCTTCTGAAGAACCCAATATAATTGATGTCCTTGTAAAATTATAAAGTTGATACATATGCATTTTAGAAAGTAAATAGAAACTATAAAAAAGTAAAAGAAAAAAATACTCTAGATCCTACCACTCAGAAGTAATTACTGTAAGCACATTTGTGTGTATCTTTTTTTTCCATGTGTATGTAGTCTTCTAAATTTTCAATACTCAGATAACAGTTTCTTTTGGTTATATTTTTCTCCAAGTCTAAAGAATTTTTCTTGACATCCTCCCAAACAATAGTTTTCAACTGTGTAGTGCCAAGGGACCTATTTGTGGTGGAGAAAGAAAGAGATGGTGTTGAAAAATAAACGTGTAACCCACCCCCTTGTGCAGCCACATGGAGTGAGGAACCTTTATTATGGGGGTGTGTCTGGCATGGAAATATTATCAGACAAGTGAGTCACACATGGGAAAATGTTAATGTCTCACTACAGAGTATTTCACTCATTCAGGAAATGTACCATAATTTATCCAGTCATTCAGCTCCTTGTTAGTTTGGATTTAGGTTGTTTCTATGACTTTTTAAAGAAATTATATAGAAAATATTCCAGTCTGGGTGCAGTGGCTCATGCCTGTAATCTCAGCATTTTGGGAAGCCAAGGCGGGCAGATCACTTCAGGTCAGGAGTTCCTGACCAGCCTGGCCAACATGGTGAAACCCCATCTCTGCTAAAAACACAAAAATTAGCCGGGCATGGTGGCGAGCGCCTGTAATCCCAGTTACTTGGGAGGCTGAGGCAGGAGAGCCATTTGCATCTGGGAGGCAGACGTTACAGTGAGCTGAGATCGCACCACTGCACTCCAGCCTGGGCGACAGAGCGGGACTCTGTCTCAAGGAAAAAAAAAAAAAAAGAAAAAAAATATTATTTAAGGTAGTTTAACTCTTTTGCCTGAATTATCATTCCTGATTAACGGCACCAGCCTTTACCAGATGTCCCCAGACTTAAACTTCATAGTCCATTTCTTACTCTCTTTGCTTCTCATGAAGTGCGACACCACATCATGTGTAGCTTGTCATTGGCATGGCCTTTGAACTCATCCTCTCTACTCCATCTTCACTGCCAAGGTGTGAGCAAGGGTCCTTGTGAGCACTGGCCCAGATGATGGTAACAACCACCTGTATCTGCTTCTCCTCCTCTGCTCCAACTCCCATTCCACCACTAGTTAGTTTTCCAGAAGGGTCAGTAAAGTCCCCCACCACCCCCAACCTACTGTCAGCTTCACCTTCCACCTCTCATCCGGTGTGATAGACTCGCCCCTGAACATACCGTGTGTTTTCCTACCCCTTTGCTTTTGCTCCCATAATTTCCTGTCCCAGAAAGGGCTCTCTCAATTCCCATACCTACCATTCACCTGTCTAAATCCTATTTTCCTTTCAGAAATCAGCTCTGATGCCACAGTTCCTGTTACAGTTATAATAATTAAGATGCCCTGGCTGCCGGTAACAAAAACTCGGCTCAAGCTGCCGTATGTTCAGAGAAGTCTAGACATAGGTTGAGCTTGTGCTGCAATTTGGTGAAGGCTCAGGCTCCATCTTTCTGTGTAGTTTTCTTGGCTTTTCTCTTTCCATGAGTTAACATCATTCTTAAGATGGCTTGTTTCAAGGTGGATAAATGGCTGTCATCAATCCAATCTACAAATCTACTTAACATATCACCCAAGAAATTTCTCACATGAGTTCCTGAGAAATGCAGAACTATCCTTTACAAAAGCTCCCAGGGAGCCTTCACTTCCCAGATACCTTCATGGACCTAAAATCAATTAAATACTCTTCCCTGAACCAATCTCTTGTAGCTGGGAAAAAAGCCATGTACTGATTGGTTTATCCCTGGGATATATTTCCCAATCACTTTGACAAAGGGGATAACATAACCTTAATTAGATAAGACAAATTAGGGCAGCTACCTGTGAAGAGGGAATCAGTAGTGACCAATCCTATGACTTTTATATATTCACATACAAGAGGTGAAATGGATGTTGTGTAGACAGCCACAGAGTTCTCCACACTCAAATGGGTTCCAGAGGGCATTAGAGATGGCACATCACATTAGGTAACATTTACAACTTCTTGTTTATGAGTCTTAGAGATGATCACCCTTGTCTGGCACCAAATAGGTCTTTCATAAATGTCTAACAAATGTACATGTTTTAATAAATTAAGGTAAAATAAATTGATTTAAAAGGTTTTTTTTCTTTAACTTTGATTTTCATAGTTTTAGTGTGGGGTCATCGTTTACTTTTTTACAAAATTTTCTTTGTTCGAGACAGAGTCTCACTCTCTCACCCAAGCTGGAGTGCAATGACGTGATCTCTACTCACTGCAACCTCCACCTCCAGGTTCAAGCAATTCTCGTGCCTCAGCCTCCCCAGTAGCTGGGATTACAGGTACCCGCCACTAAGTCAGGCTAGTTTTTGTATTTTTAGTAGAGATGGGGTTTCACCCTGCTGGCCAGGCTGGTCTCAAACTCCTGACCTCAAGTGATCCACCTGCCTGGATCTCCAAAATTGCTGGGATTACAGGCATGAGCCAGGAACATTTTTCCATATAGTGATTGTTATTATGTTGAATTATCCATGACTTCACGTAGTTTCTAGTTGCCATCACCAGAGGTATCTAATAATTGGCTGCACACGTATCTATTTTCTCTTATTATGTAGATGTTGGTCCTCAGGGCAAGATTTCTGACTTGGCCATACACCAACAACTTATGCATAAAGTTATAATGACTTTTCTAATGCCATAGTTAAGATTAGAGCAAATCTCAGTATGCTGTATTTGAAATACTTGTTTCAAAGATCTCAAAAGCAAGATCCTGTAGAGAAGAGGTTGGGCTCCACTGGGCAAAAAGCCCCCTTTCATGCTAATATGCCAAATGAATAGACAGTCTGCTGATGCTCTCGACAATTTATCCTGCTCTTCGGGGATTGTGTAGTGAACATCTCCAGTTAAATTAGAGCTATTGTTGTAGCTCTTTTTTTTCCCCCTCTGAAAATACAATTCTTTTCTGAAAATACATTTATGATTCAGAACTTCCTGGCTTCTCAGTACAATCATCATAATGAGGTTGGCCTCCACATGTATATGTAAATCCTAAATACCATTTTTCTGTCTTTAAATTATGGTGACAAAAAAAGAAACTCATACATTTTGATCAGATCAAAGCTATTTCTTTTGGGTTGAAGAATTTTAATTGGGATCACAGCCAAATTGAAGGCTTTTTGCCATTGCCTTTTCTGACATTTCAAAAGAATACTACCTATCTTTAAATACAATTAAAGGCAGTTATCAACAATCCGTGAGAAACACAAAGTTTGATAATTGTTATGCATACTTGGAAAAATTTCCCTTGGATTCCTACCTGAAATTTGGATCTCTAGAGCAAACTAATAGATATATTTAATTCCATTTCCCATTCACTGAGCAGTTCCCATATGTTAGACACCGTGCTAGGAACTAGGAACAGATCAATGAATGAGACCCAGTTCCTCTACCCTCACTCATGGTCTAATGGGAGAGACAGAGAGGTACCATATATTTATAGTGCAAACCATGGTTGTGTATAACTGAAGTGTGGCAAAATATAGAAAAAGTGAGGGTGTTTCAGCTCGTGGTTGAGAGTTAGAAGTAGAGGATAATCCCAGCACTTTGGGAGGCCGCAGCGGGCAGATCATGAGGTCAGAAGATCGAGACCATCCTGGCTAACACGGTGAAACCCCGTCTCTACTAAAAATACAAAAATATTAGCCACGCGTGGTGGCAGGTGCCTGTAGTCCCAGCTGCTCGGGAGGCTGAGGCAGGAGAATGGCGTGAACCCGGGAGGCGGAGCTTGCAGTGAGCCGAGATCGTTCCACTGCACTCCAGCCTGGGCAACAAAGCGAGATTCTGTCTCAAAAAAAAAAAAAAAAAAAAAGTAGAGGATAATCAGGAAAGATTTGCCTAAAGTGTTGATATTGAACTACGCCTGTTTACCTTTAATCTTCTTTTCTTCCCTTGCAGTATCTCATCAGGGTTGCCCCCAGATGGGAACTAAGAATGAATTTTGGTAACTTCCTAGGGATGGTTGCATGACCTTGTTTTTTTCTATGTGTTCTTTAAGCAGTGAGTTCTAGGATGTATATTCAGGGGTATCATAGTATGTTTCCCCTTTTGTGGAAAAAGTAAACCCCTTCTAGGCATAGACTCAGACACAAGAAAACAGCTAGTACGACTGTTTACATGATGTCTGCCTTCTACTGAGCAGTTGTCACCTTTCCCATTGCAGTGTTGCCTTAACCCATCTGGTGAGTGCCATTGGTGTTACCAAATTCTTAAAGACCTTGTTTGGACTTTGGCCTTTAAAAGTGGCCAGTTCTACTCTTCTTAGACTGATTATGCAATTTTTAAAATTGCTTTTCACTCTGTACTTTTTCCCTGTCTCTAACTTGATGCTTACTCTTGGCTTTTTAACAATTAGGGGAACTTTCGCTAAATGACAATGAAGATACACACACCCACACACAAAAAAAAGAAAAGAAAAGAAAAACAAAGAGGAGTGATACTTCTCCAGATCAGAAACTTTTATAATACTTACCAAAAATCTGTCAATTTAAAAACCATGAAAGAAACAAACAAAACAACACAAAAATAGGCAGTAAAGTCTAAAGAAAATAAAGCTGTGGCATATAAAACAGTCCTCCTTTTGGCTTTCAGCATATATTGATTTTTAGCATAGTTACATTTAACAAGTTGCATACAATTGTAATAGGTGATTACCAGTGAGGAGCGCCCTGAGTGGGAACTGAGAACCAAGAGGTAACTGTTAAGAATCCTGTAGGTCAGTAACTCCATAAAGTTTTTCCTGTACGGTGAATATGCACTCTTTTTCAAATGTCTCTAGATGTTGTTATAATTAGTGAAATTTAACTTTACTTAAAAGCATTATCAAGTGTAACATGTCTTTCTATCGTATTTTTTCTCAACTTACAATTTTATATTTTTCTTCTATGGAATTTCACAACTCTTTTTGCATGTGTGTGATTAACAGGGTCCTCACAATTGGAAAGGGTAAAAAATCACTATTATAATTACCTAGGGAGCTACAGAATAATTTTTGAGGTAGGAAGAGGCTGAAAAATAAATGCAAGGAAGTCAAATATACAGTTGTAGGTTTTATTACCTAATTTTATTGTACAGAGCAGCTTTTTTCCAAGGATCTTTTAACATCATAATCAGAACTTTAACACCATAGAATTGTGAACTTTTATAGCTGGAAGAAGGCACTGAGATCATTTTACAAGTAAGGAAGTTAGCCTGACCTGCCCAATGCTACACAGTGATAAAAGAAAAGCTTCACCCAGGTTAAATTTAAAGGTGTTTAATTGAACAATGAATGATTCACGAATCGGGCAGCCCCCACTATCACAGCAGATTCACAGAGACTCCAGCGCAGCCACATGGTAGAAGGGAAAAAAAAAGGGAAGTGACGTACAGAAATTGGAAGTGAGGAACAGATGGCTGGATTGGTTAGAGCTTGGCCTATTAGTCTATTCGCCTGTTATTAGGCCTATTAGTCTGCCTGTTAAGCTAGGTTACAGTTCATCCACAATCACTCAGATACAGAAGTATGCGGTCCTTCTCAGGCCATACTTAGTTTGCTTTAACAACAGCCAGTCAGTGGTGAAATCAGGACCAGAACAGAAGTTTCCTGGCTGCACTGTCACAGGCTAGCACACTATTTTTCTGTTGTGAAAAATTTCTAAAAGTCAGGGTAGCCAGAGGATGGAAAGCATTACATTTAGGTTGATTTGGAATGGTGCAATAGTATTGAAGAGCACAGATTCTGGAGCCAGAGTACCTGAGTTTAATTTTGGCTTTCTACTTACTGGCGAGTTATTTCAGCTATGTGTGCCTCAGAGTATAGAGGGAGATAAAATAACAGTACCTATTTTATAGGGTGGTTGGTGAGAAAAAAATGAGTCTGTAGTACTGGGACCCTACATTTAGTACATGCTGTGTACCTGTCATGTTTGTATCCGCAGCATCATTGTTATTACCTGTTACTTCTAAGTTTCCAAGTTGTTGGTATAGTCAGGATTCTTCAGAAAAACAGAAACTATAGGATATATAGAGAGGCAGGAGAGGAGGTTTAATATGGGAATTGGCTCACATGGGAATAAGTCCCATGATCTGCCATCTGCAGCTGGAAAACCAGGAAAGCCAGTGGTGTAATTCAGATCAAGTCCACAGTCCTGAGAACTGGGAGGCCACTGGTAAAAGTTCCAGAGTCTGAAGGCTTGAGAGCCGGGAGCTCCTATGCCTTTCTGCAGAAGGTGGATGTCTCAGCTGAAAAAGAGAGAGAATTTGCCCTTCTTCCACCTTTTTACCTTTTCTGCACCATCAAGTGATGGAATGATGCCTACCCACACTGGGGAGGGCAGATCTTCTTTACTCTGTCTACAGATTTTGATGCTAATTTCTTCTTGAAACACCTTCATAGATACCCTCCCAAATAATGTTTTACCACCTTTCTGGGCATCCTTCAGCCCACTCAAGTTGACACATAAAATTAATTATCACATCATCACTATAGCCTCTTGGGGGCCCTTTAGTCCTTCCCCCTAGATTTGGAGGAATCTACCAGCCAGGTGACTGCAGACAACCATGTACTGCAACAGGGTCGTCCTGGTCAATAGAGTGACTGTATTCAAATTTCAACCAGGGAAGCAGAACCAGTATGAGATTTGTTACGGGGACCTGGCTTATACAATTGTGGAGGTTGGAAGTAGTCTCTGCAAGGCTGTTATCACTGGATCTCATGCTGGGGCTTGAAGTCCACAAGGCATGCTCTCAGACAAGTCAGATCACGAGTTTAAAAACCAGCAGATTAGCAAGAACTTGTGTGAGCTACACAACAGCTGCTGTTTTACGCCCACGACTCGTATCTCTGAAGAATTTTTCTTGTGGCTCACCCTAATCTGAAATATACAACAAAGGGAATTCAGAGAAAATGTAGTTTACTGTAGCCAAGTTGACATGTCACAAAGTCAGCATAGTGACCAATAATAGGAAAAGGACATGGGGCAGAAGAGAAGACAACACTGAGAGAAGTAAAGAAATGAGGCAAATCATACTGAGTTTGATTTACCCCTGTATTATAGAGAGCACATCTATTGATGACCATGAGGCAGAGTTCCACAGAGCTTTGCTATGCTTGCTCCTAGACCCTAAAGAACTGTTCTCACCTAGATGAAGAAGGCAGCTGTGGCTTTATTCAACTCTGTACATAGCTTCTCCTGAGAATCATAATATTTTATATTTAATTTTCTTAAATTGTACTCCCAAAATACTTTTCAGATTCTGAAATATGAACAATTTTAACAGTATATTTTTAGGGTTTTTTAACCTTTTATTTGTTAACTCAGGTAACACAAATCAAGCAAAGCCAATCACATCTGCATAAAGAGCCAGAAATTATCTAGTTTAATTGTAAATTTTGAGAATATTCTGCATCAAACAGTCATAGTGTTAGAGCAAGAAAAGTGTTTTGTGTGATTTTTTTTTTCATTGCCTCTGTCTTATTTTGGGCTTACATAATAAAATACCATAGACTATGTGGTGTAAACAATAAACATTTTTTTCTCATAGTTGTGGAGGCTGCGAAATCCAAAATCAACGTGCTGGCAGATTCTGTGTTGTGGGAGAGCTTGCTTCTGGTCTGCAGAGTTCTGCCTTCTTGCTTGCTGTGTCCTCACATGGTAGAAAGGGAGAGTGCTCTGCACAGGGGCTCCACTGTTTGCCTCCAGATACCATCAAATTGGGTTTACAGGTGCACACCACTATGTGCAGCTAATTTTGTTTTGTTTTGTTTTGTTTTGTTTTGTTTTGTTTTGTTTTGGTAGAGAAGGGGGTCTCACTGTATTTCCCAGGCTGATCTTGAACTCCTGGCCTCCAGCTGTTCTCCTGCCTTGGTCTCTCAAAGTGTTGGGATTACAGGCATGAGCCACCACGTAGGAGTCTTGAAGTTAGACTAGGTCTAACTTCATCTTAGACATTGAAATTCATACCCAAACTTGATAGTTTGCTTCTGTCTGCTCCCTTGGCTCCCACCACAGTGTTATTTGGCCATTTACTAAATCCCATTTAATTTACTTTAATAGTTATGTTCAAATTCGTGTATAAGCCTTACAGAGGAAAGAAAATTCCTCTGGTAGCTCATTTGTCTTCCTGGACTTTAAAAGAAGATGAAACTTTAATAAGGTTTAGATGTTAACATGACTGCCTTGTTCTTCCCCTTGCCCACTTGAGTTTTTCAGCAAGTAATAAATAATTACAAAGCAACTTACAAGATAGGTATATGTGTCATAGCTATTATTTATCTTTCTGCTTATCTCAAAGAAGAGATAGAGTTTTTCACAGTTTAGCAAAGACACAAACCATGTCTTTGTTAAGGAAACCTCATCAATTAATGAGTAATATTAATTATTGTAGGTGCAAAGAAACATTTGGTCATTCAGCAAGCATTTTATCTTAATTTATCATACGTAGTGCTTACCACATGCCAGATGTTGTTTTAAGAGCTTCAGGAATAATTCATTTAATTCTCCCTGTAACCTTATAAGATAATTGTATTATTGTAACCATTTTACAGGTGGAGATACTGAGGCACAGAGGAGTTAACTAACTTATTCAAGTCCAGTTAGTTAATAAGTGGTAAAGCTGACATTGGATTCCCAAGTAGTCTGACCTCTTAAACACTATCCTGTTCTATTTCCTACTATATTCAAAAGCCATGCACAAAGCACTATAGAAAGGGTTCAGAGAAGCATATGGGAAGGACAAGAAATTTTGCTTTTACTTAAGAAACAGATATATTTTATACATGTGAAAGGGGAAAACAATTATGAGTCAACATGCAAGAAAGTTCATGAAAATATGGCTCTGTCTCTTCTCCATAAGAAAGAGTAGAAGGTATAGAAGGAGAACTTATCTTGGTGAACCCCTTTGCCCAACTTCTTAATATTAAAGCCCATTACCTCTGTTCACTGATGATATGATCTTATGCCTAGAAAACCCTAACGATGTCTCCAAAAACTCTTAGATTTAATAAATAAATTTAGTAAAGTTTCAGGATACAAAATCAAAATACAAAAATCAGTGGCATTTTTATACACCAATAACAAGCTGAGAACCAAATCCACAAGTCAATCCCATTTAAATGAACTGCAAAAAAACAAAACAAACAAAAGAACCCTGGGAATACGTTTAACCAAAGAGATGAAAGATCTCTATGAGGAAAATTACAAAACAGTGATTAAGGAAATTGTAGATGACACAAACAAATGGAAAAATATTCCATGCACATGGATCAGAAGACTTAATATTGTTAAAATGACTATACTGCCTAAAGCAATCTGTATATTCAGTGTAATCCCTATCAAAATACCAATGTCATTTTTCACAGAATTGGGAAAAAAAAATCCTAAAAGTAATATGGAACCAAAAGAGCCTGAATAGCCAAAGCAATTCTAAGCAAAAAGAGCAAAGTTAGACATCACATTACCTGACCTCAAATTATACTTTGAGGCAATAATAACCAATACAGCATGGCACTTCTATAAAAATAGACACATAGGTCAAAGAAACAGAATAGAGAACCCAGAAATGAAGCCACACACCTACAGCCAACTGATTTTTGACAAAGTTGACAGAAACATACACTAAGAATACCATTTTCAATAAATGGTGCTGGGAAAATTGGATTGCCATATGCAGAAGAATGAAATTGGACCCCTGTCTCTCACCACATATAAAAATTAATAATGATGAATCAAAGCCTTAAATGTAATATCTGAAACTATTAAAATAACTAGAATAAAACCTAGGGAAACCTCTTTTGAACATTGGTCTACTCAAATAATTCTCGATTAAGACCTCAAAATCACAAGCAACAAAAACAAAAGTTGACAGATGGGACTTAATAAAACTAAACAGCTTCTCCACAGCAAAGGAAATAAACGAGTGAAGAGACAACCTGCAGAATGGGAGAAAATATTTGCAAATTGTGACTACGACATGGAATGAATATCCAGAATTTACAAGGAACTCAACAACAGCAACAAAAATCCACAAATAACCCCATTAAAAAGTGGGCAAAGGACAGGAATAGATATTTTTCAAAAGAAGACATACAAATGGCCAAAAGCAATGAAAAAAATGCTAAACATTAATTACTGGAGAAATGCAAATTAAAACCACAATGAGATATTATCTTATATTCATCAGATGACTATTATTAAAAAGACAAAAACCAAAAACAAAAACAAATGTTGGTGAGATGCAGAGAAAAGAGAGCATTTTTATACTATTTGTGGGAAAGTAGGTCACTACAGACTCTATGGAAAATGGTATGGACAGTTCTCAAAGAACTAAAAGTAGAACTACCATTTGACCCAGCAATTCCACTACTGGGTATCTACCTTAAAGAAAATAAATCATCATATAAAAAGATACCTGCACTTATATGTTTATATCAGCACTATTCACAACCCTAAGTGTCCATCAGTGGATGAGTGGATAAAGAAAACGTGGTATATACACACAATGGAATACTAGTGGCTATTAAAAGGAATGAAATCATATCTTTTGCAGAAACATGGATGGAACTGGAGGCCATTATCCTAAGAGAAATAACTCAGAAACAGAAACAGAACGTCGAATACCACAATTTCTCACTTGTAAGTGGGAACTAAATAATGTGTACACATGGACCTAAAGTGTGTGATAATAATCATTGAAGACCCAAAATGGTGGGAGAGTGAGAGAGGGGTGAAGGATGAGAAATTACATAATGGATACAATGTACACTCTTCAGGTGATGGCTACACTGAAAGTTCAGACTTCCACTACACAATTTATCCATGTAACACAACTGCACTTGTACCCCCTAAATTCGTAAAATTTTTTAGAAAAGATTAGTAAAAAACATAACACCTGGTGGTCAGGAAATCTTGATTTTAGAACTTTGTATCCCCTACCTTACTTTGTCACATTGGCAAAGTTACTTCCTCAACTATTGAAGATGAATTTTAGACTAGAATTAACTATCCCCCAAAACAGGGGTCCCCAACCCCCAGGCCACAGACCTGTTATCTCTCTGTGGGCTGTTAGAAACCAGGCTGCACAGCAGGAGGTGAGCAGTGGGCCAGTGGGTGAGAGAGCATTACTGCCTGAGCTCCTCTGCCTCCTGTCAGATAAGTGGCAGCATTAGATTTTTTTTTTTTTTTTTTTTTTTTGAGACGGAGTCTCGCTCTATCACCCAGGCTGGAGTGCAGTGGCACAATCTTGGATTACTGCAAACTCCGCCTCCCAGGTTCACGCCATTCTCCTGCCTCAGCCTCCAGAGTAGCTGGGACTACAGGTGCCTGCCACCATGCCCGGCTAATTTTTTTTTTTTTTGTACTTTTAGTAGAGATGATGTTTCACCGTGTTAACCAGGATGGTCTTGATCTGCTGACCTTCTGATCTGCCCGCCTCGGCCTCCCAAAATGCTGGGATTACAGGCGTGAGCCACCGTGCCTGGCCAGCATTAGATTCTTATAGGAGTGCAAACTTTATTGTGACCTTCACATGTGAGGGATCTAGGTTGTGCACTCCTTATAAGAATCTAATGCCTGATGATCTGAGGTGGAACAGTTTCATCCTGAAACCATTCCCCACCCCCCAACAAAGTCCATGGAAAAATTATCTTCCACGAAACTGGTCCTTGGTGCCAAAAATGTTGAAGACCACTGCCCCCAAAAGAAGCAAATCACTACTGTGTCTAAGGCACAGCCAGCCTCTGTAGGGGTATGAGATGCAAAACATACAATTCTAAATCACAAGGTGCCATTTTGCCCTAACTTATTTTCACTAAATCTCTATTTTTTCACCCTTAGCTTAAAAAAAAAATCTATCCCAATCCACTTCACATTCATAAATCTATAATGAAAATATTCCTTAGTATTTTTTTCACGTCAATTCTGCAGTTCCAGTTAGACCTCCCTAGGTCTCATGTTATTGAATGTGATTTGGCATGGGTTTTATAGCCTCTCAACTTACTCTGGTTAACACTCAAATAATCACTAAGCTTAGTCAAATGAAATCCCTGATGTATATGTAAGACTTTGAAATTAGTTATTTAAACCTTTCATAATCTAATCCATGCCAGTGGATTAACCTGGACTAGCTGTTAAGGGTTGTCTTGCACCAATTATGCCTGTTTGTATTTTATTGGCCTATGTTGATAAGAGAATATGTCATGTAATTTTAAAAGAACTAAGAATAATATTTTAGGATTTGACATACTGCATTTAAAGTGGGACCCATTGAATAAACATGATTAACTCACACAACACAAAAGGAGTGACCTATCTGTAATATTTTATATTTTCTTAATCTTTGGGTTTAGAGCATTTTAAAAATTCAGTCTTTTAAAGTCATTCTCACTTCTGGCTGGCTCATTGCAACAAAACTTCCATCTACGACATCGTCTTTTTGAGATCCTGAAACTATTTTATGGGCCCAGAGTACAGCACAAGAAAAATGAATCCATTTTTTGATGGCCACTGCGGTTATGGGAAAAAAAAATCATCTTTTTCCTGGGTGGAATAATGGCTTTTTTCACTCGCAGAATGTCTCTTCTGTAGCATAGCATTTTCAGGACTGTAAAAGCCTCTGCCCAGGAGTAGAAGCTGAGGTTTGTAGGGGTCGCCTGCCCAAGGGGGCTTCTCTGGGCACTGTGACCACTTGGCTCTGCAGACCCTGCTGGACAGCAAGCATCTTTTACCCACTGGTTGTGGGGCCAGCCATTTGGTTTATGTCTGGTGTCTCCTGAATCACTTCTCACTCAGGCTAACTGGGCTAACGTCCAGCTTTTAATGTGTCAGATCCTATCCAAATATGGTTAGGGGAGGACAGACTGATAGATTTTTATGTTCATAAAAGGTGCTTTTTCAACATTGGAAATCTCCCTTTTAATTTTTCACTTCTCGACAATCCTTTCTCATTTTTATTAAAATTTTTAATAATAATTAGCTTTTTCTACCAAATAAGAGTTATAAAACAATTATTAGATTTTTCTAACAGTACCTTTAAAGATCTGAGGTAAAAATGAAACAAAACTGTCCTTTTATTTTCATTTAATCCTTAGCGTCCAATTCGTGCTGAGCATTTTTTTTAGTTTAGTTTCTTTTATTCTCTGTAAAGAGCCCATTAGGTGATGATCAGTTTTGTCCCAATTAGAAGGAAAGAAAACATTTCTAGTTTGTTCTTCTGCAGAACTGTACCATTAAGAAATGTTGTTCACTTTAGTGAGAAATTGGTTATAAATAAGACAATGAAAATTTCACATGTTGTTAAGCTGGTGATTTGCCCTATTTGTGACCCCTTGCAAGCAGGCTGTTTGGCAATCTGGTGCCTCTCTGAGTGAGCTGTAACACAATTGATCCCAGGTATAGAAGACACAGCACACTTTTTCCTTCATCGATTTATTCCTTGTGTATTCTCTGCATTTTCTCATTTAGCTGATCAATTAATCTCTGATATAACTCATAGGCAGCAGTTGAAAATAATGTAGCCATTGATATTTTCTCAGCAACAGCAGTGATGGAGTTCCATGTGTCTGTATAACCAAAGTGGAGTTCATTCTCAAGTGTATCCAGGAAGCCTTCTCAGGAGAATTAAGTGTGAGGAGTAGATTACTTTGCTGAAAGCCCATGAAGGCAAGGACTGTAGCTGGATTAGTTTACCTCTGTAGCACCATCTCTCCACACAGTGCCTGGCATGAAGGAGATGCTAAAAAAAAGGTGGACTGAAAGAAGATGCAGTTGTGTTGATTTTAGTAGCAAAGTAGCTTTAAATTGAACATTATGCATCCCTCCAGCCCCCACTCCTGAAATTCTGAAATTTTATTGATTCCATTAAAAGACCAGGCTGTGCAACATAAAGGTCCATGACCAGAAGTTAAAAGAACTGGAATGAGTGGTAGTAGAAAAGAAAGAAGGAGAGCTTTGGTGTCAGACATATGTGTTCAAATCCTAGATCTCTGTCTTGCTGGCTGTATGATTTTTGAGGCTCCTCAACTTCTCTATACTTCTGGGAACATCAGGATAATAATATGCACTTCATGGGGGCCCTTGTGAGGATTAAATTATATAATGCATTGCAATATGAAGGCACAAAGGCATGAAACAGCATGCCCTGTTTGGAAAACTACAAGTAGTTTAATTTAGCTGGAGCACAGGTTGCCCATGGGAGAGATGTGGGAGATGAGTCCAGAGAGAGAAGGAACAGCCAGGTCATCAAAAGCCTTGGGTGCCAAGCTAATGGGTTTGAACTTCATCCTAAAACCTTTGGGGTCTCATTAAAGTATTTTAAGCAGGGGAGAGGAATTGCATGATCACATTTGCATTTTATGACATTGACTCTGGCAGAGCAACATTCTACTGGAAAAGCCTGGCTCTTAACTTTTCTAGCTTCTTCTCCAAGTGACTCTTCTCTCCTACTCTCTGGTCACATAGAACTTTGTACATAGAATGGGTCAAAGTTTCTTGGTCTCTGAGCTTTTACATGTATGATTCCCTCCTCCTAGAATACTCTTTTCCTCCTTAATGCATTAGTAAGAACTTTGTTAGTTACAAATGGCAGAAAACCTAACTCACACTGGTTCTGGCAGTGTATTTACTCAGAAGTAGCTCCCTGCATAGCTGCGTTCATGAACCCAGGTGGTGTCATCAGAATCAGGTGTCTTTTTCTGTCCATCTCTCTGCTCTGTTCTCAGGCAGACTCTCAGTACAGGGTAGCAAAATAATGGCCAACATTTCTAGACCTACATCTTGGGCTCGCAGTCATGTCCGTGGAAACTAAGCACCTCCCAGCAAAAGTCCTGATATTGACTCTGATAGAGTCATGGGCTCATCTCTGAAACAGTCACTGAGGCCATGGGGTTGGAATGCACCGAATGGCCAAACCTGCATTACATTCCCACCTGGAAAGCAGGAGGAGTGGAGGTGCTGTATTGGAGTCAGCTCCAACCAAATCACAGGAACAGTGACTTGTAGGGTAGGGGAAGAGGTTCCTCGTAAGTCAAGATACTCTTTCCCAAAGATAGGTAATTGATGTTGGCCCAGGAAACATCAACTGATGCTATACCTGGCTAACACACCTGCACTCAGCCTTCAAAGGCGGGATGATTGCCACTACCTCCAGGAGGCCTTCTCTGAGCTATCAAAGACTAGGTTAGATATCCCTCCTGTGCATGCCCAATAGCATCATATACTCATGTCCTAGCAGCATTGCAATGGCTCTTTACTTATCCACCTGCATATTTCTGGTACCTAGTGGACAACTCGATAAATATTTGTTATGGGGATGTTATATTGAGCTATCCTAGAATCTGAGAAGCCAGCTTACAATAAAGAAAAAAGTTATAATTAGTTGCAGTGGGACACATGTTTGAGGAATGTTAAAAAGGGAGAATCTACAGGATTGAGGGCCTGCTTCAGGTGGGAGTGTTGGGTGAGAAGGAGGTCTCCATGTCTTAGAGAAGGAGGATTATACCCTAGTTTCTGGATCCTCCACAACAGAGGAGATTGGAGAGAGAGATAAAGGGTTCAGTTTGGTACATGAGGTTCCTGTGGGGCTTACTTTGAGGATTCATCAACCTAGGAATGGCAGATAAAGCTTCGTGAGAGGATGAGAAAAACCAAGGAAGGGTTTAAGGATGAGAAGATCCTCTCTGGGAATATATACAGTTCAGTCAATGTCTTTCCTGCTGATGATGGACTTTGATTCTTGGATTTCACACTAGTGGGCTGGGAGTTGATGATACTTAACTGTAGTGCCATACATTAAGGCCTAAATGCCACAAGGGAGATCAGGATCTCAATCAAGTAGAATTGTCAGTTTAATACAGTTTTAAATAAGGAGAATAGGGAGGTGCATTCTGAGCTAATGAGGAGCAGAAGGACCCAGCCCTCAAAGGACAACCTAGTTCTTCCATATATATATATATATATATATATATATATATATATATATATATATACATACATATATATACATATATATATACACATATATATACATATATATATATACATATATATACATATACGTATATATATATATAAACTAACTTATATATATATATATATATAAGTTCTTCCATATATATATAAGCTCTCAATGGAACATGACATTCAGGTCCCTTGAACCAGGCCTCATGCTATGGAAAGTCAACACACAGCACCCCCAGGCAAGTGTTGAATTTTCTTACAGGAACTTTCTTAATTCTTGGCCATCAGCTTTCCCTTTGTCTCCCACTTTTTTTTTGGTAGAGTCCATCAACAAAAGGGGGTCCTTTTTTCTCTGCCTAACTTTTTACATGATGCTGTAACCCACAGATAGTACTCAACACATGGTGTAGGATGGAGAATAATTGTGAACATTTCTAGTATGTGAAAGCAAAATGAGCAAACAGCTCCTCCTCTGTGGAATGTGTTGTTATTCCTACCTAGGACCTCAGAGAGGACCAGTAACCTGCCCTTGGTCACATAACTATCTGATTGAAATGGTGAAACTGAGTTGTGAACAGTCTGACTTCAGAGCTGGCATAGATACATCACACAAAACTTCCTGCCATGAAATAGCATAGGAACTTAATTTAAAAGAAAAAAAATCATGAAAAGGCCAGATGGCAAGGGGGAGAGGGGAATACGGTGGGTCCTGGTGGTCCAGTCAGCTGGGCAATGTAGGTATGCAGGCAGTAGCCAAGGAACCATGAACTTGCTACTTGGATTTTAAAATTGGCTCCAGCAATGCACATTTCAACCAGCAACAGCATCCAGGCCACAGAGGTCCCTTTTCTGCCCTTTGATAACTAAGGTAGACACAAGCAAGACTTGGCCTCTCTTCATAACTTTGCAGATACTTACTGCTCATTCTGGAGCTGTGTGAAAAATAGACTCAGCATCTTCCAGTCACTTTGAGTCAAATTTCTATATTTCATATAAGCCCTAAATTTCCCTAGAGTTGATGCATCGTCTTGTAGAAGTATAGATGTCATCTTCTAGAGATCATATTTTCTTTATTCCTTCTCATTTTTTTCTTTTTTTGCTTTATCTTTTTCTTTCCTTCTGTTTCTTCTGCCCTTTGTCTCTTCTGTTCTTCTTGTCTGTCGTTGCTGATCTGATTTCTTTAAGGTCAACTCCACCTGTTTTCAGAAGCTATACCATCATCCCGCTGTTGATCTTGCATCAAATGTTGTGTATTTAATCTTGTGATTGGTGTTAACATTAATTTCTTTTAGCTAGTTTGCGTGTTCAGTGAATGACTCTCTGTCAGCGGTGGCTCCCACCCACCCTTCTCTCCAGGTGCCCAGACTCCAGCAAGCTACATGTGCTGCTGTGTAGAACACACATTCAAAGCAAGATAGACAGACACAGTCTCTGCCAGGGCCTCTGCGCCTCCACCTTCTTTAATTATATGCTGTACTATAATCTTGGTATTCTCTGTGGCAGGGTAATTGATGAATTTTTAGCTGAAGTGAACACATCCTGGGAGTGCTCTACCTGAAAGTGCATTTTTCTTTCCCTTCTCCATCCCCCAGACCAAGAAGGCTGTATCACCACTCCCATTCCACCCATACATGTAAATTGGCTTCCTCTCTTGTCACTGCAAATCCACTTTGCTATGTGAATTGCCATGTTAGTTAGGTTGATGGAAAAGAAGCTGGACAATTTCTGTTTCTCCCTTTGACTATGGCTTGTAGGTCCATGAAATGAAACAATAAATTCATCATTTGTTTAAGAAGTTAAACCAGATCATTTGTGACTTACCATGGTGCCAACTCCAGATGAATTGGGAATATCCTTGTTTTGTTTGATACTGGGTATTTGAAAACATGAAGCTTTCATCCCAATATTTGGCAATGTGTAGACCTTTCACTGTCAAAAGCCTTTAGGCATCAGATTGTGATTTACTATGTAATTCAGGAAGCAATTTCTTTTCATGGCTATTTCTAAACTTGGAATTTCTTTTCATGGCTTTTTCTAAACTTGGAATCTTCAGAAAGCATTGTTATTTACATTATACTGTCCTTTGAATCACTTGTGTTTTATTGTCTTTTTTGTTCTTATTTTAGAAATCTAGAGAAATGCAAAGCTTTGGAGAAGGATCAAGTTAACGTTATTTTATAATAGCATTGTCATCATCATTATGGATGTTGTAATGTCATCATCATTATAATCATTAGTGTTATATTTTAGTTGGAGGAGAAATGATCCAATAAATGCATTCTACTGTTAATATTTAACTACTGGCTATAAAAAAAAATTACAAAATATATGCTGAATGTACCATGACAAACCCTACGATCTATGTCTTTTAATTTCTTTTCTAGCAAGAGAGAAACCAAGGAAATCCTCAAGGAACAGGTCATTCTGAAATACCTAAGGGTAGATCTTTTATGGGAGTGCTTAATTAAATATCTGATATCTTCTGTAGAGGGAAATAAAATGAAATTGCTTTGAGTACTACCTTTCAGAAAAAAACCAGCCTTTCCTTGTGGCTGAGACATCAGGAAGAAAATGGTACCAGATCCTTCTGAGCTCATTGCAATGTTGATGCATAGTATATTAAAGGAATCTGATTTATAGTGATGAGTTATTAAGGAGAAATTGAAAGTTTCCCAACCCATGGGTTTTTACATGCAAAATTTAAGGAGCCCATTATAGTCCATTAGTTTAAAAGGTAAACTCATTAAATCCTTCCTGATCAAATAGCTATCTCTGATTTTATGGTAAAATTAAAAAGGCATGGACAGCATTTTAAGACTTGGTATAATATACTTCTTGGTTCCCTTGCAGCCAATGATAGCTAGTGTTTAATGTGATGATTTAAGGATGATTTAAATTGGTCCTCCTGCAGAGGAGGAGGAGGATCCTCAGAGAAACTAAATTTATGAAATGGTATAAGTGGGATTTAGAGTTAAGTGACAGAGTGATTGGAGAGAAGTCTTATGGTTTGGAGCCCAAAGACACATTAAAAGGAATCATAGTCACAGGCCTGTGTTTCTGATGGCCTCAATAAAGAGCTCATGGGAGCTGGATGTTTAAGCCCCACAGGTGGACAAAGGTGCACCTGTAGGGCTGTTTTCCCATCTCTGCAGCCAATAAAGTCAAAGAATGTGAAATAATATTTTCCCTGTATTTGCCTAGTTTATGTTTGTTCTTCAAGTTAGCAACTGTAAATACTAATCATAATAATCAACTATTATAAATTTTAAAGCAGAAAAATGTATTTACTAAAATGTTATCAAGTTTTTATAACAAATGAGTCAACCAACCCAATAGATTAAAGGACAAAATGAAAATTACCAATCCTGGCGGTTAAATAAGGGCTATGAACTATCATTTTAATGCCCTCTTCTGTATAACATCAGAACACAGTGTAAATTATGATGAGCAGCCAAACGTATGGATCTTATAAATGAGTTATCAAAAGTATATATTAAAGTTTTTTAAAAATCATTTTCTAAAACCATAATGAAGCACTGAAAATTATTTTAAGTCATTTTTCTGCCAAACTCAAGAGTGGCTTGCTAGTTTCATCAAAGCCATGGCAGATCAAGAGTAGATTACATATTTTCAGTTACCTTGGACAAGTCACTGCATATCTTTCTGCTTAGCTTTCTTATCTGTAAACAAGGGATGTTAAGAGTTCCTATGTCATATGATTATTGTGAGAATTAAATAAAGCACACAAAGAGCCTACAACAGTGCCTGGCACACAGGTACATGGAAACCATTCCATAAACATTAGTTGTCATCATTATTGGGTCTACTCCACTCTGGCACTTCCATCAATTTTGCATTAGAGAATCAAGACTCAAAGTAGAATATTTCAATTTGATTTACCCAGGAAGGCAGCCACATGCTAACCTACATCACAGCTACAAACTGGGTTATTCTAACCCCTCCAAAAAAGTAAAGAGATGAAATAAGATACAGATCATGCCCTTGAGAAAATCATCATTTGAGTCCACAGTAAAATTGTAGTGATGATTCCAAAGGTGGTCTAGAAATTGAATTTCAAAATTAAGCAGCTAGTGCCACATATAAGCTGTACTTTTGGTCCTAAGTCAACTAACTTTCTTTCACATTTTAATATAAACTTTAATTTTACAAGCAATAAATGTCCATTAATAGAAAGATGGAAAACCACAGAATTCAAATAACCTTTTATACAGTTAATACAGAAATAATCATTCTTTTTGGCATCTACACGCCAGTCATTCTTCTCTATGCCTCTTCCTATTTTAATGGGATCCTACAGTACAAGCCTTTTTGTAACGTGATTGTTAGTAATGTCACAGTGGAACCTTTCCACTTTATGATGTGTGTTTTTATGCTGTCACTTTAATGGTTACATAATGATCCGTTTGTAACAGTGGCCTAGGATCAACCAGCCCCATGCAAAGTAAGGTTCTCTGAGTCCCAGTTACTCATCCAGCTAACGCCCTCTGTCACATTCGATCATAAATTCTGTGGTCAGTCTATGCCTAGGGAAGTTCTTAACCCAAGGCACAATATAGTGGGTCCCCTGCCTATCCCAATTTGCCTTCACCATAGTATTTCTCATCTTTGCTTGCTGTTAAAAAAAAAGAGGGCAGCCTCTGCAAACATGAATATTTCTGTCTTTACTTTGGCAGTCAATTTCTCTGAGCATTGCCTCTGCTCACTGAGGTCTAGCAGTTCCCTTGGGGTAACAGTGAGAATGAATGTAGTGAGGCTGTGAAATACAGAGAAAGTATACACATTTATTGAGTCATAGCCCCACCTCACATTGTATGGATGTGTGATAATTCACTTAACCAATGCTCTAGTGTTGGGTATTTTATCTGTTTCCAAATTTACCGTATTATAAATATTATCCCCAAGTCTCCCTAAGCCATCTGCCTCTGGGGTCAGATTAGGTCACATTAAGAAACTGAGTGTGGCTGGCTCTTTTCCATCTTTCCCCACTCCCAACAGACACAGAGGCTCTGCTCACTCTTCCCCACAAGAAACTTCCCCCTAGTTATTTCAGAAGTTCCCAGGACATTCGTATGTACAGTCATAAAAACATCTTCTTCCATTTGTGACTGACACATCCTCACACACAAACCTGGATTGAAAGCAGCTTAGCGAAGGCCCCTCTCTGTGACTGCTACTCGGGGCACCCCCACAGGAATTCTGATGCCCCAACCAGTGGGCTGTATTCTGTGTTTACAGTGTTCCAGAACTACTTATCCTGAGAGTTCTGCAGTGCCTTGTTCCCAGGATGTAGCCCCTGTTGGTTTGCAATCACCTTGCTTCCTGTCCAAGAAAATGATGGGAACATGCCTTTCCCTCCTGGGCCCCAAAGTGGGATTTTGGTGACTAGAGCAGCAGTTCCCAAATCATGTTTGGAAACAGCCTCATCCCCTTTAGCCTCCTGCTCCTTTCTCTGTAGGAATCACACCAGGTCAGGCCATGCAGCACACAGGACGGCCTCTCGTCTTCTCATCTGATACAGCTCTGCACAGTATGCCACTGTTCACCATTCAGACTTCCTTCCCCATGATATAAACTCAGGAAGGAGACACTGGATGCCCTTAGCCACAAGTCTAGCAGATCCATCAAATGGTCCATCCGGTCTTAGGTTCATCACATGTCTGGTGCAACAGCGAGCACCCTTCTATTTGTGCACATTTTAAATAAACATTTAGATTATTTCCTTAGATGAATACTTAGAGGCCTAATTGCTGAAATAGAAGGTATGCAATAGGCATTTTTTTTTTTTTTTTGGCCATAGCTTTACTTGATGGCTGGCTGAGTTCTGGCAATATCTTAGATTGCCTCTTGAGACACTTAGGATAAGAGCTATGATCTTTCTGGGATGTCATCATACAGCAGTGTTGCTCTAAGGATGAAGCCACAAAACACACATATCCAGGGCTATCACACTTCCTCCTGATAGGCTTTTTATCTGATGGCCTTGAGCAGCATTCACGTCTCAGTGACCCATCAGATTTACAAAACTATCTCATTTGTATTGAAATAAAATTATCGGGTGGTGAAATGCACAGGTCTTAAAGTGCTGAGTACCTTCAGTGGTCATAGAATTCAGAAGTCCTTTAACGTTACTGGGGTACAAGATCCCATTCAAGATTCCATTGTGTTCTCAGTTCTCTCCTGGCCCTACCCCCAGCATTTGGGTTTCAGAGAGTCTATATTGCAGTTGTATTTTAAAGGTAGTATTAGTCCATGAGACTATTTGTGAAAGGGGGCCAAAGAGAAAACAGGGCTATCTCAGGAATTGTCCATTTCTACTTAAAAAATAGATCAGTTAAAATTTCCCCAAATTTCCTCTCCTATCTTGCTTATATTTTACACTTCATTATTTTTTTTCTAAAATTTTTATCATAAAAGACTATACAATGAATTATTTTAACATCAAATTGTTACTGTTTTGGAGCATGTGGGAAGGTTTTGTATTAATTTAAAAAGAAACATTTCTATGCCTTTTTTCTTTGCACACGAATTAGGCTTTTTAAATTTTATTATAAAGTTTCTTTTCACAAATATGATTTAGCCTCCTAGATTTTAAGAAACATAATGGACAGCTACTATTCACATAGATGTGCTATTTGAAAGAAATTTGGCTTACTGCTGTTATTCAGTACTGCATTTTTATGTGTAGAAATTGATGTATGCCAAGAAAAAGGCAATTAAGGCTCTTATGCTTATTTTTCAAGGTGGTGCGAGTTTTAACTATATGTTTACTTTAAGAATCTTAAAAGGACCCCTTGGGAAATATTACCAACTGAGCCCATTGGGCTAAACGAAAAAGCAGATTCATTTTCATAAATAAATCTGAATTCCATTATTTTTCAAATTTACTTATAGATTGAAGAAGACGATAAGTATGCTAATAGAGGATAGAGAGAATGGAAAATTATGACAAGAGTTTTCTCCATGCACTTCAATATGAGCCCTGTTCTTTGTGGGTATTTCCAAACATAGATATCTTAAAAATTGAAGTCTTGTTTATTCAAATATTCAAATGTTTATTATGCAAGGTACTGTCTTGCATAATTTGCAAGAGGCATTTTGGTGGGAAGCAAAGCCACAGAACCCAGTCAATACTCTTTATCAGCGTCCACCTCCCAAAGTGATCATTTACATCTATAATGCTAAGAACCAGCCTTATGGAAAAAATTGATTTATAAGTACAAATAAAAATTCAGAAGACAGCTAACATTTATTGAGAGCTAACTAGGTAGCAGGCATATTCTATCAGTTTTCACCTCTTATTTATCCTTCATAAAACCACATTATTGTTCTTCTTGTCTCTAGTCTACATATGAGGGCACCAAGTCACTGAGAGGTTAAGCATCACACCCGAGATCACACAGCTAATAAATAGTATAGTGACCCAGGTTCCATCTGGCTGTAGAATCTCTCTTATCCATGACATGGTGTAAAGATAGTCAGATCTGTGTTTATGTTATTTATTAAAGTCTCTTTATCTTATTTGCAAGCTAGATGTGCATGATTAACATATAACATTTCTGTGTGGACTGACTGTGTTATGTAGGAACTTGGCACATGGTGGATAATCAATAAATAAGAGCTGTCTCAATAAATGATTCAGCTACGATCACCAGGGCATATCATAGCTGAAAGGCCCTGGTGATGGTAGCTGAATAATTTATTGAGACAAATCTTAGGTCCAAGTCTTAAGTATAGGGAAGAGACCGTAGTAGTTTGAGGGCAGCATATTAAATTATTAGGTTATTAAACACTGAGTGCTTTCTAATGTTCTGTAGGGATAACATTCAAATTGAAAGCAAACTGGAAATTTGTGAAGTTGTTGATATAGAAAAAAATTCTATATCATTTCAAAGCACAGATGAGGAGGGATGTGAAATAACACTAGAACCAGACTATACAGGGGGAGGATGATTAATCTCACCTGATTTAAACGGAAGCCTCAATAGAAGAAGTGGCATGGGATTTCGGCTATCGTGTTCCTGCTGAAAGTTTCAGGCTGCTGAAAGCAGAGCATCTGATAAATTCTTGACTTGTCCTGGAAGTATTTTCCCCTCTCTGAAAGCAGAGGAAACAGTGAGGGAGTCGCCTTAATTGTGAACTTAATTCTTAGCCTCTGGAAGGACCTGATTCATGGTTTGGAAGGAAGGAAGGCTTAAAGAAGCAAATCAGCATCAAAGGAACCATAGGAAGCAGGGCAGTTTGTAGATATGTACACACTACTTAATGTTTAGGAAATAAGATATCAGAATGTTCATTGAATGAGCAACTATGATGTCATGGACGGGCTCTGAAAAGAAACATAGTCCACAGAGGGTTGAAGGCTCTGCAGATGAAATCTATCTATATATTCTGAAAAACCCTGATTGACTGTCCAAAGTTTTATTATGGGTTATTTGAATGCATTTTCATACTCATGTACTTGAATAAAATGGTATTATGTACCAAGTCTAGGATAGGATGCATTTCTTCCTCTGGACCATATGATGACTTTTCCCAAAGGGCACTGTGCCACAGAGAGCGAGAGCTTGGCTCACTTCAGGCACAGCAGTCCCTGTATGGTCCTGTTGGAGGTGCCCAAGCCTGCCTCTTTCTCTCACTGCCACATAGTCACCACAGGCCAGCATCTGACTTTGCACAGAAGAGTTTGAGAGCTAGTCCTCTGCTGAGTAGAAAACTATGAGTACTCTTTTCTAACACCACTCTTTCACCAGTTTTCTTTAATGGCTCAGATTGGTAGTTTCTGCAGATATCCCCAGCTCACAGGCTCCTCCAGGCAGACACTGTGGGCGTGCCTCCAACCACCAGCAAGAAGCAGCGACTGGCCAGCTCTCAGGCAGCTTGGAAGGCCTGGGAGGGCCCGCTAATCAACAGTCCTGCAGTTTACCGGAGCCATGGGGGAGTTCAGCAGATGTATGTAATAGGATCCAGGGAATAATAAATCTTTTTCCTTTTTGTGCTGCAGAGAGAATTCTCCGTTACCTCTTTAGGATGGGAACCAGGGCCCTTTCTCTGCTTATGGAGTTCACATAGGAGGGCAAAGGAAAATATGTCCTTCTGTGTGGGAAATGCTTAGAAAACAGTGCCAGCATTTACATGTATATACACACATACAAACACAAAAGAAGACTTTTGAACTGTAGTAGGAAAAAGGGGAGGTCACAGTGAGATATTTAACTAAAATATCACATAGGGAGTTCACCAACAAAATTTGATTTTTAAAGGACTTGGAATTTTGCAGGAAGGAAAGACTATTACCTGATACAAGAGAGGCATAAACTTAAAAGAATAGTATCATAAAATATAAAAGTCAATGATGAACTAAAATTTGCCAAAAAGTCAGAATGTCAACCAAATTTACATTTTTTAAGTGAATTGTAGTGCACTGGAATTGATTTCCTAGCTGGACACTGGCTGAGCTAGAGCATCAGGAAGAGTCTAAAGATTAGATTTTAAGAAAAGAAAATAGAAGCCATGTTTGAAGACCTGCGTTACAAGTGCTTTATCAGTTTGTAAGACGTGAGTCTGAAATGACCAGCAATTTGTTTCTTGAAAGATCCATGAATCATGTGCAGTTACTTGGCTGAGTGGGTCAGGCCCCTATCATGAGACAGGTGGAAGGAAAAACATCCAGTCACAGTATTCTCTAGCAACAAATGAGATGTGGGAATCAGGCAGTGAAGTCTCTCTACCGAATGGGTGGTGTCGGTCAGAAGACAACATGGCACGGAATATCAGTATTCCAGCCAGGCCCAAGAGATGTGGCATCCATTTGCAGAAAACGGCCATGTTGTAAGTAACTAACTGGGCCTATGAGTACTGATGCTTATGAGATAGAATTATACTTCTGAGTTACCAGGCAAAAGAGAAGGCCTAGAATGGATGAGTCTTCTTTGGCCATTGTTTGGTACAGTCTCATTTCCAAATCCAATCCAATCCAAAGCTTATACATATAAGCTTTATAGTTTCTAAAACAGTAATTAAAATATTCTTTTGTATTTAAAGAAAAAAATGAATTGCAATGTAGCATAGTAGTCAATAGCTAAGATTTGGGAGCAAACTAAGTGTTCATCAACACATGAATGGATAAAGAAAATGTGGTACATATATACAATGGAGTACTATTCAGCCATGAAAAAGAATGTGATCCAGTCATTTGCAAAGGCATGCATGGAACTGGAGGTGATTATGTTAAGTGAAATAAGCCAGGCACAGAAAGACAAACATTCCATGTTTTCACTTATTTGTGGGATCTAAAAATTAAAATAATTGAACTCATGAATATAGAGAGTAGAAGGATGGTTACTAGAAGCTGGGAAAGGTAGTTGGGGGCGTGCTCGGGGGAGATGGGGATGGTTAATGGGTGGGTACAGAAAAATAGGAAGAATGTGTAAGAGCTACTATATGATAGCACAAATATTATTGACTATAGTCAATAATAATTGTACATTTTTAAATATTAGATAACTAAAAGAGTATAATTGGATTCTTTGTAACACAAAGGATAAATGCTTGAGGGTATGGGTACCCCATTCTCCATGATGTGATTATTACACATTGCATGCCTGTATCAAAGCATCTCATGTACCCCATAAATACATACACCTACTATATACCCATAAAAATTAGAAATGAAAAAAAATTTAAAATATTATGGTTGCTGGTATCAGAAAACCCTGAGTCTGAATACTGACTCCACGTTTTCACTAGCCGTGCCTCAGGCAAGTTCCTTAACTGCTCTAATTGTAAGCATTGTTGCCTGTAAAATGGGCATAATGACTGCACTTCCATCATAGGTTTACTGTGAATATTAAATAAGATTCTTTAAGCATTTAGCAAGTCCTATCACATAGAGTAAGGACTTTTTAAGAGCTTGCTACTCATATCCCTCCAAGAAGAAAAATCATATGATTTCTCAACCACTTGGAGATTTTGGTTACATGGTGAAAACAGCAGCATTTGCAGCAGCAGGAGCCATAAATGACAAAGCTAGTCACCTCCTGTTTTCCATCTGTAGTTTCTGTAAAGCAAAGTGTTCCTCACATTGGGAAGGATGGAGTAATTATCCCAATGGATGAATCAATGCCCAAGATTGGTGAGGAGTTAGAACACAAGCAGTTAGCTCCTCTGGATGAGTCATCTCCCAGTCAGGAAAATTACATTCCAAGTACTGGATATTATCTCAGAACCATTGTCGATAATCTCTGAGGAAATGGAATATAGAAGATAATACCGTCTTCATTTTGATAAAGGGGAAAATTTGAATACCCTAGCATAAGAAATTTGAGATTGCTGCCTGGGAAATTTCTAAAAAGGAGCAAATGAGAAAGAAAGGCATGATCATTGGATATAGCCTGAGCATACTAAAAATAAGATAGATAGATATAATTTTTTTTTTGAGATGGAGTATTGCTCTGTCACCCAGGCTGGAGTACAGTGGTGCCATCTCAGTTCACAGCAACCTCCACCTCCCAGGTTCAAGCAATTCTCCTGCCTCAGCCTCCTGAGTAGCTGGGATCACAGGCGTGCGCCACCACACGTAGCTAATTTGTGCATTTTTGTAGAGATGAGGTTTCACCATGTTGACCATGCTGGTCTTGAACTCCTGACCTCAAGTGGTCCTCCTGCTTTGGCCTCCCAATGTGCTGGGATTACAGGCATGAGCCACCGCACCTGGCCAGTATTTTCTTTTTTAATCGATTTTTTAAAAACTGCTTACCGTGAGATTGCCATAAGTTGATCACACCAAGATTTCAACAAAACATCTGATTACTTAACTTATGACACTGTTCAGTGAGGATGAAGAAATGTGTGTTGGCTGATCTTTCAGTTGGAAAGATT
Organism: Homo sapiens; assembly: GCF_000001405.40. NCBI lineage: Eukaryota > Metazoa > Chordata > Mammalia > Primates > Hominidae > Homo > Homo sapiens. The sequence continues at coordinate 132,908,902 of NC_000002.12, read as the reverse complement.
CGTAATTGTAATCAGCTGCCACAATAAAGACTACGATATTTCAGAATTATGCCATAGGGATCCATGTTTTAGAACTGCATTATTCAGCATAATTTGTCAATAACATGAAGATTATACAGCAGGTTTTTAACATAAAGGTAATCCAAACTGGGAAGGTAGCATAACTGATTTTGTCACAGTCAGAATTCCAGATATTCTTTCATTTCTTAATATCCTGCAACAGTGGACTATAGTAAACAAGATAAAAATTTAACAGTAATAAATGTCACCTCCTGCATTTTTGGCTTAAAAATCAATTTATTAAATCAAGAGGCTTAAAAACAATTAGCATTAAAAGAAAAATCATGGGAGAGTAGTTGAAGATAAGCTTAGTATTAGTCAAGATTATGCTAAAAGCTAAGACAGTCGGAGGATATTCGATAGAAGAATAATATCCTTTTGGAAGACCACAGTTAGTCCTGCCACACTCTACCCCATTCAGACCACATCCTAAAGGATTTGATTCTGGATACTTGCATTTCAAGAGAGAAATTGACTGACCAGAGTGCCTTAGGAAAGAAAGAAAAGAAGAGAAAGAGAAAAGACAACCAAGATGGTGAAGCACCTAAAAACCATGTTGTAGGAAAAGATAGAAATCAGGCCACAGCTACTTAATTTAGGGAAAGAAAAATCAAGATGATGTAATTTAGATGTGTAAATATAAAAAAAAAATGTTTTGTGTAACCCCATAGAGATATATTTAATATAGCTCTTAAAAGCAAAAAGGAGTTAATAAATAAAGGTTACAGAAATGAAAATCTAATCTAAAGAAAGAATTTGTAACTGTTAAAAGTGTCTAGGTATAGGAGGAGTTGCTTATTGTGACTAATAAGCTTTTATAAACAAAAGCATTGACCAAATAAATCTCTGTTGGGTATGAGGCTTTATAAAGAATGATTACATTGTGGGCCAGGCATGGTGGCTCACGCCTGTAATCCCAGCACTTTGGGAGGATGAGGCAGGAGGATCACGAGGTCAGGAGATCGAGACCATCCTGGCTAACATGGTGAAACCCCCTCTCTACTAAAACTACAAAAAATTAGCCGGGCATGGTGGTGGGCGCCTGTAGTCCCAGCTACTCGGGAGGCTGAGGCAGGAGAATGGCGTGAACCCGGGAGACTGAGCTTGCAGTGAGCCAAGATCGTGCCACTGAACTCCAGCCTGGGCAACACAGCGAGACTCCTTCTCAAAAAAAAAGAAAAAAGAATGATTACATTAACTGAGATGTTTATCTAAACACCTCTAAAACGTGTCTTTGAGTGGTAAGAGCCTTGATTATGAGGCAATCATACTGCCTCTTAGTGCACATACAGGTGATGGCTTCAGGCAGGTGACATAGGAAGTATCTTTTCCCACCTACAAAGAGGAAAATGTGGACAGAGTCTCTAAGAGCTAAACTGAGTATCTTAAGATGGGAGTTTATAGCCCTCTGGGCTAAACTTAAAGAGGACTCTAAATTTTTGAGAAGCAGCAGCCCTGAAGACTTTGCTACCCGCGTGATCTTAATCTCTGAAATGCCCAAGTTAGAGCCAGGTGTGTCCTCAAGGTATTTTACCTTTTAGGTAAAGAATCAAACAGGGTTGGAAAAGTCTATATTCAACCTCAAAAATGGCTAACCTTGGTTAGGTGATCATTGTTATGAGTTGAGGATGGACTAAAAGGTTTTCAGTTTCTAGGTATTTGTATTTCCTTATGTTGTTCTAAATATTTTGTCACTATTCATAAGTTAAAAGTAATGTTTAGTAATATAAATAATGTTAGGAAAAGGCTAAATTCCCTATGTTTCTGCTCTTGCATATTTAAAATATTCTTTTGGAATTTCAACAACAATGATTTTGATTATGGTACAAAAGTCACAATCCTTGGATGCAGTGTAAGTTCAGTAAATTTTCTGCAAAACAGTAAATCATTCAAGTAAAACGTGTCAAGAAAGAAAATTCTATTGTAGCCTGAATCCTTTATTCATCATGCAATTTTAAATATTTGGAGAATTGCTGTTTTGACCCCCAAACTCCTGAGGTCCATGACCATCAATTTTCATGTCTTCTTTCTCCATCATCAAATCAGTGCTCCTCTGATCTTTCTTCAACCTCAACTGTAATAAAGAGTTTGACTCCATGTTTTATGTTTGCTGGCAGCTTTGAAGCCTCACCACTATCCCTTTCCATTCTGCTCCACATCTGCTCTGGTTGTCAAGAAAGCCCAGGTACTTTCTTCTTTGGCTCAGGTGGGAAGTTCAAACTAAGCAAGGTTGGGCTCTCTCAAGCTACTTCAGATCTGCTTGGGGGTCTCCCCTAATCTCCCCAGAAGACCTCATTATGGGAGTTATAAGTATTTTCATGCCTTCTTCATGTGCATGTGGTATTATCAGTCTCAATATCCAAAACAAAATTTTGGTTGGGGTGCAAGGTCCATATCACCTCTGCATGGCGATGACAACTCCAAAAATGCCTCTCTCTTTACAGTATAATCTCTCATCTAGAAAATAGCCATCTGCTTCTGTAATTTTGTTGGCACTTTCATTAACAGCTAATTTGTCCCACATCTAGTTAAATTGGAATTCATTCCCTCTAGTCAAGTAGTCTGTGGACAAATTTTTGTAAAATTTCAAGTCTTAGAGAACTCTCTTGCTCTGTTAGCTACTCCAGTAACTATAGTTGGATGGAAAGATACCCAAATCTGGCAAAGAAATCCAAACACCATCTTAGAAAAATAATAGATCAATAGTCTTTCAGTCAATTCCAAACCAGTTTTTGTTTCAAACTCTTGGAAAATTTGAACTAAATGTATAATTTTTAACAGGATAAAGAATAGCTTTATTTGGTAACCAATAGCAATCTCAATAGAAAAATATGCTGGAGCTATTTACTGCAGTCAGGAACAATCACATCAATGATCTGCACACTTAGTTCACATTGTTTTTGGAGTTCTGCTGCGTCCCTTCATATGTGAATCAGAAATAAAACTGGCTATTGAGAAGAAGGAAAAAAATATTTGCAAGTGGCATAGTATATACTATGAACCTGAGAAAATCAATTGGAAGAGCATTAGAACGGATAAAGAGTGCAGTAAGGTGGTCAGGTATGAGTATATAAAAATCAGTAGTTTTCTGTAAATGAGGAATGGTGGCTCAAAAATTATCGGGAAAATTCAGTGTATAAATATAATGAAGGTTATAAAATACTATTTTTAAAATGTGCAAAACCAATTTAAAGAAAACTATAACACTCGTTGTAAGAAATAAGGCAGAATTTAGTAAAGAGACATACCATGTTCCAAGATAGGCAGGCCAAATATTACAAAGCTGATACTTTTTCCCAAAATTTAAGGTTGGATTAAATCTTGACAAGTAGAAAAAATCAGTAGAATTAGAGGAGAGCTATGGGAAGAATTTGAAATGGTTCTATAGTTCATGTAGAACAATAAACAAGCCAAGAAATGTTTCGAAAAGAGAGGACTCACAAATGCTGGCTCGCCATATCATATATTGAAACGATGTGAACTTACAGTAATTAAAACTGTGTGATTACAGTTTTAGATAAGGTGGATCCATAAAACAGAATAAGCCATGCTGCCATAAGTCTTGCAAAATTTAACAGTTTAATAGTTGTAAAGGAGATATTGTATATCAACACAGAAGCAAAACTGATTCTGGAAATGTTCTGGGACAATAATATCACTATTTGGAAAGAAAGAAGATACTTATGTGACAGCATAACATAAATCCTATGTGGATTAAAGAGATAAATGTACCAAAAAAAAGATAATTGAAACATTATTAAGCTTGAGGAAAACAAAAGTGGCTATTTAAGTTTGCTCGGGTGGGAAAAGGACTTTTTGATTACAAAATCAATGAAGGAAATCACAAAGGAAAAAGAAGATTGATTTGACTTTATAAACATTTAAATGCTATGAACATAAAAATATCAGAAATATCAGAAACAACATTAAAGGACAAACAGAAAACATCAGAACTAGATTTTTTCTATCCTCATTATGAAGATTTAGTATAAACTCATAACAGGAACATTGTGACAGGAAGCTTGGCAAAGGGTATGAAGAGACAATCCACAGATTAGAAAATACCATTAGCTAATTAACACAAGGGAAAATTTTAGCCTCACATGAGACCAAGGCAATAAAAAGTGAAATAAGAAAAGAGGATATTTTGTGTACAAAATTGGCAAAATGTTTAGATGGTACTAATCAGTGGGCGGTGATTCTCACGTATGCTCCTGGGGAAGTGAAATTTGATATAGCCTTTCCAGAAAGCAAAGTAATCCTATGTACTAGAAGTCCCTGAGAAAGTTCTAGGGCTTTCATCCAGTAGTTGTAACTGCAGGGCTCTATCTTTCAAAATACTCCATGATGTAAAATGAGATTTATGTTTAAGCATAATCCTTGCAGCAAACATGAGAAATGGTTAAATAACGTATAGTATGGTCCCATAATACAATCTTGTGCATGCATTATGTTATCGAATATATTTTTTAATTTTTATTTAATTTTTATTTATTTATTTATTTTTATTTAATTATTTTTATTTATTATTTATTTAATTTTTATTTATTTATTTTTGAGACAGTCTCACTCTGTTGCCCAGGCTGGAGTGCAGTGGCGCCATCTCAGCTCACTGCAAGCTCCGCCTCCCATGTTCATGCCATTCTCTTGCCTCAGCCTCCCAAGTAGCTGGGACTACAAGCACTCGCCACCATGCCTGGCTAATTTTTTGTATTTTTAGTAGAGATGGGGTTTCACTGCATTAGCCAAGATGGTCTCGATCTCCTGACCTCAGGATCCGCCTGCCTCAGCCTCCCAAAGTGCTGGGATTACAGGCGTGAGCCACCGCGCCGGGCCATTATCAAATATTTTTAATGGTGTGGGGAAATATTTACTCTATGTCACAAGAAAAAGAATTATCACCCAATACATAAATTGTAATATACAATGTATATTTTATACCCCTGAAAAGCTACATTATAACATTAATGGTAATTACGTGTGGGTTGCATAAGTTTGAACAATATTTGCTTTCATCATAGTTTGTGTATTTTTCAAGTTTCTCCTAATAAACTCTTACTAGTTTTGAACCAGAAAAAATAAGAACTTCCTCCCAAGTAGTCTACCTTGCCTAATCTGTTTCTTACTCTCAAAACCCTCCAAAAGATAGACATTATTTGCTTATCTGAATGTACATATACCACACATTCTGTTTCCCCTGTGACATGAAAATAATAGATGTCTGATGTATTTACCTGACAAGGATATTGTGAGGATAAATTGAGATAAACATGAAAGCATGATTTAGAAGGAAAGGAAGTGATACAAATATGAGTTGAGGTCTGTCAACATACATTTGTCACATCAACACATTAAATAATTTTCAGTGACTATCAGACACGGGCCTGTGCCTCAGATTAAATGATAATGCTTATTAAAAACTAGTTAATAAAGTTAAAACTATGTAAGTCACCCTCTAAAATAGTACTATCCAATAGAACTTTCTGCAGTGTTGGAAATGTTCTCTATCTGTGCTGTCCAGCATGGTAGCCATTTAACCAAAATGGTAGCCATTTAGCCAAACAAGGCTATTGATCATTTGAAATGTGTCTGGTGGGACTGAGGAACTGCATTTTTGGTTTAAATTAATGTTAGTTAATTTATGAGTAGCCCATGTGGCAAGGGGGGTGGGAGCTGCAGCTCTACAAGGTGGCATCACTTTAGACTAGGCATCTTCTTCAGTGCTCTCCATGCATTATCCCATGTGACCCTCACAACAACCTGTGATCCAGGTACTGTTTTTACTCTCATTTTATAGATTGGGAAACTGAATGGTAAAGAGGCAAGTGACCCAGGGTGAGGGTGTCGATAAGCTGTGGAATCAGAATTCACACCTACATAAGTGGATGCCAAAGCCACCTCTCCTATCAGTTACTCTGCACTGCCTCCTACATGACACAGGACTGGGCATGTGGCAGTCACATCTGGCGGAAGTGACAAACTACATAGGAAGTCAGTAATATTATGGGGATGAGCAAGAGGAAAACTGTGTTGTTCATCCTTTGTGAATCCCTGTGCATCTAATGTGTTAAGTCCCCTTCACATGATGAATTCCCCATCAATGTCCACCAGCCATGAGAGCAGCTTCTTGGTAAGACATCACAAAGAGGCCTCACGGCGATTCTTTTGTTAAGTTGCTGACTTTCTCTTCAATCAAGCCTTTTATGCTGAAAACTATCTTACAGCCAAGATTCCAGACTGCACACAAGTGAGAAGGCAAATTTGCTAAGTACATTTGAAATACCTGGGCAGCTTTTAATGTACTCTACAGGATGTGACAAACGAGTATCTGTGTAAATCAATAAACCCTTCTGTGAAAGGACTAATGGTTTTATGTGAATAGCAAGGCAACACACGTGGAAACCAGTACTCTTGTTTCCTGTCAGTATTTTTAAAGTTCACTGTCATAACTCTGTTCCCCTTGACCTTTATCAGTGATACCTACCAGAGATTTGTGTTGCTAGTTGAGTTTTAACTGGACACCTCAGCTATCAACCGTCTTTCCCTTTTCCCTTGGTGTCTGATAAATGCCTTCTTTACACCTTCTGCTGTCCTGGATTTCTCATTTTTTAACTATGCTGTGATTGTTCTTTGAATAATAATTGACTTTCTCAGATTTAAGAATACTTCATTCCAGTACAGACAAATGGAGATTAAATACAGATTTCTCTTTACTTTGGTGCTGTAAAATCGGGTTTATTATCATGGTGATTCACAGTAATAATTGCTTCTGTATATGAATATTGATAAGTGGAAAAACCAATATGCACAGAAATTCAGGAATCTTCAAATGCTGTGAAACTAGTAGCACAAAAGCTAATAGAAAATGAGAACCTTTGGTTTTCAAAAGCAAAATGCATGTCAACTAGAAGTTTGAATAAGTCTTATCTGTGCCCTCAAACACACAAAGATGATGTAATATGATTAGGGATGAAAACATGTACTGTACTAGCATTTGCAAATTGGAACCAGACCCTTCTAAGTTCCTGGTGTATCTTTACATGCAATTAATGCACAGTGCAACACTGCCTTTTGCTCTTTTAAATAAATTCTTTCTATAGTCCTATCTTGATAATCCCCCAAAATCTTCATCTTTAAAAGTTAACAATTCTAGGACATTAAAATATGAAGAGCTATTTTTAAGGGATTTTAAGTATTTTTTCATACTGACACAAATATATTCTGTTGACACAATCTTATTTTATTTACAGCATTGTTTACTTAATGCGTTTCCACCCATGGGTGAAACGTTTAATCAGGTTGCATTGTGGGTATTATTTTGCTAATTAGCATCCAAATGTGGGACCAGCTTCTATAAAGTTCAACCTTAAAGTGAGCAGTGTCTCCTCGGGTTTAAAAAGACAATTCCAATTCTATGGAGTGGTAACCACGATCACACTAGAGCAGTTGTCTGATTAATTACAGTGGTGTGAATTTGGTCATGTTTTCAAGATGATGTTCCCTCCAGAGCAATTGACTAGATAATTGTGTTCTTGCTACCACAAAACCTAAGTGGAACTCAGCAGATGTGAGTTCTGAGCCTGGAGCTGACTCAACCTGTCACCACTTACCTGAACAAAGGGAATATGCTCTGCAAAGTTTGTCTCTCCCAATAATTGGGCACAGATTCTACCACTTTGAGGAATAAAATTGATTCACTTAATACCAAATCTGTCAGAACAAGTGATCGAAACAATCAGTGTAATGGGTAGAAGGGCAGAAAAGCAAAAAGTAGAGATGTAACTTTCTTGTTTGTAAAATAGACTCTGGGTTGAGTGAAGTTGAGATCTCTTCCAGTTCTGGTGTTCTTTTTTTTTTTTTTTTTTCTTTTTTTTTTTGAGACAGAGTCTTGCTCTGTCACCCGGTCTGGAGTGCAGTGACATGATCTCAGCTCGCTGCAGCCTCCACCTCCACCTCCTGGGTTCACGCGATTCTCCTGACTCAGCCTCCCAAGTAGCTGGGATTACAGGTGCCTGCCACCATGCCTGGCTAATTTTTGTATTTTTAGTAGAGAGGAGGTTTCACATGTTGGCCAGGCTGGTCTCAATCTGGTGTTCTTGTGTCTAATAACAAAAGATAAATTACAGTCACTGGGTAAGAGTCATTATTTACATTTCTGGGCTACAGTCTGTTAATAACAGTAGTTTTCATAACAGTTTTCATACTCTATAAAATTATGTGGTTGGACTTGATACCTCAAACCCTTCTAATTCTAAAAATGTAGAAAATTTATTCATGAAGTTGAAAGTGCCATGCCAGTATAGATCTGATGTCATTGATGTATGTGTGTATATATGAATATGTACAATAATTCATATGTGTATGTGTGTGTTTGTGTGTGTGTGGTTGTATGTGTATCTCTCACACAGGACATTTAGCCATGTCTAGAGACATCTTTATTATCAAAACTAGGTGAAGGGGATGCTACTAGTACAGGCATAACCTCATTTTACTGTGCTTTGTGAATATTGCATTTTTTTCACAGGTTGAGGGTTTGCGGCAACCCTGCATAGAGCAAGTCTGTTGGTACCATTTTTCCAATAGCATGTGCTCACTTTGTGTCTCCTTTTCACATTTTTATAATCTCACAAGATTTTAAACATTTTCATTATTATTACAGCTGTTATGGTAATCTGTGATCAGTGTTCTTTGATGTGACATACTTAATTGTTTTGGGGCACCATGAAGCACACCTATATAAGGTGCACATGGTACCTGTTGCATGTGTTCTGAGTGCACCACCAACTGGCCTTTCTGCTGTCTCCTTTGCTCTCCTTGGGCCATGTATTTCCTGAGACACAACAGTAATGAAATTGGGCCAATTATTCAACCTACACTGCTTGTAAGTATTCAAGTAAAAGGAAGAGGAACATGTCTCTCACTTAATTTTTTTTTCATTGTTTGTTTGTTTTTGTTTGTTTGTTTGTTTGAGATGGAGTCTCACTTTTTCACCCAGGCTGGAATGTAGTGGCTCAATCCCAGCTCACTGCAGCCTCCATCTCCTGGGTTCAAGCGATTCTCATGCCTCAGGCTCCCGAGTAGCTGGGATTACAGGTGTGTGACACCACAATGCTTAATTTTTTGTATTTTTAGTAGAGATGGTGTTTTACCATGTTGGTCAGGCTGGTCTCGAATTCATGACCTCCAGTGATCTGCCCGCTTCGGCCTTCCAAAGTGCTGAGATTATAGGCATGAGCCACTGTGCTCGGCCCATGTCTTTCACTTTAAATCAAAAGCTAGAAATGATTAAGCTTAGTGAGGAAGACATGTCAAAAGCCAAGACAGGCTGAAAGCCGGGCCTCATGCCCCAAACAGCCAAGTTGTGAGTACAAAGGAATAGTTGTTGAAGGAATTTAACAGTGGTACTCCAGTGAATGCATGAATGATGAGAAAGCAAAACAGCCTTATGGCTATTATGGAGAAAGTTTCAGTGGCCTGGATAGAAGACTAAACCAGCCACGACATTCCCTTAAGCCAAAACCTAATCCAGAGCAAGGTACTAACTCTTCAATTCTATGAAGGCTGAGAGAGGTTAGGAAGTTGCAGAAGAAAAGTCTGAAGCTAGTAGAGGGTAGTTCATGAGGTTTAGGGAAAGAAGGTGTCACCATAACATGAAAGTGCAAGGTGAAACAACCACTGCTTCATGTAAAGATGTAAAGCTGCAACAAGTTATTTAGAAGATCTAGTTCAAATAATGGATGAAAGCTACTACACTAAACAACAGATTTTTTGATGTAGGGGTCAATCTTATATTGGAAGAAGAGGCCATCTAGGATTTTCATAGCTAGAGAGGAGAAGTCAATGCCCGCCATCAAAGCTTTAAAGGACAGGCTGACTCTCTTGTTAGGCACTAATGCAGCTGGTGACTTTAAGTTGAAGCCAATGCTCATATACCATTTGAAAAATCCTATGGCCCTTAACAATTATGCTAAACATACTCTGCCTGTCCTCTGTAAATGGTACAACCAAGTCTGGGTGACAACATATGTGTTTACAGCATGGTTCACAGAATATTTTACTAATAAGTCTACTTTTGAGAGTCTACTCCTCAGAAGAAAATATCCCTTTCCAAATATTACTACTCATAAACTATGTACCTTGCCATCCAAGAGCTCTGAAGTATCTGGGGTAGATGTGCAAAAAGATTAATGTTGTTTTCATGCCTGCTAACACAACATTCATTCTGCAGCTCATGGATCAACAAGGAATTTTGATTTTCAAGTCTTATATTTAAGTAGTGACATTTTATAAGGCTATTTCTGGCAGAGAGAGTGATTCCTCTGATGGATCTGGGGAAAATAAATTGAAACCCTTGTGGAAAGGATCACAATTCTAGATGCCATTAAGAACATTTGTGATTCATGGGAAAAGGTCAAAATATAAACATTAACGGGAGTTTGGAAGAATTTGATTCCAACCCCAATGGATAACTTTTAAGGGGTCAAGCCTTTAGTGGAGGAAGTAATTACAGATGTGGCAGAAATGGCAAGAGAGTTAGAATTAGAAGCAGAGCTTGAGGATGTGACTGAATTGCTCCAACCTGGTAAAACTTGAACAGATGAGTTGCTTCTTATGGATGAGCAAAGAAAGTCATTTCTTGAGATGAAATCTGCTCCTGGTGAAGAGTCTGTGAACACTGTTGAAATGACAACGAAGATTTCAGCATATTACATAAACTTAGTTGATAAAGCATTGGCAGGGTTTGAGAAGACTGACTCCAATTCTGGAAGAAGTTCCACTGTAGGTAAAATGCTATCAAACAGCATTGCTTGCTATAGAAAAATGTTCTGTGAAAGGAAGAGTCAATTGATGCTGCAACCTTTATTGTTGTCTTGTTTTAAGGAATTACGATAGCCACCCCAGCCGTAAGTAGCTACCACCCTAGTCAGTCAGCAGCCATCAACATGGAGACAAAACCCTCCACTAGCAAAAAGATTCCAGCATGCTGAAGGCTCAGATAATCGTTAGCATTTTTTAGCAATGCACTATTTTTGAATTATGGTGTGTACATTATTTTCTGGACATAAGGCTGTTGCATACTTAATATACTATAGTGTAGTAGTGTAATATAAACATAACTTTTACATGCACTGGGAAACTAAAAAATTCGTGTGACTTGCTTGATTCTGACATTTGCTTTATTGCGGTGATCTGGAATCCATGATCAAACTCATGATGTCTCTCCCCAAGGTATGTCTGTAGATAGTGGGTAGAGGCCAGGGATGCTGCCAGACATTCTACAGTTTACAGGACAACCCCTCAAAATAAAGAACTATCTGACCTAAAATGTCAATAGTGCTGCGGTTGAGAAACTCTGATTCGTATGTATATATAGGTATGTTAAATACACTCAAGTACTGCATACACACTCTAGCATTATATAGAGAGCTTCTTTGTATATAATTTATTCTAACAAGATCAACAAGACACTGTTTTCCCAGCCATCTGTTGAGACATAGAAATAAGCTTTGCTGTTCCCAGCCTGACATTTCATCCATGTTTGTCTTAATGAGACTTCATTCTGGCTTTGTTATGCTTCTCTCTGCTCAACAGATTGCATCAAAGTCTGGTTTAGAGAATAAGGCCAGCCATGCTCTGAGGGTTTTAGTGGAGGTTTGCTGACCCTCTCATGGAATCAAGGAAAGGAAGAAGTGAGCACCATATATTTCACAATTTTATAAAATGGATTATTCTACTATGAAGACAGTTAAAATTTCATCCTCTGTCACCTCAAACTATGATTCCATGATTATTTATCTCTGGATAATTACTATATAAATTCATACTGTCTGAGATTTTATGGCTGCAAAAGACTTTGGAGATGATGTGGTCTAGTAAGATTATGAAGGGAAAAAAATAAAGCTAAGAGGAGTTCAGTGTCTCGATCAATGTCACATAGTAATTAAATGCAAGAGCTTGAAACCGTGTGTTCCTAGCCATTCTCTCTGCCACATCATGCTGCTGGACAGTGTTTCTAAAATGCCAGACTACAACTAAAAAGCCAGGTCTCTGGATAACACATTCTTTTTATACTTAAAAGATTCTCTATGAGACATCATCTAGGTATAAAATACCTCCTTGGTAGCATCACTGGAGAAGTACACAGTATGCACAATGATTCAATATTCTCTTGGTAAAATGATATGTAATTCAAACAGAAAAATCTTTTAATAAAATTGGTGGCTGCCAGCTTCTCAGTCTACATGTCTATTATTGCACCTGAGCTGAGCTGTAAACTGAGGTGTTTATTCTTCCTTTATCCAGCCCTCGATAAGAAACTACATTTCAGTTCCCCTCAACCCTTATCACCTCAGGGTCCTAACTGCTTAGAAATATCTACCAACTCCTACCCACTCACTTACACAAAGAAACGGAGGAAATTTTAAAAGCTAGAAGGAGAGGAACAAGGGTGGTGTATGAATCTGTTAGTGCTCTTCGTTTTCCACGATTTTCAAAGCAAACGTTGCTGCTTGCCAGTTCTCTACAGAGAAACCAAACATCATCCACCCACTTTTAGTTCTTGAACTTGCAAACAGGAAATGTGGTTTCTAGAATGGGATTCATTTTCACGTAATTTCATTATGACAAAACAATTGAAAGTTCAGAACGCTGAGAAGTTTACTGTGTTTTGTTTTTGTTTTTTTGTTTTTGTTTGTTTGCTTGTTTTTGAGACAGAGTCTCACTCTTGTCACCCAGGCTGGAGGGCAGTGGCGTGATCTTGGCTCACTGCAACCTCCACCTCCTGGGTTCAAGCGATACTCCTGCCTCAGCCTCCTGAGTAGCTGGGGTTACAGGTGCTTCCCACCACGCCCAGCTAATTTTTGTACTTTTAGTAGAGACGGAGTTTTGCCATGTTGGCCAGGCTGGTCTCAAACTCCTGACCTCAGGTGATCTGCCCACCTCGGCCTTACAAAGTGCTGGGATTACAGGCATGGGCCACTGCGCCTGGCCTACTGTGTTTTTTTTTTTGTTTTTTTTTTTTTTTTTGAGTCCTTCTCATTCAGTTAGCTCTGTGTGGCCTGAAGAAAGCCACTCAACCACTCTGAGCCTCAGACTGCACATCTGTAAAATGGGGCTAGCAACAGATGTCTCTTTTGTAGTGTTGCTAGAATTACTTGTGATAAAGTTTGTTGAGGGCTAAGCACAGAGTGTAGCACATAGTAATCATCAGCACCTGTTGACTGTCATTGTCATCATCATCATCATTTTCTGTAGCTTCCATGTTCTTCTCTGTCACAGCCACAGCAATGACTCCAGCCCTGGCTTCTTAAACTAGACCTACATTTCCAGCTTCTGGCTAGATGTCTTCCAGATGTTGCTCTCATGCTGCATATATACAAAACTGAACTAATAATTGTTTCTGCAAAGAATGATGATTTTGAGAACTGCTACAAATCAAAGGTAACTTCTCTCTCATGGCCAGATCTTATTTTGATTTTTTTTTTTTTTTTTTTTTTGAGACAGAGTCTCAGACAAAGTCTCAAAGACTCCAGTCTCCAGGCTGGAGTGCAGTGACGCGATCTCGGCTCACCGCAAACTCCGCCTCCCGGGTTCACGCTATTCTCCTGCCTCAGCCTCCAGAGTAGCTGGGACTACAGGCGCCCGCCACCACGCCCGGCTAATTTTTTGTATTTTTAGTAGAGACGGGGTTTCACCGTGTTAGCCAGGAAGGTCTCCATCTCCTGACCTTGTGATCCGCCCGCCTTGGCCTCCCAAAGTGCTGGGATTACAGATGTGAGCCACTGCGCCCGGCCCTTATTTCGATTTTTTAGGCAAAGTAAGGACACTCCAGATGACAAAAACAAGTCAAAGGGTTTCCCAAGTCCTTATGTTCCCTCTCAGATGCTGGCAATGCCCAAGCTAAATTCCACTTAGACACTGCTTTACCCCTACTGCACCCTGTCCTCCTGTCCTCGCAGAACGGCAGGAGGCTGCGAGCCTCCTGGTGCTCCTGAGCCACTGCTGCTCACCCACTCATGCTGGAGGCAGAAGAAATTGGGGAGCAGGGCGGAGGGCGGCCCTCTGTCACCCTGCTACTGTCCATCTGCACCACTAGCTGCAAGGCCAGGGGTCCTGAGTGGGAAGGCCAGAGCTCATGCCTGATGATCAAATTAAATGATTAATATATAATCTCCCTAAAGTTTAATCCTGTGGTTTCTGAAGCAAAGGGACAATATTCATCCTTGAGAGAACAAGGAGAGTTAGAGTGAGCAGTCAGCATCCCTGAACAAAATAATTTCATACAAACATGCAAACAATGGAAAGAAAGGGGAGAGAGGTCGCTGTGACTGCTGGCATACCTTAAGAACTAGAGTCATACATTCACTGCAATTTTTTCTTCCCTGTAGGAAAAGAAAAAAAAGTCATTACATGGCAAGGCAATAGGTTTTTTTCTAAAAATCTCCCATGGCACTTTATCTCACTTTGTTACCCATTTCTATTAAAGACCTTATCGCCCTGGCGGAGACCCAGAATATAAAACTCAGTGTCGTCTTTGGCTCTCCTTCTCATCTAGGTACTGGTTAGGAGCTGATGAATCTGTACTGAATTCTTTCTCAAATGTAGGTCTTCCTCGCCTCAGTGCCGCTGTTTTATTTCAGGAGTAGGTCATCCTTGAAAGGAATGCTACAATAGCATGCTTTGGATCTCCCCATCTTCCCCTTCCATCGCTCTTTGTTGCTGGTGCCAGGATTCCTTCCTTAAAATATACATTTGGTCCCGTCCCTTTGCCTCAGCAACTGGCTCCATCCGCCTCAGTGTCTTCCCTCTCTCATCTCATGGGCTGTCCACCTGCTGGGCCCATTACAGTGGCAGCGGGATGCCCGGGTACACCAGGGCCCTTCCACAATTTTCCTTCAGGCCCTCTCCTAGGGCTCTGTTACTTATTAGAGTGTGTACATTTGTGTGTATGTGTGTGTGTGTGAAATATGTTTACAGAAGACTGCACATTTGTATGCCCAAAAATGTATATTTATAATTAAAAAATAATGAAGCAAAACATTGAGTACCTGCCACCAGGTCCACAAATGAAACATTGCTAGTAGCCTAGGGCACCCCATGGGCTCCTGTCTTATCACAGTTTCCTTTCTCCCCACTAGTGGTAATGATGAATCTGACTTCTGTAATAATAATTTGCTTGCTTTTTGAAAGAATATGGTTTACCTCCTATGTATGTATCCTTAACAATATAATTTAATTTTTCCAGTTTTTGAACTTTGTATGTAGAATCATGTTGGAAGATTTTGTGTGTGTGTTTAAATATATGTTGTGCCTCTTTCATTCAATGTTATCATTGCCAGATTCAATATGCAGTTCTCATTCACTGGCTTTTGTTTCTATATAGTATCCCATTATATAAATTGATTAATAAAAATTATTCATTGTACTGTCAATCTTAGTTTAGATGATTTCTGTCTGAGGGCTAGAAAACAAGACTGCTGTGAACCCATGTGTACACCCACCCTGGTATATGTGTTTGCGGGTACCTACAGGGGTTATACCTAGCAATGGCGTTGCTGGGTCAGAAGCTATGAGCATCTTCTCTATCAGCAAGTTGAACCAAAGTATCCTAAAATGGGTGTAGTAATTTACACACCCACCAGTGGCACATGAGTGTGCCTGTTCTTCCACATTCTTACCAACGCTTGCCATGTAAGATGTTTTCATTTGCACCAGTTGGGTTGGTGTGTAATGGTATTGTTGTTGTTTAAACTTGCTTTATAAGTGGCTTCCTCTTTTGGATGAAATGATTCCTAGAATGACTATGTCTGTGCTTTTTTCCTTTCTGGTTTTTTTTTTTTTTTTTTCAGCTTTTTTATAGATCAGAGGTCAAGAATTCCTATTTCTAGAGAAATTCTCAGTCTTTTTCCTGACCTGAATTACCTGCTTCTTGGTAGAGAGGGTTCAAACACGCTGGTATTTAGGCATTTATCAGGCTATTGTCATTTATATTTTTTTCTTCAAAGTACTGTATTAAGTCCTTAGTAAGGAATAAGGACTGTGTATATAAATAAACTATCTCTGCAACACAAAGGATTTATATTGATAGTCTCTTATTTTCTTCATCTGTAAAATGGAGCTGATCCTATCTACCTCAGAGTTTGGGGGCCTTCAATTAAATGAGGTAATAAAGTCAATATATTAATTGATATTCTTTTCTGCAAATCAGTCAATGAGTTTTGCATAGTTTAACTTCTAAAATACCTGGTGGTTAATGCCACAAATATTCTCTACTCAACAGAGTGATCAGATTGTTTTACATTTTTTAGCTCCATGAAATTTCTCTGTGAGGCTTCTAAAACCGAAAAATCCACTCTAGTCCACCCTAGCTTGAAAGTCATAGATTTGTATCTCTGAAAGCACATCTGGTGGTGGGGGATGGAATATGTTTTAAGGTTTAAAGGTTGTTTTTACAAAGAAATTTTGGAGTCCCTAAAATTTCAGCTTCTCTCATAATTGGAAAATACGTGTTGTATCTTGAGCTCAGATATGTAATATTGAGTTGATAAATGTAATAATGAGTTGATAAATGGGCATCTGGAAGCAGAAGTAAGAAGGTGAGAAAGAGAAGAAGAAAGGGTGAGAGAGGAAGACTGTGGGTTAAAAGAATCAGGACCTGACGCTAATCTGTATGTGAGCCTGTTTAAACTGTCCAATCCAGAGGACCCATGGTACATTTCTGTTGGCCAAAATCTCTCCCTCAGCAGGGACAATTTCTGGCCTGGCTGACACCACCACCCCCTGCATTAAAGCCTGTGAGTGGCCGTGGTTACAAATGGGAGCTGTTTTACAAAAGACTGAAGGAAACTGCCATTCACCAAACCATACAGAGGGCCAGGCTCCATGTTCGTTACATTCTGCCTTCATCATCTCATTCAACCCAAAACAGTGACAGACATTTATTTTTACATCCATTTCAAATAAAAGGAAATTTGAAAAGCACGCCGTCACTTCCCATCAGATTATCTTACTCTCCTCCTAGGAAGATAGATCTGCTTTACCACTCCTCTTGCCTTCGCACTCCAGGCATGGATTTCTTTTCTGTATATCCCCCTGGGCAAGGAAATTATCGAGCTGACTTCTTGTATCATGAAAGCATTACCGTTTATTATTTTCCAGATGTAATGCAGCATCAAATAATGGTTTTCCAAATCACACACAGTTTTTTTCTGTTCTACTCACCCATATGCATATGCACACACAGAGAGACACTGATCTATGCCCTTAGGCTGTTTTCTCCCAATGAGAGTCACTGATGTAGGAGAGAGAGGCAGACTCATAAACAAAACAAGAGAAGGAAAAGTATAAAATTGTGTGGTTACCACCCCCCAGTTCCAGAGAAGCAGTAAGAGACTTCTGAATGCTTCCAAGGCAATGGCAGCATGGGGGAAGAAGGAGGTGACACCCACCTTCACCCTGAAGTTGATCCATCTTGAGCACTAGCTCTCAAAGTGCTGTTCCCAGGCCAGCAGCAGCACCTGGGAACTTGTTAGAGATGTCAGTTATTGGACCCTACTGTAGGTGCCCTGAATCCAAATGTGAGGGTGGCTCCCCCACAGTCTGTGATCCCATAACCCCCCAAGTGATTCCAATGCACACTCAAGTTTCCAACCACTGGCCTGAAGCCCCATCCAAACGTTTAAATTCTAGAAGTACACAGAGGTTTCATTATGAAGTGTTTTCTATTCAACTCTTCAAAAATGAACCTGTGGACAGGTTCTACATCACATCTTCTCACGGCGTAGCTCCTCAACTTTTTTAAACAAAGACTTCATTTTAATGTAGTTTATATCCTTAGTGTCTTGTGCTGGTCCTAAACCTAATGGGTTGAGTCCAAGAATAAGGACATTGTGAGGATGCCTTCACACATGTATGGGTACACGTATTTGTTTCTCTGTAGGTGGTCAGAGCTTAATGTCTTTATTGACATTTTCTAGGATGATAACATTTGCCTCCAAGATGCCCAGCAGCCCTAGACATTGTCTGGGTCTGGATACTGTACAAGCTCTCAAATACAATCAGTGGGGAACACCCTTTAGCCAACTACGCTACACATATGGCCACTATGGCAGCCAGGTGTGATAAGATGAGTGATTCAGAAACCCCGTAAGTTTGAATTATAATCATAGAGGGAAGGGGATTCAATATTCCAGCTCCAGTTCTTGGTGTTCCTTGTATTCAGACTTTATATCACTCTAGCAGATGAAAATGCACTCACCTGGCTGGCACGCTTAGCCACTCCCCTGGGACTTTTTCCTCAGGATGTTTTTAAACAGCTTTCAAAACAGAACAGACTGCAGGGGAATTAGGAACATTTTGGGGACCTGTGTATTTTGCTTGGAAGCCTGTAGTTTTCACTGTCAGAAACTAACTTGTTTCTTCTATTAGACTATTTTTTTTCTTTATGGTGGCCTCTCTATATTTTATCCATCTTTGTATACCCCCTAGCATAGCTCCTGCAGGTACAGCCCTTTGGCCTCCCCAAATGAAATTGTTGGGATGGCCTAGAGTTGTGAAGTGTGTTATTTAAGTAGAGTGGCACAGGACTCTGACACAGGCTGGCCATCATAAAGCAGCACATTTTTGGCTGGAAAAAATTCCAAAGAGAAAATAAAGTACAGAAGCACCTTTTCTTACCTATGGGGCCAAACCATGAGTTGAATTGGTATTTTAGAGAAATACCTTTTCTGATCTTATTCTGACCTGTCTGCCTTTCCTGAATTGAAGGAGTTTCAGCAAGCTTGAAAGATGTCACTCTGGAAAAGACCAGCTTTTGCCGTGGGAAAGCCACAGGGAGGCAGCCTTTTTTAACTACTGTGAATTGGTCGTTTTCTTCTCTTTCTCTCTCTTTTTGCCTTCAGAGGACATCTTCTTTCCACCTTCTTTCCTCCACACCACTCAACCCTGTTCATTTCTACCTGTTTCATTTGCATATGATCAGTTTGTTATTTTATTTATTTATTTTTTTTGCCATTGTTGAACCCAAGGTTTTCTCTGCAGTGGGTATTAGATAGTGTCTGACATTATTTGCTTTCATAATAATTTGACAATATTTACATCCAGGATTCTAGCCTGGTTGAATAATGTGCTTTTTGAATACAAGTCAGGTGTCATTTTCTTGGCATTTTGTTCAAAACTGTGTTATTTTTATTTAGTCCAATGTGCACCTTTGTCATTGTTTTGATTGCCTGTTGAGTAGACTGATTCAAGGGTCGGTCACCTCTTTCCTACCTCATCTGAAGTTTGTTGATTTTTTTTTTGTTCTGATCCTATTGCATTGTAGTTTTCAATGTGAGAAATTAACTTGTTTCTTCTATTAGACTATTGTTTTCTTTATGGTGGCCCCTGTATATTTTATCCATCTTTATTTTCCCCCAGCATAGCTCCTGCAGGTACAGCAAAGGACCAGTAATTGAATGTACACATAAAAGAATTGATGTTCCACCTCGTTTCCTGAATATGACTGTTCCACTTATTTATTGCTATGTAACCAACTATCTCAACACTTTGAGGCTTAAAATAACAATTTAATTTTTCTCACAATTTTATGGGTCAGAAATTTGGGGAGGACACAGCTGGATAGTTCATCTCCAATCTATGTGATGTTGGGAGGTGAAAGGATCCATTTCCAAGATGGCTCCTTCACTCCCATGGCTGGCCTCTCAGTGTCCCCTGGCCTATCTCTCTCTGCAAGGCATCTCATCCTCCAGGGCCTGTCTGCATAGCTGGGGCTTTATACCACCTCAAAACATTCAGACTGCCTACATGGTAGCTCATATAAGAAGTGTTCTAAGAGGCCAGGTAGAAGCTTAAAAGCTCATGGTGTAGTCTTGGAAGACCAAAGATGGCACTTCAGCCTCCTTCCATTGGTCAATCAAGTCAGTAAGGCCAGTCTAGATTCAAGAAGATAAGTCACAGAGCATTTGCAACCATCTTTAATCTACTACTACAACAATACTAGTAATAAATGCAGTTAACATTTATAAGTGAGGGGCAAAACCTCAGTCTCCTCTACTATTCAATATAACGAAGTACAAGCTTTAAATATTTTGTCAGTTGTCAGAATGTGTCAGATGGTGTATATTCATCTTTCATTTTGAAAATATACACACTGGGCAGGGTGCAGTGGCTCACGCCTGTAATCCCAGCACTTCGGGAGGCTGAGGTGGGTGGATCACTTGAGGTCAGGAGTTCAAGACCAGGCTGACCAACATGGTGAAGTCCCATCTCTACTAAAAAATACAAAAATGAGCTGGGCATGGTGGCACATGCCTGTAGTCCCAGCTGCTCAGGAGGCTGAGGTGGGAGAAATTGCTTGAACCCAGTAGGTGGAGGTTGCAGGGAGCTGAGATCATACCATTGCACTCCAGCCTGAGTGGCAAGAGACCCTGTCTCAAAAAAAAGAAAGAAGAAAAAATATAGACATCCTAATAATAAATCAAATTTATATTGATGTTTGCAAAGGGGAAAAGTTGGTTATCACTGGTTTAATTTCTCATTTGTCTATAATATTTTTAAAAGATACATCAGTATATATCCACATGTGTGTATGACCACCACTGAGATGACATAGGTAAAAGTACATATTCCATGCCAACAAACGCATTGATGCTAAGTGAATCTAAATATCAAACTGAATTTTCATTTCCACCCATAGCTATAGTTAAAATACACTAATTTACATCTCACTCCTTTGAAAAGAGGCGTATAAAGCATGATCCCTGTCTCAAAGGGCTTAGAGTCTAACTGGAGAAGACTAATAATACTCATGAAACTACTCATCTCAATTGAAGGCATTATAATAAAGTGCTAAAATGTGTGGCCCCTACTTGTGATAAGGTTCAAACTAGCAAATGCAGGAAGACTAGTAGAATTTAAATCACTATTTATGCTTTGGGAGGCTGAGGTGGTAGGATCACCTGAGACCAGGAGCTCAAGACCAGCCTGGACAACATAGCAATACCTTATCTCTACAAAAATGTTTTTAAAAATTAGTGGAGTATGTTGGCACATGCCTGCAGTCTCAGCTACTCAAGAGGCTGAGGCGGGAGGATCACTTGAACCCAGGAGTTTGAGTATGCAGTGAGCTATGATCACACCACTACACTCCAGCCTGGGTGACAGAGCCAATAGTCACTATTTGGCCAATGGGAGTGTAAAGCATATTCCATGCTAGAGCAGCAAAACCAAAGGCACAGCCCTGGAAGGAACACGGGAGCTTTAGGAGATGAGCCCGACTCTTGAGATGGTGTGCGCTGTGGAGAAGCAGACATATAAGGTCATAGAAGTGAGTGGAGACAAAGTATAAGAGGTAACAAGATAGATATTATATTGGTGCAAACATAATTGCAGTTTTTGCCCTTAAAAGTAATGGCAAAAGCCACAATTACATTTGCACCAACATGGATGGATGGATGGATGGATGGATGGATGGATGGAAAGATGGATGGATGGATAGATAGATAGATAGATAGATAGATAGATAAAATAAAAGTTGCTATGGGTGGATGGATAGATAGATGATAGATAAAATAAAAATAAAAGTCGCTATTTGGCAACCACCACAGTCATAATTGTTTTAGTCAAAAAAAAATTACCAATAGATACTAAGAGGAGTGAACCAAAGTTTAGATATTTGCATATTTGCAATCTCAAAGACTCTGGATATTTACATATCTTGAAGTACCTTGCCGCAAGATACTTACTGTTGATAAAAGGAAATAAATAATTTTATAGTGGAGAAATGTCACAGATACCACCTTCACCAGGTGATCAAATTTAACATACAAATTGAGTATCTTTATCCAAAATGCTTAGGACCAGAAGTGTTTCAACTTTCTGATTTTTTTCAGATTTTGAAATATTTGCATTATGTATTTACCCAGTTCAGCATTCCTAATCTGAAAATCCAAAATCTAAAAGACTCTATTGCACATTTCTTTATTCATGTTGGCTCTCAAAAAGTTTTGGATTTTGGAGCATTTCAGATTTTCAGATTAGAGATACTCCACCTGTAGTAATAGGATAAATTGGTATCATGTGCCTCCTGATACAATGCACTAAGAAGGACACAATATCATTGCCATGATATTCTCGCCATAAATATTAAAATCTATGAAGAAACATCAGGCGAATTCAAATTGAAGGACATTCTACAAAATAACTGGCCTATACTTTTGAAAAGTATCAAGATCATGAAAGACAACACCTCAGGAACTGTTCCATATGAGAGGACGCTAAAGAGAAATTATAACTAAATGCAGCTCTGTGAACCTGGATTGGATCCTGGACTAGACAGGGACACCTGAGGGACAACTGGAAAAATCTGAACAAGGCCTGTAGAGTAGATTAGGCTATTGCATCAATGTTAATTTCCTGAATGTGATAACTACACAGTGGTTATATAGAAAATGTATTTTTAGGAAGTACATGCCGAAGTATTAAGAGGTAAAAGGACATTGCATTGTGTCTTCATCTTACTCTCAAGTGTTTTTAAAAAGTTGTCTCCAGGTATAGATAGTATTAAATGATAAGCAAATGTGGTAAAATAGTTAACCTTTGGGGAGTCTCTTGAATGGTGTGGGGGAATTCTTTGCAATATTTTGCTACATTTTTATACATCCAATTATTTTTTTAATTTAAAGGTGTCCCCATTTAAGTATTTCAAGTCCACATCTGAGCCAGACCACCAAAACTGAGTGAGATTTAGAAAGGCCAATGGGAGAGTAAAGCTTGTTCCATGCTAGAGCAGCAAAACCAAAGGTACAGCCCAGGAAGGAGCATGGGAGCTTTAGGAGCTGAGCCTGACTCTTGAGATGGTGTGTGCTGTGGAGAATCAGATATATAAGGTCATGGAAGTGAGTGGAGACAAAGTATAAGAGGTGAAAAGCCTGCAGCGGAGCTGTTATGTTATGCAGAGGACAGATTTTTGTGTAGAGCTAGTAGTCTACCTTTGGTCTGTGGAAAAGGATCTATTAAACAAATTTATAGTATACAAAGATTTTAAACATAATACATACTTACAGAATTAATGTAGGACAGTGGCTTTAGAAGCATCAGATTTTTCAATCATTCGTAAGTTCCAGCCAGCCTATCTATTCACTGAGCAGGACCTCTAAGAAACACAGTTCCTTTTACGTATCAAGTCAAACCCCTTTTCCACAGTAAACCAAACCAATACGGATTTGCTCTGTGATGCTCTTTGATTTTATAAGGACATTTAAGGATTTTTAGAGATGAAACCATGAACATATTTAGACCACTATAATTTGGAGCCATGGGGAAACCACGCTGAGCAGGAAATCCCGGGCTAAGTCTAGCAAAAGTTTTTGATTGTTGTGGAAGACAAAGCTGAATGCAAAGATTCACTGTTACATTTACTTGAATGCTCTAACTGCATCCTCTGGGCATATTGACTTTAATAACATACTTATTTAAAGTAGAAAAAGACCTGTATTGTGATGTCTGTAATTCTTAATAGTGACACTTGCATTTTCTCTTTCCTTTCCCTCTCTGCTTATCCTTTCCCATTCCTGCTATATAAATATTCACTGTTTCTTTAAATCACATTTAGTTAAGAGGGTTTTTTTTCCTGTTTTTTTTTTCTCTGTTGCCTTAAGTTGGTAGCAGGTTAATCCTGAATCTCTAATAAATGCAAATGGATTAAAGAAAATCATCAGTTCAAGATTATTTTAACTTCACCAGCATGATTGTTAATATCTTTTTTGTCCCATGGGATATGTAGGATTACATCAATTAAATTGGTCTCTGTAACTGAACACAGTAACCATAAATGTGACTATTGTGCTTTCACCAGCACCCTTTAGGTATTTAATTTGCTTGGCAGTAATAGATTGTCAGAGCAGTAAACGTGAGGCAAGTAATGTAAACGGTATAATGACGGTAATTATCTGAATGGATCGATTGCAGTGTTTTTGCAACGTGATATTGTGGGTAGGAGCGAGGTGTAGATATCCCATATAAATTCCCATTTTCAGCTTTATTTCCATACATGTTTTTTCCAAGACATTTAAAGTAAACAGTGTGAAGTGGCATTTGCAGTTCTCTCCTTTATCTCTCTTCCCATTATCCCTTGTACTGCTGGCTTACTAAAATCAGCAGACTCCACAAAAGGTAAATTTCTCCAAAGAAATCATGACTTTGTAGAATTGGAATTCTAGCATTTTCCTCCGTGATTCATGGTATCCAAATATTTGAACTGGAAATCGCTTTTAGATTGGCAAGTTGGATATCTTTGTTTATTAACTAAGAAATTATAAACCCAGCAATGGTAAGTGACTTGCTAAAAGTTACTCAAGATGGCATTGCCTAATAAGACTGCAACAGAATGGAACTGGAACCGGAGCCTGCTCTTCCTTTTGGTCTGGAGGAGGAACTGAGGGGTTCCATCTCAGCTGCAGAGACGGAAAAGCTTCCATGGGACTGGCCAAAAGCAATCCCTGAAGGGAACAGCAAAGTCAGTTTAGTTTGGTGAAGAATGAAGAGAAGAAACAGTCTGGGAATAACCAATAACTGTGCTTAAAAAGGGCAAACGGATGATCAGCCTGAGCACAGAAGGATCGTGCTGTGTGGCAGATGTCTGTCCATTATGAGACCTGAAAGAACGTGGCAGGATCCCACCTGAGGGACTGGGGTGTTCACAGGTTTGTTAAAACGGATTCAGCCCCAGAGCAACAAGGTCAAAGCCAAGGATCAAAACTGTAACCTGAAGAAGAAACAGTGTTTGAGGAGTTCTGGAATGTGAACCGTGACTGAGTTGAAATGACCTGACCTTGATCAAAATGGCAAGTCACTCTCAAACAGACTTTTTCCGGGAGTTTTCCTCATTTTTGTGCCCTATTCTGGTTCAATCATTTCTCCTAAGTTTCATTGTTGATTAAAGTAACAAACTAGCCTACAGTTGAAACTTTTCAAGCACCTGCCAAAGAAGACATTCATATCACCAGGAAACACAAATAAAACCACATATAACCCATGCCTTCTGCATTATCAATAACAGAGAACACTTGAATTTCAAATTACTGTAAGTAGAAAAATAAATACCAGATACCCATGTAACTCCTGCTGCCAGCGTGTGTGCCCAGGGAGATGGAAAGCAGAGGGCACCGAGGAAATGAGAAAGCCCAAGGCCAGCACTGCACACAGGTGGACACGTGGCAGATCCAGTGGGCTGTTGGGCAAGGCTGGAAAGTGAGCAGACCCAGGTGGCTGTCTCAGAGAGGCAGCCTGCCGGGAAAGAAGGAGATAAAGGGGAAAGAGGAGGTGCAGTGTGGAGACGTGGTTGTGAAGGGGAAAAGGAAAAGAGGGAATTTCAAAGCAATTTCTTTTGCTACAGAAGCAAAAGAACATAAGACCAACCAGCCATTATCCATTAAGGAGACCAAACCAAGGGTGGGGGCAAAGGTGGAAGAAGCCTGTGTGAAAATGATATACCCTGGCAAAGTAGGAAGTATGCAACTAATAAAATAGCAGGAAAAAAGGAGAGAAAGGAAGAAAGGTGATTGTTGGATATGTAATAGGAGGGAGTCAGAGGACATGGTGGGTGTCGTGTGTGTGTGTGTGTGTGTGTGTGTGTGTGTATTTGAGTCAGGGTCTGGTTTTGTCGCCCAGGCTGGAGTACAGTGGCACAATCATAGCTCATGCAGCCTTGACCTCCTGGGGCTCAAGCAATCCTCCAAACTCAACCTCCTTAGTAGCTGGGACTCTATGCATGCACCACCACACCTGGCTAATTTTTATTTTATTTTATTTTTAGTAGAGATGGAGATCTCACTATGTCGCCCAGGCCGGTCTCAAACTCCTGGGCTCAAGGGATCCTCCCACCTTGTCCTTCCAAAGTGCTGAGATTATAGGTGTGAGCCTGTAATCACCACACCCGGCCAAAGGACATGATTTTAAAAGTAACAGAGGAAGACAAAAAAGGGATAATGACACTATTAAAGAATCTTCGAGAGGTAGAAAGGAACGAGGCAGGAGAGGGAGGGACACTGCACTCAATATATACCCTTTAATATAGTTTTAACTTTTGGATTCTTGTTAATGTTTTATGTATTCTAAAAAACAAAATGTAATTAAGAAGAGAGGAAATTAAATTTGAATACTATCAGAAACAAATGAACTGAACCGAATTTCAAATGAATAATATAAACACACTAAAAGGGGAGGAGGGGAAAAACCAACTTAGTAACTTTGGAACACAGTATTTTTACTTTATACTTTTGTTCTAAAGAAAAACACAAAACTGAACTTTTCCTAGCACTGGTTTGGGTAGCGTACCAATTTTGTACACATGGTAAGATTGAACAAAGGAGTTAAAATAATGCTGAGAGCCTGAGTGCTAACCATACAAAAAGGAAGATACTAATATGAAAAGGAGAAGATACGAAAGAATCCTGTAGGGCTTGGGGTGGGGTGGGGGTGTTGAGCCTGTGCATGTAGGAGTGTGGAAAAATCCTTCCACTGAAAGCGACTAGAAGCAGTGACTCCTTGGTAGCAACTGATACAGGCTAACACCCAGATCTTAGTTCCCAATTATCATTCCCCAAGTAAGAGGAAGTAGAATTCCTTAGAGAAATGCCTGATTTCAGGGATTGAAGCAAGGAAAAAGCAAGATGGTCCTAGAACATCTCTTTTTGCTGAAAAAGAAAGTATTTAAGAAATGATGGGTACATGTCAAAAGGATATAGACACCAGCTTAAAGGGGCTCACCTGCCCAAAGCTGGAGTGATTTGAACATCAAAATTATCAGAATTGATGTTTTCATACTAACAGATAGGAAAATCACTTACCTATGGAAGAATGTCAACTCATAAATGTAGATAGAAAAATGGAGTTAGAAGTCACCATATGCAACCAAGGTAATCAATGATTTGGTTAAAAATCATTGATGGTTGCTTAAATAGGTAGGTGAAAGATTGATGAGCAATAGGATATTTTCATAGCCTCAAAGTATCTCCCCACAAATTACTTATTAATTGCAAGAGGAGAATCAGTAACTTTACAGTGGGGAGATTTGGCAGACCCTACCTTAACCAAGTGATGAAAGTTAACATGTCCAGCAGCAGGTCCCATGGATGTCACGTGGCTGCTATGATGCACTGAGAAGGGCCCAGCATTGCCTGTGCACTGTTTCCACCAAATATGTATGAGGGAGCTCCAGAGAAGCCCAAATTAAGGGATGTTCAACAACATAACTGGCCTCTACTCAGAAAGGAAAAAAAAAAAAAAAAAGAAAGGTAAGGAAGAAGAGGAAATAAGGGGGAAAAGAAGGGAAGAAGAAAATAAAAAACATAAAAAGACAAACTATTCCAGGCCGGGTGCAATGGCTCATGTCTGTAATCCCAGCACTTTGGGAGGCCGAGGCGGGCAGATCACCTGAGATCAGGAGTTCAAGACCAGCCTGGCCAACGTGGTGAAACCCCATCTCTACTAAAAATACAAAAATTAGCCAGGTGTGGTGGTGGTCACCTGTAATCCCAGCTACTTGGGAGGCTGAGGCAGGAGAATCACTTGACCCTGAGAGGTGGAGGTCACAGTAAGCCAAGATCATGCCATTGTACTCCAGCCTGGGCAACAAGAGCAATACTCCATCTCAAAAAAAATAAATAAATAAAAGGCAAGGTATTCCGGATTAGAGATTACCTGATGAATGGCAATGACAGTCGAATGCAGTACATGATCACAGGTAGGATTGTATACTGGAAAAAAATTGCTATCAATGACATTATTGGGACAATTGGTGAAACTGGAAGAACTGTAGATCACATTGTGGTACTGTATTTATATTTCCTATATTTCCTGAAATTAACAACTATACTGTGATTGTACAAGACAATGACTTTGTTATGAGGAAACACATGTGGAAGTATTTAGGAATAAAATGCATCATGTCTACAAGGTACTTTCCAGGTACAGAAAAGAAATGGAAAGGAATCGATATGGCAGATGTGGCAAAACGTTAACAATTTGTGAATCTTAGGAAAGGATTTGTGAGGTTCTTAATGCTATCCTTTTTGTTTTTTGATACATATTATTTTCTGTATTTATGGGTCATGTGATATTTTGTTACAGGTATAGAATGTATAATGATTGTGTCACAGTATTTGAGGCATCCATCAGCTTGAGTATTTATCATTTCTTTTTTCTCTTTTTTTTTCTGAGATGGAGTCTCACTATCTTCCAGGCTGGAGTGCAGTGGCATAATCTCCACTCACTGCATCCTGCACCTCCCAGATTCAAGTGATTCTCTCACCTCATTCTCCCGAATAGCTGGGATTACAGGTGTGCACCACCAAGCCCGGTTAATTTTTATATTTTTAGTAGAGATGGGGTTTCACCCTGTTGGCCAGGCTGGTCTCGAACTCCTGACCTCTAGTGATGCACCTGCCTCTGCCTCCCAAAGTGCTGGGATTACAGAAGTGAGCCACCAAGCCCAGCCTATCATTTCTATGTGTTAGTAACACTTCATGTTCTCTCTTCTAGCTACTTTGAAATATTCAATACGTTGTTGTTAGCTATAGTCACCCTACTCTGCTGTCAAAAAATAGAACTTACACCTTTTATTTAACTATATATTTTATCTAACTTATATCTGTAACCATTGACCAATGTCTCTTCATCCCCTCTCGCACCTACCCCAAATCCCAGCCTCTAGTATCTATCATTTTATTCTCTACCGTTATGACATCCACATTTTTAGCTCCTGTATATGAGTGAGAACATGCAATATTTGTCTTTGTGTGCATAGATTATTTCACTTAACATGACTTCTAGTTCTGTCCATGTTGCTGCAAATGATATTATTTCATTCTTTTTTATGGCCAAATAGTATTTCATTGTGTATACATACCATAATCCATTCATCCATTGATATAAGTTTGAAATTATTTCCAAATAAAAGGTTTAGAAAAACGGATGGGAAAAAACTATGAAGTTAAAATGTTGATCTGTGTACCACCTAAAAATCATACCATAATTTTGAAAATACTGATTTAGATTACTATACCCCTACTTCCAAATGTCAAGGAGGATTTTAGAGAAGGGGCACGTAGAGCCAAGATTGCTTGTGGGCTTAGAGCGGGTGGTCATTGTCATAGCCCTGGGAAGGGTTCACTGGCACAGTTGAAGATTCAGACAGGAACCTGCAGTGGAACCAGGTCACCTGAGGTGGAGGGCAGCTTCATATCAGCATTTCACGCTCCTTCTAAAACCTAATAAGCTTCCAGTGATTACTTTTCTTTCCCCTTACTATTCTACATGTCAACCTAGTAACCATATTCAACCACATACCCACATGGCTCTAAGGAGCGAGAAAGCAGTAATATTACAAGAGTGTGGGGAAGGGGATGCTTAAGTATAGTTCAAGTCTTACATTTCTCATTATCTTATGTACGTAAGTCATTGACTAACAATGAAAGTAACATATTTAGTTTGCATTTGGAATTATGCTTTCATGACTTTATGTGAGATTCTTTTCTGTGGCCTAAACAAATATAAGTCTGTGAGTCTGTGATGGGCCTTAATGAAGTGGATTAAGGCATTTCTCCCATTTACATTTTCACAGAATAAAATAAACATTGTAATCTTTTTACGGAACACTCTCACATCAAACCATGATTTGATTTTCTACCTGTTCAGAATATCAAGTTTTGCATTTCTTTAAGTTCTCATGTATTTTAGTGAGCAAGTTGGTAAGACAGAAGTCATCCCTGCGATATTTATAATAGTACTTAGAGTGAACTTGTCATAGGTACTTCTAAAAGATTGTTTTGGATCACGAGGAGATATATTTAGTAACTGTATGGAATAAGTTGTCACATAACACAACATTTCATTGATTTATTTGTGTTATTTTTGTATCTTACTGCAGGCAGAGAATTCAGCGTTGGCTTTGGAGAATGAAAATCAAAGGGAACAATATGAGCGATGTCTTGATGAGGTAAGGGGGATGGAGAGGCTCCTGATCCAAGGCTGGACTAGTTGGGATTCCCTTAATCTGATCTCAAAATGTGTGTGTGCTACCAGTATCCACAAAACATCAGCATTTTCTCCTCCAAAGAAATGTAGTAAACATGTAGCCATTGAAAAGGAAGTGTGTGTGTGTGGGCGGTGTGTGTGTGTGTATGCGTGCGTGTGTGTGTGTGTGTGTGTGTGTGTGTGTGTGTGTGTGTGTATCTGCCCCCCTCCCTCCCTAATTCCTTATCCAGGCATCTGTATATTCCTTTTGGTTGTTGTTTCATATTCTTGGGCCACAGTTTACTGCATGATAAATTATTTCTGTCCAATAAGTGTGATCCCTTCCAATGAATGAGAAGAACCATGTCGGGGCATGCTGCATCTCCAGTTGGATACCATTTCTGAAAAAGCAAATCCTTGATAGAGTGGGTGGGGATGATGTTCACAGTTGGCAACCAGAGGGAAAAAAATCAGTAGATTCAGAACAAGCCAAGAAGAGAAAGAGAAATGAGGAAGAAAATTGGAGCAGAATGGAAGAAGACAGGGCTATACGCATGAGTAAACTGGATAAATATTACGTGATGATAATGAAGAGATGATGGCAAAGATAATGGGCATTTGAGAGTTTCTGGGAGGTGAGGAGAAAACAGACATGCGCTCAGAGCCCTCGTCCTCCCCCGCTGTCACCTCACACCATCAGGGCTCACACCAATCACCGACGCATCCTGTCTCTC
This sequence comes from Homo sapiens, assembly GCF_000001405.40. Taxonomy (NCBI): domain Eukaryota; kingdom Metazoa; phylum Chordata; class Mammalia; order Primates; family Hominidae; genus Homo; species Homo sapiens. The sequence continues at coordinate 132,878,096 of NC_000002.12, read as the reverse complement.
CCTGCCACGATTGGCCATTCGCTCCCTGACAAGTTCTCACCTAGGACCTGTCAGTGATTGCAGTTGTTATTTAAATGAAATCACTTCTTTAGTCATCTGTCTAGCACCTTAAAACTTTATTGTGGTCTGAGTAATTCAGTTGGAGATTTGTTACAATGTACCTGATGCAGATTTTAGAAAGAAAAGAAGAACTGCATTTCGTCTGGTTCCAGTACCTTTCCAGTGGGAACTGCCAATATATCGTCAGTCTTTTTCTCCCTACTATCCATGAGGGAAATCTCTTCTAACAAACTCCTCTTCATATTTCTTACCCTCTCCATTCCCCTCTCCTCCAATGCACTGTCTCAGAAGTCAATGGGATGATCTATAAGGAACACATGCTCAGCTCCCAGCAGTAACGCCGTATATAACTCTTGTTCCCTTCAAACTGGAAGCAGTCTCTCTCTTCTGAGGTCCAGTAGTCCTTGGAGTCTCCCTGCACCAGTGGTTTTAAAAATGTGATCCCTGGACCAGCAGCGTCAGCCTCCCCTAGGGCCTCATTGGGAATGCAGATTCTCAGGACCCACGACAGACCTACAGAATCAGAGACTCTGGGGTAGGGCTCAGCGACCTATGTGTCAACAAGCCCTCCCGATGATGCTGGCGCACTTGATAGTTTGAGACACTGTCATCATCATACCACTTTGTATTGGTTACTTATATGTGGTTGAAGAACTCTCAAAATGTCCTCAGAAAATTATTTGTTTAATATTAGATATGTTAATTGTTTAATATTCCCAACCACATACACTGGTTACTCAAGCAAAATGGTATTTGCAATTCTCTGCCCTGTCAGGACCTTAAAAGACCAGAATAATCTTGACAATGTCCAAAGTTAAACACTAAAGTTAGTTGACTCTGACATGGCTCAGAGTCTAGTGAGGCCAGTTCAGCAGCCCTCACTGCTCCCTGGGCTCGTGGTCCAGTCAAAGTTTAGGGCAAGAAAGACCAAACAGATCCAAGGATATTTAAAGGAACATACCATGCCTTTGGGTCATATGTATTGATTAGCAAAGTTTCACTTTAACCTCCTGCACAGAAATTTCTGCTGAGATTTTATCTGTATTTAGAAGTCAGATTTATGTGACTCACACCACAGAAACTGTCCCAGTTCTCCCGTAGGTCAACCCTCCCTGTCAATCAAAACACTCACATTTCTTTATGGAAACTCATAGTCTGTATTTTGTGTGTTTCCCATGCCTGCACTCCGTACGTTTCATCAGAATGTGTGGGACAAAAATATAAGTTATCCACAAAATCATTTCATATAAAGTTTCCACTGAAGACAGACTTTTTAGAGGGCGTGTTCCTCTGTTCTTAGTTGCAAAAATTAACTGTTGCCAAAGAGGTGATTTGTGACAAAGAACTGCCTCTAAGCAATACACATATTTTGTATTCATGAATACTGACCCCTGATTACACATGCAGGTTGTTTTATAACTAATTACATGAGGGTAGATAATCCATTTCCACACATTGTAAGAGAACACTCTCAATGGGGTAGTTGAATGTAGTAATAATGCCAACTGGAAATTCTTTTCAAGGTTTTTTATGCTAATTAAACAAACTAACAAGGTAAGGCCTTATGTAAGTTTTTTCCTTGCTAGTGGGTGTCATCAAACATACACAGGTGGATAAATGTAAATTTAAAATGTTTTTCAGACAGGCACAGTGGCTTATATCTATAATCCTACCACTTTGGGAGGCTGAGGCAGGAGGATTACTTGAGCCCAGAAGTTTAAGACCGGTCTGGGCAACACAGGGAGACTCTGTCTCTACAAAATAAAAAAAATAAAATCATAAAACCTAGGCGAATGTAGTGGCAGGTACCTGTAGACACAGCTATTTGGGAGGCTGAGGTAGTAGGATCTCTTGGGCCCAGGAGGTCGAGGCTGCAGTGAGCCATAATCCTGCCACTGCATTCCAGCCTGGGTGAAAGAGTGAAACCTCATCTCAAATAAATAAACAAAATGTTCTTCAATCCTTCTTGCACTGATGGTTATTTTCTGGGAAATGAGGAACATATTGAGGATTTGGGGAAAACACTTGAGAATCTGTGTTCCAATAGAAGAGCACATTTATTCAGAAGGTAACAGACTCACATTCCTAGATACACACACACACATACACCCTGGCTTGCTAGGCATGCACATCCACAAGTGCACACACCTACAAATGCATGCGCACACACCTGTATACAAACAGGTGTGCCTGCATACACTTCATCCTCACCGCTACTGCTCCCTATCTCATCTCTCAGCCTTGCAGTACAAAGGAAAAAACAAGGATTAATCTTAGAGTTTGGAGGTTTGCATGTTAGAATCAGGTTTCTTAGTCTAGCTGTTTGACAGACACTTAGTGGTGAGCAATGACTTGCTATTTATTCACAGTATTGCCTTGGCCACAGTTTCTTTCATACCTACTATTCCCATGTAAAGAAGTAAAATAAGTAAAATAACATCCAAAACCACTGCATGGCACTTCAATGGATTCCGTTGTATCCTGCAAACCTTTACTGGATGTCAGCCTCACCCAGGCCCTGAGTTCACGGCACTCCCAGCCTGGCAGGAGAAGTGCAAGGGATGGACAGTCATAGAGTAGGGAGGTGAGAGAAAGTCACAGAGCAAATGAGCTGCACTGAGGACTTTGGAAACACAGAATGCAGTCACCAGAGGGCAGGAGGAGCAGCGGGTAGGTGAGCAGAGGAGGGGGCAGAATTGGAAAGGGTATCTTCAGCAGAAGAAGCTGCAGCAGGTGAGGTCTCAGATCCAGAACAGCAAGTGCTTCTCCTCTGTACCTGCTTGGTGGACTTACCTGGGGACCTTTAAAAATACTGCTGGCTGTGTCACACCTCAGAGATTCCCATCTGACTCTGCTCTTGGGTGGAGCCTGGGCTTTCTGTTTTTTTAAAGCACCACAGGAGATTATAATATTCACCTGGGGTTAAGAACACCACAATTAGATTATCTGAATGCTGTGCTGTAGAGAGCATTTTCAGAAATTTTCAGTAGAAGGATGAAAGCTCCCTCCACCAAGTTTAGATACAGTAACAGAAGAGCACAGACCCATGTGGAAGTTTTAAAGTACTTCTGATTCCACAACAATGTCTGAGATAATATAAAGCTACAGGCAATAAAATAAAATAAAATAAAATAAAATAAACCATATCCCAGTGTTTCTCAAGGTGTGTTTCTGGGAGCCCTTTGCATCAGAAAGATGTGTGGTGGTTGCTAAAATTGCATATCCGTAGACCTCATTCAGACCTTCCCAATCAGTATGCAGGGACAGGAAATTGGCAATTTTCACAAACATTCCAGGAGGAGCTTCTGCACGAAAAGTTGGAGAAACTGCTTCTTCCTCTCCAATCAGAGCTGGGCCCTTACAGTCAGTGACGACGGTGGAGTTGAGTTATTTTCCAACCTCTACACTTCAGAGCGCAAGGACATTGAAAACTAGGCCTTTGGATGTAGTTCAGAAATAGACAAAAATAGAATTTTAAGTAAGGGTGGAAGTAGGTTGCTGAGACTATTTCTCACCTGTCTCTCTGATCCACATGCTACATGCCTAGCCTAGATTGTAGAATCATTCCCAGGACACTCTCAGGCATATCCTACAGCTGGGCCCTACGTCATCTTTAAAATCAAGGTTTTGGCCGGGCATGGTGGCTCACACCTGTAATCCCAACACTTTGGGAGGCCAAGGCGGGTGGATCACAAGGTCAGGAGTGCGAGACCAGCCTAGCCAACATAGTGAAACCTCGTCTCTACTAAAAATACAGAAAATTAACCAGGCATGGTGGTGGGAGCCTGTAGGCCTAGCTACTTGGGAGGCTGAAGCAGGAGAATCACTTGAACTCGGGAGGTGAAGGTCGCAGTGAGCTGAGATTGCGCCACTGCACTCCAGCCTGGGTGACAGAGCGAGACTCCATCTCAAAAAAAAAAAAAAAAAAAAAAATCAAGGTCTTGAAAGAAATGGAAGACGATCGTACTTGTCACTTTCATATGTTCAAAATACTCATTTCTTGGAAATTACAGATGATCTACTCCTTGTTTGCTCCAGATTCTATCGCCCTGGAGGCAGTCCCTGTATTTGTTTCCTCATTATTTTTGCAGGACCCAGCAGATTCCCGGCCCACACTAGGTGCCTAATGCATATTTGTTGAATGACTAAATGAATGAATGGACAGTATCAGCAGGAAATTAATTTCCAAATTAGTGTTTCCCCAAATCCCACATATATATTTACACTAATTTCTTCAGTTATCTCTTCAGAGATGAGCACTCATTTATTATGCACTAACCCAAGTAATAATCCAAAGATTAATCAGCTGAAAAAAATAGTGGACCCACTTCAAATAGTCTGATTTGAATTAGAAGAGAACTTCATGGGCTTTGGATTAGGCAGACTAGGGTTCACTGTTCACCCTTTTCCAATGTTGTATGGGGCTGTGTATTTACCTCTTCGAGTTTCTTTCTTGTTTCTATCTTACAGGATTGTTTCACAAAGTAAATGAATAATACAGATGCTTAGTGACTTACATTTATACATGTATATTATGTGGACACACACACAAACACACGCACACATATACATACCCCTCACGCCTTTCCAAGTAGAATCCCTTATTCTTAAAAAACATTTTTTCGGCTGGGCGCAGTGGCTCACGCCTGTAATCCCAGCTCTTTGGGAGGCCGAGGCGGGCGGATCATGAGGTCAGGAGATCGAGACCATCCTGGCTGATATGGTGAAACCCCATCTCCACTAAAAATACAAAAAAATAAATAAAATGAGCTGGGCATGGTGGTGGGCGCCTGTAGTCCCAGCTACTCCAGAGGCTGAGGCAGGAGAATGGCGTGAACCCGGGAGGCAGAGCTTGCAGTGAGCCGAGATCGTGCTACTGCACTCCAGCCTGGGTGACAAAGTGAGACTCTGTCTCAAAATAATAAAATAAAATAAAATAATTTTTTCTTAACTGCTTACCTGAACATGCATTATATTTTCCGAAGTTCAACTGGCCTGATTCACATTTAGGGGTGACGGCTTTATATCAAGTCCTGTCCTAGGTGGTTTCGCTGATTATGTCTATCATCTCATGCCTTTTTCACAACTTTAGAGGTAGGCAGCTCCCCTATTTTATGGCTGAGAAAAGTCAGATTTCTCTCCCATCCCCTGCGCATGTCAGTGTATGAGGTTAACATAGGCACTGTTTTAACCCAAGTCCATATTCTCCATGCTTTCTCCTAGCTGCCTCAGTACAATCAACCAAGATCAGAAGCATAGAACACCTCTCCAAAGCACATTTTCAAAAACACATACTTTTTCTGATGAGATTTTTCAGTTACTTTGTTGACATGACAGTGGCTTTTCATGGTGAAATAGCTCATGAAGATATGAAAGCAAGCCCACTAGCCAGGAGAGGACTGTCAAAGCATAGAGCATGGAGATCCTCGCTCCCCACGCCCGTAAACCTGAAGCTTCTCCACCCTCCACCCCAGCCCTTGGCTGAGAATTGGCTCCCTCTCTGAATAAACTGCTTAGTGTGGCTTCTTATTCAGCTTCAAGGACTGTTTTTCAATAAAATAATAGAGAACTCCATAGCCCCAGCTTTTCCTCCCTCTGCTCGCCCACTTCCAAGAGAGTGCATGGAGGAATCACGAGCCCTGGAAGTTTTTCAGGGAAGAAGAGCAAAGTTTTGTGTGAGTAGAAGATCAGCCATGTGTTAGAGGAGCTAGATTGTCTGAGAAAATTCTTACTGAGAAGGAAACACGAGATGTACTCAGGCGCTCTCCTTGGCATTCCTGTCTCACCTGCAGCCCTGCTCCATCTCCTAGGAGCAAAGGGGAGAGGCCTCCATGGACAGCCTAAGGAAGGCTGTACTACAAGCTAGTGGCTTAAGGACTGCCAGCTTTGTTTTTCCAGTGTGCTTCAAGTCCCTTGCAGCCTAGCACAGCTGCTGCCCTTTCTCTGGAGAGGAAAGCTGGCAGATGACATTGGAAGTGATTTGTTCTCACTAGCTGGGCCTATGGGTGTGTGATTATTTGCAACCCAAATGTTTAGGGCATAATGTTAGCTTGAGGGCAGGGACGCATTCCAGGCATTATCTTTTGAGCCTAGTAGAGGTTGCAGGCACAAACTCCAAACAGCTGTCCTATTTATGCATCAGGGAAGTTAGCTGTTAAAAGCGATAACAAAACCTCGGACACTGTCGTTATAGACAGTATGGAGGAAAGCATGTCTATAATCTGCCTGATATTTTTCAAAGAAGCGCAGTGAGTCCTTCTAGGTAATATAACCTCATGTCAGTAGGTAAAGAAATAAGGCATTCGTGTATCTTTGTTCAGCTTTCAAGAGGAGCAAATAATTTTCCAAAGTACATGCCAGAAGGAACTGTGTTAGATATAGAGTCTCTAAGCCTATAGGGCAACTGCTTGGATTGTGAGATATAACATATTTCCTCCTGTGGGCTGTTAGAGTTAGGATATTAGTCCGTGTCTCCTGATAAATCATGGATAGAGCTATTTTATGTGACCACCGTTACCAGAATGGTTTCAGTGAGAGACCAATTGGGAGAAAGAAAAGAAAATATTGATATTGGGCAGTTTTATGAGAATGTAAATCAAATCCAAAGTTTGAGATCCAAAAGAAGTAAATTATTTATGGCATGAATTAACTTTGGTACCTTGTTCCTGATTCAACCTGCATGAATAGTTCGATTCTTCTGTTTTGTTTTGTTTTGTTTTGTTTATTTGCCAACAATAAAATAGATGATATGTAGTTTGACTTTGAATTCTCAGTTACTTATGAATTGGAATGAATGCTGGAAAACTGACTTTCACTATTATGCTATTGGTCAATTTGTGTGGGTTGGATAACATTTATCACTGTTGTGATCACATATAAATAAAGTGATAAAGGAACATATGGCCTCAGTTAATGAAAGTATAGTTTATTTTGGTCTGTGGTAGTTCTGTAACTTGTGCTTCACTCAAAAACAATACCTAAGAAAACATTTTATTTAAAATCATAGTTTCAATGAAGAGCCTTTCTTTTTTACTTAATGTCTGCAATGTAACTTTGAAAAGACTTCTGATGGGAAAAAAATCCTTCTTGTGCATATAATTTAACTAATCAATTACAGATAATCTGATTTTAGTCTTTTACTGCTTGTGGTGTGATTGCCTTCTAATCAAAAGTTGATGACAGCCTGTGTTTTAATTTTCTATGAGACTTACTGGTAGCCAGCTGTTGTGAAGGATGTACTATTTGCCAGTATTGAGTCAAAAAACAATTAAGCTCCATGGAAACATTCTTACTATAATCTGTTCGACTATACTAGATAGAGAAAGAAGCACAAATAGTTGGGCACCACCAAAAACAAATATGTTACCAAGAGAAAAATAACACAAAAGTGTCCCTCAGTCTCCCGTTGACTGTAAGAATTACCATGATGATTAGATGTTTGTCACACTGTGTTATAATTGTGTTTTTGCCAACTCACTGCCAGGTATGAGTCTTTGAAGTCAAGGACCATGGCCCAATCATCTAGCTTTGCAAGTAGATACTCAGAAAATTTATATTGGATAAATGAAGGAAGAAATGAATGAACCAGAGTGCCTTATATCTAGGATATTTAAGTATTCTGATTTAGTCTTTCATGCTGTCAATTTCAGTTATCACATTAAATGTTTACAGTGTATGTATTAGCTGAAAAATACCACCTAGTTCACCTGTCCACCTTAATTTTATCAACAGTAGCCATGTAGCTACATAGCTTCAAGGTAATAGTGAAGTTTAGTAGGTGACTCTATGCAAAGTATTTTGAAATATGCAGATGAAAAAGAAATCTTAACACAAATACATACAGTAATAACGAATGGTTACCTGGAGAAAATGCCAGGTATTTGAAACACCAGGAACATGTTACTGGTTTTACATGTGGTCCTTAGCTGGAATTGTGTTATATGCCCACTCCTAAACCAATCACTGGAATTGCCAAGATTGGCTTAGATTAATCAAGATTCACTGCCTTGGGCTGAGGAGGGATTTAGGTTCTTCTGCTGTCTCAAGCTGCCTGATACTTGAAGAAAATGAGATCCCTGAAAAAATTACTAAGAATTATATTTTGTTGTTCGCTGGAAGAAACTCAAAATAACAGTGACTACCTTATTTCCACCACATAGATATTCAATAGACAGTACAGCTCCATAACATCATCAGGACCAAGCTTTTCTCTGTCCAAATATCCTTAATATGTGACTGTTGTTGTCAGGGTAGCTGCTGAAGCTCCAGCCATTACTGTACTTCCATTTCTAGTCAGGAAGACGAAGGGTGAGCCCCCTTCTTCTTTGAGACTTCCTGTAAGCCCAAGAGAATAGTCTGCTTATGTCTTATTGGCCAGAATTTTGTCACATGGCAACATTTTGCTACAAGAATGGCTGGGAAATGCAGTTGAATGTGCCCAGCCCCAAAAGATTGGGTTTGTTACTCAGGAAGAAGGGAAAAAATGGATGTTGTAGTAAACAACTACCAGATTATATTACAGGTAGCAACAACAAGAGCGTGACTTAAGCAAAAACATTGAAGATGAAAGCAGGACACATAGGAAACAATGAGTTGTCCCTATGCTAGACCATTCAACCTATCTCTATTGCAAGTAATATTAAGCAGTGAAATAGACAGCAAAGGAATAGGAAGGACAGGCAAAGGATATTGTAAATCAGCAAAGTGTAGAAACTGTGGACAGATAATTAGGACTGTGTTTTGCACTATATCATTTTTTAGCCTTCTTGGAGTATATGAAAGGATATCATTTTTCCAAATATGGAAATGTGAAAGTCAAGGTATGAATGATCTTTTAAGTGTAACCATCTTAATTAGCAACAAGGTCACCTTTGGAGAAAGCAAAATATTACCTAGAAGGATAGACTTATTATGAAAATAATCAGATCTCTGCATATAGAGGAAAGAGGCAAATGAGGAGCTAATTAGCTACAATAAGCTGCGAGAAACTTATTGGTAAATTAGAGTCGGTGCATATAAAGTCTCATTATTATAAATGACAACTTTTTCTTTATTTTTTAAAGGTAGCCAACCAAGTTGTTCAAGCTCTGCTTACTCAAAAGGTAGGTCACTTTCTGACTTTGTTCTTTTCAAGGCACTTTTGTGACTATATTGGAGCTCATGTTGTTAAGCTAGGAAATTGTGATTGATAGATGCAATACTTCTGTATTTATTCACTTAGTGAAAATCGTTTGTGTTTTACATGGCATATGAAGTAACATCAGTGACCAATAGAATTTGTAATAAAAAATCCAAACTTTCGGTAAAATAATAGAAAGCCTTTTGAAGGTGATTTTCATTTACCCAGATGAGTAGCAAACCCACCATTTTTATTTAGTAAATACAAACTTGCAATAAGTTGGTGAATTCTCCCAATTCCTATAAAACGAGTATCTTCTTTTGGACAGCATTAACAAAAGTCTAAAATTCAGCAAGAGTTAGGGAAGTCATTTAATTTCCCTGAGCCCTAGTTCCTCTTCTGTAATGTGGGAATAACAATTCCCGCTTCCTGGGATTGCTGTGGTGACCCTACAAAAGGAAGCATGTAGAACAGTTACTGCAATAGTTTGTGGTACATATAAAATAATGGTAACCACTGTGCCTGAAATTTCCATACCTATGAGTTTGCTGCCTTGCCATTCTGCCTGCAGACAACATCAGATCACATTATTGGGGCAGACAGTAAATGCAGGTCAATTTTGCCCAAATTTGGCTATTTCAGTGAATTTTATGGAATGTTTACCATCTCCGGCCATGAAGTTTCTGAGAAGCTAAATTTTAGTTCCCTCAGATTTTGTTTACTTTGATTTCTATCTGTGAAATAGAGACTTCTCCAAAAGAAACTTTTAGATCCTGCAGCATATTCAGGATGATGTGATAAATGGCAGCAAAATAATTTATGCCATTTTGATTTTTTTAATTGAAAATAATTTTATTAGGGGTTGACTGCTGCTCATGGAGATACTTAAATATTCTTTAAAATTTCTATGATACAGGCATTGTGATACTTTTGCTAGACTTTCTTGCCTACTATTTCTGTCAAAATGTCACAGTTCCTTCTACAAATAATTTTAACTGCTTCCAGTTTTATACTAACATGCATAAATAGATTTGAGTACACTTACGTAGAGTTAGAATTAGGTTCCATTGTGAGCAACAGAGATCCATAATGAGGTGGGTTAAATAAGCTAAAATGTTAGTTCTTTCTCACATATAAACCGACAGGTAGGCCGAACAGGAATGGTAACTTTGCTCCATAAAGTCCTTGGGGTCCCTAGCTTCCATCTCTGTATTTCATGGAATGTGGCCCCATTTTCAAGGTCACTTCATGGTCCAAAAGGACTATGCTAGCTCCAGTCATCACATCCACACATTCCAGCCATCAGGAAGGGAATAAAAGCTGAGGAATATGAAGATGATAAAGGGCATACAGCAGCTGTCTTTTAAAGGACACTTCCAAAAGCTTTCATACATTACTACATACATCTCTGTGAACAGACCTTACTCACACAGCCACACCAAACAAACCCGGCAAAGAGGTCTTTGTTCTGGGTGTGTGCCCAGCTGAAATTACTTTGGAAGAAGGTGAGAAATAGATATTGGAGGACAAATTATAATTGCTGCTTCAACATTTTTGAATTCTTTTTCTTTTTCTAAGGCTTTAATTTCTCGATTGTTTTTCTCCTGTTTGAAACTCTATGCTGACTTAGTTACAAACCTAAGGAGTGAGGGGAGTGTTATTGCAGCTCTGTGTACAACTGTTGAAAGACTTCCCATGGCTGCTTTTGTTAATGGTGCCTCAGGAAAGAGACAAGGAAGCCATTTGGTACGATAAAAAGGAAAACGGGACCCTTCAGGTCAGCTACAAAAAAAAAAATAGCTACACAAATCCAAGTAATAACTAGTAAACAGATAAATCTACCTTGGTACAATTAAGCAGTGAGACACAGAAAGACATGCTACTGTGAGATAGCATACCTCAGGGACACTATGAGGCAGAAAGAGATGCTGGGGGCTTTTGGAGATTCCAAAAGAATCATGTTCTGCAGAAATGTGTGCCTCCAGTTTTTATGGGCACTGTAAAATTGCTGCAAAAAGACTAAAATTTCTTTTTAATTAAGAGCACAATATAAAATATACAGTGTACTCCAAATGCAGATGAGAAAAATAATTCCAAAAAGGAATGTAGGTAGCAAAGACAAAACAGAAAAAAATCTTGAGCGATTTATCTAAGTCACCAGAAGATCCTTGAGGTGAAATAATAAGCATTACTGTGCAGTTTTAGAATATGCCATTAGTTATGACACAAAGGCAAATCTGCTGTGGCTTCAGCTCTTCACTGGGCAGCCAGAAATACATTTTTCATGGCATATCATGAATTGGCCCAGACAAGTATCCTGAAGTAACAGAGTCTACTGATACTGATAGAAAAAAAAAATTATTTCCATGAACTTAGCAGTTTCTGTTCAGTGTACCTCGTCAAGTAATTTAGTTTATCTCAAAAACCTGTGGATTCCCTTAGGAGAATGGACTGTACCCCTTTAGAACAACAATACAAAAGTGATCATATTAAACCCAACTTTTCTTCCTTTGATGCCTCCAAATCATGGGTCCAAGTCTACAAGTGCGAATTAAATCAGTAATTCAGGTTAAATTCATATTGTTATCTGAAATATATTTTATCTTCATTAAGTCAATTACATTTGCAGAAAATGTAACTCACCTAGGTTCTTCAGTGTTTTGGGTTTGTTTTTTGTTTGTTTGCTTGTTTGCCACTAAACAAAACACGGAAGAAAGGCATTTTCTCTGCAGTTATTTTCGTTCATATGAACAGTCTCAGGCTTATCTGCATGTTCTTTGGAGGAAACACATATTTCGATGATGTGTTTTCTTCACCGACATGGAATAAAGCTGGGTATGGTAGAATCCAGCCATTCAGGCAGAAACAGAAAACAATTTTATAGCTTGTACCTGAGAAAACTCCAAATTCCTATTTCCCCTGTAAAGGGGCAATTGAACCATCCGTGTCCACTTCTCTAGCAGTGGTCTGTGTGGTATCAGGTGGCTGTTTATATTTAGCAGGCATTTACAAGCCTTCAGACCCCACATGCAGCACTTTAAATCCACAAAGTCGTTTTGTTCTCAAGGCAGCCCCGTGAGGTAGGACTAAAAAAAAAGTTTGCTCATAGTTTCAACTGCCAGGCAGTGGCAGAGCCCTTGCTTTAATTATGGCTGTTGCACTGTAAACCCCACGCTCTGACCCACTCCCTCATTCTTCCTCCACAATCCCATTCTGTCACTTGTTTTTCTCCCCCATAGTTCAGTAGGACAGAGAGAGATACCATGAAAATCAAAAGAAGGATTGAAATCCAACGGCTGGTTATGATCACAGGGAATAAAATAAAAGGCAGGGTAGCCACAGGACTTCCTAAAACTTCTGGAAGTATTGCTTATCTTCTGTAGCAGGAAGAGCATTTAGAGTTTGATAGCTGTGGAGTAAAACTGACTCTATATATTTGGGGTCAAGCTTTCTCAAAATCAATCTTATTTTTAACTCCCAAATTCCCCAATTTCCAGGAGCCTTGGTGAGTATTTAATCCTGAGATTGTCAACTAGCTTTGGTAATGGGCTCAAGTGACTGTAGTTACGTGAACTGTTTAGCCATTGCCCTCATTATAAGTGGTTTAATCCGAAGGCTTTTAGGGTGGAGACTTGCAGTATGTATTTTGCCACAGGACTCACTACTTCCTGTGCAGTATCCTGGTTCAGTCAGACTTTTATGTCACCTGTCTTGCCTTTTAGTATTCGATGTTGAAGCCCTGGATCAGTCTGAGATGTGACCAGCCTTTTCCAGAAGTGGCTTTTCATGTTACAAAAGTCTTAGCATTTGGGGCAGAGATAAGGATGTATCAGTGAAAGCCACCAAGAAAGGGTATGACAAAAGAGGCTGGTGGTTTTGGTGGCCATTAGGCTTCAGGGAGGGAACAAAGCAGCACTCGAAAAGACATCCCATGAAGCTAGTGAGAGATACAGTGTTTTGAACAGAAGCCCAATTTTGTGCAGTGCCTTGGTTTACAGATGAGGAAACTGAGACCTAATCAGAAGCAATCACTTCAAGGCCCTGTGGACAATGAAGACTAGAGCCCAGGCCCTCTAAGCCCCAATTCCATGTATTCCCATGATAGACACTGCCTCTGAAATAGGTATACCACTATCATGTCATTTTTACTTGGTAAAATCAGATTTAAATAGTTTTCAATGACACACCAGCGATCATGTTAGTGTATGTCCTGCTTCTAAGCAATCAGCATTTTAAAAAATGTACTTCAGCCTAGAGCTGATAACAATTTTACTCTTCAATACATAAAGTAACTGTACTCCTATAGGTACTATATAGCAGTGAGTCTAGAATCATCTTTAGCCCAAGCACAGGGGGAATTTATCAGGATTACAGTGTGTGGATCCTCCAGAGAAATTATGGTTTGGGATCATTAAGATGCACAGGAGCCCATTAGACCAGTGTATCACATTGCTCAGCTGTAATCTCTTAAGTCTCTGTTTCCAATTGATAGTAACATGAAGAGTGCAAGGAAAACAGGTCTGAGTATTTTCTTGAACCCAAACACCACTGTACCTTTTTTTTTTTCATGATATTAAATGTAGTCAAATCTTTGGCATTATTCCTCCATGATAAATATTTATGTTATGTCCCCATTTTCTTATCTGAAGACACAATCTTATATTTTCAGTGAGGTTCTTTCTTGAGGTCTGATACATGCCAGGAAGTCATAGAAGAAAAAGAAGGATTATGAGAGAGGATACATAGTACAGCCTCTCCCTTGAGCCATGATCCCAGACTATGGCACCTATCCAGAGGAGAGTTCTTTTGTTTCTAAAGCCTTCCTTGGGGAGGCTGTTCTGGGTCTTGCCTCTGAACTGGCAGGGTCAGAGTAGCTGCTCTTGCATCCAGCCTAAATGTATCATGCAGTCATGCATTCCTTTATGTCAAAGTGTTCCTGTTGGGAGCATAGAGGAAGCTAAGACAGCCATCTGCCCCCTCCATCCAGGTACTACAATAGTGGTTAGCAAAACAGTTGTTTATATATATCCATTCTGATTGTGTTTATGAGTGTGTACATGGGCACATGGGTGTTTTTGTTTACAGTTTCTTGGGAAGGCAACTCTCTGGCATCAGTTACTGGTGATCCACAGCTTGTCTGAAGAAAATAAGAATATTAAAAACAACGCAAGCGATTCTTTCCTATCTACAGATTTTCAGAGCAGCTCATTTCTGTTTGTCAATGGCCATCAGATCAGTGTCACAACCCTAAAGCCTCTGTCTTCCCTGCTGCTGTGTGCTGAGCTGGATGTGCCAATAGTGATGAACAGAGAGTTCTCAGGGTCGATAAATTGTGTTCCCACTAATGAACTTTTACCATACCTTAAGTAATACTAATGGCCTTTGAAATTTGGGCACTTGTGTAAAGACTCTCTATAAAGTATATTGATTTTTTTCTTTCATTCTTTCTTTTTCTTTTTTTTTTTTTTTTACCCATCTGAAGAACTCTTTCAAGGTATTCTCAGTTTTGCTGCTAAAAATCGTGGTTACTATTGCTTTCAGGTCCCCTTTTACTTGCATATCCACACTGTATGCTTCCGTTTCCATATCTCTATGTTGCAAATGAGGATGATTGTGTTTTCCCATCCAATAGGTACTATTAATATTTATCTGCCTCACAGTCAAGTCTTATTAACTACTTAATTAGCAGTACTAAAAACAATTAGTGTTTGGGAGCAGAGAGTGTTATATACATGCTAAGAACAAAAATCAGCATGAGACACAGACAGAGGTTGAATTCTAAATAAAGAAAGCAAGTTTTGCCGGGCATGGTGGTTCATGCCTGTAATCCCAGCACTTTGGGAGGCCAAGGTGGGTGGATCACGAGATCAGGAGTTCGAGACCAGCCTGGCCAATATGGTGAAACCCTGTCTCTACTAAAAATACAAAAATTAGCCAGGCGTGGTGGCACATGCCTGTAGTCCCAGCTACTCAGGAGGCTGAGGTAGAAGAATCGCCTGAACCCGGGAGGTGGAGGTTGCAGTGCACCAAGATCGCGCCACTGCACTCCAGCCTGGACAACAAGAGTGAAACTCTGTCTCAAAATAAAATAAAATAAAATAAATAAAAATAAAGAAAGTTTCACCTTTGTTTTTTTTTGGTTTTTTTTTTTTTGAGACTGGGTTTTTTTGAGACTTTGTTGCCCAGGCTGGAAAGCAGTGGCACGATCTCGGCTGACGGCAATCTTTGCCTCCTGGGTTCAAGTGATTCTTGTGCATCAGCCTCCCGAGTAGCTGGGACTACAGGCGTGCACACTTGCCTAATTTTTGTAGTTTTAGTAAAGATGGGGTTTTGCCATGTTGGCCAGGCTGAAGTTGCACCTTTTAATTTGAGCAGTGAGTGGGTCCTCACAATGGCCTCTGCCAAATGGCATGTGTGCTCATGAGTACAAAATGTGCACTCGTGATCCTGCCCTGCTGGATCTTGCACTCTTGCACGTCATTCTGAACATGACATTTCTTTTCTCTGCTCTCCATTTGTAGGCACCGATCAGTTGAAAACACCCTATACATAAGCTTTACCCATTTAACTAAAAAAGGCAAGGAGAGTTGAAACTGTAGTGGGCTATACCTTGGCCTGTTTCTTTGCCCCCTTTAATAGAATTAATACTACTGGATAAGATGATGCATGCTCATCAAGCCTCAGAGAAGGCTTTACTAGCGAGATCTAACTTCACCATTAGATTCATACAAGGTTATGGCAGGCCCAGGTAACTCTGTGACTCCTATTTAGG
The DNA here is from genome assembly GCF_000001405.40 of Homo sapiens. Classification (NCBI taxonomy): domain Eukaryota; kingdom Metazoa; phylum Chordata; class Mammalia; order Primates; family Hominidae; genus Homo; species Homo sapiens. Next base: position 132,862,146 of record NC_000002.12, on the reverse strand, counting down.
CCCTAGGCATCAGAACTGTGGCTTGGGCTCTCCCTTGCTTGCAGAGCCTTAAGCCCAATAGGTAGCTGCCCCACATCAGAATACATAAATCTTTGAAGTAGAAGTGTTGAGAAACTTAAACGCTCTTTATCACACCAATCACTAGTGAATAGAATTTGCCATCATCATCCCCTTTAGCAAAATAATTGTGAGCACTTATTAAGCTCCTACTATGTGTGGCATTGTGCTAGGTGATGGAATAAAAACAATGTAAGAGCAATATGCTGGTGTGGTTATTTCAGTATCTTCTTGAGCTTGTCTGGTGAAAAATGTGTCGTGTAATTGACAAGTCTAGAGCACAAACGATAAAATGAATACAGAGTAATATATGCTAACCGTCACAAAGGAGGCATTGAGGGCTGATGGGAGTTCAGAAAATGGAGCAGGTATTGAGGGATGCCAGGTAAAAGGTCAGAGAGGTGATAAAGTTTGAACTGTACTTCAATCAAAGAGCCAAATATGGGCTGAAAGAAGAAGGTGGATAAGAAGGAAAAGTGGCAGTGGAAGGAAAAGAGAAGAAGGTAGAAGGAATGCGTAGAGCTTTAGAGAACAACACGCCAGACCTTTGTTCTCTGCTTGGTGAGAACAGAAGACATTTTTTTTTTTATTAACATCAGGAAGTAGTGAAAGATAGTTTGAAATGCAGAAAAGGGTCAGCTTTTGAAGAACCTTGAATTTGGGTTTTATTCTACTGCGTCTGCCTTGAATTCCATCAAAAAGGGCATAGATATTTAAGTACCGCAAGTTCCTTTATTGCAGTCAGTTTGGAAGGCAGTTCTAGTACATCAGCTTCCTCCATGAGCTGGGGAAAAGGTCTCTGTGGTGTTTGAACTATTCAAAAGAGCTGCTCCAAACAGATGCCAGAATGGGCTAAGTGTGCTTCTTACCCAGCACTGAGACCAGAAAGCCCCAGAAGGTATGGAAATCCATGAGTTCAGAGGATGGGCAAGTGGCAAGTGGCCTTTTAAAAGCCATCTCTTCGGAGCTATTTCTCTCCCGCTAAATGCATCACTGACTCTATTAGCCCCATCACCGAGAATTTCAACTTGTTTTCACAAATGACAATGAAAAACTCCATCAGAAATGATAGTTTCTTTAGCTCATCAAATCTCTATTCCCTGCAGAAACACTGTTGTTGTCCTTGTGGTTTGTGCTCTATGATTGCTTTTATAAAGACAGTGAAAAGGCAAAATATATAGGCGGAAACTTAAATTGACTTCATATCGCTAAGATTTACTGTCTTCAAAAATAGCATGCTAGATTAATGCATTTCTGATTTCAAGGTGCTTTTTTAAAAAAAATTGGTCTTCTTTGCACATAATAATTCTATCAGACAATGGTCTGTGGACGAAAACGTATGTGATTTACTTCTGGGGGCTTTGAAGAATAAAAATACCGTTTTTTACTAATGATCTGAGATATATAAAATATGGTTATAATATGCAAAGACATCTTTCAGTTATGGACTTTTTCCTCCTTCGATGTGTTTGTTGTAGGATCTAAGAGAGGAATGTGTGAAGTTGAAAACAAGAGTGTTTGATTTGGAACAGCAGAATCGAACACTAAGCATCCTATTCCAACAGCGAGTCAGACCCACTTCTGATCTGCTCCTCCAGGTATGTGTTTATCTGGAAAACAATCTTTGCTACTGAAATGCTATTGACAGGAAGTTACTTAAGTTCAGAAGTTAGCAACATCTTCATGAGCAAGGCATATTGCATCAGAATCCCAATTCTTTCCTTTCTCAAGTTATGTCATTAAATTTGAAGGTGTCTGAAGTTCTTGACTTTTTAAAGCTACATGCAGATAAGGAAATGCACTAACAAATAATAAACAGGCAAAAGGGACAATCAGAAGATGTTCTGTAGTAAACTAAATGGAACCATGGAAAGGAGTTAGGAAATAATTGATTGCTTTGGGGACCAGCATTAGTAATCTTGCATACTGTGATAATCAAGGAAGAATTTTATGTAGTGCCAAAGCACATTTTTTTTATTTCAAACTCTTTATGATCAAAAATACATGTGGGGTTTGTTTTTCTTTTATATCTCTCTCTATGCAGAGTTCCTTCTTATAACAGAACGTCTCCTGTTTCTATCTCAGTATTTTTACAGGTTGTCTTTTTCTAAGTGCTCTCACTGAACTATTTTTTTTTACTTGCCTTCATAACATGGAAAGCTGTGGAAAGTCAAGCCATTTGAGTCGATTTGAAGCTGTTCCTGACAAAGCACTAGAGAATATGTCCCACTGCAGGGAAACATATGAATGGGGAGAGGGGTCTGCAGGGCTGACCTTTGCTGTTTCCGATCTTTGTGATCCTATTAATGTGTATATTTGCTTAAACAAGCTCCCATGAGCTTTGCCCCCAAGCCCTTCTGAGGCTAAGCTGTCAAAGACTGCATCGAGGTTTCACAGGGGCAGTGTGCAATGTGCAAAGGGCGGCCCACCACTGCGTGGTCTAATTGGCTGAGAGGAAGGTCCTTGTCCATCCTGTGGTCATCTGGATGATACTGTCCAGCACTATAACCACTAGCCATGTAGGGCTATTTAAATTTTAATTTTAAAAATTTAAATTAAATTAAAATTAAGTTTCTATGTCCAACTAGCCACATTTCCAGTCATCAAAAGCCACATGTGGCCAGGGACTACCTTAGTAGACAGCACACGTGGACAACATTATCATCATTGTGGAAAGCTCTGCTGGACGGTATTTTTCCAAATGATCCAGACTGTGTTGCTAATTTACCCTCTGAATTTTGGAATAAAAATCTTAGGACTCCTCAGAGAAATAACGGGAAATTGTAATTCATTTCAGAGAAAGAAAGATGTTCGGTAAGCTGAACATCAAAATGTAATTTGCCCCCCAAATTAAAATAAAACAGCTCTCTGAATTATAAAATAGATCTCATCTCCTAAATTAATTTCCTCTCTGCCTTATATGTTTGAACATAATTCATAATTTATGACTCAAAAATTTTGTGGGGTGGGAGCGAAGTCATCTATCTCTATTCTGTTTTCTGTTCCTGACCACCGTAAATATTTGTCATAGGGGATCTTGCATTTATAAAAAATTGTGTTTCTTTTGCAATCTCATCATCAAGATTCAATATTAGAATTACTTTTAAAAGCTGTTGCATGTTCCTGATTTTTTTTCTGTTCTGCCTGTTGTAACTTGAGGCCTTTCTGAAGTAGTGTTTAAGACTCTACAGTCCCTGTTTATGAATTGTGATCATTTATTTGCATGGTAAACACACGTGCTATGGGTATATAAGCATTTTCATTGGCTGTCACAAATTTCTTAAATTCATACTCAGAGATCAGGGGATGATGTGTATGCTAACAATAGACATCAGTGTTTATTCATTAGGTGTTTTCAGCCAACACACTTCATATTTCTCCCCAAATAGTACTCCCTCCAGGAGCCATTCTAATTTAAATAATATTTATAAAAGATGGGCTGTTAATAGTTCTGTGAAGAATAATGATATAAAGTGTGATACCTGCCCTCTTAACATCTTGGAGCTCATAATCCAAGACAGAGGACATGACTGGCTTTTCAGATGGTGTGTTAATTATTTCACTCATGGCTTTTCATTTTCTGATAGTACTTTAGGGTTTGAGAAACAAAATATATACAGTGGAGCTAAAATACAATCATTCCAAACTTGCTTTACACCTATGGATGCTCAGTCATTATGCGTTGAGTGGAATAATGAACAAATAATAATTCATTGTTCTGGAGAGTTATTTTGCATAAACTTAAGAGAGGTTTGTGCTCCCACCTCTTTTGAAGTTTTCCTGTCTTACATGAATGTTGAGGCACTACACAGTCATGTGTTCCAGCCCAGTATGTCTGAGGATGTGGTGGGTGGGGGCAGCAAATCCACCAGTGTGTCCCTGGTTCCAAATATTATTGACCCTATAGCTGCTGCCCATGGTCTTTGGATTCATTATAGCAGATTTCTAAGTAGTTTTTTTGCACTTCTTAGAAGGCTGCATTAGTTATTATTTGTTGAATACAGCCTAATGATTCTCTATATTCCAAAGTTGCTACCTGAAAAGAAATACAGAAAGAAGAGTTATGAACACATTGTGATTTAGGTAGACAAATTATAAATAGTATAAAGGAAAATAACTTATAAGAAACAGCCAATTCTTTGTCCCTTAAAAATACAGAATAAGAGGTTATATGGATATCATTTAGCAAATTCTTATGTGGGAGAGACAGAAAGGGAGTGCTCTGAGGATTAGTTGACAGATTCTGGTAAACTTACAAAGGGAGCCAGGTCCATGATGGAAATAAGAAAGGCCTAAGCTGAAATTAAAATCTTAAGATTGACAACAAACTTCTCTATTGATTTCATTTTCTAGAATGATATCTCTGGGACTATGGGTGGCAATAAATCAGATTAACAAGACCCCCCTCCATATTAAAATCAACATTGGAACTAAATTCCAAGGAATTGAGATGGCGGGATAGCAAACAAAATCCAAAAGTAATGTTCTTACAGAGACTGGAATCTCCTAACTAAGCTCATTTGAACCTACTTGTCTGGATTCACTGATGCTCAGCATTCCCCCTTTCAAATCACACTGAACAATGCCCTCAACTTAATGAATGTTGGCAGCTAGTAAAGAGCTCTCTACCATGTACACTTATTTGTCTTACCAGTTGAGCTGAATACTTGCCAAGAATGAGTTATTTTTGTAACTTAGTAGGTCTGCTAAAGTAGTATTTGTGATCACATTAAATATAGTTGTCTAACTATAAAAATAAATTGTGGGAGACCAGAAATTGTATTAAATGTGGAACAATTCTGCATGCAAACTGCTCCTCAAATGCCTTTAAGTTCCTGTACCATTGTTAAGGAAAACAAAAATTAGGAATCATAGACAATGTATAAAGTGTGTGTTGATGCCAAATTAAAAAAAAAAAGATAATGGAAGATTCCAACAAAAAGATCTCTAAGCAAAGAAGCAGCCTTGGCCCTACCAAAAATGTCACTTACCAAATACATAGTAGTGCTTACCATGTGTCAGACTCTATTCTACAAACTTTACAGCACTCACCAATTTCATCTTTATCACAGTCCCATGGGGTAGGACCTATCATTGCACCCGTTTTACCAATGGGGATACTTTGGCATAGACAGGCTAAGTCCTGTAGCAGGTATTTGACAGACCAAGGATTTAAACCTGAAAATCTGTTGAAATTAAGTCCCCCCTTTCGCCTCCAATTGGTGCTCCCTCTGCGTGGAACATAAATGAGTAAGAGGACAAATTTTCTGATTCCCTATTCTAGGTGACATTTGAATTAACTGGCTCACCTAGGATTGAGTCAGATCAGAGGGCTTCTGCAGTACAATCCCAATAAGGAGCCTACCATCTTTACACATTTCTGAAATGCGGCATCTAAGATTTTCCCCTTCCTATGTGTTCTGTCTTTTACTTGTTTGGGATACCTGTGTAACCATTATCCTGATGGGACATTATTCTCGTATTCTTAGATTAAGACAATGTTTTCTTTTCTTTTTCATCTGATATTTCAAAAAGTCCTACTACTGATATCCTTAGGCCAAGTTAGGAAGAAAAGAATTTTATAGGGTAGATGATTCACATCAACAGTGGAGGATCTGACAGCTTAGAACCAAGGTGCAAAAATTTGCTGTTACTTCTTAGAATGCGGACTTTTTGTTTTTGCTAGTGTTTTATATCATTATTTCCAGTAAGATGAGAGGGCTTTTACATTCTACTTGTTCCGCTTTTTTTTTCTCTTAGTCTTTATTTTCAGTGTAAATCTATCCATGAGTCTGATCTGGCAAGACACTGCACACTTTCCTTTCCACCTGTCCACAAGCCAAGCATCCCACTGTGAGATCCAGCTGTGAAATAAAGGAAAATAACATATAAGAAACAGCTGTCCCAGCAAGGGGCCAGCCAGGGCCTCAGCAGTCCTCAGTGAACTTTCCCCATACTGGAGTTCATGTAGTATCAGTGGTCTATGCAAGCTTTGCCTCCCGGGTTCACGCCATTCTCCTGCCTCAGCCTCCCGAGTAGCTGGGACTACAGGCGCCCGCCACCATGCCTGGCTAATTTTTTGTATTTTTAGTAGAGATGGGGTTTCACTGTGTTAGCCAGGATGGTCTTGATCTCCTGACCTTGTGATCCACCTGCCTCAGCCCCCTAAAGTGCTGGGATTACAGTCATAAGCCATTGCACCCAACCATTATACACTTTTAAATGTATGTATTTTGCTTTTTCAAAACATCTGCCTTTGGGGTTCTTTCACATATATGTAGTTGAAGTGAGACAAAAAGATGAAAAGAAAAAAGACTAGTTAAGCAGGTAGCCTGTGGTGAGAGCAATAAGGGAGGGGTAGGTGAGTGAGTAAAGAAGAAGGTAAAGAATGGAACTGTGGTTCTTGAGTTTCTGTGATGGAAGCTTTTCATTCTGATCGATTCTGGCCTCTCTTGAGACACAAACTAAGAAGGAGTTGGGAGAAGAGGCAAGAACATCCACACAAGTTTGAAGCATCTACCTGGCTTCCCACGCTGTTGGGATATAAGTTCACCTTATGAGTTTCTGGAATGGATGAACTCTGCCCCTTGGCTGTTTGTGTGGACCAGCCATGGAGGCGCCTCCAGTCCTGCCCTACAAACCTGATATCTAATTTAGAAACACCCACAGGGTGACAGGAGGAGCAGCCAGTGATGCTTCAGGGATGCTGAGTAACACCAGGGCTCAGATGGCAGAGTATCCACTGGTGGTGAGCCTGTCATCCTGCATGGTTACAGGACATTGGTGGTTTCATTATGGGCACTGGCCAGACATGAAAACATATGGAGAATGTGCAGCAGGTATTCTGTGTCATGCACTAAGCACTGGAAAGGATATTAACCTGCCAGACGTGCAGAAAGTGGCCCCTTTGAGAGGTAAGGGACACTTTGAAAAATCACACAGTTCCTGCAGAGCAAGGCTTTCGATGATGAGATGTAACACGTGAGGTTGGTTTGGGATCAAGTAAGAGCTATACAAAAGACAAGAAAGAATCATCAGGGTTATGGCAAGATGTGATTTTTCCCTCTTCATAATATGCCCAAGACCCTCTATAGACTTGCTTCACACTTCAACAGCCTCATTTTTCTTTTTTTCCTGACACAAATTCTTTACTTCAGCCAAGCAGAAATACTTTCACTCCACAGAGCATGACATAGGTTTTCCTTCAACTGTTCCACTTTGTATGTCATTTTTCTGTTCAAAATGCTACTCTACTCCTGCCCACCCCACCCCTGCCACTCCTCTTCATTCGATTACCAAATTGGGAGCACCCAAAGTAATGTCAGTGCTGAGGAGTCCATGGCAAAATGCATTTGCTCAAGGGCCTGTGGTCTACAATTAAGCCTGAAAGGGAAATGATGTTCTAAAAGGCATGTGGGAAGCTATAGCAGCTGAGCAGAGACAGGCGTGGGGCAAGTGGAATCCTAGCTCCGCTTGCAGAGGGCCCTGGGGAAGGCCCAGCAGAGGAAGCCATGCCTCCATGTGACTCCAGGTGGACAAGAGAAAGTATAAATGCCATCCAGAAAGAATACACTGTGCAAAGGCATGAGAAATTCTCTTCCTCACAATCTGGTTTCTAAATTCATATGCTTTGGAGGTACTCCTGGAATAAGATCACAACTCCCTGCCCCACTCAATCTCCTACTCACACCTTGCTCACTAAGTCCTGGCAGCATTGATATGTTACTTTGTAAGTATGCTACAATTCTTTTTGCATACCTTTGCTCTTCATTCCCAAAGCAATTGAGGGGTGTGTTTTTTTTCTTTGAACAAGACCCAGAGCTTACCAGTCCATGCATCATGACTAAATGTTGTGTTCCCATCAGCTTATAGTCAGCATTATCACGTAAGGTGTATGTGGTCTGTTATAAGGAAATCAAGGTAGGATTCCTACTCTTTTCTTGCTTGATTTGGCCTTTATTTTCTTAGGGACAAAAACCTTGTTTTGACCTTTGAATCCTCCTAGTACACAACTGGAATACACGTGAGCCTCAATAAATGCTGAGTGAACTAAGGATTACGTGAAACCAGGCAAATGGAAATGCTTGTAACAGAGGTACAGGGAGGTGGTTTCACAAATGAAGTGGCTCCAAGGGAGGGAAGAGCAGAAGGGAGTGAGAGCAGTGCTTAGGGTGCTGTGTATTTAAAGTGAAGAAGGCAAGCTTTGAAATATTATGTTTAGATGGGTCAGGATAATTAGGGGAAATTATCTCTCCTTTTAAATGAGTTTCAGGTGTTTTGTTGTTATTTGTTTTGTTTTATTTCTTCCTGTGGCCAGTGAGACTGCAGACATAGGTTCTGTCTTGGAATTGTTGGCTCCGTAAGCTGTAGAGATTGTATTATATGAATGTGCCTTTGGTCAGGGGGACTGATGTTTCCATATTGTTTCATGGGTTTTTATCTCCCCATTCTACTCCCTCTTAAATTTTAAGTAACTTAATGGAAGGCACCTAAATTTCTATTCTTCATATCCTCCTAAAATTAGATATATGTATTAATTGTATTAATAGGTATTAATTGCTTTCAAGAGCACATGGCTGACTTCCCATCATATGTGTCAATCTGTATTACTATGTGGCTGGCTTTACATAAACCATCCTCTCACCAAAACAATGAAAACTCTCATGCTCGGAGATCAGATGCCTTAAGGGGCTAAGCCAGGTGAAGGAAGCAGGAAAGGAAGTTGTGTGCCCTGCAGCCAGCCCCAGCCAGTTAGGCCCCATGGAAATGCTAGCTAGATGTCGCCATAGCTTTGAAAATTGTAAGAAGCTAGAAATGCAGACTTTTGCATGTAGTCTCTCAAATTTTAAATGTTGGCTAACACCTAGTTCAGCTATTTAATGACACTGAGGAAACCCAATAAGGCAACCATGGACCAGAATTGGCCTGCAACCTGCTTTTCTTTCTCTGCCCTGAAAGTGGTGGCAGTTTAATTTAAAACTTGGTGCATGTGCTCAGAACACCTGGGCACTATGCTGCACAATCATATTCATGGGACAGCCAGAATATATTGCTTTATTCATTATTTCAACAAAAATTCATTGAGCACTATGTCCTTGGTAGTGTACTAGCTCCTGAGGACACAGAGATAGTTTAGACACAGTTTCAGACTTAAAAAGGTCATCATTTAATAAGGAGATAGATAATATAAACAAACAGTTGTGCAGTAGAGTAGTAAATGCAACAGAAACATATACCATCCAAGGTCCTCAGAGGAAAAAGTGACAAACACTATTCTGGGTGTCAGGAAAGCCTTCTAGGGTGTGGTCACAGCTAACCTTGACTTTGAAGAATAAATAGGAGTTTGCTAGGGTAACAGTTTCCAAAAAGCAATTTGTGAACTAAATTCAGGACTAATACTGGGATTTATATTTACATTGATCCCAGGTCCTGGATTTAATTATAGCTGTAAGACTATAAAATTGTCTTACCCTGATTCGGCCTTGTTTGGCCTTCCCAACCTCTTGCAACAATACCAGATTAACTCATCCAGCTCTGTAGGAAAACAATAACCTCCAGGAGTGTCATGCTGGCTGAAATTTCTGTCACTGTGACCTTCAACAACACTTCTTTCTAGCTTTTTAACTGAAGAAGGATATAGTTAAACTGGATTAAGAAGTCTAATGGAAAAGTGAAGAGCCCTCTGTGTCTAAAGTTTGTTTTAAGGATTTCAACATTGAATAGAGGTTCAAACCCTGAACATAAATCAACATTATATTGCAGTAGACTAAGTGATTGAAGTGTAAATTCACAAAATGCACCCTGTAGCATGAAACATTCAGGCGATATATATTTTTATCATATTTCAAACACATAAGAAAACCTGATTATCCTGAATTTAGTAAATTTTGTGCAGTAAATGTCTATCATAGTAACCTAAAAACTCCCCTAGTAAAAATTGTTATTAAGCACTACATTTTCATTCTGAGTTTTGGATAAATAGAAGGATTTGGAAATGCAAGGGACAGAAAGTACTGAGAAAGGAATGGTGATGCTTACCTGGGGATTTGATTATGCAGATTAGAGTATTAATTTCTTGGCGCTGGAAATCATGGACTGTCCATTGCTATCAGCAGATGTCACACTAGGGAAATCTTATTCCCGGCACGAAAAGATTAAGTAACCTAAACTCTGACATGAAAGACTAGTGTTTCCAGAAATGAAAAGCAATTCTGGCTTTGTTCTGTCACCTCTCTTACCACGAGGGTGCACTGGTCTAAGAGCTGCCCTGAAACACTTGGGAGCAGCTTTCTGGAACTGGCCAGTGATTTGCAATCTGACGCAGCTCTTCAGGAGACTTGGGAACAAATCTTTAACCTGTCGGGCTGCAGGAAGGAAGGATGTCTTTGAAGTCCTGAATCTTGGCTGCATGGGTCAAGGAAGGGAGGGGAGGGTAGATACCAACGAGGCAAATAGACGCATCCAGGGTCTCTTAGCAAAACCAGAACAGGCTGAGCCTCCTTGGGAAGAGAACTGCAGGAAGGCCACTGAAGCCCCGTGCAGCCCGGGATGGCCAGACCCTAGAGGCAAGCGGGGTTAACCTTCAGTTGTGCCTGGCCTGCTGCAGCTGCTCAGAAATACACTGGGACTGGGCTCACAGTAGCCCCCAGTGTGATCAGGGGGATGAAGATAAAGATTCTCAGGGCAAGATACTCTCATATCCTAATGCCACTGGTTTATAGCTTACACCTGGCTGCACTAGAACAGTTGGGCCAGATTCAAAGGCAAAAAGACACACCCCACTTCCATCTACTACCTCATATACAAGCACACACAAGCTCAGGTCAAGTTTTCAAAAATCCTAATAGAAATCTCCAGACAGATGAGATGATAGTGCACTTTTGTGAAACTTGAGAGACCGAGGAAATGTTACCAAGTCTCCTGTTCATAAAACCATCTTCATGCAATAGCTTTCTAGCAAACTTTTCCGCCTTTAAAGCAGTTTGTATGTCTTACCTGGGTCAGTTTCTGTCAATCACTGTCGGCCTAACATCTCAAAATCAAGAACAGAAAAAAAAATGCTTGAAAAAAAATGCTTTTCTGAAAAATTTGGAAGGCCATTCACCTGCAAGGAGTCTCACTGGAATGACGGACATTGCCCTGTATGTCACAGACCCTGATAGGAAGCCGATGCCACTGTGACTCACTGGTGACCGGAGAAAGGCCACACAAACATGTCACCACTGCCTCCAGCCATACTCTGTGGTTGATAAATCTCTGCCCTTTCCTACCTCAGAAGTAGGAAAGCAGAAGGATCAGCAGAGTTTCTGTAAAATAACATAATTAAAAGGAGCCTGAGAATCTTTGCAAGAGTGTCTCATTAGGAGAAGTAGTCCCTGCAGTTCTAGCAGGTTAACATGTGCTGTACTAAGGTAGCAAAGTGTTTCTATGAAACTGGGTTGGCTGAAGGCCAGTGTGGTCAAATATGCCATTTCCCAAACAGATACCTTGTAGTTACATTGATAAAGCTTTGAGATTGTTCTATACCTTTTTAGCAAGCAGAAGGCATCTCACTGCATCTTTACAATAGGCCCAGGGTATTAGTGCTGTTTTACAAACAGGGAGATGAGCCCCTAGAGGCTGCGGCTTCTTCTTAGCCAGGGTTCTCTCCGGTCCAAAGCTTCCTGCCTTAAATTACCCACTGCCCGCTTAGGCCCTCACTTCCAAATGTCACTTCATGACTTTTCCCAGGCCTACATAAGGAAAGGATATTGCAGTGGTGTTCAATGAATCAGCCAATTAAAAGACATTTAATGGTCTGTTTGGACTTGACAATGTGCTACACCTTGGAAAAATCAAATTCAATACATTTGGGTGGTGTCCAAATAATCAGAGTTATAGACAACACTGTTGTGGGCATAATAGATATTTCCCTGAATAAGGACATGGATCTAATAACCTAGTAACATGATCAAATCATTTGCCCTAGAAACATGTTTATGCCAAGGAATAATAGAATCATATATTATTATATCTCAACTTTCAAGATCATATAATCTACCCCCCTCCCTGGTTATTGGACACTCAGATTGATACTTGCCTTTTGCAAGGTTGCACATTCTGTTTAGAGAAGAGTAGCGGCTCGATTCCAGGAGTCCTGATTATCAGCATTGTACCCTTTCTACTACGCCATGGGGGTAATAAATTGGAAATGTACCCGAATTAAGGAATAGAAAGAGCTTGGCATGAGAAATGTGCCCTCAGTCTAACGAGCAGCTTTGGGAAATGGTTCAGATGGAGTGGACTGACTAAATCATTGAACTCCAAGGAGGCATGTCGGGTGGACCAAAGAGGTAGGAGAGAAGTGAAAGGCCACTAAGATCCACGCAGGCTGAGATTCACATCCCCTCTGCACCACATGCTGACTAGGTGACCTCGGGCCATTCTTGAAATGTCTAGTACCTTAATGTTAGAAGCTAACAAATGCAGAAGTTCTTTCCTTTCTCGTCTTGTGAGATTTGTGACCTGCATCTCTGTGGCAGGGGAACAGGGAGGTGCAACAAATGATCTGTTTGCTCAGCACTGATTTCTGAGAAACTGTGGTCTGAGTGAATGAGATATTGGCCCAAAAATATACTGTATTAAATCAGTTTCTATTTTCTATTATTGACTTGTTGGATTTTCCTGGGAATTTGTATTTCTGGGGATTCTCTAGGGATATTTAGCTCTAAGTAGATCCTTATGGGCTTTTAACCAAGTGACTCAGAGTGAATGTTTCAGCAAGAATAGTGTCTGAGATAAGCAGGAGTTGGAAATGCCCTGGATTAAGCTATCTATTTAATCTTGTGGTTAACTTTCAAAAAGAGGGGGAGCCATGGCTGGATCACAGAATCCTTTGAGTATCTGAGAAAGACAGTAGGTTTTCTCCCTATATACAGAGAGAAATTAGCTTGTAACTTCAAGATATTCAGGGACCCTGCGAAGCCTGTCTATTAATTAAGAAATTAATCCCTTAATTACAAAATCCCAAATTAAAATTTAATCCACGATGATCATCTGCATCATAACTGCCCTTTTACCCTTTATTCATTCACATTGCATCGGACACTTTCTATTTCATATTGTTTCTTTGCTTCAGGCCTGTTTTTAAATCTTTACCAAGTATGACAGATCCTGAATACCCATCTTTGTAAATTCAAAGTGCAAATCTTTAAAAAAAACAGTTGTTTTTAGCTTTTTCTGTTCACTTTTTAAGTTTTATTTTATTGTATCTTTTGGAGACAAGGTCTCACTATGTTGCCCAGGCTGGAGTGCAGCAACTATTCAAAGGTGTGATCATACCACACCACAGACTCAAACTCCTAGGCTCAAGTGACCCTTCTGCCTCAGCTTCCTGAGTAGCTGGGACTACAGACATGCACACCACGCACAGCAGGCTTTTCCTTTTTATGATTGCTTTTCCCTCCCAAATAGCTAACTAGTGAATGGAAGAGGATAAGAATCATGTCTTCAAAATCATATTTTATAATAGATATATTTATGTTGTGAAGAAATCAGAATTTCAAAATAGAACACATTATACACTTTCGGACATGAGATGCATACAGATGTGTTCCAATAAGCCTTGCTCATATTTCATTGTTACATTTGACATTGTTCAAGACAGGCATTGAGATCCTTGAATTAACGTAAAGATCTCATAATGATATGAGTGCAAAAAGCCGTTATCATTAATGTTGCAGCAGAATTTGCCATAAAAACAAGAAAAGCTGAAATGAAAGAGGTAATCTGCAAGCTGATGCCTCAGATGGAAAACTGTCTTCTCATTACAATGTTATGTCCACTTCTAAAAGGAAAAAAATAACTCGCTGACTTAATTCTATATCAGGACAGGACATGTGAGATGTTCTTGGGTACCCTTTTTGCATCTGGGTGGATTACCACAATTGATTGTTCACTAAGCTATCATACTGTTCTTTTCAGTAGCTAAATTTTGCTTCTGGTCTCTGACCAGACTGCTGAAACACTGAAGATCCACATAACATATATTAAATTAACTTCTCCAAAGCAGGTTCCTAATGAATCTGAGTCTTTACCCTGGTTAAGAGGAACCATTAAACACATTCTACATATAGTTGTGACCTGTTTCTGAAGAATATTTACATCCTCCTTTATCCACCCCAAAAGGATTCTCTAATTTCTCTTCCCAATCAATCCTTCTCAGTCCTCAGCCCCAGGCAACCACAGATCTGCTTTCTGTCACCGTGGGTTAGCTTTATCTTTTCAAGAGTTTAAACAAAATCATGTAAGATATACTCTTTTGTATCTGGCTCATTTTGCTTCACATATGTTTGATATCAGCCATGTAGCTGCTTGTATCAGGAGTTCTTCCACAATGACTTTTGATTTTTTGACTGGTGATGATAATATGTCCTTGAAGGTGTTCACGGAAAATGTTCAGTAAGTTACATGACCAGCTTTTTGGCAGTAGATTCATTTGTGGCTCAGTTAATACTTAAAAATATTATCCTGGGATTTGGCGTACTAATGCAGCATTGCCAAAAGCGATGATATGTGTATATCTGTCTAGTTGGATTCTAAGGAAAACAATATATATAGAAAAGGCAGAACAAGGGCTTTGGAGTGAAATAACCTGGGATCAAATTCAGTCTTTGCTGATCATTAATATCATGACCTTGCCAAGTAATTTCATCTCTGTAAATTTCAGTTATCTCCTCTTTGAAAGGAGAAAAACAATACTAACTTCTTGGTTGTTGTGTGTGTATATTTTAGAGTTAAGTGAGTTAGCATATGTAAGGTACTTAGTACAATGTATTGCACTACCAATAATAACTATTTAATTATATTATTCCTTTATCATTATTTTACCCCATATTTCCCACATCTCTTTAATCTGTCACAATGCTGAATGCACTTTTGGGGTTTACTTTTCATTGCCCTATAGTCTGAAGTATTTTGATAATTTCCTTTAGCCACTTTGTATGTACTTGTAGATTTTTATAATATAAATATGGCCCATTTCCTACTTTTTAAAAGTATACAGTTGAAAGCATACAATATTTGCATGGCATGAAAATTTGCCTATTTCATTCACATTCATAAAATACACGAATATTTAATTTATAATTGAATTTACTTAATTAATGAAATACACAAATCATTCTCTGGAATAATAAAATGGGTAGTGTATACAAGCATATGCAATTTATAAAAGAGCCTTAGTTAAGCCACTGTTATTTCTGCTTACATGTTAGAGACTCTAAAGCCATTCCTGAAGCTAATCCAATTCTGCCACTTTCTGAGTGCTAAGTTGTGTGACTTTAAACAAGTCATTTAAATTCTTTAGGTCTCAGTAGGTAAAATGAAGGATTTGGCAAGAACCAGGGATCCTTTTTTCTATTATAGCTTGATTTGTGCTGAGGAAAAAGGATAATGGATGGAGGGATGGAGGAAGAAGTCATTGAATGTTAAAAGTCACCATGAAAGGCCAGGCATAGTGAGTCACACCTGTAATGCCAGCACTTTGGGAGGCCGAGGCAGGTGGATCACCTGAGGTTAGGAGTTTGAGACCAACCTGGCCAACATCGCAAGACCCCATCTCTACTAAAAATACAAAAATTAGCCGGGCGTGGTGGGTCATGCCTGTGACCCCAGCTACTCGGGAAGCTGAGGCACAAGAATCGTTTGAACCCAGGAGACGGAGGCTGCAATGAGCCGAAATCATGCCAAGGTGACAGAGTGAGACTGTATCTCAAAAAAAAAGAGTCACCATGAAATAATATGAAGAAAGGAAGTTATACTGTTCACCTAGATTTATGTCCCAGTTCTGAAACTTTACCTCTAAATTCATTATATCAAATTAAATACTTATTACTGATGAATAAGAAGGTTTTCATCAGCAAGAAAGAAACCGTGAAGAATTTCTGAAAATTTGAAAGCTAGTAAGTTCACCAAGGTACGCTGATATTAGAAAAACACGCAAGAGCCGATATATTTCTTATATATCAGTAACAACCAATTGGAAAATGTAATTGAGAAAAGATTTCATTCATAATATAAATAAAAAATATGAACTACATAGCAATAAACCTAATAAGAAATATGTAAGATCTAAATGAATGAAACAGGAAAACATAATAAGAAAAGAATGGAAGAAATGAATAAGTGGAAATATATCTCCACGAGATGAGAAAAGTCAATGTTATAAAAATGTTAATTCCCCAGAGCCAATCCAAAATTAAATGCATTTTCAATCAAAATACAACACAATTTTTTATGGGACTTGTCAAGCTGATTGTAAAATACACCTGGGAAGTTAGAAATGTTCTCCAGTAGCCAAGTAAGCGTTGAAAATAAAGAACTACACAGAAGTATGGGGTGGAAAAATTACCCTGTGGTACTTCAAAATATTCTATAAAGTTGTAGCTATTAGAACAGTATGGGTTTGGACCAAGAAGAAATAAATAGATTGAGGGAGGAGAAGTCTAAAAGGCCCATTTTTATATGAGAATTTATTTTACAATAATAGTAGCAGTAAGGAATGATGACATATGCATAAATGGTTGTGGTGCATTTGATAATTCATTTGAAAATGATAATAATTGGAGCCCTATCTCACATAAGGAAATATAAATTTTACATGGGTTAATACCCTAAATGTACAAGAAATTATGTAAATACTGAAGAAAACACTGAAGACTTTTTGTTTTAATTTTAGTGTATTGGATATTTTCTCAAGCAAGGCATAAAACCAAGAAGTCATACAGGAAAGGACTGTTTGACTAAATCAAAATTTTAAAATTTTGGTTGATCAAATATTCTATATACCTAGGCAAAATAGGCAATAGACTAGGAGAAAAGGTTTTTGACATACAAATAAAGGACTGAAACAGGAAGCATGTAATTCCATGAATTAGAATTTCTTATGAGTTAAAATGAAGTAAGACAAGAGTAGAAACAGTTAACAGTTAACAGTTAACAGGAGAGGAAACACAAATGGCTGATGAACTTATGAAAGACACTCACCTCACTACCAGCCAGTTAGCATATTAAAACACAAGATAACCTTTTTTCACCAAATAGACTGGCATAAATAAAAGTGTGATGATAATATATAAGACTTTATAATACATTTTGAAGTACCCTCTACTCAAAGGTGGAGAAAAACAATCTCATACACAAATGTTGAAAATGTAAACCGCATGCGTTTCTGGCAAGGTTATAAATAAGTACAGCAATTCTTGGGTGGCAGTTTAGTAGTAAAAGCATCTACTCTTTGACTTAGCAATTCCACATATCCATATTTATAGAAACCGTCATTCATGTGCAGAGGGTGACATGTGAGACACTGTGCACTGTTTTCAAGTAGCAAATTAATAGAAACAGCCTAAATGGCCATCAAAAAACCTATGCTGTATCCGTGCTATCCAGTATTATCAAGTTAGAAGTTTAAAAGTATCAAGTTAAACCATATTTCATGACCTAGAAACATATCTTAAAAATATATTAAGTGAAAAAGTAAAGTTGCAAAGCAATACAGGTTATGTGATACAATTTATAGTAAATACACACTCACACAGAAAAGCAAAACAATGAATAATTTATAAATATACCTGTATACGTAAGCACATGGAAAATAGTCTGGAAAAAATGTATGTCATACTAATACAGTGGCTTTAAGGGAGTATCTTTAAGGAAGGGAATAGGATGAGGGGTGGCCAAGTAAGAGTTTATCTTTCTTGTAGAATTCTTATTTGAATTCTTTACAGTAAGAATTTATTCAGATGTTACTTACACAGTTAAAAAGTATTATTTAAATTAAAAGCAAATCAAGATAATATCAAGGGTAGGAAAAGTTTATAAATATTGAGAAAAAATATATGCATACATGTGAGAACACATGTACCTTTATAATGATAGGCTCTTTAAAGAAAACGTATTACATATTCTTATTTTTGTTTTGCAGATAATTTCATGGTAGATTCTGTTAGTCTAAATCCTAAACTGCCAAACTATCCTCAGTAAAACCCTGAAGCTGGGAGGAGTGGAGGAGAAGGGTAAAAGTGTTCCAGAGATTTCTGGAAGGGGAAAGGAGGAAGAGGAAAGAAGATGAAAGTATTCTTAAGGTCACAACCTACCAGATTGGGGAAAGGCAGAGATAAAGGAAAAAGTATGTCTCAGCAGGGGAAATAGTTGGTATCACATTTTCTCAAAATGTGTGAGGGATATGTGTATTATTTAGGGCCAAAGCACTGGAGAACTTTTAAATTAACAAGGGAAAGAATAGCAACTTAAATTAGTAAAAATACTAAATAGGATAGTGATGAAATAACAATATAAAATAAGAGATCTAAAGTAAGATATAAGAAATAAAATTAAGTATACCAACTTGACACTAAAATGTATGGTAAAAAGAGAAATAGGATTAGAAAGTAGTCAAAAGCCATTGGAGATTGCCATATTGGGTTAGAGAATAGGAGTTTTTTTATTAAAAAAAAAGAAAAACTTACAGTGACAAAAAAGGGAAAAATGAATGGATGAGTAAAGATACTTGAAAAATGCTAATATAAAGAAAACAACTGTGGAGAAATTACAACAGATACAGTGGAATTTAAGTTTAGAAGCCTTAAACAGATGAAGAGGGACATTGGGTAATAAAAAAAATTTACAAGTCATAAATAAAAATTTAAGTCATAAAATTGTATACACCAAAAACCAAAGCAGTTAAACATACAAAGCAAAAACTTAAATGTAAGGTGAACTTAATAAAACAATACTATTATAGAAAAAGACCTCAGAACACAAAGATTCTTTCAGAATTGAGCAATTCTGATAAATAATAGGAACGTAAAGATATAAAGAATACAATCACTAATCTTGATATAATAGCCATATACAAACCACTGCTTTGCTTCAATAAGGTATATTCATTGTACTTATATATCTGTGAAACATTTAGAAAGATAAATTATGCCTTAGCTCCATAGGAAACCCTAGCAAAATTTAAAAACATGTAGATTATACAGGCCAACTATCTGATAATAAGCTAATAAAATTATAAATACAAAAATGAAAATGTTTACTGCTTGGAAATTATAAAATACACTCCAGAAAATTCTTGTATCAAAGAAGATAGCAAATGTGACATTATAAACCATCTTGAAAACTATGTAGAGAAATATACTTCATATCAAAACCTGTGGGACACAGCAAAAATAGAAAATTTACATGAGACAGAAAAAATGGAAATTGGGTGGGGCATGGTAGCTCACGCCTATAATCTTAGCACTTGGGAGGCCGAGGCAGAAGGATTGCTTGATCCCAGGAGTTCAAGATCAACCTAGGCAACAAAGTGAAAAAAAAATGAAAAAGAAAAATCATCCGGGCATGGTGGCACACACTTGTAATCCAAGCTACTTGGGAGGCTGAAGTGGGAGGATTGGAGCCCAGGAGGTTGAGGCAGTGAGCCATGATGGTGCCATTGTACTCCAGCCTGGGTGACAGGGTGAGACCCTGTCTCAGAAAGGATTTAAAAAAAAGAAAAGAAAAAATGGAAGTTGGATATCCTCAAATATCTTTAGTATTAGAAAATAAATATAATAAAGTAGCAAAATTTATTTTAGAAATTGGGAAAAGGAAAATACAAAAGGAAATAAGTAACAATGAAGGCTAAAATTAACCAGAGATTTATATGTGTGTGTATATATATGTATGTATATTCCCAAAAAGTTTATTAAAATACCAATAAAAATAGTCAAATCTCTCATTTGACTAATAAAAGAGAGCTAAGCTATATAAGAATGAGGGAGAAAAATCATAGCCATAGATGTCAGTGAATAAAAGTTTATAAGAAAATAATCATCATGTCTGTCCTAACAAATTGGAAATAAATTATTGCCTAGCAAAATGTAAACTGTAAAATGAAGTGTATGATGTAAGAGATTGGAAAGACAATTAAAGACCTACCATTGAAAAAGGTCCTAAAAACAGACAAGAATACAGCTAAGCTTTATGTAATCCTAAAAAATGTGTGTAATGCCAATATTATTTAGATTATGTCATACCATACAAAAGGTTAAGCCAGCATAACTTTAATACCAAAATCTTATAAAAATACTAGACCTAGGAAAACTATAGACAAATATCATTTATGAGTTAAGATACATTCTAAAGAAAATATTAACAAATAGAATAAAGAAATGTCTTTAAAGATACATTATACTAAATGAGGCAATTTCTGAAGTGCCAGAGTAGTTCAATATCAGGAAATATATCAACATAATACAGTGTGACATAACTTCAAATTAAAGTAGAAAAGTCACATGGCCAAAGCAAAAGATCTTGCATTTGTGCTTGAAAAGTTCAATACTCATTTTCAATAAAAACTCTATGTACAACAGAATAGATGGAAACCAATTAAGTATAATAGAGTATATATAACAACAGAAAAAAACAGCAAATGTGCTGGCAAACAAAACACAGAAATCCTTGCAATTAAATTCTGGAAATAATAATGCCACTATTATTATCCTACAATATGTTGAAGGTTCTAGTAAAGGTAATAAGACGTGAAAATGAAATGGCAACTATAAATACTGGAAAAGTAGAATGAAAACTGTATTCCTTTACACATTTCATAGCTACATTCTTAGAAATAATCTCTAATAAAAAATCTGCTAGTTTAAATATGGTTAACTCATTGGATTGAAAGTAAATATAATAAAAATTAATAGCTGTAATCTCTTTATTCAATAAGCACCTAGAAATGGAAATAGCAAATTATTTCCTTTCAAGGTAAGGACTAAAATTATAATATATTTAGAAATAAATTTAGCCACATGGTAAAACTCACACACAAAAAAATGGAATTGTATTAAATTATTTTAACATGGTTTTGGAAGAATACATGTCTGAGAAGAAAAGTCAGGAGAATCTGCTTTGCTAGATATCAGACTGAACTATAAAGCTATTATATTTAAAATCAATATGGTGTTGGAATGGCAATAGAAAAAATATCAAGAGAACCAAGTACAGAAATAGATCTTACTATGTATGAAAATCTAATATATGACAAAGTCAGTATTTCAGTTCTGCAGAAGAGAGATGGATTATTTGAAAGATTATACAGATAACCTTGAACAATATGGGCTTGAAATGCATGGGTCCAATTATACACAGATTTTTTTTCAATAAATATACAGTGAAATTTTTTGGAGATTTGTGACAATTTGAAAAAACTCACAGGTGAACCACAAAGCCTAGAAATATTTTTTAAAATAAATATACACAAACCTATTATAAAAAGGTAAAATGTATCAAAACATACGCACACAAACACAGACCATACATGGTGCCATTGGCAGTCAAGAAAAATGCAAACAAGTGTAAAGATGCAGTATTAACTGTAAAATTAACTGTATACATACTGTACTATTGTAATAATTAAACAGCCACTTCCTGCTGCTATTGTGGTGAGCTCAAGTATTCCTAGTATCCACTTAAAATGCTGTATGAAGCCATGCACAGTGGCTTACACCTGTAATCCCAGCACTTTGGGATGCCAAGGCAGGTGGATCACCTGAGGTCAGGAGTTTGAGACCAGTCTGACCAACATGACGAAATCCCATTTCTACTAAAAATACAAAAAATTAGTCGGGCATGGTGGTGGGCAACTGTAATCTCAGCTACTTGGGAGAATGAGGCAGGAGCATTGCTTGAACCCGGGAGGTGGAGGTTGCAGTGAGCTGAGATCACACCAATGCACTCCAACCTGGTCAACAGAGCGAGACTCTATCTCAAAAAAAAAAAAAAAAATGCTGTGCAATGCCAATCATCTCTGTGTGAGCATTTCATCTCTCCAATCTTTTTACTGCAATTGCATATCATGGCAAAAAGTGATCTCTCTTGGTTCTCATGTATTTGTCATTGTATTTAGTGCAATACCAAAACCCCATGTCAACTAGTGATTCTGGAAGTGCTCTAAGAACCAGAGAAAAGTCAAGACATTATAAGAAACCATTGAACTGCTACATATGGACCATAGTTTGAGGTCTCCAGCTGCAACTGCCACATGTCAGACAAACAATTCATCTTGTAAACAGATGGTATAGAGTCATAGTATAGATAAATACAGTACGCTACTGTAAATATATTTTCTTTTCCTTATGATTTTCTTAGTAATATTTTCTTTAGCTTACTTTATTGTAAGAATACAGTATAGAAAATGTATAATATACAAAATATGTGTTCAGTCTTTATGTTATTGATAAGGCTTTTGGTCAACAGTAGGCTATTAGTAGTTATTTGCGCCTTTTTTTTTTTTTTTTTTTTTTTGAGACAAGGTCTCACTCCATCACGCAGGCTGGAGAGCAGTGCCATGATCAAAGTTCACTATAGCCTCAACCTCTTGGGCCCAAGCAATCCTCCTACCTCAGCCTCCTGAGTATCTGGGACAGGCAAATGCCAACATGCCCAGCTGATTTTTGTATTGTTTGTAGAGATGGGTTTTCACCATGTTGCCCAGGCTGGTCTTGAACTCCTGCGCTTAAGCAATCTGCCCGCCTCAGCCTCCTGAAGTGTTGGGATTACAGGCATGAGCTGTTGCACTCCACCATTTGCACATTTTTGACTGCTAAAAACTCCTAACCCTCACGTTGTTGACACCAAGAGTCAACGGTACTTATACTACTAGCTATCTACCTGGAAAAAATACATATACAGAAAACAGGTATAACTGGTTATCTTGTACCACATGAAAAACAAATGTAGATATATATAAGATTTTAATGTAGAAGAAATAGTAGATATTACAAAATAATATGAGAGACCATACATAAAATCAAATAAAATCCAGAAGCTATAAAAGAAAGGTGAACTTATTTGATTCTATAAAAATTAAAACTTTGTATGATTTTTGAAAATCCTAACATAAGCAGTAGACAAACAATAGATTTTACGGGGCAGTATTTGAATTAAGAGGACAAACATCTATAATATACAAAGAGCTCTTACAAATGGACAAGAAAAAGACATGTAAGGCGCTAGAAAATGGAACAAATATATGAGAAGGCAGTTGATAGAAGTGCAAATCCAAATGGCCCACAAACATGTCAAAAGGTTCTCCATGTCACTAGTATTCAGGAAAAGGCAAGTTTATGTAACAACTAAATATCTCCTTAATTATATTAGCAATAATCAAGGAGAGAAATAATGCTTATTACTGTTACGGATACCAAGGAGAGGGTACTCCCATATATGTAAATGTTAGACTTTTTGAAATGGCAGCTGGCAATAGCTATTCAAATTAAAAGTACTTACTCTCTTCCCACAGCAACCCCACTTCCGGGACTTTGTGCCATAGAAATAAAAGCTAATTAGCCCACAAGAGAGAAACAGTACAGGAGAAAAAGCAAAAGCAGATGAGTGATTTTATTTATTTTTGTTGTTGTTGTTGTTTTTAGAGACAGAGTCTCTCTCTGTCGCCCAGCCTGGAGTGCAGTGGTGTAATCTCAGCTCACTGCAAGCTCTGCTTGCTGGGTTCACACCATTCTCCTTCCTCAGCCTCCCGAGTAGCTGGGACTACAGGTGCCTGCCACCACGCCCGGCTAATTTTTTTGTGTTTTTAGTAGAGACGGGGTTTCACCACGTTAGCCAGGATGGTCTCAATCTCCTGACCTCGTGATCCACCCACCTCGGCCTCCCAAAGTGCTCTGATTACAGGCGTGAACCACCGCGCCCGGCCCCGATTTCATTAAGTTTTTAGAAGAGGGGGAGCAGATGGAGTAGTGGGAACTGAATTAATTAAACAGAAGAAGCTACAACCTAAGTATTGGCATTGAGCAAATAGCAAAGGGAAGGAAATCTCCCTGTAGAACCCATGAGGGGTTCCACTGGGAGACCCCAGGTGCCACGGAGAGAGCAGGAGGGTGGAAAGTCTATGACCATGTAGATTCACTTCTTCCACTACTCACAGCAGTATACAAAGAAACAAAGGGTTTGACTTGTGAATAAGTTGAAAGAGGAGGGCTCCATGCTCAGAGATGCCAGTACAGCTGAAGGCCAGAGTAACAGGGATCACAAGAGGGAGTTAAGCTTAAGTATTCATGCTGCCCTGTAGGGGGCCCCTCCCCACCTCCACCTCTTCTGTCCAGCTGCCAGAACACCACCACCCAGATGTACACCACCCTGCTCTCAGCCTGTGGGGATTGGATCACTCGTCTCAGCAGGAGCTAAACAGCCTCCAGTTCCTGGCATTTGGAGGTCTCCCCAGTGGGAAGTCAGCTCCCCACATTCTCAATGAAGTCCAGCCAGGAACAAGCCCTGTCCATGCACGGAGGCCTTCTAATCATCAGTTTTTTGAAATGCATTCTCCTGTGTTAATGGATAGTCAAAAGTTACCAGACACTTGAGGATAAATTTTAAAAAGGAAGACATCAAAACCAACAAATGGAGAAAAGGAACCCAGAGGTCATCTGAAACAACTCAGTGAACAGAAGAAAATTGAAAAAACATAAGAAAAATGCAAAAAAAAAATTGTACTATACAAAGAGATCAGAGAAAACTTTAGAGTTCTTAGGAATTAAAAATATGATAACCACAATGAAAAAGACGCAGTAGAAGGGCTGGAAGGTAAAGTATAGGTAATTTCCCAGTAAGTTAAAAAAGTTTAGAGATAAAAAATTTGAGTTCAAAACTAAAGAAATTAAAGGATCAGTGTAGCCATAAGAATAATAGTAATACCAGAAAGAAACAATAGGAAAAAAATAGAGGGAAGATAATTGCGAAATAAGTAAGACAATTTCCAAGCAAGGAAGCATTCAGGTTGAAAAAGCCTGTGAGCCCCTGAGGACACATCCACAGCAGGTATATTATGAAGCTTTAGAACACATGGGGGAAAGAGAAGCTACCCAAGGGTGGGGACAGCTACAGGACAGCCAGGGACAATTACAGGTCATGAAATAGGAACTACAAACTGAACGATGTCTGATTTCTCAGTAGCATCACTGTCACGATCACAGTGGAATGAAATGCTCAACCTACTACGACCAACCAAATGTTAATTAAGCATGGGGATAGACTAAAGATATGTTCCAGCTTACAAGCACTCATAACCAACAAAAGAATCACCCATGTCCCTTTTCTTAGGAAGCTACCACAGAGTGTGCTTTAAGAAACGGAGTGGGAAGACGTATTTGGCCTAATACAGGATTTGATACAAGAAAGCAGCAAAATAAGACTCAGAATGATGACTAGGCAGTCTCATGAACAAAATAAACAGCTGTACAGCAGCCTTAAGAGCAATAGCCCAGGCAAGGCTCTAGGGGGTGGAAAATAAGCTTTATAGTATGGCATAAGAATGATACAATGGACTTTGGGGACTTGGGGGGAAGAGTAGTAGGGGAGTGAAGAATAAAAGACAATATATATGGTGCAGTGTATACTGCTTGGGTGATGGGTGCACCAGGATCTCACAAATCACCGCTAAAGAACTTACGTAACCAAATACCACCTGTACCCCAATAACTTATGGAAAATAAAATAATAAACTTTATATCTGAGAATATGGAACGTGTTACTGATGAGCAGTTGGAGAGTTGAGGGAAACATACAGGTTTTCAAGGAAAAAAATCACATTTTCAGAAAAAAAAAACACCAATAACAATAACAAACAAAAAAAAAATACTCCTAGGAAAATAAGAGATTGTTCATGAAAGAGGTCATGGAGTGCGCCATTTAGTCAGCCGTGCAATCAGTGGTCATGATAATGCTGTAGTTGCTATGAGTTTAAACATCAATGAATTATAAATTACTGTGTTAAAGTTAGGAAAGGGAAACAAGAAATAAAGGCATGTGATGGGAGAGCTTAGTCTGTATTTACCATGTTGGGAAGTCAGTGGAAGATGTCTGCAATTGATAAATCAAGAAATAACAGTGAAACATGTTACAAGAGCATTTTTGAGCAGCAGAAAATTGTAAAAATGGTTAAGAGTACAACTACCTAGATTTAAATCCTGGTTCTGCTACTCACTTGCTATGTGACCTTGAGGAAGTTTCACAATATTTCTATACCTCAGTTGTCCCATCAATAAAACAGGATAGCAAGAATGAAATAATCCAAGTATATTTTTAGAAGAGTACCTAATATGCAGTAATCACTTTGCAAGCCTTAGCTATGATTATTATTTCAAAAGTTGGAGCCAAGTATCAGGGAGAAGCCTGGGGGTAGAAGGTAGGCCCCCAAGGTAGAGAAGGGTGGGTGAGACACTTCTATTTTTTGTTTCAAGCTGCTTAGTCATATCTAACTTTTAAAATTTTATATATTTTACTTGGATAAAATAAAATTAATTGACATAAAATTAACTGGCAGTAAAAGATTTGGAGGAAAATTGAGAATAGTGCTATGATGGGTAAAATTTGAATGAAAACTGGAAAAAAGAAAAGTTAGTTCATTAAAGGCAGGAAAGTGAAAAAAATCAACACACCTCCCCAACAAAGAAAGCAAATTGAACAAGCCTGATGTAAAGGAAAAAAAAAAAGTAAAAATTCAGATAAATGACATTAGAAATTACAAAATGGTGTGAATTACAAATGGCGAAAGCTTTATACTAATGAAATTGAATGCTTAGTGTTCTAAGGAAGATAAAAGACAAAAATCATCTCAGGAGAAGGCAGGAAACCTTAGCCAACCAGGGATCACAGAAGACGCTGAGAGGGCAAAGATCAACCCCTAAACAAAGCGGCTGAATTCTAACTCATTCTATGAGGCTTGTATCATCCTGATACCAAAACCAGACGAGAAGACAACAACAAAAAAAGAGAGAACTATAGACCAACATTCCTGATGAATATAGATGCAAAAATCCTCAACAAAATACAAGCAAACAGAATCCAACAGCACATCAAAGGGATGATATACCACAATTAAATAGGTTTTATACCAGGGATGCAAGGATGGTTCAACATACACATAACAATAAATGTGATATATCACATACACAGAGTTAAGGACAAAAAACATATGGTCATCTCAATAGATGCAGAAAAAAAATGGATAAAATTCAGCATTTCTTTATGATAAAAACCCTCAACAAAGTAGGCATTAAAGGAACATACCTCAACATAATAAAGGCCATATACAACAAACACACAGCCAGCATCCTACTGAACAGGGGAAAGTTAAAAGCGTTTTCTCTAAGAACTGGAATGAGACAAAGATACCCACTTTCATAACTCCTATTCAACATAGTACTGGAAGTCCTAACCAGAGCAATTAGACAAGAGAAAGAAACAAAAGACATTCAGACCGGGTGTGGTAGTTCACATCTATAGTAATCCCAGCCTTTGGGAAGCTGAGGCAGAAGGGTCACTTGAGGCCAGCAGTTCAAGACTAGCCTGGGCAACATAGCAAGACCTTGTCTCTACAAAAATTTAAAATTTAAAAAAAGTTGGCTGGGTGCGGTGGCTCACGCCTGTAATCCCAGCACTTTGGGAGGCCGAGGTCGGTAGATCACAAGGTCAGGAGATCAAGACCATCCTGGCTAACACAGTGAAACCCCGTCTCTACTAAAAATACAAAAAAAATAGCCAGGCATGGTGGTGGGTGCCTGTAGTCCCAGGTACTCGGGAGGCTGAGGCAGGAGAATGGCATGAACCCGGGAGGCGGAGCTTGCAGTGAGCCGAGATCGCGCCACTGCTCTCCAGCCTGGGCGACAGAGCAAGACTCCATCTCAAAAACAAACAAACAAAGAGATAAATAAAGAAAAATTACTCGGGAGGCTGAGGTAGGAGGATTGCTTGAGCCTAAGAGTTCAAGGCTACAGTGAGCTATGATTACACCACTGCACTTCAGTTTTGGTGACAGAAGTCAGACCCTGTATCTAAAAAATGAAATAAAGGGCAACAAAATTGGAAAAAAAGGAAGTCAAATTATCTCTGTTTGTTGATGATATGATCTTATACCTAGAAAAACAAAAAGACTCTACAAAAAGCTCTTAGATTTGTTAAATGAATTCAGTAAAGTTTCAGGATATAAAAGCAATATCCAAAATCAAACATTGATGAAAGAAATTGAAAATGACACAAACAAGTAGAAAATCATCTAATTCTCAGGGATAAGCAGAATTAATATCATTAAAATAACCATACTACCCTAATCTAGAGATTCAATGCAATCCCTATCAAAATGCCAATGTCACTGTTTCGCAGAATTAGAGAAACATTCCTAACATTCATATGGAATGAAAAAAGACCCCAAATAGTCAAAGTAATCCTAAGCAAAAAGAACAAAGCTGGAAGCATCACATTACCTGACTTCAAATTATATTACAAGCCTATAGTAATCAAAATGGCATGGTATTGGTATTAAAATATTCTGTTCAATGGAACAGAATAGAGAACTCAGAAATAAACACACATTATTTACAGCCAACAGATCTTTGACAAAGCTGACAAGAGCATGCATTGGATAAAGAACACTCTTTTGAATAAATGATTCTGGGAAAATTGGATTGCCATTTGCAGAAGAATTAAGCTGAAGCCACATCGCTCACCATGTACAAAAATCAACTCAGGATGGATTAAAGTCTTAAACATAAGACCCAAAACTACTAGAAGAAAACATAGGGGAAACATTTCAGGACACTGATCTAGGCAAAGATTTTTATGGATAAGACTTCAAAAGCACAGGCAACAACAACAAAAAATAGACAAAGAAACCATATAAAGCTAAAAAGCTTCTGCACAGCAAATGAAATAATCGACAGAGTGAACAGAACCTGCAGAATGGGAGAATACATTTGCAAACTATTGATCTGACAAGGGACTAACATCCCGAATATACAAGAAACTCAAACAATTCAGCAACAACAATGAAATAATCCCATTAAAAATGGGGTAAAGGACATGAATAGACATTTTTCAAAAGAGGGCATACAAATGACCAACAGGTATATGAAAAAAGCTAAACATCACACATCATCAGAGAAGTGCAAATTAAAACTACAATGAGATATCATCTTACCCTAGTTACTATTATTAATAAGGCAAAAGAATGGATGTTGTGAAGGATGCAGAGAAAAAGGAATGCTTGTATACTGTTGGTGAGAATGTAAATTAGTGCAACCTTTATGGAAAATAGAATGGAGATCACTCTAAAAACTAAAAATAAAGCTACCATAAAGCTATCATTTGATCCAGCAATCCCACTACTGGCTATCTACCCAAAGGAAAATAAATCCGTATACAAAAAAGAAACCTGCACTCATATGTTTATCACAGCACTGTTCACAATAGCAAAGATAAGTAATCAACCTAAGTGTCCAACAACAGATTATTGGATAAAGAAATGTGGTATATATACATAATGTAACACTGTTCAGACATAAAAAAGAATGAAATCATGTCTTCTCCAGCAACAGGAATGGAACTGGAGGTCATTTTCTTAAGTGAAGCAAGCCAGACACAGAAAGTCAAATCACACATTGTCACTCATAAGTGGGTGTTAAAATATATGTACACATGGTTGTAGAGAATGGAATTATAGACAGTAGAGACTTGGATGGGGTGTGGCTGGGGGGTGGATGATGAGAAATTAATTAATGGGTACAAGGTACATTATTTGGCTGATGAATACCTTAAAAGCTCTAATGGGACCATTATGCAATCTATCCATGTAACAAAGTTGCACTTGTACCCCATATATACATGCAAAACATATATAAAACCAAACCACAGCATTTCTACATGCCAGCAATGATTAATTAGAAAATGTAATTAGTGAAAGACATTAATAGTAACAAGCACTCTATGAAATGCCTATTAACAAATCTACTTGAGAGCTTTACTATAGAATGATACAATGTCCATGCATGGGAAGACTCAATAATTTAAAGATAATATTCCAAAAATTAAAAATATTAAATCAAAATCCCATCATGCTATTTTACAGATTTTGACAAGAACTGGAAGAAAATTTTTGCAAAAGAAAGCATGAAGGGGGACTTGCCTACCAAATTTCAAAACAAATTATAAAGCTACAACCAACACAGTATGATATGGCTCAATAGTAGAACAATAAATGAAAGAAGGAAAATATCTTCACAATGTTTAAATGGGAGTTTTGTTTATGATAGAGATATTATTTTAAATCAATAGATGAAACAATAGGGATTCATCAATGTATTTCTAAAAAATTCATTATAGCTGTAACAAGATAAGCACAAGTAAATTCCCTGATGGATTAATATATTACATATAAAATATCAGAGTATGTTTATAATTTTTTGGTAGGTAAGGTATTCCTAAGCAAGATACAAAATCCAGAAGCTACAAAGGAAAAAAATGATATATTTAAATACAAAACCAAGCCAATTAACCAAATAAACAAAAACCCTATTGCAAAAGACATCGTAAATAAAGTTAAAAGACAAGAAACAGAGAGGGAAAAATTCCAATATTAATATCCATACTATTAATATATAAAGAGCCCCTACCAGTCAATAAGGACAAACAAACCAAAAGAAAAATGATCAAAAACTATGTAGAAGCAATTCACAGAGAAAATAGCAGATATCCAATAAACATTCAAGTACAGTTGCAATGAACAGAGAAATAAAAATAAAACAGCAATCAAACAACATTGTTGGTTGACAAATATTTTAAAAATTGATATCCAGTATTTAGAGTGTGATAAGTGGGTGCTACACTTTTGTTGAAAGGTAATTTGGCTCTTTATAACAAAAATTTAAGTATGCATATCAGCCCCAGAAATGCCAGTTCTTGATATCTCTTCTGCAGAAATGCTTGTACACAAGTAGATATTTAAGTTTTAGAATGGTTATTGCCCCATTGTTCATAACAACAAAGAATCAGAAATAACCAAAATAAAGTTTAGTGGGGAAAAGGTTAAGCCAAGAATGGTTCTTCCGTGTGATGGAGCACCATGCGGTGGGAAAAGTGAGTAAAACTGATCTCCGTGTACTGACAGAAAGAATCCCAAAATATTCTATTACATAAAAGAAGTTGCGGAACAATGTGCATCATACTGTGCCATTTATTTATGTTTTTTAAAACCTAAATATGTGTTAGCAAATTTGCATACATTGGAAGTGTTCTGGAAGGATCCACATCAAATATAAACAATGGTTACTTCTGGCAGGAGACAACAGGACTGAAGGGGGGTGAGATGGGGAGGGAAGCATTGTAAAAAAGACTTCCACTTTTACTATATACACTTTTACATTATCTGATATTTTATTATAAGAATAGTTTCACATATTGTATAGTTTTTAAAAATTAAAAGACCATGAAATGCTACTGATCCTTGTCATATTCTTTTGAAAATTACTGCCTTTTGTTGTTCTAACATTTAACAACTGCAGGAAGTGATCGGTCAGAAGGGACCCTTGTCACTCCCAGTGAGAGAAAGCAGCTATGCATTATTTACCATTCTGCTGGAAGCAATATTCAGGATATGCAAGTATGCAATAGATGGGAAGAACAGGCTCATCTGTGCTCTTATCTCTGTGGTGTGATTTGGGAAGTGCCTTATAGGCCCAAAATACCTCTTCTGCTGGTGGTCACGGAGCTCCCATTCCACCTCAGCCCTTTGTTCTTCGGGAGTGAGATACTGTTTACCCTCCTGACTTTCTCTCAGCACTGCAAGGGGGGAAACAGACTGTCCTTAGACTGTTGCAAGCAACAGTCTGTCCTTAGACTCTGAGCATAATCACCAGAAACACCAGTGAGCCAGTTTACTACTCCAGCCCCCTCCCATCCCCCTCCACATTAAAAACTAAAATAATTGAGAGTCCTATTTACAAGAACTTTTTGGATAACTTTTACTGCTCTGTATCCTGTTGAAAATAATTTTTGAAAATTGGAAAGGAGCTGGAAAGACTAGCATGAGAATGATTTGTTTTCAATAAGGCCTTAGAGGATGGAGAAAGGAAGTAGAAAGAAAGTAATGCCCAGACTTTAGAAATGTTCCTCTGCTTCGGTTGGTAGATGGGACCCAGAATAAGTTTGTGTAAGAGGAGCAGAAAGCTTGTGTTTTATCAGTTGTGTTTCAGACTGTGGCAGGATCTAAGAGGGGGAAAGTCAACATCACTAGACGAAATCTGGAAAGGCCCTGAAAATTTACCAGAGCACCAGACAGAGTAAATAAATGCCTCTTATGTGTATTTCAACAGCCACAAACAAACCTAATGATGTGTATGTATCCTATTGAAGTCATAGAAAAGAGAAATTTGAAAAGTTTCTCAGAATCAGTGGTTCTCAACTGAGGTCCCTGCACCACCACCAACAGCAGCAGCATCACCTGGGAACCTTTTAGAAATGCAAGTTCTCGGGCCCACCCTACACCTCCTGATTCAGAACATCTGGGTGTAGGTGTCCAGTAATCTGACTTTTTCAAGCCCTCCAGGTAATCCTGATGCACGCTACAGCTTGAGAACCCCTATTCCAGATCAGGGGTCGGGAAGCATTTATTTCTGTAAAGGGTCATATAGTAAATATTTTAGCAAAGAGCTGGCTGTAAGGCCTCTTGTCAGGCATGCTCACTCTGCAGTGGTAGGCAAAAGCTCATGTAGATAATATGTAAATGAATGAGTGTGACTGTATTTCAATAAAATTATATTTACAAAAGCAGGGATTTTGTCCATAGGTTGTGGTGTGCAAATCCGTGTTCTAGATAATAACAACAGCTACCACTTATTGAGTATCTCCTGTGGGGCTTTTTAGGAATCATCTCATTCATTTCCCCCAGCATTCCATAAGGTAGGCGTTGCTGCTCCCATCTTACAGATAACGAAATGAGCTTCAAACTTTCCACAAAGCATACACTTAATAAGCCTATAAATCAACCCTTAGTTTACTGTAAAAGCCATGCTGTTTACTTTGATGCTTAAATAAATATTTAAACTTATTGTATTATACTCATTATTACTAATATTCAATAAATACAACACGACTGACATTTTCTTCATCTGATGAGCTGACATTGTCGTTGTTTTTATTATTGTAAAAGAATATTCATGAGCACCTTTCTCCCGTTACTGGTTATGTCAGTCTCCCATCCCCATTTTCTTTGTAAGATGCTGAGTCTCCTAGCCGACAGTTGAGCTGACATCACCATATTGCTGGAAACCAAGGTGAGAGGATACTAACAACCAGAGCAAGCCTCCACAGGCCTCAGGCTTGGGCTCTAGGAAGGCAATGGGTGTATTGGGCATCTAGGGCAGGACTCCTGAGGAAGGTTGGATAGGAAAATGCCAGCAGGAAACACCTGCTTCTCAGTGTTGTGTGCTGAGCTACCTGTGGAAGCTTGAGAGAGATAATTGCCTTCTGGGATTAGACCAAGCACACGCACTCTGAAGTGACCCATGATAATAAAGACTATTTGTTGTACACTCCTTGTGGTCCACACATTACATTAAGTGCCTGTATTAGTCTGTTCTTGCACTGCTATAAAGAAATACCTGAGACTGGGTAATTTATAAAGAAAAGAGGTTTAATTGGCTCACAGTTCCACAGGCTGTACAGGAAGTATAGTGGCATCTGTTTCTGGGGAGGCCTCAGGAAGCTTCCAATCATGGCAAAAGGTAAAAGGGAAGCAGGCATGTCCTACATGGCTGGAGCAGGAGCAAGAGAGAGAAGGGGGAGGTGCTACACATTTTTAAACAACCAGATCTCGCTGTAACTACTCACTATCATGAGAACAGCAAGGGGAAAATCCACCCCCTTGATCCAATCACCTCCCACCAGGCCCCTCCTCCAACACTAGGGATTACACTTCAACATGAGGTTTGGGCAGGGACACAAATCCAAACCATATCAGTGCCTTAGTCTGTTCCTGTTGCTATAACAAAATAGCACAGATTGGACCATTTATGAACAATAGAACTGTATTTTCTCACAGTTCTAGAGGCTGGACAGTTCAAGATCAAGGCACCAGCAGATTCAGTCTGGCGAGGACTGTTCTTACTGCAGTACCTTACCTGAAGTGTCTCCATTTTTCATGAAAATACAATAAGGAAATAATCTCTCTCTTTTACAGATGAATAAACAAGATCACACATCTGGTGTGACCTCAGCTTGGGTTTGTGCTTCAATCTGACTTCAAAGCCAAAGTTTTACCTATTATATCGTACTGCTTCCCCTAAGGACTACCAGCAGGTATAGGGTCAACCATTGGCCTTGTAAGGGCTTTGAAAAACCCAAGTGGCAGCTCCATTAAATCTCAGCAACTCAGCTGAA
The DNA here is from genome assembly GCF_000001405.40 of Homo sapiens. NCBI lineage: Eukaryota > Metazoa > Chordata > Mammalia > Primates > Hominidae > Homo > Homo sapiens. The sequence continues at coordinate 132,827,838 of NC_000002.12, read as the reverse complement.
ATACATTTAAACCTGTCTATCTTAGAGGCCCTTATTCAAAAATAAGAATCAGTATAAAGGAAATCAAGGCCATGAGAAAGCACAGACCGAGAATCCTATGAACTTTTTAGTGTGATCACAACAATGTCTTGTTGAGTAATTTTTTTATAGCACATAGATGAAAAGCACACACACTCTGGAGCCAGACTGTCTAGGTTTTTAACTTGGACAAGGTATTTTATCCCTCTACTACCATTTCCTCATCTGTAAAATGTGGCTAATAATGCTATCCACCCCATAGGGAAGTTGCGAGGATTAAAGTATCACATAAGGAAAGATAAATGTTTGAGATGATGGATATGCTAATTACCCTGATATGATCACTGTACATTATATGTGTAACAGCATCACTATGTACCCCATGAATATGTACAATTATTATTTCTTAACTAAAAAATACAATTAAAAGTGGGCAAAGACTTGAATAGACATTTCTCCAAAAAGGATCTACAAATGGCCAACAAACACATAAAAAGATGCTTAATGCCACTGGATTATCCATTTAAAAGGGATGGAAATGGTAAATTTTGTGTTGTACATATATTTTGTCACAAGAAAAAAATAATGCTCTTTTTTAAATTAAAAAAATATATATCACATCTAAGGAGTGAGGTCAGGCCTGTCATACAGTAAATGCTCAGTCATTTTAACTGTTGCAGTTGTAATTTTTTCCATGACTATATCTATACACTCCATCTCCATCTGAATGACAGACACTCATGACATTTACCACCATGCAGTCTTCTGCTCCCCATGAAAAGCAGCCTCTTTTCTTCCCTTTTCACGTATCAGTGCCTCTGTCGATACCTAGAGTGTCAGTTTGCCTCTAAGTACCAATACTTTCTCTTCCCCCACCTCTGCTCTCGCCTTGTCTTTCATGCCTTGCCCAGCACCCATCGCACTGCAGATGCTTGCAGAGGGTTTGTTAAACTTACAGTGAACTTCTACTATCAATGGTCTGTTAATGAAAATGTAGCAAAAAGAACATTTCTTCTCCTGTATTGTGAATAAACCCAGGATGTCCTATTTTTCTCCTTAATCTATCTATAAACTGCTTGATTTACCTAGGCATGGGAGGCACTCATTAAATGGTGACTGCCTCTGCTGCTCTTATAATTCTATCACTACTCACTCCTTCTGTAGCAAATGTGAGCTAATATTTTTCTATTAAACATGAAAGTCTCACTAATTGTTATTATGGGTCACAAACATGATTTTGACTTGAGAAGTAAATATCATTCTAACAGGAGGGCAAAGCACAAGTCACATAATACAAATAAAAGTATAATTTGGTGTTGTCAGGTCACCTCTAATAGCCCCTTGGTTGACACCATACTGGGGAATTAAATAATGGTTCCAGAAGGCCCTTCCTGAGTACAATATGCATAAACAACAGGTGTGCTGTTTAATTGTTTTCTCATCATGATGCATATTTCACACCCCATAACTCCCAAATGGAATACCAAAAGAATACATAAAATTAAATGATTCAAAGATTTAAAGGGTTTATGCCTTTGTGATAGAGTGGGAATCCACTGAAATCTTTAAAAGGGACCATAACTATTTAGTATAATAATTATTAATGTACCTAAATATGTAATGTTTATTTTGGCTTTAAAAATTTACACTCCAAAGATGACAACCACAGAAACAAGGTGTGTACACATTCATGGAGAGCAAAGCAGTTCATACATAGATTTTACAAAAGCAAAGGATTAGTTATCTCTTACCTCCTTTTAAATAAGCAATTGAAAACTCCACAGAAGTAAAGCATCGTGCAACAACGGCTTTCTGTTCTTCCCTTGCTGTTTCCAAACTAGCCTTTGCCCTTTGCAAGTGAGCACTGTAGCATGACTGCCTGGAAGGGACTACATCAGTAATTACACTTGTCACCATTTAATGTTCTCTTTGCTGCATACATTACACTATGCATTTCAAGCCAGATTAACCTAACTACAATTACGTTAAGTGATTTTTAGCACATAAGTATGTTGTGTAAGATTTTTTGTTACCATCTGCTGTGGAAACAACAGTTTTGCCAGCATAAATCCATATGGCTAGCTCCTCCCATCTCACAGTAAGACCAGGGATAGTAGTTAAAATGGAGCGTGAGCAACAGTGAAACATGAAATCACTAGTCAAGCAATCACCTCCTTTGTACTGAATTCTGCTAATGTTCTCTTTCCTCTCCCATAATATGACTTGCCCTCTGTTAAAATGGCTTGATATTGGTAGCTTTCAGTCCTTATGGAAAAGTCCTGTCCTATTGAATACATTCCTATTGATTTTGCTGAGGATGTGAAATACTGTATTTAGAGATAAAAATCAGACACTCAGTGTAACTGAAGAGGCCATTAACGTTTTAACTCTTAGTCACCTCCCTTCCCCCTCCAGATTTTTGTCTTCCTCTTAGGGGTGGAGATGTGAACTATATCGTTAACAAGGCTGGTCATAAACTGTGCCATCCCTCATTATCATGCATTAAATTTTTGTGGATGGTCATCCTGGAAGTTCATATTAAATGTGGTGGCTTACCTTGAACATGCTATGTTTCATTAGCCACTCACCTATGTAGAGACACCGGAGAGGGAGATTATTTGTCGGTGTCCTGTGGGCAGTACGAGGATAGCTGTGTAACATTATGAATTAAAGTCCACTTAACTGCTCTTGAAGTAGAGAAAGTTGGCTTCAGGATATTGTCCCACTGAGATCTATGTTGGTTTTCAGGGATCTCTAATACATGGGCCTTGTCTGAAACTGAAACTATTTTTGCCTCTCCAACTTGTTCTTATGGCTGCTGACATTTCAAGTTGACTCACTGAATCAGTTAGAATAGGATAGGTCATGCTGTGGTAACAAACAACCATAAAATCTCCATGGCTTCAAATACAAAAGTCTATTTCTTTCTCATGCCACATGTCTTTTATGAGTCATCAGTCTTGCTGTGCACATGTTAAACACTCAGGAGACCTTGCTGATGGACCAGCCACCATCTCAAACATTGCCAGTCACTAGGCCAGCAAGATGAAAGCTCTGAGGGGGTTTCACATCTGTATTTAAAATGCTCTTGCTTGAAGCATTCCATCCACAATTCATTAGCCAGAACTAGTCACAGGGCCCCACCCAACCACAGAGGGGTCAGGAAGCACAACTGATGAACATACTCCCAAAAGGAAAGAGAGCTAGATTTATGTGATAGGCAGCACTTGTGACCACCATACACAATCAATATTCTTCTCCCTTCTTTCTTCTACTTCAGAGATTAGAAAGCCAAATATGCTATTTCTCAGCCTCCTTTTCTCCTAGTTCTGGCCTATGAGACCTAAAAGGAAATCTGCCATAGAGATTTATGACAAAACTTATGTTACCTGATAAAGGAGGGACAGATATGGCTCTAGATGTTCTTCATCCCCTCTTAACCCTTCTCTCTATCTGGAAGGTGGAAGCAATGCCAGGATGTGCAGCAGTCATCTTGGCATGAGCCCCTAGTAAAAGAGGGCAGAGCAGAGCAGAAAGATGGGAAGAGTTTAGTTCCTTGACAAGATCAATGAACTGTTACACAAGCCCTGGACTGCCTACCTCTGGACATTTGGCTATGTAAGAAATATAAATCCCTATAAGCTGAAGTAACTGTTAAGTGAGGCTTTCTGTTTTTTGTTTGTTTGTTTTTGCAGCTGAATGAAATCCTGAGATATTCCTTATTTATTCTGAACTTCAAGAGGAAAACATTCACATCCAAAAAGATGTATTACCCACAGTCACCCCAATACATTTGGGAGCTCCAGTGTTAGGTGCATATATATTTAGGATTCTGATATTTTCCTGTTGGATTATTCCTTTTATCATTATATAATGTCCCTCTTTTGTCTTTTTTACTGTTGTTGCTTTAAAGTATGTTTTGTCAGCTTGCTTTTGGTTTCCATCTGCATGGAGTATATTTTTCCACCCCATCCCTTAGGTTTATGTGAGTCCTTATGTGTTAGGTGAGTCTCTTAAAGACAGCAGATACATGGTTGATGGATTTTTATCCATTCTGCCATTCTGTATCTTTTAAGTAGAGCATTTAGGCTATTTACATTCAACATTAGTATTGAGATGTGAGGTATTGTTCTATTCATCATGTTAGTTGTCGCCTTAATACCTTGGGTTTTTTTTCCATTGTGTTATTGTTTTATAGGCCCTGTGAGATTTATGCTTTAAGGGAGTTCTATTGTGGTGTATTCTGAGGTTTTCTTTGAAGATTTTAAACTCCTTTTAGCATTTTATATAGTGCTGACTGAGTTGTGATGAATTCTCTCGGTATTTATTTATCTGAAAAAGACTTTATCTCTCCTTCATTTATGAAGCTTAGTTTCACTGAATACACATTCCTTGGCTGACAATTATTTTGTTTCAGGAGGCTGAAGATTGGACCCCAATCCCTTCTGGCTTATAAGATTTCTGCTGAGAAGTCTGCTGTTAATTTGATAGGTTTTCATGTATAGATTATCTTATGGTTTTGTCTCACAGCTCTTAAGATACTTTCCCTTGTTTTGACTTTAGATAATCTGATGACTATGTGCCTAGGTGATGATCTTTTTGCAATGAATTCCCTAGGTGTTATTTGAGCTTCTTCTATTTGAATGTCTAGATCTCTATAGCAAGGCCAAGTCTTCCTCAATTATTCCCACAAATAAGTTTTCCAAACTTTTAGATTTCTCTTCCTCAGGGACATCAATTATTCTTAGGTTTGGCCATTTAACAAAATCACAAATTTCTTAGAGGTTTTGTTCATTTTTTTAAATTATTTTTTCATTGTCTTTGTCTGATTGGGTTAATTCAAAAGCCTTGACTTCAAGTTCTGAAGCTCTTTCTTCTACTTATCCTAGTCTATTGTTGAAACTCTCCCTGCATGTTGCATTTCTCTAAGCATGTCTTTCATTTCCAGAAGTTGTGATTGTTTTTCTTTATGATATCTATTTCTCTGGATAATTTTGTATCCATTTCCCATTTTTTTTATTTCTTGAAGTTGATTTTCACCTTTCTCTTGTATCTCCTTGAGTAGCTTAATAATCAACCTTCTGAATTCTTTATCTGGCAATTCAGAGATTTCTTCTTAGTTTGGATCCATTGCTGGGGAGCTGGTGTGATCTTTTGGGCTTGTTATAGAACCCTGTTTTGTCATATTACCAGAATTACTTTTCTGGTTCTTTCTCATTTGGGTAGACTAATTCAATGGAGAGGCCAGACCTACTGGCCAAGCCTGCTGTTCAGATTCTCTTGTCCCACGGGGTGCTCCCTTGATGTGCTCTCCCCTTACCCCTGGGAATGGGGCTTCCTGAGAGCTGGACTGCAGTGACTGTTGTTGCTCTTCTGGGTCTATCCATGCAGCAGGGCTATCAGGCTCCAGGCTGGTGCTGTGGAATGTCTCCAAAAAGTCCTGTGATGCGGTCCATCTTCAGGTCTCTCAGCCATGGAAACCAGTACCTGCCCTGGTAGAGGTGGCAGGGGAGTGAAGTGGACTCTGTAAGTGTCCATGGTTATACGTATGTTCAATGTGCTGGCTTTCTTGAATACTGGTTATGCTAGCAGTGAAGTTGTCACATGGACACCCTCAGGACCTCTGGTTAGCCAAGGTGTTGCAGGCAGTGGAATCAAGTTTTGTCTTCTTCCTGGGATCAAGGTGATTCTGTCCTGAGTTGCTGTAATGGCCTGAGTTTGTTGGCCTCCAGCCAGGAGGTGGCACTTTCAAGAGAGCAGCAGCCAAGATGCTAGTAGGGGACTCTAAGCTTGCCCTAAGATGGCCAGAGTATTTTGGTTTTTCAGGTAATGGGTGGGGCCATAAAGCTCCCAAGAGTTTCTATGTTTTGTGTTCAGCTACCAGGGCAGGTAAGGAAGTACTACCCAGTCAGGGCAGGGTTAGGCAGGTGTGGGCTCAGACTCTCCTTGGGTGGAGCTTGCCACGGCCACTGTGGGGCATGGGGGAGTGATTCTCAGGCCAATGGGGTTATGTTCCAGAGGGGATGTTGGCTGTCTCTGCTGTGTTATATAGTTCACCAGGGAAGTGGGGGATAGCCTCACCCAGCTCCCAGGCAGTTGGTGAGGTGGGTCTCACTCCTGCAGTTCCCCACTCACACTTTGCCCCAGACTGTGAGCTACCCAGCTGAGAAAGCAAGCATGGCTTTCAGACCTCTCCCCTTCCTGTCTGTCCACTCTGTCCGCAGTAGCTCCTTCGCTAGCTCACTCCTATCCACAACAGCTCCTGCTGGTCCCCTGGACTCCACTCAAGAGAATTTGTGCCCAGTTGAAACCACTACCAATTTCAGTTGAGAGTTTCCTTTACCCAGCAACCCCTCCACAATTCCTCTGGCTGTCTTCCCAGAGGGCCCCCATGAGGTATAATCAGGGATGGCTTCCTGGGGCTTAAGCTAGAAGCTGGGAGTGCGTTCAAGGCACTTCTCACTGCTACTTGTACTTCTATATTTCTCACAACTCCCTAAACCTGTTTCATCCCTAGGTAAGGTTAAATCCTTCTCCCGTGGGTGATCTGGAGTTTTCAGATTCCCCAGTGGGGATGTGTGTTCAGAGGTAGTTTCTCCCCCTCACGCTTTGGGAACTCACAGTTTTTCACCTGTTTCATGGAATTTGCAGTGGAGTACTCCTTTCAAAGGATCTGTGAATTCTTTTGGTTTTTCCGGTATGTTTCATGGTGGTTCTTGGAGCAAAAGATCATGGTGTGAGTCCACACACTGTTATATCCATCCATTTTGAAGCTCCACATTCACCCTGTCTCCTCTCCACCATCTCACTCACCTCAATAAAATTAAAATGTGGTCCAGAGATTTCTGATAGATGACCCTGTTTCAGACTATATTTGCCACTTGGTCCTGCTGGCACATTTTATGTTGCCTCACTTATCACGCAGGATAAGCCCAAATAATTATGCAGTAACAACCTCCAAAATCTTTATGACAACCTATCTCTGGATTTCTAGCTTAAGGAAAATAAACCCTTGTATGTTTATGCCACCAAAATCTTTTCTTCTGTCCCTGAAAGCTAGGTGTAATCCTGATTAACACAGCCCATCTTGCTTATTCTTGAATTTAAAAGGAAAACTTCCCATTTAAAAGGATGTGTTACCCACAGTCTGTGAATGTTTTCAGGTTTTCTTACAAAGGGCTATGCAGAGAGGAAAATCCATGTAATATTCTGTAAAGGATTCTCAATGTATTTCCAATGTTCAGCTTTACCTATATTTAAAAAAAACAAAAAACAAAAAACAAAAAAAACACTGGCTGGGCTCGGTGGCTCACGCCTGTAATCCCAGCACTTTGGGAGGCCAAGGCGGGCAGATCACAAGTTCAGGAGATCGAGACCATCCTGGCTAACACAATGAAACCCCGTCTCTACTAAAAATACAAAAATTAGCTGGGCGTGGTGGCGGGCACCTGTAGTCCCAGCTACTCGGGTGGCTGAGGCAGGAGAATGGCGTGAACCCGGAAGGCAGAGTTTGCAGTGAGCTGAGATTGCACCACCACACTCCAGCCTGGGCCACAGAGTGAGACTCTGTCTCTTAAAAAAAAAACAAAAACAAAACAAAACAAAAAACTTACTAAAAATACCTGCTATCCCATTTCTCTGTCCTCTTTCAAAATTGAAAAACTTTCTCCATGTTTTAATAAAATATAAAGCTTTCATCCTCTGATTTTAAAAAATTAAGTCTGGTTTTCTAGGTTTTTGGGAATACCTAGGACACCTATAGCATAACATTTGTTGGGAATAAAATGAAGGAAGGGAAGAGAATATCCTGTGGTTCTGAAAACTTTATAAAAGCCTTGAAACTACCTATGAGAATACCTCCCTACACTGAGAATTTTACAGAATGCAGCTCAAATCTTTCAAGATGCAAAACGCTTTTGCTTTAAAACAGACTGGAGCTTGTTCAACATTAACCTTGACAAATTCAGGTTTTGTCGTGTGAATGAATGAATACTTCCACTCTTGAGAATTCTGGACCTTGAACATCCAAATTGAAGTAGGGTGGCAGAAAATTATCTTTATCTTTTTCTCTCTCCTTCCACTTTCCATCCCATCCTCATTCCCTCTTTAAATTTTTAACAGATTAAGTGAATGACTTCAACCAAAAAAAAAAAAATCTAATGAAAAAGCCTCTTCAGAAGCACTGTGGGATTTCTCACTCATCCTCATCCGTGCTCCCTAGAAGGACAGCTCTTTGCTTTATGACCGTGTATTGATCTCTAGTATCTTTCTTGAGCCTTGTTTCTTCTTTGCCTCCTACAGGCAAAGGGTGAGAGTTAGATAATAGTATTAATTTTCCAGACATCTGCACATGTTTTAATGGCCTTTTGAAGTTTGAAAATAGTTTCTCTTGAGCTCACCACAGGGCTAAAATGCCATTAAGGTCTAGATTGCAACAATACATAACAGTCATAGCTGTAGCGCTCTGCTTGGCAATGAGAAGAAAGCTAATTTATTTTAGTGGAGATTTGAATTAACGTAAGTTCCTCCCCCAACCAGGACCAGTGACTCCAGGTTCTAGAGGTAAATGGCAGGACTCAGAATCCCTGAAATTCACCCATTCCTGTTCACACATGTGGGAAGTCAGAGCCACAACAGAAGGGCTCCATGCCATATGCAACATAAGACAGAGGGTTGGGGAGCAGTGAGGTTCATAACCAATTTTTAACCATAGACCATTTTTTTTTCAGATCAAGGAAGCCTATGGTTCTTTCTCAGAATAATGCTTTTAATGCATAAAAGACATAAGATTATAAAGAAAGGCAATTACATTGAAATACAGTTGCCAAAATATTGGAAAAACATATATGAGATGGTAATACGTGTGCTTCCTTTCTAAAGCATGAAATAGCAAGCGCAAGAGGCAAGTTCAACTTGATTTTTAAATAGTGATACACATACACAATATTTAGAGATATTTTCAACAGCTATAATATGATAAAATGTCTGTAATTTCTGTTGGAGACAAAGTCACAAGTTTATAGCACTGTAGTTTGATGCCTCCATTCATAACTGAAGGAAATACTGAATTTTGGTTCAAGTTTAATGAAACTAAAGATGCATTTTTTTTCCATCCAAATTTATAAATATCTTGAATTCTAGGTCACACTCTGTCACCCAGGCTGGAGTGCAGTGGCACAATCTCGGCTCACTGCAACCACCACCTCCCGGGTTCAAGTGATCCTCCCACCTCACACTCCCCAGTAGCTGGGACTACAGGCGCACGCCACCATGCCCAGCTAATTTTTGTTTTTGTTTTTGTGTTTTTGGTGGAGATGGGATTTCACCATGTTGGCCAGGTTGGTCTCAAACCCCTGACCTCAGTTGATCTGCCTGCCTTGGCCTCCCAAAGTGCTGGAATTACAGGCATGAGCCAGTGCACCCGGCCCTATTCATGGATTCCTGAGGTCTCATTTCAGAAACTCCTGAGAATCTGCATTATCCATATCCTAAAAATTATAAGTCTGTAGAGACAGGACAATTGCTTAGATTATTCTTCCTATACAGAATTTAGCATTAGGGCTGGGTATGGTGTCACACCGGTAATCCTAGCACTTTGGGATTCAAGATATCCACTCTGCCGAGGCAGGTGGATAGCTTGAGCCCAGTAGTTGGAAACCAGCCTGGGCAACATGGCGAAACCGCATCTCTACAAAAAACACAAAAATTAGCCAGGCATGCTGGCGTGTGCCTGTAGTCCCAACTACTCAGAAGGCTGAGGCATGGGGATTGTTTGAGCTCGAGAGGTGGAGGCCGCAGTGAGCCATGATCATGCCGCGGCACTGCAGCCTGGGCAATGGGGTGAGACCCTGTCTTAAAAAATAAATAAATAAATAAAGAATTTAACATTAACCTTTAGAAAATATTTGGATAAATTTGATTTATATTTGATGTCATTCCCGACCATTTCTTAGTGAAGCATACACTCTGAGTTGTCTTCCTAAGAGTAGGGCTGGGTTCTGTGGACACAAACCACACTGGTATTTTCTTGGCCATTGTATGGTCAGTTGTGGGTGAAGCAGTGTTGGAGGCTTTGTTACTCCTCCTTTATGTAGAGCTACCTGGCCAGGCGCTGGGAACCCTACCAGAGGCACTGACATGAACCCCTGCTTATCCAGTTGGCCAAGGTTAATCTGACATCTGAAGCTCTCTGAAAGGAAAGGAAAAATGGTTTCCAGGAGAATTGTGAGTTGCTCTTAGAATTCACCATTGGTCTCCCATGGAGCACAGTTTTAAGGGAGAATAAGTTCAAATTAACCTCTTTATACACAAAAACATCAGGGAATTTCTTAAGATTTGAGAAAAATGAGATTTAAAACCAGGAATTTTTTTTTTTATTTCTTGTAACATATTAGAGGAACTAATTTAGCTTGTCCCATTACGTAGTGATAAACCAGCATTTGATAGCATCAGCCTGTGTGATAAAATGATTATGGCAGCCGTGAGAAAGAATCTAATAAGGAAATTCATCTGTAGATTCCAATTCTGTAAGAGCCAACATCGATCAACATAAATGTCAATAATGAGATGGTATTGAGAACTGCCTGATTCCTTCAGATGATTCTGGAGTCTAGTGACAGATTCAAGAAGTAAATGTGAAAAGGAATTTAAAACTCTCACAGTCACTCAGTGGACCAGCAGCAGGCTACATGGTACTTTGGTGCCATGTGGCATAGTCTATCTTGGTCCTCGGTAAAATCAGTAAGAAAGAAGTTGTTTAAGGATTTTCATATTGTAAGATATGTGTTACCAGTACCACGTGGTGACAGTATAATAACAGTTGTAATTATACTTAGTAATTATAGATAGACATTTGCAGTTCAAGGAAGGGAATAGGAGAAATGGAATGCTCTTATTTATTTGTATCTTTGAGAGGTCATGTCTAGATAGTGCTATGGCAAAGGAAACTGTCAGTTCCTGGAGATTCGTCAGGAAGGATTATATGGAGTAGAATTCTCAAGTCTTCATTTGCCATTTTATATACCTTCATTGATTGTCTGCTCAGGGGTTTTGCTAAGAGCTGGTCCATAGCTCCGTGTCATATTAGGGACCATGGGTAGTAACAGGACAAGTGTCATCCAGTTAGCTTCCAGATCAGGAAAACTGAGGAGTGTTCAGGCAAGTGAGACAAGGCAGAAATGTCAGGTGGGTGAGCAGAGAGGGAAGAATATGAAGACACTAGCTCTGCTCACCATCACAGGAGGCCATCTTGTGAGGGAGCCAGTGTTCCGCCTCAGCAGGGAAGTCCTCCCGTACTTCCTGTCAAGGGAGGAGTGCCTTTCAGGGCATGGACAGCCCTCCTGTGGAGAAAGGAAAGGAAATCCATTGAAACAAGCAGGGGCTTCCAGCAAGCCGCTCCCGACATTCTGACTGTAAAGCAACTGTGACTCAGCATTGGCAAAACGAACCTACTGAAGCATTTACCTATCCCCTCTTCCGCTTGCTACTTGTGTTTGTTCTACCTCAGCTGAACACTCTGCTATTGACTTTGCACTTTTTTTAGCTTGCTGCCGAAAGGGTGATTCTTCAGTGGAGGTGATTCTCTGGGCCCCACAAATTGTGCCCCAGATCCTAAAAACAGCTAGCAGTCTTCAAGCATTTAATTAAATCCTCACCACAACCTTACGAATCCAAGAGCTCCATCTCTTGAATTTGAAATTTCCGGTAAGCCCCTGTGAGCTAGTATTGGTATTATTATCCCTAAAGGAAATGAAGACTCAAAAGATGAAGTGGCTTGCCCTAGTCACACAAAGCCAGGATTTAAACCCAAGATTATGATGACACCTTTGGCCACCTGCTTTCCTGCCTCCCTGGTTATGGATGTAGCCATGGAGAGGGAAGCTCATTGGTGAGGCTGAGCCCAGGATTTCTCCTGCATGTTGAAAAGCTAGTTGTATAGTTATTATCCTCTTTGTTTCAAATATGTTGGCTGTAATGGAGAATTTTGGTCTATTGGATTCCAATCAATTGAGCTATTTTGATAAGGCAGTTAACATTAACCACAGCGTGTGGACCTGGGCTTTGCTCCAATGTAGAGCTTGATGATGCACTGGGCTTGGTGACGTCTTCTGTGACTCAACCATTGGCTTTTTGAATAAGTAATTCACATGTTACACAATGACTAAATTTTTGTACATTCAAGTTAAAGGGCATCTTATTTCCTTAGTTTTCTACCATTAGGAAAGGGTTTATGAAATAAATTTACCATCCCACACCAAATAGCTAAATAAAACACTATAGATTTATATGTAATAAATGTTTTTAAACCCCTGGAATTATTAACATGGGGTATTTGAGGAGCAATATTTGTAGTCTCCAACCCACAGTCTAAGAAAAAAATTGTTGTCTTTAAAATCGGCTGAATACTAACAAGTGTTCAAAGCAAACCCTTAATTTTACAATAATAATTAGTCTTGGGAATCTGAACTTCCCCATAGTTTCTCAAATGAGTCTAAGAGCAGCTTCTTCTCTCTATAATGCTCATTTCTTTGTAATAGTTATTTATAGATCCATAACCAATTTCTCTGAAAAATAAGAACTCATTTTTGGTATTCTCCGAGGTTGCAAATACTGCACATGGTATAATATGAAAGGAAAGCTCAGAGAAAGATAACTTTGCATCTTGAAAAAAGTTTCCATCAAAGTACTTTATGAAAATTGATAAATCTTTAGGGATTTGAGAAGACGGAATAATTTTAGGATTATGGTAACTACAGACTGTCTCAGAGAGATTATGGTATTTATATTTATGCATTGAATATCTGCTTAATACTTCACAATTTCCACCCTAGGAGATTAGGAATTTCTCTTTACCTTCCTTCTGGGTGCCTGCTTCACAGATTCACATTGTTTACGGAACTCCAGACATGCTTGATTAGAACAGAGTGTTGTGTGTCTGTAGAGTCTGAAGCAAAAACAATGGAAACATTGTTTTATGTCTTGGGGAAGATATGCCTTTTTAGTGAAATTTCTGATGCACTTGTAACTTCCTAATCTGTCATACAAATGTTTGCAATGTCATAGCCATGCACTTTTCTCTGAGATGTTACAGTCTCATCTTTAGTCAACTCAGAAGATTTGCTGGGGAAATCGACGAGCAGCTTTGAGTTGAAAGTCTTGAGATCACTTCTATCTCGGATTCTGTTTCCAGAAGCTTCCTCTAATATGCCTGAAACAGAAACCTGCAAAATTGAAGTTTAAATATAGAATATATTTAACAAACTAATAGAAAAATAAAAATAAATCCACTTGACTTGATGAATCCTGTGTATTAGCTGGAAACTGCCATTTGCCAAGAAATGATTTAGCTTAGTGAAATGTATTTTGCAGCTAATCCTTTAATGTCTGTTTTACATATTACCCTTCCCACTGTTAATATTGAACAATGTTGTAAGCTAGTAATTTTATGCCCTATATTTCAAATTGCTATTAGGAAGCCACATAAATAACAATTTTCAACTGCTTGTTTATAATACCATGAGGCATTTCTTACCATGGGGTAAAGTAACAGTGGATTTAAAAAACTGCTTTGGGGATAAAGCTACAGGGAAACCGTGATGCAGATCTGTAGCAACAAAGCCCATAAGGCAAACTGAAGTAATAAGTCTGAAACCCTGATAATGCACAACTTAGTATTAACTATCAAGGGAAGTGAGACAGTGGGCTTTCATTGAACATTCAGCCAGAGATTGCATTTATGTAATACATCTTCACAAATGTTGTAAAATGAATGGGACTCCAGCAACTTGTCCTAGTAAAACCAGGACATTGAGCTGTAAAATGCAGATGAGTGCACATCACGAAAGTCATTTTCATCAACACTCTGATCTCTTTCTTATCCCAGCCCCCATGCAGTGGAATACTGTGAGAGTCAATATTGCAGGCTGTGAAGGTCCCAGTGGTTATGTAATCTCTCAAACTCTGAATTTCATTTGTTCTAATCTTTCCTTTAATAATGTAAGGAAGCACCCATCTTATAAATAATTCTACATAATTTTTTTTGGTTCTCCAAAACACTGACATTGCATTTTCCCTTCTTTGGAGGTTATCTTCCAAAGTTAAGTGATAATAGTTTGATTTTAATGTCTCCTCATTGTAGTTGCAAGAGCAGGGCCCACGTATGGTTTCTTGCTGACCATCTGGATAACATATGGAACCCTTTGGTGTCACAGGAGGAGTCACTGCATGTCTTCAGGATTAGCAATTACGGATCACTGGAGTGCTGGTGGCTCTTTTCTAGCATGCAGCATAATTGAGGGCCCTAGACTGACCCCCTACTTCCCCAGCCACCCCTTTTAGGAAGAAGCATACTGAGAAGGCATAAAAGCTGTGTGAATGTCCACTGTGTCTACATTTCTTCCCAGAGACCCATCTGCAGTCCCTTCCTCTAGACCTTTCCTTTCTGTGCATAGGTAAGAGTAATGGAGGCCCACAGCCAAGTCCAGCACTGGGAAAAGAATAAGGTAGACAAAGGAGTAGAGGAAAGCATGTATTTTGCAGAAAGTGATGGAATGAGATCCTAACTCAGCTACTTACTTGCTCACTGTGTGACTTGACCCAAGTTCCTGATTGCTGACACATCTCTCTCACCATTCCCCTCTTGAACTTGCCTCTGTGGTCTTGCTGAACTTTTTGCAGAAAATGGCACATTCTCTCTCGTCTCTGGACATTTTCATATGCTCTTCTCAGAAAGACCTTTCTTTCTTTTTTGACCCCTGCTTTGGCCTGAATGTTTGTCTCTTCCCCCAAATTCATATGTTGAAGTCTTAACCCCCAAGGTGATGGCATTAGAAGGCAGGAACGTTGGGAAGTGATTAGATCACGAGCATGAGAGCTCTTATGAATGGGACAGTGCCCTTATAAAAGAGTCCTCAGAAAGCTGCCTTGTCCTTTCTACCACTTGAGGATACAGTGAGAAGGCACCATCTATGAACCAGAAAATAGGCCCTCCGCAGACACTGGATCTGCTGGCACCTTGATCTTGGACTTCACAGCCTCCAAAACTGCGAGAAATACATTTCTATTGTTTATGAGCCACAATATTGTGGTATTTTGTTTTAGCAATTGAAAAGACTAAGACAGCCCCCCTCTCCTGAGTAATCGTTTCTCAGTAACATCTCTTAGCTGTGCTAAAACTTAGCTACAGCTTCCCTAGGAAAGCCCCCAGAACCCCTCTGCCGAGAGTTCCCACAGCATACTATGTTGCAGGTGCCTGCTCCGCCTGTCTGATGAGCACCTTGATGCAGGGAGTGTGCTTGTTCATCATTGTACCCCAACATTCAAGCACGGATAAGACAATATAGTGGCAGAGAATGAGGTGCCATAGGGGCAGTCCTTAAGTTTATGTCCAGGTTCAAATCCTTGACTTAACAGTTACTTAGCCTCTCTTGTCCCTCAGTTTTCTCATTTGAAAAATGGAGTTGATAATAGTTTCTACCTCATAAAGTGACCATAAGGATTAAATAAGGAAAAATAATGCATATCACCTTCATCACGGAGGACCGGAGGCAGGACTAGATTGCAGCTCCAGACAAGGCAGCATGCGGAGGCTTGCATTATGAATTTTAGCTCCAGATCAACTGCAAGAACAAACCAGCAATCCCGAGAGGACTCACAGACCCTGCAAAGGAAGCGACCGCTCCTGCAGGACCCAGGAGATGCCCCAAATACTGTGAGTGCCCCAACTGCGGAAGTGGGAAAGGGAGACCTTCCTCTCCCAAACACACACCACCACTGGAGAAGCTGAAGTTCTGTTTGTGGGAGAAGTTTCTGACTTTACCTGGAGCTGAGTCAATTTAGAGAGCTGAGTGAAATACATGGGTAGAAGAAGCAGCAGAAAGGCCCTGGGAGCTTGCTGTGTCCCCTAGCAGCCCCTTCCTGCCTGGCACCACAGGGATCCATCAGGAAGGTGGCCAGAGGAGCGGGGGGTAAAACTCCACAGGAAGAAGGAAATCTCCCGCTGAACTTTGTAACAATTTGAACAGGGCCAGACGCTTCCTAGCCAGAACTCAGAGGAGGGCACAAATCTGGTTTGCAGACTCCACAGGCAGGGGAAGAACCAAGCCTTTTTTCTTTCTCAGCTGGGTGGTGGGTAGCCTGGGGCAAGTTTTCAAGCCTATCTCACCTTCCGCCTGGAAACAGACTCAGGGCTGTTGAGGGGGCAGGGGGCAGGGTTGGGGGGAGCATGGTAGTAGTGAGACCGGCCCTTAGGTTTGCATGGGAGCTGGGTGAGGCCTGTGACTGCCGGCTTTCCCCCACTTCCCTGACAACCTGCATGACTAAGCCTAGGCACACAACTCCAGTGACCTGGGAATCTCACCCCCATCTCCTACAGCAGCAGCAGCAAGATGTACCCAAGGAGAGCCTGAGCTCAGACATGCCTAGCCCCACCCCCACTTGATGGTCTTTCCCTATCCACCCCTGTAGCAGAAGACAAAGGGCATGTAATCCTGGGAGCTCTAGGGCCCCGCCCACAGCTGGTCCCTTTCCACACTAATACAGCTGATGCTTTCTGGAAAGCGCCACCTCCTAGCAGGAGGCCAACCAACACAAAAATAGAACATTAAGCCACCAAAGCCAAGGACCCTCATGGAGTCCACTGCATTCCCCTGTCGCCTCCACCAGAACAGTTGCTGGTATCCATGGCTGAGAGACCCATAGACGTTTCATCTCACAGGACTCTGTGCAGACAACCCCCAGTACCTGTCTGGAGTCGAGTAGACTCACTGGGTGGCTAGATCTGGAAAAGAGACAACAATCACTTTTGGCTTACAGGAAGCCACATCCATAGGAAAAGGGGGAGAGTACTACATCAAGGGAATACCCATAGGACAAAAAGATCTGAACAACAGCCTTCAACCCTGTACCTTCCCTCTGACAGAGCCCACCCAAATGAAAAGGAACCAGAAAACCAACCCTGGTAATATGACAAAACAAGGCTCTTTAACACTCTCCAAAAAAATCACATTAGTTCACCAGCAATGGATCCAAACCAAGAAGAAATCCTTGATTTATGTGAAAAAGAATTTAGGAGGTTAGTTACCAAGCTAATCAGGGAGGGATCAGAGAAGGCGAAGTCCACTGCAAGGAAATCCAAAAATTAATACAAGAAGTGAATGGAGAAATATTCAAGGAAATAGATAGCTTAAAAAACAACGAAAAATTCAGGAAACTTTGGACACACTTTTAGAAATATAAAATGCTCTGGAAGTCTCAGCAATAGAATTGAACAAGTAGAAGAAAGAAATTCAGAGCTCAAAGACAATGTCTTCAAATTAACCCAATCCAACAAAGACAATGAAAAAAAGAATAAGAAAATATGAACAAAGCCTCCAAGAAGTCTGGGATTATGTTAAACAACCAAACATAAGAATAATCGGTGTTCCTGAGGAAGAAGAGAATTCTAAAAGCTTGGAAAACATATTTGGGGGAATAATCCAGGAAAACTTTCCTGGCCTCACTAGAGACCTAAACATCCAAATACAAGAAGCACAAAGAACACCTGTGAAATTCATCACAAAATGATCTTTGCCTAGGCACATTGTCATCAGGCTATCCATTCTTAAGATGAAGGTAAGAATCCTAAGAGGCACCAGGTAACCTAGAAAGGAAAGCCTATAAGATTAACAGCAGATTTCTCAGCAGAAACCCTACAAGCTAGAAGGGATTGGGGCCCTATCTTCAGCCTCTTCAAACAAAACAATTATCAGCCAAGAATTTTGTATACAGTGAAACTAAGAATCGTATATGAAGGAAAGATACAGTCTTTTTCAGACAAACAAATGCTGAGATAATTTGCCATCAGTAAGCCACCACTACAAGAGCTGCTAAAAAGAGCTCTAAATCTTGAAACAAATCCTGGAAACTCATCAAAACAGAACCTCTTGAAAGCATAAATCACACAGGACCTATAACACAAAAATACAAGTTAAAAAGCAAAAACAACAAACCAAAAACTGAAGTACACAGGCAACAACGAGCCCAATAAATGCAATGGTACGTCACATCTCAATACTAACATTCAATGTAAATGGCCTAAATGCTCCACTTAAAAGATACAGAACCACAGAATGGATAAGAACTCATGAACCAACCATCTGCTGCCTTCAGGAGACTCACCTAACACATAAGAACTCACATAAACTTAAAGGGATGGAAAAGGGCATTTCGTACAAATGGACACCAAAAGCCAGCAGGAGTAGCTATTCTTAGATCAGGCAAAACAAGCTTTAAAGCATCGGCAGTTAAAAGAGACAAAGAGAGACATTATATAATGGTAAAGGCCTTGTCCGACAGGAAAATATCACAATCCTAAAAATATATGCATAACCCTGGAACTCCCAAATTCATAAAACAATTACTAATAGACCTAAGAAATGAGATGGACGGCAACCCAATAATAGTGAGGGACTTCAATACTCCACTGACAGCACTAGACAGGTCATCAAGACAGAAAGTCAACAAAGAAACAATGGATGTAAACTATACCTTGGAACAAATGGACTTAACAGATTTATACAGAATATTTCATTCAACAACCGCAGAATACACATTCTATTCAATAGTATGTGGAACTTTCTCCAAGATAGACCATATGATAGGCCATAAAACGAGTCTCAATAAATTTAAGAAAATTGAAATTATATCAAGCACTCTCTCAGACCACAGTGGAATAAAACTGGAAATCAACTCCAAAAGGAACCTTCAAAACCATGCAAATACGTGGAAATGATATAGCCTGCTCCTGAATGAGCACTGGGTCAAAAACCAAATCAAGATGGAAATAAAAAATTCTTTGAACAGAATGACAATAATGACACAATCTATCAAAACCTCTGGGATACAGCAAAGGCAGTGCTAAGAGGAAATTTCAGAGCCCTAAATGCCTATATCAAAAAGACTGAAAGGGCACAAACTGATACTCTAAGGTCACACCTCAAGGAACTAGAGAAACAAGAACAAGCCAAACTCAAACCCAGCAGTAGAAAGGAAATAACCAAGATCACAGCAGAACTAAATGAAATTGAAACCAAAAAAAATACAAAAGATGAAAAGATAAATGAAACAAAAAACTGGTTCATTGAAAAGATAAATAAAATTGATTGACCATTAGCAAGATTAACCAAGAAAAGAAGAGAGAAAATCCAAACAACCTCACTAAGAAACGAAACAGGAGATATTACAACTGACGCCACTGAAATACAAAAGATCAATTAAGGCTGCTGTAAACACATTTACGCACATAAACTAGAAAACCTAGAAGAGATGGATAAATTCTTGGAAAAATACATCCCTCTTAGCTTAAACCAGAAAGAATTAGATACCCTGAACAGACCATTAACAAGCAGTGAGATTGAACTGGTAATTTAAAAATTACCAACAACAAAAAAAGTTCAGGACCAGATGGATTCATAGCAGAATTCTACCTGACATTCAAAGAAGAATTGTTGCCAATCCTTTTGACACTATTCCACAAGAAACAGAAAGAAGGAACCTTCCCTAATTCATTATATGAAGCCAGCATCACCCTAATACCAAAACCAGGAAAGGATACAACCAAAAAAGAAAACTACAGACCAATATCCTTGATGAACATAGATATGCTAAAATTTTTAACAAAATACTAGCTAACCGAATCCAACAACATATAGAAAAGATAAACCACCATGATCAAGTGGGTTTCATACCAGGAGTGCAGGGATGGTTTAACCTACACAAGTCAATAAATGTGATACAGCACATAAACAGAATTAAAAACAAAAATCACATGATCATCTCAATAGATGCAGAAAAAACATTCAACAAAATCCAGCATCCCTTTATGATTAAAACTCTTAGCAAAATCAGCATATAAGGGACATACCTTTATGTTATAAAAGCCATCTATGACCATCCCACAGCCAACATAATACTAAATGGGGAAAAGTTGAAATCATTCCCTCTAAGAACTGACACAAGACAAGGATGCCCACTCTCACCACTCCTTCAGCATAGTACTGGAAATCCTAGCCAGAGCAATCAGACAAGAGAAAGAAATAAAGGGCATCCAAATTGGTTAAAATGAAGTCAAACTGTCACTGTTGGCTGACAATATGATCATTTACATTGAAAACCCTAAGGACTCCTCTAGAAAGCTCCTAGAACTGATAAAAGAATTCAGCAAAGTTTCCGGATACAAGATTAATGTACACAAATCAGTTGTTCTTTTATATACCAACAGCAACCAAGTGGAGAATCAAACCAAGAGCTCAACCCCTTTTACAATAGCTGCAAAAAAATTAAATACTTAGGAATATACCTAACCAAGGGGTCAAAAGGCCTCTACAAGGAAAACTACAAAACACTGTTGAAAGAAATCATAGATGACACAAACAAATGGAAACACATCCCATGCTCATGGATGAGTAGAATCAATATTGTGAAAATGACCATACTACCAAAAACAATCTACAAATTCAATGCAATCCCCATAAAAATACCACCATCATTCTTCACAGAATTAGAAAAAAACAATTCTAAAATTCATATGGAACCATAAAAGAGCCACATAGCCAAAGCAAGACTAAACAAAAATAACAAATCTGGAGGCATCACACTAACCAATTTCAAACTATACTATAAGGCCATAGTCACCAAAACAGCATGGCACTGGTATAAAAATAGGCACATAGACCAAAGGAACAGAACAGAGAACCCAGAAATAAACCCAAATACTTAACAGCCAACTGATCTTAGACAAAGCAAACAAAAACATAAAGTGGGGAGAAGACACCCTTTTCAACAAATGGTGCTAGGATAATTGGCTAGCCGCATGTAGGAGAATGAAACTAGATCCTTACCTCTCGCCTCATACAAAAATCAACTCAAGATGGATTAAGGACCTGAAACTATAAAATTTCTAGAAGATAACATTGGAAAAACCCTTCTAGACATTGGCTTAGGCAAGGATTTCATGACCAAGAACCCAAAAGCAAATGCAATAACAACAAAGATAAATAGCTGGGACCTAATTAAACTAAAGAAATTTGCACAGCAAAAGGAACAGTCAGCACAGTAAACAGACAGCCCACAGAGTGGGAGGAAATCTTCACAATCTGTACATCTGACAGAGGACTAATATCCTGAATCTACAATGAACTCAAATAAATCAGTAAGAAAAAAACAAACAATCCCATCAAAAAGTGGGCTAAGGACGTGAATAGACAATTCTCAAAAGAAAATATACAAATGGCTACCAAACATATGAAAAAATGCTCAATATCTCTAATGATCAGGGAAATGCAAATCAAAACCACAATGCAATACCACCTTACTCCTGCAAGAATGGCCATAATGAAAAAAAAACAGGAGATGTCAGAGTGGATATGGTGAACAGGGAACACTTCTACACTGCCGCTGGGAATGTAAACTAGTACAACCACTATGGAAAACAGTGTGAAGATTCCTTAAAGAACTAAAAATATAACTACCATTTGATCCAGCAATGCCACTACTGGGTATCTACCCAGAGGAAAACAAATCATTATTCGAAAAAGATACTTGCACACACATTTATAGCAGCACAGTTCGCAATTGCAAAATTGTGTAACCAACCCACATGCCCATCAGTCAATGAGTGGAGAAAGAAACTGTGGTATATATACACAATGGAATACTACACAGCCATAAAAAGGAACGAATTAACAGCATTTGCAGTGACCTGGATGAGATTGGAGACTGTTATTATAAATGAAGTAACTCACAAATGGAAAACCAAATATCCTATGTTCTCACTGATATGTGAGAGCTAAGCTATGAGGACGCAAAGTCATAAAAATGATAGAATGGAGTTTGAAGACCTGGCAGGAAGAGTGGGAAGGGGGCGAGGGATAAAAGATGACAAATATGGTGCAGTGTATACTGCTCGGGTGATGAGTCCACCAAATTCTCAGAAATCACCACTAAAGAATGTACTCTTGTAACCAAATACCGCCTGTACCTCAATAACTTCTGGAAAAATAAAAATAAAATAAAATATTGAATTAAATTAAATTAAATTTTTTAAAAATAATAATAATGTAAACACTTAGCACAAGACCTAGCCTGCAAGTGAGCACTCTATAAATGTTCATTTTTTTTTTTTTGCATAGTTTTATTTTTTCAGTTAGGTCCAAATTTACATATGGAATTATGCTTCCATGGAAAGAATGTAGTGATCTAAAAAGCAAATGAAATTAACAATACCAATCAAATACCAATAGTGATAACCATGGAATAATAATAAGGAAAGCATGATTTTAAGTAAATGAATGAATGATGTTTGTGTCTAGCAAACAGATATCACATTGTATTTAGAGGTAATTATTTTTTAATTCTATGCAGTTCATTTTACTGATTAATTTTTATTGTTATTTTAATAAGTTGTCTATAACAAATCATCATTAACCAGATTTAATTGGGTAGAATTAAGAGCATGAACTCTGCAGTCAGACTGTCCAGGGTTCAGATACTATTTATGTGACATTAGGCAAGATTTTTTTAGCTCTGTATGTCAGTTTTTTCACTTGCAAGACAGGTATGATAGTTCTTACTGTAGGTTGTAATGAGGATTTAAAAGGATAACATATGTGAAACACACACTTAGTGCTAAAAAGAGCTCGATAAGTGTTCACAGCTATTATTGTTGCTGTTATTATTATTATTTCCTTCCCAATTATCTGCCTCTAAAGCAGAACCTGGGAAGGAAAATCACCAAGGCAACATAATTAATTTGATGGGAGCTGCTCAAATTGTGGGCTTAACATTTAGGCAGAAATAAGCTACTTCCATAGGATTTGCCTTGTAAAAGATAGCAATGATGTTATCACGTCCCTCCCTTCATAGAAAAAGCAAGCAGAATATGGTAGGAAGAGCTTGGACTTAGAAGGAAGCAGGTCTGGGACAGAATCCTGGCTCTCCTGCTTCCTGAAATATATGTAGCATTGTGACTTCAGATGCCTTCCTTCGCTTCTGTCATCTTGGGTTCTTCATCTCTAAAAACTAAGATGACAGCTTCTTCCACACAGTAGTATGAAGATTCATGAGATAAGATTAGGGAAAGGACTTCACAGAGTGTCTCTTCCCCCCACAGAGCAAGTGGTAATTCATTTCTTCCTAATAAGTGGTACATTGAATTCTAGTGACCATCAATGGAGCTTCCAATAGGTCTGGTAAAAATAGGTCAAGTTTTGGGTTTTTTTTTCTCCACTAACTAATCCTTTTAGTTTGGTGAAATCAGAGGGAAAAAATGTGTTCCCCCACATGTAAAAGGCAAAATCTTCAGAAAGTCAGAACTTTTCAAAAATAAAGCTTGATTAAAAATGTAAAATGCAGTGTAGATAATTTTACAAAACAGCGGGGGCAATTGGAAAGCACTTATTAAAGTACCTGTTAAAGTAATTAGTGATGAAAATGGAAATTTCAGGGCACTTCTGTGTCTCTTAGATCCCAGAATAGGCTCAGGCTGTGCTGAATCACTTCCTCCCTTAGATCATATTTACAGAAGAAGACAAAAGGGAAGCTTCAGAGAGTCAGGCTTGGCAAGCAAATGCGAGTCACTCTTCAGCTGTCCTCCTGCCCACACGTCTGACTGGCCTGCCATGGGAGCCTTAACCTTCTGTCCTTTTTCTCAACATTCTGTCACTTTGCTGTTAGGTCTGAAATATTTCCGAATTTTGTTTGTTTGTTTGTTTGTTTGTTTGTTTTGTAAAGACTTCAAGAGATTTGGGAGCTCTGCAGGAAGAGCTAAGTTCCCTTTGCACAGAATATTCTCTTACATACATTTAACTGTGTGGTTAATACACTGGCCTCCACCATCTCTAGCTACATGGCACCCTTACTCTACTGTGATCTTGTTTGCATGTTCTGCCTTAAGAATTCTTGTATTTTTTTCTCCTTTGTGTGCTTGGTCTGCTCAGGGATATTGTCAGCTCTGTTAATGAGCTTCCTTGAGTCTCTCATAGCTCATAGTCATGATTCTGCACATAGTAGATGCTTCATAAAGCATAAAGCGTAAATCAGTGTTAGACTAATTAGAGCTGAGGCTCTTTAGGGCAAGGTCTGCTGTTTTCATCCTCATCCATCTACCCACTGGTGCTCACCCTGTGGGCCTTGGGGCACTGTTAATGGAATTGCAGCAGATAAGGACAGGTAAGAGGTGCTCTGGTCATCAGTCTAAGCTGCAGAGACCACGAATAAACTTTCTAATCACCAAACCAAATGCTGCTCCCTTAGGTAGCCACTGGATAATCAGGCTGTCATGGAAGTGGGGACCCTTGAAGAAGGTTTTGAATATAGCTGTGGAATAATTGTTTCAAAAGTATTTTATAACCTTGGGTCCTGGAGAAGTAGAAAAGAGACAGAGCCATGTCATTTGCCAAGGCACCATCCAGAGCAAAACAGAATGCACTCAGGGCAGCTAAACATTGATGTGCAAGGCAAGTCTAAAAGTTGTCAGGGAAAATAATAATTGCAACAAGGACTGTTGCAGATGGCTTAAAAAATTAGCTGTAAAAATTTCAGACACTGAAGTGAGATCAAATTATGATGGACATATTTTTTTAAAGGGTCTCTAGGAGAACATTTGGAAGGCACACTGTCACATCAGCAGGAAGGCTGAATGCAGATATTATGTTTTATCTTTGTAGCCCAAAATGGAAATAATGGCATAATCAATTAAACATCAGCTTTTATCCAAAAAGATTTTGTCCTGGTCTCAAATTTTTGTGAATCTAAGAAATGACCATATAATACTCAGTTATGTAATATGCAGTTATATAATATTCAGTTTTATAATAAATTCTTAATGGAATAGAATGAAACTTGTGAAATGTGAACCCAGGGATCTGCCACAATCTCTCTTGATGGGATTCTGGAGGGGCTGATGAAAAATCACACTTCTCAGTGTGGCAAAAATGTAATTCTAGTATGTGAATAAGGCAAAACTTTGGGGTTTTTATGGAAGATCATTTGGCTTCTACAGAAAAATTGTTTTCATCAGGCTCCAAGCTGTTTTAGAAAATTTCCTGCACCTTCCTTTTGGAGATCCTTATGCGTACCTGTGAAATTGCCTTGTTACCCAACAGAAGGAACAAAGCTTATTCACCTGATTATGTCTATTCAGGGTCATATTTAAAATGCTTCTCTTAAACATGCACCAAATCCTCTAG
Source organism: Homo sapiens (assembly GCF_000001405.40). Lineage (NCBI taxonomy): Eukaryota > Metazoa > Chordata > Mammalia > Primates > Hominidae > Homo > Homo sapiens. The sequence continues at coordinate 132,802,597 of NC_000002.12, read as the reverse complement.
AAAGGTGAACTTACAGGCAATCAGAGGAAGTGAGCAATATCAAAAGATACTCAGGAGATTTCATAATAACTCACTCCAGGTTTGCTTCCCTTGTGTTGGGCTCAAAGGGAATCAAACCCTGGGCCCAGGGCCCGCCTAAGACAGAGTTGAGGGAGCAGAAATGGGGCTCTAGGAAGCTTTCTAGAAGCTGTGAGGTGAGAACAGCTCTCCAAAGTGGAGATGATTTGAAAACAAAACTAAAGCTGAAAAAGCAGTAAGTTCTTTTTCTGAGAAATCAGCCCAACATCCAGTCCACTAGATTTGAGGGAGGGTGATCCCTAAACATGGCCAGGTCCAAATAAGCAGCTAGCCAAGGTGACAGAGTGTGGCAGAACCCAGAGAGACAGTGGGCTAGAGCAGACTAGGACTCACCAAGACGGGGAGCAGCCAGGGCAGCTGTTGGCATCCCTTCTCTCAGATCAGGTGCTGAACGGTTAAAACTTCTCTTTTGTGCCGATATTTGGCTTTTAATAGTTGGAGGGGCTGGGTGCAGTGGCTCATGCCTGTAATCCTAGCACTTCGGGAGTCTACGGCAGGTGGATAACCTGAAGTCAGCAGTTTGAGACCAGCCTGGCCAACATGGTGAAACCCCGTCTCTACTAAATAGCCAAAGGCTCAAATGCACCTCAGTCTCCAGTCTCTGCTGCCATCATTAACTAGAGAGCTGCAGAGTCAGTCACTACCACCCTGAAGGGTCCACTCCACCTTCATCCTGCCAGATAAAGGACAGTCAGTCCCTGGCACAGTCTGTTGAGGGGGACATTTCTCTGCCTTGAATTACAGATGCAGAACTGCACAGAGAACATAAAACTGACTGAATGAAGGCAAGTGAACCCACCAAATATTACCGACCCAATGTATAGTCCAGGCACTGACTACCCTGGCATTGCCAGGTCCCCAAAGCTTAGCTTGGTATTTTACACCTGTATGAGGCATGCGTTCTGTTATAAATTGTGATACATCTTAGCTCTTCACACAATCCCCTAACCCCTGCCCTTGTGTATAGTGACAGAAAGCAGGTCTCTTTCCTATGAAGCTAGAATCTTCAGTGGGGTTGTCACCTTGCGCTGTTGACATAGCCACTACATATACATGTGTAAATACCCGTATATATGAACATGTGTGTGCACCTATGTACACATATGACATATATACATAGAAACATGCATGTTTCTTGAGTGGCTACCCTGTAGGCTGCCAAGAGAACTGTGTCAGCCAGGTCAATGTCAGCAATAATAACAAACTCCAAACGAATCATGGCCCAAATTCAGTATAAGTTGGTATCTTCCTTGTGTCAAATCCAGAAAAGTCGTTTCTTTTCCCAGAGTGGCTTTCTTCCAATTGAGAATTAAAGAAGCCAAACTCCTTATACCTGGTTGGCTTCATCTTCAACAAGTGGCTTCCAAGGTTGCTGTGCTGAGTTGTCTGCATGAAGCCAGTGGAAGGATAAAGAGCATGGAAGACTATATGAGGGAGGTATTCCTGGGCCAGGCAAGAAAGGGCAGATGTCACTTTTGCTCAGGCTCCATGACTAGAACTAAACGTGTCATGTGGGCACACCTGACTGTAAAGGAGGCTGGGAAATGCAGGCCAGCCGTGCCCCCAGAAAGAAGAGGGCCAAGGTTCCCGAGGTTTCGTGACACCCAGCTAGTCCCTGCCACTGGGACAATGTAGAAATTAAGGGATTGACCTGCATTTTCATGGAGTTGATTGTCCTGTTAGGAAGATAGAACCTACACAGAGAACAACTCAGTAAGAGTACACTTTGGATAAAGGACCAAAATGAGAGGCAGTCCAATTCCTCAAGGCAGGGAATCCACTGTGGGTTAGAGAGGATAGATGACTTTACAGGGAGGGTTTCAGTGTCATCCTGAATACTGAACAGGATCTAGGGGCAGGAGGAGGAAAGTGTGCCATGGAAAAATGGACAAAAGATCAACTCAGACAGGAGAGGGGCACATTCCAGAGACAGCGAAGCCAGCCTGACAGGGAGGGTTAGACTGTCACCGTCAAAGGAAGCATATGAGTAAAAAGATCCCTCACTTACCTCTGGTTTGAAAATGTGTGAAATTAGGAGTCTCTATTTCTGAAACCCAGTTGAATCTCAGTTACTGAGACAGTGTGACAGATGACACAAGGCCTATTTCAAACCTATACTGAGTAGTCCTGCTACTTTTCATGTCTAAAATAAAACAAGTATGTCTAACTCCAGAATTCATTGGGATTTGCAGGTTAAAGACAGGAAGTTTAAAGTATTTCAGATGAGATTTTATTCAGATGAACACTAACAGTAAATATGAACTATACATGGGTATATGATAGAGAATTTGCCCCCTAAGCTGGGGGGCTCCTCTTAAGAGGTCATGGCCTTCTTAAGTCAGTTATGCTCTTTTTGACAGTGACTTAAATTTCTAATGTATACATTCTACCTATTTTTCACTGAAGCACAGGTAATATAGTATCAGTATAAAAAGTGATGCTATACACACACATGCCTGTATATTATGTATATGATGAAAATATGAGCCTATTATAAAAATTCTTGTCATAAGAAATGTAGTTTCTTTGGGGTTGTGTGCTTTCACAGTTATTTAAGGGAAGTTGTGTGATATTAACCTATCATTTCCTTGCCTATAGCCTTAACACAAAAGTAGATTTTATTGTGCTTGAGATGATAGGTAATCCAGTTACCCTGATTGGATCATTATACATTGTATACCTGTATCAAAACATCACATGCACCCCCATAAATATAAACAACTATTATGTACCCATAATAATTAAAAATTTTGAAAAATAATAATAAATGTTTAAATTATTTTTTTAAAACTAAACAGATTTTATTTTATTCTAAGTCAATTTTTATTTGCCTTATATGTATGAAAGCTATAACAATGAATGATTCATTCGTGCCTTATTATCTAAGAAGTTACCTACCACCAACTGTCAGGTATAACAATAAATTGGCCTATGTGAATTTCAGCATATTATCCTGTTTGTTTTCCCTTCTTAATATGATAGTGCCTCTCTATACCTGTGGTAGTAGATTAAATAGCCACTTCTGTCTTTCTTTTTTCTGAAAATTTACACTTACTGATGCCTATAATTCTGTCATTGGATGTTGTGACTTTGTTAGGAATTTTATTTAACTTCACCTTTTATTTTAGATTCAGGGGGTACTTCTGCAGTTTTGTTCCGTGGGTATATCGCATGATGCTGGGTTTTGGATGCAGGTCCCATCACCGAGGTAGTGAGCATAGTACCCACTAAGTAGTTTTTCAACCCATTCCCCCCTTTCTTTTTCCCCATCTAGTAGTCTGCAGGGTCTGTTGTTCCCATGTTTATGTCCATGTGTGCTCAGTATCTAGCTTCCACTTATAAGTGAGAACATGCAGTATTTGGTTTTCTATTTCTGAATTAATTCACATAGGATTATGGCCTCCTCTAGCTGGATTCGTGTTGCTGCAAAGGACATGATTTCATTCTTTTTTATGGCTGTATTCTATGGTATATATGTACCATATTTCTTTATCCATTCCACTACTTATTTGCACCTAGGTTGATTCCGTGTCTTTGCTACTGTAAATAGCCTGGCAATGAACATGTGTGTGCTTGTATCTTTTTGGTAGAATGATGGATTTTCCTTTGGGTACACACCTAGTAATGGACTGATGGGTCAAATGGTAGCTCTGGTTTAAGTTTTTCCATCTTTCTTTTTGCAGATGAGGGATTTGAGACTAAGAGGTTCAGTTACATTCCTGAGATCCTGTAGAACGTGTACCTTCAACAGGGCTAGAACTCAGGTCTCCTGGCCCTTGCCCCAGGACCTCTCCTTTCTCCCATGCAGACCTTCCCTATTTCAATGAAGGGAAGGGACCCATTTGGATAAAAGCCACTGAAACAGCCTTGAGGAGGGCAGGTTTTTAGATGCATATATTCATGCAGTAGGTGAAAGTGTGACATCATATATCTGAGAAATAATAATGAAGTGCATTCATGAACTGAGTCATTTAGATAGCTAATCCATTGAGGCCTCTTCTCTCAAATCAGATGATATACCACTCAAAATCATTTCTTTTGTTGAATGTCATTTCCCATAACTTCTTGTCCTGTTTGCATATTGATAAATGTATTCTTAGGTCTCACAACATTGTAATTCTTTTGGCACTCTCTCAATCTTTAAAACTTACATATGGGTGAGTAAAATATAAAGACATCTTTTTGTTTAAAGACTACAACAAGCACTAATGGGCTGCTTACTAAGTATGATGTATTTTGTCGGGTTCCGGAGATTGCAAGATGAGATAAATTGTATCTTTGCCCCCAGGAAAGTCAGATTCTAGAGCTTGAATCTTGAATTAGGATTATAGAATTAGGATTATAAAAACTGTCCAGAAACAATGCATTGGTTCTGGTTACCTATGGAGGTCTTAGCTCTGCTGGAGAAATTTGGATTTTCAAAGCAACAGGCAATCAGTTTAGAAATTATTTTCTTTTTTGTGAAAGGACTTCCACAGACACACAATTTGAAGGTCCACTGAGAAGGAGAACTGGCCAACCCACAACAGCAAAAAAATACCTTTACCCTTGCAGGAGGATAGAATACAGCCCTGCCACAGTGCCATCCTTCAGGAGGTGCTGTATAAATGTTTGTTGAATAATCACCTAACCAAGTACTCAGGGCTCTCACAGAAGTTCAGCCTAAAGAGAGTTGAATGGGGAACACAGAGAATGTGACTCATTTTAGTGGAGTTTGTAGTCCCTGCTGACTTCATGGTAGATATGCTGGGACAGAGTGACCAGTGGGATAGCCCTGCCCTCTAAGATGATTCTAACATTGCTCAGTGGCAAAGAAGCAAAGGCATTTCTTAGATCAGCATCAGTGTGCAGCAGGGCCTCTCCAGGGAGAAAAAGGAGTAGAAAAAACTTTTCGGAAGCGAGAGAGGCACGCTTAGCTGCATTATTTACTTACTCAATTAGATTTTTTTTTAGCATCTGGAGCCACAAAAGTTGTAACCAAGACAAACCAGGCTATAAGTGCCATTTTCAAAATGTCATCAGCCTAGCAGAAACATTAAGCATAAATCACGACTTTTATTGTATTTGCAATTAAACAGATCAAATTTAATGTCCACAGAAAAGCCTTAGTAATTAGTATCAAGATTAATACAGTGAAATGTCTCTGGCTTAGCAGTCCTCCCAAACAAAACTGAAATAAAGAATTCAGTATATAATTGAACAGCACGTGAATATTAATGTACAAAATCCTCAGAGTCCCCAGGTCCCCAAAGCAATTATTTTCTATTCACATTAATTGTTCCTAACAGATGACATTAATGACTTTGAGTTAAAACGTGTCCAAGGGAAGATTTCACAAGATCAATGCTGTTTAGAAATAAGGTCACTTTTATAATTATCTGCTCAGATTTTAACCACTGCTCAACATAGTAAGGTGAACTTGGTGATTGGTTTTCTTAATGTGAATATCAAATGTTAATTTTCATACTACCCAATAAATATATCAGAGTATTCATACTTTTCCTACTGCTTATTTTTTTAACTACTACTTATATTTTTCTACTACATATCTTCCAAGGCAGACTGACAGACTGTAAAAGCATCACTATTGTTTACAAAATGTAATTTGCACATACACGTACATATACATGTATGGGAACACTGATAAACTAGAATAAACTTTTTTTAATTAGGACATGTATTATCTAATCTGGAAATGTCAAGTCTTTTGAGATTTAACTGTCCAAGGCAGGATTTTGAGACAAATAATTAAATTATCGCTATTCAATGTTTCTGCTTGGTTTTACCTAGAAACTTCACTCACGTCTCTTGGATCTTTCATCTGGAGATTTGCTTTCAGAGGTGGAAAGAAACCGAAGTCTGACACAGTCACGAACTGATGCTGAGGTGCACGTGAGTTTCCCAGTTGCCTTCAGAACACTTGTTTTGGTGGTTATTTTCCTTCCATCAAATATGATGTCACAAGCGAACCATAAAGTGCATCCTTGAAGCATTGTCAGGCAGATAAAAATACCTTCCTTTCTTGTGTTCTCTGAAATTCAATATCATGTCCCCCAGCTGATATAGTAAGCAGAAAGTGTCATTCTTGGCAAAAATATCATAAATCTTGGCTTTGTCCCCAAGATACCTTTTTTGGATATTGATTACATCTCAGAGTCTCTGAGAAATGGTCAAGGAGCTTTTTATTAAAACCCACGTCCCATATTATTCATCCTACTTTTATGATATATTATGTATGAACTTTTAAAAATTCATGGGCTCTGCATTTTTTTTCTCTAGCTGGGGTTAGCTTTGTGCTTATCTGGCAAAACTTTAACCAGCATGGCTTTTTAACTCTCGTTGACATAAAAAGAGTAACTTGAAAAAACACAATTGCCAAATAAATATATAATGAAAAACGTGAGGCTTAAAACAATGACATGAACATTTGTGGATAACTGTTTTTTTATTTTACTGAATAATTCCATCAGTGTAGATAGACCATTAAATGTAAATATTCTCAAGTTAGATTTGAATTGAATTTCAGTGGAATATTGTCACTTTAAACATTCATAAAGACCTAATGGCATCCAATCTATAATATAGCCGTAAAGTCAGGAGTTTTTTTTTTTTAAGTATGGAGTTTTTATTTAAAAATGGGAAGAATGAAACTCTGGGCTTCATTCTCTTTTGTTTTTTTTGTTTTTTTTTTTTTTTTTTCTGATACGGGGTCTCATCCTGTTGCCCTGGCTGGAGTGCAATGGCGCGATCTCAGCTCACTGCAACCTCCACCTCCTGGGTTCAAATGACTCTCCTGCCTCAGCCTCCCAAGTAGCTGGGATTATAGGCGCCCGCCGCCACACCCAGCTAATTTTTATATTTTTATTACAAAAGGGGTTTCACCATGTTAGTCAGGCTGGTCTCGAACTCCTGACCTTGTGATCTGCCTGCCTCGGCCTCCCAAAGTGTTGGGATTACAGGCATGAGCCACTGCACTGGGCCAGCTTCATTATCTCTATTTTTTAACTAAAATTGTAGATTTTATACTGCATTTCTCACAGTAAGAATGTTTAAAGTATATGAATCATTCAGGGTAGTAATCTAAAATAAACAATGAGGAAAATATACTTTGGATAGTGCAGAAGACAGGTTGTATTTTTCCCTGTTAAATCAACATAATTAAGATAATGTTGCAATAGAAGCTAATACACATTTTTGATGAAGAATTTTAAGAATAATCATTATTACCAATGACAACTCACTGGGATTCATGGGGTTCTGTGTATCTCTGGGAGCTCTGCTCATTGTCACAGGGCTGACTTGGCATTATGGCATAGTGGCTTGGACTTGGGCCGGGCATCAGAATGTTATATTGATAGGGCAACTTGGGCAAGGTATTAAAACCTCAATGCCTCAGTCTTCCCTTTTAGAAAATGAGGATAATGATATTTCTTTTCTATTTCAGAGAGTTGTGGTGAGGATTAAATGAGATAACACAGGAAATGTGCATACACAGTGCCTGCTAACAATATTGGAACAATCATAAGATCTCTGTTCCTTTGGCCCCCTTCAGTTCTCTTAATATGTGGTACCATGCTGCACCCACAGCAAACCACAGCAAAGGTAGAAATGATCACTGAGAAAGGGCTCTACTAATATGTCTCTCCAGAAGCCAGAAGCTCACATCAGTGATCCCTGGTAACAAAGTCCATCCACTTTTGGCTATTGCCTAATGTAGTTACTACTTAGGTACCAGGCATCAGGGAATTATAGGATATCAGGAAGTGTAAAACAGGGTCCCGTAGGGAGACCATGAACTAACTGATGGCTTAGTTGAAGAGCCAAGACACATGTGTATGTGTGTGTGTGTGTGTGTGTGTGTGTGTGTGTGTATTTGTTGTTGTTGAGATGAAGTCTCACTCTGTTGCCCAGGCTGGAGTACAGTGGCATGATCTCGGCTCACTGCAACCTCCACCTCCCTGATTCAAGCAATTCCCCTGCCTCAGCCTCCCAGGTAGCTGGGATTACAGGTGCACACCACCATGCCTGGCTAAATTTTTTGTATTTTTTAGTAGAGACGGGGTTTCACCATGTTGGCCTGACTGGTCTCAAACTCCTGACCTCAGTCAATCCACCCACCTTGGCCTCCCAAAGTGCTGGGATTACAGGTGTGAGCCACTGTGCCTGGCCTCTGTCTCTGTCTCTCTCTCTTTCTCTCTCTCTTCCCGCCACCCTCTCTCTCTCTCTCTCTCTCTCTCTCTCTCTCTCTCTCTCTCTATATATATATATATATATATATATATATATATATATATATGTATAAACATTTTTAATAATAGTAGCAACACCCAGGTAAAAGTCCCTAAGCACCAGCGTTTGTCAGGGGCTGTTCAGTCTTCACAATGATCCCACATAGTAACTACTTTCATGATCTCCATTTACAAAGAAAGAAACTGAGTCACAGAGGGGTTCAGTAATTTTCCCAAGCTCACAGAGCTAGCAAGTGAAAGCCAGAGTTTAAACCTCATAAATGGCCTTGGAGTTCAAGTGCTCAACCACAGAACAGTTATTTACTGCAGTAGATAATCCTATGTGATAATCACATGCTGACGAAGGAAACTGTAGGGGAAAAAAAGCTCACTTTGCAGCCAGGATGTCAGGGATTCCGCATCCCTTATTAAATTCAAACATTGATTTTCCAAGGTGGGGGAAGTGGGAGAATTTCCCAGTAGAAAAGAGTGGCCGCCTCCTCTTCTTTGCAAGGAATTACTCTGTAACTACCGCTACACGTACACCTACACAGACACTCTCCTTAACTTACGTGCCTGCTGGCAGGCAGGCTCAGCCATTCCCTTTGCCTGGCTTAGCACAGCCCATGTCAGACAGTGAGGTACCACAACGTGCTGCTAGGGAACTCACATAAGAGACTGACTTCTTTAATAGCTTCTCCTAGAGGCTTGCTGCGCAAAGCATGGGTCACAGAATAGCAGCATTGAAGCACCTGGGAACTTGTTAAAAATACTACATACATCTCAGGTCCTACCTCAGAATTACCGAATCAGAATCTGCATTTTAACAAGATCCCTTGGTGATTCAGTTCACGTTAAAGTGTGAAAAGCCTGTCTTAGAGGACACCTCTCTGCTTAACCATCTTTGCCCCTGCCTGCTCCCACATGACATTCACAGGCCTTCTCCACCTCCCTCAAGTATCTGCCATCACATCAGGGCATCTCGGCTGGGCACGGTGGCTCACACCTGTAATCCCAGCACTTTGGGAAACTAAGGTGGATCACCTGCCTCAGTTGAGGGTTTGAGACCAGCCTGACCAACATGGAGAAACCCCATCTCTACTAAAAATACAAAATTAGCCAGGTGTGGTGGCACATGCCTGTAATGCCAGCTACTTGGAAGGCTGAGGCAGGAGAATCACTTGAACCTGGGAGGCAAGGCAGAGGTTGCAGTGAGCTGAGATCATGCCATTGCACTCCAGCCTGGGCAACAAGAGTGAAACTCCGTCTGAAAAACAAAACAAAACAAAACAAAACAGAGCATCTCAAGTTCAAGGCCAAGGGAGAAGCAGCAATTCCTTCTCACTCCAGCCCATCTTCTGAGTCCTACTTTCCTGTCATCTTAACCCAACATCTATACAGGAGGTAAACACATGGACATGAGTGGGCAGGGCTGCTTATTCATTAAAAGAGACCTGGGAATTGAGTTGTAAAAATAGGTATAATTTTAATAGAAGTAGTAGGAAGAACAGGCGGGAAGGACAGAGAATTGCATGCAAGCCTCCCTCAATACCTTGGGAGAAGGTAGAATGTAAACTGTAACCAATAGCCAGGCAGAGTGCAGAAAGGTCATTGGAGTTTGGATCTGGACAGCCTGGTGGGACAATAGACACAGTCTCTCTCTCTCTCTGTAGAGTAGACACATCTGTCAGAGCAGAGGCAGTCCTAAATAACAACCACCACACTGCGTATTTAAACAACAAAATATGAGAGGACAGACAGGAGAAAACAGAAAGCACACAGTAGAAGTGAAGCCTGATGAGATATTTCTGAAAGTTTGTTCAGTGCACATTCCAGGTGCCAACAGTGGCTGAGGCTGAAATGGCAGTTGCTGCTCTGCGACACAACCATTTGTTGTAGGCATCTGTGGAGATACAAATATGAACTCCCCTTAACTAAGTTACGTCCGGCAATAAACAAGTTCATAAATCAGTAGATATTGCTGAAAGCCTGATTTTAAGACAAGTTTCTCCTTTCAATAATATGTAGAGCCAAATTTCAGGGGGAAGAAATAGGATAGTAAAATTTCTTGGCATTTTTAGATCACTTAAAGAGATTGCTATGCAGCAAAAATGAAGTATTGATAGTAAGGCAGATGCCTAATACTGAAAATCTAATGTTATTAAGAGCTGAGATCATGCCATTGCACTCCAGCCTGGGCAACAAGAGTGAAACTCCATCTGAAAAACAAAACAAAACAAAACAAAACAAAACAGAGCATCTCAAGTTCAAGGCCAAGGGAGAAGCAGCAATTCCTTCTCACTCCAGCCCATCTTCTGAGTCCTACTTTCCTGTCATCTTACCCCAACATCTATACAGGAGGTATACACATGGACATGAGTGGGCAGGGCTGCTTATTCATTAAAAGAGAACTGGGAATTGAGCATTATAGGTATTGATTAGAGAGTAAATTAAACATGCCCTGTGTACTGATGTAGGAGTTTAATATTTACCACAAGTACTGTAGGATCATCATTACCTTCCTTTCCCAAGCTGGTGTTTAGTCACCGTCAGTTGGAATTGCATTTGGAGAATGGTGATAAGTACTCAGGTACTGAAAGGCACCCACAAAGTGTCAATAAATTGTATAAGTAAAAGGCTTTGCCACTCTGCAAGTGACACAAAGACAGATGGCTTACCATCAAAGAGTTTCTGAGACAAAGCTTTATATAAAAAGGAGACTGGAATTAGACGGCAATAGAGAGATTCTGTTCTCAGTGGTTGGGATGTAAATTAATTTAGCCTGTCCAGTTTGTAGAGCTTCATCTGTTACACGAGGGGCCTATAATGTGGCTGTCAAGATGTGTTTGGAGGTTTACAGCTTTATTTGTCACCCTTGCCTTATGAAGAACCACTAGAATTCTAACAGCTTGAACCTTCCACTAAAAACCCAGACCTACCTGATGTGAGGGTTATTACCATGTGGATAGCCAAATGGTAACAAGGACTGGATATGAAAAGCACTATTATATTTACAGTGGAGGCTCATTATACCTGAGTTTCGTGTCTGCTGTGCTTGGCTTCCTGTGAGGTAGCACAGATAGGCAATGGGCATCTGGTTGTGGACTTAGTATGATGCCATCAGAACCAGAGGAAAGTGTAGCAGAAATCTCAGACAGCGGCACCCTCTATAAAGAGGACATTAAAGACCACAGAAGTTAGAAGTCTTCCTTGCTCAAGAGTGCATGCTTAGTGGCAGTGGGTAGCCCGGGATCCAGACCACTAGACTCACAGCCAGTTTACATGCTTTTGAAGCCTGTAGTCAAAGATGTGACTCTATCTTCGTCCTTTTGTAGCATTCGAGTCATGTTTTGATACTGATTTGATATTCTCACCAGTATGGCTAGATAAAATAAGACCACCCTTGTGGTACTTTTGCCTAATAATGATGGCAGCTTATAATAATTGAGCACCTACTAGAGGCCAGATGCTGTGATGTGCTTCACAACTAGACCCTCGTTTAGTGCTTGCAATAACCCTATAAGATAAGCAATAGTATCATGATTTCCTTTGAAGAAAGAGAGTAAATAGTTTCCCCATAGCCACACAGGAAGAGGCAGAGCCAGGATCTGAGCCCAAATTTGACTCCAAAGTCTGCCCGTAATTATCATACCATACCATACAGACAATCTGCAGCTTAGGGTAGTTCGACAGGATTTTTTAACTTTGTGATGGAGCCAAAATACACATTCAGTAGATACTGTACTGTGAGCACCCATACAACCATTCTGATGTTCATTTTCAGCACAGTATTCAATAAATTACATGAGATATTCAACAGTTTATTATAAAATAGGCTTTGTGTTAGATGACTTTGCCCAACCGTAGGCTAATGTAAGTGTAGGCTGGGCTGAGCTGTGATGTTCTGTGCGTTAGGTGTACTGAGTACATTTTCAGCTGATTTTCCAGTTACCATGGGTTTATCAGGATGTACTCCTGCCATAAGTTGAGGAGCATCTGTATTCCCATCTACCTCACCATAAGGTTGTGTTGATATTTACTCTCCTCTGAGCAAAGCCCTTGCTCAGAGCTGTCCTGCTTTTTCAGGAACACCAACTAAATACAAAATCGGCCTTGAAATGCCCTGGCTTGGGGGCTGTCATCCCTGGTCATCTCTGTCCTCGAAACAGCTACAGTAGCAGCAGTGAACTGTCTCTTTCAAGCACCTGCAGCGAGTACTCCAGTGGCTCCTCCTACACGTGGCACGATGGGAAGAACCTCAGGAAAAGGGTAAGGCACTGTGGCATCGGAATGAACCAGAAAAGAATCCTCTTCTGGTAGGATTTGGTCATGGAGATGAAGGGCAGGTGGGAGGGGTAAGAAGGAAGCCACCATTTGCTGAGCACCTGCTCATGTATTATACTGACATCCTTTCATCAATGCTATAGCCTCATAAAACACTATTTGACTATAAATTGGAGGGCAGCGTGGTGAGATGACAGAGACCACAACTTCAGTGTAGGTAGGCATATTTCTACTTATATACATGCCAAGATTTCCTTTACCAGGATTTTTAATAATTACTACTACTAGAATGACTCCCATCTGCACAGTGGACTCGCAAAGCTGGAGATACCTTTGTGCTTTGAGCAGACGTCTTTGTACACTGATGTAAGGGAAATATTTGAAATAGCTGTTTTATCCATTCCCTAATGTTGGAGAAAAGGAAAGAGCACACAAGAATAGAAACCCCGGATCAGAGTATTTGGAGGTCATTTTTCTACCATTTGTATAAATTTAGTTCATGGTTTTAGCAGTGTAGAAACCAAGAAAAATCCAGAACTCCCAGGAGATATTGATGAGGGAGTAGCTTTGTCATCCTCTGAACAAGAACTCAGAAGATCTCAAGGTTGCATTTAGGGCTTATTCCCTGGGACTCAGACTTCCAATGCAAAGTACAGAGCCTGCTGCATTATCAAAATTGCTCCCTCTAAGGAGTTGTTAGGTGCTCTGAATAATGACTGCTCTGAGCCTGGTTTGGAACAGACTGGACAGATGGTCAGGGATGTTTCCTCGCTTTGTGAATATCCCTGGCTCCCAGAGCCCCTCGCTCTGCTCTTTTCACTTTCACACCTCTTTGTCTCTCTCCTTCTCAAAGGCTTTTCACTTTCTTTTAATTTTTGGCTGGAATTCTTCCAATTACAGTAGCTTTTGATGTTCTAAGGCAATCTCTCCCCTGAATGAGGAGAAAGAAGGTTCTTAAGGCACTTCATGGACACTCAGGTGGCTCTTCTCTGGATCCTTAATAGGGCTCTGTCATGGTCATGGAGTACCAGTACACCTGTCATATCTCACAGTGAACTGTCTTGTTTCTCAGGGACCTAACAAGCCAGACCCAGATTCATGAAGACATTTGAAATGTGTATTACTTAAGAAACTTTCTGCAGTTTCTTACTTTGTGCTGGGTACTCATGTAGTATTAACTTACATAATAAACTTGTATCATATGAATTTGAATTTGAATATTAATTATATAACAATTAATATATTATTGATTGTGCTTTTTGAGCTCACAAGTATGTTTTACTTGTGTACAAACAGAAAGGAAGCCTGCATGAAATGCACTAGCCTGCCCTACAGAGGAATGTGGCTCTAGTCGATGAGAAATTACCATATGCAGCACAGCCTTTTAAGGACTTCAGAAGCCTTAGATCATGTAATGCTCCCAGTCGCCTATTAAGTAGGCTCTCCTATTCTCCCCATTTCACAGAAGAGGACACTGAGGTGCTAAGAAGTTAAATAACTGAACCAAGATGCCACAGGCAGTACATGGCAGAGCCAGGCGCCAGAAGGCTCCAGAACCCACATTCTTAATTGTTCTTTTATACTGGCCTTGTTGAATCAGCCTGAAACGTGGTGAGGTTGCTTCAATTATTGAGATCAGTTTGCTCCCATTAAGACCCTTTAGAAAAATATATATATATAAGATTCTTGTCCAGTCAAGAAATGGAAGAGGACTGTGGACATTAAACACAGGCCTGCACCTCAGCAACAGCATCTTTTAGTCAACCACACTGCTTCCCAAGAGCAACTCTCTTCCAACTTTCGCAGCAAAGGATGGATCTGCCTGTGAGAAATGCCAGCTCCTCCCCACCATCACTCCCACGGGGCATTCGTGTGTCTCCTACCCCCAAGCTTCAAGATTGGCCTAGACTTTTCTCCAGTTGTTAGATACTATAACCTCCTATAGAGGACTGAAGGAGGAATGTGGCTAATCTCACCAGGCAGAGAGCCTGGGCCCTGGGAGGTTTGCAGCCACTGGCTCTGGGGCAAGTCGCAGTGCAGCACCTGGCAGGCTCCAGAATGGCAGAAAGGAGGCAAGACAGAGGTTGAGCATGTCTTCTTGGGGGTCAAACAGATCCACATTTTTCAAGCTCTTGTGGGGTACTTTGGCTTGGTTTCTCTTATTTATTGTCAACATGACTATCAGGATCATGGAAATTCTTAGAAACTTACACTGTGGCAGCTCCTTTCTGGTGGAGCTATAATACCCAGATTCACTAATGGGATTTCTTCTGATTTCTAAAGGAGTTTGTAATGGTACAGGGAAGAGGAAGTGGGGCAGCATCACTGAATAGCATCTACTGCCAGCAACTTCTGACGGTGGAGAATTTCCTAAAGAAAATTTATAATTTGATTTAAAAACAAATAAATGTGTGCGTTGTTGATAGCAAGAGTAATTTTCATGAAAATGCCATAGATGTGAGCAAATGTTTACAGTGTACTAAGAAGCCCAGATTCAAATGGAAGTTTCTGACATGTTTTTCAACCACTGCACATAAGCGTGTGGGGCAGGGAGGAGACTGATGTAGCCAAAACTGGTATAGAGTGCATTTCTGAAACCCAGAGCCTTCTCTTGAAGCTCTTTACCATTAATCATATAGCCCTTTTTTTTTTTTTTTTTTGAAACGGAGTCTCGCTCTGTCACCTGGGAGGGAGTGCAATGGTGCAATCTCAGCTCACTGCAATGTCCGCCTCCCAGGTTCAAGCGATTCTCCTGCCTTAGCCTCCTGAGTAGCTGGGATTACAGGCACCCGCCAACATGCACAGCTAATTCTTGTATTTTTAGTAGAGATGGCGTTTTACCATATGGGTCAGACTAGTCTCGAACTCCTGACCTTTTGATCCACCTGCCTTGGTCTCCCAAAGTCCTGGGATTACAGGTGTGAGCCACTGCGCCTGGCCCATATAGCCTTCTTAAGAAATCATTAGGTCAGCCCCCTAAACTCTGCAAGTACCATTTAAGAAATAGTGTGGGGTAACCTGTGATCTCTATTATGACACTGACTAAGGTAAAGGGGAGAAGAGGGGCTAAGCTTGGCTTTATATATAGCATCAGTTAGGACTGCAAGCTCTGGGGCCAGACTGCCTGGGTTCATGTCCCCTCACTGCCACTTTTGAACTGAGTCAAAACCGACGTACTATAGAAAGAGCCTGAGAAACCAGAGGTCATACCTTTGCTCCAGCTCTTTCTATGTGATCTCCAACAGACCCAACAATGAGTCTCAGTTGTCTGTTCTGAAGATGGAGTGAAAGCACCCTGTAAATGGCTGGTGTACAGCAGAGGCTCAGTAAATGTTAGCTTTTTTTTTTCCCCCTTCCATTTCTTATTAGCAATACTATGAAAAAAATATGAATATGTAGAGCACAGCCTTTTCTCTATGTCATTTCCCATACACTTTTCCAAAGCTGAGGCTGGCATTTGGGAAGGGTGATGGGCAGGAAATTGACCTTTCTAAATTTGGTAGGTGAATAATTACTGTCAGGTTCTAACAGCGAATGCCCAGCTGCTGTGTATGTGTGTATGTGTATATGTATGAGTGTAGTAACTTAAGAAAATTTTCATAGATATCTATTGTCTACCAAATAAAGTTATGAAGTCACAGAACTATCAAATGTGAGCATAAAGATATCAACCAACTTACTTTTCCAGCTTTACCCTCTGCACCTCTCGTAGACACTCTGCAATAAGGCCATATCATCTTCTAGTCATTCCCTCAATGTACCTTGAATGTACTTTCTGACTTAGGTCTTTGCCCACCCCATTTCTCCCACCTGGAAAACATTTCCCCCACTTTTAACCTACGGCAAACCTATGTGTCTTTCAAGAGCTAGGTAAGTTTAAAAGAAAAAAATATATATACCTTTCCTATATGCCTTTCTCCAAATAGACCTGTCTGTGGCCTCCCTCCTCTGAATCTCCAGAGTACTTACAACATTTGCACTTCCCATTTTCTCCCTTGACATACAGTTAGTTGTGGCCAATTCTCCTCTCCCCACTGGGATTCCTCCCATGAAGACAGGGCCTTTACCTTCTGTTTCTTTAGATCGCTGTGCTTCTTAGCACAGGACCTGGCAAAATCAATGTTTGCTGCATAGTTTGTGAATAAATTAATTAGCTAATTAATGTAGGCATTTATATGTGAATAGTTACCAACCACTAGCACAAATTAAGTCCCATGATGTACTTTTCCTTTTATATCTTTGTGATCTACATGGTTCAATCATTTCTGATGTCTACTTTTCTTTCCTAGCAATCATCACAAAACTGGGATAAAAGGCTAAGTATTGATTCTTCGCTCCCAAGTGGCTTTGCTAGTCCTACAAATGAACTACCTCCAACTCGTATCAAGGAAAGCCACATTTTGGAAGGGCTAAGAAAGCTACAGAAGCGAAAAGTGTTACTTGAACCCCCATCAGTGATAACCAAATGGGGTTATAAAGATTGCATGAACTCGAATGAAGGAATATATTCTCCTGGAATTAAAAGTAGCAGCCTCAAGGAGTATCCCCCCTGCAAAACAGCTGACCTGGGGAGCCCCTGCAAGGAACCCCACAAGACATTTGTTTATGATCTAGATTCCCACGTTGATGCGGACGATGACCCTTCCACCTTAGCATTGCTCCAAGCAGTTCCAAACCAGAGCTGCAGGCCACATGGCAGTAAATTAACCCACAGTGTTTCCGACAGTCTGTTTGGCTGGGAGACAAACAGAAAACACTTTCTGGAAGGCACATCCTCAGTTTATCCCAAGGAAAGGCCTGAAAAGCTGACAAGTTGCGCCAGCAGCTGTCCCTTAGAGATGAAGCTGTGCCCAAGTGTGCAGACGCCTCAGGTACAGAGGGAGAGGGGCCCACAGGGCCAAGGCCATGGCCGCATGGCTCTCAACCTCCAGCTTTCAGACACTGATGACAATGAAACGTTTGATGAGCTGCACATAGAGAGCAGTGATGAGAAAAGTCCTTCAGACGTGTCATTGGCTGCCGACACCGATAAGTCCGTGGAGAACCTGGATGTCCTTGTGGGGTTTGGAAAATCTCTATGTGGGTCTCCTGAAGAGGAGGAAAAACAAGTGCCCATCCCTTCAGAGACTAGGCCAAAGACTTTTAGTTTCATTAAGCAGCAAAGAGTTGTAAAAAGGACTTCTTCAGAAGAATGTGTGACTGTGATATTTGATGCGGAAGACGGTGAGCCCATTGAATTCAGCTCTCACCAGACTGGGGTTGTCACTGTTACCAGAAATGAGATTTCCATCAATTCAACTCCTGCTGGACCCAAGGCAGAACATACTGAGCTTTTACCTCAGGGAATTGCTTGTTTACAGCCAAGAGCTGCTGCAAGAGACTATACTTTCTTTAAAAGGTCTGAAGAGGACACTGAGAAAAACATTCCAAAAGATAATGTAGATAATGTTCCCAGGGTGTCCACTGAATCTTTCAGCTCCAGGACAGTGACACAAAATCCTCAGCAGCAAAAGCTGGTCAAACCAACACACAATATATCATGCCAGAGTAATTCCAGGTCTTCGGCACCCATGGGCATCTATCAAAAGCAAAATCTGACAAAAATACCTCCCAGGGGCAAGTCTTCACCTCAGAAATCAAAACTAATGGAGCCCGAAGCCACCACACTACTCCCTTCATCTGGCCTGGTGACTCTTGAAAAATCACCAGCCTTAGCTCCTGGGAAACTCTCACGATTCATGAAGACTGAGAGCTCAGGGCCCCTCTTTGAATTACGATCAGATCCACACATTCCAAAACATTCCGCCCAACTTCCGCACAGCTCCAGGATGCCCAGCAGGAGGGACTGGGTCCAGTGCCCCAAGAGTCAGACTCCAGGGTCACGGTCAAGGCCTGCCATTGAGTCTAGTGACAGTGGAGAGCCCCCCACGAGGGATGAACACTGTGGCTCTGGGCCGGAGGCAGGGGTGAAATCCCCTTCCCCTCCGCCCCCTCCAGGCAGGTCCGTCTCCCTGCTGGCCAGGCCCAGCTATGACTATTCACCAGCACCTTCATCCACCAAGTCCGAAACCAGGGTCCCCAGTGAAACAGCAAGGACCCCATTCAAATCCCCGCTGCTGAAAGGAATTTCTGCTCCAGTTATTTCTTCTAATCCGGCCACGACAGAAGTGCAGAGGAAGAAACCTTCTGTGGCCTTCAAAAAGCCTATCTTCACTCACCCTATGCCCTCCCCAGAAGCAGTCATTCAAACCCGATGCCCTGCTCATGCCCCCTCCAGCTCCTTCACCGTAATGGCTCTGGGGCCTCCAAAGGTCTCTCCGAAGAGAGGTGTCCCCAAAACCTCTCCTCGCCAAACACTTGGGACCCCACAAAGGGACATAGGATTACAGACTCCCAGGATCTCTCCTTCAACCCATGAGCCACTGGAAATGACGTCCTCCAAAAGTGTATCTCCAGGGAGAAAAGGACAATTGAATGATAGCGCCTCCACACCCCCCAAGCCTTCCTTCTTAGGGGTAAATGAGTCACCATCATCTCAGGTCAGCAGTTCCTCATCATCCTCATCACCCGCCAAAAGCCATAACAGCCCTCATGGTTGTCAAAGTGCTCATGAGAAAGGACTGAAAACTCGCCTTCCAGTGGGACTCAAAGTGCTCATGAAGTCTCCCCAGCTGCTCAGGAAAAGTTCCACCGTGCCAGGGAAACATGAAAAAGACAGTTTAAATGAAGCCTCCAAAAGTTCCGTGGCTGTGAACAAGTCTAAGCCAGAGGACTCCAAGAATCCAGCAAGCATGGAGATCACAGCGGGTGAAAGAAATGTGACCCTACCGGATTCACAAGCACAGGGCAGTTTAGCTGATGGGCTTCCCCTGGAAACAGCACTACAAGAGCCATTGGAAAGTAGCATCCCTGGGAGTGATGGAAGGGATGGGGTAGATAATAGATCCATGAGAAGATCCCTTTCCTCCAGCAAACCACACCTAAAACCAGCTCTGGGTATGAATGGCGCCAAAGCCCGCAGCCACAGCTTCAGTACACACTCAGGAGACAAGCCTTCTACGCCCCCCATCGAAGGGTCAGGCAAAGTCCGCACTCAGATCATTACCAATACCGCCGAGAGAGGCAATTCTCTTACCCGGCAGAACTCTTCCACGGAAAGCTCTCCCAACAAGGCCCCTTCTGCTCCCATGTTGGAGAGTCTCCCCAGTGTTGGGAGGCCCTCGGGGCACCCCTCCTCCGGGAAGGGCTCCCTGGGGAGCTCAGGCAGCTTCAGCAGTCAGCATGGGAGCCCAAGTAAGTTGCCTTTGAGGATCCCTCCAAAGTCTGAGGGACTCCTCATCCCACCTGGAAAGGAAGACCAGCAGGCCTTCACCCAGGGAGAGTGCCCCAGTGCCAATGTGGCTGTACTTGGGGAACCAGGCAGTGACCGCCGCAGTTGCCCACCCACCCCAACAGACTGCCCTGAAGCCCTGCAGAGCCCAGGGAGGACTCAGCATCCAAGCACTTTTGAAACAAGCAGTACATCCAAGCTAGAAACTTCTGGAAGGCATCCAGATGCCTCTGCAACCGCGACTGATGCTGTGAGTTCAGAAGCCCCCCTCTCACCCACAATCGAAGAAAAGGTCATGTTGTGCATTCAGGAAAATGTGGAAAAGGGCCAAGTGCAAACAAAGCCCACCTCTGTGGAAGCAAAGCAGAAGCCTGGGCCTTCTTTTGCCAGCTGGTTTGGTTTTCGGAAGAGTAGACTTCCAGCTCTGAGTAGCAGGAAAATGGACATCTCCAAAACCAAAGTAGAAAAGAAAGATGCAAAAGTCTTGGGGTTTGGAAACAGACAACTAAAATCAGAAAGAAAAAAAGAGAAAAAGAAGCCTGAACTACAGTGTGAGACAGAAAATGAGCTTATCAAGGACACCAAGTCAGCAGATAATCCAGATGGCGGTTTACAAAGCAAAAATAATCGGAGAACACCACAAGACATTTACAACCAACTGAAGATTGAACCAAGGAATAGACACAGCCCTGTTGCATGTTCAACGAAAGACACCTTCATGACGGAACTCTTGAACAGGTAACTCACTGGAAAAGCAGGTAGCAATGTAGAGGGGTCCCTCCACCACCTTTAAAAGAGTTGTTTGCTTCCTGTGCATTAAAGGCCAGTCAAGCATGTTTTTTCATACAGGCAGAAATGAATAGTAGCAGTCTTTTATACATTAGCCAGAATTTAAGCAATGAAATAAAAGTTAGCAATAAAATGATCATTTAGTCCATGTTACTTTGTTAACCAAACCAATGGCCTTTGAAATTAAAGAATGGTAAGTTTTATCAGGGTTGATAGCAATTCCACCTACACTAGGAGCTATGAATGTACCCAGATGGCGTGAAATGGAAGAAAATTACACATACGTTTTAAAGCATGCCGATTTCGTTGATTATACCTAGCAAACATATACTTGGAAACTTTCCAGAAATAATTATATTTCTTGCTGCTCTTAAGCTAAAAATGTAGTTAATAATCACTCTTCAGTGGTTTTTATTTTGCCCCTCTCCACAAGAAATCACAAAAATAAAAAATACATTATGATATTGTCAAATCTAAATTGACATGCTACTAGAATATTTGAAGATTTGATCAAGGCCCATGAGAAACCCTTATCCGTCAAAGGTTTAAAGACAAAGAGCTACAAAGAGGTTACTTTAAATATTAAAAAGATTGGGAAAAGGAGAGTGATTGAAGAAGGAGCAAGGTAACTTATCAGAGGAATCACTTTCTACCTGCAGAGTTGATAAGAAAGCAGCTCCACAGACAGAAAGTGGATCAAGTAATGCTTCCTGCAGGAATGTGTTAAAGGGCAGTTCTCAGGGCTCCTGTCTCATCGGCAGCTCTATCAGTACTCAAGGAAACCACAAGAAAAACATGAAAATCAAAGCCGATATGGAAGTACCAAAAGACTCCCTGGTAAGTGCTCCACCATCCTGGTATCAAGTGCTACAATCTGAGATGTTCTGGCTGGGGTCTTTCTACCGTTTGCTAATGAAAATGTATGGGTAAGAGATTGCAACTGGGGGAAAGAAAAGGTCAGTGAAAAAGGATTTGTAAAAAGAGAGCGAAATCCTGGTGACAACTGCAGCAGAGAGCTGGCAGCTGGACCTCGAGTGGGCCTGGCTCTCAGGAAATGCTGCTTTTCCCAGCTGTTTTCAGAACGTTGAGTATAATCGCAGTGAGTCCAGGCAAATGATGCTACTGGTATCATCTTCAAATTACACCACTGGGCTGGAAATTTGTTTTGATGATTATTTCTAACATCACCTGCCACCAAAAAGGAATGAACATGATTTTAAAAATAAAAGTGCTAAACAATTTAAGAGAGTATTGCCTATTTTGATGATTTGATTTAAGCATTGTTCATGTTTTATGAAAGTTGTATGTCCAATTCATGCAACTTAGACAGAGGCTATTAAGACTAAGAAATCTTTTTTGGAACTTGGCTCCCTATCATTTAGTCTATTGTGAGGTCCAGAACTCAGGGAGTAGCCTTCTTTTTAAAAATTAAAAAATAAGGCCGGGTGCGGTGGCTCACGCCTGTAATCCCAGCACTTTGGGAGGCTGAGGCGGGCGGATCACAAGGTCAGGAGATCGAGACCATCCTGGCTAACACGGTGAAACCCCGTCTCTATTAAAATACAAAAAATTAGCCAGGCATGGTGGTGGGCGCCTGCAGTCCCAGCGACTTGGGAGGCTGAGGCAGGAGAATGGCATGAACCCAGGAGGCAGAGCTTGCAGCGAGCCGAGATTGTGCCACTGCACTCCAGCCTGGGCGACAGAGCGAAACTCCTTCTCAAAAAAATAAATAAAAAATAAATGAAAGAGTATTTTTTATATTTTCCTGGGGTGTACTAGTTTCAGTTAATATTTTTGTTTTAAAATTACCTTAAATTGCACTTACTCTCTGTACATTCTTCATGTACTTGTGTAAATAATTTAATAGTATTCATTGTTGCTTTTGGCAAGTTCCAGAGCACTTAAACACAAAATATTCTCTTTATGGAATTACTATATCCATATCTTTTTGTACTCTAATAAAGAGATTATTAAAATATAGGACATACTACAATTTTCTGAGGGAAAACTTGAAATATTTCCCTGCATTATTTTCTGGGGTCATTCAAGAGTAGAGGAGATTTTAAAGTGACCATGGTTGACATTATTAGTTATTAATTATTAGCTATAAATACTTATTGATGTTTAGATTTCCTTCAAGTTTCACAGACTTTAATTTGAGAGAAATGGATGTTTAAATTTTTTTATTCAAATAGCTCTTGACTCTACAGAGCCATAAGGTCTTTTTTACAAACTCTCCAAAATTATATGCAGATTATGTTCGTTGCAAAAGTTTTTTTTTTTTTTTTCTTTCCCTCATCCCATTTCTGCTCTTGGCTTCCATGGTATCATCCCTTCTTTGAAAACACAGATGTCCCCTGCATTATAAAACCACAAATTGTAAGCATATCTAAGGCTGCCCTTGTGGTGTCACTGAAAGGAGGAAGAGAGAATGAATGTGTGAAAATGTGCAATATGCTGGAAATTCAATCCAGCTGATGGAAAACTTTGATAGCCTGGCAGAGCCCCTTATCAGAGGCACTCAATTTAACTATGACCCATTTAATATGGTCCTGACAGCCTAGGGTATATCTTCACTGTACAGAAGTACCAAAAAAACAAAAAGACTTTATGTTTGGCTTTCACAATTTCATTTTTATTTTCTTATTACTTCCTAATGCTAAGGTTATTTGCCATGCTTTTCCTCTCTCATCTGCAGTCTTTCACAGGGTCCTTTGGTCTTTCCAGAATATCTGCAAGAAACACTCTAATTATTTTCTGTGAAGTACAAAGATTCCCTAACGACCCCACATATACATAATCCATATGATGATTTTTCCAGTTAGCTGAAAGACAAATTAGTCATGCTGAGAAGCTTTTCCATACAGAGAAATGTTATTAACCTGGGTAGTTGACCAGCTAGTCATTTTTTTAAATGTAAAATGCAGTGCTTTTTGTTTCATCTCCATAATCATCAGCATGGATTGGGCTAAAATTACTAATTTCACAAAGGACGTTGCTATAGACTCCTTTGTGACTGGTACAAGAATAGGAGGGAAAACTCATTTATTATATGTTATCAGCCTATATAGGAAGGAGATTAGATGCAAAATGAGATGTATTTTAACACCACAGCACATTGATGTGAATACCCATGAACCTTTTAAAATTCAGAGTTGAAGAGAATTTCCCCCCACTAGGGCTCAAGGTAAATTCACTGTCTGCTTATTTTAAACTGTGTTGCAAAGAATTGTTTTCATAGAAGTTATTTTGGATGAAAACAATGTATATATGCAATGCACTACGTATCACACTCTTTTTCTAAATAAAACCACTGTTTGAAACCTTATGACGTACTATACCACCATCTTTTGTTCTTTACAAACTAAGATTATATATAGTTATGAGAGTCCTAAGGCATTTTTAGTATTCTAATATATAATAATAATAGATTATTTCCATACATATAACAAATCCACATGTGTAGCAAACCTCCGCTTAGTTCACTAGTAACTGCATATTCATTTTTAGTATTGCTAGAAACATTCTAAAATATGTTTCAAAGTCCTATTAATGTTTGTCTGAATTAAATTTTTTCTTATTTCAGAGCCTTAATTAGAAGCTTATATCCCCATTTCTGCCATTGTTTATAGACCACTTAGCTCTAATTTTTGTGTAATTTAGACAAGGGCCATGTTACTTGGTACTTTTATTTAAATTATATAAAATCATTATAAAATAGGGAAAAGGCATCTCCTAGAAAGACTGCTTTGGTATTAAGTCAGTAAGTCAGAAAGAGGTACACTATACTTGCTACATGTTTCAAGTTCTTCTTTCCTGTAGATTTAGATAATTTTCTGAAATGAAAAGTCTCAAAGAAAGACAGCTCTAGGCTCCTATTTAACTATCACTGGACAAAAATAAAAATCATTAACAAAATTAATGAGATCATATACCTTCATCGTGAACCATTTTAATATGACCATTTTAGTATGGGTATTTTAATTTAAATTATGGGTATTCTCTTTACCCAGTGTCACATAGTCTAAAAAAAAAATCATGTCTGCTAATAAAAAAGCATCAAATACTATCCCATTAAAATGGTACCACGGTGATAAAATGGCAGAAAATAGTACAATAATTACACAAATTGTTATCATCTTATTAAGTTCTGCGAAATGTTACAATTTTAACATCCTTAATTGAAAAATTCTATTCTAAATGGTATTTTGGTGCTAATAAGAAACATGCATATTTTGCCCTCCGCCTGCAAAGTTTTCTAAATTAGTAACTTTTCCAAAGGTTATGCTTTCCAGGAACTTTCTCTCCCAGGATTATTTCCTGTCTCACTTATGTTCTTTTCCTTTTCAAATGAGCTTTGACATCAAAATGTTGGTTTCTTGGGAAGCCGTTAGTGTTAGGATGATTCAGGGAAGAAATATATATAGAACTCCAAATGAAGGATGTTCTCAAATTTGGGTTTAATTATGAAATTATATCAATGGTGAATTGATATAAAATTGGGTTTAATTATGAAATTATATCAATTATGTCAATGGTGAATTATTTTCTCCCCTTTTCCCCCTGTGTCTCTTGTAGGCACATTTCTTCCTGCCCTTCCTAGAAACAGGGGTGAATAAAATAGAAGTGCAGTGATATTTAATTGTTGCCTGTTGCAGACTGGTGTTTGGAGTAGTTCCTAACTAGAACTGCAGAGCCCCAAAAGATGGACAAGAGTTAGAGATAAATCATTAGAAGACACCCAAAGCACTGACAAGTAACTTAAACCAAAAATGGCCCATGGTTGTTGCTTGTGAGTCACCTTCTACTTTTTACCAAATAGGACATAACTGACATGGACTTGTTTCTGTTCCTGGGATGGCAACAGTGACTGGGACATTTCTACATTTCTACATCTTTTCTGAACCAAACGTTTGGCAGACTTCTTGGTTTTGTGTTCACTCTCCCATTCTTTGCAGTGCTTTCCCACATGGAGACTGTCCCACTTGTGCCTATTTTTGGCAAATGCTTGACCTGGCAGCCCTCTTACTCCCGGGAAAACTCCCACAACTTCCCACCAACATCCAGCTCCTATGGGATCAAGAATGAAAATTAATTTAAATTTCATCCTATGAAAAATATAATTAGCAAGGGGAATCTGCTGCCAAAATAAATTATGCCCCTCATTTCCATAGGCAAATGGATTTTTTTTAATTACTCACCACTTTGCATTGAAATCTATTTGTATGGATAATTAGAATTGACAAGTATGGCACTCTAAAGCACTCTCCCACTTTCCATTTTCTTGCTGCTTCTTCATCCATTCCCATCAAGTTCACAATTTCCCCCAGTGAGTCATCTGCCCCTCATGGGTCATCCAGCCCAGGAGAGCTGAAAGAGCCAGGGGGCTTGTTCACCATCTCAGTTCTTCTCATAAGTCCCCAGAGGCCACATTTAGTGTTTGCGGTTAAGCACATAAGGCCCTGGAATGCCTCTGGCAAGGAGCTGACAGGTAGGACTGTGCAGTCGCTTTTGTTTTCTTTCTTAAATATGATAATTAGAGAAAGGAGGTGGAGAAGGGGCACGGAACAGGTAAGGAACAGTAGGGAAGGGAAGCAGAGAATTATACACACACACATGCATGAAAAATGTTTACTACTCTTAAAATATAGTTTATGGATACTTGGAATATTGCCTTCATATCTAAATGGTAGACACTAAGAAAGAGTAGTTCTTTGGAAGGTCTGGAAAGGATAGCTGTAACAGGACAGGGCACTCTGAAAAATTGAATTATAGCAATGAATAGGAATCAGGAGTGCCTGTTCTATAACTGAAATTCTGTATGACTTTGAATAAATTATTAACCCTCTCTGAAGCTCCTTTTTCTTTATCTGTAAGATGAAAACTTTGTTCTAATTATTTGATTCTTTCATCTAGAATTTCACAGGCCAGCAGAGATGATGATTTACTGACAGTCCAACAGGTTTCGAGGGCACCCCTGCGAGTTTAAAATGTATAAATTTGGAAAAACCCAAAGGAAATACTATTTTACATTAACAGGTGCAAGAAATATGGGACATATTGCCATAAGAGCTGATATGAAACTGAAAATATGATTTCCTTGTTGTTCTATAAAAGAGGATAAAAGGCTCCCAGTGGATTATTAATGGAAACTGAGGTGTTTGGGGGCCTTTGGGTCACCTTGTTACAAACAGATCCCTGAGCAAAGAGAACCTTGGAAGGCAAATAAGTAGTACTTTGGTCTTTCTCATACTCACAGTGTGTTTCCTCCCTGCCATCTGTAAATATGTGCTGCTAGAACACGGTCAGTTAATGAAACCCTTTTTTCCTGCTTTCTTTCATTCTCTGACTTTCTTTCTGTGGAGCTGCTAACAAACAGGGAAATGCCCACAGATTAGACAGCTGAAGGGGAAAGAAAGTGATGAAGCATGGCCTCTTGATACTGAACGCTTAACGATCTGTCCTTGCCAGTGTTGAGTTAGCCATTTACATACTCTCTTGAGTTTGCCATCTCTGGCTATCAGCATGGTACAGATTAAGCACCAATTACATTCTAATATTGAAACTGCAGTCATAAAATGTAAATAATTGGTCTTATTCCATTAAGTATGAAAAATAGGAGGCAAAAAGTAGAAAGCTAAATCCAGCTCAAGGTCAGTATTCAGCCATATGACTTTCACATTGACAGTATAAAATAATAATTTCTTGGCATTCAACTCAAGCCCTGTAGCAAATCCACTGGCAACCTCTAACGTACGTGCCTAAGCGGGACACCCATTGCATTGCACGTTATTATCATTGGCTGCCTAGGTGGCTGTCTGGAATGTATTTTAAAAGAGCTATGTAGCGCCATTACCTCTAGAACCCTAAGTTGTCTTGATACTGAGTCCAAGTCTACACAGGCATATTCAAGTGGAAAATTTGAGAATACCAAAGGTCCCCCCAGTAAACACAAATCCGGAGTCAGATTTGTTGCGTTTAAATCCCAGTGCCACCATTTTGACAATTACCTTCTCTATTGCTTTGGGATGGGTCTTCATCTCTAAAATAAAGCTAACCATAGCACCTGCTTCATAGCACTGTTGTAAGGATTTTGAGATCTTACGTGCAAACAGCACCTGCCCAGTATGTAAGTGTTCACTGTTTCTATTGTGGTTGGTATTGCTGATGATGCTATTACTTCTCCTGCTACTGGATTGGGAAGTAGGGGGCCTGGGCTTTCATGCCAGTGTTGCCACTTACTGCATTTGTGCCAACTTTAAGGAGACTTCCTAGACCTCAGAATTCTCATCTGTAAAATACTGGAACTTCATTAAATTCTGTGTAGAGTTCCATCTGATGCTGCCCAATCTAGTGCCTGGGCCTTCCAACTGAAATATAAGAGGGAATGTTTTTGGCTCAAAAAAAAATATCTAGATAAATGACTCACTGCTCTGGTTCACTGATCATACATACATCATTGTCATCTCCTTTGATTATGGAAAGAATGAAAAAAAATTATCTTCTTAAGTTACATTCCAGGAAAGAGCCAGCAGACCTAAGTATATTTAAAGTATATATTTTTATTCCTATTAAAATAACTTGCAGTGGAAGTCACTGACTCTGGAGGAATTATACCTCGTTAGACTTTAACGTTTCCTAACAGCCCTGTGTTACTGATTTCATTAATTATTAACAAGCTAAGCTGTTATCTCTAAAATTTTGTGTAGAATTAGATACCCTGTAAATTCTCTCCTTCAGAAATGAGGTTATATGTCTGAAAATAAGCTCTTATAATTAAAACTTGTAATAAAGCCAAATGATGGAGTGCGGAAAAGTAGAACGAA
This sequence comes from Homo sapiens, assembly GCF_000001405.40. Classification (NCBI taxonomy): domain Eukaryota; kingdom Metazoa; phylum Chordata; class Mammalia; order Primates; family Hominidae; genus Homo; species Homo sapiens. The sequence continues at coordinate 132,774,062 of NC_000002.12, read as the reverse complement.
AAAAATGTATTTTATATGTATACATACATACTCACACATGTATATACATGCAAACACTCACACCTATGCCCACATATTTGTTATAGAATGTACCATTACTCTGAGGATTGCAAAAGGATCTTTTTAATAAAACAAATAAGAACTTGCATCATTTTCTTCTTCCTGCAGGTAAAAGAGGCAAATGAAAACTTGCAAGAGGATGAAGACGATGCAGTTGCAGATTCTGTATTTCAGAGCCACATCATAGGTAAAAATTCACATATTCATATGTCTTTTATGGAGACTTATTCTAAATGTATCCTTCTTCCAGATATGGTACATTCCTAGAGACCATGTCCCTCTATCAAGACTGAGTGTTAACTATTCACACATGGTTGCCATTATCTCCTTAGACATTGGACGTTACCATAAAATAAGTGGGTCAAAGCAGCACCTATGAGGAAAACAGGTATTTCCAAAAGAATGCAAAGCAAACTGATGAGAAGTATTTGTCAATATGAAATGAAAGTGATACTGAGTAATCCAGTTTCTATAATTATCTCAAGAACACCTAGTGGTTAGAAGTGTAGGTGGTGGCTTTCTTAAATGAAATATTTTATAAATTGAATGTTTTACACGTAGTAGCAAATATAGAATAAGAAAATACGGTTTGCCAAAACTCTCAACTCTCTTTTTACATCATTTCTGTTAAAACTCAGAATATAGATAGTCCTGTCTCTGAAATAAGTTCAGCTTGTCAGCCACGTCTTAAAATTGTACATAACCTTGAAGGAACTCAAGTTCCCAGCACGCAGGAACTTTGCTGACCTCTTTACAGCAGCTTGGAGGTAACCAGTGATGGAGAACTTGCCTGTGACTGCATTCCTTGTCAAGAGATAGAAGAAGTGGCACCTTTAGCTCCTCCAGGCCACCCTGGACACTTGAAGAAGTGGTTGTTCCTCAGGCTCTAAATATAGCCATGAATGTGAGTGTGCTGACTATTTAGCTCGACACAAGACACTGAGGCATCATGGAATCACTTCCGCAAGTCACATTTGGGTGTAGGAGACAGTACTGAATACCATGCTCCAGTATATGACGGCCCCACAGATCCCCAGTGTCCAGTATAATCAGTATCCATTTCTCCTCTCCTTTCACTGGGAGCATCTTTAGCTGCCTACTCTCAGTCTCCCACTATTCGGCGCCATGTTGGCACACTTTGTGGCTGATTTTCTAGCATACTCAGCGGTCTTGTGCAAATGATAATTTATAGTTTGTCTGAGAGAGTTGTTTTACCCCCGTGGCTTAATGAGACTGGCATGCCATTATTATTCTTTTCATTCGTAATTGGGAACACAAAAGTCTTAACAAACAGCTGAAAGAGTGTAGTCTGAATAAGATTATTATTCCAAAAGGACATCCTTTATTATAGTTGTCAATGTAAAATGCTTAAATTGGTATCAGTTCTGCCTAGTTAGCTAATATTCGAGTTAAATATTGTTTAACAGCCTTCAAACATGACATTGTGCAAAGCCCTGCTGAGTCATCATTTTTCTATAACGAGGTGTTCTTGGGCCTGTGAAATAATATATATAAAGTTACAAGCTGAATTTTTCCTAAGAGAACTACAGGAATCTCTTCAAATATTTTTTAGTAGGTAGCAATTCTTTGTATCTGTGCTGCTTGATGCCATAACCACCAGCCACATGTTGGCTGTTTCAATTTAAATTAATGAAGCAAGATAAAATTAAAAATTTACTTCCTCAATAACAGTAGCCACATTTTGAATTTTCAGTGGCCCTGTCTTCTGTACAGTCATGGGTTGCTTGGTGACAGGAATATGTCCTGAGAAATGTGTCATTCGGCAATTTCAAGGTTGTGCAAGTATCAAAGAGTGTACTTACACAAACCTAGATGGTATAGCCTACTACATACCTAGGCTATATGATATAGCCTGTTGGTCCTAGGCTACGAGCCTGTACAGCATGTTACTGTACTGAATATTGCAGGCAATTAAAACACAATGGTAAGTATTTGTCTATCTACCCAGAGCTAAACATAGAAAAGGTAAGGTTAAAAAAAATACGAGTATCGGCCTGGTGCAGTGGCTCACACCTGTAATCCCAGCACTTTGGGAGGCCAAGGCAGGTGGATCACGAGGTCAGGAGATTGAGACCATTCTGGCTAACACGGTGAAACCCTGTCTCTACTAAAAATACAAAAAAAAAAAAAAAAAAAAAAAAATTAGCCGGGCGTGGTTGTGGGTGCCTGTAGTCCCAGCTACTCAGGAGGCTGAGGCAGGAGAACGGTGTGAACCCGGGAGGCAGAGATTGCAGTGAGCCGAGATCATGCCAATGCACTCTAGCCTGGGTGACAGAGCGAGACTCTGTCTCAAAAAAAAAAAACAATTAGCATCAAAGATAAACAACAATATACCTGTATAGGGCACTTATAGAACTGGAGGTTGCTCTGGGTGGGTTAGTTAGTGAGTGGTGAGTGAATGGAGGGCCCAGGACATCACCTTACACTACTGTAGAATTCATAAACACTGTACACTTAGGCTACACTAAATTTATTGGAAAAAATTTCTTCAATAATAAATTAACTTCAGCTTACTGTCACTTTTTTACTTTATAAACTTTTCAATTAATTTTTAACGTTTTGACTTTGTGATAATACTTAGCTTAAAACAAACACATTGTAGAGCTGCACAAAAATATAATTTTTATATCCTTATTCTGTAAGATTTTTCTATTAAAAATTTTTTTTCCCATTTTAAATTTTTTGTTAAAAACGAAGACACAAACACACATATTAGCTAGGCCTCCGCAGGGTCAGAATCATCAATATCACTGTCTTCCACTTCCACATCTTCTCCCACTGGAAGATCTTCAGAAGCAATAACACACCTAGGACTGTCATTTCCTGTGATAACAGTGTCTTCTTCTGGATACCTCCTGAAGAATTTCCCTGAGGCTGTTAACTTTTTTTATTAAATGGAAGGGGTACAGTCTAAAATAACAGTAAAAAGTATAGTATAGTAGTACATACATAAACTAGTAATAGTCACTTATTATCATTATCAAATATTCTGTACTATACATCATTATATGTGCTAGATTTTTCTCTGACTGGAAGCACATAGCTTTTTATACACCAGCATCACCACAACACATGAGTAGTGGGTTACACTATGACATTACAATGGTTTAACTACGACGTCACTAGGCAATAGGAATTTTTCAGCTTCATTATAATCTTAAGGGATCACCATTGTGTATGCAGTTCGTCATTGGCCAACACTTCATTTTGTTGTACATGACTGTATGTTCTATATCGTAAATAGATCACATATATTCCTTCATCACACAAACATATGTGTTCTTTATGAATGTTTCCCTCATCAGTGTTCTGTTGGATGGTGCTGCATTAGATTACTCCAATGGAAGTACATTTGAACCATGTTTTTGATAGATAATTGACTTGGTGTTCAGATCATTGCAGATGTATCTCTTCAAAGTGGTGGAGAACCATATGAATAAGCTACTGCTGGCCACAAGTAAATGACAACAAAAAAGCCTGACAATCCATTACATAAATAATAAAGTTATTATGTTATAATATTATATATAGTATATATACCATATATTATATATATACTATATTATTATATATGTTATAATATATACAATTTATAATATATAATATATACAATATATAATATATGTTGTATTCATATTAATTATTAATAAAATCATCTTATAGAATTAAAAGACTGGAGGAAGGCAAACATGAAAGAGATGTGTAGCAGATCAACAATGTCATCAAAAGCCCTTTATATACAGGTACCTTTTTCGGCCACATATTTGTATTGTAACAAGAACTCAGGCAAAGTTTTATCCATAGTTAAGAAGAACTCTTGGGATCTATAAGTTTGGGGCACTCAATACTGGTTTGAGCAAATTTGGGTTGGAGAAGAAAGGACAGGATCAAGCCTACTTCAGTAAACTGCACAAGAATCATTGCCAGGGGCAAAAAGGTTGTTTTGTGGTAGAACCCTACTTTTGAAAAGTAGCCTGCATTAAGGCTAAGAATTGAGACAAAGCTATGTTAAGCCAAATAGAGGAGCCAATATTGGCTCATTGTATCTATTTACTTGGCCGTGATTACCATGCTAGCTTTTTGTCCTCATGCTTGTGGCCTCTGGTTGCAAATTGACTCCCAGCACTCTAGTCATTTACCTTTAAGACAAAAGTATAAGGAAGGCTAAAAACATCACTAGAGTTCCCCCATAGACTACATCTTATGCAACATTGATGAGAAATGAATCATACAGCCAATCCTAGCTGCAAAGGATGCTGGGAAAGTTAGCATGTTGCTTTCCAGCCTCCATTGCATGAAGTAGCTGGGAAAAGAGGACTGAGCATGTCTCCCAGGCTAGCCAGTCAATAGGTTCTCCACAGACCTTCTAAAAAGTCCCTCCATTTTAAGACTGAATGAGACTCAACAAAGTCAAATGGTTGTTTATCTTAATTCCACAAGAATGGCTGAGAATATATATATTTTCACCCTGATAATACCACTGTTCTTCATGTTGTCTAACCTAAGTGTTGTCACATATTCTTGCAATATTTTATAACCATAATATGTTTCCAATAACAGCAACTGTGCAAATCTAAATGTATTGTTCTTTTAACCAATATTAACTAATGTCTTTGACAGAGAACAATCAAGAAAGTTGTGAATCTGAATGTTTGCATTTCTGTGGTTAAGGGTAATCATGTTAGTTTAATCAAAATGTTATGAGTTGATTACAAGAGAAGACATTGTTAACTTGGCCCGGCGTAGTGGCTGATCTCTGTAATCCCAGCACTTTGGGAGGCTGAGGCAGCAGAATTGCTTGAACCCAGGAGTTCAAGACCAGCCTGAGCAACATAGTGAGATCCCATCTCCACTAAAAATTTTTAAAAAATTAGTCAGGCATGGTGGCATGTGTCTATAGTCCCAGCTACTCGGGATGCTGAAGCAGTAGAATTGCTTGAGCTTAGGAGGTCCAGGGTGCAGTAAGCCATGATCACACCACTGCACTCCAGCCCAGGCGACAGAGCAAGACCCTGCCTCATAAAAAAAAAAAAAAAAAAAAAGGGCCAGGTGTGGTGGCTCACACCTGTAATCCCAGCACTTTGGGAGGTTGAGGCAGGCAGATCACGAGGTCAGGAGATCCAGACCATCCTGGCTAACACAGTGAAACCCCGTCTCTACTAAAAATACAAAAAATTAGCCGGGCGTGGTGGCGGGCGCCTGTAGTCCCAGCTACTCGGGAGGCTGAGGCAGGAGAATGGCGTGAACCTGGGAGGCGGAGCTTGTGGTGAGCCGAGATCGCGCCACTGCACTCCAGCCTGGGTGACAGAGCGAGACTCCGTCTCAAAAAAAAAAAAAAAAAAAAGATATTATTAACTAAACCTGCTCTATATTGAAATTGAAGATTCATGCTTAAGTAAAATAAAGCAACTGCATTTTTTTCTTTAAAATTGCCCCCATAAATGTCAGACTAAACAAAGCAAATGGCTAGCCTAGCTTAATAGAAGTATTAACACCAACGATCACAAATGCTGTATTTCTAATTATTCTTTCCTGCTATCTAACTATAATGCATTTACCCTATGTATTGTACTAATTGTCTACTAGAGTTAACAATTAGTAGGAATTCAAATACCATTCATTGTCTTGTACTGGAAACATCAGCCAGTGATAATAAAAATTAATTCCCTACAAGGAAACAGGGGATTTGTAAAATCTTATAAAGAGGAGAAAATGTCCTTCGAGGAATTTGGGGAAGAATATTATTGAAGCAGAACCCAATAGGATTCACACAAAAAATTGAATCCTATTAGGATTGTGTGGTAGGTGTTCATGAAGTGAAAGATACATGTTATTTACCACCAACTTAAAAGAGTTGAAAACAACGATCTTCCCAGTAGTCTAAAGGGCATAGGCCACAGTGCCCCCTGGTTCAATGAGAGCTAATTACCCTCCCCCATTGTCTGGGTGTACTCCTAGTCTCTTCTGCAGGAGCCAGAAGTGTTCCTACTGCCAGACTGTAGCATGACAGAGGACATGGTCTAACCCTGATGCTCTAACTTTCCTTGGATAGCTCTGAGAAGTTGTCTGTGAGGTGCTCTTCTCCCTACTTGAGAAACTGATACTGCCTCCAAAGCATCCTGCCACCCCAATCTATTGTCCTTCCTCCATTCTTCCCCGGAGGGGGCTCTCCTGTCTGCAGCTAATGTATCATGCAGAGGGACAATAGGTGCTCAGTAAATACCTTTGAGTAACTTAACACCATAAACCAGTATATTTCCATTTTTCCAGGGTGTTTCATTTCTTTATTCCTTATCCTCTCCTAGACTTTAGCTAGCTAATGTGGTAAACCAACTCACATCTGTGTAGTTACGGATTATACAGGTACCTTTTTCGGCCACATATTTGTATTGTAACAAGAACTCAGGCAAAGTTTTATTCATAGTTAAGAAAAACTCAGGCCAGGCGCGGTGGCTCACGCCTGTAATCCCAGCACTAGGAGGCCAAGGCGGGTGGATAACCTAAGGTCAGGAGTTCGAGACCAGCCTGACCAACAGGGAGAAACCCCATCTCTACTAAAAATACAAAATTAGCCAGGCGTGGTGGTGCATGCCTGTAATTCCAGGTACTCTGGAAGCTGAGGCAGGAGAGTCGCTTGAATCTGGGAGGCGGAGGTTGCGGTGAGCCGAGATTGCACCATTGCACTCCAGCCTGGGCAACAAGAGCAAAGCTCTGTCTCAAAAAAGAAAAAAAAAGAAAAAAAGAAGAATAAGAACTCTTGGGATCTATAAGTTTGGGACACTTGGTACTGGTTTGAGCAAATTTGGGTTGCGGAAGAAAAGACAGGATCAAGCCTACTTCAGTGAACTGCACAAGAATCATTGCCGGGGAAAAAAGAGTTGTTTTGTGGTAGAACCCTACTTTTGAAAAGTAGCCTGCATTAAGGCTAGGAATTGAGACAAAGCTATGTTAAGCCAAACAGAGGAGGTTTGGAGCATCATGTATAATGGCCATTCTGGTAACACAGACGTTGTTCTTATAAGCGTTTATCATCCAACCATAAAGTATCTAATCCACAGTGGTAATGTGCCCATCTGCAGTTAGGTAGAGACAGAAAGAATAAAATAGTCATATGATGTACAGTTGTTATTATCAAGGAATCTCTACACCACAGTCAAATGAAAGTCAGCAAATAGAGCAGCTTCTTCACCCAGCAGAGGAGAGAATGCCTGGCCCAATGCCAGAATGTTGATGGCTGTGGTTGTTTCTTTGGTCAGGAAAGAGGGGAAGATCTCAAAGGCTCTTGAATCAAGTGCTTCACTTCTATAGAGAACAAGACCCAAGATCTAGGTGCTTATCAAAATGAAAGGAACTCTGGGACCTGCTTCATTGTATCAAAGCCCTAATAGAACATGTCTAGTGGTAGTTATCCATATGTGGATCCAACCATCTGAATTCTCCAAACCACATTGATTTTTAAATCCACGACTGGATTTTTCTAACCATTACTACCAGTAGAATAAGGTTCAGATGGGACTAGAAGAAACTGTAAAGTGCCATGGTTTAAATAAGAATAGAAATTTCTTGCTGTCACACATGAAAGCCCAGAGGGAGGTGGTCCAAGCTAATAGAGCAGTGCCAGACTCTCCTATCTTGTCCTTCTGCCTCATATGGTTTACATTCCTTATGATTTTCTCTTTTTTTTTTTTTTTTTTTTTTTTTTTGAGACAGAATCTCACTGTTTCGCCAGGCTGGAGGGTAGTGGTGCGATCTCAGCTCACTGCAACCTCCAACACCCTGGTTCAAGCAATTCTCCTGCCTCAGCCTCCCGAGTAGCTGGGATTGCAGACACGCACCACCATGCCCAGCTAATTTTTATATTTTTAGTAGAGACGGGGTTTCACCATGTTGGCTAGGATGGTTTTGATCTCCTTACCTCGTGATCCACCCACTTTGGCCTCCCAAAGTGCCGGGATTACAGGCGTAAGCCACCGTGCCCAGCCTACATTCCTCATGATTTTCATTCCCGAAGTTACCTCATGGTCTAGGATGATTGTTGAAAAACCACCCCTTATGTCCACTTTCCAAAAAGTGGGAGGATGATGAAGGACATGGCTTATCGTTTTAAGAACACTTCCTAGCAGTTGCCCCATCCTTTCTGCTAACATCCCATTGGCCAGTGCTTGGTCACATAGGATAGGAAACATTATTTGAGGAAGGTAGCCATATGTCCAGCAAAAAATAGAGGTTCTCTTAACTCTGAAAGAAGGAGTTAATGGGTATTAGGGACATCTAGCATCTCAGCCTGCAGCCAGCCCCCTACCAAGGTTATCTCCTTCTAACTTCAGTTGATCTGTGCTAAGAGAACACATGCAAATTCTTACTATCATTTAAGAAATGCATAGGAAAGGCCGGGCACGGTGGCTCATGCCTGTGCTGAGGCGGGCAGGTCACAAGGTCAAGAGATGGAGACCATCCTGGCCAACATGATGAAACCCCATCTCTACCAAAAATACAAAAATTAGCTGCGCGTGGTGCCACGCGCCTGTAGTCACAGCTACTTGGCAGGCTGAGACAGGAGAATCACTTCAACCCCGGAGGCAGAGATTGCAGTAAGCCGAGATCATGCCACTCACTGCATTCCAGCCTAGGGACAGAGCGAAACTCCGTCTCAAAAAAAAAAAAAAAAAAAAAGAAAGAAAGAAATCCATAGGAAAACAAATTTGAAGAGTTGTTAGAAAAGATGTAATTGATTTCAGTGATTTATGCATAGTTCCTATTTTGCATAATTTGAACGATCACTGCTCTATGTGCAGTTAACCTTGAGTAACTTTTTGAGAAAATATGTTGAACTTGGATTAATTTGCCACTACCATATGTATGAATAAATACGTAATTGGTCACCAACAAGCTACGTAGATGTTCAAATAAATATTTTGTGGAATACAATGCATCTAGAATTATCTTTTCCCTAAAATTAAATAGGACATTAGGTCTTCTAGTACTGTAGCTGCCAATCAATTAAAGTCCCGATAATTATCTGTCTCATTTCAAGAATATTACCAATTTCCTCACCAAGAAGATTTGAAGAAAATTTAGAAATTTAATGTAGAAGAAATGGCATTCATATTTAAAATAAAAGTGTATCTTAGAAAGTTGACCAGATTGTCACAGCTTTTTGAGCGGAAGGCTGCTTAAGTCGAATGTCACATTTTGAATAGTGTGCTAACACATTTAGGCTTAATTGTAGGCAGGAAGAGCTATTGATAATCAAAACAAAATGTGGGTGGGAAGTGCAAATGTTCTCAATAACTTTGATAGATACTGTTTTATTGGCTACTATCAGACTGGCACCAAACTACTTAGATAATCATGCCTATGGTTGGATGGGGAATAGGATGGTGTGATTTTGTATGGTTCAGATCCTGTAGTAATACTTGCCAGGATAATTTTACTTCTGCATTTTCAGACATACAAAATAACATTTAAGAGGTACTGTAGATTAGTAGCTTGGGCAAGGAAATGTCCACTGTGGCTGCACTGAGTTCACCCACTTATAACTAACTATAAGTGATAAACTCAAAAGGGAGAGATTGCAACCAGCAAAGGCAACCTGAAATGTAAACTCTGTTTGTCATGAAGTTAGGCCCATGAAAACAGGACCATGTGATATCTTCTGACCAAGGACTGAAAATAATAATATTCATATTTATTCATTGACTGCCTACTACAACCCAAGCCCTGTGCTTATAAAATTACATATCACCCTCCATGTTTTTCATTCCCTCCTGGCTGGTTCTCTGGTTTTACTGTCAGCTTGCTCCTTGTGAGTGCTTTCTTCTCACCAGCAGGGACAATCACCAAATAAAGCTTTGGTGGATGTTTCTGTATTTATGAGCATACTGAATCCTAGTCTATGACTCCTTTCCTCTGTTTTTTCACTAGAGAGAGAATTATGGACTTACAGTGTTAAAAGTATGGCTTTTTCACTCCTGTAAAATATTTTTTTCACTCCTGTAAAATGTTTACTCCTATCGATTGCACCAGGGAGCTAAATTCTATTTAGTTCAACAAGCCTATATCGAGCATTGTCTGCAAACTATGCCCTGTATCAGCTTCGGGGCATACAAAGAGGAATAAGACATAGTATCTGCCCTCTGTGAACTCCAGTCTAGCAAGGATGCAGAGAAGCAAATAGACAATTCAAATGCATTGTGATCACTGATAAGAGAAACGTGTGTTCTATATACATCTGATGGCACAGAGCAGAGTGCAGAGCCCCGCTTTAGTGGAACTGGGAGCATTGGCTTTTGTCTGTCGGAAAAAGGCAAGTGCAAGTAAGTAATACAGTGAAGTTTAAGAGCATTTGCCATTTAGTCCAATGTTTCCCAAACTTTGCAGTACATCAGAATCACCTGGGAAGCCTCTAAAAATACTGATACCAAAATCACACCCCATATTAATTAAATGACAGTGTCTGGGGATGGAAGCCCAGCATTTGTAGTTCTTGAAGATCCGCAGGTGATTCTGATGTGCAGCAGAGTGTCCTAAGGGATAGAATCTCATCAGAAAAGGAAAGATGTCCTTGAAGTCAAGAGAAACCACATGAGCAAAGGTCTAGAGATTGGAAGGCGCATGGCACACTGGAGGGTAGGGGAGTCTGCAAAGACCAGTTTAGCTAGAGCACAGGAGAAGATGCAGATACAGTTGGATTTGTAGGATGGGACCAGATGGTAGAGACCTTGAAAGCCGAGCTTAGATATTTGAACTTAGCCCTACAGACAATATATAGACTATGGAGATTTTCAAAACAAGACCTATGTGTTAAGACGTCACTTTTGATCACTATGATGCTCATATTTAGACTTTTACAGTAAAATACTTCTTCATTTTCTCTCACTTATCTTTAAGCCAACCAAACGCACCAGTCACCTTCCTCCTCATGAAACACTCTTCCCTGATCAATGGTGTGCTGTGATAAATAGAATCATGTATTCATATGAAAGGATAGACAACCAAGAATATTTAAGGATTGCCAAAGGACTCCCTACCAAAAAAAGCTCTCATACCAGCCTACCAGAATATGTCTGAATTTCCCACCCACTGGCAATTCCTTTGAGTGAAAGTCCCCAGTGGTTTGTTATGATACAGGTGATCTCCGGAAAGGCACACAGTGAGCATCACTGGCTGATAGCAGCCGTGTGTTTCTCAGATTAGTACCCCCAGACCCTAAAAGAATGAGCCATGGGGCTGGTATCTTTTCTTGCCATGGAACTGAGAAGTGGTAGAAGGAAGGATTTGATGTTTAAGAAAGAGAAGAGTAATGTGCTACAGATCGGGAAGCTGAGCTGCCAGAGCCAGAGGCAGACCTGCAGCCCTACGAGGTGGCGTGAATTAACCCAGGTACCTGAAGGGGAAAGGCCCCACTGAACAGGCAACAGTGAGACATATTAAGTAAGTTTTGCCCTTTCCCCACCCATTTCCAAGGCCTATTGCTCTAAAGTACAAAGTTGGGGAAACTGAACTAGCTATACAGAGACCCGATTTTGTGCAGTTCCTTCAACTTCCCAAAAGGCAGTTAAGTCACTTAAAGTAAGTATAAGCCTGTGTTTGTAACTTATGGCATAGTAAGGAGTAGGTGAGGGTCAAAACAAAGTCAGATAGCAGTATGCCTCAGCGCAAAAACCTGAAAGCTGTCCAATGTGACAGAAAATTATGAATAAAGTAAGACAATCATGCATATTACATTACTATCTACTCCTTATTAAGAGCTCTCTATATGCTGGGCACTGGCCTGGGTGTTTTATGTAAGTTGCCTTGTTTTGTCCTCACATCAGCCCTGCAAGTTAAGTGTGATGGTCGCTATTTGAAGATGAGGAAATGGATGTTCTCAAAGCTACTGCCTTGCTCAGCAGCGTGACGAGGATGGAGTGGAATCATCATCCAAACCAAGACTATACTCTGTAGCTGTGAAATAAAGTTAAATAACCCCCCAAGAATTCTAAATGATGACCAGATGTTTCTTGGATCACCTCTCAGGCACCAGAGTCCAAGGGTCCCTTTTGTAGATGCTTGGCCAGGAGTTACAAACTCAAAAAAAGCTCCCAGGTCAATGAGTGGTGCAGGCTGGGCTTGACATGTACATGCATATATTACATGAGTGATGATGGGGATTTGAGGTATATAGGGAACATGACCTGTTCTAGGGAAGCAGCTCCAGTTGTCAGCATAGAAGAATGCTAGCCCTATGTAGCAAGTCTTCCCATTTTTCACCAGAAGCCAAAATCCTAGATTTCTTATGTGACATATGATATATGTTTAAATGTGGGCTCAGTTCAAAAGAATGAATCTTCAGGGACTTTCTTTTATCTGGCAATATGCCAAATTAGAATTTCAAAATCCTCTCACAGAATGCCACATCTACTAAAGTATAGGATATAATATAAAATTATACGTATTTTCTTAAAGGTATGGCTGAGCTGCAGGCAAAGAATTCATCACAGGCTAGGAACAGCAAGAAAGCCAGAATCCATAGGAGCAAGAGAATGCCCTAGCCAGCATTTGCCCATGGGGCATGCGCTAGTCTCTAGTGGCCTGGAGCTAGGGTGACCAGTGGTCCCAGTGTGCTGGGACTTTCTTGGTTTCAACACCGGAAGTCTCATATCCTGGGAAACTCTTCAGACTTTGTAAACCATGTTCTTTAACGTTCCTCAAATCCCCACCATTCACCCTACCCAGAACCTGGTTTTAAGGAGCTAAATTGTTGACATAATGAAAGCCAAGGGCCTGACTAGGGTGAAATGTTAGATCAAAGACTCACAAGCCCCTCCCCGGCATAAAGCTGGACTCCAAAGGGCAGTAACTTCAAAGCTGACCTGTAGAGGAAGATTTTGGGAATAAATTCCTGACTCAGCCTTAACGCTGTCTTAACAATAGCTGGGGAAAAAAGAGGGGGAAAAAAGAGGAGGAAAATGTTTCCTCTGAAGATTGTGAATCATTAGTTTGCACTCATGTGGCTCAGGGACCTAATTCACTCTTTTTGTGTCCCATAAATCCCCCAGCTTCAAATTACAAAAGGGTCCCAGTTGTGTTTCTAATACTCCAGAGAAGAAACTGAAAGAGGGAACTGATGTAATAAGAATGGCAGAAGGTTAGTATTTTCTAAGATTTGGGCAATAGGTATATGAGGATATATTACACTGTTTGAGTACATTTGACATTTTCCATAATGAAAAGTTAAAAAACAATGCAGACTCAGGTTAACAGTACTCCTTGGAATCTGGCAGAACCCATCTCAAATCCTCTCTCAAGGCACTCACTCTAAACTTTACTTACAAATGAAGTTCCAGGTAAAATTAACTCACAATAGAAACTCAATGAAACCATGAGGGGGAAAAAATGACTCATTAGTGAGAGTCAGAAAAAAGCAATAATACACAGAATGAGTCCTCCAAAGACTGCAGAACTGAGAATTATCCAATATAGAATATAATACAGATTACCTAGTAAGGGCTGACAATTAAAATGTCAGTGAACTTCTTTCTGAAAACAATGAAAACCAGAAAACATTAGAATTATATCTTCAGTGTGCTTGAAGATATAATTTGTATCTGAGACAAAATAATTATTGGCCTAGAAGTGAATACTCAGTGAAACTATGCTTCAAGAACAAAGACATTTTCCAAGGCTAGAAAAAAATAATAATAAATTTTCTACCAGTAGATCCTCATTAAACCAATTTCTAGAGAGTTTACATCAGACAGGAGAAGAATGATCTCAGGAAGATCTGAAATGCAAGAACTGTTAAGTAGAGAAAGTGGTAAACACTCTCTATATAACAATAAAAGTACATTACTAAATATGTCAAAGGAGAAATAAATCCTGAGCAATAATAGAACTGGAAATGAGTGGGAAGAGGCATTAAGCAAGTAATGTCCTTATATTGTTAAGGAAAATGATTAATATATTAGTTTGGTAAGTTATATTTGCATGTGAAAAATTCTAGGTTAACAAATTTAAGGGTAGAAATAAAATATAAAATTTCCCATCTAGTAGAAAAAGTAGGGGGAAAGTTAAATAGTAAGGAGGAGAAACACAAACCAAAAGAAAACATGAAAAAAAAGAAAAATACAGAAAAGCTGGACAACTAGAAAGCATAAAATAAAAGGTAGAAATCTGAACATAGAGGATTTGTAATAAATGTACATAGACTAAAATCTCTAGTTAAAAGGCAAAGATTATCAAGCAGCTATATAGCTGTTTAGATATAATAAATCTAAACATCAACACAGGAAAATTGAAAGTAAAAGGACAGAAAAATAAATACCACACAATCTTAAAGAAAAGAAACCTGGTATAGCTGTATTAATAACAGAAAAAAATATATTTTAAACAAAGACTTTTTGAACTGTACTCATCTGTGAGTCATGAAATCGATTTGGGAGTTAAGTTTGGCATTTGCTTTTGTTTTGTTTTTATTTCTTTTTTCCCAGTGAAAATATTGGAGTGTCATACAAGTATTAAGGAAAAATATTGTGACATTTTGGTCACATTTATAAATCGGTACACATACAAAGGTGTACTGGTTTATGATATAAAAAATAATGTATTACTGTGGATAGTAGTCTAAAAAGTTTGAAAGGCATGGCCCTAGAAAAACCCTTAACAAGTATATCAGGAAATATATAGCACAGTGATTGTGGTAACATTGTCATCATAGCAAAAATTAGAAAATAACCCAAATGTTCATTGACAGTGGAAAGGACAGACAAATTTTGAAATACCTATACTATGGAATACTATACAGCAGTGAAAATTAATGAACTTCAGCTGCAAGTACCATGATAGATTCATTTGAAAAGCAATGTTGATTGGAAAAAAAAAAGCCAATTGTAGCAGAACACTTACAGGATGATTCTATTTGTTTAGTGAGCAAAACTAAACAATATGGTAAGAAGGAACAAACAGCAAATTAATGAATAACATGAAATTAACAAGATAGTTACTTTATCAACGGGTAGTGGTGATTGAAGGATGTAATCAGAGAGGAGCACATGAGTAATTTAAAAACATGGTTAAAGTTGTTAGGATGGGTTATGCTGATGATTTAAATTTAATAATTTGATAATATGCATTCTTGTATTTGAAGTGTATTTTGTAATTTTTTTAAGTTAAAAACACCATCCAAAACAAAACGCAACACGTCTATGTGCCACATCAGCCTGCCTTTGGTTTGCTCGTCTGATCTGTGCCATTCATCCCCCATCCCAGTCCTCTTCCTGTCTACCTTTGGAGCAGCTCTTTGGCATCACAAGAGAGATGCCAAGAGGAGAGAGAGAGGGAAAGAAAGGGACATGTCCCTAACACAACTATAAAGTTTCAGGTTATCATTCTGAAGCATATCAGGTGTCAGAGGAGGAGCTAAAAACAGAGGTTGTGGGCAACCCTTGAATTCTCATCTTTTTTCCTCTGTTCTCCCACAGATGATTCCGAGTTTACTAGACATTATAGATAGGTTGAACTGTCTGTGGTTTAGGTGCTGTGAAAACTAGGATTTCTTATGCCTGAAGGGAATAAAAAATCAGCGACTGAAAAGCAGCAGTGATTCATGTATTTATTTTTTAAAAAGGCTGGCAACAAATGACTTGTAGATTTACAAAAACCCTATAATCTAGCTTGGAAGTCACTGTCCCTATTGTAAGAACTCAGTCACAGGTACTTAATGAAAAACCGCAGCCATGAAAATGATCCACACACTCATTCCACCAGTGCGACCAAACCAAATAGGGTTCATTTGCCCCCACACAAAGGAAAGCCCAACATCACAGCACCAGTCTCTTGCAGAGAAAGGTTTACTGCAAAGCAACCGAATGAGGAGACAGGAGGCTAACTCAAATCTATCTCCCATGCCAGCCTAAAAGCAGTATACTGAGGGGAGAAATTTTGGGAGGAGGATTTCGGGATTGGCGAGTGATTTGGTGGAGGAAAGGGGGAAGTTTGTAAAATCCCTAGGGTGTATGCAGTTGTCTCTTCATGCCTCTTCATGAGTCACATGTGCAAATGCAGGGGGAGTTGGTCTGAAACATATGGTGGAAATTCCAGCTATGATGTCAAAAGGTCACTCATCCAGCAAGCAAGTCTATTCTGTGCAGATTCTAGTCAGCTATATTGGTTCCAAACAGTTTCAGCCCGTTTTGCCATTTAGCAAGCCAAGGGGATTTCAACAAGCTGTTTCCTTATCTGCCATCCTGGAAAACAACATCAAGAATTCCTGTTAGTCACCAGTTTCTTTAATCCACAGTTTCACCTGGATTCCCAATGATATGTCCATTAAATCTGGCATGTTTGAGAAATACATTAGCTTGAGAGAGATGTAAAATGCTAGAATGATAAATTGGGTGAGGACTGTGGCAAATTGTGGAGATGAAAATTGAGTTGTTTAATGAAATGTGTGACTGAGAAAAGTAGGTAGGAAAGGGATCTTGAGAACAGGGTGTTCTTGGCTTGAATGAATTCAAAGAGGATGTGCCAGAGAAATAGAAAATGGGATATAGGGAAAGGAAAACTATGTATGTTTCCAGTTAATCTGTTACAAGGTAGAGCTGATCTGGGTACTTTTTAATGAGTCATAGACATGCAACCAAGGCTTACTGCTTCTAAAGAGAAATCCTCATTTTTTGAAAACGGTAGTGTCTGGAAAAATAACTTATCAATGTCAGTCTTAATTTCTTTCATCAGCCCATCGATAGAATGTGAGAAGAGTCATTTAGCAATCATCTTATCGCTGGTACAGTGTCTGCTCCACTCATTTTGCACAGGATCAGATAAAAGGATGATGTTTTCTTTATCTTTGCTTTGCCACTTTCTTGCAGCTGAAAGCTTTTCAGGAAGGGGGAAGAGCAAGCTGAGAGGTTACTAGGTTATGAAACATTGTTACAGCCAAGCCAGGAGCATTGAATCAATTTCCAATATGTTTCTTATGTAGCTAAAACCTATACTCTGGCGATGTTATTGTTTGATTATAAAAGCTGGAGGAATTTGAAGAGAGACTTTCATGCCGTGGTGATAAACCGTCTCTGCCTGTAACTCCATTGTGTCAGCTCCCAAACAGAGGGGAAATATATTTTAAAGTGAGTTTCTGCCCATTTGAAAACTCAGGCCTGAGTTCTACCTTCAGAGGCCATTTGGAAGGAATCCTAAGTGTACAAGAACATATTTGGAGTGGGCATTGGCCGCCCTGCTTCCAAATGAATGTGTCGCATTTCCAAAGATGTCATTTCCCCTCACCATTGACCCAGTCAAAATGTTTTCCTGGTCTCAAAGTATTTATCTATAATTCTGCTTCAAAACATGTTTAAATAAATCAGTCCCTTTCCTATACAACCTAAATTTTTTTTTAAAAGAACTTATTTTCTGGGTTTTAATTGAGTCAGGTTTTTCTAAGGAGATTTAAAACTGTTGGAGAGACAGGGTAATATGGTAATGAATGTTGGTGGTGGGGCAGGGAGGAATCAAAAGCATAGTTTTGGGTTCTGTCAAAATGCTTCATCTCTGTCTCTCTGCGTGTCTAACTCTCCTCAACCACAGAGAGAGGTTATTCTAGATACACTCTAATGCTTTTCCCTGGCCCAAGTTTCTGCAACTTTTTGAGGGAGGTAGGTGTACTACCTGAACTTCATAATGTCTGCCCTTTTCAAGTTCCCATTTCCTAAGGCTCTGTGGGGAGACAATGTTTCAGTCATCGGACCTAAGTACACTAGAAAATTTGCAAAGCTTATCCAGCTATTTCTGGACAGAACTTAGACCTTGTTGGTAATGTTACCAGCATGTATTTGCCTCAAGTTTTGCATTTTTGAGTGTGTTTTCATTGATTCCTGCAACAGTCTCACAGCCTGGGTGCTATGGTCACACAGGCCTCCTCCAGTTCTCCCTTTGCCAAGGAACTGAGCAAGTTCCTGAACCTCTTTGAGCCCCAATTCCTCATCTGCCAAATGGAGATAATACTACTAATGATAGTTAAAGCATTATGGAGAGCATTAAATGTGCTTTTGCATCTGAGTGTTTGATACCATTCCAGGTGCTAGCAGGAACTCAAGCATCGATCTTCATTATTATTATAGTTATTATTATTATTATTATTATTATTATTTTGCCATTTAGCATTTTTTTTTCTGAGACAGAATCTCGCTCTGTCACCCAGGCTGGAGTGTAGCGGCACGATCTCGGCTCACTGCACACCCTCCACCTCCCAGGTTCAAGCGATTCTCCTGCCTTAGCCTCCTGAGTAGCTGGGATTACAGGCGCGCGCCACCATGCCCAGCTAATTTTTGTATTTTTAGTTGAGACGGGGTTTCACCATGTTGGTCAGGCTGGTCTTGAACTCTTGACCTCATGATCTGCCCGCCTTGGCCTTCCAAAGTGCTGGGATTACAGGCACGAGCCACCATGCCCGGCCTATAGTTATTATTAAAAAGGGTTGTCTGAGGTAAAAGTAGCTAGATATAATCTTTCTGAATGATGCAGAAGTCATGGCATAAAAAAGCATTGTGCCTTGCCCGTAATTCACCATGAGTTGGTAACAGGGTTCATATTGACGAATAGACTGCCTTAAGGATGGATGAACTTAGTCTTAAAAGTTCCTGGCCATGAGCCTCACACATGATGAGAAAGGCCTAAGATGACCTTCTGTTTCTCCAGCCAACTCTCAAGCAGGGGATGCCCTCTTACTACAGGTGCCTAAACCACAACCACCAGGCACATGCAATATCTCACTTCAACTTGCTACCCATTCAGTGCCTTCATCCTCTTCCTCCCAGATTGTCCTCATGGCCTGGGGCTTTGCCCAATAGTTAGGTTCCAGCCAGTAAGAAGGAGCTAATGGGAAAAATGCTAGCTGCTCCACAGGTAGGAGTGAGTCAGTTTCATTTTCTGGTACTCAAACCTCAAGGCACAGCCATAAACCAAGTTCACTTCAGTTACTAAATATTTATTAGGCATTGACTTCATTCCAGGCATTGTGCTGAACCCTAGGGCTATAAAAATGGAGAATACATGGGCTTTCCATTTGATGAGCTTATCCAATCTGATTCTGAACTAGAATTCTTCTTTACATCATTTTCTGAAACTTTAGTTGAAGACTGAATCACTCTAATATCTTGCCTCAATATTGGACTCTACAAAAAGTTCATATTTCCCTGGCCTGTTTTTTAAAAACATTCTTTGGACATTACCAAAAAGACTTGATGTCTATAGATAATCCTGTCATTGTAAATAATCAAGAATTTACGTGCCTTAGTAGTTCCCAAATTATGTGAACTTACTCTTCTTGACATGCTGGCAAAGACAAATAATTTCTTTAAAACAGATGGCATGCAGAGCCATTGTTGAAATGTCAACTCTGCTGCTGTTTATTGCCCTACTTCTTCAGGGAGTGATTTGCATGTTGGATTCCCCTGAGCATTTGGTCTGCAGTGCAGAGGAGTTGGGAAGCTTAGTTGGTTATTACTTCCTAATAAACCCCTTGGATATTAAAATGAGGTATGGTAATGACAGAAGATATAAACATGACTATTTTGGGTGACTAGTCAACCCATGTGCATTATTGTCTTGCTTGAATAAATAGTAGGTGGCTTTGTTTGATTATTTACAGTGTTATTCAGGATTATAATGACATTTACAACAGTCTAGTTTGGGGTCTTCCAGAAGTACTTGCTGTAACAAAAATTCAAGGGCAAGTAAGTTATCAGCAAGTACAGGAAAGATCGATAGGGGAAGTCAGACAGAGAAGAGAAACCAGCCAATAAAAACATGTTATCGTGCCAGCTACCACCAGGACCAGATACATAATTTGCAAAATAAAATGCAGAATATCTTGCTCAAAAGCTGTTAGAATTTCAAGACAGCAGCAGCAGGTCACAAAGCCCTGTTTAACTGTGCATGCCACAGACACATGTCTTCAGCCTGGCTACAACTTTAGCTTAGCCTGTGGGAAATGCTGGAGTATAGAATGCGAGTCTCAAGAGTTTTCTCACCTGAGGAATGAGGGAGCTGGGTATCCATCTCCACCTCCCATCACTGATTATTCCTGAGCTGCTTCTGGAGCTGTTACCTTTGGGCAAAGAGATATGGCTGCCGGCAGTTGGACATGCTCAAGTAGTAAAGCCCCGTGGAAGGGGATGGGTCACCCACAGTGCCCTGCATGCCACCCAAATATCAAGGAATCTCCCAGGATCCAGAGCCAGGGCCAAATGTCTAGAAATGGGCTACCTCAATGAGGGCACACCTGCTGAAGTCCCCCCTTGAAAAACATTCCCTCAAAACCCTTGCTTTCTCCCTGCTGCTGAGTCAACTCTTTAATCAACCAGGATGTCCATCATTTCTACAGGTGGAAGGTACACCATATAATAAGAATGTGGGGAGAGGGGGCATTAAAGGCATTCTCCTGAGTTCTTAAAAATGCAGGCACATTTGTTTTCCAAAGAGTATGACCCTAGACAAGCTACTTTCCCTCTCCACCCCCTGAGCCTCCTTTGCCTCATCTGGGAAATGGATTTAGAATTGTTCTCAGACCATTTCCATAAGATTTGAGGAGTTTACATCAGAAACATATTGGGAAAGCCATTTTGAAACACCAGATTCATTTCTAAGTAATAATAATGTCTCTTCAAGCTTGAGGTGGGGGATTAGTAGCAAGGTGGCTTTCTTGACTTTATCTTAAATAAGCCATCTTTCATCATGTGTTTATTCGAAGGAGGTATAAAAATTGTGTTTGAATTAGAAAATGTTCTCCCTTCATTTTGGCTCTTTAATCATTGCTGTGTGCCACAAACGCTATCTCCTTAAGTACTGTGATGGTTAATTTCATATGTTGACTGGGCCATCGGGTGCCCAGATATTTGGTCAAACATGATCCTGGGTGTTTTCATAAAGGTGTGTTTGGATGAGATTAACTTTTAAATTGGTAAACTGAGTAAATCAGATGGTGCCTTCTTATGTGGTGGGCCTTATCCAATCAGTTGAAGGCCCAAGTAGAACAAAAAGGCTAATCCTCTCCCAAGTAAGAGGGAATTATTTTTCCTGCCTGACTACCTTTCAACTGGGACATTTCTTTTTCCTGTCTTTGTGCTTGAACTGAAACATCAGCTCTTCATGGGTCTTGAGCTTGCTGGGCCTTTGCACTAGAATAACAAATCGGCTCTCCTGGGTCTCCAGCTTGCTGGCTTACCCTGAAGATCTTGGGAATTGTCCGCTTTGGTATCATGTGAGCCAATTCTTTATTTTATACACACATCTTCTATTGGTTCTGTTTCTCTGGAGAACCCTGACTTACGCAATGGCATATAATTAGATTTTAACAGGATAATTAGAATATCAACTAGAGGAAGTTGAATTGCTGTCATCTTTCCATGTTTGCTTCATCCAGGCCAAAGAAAACTAAGCCAATAAACTTATTCTACAAACTGGGCAGGGGGTGGGTAGAGACTACAGATGCCAAGATTCAGACACCAGCCAGCCTGAATCATCATCCTTTATGTAAAACAGTGGTACAGGGGCCCTAGTGAAGAGGCTTTATTAAAAGCCTTTCCGTTTAGCCCTCTGAGTTCATGTGGAACAAAGCTCAATGCTTTTACTTTTTAGACTGAGTCTGAATTCAAAACTCATTTTGATGTCTGTAAGATGTGAACTTCCTCACAGAGGAGTATGCCTTCTGCAGAGATGTTTGTTCCCCTCACCGTAAGGGAACCAAAGATGCCAGAGGCCTGTGCACGGGGGAAGGGCCCAAGGCCCCTAAAACCTGCATGCCTGCAAATGGCATATTTATTCAGTATGCAGTTATGGGTACCTATTAGAGAAATTTGGGTTTTAGAGCAAACTTTCTCTATGGGCAAAAAATGATGACTTCAGGGATGCATCAGATGCTCCTGCTAAAATCAGTGAGAGTTGCTCTTCTTGTAGATAATTGTGCTGACTGGACAGAATAGAGGATGACAATTAATGCACTGCATTTTACACATTGCCCTGTTCTACAAGAAGACTGGTCTGCCAGGGAACTCAGATGAAATGGTCTTTTCCCCCTTGAACCAGTGTGTCCAGATTCCACAGTGGGCAGGCTGCTGTGCTGAATTTGCACTAGGTCTTCCTTTGTACATCTAAGTTGTATTGGATGGTGGTATGAAACTGCCAGGTAGAAAGGCAATCCACTATGCACGGTGTGAAAAATCCCCACTTTTCACCAACCCCTGCCTGAGAAAGCAACACCCTAGAGACACATGCAGGGACCTGCTTTCACTTCAGTAATTGCACAGGGATCTTTTAATCCAGACAGATATTGGGACCAGCAATGGAACCCTGCTAAGTTGAATGAAGTGTCCCAGGATGATGGAGGCCTTGAAATAGGAGAACAGGCTGTAGGCATGTGCATTGCTCCACAATAAACCATACCCATTAGTGAGTTTATATTTACAAGCATAGATAATAAACTTGGCTTCTGGAATAGAGTTCTGCAGGCATATGGAATACAAGTATCTCAGTCCATTTGTGATGGATATAAAGGAATACCTGAGGCTGTGCTGGGTAATTTATCGAAGAAAACAGGTTTATTTGGCTTGTGGTTCTGCAGGCCGTACAAGCATGGTGCCAGTGTCTGCTTCTGTTGAGACCTCAGGAAGCCTCCACTCATGCTGGAAGGCAAAGGGAAGCAGGCACCACATGGCAAGAGAAGAAAGAAGAGAGGAAGAGGTGCCAGGCTCTTTTTAACAACCAGCTTTTGGGGGATAGAGGGAAATCTCTCTCAGGAACTAAAGGTGAGAACCCACTCCCTCCTGTGAGAATGGCACCAAGCTATTCATGAGGGATCCACCCCTATGATCCAAACGCCTCCCACCAAGACAGATTTCACTGGGGATCAAATTTCAACATGAGACTATAACAAGAAGCTAAGAGGACTTCTTCTGAAACAAATAAATGGGCTGAGCTGTGTCTTTCAGAGTGAAGTTTCTCCTTCCCCTGCACATTTAAGCAGATGTAGCTGTCACAAACCTTTGAAGCCCTAGCATGTTCTGTTCTGCTGCAATCCTCAGGACCCCACAGGGAGACCTGCTCAGTCTGCCTCATCCTCCTCATTTGGCTCTATCCTTAATTCTTTCCAAGTGTGCTTGGGCTCCCTAAGTGTCCTGTGACTTGCTTGAGCTTGCAGAGACATTTTCAGCCTTTTATCCTGAAGCTCTCTTAGCTGCCCTGGCTTTCTGCTTAATCCCACCTTCAGCAATGGTACTCACTGTAGTTTTCCTTTCTACTTCCTAGAAACTCTGCTCACAAACAAAATGTTCATGCTTAGCACTAGATATTTCTAATGTGGCCTCCAGCATCACTATTCTGTTCAGCTCCCATGCCTTCTCCTCACCATGGTTACCCTCCTATTATGATCTTTTCCCATGCTATAACTCAGCTCTTTATTTTAGGAGCACCCCCAAGACTGTACTCCCAAGTCTTCACATTTGGAAAAATGAGAAGCTTCTTCAATGCCTTTTCATCTCTTTCTTCTTGTCTCCATAAAATACGCATTTTCTAAAGAAACAAAAGCACATTCAATATTATTTGACATATAATGATCTCATTCTATTGGAAGGCCAAGTTATGGCAGTTACCCTTGATGATACCAACACATATTCTTGATACCATCTTTTGAATTTTTATATATTGGCCTTATGTCAAAATGATTGTTGCATCTTCTCATCAAATTTTCTGTCAAGTCTTCCTTACGCTTCCTGAACACAAAAAAAGACAACAACTTTGCATGTTTCAAACTTAAAATGCAGGGTCAGAGGTGCTAAACTTACTCCTGAGCCTTGACATCTTTCATACAACTTCCCTAGCTTTTCAGAAATCAAGATAATGCACCCTAAACAGAAATGATCCTGAAACAACCATACGTAAGTTTCAGTTATAGTTTTGCCGCTTATTAACTAAACAAACCTTTGCGTCAGTTTCTGTATCTGTAAGCTGGATATACTGATTTTTGCCTTCCCTTACTCGGAGCATGATTGTTGGGAGGATAAAAGGTGGTGAGGCTCATGGCATCATAGTTTAAATGTAAAGTGAGCCCAAAGTGCAAGGGACTCCTTTATACTAGCCTCCAGGGCTCTGCTAGATACTGAAGTCACAGTCATCTGCCAGCCAGTTAACCATTTCCGTTCCTATCAGAACTCTAGTTGAAACACTGTCCTGCGTGGCTAAGCAGACATTTGAAGGTTTTTTTTCCCCCATGTATTTTGTCTTATATGTATTTTAAGTAAAAAAAAAAATGCTACCTTTATAACACTCTTGCTTTCAAAGACCAAAGACCAGAACCTCTTCTCATTAGGTCTGTTACAGAGAGTGAATACAGGTAGGACGAGCCAAAGGGCCTGGGGATACGGCTTGGTAGTGCGTTGATGGTAAATGTGGAAAAATAATTTTAAAAGGACCATCTTTTTCAACTGGAGATTTTCTTTTAGGAAGTGAGATTCGGTTGGGTGCAGCACCTGTAATCCCAGCACTTTGGGAGGCCAAGGCGGGTGGATGGCTTGAGCCCAGGAGTTCGAGACCAGCCTGGGCAATATGACAAAATCCTGTCTCTACAAAAAATACAAAAATTAGCCAGGCATGGTGGCTTGCACCTGTAGCCCCAGCTACTGAGGAGGCTGACGTGGGAGGATGGCTTGAGTCTGGGAGGTGAAGGTTGTAGTGAGTGGAGATACAGTACCACTACACTCCAGCCTGGGCAACAGAGCAAGACACTGTCTCCAAAGTAAGAAAGAAAATGAAACTGAAGAAAAAAAAGAAAAAACTATATCACACCAAATAGGTTTTAAATTATATCAGACTATGTATTTATTTTAAATAATAGCTATAAAACCTCATTAGAAAGGAAGTGCTGACAAAAAGTCTCGACTTCGGCTGGGCATGATGGCTCATGCCTGTAATCCCAGCAACTTTGGGAGTCCGTAGGGGTGGATCACCTGAGGTCAGGAGTTCAAGACCCTGAAACCCCATCTCTACTAAAAATACAAAAATTAGCTGGGTGTGGTGGCATGCAACTGTAGTCCCAGCTACTTGGGAGGCTGAGACAGGAGAATTGCTTGAACCCAGGAGACGGAGGTTGCAGTGAACCAAGATCACGCCATTGCACTCCAGCCTGAGTGACAGAGTGAGAATCCGTCTCAAAAAAAAAAAAGTATCCTGACTTGGTTTTAAATGGTTCACTAGAGTCCATAAGGGAGTAGTAATTGAATTAGAAAAATAAATAAATACCAAAGGAGGGAACTAGAATATAAATATATCCTAGCAACATAATGGAATTTCTTTGAAACAGGGAGAGTAGGGTACGGGTATAGTTGTTGCAGAGCAGCGCAAAGAGCTCTGGACTTGGTGTTAGAAGACCTGGCTTTGAATTCCGGCTTCTGCATATGTGCTCATGTCCCTAAGAGATAATGTTCTCTATGCATTTGTTTTATCTGAAGAATGGAAATAATTACTCCATTTATAGAAAAAGTGTTGCCATAAACTCAACTGAAGTAATGACTCAGAAAGAATGTAGCAGACATTTCCACTCCAGGAGTGAAGCCTGATGAAGGCGGTCATGGCAATCTTCCCTGCCAGTGATTGGTTCAGAAATTCAGGCCTGGGCCAGTCAGTGAACAGCATTTTCCAAGAGATACAAATTTGTCTGGGAATGAGTTTATGACCTTATTTGCCTAATTTTCAAGGGACAGGTGGTTGGAGGTATAGAGAAAGGCACACAGAGAGTCAACTTCTCTCTCCCTTAGACATGGGAGTGTGTGGCTGACTAGTATGGAGCTACTAAAACCTCCTGATAACAGCTTGAAGATAAAACTGATACATAGCAGGGACACAGTGAAGAGAACTGCAGGCAAATAGAGGCGGAGGCCCTGGATTAAGGCAGCCCTGAAGCTTGTTCTAATTCTGCACTGTGAGCTAATACCATTCTTCACCATTTAACATGTTACTTTCCACCAAGAGCATCCTTACTGATTCAGAATGCTTGGTAAACTGAATACAGAAGAAGGTACTATAACCATGTAGCAATCAAGCCTGAAGCTTTGAGGTTTGCACAGGCCCCAATCCAAATCCTGGTTTTCCTACTTATAGCTATAGGCCTACGGGCAAGTTATTGACCTCCTTAAACTTCAGTTTCCTCATAGGAAAAATGTGTCCATTACACATTGCATAATGACATAATACAAGTGAAGCACCTGCCCAGTAGTAAATAATCAACAAATGTTGTTATGCTGCAGAAAGGTGAGGTGTAATGAAGGTCAAATGCATTTGCACAGAGCATATATCAGCTACCTGTAAGGTCCTGAATCAGAGGCTCTGCTCCTTAGATGCCCTCTCTGCAGAGGAGTGTCTGGGGCACACAGCTATGGAAACCAGGGATCCCCACCCTACTGGAAAGAGGTTGATGAATAAGAAGATCCTGAGCTTCAGAGTCAGGCCGGCACTTCTTCAAGTGACCATTTCACTTCTCAGAGTTCTGCTTTCCTCCCCCATAAAATGAAGATAATAATAGCTATTTCCCACGATTATTGAAAAGATAAAGGAGTTCACAAAGCCCTTTGTGACCTGCATAGATCTGGGATTAAGGAATAGCATCAGTCTTGTTCCCTGGTGATTCTTGAAGATGCTTTCTTGCCAACACCACTTTCAGATGCCTCTAATGATTATTCAAGCGTGTACCCTGGGGAAAGCACAGTTCCTTTGCTCATCTGTGTTCAACCAGAGTTCACTGTTTGATTTCAGTTTTGGTTTTCTTTGTTTTGTTTTTTTTTTTTGGCAGGCTGAGTATAAAATGTTTAAAAGCAGGTTCATGGAGGTATAATTTATATATAACAAAATTCATCCTTTTGAAGTGTATAGTTCAGTAAGTTTTTGTAAATGTATACAGTTGTATAACCACTATCACAATCAAGATTTACAACACTTTCATCACCCCAAAATACTCCTTCACGCCTTTTACACCCCACCCTCTCCTAATACCACTGCTCCCAGGGAACCACTGGTCTGCTTTATATCAGTGTAGTTTTGCCTTTGCTAGAATTTCATGTAAATGGAATCAATGATAAAATACATAATATTGGGGGTTTGGCCTCTCTTAATAAGCATAATGCTTTTGAGGGTCATCCATGTTGTATCAGTGGTTTTTTAGTTTGTTTATGTTTTTATTGCCCATTAGTATTTTGTTGTATGAATGTACCACAATTTGTTTATCCACTGGCTGATAAACAATTTGATAGTTTCCGGTTGGGGCTATTATGTGTAAAGCTGCTATAAACATTTGTGTATAAGTCTTTGGGGGGACATATAACAGTAAGAGTATTATAGCTGTGTTGCATGATGGGTATATGTTGCTTGCGTTTTATTTTCTTAACCGTGTCTTTGAAGACAAAATTTTTAATTTTGATTAAATCTAATTTATCATGCTTTTATTTTATGGTTCATGTTTTCTTGCTCTATTTAAGAAATTGATGCCTAATCCAAGGCCACAGAGATACTCCGATATTTTCTTCTGGATGTTTTGTGGTATTAGATCTTGTGTTTGGGTTTATGTGTTAATTTTTATATACAGTGTGAGAAAAGGGTTTACTTTTCTTCAGATGAGTATTTATTGTTTTTAATACCTTTTGTTGAAACACTATCTTTCTTCCGTTAAATTACATTGTCATCTTTGTCAGAAATCAATTGAAAATATATGTGTGAGTCTATTTCCGGAATGTCTGTTCTGTTCCACTGACCTATGTGCAAATCCTTACCCAATACCACACTCTCTTAATGAACGTAGCCTTATAAAGAATTCAGGCAGTGTCAGACCTCTGA
This sequence comes from Homo sapiens, assembly GCF_000001405.40. Lineage (NCBI taxonomy): Eukaryota > Metazoa > Chordata > Mammalia > Primates > Hominidae > Homo > Homo sapiens. Next base: position 132,746,129 of record NC_000002.12, on the reverse strand, counting down.
CCTTGTTTTACTTTATGAAAATGTTTCCATTTTCACATAATTTTAGAATCAATGTGTCAACGTCTTTTTTTAAAAAAAAACCTGATAGTGTTTTGATTAAAATGTCATTGAATCTGTAGATCAATTTGAAGAGAATTGATATCCGAACAATTTTGAGTCTTCTGATCCATGAATATGGCAGATCTCTCCATTTATGTCAGTATTCTTTAAATTTATCTCTACAATGTTTTGTACTTCTTAGTGTACAAGGTTTCACCATTTTATAAGATGTGTTTTTTTCATATTTTGATGCTGTTAGAAATAGTATTGTTTAATTACCAATTATTTATAATACATACTAATACAATTGATTTTGCTAAATTATCCTTGTATGATGTAACCTTGCTAAACCACTTATTAGTTCTCATAGTGTTTTGGGAGATCCCTTAGAGTATTCTACATACACAATTATATTGTCTTCAAATAAAGACAGTTATACTTTATTCTTTCTAATCTCTATGCCTTTTATTTCTTTTCCTTACCTTGTTGCACTGGCTATAACCTCCACTATAATGTTAAATGGAAGTGGTAAGAGCTAACATTCTTAACATGCTCTCAGTCTTAGTGGGGGAACATTCAGTCTATTTTTTTCAAATATGGTGTTATCTGTAGGTTTTCTGTAGATGCCCTTTTACACTTGTACAGAGTGAGAAAGTTCTCTTCTATTCCTAGTTTGCTGTGTCTGTTTTTTTTTTGTCTGTCATGAAAGGATGTTGAATTTTGTTAAATGATTTTTTCTATGTATTTTGAGATAATCATATGGTTTTTCTTTTAATATTGATTTATTTTTAAATGCTAAACAAATTTTACATTCCTTGGGTAAATGCCACTTGGTGAGTAATTTGCTTAATTATGCAAAAATGCTTAATAGCAAATCAATTATTAAACATTCTTGCATCCATTTTCATGAGTTATATTGATCTCTATTTTTCCTCTATGTATGATGTCTTTGAGTTTGATATCAAGGTAATATGGTCATTATAAAATGATGTGGAAAGTGTTTGCTCTTCTCCTGTTTTCTAAAGGAGTTTATAAAGAAATGATCATTTTTTTCATCCTTATAAATTCTGAAGAATTCAATAGTGAAGACATCTAGGCCTATAATATTTCATGAAAATATTTTTAATTCCAAATTCAATTGCCTAAATTGATATAGGACTATTTGGTTTATCTTTTTTCTTGAGTGAGTTCTGGTAGTTGGATTTCTCAAAAAATATTTCCATTTTATCTGAATTGTAAAATGTGTTGGCTTAAGTTTGTTCATACATACATATTATCTGTTATTCACTGGAAGATCTGTAGTGATGCCTCCTTATTCATTCATAATATTGAGAATTTTTGTCTTTTCTCCTTTAGTCAGTGTTTCCTCAATCTAGTTGGAGGTTTGTCAGTTGGATCAGTCATGTAAAATAACCAGCTCTTTGTTTCATTGATTTTTAAATTGTTTTTTTTTTTAATTTTCTTAATTTCAGCTCTCATTTTTATGTCTTCTGCTTAGTTTATGTTTAATATGTTCTTATTTTTCTAGTTTCTTAAAATGAAGTCTCAGAGCACTTATTTTAAGCCTGTCTTATTTGTGCTGTACATTTTTGTTAAGGCACTGTTTAGCTGCATTCCATTGTATTTTCATTCATTTCAAAATATTATTTTCCATTTAATACACAGGAAATTTAGTAGTGTACTGTATAAGTTGTAAATGTTTGGAAATTTTTCTAGACATCTTTCTTCTATTGACTTCTCTTTTAATTCTCTGATGCTCAGAGAACATATTTTCCATGGCTTCGGTGATTTTAAATTTTCTAAGACTTCTTTTATAATGAAGGATATGGTCTATCTTAATCCATGTGTACCCAAAAAGAATATGCATTCTGCCCTTGATGGGTAGAGTGTGCTGCACAATTCACATTGGTCAAAGTTTTAAATTATATTGTTCAGATCTTCTATGCCTTGTGATAGTCTCTCTACTTGTTGTATTAATTACTGAGAGAAGACTTTTCATTTTAATTTTAGATCTGACATTTTCTCTTTTAAGTTCTGTCAGTTTTCTGCTTCATAATTTTGGAGTTCTATTGTTATAGATATACATATTTAGGATTATAATGTCTTGATAAATTTACCTTGTTATAACTATAACATATTTCTTCTGATCCCTGGTAATATTTCCTTTCTAAAGTTTACATTTTCTGATATTAGCATAGTGACTCTAGCTTTCTTTTTATTAGAGTTTGCATGCTATATATTTTTCTGTCCCACTTTTCACCTATCTGTTTTTTATATTTAAAATGAATGTTTTATCTACAGCATATAAATAGGTATATTTTGTATACCAATTTTTATTTTATCCAATCTGACAATCTCAGCCTATTCATTGGAGTGTTTAGACTATTTTAATTTTATGTAATTATCTAAATGGTTGGATTTAAATCTACCATATAATTATTTATTTTCTGATTGTCTCATCTTTCTATTTTCCTCCTTTTCTACCTTTTTGACTTGAATGTTTTTATTGATTCTGCTTTATTTCCTCTTGTAACTTATTAGCTATACCTCTCTATTTTCCTGTTTTAGTGAGTGGTTTAACATTTAAATGTAATTTTATTACATTGTTACTTTATCATAATCTATTTTACATAATATGTTACAGGCTATTTTCATATAACCTCTCCCATCCTTTGTGCTGTTATATATTTTACTTCTATATATGTTAGAAACCTCACAATAAACAAAATATATATATAGATCATATATTACTATTTCTAGTGTTCTCCATTCTTTAATATACATCTGCCCTGCAAATTTTAGCTGCCTTGATCCTCATATCTGTCCCCTTTAACACCTATATTTACCTCCAGGCTATGTTTGTATTCCATCTATGTTTCAGTCTAGAAACCATCTCCAGGCAGTTGGCTGGAGTAACTGTAGGGCTCACTTCATTTGTTTTCCTTGATTCAGAGATCAAATTCTGTGCTTATCTTTCAATGTCAGAAAACACTGCAATTGTGTGTGTGTGTGTGTGCATGTGCACATGTGTTTCTGTAACAATTTAATTCTTCATGGATGGAAGCAAAAATCTATATATATTTTTACCCATATCCATATCCCCTGGTCTGTTGGATTTCATTACTTCTTTTATTATCTTCCTGTAGAGACAGCCATGGGATATTGGTGAATGGAGGGTAGCCACTGAAATGGAAAGATGGACTCATCTCAACTTCAGTCTTCCCTTCGTCAACATTTCAACTACAGTCACATAAAAGAAAAATAAATGATCCTTGATATTCAGCTAAAATAGATTATCTTATAATAATTAAAATCCTTAGAAGCAAGTAAAACATGTTAAAATGAATATTTTTTAAAAGCTTAAGGTTGTGAAGTCTTGAGCTTTCTTCTTTTCTGCATATAATTGAAAAAGTAATTAATACTGATTAAATATGGAGACAAATGGAGAAAAACATTTTTGAACTTTAAATTCTTATCTTTCTGAAGACTTTGATTAAATATCTGTAATTACAGTAATATAGGCAGGCTAAAATTATTTATACTCTTAGAGTATCTAACTTCAAATTTTTAATTTAAAAAAGTTAGAGCAATAATGAATAGGGTGATCTGGCTCCAATGCTCCTGTAAATATCTTTAATAAAATTTTCATCAGTTGCTAAATTGATAGATCTGAATTTCCCCATGCTTCCTGGTTTTTATATGTTTCTTGACAAATAAAGCTGATTTAAATCTCTTCCTGCGGCATTGTACCCCAAGTTATTTTCTTTACTCTCTTCCCTCATGTGTCTTATCAAGGCAGATGTTATCCAGGCAGGTGAAATTAAGAATAGAGGCAGTTGTCCATGTAATTCACCAAACCTGATGTGAAGTAAAAGAGATTTAAAGAGACAGAACCACCCATAATAGCCACCTGTGTCTATCAGATTCACCAAATAATTGTTTAACTTTTCACTTCATTTTGGCATGACAGCTAGAGATGGAGTGAACCTATGGGCATGAGTAGATTGTTGTACAGAAGCAAAGATAATCTTTTAGGATTGATATGTTATACCTTCTGTAAGGGAAAATCATGACTCACTAATTTGGGTATGTGATCTGGGAATGTAATGAGTCTGTGAACAAAGGAGAATGCGTAAAGAGCATTTGTTTAGGTTTAAAATGCCTTGCATACGCACAAGCCCAGAAGTGGGTTAAAAGGAGATACCAACAGATAGCTAAATTGTAATTAGATTGGGGGAAAAAGGTTGAGCATAGAGTAATTTTGTTAGAGAATGGGCAAGGATAACAGTGCGAAAAGGTGGATAGATAAGTTGGCATTTCTTCAATTAGAAAAATGGCAATTAAGGATCAGGGCTGGAGCCATTGTGATTCTACATTTATTTGGCACTCTAGAAGGTTTTGCTAATTAAAGTAAGTTTGTTTTTTTCAGTTAGAAAAATGTCAAACCAAGGAGGACAAGACTTGATGTATGGATACAGAAGTGGTTAAGTGGTAATCATTGCTTTGTGAGGAGTTGGGAGAGTTCTGTGTCCTACTCTTATAAACAAGGACTTTGAACTGGAAGTGATAACTCTTAAAACAGGACCTAGGAGTCTGGGATCCAACTGTGAGTTCCTAAGTCAGATGACCTTGTCAAACAAATGCTGGCCATTAAACTGTAGTGGTCACATTAGCCCACTCTTACGTATCACAGTAAGTACTGTGTACAAGTGTAGCCATTGTTTTTCAAGAGAGGCATATTAGCATAGCAAGACGTGAAGCAGTTATGTGAAGACTTCAAGATTTTTCAGTCTGGAGTGACAAGAGTATAGCGATAATTATAAAAACTTGCAAAAATCTAGAAGTGTTTGGAAAATTGCATAACATATTCTGGAATACTAGACCAATAACCATTCCCAAAACTTTAGAAGAGGCCATTTCAGTATTAGTGACAAGAAGAAGCACATGAAGGAGTTTTTTTTCAGAGGCTATAACAGCTGTATATGAAAATAAATTCAAGAAAGACTTCTATAAAGGCATGGTCTGTGTGGGCATTTGGAATACATTTCTAACCATTTCCAATTTGTATCCTTAAACTACATCCTACCACAGTAATTTACATGATGCTACTGTCAGACAAAGAATATTGGAGTCACTGGATACCAACTTAGCCTGAGATGCCACTTCTTTTATATTGGTTTAAATAACTTCTTCATTTGTACTAAGGAATTTCATGGTCCATTTTTTTTTCTTTTTTAATTGTTTGTCATATTAATTTCCTACATTTTAAAAATATTCATCCCCTATGCAACTCATTCCCTATGCAAGACTCCCAAAGTCTGGTCTTCCATTATCCCAAAGACAGCACAAGAGATTGGAAAGCACATTTATATTATCCTGCTTGGTTTTCAAATCTCAGGAAGCTAAAATCCAGTTTGAACTTAGAGGCTGAGTATTCTCATGAACTCCAAAGCCATCAGAGTGAATTTACCCTTCCAGAAGGTCATCTTAATGCCACAGCCAAAAGCTACCCAATGGTTGTGAATAAATAACCAGTATAATCACTTTTTACTACTTGGAGAAAACCATGGGGTAAACTTAGAATGGATCACTAACATTTAATTGATGTGGCTTTGGCAACAGACTTAGTTTTTTTTAAGCTTGTTTCAGCCATTCAGATAAAGAGAAGGATGTGCAAATAAAGAGATCTGTTTTCCCATCTGTAGTTTAAGTTTCTGCTGCCAATACCACATGTAGCTTAAAGATGTTTAGGAACCTGGAGAGACCTTCTACAAAGACTTATTTACATGACCACTTGCATTATAGGAATGCATGCCAATTAATAAGATGGTATGAATATTAAACACCCATGAGTCACTCTTTCTGACTGAATTATGTTGGGGCCTCATTGTATGTTTGGCTGAAACTTTTATGGCTGTGTGGAAGTTTTCAAAGTGAAAAAGTTTGAGTTTCAAAGTTTTCTATTTTTGTGGGATTTATGAATGAGGGTTGCAGAGGGGAAAAAGGTGATTACTAGCATAATTTGTTTGGATCTGTAAGTGGGTAGATCGTTGCACAGAAGGAAGTATAAGCTTTTAGGATCCATGTGCTGTAAGTTACTGAAAATCATGGTGTAGTAATCTGGGACTATTACTTGAGAATGTCATAAGTCTGTAAACAAGGGAGAATCAGCAGACATCATTTGTATAGGCTTTTTAAAAAGCTTTTTAAGGTGCTGCCTCCAACATAGATTTCTCAAAAACACAGACTCTCTGTTTTCTCTACATGAGGCAGATTGCAGCTACCTCAAGTACATTGGTGCATATTCATCATTCATTAATGCTTTTGATGAACTGACTCCCAGGGAAATGATTGCCAAAAGGTAACTCCTTGGGAAATAAGCAGGGTAGTTGTTGAGTAAAGTGTACCCAGATGCTGCAGTGTAACACTACCTGCACAAATGACAATTTGGTTTCCCTTGGATTCCATGATAGTATATGTATTATGTACCTACAGGGGCCCTCACTTCTCCCTGACAACCGGTTATAGAAATATATTGAGTGTCTGCTTTATAATGAGCACTCTGCCAGGCTTATTTAAAATGAGCTATGACTATTTAAGTCAGAATAGTTCTAAAAAGCCCTTGTTGTCCCACAGCAAGCAGGTAGCCAAGCAGGTCTTTGAGCTCAGTCTTTCCAACTCTGAAGCATATAGTCTTCTCACTTCATTTATCTGAATATTCAGAGTAACTTAGAACTAAAGTCAGGTTTCCTTAAACCTGGCCTATAATAATCTCTTTTGACAGATACGTTAATAATACCAAGAGTTTTGAGGTTACAAATTCAAACCATTACAGATATGTGAAATTGGATCCGTAAGAAAAGATGGAGACACTTGAATCTGCAGAAGAAAAGGCTGAGAAACAAATTAGTGGCATTTCCCAAACACCACAGATCATTGCTAATTCATATCCTACTCACTTGGAAATTTATATTAACTGAAATAGTGCTGGAAATCAACTTTTTTTCTTTGCAGCTATTTATAAAGATGATGTTGCTATGTGAACGAATATGGTATAAAACAAGTTTGGAAGAAGCATAGTTTATATAGTTTGGATATTTGTCACCTCCAAATCTCATGTTGAATTGTGACCCCCATTGTTGGAAGTGGGACCTGGTGGGGGTGTTTGGGTCATGGGAGTGGATCCCTTATGAATGGCTTGGTGCCCTCCTTGAAGTAATGTGTGAGATCTCACTGTATTGGTTCACACGAGAGCTGTTGTTTAAAAGAGTCTGGCACTCACCCCCCTCTCTCACCATGTAACACACACCAGCCCCCCTTGCCTTCCATTATGAGTAAAAGCTACCTGAGGCCTTACCAGAAGCTGAGCAGATGTCAGCATCATGCAGAATTATGAAATATATCTCTTTTCTTTATAAGTTATTCAGTCTTAGGTACCCATTTATAGCAATGCAACATGGACTAAGGCAATAGTCAATGAAGTTAACAGAGTGATTTGCTTTAAAAGAGGGCAACTCACTTTTCTGGCTAAATGCATTAAGAAGTTCATATAATGAGTAATCTCATTCATTCACTACAAATGGCCCCAGGAACGTGACTCTTTAGTAAGAACTTAGTTCTCACAATACTGTGGATGCTGGTGTTAAACAGTATGGCAGCATTCCACTTGGCATCTAGAATTCCTTGGGATGAGAGCCAGAGTTACTGTGCCACACTAGCTTCCTAGACCTGGGACCTTCAGGCCCAGTGATGCTGTGTACTGGCACAGGGACTGAGGAGGATGTTAGAACAGCCTACTGTTGGCTGTCCTTTGTCTTGGTCATCCATTCTTGTCCCAAGGACTTTAAAGTACTAAGAAATCCATCATTAAAATATTCAGGAATTCTGAATGATCTTATCTCTGTGGCCATCTAAATTAATGAAGTCTGGCTTCATGTGAAAAATAACTACAGAAAAGGGAGTCAGTTGTTTGCTTTGGTTGCTAAAGTCAGAGCAAAAAAGAAGCAGATTGTGATTTCACAAGAAGAGGTTCACATCCATTAACGATGAGGAAGACCATTCTAAAGGTTTATTGTTTTTCATTCACCTGTTCATTCATTCCACATCAGTGAGGGCTGACTATGTGTTAGGTGTGATGCTGAGCACTGGTGATAGAGTCAGACGCCTGGGAAGTATAATTACCATTCTGTAGAATAAGAGCAATCATGGAGCAGGAGCCACTTATATGGGAGAATGGAGGAGATGAATCAAATCCAGTTATGCCTGCACGATGCTTACAGTCTAATAACATTTATTTTGAGAACTGTTGCCATTTTCTGAATTATAACAGTGTGCCTCTTGCAAGCATTGTGCCAGGCTTATCACATGCTTTGTTTCTAGTCCTCAAAGCACCCCTATAATGAAGATAGTGGGATCTAATTTGCAAATGAAGACACTAAGGCCAGAAGCGGAGGCAGCTGGGAGTAGGGAGCAGCAGGGTAACACTCATTAGTGAGATGAGTGGGGATTTTCAGCCACACACCCTAAGGTAGCAACTTGAAAATCCCCAGTGGAAATGTTTCTTCAAAATTCTCTGCCACCATCCCACAAGGAACCACACCCATCTTGGCTGCTTATGTCCCTCTGAGACACAGTAACTTTCCTCTTTACTGAAGTCTGGTGCCAGACAATATTTCTGCCCCAAGCAGTCTTAACATTCTTCCCCCAAAAGGAGAGCCTTGTAGAAAGTCCTGTATTTGCTTCTAGGAGACTGAAAAGGTCTCCTCCTTGCATACCAAACATATGCAAGGGAATGTATTCAAGGTGTCAGTAAAAGAGAATGGGGACTCCATTCTCTATGAGATTCTCTACCATTCTGCTGTAGACTGCTCTGAATGGGTTCCAGGTGTACCGAGATGGAGCTTGTTCAGCCCTCAGTTGACCAGTTGTCCTGGGGACTGGTGTTTTCCTCAACCAACTGTATATTTCCTATGTGCGATACAACTTTAAAAGGACTGGGAAGTAGTGCCTTAAGTCATCCCATGAGGTGCCTGGGTCTTGATGGTGGTGGTAACTGTGAGAATTTGTTAATACCTTGAGAGACAGAGAGAAGGCACATGGAACAATGGGAACAGGTGAGAGGGTTGACCAGAATCAGAGATGTAATTGGTGACCTTGCAAGGATGAAGCCCGTTGGTACATCCAACAACCCAACCCTTGAACTTCTTAGCAAGGCCCTGTGGGCAACTACACTCACAGCCAGAAATGTGAACTTACATTTGTGGGGTTTTTTTTGTTTTTCATTTTGTTTCTTGTTTTGTTTTGTTTTGAGACGGAGTCTCACTGTCACCAGGCTGGAGTGCAGTGGTGCGATCTCGGCTCACTGCCACCTCCACCTCCCAGGTTCAGGCAATTCTCCTGCCTCAGCCTCCCAAGTAGCTGGGACTACAGGTGCATGCCACCATGCCCAACTGATTTTTTTTTTTTTGTATTTTTAGTAGAGATGGGGTTTCACCATGTGGGCCAGGATGGTCTCGATCTCTTGACATCCTGATTCGCCCACCTCGGCCTCCCCAAGTGCTGGGATTACAGGCATGAGCCACCGCGCCCAGCTGTGAACTCACATTTGTTGAGAGCAATACTGCATCAACTCATTGAAGATGAGGGAGGCTTGCCCCTTTGAACTTGGGTCCTACTACAACCATTTGATTATTTTGTGAGTTCTTAAAATTCTCTGAGAAAAAAAACTGGCTTCAGAAGTACAATATCTTAACACTTGTAATTCGGGTTACAATATTTTTATGAACTGCAAGAAACTAATTGTGCCTTAAAGAAACTACATAAAGATGGTGTCAGCATTTTCAATATAAACTTCCATTTCCAAAGGTTTATGTATTCTGAAGACATTTTCTTGCAGGGAAACTTGGCATGTGTCTGAGCCCCTGACTGTCCACACCTCACTTCATAGGTACTTACAAATGAATCCTTCACATTCACTACATTTGGCATCTGTAATTTCTAGAAATAAAAATGGCCTTAATAGTGAATGGTTTATGAGTTTAATGTCAGGGCATGCAATTCTCTGGGAATCAGAGAACTCAAGAATTCCAAAAGTCCTGTTTTATAGGCTCTGGTATAACAATATTGGGTGTTGAAAGGAAAGTAAAATAATTTAAGGGGACTGATGCTAGAAAATGTTGTTGTCTTCAGAAAGGCTCCAGACTTAGACCACCTTCAACATTTTTTCTACCCCCAAATTCCTCCTCTGGCCTATTTCCTGCAACTACCCGATGGCTTTGTGTTATAGGTTAGACAAACGTGTATGAGCTTTGTTTATGGCACCTATTGCCAAAATGAAAAAGGCTGTCAAGATTCTTACTTCGGTTTTTGAATCATCATTTGAGGAGACTGGATTAAGTGCTCTATGTGCCTTATAATACATAGAAGAGGGAGACAAAGCCAGAAAAACATTGCCCTTGGAAGTCTGCCTATCACCAAGCTAGAGGTGTATTAGGCCATTGTTACATTGCTATAAAGAAATACCTGACGCTAGGTAATTTATAAGAAAAGAGGTGTAACTGGTTCATGGTTCTGCAGGCTGTATAGGAAGCATGGTGCTGGCATTAGCTGCTGGTGAGGGCCTCAGGAAGCTTCCAATCATGATGGAAGGTGAAGGAGGAGCAGGTGTCTCAAATGCAAGAGCAGGAGCAAGAGAGAAGGTGGGAGGTGCCACACACTTTTAAACAACCAGATTTCATGTGAACTCACTTGTCACTAAGGGGATGGCACTAAGTCATGAATGATGGATATAACCCCCGATTCAAACACCTCCCACCAGCCTCCAGCTCCAACACTGGGGATTACATTTCAACATGAGATGTAGCAGGGACGCAGATCCAAACCATATCAGGAGGCAAAGTAAACTCTAAAAAAAATCCTGGCGAGAAGTCTAAGGATTCAATCCAAGAGGGCAGAAGGAAGAGTTGCTAGGCATTTGGGATTCTCAGAACTATATAGATATGGTTGCATAGGCATCCTGCAAAGGACCAGACAACCAGCTAGATGCCAGGCATGTTGACAGTGGACTCCAGCCACAGAATGGGGAGCCCAGGAACCAAGCTAGAATTCCAGGGCCAGCACCAATTTCAGAGGAAAAGCTGGGCACCTTGCCTGGAAGCCATGGGGCCATGCTGTGAGGCTTCTGCTCACGTGGCTGCCTGAATGGCTATGAACTGAGCAGAGCCCACTTTGGGGTTTACTTGTGCTTCTGCGGGGAATCAGTATAGCTTGGTGGCTAAGAGCATTGTCTTTGTAGTTAGGCCTAGATTCAAGTCCAGGCTTTCATTTACAGCATATGACCTTGGACAAGTTGCTTAACCTCTTTTAGCTGTGATTCCTCATTTCTAAATGGCAATAATAGTTCTTGCCTTATAGGTATGTGAGGATGAAGAAATGATACAAAGAAAGCAGAACTCCTAATAGCTGTAATAAGCACCAAACTTTTGATGACGCGTCTTCTCAAAAGAAAAAGCGCCCCTAACGTCCTGCCCTGCTGAGCCCTCTTTGATTCAGGGATAGGTGGTCCTGAGGATGCTGGGGTAAATTATTAGGGCAGGCAGCCTGGGGTACATAGGGTCTGACACATCTCAGCTGCTACATCCCATGAATCTTTGATTCTCATCTTCAAAGACTGAGTCGGTTCTGATGAAGATCTACTTACTCCTGTAAATCTGAAATATTTCAGTCTTCCAGAATTGCCCCAGTTACAACACATGGACATGTAAATCTGAAGTGTTGTATGTGTAGGCTAAAATTAAGAAAAGACACAGAAGTCTGAATAGCAGTGTCCTTTCTTTGACTCATCTGGCAGTGCCTCCCCATGCAAACAGATGATCCTTTCTCAAAAACACCATTCTATAACAATTAAATACCCTTAATTGAGGAGAAAATGAAAAGAGAAGGTCATGAATAATCTGCAAGTCTGGTTGAGAATAAAGCTGGCCAGGTGGGGGCCCTGAAATTAATGAGGCTAAAACCCTTGTAATCCTGGGAAAGAAAAGCACTTCTCTTGGTGCGTCTGTATGATTCAGATATCCTGGAGTCCATGACCAAACATCCCATGGCATATGAGATGGTTAAATGACACCATAGTGGAGAAAAGAGTATCTGTATTTTCCTACTAAATATCCCTGTGAAGATTGAAGCCTCTTGAGTAGGGACTTCATCTTCCTAGTACTTCCAATACCAAGCACCAAACCTCTTTGAGCCTAGAAAAGCCAACTCTGTACACATTCCCATCCCTTTATTTTTGCCTCAGTATTAGGAAATTCCCAGACTTCTGCTACTCAGCAAAGAGGTTTTGAGGAGGAAGGTAGGGGAATGGGCAAATTCTGAAGTTTGGATAGTAATTGCTTAGTATGAAGTGAGATTGTATAGAAAAGATACTTAAGGATAAGCTGTTCACCTATCAGATATCTACTAATATGTAATAAATATACTAAATACTTTGTGCATTTTGCCATTCTTTATTCATTTACTTGGCTGTCTCACAGTGTGCTTAGTGCCATTCTAAATTCTAAGGATTAAATGATGAACATACTTTAATCCTCACAGCAGTAAAAGGAACCTTAGACCTCGAGAGGCTAAAGCTCTTGCACAGGGGTTGAAACAATTAGTCATAGGCGGAGATCACACCACAAGCCTCTGTTCTTAAAGCACCAAAGAAGTGGTAGCTGTTGAGCTTTTGGTACAAACATTATGTCGTAATCTATTACATTCCCCACCATGCCTAACACAGTGCTAAGTTGTTCCGCTTACCCAGTGCTAGACTTGTAAGATGCTTCTAAGATGAAACCTAGGAAGTTTCCTTCCAGGATTATCATATGAACAGGAGACTTTCTGGGTGACATCCAGATCTTGGAAGCTGCCTCATTGGCCTTGATAAACCACACCACCATTCCAGAAATGACGTGGTAATTTTTTCAGATACTGTACTTTTCTCCGTATATAAAATGTTTTGCAGCTGACACACAATTAACAGACTATGTCACACACATGGTGAAATCATCTTAATTTGTTCTAGAGAATAGTGGGATCCCTGGGACTGCCAAGAAATCCAAAGCGTTATTGATGAGTTTTGTCATTGAATAAAGTGAGAGTGAAAGAAAGTGGCTCGCAGTCTTCTCAGCTGGGTCGAATGAAGTCCACATGATAAGTGGTGTTATGATGGGAAAGGTACCCTTTGGGATGACCCTTCTGGCGTGTGAATTACTTGTCCCCACAGTCAAATTAAGAGGCCAGAGATTTAGTCAACTGCTGAATGGGTGATCATTCATGCACGAGATACACAATTACCATTGTTAGGACGTCACTTCAATTTATGTGTTCTCATTACTCATTATTTCAGTTAATAAATTTCACCTAATTGGTTGAAGTTGTATGATTCCCAGATTGAAATAAGGGTGACCACAATTTGGTCTCTAATGACTGTTCCTTTTCTGATTATCCAGGATATATGCACAAGCGACTATTGCTGCTTGTAACAGGCTGGTCTTCTTATCTCATATTACATGAAGGGGGATGTTTTCAGGTTCAAAAAGGTCCACTTCATGCACCTCACTGGAAATTTACTACACCACTAATACTGGTTCCAAATGCTTATCATTTTTCTTTTTTTTTATTACACTTTAAATTCTAGGGTACATGTGCACAACGTGCAGGTTTGTTACATATGTATACATGTGCCATGTTGGTGTGCTACACCCCTTAACTTGACATTTACATTAGGTATATCTCCTAATGCTATCCCTCCCCCCACCCCTTGACAGGCCCCAGTGTGTGATGTTCCCCACCCTGTGTCCAAGTGTTCTCATTGTTCAATTCCCACCTATGAGTGAGAACAAGCGGTGTTTGGTTTTCTGTCCTTGTGACATTTTTCTTTTTCTTAAATTCACCCTTCTAGGTGTCTCCTTTCCTCCAGATCATACCCCAATTTCCATGATTCTTTTATCCTTTTATGTGAGCCTTCTCTATTCCCTTCTCTCTCTGTCTCTCTATCTCAGAATCCAACTGCCAGATGAGAACATTGGACAGTGGGATCGGAACCTTTCCACTCCCAGACTCGGGAAATCGCTCGACAGGACGCTACCTATGCCAGCCAGACTCCCCAGAGGACGCTGAGCCTCTCCTGCCTCTCCAGTCAGCCCTTTCTGCAGTTTCTTCCATGAGAGCCCAAACCCTTGAACGTGAAGTGCCTTCCTCCACAGACGGCCAGCGCCCTGCAGATAGCGCCATTGTTCATTCCACATCCGACCCCATCATGACCGCCAGAGGGATGAGGCCTCTTCAGAGCCGCCTCCCCAAACCAGCTTCCTCAGGTAAAATGCCAATTTCCCACCCTTAATAAGACATTTGCTGACAAAAAAAAGGGAAACTTTTCACCAGGAGATGAGTAAGTCAGTGACCTGCCTGATAAAAATGTAGATATGTGAAAATTCCTTCATGTCCTTCACCAACAAGCAAAACAATGTGTATAAGACAATATCTACTCATAGTATTACATCAAGCAGTACACACACATATAAGGAAACAGACATGTAAATACTGGTATATGGATATATGAACTGATTAAGAAAAAAGCCATGCAACATACACTTGTGAGGTTTTATCCTATAAAACTTAACTCTGAATATAGACCAATTTCAGCCCAAGATATAGATTTAACTACAATGTTGTTTGCCTTCTAACCAGAAACATACGTGTTCTGGTGTATTCTTATCCAGTTAAAATATCTTTATATGTTGAACTATAAAAGACATAGTTTGATAAATCAGCAGTAGATCGTGCACCGATTGCAATAGAATAGAGTGAGTCTTCCCATTGAGAAGTACTATCCTTCGTGGCAGTCAATTGAAACAAGATTTCATGATGAAAGACAGGGCTGGGCTAAGGGTCATCAGTTTTTCATTGTTCCCTCACGATTAAAAATGTGTATTGCAGCCCAGGATGACACTAAATAATTTTTAACTTGTATGTCTTATGTTGCTTTTACAACATGCATAAATATAGGAACTAAAACTTTAAATCGAACACTTTCATGTATGAGTTGATGATTAGAAAGGAGCTGCAAGTGGAGATTATGCTATAGGCTTCTGAGAAATTAGAAAAGGAGACTTTTAATTATAAATCTTTGAATAAATGTGATTGGGCTATTCCCATGGCTGAGTTCTTCCTTTATATAGGAATACCCATTGCCACGAATGTTGCGTCACAAACTTCTGCTCATTCCAAGTCAAGGCTACATTTTTAAAGACTGTAATGCATATTATTTTTGAGATAAATGTGTTGTTAATTAATGACACAGCCTCCAGAGATTCAGGGGCGAAATCTTAGTTATAGGTTGTGTACTCCATGCCTGAATAGTCACATATGTGACCTCAATTCAGCGGCGGCTGCTGTAGACTCCGTGATTAAACACTGTCATTATAACAAATTGAATAGAAACCGCAAGTCTTGAATTGCTTCATAAGGGATCAGAAGGAGATTTTTCAGATGTTGCTGCTAATATCCACTGCACCAGGTATCTAAGGTTCTGTCTTTTTTGTTTTTGTTTTTGTTTTGAGATGGAGTCTCACTCCGTCGCCCAGGCTGGAGTGCAATGGTGCAATCCTGGCTCTCTGCAACCTCCACTTCCTGGATTCAGCTGAGTCTCTTGCCTCAGCCTCCTGAGTAGCTGGAATTACAGTCATGTGCCACCATACCTGGCTAATTTTTTGTATTTTTAGTAGAGATGGGGTTTCGCCATGTTGGCCAGGCTGTTCTTGAACTCCTGACCTCAGGTGATCCGCCTGCCTTGGCCTCCCAAAGTGCTGGGATTACAGTCATGAGCCACCGCACCTGGCTTTGGGTTCTATCTTAATTAAATTACAGTGAAGAGTTGTAAAAAGGTAGTATATGGTAGAGTGTGAGGTGAACACACTGCAGGAAATTTTTGTCACCCATCCTGAACTTTCCTGTCCTGACATAATATCTGTGGTCCAGAGGCAGGGCCTACTTTCCAGTGCTTCTCTTTTCTGTGTCCATCGGTTATGCATGTTAAAAATTAGGGAATGAGGACTAGCTGGAACAAAAAGAAAATGAGATTATAGCTCCTTTTTGAGCAGTCACTGCCAATTCAAATGTGTACATTTGAATTGGTTATTTTTCTTATCCCCATATGAAAAATGGAAGTCACTATACAAAACTCACAGTGCTGATGAAAACACAGTTCTTAGCTTCCCCTCACAAACAAAATGCTCTGGAGAGGCTGTCACAGCATGTCTTGCTTATAATCACTGAGGTTGGAGGATAATGACAGCAATTCTCCATTCTGGCATGACAAAGGCATACACTATGCAGGTTAATCTACTTTCATGGGTAGTGGGGAAACTCTCTTTAATTGTTCTCTGCTAATTACACCCTTGCTACTCAATGTGGTCCATGGGCCAGCATCATCAGCATCACCTGGGAGCTTGTCAGAACTGCAGACTCTCAGAGCCCACCCCATACCTACTGAATCAGCATGCACATGAACAAAAGCTCAGCTGATCCATATGTACATTAAAGCTTGAAAAGTACTGCCCTGAGAGATGTTTAAGGGCTCCAAGCAAAGCTTCCCAATCCACACTATTCAAAATAACCTTAATACGTATTTTAGGAAAATCGGGGTTCCCTATGTTTGAGGAAGCCTGCAAATTCAAATCCTCTCTTCGGAAACTACGCTAATGCCCATTGGCACACTGAAGCCTCTGAGAAGTCCTCCAAAAAAGAAACTTGATTGTTGTTGGATGAATAACATTATTTGAAGAATAACTTTAGTGTTTCCTGAATGGTTTGCCTGCTGAACCCTTCCTAACCTGTAGTCTTTCAACATTTTGTAGAAAAGTAGTCTAAGAACAGTTTGCCTCGGGGTCTTGAAAAGGGGCTTCTATAGATGTGTATACATAATTAAGCAGATGTTTTGGGCAGCACAGACTACAGTGGGACAGAGTGGCAGGAAGCCCAGCTTTCACTGTATTTGGACCTTTTTTATTATTTCTGAATGTCTCCCCCACCTCCTTCCCTAAACTTGTAAAATGTTGATGAAAGGTGATATGTGATTCCACATACGTGTCCTCATTTAGGAAAAGTCAGTTCCCAAAAGCAGAATGAAGCAGAGCCAAGGCCTCAGACATGCTCATCATTCGGATATGCTGAAGACCCAATGGCAAGCCAGCCGCTTCCAGACTGGGGGAGTGAAGTTGCTGCCACCGGGACCCAGGTGAGGGGTCGGGGGAGGTGAAGGGTGCAATCCACCTGTTGGTCCTGATTCTAAAAAGTGTACCCTAAAAACACTTTTATGATAGATTTCACTTTAAATGAAATTTGCTGTTGGTTTACTGAATATAAACCAAGGTCTAGGGTTCACCCTTTCCCCTGCCTTATTAAGGAATACTGTGGGTTCTTGGGACACTTTTATTCTGAAGAAATCAAAGTGCTTCTGAAATGCACCCAGATTCTTGGGTATGGATGCACTCCCCTGATTAGATATTGTGGGACAAGCATTCACTCTCCCAAGCCATGTGGGCGCCATTGGAATGATGTTTTTTCTATTTTTTCAGTATCTCAGTAGTTATTTTAACCTTTACTTTGTTCTTATGAAACAGGGAAAGCAGATCTAATTCTATTGCTTTTAAGGATGGCTAATCAGATGCTCGGTGTGGTCAAATGACTTGCTAGAATCCGTGAGCCCTGAGTTTCATTTTTGCAGTGGGTTCTTCATCTGCCCTGAGATGACACACACGGAACTCCTGATGGGTGGCTATGGGTGGCTATGGGTGTCTGGCTCAGGGACTCCTTGCTCATTCCTAGTGGGGGTTATGTGGTACCCCCTCCTGTTTACCGTTTCCAGCAGGTTACTCTGACCATGGTCAGCCTATTTGCCATTTCACCACTCGTCCTGGGGTGGCCCACTGCAGCATCTGCCCTGGTGCCTGGTGGTGAGAAAGGAGGAGGAAGACACATGGTTCATTTTCCAGAACTTCCTGGCCCCTCCTTGGCCCTTCCCACTTTTGCTGCCCTTGGCTTTCCCAGGTCTGGTATCAAGAGCCTTGGTTGCTATTTTTACTAAAGTTTCTGCCCAACTATGATGATGAGATACCCAGATTCACCCACATCTGAGGTCTCCCTCACTCAGTGTGGCCAAACCACCTTTCAACCTTGAGCATCTGCCTCAGTATGGAAGGGGACCATGGACAAGTAGGGGAGCAGATCCTCTGGGCCCACAGCCTCAATTTCCAGTGGGGAACACTAGAGTCCTGCTGGACCATGTTCAGGGTCCCGGGGAAAGTTGCTGTAGAGCCGAGACTGGAACTGGGCCCTCTGAAGTCCAGGGCAGCACCTGGGATGGCTGCCTCCACAAGACGTGGGTCTGAGAGGCAAAGGAGGAAACTGCTGTGTTCTGCCATGCCTTAAGTCAAACACAGAATGTTAGGGCTCCTCCAGATCAGTGCCTCCCAAACCGGAGCAGGCATCAGAACCACCTGAAGGGCTACAATCTTGTTGCCCACATAGACTTGTGTCTGATTTGGCATATACGGAGTAAGGTGTACACATTTCTAACAAATCCCCAGGTGATGCTGATGCTGCTGATCCATGGAACACACTTTGCACAGAGCATTGCTGCCACTGTTCCAAAGGACTCTGTGCTGGCTTTGGGAGGATTGGGAAACTGGCAAATTGAGAAAATTGAGAGCTGTAAAATTTAGAAAATCATGACAGACACACAGAATTGGAGAGCAGAAAACCAGTTCAGGAACAACAGTTGGTGTTGATGGCAAAGGAGTTTGAATAATTCCAAGAACGTAAAAAGGAAAAAAAAAGTTACTCTTGCTGACCCAGAGGGGACCTGCACTCCTCACATAAGACATACATCCACCAATGGACACACTTCTCTAGGATTCCCTTCCTCATCGTCCTGCACTAGCCCCATGCACTGGAAATCCTTGAAACTCAGAACCCTGCTTTGTTGACTGCCAGATAGGGAACGTTTCAAGCAGGAATTAGCTTTATATTTCTAGTACCTGGCACGATGCCTGGTTCAGTTAGCATTTGTTGAATGGAGCTATGAAAGGATGTACCTCATCATGTCCAGACTGGACTGGGTCCTTTTGGAGGTCTGGACACACGTTACCCAGAACTACAGTCAGTAGACTTGTCTTTCTTCATGGACTTAGTCCTTGCTAGACTACTGGTATCTCCAGTATTAAGCTCTCCACCCCTAAAACCTAGCATACTGCTTAGCACAGAGTAGTTACTTAGTAAACACTGTTGAATGGATGGGTGACTAAGTAAATGAATGAAAGAGTAAAGGAAATGAGTGCTTGAATTTATAACCCCAGATAAGCGAGTTTACATCCTAAAATGTGTTTTTACATTCCCCAACCAAATGACACCCTTCTAAACAAACTTCAGAGACCCATCTAATGCATCTGTATTGGAACTATCTGGCTTAGGGAGGAATAATAGGCTCTAACAGGACATTCTACAAACAGAAAAAAGGGCCCCAAATAACCTCGATTCAACACATAGGAGTTGCGCTCCTGGATCCAGTATTCTGCTTATGTGCACAGAGGGGAATACTGTTCATACAGCGTCAACCGCCTCAGCAATTTCTGAATACAGCATCATTGCCACACCAGTGACATCCTTAGGGGATGGGGTCAGGTGATGTGTACATGTGAGCAAGAGGGGAAACTGGGCTCCTCAGCCCATGAACTGTCAGCAGATTTGAGGATTACATGGAGTCAGCAATTGCTTACTTTTCTAAAAGCTACTGTCCTTTTGGGAGCTGAAAGAAAATTATAAATTAGGCAAACATTTATTCTTTTGTTCCCAAGGTTGATTGTTTTATTACCTTCTGATACTTGGAAGGCAATGATGAGATCAGTTAAATAAATAAGCCATTAGGTTTGGAACAGCAGCTCATAATAGGCACTTGAGAAAAATAAGACCCTATAAAGAAGTGTACAAAATGCAGACCAGGTAACCGTGGGGACCTTCCTGAGCCTGGGACAACGGCAGAGTGCCGTCGACAGCTTCATTATTGCAGGCCTATTTCTGCAGCTCTGGTAATTGAGTAGACAGCATCAGCTCCTCAGGAGGCAGAAAAACCGGCAAACCAGAGTTGCTCTCGGGTGAGCGGCGGGCTGGGCAGTGGGAATGGAATTCTGTGCACACATTGACAGCCAGATGTGAACTGTGTCGCATCCTCACAGGATGCTCTGCCTCATTTTGATTTGTATGAATTATCTTAACAGTCTCATATTACTCATTTAGGACAAGGCACCCAGAATGTGTACGTACTCTGCCAGCGGTGGCAGTAATAGTGACAGTGACCTGGACTATGGAGATAATGGTTTTGGAGCTGGAAGGGGACAGTTAGTGAAAGCACTGAAGAGCGCTGCCCCAGGTAACAACCAGCGAACTTGCTGGCCCTGCAGGTTCCTCTCTCTGGGAAGCCGCTGATTATACCTTTCACTGTGCTCGGCCCCCACCCTCTTTGATTTTATGTTTTTTCTTCATGTCTCTCCTGAGATCTAATTTTCTGGTACATACAGAAGATTGTCTATGCACATCCATTTGTTTTCTGGTGTAATCTTCATGACATTGCAGTGCAGTCTGTAAGGATTTTATTTCTGAATCCAGCATGTCTAAAACAGCCTCCAATTGAGTTATCTCAATAATGAAGGAATGACTATAAAGATAACTGTTCTTAATTATATACTCTGGCAAGTTAAATCATCCAGTGAGCTGTGGATGGAGTTTTCCAGGCTCTCTGCTAACGTCATGCTGTGTAGCCCTGGACCTGTTAGCTGTGCCATTATGAACAGGTCTGTTTGTGAGGTTGAAGCTCCCTCACCATCTTTGTCTTTGAGCCAGAATTGGCAGTAGAAAAGTCATTATCTCTAGACATTTAAAACTATGTCTATTCAGATGGTACTTCCTTTCAGATACAAGAGAACAGACAAATCCCTAACACAAAATGTGATCTGGGCTCTGCTTTTCTTCTAATTCATTCTGGATTGTCAGAAATATTGTAATGATGCAATGGAAAGCTATTCTTTTCCTACTAATCAACTTTTTTCTAAAATACTAATTTATAAACTATGTAATGAAACCATAATTTTATTTTTTTAAAACAAGTTTGATATGTTTAGGGAAAAAACATAATCTAGTAGCCATGTGTATTTCCAGTTTTCAGAGAATCTTGGTATTTGCGTTGGGGGAGGGAGGGTTAGAGTAGCATGTAAGAAGAGCTCATTAATCTGAATCACCACTTTGTCCCTTGCTTCTTATAAGTTATCAGAGAGGTAGGATTGGTGGTTGAATCATGCGAAGGTTTACCAAGAAGAAAATGGTGAATACCCCTGATGTTTTAGTTGGTTGTTGTCCCTGTTGGCTCTTTGTGGTTCATTGGTGTCCCTCTGACTGTGATAGATGAAGGGGAAGGGGAGTTCATTGTCATGGAGCTCGCCCAATGAAGATGCCTAGGATGATGCCGGCTCCTAATCCATGCTGTTCCCTTGAGCTCATTGTGAGTCCTCAGGGAATAGCCTCACCTCACCAACCCTCAGCCACACACCCAAGAATGGTTTCCAGGGCCCCTTTCAGCTCTCGAACGTTCTCCATTCATTATTGAGTAAGTATTTGTTGAAAGCTTCCTCTGAGCCAGTTTTCCAGCAGTGAGTAAATGGACAAAGATCCCTTCCAGATAGTAAACAATAGATATCATAAACAAGTAAATGTATATAGTTCGTTCATGGGAGATGAGTGCTACAGAAAAGACAAAGTCAGGCAGAGAAGGGGAGAGTGAGAGTGCTGGCAGTTGGAGGAGAAGTTGAAATTGAAGTGGAATAGTCAGAAGGAGCCTCACCAAGAAAGCGACTTTTGAGCAGAGAGAGCTGAAGCAGGAGAGTGAGTGAGCCAGGAAGGGCACTCCCAGTAGAGGGAATGGCCAATGTGGTAGACTTGAGGCAGAGCAAGCTCTGGAGCCCAGGAGTAGCAGGAGGCTCGCATGTTGCTGCAGAGAGAGCAACCTGATGGATGAGGCCAAATGAGAAGGGGCCAGAACCCTAGAACCCTGTATGCCTTTCTGAGGACTAACCACTCCTCTGAGAGGGAATTTGGATGACTTAAAGCCCAGGAGTGGCATGACGTGCAAAGTTTAAAAAGGATGCGTCTGGCTGCTGTATTGAGAAAACTGAAGAAGCAGGATCAACTAAGAGACTGTTACAGGCATCCAGGCAAGAGATGTTGATAGCTTGGACCAGGGTGGTTGCACTCCACACAGTGACCAGCACTGGCTAAGTGACCTCCCTCAACGATGGAAATGCTCTATGTCTGTACACATGGCTGTTAAGCACCTGAAACGCAGCCAGTGCAAGTAAGAGACTGAATTTTTAAAATTTAATTTGTGCTCCAGTTTTCCTAAGAGTTCTCATTTGGGCCATTCCTTCTTTTCTCTTTTATTTGAAATTTTAATTAATTTTAATGTAAATATAGTCACATGTGGCTCGTACAACACAGGGAGTGAGAACAGTCGGATTCCAAATCTAATTAAAAATACCACCTAATGGCCGGGCGCGGTGGCTCACGCCTGTAATCCCAGCACTTTGGGAGGCCGAGCCGGGTAGATCACAAGGTCAGGAGTTCGAGACCAACCAGGCTAACACGGTGAAACCCCGTCTCTACTAAAAATACAAAAATTAGCCTGGCGTGGTGACAGGCGCCTGTAGTCCCAGCTACTTGGGAGGCCTGTAGTCTCAGCTACTCTGAGGCAGGAGAATGGCATGAACCTGGGAGGTGGAGGTTGCAGTGAGCCGAGATCATGCCACTGCACTCCAGCCTGGACGACAGAGCAAGACTCTGTCTCAAAAAAAAAAAAAAAAAAAAAAATACCACCTGGCTCAGGCCAGGCATGGTGGCTCATGCCTGTAATCCCAGCACTTCGGGACGGTAAGGCAAGAGAATAACTTGAGGCCAGGAGTTGGAGACCAGCATGGGCAACATAGTGAGAACCTGTCTTTACAAATTTTTTTTTTAAATAAGACAGGTGTAGTGGATGTGGTGGCACATACCTGTGGTTCCAGCTACTCGGGAGAGGAAGGTGGGAGGCTTGCTTGAGCCCTGGAATTTGAGGCTACAGTGAGCCATGGTTGCACCACTGCAGTACAGCCTGGGTGACACAGCAAGACGCCGTCTCAAAACAAAAACAACAACAACAAAAAACATAATACAATTCACTGGTATACTGGAAAAAACGTAGGGTCAAGGATGACTCCAAGCTTTGGCTCTTAGAAAGGCTGGATTTGCCCTTGCCTTCTGCCAAGTGAAATGGGAGTTCTGCGTGGACATGCTAGATTTGGGGGCCCATTAAGCCTGCAAGTGGAAGTGGTGGGTAGGTGGGAGGCTAGGAGAGTCTGGGGCTCATGTAAATTTGAGTGTCATCAGCACATCAACCGCATTTGAAGCTGTGTGTCCAAATGTGATGAGGAAGGGAGGGAGTGTAGCCCAAGAGAAGACTAGGTCCTCCTGCCTTATCTCAGTCACAGAGAAGAGGAAGACCCTGTGAAGGAAGAGGAGGGCTGGGGAGCATGGCGTCTTAGAAGCCAAGTGAGGAAGGTATGTCAAGGAGGAGACTCATGATTCTGTCTGTTGCTTGTTACTAAAAAGTGGCAAGCAATCTTCAGTTCTGTCCTACCCCTTCCTCTGCCAGTGGGGTTCCAGTGTAGACAGGAGAAGTAGGAATGGAGGGGGAGGATGGTCTAAGTGTCCTGAAAAAGGAGACAAGATTTAAAACAAATTCACTGACTCCACATGAGAGAGTACCTGGGTATGAGGGCACTTACCTTAGGGCCCATGTTTCAGCATCATATGCCTGTCTACATGAGTTGCGCAAGGCAATCAAGAATCCGCATTAGGTTGTGGCTTTGGATGACCTCATGATGAACAGTAAATTTACTGCTTGAAGTTGTTTTTAAATCCTTCTGCAAAATGAAGTGAGTCCCAGCCTGAATATTTTTCTCTGTCAACTCACTTTGCTCATCCTATTTCCTCCAACCAGAGCAAACCCCTCTTTGAAAAGGAACATCTCTATTTTATTCTATTGCTTTAGCTTCTTGGGAGAAGGTGGTGAGGTCCTAGAAGCAGCACAAACAGCAAGACAGTCTTTCCCTCCACCAAGGTGTCTGCGACCTGCCTTTAAAAGAGGATGTGTTGCCAGAGATCTGTCCTCGCACACCCTGACAGCCACAGGTCAGCCCCAGCTGTGGCAATGCTGCCAGGAAGGGAAAATGTTCTATGCAGACAGCTGGCATGGCTGTGGGTGTGTGCTGGCTTCCAATAACCCTAGGAAGGGGCATTAAAGGATGGATGCAGCACCATTAACTTTCTAAATGTTGGCAAAGGTTGTATAAAAAGAAAATAGAAACAGGAGAAAGACAATAACAGGAGGACGTGCCTTGAGTGTCTGGTGGAGATTTTATTCCCCGTGAGTCAGTGTTTCCTTGCTTTCGTCGCACGTGCCTGTGAAAAGGAGATTGGCCGTCCCACCCCTGGAGTCCCTTTTGAAATAACAAGGCTCTTAATAGAGGTCCCCAACCTGCAGGATGGAATTCACCAATAGATCGTGAAGCCTTATTGGATGTTTGCCAAGATAGCTGCCCTTTTCAAACACACCCTTTCTCCTTGGTTCCCTGAAATTTCTTTTTTTCTTTTCTTTTGTTTTCCAAGACGGAGTCTTGTTCTGTCACCCAGGCTGGAGTGCAGTGGCATGATCTCAGCTCATTGCAACCTCCGTCTCTTGGGTTGAAGCGATTCTCCTGCCTCAGCCTCCCGAGTAGCTGGGATTACAGGCACCCACCGCCACGTCTGGCTAATTTTTGTATTTTTAGTAGAGACGGGGTTTCACCATATTGGCTAGGCTGGTCTTGAACTCCTGACCTCGTGATCTGCCCACCTCAGCCTCCCAAAGTGCTGGGAATACAGGCATGAGCTACTGTGCACAGCATTTTTTTTTTTTTTGAGATGGAGTCTCACTGTGTACCTAGGCTGGATGGAGTGCAGTGGCACGATCTTGGCTCACTGCAACTTCCACCTCCTGGGTTCAAGCAGTTCTCCTGCTTCAGCCTCCTGAGTAGCTGAGATTACAGGTGCCTCCCACCACACTCAGCTAATTTTTGTATTTTTTTGGTAGAGATGGAGTTTCATTATGTTGGCCAGGCTGGTCTCGAACTCGTGACCTTAGGTGATCCTCCTGCCTTGGCCTCCCAAAGTGCTGGGATTACAGGGTGAGCCACTGTGCCGGGCCGGTTCCCTGGAATTTCCCTTAGGCAGGAGAGGACATTTGATAGTGGCAGTCGGTCCTCCATAGCTTCTAGGAAGCTTACAGAGGCTGCTGCCTGTCTCCTGTGCCCTCCCACCACCCACTCCCATTGGCCCTGGCTCCTTCCCTAGCTGCTCACCCTGCTGGTCACAGCATGACTTGGAACCCACCCTTCAAAACAGAGTGGGCTGTGGCCCCACATTCCCTGGTTTTGGGGGCCCACTTGCTTTGTTTGCAACACACTGAATGTGGCCAAAGAAGTCTACTTTCTAAAACCCTGCCTCTGGGTTCATAACACACTGAAATAAATACACGACTTTTCTTTCAAGGTTGATTTCTTTAGCTTCACTCTGAAAAATGTTTAGAAAGTCTAGTTGTTAGCAGAGTCAGTGGGGGGAGCAGGATTTAGGAGCTGGATAGGTGGCCCAGTGGGTGAAGTAGTAGACAGAAGTAATGTTGTGGTTTTGTTCACAGAGCTACCCACTCTAATTTGCCAAGTTGGGCATGACAAACATTCCTGCCCTTTTCCAGCAGGCAAGTCCTCAGAGAAGGCATGTGCGGGGGACAACAGTGTAAAGGTGAAGGAGCGAGCAAGCCAGTTGTAGGAAGTGGGGAAGACCTAGTGTGGTCCCAATCTCCGGATGAAGGGAGAAAGGGGAGTCTCACCTGGACCCAATGGACCTTGCTGGTAAAAAGTAAAATAACAATTCTAGTAAATCCAGCTCTCCCAAGCTTCTGTTTCATCTACCTGGCTGTGTGTCACCAATCACCAGCCCTGCCAGACACCCCAAGAGGAAACATCCAAATGGAAACCTCTCTTTTTTCCTCTAGAAATCTGCTCTGCCTCCCAGGTTCTCTGTCTTCACTGAATGTCTCGCCATCCTTGTAGGAGTACAAACTATGAAGCAAGGAGTCGCCCTGGACTCTCCCGCTCTCATCGTCCATGCTCTGGCCATCCCAAGGCATGCTGCCTCCCCTCTTAGAGGCTTTTCAGGTCTGCCTCTGTCCCACTCACCCCAGCACTGCCTCGGCCTTGGCCCCCATCTGACTCACGCAGCCTGCTGCCTCCCTTTGTCCCTAGACCCTGTCAATTTGCTGCCAGTCTCGTGCCCCTTAAATGCATCATCCTCACTGCCACCGAAGTGCCCTCCCTGAAATGCCAAAGCCTGTCATGCTGTTCCTTTGCTGGGAACTTTTCGAGGGTTGTCCATCACCCACACAGTCCACTCTCCTAGGTACATGTATCTCTCCAAAATCACCAAGGTACACGTTAAATATGTTCAGCTT
Source organism: Homo sapiens (assembly GCF_000001405.40). Classification (NCBI taxonomy): domain Eukaryota; kingdom Metazoa; phylum Chordata; class Mammalia; order Primates; family Hominidae; genus Homo; species Homo sapiens. Next base: position 132,719,425 of record NC_000002.12, on the reverse strand, counting down.
TTTGTCTGTCAATTATACCTCAGTAGAGTGGTTTTGAAAACAACTTCAAGAGCAAGGAGAGGTCCCAGTTGTCCTTTTGCTGTTAAAATAATATTTCTTGCACAAAATAAAGTTTAAAATATTTTAAATGACACATTTTAAATTTTGTTTTACTTAAAATTTTTTTTTTAAATCCAATCACCTCCTCTTACAAGGCTCACAAAGCCCACCTCGGTCTTGCTTCTCCAGCTTCACTTTTTTTCATTTCCTGGCTTGTACTTTATACCTTGTTTATGCATGTCCTGAACACACAATGCTGTTGGAGGCTTCCATGCTTTTGCTTATATGGTCTGGCCTCCCTGGAATGGCTTTTGTACTAACACCCTTCTTCTCTAACCTTTCATTTAACCCCTGCTTCATCTTTAAGGTTCAGTTCAGACTTTACCCCCAGCAGGAAGTCTTCAGGATGCCCCTTCATCAGCCACGCCCAAAGTCCAGTTACTACTCCTTGTCTGTTCCCCTGTAAGACCCTGTATCTCTTTCATTTCCACTTGATATTTTACCTGTTTGTTTGCACATTCAACTCCCTCATTAGTGCCAAAATTGCTGGTCATTCATGCTCTGAACTTAGCAGGGGACATGGCATATCCTAGGTATTTAATAAATGTGTGTCAAATAAAAATGCAGCCATCTCACTGCATTGACTATGGTCTTGTGTAGCCCCTTATGCATACATTTCCTTGTCCAGAGAAAGAAAGACCCAGCATGGCTACCTGCAGGGAGAAATACAATAAGGACCTTTCTTCTTCTTTGAGGACACTGCTAGAGAAAAATGATGAATCCATTTGTCCAATTTTTTCTCAAGGATATAGACTTTTAGTTTACTCTTCAATGATGAAACTTCATGGAGGCTGTTGCAGGCATATCAGAATCCTTTTGTTTTGTTTTGTTTTGCTTTGTCTAAATAGTCCCGTGCCTCCTGGCTTGATTCTCATAGTCTCTGTCCCAAATTGGGAATTACTGTCACAGAGAACCACTCTTAACTGATGAGTGTGCATCACACCCGTTATGAAAGAGAGAAGTAAAGGTTGAAAACTTTCGCTCTTCCAATATCTGTTCTTTGAGGATCTTCAAGTAGAACTGGGTAGTAGATGGGTAGCACATTCTAGTGCTAGAGGATAGAAGATTGGGAAAGAGTGAAAGCAAGAGAGAGACTTGACTTCTACACTAGTTTATTTGGTTTGTTCAGCTTCTACTGTGTCCAGGTCACTGCTAGACACTAAGGAGTAGGGAAGGTTCAATGGCACAGCCCTGCCCTAGGTGCTTATAATCAGACATACAGACTGAAACAAGTCTGAGAGAGAAGGTAATCCAGTACCCAAAACCATTGTTTTCTAGTGCCTAGTGCCGTATTGTTGGCCACTCAGAGTAAGGAACCAGAATTCCTAGTTCTTTTTGGTTTTTATAAAATTATGTACATCTCCAAATAAAATCCCAGTAGGGTCTATAGATCACCACAACAAAGGGCTCAGTTTCCAGCATGCCCTCTCCAGCCTCATACCCTCAAAATGCAATGGTCAGGTAAAATATGCAAAGCTTTGGCACTGGCGTCCCCCAGCCGCTTGATGATACTCAGCTGATCAAGCCCCAATTTCCCAAACAAGAAGTGCATTTTCTTCACTTGAAGGTGATTACATTCAACAAATTACAAAGAGCCAGGGAAGTTGAGTTAAAAACAATTGGTTTTGCAGTAATTAGAAAAACACAAGGAAATGATGACTATGGAACAATATTAAAAGGGACGCTGAGGGATAACAGCTCTAGTTCCTGGTTAATTCCTCAGCTTGGATATTTAGAGATTCATAACTAATTATGCAGAGATGATGAATTTTAAAAACGCTGCCATCCTGCCTTCTCAAGGCCAAGGACTTTGGCTATTAATAGAGCAATCAGATCTTGCTATATTATAGAAAATTCACACAAAGTTGCATCTATTTTAAAGCATTCATCTGGCACATTACTTAAAGATGACAAATCTCTGTAATATGCAAAATCAGCATTGGGTTCAACGAAATCCAAACTCGTTATAATCACTCCAAGTTGCCCCAGAGAAATCTATTGTTTAAAGTGGACACTACAGGTAAGAGTTATCTTTAGTCCTTCCTGGAACTTCTCTCTTTTTAGATCATTTTAAAGGTTTGCTTTATTTTTAACAGGCCCATCCCAGCTCGAAGTGGATGGACATGCGCAGTGGGACACAAGGGATTTGTCTCCCAGCATTACACTTTCCTGGATGACAAATGAAAAGTACTGACCATGACAAGCAGGCTGCTCTGAGACCCTTGCCAGAACCAGGGGTCTCAAATTTCTCTTAGTCACTATTCATCCAACATCAGAAAATCCACAGCCCTTTTAGCTATGCACATTGGGTGTGCACTATGCTGAGTTTTGGGGGTTTTAGTGAGGAGAAGTGTCATAAACAATAACAAAACAAACAAAAAACCCAGCCAGCTTCTAAAAATCACATGGTCAAAAGCTAACTATCAGAAAGAACCCACTGTGCCCTCAGACAGGCTTGAAAAGGGAGGCTGTGATGTGACTTGCATTTAATTATTTAAGTTGCATATTGGGAGGCCCTTAAGAAAGCAAATGTCATGATGGACAGAATGAGTTTACCCTCCTGTCGAAAGAGCAGTGTGCCGTAGCAAGGCCGTTGCTCAATTAAATTGGACTGCAGGCTACAGCAGAGATGGAGACCAAGCCTGGGGACCCTAATGAGACATTTTGAGGGAAGAGATGCCCCCCAGAGTTTGTCACCCTTTGATGGACATTCCCTCCCATTACCACCGAACCCCCAGTGTTACCCCCCTCAAGTTCAAATGTGTTGCAGCCCAACACTTTTAAAAAGGAGCTTGCACAGTGGAATTTCAAAGCAAAAGACAAATCCTTGGTTGAAGTGGAATAGGTGAGGGGAGCAAAGGATACTTAATGCTGTGCAAATTAGCAGGCTTTGGCCGCCAGGGCTGAAAGAAAACTAGGCAACGGAACTAGGCAATGGTGCTAAATAAATAAACACCAAATCAGATGCTGCTTCACTTGTGAAAATTTGTGTGTCTCCTCCACTTCATGTTGGGGGAGCAGAATTAAATCTAACTTGCTAGGGGATGGGAGAAGAGTGGTTTCCAAGACAACTGACATTTCTGCAGCCCCATGAGCATGTTTGAGGATGGCTTTTTTGTAGAGGTTTACTCATAATCTGAGTAATACATCAGGCATTTAAAATGGATCGTCTCACCAGTGCAATTGTGCCTCTCCATCCCCCAGGTGACATTCAGCAAATGTCTGGAGACATTTTGAATTGTCACAGCTCAGAGAGGGAAGGGGATACTAATCTGCTGTGCAGAGTCAAGGGATGAGGCTAAACACCTTACAATGCACAGGACAGCCCCCAACCACAGGGAGATAATGGGTACAAAATGTCAGTAGTGACAAGAAGAAGCCAAGAAAAGATTAACCTTTGGGTATTAGAAATGTTCATTGGGAGGGAGAAGCTGTCAAATGTTTGTGCCAAAATATGACAGCAGGCAGACACCCCCGCCTGCCCAGCAGGTGCACCAGGCCCTGGTCCAGCTACCTAATTTGGTGGTTAATATCACTTCCTCCCAAGGGCTTTGAAAGGGAAGTCCATGCTCCTGTCTGGGACTTTCAGACTTGGCTGTTGATCCCTCCACGGTGTCTTTGTCAGACTGTGTTAGGGAGACACTGACTGTCTGAAGTGGTAACACAGAGCACAGATTATTCGAGGCTGCTACACATTAAGTCTCTTATTAGTATTTCGGCTCTGTCTCTCTTAGAGAACATGTGCCCTGAGGAGGCAGAAATCCTTTACAGACTTGAAAGTTACCCAAGGACAGTTAATCCTCACGTTGCTCTAGTGAAGTAGGTAAATTGCAATTAGATGAAAAAAATGGAGAAAAAAAATGTAGTCAACAGGTGTTTGGGTTTCCTTGGAGACCTTAGAGTTTTATATTTGGCTCGAAAGCACATAGAGACATTTAGAAAGAGCCCCTTGCCAGAACTCTTCCAACTGAATGGTTACACCAGACACGGAAGATTAACAATCATCTGCAGAATGAAAATACTGGGGTCAGTAGAAGGAACTTTCTTGAAGAAGTGGGGTAGGTGGGGAAAAGAAAGGGCTCGGTATTCAGGAAGAATCTTTGTAGAAGTAACTATTATCATGTGCAAGAGGAAAAAGCAAGGTGCAGTCTTTTCAGGTATCGGGGGAAGAAGAACAGATATATTCTAATTGCTTTTTCTCTGACTTTTAAGGATCAAGAGAGAGACCATTTCAAACCTTCTTGCATCCCAACTGCTCCTCCTTAACTAATCAGAAACCTAGAGATATACACTTACTATACAACCAAGGAGATGAGCTTGGGAAAAACCAGGACAAATGTCAAGTATTACTCAGCGAATTACACAGTGGGCTCCTCTGTGAACCTCCAAGAACCTAGAAACCCAAAGCCATGAGCCCTTTGGCTGGGTATGTTAGAAATGCCCATAACTGGGAGCTTACATACCTGGGTTTCAGCGCTGGCTGTGTCATTAACTGATTTTTTTTTTTTTTTTTTGAGATGGATTCTCACTCTGTCACCCAGACTGGAGTGCAGTGGCATGATCTCGGCTCACTGCAACCTCTGCCTCCCGGGTTCAAGCGATTCTCCTGCCTCAGCCTCCCAGCTGGGATTAGAGGCATGCGCCACCATGCCCGGCTAATTTTGTATTTTTAGTAGAGATGGGGTTTCTCCATGTTGGTCAGGCTGGTCTCAAACTCCCAACCTCAGGTGATCCGCCAGCCTCGGCTTCCCAAAGTGCTGGGATTACAGGCATGAGCCACTGTGCCTGGCCATTAAGTGACTTTTTGATCCTAGATAAATCATGTCAGCCTTTCTGAGCATTAGTCGCATCAACCACATAATGCCCACCTTGCCTCTTTCTCATGGGTGTTTCAGATATGACATTAGATGTGGCAAAGCTTCCAATCTGAAGAATTCTAATAAATCTGAGTATTATGTATTAAATGGACTGATACGCAGAACAATTTCTGGAATTGAAGGTTGAGGATGTCAGAGGGAGAGAGGGGAACCCAGGGACCTTAAAAACTATTGACTAAAATAATGTGAAGCTAAAGCCCCAGAAAGGTAAACTTCCCTCATAAATTAGCCACGGATATACAATTTCATTAAGGGAAATATCATATTATCTTCAACTGTGGTTAAAATTCAGTCTAAGGGAGAAAGGACTGATTAAGCCTTCCCAAAACAAGCCTAGCAGCATTCTCCTTTTTTATTATTTACTTTCACAATAAGCAGCAATATCCCAAGCTATCACTCAGCATCATTGTTTTCAAATTCAATTACATGGAAACCAGAAATATGGTGAGGCTGGATCAGGTGGGGAGAAGTTTCAATTTTAATTAGAACAGGATTTTATTATAAATGAATAAATCAACACACTCTTTAAGGAATTTAATTAGAAAAGGAGATAGCATCCCTTCCATTGGCCAAGCTGGCTCTGGATCTTGTGCAGGCAGAGAGGTTAGTGGTTGGTTTCCAGCTTTCCCCAGTCAGCTTGCTTCTCTATTTATGAACCCCCCACAAGCATCATACAGAATGTTTCTTCTTCTACTCTCAACTTTTTCACCTTAAAATAAGAGCTCTTTTTTTTTTTGTTTGGCCCTTTCTGTCTTATGATGTAATATGTCACTTTGTCCCTTTTTATTCTGTAATGTTTCTTTCCCGGATATCTCCTGGTGTCTTCCTGAGTTTTATTAGGATTATTCAGAAGGCAAGGCCACAGGATCAATATATTTTAGGCAAAACCTGGAAGCTATGCCAACAGCATTCATTGCACCACAGTGTCCCATGAAATCTTTGAGATGTGTGGAAGGACCTAAATACCCATCTTGGAGAAGGCATGTGTCTTCTTGGACCATAACTTACTTGGTGATCTTCAGCACATGTCTTCCCTCCCTTCTTTGGGAAGAGATATCTTCCTCCAGATACTGCCAGGCTTGATGTTTTGTCACTCTGTGAACAAATGCTGTAGTGACTAGGAAGTGAGTCTTCATGCTTCAGTATTCAGCAGTCTCTGCTACGTGGAGAGCTTCTCAAAGTTTTTCTCAGATATCATTTTCAAAATTTGACTTTGTCGTTTTGAACATAGAATTCTCTCCTCCATCTCTGTGTCCCTAGCCCCATATAGGTAACCATTTTTATTGATTTTTTTTTTTGTTCATCTTTCCAGTCTTTCATTGAACAAAGCAAAAAATGCACATTTCTTACGCAAAAGGGAGCACACTGTGTACACTATCCTGCATCTTGTTTTGTTTTGCTTTCTCCCACTTAATATATCCTGGAGATCATTCCATGTCAGTGCACTGTCTCCCTTGTTCTTTGTTCCAGCTACATTGTGTGGCTGTACCATCATTCACTTAACTTGTCTTCTGTGGATATCTATGGAATCAATTCCCAGCAGTTGTACTGTTGATCTGGATCTGGGTGTGTGCCCCTCCTCTGTGATCCCATAACACCTTGGTTTCACCCTGACCATCAAATTGCTCTTGTTCTCTGCTGCTTATCCCTTAACACCAGAGATCATGGTGTTTCATACTGAATCCTTGGCACATGGTAAGTGCTTACTGAATCCCTACTGAAATGCTGGGTGAATGAATGGACTGTGACTGCTGAGATTGAATCCCAACATAGTTCTTTTTTTTTCCTTTCTTTTTTTGAGACAGAATCTCACTCTGTTGCCCAGGCTGGAGTGCAGTGGCACAATCTCTGCTCACTGCAAGCTCCGCCTTCCGGGTTCACGCCATTCTCCTGCCTCAGCCTCCTGAGTAGCTGGGACTACAGGTGCCCGCCTCTACACCCGGCTAATTTTTTTGTATTTTTAGTAAAGACGGGGTTTCACTGTGTTAGCCAGGATGGTCCCAATCTCCTGACCTCATGATCCGCCCCCCTTGGCCTCCCAAAGTGCTGGGATTACAGGAGTGAGCCACCCCGCCAGGCCTGAATCCCAACATAGTTCTAAGCAAAAGGTATGAGGTAGCCAAAGTATCTTCCTGAAGGGGGCTTGAGGTGAGTCTTGAAGAATCAGGTTTGGGTGGGCATAAAGGGGAAGAGGATTTCTCTGAGGGGCAAGTGAGCAAATCAGGGAATGAAGAGAGGGTGAGAAGAGAGTGGTGACATCCTCTGACTGCCAGTGTTTCCCTACAGCTGGTTAGCAGAACAGAGGTCATACAGTTCTGTGAGGGTAATTGATAATACAAATGTGGTACCAACTGGCAGTGGGTGTGATCTGTGTGTGCCAGTGAATTTGAGAGGTGAGTAGAGGAGCAGCCCAGAGCACAGGTGATGAACAAGCCTAGATTTGTAAACCTGAGTCTGTCCTGCAGCCTTCGCTATACAACCACAACACCAAAATACTTGCCTCTTTATTTCTGCTTATTCTCCCCATTTCTAATAAGCTAGAGCCTTTATGTTGGAAAAGAGCTTAGAATTTATCCTGTCTACCATCCCCCTAGTGGAATGTAAGCTCAATGGAGAAGGAAGGAAGGGAGGCAGGGAGGGAGGAAGGGAAGGAGGAGTGCCCCTTATCCTATCCTTATTTGGCCTAATTGAGTTTTTCTATACCATTCTCTGTGGTGAGGGAGGGAAAAGGAGGGTCTGTCTGGGTTGCACAGTATTACACAGCTGGGGAAAATAGGATATTTATGGATTATGGATAAAGACTATACTCATACTCAGAAGAATAACATGAAATTCAGAATTCCTTTGATACGTAACTCAGTATTTGATGAGAAGGTGAATGAATGAATGAGGCAACCAGATATACTAGAAAATGTTCAAAAAGGTTTTGGAGTCAAAGAAACTTGAATTAATTTCTATAATGTTGGATCACTGAGCCTTTCTGTGCCTCGGATTCTCACCCACCAAATGACGATAATACCTAATTGCAGGATTTTAATCAGACAGCATATGCCACATGCCTTTTTGAAAGGTGCCCTTTTGATGCTGGCTATGTTATTATTATAAATAAATTTCCCAAGAAAGGCTCAGTGAGGTGTAGCTCTGGTGTGATGCAGTGACCAAAGCCTGGAAGGCAATCAACCCAGACATTTTTCTTTTACCTTCAAGACAGTAATGGAAAGCTTTTGGAGAGAAAGGGAAAGCACATGGGATGGATAGGGGATCCATATTCTAGGATTTCCTGGGTTCACCCTCATATTTACTATTGTAGAACACTACCATATTTCTGGACATTTAAACAACATGAGGACAGAGTGTTTTTGCTCATGCTTATGTCACTAGTGCCTAGAACAGTGCCCGGCACGCAGGAGGTACCTAACAAACATTTATCGAATGAGTGAAAGACATTGGTCCTGAAATAAATCATTCTCTTCATTCGAAACTTAGCTGGATTTTCAGAACAAAGCATAAGCGAAACAATATTTCTAGTACCTTTCTCAAATGTTAAAAAGACGGATCTTTTTTTTAAAAAAATTGTCACTTCAGTGCCATAAAATATCTCTTTGGTTCTCCTGGGAGTGCAAAGTTCACTCACATAATACAGTCAAATTACAAATGTTATTCAGTATAATACCAGTTGGATCATAAGATGAATGAAATTATGGGCTAAAACAGCTCTTTAAGTTCTGCATTTGTTGAAGATGAAAGAGCAAAATGAGCTTAATTCCTTGGTCCCAGGGTGAGATGATATTTAGCCTGGATAATACTCCTGGATTTACAACTAACTATGTCAAATTATACTTTCCCTTTTTCCCCCGCTTCTTTAAATTGACTGCTCAAATGTGCTATGCTTCTGAGCAGTATTTTTTAAAAGAAACTGGATAATGGCTTTGGGGTGGGAAGAGTGTTCTACCTTTTCAGAACACAGTGCCTTAGGTTTAAGAACATCTGTTTTAAGAGTTGCCTTTAAGAGGAAGGTTTGTATGTGAGATTCTATGAAAGGGATATGTGCTTCTAAAAGAATCTATAATCAATGTTGAGTTAAATTGGTGGTGATAGACATTCTTGATTGTTGTTGATATTTAAAGGGAATACTTCCAGTGTTTCTCCATTCAGGATGATGACGTTTGTTGTAACTGTTTTGTTTTTAGTTTTGTTTTGGGGTAGATTAACTTAATCAGGTTGTGGAAGTTGTCTTTAAGCCTCCTTAACTAAGAAGGGTTTTTTTAGAATCACGTAGTCATGTTGAATTTTATCAGAAGTTACATATGCATCTTTTGGGATGATCATATGGTTTTTGCCTTTAATGCCTTAAATGAAAGATACTTATATATTTTAAAAATTAAACCAGTCTTACATCCTTGAGATAAACCCTATATAGCTATGATATTTTTTGTAAATAATGATCCGTTTAGTCAGCTAATGTCATATTTAAGATTTCTGTATCTATATTGATTTATTAACAAATTTTATTTTTTATTAACCATTTTAATAAATGAGTTGAAATGTGTCAGCGACATTATTTTCTTGTACTTTGTCGTGTACTTTGATGTCAAAATAATACTGATCTCATAAAATGAATGGGAAATATTCCCTATTTTTCAGTTCTTTATAAGTTGTATAAGTTAGAATGATTTAGCCCTTGAATTTGTGAGAAAATTTGTTAATATATCAGGGTTTGATGTTTTGTTTGTAGGCAGATGGTTAGTGACTTTTATTAATAGTTTATTACTAGTTTATTTCATTACTAGTTATAATACTCTCAGGCTTTATTGCACTATCAATTCTGATAAATTTTATAAATTATATGGGAATATATCCCTTTTGTCTAAGTTTTCATGTTTATTGACATAAACCACCTGATTGGGTTTGCTTATCGTTTTAGTCTCTATTGTATCTGTAGTTATTTGTCCTTTTTATTAATAATATTATTTATCATTTCTCTTTTTTTAAGACTTCCTAGTGGTTTGCCAATTTTGTCTTTTCCAGAAACCAACTTTTAACTTGGCTGAACCTATTGTATCGTGCCCCTCTACCACCACCCCATTTTATTAACTTTTGTTATTTTTATCATCCTCTTCTTTCAACTTATGTTATCTTATTCTTCTTTTAAACTTTTCAGAAAGACACTAAGCTTGTTCATTTTTGATGTTTCTGTTTTTCTATCTTCTGTCTTTTTTATTTATTTTTGGGGCTCAAGAATTTTTGTGTTGGGTTTAAAAACTTTTTTTTAAATTCACTTGCTTTTGGTTTGGTGGGGGGGTGTAGATATTATGATATGTTCATAGAAAACCCAAAAGAATGTGTAGACAGTTACTAGAAATAATAGGAAAGTTTTACAAGGTGACTGGATATAAGATCAATATAATAATGTTAATTGCATTTTTATATAACAGTAATAATAAACTTTTTAAAAAGTCCTTCTTGACCTGAGGGAAGAGAAGAGAAAGGATCCTTAAATCAGATGCAAAAAGCATTAACATTCCTTGAAAATTAGGAGCTTCTATTCATCAATGGACACCCTAGAGAAAATTAAAAGCCAAAATACAACCCAAAAAAAGACATTGGTATTACATACAGCCAACAAATATTAGCACCATGTATATATAATAATCTTCTATGGACTAATACGAAGACAACAATATAATAGAAAAAGGGGAAAGACGTAAGAAGGCATTCTAAAGAATAGAAAACAAATATCGGTAATAAACACATGAAGCGCTCTACGGTCAGCAGGTGGCGAAGCCAGCCGGGCTTGTGTCCTTTCCCTCAGGATGGTGAGTTTCCCCCATCCTCAGTCAGGTCCAGAGATGCCATCCAGGAGCCAGGGCCTGGAGTCAGAAGCCTTAGGAATCTGCCTGGTGCTCTCTTCTACTGTGGCTGAGCTGGCACCCAAGCTACTAGACAGAGTCCTTCCCACTCTTACCTCCCCTTTCCACAAACCAAGGAGTCTCTTCCCATGACCACCACTGCCCTAGGCCCATGACAAGTACTGCCTGGCTACCACAGGTGTTCACTCAGGGCCCACTGGCTCTTTAGTCAGCTTGTGGTGAATGCTGCCAGGGCTAGGACTCGAGCGCAGTTGGCTCCCCTCTGGCCCAGGGCAGGTCCAGAAATGGCATTTTAGACCCAAGGCCTGGAATCAATGACCCTAAAAGCCCATTTGGTGCTCTACCCCACTGTGGCCAACCTGTTACTTAGGCTGCAAGACAAAGTCCCCTTTACTCTTCCGTCTCCTTTTCTCAAGCAGATGTCCCTCCCCATGGCCACCACAGCTGGGAATGTGCTGGGTCACACCTGAAGCTAGTACATCCTTGAGTCTCACCTAAGGCCTATGGCAAGTACTGCCTGGGTACTGCTGCTGCATTTTCAGGTCCCAGAGGCTCTTCAGTCAGAAGGTGATTAATCTGGCCAGGACTGGGTTCCTAGCCCCTTTAAGACAGGGGGTTCCCTTCAGTATCATCCCGGGTATATCTTGAAATGTTTTCTGGGAGCTAGGGCCTAGCAAGGGGGCCTTAGGACTCTGCCTGCTGCCTGTTCCTACTGTGGCTGAGCAGGTATCTAAGTTGCAAGACAAAGTCTTCTTTACTCTTCCCTCTCCTCTCCTCAAGTGGAAGAAACACAGTCCCTCGCAAAGCTATGAGAGATCCATATTCTAGGATCTTCTGGGCTCACCCTCATGTTCACTATTGTAGAACACTGCCACGTTTCTGGACATTTAAACAACATGAAGACAGGGTGTTTGGTTTTGCTCACGCTTACATCACCAGTGCCTAGAACAGTGCCTGGCACACAGGAGATACCTAACAAACATTTGTTGAATGAGTGAAAGGCATTGGTCCTGGGGTTGGGGGAGGGTGATGTACGCACTCCATTGGCCACCCCAGCTGGTGTCTCAGTAGCTCACATGCCCCTACAGTCGACTGGCTCCAAGCCTAGCACAGTCCCAGGACTTGCCCAAGAGTTGCAGTCCTTGAGGCCCAGACTGCCTTTCAAGTTTATATAGAACCCCAGACCACATTAGCCCACAAGGCTTGCAGGAACTCAGATTCTGACCACTGGGATGGGTGATTTCCCTCTGGCTAAGGCCGGTCTAAATGCTCCCTCTGTGGGCACCAGCTGAGTTCTGCCTCGTGTTACTTTCCGCTGTGACAGTGCAGCACTGAGTTCCAGTGAAGAGTCCCACAGTCACTGCACTTTCCCCCTCCCAAGAGTGTGGATTCTCCACACAACGCACCTGCCAGGGGATGGGGAGGAGTGGTGTTGGTGATTCAAGACTGTCTTTCCACCCTCTTCAGTGCCTCTTTCAGTTACATGAAGTTGAAACCAGGGACTGTGATTGCTCACCTGATTTTTAGTTCTTACAAAGATGTCTTTTTGTGTGGATTATTGTTCAATTCGGTGTTCCTGCGGGGAGGACAATGGGTGGAGGCATCTATTCATCCATCTTGCTTCATCTCCAGCTTCTTATGTTCTTTTTAGGCCGGAGTCACTCTCAGAGAGTATTATGCTTAAGCGCCATAATATGCCATTCTTTTTTTCATTCCTTTTGTTTTTCCTTCTTCCCCAGTATTTTGTTTACATTTTTGTGCAAGCTCCCTCTCCTCATTTGTGAGACCTGCTTTCCACATTACTTATTCATTCTTTCATGTCATATCAGACCCTGGGAAGCAGCTGTCTAACAGCCAGGACCAAAAGTATAATTACATAGAAAGGAGCCTGGCAAAAAACACAGATCACATAGTCCAGATATCCCATCTAGGGAGGTCAGCTAAGAGGGCCAAAACAGACAAGCAGATAGCACACACCTAGCTAGGCAAGAAGTTCAGTGACTGGATGGTGATAGGACATGGAGGAGAAGCTAATATAGAAGAAGATGACATAAACAGCATGGGATCAGCCCAAATAACCTGAGCTCAAGGCAGAAGGTTAGAAGGGAAGAATTAAGACTTTATACAATACAGCCTCTCATTGTTCAGATGAGAACACCCAAGGTCACCCAGTGATTTAGCCAGTACTAAACCTAAATCTCTCTTTTCCCAGATCCAGCCTCCTTCCATCAGCAGAACTGAGATGGTGGCCCAGAGCAGTGAGTTTTTTATTCAGCCAGTGATCTGCTAAGTCAAGGGCTTTCTTAGTCCTTTTGCTTCAGTATCATCCATCTTAGTGGAAGATGGGCTTGATCCCAGGGGAACCGAATAGGGATACCTGACTCTATCAGAGGAAAGGACAGAGAGGGAGTGCATGAGCTCATCCCAACACTTATTTCATTCAGGAAAAAAATTATTTTAAAAAAATGTGTGTATGTGTGTATGTGTGTGTGTGTAATGTATATAACTATATTTGTATATGTGTATATATATGTATGTTGTATTTATATATTGTGTACATATGCAAATATATATGTCTCCATGTATATGCTTATTATTTATTAATACACACATACATATAGACATACACATATATGAGAGGAAAAGCAGTATAAACTGGACATTAGAATGAAATCCTCTGGAAAAAAGGCCTAGATTCTAATCCCAATTCTGCCATTCTGTAAAAACATAGAGAAATCACTAATCTTCTCTGGGCCTTGACGTCCTTAGGTTGTAAAATGGGAGTATTGGACTAGATGAATTCTAAGGTTCTTTCTAGCTGTCACAATCCCTAAGTTAAAATGTGGGCATCAAGTATTTTAAAGGCATGCTCTTGGGTCCTTTTTTTGTTTTTCATTATTTTTTTTTCATTTTCTCCCAATATTTCCCACATGGAGGTGAACACATCATGATTCAGAATTTGATACCACTGGGGCTTTGCAAAGCAACTTACATTTTAAACCTGACTAGACTTTTAAACGTAGATTATGATTATGAAAGAGTTTTCAAGGGGAAAGAAGAGATCAAATATATCAAATGACACTGATAGGTCAAGTCACATAAGAACTGAGAATTAACCTTTCGTGTAATATGGAGTCATTGGAGATCTTGACAGGAGACTTATTAGTAGAATGATAGGGGTAGTCTGATTGGAGAGGGATCAAGGGAGGGTAAAAAGAGAGGAATTGGAGATGGTAAGTATATATAAATCTTTCAAAGATTTTTGCTATAAAAGGGTATAGATAAATGGGGTCACTGGAGAGGGTTTTTTTTAAGGATGAGAGAAATTACCACACATTGTATGCTGATGGAAGTAATCCAGCAGAGAGAGAGAGAAAAACTGATGATGTAAGAGATGAGAAACAGTGGAAGGGCTTCCCTTACATAGAAACATGATGTCTATCCAGAGTGAGCAGAGGGGAGGACAACTTATGGGCAGATGCTGTTAGACATGGATGGAACCTTGTCAGAATTCTCTTCTGATTTCTTCTATCCTGAGAGATACAGAAAGCAAGATTGTCAACTGAGAGTTAAGTATAAGTTAGAAGGCATTGCAGTTTTCAAGAAGCAAGAGAAAGTGTGAAATAGTCTGGGAAAGGAGGAGAGGGAATGGACTAGAGAAACTTATCAGGATCTTATCAACTTGAAGTTAGTAATTGTGAGTTAAATGAGACCAGTGAGCATAGTTGTGTATTTATCTACATCCATGTTCAATAGCATGAATGTAAAGCAGGTAGAGTGTTAGACTTCACACAGTTAGGTTTTGTTAGTGGTACACAGAGAGAGGGGCAGTGGAGTTAAGGGTGTTTAAAGGGAAATGATTACAATGAACCATGGAGACTAAACTGAGTAGGAATGGAAATGTGGACACGAAAGGTATGAGGAACCATAAAACATTGGTAGACTCAATGGATGGTAGATTCCAAAGGACTGTTGAGTTTAAGTATTAGAGAGAATAAGCAGATAAACCAGGAGGTGCTCTTTGGAGAGTGAGAAGTCTGAAGTTGAGGACTTGGAGTTGCTGTTGTTATTGGTGGGAATGCACAGAGGAGATGTGCAGAAGAGAGATCACAGCTCAGGTGTTCACCTGTGTTGGCATTGAAATCATCAAGATTTGTGGCTAGAGTTGTATTGGAGAGTCTGATAGTATGTGGCAAGCTAAAATGTCAAAGAGCTAGGAAGAATGACCAGGAGTTCAATCGATGTTTATAACAAGGAGGGGAGGCAGGTGGCAGTCTGGCAGTCAGATGACATGAAATTCATTCCTGGAGCAGGAAGTAGGAAAGACGGATACCTACTTCACCTCTGGGCTCAGTGATACAAAAAGTATAGAAAAGAAAAAAGCCACCACTTGAAAGGGTTCCAAAGAAAGCCACTTCCCCAAGGGAAATCAAATTTCAGTTAGAACTACAAGGTGAAAGACACCTTCAGAAAAGAGGTTGAAGATATAGGTAGCTTTTCTGCTAATTGGCCTTGAGTTTCAAGAGCACTGGGAAGGGTTTCAGGGGCAGGAGAAGGGTAAGAGATGGCTTCAACAGGGGTCATTCAGATGTGACTAAGGGGTGACTTCAGTTAAACTCAGTACATTTTTTAACTGGCACATCAGAACTTAGATGTACAAATAAGGGCCAGGGGGTTATCCATGTATGTCAGCAGTGCTGGATTTGCCCAGAATACTATTAGGGATTCAAACATTATGAAATATGTATAAATAAAATAACTAGAAAGGATCTTAATCATCTAGCTTATTTCCACATTTTATTTATCTTGGTAATCTCTACAACCTATCACAATACTTATACAAAATAAGTGCATTATAAATGTTTGTTGAATGAATGAATGAATGAATGACCCAGTCAGTAATTCAGTCCGTTGGTCATGCCATCTCAATGCTCTCCTCTGTGCACTCCCACCAATAACAACAGCAACTCCAAGTCTTCAACGTCAGCCATCGCAATGGACCATAGAGGAAAATCTGACTCATTGTTTATTATGATATTCATGTTCCCTTAAAGGGAGCAAATCTTCATCCACTGGGGATGAATTTGGCTTTTGGAATCAGCCGGTGTCATTCAAAAGCAAATCTAGTAAATCCAGGCAATAATACAACTTTCAGTCAAAATTAAAATCTAACATGAAGTAATAAAGCTCATGAACTGATTCTGAAAATAATTTCCAAAAAAGAATTTCCAAGATGAATTGTCAGAATACTTTTACATGTCCCAACATGACAATATTGAAAAGAAGAGCGTTTGTTTGGATATATATGTATTTGAGCATGTCATTTATTTTTAAATTTTTCACAACTTTGTTGGACATCTAGTAATAATTAAATACTTTTTAAATTTTTTAATCTTTTAGAGACAGGGTCTCACTCTGTCATCTAGGCTAGAGTGTACTAGTATGATCATAGCTCACTGTAATCTCAAATTCCTGGGCTCAAGCGATCCTCCCACCTGAGTCTCCCAAGTAGCTAGGACTGCAGGCACATACCCTTACACCTGGCTAATTTTTAAAATTTTTTTGTAGGGACAGGGTCTCACTATATTGCCCAGGCTGGTCTCCAAATTCTACCCTCAAGAGATCCTTCTGCATCAGCCTACCAAAGTGCTGGTATTATAGGTGTGAGTCACTGTGCCCAGCCAATAAATACTTTTTAATCCTCAAATGATAACAGACTCAGATTATAAATCCTAAAAATCACTCTGCAAGTCAGAGATTCCTACCCCGAGGTTCCTGGGAGAAAGTGATGGGAGGTTTGGAAATCACAGCCAAACAGTAACCTGAAGTCATGAAACTTCAGGGCATGGAGGAGATAGTTTGATTGGGAGTGATGATGGTGGTAGAAAAGAAGAAATGATGAAGAAAAACAGAAAGTACCAAGACCTAGAAATGAGTAATTATTCTGTGAATGGTGTGAATAAACTGCCATTTTCTCCACATTGTGTGAGCCTTGGGGGCTGTTTGGATTCTAAGTCCAAACTGGAGTTTAGAAATAATTAAACATACAATAAGTCCCTCAATGTTGGGAACTCCAGTCTCCAAGTCCAGAGACAACTGTATCTCTGGAGCTCTCTTGCCCCTTTAAGTTGATCTGTTTATGGCTTGTTAATCTTGCTTCCTCTTCCTCTTTCCCTAAGCCAACTGATCACCTAAAATATCTTCCCTGGTCCCTGAGGAGCGAGAAGAGGCTGGAGTCCCCTTAAATTTCTGGGTCATTGGCATCCAAGAGTGGTGCCAGGGAGCAGCCATCCTCTGATGTTGCTCATCACAAACCTTTCCAAAGTGACAGTGGACGGGAGCTCAGTGGAGAATGTCTTACCTCCACCCCATGCATTGCCTATTTATGTTTCATTTTTCCCTATAGCACAGAAGCACCATTAGTGCTTACCCATTTTAATCTGGATGGGAGTAAATGTATTCCCCAAAAATGGAAGGACACGTTCTTTTACTCCCTGCAACTTTTAAATTCTATGTGGTTCACTTAATTGGAGACCATGTGAGACCATTTGCCAAAAAGCCTGACAGATATAGCCATTGTGAGTCATCCCACAGCCCAAAGTACAGTCATCCTTGTGTCTTTTGTCATTATGGATTCTTCATTCCTATAACTTTCATAATGAAAATCTAGGTTAGATTCCAGGTTCCATCCGGTTGCCTCTGGGAACCCAGTGCTGTCCTCTCACCTCACCATTTTTAAATTGAGGACCAAAGAAAGGTGCTTTGAATAATCACATTGTGGAGGGAACAAGTCATAGACATAAGTGGTATTTTTTTGTAGGAACAGAAACACTATTTGTGTTTCTTTTCCTGTATCAGCTCCTTGAGAACTAAAACCTCATCTTAATCCCCATGTTCAGCACCTAGCATCTCTTTATATGTGTCTGGCATATCTTAATGGGTTTGCCAAATGTTTGCCAAACACTTTTAGATATAGGATCATAGCACCTCCTATTCCTGAACTATCACTTAACAAGAGGAAAAGGGACATAGCAGCAGCAGCAGCAGCAGCAGCAGTATCTGATGTAATAGAAAGAGAAAGAGACCTGGTATTTGGTTTTGCAATTAATTAGCTATGAGAACCTGGCTAAGAGACATCTTCTCTGGGTTTTAAGTTTTGATATGATTAGATTAGATGTTTGCAAACTTTTTCAAGCCATTTTTTTCAAGTGAAATGTTACAGAGACCAGAGACCAAATAAGTAAAACAGATAAAACTTTGTGTGTAATGGGCCCAGATGGCACCCTGCTCTCTTATCCCGCCCTCATTACCTGTGGTATTTCAGTGGAAACCCTACAAGATGATTTCTCAGCCTAGGATAGACTTTAGAATCTTTCCACGGTGTTGCCAGATTTAACAAATAAAAATATAGGCTGCCTGGTTAAACTATAATATCAGATAAACAAGGAATAGCTTTTAGTTTAAGTATATCCCAACTATGTATATATTATATTTATATATGTAATACTTATTGTATTTATCGTTAAGTATATTACTTATATTAAAAGCTTCCTACCCACAGACCTATTGCCGACTAAATTCTAGACCGATTAAATCAGAATTTCTTGGATGGATATCCCTATTAGTATTGCTTAAAAGCCCCCCCCCCCGCCCAGGGGATTGTAACCAGCATGCAGGAAAGAGACCCACTGCCTTAGCTCTCTGAAAGGCAGAATTTGAAAGTTGAAATGGATTGTCTTAAGAAAACGACTTCCACTTCTAAAAACATATGAATCTAAACAGATCATTAGTAATGTCAAAATTTGTGATGTCAGAAATTTAGGAGAAAGATCATTTCTTACTCATTGCCTGGCCCAGCATCAAGCCTTGAACATGGTTTGAAGTCCATAAATGTTTATTGACAGAATGTAGTCACCAGTACTGTCCTCAAAAGAGAAAGATGGGTTAATATTAATCTATCATTTCAAACCTGACAAAAACAAGAAATGGGGAAAGGATTCCCGATTTAATAAATGGTGCTGGGAAAACTGGCTAGCCATATGTAGAAAGCTGAAACTGGATCCCTTCCTTACACCTTATACAAAAATTAATTCAAGGTGGATTAAAGACTGAAATGTTAGACCTAAAACCATAAAAACCCTAGAAGAAAACTTAGGCAATACCATGCAGGACATAGGCATGGGCAAGGACTTCATGACTAAAACACCAAAAGCAATAGCAGCAAAAGCCAAAATTGACAAATGGGATCTAATTAAACTAAAGAGCTTCGGCACAGCAAAAGAAACTACCATCAGAGTGAACAGGCAACCTACAGAATGGGAGAAAATTTTTGTAATCTACCCATCTGACAAAGGGCTAATCCAGAATCTACAAAGAACTTAAACAACTTTACAAGAAAAAATCAACCCCATCAAAAAGTGAGTGAAGGATATGAACAGACACTTCTCAAAAGAAGACATTTATGCAGCCAACAGACACATGAAAAAATGCTCATCATCATTGGCCATCAGAGAAATGCAAATCAAAACCACAATGAGATACCATCTCACACCAGTTAGAATGGCGATCATTAACAAGTCAGGAAGCAACAGGTGCTGGAGAGGATGTGGAGAAATAGGAACACTTTTACATTGTTGGTGGGACTGTAAGCTAGTTCAACCATTGTGGAAGTCAGTGTGGCGATTCCTCAGGGATCTAGAACTAGAAATATCATTTGACCCAGCCATCCCATTACTGGGTATATACCCAAAGGATTATAAATCATGCTGCTATAAAGACACATGCACACGTATGTTTATTGCGACACTATTCACAATAGCAAAGACTTGGAACCAACCCAGATGTCCATCAATGATAGACTGGATTAAGAAAATGTGGCACATATACACCATGGAATACTATGCAGCCATAAACAAGGATGAGTTCATGTCCTTTGTAGGGACATGGATGAAGCTGGAAACCAATATTTTGAGCAAACTATTGCAAGGACAGAAAACCAAACACTGCATGTTCTCACTCATAGGTGGGAATTGAACAATGAGAACACTTGGACACAGGATGGAGAACATCACACACCAGGGCCTGTCGTGGGGAGGGGGGAGTGGGGAGGGATAGCATTAGGAGATATACCTAATGTAAAGGACGAGTTAACAGGTGCAGCACACCAACATGGCACATGTATACATGTGTAACAAACCTGCACATTGTGCACATGTACCCTAGAACTTAAAATATAATTTAAAAAAAATCTATCATGTCAAAAGAGCTATAGTCTCCACATTAAAGCCTGAATGCATCATCCATGCCAGAACTAGGCAACATGCTATGTGGGACACCTTTTACACTTAGAATCAGGATTTATATCACTGTCTACTATCATCCATAAAGAGAGAGTGCAGAGTGGAGGAGCAGGCTGTCCCCACCACTCGGCTGAGTGACAAGGCCCACTGCTGTTGCTGAAGCACCTGGTTCTGTGCTTCAGTTTCTTCTGTACAATGATGATAATAACAAAAGGAGAATAGCTGCTATTTCTTGTGCTTCTGCAATGTGGCAAACAAGCCCTTTGTGTATATTGTGGTAAATCTTTACAGAAATGATTCTGAAGCTTGAGTGTGTATCAGAATTACCTGGAAGGCTTGTTACAACATACATTGCTGGGCCTTAACCCAGAGTTTCTGGTTCACTGGATCTGGGTAGGGCCTTACAATTTGCACTTTTTTTTTTGTTTGTTTGTTTGTTTGTTTTTTGAGACAGAGTTTCTCTCTGTTACCCAGGCTGTAGTGCAATGGCGTGATCTTGGCTCACTGCAACCCTTGCCTCCCGGGTTCAAGTGATTCTCCTGCCTCAGCCTCCTGAGTAGTTGGGACTACAGGCACGTGCCACCACATCCAGCTAATTTTTTGTATTTTTAGTAGAGACAGGGTTTCACCATGTTAGCCAGGATAGTCTTGATCTCCTGACCTTGTGATCTGCCCTCCTCGGCCTCCCAAAGTGTTGAGGTTACAGGTGTGAGCCACAGCTCCCGGCCACAATTTGCATTTCTAACAAGTTCCCAGTCAATGCTGGTGGTGCTAGTCTTAAGATCACACATGGCTTTACAGTTACCCCTTATCATTCCCCCATACTAAATATAATAAAACTGAGATTCAGAAAAAATAATGACTTGTCCAGAGTGACACAGCCAGTGTTCACTCTCTGGTCTGCCCAGTATGTCTGCCTTTTGTGCTCTAAAGAATAATTTTGAAGACTAAAGCAGGTAGTATAATTTCACCATGGTGCTATTTTGATTTTTAAGAGTAAAAAAGACAGAACAAATTTGGTCTTTTTTAAGCAGGAAAAATGAGCAGGTGTCTGTGCATGATGGGGTCCTAAAATGTGTGAACACCAAAAAAACCATCAGATTTGTTGACAGAACAGTTTTATACTACTGAATTATGGTTGGAAGCTGTTTTGTCCTTTGGAATTTATTGTCAATTCATAAAGACATGGTCTGCATAACCCATTAGCATACTCTTGCCAGTGAATAGCGCAGAAGTAAGCAGTGAGTTCCTGCAATGTGGGGTTTGAAATACGGGCCAATAAAAGGCACAAAATGACAATTTACTCATAAAAGTTTGAAGCCACTGTTCATATTTTCCACATTTTAACAAGCAGGCAGAAAACTAAACCTACACAGCTATGATTAATCTATTTTAAAGAAGAAAAAGTGAAAGTTTGATGGGAAGAAAAACGTTTTCCCTAACAACTAATTTGAAAACCAAAAAGACTCTCCCTTCTTCCTGTTGGCTTGGAAACAGCCATTTCTCTATATTTCTTGAATTCTTTTACTTTCCCAAAGGGTTTCAACTTTTATTTGAAAGAAAATTCATTTCCCAGTTTTCTATAGTCTGGAAAACAGACCAACTATATCAAAATGAAAAATGTCATCGTGTACATACACTTAGCTTCCTTCAGGACATGGAAAAAAAAAAAAAGATGGGACCTTAAGTTCATCCACAGTAGCCTCTAGAAAGGTCACAAAGGCTCAACAGAAAACAAAGATGCCATTTTTCTTTCTATTTATGTTAATGTTCCCCAAGTTACTTTCATTTCTTGAGAAACCTTCAGATTTTCAACAAGAGGAAATAGAATCTAATATGACATCCCCTTTGAGAGCTCAGCACTATTAGTAGTGAAGAATGACAAAGATGATTTGGATGGTTTGTGAGTTAACAACTATAAAATTTAAATGTACAAAATATAAAAGTATGATGTAAACTCAAGTGGCACTTATCAGGGGTGTGTGAACTGACCCCCATGCATCAAGGGAGCACTGTCCTGACAGGAAGCCCTGAGGACCAGCTCCTCCAAGGTGACTGCTCTTTAAGGGATAACTGTTAGAAGCATAAGGATGTCGGCCGGCGCAGTGCCCATGCCTGTAATCCCAGCACTTAGAGAGACCAAGGTAGGCAAATTCCTTGAGGCCAGGAGTTTGAGACCAGCCTGGGGAATGTGGCAAAACCTCTTCTCTACAAAAAAATACAAAAATTAGCTGGGTATGGTGCACATGCCTGTAGTCCCAACTATTTGGGAGGCTGAGGTGGGAGGATCGCTTGAGCCCGGGAAGTCCAGGCTGCAGTGAACCGTGATCACACCACTGTACTCCAGCCTGGGTGACAGAGTGAGACCATGTTCCCCCAACCCAAATAAAAAAGAAGAATAAGAAGCATGAGGATGTTAGACCACCCACCACCCTGGAATCTACCTGGTCTTGCCCTCTCTTTATTTCCCCAGTGTGTCCTCACTTATGGATGGTTACCATGGTCATTTAAAAAGATGTAAACTGTGAGTTTAGGAGAATTTCTTCTTGAGTTTTGAGTTTTTTTTCTCTCCTTAAATTCTGAGAGCTTTTTTAATCTGTCTACATTTAAGCCAGTGAATCATGTACGATGATTAAGCTCTCTGCTAATGATCCGAGTGAAAAGACTACAGGCTCTGGAATCAGAAAGCTCTTCCATCCCCACATAAACTTCTTAACTTGGCTGAACCTCTCACCATTATAATGGGCATAAGAGAATCTACCTCAGTGAAGTCGTTGGACTTCAAAGGAGATGAAGGACTTTACAGGAGATGCAGCTCCTATCAGTGATTGAACACAGGTCCTATCAGTGATTGAACATAAGAAGTATTCAATAAGCAGTAGTCTAATCACTCTCTCCACAAGGGCCAATTAGTTTTCAATAAAAATAATAATAGCATTAACTGCTCACAAAAATTGAAACATCTCCATACTAGCAAACCTTTTGTAGGTGTGAGCTCCAGCTCATGAGGACTGGTTTCTGTAGAATGGATCAACCAACCACAATCTGTACTGCTTACTGCAAAATAGAAGCCATGAAATCTGCCCTTCTCTGGAGTCATCATGGCATCATTTTTGCATACAAAGGTAATGCATTTGGTTTGGTCAGGCTGTGTCCCTGTAGATAAATATTTGCCACTTTAAAATAAGTATATGCACCATCACATTTATTCCAAATTAATTTCACTGAGTGTTATTTTTTTAAAACAACCCAGGATTTATTACCTTGTGTTGGGTGAAGCCAAAATACTCAAATGAAAGTTAACTGCTAGTGTAGGTGATATTCTGAAACACATTTAATCTTCAGAAGAAAAATAATCAACAAAGCTAGTAGAAGGGTATACATCTCTGAAATTAGATGCTCTTAAAGGTTTTTAGAGTTAAAATAAATGAAAAACAATAGATCATCAGAGAAGATGTAAAATTGTGTGATGTGTAAACGGTTGAAAGGGACAGATGGGGGAAATGCAAATATGGGTGATGGTGGCTGAGCTGGAGGTAACAGAACGGTAAAAGTATCCTTGGATCCTGTTTCAAGTTCAGGCACAATTTTACATTATAAGGCCCCAAACTACCAACGCTTCCTATTTTGGATTCGCTCCTGCCTTTATCCACCAAAGGTCAAAGTAAGAAGCCAGTAGAATTAAGACTGGCACATTTCCTTGCAAAAGAAGCAATTCCACTGAGGATTTCTCAGGAGCTATCATTTATTTAGGGATTATGGGGCACAAGGGGACAGCCATGGCCAGGAATCACACATAGAATAAAAGGAAGCTCCAAGATCAAAAAGCCACTTCTCCCATAAGGACAGCATGGGCTCTGACATTTCCAGCCTCCCCAGATTGCTTTTCCCATCGTGGAACCAGGTGCCACTCTCAACCGACCTTCCAGGGCAGAGATGCTGCTGTTTATTCTGAAGATTTTTACTCTTTACCGAGAAAATAACAGACTTTTTTTTTCCGTTTAGAGAAAAGACTTCTTCCTTCACAATAAGCATAGATTTGACAGACATGGATCCACAACTTTATTCAGGATTGAATGTTTATGTCCCCCCACAATTCATATGTTGAAACCTCATCCCCATTGTGATGGTATTTGGAGGTGGCGCCTTGGGAGGTGATTATTTCATGAGGGTGGAGCTCTTATGAATGGAATTAGTGTTCTTATGAAAGAGGCCCCAGAGAGCTCATTCACTCCTTCCTTCTACCATGTGAAGACATAGCCAGAAGGCAGGTATCTATGACCCCAGAAGCCCTCACCAGACACCAAAACTGCCAGTGCCTTGATCTTGGACTTTCCAGCCTCCAGAACTGTGGGAAATAAATTTCTCTTGTTTATAAGCTACCCAGGTGGATTAAGACAAGGTCCATGCTGGAGACTGGAGGGTGGCGACTAAGCTCGGCCTTTACCAAAATTGCTAGACTAACCTAACTTTTGTGACACAACAGAGACTCTATAAAGAGCCTATGCATATTTTACTTCATTTTAGGAAAAGCTTCAAAGTGAGGCGTTGGTCATACACTGTTCATTATGCCAGATGGCACCCCAGCTGAGTCAGTAACTCAATTATTTGTTTGGTTATCATTCTTAGGTGATTGAAGGAAGTGAAGCCATTTATATCTAAATCCCACCAGTGTTTTCCCCTAGCATATTGTGGGGAGAAATTCTAACTGGGAATCGAATCCTGGGCCTAATTCCAGCATTTTCAAATTTTACTAGGGAATTGATTTTGAATTTACTTTTAAAGAAAGAAAGCCTTGGGACTAAAAGTTTTGGGCCAAGTACACCTTTGCAAGAAAATGCCAATTACAATCTTTCCGTCATTTGTAGAGTGACCAAACAAGGTGAGCTGTGCAGCACACTGCACAGCAGGCGTGCTGATGTGTGCATCCAAATAGACTTCCCATGAAATGCTGCGTTTCATCGCTTCCTGATACTCTAAATATATCTTCATTTCCTTCCTGATTACTTTTCCTTTTCAAATGAAGCATCTTTTAATATTTTAGAGAATTAATGTAATCATTATTTCACATGGCAGTGTTGAACAAAAATTTCTATCTTCAAGCATCCCATTTTTAAGTCAAATAAAGAAAAGAAATTCAAAAAATAAATAAATAAATAAATAAATAAATAAATAAAACACTTAAAACTTGTCTTCCTTTTCCCATCAGTTAAAAACCTCATAAATACACTTTTGCAACTCCTGGAAATTTCATGTCTCCAAACAGCTCCTGTTAATGGTGATAAGTAATCCAGAGAGTGCTTTTACTGGTTTCCCAGGAGCTGCCATAAACGAGAGGGCTTAACACAAGAGAAAGGGGCTGGGCGCGGTGGCTCATGCATGTAATCCCAGCACTTTGGGAGGTAGAGACATGTGGATCACAAGGTCAGGAGTTTGAGACCAGCCTGGCCAATATAGTGAAACCCCATCTCTACTAAAAATACAAAAATTAGCCGGGCATGGTGGCAGGCACCTGTAGTCCCAGCTACTCGAGAGGCTGAGGCAGGAGAATCGCTTGAACTGGGGAAGCGGAGGTTGCAGTGAGCTGAGATCACACCATTGCACTCCAGCCTGGGTGACAGAGCAAGACTCCATCTCAAAAAAAAAAAAAAAAAAAAAAAAGGCGGGGTGGGGTATTCGGGGTATTCTTTCACATTTCTGGAGCCTAGACGTCTGAAATCCAGGTGTCGGCAGGGCCCTGCTTGCATTCCTAGCTTCTGTCATTGCCAGCAATCCCTGGTCTTCCTTGGTTTGCAGCCGCACAGCTCTCATCTTTGTCTCTGTTTTCTCTCTGTGTCTGTCTTCACATGGCATTCTTCTCTGTGTCTCTTCCTGTCATCTTTCCTCCGTGCATGTCTTCCTGTGTCTCTTTTTCTCTTCTCATAAGGACCCCAGTTATATTGGATTGAGGGTGTACCTTACTCCAGTATGATCCACCTTAACTTACATCTCAATAAAATCTAAAAAACCTATTTCCAAATAAAGTCACATTCACAGGTATCAGCAGCTAGAACTTCAACGTATCTTTTTAGGGGACCTAGTTCAACCCATGAGAGTACGTGAAGCCAAGAAGCAGAAGATGGAAGGATAGAGAAATGAATGAATTTTGACTTCAGCAGGAAGAAATCCACTTTGGCCTACTGAGTTCTTAGGAATTTCTCAGTTTCATATTTCATAAACAAGTGGCTGTTCCAGCTGTAATTTGTGGCCAAAAGAAATAGTTGGTAGGCCAGTAACCCTGAATATCTCAGATATCTTTTTCTAGCTTTATGATTAAAATGAACAAACTAAAGGGCTATAGACACAGTCTGTATGGTTCCCTGACCACATCAGTTCCAAGTGCACTGAACATAGGTACCATGGAATAGTGCCTGAGAAAGAAAGATAGCAGAGATGTGGAAAGAATAGATCATGGAGAATTTCTCACTGGCCACAGTCAACTTTATTAACTTAGCTCGTGTAATAACTACCAAGCAGTACCTTGGTTTGCAGTGGTTTTCCACGTTAAACATGAGTATTGATGTAATTAGAGAAATGTTTATATCTTCGTTTTTATTTTAATAAGACAACTATTTCTTGGTGCCACTTGTTTTTCACAGTGTGACATAGGTTCATCATTTATTATTCATTGATTCAAGACTACTTATAGAGTTCATACTATTTAATAGGCAACATTGTAGGTATTGTGGATGGAGCAAGTTTGAGAAAAAAAAAAGACAAGGTCCCTGCCTTTATGGTATTTATATTTTAATATGGAAGGTAGATAATAAAAAAATGTAATGTAATTCCAAGTAATGATTTATGTTATTTAAAAATTAAGCAGGATTTTGGAAGGGCGAGGTGGGAGGATCACCTGAGGTCAGCAGTTCCAGACCAGACTGGCCAACATGGCAAAACCCCATCTCTACTAAAAAACAACAACAACAACAAAATTAACTGGGCATGGTGGTGGACACCTGTAATCCCACCTATTTGAGAGGCTGAGGCAGGAGAATCATTTGAGCCTGGGAGGTGGAGGTTGCAGTGAGCCAAGATTGCGCCACTGCACTCCAGCCTGGGCAATAGAGTGAGACTCTGTCTCAAAAAATAAAATAAAATAAAATAAAATAAAATAAAATAAAATAAAATAAAATCAAGCAGGCTTCATAGATGGGATATAATGAGGGCATGGCTTCAGAGTGACTGATTGGGAAAGGCCTTTCTGAAGAAGGGACATTTGAACAGAGGTTTTGTAAGAGGTAAAGAAAGGAAAGAAACATGAAAAGCAGCTGAAAGGTCAAAGACAGGTTTATTTTGGAGAATAAACCTGACAGGGGCTTCTGGCCAATTTTTGTCAAGAGTGCTCTCTCTTACAGACTAATAGTATTTAAGGGTTCAGGGTGAGAGAACTTATCACGGGCTTGGAATATTTCTGTGGCGGGGAGAAGTTTATTGCAGGGTGGGAATGTCTGTGGTTGGAGGAGAGGCTATCTTGGGGCTGACATCCCTCCAGTCAGGGAGGGGTTTATCTTATTGTTGGAATGTTTCTGGTCGGAGATGTCATTTGTGATTTATGGTCATGCTGATCTTAGCCATTAGGCTGATGCCCTTTGGATTTAGGTGGTTTTTGATCAAGGGGCATTTTAAAATGGCGGTGCTTGTCCAAGATGGTGATTCTCTTGCTCTGTCAGGTTTGAATGAAGTGAAACACTGAAACGTGACTAATCGAAAGAGGAACATGTTAGGTAGCGGGTATAGCAAGTGCAAAGGCCCTGAAGGAGGGGTATGTGTGACGTGTCCCTGGACCATTATGGCTGGAGCAGAACCACAGAGAGGAAGAGAAATAGTGTGGAGAAGAATCTAGGAGCCACTTATATCGGACCTTATAGGCTGTGGGGAGAATTTTAGGATTCATTGTCAGCAAAGGGAAACCATCTGAGGAGTTTTAACAGGGGAGTGGGATGACCTGATTTACAGTTTCTAAGGGATGCCTTGGCTTTTGTATGAAGAACAGGCTATCAGGAGGAGAGAGTGGAAGCACAGTTGGGAAACTAATGTGGTCATCTAGGCAAGAGCTGATGGTAGCAAAAAACAAATGGTGAAGAATGACTGGATTAAAGTTGCACAAACAGAATTTCCTGATTGTATTGGTCAGGGCCTAGCATGGAATGGGAACTATTTTAGGCCTTTCAGTAGAGGGAATTCAATACAGTAAACGGCTTATCCAAATAATGGAATAGCTGAGATACTCAACAGGAGACAGTCATGATCTAGAAATTAGCAGAGCAGGAAGTCACCACCCTCTTTAAGGATGGAGGGAAATGGCAGAGTGACATTAGAGTCTAGAAGCTGGACTGTCCAATGGAAGCTAAAACCATGGATGGGAAGGGGCACATGGTGGAAGTTAGAGCAGTGAGGGAGAAGTGGGTGCTGCTAGGAACAGCACAGGACACAGAGAAGGGGAGAAATGCCTTGTTTCCCCCCCTCCTCTTACTGTCCAGGCTTCTGCCTTCTGCTATTGCTTCCCATTGGCTGAACCTTCCCAGAAGCCAGAAATAAAGGGAGCCTGGAAAATGTAGTTCCTATGGTGCAGAGTGGAGCAGGGGAAAGGAGAAGAATGCACAGTAAGTCCTTGCTTAAAGTTGTAGGTTCTCAGAAGCTGTGACTTTAGGCAAAACAACATATAAAGAAACCAACTTTATCCGAGGCTAATTGATACAAGCAAGAGCTGAGTTCCTAGGGCATATTCCTGGTCACAGAAACATTACTAAACTTCTAAACAGAGACCAGAACACTTCTAATATTAAACATTGAAACACATGTGAACTGTACACGTACTTAAGAAAGGTGAATAAAAACAAGTAAGTCCATTATTTTCCCAATTATTCCAGCTCAGGGTTGCAGGTGGCTGGAATCTATCCCAGCAGTTAGGACACAAAGCAGGAACCAGCCCTGGACAGGACACAGTTCCTTTGCAGAACACTTATGCTCACTGATGCTGGGACCATGTAGACACACCAATTTATCTCTCACGCATAGCCTTGGGATGTGAGAGGAACCTGAAGTCCCTGGAGAAAACCCACACAGACATGGGGAGACATACCAACTCCACACAGACAGTGGCCTGGCAGGAATTGATTTTTTTTTCTCATCAATGTTATAAAAAAATAACATTGAACAAAAGGATATTATTCAAGGACTTGCTGTTTCTGAGAACAAACAGGCAATTTACCAGAAGACTGGTAGATGTGGAGTATGAGACAAAGAGAAGAGTCAAAGGTGACTTCAAGTTTTCATATACTAAGATATCAATCTATATCTCATATTAGCTGCAGATACTAAGGAATATGACTACACCATTAGCAGACAGTTAGATATAATATAGGTATTTGGATCTCTGTATATAGATGTAATATATAGCTAGCTAGATTTAATTATATGCTGATAATATATAAATATTTCCCATGTATAAATACACACACACACACACAAGGATGCAAGATAGCTTTCATCTCAAATGCCAAGGACAATCAATAGACAGAGGTTGCCTGAATTGTGGTGTTAAGAAGGATTCTGAGGCCCTATCCATGCTTGGGATGACAGATGACAGATGACAGAGACTGATAAGCAATGCCTGCTGTGGGCATGAGAGGAGTTGGTTGCCGCACAAGTGCCAGGTATTAGCCATGTCTGCACTGAAGCAATGAACTCTGAGTAGCAGAGGCAGTGTGAGCCAAGCCTCACACTCAACTACAGTACTTCATGAAGGATCTCTGCTCTTTTCTTAAAAATAGTGGTAACAGCCTATCATGAATCCCTCATGGAAAGAAGGAATCATGATTAAACTGAAGTTCATGAAAAACATGTACTGCATTATCCTTCTCCCTCATCTCTCAGGAATTTCAAGAGAACATCTTGTGTCAGTTCAGCCCAATGGGTTACTCTTACTAGTGAGTACATGTGGTAACACACCAGTTCTATTCCCCTTGACCCCTTCATCCTTCTGTGGATGAATCCATGCAGTTCCTATCTTGGAGCCAGTTCTTTGAGTTGACAGTCCATTATGAGGTTAATCTAGAGTGAATGGTTGTATTCACCCACATGTTATGTGGCATGGTTCCATGCCCTTCTGGTTATTTCCCTGCATGCTCTGGAGTCATCTGGGATGTTCTGTTGCCTCCAGCAAACCTTCCATTCTGGGTAGGGAGTTCAACCAAAGTAGGAGAAGTAGAGTAGAGAATCTTTTTGGAAAGAGGCTTTTTTTTTTTTTTTTTTTTGAGTTGGTGTCTCATTCCACCACGCAGGCTAGAGTACAGTGGTGCCATCACGGCTCACTGTAGCCTCAATCTCCTGGGCTTGATCAATCCTCCCACCTCTGCCTCCCAAGTAGGTGGGACCACAGGTGCCTGCCACCACACTCAGCTAATTTTTGTATTTTTTGTAGAGATAGAGTCTCACCGTGTTGCCCAGGGTGATCTCGAACTCCTGGTCTGAAACGATCTGCCCACCTCAGCCTCACAAGCAAAGAGGCTTTTAAAATGAAGTCCTGTGCTTCTTCATCTCAGAGCCAAATCATGTGTTTTGCTGTCTGCACCTCCCCTTCCCCCAGGTGATGTAGCTCAGCTTCAAACATCTGCTGCTGCCCAACCCCGCAGGCTAAGAACATGGTCCTCACCTCCCCATTTGTCTTTCCCTTGCTTTTACATGTTCTGAGACATGTTTGAAAATGGGAATTTGGAGGATTATCTTTAATGCTGTGTCACTGCCTCTGGTGAATATTAATTCTTGGTTTAACTAATTCAGATAGCAATTAATATGATTATTACCTGAAAATAAAATCTTTTGATTTTTTTGTGTGTTTTTGTCTTCAGTGGAATAACAAGTTATTTTATTATTCAAATGGGGCACAGTTCCTGCTGTTTTCTATACAATTTTTAATAAATATGTAAATTCTAAAGTTAATTTACAACATTCATTGGGAGGCATGATTTTTAAAATGACAAAAATGTGATGGATTGTAAAATTATCCCCCTTAAAATCATCAGTCATAGTGAACAGAATGTACCAACCTCTTACAATTTTACAGCTTTTTCTTCATCTTATCTTCTGTTAGGGACTCGCTTAAAATTGATTATAAAATGGTATATTTCTTAGGCCATAATTCATTCACAGATTAATTAGATTTTCAGTTAATATCCCATCATCATATGGGATGGAAGCCAAGGGTGTTTTGTAGTCGTTCAGAGTTGCAGGAGCAAAACCCTGATTGCCATTCCCAAGTGACTGAAGCCACCAGCGCTAATCGCTAATCACATTCAGACCACATAAAGTAGTACATCTCTCACTCCATTTCTGTTCTAGTTGGCTCACAACAAGAGATCTTTATTGGCCCTGACCAAGAGACCAAAATATACTCAAACATTTTTGTGAGGGGGTGATTCTATTTTTTTTTCCCTTGCTTAAAATGAAATTTCTATAGCTATCCCTGGAAAGCTTCAGAGGAAGGGTGTGTGTGTGTGTGTGTGTGTGTGTGTGTGTGTGTGTGTGTGTTTAGGTAGGTGTCCGTGCTTAGCAGTTTTGAATTTAAACATCTTTCTCCTAGTCATTTTCCAGTGGGAGCAGCTTTTGGATTATTTTCATGATTTTAAATAATCCTTTGGTAGCACCCAACAGGAATATTTAAGGGACATTTTGCCAGTAACTTCTTTACCACTGATTTAAGGAAAAGTATTTCTCCAGTCACTTTAGAGAACTATAGATATACATGGCAGAGAAACCGCACACACTAAATCTAGCAAAGAGGAAACACCAGCCCACTCACATTTAACTATCTGAAACTCTAAGTCTTCACAGAGTTGAAGAAAAGATAATTTTCCCCTCTTTCACCCTCCCTCTGGTAGCTGGTGCCAGATCTGGTGCGTGAACAATTGCTACCTGTTACATTGGTCTGTTCCTGCCATATTGTATTCCTCTGTGCAATACAATTGCACAGGCCAGGCTAAAGATCTGCAGAGGCGACCCTAAGGTTTGACTTACTTAGTCCTTCATTATTTTAGGGATGGACCCCACTGAAGTCACTCAGGCCTCTCAAAATCTCTCATCGTCTTTAAGGGCCTGCAGTATTCTTTAAACTCATCCCATTATTTTTAAACCTTCATTCCAAGGCAAATCCCTAATTCATTTTGTTTATAGTGAGGATTTTTTTTGTCATAAAACTGTTTGGGTATTTAAAACACCTCACCGACATAGTCTGTCTTTCCATTGCTAAATGGTATGATTCCACTTATTTTGCATGTTTTAATCTCTAACCTTGCAATCTGTAATGTTGTTGATTATTTCAAGAACCTTGGTTTACAACAGTAGAAATGTTCCTTGAAACTATGTTAATCAAATTTTTTTTGAAGAACAAAGTCTATTTTCCTGTTTACTTACTGGGGGAGTTATTATCTCCGCTTTCTAAATAAAAGAAACCTAAATGTCTTCTGGGTGATTAGACATTAACTACCCTTCAGGAAATAAATGTGTATTCTCCACCAGAAAGTATGGCAGCTTGTCTTAGGAATTCAATCGCTTTCAAGGACATTAAAGGGCATTAGAGAGGTGAAAGTTAAAGTGATAGGGGGGAAAAGGATGACCAGTAAATAAACATAATTAGCATCCTCCTTTTATTCCACTAGCATTTATGGACCACCTATATGCCAGGTGTGTTCTGGCCACAAGAGATGTGAAGATAAATAGGTTCAGTCCCTACAAGGGAGACTGAGCTATGGCAACCGATATACACAGTAAATACCCACCATGCCATGAGAATGGTCCACACAGGGATGAAGGGACAACAAGGGGCAGTCATCAGGGCCCCTGGTCAGAAAAGAATTCAGAGGAGATTTCCCTTCTTCTGAGTCTCAAGTGATAAGAGGGTGTTGGCCATCCTAAAAGGTGGGGAGAACAAGTTAGAGAGAGGAAGATGTACAATCCAGAGCACAGAAACCCTAACCACCTTTCTGGACTCAAAATTTAGCTTGCTGCCATCCTCAGCTGGCTGGCAAAATAATGTGCTTGATAACTATCTGCATGCTACTGACTTTTTCTCCTGAAGTGTTGCTGAGCAGTTTTAATTTTATCTGCAAATCCCTGGATCATTTGAATCCTGATTACTTTTGAGATTGCTTTTTTACCCTTGCCCCTACCCAGCCATTGGGTACTACTTGGTTCAGCCCATTGATTCCTGAGCTTGCCTTGGAATAGAAAATTTTCTTCCTCACCTCCTGACTCTCCCACCTCTTCCCATAGAGGACCCTATGTCTTTGAAAACTCTTTCCATTTCACTGCTGGGAAGGATCTTACACCAACTCCTGGAGTTAAGATCTGTGTCTTCAGCTGTCCATAGATTGGACAAGAGCCATAAATGGATGGAGAGTTGACTTTTGCCCTGAGAAATCAGCCCCATTCTCCAGGGCAGCCAAAGCACTTAAATCATGGGAAAGTTGCAATTTCTACTGCAGCTCTCTACCTACTCTGCGAAACCTTGCTTCCATGGGGAGAAAAACAGACAGAAAGCTTCTTTTGCCACCTGAGTATTTGCTGCCTGGTGGGAAGGTGGGAATGTGAGGGAAGAGGGAATTCATTACCATTAATTGTAGTTCCAGGGCCTAGTAAAGCAGAACCATGTTTTTTCTAGGTTGTTGAGAGACGGCATTACCCAGTGCTTCCTTACCTTGAGTTAATTTGCTCATGAGTCAAGAGGTTTAGAAGGTACCCTGTCTGCCACCAGAGAAACATTCATTTCCGACGTTACTGGGTAAAGGGCTTAGGTGTGTCTCCTGAGGCCCCTCCATGGATGCTGCCCCAGGAGTCCTGTTGAATGGGGCCACTGGTCACACACAAACACATGTGCCACTCTGTTTCTTTTAGACCAAGCTGCTTCCCATCCTGGGATGAACATATTAATGGTTTAGCAAACATTTTTCCTCTGTGCAGTTTTTTCCTGGAGGCAGGAGAGAGAGACCTTCTCATTATTTATCTTGAGCGTTTGATAGGCTTCCTTTGAGAAGGTCATCGTCTGCTATAGCAAAATAATCATGGGATTTC
This sequence comes from Homo sapiens, assembly GCF_000001405.40. Classification (NCBI taxonomy): domain Eukaryota; kingdom Metazoa; phylum Chordata; class Mammalia; order Primates; family Hominidae; genus Homo; species Homo sapiens. Next base: position 132,685,174 of record NC_000002.12, on the reverse strand, counting down.
TGGACAAGCTGGTAAGAGAAAAATGATTCATTATTTCAAGAATTATTTTGCCTTCAGTCCCCAAAATGGATGAAGGCTTCTAACAATATGTAAGAGAGAGCAAGGCTTAACTTATTATATGAAAGGTTACACTTTAAAGGGAAAAGAAGTTCAAACATTACATTTTTAGCTCTGCTGTGATATCACAGGGGTCAAGGCAGTCCGCCTGTTACCCCCACAGTCTTCCGCAGTCACTGTGCTACTCGTTTTGCAAGAGAAGGCCTGCCTGCCCTCCTTCCCTTCTCATCCATTTGGGCTAATGAGATTGGAAGAACTTTTTTTTAGCTTCTATTCAAGCAGTGCCCTCTCCCTCTGGTCCTTTTGGGATGTCAGAACGGATAGCATATTCGTCCATCTATAGACTCAGCCCAACCCTACAGTACTTCTTGCCATGTCACACAACATCTTGCATTTTCACAGCACAGTATATTTTGTCAACTTTGTAGGGGAAGGGGACTGCTTAGCCACTCCGAATGGTATTATTACATAGACCAAAAGGCAGTTTATAATACAACTAGTCCATCCATGTCTGGTACCAAGACACCTGTTACGTTGGGTTATTTTTGCAATAAAATTTGTTTAGCCTAAGTGCAAGCCAGATACTCAGAATGAGGCAGTTTGACTGATAAAGATACTGAATTTTAAAAGGACAGCTGGAAAGGCTGGGCGATCAATATGACCTTGACTACTCACAAGCCAAATAACTTATGGAAATAATGTAAAGACCCTGTGAACTTTCTTGCCTGACAGAAGGGTTTTAAATAATATTTTAAGAAAATCAAAAGCAAACATCCCCTGGACCTTCTTTACAGATTAGATCTGAAATGAAAGACCCTGAGTTACACAATTAACTATTGATTTTGCTGATCCATATTTAATTCTCATAGCAATCGCATTGTGTTTACACAGCCATGCAGGGCAGACATACTTCTCTTGGAGCAAAGCACCTTTCACTTCTACATTAATTTAAAAATTAAATTGTCCTGTGCATGTGAGACAAAAATGAAGTTTATTTTTATTGTAGCAAATGGCTGACTTAAACTTGATAAAGTGGCATAAAGCCAGTTGAAGAGAATACCTTTTATAATGCAATATTCAAGTTGCTGAATGAATATATTTCATGTGGCAGAGAGAGACTAAATAGCATCTGTGTGGTACCTGGTACTAGAATTTTGTACTACGACAGCTATAATTTAATCTCCCTACAGTTTAATTTCTTGGTTTGATACATCCAGTAATATTTGTAGGTTTATCACTCAGGTAGTCAATCTCATTGCTGCCTCTAAGAATGTCATCAGCATGATGTTTCTATTGTCACCTGGAAGCACCAAGATGGGTCACCAAACTTCCTCTGCCTGAAGTAGCTAGGAATCTGAATTTGAGCAAATTGCCTGGACTTGGCTCAGACCAGGTGAGGTGACACTTGCTGGCTGAAGAAAGAATTTAAGAAAAGGGTAGATACAATGTCTATACCATCTATTAGGTTGGTGCAATTACTTTTGAACCAAGGTAATATCCTGGGCCTGTTCTTTTCAGTAACATTTTGCCCCATGAGGAGCTTATTGTATTGGCTATTGCACCTGGATTTCCATAAAGCAGTGGCAGCTGCTGCCTCACCCAACTGCTGACCAAGCCTACCTAGAGGTGCAGGAGAAAGCCCCAGATGGCTCAGAGCTGCCAAACCAGTGTGACCATGGGAGGTGAATCCACATGTCTTTGCTCTTGACAAAAAGAAAATTGCTGTTGCCAAAGTAACCAATAGTCAGACCTCCATTAATCCAAGAGGTTTCTTGATGCTAACCTAAAATCTGCCTGCCCTCCTTTTCTTTCCATCCATTTGGGCTAATGAGATTGGAAGAATTTTTTTTTAGGTTCTATTCAAGCAGTACCCTCTCCCTCTGGTCCTTTCGGGATGTCAGAACGGATAGCATATTCGTCCATCTATAGACTATCTTTATGTGCGGTGGTTCACGCCTGTAATCCCAGCACTTTGGGAGGCTGAGGCAGGTGGATGGCCTGAGGTCAGGTATTCGAAACCAGCCTGGCCAACATGGTGAAACCCCATCTCTACTAAAAATACAAAAATTAGCCAGGCATGGAGGTGCATGCCTGTAATCTCAACTACTTGGGAGACTGAGGCAGGAGAATAGCATGAACTGGGAGGTGGAGGTTGAAGTGAGCCGAGATCGCATCACTGCACTCCAGCCTGGGTAACAGAGTGAGACTCTGTCTCAAAAAAAAAAAAAAAGTAAAAAGAAAGAAATTCTGATTTAAACATGTCAATTTCAGAAAGTCACCAGACTCAGAAAGGTTAAGAAAGTTGAGTGTAAATAGTAACTAGTTAACCTATGAAAAATATCTGCCTAAATGATGTTACAGACTGAAAATGGAAGAAGATCAAAAGAAGCTTTAGAAAATCCAGGGAGTTATTCCAAAAATACCTTTGGGGTGGGCACATCCATAACTCTGAATTTGACAGGATATTTGTGTTCTAGGTGCCATTATTAGACCAAAGAGCAGACTGGGTAGATGATTCTAACTCAACAAAGCAATTTTCAGGGACTCACTTTCTGGTATATCTAATGCTTTGTTCCATATTTGCTTCATATTAAAAAGTCCTTAACATGTATTCCATGTGACTTTTCTCATACACCACTGTATCTCTACTATCTAGAATACTTTCTGGTACATTGTAGGTACTTGGTAAATACCTAAAGAATAAACAAAGGATGTGGCAGGAACAGCAGACTCCCCATTTAAGTATTCATTACAATCTGGGTACAGAGTTGAAGTGGTGATTGTCACTGTCACATTGTGGTAGAGCAAGGGATGGAATCTGGAACGGAAGCAGATTCCCATCGGCAACCTCCCCACCAGCATGTCTCCCCATTCTAGAACCCCAGTGCTTCCTGGGTAGTGACCATTAAGAGCATCCTACAATTGCTGCCATAAACTAGAGTGCCACACAGAATTGATCGTTGAAAGAATCTTTAAAACAATTCCCACCAAAAAAAAATTCTTCTTTTTAGAATAAGGATCAATAAATTTGTTCCAATTCTGAATTGTCCTGGCTGTCAGGATTCAATATGTCAAATAACTTTATCCAAATGAAAAGCTGACCAGCTCTTGACCCAAAACATGAATTGCAGTAGGAAATGAATCACACATCAGTGGAGCAAACATTCTTGCACCCTCCAATATCAGCATGTTCCTGGATGAACCTTAGCTTGCAGTCCCATTTAATTCCATGGCTGTTGTAAAGTGCCTAATAAATTGGGTGCCATAATGCACTGTGGCTCCTAAATGGCCTACCAAACTCTGTTGGAAGTAATTCCAGGTCATCTAGTTATTTATATAGGTTAATGAATAACATAAAATGTTTTTCCCTAGCTTTGGCACTCGCCGCATACCTCATAAAAACTTAGCAATTTCAGGTATAATTCTATGATGTCCACCCATCTCCAATGGTATTGGAGATTTTCTTTTGGAAGGGGAACTTCCATGGGAAAAATAGTAGTATAAGCTTTTTTTATATTCACCTGATCCACACAAAAAAATTATTTTTTTCTTTTACAAACAGTAAAAAATCTATCACTCCAAAATGAAAACATAGCACTGTGATGTTATAATACATAAGTAAATGCTGCATTTTCATCTGACAAAAGTTCACGGACTTTTTATGCTACAAGCACAGTGACACCTAAGCCTGCCATGGCCCGGCTTGCTGAACAGGCTTTAAGACATATTTAAGACATAAAACGATGCAAAGGGTAGTTAAAAAAAAAAAAAGGCTAATCAGTCTTTTAAGTCAAGTGAGTAGTATGTATATTTATTTTTACTCATATGGTATACATAAATGAAAAGCAGAAAATCTTGATGCCCTAACTCTTGTCAGCTGAAATTCTTAACCTTACTTGAGTAGATTTAGAAGTTCTCATCTCAGGAACTGCTCAATTATCATTCCTGCATAAATTGTTTAATTAATATTACTGTGCTAGAAGAAAAAGGAATCTAACAACACCGAGAAACATGTTCCATTTAGTTAAGCTGTTTACACAGGCTGATAGCAATGAGCTGTCTTGTTTGCCCAATTCTGGATCATCAGAAAATAGTGCACATTTTACTTTTGGAGAAATTGACCACAACTCATCAAATCGGAAGCATTATTAAAGGCAGTCAACCTACGTTTTAAATTGTCTTTGTGGATCTGTTCCCCCCTGGAAAACAGAAAATCCAAATTTTCAAATGGGCATTGGAAATGATGACGCTAACATCAGAGTTTGCAGAAATCACAAATGTGTTTCTTATAACAATTTTATCCCAACTTACATGCCTTTCCTCTTCCCAGATGCCTTTCTGTGCCATAAGCAAATTTGCGGTTTTCTTCCTGCTACTTTATCTTCCTACTAAGGGACATCCCCTCCCATCTTTCCCCCGTTTTCCATATATGGGGATGTTTCTTATCACTGATGAAATGACTTCTCTTTCCTTCAGTACTCTTGATCTGGTGTTTAAATGTCCTTTGTAGCCATTGTTTATCTTCAAAATGCATCCTTTTCCTTTCCACAAGGTGTATTATTTTCTAACAACCCTAAGCTTCCCACTGACCTTCTCTTTGCTTGCTCTTTTTCTCAAAAAGTGAGTTTATTTCCCCCCTCTGGGTTTAGGGGTTCAAGGAGAGGTCATTGAGGACCATCGATCACAGTAAAGGACAGCAGTATAGTTAATATAGTCATAAAAGCACATCTCTGCTGAAAATTACTCTTTCACCTAATAAAATCTGTTTGCCCTGAGGATACTGAAGAATCTCTAGGACCCCAGTAAGAAAACAGAGTGCCCCCAAGTGCCAAATCACATCTCCGTGAGTGTGGTTGGAGGGAGAGAGTGGTTCTCTATTACCAATGCGTCACTTTAATTTTTCAGAAGGGCAAGTCAAGAGTAATGTGTCCAGTTGAGGTAATAGAGGGAACCGAGCACCGGGAGAAAGTAATATCCAAGTTGAAATTTGACCAGGTTAACAGGGTTAATATCACAACTCTTGAGAAAAGTGTGGAGGGGTCTCTAGTGATCACCAAAGGTCATTCTATCTATTTTTATGTCTCATCTAGAAAGTAGCTTCACCAGGAATGCAGTAAGAGGCGGCATTAAGGAAGTGATTAACTAGTGCCTCTGAGAAAAGAGAAATGACTTGAGTTGCATCTTTTCCCTTGAGGTTGGCCTGCCCTTCGCAAATAGCACTTAACATAGACTTTGAGATGTGCACAAATCTTCAACTAAGAGACCTTGGCTTAAAATACCTCCTCACCATTCCCACAACAAGAACATAACATAAAACTCTTCCCTGAATCCATCTTCCCAGTGCTCAAGATTTGTTCATCAGAAAAGGGATGGGGTAAATCACATGTTCAGCTTCAGCCCAAAACCCTTGATTAAACAGACCGTCTCTTAGACTTCATTTATTTGCTTCCAAATGGAAGCTCTGCCATCTTTCACACCTGCTGGATCACCATCTTCCTATTTCTTTGCCCATGGAGACACTTCTCTGTGCAAACTAACTCCCTGCAGCACCAGAATTTTCCAGCATCTTCTTGGCCTTCATCCATATATGACTGTCTAGTTAAAATCTGCATCATATGTAATCAGAGATGTTGGGTGGTAGTAGGGGACACCTTGGACACCTTCTTCTCAAACATTCTTTTGTTTGAGAAAAACATGGAAGGAGCTTCCTAGGGTAACCCTCCTGGAGTCTCTGGGCCCCCCTTATTCACTTCTCCCAGGGAATGAGGGACTGACTTGCCTAGCAAGTTCAGGAAGGGAACTTCTTGCTCTTCCTAGTCTCCCTCTGGAATCAGACTGTCAGAAGCACAAATTTCTGTTCTGTTCCTTCATGCTGTAGTTTTTACAGGAAGACACTTGTTTCCCAGCCCAGGGCTGCTAATTACTAAGCTTGTCTATATCTTGGGATCAGTGTTAGGAAACCCACTTCTTTACAGATGGAAACCTTGTTCTCCAATCAAACTTTCTCTTAGTAAAGCTGATCTTTTGGCCTCCCGTCAGCCTTTTTCTTTTATTTTTTTAAGTCATTGAGAACTAAAGTAGGGAAGGGGGTGTTAGGGTTGGTTATTGTGCCACCTCAAATTCCAATAATAGACGCCCAGAAGATATCCAATTAAGAATATTTTAGAGTCACAGAGCTTTATAGACTGGGAAGATTCAAAAAAACCTTTAATGTAAAGAAACTAAGGGTCAGAGGGCTTACACAGCTAATTAGCACAAAGCCAGGAGTTGCACGCTGGTTTTTAAAAACCTGGGGTAATACACAGTGATTAAGATCCCAAGTCCTGTAGTCAGGCTGTTTCTGCTCAAATCCTGATTGCCTAACTTATTAGCCACATATATGTGGACTAACATTTAGACCTCGCTATCTGCATTTTCTCATTTGTATAATGGGGATGATAATAGTGCTATCTCATAGGCTTGCTGTCAGGATTAAATGAGGTATTTCATGCAGTGCATTCAACCCAGTACCTGACTCATAGTAAAAACACTTTATAAATAGGGCTATTTTCCTACCACATATTTTCTTGATCCATGGGCAGTGAATCTCTATAGCAATAGAGAAATAAGAAATTATGTTGATTAAAGTCCTGTTTGCATTAACTTGTGCTAAGAGCTCCAATCCTCATTATAAATGTTAGTGCCCAGCTGAGGAACAATGCTGTGTTTGAATTTCACAAATAGATTGGATCTCTTCCTGACACTAGATATACTAACCAATATTTTTAAGACATAATCAAAGGATGGAAATGTATTTGAAATAATGAAAGAGTAGCATTTATCATAGAACAATAATTGATTGCACTATTTCATAAATTTGCTATTTGTTCTCCTCTACCATGAACAGGAGTTTCTGGCTGTACACACATAACATGTATCTCTTTGAAGCTGATACCATCATGCATATATTTTTTGCTGGTTTATCACTTGAGTTTTTCTGTATCACCGTACATATTTTCCACCTCTTCATTATGGCAAGGGTCCATATCTCCTCCAATTTTATCCTTGGTATTCAGGATATTGTTCTAGTCAAAAATCTCTACTTCATGACTATTGTGAACTATAAAAAAAACTACTGTGAATTTTTGTGTGAAAAATCAGAAAACTAAGTTTTAAGGTCTAATTTCACTTGGATTTGAATCTGTGTGAATCACAGATTCCATAAATATCGCGTGGAAAGTATAGCTGACTCTGGCCTTCCTCACCTTCCAGGCTGATGGAAGAGCAAAGTGAGTCATAGATTAGAACGCAGTTTGGAAGTCAAAACTTTTTATAACCCATGTACGGGCTGATACTTTCATGAGTCTGGTTGAGTTTCCTAGAACCTCTTGGGGTAGGCACGTCTCAATTTCTGTCTTTATAGTGATTGTCTACTACAGAATCCCCAAAGGGAGAGACCCTCTGGGCAACTCATGGTCCTGAAGTAGACTACACAGTGTTGCACAGTTGCAATAGAGGCATAATAGATGAATATTTATTGGAATTCCCTCCCTCCTCCTTACTGTGTATTTCAATCCTATTTGCCCTTCAAAACCATTCCAAGAGCACCCTTTTCTATAAAACTTCCTCTGAGAATCAAGACCACAAGACTGTTTGCACAAAGCTGGTCACATAGTAGATTAGTTTGATTGAATGACTGCTTGACTACAAGGAATTAAATTAATAAAGGTCTAATTCTCAAGAGATTTCTGGAGAATATGCCACTATACACTTCTTGCTTGAATTATCACTAATAATTCCATGGTTACACTAAAGGCAGGAAAATATTTTAAGAACATGCAAAGCTATTTATTTAAGCTTGAAAATGTATTTGCATCTTGTCTGTTTAGCCCTACTTTTATTCCCAAGTGTAGTTGAAAAAAAAATCCACCAAAAAGTCATCTGTACAACTGTTGCCACCTATAGGTGACAAATGTAGTATATTAATTTTATCATAATTCTGATGAAGCACAACACAGGAAGGAATTGGCGATGTTTTATGGAACCTACACAATTCTCATCAAACACTAATCTTCACCGGGTCTATCATTATTGTTTTTGTTCTGTAATTGCTATTTCAGATGCTTCCCTTAAAGATAATATTGGCTAATATTCATAAAGTAGTTTTCCAAGATGAAAGTTGAGAGCTTCATCTCTGCAGGCACACTGCCTAGCTCTAAATCCAAAGTCCATCCCATACTGCTACAGGAATTTAAACAAGTTACTTACCTTCCTCAAGCCTTGATTGCCTATAAATGGAGATACTAATGGCACCTACCCTGTAGAATTCATGTGAGGATGGAAACATATAATCTATGCACTATGCTTAGCAGAGTGTCTGTACAGAACACACACTGTTAAATGGTAACTGTTATTACCATGATTAGTTTGCAAAGCACTTTCACGTATAGTTGCTGCAAACTAATGTGCACTATTTTGTTGTCATTTGCCAGATAGATCATTAACACATTATTGTTTCACCTCAATCCCTCCTTATATGTTAAATCTAAATGTTATTCAACTACAAAATTTTAAAAATATCTGAGATCTGACAAGACAATGTTGAGGTTCGGTATGCTCCTATAGGCAGAAAAGTAAGCCACTTCAGTGTTTTTATTCGTAGCTGGCAGCACCACTTGAGGAGCCCAGACTCATAGTTAAGACTCTTCTGATCCTAGGCAAAGTCTCCACTGAGAAACTACTGATGATGTAGCATTGGACTAGGCCTTCAAAAAGAAAGCTGGGGGAAGGGAAATAGGGGAGTGGATGAGGTGAAGTAGGACACTGCAAAAAAAAAAAAAAAAAAAAAAAAAAAAGGATAAAACAACATCCCTAGCTCAGAAACTCAAACAGTGCAAAGATTGCAATTCGGTATACATACTGGGTATTTTGTTATTTTCTTTAAATGTGAGCCAAGAATTAAAAGTAAGTGAATTTTAAATATAAGCAAATATTGATCTAGATGTATCTCCTCATCTTTGAAATCGAAAGATCTGCACCCACATTTCTGCATAGCTAGATCTAAGTAGCTGCTACCACCTTTAGATCCAGCACATACTCCTGAGCTGACTGCAGCCCTCACCACTCCTTATGGCTGCTCTGCCTAGAGACTGAATGCTAGTTGGTCCATATGGTCACTTTTGCATGGATGTTGTTTTTACAGTCAAGTAATATGTCTGCAGTCACTTTTCATCAAAACTGTAAAAATAAAAGGAAACCCGAGAAGTTCATGTTTCTTGTTTGCTTTTTTTTTTTTTTAAATAATGGTCCCTTCTTTCATTTCTATAACCTCTCTGGCCAGTGTAGGTCTTTGTTATAATTAACTGAAGCAACAAATCTGTAAGCCTGAAACATTTGAAAACCTGATGACAGTGAGTGTTTTAATGGCAATTAACTCTTCCCAAATTCCACCATTTCACAACGAATTATGATTTCCACCTGTCTGTCTTCCCTCCAGGGGTCATGTTCTTCTAGACCAGTGGGTCTCAAATTTCAGTATGTATCAGAATCACCTGGTAATCTTGTTAAAAACTGATTGCTGGCCCTCAGAGTTTCTGGTGTAGTAGGTCTAGGTGGGATCCAAGAACTTGCATTTCCAGGAAGCTCCTTGGTGTTGTTGACGTTGTTGGTCTGGGGAACACACTTTGAGAACCACCATTCTAGAATAAGAATCCAGCCTTACATTTATTGCACACCCACTACTGTCTGCCAGAGCTTTAAAGTTCTTTATTTCTAATACTTATTGCAGTCCTGAAATAAAGATGTATCTTATCACCATTTTACACCTGAAGAAGGATGCTTGTAGCACTCAGCCCGTGAAAGGGCCAAGCTGAAATCGAAGCTCAGCCTGTCTGCCCTCAGGGCCTCAATGATCACCCTGCAGGACACAATTTTATTCAGCTGTGTATCTTCAGTACCAAAGCCTTCAGCCTGCCTTGCAGTAGCTTCTCTAATGAGTGTGTGTTGAATGAATTTGAGATCCACATAGATGAGAAATAGGCAAGAAAAATACTTGTGGTTCTTAAATGAAGAAAAATGGAGAAGACATCCAGGTAAAGAGAAAATTGCATTGAATGCCATTTATTTACATCCATTTGGTAAATGTAGGCAAATTGGCATGGTGTTGAAAGGGGCCCTTGGATGGAGTTATTTCTAATTATGGAGCCACTTTTCTGTAATCAGCTAGGAGTCTGTTCCTTAGCCCGCCTCTGGTTTCAGGGTAGCTGTGTGTGATTGAAAATTAGCTCTGTGAGTAATGTTTCTGCACGTTAGTAGTATAATGAAATAAGCACTAGATCTAGGATGATTTTCAAATATTCCCATAGAATTATACCATTTCCTATAGCAGAGAAATTCTGCCCGTGTCTGCTCTTGGAACACAGAAGCCATCCACTTCCATCTCTCTCTTCTCTTTCCATTCTTCACATTAGCATGTGAGAATCCATAAGCTTTGGCTATATCTATTTTCCCAATCAAAAGACAGTTTCCTCATTGCAACCTTGTTGAGTCCAGCATAACAATGTTGGGGGTGGGGAGCATGGTGCACAGCAGAACTGCACATGTTAGAGACGGTTTGGCAAGTTATTTAAGTGGAATTTTTGGGTAACAAAATGGAAAACAGGACATTGTGTCCTTTATTACCTAAGAACATGGTTTAATGGAAAGAACAAGAGCATGGAAGGCAGCCAGACAGAAATTCAAATCCTGTTCTCTGCCACTTGCTGGGCAACCTTGGGCAAATATCTCTGTCACTCTGAGCCTTGCATACCTTCTCTTTAAAATGGGGTCGTTTACCTTGTAGGTTTGTGAAAAAGCTGATAGAATCTGTTAAGTGTCTTTTACCTAGTGGATGCTTAATAAATGGTAACACTTACTATCATCTCCAAGCCCCCGGGCCTGCTTCTTTCCTGTGTTTGGATGGAATTTCTGCTGGAAAGAGGAAAAGAAGATGAGAAATATTGTAGACACTTTTACATGTCTGTTTTTCTCATTGTTTTTCGCAAGTGTGCCTCCCTCTGTCCTCACCTTAGCCCTTAGGAGCCAACTGAGCAACCGAATATATTCATGTTTACAGGGTTTACCTATGATAATTATTGAATTTGGTGCAGTGCTTTATACATCATACAGGGTATTAATAACAGTAATATCCCAGTATAAACTGGTATTACTAGACCTTCTGGAGCAGAGGGGTTACTCAGCTGTTCACCTGCCGCTTTAATTTTTAAGCCCTTGGGCCTTCTGGGATCTACACCCAAAAACCTGGAGATCTCTTTCAAATATCTTAAGTCCTATAAAGGGACAAAATACTAAAATGGCAATGCTTCTAACAAGCTTAACATGTATTCAAAAATGGCAAGTTAGGGGATTTTTATGTCTTTTTTTTATTAGAAAAAAACATATTACCATAACTTCTGGCTGAAATTCAATACCTACTCATATTTAGAAAAAGTACAGCTAATACTTAGCAAGGAAAGAGAGGAGTTTGAAACTTTGATGAAGAAAAATAAGGCACTTTACCTGAACAAATTTCAAATGGATCCATTTAAAATGAAATTAAGTGGCACTTAATTTGCAAATTGGGACCTATTTATCTCAGTAAAATGATTAAAGTCCTGATTTATCCCTAAAATTGGCTTTATTATTACATCTAATTATACTAGAAGATTATTAAAGACTTGTAGGTTTTCTCTGTCCCTTTAAACTGTACTTTATACAGACAATAATTGAATATTAGATAGGATAACTTGATTTTCCAAAGAAATATGTTTCTAATATTTTCTTCTTTTTATTGCAGAAATTGAGACAACTTGAAGAAACAAAAGACGATCCCGAGAATAGATTATCGAAAATTTCCCTAGAGTCATTCAATAAATTTAACAGCAATACTGTGATTTTATTAGAAAAAGAGAAGAACTCTCTGAACAAGGTTGAAGGACAGAAGGAAGAAAAAGAAAAAAATGAAGAGACATCTTTGAGTAGTTCAGATAGGCCTGGGGTAGACAACTTGGAATCTTTGAGTGATTCTTTATATGATAGCTTCTCTTCCTGTGCCAGTCAAGGTTCAAATGATGTATAAAGGACATCTCTTCCCTTAGTGAGCTGGGACTGGAGCGCTTAAGAAATGATGGGTGGGGGGTGGGGGGTGCACCGCTTGATAGAGATAACAATAAACTATTGCAGTACCAGAGCCTTCCTTGTCAAATTCACAGCAGGCAACCCACCAGAGCTTATTTCTCTGACAGGGCAATAAAGATAGACTCCATTTATTGTGTTTCAAGAGGATTAAGCGTAAACACATCTATGATACAGAATCCTTAATTTTGCACTTTTTTTGAATATTTGTACAGAAGTTGTAAATTTTTTGGAAGAGAAATTATATTTGTAGCAAAAAAAGACAGCAATAAATGGAATCAGTGCCATGCTCTTGAAATAATGTACTAAGTCTTAGAAGTTGATGATAATATATATTTTTTAAAATCCCAACTGAAGTTTTTGTGAAGTTCGTTGTCCTGGTCCTCAAATTGTTTGTGGGTACACTCTGTAAACCTACAACAGGGCCTGCCAAAAAATCGGAGGGTTCCTCCTCATCTCCATCTCACAAATCTCAATTTGATGGAAATGTTCATTTTAGTGTAATTTCAGATTCGTTGCCAGAGATTCAGGTGATAGTAATAAGTGTCATTCTGCTTCTGCTGAAAAATGAAAAGGGTCCTGAAGTGTGGACACTGATTGGGAGTGTGACATTGTATCAGAAATGACCGAATTCTATTCCCAATACCAGTTTTTCCTTCCAGACATTTCTTTAGATTGTCTTTTACTTAGTGCTTCTCTATGATCCTGAATATTATTTGATTTTTATCTTCTTGCTCTTTTTATTAAAATCTGGGCACTCTAAAAATGAAAACAAATTTCTATTTGCAATGTTCACTTTTAAAAATAAAATTAATGGTGCTACGAAGAATTCTTTTTAATATCCTTTTTTTTCTACAAAGACTGTTTATATGTAAGGATAAATTCTATTTTAAAGGTTATGTGTATTTTTTCTAGATGTGAACTATTTATAATTACTTATGTACAGGAGCTTGTAAACTAGGCCCAATAGAAATATTTTTAGGATCTATATGGCTACTTTAGCACATAATTGTTTCTTTAAAGAGTATTGTATGATCAGTGTTATTTGGTTAATTTGTGCAATTTGTTTTATTTTATCTTAAATGAAAATTATGTAAAATGTCCTTGTCTTTCAGACTTTAAAAAATCTTTTTGTTTCCTTTCTGAATAAAAGTTATATCACATTTGCACCCTCTGAAAACAGAAAATAACTTGCTCAAGGACCTTTTGGCCCAGTCAGTTACTTGAATCATGACTCACACGTGCTCTTACAATGGGTTCCCAGAAGGAATAAATAAATTGGCCCTTTTGCTCCAGAGATAGTAATTTAGCCAATTGTAAGATCAGAGTCTGCAGACAGGTGAGTAATGGTCAAAGCATTTCAGTCTCCCCGAGGGGTTAACCAAATAGAAATGAAAGAAGGGGGAGAGGGAGGGAGGGAGGGAGAGAAGGAGCCTGAGGCAGATATGGAACGATCTCTGCAGAGGAATTACAAAGAAAGTCATTTAAGCCCCTTTACAGACCAGCTCTGCTGGGAGGATGCAGAAATAAATGATCAGCGTCCCGGCGTGAGAGAGCTGCCCCCAGAAGTGGCCGGGGGAGAAAAGGGTGAAGAGGAGCTAAAGCTTAGGAGGCGATTTCCACGGAAATGGATGCTCCCTAAGGATGTGCGGAAAGGGGATGGGAATGTGCGGATTGGGGGCGGGGGCACCAACGCACTCCGGCGGGCAAGCGGTCTCCCGCACCACCTGCTGCAAGGCTCGGGAAGGAAGGCGAAGATAGCACCGGGGCATCCCCGGGAGTCCGCAAGGTGGGTCACTTGGACTTTGCGGAAAGAAGACGAATTTGAGGGGTGTGGGGAGCAGCCAGAGGCCGAGTCCGAGGCTGGGATGGCCTTTCAGGAGAGGACGTGGGAGTATGTGCTAATAATCGGTGGCTTTGGGGAAAGCAGAATGGAGCCGGCTGGCGTTTGGGAGACAAGGAATGGAGGAGAACAACCCTCTTCCTCACCCTGATTTGCTTTCTGGTAGGACCTCACGGCAGGTGTCCCCGGGACGGCGTTCTCCTAGGCTAGGCGACCAGGGCGGTGTCAATGCACCCTCCAGCGGTGCGCGCAGGCGGGAGAAGGGAGGGCGGCCCGGGCAAGTGAGACAGTTAAGGCAGTGTCCCCACCACACCCCCACCCAGATTGGCCACGCCGAGCTGGTTCTTGACAGAAGGCCTTCGCGGAGGAAGAGGGGGCACAGCTGCACAGGACACCCTACGGAGCCTGCGGGCGTGGAACTTTGCCAGGCGCACGGGAACGCGCGCCCTTCCTGTCAGCCTCCCGGGGCGCCAGGCTCCCGCGGCCCGCAGCGGGACAGCCTCAGTTGTGTGGGCTGGACCCAGTCGCTGGGGTACCGACCAGTCCTGGAAGGCGCAGAGGACGTGGAGTGGGGAGGCTGCCTTCCTATGTGCGAAGGGCCAGCCGGGCACGCAGTCCTCAGACCCTAGTCCGCACCCGGCAGGTCCCCACGGCACCTGCTGCGCCCTCCTCGCCGCTCCCCCAACCTCCCCATCTCAGAAAACTACCAGTTCTCTCCCGCCCCCCGGCGCCCCTTTCCCAGGAACGTGCGGAGGCGGGAGAAGAGGAAGACAGGAAGGGGGTGGGGATGTGAAGCGACCGTCCCAGCCTTCCCCGCCCGCCACCCCCACCCCAACTCGGCAGCCGTCACGTGATGCCTGGAGTGGGAGGTGGGGAGAAAAGGCGAGACTTTTGTGGGTGCTCCCGATCGCCAGTAGTTCCTTCAGTCTCAGCCGCCAACTCCGGAGGCGCGGTGCTCGGCCCGGGAGCGCGAGCGGGAGGAGCAGAGACCCGCAGCCGGGAGCCCGAGCGCGGGCGATGCAGGCTCCGCGAGCGGCACCTGCGGCTCCTCTAAGCTACGACCGTCGTCTCCGCGGCAGCAGCGCGGGCCCCAGCAGCCTCGGCAGCCACAGCCGCTGCAGCCGGGGCAGCCTCCGCTGCTGTCGCCTCCTCTGATGCGCTTGCCCTCTCCCGGCCCCGGGACTCCGGGAGAATGTGGGTCCTAGGCATCGCGGCAACTTTTTGCGGATTGTTCTTGCTTCCAGGTGAGAATACCCAGAGGCCAGCAGCCGAGGCCAGGTGCGCACAATCCATCTACCCGCCAGCCCTTTTGCCCCCAAGGCGCCCACCTCGGGGCCAGCCCTGCGCTGGGGCTGCCCAGCGGGAGTTGGCGGCCGCGACTGGTGCCCCGGGGCGCGAGGCTGGGAAAGTGTCCAAGTCCCGCGCTGCAGGAGGAGAGCGGGGAGCGGCGGGTTTGCGGGACTCCGGGCTGCAGCTTGTCCGGCTGCACCGTCGGGAGAAGCTGGGCTTGAGAGGAGGGAGGGTCCGAGCGGTGCTGGGTTCTGGGCGAGGGAGAGGGGGCGACATCTCCCGAACCCTGCCAAGTTGTCTGGCGCCTCCGGCACCCCGTGGGAGTGGCGCCGCCGACAGGTGAGCGATGCGCGAGGCAGCCTGCGGCCACGCTGAAGCTGGGTTGCTGCGCTCAGAGTGCGATAGATGTGGGGCTGCGGGAGCGTGGGTAGTTGGGTCTAGACAGGAGCGCGTACACCGAGAACAGCCAGGCCGAAGCGTCCAGAGGCGCAAAGGTCTCGCGTCCTCTCTCCAGTTCGCCTACTGGCTCCCGACTAAGCTCTGCAGAGCTGGAACCCCGACCACTGACCCTAGTCGAACGGTTGTCCTGAAAGCCGGGGCCTGGAAGAAAGGGCTGCGGGGTCGGGGATCCAGGGTGCGCGCGCTCACAAACGCCCTTTCCCACCCTCTGTGGCCATTCGGGTCGCCGCGGGGACGGCCCCGGAGAAGGGCCGCCGACCCGGGCTCGGGGACTTGCGGCGCAGCAGCGCTTGGCGTCTGGCACCTCCACCCAAGTTGTTCCCAGGTGGTCGCTCAGGGATCCTCAGAGCCCTGGCACAGAAACGCTGACTTTAAAAATTAAATAAATAAAAACTAAAAAGACGTCTGCGAATGTAATCACGAATGGTGCCAAAATAGTAATTAAGTAATTTGTAACCAATTAGCAATTAGGCAAATCCTTTGGCTTAGGCTGGAGCTAACGCACATCTCCAGAGCTACTTCACTCTTGCGGTGGTACCGTCCCCACCCTCCCTTCAACTTCTTGGGAAAAGGCCTGGGGTGGTAATGGATGGGCGCTTTGTGTCTAGAGCCGGGGTCCAGGGGTGGCGGGCACTATTCCACTTTCTTCCGTAGGACCCTAGGTACCCGCGCCGCCCCCTGCCGGTGTCAGCCACATCCAGCCCTACCCGGAGACCCAGGAGTGGTCTAAGCCTGCCAGAGGCTGGGAGCCGCCTGGCTCTGAGGCGTGGGATGGTCGTGATTTCCGGGGTGGGCTCTGTGGGGGCCGGATCTGAACCCGACTGCGTCTGTCTCGCAGGCTTTGCGCTGCAAATCCAGTGCTACCAGTGTGAAGAATTCCAGCTGAACAACGACTGCTCCTCCCCCGAGTTCATTGTGAATTGCACGGTGAACGTTCAAGACATGTGTCAGAAAGAAGTGATGGAGCAAAGTGCCGGTAAGAGCCTGGCAGCCCTCCCCCTCGCTCTTAAGCCTGGGCTGTGGGGTGGGAGTGAGGGGGCCATTAAATAGCAGGAAAAAGGACTGACTTTGATTTAATGCCCACACACTGGTTATCGCAGATTTAGTTTTACAGTGCTGGGAAAATGAAGAGTTCCAAGTTACTTTAATCTCATTAGAGTTAATTACCAAGGCTTCTCCCCAAGGGTCTTGGGAGGGGAAGTGCATGTAAATTAGTGGCTCTCCTCTTTTTATTTACTCCCTTCACCTCCCTATGCTAAAAGCTGATGGAGGTAGAAAATATATGGCTAACCAGCCCTGGCTTGGGCAACTAGACAGTAGCCTGTGAGCATTGTCAGCCTGAAATATGGAGCTAGTTGAAGCTCCCAGAGGTCAGAGCTTGAAAAATGTGTTTTGTCATAGAGGCACACCATATTTCCTTGAAGAACACTACAGGATCTTTGTTTAATTTTAGAACTAATGCATCAACTTCCAGGCACAAATTGCCAAGATCTTTCAAAGGAATGCCGTTCTCAGCCCTACCAGCTTAGCTGCTGGCTAGCTGAGAAGAAGTCCTGAGCATCCTGTGGGGGAAGGGGAGGTCTTGTGGGATAGCCCTCACTCCCTCTAGTTGACCAAGAATCTTCTCACTGAGGTAGAACTTTCCAACCCTCTCCTCACCCCCTACCCCAGCTGTCTTATCAGAAGTCAAAGTTCCCCAAAGTATATCTGGAACTTTGGGAGAATAGGTAGAGCTGTTACTTCAGTTTCAAGGTCAAAACCATAAACACAGACCTTGCCATTTTAAGGATATTAAAAGGATGGGAAATAGCATAACTTGATGGCTGATAGTGAATGAACCAAAGCCCCCACTTCCTTTAGTTCTGTGAACTGCCTGCAGAGCCCGGTGAAGTGATTAGAACTGTTATATGATTCCCTTTACCCGCTGGCAAATCAATGCAAGGACTCTAGTTTCAAAGCCAACACCTTGGGAAAGTCGTTTCTTCTCAGAGAAGGGCCTGGAAATGTCATATTGCTATCCTCATGGTTATTTGGAAAGCAGATGTTAGCTTGACACTGTGTTGTGTTGTGGTGTGTGTGCAGTTGTAAGGGCTGGTTTGTATAGGTCATTATTTGTTGCACCAAAATCACTCTTCTGGGAAGCCTCAGACATACTGGCTCTCAAGGGTAACTTGTCTCGAGAAATGCGGTAAACATTATTTTGGCACGTGGGATTTGGGCTATTAATGATGCAAAACAAAACAAACTTGGCGATAATTCTTAAGATTGATAGGGATAATTTGAACAAATGGGATTTTTTTCTACTTGTGTTTCTTTCCTACGTTTTACCTGAGCAAAGAATTTACTGCCTTTCTACCAGAGGGACTGCTGTGATTTTAGTCAGAATTACTGTTAACACTTTATTGTTACTTTCAAATATTTGCAGCTTTCTTGAGACAGTAGTTTAGAGCCAGACAAAATGAGAATGTGCCGTGGACACGTTAAGAACTTCTTCAGAGTCCACAAGGCCACTGCTTACCTGGGTGTCATATTTTATCACCTGGGATATGGTTGAGAAGGGGATGTAAGCTAAATTTGAGTCAGAAGAGGTCCTTTTTCTGAGACACATTTCTTCTTCTCTAAAAGTGTATCTAAGATGAATACCACACACTCCATTTTCAAAGTGCTGTTTTTCATCTTGCTTCATTCTGTCCTCAAAACCACTCTGTAAAAGAAGCAGAGCAGGCATTTTAACTTCCATTTTATCCACAGAAACTTCAGCACAGACTTCAAGTGTCTGGCCTAAGGTTGCTCGCTTTCTATAAGCTCAGACAAGGTAGGTACCTTGTCTCCAAACCAGGCCCCTCTGGCCACAGGTCACAGCCCAACAGGTAGAGACAGAATCAAGTAATAAGGCAGTTTCAATTGTGAAGTTTGACAAACAGAAGCAGTCGATGAACTCAAAGGAAAAAGTTTTGAAGGGAAGGATGCTAGGTCGGGGTGTGTGCACATGGAAGCAAGGCATTCTAAGCCTAAACTCCACAGAAACAAGCCAAACGGATCTGTTTCTGCATCAAAAGAGCAATGTCCAGGGGGGCCTTATACCTCCAAAGCACTTCCATTTTTATGTCCATGTACTTATTAGGGACCAATTTAATTTTTTGCCAATAAGGATAGAGAGCAAACCTAAAACTTTAAGTGAACACAGTTGTAGTATAATCATCATATTAACAAGAGCTAACTGTTGTTGAGCGCCCAAGGCATCTGACTCTTTTCTGTGGGTTGCACATATAGAATCTCGTGAAATCTGGTGGTCCTCTTTCAGGATCTTGTTTCCTCATGCCACAGCCAGTCAGCATGTAATTCTATTACATGGTCAACATCTCCTCTCCAGAGAAAGTAATGCCTGTTAAATGATGCTATTAAGAATTGAAGTCAGAATTTCTTTCAAGTTTGATCAATAACATATGTTGTCCTGAGAATCTCAGCATACTAGAGCTGAAAGAGCCCAGTGACTCCTAGTTAAAGATGCATGTTGGAATCTTGCTGGGAGTTTTGTTCAACTCCACATGCCTGGGTCTCTGCTTAAAGAAGCCCATTTCATAGTCTGTGGTATATCTGGCCATGGGTCTTTTATAAACTTCCCAATGATTCTGGGGTGACCCGAGTTGAGAACTGATCTGGACAAAACTTTTTGTGTTACAGAGGAAGAAAGCAAGGTCCAGGAAAATTAGATGCTTGGTCCAAGTTCACCAGCCAACTGTTACTAAGAGGCGCTTGAAGCCTGCTTCTCAGGCCAACACCTTTGCTGTAATACCACACAGCCAGCATGTCGTAAAATATCCTGCCAGGTCTGCCTGAAAAGATAGTCCAGGCAAAGTTCAAAGAGTTTAGGCCATTTTTCATATCCACCAAGTTCACCTAACAGTCCAGGTAGACAGGCCATGAAGTGGATGTCAAAAGAATCTGGGAAGCAACCAGTGAGATTTTTAAGTTTGAGTGCTATGTGGACTTGCATTTTTTCATAGATGTGGAAAAACCAGGGCTTTAAATCGACTAAGAAAATTTAATGAACTAAGCCAGTCTGACATTAAGCAGTAATGAAAGGTGTTCTCTTTCCAAAAAATACCAGCCATGCAATATGCATAGGCCTTCAGTTTTCTGGACTAAGTCTGTAAACTCAGCTCTTAAAAATTTTGAGGCAGGTACATTTAATTTTCCATTGGGAAGTATGTTTGAAATTAACCTTTACCTATTCCCCAGAGTGACATTGCTATTATGTGCTGAGATTATTATCCACCACTCTTGTTCCCTTTGGTCATTTCTGGAATAATAAGGTACTGGCTGTGGGGAAGGGAAGGTTCATTTCAACTTCTTTCATTGTCCTTACTAATTGATATTTAAATATTTGCATAATGAATGACTTGTTCTCACTAGCTCTGCACTTAATGAGTTGGTGTCTATTTACTAGCACCCTTGATAATGACACTTCTTTTGCTCTTGCTTGTCATTGCACTCTGCAAAATATTTCAAATATTGATTTTCATTTCAGAATAGAAGCCCCCTCCAGTATGAATTTTTAAACCAGGGAATAAAGAATGTGAATTTGCATTTGTTTGACAGTGCAATCTTGTAATTAGAGTTTTTCCTCTTGACTAGATACAGTGAAAGGGGCATAATTTAATTTTTATAGACTAGCCAATTTCTTCCCTTAGTAAAATATAGCTCTGTCAGTGAGCAAAATGTTACAGGTTCTCCTAAACCTTATTTAAAAGTTAAATGCAGTATATTGAGAGAAAGTTCACGGTCTGAATCAGTAACCTAATCGATCTCTTCACCCATCCTTTGCAACATGCATTAATCTATTTGTCTGTTTTGCAATACAAGAGTTACTGATTTATATGCCATGTTGCATCTACATTATGGCTGTGTAAGTAATGGCTATTTTCCTTTTGGATTAGTTAGTTGCTCATTAAGTTGGGCAGGGATGGCTTCATATCTTGGATAGTTTAGTTTTACACCTTATTTTCTCATGAGCTAACTAAGGGATAGCAACAGAGGACTAGATGTCGCAAAAATGCTTGGTCATCCACTCTTAGTAGAAAGAAGTGGAAAGTTAACCACAGCCTGTGTTTTCTTAAGTCTATGTCTGCTTAATTTCCCCGAGATCTAAAATGATAGGCTCTAGTTTGGCCTTGGGATGGGCTTGGCAGGAATGAGGCCCAGTGCTGCTAATCATAGTCCCTTTATTCCTGTATTCCTGTCATAGTCCCTTTATTCCTGTATTCTTTTGAGTGCATGCACTCAAGCTCAAATGCCTGTGCGCACACATATGTGCACACACACACACAGTCATATATTTGTGTGTGTGGATATACTTTTCCATTTTTGCCTGTATATATATTTGCATATACCCACATATGCAATGCTTGTAAGAAAAATGAAAATATTGAGTTAACCTTTACAGATACTGAGATCACAAATTCCTTAATCCATGCTATGTTGTAGGCATGAAGAACATTTTCTAAGATTTTTTTATTTTATTTTTGCAGAACAACTTTGTTAGAAGTAGCAGGGGTCTCTGCTAATCTTCCAGCGTCCTCCATTTGTCCCTGTCTCTCCTCCTCCTACCAGGCCTCTCCTGTTAGCTCTCTTTTAGACATCCCATCTGCAGTCCTTAATTTCTCACTGTTAACCCCATTTTGAATCAATCAGATGGGCTATGGAATATGCTCTATGAATAAAGTGCAAAACAAAAACAAAGTTCCACATTCTATTTTTGGCAAAGGAGACTTCAACAGCTTAAAAAACTTTAAAATGAAGCTGGGCACGGCGGCTCATGCCTGTAATCCCAGCACTTTGGGAAGCTTGAGGTAGGTGGATCACCTGAGGTCAGGAGTTTGAGACCATCCTGGCCAACATAGTGAAACTCCATCTCTACTAAAAACACAAAAAATTAGCTGGGCGTGGTGGCACATGCCTGTAATCCCAGCTACTCAGGAGGCTGAGACGTGAGAATTGCTTGAACCCGGGAGGTGGAGGTTGTAATGAGCTGAGATTACTCCACTGCACTCCAGCCTGGGCAACAGAGTGAGACTCTGTCTCAAAAACAAAACGAAACAAAAAAACCTTTAAAACATATTTGGATATCAAAAAATATATCTTCATATATTAAAACCAGCTCCGCTAAAAGGGTTTCCATATCAACTTCGATGAAGTTAGGAATTACACAGGAAGGGATTCTATTCTGTGAATGTTCACATCCCTACCTCCTTTCCTTTCCAGACACTAAAAGAACAAACACCTTGCTCTTCGAGATGAGACATTTTGCCAAGCAGTTGACCACTTAGTTCTCAAGAAGCAACTATCTCTTTCATGTGCCTTCTGAGGAAGTATTCAGAGGGGGAATATCAAATGTCTTTCCCTTGGACTCTCCCAGTGAGTGAAGTATTTGTTTATGTTAACTTTCCAGCTGAACAAGCAGCCGGTGCTGACCTCCCATCTCCATAGATGAAACATTTGAAGATTGATCCAGCTCTCCCATAACACTAATTCCTCCCACTATGATTGCATGAAAGCTGCTGTCATTGATAGTTTTCCTAATGAGTTTAAACAGAGAGGTTTCAAAGCTGGGGCATTTTTCCCAAGTGAAAATGAAACGAAGTATGAAAACAAAACATACCATTTTCTTTGAACTTTGAAAAGGAAATCTGCCTCCCTTACATACTCCTGAAACAAAAATTCTGAATCTACAGCCTTTGAGAGAGACAGTGTACCCTTGCCTGCCCTCCCTCTCTCCCGCCCGCCCTCCCTACCTTCCTTCCTTCCTTCCTAATTGACCAACTTAGGTTCTAATGTCCAAACTAAGCAAAGGTTTATTAGCACACTGTGCAAAAGGACTCAACACTTCAACCCCTATTTTTTACTTGTCCAATGGAAAGTGTATTGGCTCCCTTAGGGGAGAGAACCCCTATGTTCTAGGTTCTTCACATTTGGTAACTTGAAAGAGTTTACTTAATATCCCAGGGGCTTAGCCTCCCCCCTTGTAAAATGTAGAAACAGGCTGACTGTTTTCTTATGAGATACAGCAAGAGAATGAGAAATGCGGTCAGTATAACCATCTTCAAGGAACCAGTGCTAGACATGGAAACCTGTCTTGATGCTCACCAGGAGTTGCCCCATTCACTATCCATACCTGCTTCTGAAGGGTGGCCCAGATATTATAGTACAAGTTAGTTTGTACACTGTTTCTATATTTCTCAGAATGAGGGAGTCCTTGAATTCAGCCTTTAGTTCCTAACAGTAGTATCCTCATAGTTAATTTAGAAGGTTCACAAAGAGATAATATCCCCACTTGATAGTTGGTGAATCTAAGACACAGAAAAGTCAAGATCACACAGCCAGTGGGACAGGAATTCAAGTACCTTTCACTTCTCCAGGTTTTTTTTTTTTTTTCCGCTGTGGTGCCATTTTCTATGTTTTCCCGCTTTTTTTGTATTTTTAACAACAATTTTATTGAAATATAATTCACCCTTTAAAGTATGCAATTATGTGGTTTTTCGTTTATTCATAGAGAAGTGTAACTATCACCACCAGTTCAAGAACATTTCATCACCCCAAAAGAAACTTTATTTTATTAGCAGTCACCCCTCATTTTCCCCTTTTCCCAGCCCCTGGGAACCACTAATCTGCTTTCTGCTTCTATGGATTTGCCTATGCTGGACATTTCCTGTAAGTGAAATCTCATACTGTGTGGCCTTTTGTGGCTGGCTGCTTTTGCTTAGGATCATGTTTTATGGCTCATCCATACCACTTCCACTTTTGTTTTGTTTTGTTTTTTATTCCATAGGTAGATGTGTCCTTCCTCTTGCTGGGGCAGATATCTAAAAAGAAAGCTCAGGTTTAGCAGATCCCTACCTTATGGAATGGGATAGAATGAGAATGGAATGGGATGCAGCATGGCTGTGAATCTTAGAACTCCACTGGCCAATTAGCCAATTTGCTGAATTAAAGTAACAACATGTGCCAAGAGCAAGCCATTCCAGTGAGTTTTCGGCAAAGGAATTGGTGTTCATCAAACATCTGCTTGGTGCCATGTACTGGACTGTCCATTCTTGCCCATCTATTATATAATTCATCTGTTTTCCCTTGAGATCTTGAATTAGTTTCTTTTAAACACAGGAATCCTCAGGCACATGGATGGGCTATTCCTGAGGCCCCTGTTGGTGGTCCCAGATGCCCAGCTCCACATCTGGCCTCACTCTTAGGCCACCGTCCTCAAGAATCCCACACCTCTAAGGCTAGAAGAGACCCTATTCTCTCTGGTCCACACTTTCACTTTACAGAGGAGTACACTGTGGTGCAGAAGGGAGTTTTCTTTCCTGGGGGGCTTAAGCATCTTGATAAGTCCATTTCTCTCTCTTCCCTTGAGAAAGCTTGAGGATAAAGCAGGTTGAGAGAGGTTGTGGAGAAAGGTTTTGGTTAAAGAGATCAGATGCTGGCATGATTTGGTCGTCTACAATGAATACCATGTCCATGCACAAGCCTAGCTTTTGTCCCCCAAACCAAATCATTTGATTACAGCCTTTGTATAGGCAGAACTCCTTACTCATTTAACCATGAGACATATCTTTTCTTCTCTGTTAATTTTTTCTAGAAGACTAAGCTGGATTCTCCCTTGCTTTGTAGTTTTCATGGTGGTAGAAGTGACTATATTTCAGGGAGCTGGAGCAAAGTTGCTGGTAGAAGACAATGTGTTTCCTACCCTGGGAACACCAAAAGAGGCCATACCTGTAATGGAGGATTTTCAATCATACCTGGAATGAATCAGCCAGCAAATGAAAGAACTATGAGATGTGCCATTAATTCTTTCTAGAATTTGACTTGTGGCTACATCGTGATTCTGAAACTCTTTTCACAGGCCAGAGCTGTAGGGCATGTTCTCTTATTAGTAAATTGCTTCCAGTCTTCTGATTGCTTCCAACACTACAAAGCAAAGCAGGAGATGGACTGAATTAAGTGTTTTAGATAAGGTGAAACCATAGAGAGTTCGTAATAAATTGCTTCTTTAGAGGATGTGTTTAAATAGAATAGAGCAGCGATGGCTCAAGCTATTGATTTCAAGGGGTTTATGACTTTGCAAACCATGAGCAGGATCAGATGCAAAAGTGATAAAGTTGTATTATTTTAAGGAAGTTGTGATACGCGGTCCAGTGCATTTCATTTCTCACTGGACATGGACAATAGCTTTTTATGTTTTTCTATTTCTTGGACTTCTTTGTGAGCACAGTGGAATGACTGGAGACAGTGCTAGAGGCGGGCCGCGCCAGGCACGCGGCTCTCAGCCTGCAGTGGTCCATGCATACTGCACACGGGTTGAATATGAATGTGCAGAGCAGTTTGCAATGCCCTCCACGGAGGCATCTTCAAAGAGCATCAGCAGAAGCAGGTGTATTAAGTGATGCTGGGCAAGGGGGTTTATGCACTGTTCTATTACTTATGCAAAATGTAGCAAACCACTTGGGTCTCCAGTAACTTCAAAGAACCTATTCAGAAATAGCTAGAGCCTAGCGGGTTGACTAGTCTGCCACCCAGTGAAGACATCCAAAGTGGGAGTGCAAAGGGGTCCCAGCTCCAAAGCCAGCTCAAGATTCTCTCAAGAGTGTCTGTGCCTTCAAAGGGAAAGGCAGCCAATAGGCCGGAGCCACACCTGGAGGCTGATGAGTTAACATTCTCTGAGAGGAAGGACAACTTTCCACCCAGCCTGTCACTGACTGCTGCAAGGGAAAGAGGGATAAAGCAAGTCAGGAGACATTCTGCATAAGAGTGAGTTAAGATCCAGAAACAATTTCATCTTTGTTCAGTGTTCTCCAGCCAGCAGCTCAGTTTGCCTGGCATCACATCCTCTCAGTATTTTAGAGTGCATTTTCCTAATCAAATTGAACTACAGCTTCATTCACGGCTTTCATTTCTATGTACAAGATCCTGAAAGGATGCTGTTGGCTCTCTCTCACGCACACTCTCTCATGCTCTCTCTCTCTTTCTCTCTCTACCTCACCTTCCCTCTGTCTTACACAGACACACACACTCACTGGTATGGAGACACGCAATAACTATTTGCTGACTGCGTATATTGAAGAAACCAAGTTTCAAGCTAAAACAGATTTATCACCATTTCAAAATATTATAGCAGAAATGAAGGAGCTTAAATGTTTAGCATAAGAAGAAAAATAGAATAAAGACAAGTTGAATATACCTTTTACTTTTTAGTTAAACTAGAAATAGCTGACTAATGCCTGTTAGTGATAGTTGTAATTTAAGGAACCACTCTGAAATGTAATCCACCCCTGGTTTTATAGTTCTTTTTGTCAGCTTGCTTTTAAGGCTGACCTGGCTTTGCTTTGAATAGGAGTGTTTTCAAGAAACACACACACACACACACACCTCTACAACACCAGCTTATATGGTGGTTGAGGAAGCTGGGGTCCAGGTTACCACTGGCCAGTCCTCAGCTGGAACTCTGCTACCTTGGAATTCAGCCTTGGTCATCAGCTCTCCCTTGGGAAGAAGGAAAATCCCCCCACATGGTTTTATGCCCCCTGGTCCTCACCCACACAGAAGATGCAAGTTACAAATACAGGTATGTTCCACAAGACACAGGCAGTTAGACTTTCAGCTGAGGGATATACTTCTAAACCATTCAGTTTGGGCAAATTAAACCACAAAGGGAAGCAAACAAACTTCGTTTTTACTCTCCTGCTGTCTGCTTTGCCCTTACACTCTTTCACTGAGCTCTAAGAATTCAACTAATTGCTTGTATTCTTGCCCCCTTTGTTGAATATCATTAATATCACTGTCATGATATTGACAAAACCTGGCATCATCCTCAGGTGGAAGGCCAAGGCAGCTATGGCTGCAACAGCTCCTAGGCATCAAGCAGCATTTTCCATCCCTTCATTAGTCTCTGGGGCAACACTTCCTAACAGAATTTACCAGCCATTACTGCTGCCCCCGTCCTTTCTGTTCTTGCCTCCACCCTAGACCTTGCTTCCTGTATCACATAAGAATGTTTTTGGCTGCAAGTAGCAGGGACATAAACCATAAAGGCATTTCTTGTTTATGTAACAAGATAGTCTACATAGGTGATCTTGGGGTTGCTCCTACAGCCCAGTGATGTCATCAAAAACTCAAAATTTCTCCATTTTTCTTCTTACTTCCCTAAGCATGTTGGCTTTTTGTCCTCAGGTTTCTTGCCTCTTGATCACAAGATGATCACTGTATTCAGGTTCAAGGGAAGGGATGGCACCAAAGAGCTTGTGTCTTAAGCTTTGCCTTTTAATGAGAACGCAAAAGAGTTTCCAAAGTCCCCCCAGAAATTCTCTTTACATTTCATGGGTCAGATCACTGTCTCATGGCCGCTAGTAGCTGTAAGGGTAGTGACTGAGTGGCCAACTGTGATTGTCTGCCAGATCAGCTTTTGAGAAGTCCATGCACAAGATTAGAAAAATTCAACAAAGTACCTCCAGGGACCCCTGGAAAAAGGACAGGGATAATTTTTCTTTCCCGAAAATCACCATTATTTTACCTCAATTGAACGCTGAAATGTATAGTCAAAGGACCTTCATCCTGGATCACTGTCACCCTTTGGAAGAAAAGAAACACATATACCAACAAATGTCCTGAACTTTAACACAAGATGTACATGCCATTCTAGAATTCTAGTTCATTGAATGCTGAGATACAAAAGTATAACTAAATTTTAGTGTGAGGACATCATGTTCATGGTGACAAATATAAGGGTGCTTTGGGTTAAGTGCTTAGATGTTCTCAGTTCATTCCATCTGGAAGTCGTTATGCCACCAAGGACTCTCTCTTCCCTACATTTGGGTGAATTTGTATGCAAGAAACTGATTAAGAATCTTTGGGCCCCACTGTGTTAATCTTACCATTTGAGAACAATAATCAGAAGGACATCAAGGTTAGAAATGCAACAGCACAGCTTCATAAATCATTGAGGGGGCACTGTTAATACTGAGATAATAAGTCATAAATATCTGTTCCCTCAATCCCCCATGGCAAACTGGAGAACAAAGACACCAGCTAAGGGAAAGCAAGTGACTGCGCAGAAACCTTCCTCCCTCAGAAAGTTATAAATGAGCAAAGAAATCCAAGTCTAATGCAAGACTAGAGTAAAACCAACAATTGGCATCATACATTATGGGTTGGTTGTTTGCTTGCTATAATTAAGTTGACATCAGTGGTTAACAGCCTTGAAAATTAAACTCACCAAAAATCTTTGAAAAGGGTAATCAAAGTCCTCTGAATAATGAACTTAACGCATCCCTGTTACAAGGAAAACAAATGTGTTCTTGGGTTATCTTGTTTCATGTCTATTTCATTGTGGATGTGGCTGTTGTTTTCAGAAACACATTTATTTTTACCCTTAGGGATCATTGCAGCCCCTTAATATTATTCTCAATTTTCAGTTCTACCAGCTAGGCCAAGATGGGCTCAACATCAGTATGGATATGCAGTGTGGAACTTGGCACTTCCTTTCTTTTTCCCTTTTTAAAATGAGTTGTTAGCATTCTTGTTGGGTTCCTGTGGCCATCTGCAACTCAAATGGAGGGGGCTTTTTTGGCCTTTAAAATATTCACATTCATGGCAAAGCAAAAGTACTTAAGAGCCAGAGCACAAAATTCTCCAGAAAAGAACTACTTTCTTGATCTTCTCTCTTTATTCCTGATAAACGGTGCCCATCGTGGCGGCAATGAGGCAAATGTATAGAGAAGCCTCTACTTTCCAAGTCATTTTCATTAGAATGCAGAGAATGTCAAAATTCCTCACACAGTGTTCTTTCAGACAAAAAAAATACTTGGATGCAGATCGAAGATCTTTTTTCTTGCAGTTTCTTTGAGCTCAGTGAAAATGCTTGTAGTTCATTCCAATTACCCGTTCCCCAAGCATTTTTCTTTGAGGAACTGTTCCTAGTCCTGCATAGAATATTTATTGTGATGTAATCGTAACTATGGTGTAGTGTGTGTTAGTTATTTTTCCAGTAGGGAAGTCTCACTCCCAAACAGGCATTCACACAAGCAGCAGTTTGCTGGAAAAGTTCGTCTTTAAAGCTACATTGCATAACATGGGTAAAAAGTAATGGACTATTAAAGGCTCTGTTTAGAAATTTCTGTCTTTGTACAGCAAAAAAGAGCAGAGGCAAAGGAAACTATTGGAAAAGATAGATGCATAATGGTCCACAGAAAAGAACTCAGTCTCCATGCCTCTGTTTTTACGACCACTGGGGCAGAGGTTAAAGTGAAAAAACTGGAAAAATAATTTATTTTAAAAGCATACTTGTAGCACGTCGTTTGTAATAGAATTGTAGCTTCAAACTCTCTGAGATTGCCGAAAGTTGTATGTACATCTGTAGGGGAGTGGAGGGGGGTGACAGATCTTCTTTTGGTCTCAATACAACAAAGAGGCTCAATACTTCTAGCAGAAAAAAATGTTAAATGATGACCATTTATGATCCTCAAGGTCCAGGGGCTATTTGTAGGAGAAGATTAGTTTAGAAAATGCTTCTTGGCCAGGTGCGGTGGCTCACGCCTGTAATCCCAGCACTTTGGGAGGCTGAGGTGGGCGGATCACGAGGTCAGGAGATCGAGACCATCCTGGCTAACACGATGAAACCCCATCTCTACTAAAAACACAAAAAATTAGCCAGGCATGGTGGCAGGCACCTGTAGTCCCAGCTACTTGGGAGGCTGAGGCAGGAGAATGGCGTGAACCCAGGAGGCGGAGGTTGCAGTGAGCCCAGATGGCGCCACTGCACTCCAGCCTGGGCGACAGAGCGAGACTCCATCTCAAAAAAAAAAAAAAAAAATGCTTCTCAACCCCCAAGAGAATCATGGCTTTAGAATTAAGTTCTAGGACACTGTGCAAACTGGGACAAATGGCACCTACTGGGGTCTAATGAGTGTCCAATGGTTATCAACCTTCTTTCTCACCCAGATTCTAAGGAAATTAAGAAATAAAACAAGGAACGAGGCAGATGAGGCCTGAAATATCACCATTGCTACTGAGAAAGTCTAAGTTGGAGGGAATTACTTGGGGATGGGGGTCAAATGAGCTTTCAAATTGGCATCTCCAAACCGGCTGGTTGACCCAGTCATAGACAAGACCAGATATGGGAAGTTTCTTGCCCTGAGAAGCAGGGCAGAATACCTGTTTGCTATGAGTCACTCAATTTCAAGAAGGAACAGGAAAGGGATAAGCAGCGTGTGCCCAGTCTGTTCTTTCCAAATTTACCAATCAGACACATCACTCCACCTCTCTTAGGGCAGAGAGAATTAAAAAGGGAGAGAGAGGCCGGGCTCCGTGGCTCATGCTTGTAATCCCAGCACTTTGGGATCACGAGGTCAGGAGATCGAGACCATCGTGGCTAACATGGTGAAACCCCGTCTCTACTAAAAATACAAAAAATTAACCGGGCATGGTGGCAGGCGCCTGTAGTCCCAGCTACTTGGGAGGCTGAGGCAGGAAAATCACTTGAACCTGGTAGGTGTAGGTTGCAGTGAGCCGAGATTGCGCCACTGCACTCCAGCCTGGGTGACAAAGCGAGGCTCCATCAAATAAATAAATAAATAAATAAATAAATGGGAAAGAGGCCAGGAGTCACACTAATTGACTCCTTGTTTCCTTTTACATGGATGGATGTTGAGACTGAAGAAAAAACATTCCTTCAGTAATGTTCTCTTCCCATCACAATGAAAACCAGTCATTTCAGGAGCCTCCAAGCCCTTTGAGGCAAGAGTTAAGCAGTTAATAGCACAGATGGTTGGGGCTATATCTGTCACCTACACACAGACTATGCACTCACCCTATTACTCAGCATGAGAGTGGTCAAGCGTATTTCACTGCATTTGTTGGGGGTACGTGTAGCACAGAAAGAACATGGAGATTTTTCCCACATTCGTACCAATTTTTTTTTTTTTTTTTGAGACAGGGTCTCACTCTGTCACGAGGCTGGAGTGCAGTGGAACAATTTCAGCACACTGCAACCTCTGCCTCCCAGGCTCAAATGATCATCCCACCTAAGCCTCCGGAGTAGCTGGGACCACAGGCAAGCGCCACCATGCCCAGCTGATACCAATGTCTTTTAAAAAATGTTGTATGTGGAAATAAATTGAGACTTATAGAAAAGCTGCAAAAATAGTGCAGTTTCTATATATCCTTCCCCCATCTTTGGCTAGTGTTAACAATCTACATAACCGCAGTACGATGATCAAGGCTAGGAAATTAACATTGGCACAGTACTGTTAATGAAACCATGCTTTGTTTTGAGATTCCCACAGTTTTGCCTTTTTCTGTTCCAAGATCCTATCCAGGATCCCACGTTGCATTTCATTGTCATGTCTCCTTCTCCTCTAACCTCTGACAATGCATCATTCTTTCCATGTCTTTTGTGATGTTGACACTTTTGAAGAGGACTGGTCCAGATTTTTGTACACTGTCCCTCAGTTTGGGATTGTCTGCTGTTTTCTCATGAACAGATAGAGGTTTTGCATTTTTGACAAGAATCCTCAGAAGAGATGCACCCTTCTCAGTGCACTGTAGCAAGGGGCGCATGCTGTCAATGTCTTACTGGTGATGTTAACTTTGATCGCTTTTGATTCAGATAGTATCTGCTGGGTTTTTCCACTGTAAAGTTACTATTTTTTCCATTGTAATTAATAAATAACTTGAGGGAGATACTTTGAAACTATATAAATACACTGTTTCTCCTCCAACTTTGGCCAATAATTTCAGTGTCTTTTGGTGGATCTCTCCCACATCAGTTGTTACCATGGTGTTCTAATCTTAATTTCTATTTCCCTCATTCCTTCTGCATTTATTAACTGGAATCCTTCTGTAAGAAAAACTTGTCTCTTCTGCACATACTTATTTACTCATTTATCTATGTCAGCATGAACTCATGGGTATTTACCTGATTGGATGGGGTTATAATCCAATACTATCATTATTTATTTTGTTGCTCAAATTGCTCCAGCTCTGTCCATTGGGAAGTTGGAAAGTCCAACCAAAACTCCAGCTTTGTCCACTGGGTCATTGGTCCAGAAAGGCAAACTGAGGCTTACAGAAGTGAAGTGTATTATCCAAGGAAGTGGCTCAGGGAGAATTCCAGTCTAGGTCTGTTAGACTCCAGGGTTCATGTTCTTTCCTCAGGGTAAGGAATTATTTCAGAATTAGAATGAAATATGGACATGAGCTTCTTTAGTTTCCTCCATCCCATTAAGTACATGAGGATCTACTTAATGATAAGGCCATTAAAGGAGAGGATCATGGCTTCTGGAAACTCCAGAGCTTGGTGAAAGAAGTTAATATTCTGATTTCTTGGGTCCCAGGGAATAGGTACAATGGCTGCAGTGGAATGAACTGCCTGGGAAGTAACCTCAGTATTTTGTTTATCCTTTCCTTCATTCCTTGGCATGCCCATCATTCACATCCAAATAAATAAGGCAGATTAATACAAATGACTTCCTCAGGGAGAACAATTTGTGGTATTTTTAAAGCAAGCACGCATAGCCACCCATCTCAATCCAAGAGCCCCCAGGAGGCCATTACCCCTCTAAAGACTTAAAGAGGATTAAAGTTTTAAACGCTGGGTGGCTTGATTAATTTGGTGATAGTGGGTGGTGTGTTCCATGGGCACACTCCTGGTCTGCGGATTAGAGCCGTGAGAAATGACTTGGTCTTGGCAGGACACATCTCTGTGCCTCTGCAGGGTAGGGCGGCTGGGAGCTGGTCCAAGCTGGGATTATCCGAGCCACGTTTGATGGACAGCCCTTCATCTACCAGTTGAGCCTTCTAGCTCTGGGTCTGCATCTGCGTTAACTAAGATCAGAGCCTCTCACAGTTCTGCCTTTGTCAACCAAGGCCTGGAGGTGAATTGTAGCTTTATGTAAACTCTGTTACCCAGGTGACACCAATGTAGGAATAAAATCCTACTCAAAACCAGTCAGAAAAGCACTTCCAGACCCCCTTCAAATAACCCCCTTTCCTTCTGTCGTCTTTTCCTTTTCCTCCCTTCATTTATTCATTCATTCCTTTGGTAAATACTTGTGTCGTTATGTGCCAGGCACTGTTCTGATTGCTGGAGCTTACGTTCTATTAATAAAGACACACTAGTAAAATCTGTAGTGTATTAGAAGCGATTAAGAGAAAAATCATGCAGGGATGAAGGGAAGGAAGCATCTCTCAGTTCTTTGGGGAAGTCTCCAAACGATGTCCCCCCTCTGTTCTTGGTCATGACCTTCTCCTACCCTAACCCGGCAGTGGTGGTTTCTGAGGCCAGCCATGAGGTTTCAGGGAAACCAGGCCCATGTCCAGCTAGAACCCAGCCATTCCTTCCTGCCCATGTTGCTGCTGCAGTTGTGCCGAACCGTGGTGTTCTTTGCCAAACCTGTCTCATGTTTCAGAGATGCCTCATCGTGTTGTGGACCCGTCAAACTACCACCCAAGGGACCACACTGGTGCATTGCCTCTGGACCTCTTGCCATGATATGACTTAGAGATGGCAACTCACGCACTTACATGTGTGCACACACATCCCCCTGCAGACACACCACTGGAGCACGTATTATATTGCTTTGTGGTTTCTTTCTTACATAAATGGTATGCTTAACTATCATTCTGGAACTGTCATTGAGAACCTTCCAGATCAGAATAGAGCTCTGTACTTTAACTGCTGCTTAATATGTATAGTATAAATGTACCTTTCCCCTATTAAGGATGTGAAAGTGTGTTTTGTTTTGAAGGTACATGGTGAGGAATGGGACTGTTTTATTTGTTGCATTTTGAATTATAGATCCTTCTGACTGCCCTTATGCCAGTCTCTGCTCCCACCAGCAGTCCATGACAAGGCCCTTGTTTTCCTCACAGCTCCTCCTCCCTCAGGCCCAGACCTGAGCTTATGGGGTCCTGGTTAAAGGAAAAGCAGAGAGAACCACAGGCACAAATACCCCTGCCCCGTGACCCTGAGACTTGAGCTTCGGGGCAGCTCCTGGTGGCTCTTTTCTTGAGAGTGGTCATTCCCTAGAGCCCTCTGGTGGACATAGCTAGGAAGAACCTTGTACTACACAGAGAAAGAAGCCATTTGAGGATGGTTGACTGCGGGTGTTTATTTACGTCATTTTAAAAATCATTCTTCTCGTGGTTCTGATTTTAAATGGTAAGAAAGGGTCAAAAGTCTTTTTCCCACTCCTATCCTGTGGCCGCCTAGAATCTCACGCCAGAGACAACCAATATTATCTCTTTTTTGTGTATTTTTCCATACATTTTTATGCATATGCATGTAAAATGTGTTTAATTTTTATTTTCCCCAATGGATGCATGTTATAGCATGGCAGGCAGTGTAGTATAATGGTTAAGAGTACAGATTATAAATCCAGATCTCCTGGGCTTAAATCCCAGCTCCACAACATATTACCTGAATGGACCCTAAGCAAATTACCTACCCTATTTTTGCCTCAGTTTCCCCACTTGCAAAATGAGGATTATTGCTAGAGTTACTACAAAGATTAAATGAGTTAATATTCATAAAGCTCTTAAAACTGCATCTGAAGCATAGTAAGAAGCATAAACTCATTTGGGTTTTGTTTTTGTTTTTTGTTTTTTTTTTTTAAAGGAAGGAGGAGGAAGGGAGGGAGAGAAAAGGAAGGAGGGAACTTCCAGACATACTTTGCTTTGTTTTTAACTCAGTATCATCTTCTATGGCTTTGTGGAATTGCAGTGTGCAGATAAGACACTGGAAATTTACCACTTCCCTGGTGATAGATAGAGTGATGGTCTATTCTTTTGCCATGACACTCTACTCTACCATGAATAACCTTGTGTATAGTCGTTTTGTATGTATGTGAGTATGTCTGTAGGGTACATGCGTAAAAGTGGAATTGCTAGGTCACAGAGTACATGCATTTGCAATGTTGATAGCTATTGCCACGTTGCCTTCATGGAAATTATACCTATTTACTCTCCTAACCAACAATGTGGGAAAGGGCCTTTTTATAAGATTCATGAACACAGTGTTTATAATAAACATTTAAATCTCTGCCCAAGTGATAAATAATAATGGCATCTCAGTGTAGTTTTAATTTGCATTCTTCTTATGATATGAGAGAGTATCTTTTCATGTGTTTCAAAGCTCTGTTGCGTTTTCTGTGAACTGTCTGTTCATTTGCTTTCCCTATTTTTCTAATGAGTTATTTATTCCTTACTGATTTATTATTTATCCCTTATAGATTTCTAGGACCTTTTTACATATTAAGGAAATCTGCTTTGTGATTTGAGTTACAATTATTTTTTCCAATGTTTCACTTGTCTTTTTGTCTTACATATAGGGATTTTATTAGGCAGAGTTTGTGGGTGTGTGTGTAGTCTAATTTTTCAATATTTTCTGTAATGGCTTCTGGGTGTTATGTCATAGAATAGCCTTTACAACTCTTACATAAAAAAAAAATCTCCCAAGGTTCCAAAGTGTCGTTTAGTACTTTTATGGGGTTTTTATCCCCCAACATTTAAATCTTAGATCTACTTGGAATTTATCCTAAGCATGTGAATGGTGGAACTGTTCAGGAGTTCTAAGTCCTCACTGGGCCCTCCCCACCTGGCAGCATTCCTTATTTCCTTCCAGTGTGAGTCTTTATTCTACACCCCTCTACTCCTTGGTGCCTTCGACTCTCTCCTGTGGCTTTCTTCACCAGTTGCACCAGTGCAGGCAGCCATTCGTGCCTAAACCTCAGGGCCATTTTCTTAAAGCTACCTAGCAGCCTGTGTGGTATTCAATCACATGTTCCTTACAGGGCAGCTCTCAGCATTCCCCAAAACCATTCCCGTTTGTCCCTGCACCTCCGTTCCCATCGCCAGCCTGCCTGCTGAAGTGCCTACAATGAACCTGGAAAGCTTTTCTTTCTTTATCTGAAGCCATGGGAGAGGTGGCTTATTTCCACTTCTTTGCAGACTCCAAACATCAGCCTTTCCAAATATCAGTCCCTCTGCCCCAGCCTCACCACTCAGCCCCATCCCATGCCTCTCAAAGGAGGCACAGTGTTATCTCCACCACGTGGATTTTCATCAAAAAGATGAGTAAAATGCCTTTGTTTTCTGAAAGCCCTCTTTAATCTCAAATTTCCCCATTTCTATTAGCACAACACCTCCTACCTGCTTCCTCTGCCACTGCCCAGTTTAGAACTAGCACACTTTTTCTTCTTGAATGTCTCCAAAGCTAGCTCCTCCATACCCTGACACCAGCCAGTTGCCTGTCACTTACCTTGATGCCTAGGTCCACATTTCCTTTCATCCGGTTGGAAACATCTTTAATCACATCCAATCTCACCCAAAGCATCTCTCGTGCCAGTTTCCAGACTTAGATTTTAACCAAGGGAGGCTCATAGAAGCCCACAGCTACCCTGAGCCTCATGACCCTCATGCCTCCTCAGGGTGCCTGGCCTGGAGCGGCCAGCCTGGCAATGGACACACCTATCTGACATCAGACACCTTTCCCCATCCTCCCTCTTGGAACATCTAGTAAATGCCCCTTATGGAGCTGTCAACCTTCCCCTTCAGAAAGCCTCATTGTGGTGCCCTCAGTTCCTGAACCACCAACTTGAGAGCTTGTACCTCTCCCCAACTTTCCTTATGAAGATAAATTGTTTCTGACTAACGACATGAGGGTCTTAGCAGTTGTAAAGATTATGGCTCTGTTAGTCCATCTCTTCATAAGGACATGCACTATTTATCCAACTAACCTACCTCATCACTGATCCTTAACCCTGCAAAGTTCGCCTTAAAAATAAGCTCCCAGCCATGTCACTAAATAAAAATGCAAATTGCAGAATAGCGTATAGGATGTGATACAACTGTGTGCAAACACACGGACTTTATTTCTCTGTGGGCATATATGTAAATGTACAGAAACCAGCCTGGAAGAAGGCATGCCACACTGATGACAGCATCTGCCTCTAGGGGAACACGGCGGAGGGCCTGGAACAGGCAGGGGTACTCAAGGTCCATTTTCACCTTACTGACTGAAATTTTATACAGAGAAAAATACATTCAGTAAATATTTTTTTAAAAGTTTAAAAATTCACTTAAAGAAAAAAGGTCACTGTAGTGGAAGTGGCAAATAAATGCCAGTTAATGTTTTTCATACTTAGGAATAAAAAGAGTAGAATGATTTCCTAAAAAGGGCCATGGATGGCAAATGTAGAGACTATGGGCAATTCCCTGAAGTGTATTCCTTAGAAATCAAACAGTGCCTCCCACACATAGATACAGGCATCCTCTGTACCTCGACTTTATCTTACCAGAGCAGCTGCC
Organism: Homo sapiens; assembly: GCF_000001405.40. NCBI lineage: Eukaryota > Metazoa > Chordata > Mammalia > Primates > Hominidae > Homo > Homo sapiens. The sequence goes on along the minus strand of NC_000002.12, from coordinate 132,648,021 downwards.
TTCCAGGATTTTGTAATGGTCTTAGAAAATCAATCCCTACAAACATGCAGTTAGAGGGGAAAAAATGACATAAAATTGCATGTTTTACGGTAAATCTAAAGTACTTCTTTACCTCCCACTTGGAAGTTTTAGGCAGTTTCATTCCTTAATGTTTCTATAGCACCCAAAGTGGCAATTCTCGAGGACGGAGCCAAAACCAAAACCACACCTGCCCACATACCTGCAGGAAAGGAGTGGGTAAGGAGCCCCGGCTGCTGGTGGGATGCTATATCCCTCAGCTGTGCAAGGCAGCAAACAGGATTAAGACCTGTTAATTCTAAGTCTAGCTTTAGTATTAAACACTATCATCTATCCAAAAAAAATAATTCATTGATATAAAATAGCCACATATGGCCGGGCGCAGTGGCTCATGCCTGTAATCCCAGCATTTTGCGAGGCTGAGGCAGGCGGATCACAAGGTCAGGAGATCGAGACCATCCTGGCTAACACGGTGAAACCCCATCTCTACTAAAACTACAAAAGTTAGTCGGGTGTGGTGGCGGGCGCCTGGGCGACAGAGCAAGACTCCGTCTCAAAAAAAAGCCACATACATACACAACAAAAGCTATCTTCAAAGTAAACCCTCTCCCCCTAAAAAATCCCCGGTTATTTTTGTGGTTAATTGGCAATCCAATTTACTGCTATACAGTAAACACCGTCTTGACAGCATGGAGCCAGAATGCTGGGTTCAAATCCCAGCTGCTCCACTTCCTGTTCATGTGACCTTGGGCAAGTTACTAAATCTAGCCCTGAGGCTTCACATCTGTAAAATGGGGGTAATCATGAGGGCCTCCCTTGTAGGATTGCTTGGGGTAGTGAAGAAGCTGACACGCTAAGGGTGTCTGAATAGTGCCTGGGAGACAGACAGGGAAGCCCTTAAATAAAAGTTTAGCTAGTATTATTTGAATTGAATAAACTTCCACCTTATGATTAAGACACCCTAATTTGATGACTGACTATACTGCAGCTTGACAGGACACACATGCTCTTTGAGACAGGCCCCCTAGTCTTCTTGGGAAGCTTTTTTTTGCACCCAGTGTGTGTCATTGAGTGCTAGCTGCGTGGTACTGGCTTGGCAGATGGCCATGTGTCCTGACGACAGAGCGTTTCTCCTTAGAATAAGACTGTGAGGGACACACGGTCAGCCAGGTGCCCCTTCACTAAATCCCGTGGAAAACTCAGGGCCCATTCAGTAGGGATACATTTATTTCCCTTCGGGATTTGGTCTGTCTTCAAAGAACTCCAGGATTTCATCAACACATAGTTGAGAGCCAGCGCTCTGTGGCCGCTTATAAAGCAAAATGAGATAAAATCTAGAAGCACTGCTTGTGGGCCTCACTGGCATGAGACAGTTTGAACCAAAAACAAAGTAAATAAAAAGCTGTGTCTTGTACACAGTGTGAACTCTGACTTAAAATGTAAATAAGTCTATTTAACAGCTCTTTATTAACAGGTATTCACAGGTATTGGCATCTCAAATCGCTTTTGGAACAGTTTTGTTAAAACTAATGAAATAGTGCCTGTCTCTTTCACCATCTATCTTGAATATCAATGAGACAATCCGAAGCACTTCCCTGACCTCACCTAGTCTCTGGGCTGTGGGAGGAGTAAGGAAGAGCTGTCCGTTTGGATTTGGGCTGAGAGGGACAGCTATTCTTTTGCCGGTGCACGTTAACTCAGCTCCTTTGGGTCTGTGTTACAGGGATCATGTACCGCAAGTCCTGTGCATCATCAGCGGCCTGTCTCATCGCCTCTGCCGGGTACCAGTCCTTCTGCTCCCCAGGGAAACTGAACTCAGTTTGCATCAGCTGCTGCAACACCCCTCTTTGTAACGGGCCAAGGCCCAAGAAAAGGGGAAGTTCTGCCTCGGCCCTCAGGCCAGGGCTCCGCACCACCATCCTGTTCCTCAAATTAGCCCTCTTCTCGGCACACTGCTGAAGCTGAAGGAGATGCCACCCCCTCCTGCATTGTTCTTCCAGCCCTCGCCCCCAACCCCCCACCTCCCTGAGTGAGTTTCTTCTGGGTGTCCTTTTATTCTGGGTAGGGAGCGGGAGTCCGTGTTCTCTTTTGTTCCTGTGCAAATAATGAAAGAGCTCGGTAAAGCATTCTGAATAAATTCAGCCTGACTGAATTTTCAGTATGTACTTGAAGGAAGGAGGTGGAGTGAAAGTTCACCCCCATGTCTGTGTAACCGGAGTCAAGGCCAGGCTGGCAGAGTCAGTCCTTAGAAGTCACTGAGGTGGGCATCTGCCTTTTGTAAAGCCTCCAGTGTCCATTCCATCCCTGATGGGGGCATAGTTTGAGACTGCAGAGTGAGAGTGACGTTTTCTTAGGGCTGGAGGGCCAGTTCCCACTCAAGGCTCCCTCGCTTGACATTCAAACTTCATGCTCCTGAAAACCATTCTCTGCAGCAGAATTGGCTGGTTTCGCGCCTGAGTTGGGCTCTAGTGACTCGAGACTCAATGACTGGGACTTAGACTGGGGCTCGGCCTCGCTCTGAAAAGTGCTTAAGAAAATCTTCTCAGTTCTCCTTGCAGAGGACTGGCGCCGGGACGCGAAGAGCAACGGGCGCTGCACAAAGCGGGCGCTGTCGGTGGTGGAGTGCGCATGTACGCGCAGGCGCTTCTCGTGGTTGGCGTGCTGCAGCGACAGGCGGCAGCACAGCACCTGCACGAACACCCGCCGAAACTGCTGCGAGGACACCGTGTACAGGAGCGGGTTGATGACCGAGCTGAGGTAGAAAAACGTCTCCGAGAAGGGGAGGAGGATCATGTACGCCCGGAAGTAGGACCTCGTCCAGTCGTGCTTGGGTTTGGCCGCAGCCATGATCCTCCGAATCTGGTTGGGCATCCAGCATACGGCCAATGTCACAACAATCAGCCCTGGGCAGACACGAGCAGGAGGGAGAGACAGAGAAAAGAAAAACACAGCATGAGAACACAGTAAATGAATAAAACCATAAAATATTTAGCCCCTCTGTTCTGTGCTTACTGGCCAGGAAATGGTACCAATTTTTCAGTGTTGGACTTGACAGCTTCTTTTGCCACAAGCAAGAGAGAATTTAACACTGTTTCAAACCCGGGGGAGTTGGCTGTGTTAAAGAAAGACCATTAAATGCTTTAGACAGTGTATTTATACCAGTTGATGTCTGTTAATTTTAAAAAAATGTTTTCATTGGTGTTTGTTTGCGTATCCAGAAAGCAGTTCATGTTATCCATAAATCTGGTTTTGTCTTTTTTTGTTTTAAAGAAAAAGATGTATACATACAGTATAGCTGCATTAGATAAAGCAGTGTTTGTATTTTAAAGGATGTCTGCACAAAGAAGACCTAGTGATATTTTTAAATCAAATGGAAGAAGTGTCCCTTTGGCAACAAAGCAGCATATTTAATGACACTGGTTTTGCATTCAGTTTCAGGGGAAGCAAAGTCAGGAATAGCCTGTCGCCAAGAATGTTTTTTGGACATATACATACTAGGTATGCACACCTATAATCATGATGCTCATATCTGCAACAGCATATGTGTTTCTTTTCAGACACTTTTAGATCCCTCATGTGGGGAAAAAGAATTATTCAGAGATGGCAAATATAAAACTTCCTTCTAGTTCAGCCAGTAACATGTTCCCTTCCTTTGCAGCACTGAGCTGTGCTGTCAACAGCCCAGAAGCAATCAGGCCCTAGAGAAGAGACCACTCAAAGGCCCTTCTGTAGATCAAATGTTTACTGCATGTACATTTGTTTGCATGCCCACATATTTGTATTCCAACTTAAGTAACCACCACCAGTTCTGCAATTCTGACTGACAGAGATAAAGATGCTACATAGACCACAAACAACTGAAATCACAGGTATCATGAGAGTTTAGTTACAGTGACAAAAGCAAAAAAGAACAAAGGAAGATCAGGGGATCTGTGAAGCATTTGCTCTCTCTTTTCGTAAGGAGCCAAGACACCCACAGTAAATTCCCCTGTAGAGAGCTGCTACCTTAAAGCAGGATTTGCATTTTCAGAAATGCTTCCTTCCTCTCCTACATTTCAATCGTAGTAAGAAACATTTACTCACATTTTCAATCTTCTGATTTTCTAGAAACCCTAGGGAAGTGACAGTTGGCAATGAATGCTTCCTGCCTATGACCCATGGTAAATATTCTATTAATAAATGGGGGCCAGACATGGTGGCGCATGCCTGATATCTCAATACTCTGGGAGGCCAAGGCAGAAGGATCACTTAAGCCTAGAAATTTGAGACCCACCTAGGCAACATAGCAAGACCCCATCTCTACAAAAAAAGAAAAACTTAGCCAGGCATGGTGGTACATACACACCTGTGGTCTCAGATACTTTTTGGGGGCTGAGGCGGGAGGATCACTTGAGCCCAGGAGGTGAAGGCTACAGTGAGACACGAATGTGCCACTGCACTCCAGCCTGGCTGACAGAGTGAAACTGTCTCAATAAACCAATAAATAAATGCTCCAGGAAAAAACAGCCACATTCACACATCCAGAATTGAGCCTCCTGTATGCACTGGCCTGAGTATTCCTTGCCTGCTGTTGGAGGGGACCCTAGCTGTGTTCAAATCCTCCACAAATCCATATGTGAGCAAGGAAGGCCTTGGAAACTCTTCTCCTTTGTTAATTTCCACAGGTTTCTCCTGTCAACTCCCAGCCTAAAACTTTGAAATATAAGCCAATTTGTTTATTTTTTCCTTTGAGTTTGCTATCCTGAGAACATCCAGTAAATCTAAAACTAAAATAAGTGAACTAACATATTGATCTGATGAAAAAATGGTTAAAAAAATACCATCTTAATTCAAGAGTTTATTCTGAATCACCTAGTTACAGATGCTGGATAGGAACAACAACAGCAACAACAAAAATTTCTGATTTTAAAAAAATACATAAGAAATCCGGGACTTTTCTCCCACTTCGAGGAGTACAGGTGTTCCCAGCCACTTGTGCTATTCCAAATTCATCTTAAGTTCCTGCTCCTTGTTTGCATCTCATCCAGCTCTGATTGAGAGGCTCATCTCATTAATTGTGAAAGAACTAGGAAAAAGACCATACCTGAGGAAGCCACATATTTTCACAAAGTTTTGCATTTTTTTTCTCTTTCCTGTCACTGAATTTCAGAGAACATGTACAACCATCTTCATCTGAGGAGTTATTGCCCAGAATATGGAAATTGCACGGTTTTAGATGTGAACTGTGCTACACCATGGGAGGTTGTACTTCAGGCGGTGAGAATCCAGAAAGGCAATTAGAAACACCTTGTACTAACCATGAGCTGAACATAGCACAGCTTTTAAAGCCAACAGACAAAGGCAATGAGAAGATAAGGCAGGCTTGTGAAACAAGGGGAGAGAATGATAACATTGCTTTTCTTCTGCCCTGTCTTTGCTCCTCATTCTCTTGATCTGTTGTTTACATGACCCTTACTCTTCTGACAGCTTCCCACATGCACTGGCCTGGTGTCAACTGTCCTTCACTGATCATCCCATCAAAAGCAGCAGAGTTCAGTAAAAAGCAAGACCCAGCCTCCAGGTACAAGGCAAAGGCAGGGGTAGATAAAGAGTTGTGGTGTTGTTTGTAGCCAGGATAAAATTCCTGCTCTGAAGTCAAAAATAAGTGGGAAGAAGCTCAGTGTGAACAAGTAACAGAAAACCAACTCAGAGTCACAATGATGAGGCAAAGAAGGGGAAGTTTGGTTTTCTGGGTGTAAAAGTAGGTAGATATAATAGCAAGAACAAACTTGTAGAACAAGAGAGACAAAGACCTGAATTAGAAATGCAGAGATTTTCATATTGTGCACCAGATGGGTGTTTTGAAATAACCTATAATAATGCAGAATATTTATTACTGAGTTTTTCCTAAGCCAGTTTCTGTGCTAAGCACTCTGCTAATTTCCCATGCATTTCTCACTCCTGACAACAACCTGGAGAGCTTTGACCTGGTGAGGTCAAAATAGTTATTCTCTTAATTTAACAAATGAGGAAGTGCAGGCTCAGAGAAAGTTAGTTGCCCAAGTGCAATAGCTAGGACACATCTTTGCCAGACTCCAAAATCCATGCTGTGTATTTTTTTCTCAAAACACAATATTGTTTGCTATTCATACTTTCAGTTTGAAAAATACAGAAACACAAGCAAGAAAGTAAACACCATAATTCCACCATGTAAAATGGATATAGCACAGTGCTGTTCACTGGAAATACAGAATGTGAGCCATATATGTAGTTTTAAATTTTCTAGCAGCCACATTCAAAGAGAAAAAGAGATGGGTGAAAACAATTTTAATACTGCTGTTTAATCCGATACACTCCCAAAATAATTATTTCACATGTAATTTCAACATGCAATCAATATAAAAATTATTGATGAAATGTCTTACATTTTTTAATACTAAGTCATTGAAACCCAGTATAGGTTTTACTCTTACAGTATGCCTCAGTTGGGAAGAGACACATGTGGCTAGTGTCTACAGTATTGGACAGCACCCACTAAAAGAATCCTTCCTAGCCCCTCCCCAGAGCAGCAAGGCTCCCCCTCTTCCCATTCCCCCAACTGTCCCTTTAACAACCACATTCCAGAGAGTTATATCAAACCAAGGAAGCCCCAAGGAACCTCCCACATAGCCTGTATTTGTTACACTACAATGCAACCAATGCTGAATTAAATCTCTGAGTATGCATTCTCAGCTATAGCGAGGAACAGGGTTAGCCAGTCTTTTCCTAGAAAGCCTTCCATATAAGGGAACTCTAAATCATTTAAAACTTATATAATCCTGAAAACACAAGGATGTATTTTGCATTTCTCATTCTAAACTTTGCCTAGCTATCCTAGAATAATGCAGATCATGCCAACTACTTGGCAGGGCTGTTGGGATAAACTTCCCCTGCCTCAACTGGAGGTGGGGAAAATGGCTGGCGCTTTTCTTCCTGTGTTTTGAAAGATAGTTTTGCTCTAGGAAAATGGAGCATTAGGCATACAGGTACAGCCAATGACAAACATGAGACATGTACCAGTGAGCACGGTAATGGAGGTGAGCCTCTCAGGGGAAGAAAACCAAATTTGACCCCTTGTAAAATTTGTCATTTTATAATGACAAGTAATTGCTCATTTTTACATTAAAAAAAGTTTGTTGTTCTAGATGATACACCGTTGAGAATAAATACTGCATCCCAAGGTAACTTTCTATTCTGGCTGTTTGCGATTGGCTCTACTCTAGCCCAGCTACCCTGTGGCTAAGACAAAGCTTTAAAGTCTTATTCACGCCCTAATAGAGTGTATTAAAGATTTGACTAAATGCATGTTTGGCTGCAATCACAATTTGGATTTGTATATCACATCTGGAAAAAATCTATAATTCTTTGGTCTGTGTGGTGTAATGTGCAGCCCACAGTTAAATAACTTTAGTGTGAACTTGAATGAAGATCAATGAACTGAACCCACTCATGTAAAGCAGGTAAACTGTTTTAACTGAATTACTGATAGATCTGTATTATACTCCAGACAGCCTTGCACTCTGGGCTATGAAATACCTTCTTATCTGGTTTTCCACATAAAGTACTTTCATTTTTCCTCCTTGATCACTACACTAAAATGACAAGAGCCATTAGATGATGACACAGATTCATTCTTGGCAGAGTCATGTTGTTTAAAAAACAGAAGAAATGCAGATGTCTAACAACACCCTGCACTGAAGCCTGACATTTCAACAGCATTAGAGGCAGCCTGCTTGGTTTCATCTTAAGTGCATTAAGCTCTGCAGGCTGGGACATGGTGGCATTGATGTATCTGACACCATGCTCTATTTTCTCCCCTCTAACCTTTAAAGTCAAAGTAACTACTAGTGTGTTCCCCAGAATTCCATCTTAGAGTCATTAGAGATCAGGAGATCAAGAGGAGACCTTGAGACCAGCCTTGTAACTCCCTTGTCTTACACATGAGCAAACTGAGGTTAAGTGATTTGCCCAAGATCTCCTGGGGCCAGGGTGGTCATACTACTTAGAACACTGGATTGATTCTACCCTCGATTGCCAAGCAAGCCCATTATTTTTTTTTAACTGTAATTTTAGGGTTTTTTTCCAGCTTTAGACTCAAGTGCTGACCATTGACAGCATGGGATGCAGCAAGTGGCATGTCTATACAACACCTTTCCTATGCACTGTCTTGCTTCAGTTTTAGAAGCGGGTCCTCCAAGAACAGGCATTTGGCAAAACTCTGGAGAACGTTTCCTGCTCAAAGGAAGGTAAAGTCCCAGCCCAAGGGAGCCAAAGAAGATTAAAACAAAATATTACTTCAGGTCATGACTTGGTGACCTAGCCTACAATGACTCCATCTGTCTATCTATCATCTCTCTTCTACCCATTCATCCGTCCATCCATCTTACATAAGTACCTACTAAAAATGGATACTTAGCTTGTATTAAGCACAAAATATCTGGAAAGTTGATCACCTCCCAAGCAAAGATATTTTGTGTAATTTAAATAAATTCCCAATATTAGCTTTTCTACTTACTGTTGGAGTCCCATTTTATGGAATCATTGAAGCCTTGAGGGTGCAGGGGTATGTTGATGATGATTTAGGATTTCTGTGATTATTATGTCTGCTCTGTCCTCCTCCTGCCTGTTCCTGTCTCTATTTTTCAATTTCTCTCTAATCCTGACCATAGTGAGCAAGGGTTAGACATCTCCACCTCCCCACCAGCCCCCAGCCCTTATCCCCCTTTTATCCCCCCATTCAAGTTCTCTGTACTTTGCTTATTTACTTGGCAATTGCTTCTTGATGGCTGGGGCCTATTAAGGATCCTGTCCTAGGGACTGATGATACAAAGCTGAGCTGTACAAGGTGGCCCCAGCCTGGTTTTCTAAGGGCTAGGAGAATGGTCTGAGCCGAACAACACTGCAGCAACAAGAGCTGGATAAACATTCCCACAGGCAAGAACATTCACACAGAAAGTTAAGGAGAGTAAGAGTCAGCCTGGAAAAGGGCAGCACCAGCAGAGACAGGGCATGAGCAGGGGATGGAGAAACACAAAGGCAACTTACCTTCTGTGAGCTGCAAGGCTCAGCGTGGTTGCAACAAAAGGGTGGGTGGGGACAGTGGGAAACCAGCATGGTTAGAGAGCACTCCATCAGGCTTTGTGGACAATAAATTAACTTGCATGTAGTAGGGTGAGAAGCATCTGCTTGTCAACTGACATTTAAATAGCAATTGCCAGTGGAAAGTAAGCATATGGTTAGTTGAATGAAGAGCCAGAAAGAGACAAATACATCCAATAAAAGATTTTAGCACTTTCTCAATTTATATGTTAGTGTTTGCAATCTGCTTCTGCAAGTCAGCTGAGATGTTGATCTCACTCACTGACCTTGTCTGACCCGAGGCGTCCAAATCAGCACCAACCTTGGTTTAGTCTTTAACGGCTGAGACAGAATTCTCAAAGGAGTGTTCCCTGGAACAGCAGCATCAGCGCCACCTGGGAACTTCTTAGACATGCAAATTCTTAGGCTCCAACCCAGATCTCCTGAATCAGAGACTCTGAGGGTGTGGCCCACAATCTGGGGTTAACAAGCCCTCTGTTGACTCTGCTGCTCACACAAGTTGGAGAACACTGGTCTAAGAGAAGCATAAATTGAGGTGGAGCCCCTGGCTCAGTGGGCACTTGTAGGGACCCTAGCACTGTCACTGAAGCCTTTAAAGCATCACATTTTCATCAGTGTCTACAGTCAAAGCAGACGGTAGCTCCAAACTCCCTCCCTCTGGTTCCACTCCTAGACAACCGTCCTGCCAGTCCCACTTATTTCCACACACAGCTCTTCCTCATCCTGTCTTCTTTCTTCTCCTATCCTTTCTCCCTCTGTCTCTTTTTCCCTCCCCTTTCCTCTTATTTTTCCCCACCTTTCCTTTTTTGCTTCCATTTCTCCTCTTTCTGTACATGTTTCTCCAGTATGTAAAGCAATCACATCTCTTTTCTCTTCTATTTTTCCCTCTTGCTCCCTACCCATCTTTATTCAAGATCACCACAAATCAAGCCATGTGCAACCATTCCCAGCCCACACCTCTCCCTTCCCATTATTTATTCGGATCATCTTGAGAAGGCAATTGGGTCAGCTTCAAGCCAGTTCCTTAATAGCTAACAGGGAGGTGGCAGAGAGGGCAATCTCCGCCCATTGCTGAGTTTGTCAACGGAAGGCAGAGAGGCATTGGGAGCGGCATGGATGGGATGCAGTTGACCATGGACTGACTGCACCTTCCCTGAGAGCTAAATCCAGGTACCATGTCCTCTGACAAGGTCTAAGTCCAAGCTAGGACTTTCTTGGAAACTTTGCAATCACTTTTCTAGTGACCTGCAGCTTGGAGGTCTTCGTTTATGCAGATCTTCCTTCTTGCCCTTTTTCCTACTGAGGAATTTCTTTTAGAAGACAGAAGAACTGTTGGGATTTGGTTTTCAGAAAGGCGCAGGCCACAACTTCAAAATGATGTAAATGCCACAGATGGCTGCCTCTGTCCATGAAGACAGACGGTTTGATGTCTCATCCTTGTTCCAGCTGTTTGATGGAGCCCAGGAAAGAACTCTCTCCCCAGTGCAACTCCATCCACCACGTTGAGGCCAGAGGCCTCTGAAATGTGCCACAGAAGCCAGATTCCAAATGGGCTGCAATTTGCTAAGCATTACAGCTATTTCATTCTGCTGTACAAGCTTCAGTACAAGAAGAAAAACTATCAATCACTACCATAACAAACACATATTTCTAAAATAGACCCTCCTGTCTGGAAGCTGTAGGACAGACACTTGCACTCAAAGTAAATGGAGTTTAGGGTCATCATTGTGGTTTAGTGCTCCTGTACCTTTATGATGCATGATAAATGATCAACTGGAATCTGCTAAATAAATATTTTTCTATGTAGATCTCAACTGTAAGTAGCTGTGTGGCTTTCTATGCAATCTATTCTCAATCCACTGATAGTAAGTCCTAAAATGTGGTGCAGCTACATAAACCTGTAGCTATCTCTCAGCCTGGCAGATGAAGCCAAATGCTACTTCTCTAGTAACACACAGCACAGGAGTGGGTGGTGGTAATGAGGAGCATGATGTCCTCCAAGCCCACCGGGGAAGCTGCAGAGCATATAATGAAGAAGCTTGCAGCTGGGGCAACCAAAACAGCAAGTCGATGCATACCACACGGGCTCTAGCCATGCCACTTATAAACACTGATTAACAGCTGAAAGGCTGCACTGTTAATACAATTCAGCTCCCTATAAATAGTAGAGAATTAAAACTCTAGAATGCTGGCACTGAAAAGACCTCAGAGTTTAGTCTACTGATGAGCTAGCAGAATCCCCAGAGAAGTGGAAGGAGGTGCCCAAATTTACACAGCCCATGAGTCCAAACGTGGGGCTTCCCAGGCAGGTGCTGTTTGCACTGGCCCAGCTCCCTTTAGAGTCTGGTAAAATCATGCAGCCCTCAGATGAAGCCAGCCAGTGCACTTAGCCAGGTCTCTCCTGCATGGGCATTTCAGGAGTGTGGAGACAAACAAGCATGCCTACAGACCCTGCTTCCCCACTGTCTCCTTTCCTGAGATCCCTGAGTGGGCTCCCAGACCCTGGGAGGACCAGCCCCCAAAGCCTGTGACTGAGGCAGAGGAGTGGCTAGCCAGGGCCTGGCCTTCCAACCCAACCTGGGGAGGCCCAGCATGGGTGGAGCACAGAGCTAAGAGCTTCCTCCATGGGAGTCTTTTTTACAGCTGAACCGTCCCAGAAGAGAGAATGAGGTGTGAGCTAGGAGATAATATTGACCTATATTATCCAAAGGTAAAACCAGACACCAGCTACCACTTCTTGTTACTGCTATAGAATTAGCAACAAGGACTAAAGGCAAGAAAGTAGTTTCTGTCTACCCTTGTCTAGATATGGGGTGTACTCATCAACTCAGGCTGCCATAACAAAATACCACAGACTGAATGGCATAAACAACAGAAATTTATTCCTCCTAGTTCCAGAGGCTGGGAAGTCCCAGATCAACGTGCCAGCCGATTTGGTGCTGGGTGAGGGCTCGCTTCCTGGCTTGCAGATAGCCACCATCTCTCTGCATTCTCCGACATGGCAGAAGTAAGGGTATAGAGGTGGGGAGAAGCTCTCTTCCTCTTCTTTTATGTTCACTCGTCCTATTCAGAGTCCCACCCTTATGACCTCAACTAAACTTAAACAGCTCCTAAAAGCCCGATCCCCAAATACAGTCAGATTTGGGGTTAGGGCTTCAATGTATGACTTGAGAGGGACACAGTTCAGTTCACAGCATAGGATGGCACTCTTCTATGCCCCAGGCCCCATGACCTGCTAGGCCCCCTCCCCCATCTCTTTTCTTTAGCCTCCATGCCTCTGCACACGCTGCTTTTTTGCTGAGACCACACCCTCCTCATCCCCTGCTTTTCCTCCTTCTCTCTTCCTTCCTCCCTATTCCTCTCACACCAATTGCCCACACTTAGTCCAGATCTTAGTCCAGAAGTTTCTGCTTAAATGTCACTCCTTCCAGGGAGCCTTCCTTGACTTCACAAGTCTACATCAAGTTCCCTTCTATGAGTTCACCAAGAATGTTCATTCCTACTCACATCATCATAACACTGCAGTATAAACTAGACTAGAAATTCAAGGAGGGCAACATGCTCCATCTTCACTGTTGTATTCTCAATGTGTAACAGAAAACGTTTATATAGTAGCTGCTCAATAAATGTTTGCAGGAGGGAAAGAGAGTTCCAGGTGAGGGGCTCTGGTGAACCTCTATGGAATCCATTTGAAGCCAGCTTCTCTGTCAAAGAGGTCAGTATTAGCCCTCCAAGCTTGGGGCCTAGTGCCTGGCTCATTTCCATCTCTGTACTTAGAGGAAGAAAAAGAAAGAGTGGGAATGGAGAGAAGGGATCACTTTCTCATCCAAACAAGACCAGCACCCTCAGCCCTAAAGGAGAACTAGACAGGGGTTGAGGAGTCTTGGATTCTGACAACTGCCTTCAAGGCAGGTGGCTTTAACCTGAAGCCCCCTTTGCTACTGATTAACCCTGAGTTCTCTACACTAAAAACTCATTTCTTTTTCTGTTTCTGTCTGTGATGGCCCTATGGGGTACAAACAGAGTACATATGCAAGTCAATGGGTATAACAGGACACAGAAAACCCTGTTTACCAAAGACATATCAGAGGACATTCACTTATGCCAAAATAATTCACCTGAGGGGGGCCCTTCCCCTCCATGGACAATACAAGCCTTTGTCAGAGAAGCTGCAGGCCAGGACCTAGAGCATAAGGCTGGGGTCTGCTGCCAAAGAAGGAAATTTGTAGACAAATAATAAAGTACTTAGAGGACGTGTGCAGAAGCATGGAAGCCATTTTGACACTCTATGCTGTGTGGCCTCAGGGAATAAAATCTGACAATTATAACCCTCAATTTCCATCTGGGCACAACTGGGTTGTCACAGGAAAGGATTTGGGAAGGACAAAACATGAATATGGCCAGTATTGACTCCCCTCCCTCCTTATGCCTATCACAGATTTCCCAACAAAGGATTCCTTGGACACCTCCGGCTTTGCCTCTACCTGACTGGAACAGTTCCACCCAGCACCAAGATGCTCAGCCTTACTCTCTAAAGTTCAGGCTCCTCGGGCTTCTGATCTGCAAATGGAGATAACACTAGCTGCCAGGAGGATCAAAGGAGACACTGAAGGGATAGTGCTGACCACAGTGACTGCTGTCAGAAAAGGACCACTGTCAATTATGACCATCTCACCTCCAGAATCATCTCTACCTCTACCAGTACCACCACCACTACCACCATCTTTCTTACCTCCACCTCTATCACCATACCACTGCTCCTACTATGGCCACCATCATCATCACCCTCCATCACCACGAACACCAACACCACTGCTACTACTGCCACCCCCACCATCATCATCACCTCCACCCCTACCACCAACACCAACACTGCTTCCACCACCATCATCATCTCCACCTCTACACCAACTCCACTGTTTCCACCACTGCCTCCACCTCTACCAACACTAATAACACTGCTACCACACCACCACCATTATTATCACCTCCACCTATACCACCAACAATACCAACACCAATGCCGCTACCACCCCCACCAACATCATCACCTCCACCTCTACCAACATCACTGCTACAGCCACTGCCACCATCTCTACCATGACTTCCACCTCTGTCTCTGTCACAATCACCAAGCATTCACCTCTATCTCCACCACCATCATTAACACCTCTACCAACAACTTCCTTTGTCGTCATTATCTCATCACCTCCTCCACCATCAGTACTCACCACCACCATCATCACTGTCACCAAGACCACTCCTAGAGGTCAGAGATCTAGGAGAAGGCTGACTAGAACCACAGGATGTCAGATACCTTCCAATCCTCAATCCCAAACTCATGGATAAGGCCCAGAAAGAGTCAATGACTTTCTCAGGGTTATTCTTCTATTCAGTAGCAGAGAAAGGACCAGATTAACAGCCTGTTTAACAGCCCAAAGTTCTTTTCCACTACCTGGAAATGGAGCTCTTCCCACTCTGCCCTAAGGCCTTAACTCCTACAACACACACACACACACACACACACACACACACACACACACACACAGAGGTATTTGGAGTTTAAAGATAAGGAGTGGAAAAAAAGTAGAGGATATAATAAAGGGGGAAATTGATAGAAGGTAGGATTACAACAAGAGGGAAAAATTGCAAATCCCCCAAGGACTAGAGCTCTGAGCCTTTCCCCAACTCCCTGTGCTCACATGCTTCCCGTCCAGGTGAAATGACAAGGGGCAGGGATGCTCTAGAACTGCCTGGTCATCTGGTTAATTGGCCAAAAATACCTTTCCACATGACCTTGACCTTGCTTCTTTACCCTCTTTACCCCCCATTCTTCAGGCAAAGTGTACAGTGGAGGCAGCAGTGGGGAGGTGAGGACTAGGATTTGGAGTCAAAATAGACCTGGGTTTGAATCTCAGCCCCACTACTTATTAACTGTGTGACCATGGACCTATATCTCTGTGAAACTGATAAAATAATAGTATCCACCTCATTATCATATGTCAGGCACTCAGCATAGCAGCAGTGATCAATGGCAGCTCATACTCCTTATTAGACAATCCAATCATCTGCCCCAGAAGAGAGGTAATACTCAGCTAAAATTAATATAGTACATGTATGACAGACACTCTTCTGAGTACTTAACTTGCACTTGCTTATTTAAACCTTACAATAAGCTCCATGAGGTGGCCACTGCTGAATTTCAATGCTTATACAAATAGAAAAGTGGAGGCATGGATAGGTTAGGTGACCTGTCCAAACTCACACAGCAGGAAAGTGTCAGGGCCAGAAGTTTGACCAGGCAGCCTGGTCCAGAGTTCATGCACCGAAACACACAGCCCCAGCCAGCTGCTTTGTCTGGAAAGCATACCTCAGGAGATCAAAAGTCCAATGCTTTCTGAGTCGCAAATGCAAATTAAGGTAATTCAATTGAAATGGCCACAAGTTCAGGAATGAATTTCTTCCTGTGGGTGTCATGGTGAAGAACACAATGTCAGCTGGCAAGAAATAAAGATCCTCTCTGATGCCTCTCTGTGACAAGGAAGGGCCTTTTTACTTGTAAGGGAAACACAATAAACTTTTCTGTTGCTAAGAGAGAAGCTAAAAAGAAGCAAACTAGCTTTGAATAGGAGTCTGGCAAGCTAGACTCCTGCAGAATGTCTGCTTTTGATTGGATTTACTTTATGGAAAGCAAGAACTTCCACCCCACCCCCACTGCCAGGCCTGGAAACAGTCCTGGGGAAGGAAACTTGCCCATGAAAATTCATTTGACCGGGTCCAGTGACTCACACCTATAATCCCAGCACTTTGGGAGGCCGAGGGCAGATCGCTTGAGGTTAGGAGGTCAAGAACAGCCCAGCCAATATGGCAAGCCCCGTCTCTAGTAAAATACAAAAATTAGCTGGGCATGGTGGTGCATGCCTGTAATCCTGGCTACCCCAGAGGCTGAGGTGGGAGGATTGCTTGAAACCAGGAGGCAGAGGTTGCAGTGAGCCAAGATTGTGCCACTGCACTCCAGCCTGAGGGACAGATTGAGAATCAGTCTCAGAAAAAAAAAAAAAAGAAGAAGAAGAAGAAAAACTTCATTTAAATTGAGTCAAAGACTGTTCTCACTCATCATAGGCTGACTCCGCCCCTCCCCATAAACAGAATCTGGAATTCAGTTTCAAAATAAATTAGAAAATAAATTCCATTTCTTATTATCTGTTCATCTCATGTAAGTTAGCAATGAAATTCTTGGAATAATCTGCAGCCAAATGCCAGGACCAGAGGCAGAAAAACAAAATCAACTGACGGGAGAGATACTAAGAGAGGTGCACACAGGAGCCAGGCTCACACTGTGTTTGAATTAGAGCTGAGGGTCTCAACAGAAATCAGTAAAGCTCTCAGGAAGGTTGAGATGGTATCAGGCTTCTAAGATAGGGTTTTGAGGCAAGAATGATCAGATGAGGATGCCTTCCTGTTAATGATTTGAAAATGAAATTGCTGTTGCACAACATGATAAGAATAAATCCCTCCTGGTGGGCTTTTCTTTTAATAGGGGTGAAAATAACTTGGAGGAAATAGTCTTGCAAATTTGTGAACATTAAATATAATCTCTCCCATCCAAGTGCAGCAGTAAATGTCGGAGATGCACATTGTTGTACGTAGTAAGCACAGTACAGCGCAACAATGAGAACATCCTGCTTTAATTTTTAAAGCTATTCTTCATCTGTTATCTCACTTGATAATCGCCAAATGGCAGAGCACCTCCAGGAGCTGCCCTCAGCTCTCTACCTCCCTTCTTTTTCCCTCTCCCTGGGGTACCTCCTCCGTCACTCTGATTTGAAATATCATCTCTAGGGATATACAATTCCCAAATCGATGTCACCAGCATCAGTAGACAACTATGGCCAGAACCCTGCAGCCAACTACTTACTCAACATCACAGCTTGGAGAGCTTATCTATACCTACAATGGGACATGTCCAAACTGAATTAATGATCAGCTACCCACCCAAAGCTGCCCTCTCTGCACTACTCCCAATCATAATAACCTCCAATGCCATGCATTGAGGTTTTCTAGCTGGGAACCTGCAAGTCGTCCTGTTTTACTTCTTCCCCTCTCACCCCCACATCCAATCGATCCCTAAGCTTGCCAGTTATACCTCCCAAATCTGTCCCTTTCTCACCATTCCCACTGCCACAACCCTGATTGGGGCTACTACCATCATCTCCTGCTTACACCAGGCAGAAGTCTCCCTGTCACTCCTGCTCAAGCCATTCTCCATACAAGCCAGGATTATTTTAAGTCACAGAAGAGTTCACATCACCTCCTTGCTTAAAACCTTTCGATGGCTTGTTATTAACCTTAGAATAAGGTCCAGAATCCTCAACAAGTCCTACAGGATCTAACCAGGCTTATTCCTCCAGTCTGTCCTTGAACTTCCTTCTTTCCTTGCTGTACCTGCTCCTCACACCCAACCCTCTCTTGGTTCCTGATGCCAGCCAACTCACTCCTGCCTCAGGGCTCTGACCCAGTTAGTCTCTCTTCTCTCCTTGTTAACTGTTATTCATGTTTCACTTCTCTGCTGAAGGATCACTTCTTCCTGGAAGAAGTGTCTGAGACCTCCTTGTTAGGCCTTCCTGTTATAGATCCTTATTGCCCTCATACTTCTTGGCTGTATTCTGTGTACTTGGACATAATTAGCCAGAACTTGTGTCTTGGATGTCAGTCTTTGCACCGCCATGTGAGCTCCATGGGGTTCGAGGCTGGATCTATCCTATGTCTATGTCTATGTCTGCGTCTGCAGTGCTTGGCATAGTGTCTGGTTCATGGTAGATGAACAATACATTTATGAAGACCTGCCAATTTGATTCTCCCAACCATGCAGTGACAGAGCTGTTATCCCTATTTTTACAGATGAAAACAATAAGACGCACTATCGTTGAACCAATTTGGTCCAGGTTGCAAAGAAAATGAGTGGACAGCAGCCTGAAAACTGGGAACTTCCAATCAAGGGTGTCCACCAAGTTCAAGTGCATCACCCCCAGCATTATGTTTCCATGTTTACCATGCTATCATCCAGAGATACAATCCCACACCCTCCTCCAGAGTTTAGCCCAGAGAGGGAAGCAAGCCTAGGGCCTTTCCCAGGACTGACTGAAGATTTTCATTCAACTTTTGTCTTTAATTAGAAAACTATGAGCAACACATTCGAATCACAGAAACTTGGGCTTTTAGACCAGGAACGACCTCAAAGATGACAGATGAGTTTCCTTGCCTGTAAATTGAGAGGTTGTCTTCAATTTCTGCAGCCCTTTTCAGCTACAAAACTCTAGTTGTTTAACTTCCCTAGACTGCAGGATCTACATCTAAAAATCATGAACTATATAAATCACATTACACATAATTCACATTATATGAATCAAATTAGACAATACACTTACACTTTCTAGAATTCCTAGATACATAGGTTCAAGGAATTATGATCACTCTCTTATGGAAAGTTCTCAGTCATGCCTGGGCACCTTCACTCTTGCTACTCAGAGTGTAGTGCATGGGATATCCCGAGAGCTTGTTGGACGTGCAGAAGCTCAGGCCCCATCTTAGACCTGTGGTCAGGATCTGCATTTTAACAAGACATCCAGATGGCATGTGGCTTACACTACAGTCCTAGCATCATAGCATCACATCTAAGCCTTTTGTAACTTCCCTGCTGCCTGTCTTCCAAGCCTTATCACCAGTCTCCATCTGAGTCCAGTGCTCCAGCTTTTTTCCAATGACTCTTAATTCCAGGACGCTCCATGTCTCTGCCCAAGACAGATTCCAGGAAACTGCTACCAGCTCAAGTATCCTCTCCTCTGGGAAGGGCTCCCTAACTTTTTAGAACCTCCCAGATACTGTTCTTGCTTCCAAGACAGGACAACCACATGAGTGATGAATTTCCATGCCTGGGTCACTCTGAGCACTTGGAAGGCAAGGGCTGTGTTCCAGCACATGCCTAGTACAGCAGAGTAGGGACTCAATATGTGTTTATTGAAAAATATGGAAAAAACTGAATCTCATTAAAGTGTGTGCCAAGGTCTTATCCTCAATTGTGGACTAAACTAGAATTGATTGCACAAACACACACACACACACGTATTACTATGTACTACTTTATTAGGGTAATGGTACTTAGAAAATATAGGGTGTTTATATTAGGGTAAGGGTACTTAGAAATGGGTAATGGTACTTAGAAAATGGTTTTCTAGGGTAATGGTACTTAGAAAAATGATTACAAACTTAAAGGAGAAAAAACAGTTATCCTCTTTCCCAGAAAGATGTGCATAGATAGAATAGAGTAGTTTCAGGTCGCTCTAAAGCCTGGACGGAGATAGGGCAGGAGGGCAAAGGACAGCCCAATTATTTTCTGGAGAGGCTGCCTGCTGGCCCTGCATGAGTGAGGAGCAGGACTCCTCCTCTCTCCTGCCAGGGCCCTCCCAAACTTGAGAGACCACATTTGAGTCTGCTGGTCTCTCAGGTTTGATGTGACCCAAGCCTGTGGGCATTCTGAGCTGAGTCTGGGAGAGGATGGAGAAAGACATAGGAAACCAAATAACTCCTCCAAGCAAACCAGTGCAAGCCAGAAAGGAAGGCTGGGAAGCAGTAGGGCAGGAGCCTCAGGGCACCAGTGGGGCAAGTTCCAGAAATCTGGAACTCCAGGACATTAGGCTCCAGAAATTCTGGAACTCTTCTAGGAGTAATGCTTCCCAGAGCAAGGCTGTATTTGCTCAGGTGCATGTTTGGGGGCTGGGGGCAGTCCATGCCCTGAGATGCATCTGAGATGGAGAAAAGAGGAAACCAACATGGGGGTGGAATGATAGGAGTAGAGAACCACAACCAGAAGCCCAAAATATAACACCTGAGCCACTTTGGGATGCGTCCACCTGGGTCATTGCTGGCACAGCCAGTCACCTGCCCTCACTTAATCACAGACTGGCCACAGTCAGCCTTGGAACACCTCATAGATTTTCCCAACCCTGCCAAGCTGTAAATGAGGAAAGGGGGATCCAGAGAAGGCAGGAAATTCACCTGAGGTTGTCCAGCTGGGCAGCTGCTAGGGATGGAGCAAAATCCAAGCTAGATCTTTTTCTCCTCCCCCACGGCCGAGGCTCCTTTCAACTTTATGTTTATGACTCACACAGCTCTGGGCACTGAAAACCCAGTTTCCAAAACAGCACTGTGCAGTGAGGGAGATTTTAGAATCAAGAGCCCTTGTTTATGAGCTAGGCCCCTTTATTTGCTAGCATGCAACTCTAAGGAGCAAGTTATGAACCCTCTTATCTTCATTTTCATTGATTGCAAAATCGGGAAACTAATATCTTCCATGAAAGATGACTGGAATCTAAAATGAGACTGTACATCATTACTCGGCATATTGACATTTGATAAATATTATTTCTTTCTCTCTGCTTCCTAGAATCCTGGGTTTGAGGTAAAGACAAAGTAGTGTCTTGCCACCATCCTGTCCTGAGTTTCCGTGGTTTTCTGCACACTGTTGTACTTGGATGGTTAAGTAGACAGCAGTTTTCATGCCTGCCTAAAACTAATCCTCTCTTCCTCCAGTAAGAGTACCCGATGTTCTGGGGAGCCATTGTCCCTGACAATCCCTCCAGCTCAGGTTGGAGGTAGTCCTCGCTCTCTATACCCAGAGGTGGGTACACAGAGAAGCAGTGGACAATCAGGGACACAGGGCCAGTCCCCTCCGTGATGAACATGGGATCCAGATCAGGCCCGTAAGAGGCAACCTCAGGACATCTGCTGGAAAAAAAAAAATATTCTGCTGGAGTTGCTAAACCAGGAAAACAAGCCTGTAACTCTGTGGCCATGACATCCCCAACACTGGGGCGGCTTCCCTGAAAAGCTCTCCTTTGCCAATGCACAGGAAGGCAAAGACATAACATTGTGAGAAGGAGAAAGAATTATTTCTAATATTGTTTGAGCCTGGATCCTACAATCCTAAAATAGGATCTACCTATAGGCTTTTCAATTATATAAGCTAATACATTCTTTTTTCTTAAGCCAATGTGAATATGGTTTTCACTTACTTCCAACCATAAGAGTCTCAATTATATAAATGTCTTTAATGTAGTGGCCTGCGGGGAGGTTGTTCAGCCTCCTAAGGTAACATCACTTAGTCTCTCAGGGATAACCTGGAGGCCTCCAACCATAAACAGACATTTCCTTTTGCCCATTTGAACTGAGAGACTATTCAATACCACTCACATCACAAAGGAGTTTACTTATTTGAAGCCCTATTTCTCTCCTTTCTCTTTATTGACTAGAGAAACCCAATCATTTCCTTTCAAAGGAAATCCATACTTATTTACTTGGTTCTTGTTTAAAAAAAGAAAAAACCAGCTCTCCTTTCTCTTCCCTCAGGGGAGACATTTTTGGATGTAGAACTCAGGGATGGAAGGGCTGTCAGAGGACACTGTAGTGCAGCCTTATTATCTCGCCAATGTGAAAGCAGAGGCTGCTCGCTGAGCCACTATCATCAGCAGCCAAGTCCTCCAGCTTCCAGGCCAGGGCCTGCCCTCCAACCCCAATATTCCAGCTGACACCAATGCCTCCAATGACCCTGTACATGGTCAAAGGTACTTATGGGTTGATTTAAATACTAAAGACTTGTGAAGATGCCTTTGGAGAAAAGCACAGTAGCCTTGGATTCTAGTCCCAGCTCTGTACTAACCAGCAGTGTCACCTTGGGGGATGTCATTTAACCATTTTAGGCTACTTTTTTAGTTTTTTGTTTTTTTTTTTTGAGATGGAGTCTCGCTCTGTCGCCCAGGCTGGAGTGCAGTGGTGCGGTCTCGGCTCACTGCAACCTCCGCCACCCAGGTTCACGCCATTCTCCTGCCTCAGCCTCCCGAGTAGCTGGGACTATAGGCACCCACCACCACGCCCAGATAATTTTTGTATTTTTACTAGAGACAGGGTTTCACCGTGTTAGCCAGGATGGTCTCGATCTCCCAACCTTGTGATCCACCCGCCTTGGCCTCCCAAAGAGCTGGTGAGCCACTGCACCCAGCCAGGCTTGTTTCTTTATTAATAAAATTGGGGGGTTGGACTAAGAGAATCATAAAATGTCAGAAGGTTAATGAAGCTAAGGCAGATGATCACAGACATATAGAAAACAGAGTGCTGAATCAGCAGCACAGAGGAATAAAAACTCATTCCAATGTTGGACTCTGAAGGTGAACATCTTCAAAAAGATGTAGGAAGAGAAGGAACTGAAAGCCCTATAAAGCTGTATACTGAAAACATGGCATTTCCCCCCCTTCTGTTCTCATATGAGCCATTGGTGCTTCCAAATTTGTCTCTTTAAATCTTCGTAAAACTGGAATGCACTATGTGCCGAGAAGTCAAGTTTGCCAATCTGTCTAGTGGTGCTGGTTTATGGCACTTATTACAGCTTATTATCCACAACTCCCCACTTTGACTCCAAAAATTGTCCTACAATCAGCAGAAAACTCATGGAGAATATATAAAGTATTCCTACAAAACAACAAGAAAAAAAGATAAATAATCCAATAGAGAAAATGGGCAGAAGACTTGAAAAGGCACTTCACAGAGGAAGGAGGCCAGCCAAGTGGCCAGTCAACAAATGCCAGGATGTCCCTCATCAGGAGTCATCACATAACTGCAAATTAACACCACAGCAAGACGTCGCCATGTACTCAACAGAATGGCCAAATTAAGAAAGGTAGAGGGGAAAAAGCCACGTAGAAGCAAAGCAAAAAGCCATGTAGAAGTAAAAAAGCCATGTAGAAGCAAAAAAAAAAAAAAAATTGGAGCACCTAGAACTCCCGTACACTGCCAGCGTGGGTTGTAAATTGGTGCAACTACTCTGGAAAAGTGTTTGACAGTCTCTAGTAGAGCTGTTCATGTGCAGAACCTATGACCCAGAAATTTGCTTCTAAGTATATGCAAAGAGAAAAGGGTAAAATATGTCCACCTAAAGACATGCACTAGGATCTTCAGGTCTATATTGATCCCCGACTGGGAACTACACAAAAGCTCATCAATGGTAGAAAACACAGACTAACTGTGGAATATTCACGCAACGACATACTATACACTGCACACAGCAGTGAGGATCAGCAGGCTAAAGCTGCACCCTAGAACATGAGCAAATCTCACAAACATATGTCCACTGAAGAAGGCAGATGCGGAAGATTACATTTTGTTTGATTTTGTAGAGAAACTACAAAAACAAGAGAAGCTAAGGTATGGTGTTAGAAGTCAGAATGATGGTTACCTGAGAGGGAATAAGTACAAGAGGACACAAAGCAGAAATTTCAGGAGTACTAGTCATCTGGTTATGTGAGTATGTTCAAGCTATAAACATCTAATGTGTGCACTTTTCAGTATGTATGTTGTAAACTTTAATAAAAAGTTCAAAAATATTTCTTTCGAATTATTCCAGCATTGATAATAAATGTCATGGTCACTATCATGAAGATCATATGTTGCATCTCTAACCACTGCTACATCTAATTGTTACTGTATTTGGAGATAGGGTCTTAACGAGGCAATTACAGTAAAATGGGGTCATTACAATGAGCCCCAATCTAATATGACTTGTGTCCTTACAGGAAGAGGAAATTTGGACACAGACATGCACAGACAAGAGGGACAACCACAGAAAGACACAGGGAGAAGAGGGCCATCTGTGAGCCAAGGAGAGAAGCCCCAAGAGCCAACCCTACCGACACCTTGATCTTAGACTTTTAGCCTCCGGAATTGTGAGACAATATATGTCTGTTGTTTATGCCACCGAACCCACGTTATTTTATCATGGTAGCCCCTAGCAAACTCATGTTGTCACCCAGGTTATCCCTGGCTTCCTTTTAAGCAGGTTACTGTGATGTAAATTAAGCCATTTCCAGGGAGGCAGAAGGATCTTGGGCTGCTGGTGGAGGTGAGGGGGTGGTCAAGGGAGTGGGCTGCTCCTCTACCCTGGAGCATCAGCTCCAGGCTGCTTCTGGCTTTCCCATCATTCCAAAATCTTCCTTGGCTGAACTAAAAAGGAGTGAGCCACCTTCCCAAGGCAATTGTGCGGGCTTCTCCACCTCAAAGCAATCACAGCAGAAGGGGTTCCAGGATTTTTGCTTTAATCATCACAGAAATGTTTCCAGCTAGAAGAGACAACAGAGATCATCTTACCCAGCCTTCTCATTTTGTAAATGAGGAAAGAAACATCAAGAGAAGTTAGGAAACTGGCCAAAGCCACACAGCTAGTTAGTGAGGAGCCAGGTTTCCGGACTGGGGCTCTGAATGCTGAGTCATTTTTGCCTTCGCTTTTTGAAGGGCAGGGCGAGGAAAAGGGATAAAGGGAATAGTTTAACTTCTTTTATAAGCTTTAACTTTATTCCTGACTTTTGAGGTGGCACCAGACTGTCCCAGTCTTCCTTCTCCCTCCATTCTTTTCTTACTCTTCTTTACTGTCCCTCTCTCCTTCCCTTCAGGCGCCCCTGGCCACAGCCCTTCTTTTTCAGATCTTCCTTCAACGGTATCAGGAGCGTGGAGTCCAGGGCACTGGGTTTTCCCAGCTGTGTGGCTTTAGGCAAGTCAATGAAACTCTGTGCTGGGCTTCCCTCGTCCATCCCAGGGGCTCCACTGCCTCTCTGGGGCTTGGGCAAGCTTCTTGAGGACTGAGCTCTGACTTTTTTTTTCCTTTTGAAGGGGCCTGGGGAGTCATGCCTTACAAACCATAAAATCTCATTAAATAGGTCTTATTTATTTATTTGAGACAGAGTCTCGCTTTGTCACCCAGGCTGGAGTGCAATGGCATGATCTTAGCTCACTGCAACCTCTGCCTCCCGAGTTCAAGTGTTTCTCCTGCCTCAGCCTCCTGAGTAGCTGGGATTACAGGCACCCGCCACCACACCCGGCTACTTTGTGTATTTTTAGTACAGACAGGGTTTCACCAGGTTGGTTAGGCTGCTCTTGAACTCCTGACCTTGTGATCCTCCCACCTCGGTCTGCAAAGTGCTGGGATTACAGGCATGAGCCACCGCACCTGGCCAACAGGTCTTATTTTTTGATCTACTACAATGTGGCTCACTTTTCAACCTTCTTCTGGTATGGCATCACATGATGGGTGGCAGACCCCCTTATTTTAACTTAAGTATTCCTTTCTATCAACTCCAAATTTTTAGACAAAGCTTAAGTCTTTCAATCAATTGCCACAAAAAGAATCCCTAAACCTACCTATGACTTGTAAGCTTCTGCTTCGCGGTATCCAGCTTTTTCAGGCTGAATCAATATATACCTTCCAGGTATTGATTTATGGCTTTACCTGCAATTTCTGACTCCATGAAATATATAAAGCCAAACTGTAACCCAACTGCCTCAAGTGCACTTTCTAAGGATTTCCTGAGACTGTTTCCCTGGTCCATGGTCACTCATATTGGCTCAGAATAAACCTTAGATATTTTGGTAGATTTTTGTTTTGTTTTGTTTTTGAGAGGGAGTCTCACTCTGTCGCCCAGGCTGGAGTGCAATGGTGCGATCTCAGCTCACTGCAACCTCCGCCTCCCAGTTTCAAGAAATTCTCGTGCCTCAGCCTCCACAGTAGGTGGGATTATAGGTGTGCGCCACCACACCTGGCTAAATTTTGTATTTGTAGGAGAGACAGGGTGTCACCATTTTGGCCTGGCTGGTCTCGAACTCCTGACTTCAAGTGATCCACCCACCTCAGCCTCCCAAAATGCTGGTACTACAGGCATAAGCCACTGCACCCTGCCAATTCTGGCAGACTTTTATTTTTCCATCGTCCTTCTCAAAGGTCTCTCCCCAGCCCAGGGGACCCCTCACCTCAGCAGGAGTACCCTCTGGGGCAGGAGAGCATGAGCAGAGTTAGGTGGACAGGTGGCCATCTCTATGCATATCCCTCTCATCGCCAGCCTGAGATTTGTGACAGGACCTCTCTAATGCCCCACACCCCAGCACCCTATGGAAGCTGCTGGAAATAGAGAAGATGCCTTCTTACTTAGGACGAAGGAACCAGAAGGCTGCAATGTATTGCATTGCCCAAGGCCCAGCTTGGGGTTTTATAAATTCACGCCCTGCAATAACCTTGGAAGATGGACATCACTGAACCCACTTAACAGCTGGGAAACAGGCTTGTCCAAAGACACCAGCTGGCTGGGCTGGAGACAGGGTCTGAGCTGGAATCTCTCTGGTTCCACCATACTCAAACCTTCTGTGGCACCCCAGCTGTCCCTACTTGTACCTCAAAATGGCAACTTGACAAGTGTTAGACTACATGGGCCATTTGCCCAGGCCTGTAGGTGATAAGCGACATCTCAGGCACTGACTCTCCCACAGAGAGCTGGCAGTGCTGATGGTAGAACAGGTTCTGAACCAATCAATTGGAAAACAGAATAAAGCAGTACTTATCACAAGTCAAGACATGTGGCTGACACCCTCTGTGTGGTCTGCTGAGACCTTGGGCACTGGCAGCTCTAGACACCAGGCTCAGGGAGAGGTAAGCGCCAAGTCATGGTCATCTGCAGCAACGCTGGTGACACTTGCATTTCCGTGTTAACTTGCTCTCTGAGAGACACTGGTAATGAGCTAAGGGAATTCACCTGAGTTCAGGGACCCGTTTTCAGCACAGCCAATTCCAGATATGAGGCAGGAACTTGGAAATCTTCCAGGTCCAGCTGGGAGAGGGACTCTAGGGATGGGTGGCTGAAGCCAGGGAAGCAGCTGCGGTCAAAGGGAAACTACTCAAGCACCGGAGACACACAACAGGTCTTTCCCGATTTCTCTGGGGAATGGACATATTTAAAATGTGAAGGTGGCCAGGCGCAGTGGCTCACTCCTGTAATCCCAGCAGTTTGGGAGGCCGAGGTGGGTGGATTATGAGGTCAGGTGATCGAGACCATCCTGGCTAACACAATGAAACCCCGTCTTTACTAAAAATACAAAAAATTAGCCGGGCGTGGTGGTGGGCACCTGTAGTCCCAGCTACTTGGGAGGCTGAGGCAGGAGAATGGCGTGAACCTGGGAGGTGGAGCTTGTGGTGAGTAGAGATTGTGCCACTGCACTCCAGCCTGGGTGACAGAGCGAGACTCCATCTCAAAATAACTAAATAAATAAAAATAAAATGTGAAGGTTGTGATCTGAGTTCAATAGCACCCACTGGTGAAGGAGAGAGAAGGGAAAACAGAGAGGCGAGGGGAAGTGTCTGGGCAAACCTAGCCCCAAGAGACACTGGGAGGGAGGCAGGGAAGACAACTTGTAGACACAGGACTCCTCATGCCAGGCCTTCCCTGCCTAATGTGGAGCACCTGAGCCACGCAGGGGGGAAGGAGGGGCGTCTGAGCCCAGACCTGACACAGGGGCTGTGGGGCAGGGTTTGCAGTGAAACTGGAGATGGTGTGGCCTCTGAGATTCACAGTCCCAGGAAACTGAGATGGGAGGGGTGACTGAGTAGCTGAAGTCCCCCTCCTCAGAATGTCCCTTTCATGACTGAGTCACAGGCCAGAAGATATTGCGAGATCCTGGCACACAGCATGAGGAACCCTCTGGGCAAACCTCCAGTCCCCAGGGCTTATTTCTCTGAGGCCACTAATGGCATCTTGAGACAACTCATGCTGGAGCTGCAGCCTCCTGCCTCCGGAGGGAACTGCCTGGGTATTTATCAACTTTCATGTAAAAAAAATTCTCCTGGGGAGTTGCTTACAAGCACAGACCTCTGGGCCTCACCCTCAGGAAGAAGTTCAGGAATCTGAATTCTGAACAGAGAGACCCCAGCTGACTGAGGCATGGGGACTTGGACCACATCAATAAAGGCTTGAAAGCCCCGCTAAGGAGTTGAGCATTTTGACACCAGTGGGTTTGGCAGATTAGCACGAGAAAGGGCAGAGATTTGCGCAGGTGAAGGGGCTGGTGAGCAGGCCTCATTCAGAGAGCTAGGGCAGGTTTGGGAGGCAATCCTGAAGTGATGGGGATGTGGTGTGGGGTGTAGGGTGTGGAGAGTGTGTGTGTGTCTGTGTGTGTGTGTGTGTGTGTGTGTGTCTGTGTCTGTGTCTGTGTGTATGTTGGGGAGGAGCCTTTGGATAAAAGGTTGCTGAGCCCCAAGGACTGATGAGAGTATATGGCAAGGATCTGAAACCAAATTGCCTAACTACCCAGGCCAGTGCAAGGAAAGTAGGTCTAATCTGCACCAATTGGACAGCCACCTTTCCTCCCAGGAGGCTGTGCCTAGACAGGTTCCAGGGGACAGAGACTTCCTAAATGAAAACTTCTTACATAACTCCCACTCTGGGGAGAAGCCGTCAGCCTTCCTGCCCATAGAAATGAAGCACAACTGGGTAGAAATAGTTTGAACATGAGCTCCCTCTACTTGGTTTCTTGGCCGTTCTGTGACTGTCTACAAAGTGGGACTGTCACTGCCTGCCACAAGGTTCTGCCCCTGAAGGCTCAAGGGGTGGAGGTCAGTTCTGCCTTCCCAGCTGGGACCAAAGACACGCTCGGTGGGCAAACCAGCCAGGACATATGGAGCCTGTTGCGAGGGCCCTTACCCATGCTTGCCGGATCTTTCACTGGATTTCTCAGCCACCCAGTCCAGTGCCTCAAATTGCTGTGATCATAGCTTTCTGCTAAGGATGTGCATAGCCTGATTCCACAGCAAATTTGGCCTTGGCAAAAGAGAGGGTTGGTGTGCACCTCACCATGATCTCGCACCTGCTGGGTTGGCCTCGGGTGGAGAAGAAAGTGCACTGGGCTGCAGACCCTGCATCAGGAACCCAGCACCCTGGAAAAGGGCCTGTGGGGGTGTAGCAGCCAGAGTTATGGAGCAGAGGTGGATGCTGCCCCACTGCCTGGTGCTACTGGGTCCGTCCTCGGGGTTACCAGGCCTGCCGACTCCCAGGAAGTCTGTGGGCAGTTCCCGTTTATTTCTGCCACAAACTGAAGAAACACAAAAGGGCAAGGCCCTTCAGCCTTCACATCCTGGTCCCAGGGCTGTCCACCCTTGGCCCCTCTCCCATCTTCTAAACGCCCTCAGTTCCGTAGGGACCTCCACAACCACAGGCCAGCAGCCTGGCATTAAGTGAAGCCGGCCTTTAAAGGTTTTGTGAGGGTGATGCTGAAGATAGAGGAGGATTGGGTGGAATGGGAGATAAGAAAACCCAGGCAGCCTCATAATTTGCCTGCTTATGTGGGAAGGGGGCTCTGCTTCATCCCTGGTGCATGTGTGGCCTCCCAAAGCACCACCGAGCCCAGCCCTTCATCCTTCCAGCAGTGGCCTCGGTTTCCCTGGGCTCCTTGGCACCCACATAAGATGTGGCTGTGTACTTAACTCTTCTTCACTCTTTGTCCCCATTTAGTCATAATAGAAGCTGTGTTCTCCATCTATTGTCACATTTGTGATCGAGAAAGCCCTCATTTCCTGCAATAATCTTAAGTGACAATTCAAGGCTAAATGCAGTTTAATGTTTTGTAATGTCTCAAAAAAGCAACAACTCAAAATTATAATATAGCCCCTGAAATTACTAGTCTGAGTGAAAGAGGGAACGTACAACTTGAAAATGAAATGAAAATCCAGCAAATTGATCTCAGGCTGAAATGATGAGGCTCAGCAAGTTCCAGCCATGTAAATGGGAGAATGTTGGAGTGACCTTTGTCAGGTGGCCGGATGGACTGGCTGGCAGAACACACACTTAACTTAGGGAATGTCTTCTTTTTCCACTTAACTTAGGGAATGTCTTCTTTTTCCAGCTTCTGTTAAGCAGGAAGGGGCCCAACAGAATTTTCTCATCTGGCTTTTCTTGGAGTGGGAAATGGAGGGGACATATTTAGGGGGAATCAATGCTCCAGACCAAGACGAGTTTTAGGGAAGAGCCACAGTAAGGGGAGTAAAGGGAGATCAGGGAAGCAACAGGCCACAGCCCACTTCTGACTTTTGGAGCTGGCCTCTGTTAATTCCATCTATTTTGGTCAATGCTTAACCTGTTCCATTATCTCCTTCTCATTACTTCTAAGTATCACACATGGACACTGAGGCTCAGATATTTTAAGGGACTTCTGCAAACTAAGCTGTGTGGCCTGTGTTTGAACTCAGATCTGTCTGCATTCAAAACTTATGCCCTTAATCTGAATTTTCACAAGTATTTAAATATAGGAAGGCTTTTGTAAAAGATGCTACTACTAACAATAACCCACAGAACAAACAACTAGGGAAGACATTTCCTATACGTATGACAAAAAAATGTCTAATTTACCCAACATAAGAAAAGCTCTTAGAATTCAATAGAGAAAGACAAACAGTCCCAAAGAAAAATAGACTAAGGGAATGAACATGTAATACTAATGGCAATAAACACATAAAAAATAAAGTTATTAATATATGAAAGAAATGTAAATCAAGACAGCAATTAAATCTCATCTTTAACTTTTCACAATGACTAAAGTGTTCTAAAGAT
Organism: Homo sapiens; assembly: GCF_000001405.40. NCBI lineage: Eukaryota > Metazoa > Chordata > Mammalia > Primates > Hominidae > Homo > Homo sapiens. The sequence goes on along the minus strand of NC_000002.12, from coordinate 132,617,422 downwards.
TGGTACAATATTAATGAGGTTCAAGTAGAGAAGCAAAGGAAAGGCATTCCCATTCATAATTTAAAAAGAAAGCCTGCTCAGCCTCCTCGAAAACAACTCTGTAATATCCTCCAAAATCCAATAGTGTATATTATTTGCCCCAGGAACTCCATCTGTAGGACTCCAAGCCATAAAAATACAAGCCAAAAAAAAAAAAGTGCAAATATTTTAGTACAAGGAAGTTCACTGCCAGAAAAGATCAGTCCAATCCAAGTATCCATCATCAGAAGACATTAAACACTTATAGTACATCTACACATAGCTGCTAAACAAATGAGACAATTCTGTGTGCACTGGAAGACCCAAGGCTACGTTGCACTATTAAATAGAGAAAGAGAATCCACAAAACGTGTGCACTGTTTGACTGTGCTACTGGAAAAAAATTTTTTAAAAATGTCTCTATGAATGGGTTTGTGTTGGTGCATTTGTGTTTGTGTACAGAAACTTCTGGAGGAAGGAGCATCCAGCTCAACAGTAGGGACCGTGGCGGGAGCGGGGCATTGAGAGAAAGAAAGCGTGTTTCAATTTCTGCTTTATATAATTCCTTATGATTTGATTCTTTCAAAACAGTTTTTTGAGCAAAACAGAATTCTCTGGGAAAGTGGTAAAAGAAATCTGGGATTTATGCATGGCTCCATTAAAACACTGCACAAAAGCACTGAGGCAAGCCCAGTCTTGGCCCTCAAGGAGCTCATGCTGGATCAGGAGTTGACCTACATACAGAAGCAGCAACCCTACAACAGGAGATCATACAAAGCTGGATGGATGAAGACCCATGGAACATGGAGAGAGAAGCATTTTATTCTGCAGAAGGTCAACCCAGCTGTGAACAGGTAAAGTCAGAGAATAGGGCCTCTCCAACTTTTCCTTCACATTACCTCTAGAATCTCCACTCTGCATTCTTTTCCTGGGCCCCTACAGGCTCAGGCTTCTGGCTCCTTGCCTTCCTCCACACTCAAATCTGTCGCTGAAAAATTCAATAGCATTACCTTGCATGGTGACAGGTGTCCTATTAGGTATAAAGGCAGCTCAATGAATATAGGATGCTGGGGAGTCAGAAAGACTGGAGACAGACTGGGTCGAATCCTGGCTCTGCCTCTCACTGGTTATATGAAGAACCACCTCCCCTAACCCCAGGTTTGCTCATCTGCAAAACTGAGATACCAACCAACCTCACAGGTTTGTCAGATGACAATAAATAATAACCAAGTGTGGTCCCAGCTGAGAACCCACATATAAAAGTCTCTTAATAAACAATAGCTCTAACATGGGGGTGGGTTTGTTACAGGCTAATAAAACATTTCAGGGTTCAGTAGGAAGATGACAGGGAAGGTTTGCAGGAGGGAGGGAGGCTGTTTGCATTCCTGTGACTCTCACCATACTTGCCTAATCTGTGTTAAAGAATCACTTGCTTAAAATAACTGGGTCCAAAAAAAAAAAAAAAAAAGAGCTGGAATGGGGTGAGACAAGCCAGGTGTGCAGTGCGTGACATTTAAAGACACACTTGTTCCCTGTGTCAGGCAAGTGCAGGATCAACACCTGAGAGTAAAGGCCTCCTTAAATTTTGCATCCCAGGTACCTAGCTTGCCTAACCCTAGTCTTGGCCCACATCAAAACAGTGACTTGCAAGTGAACCTCTAAAAAGTAGAATTTCAATTAAATATAAATACGGCTAAAGGGAGAAGTAAGCAAGCAACTAATCCCTCTTGCTAGAGAAGTGTATTTATTTAAGGGCAGGAGTGCAGCTACAATTAGTGACCTACCACCCCTGGAGCAGTAGCTGGCATTTAAGAGACCCTGATCTCACCTGTTAATTGGCCCTGCCTACACCCCTGTGGTTCTCAAGTCAGCTGGCATTAACACAACCCAGGCCTGCTCTCCAATAAAGCACAGTCTCTGTTGGGAGCTGCTCTGCTGCTCAGCCCTTCTGCATGGGGTGAAATAAAGTTTTTAGATGGGAAGGCACTGTGCAATGATGCCTGCGAGGAAGGCACGCAAGGTGAAGGTTAACACCAAAGCGGGGGTGGGCCTCCAGGTGAGGCTGAAAGAAGGAAGGAGGCAATTGCCTGTTGGAGTGAGGGATTCTGGAGAAGCACCCTGCAGAGCTTCATTCTGTTTTCAAAAGTGTGCCATGCAGGTCTCTGGGTTGTGAGCTCATGGCTGAGTTATCACAGCTCCTGATGACAGATCATGAAAAATAGGTACTTCCCAAGCTCTGACTAGACCTTGGCAGTTGCAATTAAATCCGTGGTGTCTGAAAACTTAAAAATGCACCTCCCAACTTTTGAAACAGCAAAGCAACCAAGACACATGGGGTGGGCATGGGGGAGGCAGCAAACGAACAGAGCCGGGAAGGGGTGAGATGCCTGGGTCTAGAGAGGGTTGCTCAGATGGAAACCAAACTTTAATTCTGGGAAGAAAAGACAGACAAAGAAGGTTGAAAATAAATAAGATGATGTGGTCTTGATTATTGGAGTAAGAAAATTATTTCTGTGTTTTCTGAAGTTCTTGAAGCTTAAAATGATGATTTAAGAAAGCTCCTTGGCCGGGCATGGTGGCTCATGCCTGTAATCCCAGCACTTTGGGAGGCTGAGGCAGGTGGTCAGGAGTTCAAGACCAGCCTGGCCTACATGGTAAAACCCCATCTCTACTAAAGATAAAAAAAATTAGCCTGGTGTGGTGGCATGCGCCTGTAATCTCAGCTACTTGGGAGGCTAAGGCAAAAGAATTGCTTGAACCTGGGAGGTGGAGGTTGCAGTGAGCCGAGACAGCACCACTGCATTCCAGCCTGGGCAACAGGGCGAGACTCCATCTCAAGAGACTTTTAAAAGAAAGCTCCTTGGCTGGCTGGGTGCGGTGGCTCATGCCTATAATCCCAGAACTTTGGGAGGCCGAGGTATGTGGATCACAAGGTCAAGAGATCAAGACGAGGTCAAGAGATCAAGATCACGAGGTCAAGAGATCAAGAGAGCAACATGGTGAAACCACGTCTCTACTAAAAATACAAAAATTAGCTGGGTGTGGTGGCATGCACCTGTAGTCCCAGCTACTTGAGAGGCCGAGGCAGGAGAATCGCTTGAACCCGGGAGATGGAGGTTGCAGTGAGCCGAGATTGCGCCACTGCACTCCAGTCTGTGCGACAGAGCAAGACTCTGTCAAAATAAAAACAAAAACAAAAACAAAACAAAACAAAAACAAAAAAAAAAGCAAGCAAGTTCCTCAAGACACTGCAATTCTGGATGGATGGAGAAAGATGCTAGAAGAATTCACAAGAGGACCTTCTGGGCAAAGGGAAATTCAAACTATACTAAGGCATTAGTTTTGGCTTTAGGCGTATATGGTAATCCTACAGAATGAGTATGCTTAAGTTGCTACCCAACTCATTCTCTATGGACCTCAGTTTCTTATAACAAGGAGCACTCATCCACCAATTCATTCATGTATTTATACACATAATCACTCTGTCATACTTTTGTTAACTGTCTATTAAGACGTAGACACTGTGTTAAACACTGGGGATACAATCATGAAGAATAAGATGTTTGCCCTTGAGGACTTTGTGACCTAGTGAAAAAGACACTAGTGGAAAAGTTTGTGCTAAACTTCAATAGACACTGATACTGATGAGGGCCATGCTTCCATAAGTAAATGAGAAAGAACAAGATGAGGACAAGTATCAGGACAAGGATGAGGAGGAGAACTATAAGCTAAACCTTTATCATGTGCTTGTGATATGCCCTACACTCTGCTAAGTGATGGTGATATAGCAATGAACATTGCAGAATTTCTGCCCCTGAAGGGCTTGCAGTTCAGCAGGAGAGACAAAGTTGCAAACAAGCATTTGAAGTAAATGACCTAAGGGCTGTGCTTAATCACCTTGGATAACAAAGAATTCCCACTCCCTGCAGTACACCCAGTCTCAGAAGGGCCAAGGAAATCATCCTGAAGGAGGTGTTTAATCTAAGACTTGAAGGATGCATAAGTTTTGCCTAAGGAGGATGGAGAAAGGGACAGTTTTCTGGGAGGATGTAGAGGCACATAAAAAATCATGCCCAATAGAGTTATTTAAGTTTTATATAAATGTTCCTTATCCTTGCACAAGTGTCTGTCTACATGGAGTGCGACAGAGCTAGAGCACAGAGCAAGTGCAACAAGAAATAAAAAGCAAAATGATTGGAAAGGAGGAAATAAAACCCTCATTAGTCACACGTTACATGATCATATACAGGAAACCCAAAAGCATCTATGGAAAAACTGTTGAAATTAATGTGAATTTAGCAAAGTCCCTGAACACAAAGCCAATTTTAAAATGGTACAGTTCATAATAGCATTTTAAAATATGGATATCTAGGAATAAATCTTTAAAATGTCACCAAGACCTCTACATTGAAAAGCATAAAACCTTAATAACAGAAATTTTTAAAGCCTAAATGAACAGGGGTATACCATGTCCATGGTTAGGAAACTCGAGGTTACAAACATTTAAATTCCTCCTAGATAGATTTTAGATCAATGAAAATCCTAGCACATATTTTGTAGACATTTACACTCCGATTCTAAAATTTATGTAGAAATGCAAACAGCCAAAATAGTGTTTAAGATGAAGAATGATGATAAAGACTTATACTACCAGCTATCATGACGTATTATAAAGTTACAATAATGAAGATGGTGTGATATTAGCACAAAAATAAACTGAGCAACAGAGGATCTAGAAATATATCTGTACATATAAGGTCACCTGATTTATGGCACAGTGACACTTTAGAACCATAGGTGAAGAAGTGGCTTTTCAGTATGTGGTGCTTGATCAATGGCAATCTCCAAAGGGCAGACATTAATTTGTGCCTAACCTGACACCATACACAAAAGTCAATTCTGGAAGGAGTGCAGATCTAAGTGTGAAAGATAGCTTGTCAGAAAAAAAGCATAGAACGTGGTCTTGCTTTGAAGTAAGCAAAGAGTTCTTTGCAGGAACTGATTAAAATAAGAGCTGATTAAAACCACAGTGTCAAAAAATGTAAAATGCACCTTTCATGTCACAAAAGAACAAATTATTCAAGACTGAGGGGAGGGGGAGGCTGTTGAGGGGGTGTCAAAAGAGCAGAAACCATGGAGGGAAGAGATACATGAGTCCAGGGGAAGCTCCTGAGATGGAGAGCAAATTTCAATTTGATTCTACAAAGGAAGGAAGGCTGAGCAAGGTGAAAAGATTAAGATGTTTGGGTCTTGCTTCTTGGAGCAAAAAATTGTCTGGCCTGAGCGTTTAGAACTTAACATGATGATTTAGAAAACTCAGTTCAGGGCACTGCAATGCTGGATGGATGGAGAGAGACATGTAAACAACCATAAAGAGCTTCTGGGCAAAGATAAATGCACGCTGAACTCACATGTTTGCTTGGCTTTTTCTGCAATATTAAGTATGGGTGTAGATGAGAAGCTCCGTTTCAGTCATAGGGCATTCAATTTATTCAGCATGATAAAGGCTAATGCCTCACATTAACACTTCACTAACTGCATTTAAGGAAGAGAACTATGAGATGTTTACTACATGTAGATGCCCACAGAAGGAAATTACTTTAGAACAAATGCAAGTCAATCAAAAAAGAAAGAAAGAAATTTACACTGTATAATCTCCATCCCAGATGCTAAAGGAACAAGGATGTGGGTGTTCTCACTGTTGAGTGGCATTACCAGATAAAGTTTCTGGAAAAGGGTTGCTTTGAGCCATGAAGCTCCACTTTTTTTTTTTTTTCTGCAAATCAAACTCCAGGTCTTCAAGCATCCTTTGGAGCAGTTTCCTAGAAGAAAATTGGTCATAACAACCACAAGCAATGGACATGCTTAATTGAACCAAGCTGAAATATGCAAATAGTTTAGTATCTTCCCAGCCTTCTGGAGCTTACTGATTTCTCGCCTAAATTTGCACTTGCTCTGTCACTTGAAAACAAAAACGGAATCAGGTGATAGATGACCTCTAAAGGACGGCAGTGAGAAAGAGTGCTTTACCTAAGTTACTCTCAACATGCCAACTTGGCCATTAATCTTCACCACCTGGCGTGGTTAGGAATCTTTGGCAGCCAAGTAAAAGACGCCTAATAAATCTAGAAGCCAGTCCTTCTTCAGCCCTTACATTTGCAAGCAAAGAAACGTCAGACAGTGCAGCCACCAGTGAGGCAAACTGGAAGTGACAAATTTTCCTGCACTGTGTTCTCCCCCAGAGAATTAAAAAGGGAACACTATGTCCGAACTCAGAACACGGGGAAGTTGGGTGCTTCAAAATTCTGCAGATTGTGCACAGTGAGGTAGATAGTGTGGCAGAAATGGCTGACTGGACCATAGGGAGACCACATTTCTCAGCCTCCCAGGAGATTGAGTGTGGCCATGTGGCCTAACCAATGAAATGAAGGTGGAAGTGATTGTTGCTCCTCCTCTGGCCCTAGCCCTAGAAATGTCCCACACCTATTTATTACTCCATGCCCTTTTCCCTTCCAGCATGCTGATTCAGAGGAGCTCAGGGGCCTTGGAAGCCATGAGTTGATGATGACAGAGCTCCAAGGTGGAAAGATCCTAGATTTCTTCTTCTTTTTTTTTTTTTTTTTTTTTGGAGACAGAGTCTCGCTCTGTTGCCCAGGCTGGAGTGCAATGGTGCAATCTTGGCTCACTGCAACCTCTGCCTCCCAGGTTCAAGTGATTCTCCTTCCTCAGCCTCCTGAGTAGCTGGGACTACAGGTACGTGCCACCACACCTGGCTAATTTTTGTATTTTTAGTAGAAACAGGGTTTCACCGCGTTGGCCACACTGGTCTTGAACTCCTGACCTCAAGTGATCCACCCACCTCGGCTTCCCAAAGTGCTAAGATTACAGATGTGAGCCACTGTGCCCAGCCAAAAGATCCTAGATTTCTGAATCATCACTTAAGGAAGCCACCTGCCAATCTGTCATTTCACTTTGGATGTTACATGAGTGGAATATAATCTTCTCTCAAGCCATCATACATGATACATTTTGGAGTTGCATGCTACAGCAGCTAGTGTCATCTTAATTAATGCTTCATGTTCTTGTGTGATGACTACGCCTAGGAAGTATGGGTGATTTGACACCTGTGACACTGAAGCCCAGGCCATTCTGGACCAGTTAGCATTGAACAAAAGAACAAACCACCAGAAGCATGTAAGTATTTAGATTCTCTATGTGGACTTGATAGAGGATCTGTGACCAAAAGGGTGAGGTATTCCTATTCATTCAGCAAACTGTGGATGAGACAGATAAGTAACCAGACCATTCCATGCATGCAATAGTTATGATAGAATCACTGACCGAGTCTTGCAAAAGTCAGAAAAGACTTTCCAGGTAAGGAATGTCTAAACTGAGTCTTGGCAAATGAACAGGCAGGTACCAAGCAGAGACAGAAGTTGGGGAAGGCTTTGCAGAACTAGGAAACTTGGTTTGCGCTAAGTTACAAAGCTGGAAGGTCAGGCTGGCTGTAGTCAGAGGTGACAATGGAGAGGCACTCTAAAACAAGGACACAAAGGAAGTACCTCTGACACCAGGTTGAAGGGTATGACCCTTGCTCCTCTTGTCTTGAGGTTGAGCGGGAAAGACTGGGACCCAGATTTGTTTTGAACATGTCAGAAGCAGAGCAAAAGGCAGAGGGTCTTTTGGCAGACAGCAGTGACAAGGCCCCAGCCAGAAGGGGACTGCAGTGATTCTGCCCCAGTATGAGGAAGGATGGCTAAACTCACAATGAGAAGCCCAGAGTCAGCTGGCATTCAATATATCATCAGAAGCTCCTTGTGCTGGAGAGAGGCTGCAAGGGGCCTTTGCATCCCTGCCTAGGAAGCCATCTAGAATAGTAATTAAGAACACTGACTTAGGAGTTCAACTCAACCCCAGTTGCACCCCTCGGTTTCCAACTGTGCAACTTTGTATAAGTGATTTCACCTCTCTGACTCTCCGTTTTCTCATCTTTAATGATTGGGGTAATACCACCATTCTCCAGGTTTTACGTGAGCCAGAGTACATGAAGCACACACACAGCACAATACCTGGCACGGAGCAAGTGCTAAGTAAATAGTCCCTCTGAGCACTCTAAGAAAAGCACCTGGCCTGACAAGAATAGCCAGGGACACAGCTGGCAATGAGGAAGAAGAAACCTACCTCTTCCTTTCCATCCCCATTCTTATCATCTGGCAGAGTACAACACATCTGAGATTTCTCTTAGGGGCCCATGGCCGCGTACCTACAATCTATTATCTGCTGTCGTGTACCCTCCTGAAGCTGAGCTTCAAATAAAACATCCCGGGCACCTTTGTACAATGTCACACACTGGAAAACATCCTCTCTCACTGCTCTCTGAACAACAGCACCCCCTCCCCATTTATTTGTTTGTCCATCTATTTATTTCTTTATTTTGCAGGCCCATTTGGCCTTGTGATGTTGGCAGGTCTCCTGAAACACTGCTGAGAGATCAATCATGAAAACCCAGATCCTCACTGAGGCCCTCAGTAATGAGCGACCACATGCCAGGAAAATGCCATCTCAAGTGCTCATTGATTCTGCCCGCCCTGCTCCCGCACCCCACCCCAGCTTTGCAGCGGAGGGGGCTAATGGCTACTTAAAGGTGAGCTGACCCCAGATGCTCTCAGAGCCCTAGCAGGGGCCCTAGGGTGACTGAAATGGCTGAGAACTGAATCAATGTGGGTCTGTGGTTGTTCTGCCACATGCCAAGCCCTGCCAGGCTACTTTATTGTTTGCAGGGTTCCAAGAAGCAGCGGCATCTGTACCTGCTTAGCAGTGGCCAGCATGACATCTTGCCAGCCTGTGACACGGCCACTCAGCAGGCCGGGCTTTGACTGTAAACAGCTATTTGACAGATGACAAGATTTTCTAGAGCCGAGTCAAAAAGGAAACAGTGGGACTGAGACCTTCAGAGGAGAGATCCCGACAGCAAGGAGCTGACACAATTGTGCCTGGAAATGACAGGGAGCCGGGGGATGTGTATTCACAAGATGTGCAGGGGGGTTCTCCCTATGACAGCTGGGAATTGTGCAGCTCATGGACTGAATTTGTTCAACAATGTACCTGTTCTAACTGGTGCCACCAACATGCCCCAATACTGCTTTCTTAGAAATTGATTTCAAGGAGCAGGTGTTTTATTATTGCGCTTGTCATTAGTATTATTTTATTTTCGATGTCATTACAACAAATGTTGAAAATCAAACTGATCAAATGCATCATTGTCAGCAAATGACTTTTTAAGAGTTGGGTATTTTTTTCTTTTTTCTTTGCCCCTGAAATTGCTGATCTTCCAGTAGGAGAAAAATGGAAGATTTAATTGCATGGAACTCAGTATCATATTTCCCCTCTCCAGAGGGTTCATTATAGGCCCAAAACCAGAGAATTGCTCTGCCACCTCTTGCCTTCTTTTCTAGCTATTTCTGGGTTTTAATAATTATTCATTAATTGCACACTATGATAAGATCCTCACTGTTTTGAAACATTCTCCCTCTGGCCTCCCTACTATTAAAGACCCTGATTGCCTGCCAAGAGCGTAAAATTAAAAATCAAAGCGCTACCTCTGAAAGGTTTAATACGTGCCATATTGAAAGAGTTTTTGCAGCTTACAGCCATTTTATTGCATCTGCAGCTTGAGGGAAAGTGGAGTTCTATGTTGAAATTGTTCTCCTTTGAAACATAAGTCAACAGGACCAGCACTGGGGGAGTTTTTCTCACAGCTGTTATCTCCTTTGGATGAGAGGTGTATTCCCCCAGATAAAATTTGCCTCTTGCTGGTGTCAGACGTCAAAGATAACTTTAGGCTGCAGGAGAGAACCTCCCTCAAGGTTCTCTAAATTATAGACAAGCATCAATTTCAAAGGGCAAATCCCACTCAGGCTGGCCCCCAAGGCTATTAAAAATAGAATCCCAGACATTGTCTTGCAAAGCCTAGAGCTACCCCACCTACTCTCCTCCCTCTAACTCTGGATTTCATACTCCTTAAGGGAAGAATAAGAGACTGACTTTATGATCAACCCAATAAATTTTACACAGGGGCTTATTCAACATAGGATGAATGAGTAAAGGAATGAACAAATGTAGAAACTTAGCAAAGGACAGGAAAAGGACAAGCTAGAATTACTTTTAAAAAAACCAAATATCTTGTAAATTTTGCAATTCCTGTCACTCACTGAAATATGCCAGAGCAGGCTGATACTTGAGATCCCAAATGACACCCAAATTACCTTTTCATGTGAATACTCCCTGCTTCCTTTTCATTCTACACCATGGAAGCTTTCTGATCCATATTACCCGCCCCCAGCCTTTCAATACGTTTCTCAGATTAAAGAGTTAGTGGGGGAAAATATATATCAAGATCAGAGTGAGATAACACCCAACTATCTTCCCTGAAGGTGGCAAACCACTGCCTTTGGAAAAGAGTGGCAGGGTCCTCTGCTTTTGGAGCCTACTTCTCCCTTGGTTAGGGGCAACGCGGACTCCAGGGGGAGTTCTGCCAGGGGGACTTGGAGGTTAGTTTGGCCATTGAGCGGCCCGACCACAGGGGAAGACCACCTTCCCGCTCTGTCCCCCTACCAGCTCCCCATCCATCTTGCTAAGAGCCACCTTCAACCACTCAATAAAACCTTGCACTCACCCTCTAAGCCCTCGTGTGATCTAATTTTTTCGGCACGCTGGGCAAGAACTTGGGATACAGAAAGCCCTCTGCCCTTAGGATACTGCAAAGGATCTAACTGAACTAACACAAGCCAACTGCAGACAGCAAAGCTGAAGGAGCACACTGTAATACACACCCACTTGGGCTTGTAAATACTTATCCCTAGATGCTGCTATGGGTTGGAGCCCAGAAGGGCTACCCACAACCTCTGCACTTGCCCATCTTCATGCTCCCCCTTGGGGTTTGGGCAGTGTGGCACCAAAGAAGTGAGCCACACCCCTGTTGCACACCCTGCAAGAGGGATAAAAGAACTCTGTTTCACTTTTATAAATACTTGCTGCTAGCTGAACATTGAGCTAAGCACTTGGTATGTTTTATTTCAAAATTCACTCTCTCCATAAGTCTAAAAAGATTCTATTTCAAAGCCCTTCTTACAAGTGAGGAAACTGAGGCACAGAGAGGCTCAATAAATTACCTACGTTGATAGGGCTGTTGATTGTACTTAACCAGAACTTTACCTTTGATCTGTGGGACTAGAACACTTCTTATTCTGCATCATATTAGAATCATGATTTTGCAGGTCCTTGGCCAGGTCCAGGAAGAGGAAGCTGGTGGAGGAAGCAGCAGGTTGCAGACTAGACCCTCCTCCCGCTTGCTGCTCTGCAGATTCTCCCCCCACCCACCTGGGCTCCTGCTTCTCAGGGTGAGGCTTTGCATTCTCAGGCGGGGAGGCCATGGCTCCACCAGCAAGCCCCAGCTTCAGATGGCAAGCCCACTAAATGAAAGTGACAGCCAAGCCCATGAATACGTTTGTAAAACGACAGCTCAGCATCTCAATTTAACTCTAACAAAATTCAATTTCACTCAAGGAATGGTCTCCCTTTGGCCTCTGCTACCCTGCCCTGATGTCTCTCTTATTTAAATGTGTGCAGCTGCAATCTTCTGCTGCTCAGCCGACTGAACACCCCTCAGGGATTCTTAATGGGGAGCAAGGCACTGCTGGATTCATTAAATCCCACTGCCAAATAGCATCCGTCCTCACCCAGGAATGCTCGGTAGGAGATACATTATAAAAACCACGCATAACAGAGGGAAAGATAAGCCCATGAGATTCCTGCGGGCACCCATCTTCCCTTGTATGAATGACTGCAGCTTCCCAGGCCAGCGAGAAGCAGGAAGGAACAGAGAGAAAGTGAGCAGACGTGAGTTCCCTGGACCTTTCTGGAGAGCAGGGATGCTTCTGGGGCCATCAATGAGATGTTCATTTGGGCTTTGCCAAGAAGCACCAGGCCACTGAGCAGACTAATGGGCCGCATGAATGGCTCACTCCACATCCTCGTTCCCACACATACGGCTTTGATCATGGCTTTCCTCCATGCCTGGGATGTCTACTCATCTCCTCTTACTCCAGCCTACCCACATCCACTTCATTTACCTCTTTCTGATGCCACCTTCTCCCTGAAGCCACATCAACCTAACCTTTGTCATGATCAACTTGCAGAACTACAATATGCACATCCAACAGCCTAACGGTGATAGGCACAGGGTCTGGTGTCGGGCTGTCTGAGGTCATGTCCCAGCTCTACCATTTATCTTATGTGACCTTGGGAATGTTTCTTTCCTGAGCACTCATTGACTGTACCTCAATTTCTCCAACAGTAAAATAAGGCAAACAGTACCTATATCACATGTATCTTATAAAGAGTAAATGAATATGTAAAGCACTTTGTATGATATCTGACATGTGGTAAGTACTCAGTAAGTGTTCATTGTTATTGTTATGTAGTTTCATTTCTTACCTTCTATATCCAGCCATCCACGTATCCTCAGCTTCAGCCACATTAAGCTGCTCCTTACTTTCCAAGCACCATGCATTTTTCATGTTTCTACTTCTTTCAGTTCTCTCTGCCTAAAACTCTCTCCTGCTGCTTCTCACCTAGCAAACTCCTATTTGTCTGCAAAGTCTAATTCAAATGTCCCTTTCTCTGAGATATATGCCTTAAGCAGAGCAGATAGAATGACTTGGCCTCCTTTTTATATGTTCATAAGACTTTATATATAACCTTCTATAAAAGCAGCACTTATCCTTCTGCTTTATGGTTAGTTGTTTAAAAGTCTGTCTCTGCCATCAGATAGCAGACCTCTCAAGAGACAAGTCATAACCGTCTTTTTGTCTGCAGTACCCAGCATGGGACTGTATGCTGTGTTTAATTGGATCCTTCTGTGTAGAGGTTGTATTCTCTCCCCAGGTCTGTTGGCTTGTGTGATGCCAAGGCCAGTGTCTTTTATGCCCTTATAGCTCAGAACTCAAAGATTTCTTTGGTGATAATGAATACCCTCCACAGCCATGGCTTCTGATAGGCAGTTCTCAGAGCTTCGGTAGTTTAAACAAAGAACTTGCCTTTCTTTTTTTTTAAATCATTCTGGCAAGGGGATAGACATCTATCATGTGCCCAGATATGAGTTGCCTGCTGAGGGAAGACAGAAGGAGAAAGTTAAGAAAATGACAAGACTAGTGACCTTGTGAAGTGGTGTACAGAACTGAGAGCCAGACCTGACCTTCTCATGTGGGATAGGTTATCTCACACATGCTTGGAACAACCTGGGACTCACAGTAGGGCAAGCATGTCTCGGTTAAGGAAAAGGATCTTGGAGGTAGGAGTCCTTGGTTGGGTTGTGAAGTATATTTATGCAAACCTCCACAGTCAGCACAAACACACATGAACACACACATGTTCACATCCACAAATGTGCACATACATTTTCCTGTCCCTCCCACTCCCCACACCCTGCACTCTGCCATCACTATAATGCATTGTTTAAAAATCAGGCCTAAATAACACAGTGTCTTTTCTGTCCTTAGCATAAGTCAGTGGCCTTGAGTCCTTCAAAGGCTGGAGGCATGAAAATGGTTTCTTAAAAAGAATGTTGACATTTTCAGCTTTTGGTGAATAGCTCCTGACTTCAGTGGATTTTAGTAACCCATTTCGCACACGCACGCCCACAAATGTACACCCTTTGTGATCACCTTTTCTCCTCTTTTTAGTTGACATGTAATAATTGTACATATTTATGAGATACAGAGTGATAGTTCAGTACATGTATATAGTATGTAATGATCAAATCAGGGAAATTAGCATGCTTATCACCTCAAACATTTCTCATTTCTTTGTGTAGGGAACTTTCCAAATCCACTCTTCCAGCTTGTTGAAAACATACGATATATCATTAACTATAGTCATCCTACACTGCTATAGAACACTAGAACTCATACCTCCTCTCTAGCTGTAATTTTGTATCCATTAGCCAACTTCTCCAGATCCTCTCCTCCCCTTATCAGACTCTTGATCACCACAATTCCATTCTCTACTTCTATGATGTCAATTTTTTTTATCTCCCACATGAGTGAGAACATGTGGTACTTGGTTTTCTGTGCCCGATATTTCACTTAACTTCTTCCAGTTCCATTCATGTTAAAGTGAATGAGAGAATTTTATTTTTTTGTAGCTAAATAGTATTCCATTGCATATATACATCACATTTTCCTTATCCATTCATCTTTTTATAAAAATTTTGGTTGATTCTATATCTTGGCTATTGTGACTAGTGCTGCAATAACCACAGAAGTGCAGATCTCTCTTTGATAACCTGAATTCCTTTCCTTTGGATAAATACCCAGTATTGGGATTTCTGGGTCATACGGTAGTTCTATTTTTAGTTATTTGAGAAACCTCCATACTGTTTTTCATATAGCTGTACTAATTTACATGATCACCAACAGTATGTCAGAGTTCTCTTTCCTTTACAATCTCACTAGCATTTGTTTTTTTTTTTTTTCTCTTTTTAAGCCATTCTAGGCTAAAAAGGTCTCTGATCTCTGTGGTTTTGGTTTGTATTTCCCTGATGATTAGTGATGTTGAATTTTTTTCATATACTTATTGGCCACTTGTGTCTTTTTTTTTAGAGAAATGTCTATTCAAATCATTTGCCCATTTTACATCAGATTATTCAGTTTTTTGCTTTTGAGTTATTTGAATTCTTTGTAGATTCTGGATATTAGTCTCTTGCTGGATGTATAGTTTGCAAATATTTTCTCCCATTCTACAGGTTTTCTCTTCACCCACTTCATTGTTTCCTTTGCTGTGCAGAAGCTTTTTAGTTTGATATAGTTCCATTTGCCTATTTTTTGTTGTCTGTGCTTTTGAAGTCTTACCCAAAAAATCTTTGCCTAGACCAACATCCTGAAGCATTTCCCCTATGTGTTCTTCTAGTAGTTTTATAGTTTCAGGTCTTGCATTTATTTAAATCTTTATCCAATTTTGAATTAATTTTTGTATATGGTAGGAGATAAGAGCCTAGTTTCATTTTTCTGCATTTGGATATCTAGTTTTCCCAGCACCATTTATTGAAGAGAGTGTCCTTTCCCCAGTGTGTATTCTTGGCACCTTTGCTGAAAATCAGTTGGCTGTAAATATATGGATTTATTTCTGGATTCTCTTGTTATGTTGGTCTATATGTCTGTTTTTATACCATTATGCTGTGTTGGTTACTATAGCTTTGTGGTATATTTTGAAGTCAGGTAGTATGATGCTCCCTGCTCTGTTATTTTTGCTCAGTATTGCTTTGGCTATTTGGGGTCTTTTGTGGTTCCATACTAATTTAAGGTTTTTTTTTTTCTATTTCTGTGAAGAATGTCATTGGTATTTTGATAGAGATCTGTAGCTTGCTTTGGGTAGTATTGTCATTTTAACAATATTCTTTTAATCCATGAGCATGGGTTATCTTTCCAATTTTTTTGTCTTCAAGTTCTTTCATCAGTGTTTTGTAGTTTTCATTGCAGATATCTTTAGCCTTTTTGGTTAAATGCATTTCTAACTATTTTTCATAGCTATTATATATGAGATTGCTTTCTTGATTTCTTTTTCAGCTAGGTCGTTATTGGTGTATAAAGACACTACTGATTTTTGCATGTTTTTATCCTGCAACTTTATTGAATTTGTTTATCATTTCTAAGTTTTTTGGTGAAGTCTTTAGGCTTTCCTATATGTAAGACCATGTTGTCTGCAAAGAGGGACAATTTGATTGCCTTTTTTTCAGTGTATATGCTTTTTCTTTTATCTAATTACTCTGGTGAGGACTTTCAATACAATGTTGAAAAAGAGTGGTACAAGTGGGCATCCTTGTCTTGTTCCAGTTCAGTATGATATATGCGGTGGGACTGTCATATATGGCTTTTATTATGTTGAGGTATGTTTCTTCTATACCTAATGTTTTTTAGAGTTTTTATCATGATGGAATGTTAAATTGTGTTAAATACTTTTTCTGCATCTATTGAAATGACCATGTGGTTTTTATCCTTCATTCTCTTGATGTTGTGTATCACATTTATTGATTTGTGTGTGTTAAACCATCCTTACGTCCCTGGAATGAATCCCATTTGATCAGGGTGTATTATCTTTTTGATGTGCTGTTAGATTTGGTTTGCTAGTATTTTGTTGAGGATTTTTGCTTCTATGTTCATCAAGAATATTCACCTAGAGGTGTGTGTACTTGTCTGGTTTGGTATCAGGGTAAATCCTGGCCTCATAAAATCAATTAGGAAGAATTCCTGCCTCTTCAATTTTGGGGAAATAGTTGGAGAAGAATTGGTGTTAGTTCTGATTTAAAAGTTTGGTGGGCACATGTTCTTACTTACAAGCAAGAGCTAAACTATGGATATGCAGGGGCATATTCTGGACACTGGAGATGCAGAGGAGGGAAGGTTGGAGGAGGGTGAGAGAAGAAAAATTACTTATTGGGTTCAATGTATAGTATTCAGATGACAGGTACACTAAAAGCCCAGACTTCACTACTGTACAATTCACCAATGTAAACAAAAACCACTTGTGCCCCTAAAGCTATTGATTTTTTTTTTTAAACAACAACAAAATAAGTTTGGTAGAATTCAGAAATAATGTGATCCAGTCCTGGTCTTTTCTTTGTTGGGAGACTTTTTATTACTGAGTCAATCTTGTTACTCATTGTTGGTCTGTTCAGGTTTTCTATTTCTTCTTATTTCAATCTTGGTAGGTTATATGTGTCCAGGAATTTATCTATTTTCTCTAGATTTTCAAATTTGTTGGCATGTAGTTGTTCATAATAGTCTTTAATGATCCCTTGTATTTCTGTGATATTAGTTGTAATGTCTCCTTTTTCATTTCTGGTTTGAGTCCTTCTTTTAGTCTAGCTAATGTTTTGTCAATTTTATCTTTTTAAAAAATGTTTCATTCATTGTTTGTATTTTTTCCTCTATTTTGTTTAGTTCTGCTCTCATCTTTATTTTCCTTTCCTTCTACTAATTTAGGTTTGTTTTGTTTTTGCTTTTCTAGTACATTGAGGTGCATTGTTAGGTTGTTTATTTGAAATCTGTCTACTTTTTAAATGTAAGCACTTATTACCATAAACTTCCCTCTTACCACTGTTTTTGCAGTATCCCATAGGTTTTGTATATTGTGTTTCTATTTTCATTCATTACGAGAAATGTTTTGATTTCCTCCTGAATTTTTCATAGACTCACTGGTTGTTCAGGGACATTTTGTTTAATATTCATGTATTTATACAGATTGTGATTACTTTTTCATAGGGCTTCTGCGTAGCCAAGATAATGGTAACCTCCAAAGTATAGACAAGCATGGATGGGCCCCCTTTGGGAGACTGAGCTATGATGTGGAGAGTCAATGTGGATGGACAGCATTTGCGGGTAGACACCCAGTATCTAAGAAGGATTCTTTCACTCATATCTCATCCATGAGCAGATCTGTGGTGTTATTAAGAGGGACTCCAAATGTCATTTTCCTGGGGAGATCACATCCACGGCAGGTCTAGCTTATCAAGGAGAGTTGGAGGAGCTGGATCCCAACCTCAGTTTACCAGCTTGAATGGTCTGCTGACACGCCATGATGGTCTTGCACTCCTCAACCCACTAGAAATCAGAGATGGCGGCAATTCACCAGCGCCCTCACTACCACACCTTGCTCCCATGCTTAATTTCACTGCAGAGCACAGTCCCTGAGTTCTGTTCCCTATCAATAATTAACTCATTCATATTTTGGTGATGAAGTATCAGAGTTGGAAGGGACTCAGGGACCACCTAAAATAGCTGCCATGGTGTTTGTTTTCCCCAGATGTAGACACTAAGTGATGCGAAGACTAGAATCTAAGCAGTCCAGAAATGGAACATTCACCTCGTGCAGAGAAAAATTCTCTCCCAGCTACAGACCCCACCTCTAGCCACGGTCAGTTGCCTCAAAAACTGTTGCAAAGGCAGACGGAGAGAGAACAGGATAGGGCAAAAAGCCAGCCCCACCCCTCTTCTGGAAAACACATCGAAACAAAGGTATCACCATGCTCTTCTGATTATAGGAAAGCAGAAGCATCTTTGAAATATGAAAGACAAATAGATGTTTCTTTGCTTTTTAAAAAGATATTTAAGAGTCCCAAAGAGAAGAAAATCCATAACCTCCCGCTGGAAAGTTGTTAAAAATATAATCCTCTCGTGCCTGGATTATCTGCCCAGCAGGAGCCGCTTCCTCCACCCCCTTTATAACTTAGACCCTTGAGAGCTCCTGGTTAAAGTAGAGAACACATAAACCATTTCACACAGGCATGAAAACAGTTTGGAGATCACCACCACCGCACCTCCACCCCCTTCCTGCCTCCTTGTCAACTAACCTTGATGGTTTTTGTTGTTGTTGCTGCTGTTTTATTTCCCTGCTACATCATTTTCCAGCAGCTCATCCCTTTCTTTCTCGTGCCTGGATGCTCTCCATGTGCCTGACCTGTGCCAATTACATTCTCGATGCTTTGAGGACAGGGACCTTGTTACATGTCATGGTGCTGCTCACATAAGGTCACAGGGCCCTAGACTTTCTAGCTCAGAGGGATCTCCGAGATTGACTGCCCAGTGCCTCTAGGATGCTGGTGTGGATTTTAGTCTGCCTAGTGTGGAATTCAGAGCTTCTGTAGAATTTCTAGGCTCCCTGGTGGACTGGGATGCTTGTGGAACTTTTCCATCTAGCCTGCCCTTCACATTTTAAAGGAGCAGCATAGCCTTTCCCCAGTGCCACATCTAGGAAGTGGCAAACCTAAACTCTAGAACAAGGAATTCAGTTGTCCTGGCCTCTCCATGGGCTTTTCACTCTACTGGTGTTCTTATCCCTGAGTAGCATTAGAATTGGGAGCCTTAAACAACAACAACAACAAAAAACCCCATTGCTTAAAAAAAAAAAAAAAAAAAAAGTTCACCTTAGACCAGCCAAATCAGAAGCTTTGGACATGGGCATCATTATCTTAAAAAAAAAAAAATCCCTTGGTGATTCTTATCCAACTCAAATTGAGAGCCATAGGCTTCCCTAGGTTACTCTCAGTTGAAACTGGTTTAACAAATACCCGGAAATAAAGTTCTTAAGTAAGAGGCTTTAAACCAATCTGTATGTAGCAGCCAGTGCCTAGATACTAACTAAATATAAGATCCAATTCCTGCAAGGAGAGCCAATTCTCAGCCTCAGAAGGAGCTGCCACCAACTTATCCTCCTGCCTTTGAGCTGGAGGCCAGGGTGCAGCAAATCAGGCTGCCCTTGCTTTGAGAAGCCAGCCCTGCATTTTCTGTGGCCCCGACTTGCAGCTGGTCAGTCTCAGGAACAAACAGCTACTGATGGATTAGCTGAGCTCAATGTGGCTGTGCTGGTTCAGCACTTCTCAGCACAGAATGACAAAGTCAAGGAGCCAGAGATGATCACTATGCATGGGTACTAGACTTTGGGTATGGGATCAGGAGACCCTGTGTGACCCACTATGGGGCAAGCAGATTCTCTCTCCTGGACTTTGAATTTCTGCCTAGTGGGTCAATAGTGTTTGGACTTCCCTACCCCTAGAACCTGGTAAATTTTCATCATCATTTTCATATTGCCTGTTTGACTTGGGTTCCCCTATCAGATATTCTTCAGCTGATTTATAAATGGTCCATGAACACATATATTATACAATGGTGAGACTACATGCCAAATGCCTATGGCTTTACAGTGTTTAGCAGGGCTCATTCCAGGTTAAGCCTGGTAAAAACTGCAGAATGTGAGGCAGGGCTTCCAAGAGTGCTTCTGGATCTGCTGCTTCCTTCTCTACTTGACAAGTGCTAGAAATTTTAGAGTCCACTGAGCAGGTGTTTGATTTGCTTCTGAGGTGTCCCCTACATGAAGTAAATTCCTTACTCTGTGTTCAGTGAAGAGACTGTCAAGGAACAGCCTGCTCCAGAGTCCCCAGTGCATCATCCCAACATGCCTGACAGAGAATGAGGTGGTGAAATCCAGAGCCAGGGAGAAGCTCAGAAGAAAGGGTTTGCAGAAGTTTAGAAGCTAGCACTGTTCTTGCTGCCCAGGCTGGGAAGCTGATGTTCTGGAAGCCAATGTAAGCAGAGCTGCCTGGATCAGGGGCACTTACCCTTTCCACATAGCCTGACCCCAACCCAAGCCAGCTTTCCACTTGGGTGTCTAGAAACTGGAAGCTCCAGTCCTTGGCTGTGCCTTTACTGTCTCTCTGCATTTAGGGTAGCTTAGATCCCATCCCAGTTCCCCATGCTACTCCTGTCCTCACCTCTCCTTCATTTTTGACCTGGACTCTTTATGGCCTTGAGGAAGAACAAAGGTCACAGGACCCACACTGGGAACTGACACAAGGAAAATGCTTTCCACTAAATGAAAAACGGAAACATCAGTTAAGCCACCTAGAGATAGCCACAGCAATATAAAGTTGGCTTTGCACAACAAACATGTTCAATCAAAAAGCCAGGCAATGGTTCTCAACCTGGGATATACATGGAAATCAACAGGGGATCTTTTTAGAAACATTTCTACCGAAGTTCCATTCCCAGAGATCCTGATTTAATTTGTCTAGGGTTCAGTTTGGTCATTGGGATGTTTTTAAAACTTCTCGGGTGATATAATGTTCCAAGCCAAGGCTAAGAAGCATTTGGGCAAAGGGACAGTGGAAAAATAGAGGTAGAGGCCACATGAGAGACAAAGAGTTGAAAAATAAAGATTGGGAGAAGGAGGGGAGGAAAGAAGAATTTCAGATTGGGATTTAAATCAAAGGAAGGTGAATGAAAAAAAGAGACACAAGGCAGGAAGGAGAATGGGACTGGGGAAAGGAATCAGACTGATGAAGAGCATGCAGGTGGCTGGGGGAAGGGACGAAGGCAGGGAGAAAGATAAGGGCACAAAAACAAAGAGAAAGCAAGTAAACTCAGAATAGATCCAGGTGAAAGAAGAGGAAGAACACCATTTATTGAGCACTTACTATGTGCTGGAGGCATTGCAAAACAAAGAGAGAGAAAAGGAAAAGGGGAGTAAGGAAAACAAAGCCCCTAGACATGGGCCACTGAGAGGAGAGAAAAGGAAGGGAATTTTCAGAGCAAAAACTAATGCAATTGAACAAACACATGCAACCTGTTCCAAAGAGCCCAGACAACAGCACTTTGTAGTCAATTTTAAAAAAATCTCAGTGGGGGCAATAAACCCAGGATTTTCTTTAAGCTTGGTCTCTTTCCTTCCGCATGCAATCGGCCACTAGCACCCTGAAGATGTTCTTCCCTGCACTGTGCTGGGGTGCAGGCCAGCTTGGAGAGCCAGTGGGGCTCAGGTGATCTGGGAGGAACTGCTTTTCCATAAGGGTGGGGGAGAGCTGGCTACACTAAAGAGTCCCAGCTCACTAAGGCTCCCTGACATGAGCTCTTACCAGCAGCTCCATTTTTGTTTCTACTCTGAAAAGAATCAAAAGAGAAGGTGTTGCCAAGGGAGCTCAAGAGCACGGTTATAATTAAAGTCTCCCTAGCACTTTCATTAGAAACCTGCTTTGGTGGTTTATTCCTCAGCAGTAAAATTGGAGCTGCTGCGCTGGTTCTCATGACACAGGGGCTTGGCAGGAACAGAAACACACTTTGATCACAACAAAAAATGGCACATTATGATGACTGAGCCAGAATGAAGGGTAAATGCTTCTGGATACTGAACAAGTTCCCCACTCTCCCCCAACACAGAATTATTCCATAATAAAATAAGTCACCTTCCATGCCTAAAGAAAAGGAATTGAACCCATGATCAGCAGAAAATGAACTCTGAGTCGTCTCCAGTGGTGGGGATGTGGGGGTGCTGATCTGTTCCCCCAGGTCTTCTACACACCTCCAACTAGGTCACCAGGCCACACAGGACAAGGACTTGTAGGTTACAACTTCGAAGACAGCGAACTCATTTCCCACTTGAAAAAAACAAAATTAGGCCCATGGTAACCTTAGCTTGGAGTGCAAACTAACTGCATGAGGTATGTGCTACAAGTATTACCGCCCACCTGGCCAGTCCTAATGTTATTCTGAAAAAAAGGCCAGGCACGGTGGCTCACACCTATAATCCCAGTGGTTTGGGAGGCCGAGGCAGGTGGGCAGATCATGAGGTCAGGAGTTCAAGACCAGCCTGGCCAACATGGTGAAACCCCCATCTCTACTAAAAATATAAAAATTAGCCAGGCATGGTAGCGTACGCCGGTAAGTCCAGCTACTCAGGAGGCTGAGGCAGGAGAATTGCTTAAGCCTGTGCGGCGGAGGCTGCAGTAAGCCAAAATTGCACCATTGCACTCCAGCCTGAGCAATAAGAGTGAAACTCTGTCTCAAAAAAAGGAAACAACAACAACAAATCAATTCACCTCTAAATACCCAAGACCACCTCCACTTACATAGCCTTCATTATAGCCACACAGTATTTCAAGTGCTTCACCAATATTAAACTGTTTAATCCTCAGATCAACCCTATGAGATAAGTACCATTATTAGATTCATTTTACAGATGAAGAAACCAAAGCATAGAGTGGCGAAGTAACTCTCCCAAGAGAGTTAGTAAATGGTGGATTTGGAATAAAACCCAACCAGACACTGACCCCAGAAGCCACCTTTCTATTCTGTCTTTAAGAGGTATCTCGGTGTCTCTCTCCCCATCTCTCCAGAGTAAAGGTGAAAACTGATGCTATTAAACAGATTACTCAGGATCTAAAACACTCTGAACTCACAGATAAAAGTGTTTAGTTTGGTTTGGGTGGGAGGCAGGGAAGGGATTTAAATTTTCTGAATAACTGTTTCAATTCACTACTATTAAAAATTTAGTGAACATTTACTATGTGTCAATTTCTACGCCCAGAGGGATAGGAAAGAAATACTAGATGGGACCAAGCAAAATCAGTTCTAAACTGCTCTAGGATCCTTTAACATCCCTGCATAAAAATTTTACTATCTATTGAGGAGGCAAGACATGCACAGGCACATTCACATACACATATACAACCAGCATACAAGACTCTTTAGACTGAGAGATCATTTTAGCCAAAAAAGACCCAGGAAAGCGTCAAGTCCAATGTTTCCTTTTAATGAATGGTGTCTAACAGCCCCAGAAGACTCAAATGCCTTCCCAGGGTCACTTGACCCCTGCTCCCCACCCCTGGTTATGAGGAGTTTGAAGGCAGAATGGGGTGGGTATGACGGGTCCCCCAGTGATAAGGTAGTGCAAGGCAGAAGGTCACTGTCTGATTGTTCACATTGTAAAGTCACCCATCCTGGCTGTAATTTTCCACTTCTGTGACAATCAACCCAGAGATTACCTGTAAAGATTTGACTAAAGAATTTGGCAACACTTGGACCTCCAGTCAAAGTGACCTGGACAAAATATCAGGGAGGCGGGATGGGAGGAATGAGTTTCTAGGCAACGATGGGTGACCAGCAAGGAATGATTAAACTGGAGGACAGAGATGAGCTGCCCAAAGAGCCAGATGGAGAGCGCTTCTTTCCTCCAGTGCCACAAGGTCTCAGGACTTGCAGCCTCAAATATCTCTCTAATGTGAATCCCATCTCTTTCTTGAAGTTTTCATCCTCCAACCAGGACCTGTCCCTGAACACCAACTGTCTACTTGCATCTCTGCTTAGGTGACAGAAAAAAAAAATCACATCAAACTGAGCATATCCAAATACACTCCCAGGCTCCCCAAGCCTGCTGTTTCCTTCCTCAGCACAGTTCATGACAACCCCATCTTTCCATTTGTTCAGGTCAAAATCTTCTAAGTTATCCTATGTGTAGTAAAGAACTTGGCTGGCTCTTCTCCTCAGCTCCTAGGAGTTAACCTATAAGCCCTTGAATTTCTGAAGAGAGAGCAATGTCTTTGTTTTCATGCTGAGCCTCTCAGACCATGTCTGATAATGTATGCCAATGAAGTGACTCATGGTGGGTCCCTACATAGTTGTTGCTAATGAGATAGCTCAAGATAGGGCAAGTCACACCAGAAAAACCAACCATGTGATTAGGGGGTTGGGACTTCGGCACACATGATATCTGCCTGACCTCTAGGAGGGAGAGGAGGGGAGCTGAAGACCTGGGCTATGATTCAATCAATCAGGCTTATGTAGTGAAATGCCAGTGAACACTGGCCACTGAAGCTTAGGTGAGCTTCCCCAGTTGCCACGACCCTTGGAGTGTTGTCATATATTGTGTTGAGAGAGCAATGTGTCCCTAAGGATGGAAGCTTTGCACTTGAAACTCTCAGATTTTACCCCATGCAATTCTTCTAATTTGTATCCTTTTGCTGTAATAAAACTGTAATCTTAAGTATAGCGCTTTCAGTGAATTCTGTGGGTCTTGCTGGTGAATTACGAAACCTGAGGGTGGTCGTGGTCATCAAACCTAAATGTGTAGCCAGCTGGTTAGAAGTGAAGGTGGCCCTGGGACTCTTGAATTTATAGCTGCTGTCTCAAGTGAGGATAGTCTTATAGAGGACTAACTCCTTCATCTGTAGGGTCTGGCCCAACCCCAGGTACCTGGTGACTTCTATATCTCTCACATTCTGCATCCAATCAATCCAAGAAATTCTGCTGGCTCCAGTCTAACATTAGTTTTAGCATCCAATCACTTCCTGCCACCTCCTGGTCTAAGCCACAGGTCTCTCCCTTGGATTACTGCGTTAGCTTTCTAATTACCCTCCTTTCTTTCTCTCTGACCCTTTAGTCTCTGCTACCCAACACAGCATCCAGAGTGATCCTTTCAAAGGCTCAGTCAGATCAGATCATGTCACTCCTCAGCTCAAGCCCTCCCAATGGCTCTGCATCCAGCTCCAAGAAAAAGATGAAGTCTTTACTGTGGTTCTCCAAGACCTGGTCACCCTCAGCCACCACTTTTTTCCCTGACCTCATTTCCTACTACCCCATTCTCCCTGACTCTGCTCAACCACACCAGCCTTACTTGACATACCAGGTATGCACCTATCCTAGGACTTTTGGACCTTCTGTGCCTTCTACCTGGAATTCTCTTCCCCTAGGTACCCTCAGGGCTTACTTCCTCACCTCCTTCAGGTCTTTGCTCAAATGTCACTGTCTCAGTGCACCCTTGCCGACACACTCTCTACAGTTTCACTCCCATGTTTGATCTTTCTCTTTAGTACTGATTGCCATTTGGGATGCTACATACGTGGCACTTGTTTATTTTCTTATCCTTCCTCCACCAACTGACAATAAACTCCATGATGACAGGGATTTTTGTCTATTTTGCTCTTAATGTCTAGAATACCACTTGGCATTTAATGAATTCTCAATAACTATTTATTGCACAAATGAAAAAGACCCTGTTTACCAAGGAAATATAATTATAATTTGGTTCTTATTCATTGTTGATGGGAATGAAAAATGGCATAGCTACTCGGAAGACAATTTGACCATACACCAAACACACACTGGCCATATATGTACCATACAACACAGCAATCCCACTTCTAGCCATTAACCCAAGTGAATTCAAAGCCATGTTCACACGAAAGCTTGTACATGGTTTTTTTTAAATCAGTTTTATTTCATAATTTCCCCAAACTGGAAACTACCAACATGTCCTTTCCTGCAGCTTATCCATTGTGATGTTGATCTTTGGCTACAAACACTGGGATCTGCATAATAGATGTGTTTCTCGTTTTACAATTCCACCATAAATTGTCACATTGGCACTTGAGTTTTTAAATCTGTATTACTCAGTGTTCTCTAGAGGGACAAAGCTAATAGGATAGATGTATACATGAAAGGGAGTTTATTAAGGAGTACTGACTCACACGATCACAAGGTGAAGTCCCACAATAGGCCCTCTGCAAGCTGAGGAGCAAGGAAGCCAGTCCAAGTCCCCAAACCTCAAAAGTAGGGAAGCTGACAGTGCAGCTTTCAGTCCGTGGCCCAAGAGTCCCTGGCAAACCACTGGTGTAAGTCCAGGAGACCAAAAACTGAAGAACTTGGAGTCCAGTGTTCAAGGGCAGGAAGCATCCAGCATGGGAGAAAGATGGAGGCCAGAAGACTCCGCTGGTCTAGTCCTACAATGTTCCTCTGTTTTTTTTTGTTTTTTTTTTTTTTTTTTTTGAGACGGAGTCTCGCTCTGTCGCCCAGGCCGGACTGCGGACTGCAGTGGCGCAATCTCGGCTCACTGCAAGCTCCGCTTCCCGGGTTCACGCCATTCTCCTGCCTCAGCCTCCCGAGTAGCTGGGACTACAGGCGCCCGCCACCGCGCCCGGCTAATTTTTTGTATTTTTAGTAGAGACGGGGTTTCACCTTGTTAGCCAGGATGGTCTCGATCTCCTGACCTCATGATCCACCCGCCTCGGCCTCCCAAAGTGCTGGGATTACAGGCGTGAGCCACCGCGCCCGGCCTGTTCCTCTGTTTTTATCCTAGCTGTGCTGGCAGCTGATTAGATGGTGCCCACCCAGGTTGAGGGTGGGTCTGTCTCTCCCAGTCCACCAATTCAAATGTTAATCTCCTTTAACAAGACACACACACACACACACACACACACACACACACGAACAATACTTTGCATCCTTCAATCCAGTCAAGTTGACACTCAATATTAACCACCACAATATATCAGTCTTCCCAGGTGGTTGGTGGGAGTCCATCCCTGAAAGACAGACCCAAACTCATCATGCTGACAGTAAGGATGAGGAACAGTGCTTAGGCTTGAGTGCCACTGTTAAAGCAAGTGACTCTTTTTACAGTCTCTTAATCTTCTCTTCTTTGGCAAGTCCCAAACTCAGTGCCTACCCTTGTGGTCTCAATGCAACCCCATCTGCTTGGCTTTGAATCAAATACTAGTAAGCCTCAGCCCACCATAGGTCTTGCGCCTAGTCCACTCCTCATTCCACTCATGTAGAAACAGGGGCTGAGTGCTTGTCTAAGGTCACACAGGAAACCAGTGACACTCTGGGCTAGAAGCTCAGGGCTGATCCTCTGAGGACCTAGCCATCATCTGTGTGAATGTGCACATGTAAGCATGTGTGTGTGTATCTTCAACCTCACTGTGTTTTCTCCTTCTGACTAAACCTTTCTCTCTCATTCTCATTCCTTAGATTTCTCTTCTTGATTTGATAAGAAACAAACTTGCTAGCCAGAAAATGCTAGCAGTGAAATCCAAAAATTGACCAGTGTGTGGTTTGTTTAAACATTACCTTGCAGCATCTTTGCATTTGAATTTCTGTTGCTCAATAGCATCAAGTTATTTGGTTTTGGCCAAACTCAGTATTATGTCAAAGAACAAATGATAAACTGTTTGAAGTTTAATTCTACTATATGAAAAGAAATAATGAGAGCAGCTTAATTTCTGCAAAGGCATGTTTTTGTTCAAATGAACTTTAAGCAGAACTAGCACATTCATGGGGGTTACTGAGAAATAAAATTAAGGCACATCAGCCCTTTTCTCCCACATATTAAATTACAATGCCTTTCTCACCTTCCCCCTTCCCTTAATAAAACAAATGCTCAAACTCATCACTGAGATAGAACCAGCTGCCCCAGGTCCTGTAGCAGCAGGGAGAAATACAGACATTCCTTCAAGTTAAGTGTAATTTTAATCTTTATGGCTCTGGCAGTTAGAGCAATGGGACACCTTTTGTTTGGGAAATACTGATCCCTTAAGCTGAAAACTAATAAAACCAAATAGGCTTTCAGGAATGTTCATCAAGTGAGAAAAGCAAAAGGAAAGGCTCCATAAACTAGCTGTGTCCAAGCATAGAGGCCACTTCTGCACACACAGCCCAGACGCTCTCTAATGTGCCCGAGTATGCAGGAGATCTCGGCTCTGCCTAAGACATCTGAGCTGGAACTCAAAGAGGAGCATAGTGCCTATTAGTTCAAATGAAATTAGCTTAAAGGATATGAAAGTTTTATCAGATAAGCGAAGTTAATTGAAATTACATCTCTGCCTAGAAGTTATGCACATGGAAAAAATGATTTGATTCAACGTGACAATTAAAATCTCATTATGTATCCTGTCCCCAGTGATCCATGGGAGACTTGAGAGCTGAGGGAGGACAGGCTAAGCCTCTTGGCTCGGCAGCCGATGTGGAGGAGGCATGGTTGCCAGGTAACTGCTTAGTAACCAAGAAGGCAGAGGGGCAATGGGGAGGGGGGGACATGGCCAGAAAGGCTGCCTCCAAGCTTTTGTTGCAGACATGGGTCCCACGATTCTTTGCCTGGACCTACATAACAATCTTGGAACAGTGAAAAAGCTCTCAGTCAGCCCATTTGTCTTTGGCTTACACAACCCCAAATAGTTAATCTGATGGGTTTTTAAAAATATGATCAACTTGACCAACCAGTTGTTTAGGCATTTGCAGAGTCTAAGTTAGAGCTGTTCTAAGGGGAGATC
This sequence comes from Homo sapiens, assembly GCF_000001405.40. Lineage (NCBI taxonomy): Eukaryota > Metazoa > Chordata > Mammalia > Primates > Hominidae > Homo > Homo sapiens. Next base: position 132,588,975 of record NC_000002.12, on the reverse strand, counting down.
AGAGCAAGAGCAGGCCCAGTTTGCCCTCAGACCCTTTCTGCTTGGTTTCTCTATCTCCCCATTTGAGGCTGATTCCAAAGGTTTCTGCAAAAACATCTCTCATCCCACAGCCTCTTCTACAATGTGTGTTTGACACACTTGCATTGAAGGGGTGGAGTCCAGTCCTCCTCTGCTCATCACAGTGGACTTGGGACTGGTTCTATGAATAGCATGTGATAGTGGTGACAGTGTGTGACCTCTGGCACCAGGTCTGAAAAGATGCAGCTTCTTCCTTGTTCACTGGAACATTCAAGCTTGAAGCCCTGAGCTTCCAGGTAAGCAGACTTTCAATTCTGACTTCCCAATGCCACCATGCTTCAAGGAAGGAAAATGACAAGCAGTCTTCGGTCTCCTCTCCCAGAAATCCCAGCAGCCCAGGCCCCACACACAGAGTGAAGCAGCCTCCAGATAATTCTAGGCTCCCAGCCATCAAGTCAGCCCCCAGCCTCCATGTTTTCTTAGCTGAGATTCTAGACATCACAAAGCAGAAACAAGACATTCTCACTGTGCCCTGCCTTAACCCACAGAAATGATGAGCATAATAAATTGGTAGTGGTTTAAACCAGTAAGTGTTGGGATAGTTTATCTTGCAATAACTAAGACCCTTGGCCATCCTTCCCTCCCACCAAGGGATACAGAGCTCTTACTTCTGCTGAGAAGGGAGAAGGTGCAAGTGCGAAGAGAACCTCCCTCTCACTAAAGGGGTACAGAGGAGAGCTGGACCAGTGCTACAGGTCTTTAACCCATACATTGCTAGCCACTGCCTGCCTTTTTTAACTCCAGGACCTTCTCCATCACAATCGCAAACACCTTTTCCCTTCTTTTCCACCTCCTCTCACCTTCAGTCTCTTTCCAGGCTGAACCTTCTAGTCTGCAATAGGATGTCAAGATCCTATACTCCATGAGTTATACCCATACTGAAGGCCCAAGTAAGACACCTCAGCACCCTTACCATGAAACTCATGAACCTTAAAGCTGGTTTTCATTCATTATTCCAGTCAACTCCTCATGTTCATAATAGACTGCCCTCTCTGTTCCATCACCAGAAAGTACATGGCCATGGAAAAATAACTTACTTTAACATATATTAAAGACAAATCTAGGCTGGGCGCAGTGGCTCATGCCTGTAATCACAGCACTTTGGGAGGCTGAGGCGGGTGGATCACCTGAGGTCAGTAGTTCAAGACCAGCCTGGCCAACATGGCGAAACCCCATCTCTACTAAAAATACAAAAATTAGCAGGGTGTGGTGGTGGGTGCCTGTAATCCCAGCTACTCGGGAGGCTGAGGCAGAGAGAGCTGCTTAAAAACCCAGGAGGCAGAGGTTGCAGTGAGCTGAGATCGCACTACCGCATTCCAGCCTGGCCGATAGAGCAAGACTCCATCTCAAAAGAAAAGAAAAAGAAAAAAGAAAAGACCTAATCAAGAAAGCAAAGACACTCCCATTTTAAAAAGTATTTCACTATAGTCCAAAGCCAAGTAACAACAAATATACACTTCTTATGAAGGACCTTAACACTAACACTGGCCCCAGCTCCAAGAGGCAGTTGTTCTTTAACAGTATCCTGGTTCTTGGCCTATTATGACAGAGAGTAATCTAAAAAATAACTGGAGAAATGGCGAAAGAGCCACAGATCTCCTAATGTGCTGTAGAACCTTGGTTTCTATGCTTTTGTTTGTTTGGAGATACTTTTTTTAAACTGCACAACTTCACTGAAAGACTTGACAGCTCCCACTTCCAGCAGATACAATGCTGGTGAAATGCCACAGCAATCACCACAGATCAGAATCATCCCGGACCGTCCTAATCTCTCTGGAACCAAAGCTTTTCAATGCAGTCTTTACCGCAAGACCTTTACAAATTTTAACTGTGGAAACATATTTTCAGTCTTTTAATGCTGACAAGCAGAAAACCAGATTGAACATATAAACTCTTGATACAGTATGAGAGATACCCAAATTTTAAAATCCTACTTTCCATTGCAGCCCACTTATTACATCAGAGATATTTTCTGATGGACATCAACCTGAAAGAAAACCTAAAGAACTAAACTATCTCCATTTCCTGAAGAAGTTGGAGATATTGCTGAGAGTCATTTGAAACCAGGTACATGAAGAAAGACATCGAGAATCCCATATGGTGGGCACATATCTACAATCTCAGACAGCACCATATTCTTTTGAAGACCCAGCAAACTGTGCACCACGCAGTAAGTGTCTGAGTGAATTCCTCTAGAATATCTCTAATTATAAGCTTAAAGACTATCACCTTGTGGTTTAAAAATAAAATGTGATGCCTGCCAGGCCTGAATTCAGCAGCTCTGCTGTGGATACATCCTAACCCATCTCTATCCAGGAAAGTGGGAGTTGATGTTGCTAAATTGATGTCAGGAAGGATTGCCAGGGAAGGCCCCAAGGGTGTCTCATTTGGGTACATCCTCAGGGACACCAGCAAACACGCAGACAACAGATGGTACAGCAAATTCCTCCTAAGGAAGAGAGGCTAGCAAGGGAACCGTTTGGTCAGCCAGCACGCCTTGCCTTTCCAAACTCAGAAGCTGGAGCGCGCCTGTCACCAGACCGTTTTACAATGGAGTTGCTGAACAATGCAAGGCGCAGGGCTGAGTGGTGGCATGGTGCCTTCAGAATCACCGACAGGCTGCTCTCCTCTATAAATGCTAACTATAAATGCTCCAAGTGAATGGCTTTTTGTTGCTCCCCTCTCCCCGCCACCCGCCTTATTAAGCGTTGGAGGAGACAGCGCAGATACTTTACCGTCTTTCTTTGAGGAACACCAAATGCTCCAACATTAGCGTTATTAACATATGCATTAGCCCAAGCTGATTTGCTCTCGCAGCAGCAGCTCCCAGCTTCCCACCAGCGGCAGCAGCCGTGAATCAGACGCCACAAATGGGAGTGTTAATGAACTTTCTGCGGTGCCACTGGTCACTCTGAGTGGGGCATTAAAAAAAAAAAAAAAAAAAAAAAACCGGGGATGCTTCGAGAAGCCCGATCACTGGGTGTTGATTTCTCTCTTTGGCCCCCTCGGGTACCCCACGATAACAACAACATAAGCCCAACCCAGGGGCCTTCACCTCGAGGGACACCAGAATGCCAAGAGGCAGCTGCGTGATCACGCCCCGAAATGCGTTTCCAAATCTGAAGCGGCAGGAGGGAGTTATTAGAAAACACCGGGCTGTCCGGCCCTCCGAGAACCCCAGCAGTTCGCAAACTGCGCCCCCCTTGCCCGTCCACTCCACTGGCCACCTCGAGCACCAGCTGACCTCCCCACGCCAGTGCCTACAACACGCATCCCGGGGGCGGCCGGAGCAGGGAGCCCGTGGAGCCGCGCCGGCGGTTCGAAGTCCAGGCCCCGTCCGCACACACAGATGCGCGCAGAGAAAGCTGCTTTTTGGAGAGTTTGGAAAATGTGTGCGAGGGCAACTCACATCAGTCACGGGAGAAGCGGGGAGGGGACGGAAGGGGATGGGAAAGAAATGAATCCCTAAACTCTGATGCATGTGGAAGGGCTCAAGGACTGGGACTGGCAGAGGGACACCTTGTGGGCAGGAGGTGACTCTTCTCCAAGGACCTGAGGAGAGTCCAGAAGCTAGAATAGGGGTTTAGGGAAAGGCCTGGGGGACAGGGACTCCTATGACCCTAGCTGGGGACGGCAGCAATGTGACTGCTTCAAGGGCCCACAGAGAGCCCCCAAGTTGTTACGGGAAAAGCAGTGGAACGGTAAAGGGGCGGGTGCAGTAGGGATTGTTGTCCTAAATCCTTAATCCATGAGACACCTCTGTGAGGTTGAGGGAGTGTGGGGCTTACTATTTAATATACCAGGGGCTCCCACGTAAAGAATGTCAACCAAAGCAGTGCAAAAACATTTGGTGTATTTTGAGACCTCCATGAATGGCCTTCTGGCCCACCACACAGCCCTGATGGTGGGGGGCAGGAGAGCCCATGGCCTCCCCTTCCCCCGTGCTCAGGTTTTTGAGGAGGTTCTGAGATCTGTGGAAATCAGTGTCTCCAGAAATGCTCTCTCTCACTGTTAAAAGTCCATAAACAAGATTTTGTAGGTTATCCAAATGAATGCAGACAAATCAAGAGGCTTATTCCAGTTTGGGGGAGCGAACACTGGTAATCGTCTAATAGACATCCCATTTTCTACCAAATTGCCTCTGAAAGCCTCATTTGCATCCGATCCTGCCTGCTTTTCGAAACGGTGTTTTTTTCTTAGAAGCCTCTAGAAGTGAGTTCTCTTTCCTTCCTTTCATCTTCCCTTTGGAAATGTAACTACGTTTTTTTTTTTTCCCCTGAAAGAACTGGAGACTTGGCCAGCCCTCCCTTTCAGACAGAACCTTGGGGACTCAGGGTGGGTACAGAAAGGGGCAGAGATCTTGCTAGCCTTCCTTCCCTTTCAACCTCCCTGCCCTCTGGGTACCTCTCCAGGCTTTTCTAGTAAGGGAGTTATGGGAGTGACTGTACCATTTCTGGCTTCAGAAGCTTCCTCTTTGTTCTGAATATTCGGTGGCTAGCACTCAGGTAATCTTCAAGCATGGGTGTTCACTCATCTGTCTAATAATTAGCTATTGCTTTCTGACCATCTGTTTGCCTGAGAGAGGAACACGCAGGCCTTTCGGGGATGCTGCTCCTCTAAGACTTCACGCATACATTGTTCTCAGGACTCATTGCAGCACTCTGCCCCCAGAGCCTCCATAAAGGCCTGGATCCACATCCCTTTTCTTCTGCACCACAGGCCAGGTCACGTGCCCACTGGTCTCTGCCGCATGGGTACTGTCCCACCACGTTCAACTGCAACCTGTCCTCCAAAGGCCACTAAAATTCAAATCCCTACCCCACCCCTCAAAAAACTTCCTACCTGCAGCAACTTATGAAATTCTTTGACTTTCCCTCCCTAGAAAGGTGTGGTCTATGTCTTTTCTCTCAAGGGCTCCTCTGAAGTCGTTAGAAAGCAGCAGAAGCTACCTGTGAGGCAAGGTCCCAAAGGGACCACATAGTTCTCACCTGATTCTCTTGGAATCCTGGGCTGTGTACCTGGAGGTCACAGTGTGAAGAATCCCAGGCTCATGGAGAGGACATTGCTGTGCTGTGGCTGCAGCCTCAGCTGAAGTGTCCCTGACAAGGAACATTAACTGCTAGACCTGTGAGCGCCTCCCAGTGATTCTAGCCCTCAGAGGCCAAGTCGCCTCCAGCCACCAAATCTTCCTGAGGCCTCAGACGTCACAGAGCAGTCAGGTCATCCCTGCCATGCCCCTCTTCAATCTCAACCCATATAGTTCACAAGCATCATAAAAGGAACCCATTCTTAATTAGCCACTAAGTTTTGGGATGCTTTTTTACAAACCAATAACTGAAATGTCCCTGAGACTCCCCCTTCTCCCATCATTCTCCGTAAGAAGCACTCAGCACTTCTGAATTCAGAGGGCACCCTAAAGACATTAACCTCAATTGGCAGGTTGGCCAGAGTTCTTACAAGAGTCTATTTTAAGTTAGATTAAATGTGCCCAGCTTTGGCACTTTTTTTTTTTTTTGAGGGATATGTGTATTTGTTGGGGGGATCTCACTTAGGAAGGAGTGTTTGCTAACAGAAATGTCTAGCAGCTTTAAACGTTTTGACCCACAGTAAGGGATATATTTTACAGTATCACCCAGCAAACAAACACACGGCACACTTGGAATACATTTCATGAAACAGTAGGTACTACTTGTGAGGTGGCTCAAGCCTGTAATCCCAGCACTTTGGAAGGCTGAGGAAGGAGGATCACTTGAGGTCAGGAGTGTGAGACCAGCCTGGGCAACATAGCAAGATCCTACCTCTAAACAAACAACAAAAAAAGTAATTTAAATAATTAGCTGGGTATGGTGGCAGGTACTTGTAGTTCCAGCCACTTGGGATCATGAGCCTTAGAGTTTAAGGCTGCAATGAGCTGTGATAGTGTCACTGCAACCTAGGCAACAGAGCAAAACCCTATCTCCAAAAAAAAAAAAAAAAAAAAAAGAAAGAAAGAAATCTAATTCTCTCTATTCAATTCTATTTTTTTCCAATGCTTGTTGTGAATCACTAAGTGAAGGTCACAAGTCACAAATGGGTTGCAACCTGCAGATTGAAAAGTACTGCTGTAGGTAGTGAGGTAAAAAAGGGGTTGGAAGGAGGGTGAGGCTGGTTTGGGGACCTGGCTTGGCTGGGCAGAGGCAGGCAGGCACTGTCTGCAGGTCACAGTGCTCTCCCTGCTGGGCATCCCAGCCAGGTGACTTCTAGGCCTCAGGCTGCTCAGGCACCTTGACCTTACTCCACTGAGACAGGCACCTTGACCTTACTCCGCTAAGAATCCCCTGGGCTCTGTGGCTCTGTAAGGCTGGAGAGTGGGCTGGCCAAGTCCTGCCACTTGATCTGCATTGTTCATCCCCAGCTCTAGTCTAAGCTGGAGAATGGAGCCAGCAAACACTCATCTGGCCTTCTCCCAGCCACTGAGAGCAGGCTTCATGTAGAATTGTAAATAAAACCTGCCTGAAAGGCACATTGCAAATCACTTAAGAATTACATTATCCAAGTCCTTCCCCCATGTAATCATGAATTGAAACAGCAGCTCACGGAGGATCTTTAACACTGCAGTCTCTGTTTCTCATGCAAGAAGATGGTTTTGTTTGTAATCTATAGCCCAGCCTCTTCCCTGCATGTGTCTTCCCCGCAAGCATATGGAGGTGATCGCACAGCGCCAAACCCACTTCCTCCTTCTCACGGATCACCTGTAGCTTTGACTCACAGCCCAGACGTGGCCACCTGCAGATGGTGTCTAAAAGGACCTGAGGACAGACGGCTGGCCACATCCCCAGCACACCTGTCACTTAATCACCCCCTCAGAGGTCTGCCAGGTGACTCCGACAGCAGCAGCTGGGACTGCCAATCAGCACTTTGTCTCCCAACCACCGGGCCATCTGCCTGAACTAGTTTGAATTCTTTTTTTTTTGAAACATCTGCAGTAAACAACACCACAGTCATAGAAAGATTCAGTAAAACTGGAGTTCATGCCACACGCATTCTTATTTAGATAACTAGTTATAAAATGAATCACTCGCCCTGAAAGATGGGCCCCAAGAGCACCATACTTCATTAGCCACTGAATAAAAGCTTCTTGAAGGTGATAATTCTTCCCCTGCAGAGGGTGGCCCTGAAGATCAAATTGGTTTCTTTATATTTCTACCGGCTCCCTCCAATTTGTCTAAGAGTCAGTCTATCTTGCCTGTGAAACTAAGGGCCTCACTCCGCATTGACCCAAACCTCATTTCCCCAGGAATATTGGGAGTCAAATGCTAGGGGATGGGGGTTCAGTGCCTGCCCCACATGTTGGATTCTAGATTCTTGGTCTTTGACATGGAGAGCAATAGAGAAATGTAGGGAAGGGACATGAGAAAACATAACAAGGGCACCAGCCAAAGGGAACATTTTTGTTCCCAAATAATATTTAAAAGCATCTGCAAGGCCTTGCAGAGCCATCACATGGTTTCTGGAACCCCAGACCTACTAAGAGTTTTGCTAAATTTAACCAAGATCATTCTCTTCCAAAAAAAAAAAAAAAGTCACTATCGTTCCCCCATAGCCCTGTGAAGACTCCTGACTATGTGTCAAATGGAAACAAATACCTAATAGAGGACTGAATCGTTTCTTGCTAACTAGCCTTTCTTGCTCTGGTTTCCTGGTTAAATCAAAATGATTTAACAAAATAAAGCCCGCAGAAAGAAAGTCACTGGACAACTAAGATATTCAGTGAGTTCATAAAAACTGCTTTGCCTCACAGGTTTTTCCCAATCAGTGATACCTTTTGTGCCCCTTCTTTACTAAAGACACAGTAATGCTTTTTTTTTTTTAATCTTTATACTACCACAAAAGAGAAGTCAGTGTTGCAGTTTTTTTGTTGTTTTTTTTTGGTGTTTTTTTTTTTGTTTTTTTTTTTTGAGACAGAGTCCCACTCTGTTGCCAGAATGGAGTGTAATGGCATGATCTCTGCTCACTGCAACATCTGCCTCCTGGGTTCAAGCGATTCTCCTGCCTCAGCCTCCTGAATAGCTGGGATTACAGGCATGCACCACCACACCCGGCAAATTTTTATAATTTTAGCAGAGTTAGGGTTTCACCAAGTTGACCAGGCTGCTCTTGAACTCTCGACTTTGTGATCCACCCACCTTGGCCTCCCAAAGTGCTGGGATTACAGGAATGAGCCACCATGCCCAGCCTGTAGTTAATTTTTAACATGTCTAAACAGAAGGAATAATTGTAAAGCTGGATTTGGATACCACACAGTGCTTTTGGTTCTAATACCTGGCTTGGGATATGGTGGAACCTCTCCATAAGTAAGGTACACACTTATTGTACCATGGCCAGTAAGTGTGATTAGCATATAAATAAAAGTGTGCAAGTAAACATATTTTCACTTTCTAAAGATGATGTTTCTGACCTAAGAACAGAAACATGTGTTGATAAAGTCAACTGACTACTCTCAGCCACCGGCACTTTCCTGCTAATGTCCCTGTGACTTACAGAATACAGTTTTGTCAAACGAAAGGAAAACGGGAAATGGTTCCCATCCTGGGAAAACCCTCACACTAGAGATAAAGCCAATCCCAAACTCATTGGCTCCATCCCTTAATCCAACTGAGATGCAAACATATAGTGAATGCAAGGCACTAGTTATCCATTTGATTCTTAAAACAATCCTGAGAGATTTCAATCCCATTTCAAAGATGAAGAAACTATTAGAGACTTTACATACCATCCTAAAGTTACACAGGTAACAAGTGTAACTAGGAAGCCCGAACTTTGCCTCTAAAGCCCATACTTGTAATCATTTTGCCAACACTACCTCTCATAGAGCTCACAATTTTCAAAAGCTCTGAATTTTAACAGAAGTCAGTATTTTTTACCTAAAATGAATGAAGCCAATGTTTCAGAAGACTGAAACTTTAGGCATTTTACAACAAATTATCTCAATATCACATAACCCTTAGGTCTCTTCACAGAGAGCTCAGCCACCTCATTTTCCTCTTGGAACCCTGAGGTAAACATCTAAGAATAATTAAGAAATACAATGTACTTCATGTTGAAGAAACATTTAAGGATAAGTCAGAGGAGAAAATTATATAATTTGTCAACAGACTCCAAAAGACATTTGTTTGCTCTTTGAAATAAAATTAAAAATATATAATAAAATATAAGAAATAGAATAAAAACTCAATTTTTAGTCAACGAGGTCTAGCAGACCATCTCCTAATAAGGTTGAATTTTCTGCCTAAGACCAGAAGGTAGCAAAATATGTGAACTGAAAGTAGAAACAGACACATCCATAGTCTTATAGTTGGAACTTCAACACCCCTTTCTCAGCAATTAGTAGAACTAGTCATAACATCAGCAAGAATGTAAAAGAACTGAAAAGCACCATCAACCAACAGGATTTAATCAAAATTTATAAAACACTCCACACAGCAACAGAAAAATACGCTTTCTTTTCAAGTTCCCACAGAACGTATACCAAGAACAGTCCCTATTACAGGCCCAAAAACAAATCTTAACAAATTTAAAAGAATCTAAATTATACAGTGTGTTTCTCTGACCACAATGAAATTAAACTAGAAATCAATAACAAACTTTTCAAACACTTGGAAACTAAGCAACATACTTCTAAATAATCCATGAATCAAAGAGGAAGTCTTAAGAGGAATGTTAAAAATACACTGATTGTACTGCATGAAAATGAAAAAAAAAAAGATCAAAATTTGTGGGACACAGCTAAAGAGTACTGAGAAGGAAAAACTTATAGTACTGAAAGCATATGTTTAGAAAAGAGGAAGAGTCTCAAATCAATAATCTAGGCTTCCACCCTCAAGAACTTAAAAAAGAAGAGAGAAAAAAACCATGAAAGGGCAAAATAAACCCAAAGCAAGCAGAAGGAAAGAAATAGGAAATTAATGAAATTGAAATTTTAAAAATAGCTGTTTCTTTGAAAAGATTGATGAACTTGAAACATTTCTAGCAAGATGAACAAAGAAATAGTGAGGACACAAATTATTAATATCACAAGTGAAACATGGAGTGTTACTACAGACCTTGAAGATATTAAAAGAGACTATAAACAAATCTACACAATATATTTGATAACTTAGATAAAATAGATGTACTTTAAATTACAAATTCAATTTCCTTAATAGCTTAGGGCTAATCAAACAATCTAGTTCATCTGGAGTGAATAGTGGTTAAGTCTATTTAGAAACACACTTAACAGTCACTCAAAGAAAATACTAGTGTTTCTAAAGAAACACAAACCACCACTACTCATCCAAGATAAACCAGATTATTTGAATAGCCCTGTAACTATTAAGGAAATTAAATTTGCAATTTAAAAAATCTCCCCCCACCAAAATCCACAAGTCCAGATGGTTTCACTAGAGAATTCTACCAAATATTTTTAAAAAATCTATCAGCAATTCTATACAATCTATTCCAGAAAAGAGGAGAATACTTCCCAGTTCATTTTATGTTGTTGGTTTTATGCTAACACCAAAATCAAAGACAATACAAAAAATATAACTAAAAACCAATGTGGATTGTGTATATAAAGTTCTTTAACAAAGTATCAGTAAATAGTATTTAACAATATATTAGAAGAATTGTGCATCATGAGCAGTAAGCGTTTTTCAAGGGATGCAAGGCTGATGCAATATTTGAGAAAAATAAATAAAATCAATGTAATCTACCACATCGACAAGCTCAAGAAAAATCGTGTGATCATATCAATTGCTACAGAAAAAGCAACTGACAAAATCCAACACCCATTTATAAAAAAAAAAAAAAAAACTCTAGAAAAATAGAAATAGAGGGGAGTTTCTTTAACTTGATAATGATAATCTACAAAAACCCTACAGTTAACGTTACACTTAATGAAAGCCTCAATGCTTTCCCTTTAAAATAGGGAACAAGGCAAGAATGTCTTTGTCACCACTGTTACTCAACATAGTACTGATAGGTCTAGCCAGGGCAACAGACAAAAAAGGGAAATAAAAGGCATACGGATTGAAAATGAAGAAGTAAAACTGCCCCTATTTGCAGATGGCATGATAGTTTATGTAGAAAATCCCAAGGAATCTTACCAAAAAAAATCTAGAATAAGTGAGTTCAATAAGGTTACAGGATACAAGGTCAACACAAAAAAAGTACTGCATTTCTACATGATCATAATGAACATATGGAAACCAACATTAAAAGACAATGCCACTTACAGTCAGTCACTCAAAGAAAATATTTATATATAAATCCAACAAATCATATATGTCTTATACACTAAAAACTATACAACGCTGTTGAAAGAAATCAAATATCTAAATAAACAGAGACTTACATGTTCATAAATTATAAGACTCAATATAGTACAGCTGTCAATTCTCCTCAAATTGATATACAGATTTAATACAATTCCTTTCAAAATCCACATAAGAGTTGTTGTTGATATAGATAAGGTTATTCTAATATTTATATTGAAAGGCAAAGGAACTAGAATATCAAGAATAATTTTTTTTTTTCTGAGACAGGGCCCAGGCTGGAGTGCAATGGCACAATCTTGGCTCACTGCAACCTCCACCTCCAAGGCTCAAGCAATCCTCCCACCTCAGTCTCCAAAGTAGCTGGGCCTACAGGTGTGTGCCACGACACCTGGTTAATTTTTGTATTTTTTGTAGAGATGGGGTTTCACCGTGTTGCCCAGGCTGGTCTCGAACTCCTGAGCTCAAGTGATACCCCCCACCTCAGCCTCCCAAAGTGCTGGGATTACAGGTGTGAGCCACCTTGCCCAGCCCCAAAAACAGTTTTGAAAAAAAAAAATGGGAGGAATTTGTCTACCTCATTTTGAGACTTATATAGCTAAAATAATCAAGAATGTGGTATTGGTAGAGGTATAGTCATATAGATCAATAAAACAAAATAAGGAAAACAAATTCAAACAAATATGCACAACCGATTTTTGATAAGCATGCCAAACAATTAAGTGGAGAAAAGATAGCCTTTTCAACAAATGGTATTGAAGCAACTGGACATCGGAGGCCAAAAAACAACAACAAAAACCTTGGCCTAAATCTCACACCCTTATGTGAAATTAACTCAAAATGGATCACAGACTTGCATATAAAACTAAATTTCTGTAAAATTTTAGAAAAAAAATTTAAAAAATGTTCAGGACTGAGGGCTAGGCTTAGTTTTAGTTTAGTTTTCTTGTTTTGGTGACAGAATCTTGCTCTGTTGCCCAGGCTGAAGTGCAGTGGTGCAATCTTGGCTCACTGCAGCCTCCACCTCCTGGGATCAAACAATTCTCATGCCTCAGCCTCCCAAGTAGCTGGGATTACAGGTGCACACCACCATGGCTGGCTAATTTTTATATTTTTAGTAGAGATGGGGTTTTGCCATGTTGGCCAGGCTGGTCTCGAATTCCTGGGCTCAAGTGATCTGCCTGCCTCAGACTCCTCAAGTGCTGTAATTACAGGTGTGAGCCATCACACCTGGCTAGGCTTAGCCTTGATATCAAAAGCACAATCCAAAAAAGAACTGATAAACCGCACTTTGTCAAAATTTAAAACTTTTGCTCTGTGATAGACCCTGTTAAGAGGAGAAAAAGATAAGCAACCAACTGAGAGAAAATATTTTCAGACCACATATCCAACAAAGGACTAACACCTAGAATATATAAACAACTCTCAAAATTCAACAGTAAAAAAAGAAATAATTCAATTAGAAAATGGGCAAAAGACAGTCATTGTCTGTTCAGACCGCTGTTAAAAATGCCATCGGTTGGGTGGTTTATAAACAACAGAAATTTATTTCTTAAGGTTCTGGAGACTAGGAAGTCCAAGATCAAGGTGCCAAGAGATTTGGTGTCTAGTGAGGGCCCACTTCCTGGTTCACAGAGTGCCGTCTTCTGGCGGTTTCCTCACATGTTAGAAGGAGTCCTCTGGGGTCTCCTTTACAATGGCACTAATACCATTCATGAGGCTTCTACCCTCATTACCCAACCACCACTCAAAGCTCCATCTCCTTATGCCATCACCTTGGGGGTCAGGATTACATCATATCAATTTTAGGAGGACAAACATTTAGACAACAGCAGATGTGAAGAGACAGTTCACTAAAGAGGAATTGTAGATGGTAAGTAAGCACATGCAGGACATTCAATATCATTAGCCCTTAGGGAAGTGCAAATTGGAACCACAGTGCAGTATCAGTATACACGTATCAGAATGTCTAAAGCAAAAAATAGTGACAACACCAGATGCTGACAAGGCTGCAGAAAACTGTGTCCCTCATACATTGCTAGTGGGAATGCGATATGGTACAACCACTCTGGAAAACAGTTTCACAGTTGCTTTAAAAAGTAAACACATCAGGAGGCTGAGGCAGGAGGATCAATTTAACTATCAATAGCAATATTCTGGCTGTAATATTTTAGTATAGTTTTCCAAGACATTGAGAGAAACTAGGTAGAAGGTGTGAGGGATCTCTTATTTCTTATAATTGCAGATGAATTTACCTTTATCTTAAAATACAAAGTTTAAACACAAAAGAAAACACAGATGAGTATTTAAGTGACTGCACAGTGAAAGATATTTTAAGCATAAAATCAATGGATTAAATTAAAAATGGAAAGATAGATCTGACTGTAAAGTCCTTAACTTTTTTATATGTCATAAAACTACAATAAACCATACAATAGAATACCATGGCATCATAAAAAGAGTAAGAAAGCTTTTATGTACTGATATAAAATGAACTCCAAAATGTTAGAAAAAGAAAGTTGAAGATTACAAATATTATATTTGTATAAAAAGGGAATATGAAAAAAATAAATGTAGAAATTTGTAGATACAGAATATGCAGAAGAAAGTTCTGACTATATACACAAAAATTGGTAATAATGGGTGCTTTCAGGAGGAAACCTCAGTCACAAAAGGGCAAGACTGGAGAGGAAACACTTTGCTCTCCTTAGTGCCTGTTTAATCTTAAACCAAGCAAATGTATTACTATTCAAAAAATACATTAATAATATTAGAAAAATACTAAGTTGTATCTTTTACAAAAGTTTTAAATACAAATAACAAGATGTTAACAGTAACTCTAATAGAATAAATTGTAACATTTATTCATTTAGCGACAAAGTCTCACTCTGTCACCCAGACTAGAGTGCAGTGGCAAGATCTTGGCTCGCTGCAACCTCCACCTCCTTGGTTAAAGCAATTCTCGTGCCTTGGCCACCTGAGTAGCTGGGATTACAGGTACACACCATCATGTCCAGCTAATTTTTGTATTTTTAGTAGAGACAGGATTTTGTCATGTTGGCCAGGCTGCTCTCTCTTGAAATCCTGGGGTCAAGAGATCTGCCTGCCTCAGCCTCCCAAAGTGCTGGGATTACAGGCATGAGCCACCATGTCTGGCCTGTAATATACTTAACATATAAAGAGTTCCTGTGAACTATGAAGAAAAATGTGTGAAGAGCATAAAGAGAATTTTTAGAAGTTGAAATACAAATGACTAATAAACATGCAAAGTAATACTTATCCTTATGAGTAGTCAAAGATATGTGAATTAGAGAGAAGCTATTTACCTACCAAATTGGCAATAGATTTTAAAAATAATATTCAATGCTGGCAAAAATGAATAAACATTCATTCAACACTGCCTCAGAAATGTGAGGTGGAACAATTTACAATGACAAGACATTGGAAACATCCAAAATGACCAAAGAGTGAGAAATGTTTAAATACAGCATGGTATATCCTTTCCCTGAATTATACAGACATTTATGATGATTTTGAAAAATGGCATTGGTTTACAATGTTCATGATATGATAAAAATATCAGCATGTGAAGCTGAATATACAAAGTTATGTCAATTAAAAATTTATAGTGCTCTAGCTTTAATTTCTTGATTGCAGAAAAGCAATACATTCTTCAAGGAAGAGTTAAAATCTAGCGTTTAACTGACTTTTGCTGGGGCTGCAAAAATGTCACATTGAAGTTCAAGAGGCTTTGCTTATTCTGCTTGGTTTTTCTCTCAGCCCCTAAAAGTTCCCCTGATGAAGGTAATTCTTTTCTTCCTATTACCCCTATCGGTGGCAGCTGACATTCGCATTCAATTAGCTTCAGAGACTTGCCTTAACACAGCTCAGATTCTTGGGTATGGAATCCTCTCCTTGCCCATTGAACTTGTCAGTCAATCCATCAGATGGGAGGGACCCAGGGGGATGGATCTTGAAGTTCAAAGGAAAAGCAAGAAACAATTTATCATCCAGGAATTGTTCCCACTTTGGCTCCCATGTCTGTCTCAATGGAAAGTGGCAAGTGGTTCTGATTACCTTTTTGTCACTCTAACTGCTGGAGGCCCTGTCTGCCAACTTTGCTGGGAGATTGGCACTCTGTCCTTGTGCAAATGCTATGCATGAAAATGCCTGGCCCTCTCCTTGCCCCTCTTTCCACATCACTCTGAAACCTTCCTGATTGCTTTTCTTATTTGGGAATCCAAGGTGTTGGTCAACAAAATGAGAAACAAGCAGTGAATTGGGGGATCTCCAAAGCTTCCTTGGTCAGCTATTGCCACAGAGGGAAAAATAGAGGAAGGAGGGGAAAATGGAGGCTTCTAAAGGTCTTCCAAATCTTTGAAAACAGTATTTTCCAGATTTCCCAACATAGTCTGTTGGAAACTTGTGGAAACATCTGGAAATTTCAGACCTGCCTCTGAGCATCTCTGAAGGGTAAGTAAGGACAAGAGTTTCAGCATCAGCCTTACCCATGGGGCAGTAGGGGCAGCAATGATGGGACATACAGCCCATGGCCATTGGGAGCAAGGGCCACCATTTCACTTCCACAATGGGCACCCATGTGTGCCTGGTCAGCATTCTTTCTTCTGGTAATAAAACCCACATCCTCCACTTGGGGAACCCACTCTTCCTGACTCTACCTCCACAGATGGGCATGTGACCAGTCCTGGCCATAACAGTATCTCATTTCCTTGGCTGAAATGATTCAGGGTTGGATAAAATGGTCCAAGAAAGACAAACCACAATCAATTCTATTATTTCTTCCCTAGGACTATGGAGAAGAAATTCTATTATTTCTTCCCTAGGACTTAGGCAGTGTGGCTATCTGACAGAGTGTAAACTTGTTGCTACCACTTGGGGGAAAGTGCCCGAGAGAATGGTGCCTGATGGAGCATAGCGGACTCCTATGGATATCTGGGATCACCTGGATTCAGCCATATGTGAACCCCTATAAGTTTTGGTTTCATGATTCAACAAATGCCTCCTCTCTTTTAAGATCTAGTTTAGAATGAGGTTTTTTTTTTTTTTTTAATCTCTTCTAACCCTATGAGTTCTGACTAATAAAAGCTCTCAGGAGAAACAACTAACCTGTGGGGAGACTGTGGTGTCTGGCTAGAACTGGATAGTTGGGACTGGGGATGGGAACAAAGGAGGAGCCCATCAAGCTCGTGGGGATGCTCTGCTCAGATGCACTTCCAGCCCCTCCAGGACTTGTCCAGAGTTCTCTGGAGAGGGACTCATGATTACTAGGGGGCTGAAAGAAAGAGGTGCTGAAAATAGGTAGCCCATATGACTTTGGGGTCTGATAACAAGAACACCAGACGGAAGAAGGGGCAGAGGGCCAACACGAGCTGGCCTTGAGTGGAAGATATTAGAAGGTCACCTGCCCCTACGGAAAGCAGATCAGGAAAGAAACATAACCCAGGAAAGCCAGGAGGGCTCAAGGTAAGTAGCATCCACAGGGATTTGTGGGCCAAGTTCTCCTGGCTGGGGAGGAGCTGGGTATCCAGTCATTTCACTGGGAGAGTCCCAGACCACAGATTTCCTCTCTTGATACCTGCCCATCACACTTCACGCGCTTTTGTAGCTTGCCCAGGCTGAGGTCATAGAAACTGAGCCCATTCCTCAAGACTCAGCTGGAAGCCATTGCCCTCCCTAAGAGTTTGCAGGCTATTCCAAGATGCATAGATCTTCTCATCTGGGCTCCACTAGCACTTAGCATCTGTGCCACAATTTAGCACTTAATTATTCAGCCTTGCATCGAATGCTGTGTTTTTTATGGGGTTAGTTTAATCTCCTCAAAGAGACTGAAATCTCTTTGAAAGCCAGGCCCATGATCTTGTTGCTTTGACACTGTTCACACTTCCTGACCCCCAGATGGTGCACCCAGTAGGCCTCCGCAACCCCTTACCATCACTCAGTAAGATCCCACTCCCCAGTTCCCAGCTTGAGTTTACAGTCACTTACTTCCAAGGACAAGGGTAATGAAACTTCAATTAAGACGCCCAACTGTTTTATTTTAATTGCCCATTTCATCTACCTGCTTATTTTTACAGAGTAGTTTTCTTTCTCATGTAAAGATCTTCATTCTAGGACCTTGAGATGGGTTTTTTAACCCCTGATTTTCTAGTCTCACAAATTGCACAAGAGGACCTGGATTACAGAGTTTTTAAAAATGTGTTTGATCTGACTATAACCAGAATGATCAAATTTTTGCTGCAGAATGATATTAATCTAACCATCCTGAATTTACATACCAATTCAGAATGTGACCTTCATATGAACAGACACTCCAAAGATACCTCTTATGCTCAGTCTTAGGATAGATCCAAATCATCCATGTAAGATGTCGATTCTAGAAATAGCTTTAATTTGGACATTAAGAAGACAGTCTTTGTTTAATCGCTTCTTAATCAGAAACTAAACCAGGGACCTGGTGGACAGAGTGGGGATGAAGGTGGAAGTGGGAATTTAAAGTACCTAGTTAATACTATTTGGGCACAATGTACTCATTCATTCAGTAAACATGTTCGAGCTCCCATACACAAAACTCACAGTCCCTACAGCGCACTGAGCAGAAGCCCTGCCCAGGATGCCTGCCGTAAATATTCACTATGGTTATTATTGGACCCTGGGAAAGCAATAGGCCCCACCCTTTCAAGGCTATTGAAAGAGTTAAGAAACTTAGCTAAGGTCAATGTTCTCCCTAGGGTGGCCCAGAATTTGAACCAACGGGGGTGCTGCAGAGCCACACCCATTCCTCTAGGCTGCTGCCTCAGGGAGATTCTGGATTTGGTCACAAGGAAGTCAACTGTGCCCCTGGGGAGGGCAGATTCAGAGAAGTAATGACAGAGGAAGCCACACTGCCGAGGGCTAGGAAGGCTGGGAGGAGTGGAGGGGCAGCGGATCTGGACAATTCTTCCTTCCTGGGTAGAGGACATTAGTGGCAAAGGGTGTCCTTTTCATGTGTCTTGTTTTTAAGATAGGAGAAACCTGACATTTTAACAAATAGATGAAAAAGAATAAGTTCTGAGAATGAGACTGGAGGTTTTGGGGCAAAAGGATGATCAACAATATGACTGATCAGCAAGACTCCTGAAAAGGCAGGAGGGGGATATGGAATTATGGACTAGAAGTAGATATAGTAGAGGGCATATAAGGATAAAATAAGGATGATTAAAACAGGCAAGTGAGGAAGTGCGGCTGGAGGGGGATGTGAACGTGGAGACTTCCCTGGAGCAGATATTGAGCCCAACTGAGAGAAGGTCTCAGAGACGAGGGGTAGTGGGGGGTGTGGGGACATTTCCCAACAGGGGAAGTGACAGAAGGGACAGAGAGCAGGGCAGTTGAAGCCTGGATAAAGGTGGAAGAAAGAAAGGAGGAAACAAGGACTGTAGACACTGGGGAAGAAAATCAGCTGGGTGGGGAGGGCCAAGGGCAGTGAGTGGGCTCCCGGGGAGCCCCAGTGAACCACTCAGGGCCAACTGGAGACCATGATCTGATACCCCAGTCCCAGTTCTGCTTCCAGGCACAAGGTCGGTTTCGTAGTCCGCTTTCCCACTGCCCTTAAAGACAAACCCGAGACTGGGCAATTTACATAAGAGGTCTCTTGGATTTACAGTTCCACGTGGCTGGGGAGACCTCACAATCATGACAGAAGGTGAAAGCCCTGTCTCACATGGCAGCAGACAAGAGAAGAGGGCTTGTGCAGGTAAACTCCTTTTTAAAACCATCAGATCTCATGAAATTTATTCACTCTAAAGTTAATAGCACAGGAAAGACCTGACCCCATGATTCAATCATCTCCCACTGGGTCCCTCCCACAACACATGGGAATTATGGGAGCTACAAGATGAGATTTGGGTAGGCACACAGAGCCAAACTGTATCAGTCAGGTTGACAGCCAGCTCTAGGGAACGATGGGACCCCCCCCACCCCCACTGCCCCACCCAGTATGGTCAGGACTCTGGATCTAGGTGACACTGGACTCCAGAACTCAGCCCTCAAAGCCGGAGGACCCCATCCCCACAGAGCTCCACAGCCCCCCTCCCCACCACAGCTGCTGTCCCAAGTGGTACTCAGCCTTAAGGGAGGTGTGGTCCCGCTGCTCAGACACAGCCTTTGCACGACCAGTAGCAGGGGTTTTGTGGGCTCCACGCATCCATCAAACCCATCAGCTGGCAGAGCTAGAATATAGAGCTCAGCCAGTCACACTGGGCCCAACATCTGTGCTGACTTGGTGAATCAGGCTCAAATTATTTTGATAAATTTCAGGCAGAGGGGACCACAGGAAAAACTTGTTCAGTCTTTCAAAACTGTTAGAGTACTAGTCCTCCAAAAATCAAACATCTCTCTTGTTATTCTTTCCAATTATTTCACCTCTTGCTCATTGCAGCATAAGGAGAGTAAATATACCAAAAAGTGTAAAAGTTGCCACTTACTAAGAAGTTACAACGTGCCAGGTACTGTGCTGAGTTCTTTAAATGGAACCATAGCAACAACCCTTGGGTGCTAGTCCCATTGTAAAGATGATAAAACCAAGGCGCTTAGTCTATGCATTTCATTGAGTCAATTCACACAGTGACCAGAAGTCAAGCCTGAATCTGCCCAAATTCTGTCTTCGTTCACTGCCCAAAGCCCTCAGTAGCAGATAAGGCCTGCCCAGCAAGGCCACTGGCTCTTGGCAGCTCTCCTGTGATGAGTGAACAGCTTTAGAGCTAAGAGAGCTTTACACCCAGCAGAAGGTGCTGTGCATGTTTAGCAGGGCATGCTATCAAGCCACCTCTCCCCAACTAGAGGGCTGGGGTTCCAAATTTGACTTGTTTAGCAGCTCGATGACACTGTTGAAAACCTAGGTTTTTTGAGACAGAGTCTTGCTCTGTCACCCAGACTGGAGTGCAGTGACACAATCTCAGCTCACTGCAGCCTCTGCCTCCCGGGTTCCAGCCATTCTCCTGCCTCAGGCTCCTGGGTAGCTGGGATTACAGGTGCCCACCACCAAGGCTGGCTAATTTTTGTATTTTTAATAGAGACAGGGTTTCGCCCTGTTGGCTAGGCTGGTTTCGAATTCCTGGCCTCAGGTGATCTGCCCACCTCAGCCTCCCAAAGTGCTGAGATTACAGGCATAAGCCACCGTGCCTGGCCAACCTAGGTTGTTTTTAACATTGCATCATGCAAACCTCATCATAGAAATCTATGTCCTCTGGTATATCCACTCACAGTCAAAAGATAGCTGCAATGGCGACAAGCATCACACCCCCGCCCAACAACTCCAAGACCATGAAAAGGAAAGAAACATCATCACTTCCTAAAGGTGAGACACTTTTTCTAAATCTCCCCACTCCCATCCCTGCATTCTCATGTTTCATCTGCCAAACTGGCATTGTTTGCCCTATCTTAACCACTGGCAAGGGGAGTTGAAATGCCATGATTATCCTAGACCAGTGATCTTCAGTCTTGGCTGCACATTTTAATCATATGGGAACTCTTCATCCCTACTCAAGGCCAGTTAAATCAGAACCAGTGTCACCAGCAGATAAAGACAAATCTGAGACTGGGCAATTTACAAAAGGAAGAAGTCTCTTGGACTTACAGTTCCACATGGCTGGGGAGGACTCACAATCATGACAGAAGGTGAAAGGCATGTCTCACATAGCGGCAGACAAGAGAAGAGCGCTTGTGTAGGGAAACTCCCCTTTTTAAAACCATCAGATCTCGTGAAACTTACTATCATGAGAACCGCACAGGAAAGACCAATTAAACGATGGTGAGGCCCAAGTATCAGTAGTTTTTAAAGAACTTTTCAGGTGTTATTAATATGCAGCCAAGGTAAAAGACCACTGCTTGAACTAATCAAGATTCACCATCTGCTGCAGGGTCAGATACCTGAAAAAGTTCCAGGTTCTGCTGGTATCTTAGCCTGTTTTCTGTTTCTGTAGCTGAATACCTAACACCGGGTAATTTATAAAGAAAAGAAATTTCTTTCTTACCATTCAGGAGGCCGAGAAATCCAAGGTCAAATTCTTCTTGCTGGTGGGGACCCTGCAGAGTGCTGAGGAGGTGCAGGGCATCGCACAGAGAGAGGGCTGGAGCATGAGCCAAACTAGCTTTTATAACAGACCCTGCTTGTGCTGACTAACCCACTCCAGTGATAACCCATTAACCCATTCATCCATGAGTGGATTAATCCATCCAAGGGGACAGAGCCTTCATGACTCAATCACCTTTTAAAGGCTCCACTTTTTTTTTGAGACTGTCTCCCTCTGTCCCCCAGGCTGGAGTGCAGTGGTGCAATCTCGGCTCACCGCAACCTCCACCTCCCGGGTTCAAGCGATTCTCCTGCCTCAGCCTCCTGAGTAGCTGAGATTACAGGCATGTGCCGCCATGCCCGGTTAATTTTTGTATTTTTACTAGAGATGGGGTTTCACCATGTTGGTCTCAAAATCCTGACATCATGATCCACCTGCCTCGGCCTCCCAAAGTGCTGGGATTACAGGCATGAGCCACCACACCTGGCCAAAGGCTCCACTTCTTAATACTGTTACTTTGGGGATTAAGTTTCAACATGAATTTCAGAGGGGGTAAACATTCAAACCACAGCAGCCAGCAAGGAAGAAGGCAAATGGAGAAGGCTCCCGGGAAGGCCATTGATTGTGGCTGTCAGAGCTGGTCCCACAGCAGGACGCTGAAGGTATGGAACACAGAACAGAAAAATGTTCACGGGAAGGAAAAGGCCTTGGAGGGAAAGCTGAGGGAGAATGGCCAGGGAATGTGTATTGGGAAATGACCAGGGAACGTTATGTGTACCACAGTGCGTGAAGCCGGAGCACTTACCCTAAGCTCCTTCAGTATCTTGTGCATCACAAGACATCCTGTCAATCACCCACTCCTTCACCAGCCCACACTCTCACCAATACTGAGTTTTTTCTCTTGCATCTGTGCCACCCGAACAATGTTGCAAAAACGTTTCATGGGTCATGGAGGAGAGGAGGGTAGTGTGAGCAATGAGACAGCAACCCTAGGACAAAACTCCTAGAGAGATGAAAGGACACTGAAAACAAACACACCTGCTTTTGAGATTTTTCTGTGGCCTCACCCCGCTTCTGATCTCCTAGGAAACTAAGCAATGGCAACAAAAGCCAAAATTGACAAATGGGATCTAATTAAACTAAAGAGCTTCTGCACAGCAAAAGAAACTACCATCAGAGTGAACAGGCAACCTACAACATGGGAGAAAATTTTTGCAACCTACTCATCTGACAAAGGGCTAATATCCAGAATCTACAATGAACTCAAACAAATTTACAAGAAAAAAACAAACAACCCCATCAAAAAGTGGGTGAAGGACATGAACAGACACTTCTCAAAAGAAGACATTTATGCAGCCAAAAAACACATGAAAAAATGCTCATCATCACTGGCCATCAGAGAAATGTAAATCAAAACCACT
The DNA here is from genome assembly GCF_000001405.40 of Homo sapiens. Taxonomy (NCBI): domain Eukaryota; kingdom Metazoa; phylum Chordata; class Mammalia; order Primates; family Hominidae; genus Homo; species Homo sapiens. Next base: position 132,566,118 of record NC_000002.12, on the reverse strand, counting down.
ATGAGATATCATCTCACACCAGTTAGAATGGCAATCATTAAAAAGTCAGGAAACAACAGGTGCTGGAGAGGATGTGGAGAAATAGGAACACTTTTACACTGTTGGTGGGACTGTAAACTAGTTCAACCATTGTGGAAGTCAGTGTGGCGATTCCTCAGGGATCTAGAACTAGAAATACCATTTGACCCAGCCATCCCATTACTGGGTATATACCCAAATGACTATAAATCATGCTGCTATGAAGACACATGCACATGTATGTTTATTGCAGCATTATTCACAATAGCAAAGACTTGGAACCAACCCAAATGTCCAACAATGATAGACTGGATTAAGAAAATGTGGCACATATACACCATGGAATACTATGCAGCCATAAAAAATGATGAGTTCATGTCCTTTGTAGGGACATGGATGAAATTGGAAATCATCATTCTCAGTAAACTATCGCAAGAACAAAAAATCAAACACCGCATATTCTCACTCATAGGTGGGAATTGAACAATGAGATCACATGGACACATGAAGGGGAATATCACACTCTGGGGACTGTGGTGGGGTGGGGGGAGGGGGGAGGGATGGCATTGGGAGATATACCTAAGGCTAGATGACGAGTTAGTGGATGCAGCGCACCAGCATGGCACATGTATACATATGTAACTAACCTGCACAATGTGCACATGTACCCTAAAACTTAAAGTATAATAAAAAAAAAAAAAAAAGGAAACTCATCTCACTGCTTGTGCTTATAAAGAATCTAAATGAGACAAAGGCTATTGGGAGTTCATAGGGGAGAGTCCATAGGAAGACTGCAACTTGAGCGATGTTTCACTATGAGTGTCCTTCTGCTTCTTCTTTCTCAGTCCCTCTCATTGACAAATGACTTGGCTAAATACTGGAATCACATAGGAAGCATCCAAAAAATCCCCATGCCCGGCTAATCGTCACGCCACTAAATCAGAATCTCTGTGGGTCAATTATGGCATCAATAGTTATTAAAGGCCAGGAGTGGTGACTCACGCCTGTAATCCCAGCACTTTGGGAGGCTGAGGCAGGTGGATCACCTGAGGTCAGGAGTTCGAGACCATCCTGGCCAACATGGTGATACCCGATCTCTACTAAAAATACAGAAAAATTAGCCAGGCATGGTGGCAGGTGCCTGTAATCCCAGCTACTCAAGAGGCTGTGGCAGGAGAATTGCTTGAGCCTGGGAGGTGGAGGTTGTGGTGAGCCTAGATCATGCCACTGTACTCCAGCCTGGGCAATAGAGCGAGACTCTGTCTCAACAAAAAAAAAAAAAAAAAAAAAGAAAAAAGAAAAAAATAGTTATTAAAGCTTCCTAGGTGATTCCAATGTGTTGAGAAATCATATAAGAATACTCATCAATAAACCAGAAATTTTGAAGATTATGCCCTCAAAGTGTTAGATTTGTAAGACTCCGTGGAGAGTGATATTACATGCATCTTTTTGAGCAACTTTTTCTCAAGATGGTGCAGGTACTGGCCCACCTGGCACAAGCCACAGAGAGGAAATGAGGTGGAGGTGGGAGTCAGCAGAGGAAGGGGTGAGAAAACAGAATGTCCTCTCCTCCTTACCTACTCGGGGCAGTGCGCCAACTCAGGTTGGACATGTTGATAGGGAAATACAAAGAAATTATTTTGAACATAAGATGAAAGGAGAAGGGAGGGAAATGCCATAAGAAATGACCCAGAAATTTACAATAATTGAGCTCATTAGTCATATCTGTTTATTATCTGTAATGTGCTCTGAATGTTTCCTGGGAGGGGTGGCCACTCATCCAAGGCCACAGGGGCCACAAAGGCAGCCAGGAATCAGGGATGCTTGGCTGGTGGTGCAGGTGGCAGGGCCCTTGGTATCAAAGGGTTTAATGTGTAAACTAACACTATTACATTTCCTCCAGCGCTCTCCAGCACAGTGACTATTTTCAGTGGTGACTCCCACCTCAGTGATCCTCAGCCGCCTCAAGTCAGCCAGGAGGATAAATATGTTCCTGACAGGTTGGGTTGCTCATCTGCTTATGACAATGGATTTTCTTTTCAAGGTGAAATGGGCTGTTAGAGGCTGTGGGAGGATGTGCTTGCAGCAGTGGTTTCAAGGCTTTGCTGTACGTTTGAACCACTGAACAGCTTTTACAAATCCTGGCTTGGAGGCCAGGTCACATCCCACACCAATTACAACCATGTCCATGGTTGGGGTGGGGGGACCCAGGCACCTCCAGGCAATTCCAATGTGCAGCCAAGTTTGAGAACCAGTAAGTTAGAGGAGCAATCCTCAGCCCAGGCCACCTATTTAAATCATCTGCGTGCTTTCAGAAATACCAGTGCCAAAAAACAGCAAAACAATGCCAGGGCCCCACTCCCAGACGTTCTCATTTAATTGGCTTGGAGTAAGGCCTGAGCATTGGGATTTCTGCAAGTCCCCCAGGTAGGATTTTAACAAGCAGCCAGGGTTGAGAAGCTCTGAGCTGGAAGGCAATGACTGATCATAGCCAGGTGGTGGTCACATTCACCATAATCCAGTGATTCTCAAACCTTGTTGGATCTCATTTTTGTAAGGCATGAGCCATCTCACATGCTCTGAAGTTTTATAAACAGGATACTCATTTTATTTTTACTCCTACCTCAGCCTCCCAAGTAGCTGGAACTATAGGTGCGTGCCACCATGCCGAGCTAGTTTTTGTAGACACGAGGTCTCACTATGTTTCCCAGGCTGGCCTCAAGCAATCCTCCCAAAGTGCTGGGATTTCAGGGAAAAGCCATCCCACCCAGCCAGGATACTAATTTTACATTCTCAAGGGAAGCACATACTTGAAAGAATACTGTGGCTGATAGGCCTTTGATAAAATTAGGAGGCTGTGAGTATAATCACCTCCTCTCAATAGCTGATCTGTTTGAAAACTGTTGTTCTGCCAATAGTGAAGCTCCACTGTGTTAGCAAGTGCGATCCTATGAACTACACTCCCCTTTTGAAAATTAGCTTAGTTGTATCCTTATCCCTGGAATCAGAGTGGACATGGGCACTTAATGTAGCAGGACACATTTTATAACACTGGGAGCAGAGGACAGGACCACCTTCCCTGTGGCAGCAAACACTGCTCTGCCAGGCTCTTTGGGAATAATGCCGCTTTTTTAGGGATTGCATTTTCACTTGCTATATTTAGATTTGAGTAAGGATGAGAAATGTCCTAACAGCATATATGGTACTTTAGACTTAAGTCTTTTGCCCTAACAACTCATTGAACTTTCAACTCTTTCTCGGTGTTGCTGCATGAGCTTGTTCTGAAGTTAGAGATGTAGGAAGAGGTGGATACCTTCATTCATGCAGGTGTGCTACATGAGTGCATACTGTGTGCTGGGTTTTGCTGCTTTGTAAATAGTAGATAACCCCTGCTATCTATTACTATCTACTACTATCTACCAGTGGCTCCCTCTTGGTGGTGACAGCACTGGGTGCTAGGGTATCCAAAGAAGGAATATTTAACCTAGTCTTGAGAGTGTCTCAGAAGGCTTTCTGTAAGTGACAAAATAGGATCTTAAAGACGAAGGAGAATAGGCTGGGGACAGATTGCATTCTGGACTGAAGGATGAGTCCATGCAAATGCAGAGAACCGTAAGAAATCCTGAGAGGTGAATCAGAACAGCCTGAGTACGATGTCCTGATGCACCCACACGGAATGAGGCTGAAGAATTAGGCAGGGCCAATCATGAAGGGCCTTGTGTAACATGCAAAAAGGCTTGTATAACATGCCAAAGAATTTTCCCAAATATGATGGAAAGTCATTGAAAGCTTTTGAACAGGGGATCAAATATAATCCAATTTGAGTTTTAAGAAAACCACTTTGGTGGCAGTGTGAAGAATCAGTCTGAGGGAGAAGAGATGAAAGCAGTGGCTCTTAACCTTGGATGCACGATGGAATCATATGGAGAGCCTTAAAAAAAAAAATGGATGCCTGGGCCTCACCCTCAGAAATTTGAATGCAATGAGATTGGGGTGTGACCTGGACATCAGGTTGCTAAAAGTTCTCTGTGATAGTTAATATTCTGGGTTAACTTGACTGGACTGGGGTGCCTAGATATTTGGCCAAATATTCTGAGTGTGTCTGCGAGGGTATTTCTTGTTGAGATTAACATTTGAATAGGTAGGCCTAGTAAAGCTGACAGTTGTCCCTAATGTGGGTGGGCCTGGTCCAATCAGCTGAAAGCCTAAATGGAATGAAAAGTTGGAGTAAGAGGGAGCTCCTCCTGCCTGAATGCTTGAGGGGGACATTGACCTTTTCTGGCCTTTAGACTTGGACTGAAACATTGAGTCTTCCTGGGTCTTGAACCTACCAGGTTTGTCTGGAACTTATACCGTCAGCTTTCGTGGTTCTCAGGCCTTTGGACTTGGACCGGAACTATACCCTTTGCTCTCCTGGGTATCCAGCTTGCCAACTGCAGATTTTGGCATTTAGCCTCCATCATCATGTAAGCCAATTCCTTATCTGTGTGTGTGTGTGTGTGTGTGTGTGTGTGTGTGTGTGTACACTCATATTCAATGATTTTATTTCTCTGGAGAACCCTATCACATTATCCAACTGATTCTAATGTGTGGCCAAAGTTGAAAGCCACAGCTCCTTGCAGAGAGGTCAGGTGACGACAAAGGCAGTAATCTGAGTAATGAAATGAAGTCATCTCCTACACTAAGGCAGCAGTTAATGGGGGGCAGGAGCCAGGACCATGGCTGATGGCAGGTGAGGCTGGGAGAGGAGTCAAGTGAACTCCCTAGTTTGATTTCTGTAGAAGAGAAATGGTAGGGGTATGATTCACCTGGAGTGGGACCCAGGAGGAAAAGCAGGTTTAGGAGAGAAAAGAAGGAATCTGTTTTGAAAATGTGAGGCACTGGGCCAGGTGCAGTGGCTCATGCCTGTAATTCCAGTACTTTGTGAGTCTGAGGCGGGTGGATCATGAGGTCAGGAGTTGGAGAACAGCCTGGCCAATATGGTGAAACCCCTTCTCTACTGAAAAAAAAAATACAAAATTTAGCCAGGCATGGTGGCACGTTCCTGTAGTCCCAGCTACTCGGGAAGCAGAGGCAGAAGAATCACTTGAGCCTTGGAGGCAGAGGTTGCAATGAGTAGAGATGGCGCCACTACACACTCCAGCCTGGGCAACAGAGTGAGATTCCATCTCAAAAAAAAAAAGCAAAAAACAAAACAAAACAAAAAAAAACAAAATGTGAGGTACCTACATAAATATGACCAATAGACAGAAAGATGGGCAAAAGGAGGCTGAGTTCCTGAGTCAACAGCATAGAAAGAGTGGCTCACTTCCCAGGCTTGGGCAATCTGCCCACGCAGGATGTTTGGAGAGAGGAGAAGCTGGGAAATGTTACCTGGTGAGGACTGGATGGAGGAAGAGGAACCAGGAAAAGAGGCTGAGAAGGGGCCAAAGAGAATCTGGAGAGCTATAGGGAGACTGGGCACTGGTGATCAACACTGTAAAGTGTTCTGGAGGACAAGCTGGACTGGGCCTGAAATTCCTGGACTGGGAAATCGGAAGGCCAGTGTTAACTCCAGATGAGCCATTTCAGTAGAGCGGGGAAGGCAGAATGGTGGTAGTGATAGATTACATAGAACAGATGAGACGAAGGAGAGAGAAACTACAAGTGTGAGTTTGTTCTTCGATGCAATCAGGGTGTGAGGATGGGGAGAGACTGGAGAGCAGTGGAAGGGGACCCAGGTTCAGGGCCAGTTTCCCAGCACAGTGGCTGTAGGACAGGAGGGTGCCAAACAGGTTTATGGTTGAGGAAAAAGAGGTGGGAAAGGCAAAAGGTGGGAGCTATCGAGAAGGGGTGATGAATGTATTGAGGGCCCATGGGAGGCCAAAAGGAAGAGGAAACCCAGCCAGACCCTGGCAGAAAGCTTAGGCTTGGGTGGAGGGAAGAATTTTATAATGGCAGGTGGGCGGTTGGAGGTTGAGGATGTTGCTGCTATTTGGATTGGGAAAGAGAGCTAAGCTGGCTGAGGGATGCAGACAGCTCCCAGAGCCCATTGGAGGCTGGGAGCACCATGGATGCTATTACCAGTATGCAGTACAGCTGAAGTGTGCCAGGGTGCAATCATCAGCCCAGGTGACAAGCCCTCATCCTCCCCTTCCTCCACCCAGCCCCCATTTTTACTCCTAGCTCCATGCTCCATGTCCACAGCCTCTCCACACCAAGTGGGCTAAAGGCAGCAGCATGGCATCACCCAGGAACTTGTTAGAAATGTACTCTCTCAAGTCTCATTCAGAACTCTTGAATGAGAACCTGCATGTCACAGGTCCCCAGGTGATTGGAACACATGTTACCCTTGGAGAACCAATGCTCTTGCCTTTTCCAACGACAGTATTTGTGGCCTTCTGACTACGCTGCGAAATGCTGTTCACTCTGCTTGGAACACTGGCCTCATTCTTTCTAGCCAATTCGACTCCTCTTTAAGACTGTGTCAATGTTAGCTCCTCTCTGACTACTCCCAAGACCTGGCCGGGAGAGCTGTTTGCTGCCCTGAGCGTGCTTCCATCAACTTCATCAGGGCGCCACGCTGTTGCTTTTCTTATCCTCAGCACTGACACGTGAAGTCAGTGCTCAGTAAGGTGTTTATGTGTTCACTGAATGAAACTCGGGCTCCCTGATTTCCAGCTCTACGTCCTAATCCAAGCCCTGAGACCATTTTCTACGCATGGAAAGTCACGCCTGTTTAAAAGAAAATGCTGTAATTCAAGCCCCAAACACCTCACCCTCCATGTGCCTGATGTTACCCCCCAAATCTGGGAAATCATCAGGTTTGTTGTTTTCTACAAAAATTTACAAAGCCATATCTCACTCTTTCAAATTATTTTACATGCCACATAAAGTTCCGATCCTGGATCCCAACCTCGGTCAGTTCTTTTCCTAAGTGGCTACAAAGAAATGAATTTCAAAACATTGGAAGTTTATTAATTACTGAATTTTCCAAGCATGAAAACCCTCTCTATTTGATTCCGAGCATGAACGCCATTTTCTATTATAGCAAGGAGAGTTAAATAATTACAACTATCTATGACCTTTTTCATAATCTACTCTGTAAATGCCTAGATATGAAAATCAGGTCCTTTGCCTTTTTTCTATTTCTTTTGGGGCTTAACACACAGTTAGTGCTTAATAAATGTGCTTCTGGAGCAACTGAAGAGGAGCTTTTTTCCCTAGCACAGATACATTGAGCCAAGAAGCTTGTGTAAACTGTGGGCAGCCTGTTGAGCTGAGCACCTATTCAATGTTTATCTCCTCCTTCCAGGTCTGCCCCTGTCTTAGGAGTCGTCCTTTCCAAATCTGGGATTCATGGCTGGTCACTAATGCTTATTACTTGCCATACTATAAAAATAACCTTCCAGAACCCAGGAGCTTCTGGAAGCAGAGAAATCCACCTTCATGTATCTCAAGTGCATCGTCTTGTTAATCAGGTTAGGCCCTGAAGAAAAAGCTTCTTTCCCCCGACCTCATCTCAATATTTCCAGAAATGCTACCACTTAAAATGCTTCCCGGTGCCCCCAGCTCATTAGGACCTGCCAGTTACATTGTGTCAGAAAGGATCTGATCTCTGTGTCACAAATGTGGCCTTAGAAATGCAAACATTTGGAAATTCACAGCAAAAAAGTATGCACCCTCAAAAAATAATTTGTCAAGAGACTCAGTCATGAGCCTCTGTGTATCTGGATGAGGTGTGTGGGATTCCTTGTCCAAATCAGGACATGGGGTGGGAGAGCCTCCCCCATGAGGCTCCATTCTAGCACTTTTCACACATTCTCATTTCCTCCTCACAAGAGACAACAGAGCAGGTATTGCTAGTCTCATTTTACAGACCAAGTAACTGAGGCTTAGAGAGACTAAGAAACTTAACAGAATGTCAGAGCTAGAGAAGCTAAGGAGGATGACGCTTCTGTAGGGGTCACATTCTGCCTACCTCAAATGCTGGGCTTTTGTTGTTATTATTGCACTGGATCAGCATGAGTCCCATTTTTCTGAGAACGTATCCTTTATATAACAAAAAAGAAGCCCTAAAAGGCTTTCCTAGCTGTTAGGGACAAGCTGCCCCAGGACCACCCCCACCCCACCACCACCACCACTCAGTGCAGCTGACCCTTACCCTGAATACTCTGCAGCTGCATCCCTGAACCCTTATCTAGGTGCCACAGCAAGGTCACCAGACTTGCCGAGTGAACCCTGATTACAGCCCCCCCGGGCGGCATGGGGGAGGTCACGAGAAACGCGGATAAACCTAAGTTACATCCTCTTGTAAATTCATGTTTTCACAAGATACTATATTGTAAGCCAGTCACGAGAAGATATGTGGTAAAGTTAACCGACAACCCTAGGGTCTCTCTCCCCCATATAAACCCCTCATTTTTTAAGCTCAGGGCTGCCTCCTCTGACTGCGGTGGAGCAGCCTGGCAGGTTAATAAACTTACTTGCCTGACCTTGGGTCTCTCTCTCTCTCTCTCTCTCTCTCTCATCCTTTCTTTCAGCTAATCTTACACTACCAAAACATTTTATTCCACTTTTCTCTTATGGTAATTGAATCCCATGAGAGAATTCCCAAATGACCCACTCTCTGGCATTAAGGCACCTGAAGCTCTCTGTTAAAATGCCAGTGTTTTCTGCAAGAGAAAGAATTCAAAGTTGGAACTCATGAAATGCTTAGTGCTTATTTTGTCCAAAACCCCATGGTAGACGCTGTGAGGGAACACACTAAAAAATCCTACAAGTTAAGGATTTGGGGGTTTTTTGAGATGGAGTCTCATTCTGTTGCCCAGGCTGGAGTGCAATGGTGCGATCTTGGTTCACTCCAACTTCCCCTCCTGGGTTCAAGTGATTCTCCTGCCTCAGCCTTCCAAGCAGCTGGGATTACAGGTGCCCACCAATATGCCCAGCTAATTTTTGTATTTTTAGTAGAGATGGGGTTTCACCATGTTGGCCAGGCTGGTCTCGAACTCTTGACCTCAAGTGATCTGCCCCCCCCCTTGGCCTCCCAAAGTGCCAGGATTACAGGCATGAGCCACCATACCTGGCCATAAGTTAAGGTTTAAACAACAGTTCAATGTGATAAACAGCCCTCTACAAGGTGAATTGCCAAATAAATGTTCTACCCAATTTCTACAGGCACTCAGACATTATACCCTCACTGGGCATCTTGGCAGCTCAAAGAATGGATTTCAGTAAAGTATTTCCTGTCACCTACCCTAAGGAAAGGAGCCTTGGTGTCTTCAAAGGGAAGGAAAGCCAGAGAGGCCTTTGAGGAGGAGTGTCTATGAGGTTGTGCTTAATTAGGACAGAAGGCCTGGAGCGGTCAGTAGAATTGTCCAAGTGGGGGTAGATTAAGGAGACTGTGTGGAGGGGGAGGATTTGAAAAGTCCATTTTAGATGTGCCTGCACCACATAGCATTGTATGCATAATCACATCCTATCACTTTAGCTACCTCAAAGACTCAAACACTCCAGGTAGGAAGAAAATCAGACCTGGCATTTGACCGCCTTTGTTTGGTGCACAAGGTACTAGCAATTAGAATCACCCAGTGATCCCCAACCCCCACATAGGCCACTACTTTCTCTGATTCATATGTGCAGGGAAAGAACTTGCTTAGAGCCAATGGTGTACTGGGGCCAGCATGTACCAGCTACAGAGTCAACTGTGAAATAGGAATTTTTGTGAGCTAGTTAACTATTGGTAATTGGCCATGGTGGGAGCATTTACACTATGGAAACTGGCAAAAGTTACAAATCAAAGCTTTTTATTTTGGGAGGAGAGCCAGTTTGCCAGCATACCACTACTTAGGCTGTCCATATACTGTCTCTCTGATTCGTACATTTACATAAACTCTGTGCCATTTGGAAAACGTCAAATTAAAAATGATATGCCTAATGAATTTGACAGTTTGGGCACTCAGCTATAAGAGGCCAAGGATGTATTTGCATTGAAGCAAATTTTCTTGAAGGACCACTAGGTCTCTATATCAATTAGGGCAGTAGTTCTCAAAGCACGACCCTGGACCAGCAGCATCATTATCCTGTGAGAACTTGTTAGAAGCACAAATTCTCCCATTTCACCCTAGATCTGCTGAATCAGGAACTCTAGGGTTGGGGCCCAGCAATTTATGTTTCCATAAGCCCTCCAGGTAGTTCTAATGAACACTCAAGTTTGGGATACTTGAGTAACATCTCCCCTAAAAGTAAAACAAACACACTTTCACCTCTTACCATGTATATGTTATATTCACATTATGCACAATCATGTCATCAACAAATTATCAGGTGCTTAACTAAGTACCTTTGTGTCTCAGCTCTGTGTCATAGTCAGCCTTGAAGTTGGCCTCCAGGGCTAGCCCTGGTATTCACGCCTTTATTTAATCTCCTCCCACATTGAATCACTGGTGGTCTATATGACCAATAGAGGACTCAGAAATGCTAATGAGTGACTTCCGAAGCTGAATCATCAAAGGCATCAAAGCTTCCATTGGTTTCTGGGGGTACTTGCTTTGAGGGACCCAGCCACCATAGTATGAAGATACTCAAGTAGCCCTACCCAGAATAAAACAGAGACACCAGTAGCCCCAGCACCAACTTGCCAGTTGCGTGAGTGCACCATCTTGGAAGCAGACCCTCCAGCCCCAGGAAAGCCTTTGGATGACTGCGGCCCACACTGACTTCTGACTGCAACCTCACGAAAGACCCTGAAACACAGCAGGCCAACCAAGCCCCTTCTGCATTCCTGACCAAAAGAAACTGTTAGAGTTAAGGCACTAGGTTTTGGGTAATTTGTTTCACAGCAATAGATTACCAACCTATTCTGTGTTAAAAGTGGTTGAGGCCAGGCTCACACCTGTAATCCCAGCACTTTGGGAAGCTTAGGCAGGTGGATCACAAGGTCAGGAGATCAAGACCATCCTGGCTAACATGGTAAACCCCGTCTCTACTAAAAATACAAAAAATTAGCCGGGCATGGTGGCACGCACCTGTAGTCCCAGCTACTCGGGAGGCTGAGGCAGGAGAATCGCTTGAACCTGGGAGGTGGATGTTGCAGTGAGCTAAGATTGTGCCACTGCACTCCAGCCTGGGTGACAGAGCAAGACTCCATCTCAGGAAAAAAAAAAAAATGGTTGAAAGTGGAAGTGAATGTGGCAGCCATGTGTGGGGTTTGAACGGTACAAACACGTATGAAAGTATGTCTTTTCCAGAATTAAGCTTACTGTTTATGTGGGAGAGATGTGTGCACTAAAAAGTTTGTAAAGCATTACTTATTGTTGATTTAAGAGATAGCGCATATCTAGGGGGAGAAAATGCTTGTGCAGATCCTTTGAGAAATGAGCCGTGCTGCAAAGTCAAGTTTTCCCTCCCCCTTTAAGCCCTGCCAGCATTTTAATCTGCCCCCTCTCCAAATATATGACATACTTCCTTGGCTTTTTGAGCAGAGTGAATAGGAAGTGCTTGTTGCTGATGGGGCAGGTCACTGTAGCTATCAGCTGGGGACCCAGGGCTGCACATCAGTGATGGCCTTCAGCCTACCTGTGTCTCAAGGCCAACAGACAAGACCAACTTCTGGCTTCAACTATCTACATAAATCCCCTCATTCATTCCTTACCACAAACTCATGAGCATCCCATTTTCCTGGTGTGAAACTGCAGTTTGAAGCAGATAAGTGAGATGACCCAAATAATAAGTGGCAGAGCTGTGACTGTTGACTCTGAGCCCATGATGTTTGTAATCTAGCACATGGCCTTCAGGGACTCTCACTTTACTCAGAAAAGCCTTTGCTATCAGCTTGCCTAACATCATACCTAAAGTTAATGCAGGTTCATTGTACAAAATCCAAAAGGTACAGAAGCCAGGCTCTCTAGCCAGCCATCGGTTCTCTTCTCTGAAGGCCACCACGGCTCCCAGTTTTCCATGTCTACTGACTCCATTCAGCTTGCTTTGGATCATTAGGCTTTCTCCCAAGGGCTGAGGAAAGCAGAGAAGTTTCAGACCCTCAACTGTTAGAGGAAGGCTATACTTCTGCAGCATGAATGAGGGAGGTAGAGGCTACAGCAGCCTCATCTCCATGGGGTCTGTTGCCTTCCAGGAAATCATGCTCTTCTTTGCTGTGGCAACAAGCATCTTCTGATTCCACAATACCCATGTCCTCTGTGGCCAATGTATTGCACTGCCATCAGGGACCACCAGCCCCTGATGTTACCTGGTGGTGTTTTTTTCAGGCAGAGTAAAGGACTCATGCTCACTGGGTCAAGAATCTGCTTGTGGGTTTCAGAGAGGCCTTCTGCTAAGGCAGGATGACAAGCCAGGTGGTCTGGGTTCAGGTTCTAGGCCTGGGAACCTGAGCTAAGTCAGTCCAGCTCTTGGGACCTCATACTGGGCCTACCCCAGAGGGCAGCCAACTCAGTGAGGACAGCCGTGCCTGCCCCTGCACACCCCGTGAGCTCTGTGCTCACTCAGGGCAGCCACCATTCAGCCTGTGAGGGTCTCTATGCTTGTCTATCTCATCCAGTGGTTGTGTCCCTCGAGGAGGGACTGTGTCACTCCCCATTCTCTCCCTGCTTTACATAGCACTTGACATGTAGTAGATGCTCATTCAAGACTTTTTGAATCTTTCAGCATACATCTAATGGTATATATATATATGTATATATTTGTGTGTGTACATATATATACGTATATATACACTATATATATACACACATATATACATATATACATATATATATACACATATACATACACACACACACACACACACACATATATACATATGTGTGTATATATACAGTATCCGTGAGGGGAGGGGGATTGGTTCCAGGACCTCCCGAGGATACCAAGGTATATCAATATACATAGATATGTGGCTGGGCGTGGTGGCTCATGCCTGTAATCCCAGCACTTTGGGAGGCATAGTTGAGGTCAGGAGTTTGAGACCAGCCTAGCCAACATGGCAAAACCCCATCTCTACTAAAAATACAAAAATTAGCCAGGCATGGTGGTGCACACCTGTAATCCAATCTACTTGGGAGGCTGAGGCATGAGAATTGCTTGAACCTGGGAGGTGGAGGTTGCAGGGAACCACTGCACTCCAGCCTGGGCAACAGAGTGAGACTCTGTTTCCAAAAAAAAAAATATATATATGTGTGTGTGTGTGTGTATATATATGTGTGTGTATATATATATGTGTGTATATATATATGTGTATATATATGTATATATATATGTGTGTATATATATATATGTATATATATACATACACACACACACACACACACACATATATACACATTGGTAGGCTACTGTGGTTTGACTTAACAGAACTCTAGGCACAGGGAGCATTTTAAAATTACATCTTTTATGAGACTTAAAGGCTTGCCAATATTTACAAAATTCAAGGATGCCGAACTTCCAGATATAAAATGGTATAGCATTTGCATATAACATACACACATCCTCCTGTATATTTTAAATAATCTCTAGATTATTATGTGTTAGGCTGTTGTTGCATTGCTATGAAGAATACCTGAGACTGGGTAGTTTATAAAGAAAACAGGTTTAATTGGCTCATTGTTCTGTAGGCTGTACAGTAAGCATAGAGCTGGCATCTGCTTGGCTTCTAGGGAGGCCTCAGGAAGCTTCCAGTCATGACAGAAGGAGAAGGTGGAACAGGCATCTCACAAGGCAGAGTGAGAGCAAGAGAGTTGGGGTGGTGCTGCACACTTAAACAACAAGATCTTGAGAGAACTCACTATCACGAGGACAGCAGCAAGCCATGAGGGATCCGCCCCCATGACCCAAACACCTCCGACCAGGTCCCACCTCTAACACTGGGGATTACAATTCAACATGAGATTTGGTAAGGACATATATCCAAACTATTAATATATCAAATACCTAAAACAATGTAAATACTATGTAAATATTGTTATGCCATACTGTGTCAAGGAATAATAGCCAGAAAAGTCTGTACATATTCAGTATAGATATATTTTTTTCCAAATATTTTTTATCTGCCATTCTGTTGGTTGAATCCACAGATGTGGAACCCACAGTTACAAAGGGGTGACTGTCCACACATCCTATTGGTGCTATTTCTCTGGAGGACCCTGACTAATACATCCCCAAGTCCTGTGCCCCAAATGTTTTTTCTTATTTTCTCAGTGATGGATCCCAACTGCCTAGCAGAGAACCGAGCACAGAGTTGTGTTTTGCCGTTTGACTTAACAGAACTATAGGTGCAAGCAGCATTTTAAAATTATGTCTTTTATGAGATTTAACCACTTGTCAATATTTACTTTTAGTGAACTTTTCATAAAATTTATCCTCTCGATCTACATTTCAGAAGTTGAAATATAGTGCAGGTAAACTGTTTCAGGCATTTATTGTTTCCACAGGTTGGGCTCTATAAATGTCTGGCAATGGAATTGTTTTGTTATCCTCAGATAAGCCTTTGGTTGGGAAATAATCTTCCACTAAAGGTATAAAGAGATGACAGAATCAGACACCAAAAACCTTCCACTGCCCATCCTTGCATCAAGCTTGTACTCCAAACATATTACATACAAATGGGAATGTGGACAGTTTTAGGGTGATATGGAGCCCTCAGTTATTGCCCTCTTCTTCCTCAGCATTACAAGCTCCTGATTATGTGTCAAGCCCTGGGGGAAGGGTCATGACTAATCTAAGCCTATAAGGGACATCCTTTTTTCAACTTCTTTGCATCATGGCCAATTCTGGCTAGTGAGATCTAAACAGAAGACTTCTTGGACATATCTGGGAAAGTTTTTTTTTCCCCCAATAACACGGAAGATGCAGTTTGCTCCCCCTCTTTCTCTTTCCTCCTGCATCAAATGCAGACATGATGGCTGGCACTGTGGCAGTTGTCTTATGACTGAGGCAAAGGCTGAGATAATCAGACATCAACTCTAACATCGTTGAGCTGCTGAACCAAAGCCAAACTCTCCTACTTCCAGAATTCTTGTAGTGGAAAAATGAACTTATATTCTTTCAAACAGCTGTGGTCAGGTTTCTGCTCCTTGTAACCAAAAACTATATTACAACCAACAAACTTACTGCAACAGAAAATGCCATCAGTGCTCTTCCTCCACCTAAACCACAAGAAACTACTATAGTAGGTCTTCTAATACTTTAACAAAGCCCCCTTTCCAAAATTACACATGGTAAAAATCTATGGGAAATGTTAAAATTCACCAAAACAGCCCAGCTTAATCAGCATTATAAAAATAGTCTGGACAGAAATACAGCTAGGTATAATGGAATAATCACTAATGTATGAATCAGGAACAGCACATTCAAACTCTCGCTATGAGTAACATCACTTCTTTTTGCTGGACCTCATTTTATCACTTATAATATGAAGTTAGACTGGATAACTCCTGGGGTCCCCTTCAGATCTGACATTCTATGTAAACGATAAACTGAAATAAATTATTTTAAAAGCTCACGAAATTCTTCTGTAGCCTCCTAATTTGCTGGCTGCTTTCCAGCCACTACAGTTGACATTCTAAAGCCTTGGATAAGCTTGAAAGGACAAAGCCATATGCCTTTGCTCATAAATGTGCCCTGTCTTTTCAAAGTGCATTGGAACAAACACAGTGGCAGCTTCATACCATGGAAACCACAGATGCAACACAGAGTGCAAGTGTGTTTTCCAAGAGGCAAGTACCTCCGTTGTATCGCGCTGTTCCTTGTATCCAAAGACTCGGGCTTGCCATCCTCCAGAACTGCTGAGCCCTGGGGGGACTGATCCAACGCCTCCTTATATTCATCCTTTTCACGTTAGCTAGCATCTATTTTCTCTTTTTAAAATTAGCATGATCTTTTTGTGTTTCTGTCCTTGATCTTTCACTAAAGGGAAGCTAAACTATCTACAATAGATGGCTCTCTCAGTACTTAACTCTGTTATGCTATTTGCATATTCATTGTCCGGGCTGCAGTGTTTTATCATGCCATGATTTAGCTTGTTTTGTGCTATCTGGTGAATTCTGGGCCAGAAAATAGAGCTGAATAATTCGGTGGGCTTTCAGAATACTCTGTCTCCCTTTGGTCTCCCACCAACTCACACAGACTCATGCACATGCACCTAAGTCCTCCTTAAAAATGGAAAACGGATTATTTAATAGGTTGTTTATGAGCATCACAAAAAGACACACTGATCTCTTGGCATCAACATAGGTTAACAATAAAGAAGTCATGTTCTAGGCCATTCGTTATATGAGATTCTTAGGGAGTGTATCTTAGAAAGTCATCTGAAGCTCTTTTTTTTTTGAGACGGAGTCGTGCTCTGTCACCGGATTAGAATGCAGTGGCACAATCTCGGCTCACTGCAACCTCCGCCTCCTGGGTTCAAGCGATTCTCCTGCCTCAGCCTCCCGAGTAGCTGGGACTACAGGTGCGCACCACCACGTCTGGCTAATTTTTTGTATTTTTAGTAGAGTTGGGGTTTCACCATGTTAGCCAGGATGGTCTCAATCTCCTGACCTCGTGATACACCCGCCTCTGTCTCCCAAAGTGCTGGGATTACAGGCGTGAGCCACCGTGCCCGACCTCCTGAAGCTCTTAATTACAGAAATCACCCACAGTCAAAGTGAGAGGGTGAAGGTGGGGATTTCGTTTTGTTCCTTTTCAGTCGTGTTAAACAGTAATATGGACACTGGGACTCTGAAGGAAACCTGTATATGGTGAGCAAAGTTTGGAAGACCAATGCACAGCCTTAATCGACACAGTAGACCTCCCTCGAATGCCTACCATGTACAGGCTTGGGGTGTGGTATGCTCTGGGAACTGAAGGTGAATTAGCCTTTTCCCTGAATTCAAAGATATTACAGTCTGATAGTCTCACAAGTACACACCACAGACCTCTATGTGCTCATTTCTATGTGACAATCCAGGCTCCATTGAAAGGCAAGGCTCTGCTCCTGCCTATGAGAAGTTCCTAGTCAAGCCTAGGATATGAAGGTATGTTAGACACACCATTAAGGAGAGAAGAGAGGATATTAGCTGCTCTGAATTTATGAAGAAGGGAGCATTTAATTTGAGGGTAATAATATAAGAATACATATACACATACACACACACGTATCTGTGACAGTGAATCACAGGGGAACCTGGCCAATTCCAGGGGGTCAGAGACGGTTTCCCTAAGTAACATTTGTTGAACAATGTGAATGTATAGGCAGTCAGGAACTCTGAAAGATAACCCAGGCATAGAATTTAGACTGCATAATGATAAGAGTAGTGATAATAATAATGGCAAAAAGTTGCATTTCTTGGGGACTTATGTTTTACCAAATGCTGTACATAATTATTTGATCCCTACAACAAAACCTAGAAAGCAGATATTGCTTTCCCTATTTTGCAGTTGAGGAAACTGAGACTCAGAAATGTTGAGTAATACATGCAAGGGCATAGAGCTGGTAAATTGAGGAGCTGCCACGTGGCAAGAAGGGGCAAGAAATGAGAAAAATTACATTTGCTGGCTTAGCAGAGTTAAATTCCTTTCACTTGATTGTTTTCTAAATGGTGCACTTACAGATACATACTTATTCACTAAGTCTGTCCATTAGACATCTAATACAGGGTACCACATGGGCACAGGAAGATGGTCTAACTGCCAGCGTAGATGGACTTTTAGCTAAATTTACAGCCAATTAGTGCTGGGAGCAAATAGCATTTCTTCCTATGAAAAGTTGAGTTAGTTTCCCATCAAAATATTATTTAAGGGTAAGACCCCCAAGTGGAATGTTCCAGAAGACCTTTAGCAATAGTGCACTGTATGTTATTTAAACTAAAAACAATGCTGTGAAAAATTGCACTTCAGCACGAGCAGCACCAAATGGAATTGAATTGGGCAGCTGAAAAGGAGACATGATGATTGAAATATTTGCCAGACTATTACATCCTTGAAAGGTTTAAACAGTGAGGAGAAAGACAGGGAAGGGGAGGAGGATGATTTAGAGTAGTTCATTTAAGAACAACAGGACTAAATTAACCTTGGGAAGGGGCGTAAGCGGGGAGGGTGGCTGGGAGAAACATTATGCAAGATGCAAGAAGCTTCCTGAAGGAGAAGTGTGCTGGGCTGCAGAAATTTCCAGCCCAGTAAAGCAGGCAAAGCCATCTATCATAAAAGTCATTTACAAGCAAATTTGACAAATTACTGAGAAAATATATTATGGGCCACATTCCTAAACAGCCTTAGGAATGGACAAACTAGTAGGTCTTTTCTGTGCCTAATTCAGGAAAATCTGATACTTCTTTGAGACTTTTATCTTTATTTATATTTTTGGAGCCTCTTTTCCTCCACTTTAAAATGGATCAGCAAATAAGTTACCCAACTTGGTGTGTGGGTGTCCTATCAGTTACAGCTCTAGCAAAATTTCAACTCAGGGAGGGAGATAGATTGCATTACAATTTTAAAATGTCTATTAGCTGAACTATCTTATTAATAAAGCTGACTTCCTAATCCTAGTTTACTTATAATTTTCAGTCAGGCTGCAGAAATTCTAAATTACACAAAGCAGCCGAAAGATTAAAGAAAATTTCTAGAATTAAAAACCATCAGACCTAAACATTTATTTTCTCAGTATATTGAGAAAAATAAAAGGTGTGACTGTTGGGGAAATGGTGGGTGTGACAGTCCCAGCTTTGCCGGGCCTGGAAATTGTCTATAAACCTCCCCAGGCATCCTTACTGCTTTGCAATTTCTGAGATCTCGCCAAGCTCCTGATTCACAAGACCGGAATTAATGTACGTGCATTGCTGCCCCCTGCTGGATGTATGGAACCCATTTTTGTCTAGGGCCCAGGGAAATGCCATTTGCAAATTTCAATTACTTATCAATTCCTTTTCCTCCATCCCCCACCTGAAATATCACTCCCCTCAAAGGACTCTGTTAGGAGACCATTCCATCTGAGCTAATGGGCAAAACATTCCTTATAATGCAATTAGTGGGCTTCCTCATACAGTAACCCCATTGACCCTCTGTCGGTGCGGCTTGCTGGAGGCAACGGAAAATAGGAAACACAGCATCTTGCTCCTCCAAGGACCACTTTTTGAAAATACCCCCTTGAATTAACATTAATTCAGGCACGAGTGGTTTCTCTTCTCAGAGGATCTAGGGGCAGAGCCAAAATGTCAGCCAGCCCTTTCCTCCTTCCCTCCCCTTCATTTGATATTTGCATATGATGCCTCTTTTTTTTTTTTTTTTTTTTTTTTTTGCTGTGGAGCTACTGCATCCTGGAGAACAACAGCTCTCAAATGCCACCACAGATGGAGGCTCTCTCTGCCCAAGCCACAGAGGCCCCGGAACTGTCAAGGAATCCCCAGGGTGCCAACGTCCACTGAGAGCTGACTGGGCTGGACCGAGTTTTCTATTTTATAGGCAGACTCCTAGAATGTGGCATAATCAGAAAGAGGGGAGGGAAGGGAGAAAGTAATTTTGGTTGGAATGACCACATCTTCACTCTGCTGGTGATAGGAATACTGGGTAGACAAGCCCCAGGCCCCTTCTCTTAGGCAACTTACAATTCATTAGTCAGTTCTTAATATCTTGTCCATATCAGCTAGGCTGGACTACAACTTACGGTCTCAGGATTAGTCTTAACCCAACCCCTTCCAGCAACCTTGCCCACATATTTCTTTCTCAGAGTTCCTCTGCCTATCCCCCGATCTGTCCAGTTCTTGTCCCTACTATAGCCAGGCTCCCCTCTTGCTGTGCCCTGTGGGGCCTCTTGTTATAAACCAGTGGTTCTTAAAATTCACTGGGGGCTTGTTAGAAATGCAAATTCTTGGGCCCCAGCCCACTCCTACTGACTTACAACTCTAGAGTGGGGACCCGTAATCTGTGTTGAACAAGCCCTGGGAGTGATTCTGAGGCACACTCAAGTTTGAGAACTGTTGTTATAAATGAATCCCATTTTTCTCCACTCACCAACTCTTAACCAAAATTGTCTCTTGGCTAAGTCTCATTAATGCTGATGGAAAAATACATTAAGAAGCCTGATAAACTATTCTTCATGCCAGTTATGGATGCTGATGGCCTATTCATCCTCAGAGGTCTAGACTGAATGTGAAACCTCTTGGGTAAACTTCGCTTCGTCTGCTAGCCTCTGACCAGGACAACTCAATCATGTCCTCTCTCCTATGTGGGTCCTCCACACTAGTTGACAGCAGTGATCAGACTCTTATTGTCTCTTGTTACGCAAACTTAGTCTTGGACCAGTTTATCTGCATCACCTGGGAGCTTGTTAGAAATGCAGAATCCCAGGCCTGCCCCCAGACTGACTGATCTGATTCTGCCTTTTAGCAAGATCTCCAGTTGATTCTTTGGTGCATTGAAAGTGGAGAAGAATTGTCATCATCAGGTGCTTTAACACACACACACACACACACACACACACACGCCCATCACACATCGTGGATTATAAGATGGTTTTAAGACAATCTGACTGTTATTCAACTCTGGGTCTTCAGCATCTGGATCTGGAACAGGGACAGATATAGCCACTCTTAGCATTAGTAAGTGTTTGGTGAGTGAATGTAGGATTTATTTTTTAACTAGAACATCTGAAGACTAGAATGACTAAATCCAGGAATAAAACTCTACTAGTGTGTTCAAGCACCATGGTGCACAATAGAACATGAGAGAGTTTATGGATGGGGACCCTGAAATCACATCACCTTCCCAATTACAAATGATGTCTGCTCAATGTTTATAAAGCAGCTGCCTCACATGGACTGCCTGGCTAATTTCTCACCCTCTCTGGAAAGTGAGTGAAGATCTGTCCCTTTAACAAGTGACTCTGAGGTAGAACCTAGAGCAGTCCAAAGTTAGGGAGTCACAGAATATCACTCCTGGAGACCAGGCCCTGCCATGGCACAGAGGAGGGTGATAGTGGCAGGAGGCAGACAAATGCCTAGGCAGATAGGGGTGGGTCCCCACTGAAACCCAACTTTCAAGCCAAAGACAGTTTAAAACCTGAAAGCCAAGCTACAAGTCTCGGATAAATCCACAGACCTGATTAAGAACCTCTTTTCCCCTTGGGTGTACTTTCCGCTGATTGTTCCCCACGCTTCACCTATTTTACATATATCTACCATTCCCTAATTGGTTTTTTACACTGTCATGCCCACCTTTGAGTGGTGCCTTTGTTTTAGCCTCTTTCACATACTCACAAACCAATCAGCATGCACTTCCCATTCTGAGCCCATAAAAGCCCTGGACCCAGCCACACGGGGAGACAGACCACCCAACTTCAGGTGGTCTGTCCTCTGCCCTTCTCACCCTTTGGATTGTCAGTATAACCTCATTCTTCTTGGACATGAGACAAGAACTCAGGGACCACTGAACACAGATACAAGCTGTAATGCTGGCGGACTGGTGCACACCCAGCCCAACTGCAGGATGAGTGCAGATCCCATGGTAAGTGTGGGAGCTGGGCTGGTGTGCAAGCCAGGCATGGCCCAGCAGGCCAAGTGGGTGGAGTACCTCCTGCAGCAAGCCTGGGGCAGAGTGAGGCCTGGGCAGGGGCATGGACATCTGGGGGTCTCCAGCTGGCAAAGTGGCTGAGAAAAATCCTGCATCAAGGGGGCAAGCATGTGGAGAGCTGAGATGACCACCACATCCCCCAATCCAGCTGGCCTGGGCTGATTGATCAGGGACTAGAACCCAGACTTTGGACCACACCACATTTGAAGTACTAGTTTGTCTCAAGATGGCCTGCCTGGCCTCCTAAGCATGGAGATAAAGAAAAACCTTGAGTCCCTTCAAGGCAAATTCCAAGCACCTAGGTAGCCTTGAAAAGCAAACAAGCAACCTGATAAGCAGGAAGATAGTAACAACAGTCTCCCAGGCAAGCCAGAGTCACAAGGTGTTTTGCTTCCCTATAGAAACTAAAAGATGACATCTTAACATATGTTCTCAAGTTGTGAGTTGTTTTTAGAAATCCCCACAAGATGGAAAGTGCTGACCACTATCACTTAATGCTCAGATAAGGGGAAACTGACGACTGAACTCTGGCTGCCATTCTCTGTTCTAAATTTCTTCCTGAGGGGTCTGGAGAAAGTCATGCCATGGGCCAAAACAATGTATAACCTCTGTGTAATTGGTTTATAATTTTGTCTGCAATTTCTGCTTTCCTGAAATGTACCCCTGCCTTGAAAAGCCCTTGCTTGCATGCCACTGGGGAGTTCAGGTGTGAAACATTAGCTGCCTATTCTCCTCCCTTGGTGCCCTGCAATAAATGCTCTTTTCTCCTGCTGCAAATCTTAGTGTCAGTGTCTGGCTTTACTGAGCTGGGTGAGGAGACCCCAGTTCAGTTCAGTAACAAAGATCCATTACAAATTCCTCTTCCCCACTTTCTAACCCCCATCATTCCTGTGTTTATGATAATACTAATGTGGCTGCTAGGACCTAACCCAACCCAGATAACACGCACTTAAACAAATAGGTTTCTATATCTCTCATGAAAAGTCCAAGTAGGCAGGTGACCTAAGGGTTAAAGTGGCACTGTTCCAGTGATCACCCAGGTTTCCTATCCTTAGTATGTTATTGAAAGGAGTTAGCCAGCTTGCTTTAGGAAGATAGTAAGGGAAGCGACCCTGGAGAACCTCTGACCTGCCCCACAAGTGCTTACATCAGATGTTTTGCACAGATAAGGGAACTTGCATAGGGGACTTGCCTAAACATGCCCACAGTGGAAAATTCCATTCCTTAACACATACACGGTAAGGGAAGTAAATCAATATGGAGTGTCTCAGTCTAAGGGCCTGAAAGCACACTGGAAGGATGGAGTGGAGCTGCCAGGAATTCACGCCTTAATCCCTGGTATTCAACTGTGAAAGGGGCAACCAGAAACCTGCTTTCAGGACACTTCTCTTTGCTGAGAGCTCTCCTTTTGCTTAATAAATTCTACTCCACTCACTCTTTAATGTCCACTTGCCTAATTCTTCCTGGTCGTGAGACAAGAATGCAAACCTAGCTGAGTTAAGGAGCAAAAAGTCCTGCATCATTATCTCATGCACACAATGGAAACTGAACACCCACCCCCATACTGGGTTCCAGCCCTGGGAAGTTAGAATGATTAGGAAGAAGGCAAGCAGCATCTTTGTAAGAATGGGACCCTGAGCTGCACACAACTGGCTGGAACTCAGACACCTACCTTACTGAGTGGCAAGGGAGGTTGGGAAGCACCAACTCTAACTGGGTAGTCTTGTGCCCAGCTCAGATAAAGGGGACCCTACTGCCACAGAGAAGGAGAGGAGAATGGATGTTGAAGAACCATCTGTACCCATAACCCAAGCTTCTGTTAAGTGAGGCAACTGGGAGCTTGATGTTTCTAGTGATTTTTTGATGTTATTATAGAGAACAATGGCTACGCAGGATGTGAAGGAAAGGACACCAGGCTAGCCTCTGTGCAGCACTCACCAGTCCCTGTATTAACAAATGCTGAGCTTTGTAGCCTCTGTGCCCACAACCCTTCCATGCACATATTTCCTCCTTCCCCTTCCAGGTCTATGATAGGAGGTTCTCCTTGACCTTGCATTTTTCATAGCAGGCTCATAATATATTTTCTAGCAGAAGGGGCCTTAGAAACTAACTGATCTAATCTTCTTAGTTGGTAGGAGGGGAATCCAAGGCTCAGAGAAGTTAAAGAGTTTGTGCAAGGTCACAGAATAGTTACTGGTAGAGTGGGGATCAGAAGCCAAGCTTGCCAATGGCCATCTGACATGGCAGGCTTTCCCTTTTACCTTGTCACCTCACTATTTCATTTTGCCTTCATTTATTCCTCTATAGTAATAGAGGTAGTGACAGCAAACATTTACTGAGTGTTTTCTATATTCCAGGCCCTATTTTTGGTGCTTTGCATGTATTGTTTCATGGAATCTTCCTGTCCACCTGCTATAGATGGAATGTGCCCCCAAAATTCATATATTGAAACTTAACCCCCAATTCAATGGTATTAGGAAGTGGTGCCTTAGGGAGTTGATTAGGTCCTGAGAGCAGAGCTTCATGAATGGGATTAGTGCCCTTATAGAAGAGGCCCCAGTGAGCTACCTTGCCCCCTCCACCACCATGTGAGGACATAGCAAGATGCCATCTATGAATTGTGTCCCTCAGCAGACACCAAACCTGCTGGCACCCTGATCTCAGACTTCCCAGCCTCCAGGACTGTGAGAAATAAATTTCTGTTGTTTTTAAGGCACCTGGTCTATGTTATGCTGTTTGAATAGCCTGAACAGCTAAGACACTGCCCTATGAGGAAGACATGACTATGATCTCTACTTTGCTGATGTCACCAAAGCCCAGGATGCATAAGGCTTGTCCAACTGCCTCTGTATCCTGCACAGGGGGCCGTGGCAATCAATGAGGCAGAAAGTGCAAGCCTTCTGCCCGCACCCCACCACAAATCATCCTACCCTCCTCTGTGGGTTACACACACTTCTCTTTCCCCTGCTTCCTGGGTTTTCAGTCCACAGACCTGGCCAACCTGTGCCATTTTCCTTCACTTTTCAGTTGTCAATGAGGAAGGAGAGAGCGGTATGGATGACAGAAAACTGTGAAATATCCAAAATGTGTTTCTTTTGCCCTGTCAATTCAGGATATGATTTTTATTTTCCAGACAGTTTATGATCCCAGCCCAGGCTCAGGCTTGTTATAGAAAAAGTCCATGCTGGCCAGGCGTGGTGGCTCCCACCTGTAATCTCAGCACTTTGGGAGGCTGAGGCGGGTGGATCATCTGAGGTCAGGAGTTCGATAACAGCCTGGCTAACATGGCGAAATCCTGTCTCTACTAAAAATACAAAAATTAGCTGAGCGTGGTGACACATACCTATAATTTCGGCTACTGGGGAGGCTGAGTTGAGAGAATCACTTGAAGCTGAGAGGCGGAGGTTGCAGTGAGCCGAGATTGTGCCACTGCACTCCAGCCTGGTTGACAGAGCAAGACTCCATCTCAAAAAAATAATAACAATAATAAGAAGAAAAAGCCCAGGTCTCCTTACCTGGCCTCAGTTCCCAGAGGGAAAGGGAACCTGGGCAAGATGAGAGGCAGGTCAATGGGGCAAGAGGGCCACCACAGAGAAGCCACCAAGCTGATGATCCACAGGGAAGCCTGAGGGTTGGCCACCTGTATGGAGCATCACCAGTCAGATTGATTCCCAGGTTTTACAGAGATTCTTTTCCTTTCAAAAGCAGCTCATCTGGAGGACAGAATCCAGCCCCAGCCCAGTTTCAATTTCATACCACACTCGAGCAAGAGGATATGGGTGCCCCAGCTCCAAGTTAGCTGAGAAATGCAGCTCTCAGCTGACATTTCACTGCAGTAACACCAAGATTGCCTTTAATAGCACCCTTGCAGCTGATGGGCAGTGGCTGAGACAAAATTACAAACCCTCCAACCCAGGTGGCCAGGCAAGGGCTGTTTTAACATGCAGAAATAAAAATGCTCCTTGGCAGCTTTATCCCCAACCTGCCATCCTAGCCAAGTTCTTAAAGGGTGATGCTCCGGGGTCCAGCTCACAAACACCTGCAATACTGAGGCCCATGTGGCAGACAGGGGTCTCCAGTAGGAGTCAGTTAATGACAGTGTCAGGAATGGGAAAAACCAAGGAGTCAGTAGAGACATTCCAGTCTAGCAGTGCCCCTGGGTTCCCCTGTGAGATGGAGATGGCTAAGCTCCTTCCTGACCGTCGCTCTCCCCAGAGTGCCTCCTCTCCTCCCCTCCCCTGATGCTGCAGCAGAACCCTGGGGCTCATGCTGCCTTCCTGTTCTCACAACTAAATCTCCGGAGAGCCCCTGCTGTCAAGCTTGTGCAGGGCTTAGTATGACAATTTTAAGTTTTATATTTTGCATTGGAAGGAAAAGTTTTCTACATATGTTAGAGAAATTTTCAGTACCTGTAGATGAGTACAAGAAGTTTAGCAGATAAGGGTACAGGAAGTTTGGGGAATGGGGTACAAGAACCAGTTTAGGAGTTAGGGGGTGTAGGATGTGAGTGAGGGTAGACACGGATTTTCTTGGTCTTCTTAATAGCAACTTCCTTTCCTCTGTGGGGTGCAGATGGAAGATATTATTTTGGCCTCTTGTGCCACATGTTTTCTGCATCATAATTCTTTGGACTGGGGTTACAGATTCCTCCACATGAGCATCTGATCTGCCTGGAAACCTCCTATGTGAACCGTATTTTCTAAAGGTAGTCACAGCATTGCCCATCCCACAGACTCCTGTGGTGAGATCTTGCTGCATCCCCTCAGAGGATAGGGCCAGTTCCCCTCCCCTGTCTTATCTGGGAAAGCCTTGTGACTGCTCTGACAGACAGAATATGACAGAAGTAGATGCTCTGGCCACTCCAGCTAAGTTCCCATGGATCAGAGAGGAACCACCCAGGCAAGCACTCCCCAAATTCCTGGCCTGCAACATTATGAACAAAATAAAATTGCTGTTTGAAGCTACTACTTGGGATAGGAGGTACTTTATTCAGTAGCACTAAGCAACCAGAACAACTTCTCTATCCCAAAATATTCTCCCTAACACTCTAGCATAGTGGGGGCCACAATGACCAAATAGAAACAGCTAAGCAGCTCTAGTCTGCTGCTCCCAGCAAGACCAACACAGAAGGCAGGTGATTTCTGCATTCCGAACTAAGGTACCCATTTCATCCCATTGGGACTGGTTAGGCAGTGGGTGTGATCTATGGAGAGCAAGCAGAAGCAGGGTGAGGCGTCACTTCATCTGGGAAGTGCAAGGAGCCCGGTGACCTCCCTCCCGCAGCCAAGGGAAGCCGTGAGAGACTGTCCCACCTACCCGGGTACTATACTTTTCTCATGGATTTTTGCAATCCACAGATCAGTAGATTCCCTTGTGCATCTACACCACCAGGGCCCTGGGTTTCAAGCACAAAAATAGACCACTGTTTGGGCAGGCACTGAGCTGCAGAAGTCTTTCATACTCCGGCAGTGCCTGGAACTCCCGTGAGACAGGAAAACCATCCACACCCCTGGAAAGGGGGCTGAAGCCAGGGAGCCAAGTGGTCTCGCTCAGCAAGTCCCACTCCCACAGAGCCCAGTGAGCTAAGAACCACTGGCTTGAAATTCCCGCTGCCAGCACAACAGTCTGGAGTCGGACTGGGATGGTCAAGTTTGGTCGGGGGAGAGGCGACCTCCATTACTGTGGCTCTAGTAGGTGGTTTCCCCCTGATAGTGCTAAGGAGATTGAGAGGTTTGGACTGAGCAGAATTCACCACAGCACAGCGAAGCAGCTGTGGCCAGAATGTTTCTCTAGATTCTTCCTCACGGGGCAGGGCATCTCTGCAGCAAATCCAGCAGCTCCAGTCAGGGGCTTACAGACAGAATTCTCATCTCCCTGGGACAGAGCACCCGGGGGGAGGGATGGGTGCTGTCACAGCTTCAAAGGACTTAATCTTTCCTGCCTGCTGGCTCTGAAAAGAGCAGCTGATCCTGACAAGGGGGATTCTCCCAGCACAGCACATTAGCTCTGCTAAGGAACAGATGCCTCCTCAAGTGGATTCCTGACCCCATGCCTCCTGACTGGGAAAGACCTCCCAAAAGGGGCTGACAGACACCTCATACAGGAGAGCTCTGGCTGGCATCAAGCCAGTGACTCTCTGGGACGAAGCTTCCACAGGAAGGAGCAGGTGGCAATCTTTGCTTTTCTGTAGCCTCCACTGGTGACACCCAGGTGAACAGGGTCTGGAGAGGATACCCAGCAAACTGAAGCAGATCTGCAGAAGAGGGGCCTTGCCTGTTGGAAGAAAAACTAACAAAGCAACAATAACAACATCAACAACAACAACAACAACAAAAATACAAAAACCTCATCTAAAGGTCATCAGCCTCAAAGATAAAAGGTAGATAAATCCATGATGATGAGGAAAAATCAGGGCAAAAACACTGAAAATTCCAAATGCCAGAGTGCCTCTTCTCCTCCGAATGACTGCAACACTTCTCCAGCAAGGGCACAGAACTGGACAGAGAATGAGATGAACGAGTTACAAAAGTAGGCTTCAGAAGGTGGGTAATAACAAACTCCGCTGAGCTAAAGGAGCATGTTCTAACCCAATGCAAAGAAGCTAAGAATTTTAATAAAAGGTTACAGGAGTTGCTAACCAGAATAACCAGTTTAGAGAGGAACATAAATGACCTGATGGAGCTGAAAAACACACCACCAGAACTTCGTGAAGCATACACAAGAATCAATAGTCGAATCGATCAAGCAGAAGAAAGGATATCAGAATCTGAAGACCATTTTGCTGAAATAAAGCATGCAGACAAGATTAGAGAAAAAAGAATGAAAAGGAAAGAACAAAACCTCTGAGAAATATGGGACTATGTTAAAAAGACTGAACCTACGATTGATTGGTGTACCTGAAAAAGATGGAGAGAATGGAACCAAGTTGGAAAACACACTTCAGGATATTATCCAGGAGAACTTCCCCAAGCTAGCAAGACAGGCCAACATGCAAATTCAGGAAACACAGAGAACACAAGACACATAATCATCAGATTCTCCAAGGTCGAAATGAAAAAAAAAAAAAAAATGTTAAGGGAAGCCACAGAGAAAGGTCAGGTCACCTAAAAAGGGAAGTCCATCAGACTAACAGTGGATTTCTCAGCAGAAATCCTACAAGCCAGAAGAGAGTGGGGGCCAATATTCAACGTTCTTAAAGAAAGGAATTTTCAACCCAGAATTTCATATCCAGTCAAACTAAGCCTCATAAGTGAAGGAGAAACAAAATCCTTTCCAGATAAGCAAATGCTAAGGGATTTAGTCACCACAGGACTGCCTTACAAGAGCTCCTCAAGGAAGCACTAAATATGGAAATTAAAAACCAGTACCAGCCACTGCAAAAACATACCACAATATAAAGACCAATGACACTATGAAGAAACTGCATCAACTAGTGTGCAAAATAACCAGATAGCAACATGATGACAGGATCAAATTACCACATAACAATATTAACCTTTAATGTAAATGGGCTACATGTGCCAATTAAAAGACACGGACTGCCAAATTGGATAAAGAGTCAAGACCCACGGGTGTGCACTATTCAGGAGACCCATCTCACATGCAGGGACACACACAGGCTCAAAATAAATGGATGGAGGAAAATTTACCAAGCAAATGGAAAGCAAAGAAAAAGCAGGGGTTGCAATCCTAGTCTTTGATAAAACAGACTTTAAACCAACAAAGATGAAAAAAGACCAAGAAGTGCATTACATAACGGTAAAGGGATCAATTCAACAAGAAGTGCAAACTATCCTAAATATATACGCACCAAATACAGGAGCACCCAGATTCATAAAACAAGTTCTTAGAGACCTACAAAGAGACTGAGACTCCCACACGATAATAGTGGAAGACTTTAACACCCACTGTCAGTATTAGACAGATCAACAAAACAGAAAATTAACAAGGATATTCAGGACTTGAACACAGCTCTGGATCAAGTGGACATAATAGACATCTACAAAACTCTTCATTCCAAATCAACAGAATATACATTCTTCTCAGTGGCACATGGCACTTCTTCTAAAGTCGACCATATAATTGGAAGTAAAACACTGCTCAGCAAATGCAAAAGAACAGAAATTATAACAAACAGTCTCTCAGACCACAGTGCAACTACATTAGAAATCAGGATTAAGAAACTCACTCAAAACCACACAACTACATGGAAATTGAACAACCTGCTCTTGAATGACTACTGGGTAAATAAAGAAATTAAGGCAGAAATCAAGTTATTTGAAACCAGTGAGAACAAAGAGACAATGTATCAGAATCTCTGGGAAACAGCTAAAGTAGTATTAAGAGGGAAATTTATAGCACTAAATGCCCTTATCAGAAAGCTGGAGAGATCTCAGATTGACACCCTAACATCACAATTAAAAGAACTACAGAAGCAGAGCAAAATAATCCAAAAGCTAGCAGAAGACAAGAAATAACTAAGATCAGACCAGAACTGAAGGAGACAGAGACAAAAAACCTTTCAAACAATCAAATAATCCAGGAGCTGTTTTTTTTTTTTGAAAAAATTAACAAAATAGAGGGACTGCTAGCTATACTAATAAAAAAGAAAATAAAGAAGAATCAAATAGACCACAATAAAAAAAACAATAAAGGGGATAGCACCACTGACCCCACAGAAATACAAACTACCAGCAGAGAATACCATAAACACCTCTACACAAATAAACTAGAAAATCTAGAAGAAACGGATAAATTCCTGGACACATAAATCCTCCCAAGACTAAACCAGGAATAAGTCAAATCCCTGAATAGACCAATAACAAGTTCTGAAATTGAGGCAGTAATTAATAGCCTACCAACCAAAAAAAAAAAGCCCAGGACCAGATGGATTCACAGCCAAAATCTACCAGAGATACAAAGAGGAGCTGGTACCATTCCTTCTGAAACTATTCCAAACAACTGAAAAGGAGGGACTCCTCCCTAACTCATTTTATGAGGCCAGCATCATCCTGATACCAAAACCTGGCAGAGATACAACAAAAAAGAAAACTTCAGGCCAATATCCCTGATGAACATCGATGTGAAAATCCTCAATAAAATACTGTCAAAACAAATCCAGCAGCACATCAAAAAGCTTGTCCACCATGAAGTCAGCTTCATCCCTGAGATGCAAGGCTGGTTCAACATACACAAATCAATAAATGTAATTCATCACATAAACAGAAATAAACACAAAAACCACATGATTATCCCAACAGATGCAGAAAAGGACTTTGATAAAACTCAACATCTCTTCACGTTAAAAACTCTCAACAAACTAGGTATTGATGGAACATATCTCAAAATAATAAGAGCTATTTATGACATACCCATAGCTGATATCATACTATATGGGCAAAAGCTGGTTGAAAACCAGCACAAGACAAGGATGCCTTCTCTCACCACTCCTACTCAACATAGTACTGGAAGTTCTCATTAGGGCAATCAGGCAAGAGAAAGAAATAAAGGATATTCAAATAGGAAGAGAGGAAGTCAAACTATCTCCGTTTGCAGATGACATGTTTTTTTTTTAATTATTATTATACTTTAGGTTTTAGGGTACATGTGCACAACGTCCAGGTTTGTAACATATGTACACATGTGCCATGTTGGTGTGCTGCTCCCCTTAACTCGTCATTTAGCATTAGGTATATCTCCTAATGCTAACCCTCCCTCCTCCCCCAACCCCACAACAGTCCCCAGTGTGTGATGTTCCCCTTCCTGTGTCCATGTGTTCTCATTGTTCAATTCCCACCTATGAGTGAGAAAATGTGGTGTTTAGTTTTTTGTCCTTGCGATAGTTTGCTGAGAATGATGGTTTCCAGCTTCATCCATGTCCCTACAAAGGACATGAACTCATCATTTTTTATGGCTGCATAGTATTCCATAGTGTATATGTGCCACATTTTCTTAATCCAGTCTATCATTGTTGGACATTTGGGTTGGTTCCAAGTCTTTGCTATTGTGAATAGTGCCACAATAAACATGTGTGTGCATGTGTCTTCATAGCAGCATGATTTATAGTCATTTGGTTATATACCCAGTAATGGGATGGCTGGGTCAAATGGTATTTCTAGTTCTAGATCCCTGAGGAATTGCCACACTGACTTCCACAATGGCTGAACTAGTTTACAGTCCCATCAACAGTGTAAAAGTGTTCCTATTTCTCCACATCCTCTCCAGCACCTGTTGTTTCCTGACTTTTTAATGATTGCCATTCTAACTGGTGTGAGATGATATCTCATAGTGGTTTTGATTTGCATTTCTCTGATGGCCAGTGATGATGAACATTTTTTCATGTGTTTTTTGGCTGCATAAATGTCTTCTTTTGAGAAGTGTCTGTTCATATCCTTCGCCCACTTTTTGATGGGGTTGTTTTTTTCTTGTAAATTTGTTTGAGTTCATTATAGATTCTGCATATTAGCCCTTTGTCAGATGAGTAGGTTGCAAAAATTTTCTCCCATTCTGTAGGTTGTCTGTTCACACTGATGATAGTTTCTTTTGCTGTGCAGAAGCTCTTTAGTTTAATTAGATCCCATCTGTCAATTTTGACTTTTGTTGCCATTGCTTTTGGTGTTTTAGACATGAAGTCCTTGCCCATGCCTATGTCCTGAATGGTATTTCGTAGGTTTTCTTCTAGGGTTTTTATGGTTTTAGGTCTAACATGTAAGTCTTTAATCCATCTTGAATTAATTTTTGTATAAGGTGTAAGGAAGGGATCCAGTTTCAGCTTTCTACATATGGCTAGCCAGTTTTCCCAGCACCATTTATTAAATAGGGAATCCTTTTCCCATTGCTTTTCTCAGGTTTGTCAAAGATCAGATAGTTGTAGATATGCAGCATTATTTCTAACAGCTCTGTTCTGTTCCATTGGTCTATATCTCTGTTGTGGTACCAGTACCATGCTGTTTTGGTTACTGTAGCCTTGTAATATAGTTTGAAGTCAGGTAGTGGGATGCCTCCAGCTTTGTTCTTTTCGCTTAGGATTGACTTGGCAATGCGGGCTCTTTTTTGGTTCCATATGAACTTTAAAGTAGTTTTTTCCAATTCTGTGAAGAAAGTCATTGGTAGCTTGATGGGGATGACATTGAATCTATAAATTACCTGGGGCAGTATGGCCATTTTCACGATATTGATTCTTCCTACCCATGAGCATGGAATGTTCTTCCATTTGTTTGTATCCTCTTTTATTTCATTGAGCAGTGGTTTGTAGCTCTCCTTGAAGGGATCCTTCACATCCCTTGTAAGTTGGATTCCTAGGAATTTTATTCTCTTTGAAGCAATTGTGAATGGGAGTTCACTCATGATTTGGCTCTCTGTTTGTCTGTTGTTGGTGTATAAGAATGCTTCTGATTTTTGCACATTGATTTTGCGTCCTGGGACTTCGCTGAGTTGTTTATCAGCTTAAGGAGATTTTGGGCTGAGACGATGGGGTTTTCTAGATATACAATCATGTCATCTGCAAACAGGGACAATTTGACTTCCTCTTTTCCTAATTGAATGCCCTTTATTTCCTTCTCCTGCCTGATTGCCCTGGCCAGAACTTCCAACACTACGTTGAATAGGAGTGGTGAGAGAGGGCATCCCTGTCTTGTGCCAGTTTTCAAAGGGAATGCTTCCAGTTCTTGTCCATTCAATATGACATTGGCTGTGGGTTTGTCATAGATAGCTCTTATTATTTTGAGATGTGTCCCATCAATACCTAATTTATTGAGGGTTTTTAGCATGAAGGGTTGTTGAATTTTGTCAAAGGCCTTTTCTGCATCTATTGAGATAATCAAGTGTTTTTTGTCTTTGGTTCTGTTTATATGCCGGATTATGTTTATTGATTTTCGTATGTTGAAACAGCCTTGCATCCCAGGGATGAAGCCCACTTGATCATGGTGGATAAGCTTTTTGACGTGCTGCTGGATTTGGTTTGCCAGTATTTTATTGAGGATGTTTGCATCAATGTTCATCAAGGATATTGGTCTAAAATTCTCTTTTTTGGTTGTGTCTCTGCCAGGCTTTGGTATCAGGATGATGCTGGCCTCATAAAATGAGTTAGGGAGGATTCCCTCTTTTTCTATTGATTGGAATAGTTTCAGAAGGAATGGTACCACTTCCTCCTTGTACCTCTGGTAGAATTCGGCTGTGAATCCATCTGGTCCTGGACTTTTTTTGGGTTGGTAAGCTATTAATTATTGCCACAATTTCAGAGCCTGTTGTTGGTCTATCCAGAGATTCAACTTCTTCCTGGTTTAGTCTTGGGAGGGTGTATGTGTCGAGAAATTATCCATTTCTTCTAGATTTTCTAGTTTATTTGCATAGAGCTGTTTATAGTATTCTCTGATGGTAGTTTGTATTTCTGTGGGATTGGTGGTGATATCCCCTTTGTCATTTTTTATTGTGTCTATTTGATTCTTCTCTCTTTTCTTCTTAGTCTTGCTAGTGGTCTATCAATTTTGTTGATCTTTCAAAAAACCAGCTCCTGGATTCATTGATTTTTTGAAGGGTTTTTTGTGTCTCTATCTCCTTCAGTTCTGCTCTGATCTTAGTTACTTCTTGCCTTCTGCTAGTTTTTGAATGTGTTTGCTCTTGCTTCTCTAGTTCTTTTAATTGTGATGTTATGGTGTCAATTTTATATCTTTCCTGCTTTCTCTTGTGGGCATTTAGTGCTATAAATTTCCCTCTACACACTGCTTTGAATGTGTCCCAGAGATTCTGGTATATTGTGTCTTTGTTCTCATTGGTTTCAAAGAACATCTTTATTTCTGCCTTCATTTTGTTATGTCCCCAGTAGTCATTCAGGAGCAGGTTGTTCAGTTTCCATGTAGTTGAGCAGTTTTGAGTGAGTTTCTTAATCCTGAGTTCTAGTTTGATTGCACTGTGGTCTGAGAGATAGTTTGTTATAATTTCTGTTCTTTTACATTTGCTGAGGAGAGCTTTACTTCCAACTACGTGGTCAATTTTGGAATAGGTGTGGTGCTAAAAAGAATGTAGATTCTGTTGATTTGGGGTGGAGAGTTCTGTAGTTGTCTATTAGGTCCACTTGGTGCAGAGCTGAGTTCAATTCCTGGATATCCTTGTTAACTTTCTGTCTCGTTGATCTGTCTAATGTTGACAGTGGGATGTTAAAGTCTCCCATTATTATTGTGTGGGAGTCTAAGTCTCTTTGCAGGTCACTAAGGACTTGCTCTATGAATCTGGATGCTCCTGTATCGGGTGCATATATATTTAGGATAGTTAGCTCTTCTTGTTGAATTGATCCCTTTACCATTATGTAATGGCCTTCTTTGTCTCTTTTGATCTTTGTTGGTTTAAAGTCTGTTTTATCTGAGACTAGGATTGCAACCCCTGCCTTTTTTTGTTTTCCATTTGCTTGGTAGATATTCCTCCATCCCTTTATTTTGAGCCTATATGTGTCTCTGCAGGTGAGATGGGTTTCCTGAACACAGCACACTGATGGGTCTTGACTCTTTATCCAATTTGCCAGTCTGTGTCTTTTAATTGGAGCATTTAACCCATTTACATTTAAGGTTAATATTGTTATGTGTGAATCTGATCCTGTCATTATGATGTTAGCTGGTTATTTTGCTCGTTAGTTGATGCAGTTTCTTCCTAGCCTTGATGGTCTTTACAATTTGGCATGTTTTTGCAGTGGCTGGTACAAGTTGTTCCTTTCCATGTTTAGTGCTTCCTTCAGGAGCTCTTTTAGGGCAGGCCTGGTGGTGACAAAATCTCTCAGCATTTGCTTGTCTGTAAAGGATTTTATTTCTCCTTCACTTATGAAGCTTAGTTTGGCTGGATATGAAATTCTGGGTTGGAAATTCTTTTCTTTAAGAATGTTGAATATGAGCCCCCACTCTCTTCTGGCTTGTAGAGTTTCTGCCAAGAGATCAGATGTTAGTCTGATGGGCTTCCCTTTGTGGGTAACCCGACCTTTCTCTCTGGCTGCCCTTAACATTTTTTCCTTCATTTCAACTTTGGTGACTGAAAATTATGTGTCTTGGAGTTGGTCTTCTCAAGGAGTATCTTTGTGGCATTCTCTGTATTTCCTGAATTTGAATGTTGGCCTGCCTTGCTAGATTGGGGAAGTTCTCCTGGATAATAACCTGCAGAGTGTTTTCCAACTTGGTTCCATTCTCCCCATCACTTTCAGGTACACCAATCTGATGTAGATTTAGTCTTTTCACGTAGTCCCATATTTCTTGGAGGCTTTGTTCATTTCTTTTTATTCTTTTTTCTCTAAACTTCTCTTCTCTCTTCATTTCATTCATTTCATCTTCCATCACTGATACCCTTTCTTCCAGTTGATCTCATCAGCTACTGAGGCTTGTGCATTTGTCACATCGTTCTTGTGCCATGGTTTTCAGCTCCATCAGGTCCTTTAAGGACTTCTCTGCATTGGTTATTCTAGTTAGCCATTCGTCTAATTTTTTTTTTTAAGGTTTTTAACTTCTTTGCCATTGGTTCGAACTTCCTCCTTTAGCTCAGAGTAGGTTGATCTTCTGAAGGCTTCTTCTCTCAACTCGTCAAAGTCATTCTCCGTCCAGCTTTGTTCCATTGCTGGTGAGGAGCTGTGTTCCTTTGGAGGAGGAGAGGCGCTCTGATTTTTAGAGTTTCCGGTTTTTCTGCTCTGTTTTTTCCCCATCTTTGTGGTTTTATCTACCTTTGGTCTTTGATGATGGTGACATACAGATGGGGTTTTGGTGTGGATGTCCTTTCTGTTTGCTAGCTTTCCTTCTAACAGTCAGGACCCTCAGCTGCAGGTCTGTTGGAGGTTGCTGGAGGTCCACTCCAGACCCTATTTGCCTGGGTATCAGCAGCGGTGGCTGCAGAACAGCCGATATTGGTGAACCGCAAATGCTGCTGCCTGATTGTTCCTCTGGAAGTTTTGTCTCAGAGGAGTACCCGGCCGTGTGAGGTGTCAGTCCGCCCCTACTGGGGG
This sequence comes from Homo sapiens, assembly GCF_000001405.40. Lineage (NCBI taxonomy): Eukaryota > Metazoa > Chordata > Mammalia > Primates > Hominidae > Homo > Homo sapiens. The sequence continues at coordinate 132,529,598 of NC_000002.12, read as the reverse complement.
ATGCCTCCCACTTAGGCTACTCAGTGGTCAGGGACCCACTTGAGGAGGCAGTCCGCCCATTCTCAGATCTCAAGCTGCGTGCTGGGAGAACCACTACTCTTTTCAAAGCTGTCAGACAGCGACATTTAAGTCTGCAGAGGTTACTGCTGCCTTTTGTTTGTCTGTGCCCTGCCCCCAGAGGTGGAACCTACAGAGGCAGGCAGGCCTCCTTGAGCTGTGGTGGGCTCCACCCAGTTCGAGCTTCCTGGCCACTTTGTTTACCTACTCAAGCCTCGGCAATGGCGGGCGCCCCTCCCCCAGCCTCGCTGCCGCCTTGCAGTTTGATCTCAGACTGCTGTGCTAGCAATGAGCGAGGCTACATGTGCATAGGACCCTCCGAGCCAGGTGTGGGATATAATCTGGTGTGCTGTTTGTTAAGCCTGTTGGAAAAGCGCAGTATTAGGGTGGGAGTGACTCGATTTTCCAGGTGCTGTCTATCACCCCTTTCTTTGACTAGGAAAGGGAATTCCCTGACCCCTTGTGCTTCCTGGGTGAGGCCTGCTTCAGCTCACGCACAGTGCGCTGCACCCACTGTCCTGCACCCACTGTCTGGCACTCCCCAGTGAGATGAACCTGGTACCTCAGTTGGAAATGCAGAAATCACCTGTCTTCTGCATCGCTCATGCTGGGAGCTGTAGACTGGAGCTGTTCCTATTCAGTCATCTTGGCTCCACCCCCAGGATTGATTTGACATGATTCTATGTTTAGAAAACCCTATTGTCTCAGCCCAAAACTCCTTAAGCTGATAAAAAACTTCAGCAAAGTTTCAGAATATAAAATCAATGTGCAAAAATCACAAGCATTCCTATATACCAACAATAGACAAGTAGAGAACCAAATCATGAATGACCTCTGATTCACAATTACTACAAAGAGAACAGAATACCTAGGAATACAGCCTATAAGGAATATGAAGGACCTCTTCAAGGAGAACTGCAAACCACTGTTCAAGAAAATCAGTGCATGGAAATGGAAAAACAATGGAAAACATTCCATCCTCATAGATAGGAAGAATCAATAGTGTGAAAATGGCCATATTGCCCAAAGTAATTTAGAGATTCCATGCTCTTCCCATCAAACTACCATTGACATTCTTCACAGAATTAGAAAAAACTATTTTAAATTTCATATGGAACCATAAAAGACCCTGTATAGCCAAGACAATCCTAAGCAAAAAGAACAAAGCTGGAGGCATCATGCTACCTGGGTTCAAACTATATCACAAGGCTATAGCAACCAGAACAGCATGGTACTTGTACCAAAAAAGACATATAGACCAATGGAACAGAGCAGAGAACTCAGAAATAACACCACATATCCACAACCATCTGATCTTCAACAAACCTGACAAAAACAAGCAATGGAGAAAGGATTCCCCATTTAATAAGTGGTACTGGGAAAACTCACTAGCCATGTGAAGAAAACTGATACTGAATCCCTTCCTTAAATCTTATACAAAAATTAACTCAAGATGGATTAAAGACTTAAATGTAAAACCCAAAACCATAAAAACCCTAGAAGAAAACCTAGGCAATGCCATTCAGGACACAGGCATGGGCAAAGACTTCATGACTAAAACACCAAAAGCAATGGTAACAAAAGCAAAACAGACAAATGGGATCTAATTAAACTAAAGAGCTTCTGCACAGCAAAACAAAACAAAACAAAAAAAACTATCATCAGAGTGAAGAAAAGTTTTGCAATCTACTCATCTGACAAAGGTTTAATATCCAGAATCTACAGGGAACTTAAACCAATTTACAAGAAAAAAAACAACCCCATAAAAAGTGGGAGTAGGATATGAACAGACACTTCTCAAAAGAAGACATTTATGTAGCCAACAAACATACAAAAAAAGCTCAACGTCACTGATCATTAGAGAAATGCAAATCAAAACCACAATGAGATACCATCTCACAGCAGTCAGAATGGTGATTATTAAAAAGTCAAGAAACAATAGATGCTGGCAATGCTGTGGAGAAATTGGAATGCTTTTATACTGTTGGTAGGAATGTAAATTAGTTCAACCATTGTGGAAGACAGTGTGGCAATTCTTCAAAGATCTAGAACTACAAACACCATTTGACCCAGCCATGCCATTACTGGGTATATACCCAAACGAACGTAAATCATTCTACTATAAAGATACATGCACATATATGTTTACTGCAGCACTATTTACAATAGCAAAGACAAAGAACCAACCCAAATACTCATCAGTGATAGACTGGATAAAGAAAATGTGGTACATATACACCATGGAATACTATGTAGCCATAGAAAAGAATGAGAACATGTCCTTTGCAGGGACATGGATGAAGCTGGAAGCCATCATCCTCAGCAAACTAACACAGGAATAGAAAACCAAACATAGCACGTTCTAACTCCTAAGTGGGAGGTGAACAATGAGAACACATGGACACAGAGACTCACCAGGGCCTGACGGTGGGTGGGGAGCGAGGGGAAGGAGAGCATTAGGACAAATACCTAATCCATGCGGGGCTTAAAACCTAGATGACGGGTTGATAGATGCAGCAAACCACCATGGCACATGTATACTTAGGTAATAAACCTGCACATTCTGCACATGTATCCCACAACTTAAAGTAAAATAAAATAAAAATTTAAAAAACAAAGTAGGTAGAATTAATTTTAAAAAAAGGGTCTAGCACATTATTTGAACACCCTCTGTTAGTCACCTTATGGGTTAAAGCATAAAGTACATTTGCTAAAGTGCAAATGGTATCTAGAAATATAAAACCTAGTACCTACACATTTATTAATACTGGAGCACAGTTAATATAGGAGCTTAGGAGCTATCAGGGCCCTGAGAAAATGGGACATTTTCCCTACACACCACGGACATGGAAAGGCAGCAGAGAAAGTCCAGAGTATGCAGGTGCTCCGGGGGATGGGCAGTGTGGGGTATTAAGCCCAGCAGGATGGTGCAACCATCCAATAAGGCCCAGAAGATGCCTGCAGGCAACACTAAGCCCACCTTTCCTGTAAGCTCATGCTGAGCTGTGTTTCTCACATTAAGAAAAACATACTTCTGAATTAAGTAAAAGATCCCACTAGGGTTTGGCTGCAGGTTGAGCTGAGCCCTGCCTGCACTTTGAAGATACTGGGACTGGCCTTCCCCAGGTAGAAGAAAACCATTTGCCTGGGAGCCTACAGGAAGAAAAACTTAGTGGGAGGCAGGATTGACTGGAAGGCAGTCCCTCACTGCTGCAGCTTCTACAGGTCTGCAATCCTTATGGCTAAAACTTTTGGGGTCAAATATCTGTAGGAATTCAAAATTTCCCAGATTTTAGTAAGGTGATACAGTGCATCTACCGCATGCTAAAAACATCTCCAATAAGGTCTGGGGAAGTGTCCTGTCATTACACACACATATTTCTGCAGCAAAGGCATGGATTTTCACACTCAGGAGGATGAATACCATAAATAGCCTCATATCAGGTTGGTCCAGGTTTTGCCACCAAGTAAGTTATAGTAAATATCCCATTTTCAGAACTTTTGGGGTCTGGGATCACAGACCTTTTTGCTCACATTTGGTCTGTTTTCCTAGAAAAGCCATTTGTCATGATGTCACGAAGGAGGTTGCTTCCAAGACACTTGTGAGATGTTCCGTGTCCACTTTCATGGAGCATTTATCTCAGGCACTCAGGGAATGCTCCCCCACCCCCTTTTTTGGGCCCCAGCAGCTCTCCCCATCTAGCTGCTGCTCAGGCAATGAATAAACAACATGAAGGGACATGTCTTCCTTGTCACACACGTGACCTTTGCCTATAACTGGCCTTGGAGATCATGTCTGGAACATATTTGTGCCTCCACTGCCAGCTAGTCCTGTGCCTGGCACACAGTGAGCACTTGCTGTATGTCTGACGGCCAAAGGGAAGTCCCATTCCTCCACCTTGTAGTAAGACAGGCAGAAACGATCACAGTGTTCGTAACCCTACCCACTCCTCAGTCAACCTTATTGAGTCATGATTGTGGGAAAGCATCAAACTGAATTCTGCGTAGCATAAAAGGTAAATCAGGCCGGGATTCACTCTGTCCTCAGGCAGTTGAGATACGTGCATGCATCACCGCAAATGATGACGAAAGTCAGGGAGCATTAGCAAACATAAATGATCCCTTACCTAGGATTACTTATAAAATCCCTCGCATGATCATCCCTTACAGCCGTCACACATTTTCTCTCAAGCCTGCAAAGAAGACATTATTATCCCCATTTCACAGATGAGGGCATTGAGTCTGTCAAGCATCCCACACTCAGTCAATGGCCAAGCTGAGCCTTCAGCCTCGTGCTCTGAATCAATCCTGTGCTCCAAAGGCAGGGATTTGAAAGTTATCCCAGCTCAAGGTGACAGTGGGGAGGGCTGGGGGAGTTTAAGAGAAGTGGGAAAGAAAACCCACGGGCTTCATGGGAGGTGTGGCATTTCAACTGGTGCTTGAAGAGCTAGTAGGATTTGAGTGAACTCTCAAATTCCAGGGGCAGCTGATGGGTAGGGGGACATTCTAGTCAGGGGTCCCACACAGACAAATGTAGGGAGGCAATATGGCACCAGTTTCCACTGGAAATTCCCATGGTCCTGTCAGGCTTGAGTATGGGCTGTATAAAGCGATTCGCAGAGGAAAATGACTGAAGCGTGAATTCAAGGAGGGGAAAGAAGACTGTACTTGTAATAACTTCACTAGAAAATAATAAAATAAATGTGACAACACAGTAACATGTGATAGTGTGACTTCTGAGTACATGTAATAATACTATTCTCTGTGCTTCCTACATCTTTAAAATTTATTTTTTAAAAAATTCAGACAGTGGGTACTAGATTTTGGAGGCTGTGGTGTTTCAGGATAGACTTTGGATTTATTCTCTGGGTATCTTGTAAAGGGACTGTTTTGTTTGGGAGAGACCCAATTATAGCCGTATTTTGGGACAAAGATGCTGACAGCATCATGTAGCAGCAGACTTGGGCAGACACTAGGCCCACCTCCAAGTGTCACTCAATAGAGAAAATGAGAGACACAGAGAAAAGCTGATCAATGGCAAAGTGCAGGTTGTTGCTTGTCCCCACTCCTGGCAATCTTGACATCAGAGACAGCTAGATGGGAGGAAGGGAGCCCTCACTCTCTGCAGAGCAATGTCACCACCACTGCTAGGTGGGAAGGAGGGCACAGGTGTCCTGAGCTTATGGATGAGGAATCTAATGCTGACAGGTAGGTGGGTGACCCATGCTTAACATGTCCAGGTAAAGCCTCCTCCCATGAAGGATGGATTGTGAACAAAGTGCAGATTGAACTGAATAATTACCAGGGAAACTCAAGACCCTCTTCGTTCCCTCTTCACAGGTGTTCTGGCTGCTCTATCAGATCTCACAGATCCCACACATGGCCACAGCAGTGGCCACTGTGACTGAGGTGACAGCTTTCCCTATAATGGTGGTTCTCAAACTTGAGCATGCATCAGAATCAACAAGAGTGCTGGTTAAAATACAGATTCCTGGGCTCCACTCCCAGTTTCTGATTCAGCAGGTCTGGGGTGAGGCCCAATAATTTGCATTTCTCAAAAGTTCCTGGGTGATGCTGATACTGCCTGTCTGGGATCACATTTTGAGAATTGCTGCTCTGAAAATTCTGAGCATAGTCCAAACTCTTCCCCCAGGTTCTGAGCACTCCACACACGCCTCATTTAATCTTGAGAGCTTGTTTGTGGAGGTTCTAGCAGGGGAGCACGGCTACTCATATACCCTTGACCAAAGACCATTTCTCCTCTGTTGGGGAAGGTCATCCTCTTCAGCGGAGCATGCAGCTTCAGGAGGGATGCACATGGAGCAGAGGGAGGAAAGGGACACCCGTCTAGCCAGCCAGATCAGCCAAATCAACCCTGGCAATCAGTGGGGTGACAGATGTTGCAGCCACATCACCCTCATATCCTTGTTTAATCTTTAAAAAGCACTGAAAGGCAGCTCCCAATTCACAGAGGAAGAAACCAAAGATCAAAGATGCTAACTAAATTGCCCAAAGTCACACAAGCAGTGGATGGCAGGGCTAGGATTGGACTCCTTTTTTTTTTCTACATTACTTTTTCCCAAAAACTGGACCTCAATGATGGGCAATAGAATTTTCACAGGTCTAAGCTGAACGGATGAACAAAACAAGGACAGTGTGAGTTTTTCATCTGTTAACCATCAGAATTCAATTTAATGGATTGTTCATTGTTTTCTGAGATAGTCCCACTTATATTTTAGGGAGTTAAAATGCTTTTATGAAACGATGGTGACAAAAGATGGTCTTTTTTATTTTACTTTTCTCCTTTTTTAATGTTCTTAGTTCTTAATGTTTAACAGGTGAATACCTAACTTCAGTCTTTTCTCTTTTAAAAAAGTAATGTCTGGTTTGTGAAATTCCTGGCCACAGGAATTCTTGGCAGGCTGCCTCCAGCACCTACAGACATTTGCATTTTACAGAGTAAAGATGGCTCGGAGTGATTTGTTACGTAAGTTGGTGGTGGCAGAGCCACCTGCAGCAGGCTCTTCAGAGGGCTCTGCCCTGTATGGGGTGGGCCTCGTCCCCCAGGGCTTCCAGTAGCCACATGCACATGCCAAGGGGAGGCATACACTGTTGTGGCAGCTTCCAGGCAGTTTTCAGGCATTAAGGAAGGTCCACATCAATGCAGTTCCTGCTATTTGCATTTATATCTATTCTCAGAAGGTTGCTGGAGTCAACAGGGTTGGAATGGTTTCCCCACATGGAGGCTCCTGAGTCAGAGAGAGGGAAGGAGGCTCTGCTTCCTGGCCCAGATGTCATATAAATACATGGCAGCTTCTACTCAGACAAGAAGGCTGTGCTCTGCAAGGGCTAAGCAGGTAGGCTCCATGCTCACACTACCCAGGGCCAAATTATGGGCCCAATCTTGCTGTCCCCCATATTGGGCTTGTAACCCTAAAGCAGCTACTCAATCTCTCTTCCTGGCTTACTTCCCTCCTCCATGAAATCAGGATAATAATCCCTGCTTCATAAACGGTAATTGTAAAGATTAAATGTGTTAACGTCTTTAAAGCAACAAAGAACAATGCCTATCACAGAGAATACATTTGGCTTTTGGCTTTTGTTATTGTTCAGTTCTTCCCAATCAGTCATTAATTGATGATTAAGTGAAATCCTGCATCTATTGATGTCTAGCATTCTCTCAAGGGGGCTGTAGGGAGGCAGAGATGGATAGGATAAAGTCCCTTCCCTCCAGAATCTCCAGTAGACAAATAAATGAGCGATCATTTTAGAGGAAAAATTATGAGTTTGAAAGCACAAGTAGGTTAACATAGGAGCCCAGAGAGGGCATCTCCCCTCAAGAAGGGGATGTGTGTGCTGATCATTTATATCACAACGTGGGGCTGACCGGAAGGCTAAGGATGGCCTTTGACAGATAGGGACTCCAAATCCCCCAGCCGGCGGGGCCACAGGGAAGGATCTAGAAGTAGAAGAGCTTGCCTCCATGCTACAGTTTAAGTCGCATTTACACAGCAACTATTGATTTAGCACAAAGGGAAGGGGAGGAAAAGCCATAAATACTCCCAACTCAAATTATAAAATGAAATGACTGAACAATTTAAGCAGCTCTTTAATGTTCACAATTATTGGAGGGGTTGGGGGAAGAAGAACACTTTGTTCCATTAAGGACATACACAGAAAAGGAAACCCAATCAAATGAATGAAGACACAGTACATTAAAAATGGAAATGAAGAATTGGAGAGCAAAACAATGGAATTCTGCCAGTTTTCTTTTATTGCTATACAAATTGCTAATCAGTATCCAGTGTCATCTTGGCTAATTTGTTTAATAAGGGGGGGAAAAGAAAAAGAACAAGATCCCGGAGATGGAGGAGAGGCAGCCAGTCTGGTGAAATTGGTTGTATGCCAAATACCAGAGATACCTTACCTCTTTGAGAGATGCTTCCAAATATCCCTCTGGGGGATGGAGCCGAGGATTTTCATTCTGGATCTGAAGGCCTGGAGCTGCGGGATCCCCCATCCCTGTGGTGTGAGTCAGAGGTGAAACAGGCAGGACAGAATCAGAGAAAAGAGGCTCCTCCTCTCACAGAGCATATGTTCTAGGGTCAGACACCACAAGCCAACAAACTAGTAAACAAGGTAAATTCAAAGAGTGTTAATGCCAGGAAAAAAATAAATTCAAACTCTCAGGAAGATGTTGGAAAGTCAGGGTGTTAATGCCAGTTGCCCGCCCAGTATCTATTTGTTCTTTCGCTATTCACAGAACTTCAAGTTTGTTGGGGCAACGTCTCTCAGGCTCCTTTACAGCTAGCAGTGCCCACGTGACCGAGGCACAAGCAGAGGCCACTGGGTGGCTGTCCAGGAAATAGATTCAGTAGCTTGTCCTTTTGCCTTGGACCCTTCATCCTTCTCCCTTGTTCCCATTGGAAAGGCGAAGTCATCCTGTGACCATGAGGACGAAGCCCGTGTGCTAAGACAATGAGGCAAAGGGGTAAACACTGTGCTGGCCCTGAACAGCCCATTTCCAGGCTTCTTGTTAGATGGGAAAGAAATAACCCCCAATCTTGTTTTTAACTCAGTGTTCTTTGAATTTTCTTCTACTTACAACAGATTGCAATTCTAACTGACACAGATCCCTCTCTCTGACCCCTTCCTCTGCATTTCTTCCCTTATAAACTGCAGGAATACAGAAACGTGCAGTTGAGGCTGGGCTGGAAGAGCCTTGGTCCAGGTAAACCTGATTCTCCCACTCTCTGCTAAAAATGCTTCAATGACTCTCATCACCATCAAGATGGACATTAAACTCCTGACTGTTCAGGCATCCTCCCTCTACCCACTCCCTTCAAAACACTGCATTGCTGGTGGGGTCCCAAGACCTCATCTAACTGAACCAAAGCAATACACTTTCATCACCATGCCTGGCAGGCAGTGAGGCCTCTGAGGACCCTACTGCAGGCATTGGGCTGAAGACTTAGTCTCATCATCAGTTCCCTCTTGTAGGGGAATGAGTGCCCAGGCTGATCTCAGGAGCTGAATGAGAGGTGATGCCTCATCTTCCAACAGAGAGGAAAGGCAGTTCCCCAAACCCCAGAAACCACTGCATCATGGGTCTGGCCAGTCCACCAGCAGACATCTACTGAGTACCTACTAAGCATCAGGCACTGAGCTTGGCATGAAGGATTCAAAAATGAAAGGCAAGGTGTTATGCAGATGGCAGATGGTTACACAAATAGGCATTATGATTGATGTGCATATATTTGATGCAAGTACCACAGCAGTATCAAAGGCATTTGCCTTGCTTGGAGTGGAGTGGGGGAAGCTTCCTGGAGGAGGTAAAGGCTGACTTATGACTTATAAAGAAAGTAAATTAAAATTTGGTGGGGAAGAAGCCAAAAGAGGGGAGGAAAGGAATGATTACAGGAATGTGGGTCGGAGTTGTAAGAATATAAATTATAAGTCAGAAAAAGGAAAGAAGAGAGGAAGGGAAGAGAAGGAAATCCAGAGAAGCCAGATCACAGGACAGCTTGTAGGCTACTGTTAAGAAATGCATGGTCTCTAATCCAAGGGCAATGGGGAGCTACCGAAGTGCTTTTAGCAGTGAGTGATGGGGTCCCATTTGCATTTTAGACAGAGCTCTCTGACAGCTGGGTAGAGGATGAACTTGAGGAGGACAGGGCTGGAAACAGAAAGACCAGTCAGGAATCTGATAGCTACCTATTTACTTTGAGAGGAAAGAGGGTGGAAATAGCAATGATGAGATTGTGCCAGGCTGAAGCTTATCAGAGTGTCATCAGAGGGCCTTGTGTGCTGGCAAGAAGCCTAGTTTGTAGCTGCATCCATTGGAGTGGTAATATCAGCGGCTGTTCTTCCTCATGTACTCCCCCATGCCCCTATCCTGGGCATCCCATTTCATTAGTGTATAAGGGTCTCCAAGTGATGAGAACCCCGAGCTCCAGACTCTCATTACACATCTCCTACTTTGCAGTAATCAAGTTCAGTGAGTCCTTGCATTACGCCTCAGAATTCCTATTAAACATTTACAATATTAAACAATTAAAATATTCTCCTAGATTTAAATATGCACTTTCCTCAGGAACATTGCCAAAGAGATGAAACACTCAATGGCTTCTAATTCCCCAAACATGTATTTGACAATATGCTTCATGCCCTATTTGATGTCAAAGCAACAGTACTAGTGGGAAGTCAGGCTTCAGAAAAATATGCATTTTTTATGTCAACAAATAATAATAATAATAAACAACCTTCTTTTTTTATGAGGCCACAATTGGTGAAGCTCTGATAATGGGGAAAAAGGATATTTATGAGGATCTATTCTGCCTTTATTAGTGTGGGAGGTGGATGGTGACAGGGACCATAAGCCAATTCACAGAGACTGTAAATTTGCCAATGACTTGCAAGACTCACAGTAAAGATGAAAATGTAGTATCTTCTCCTGCTTATAGGTTGTGTATGTTCTTTATCATCATTGAGCAACCAAAGCCTGTGCTCACCTTGCCTCAACCTACAAACTCCAAAGAGGGAAATGCAGCTTTGTTATGAATGAAGAAATTCAATCTAGACCCATCCTGTGCCATGTGGAAGCCACCAGCCCCTTGTGGCTATTGTTCATTTGAAAGGAGGCTAGAGTACTGGAGATGTACCATAAATGTAAAATACACGCTGGATTTTGAAGACTTACTACAAAACAGAAAGAATGAAAACTATTGCATTAATATTTTTATATTGTTTACACATTGAAATAATAGTTTGGATACATTGCATTGAGTTAAATAAAATATATTAAAGTTAATGTCACCTATTTCTTTTTCACTTTTTAAAATGTGGCTACTAGAAAACTTTATATTATGTATGTGGTTTGCATTATATTTATATCAGCAGTTTAGACCAGAAAATTCACTCAAAAGCACTGTCAAGGCTCAGTTAACAGAGGAAGCCCATCTCTGTGGACCTCTAACAACTCATTAAATGTTGTTGCACCAGGGAACGGAGCTGTCACAGAGCCCATGAACGGGGCGGATGAGACAACCCTCAAGGTCCCTCACCACCAGACCTCAAACACACATTACTCGCAGTGCATAGACATTCATCAAGTTGGAGAAAATAAAATTCAATAACAATTTTTTTATAGTGAGCTGATTTTGCTGTTGCTCATTAGTAGCTGTGAGCTAAATTAATTTGAGCTTGATTGTCCTCTAATTGGAGAGGGACATAAATCCAGCTGAATGTACTATTATGGATAACACCTTGATCCTTCACAATCTCATGCATCTGTCTTTACAACACTCTGCACAGAGGGGAAACCCTAGCTTTCAATAATTATAATAAAATTATGATTATTGACCAAGAACATTATAATGGATGGTATCATGTGCTAGGTCATAACATATTTTTCTCAGTAAAGACATTGACCAAGTCTTCACTGAGCTAATATGTTAAAGCCTTATTATTATGACTCAGGAAATTACAGATTGTTATTAAAGTGAAGAATATAAGCCACTTGTTATGCCAATACATTTATAGTGCAATGATAATTAACCATTCCCCCCAAACATAGCAAAAAAGGAAAAAAAGCCCCTATGGGAATGTCAATGGTTTCAATATACCCACATATGTTTCTGACTTTCTTTATCTAAGCTTCACCCATAATAGGTGTTCAGTAGGTACTTGTTCAAAGATAAAGACATAAATGTAGAAAAAGCAGTGAAACAGATGCTTGTTTCCGATTTTCCATCTTTCCAAGAATCCTGGCAAGAGGTAACCATTCCTGAATTTTACCAATTCTTTCAATGGTTAAAAACATTTACTTATAAAACTGAATACTTTGTATAGGTAAAAACTGTTCACAAATTTGGCGATCAATAACATAATTTACCATGAGAAGTAGCATGCTGTAACCATATCTAAGCAGTTCCTTTGAGCTGAGTCATTCTCTCTTTCCTCCCTTATAACTGGAGGGCAATGGTTCAGATGAGCTAGATTTGGCTAAAATGAAAAAGATCAGATTCTATTATCAAATCAATTTTGCCATGATCAAGGGAGAGCTCTAGTCACATGCTTCACAGGGCACTAGATAGAGGAAATTCAACTAGAATGCTCCCCTGACTTGAGGGACTTAAACTACAACCTTGGCAAGAGTAATATATTTCCAGGCACAACCATTTTAAAGAGCTAGTGAAAAGTTTTCCTCCTGTTTCTTCCTCCTTTCCTTCCCCCAACTAACCTCCCCCAAAATGGCAACTATTTTTATTAGGGTCCTGTATACTCTTTCATAGTTTGTTTATATGACCCATGTAAATATATAAAATATTCTTATTTTTCCTCTCTTTTTTGACACAGAAGTAGCCTAATACACACACAAACACACACACCCCTAAACACACAAACGGAGTGACTTTGCTTTTTACATTTAGTACCTTGAAAACTTCTTCATACCAAAACCTGAAGAGTGTCCGCTTTTAAAAAAAAATGCGCATTTTATCTTATTATACAGTTAGTTAATTAGCCAGGACCCTATAGATGGACATCGGTGTTATTTTTAATCTTTTGCTATTACAAAAATTTAGAGACTTCTAAATGAGCACTGGTATCACCAATATGAAATAATCTTTCTTCTCCATTCCTTTCTCTTTCCTTTACTTCTCTTCCTCCCTCTCATTCATCCTCCCTCTTGCCCTTTGTTTCATTCATTCATTCCACAAACATTCCCCAAATGCCCACCTGTGCTAGGTGCTGCACTAGGTATCCCAATGAGTGTTAAGGTTCTGTCATGTTGGCCCATCACAGGCCAGTGGAAGAAGGAAGAGCGTTCCAGCTGTAAGCAGGGAGCAAATAACCCATGACCCAGCTTGGCTTTACCTAGGAGGTAACTGTAGGTACAAATGTGAGAATACCTTTCCTGAAGGTTATCAGAGTGTGGCCGGCTGAAAAATGCAGAGAACTTCTGAACTAACAGGCCTCAGGTGAGCCCCCACTGACATTGTATGTTCTTTGCTTTATGCTGAGAGATATTAAGAATAGGAAATGTCAGCTATCTGCATCCCATCCCCCAAGACACCCTCTATCATTTTTGGCACTTCCCTGTCCTGTATTGAACACCCAAGGCCACCTCCTGAGGTGAACCATCAGCCTAGAGTGCATATTCCATATTGTGGACCATTCCATCTCATTCTAGGAATCTTGCTGCTCCCAATGTCTGAGCAGGGTCTGCTCCTCATTCCTAGAGACCCGTTGTCTGATGAGAAGCTCTGAATTAGCCAGAGAACATGCCACCTTCCTCAGAGGCACCCCCTCAGCTCTGACGAGGTACACATCTCACTATGAAAGCCAGTAAAGAATGGCCAAGGACGCTGAGAATTTCCCTCCCTCAAAAGCCTGGCGAGCAAGAGGTGGGCACAGACATCAGCCTTCACGGGCTTGCCAGGACCCAGAAAGCAGAAACAAAGGACAGAGGAGAAAAAGTAAGATCTTTCCGTCAGTCACTGCAAGGCTGATGGCTGGGACTCCGATAACAGGAGACAGATTAACAGGAGAAAATAATACAAATTTACTTCATATAAATTTTACATGACATGGGAGGCTTCAGAAATGAAGACCCAAAGACCTAGGGAAAACCATGTATTTTTACGGACAGTCATGCAGAAATACAATCAGAGGACAAAAGGTTATGACTTAATAATAATAAACAGGGAGGAACTTAGCAAGCCCTGTTTAGTCTGATTCTTCTTGGCTTCTGTGTGACATTCCTTCCCTCTAGGTATATAGCAGGATACCTGTTGTATGAGAGTCTTCAGGGAGAAAGGAGGGACAAGGTCAGAGAGTGACATTCTTAGGTTTTATTAGTTGCTTTAAGGAAGAAAGGGTGAGGGGAATTCTAGTCTCTATGACCCACTTCAGGAGAGAAGAAGCAGGAAGAAGATCAGAGTGACCTTATTGCTTCTGTGATCTTCTCAATTTCCTTCACCTTAAAATATTCAGTATGCCAAGGTACCATATTTGGGGATATTGCATTCTGATACCTGATAAACATCACACGTGGGACAGGTGTCTGGGGAGGACCAGTGGGAAGGAGTCAGCAGTCACTCAATATCTAATAAATATTTATTTATTGAATGTATACCATTCTCCAGGCCCTGTTTTAGCTGCAGGGGATACAGTGGTGAAAAAGACAATGTCCCAGTCCTTGGAAACCTTGGTTGGATAAATGGTCAGTCAATAACTAAGAGATCTGCTCAGTGTCAGCTGGTCAGCAGCTTGCATTTTCTCACCCACTGTCCACAGGTTGTCACTAGAAGGAGACTTAGGCTGGAAGGGGCCTTAGAGATGTGGTGGAAACCTTGGCAGAACGCCACCTACTGCTGGTGACTTGCTGAAGTCACATGGCAGGTTAACGTCAAAGTAACCAGAACTGGCCCCTGCCACCAATAAATGAATGATCTGGGTGGGGACAATGGTCATCACAATTGTAGCTACTAGTTAGGGAACTTGAGGTTTGTTTTGTTTTGTTGGAAATATATTACTGTGTTTTTTTCACTGTGCATTTCCTCGAAATAATTGTCTTCCATGTCAGCCAGTGGCAGATACTCTGGCTGGTAGGGTGACCATGGGAGAGGTTATTGGTAATAGGGCTAGAGTATTAAGATTGTTAAAACAAGAACTCAGAGAGAAAAAAGGATTGTTCAATTTGTTACCAAAATAGGCTTTTTAAAAAGTTTTTTTAAGAGACATGAATCTTGACTGCTAGACATTGCCAAGAAAGTTTTCTAAATTTCTCTGGCATTTATTTAATATATCTAGGGCCAAGTCCAGAGGATGTAATCATTATCTCTTCCACGGTGTAGAGAGGATGCACCTTCCACCTGTGCCTGCTAGGCTCTAAGCAGAGCTGTTGCAGGGCAGAGGCACATCCTGCAAGGAGCCTGCAAAGCCTGACTACTGTTCCAATGGGCTGGGGACTGTAAGTGGCAGAGGGGAACAGAGCTAGAGAGAAGAAATCAGGCAGGTACCAATGATCTGGGAGCCACACCTCAAGGAGGGGTGAGGTGGGAAAGATGTAGATAAATTCAGCTTAACACGGGGGAGCCTGTGACCCTCCAGACCATCCCTTGCTCCAGATATCCTTGGATAACTCCGGCCAAGGGGTCCAACTTGGTGTGGGAGCAATGGTGAGGGTGTACAGTGGCAGGCAGTGGGGAAGGACAGGTAGAACACAGACCCAGGAGCTCTGACATGCCACAGTAGGGGTACATGGAGAGACAGGACAAAGGTCTGTATCGGTGGAGATGTCAAGATCAAAACCAAGTGGCCTGGGCTAGGGATTCCAGAATTGGGTCCCACTGCATCCCCTAAGGCCAGATGGACCAGTGCTGCCTTAACAGTCACAGATCTGGCCCAGCCTTTCTTTACTGGAAAAGTGGGAGAGCAGGCCAACCCCCATCCCCGTATCACCCACCCTCCTGCTGCCACAGGACATCAGGGCATCCCCAGAGGCCATCTTGAAAAGAAAAGAAGGAAGGTGGACTGCAAGTTATCCAAAAGAAGCTACTCAAACCAGCTCTATTAGATAATTTAACTTAGTTTAAATTGAATATTCACTAGCCTAGGCAATATGGCAAAAACCCACCCCTACAAAAAATACAAAATATTAGCTGGGCATGGTGGCGCACGCCTATAGTCCCAGCTACTCAGGAGGCTGAGGTGGAAGGATCACCTTAACCCTCAGGATGTCAAGGCTGCCATGAGCTGTGAATGCACCACTGCACTCCCACTCGGGGGGCCAGAGTGACCCCATCTAAAAAAAGAAATTCAGTTTTAATATTCGAACTGAAAAGATACTCTTAAGCTGGAACAGACAAAGATGTTAATTGACAAGACTTAGTTTCCCAACCATCCAGGGAGAAGAGAGAAAGCGAAAATAACAAAACAGTATATGTGCGCTTTTGCATTTGTCAGTGTAGTGTACATAGTAGACAGACTTCCCAAGCTGCCGCCATTAATTCCTTCCCTGGACACACCTGCTACTCCAGATATCTAGCGGTGGAATACACAGACTCTTTTTTTTTGAGACAGAGTCTTGCTCTGTCACCCAGGCTGGAGTGCAGTGGCGCGATCTCAGCTCACTGCAAACTCCGCCTCCCAGGTTCACGCCATCCTCCCGCTTCAGCCTCCTGAGTAGCTGGGACTACAGGCGCCCGCCACCTCGCCCGGCTAATTTTTTGTATTTTAGTAGAGACGGGGTGCAGACTGTTGATTCTGCACTGGCTTTAGTGGTTTTCTTGAGCAATGCTGTGGAAATGTTGCTGTCCTACTTCTGGGGCTAGGCCATAAGAAGTCTTGCAACTTCTGCCTGGGACTTTTGGAATGGTCACTCCTGGGACACATCTTACTGGAACCCAACCATGTGTCACACGGAGACCACATGTAGTGCAGCCGTGTGATTGAGCCATCTTGAACAGAACCGACCCAGGAGCCCAGCTAAATCCCCAGGTGATTGCAGCCCAAGCTGACTTCATATGGGCACAGAAGGACTGCCCAGCTAAGCCCAGTCAACCCGCAGAATCATGAAAGATAACAAAATAATGGGTGCTTTAAGCCACAATGTTTTGGGGTAGTTGTTATGCAGCAATAAAGAATGAAAATATTAATTGGAAAGTCTAAGTTTCCCAGCCATCCAGAGGGATAAAAAATAAGAAATACTTGAAATATGCATGAATACATGTGTGTACTGTAAAAGTATCTATGTATTGGGAGTGACAGCAAGCTTCTAAATGCAGTATGCATAAATGTATGACTGCGCTCTGTGTAATTACTCTGAGCCAGGCACTAGTGTGTACTTTATTCTTATTCAATCTTCACAACAACTCCATTAGGTGAAAACTATTGTTAAGTCCCTAGTACAGATGAGATCACAGAGGCTCAGGGAGATGAGGTAACTCTCCTGAGGTCACATAGCTGATAAAGAGTAGAGGGAGGATTCCAACCTGATTCTGAAACTGGAATCCCCAACCTCTGATCTGCCTGAGGTGGTTCCACAAGGACAAACCATAACCACCAAGCACACCCAGAACACACCCTTGTGGAGAGGACTATGAGTGTTTGGAGGCCATTAGGGTGCCAGGGAGAAGGGGGCTGTACCCCCCCTTATCCTTTTCAGTGCCCTCATCTCTCCGTGAGTATCTCTTTCAGAATCCCTTAAACTTTCCCCATGACTGACCTGGGGAGGTGTGCTGAGCCAACTCTGGTTAACTGGGCCTATTCTTCCAGCAAATGCTTCAATACCTCCCTAATAATCCATACGCCTTAGGTTTACTTACAGTTCAGCAGCTCCTACCAAGTTTACATGTACACCAGCATAGAGGCAAGAATGAAGAAATGCATAATTACCCCAAGTTATACTCTTAGCCCTAGACTGACAGAGAGCCAAGGTACAGCCTAACACCCTTGGAAGAGGAAAAAGGGAGCCCCCAGGTGAACACAGGATCAGCTTCTTTCACCTGACAATGACAAGGTGTTTGTCTGGGGATTGGGGACTGGGGGTGAGGGTGAGGAACAATGACAAACCCAAGTATTATGAGAAGTCAACCATGAGTTCGTGCACTTTTCGATACGCACGTAGCACAGTGGTTCAATGTATAGAGTCTGCCTGGACTTGAGTCATCACTTTGCTTGGACTTTGGCTCTCAGTTTCCTCATCTGTAAAATGGGGATGACATTAGCAACAATGCCTGCCTCACAGAGTGGTTGGTAGAGTTAAATAGCTAACACCAATAAATGCTTAATCAATAATGCCTGGCACGTAGTACATATTAAGTCAGTGTTTGCTGTTATTTACCAAGACAGCAAATGGTCCTGCACCCTCACCTGGCTACTTTAGAAAAAATCACCTTCCGCAGCAAATATGACACTTCTCTGATTAGCCACACCACAAGCTTGTCCAAAGAGTCAGAGTTCTCCCTCAGCACTACATTTTTTGATTTGTGAACCCTACTCACACTAACATACGATCTTACCAACTGCCTTTGGAATTTTAAAAACCATTTTGTCATTTTTGTTTAGAATATCATACAGAACTGATTTCAAGCTTAACATATTTCATTCAAATTAGTGTAGTATTGAAGAATGTATTATAAATTTTATTTTTAATTGTATTTAATAATATTCATAATATGTAGTCAGATTTTTACTTATTTCCATTTGCCAAGTGAAGCACACAGTTTAATTTACTTTAGATTAATTATGTTAGAAAAACTTGATTTGTTGGCAATAAATTCCAAAGTGTTATAAAATATCAGGTTTGGTTTGGAGACTGAATCTATATGAAAATGCAGATTGAAGTTTAACTAAATGATGGTGCATCAGAAACAGGCAAACCTTGCTTCACGATGGGATGCTGGGAATTCTTGCAATGTTCACTTTAAAAGGAAACTCATTAACTTTTATATTTTGTGTGTTTTTCCTTTTAAATGAGATAGAAAAGGTTTATGCTTTAGGCTTTTTTGTTTTCCTTTTTGGTATGTCTGCAAATAATACATTTTGGATAAAGAAACCCTTTAATCTGAATAAACGAAAATTCAGATTGGTTATAATCATCATTCTATTTTCTCTTTTTAACACTGCCTTTGGGAGTTCAGGAGCTATCCTTATATACTACGTACAGATAGTAAGCAAATAAATGCAACATACAATCAGGTAAAGATCATCTTGAGGCATGTTTGAAGAACTGTCATCACAATTACACTCCTCATTCATTTTGTATATTATAACATCAATGTTCCTTATCCATTTTATCAGATCTATTATGGCAGTAAAGTAAACAAAATAGAACCATGAACAAAAAGAGCTGAACTCCATACAGCAGTCAAAATTTCAGGACTATTCTCTGGGTGGCCTTAGACCAACCCAGTTCTCCCTCTTTCTCAGTTGTGATTCTCAAGAACACTTGGAAACTGTGCTAAGATTGCAACAACCTTAAATAGGGAGGAACTGGCTGGAATAGTCCAGGCTCTGTTTCAGCCTGCCCTCAACCCTGAAAAACAGTATGTCCTTCAACACTTTATCCCAGTGATTCCAAGAGCCCCAAAGTATAAAACTGAGGGCAGGCTGCTTTCTGGGGTCCCTCAGCTGTGGTACAGGTGGGGCATGAGTAGATGAGACTAGCAGCCCCAGACAGCTTTCCCGAGCCTGGGGAGACTGGCTCAAATTACATCCTAGGCTTCTGTGGTCTCTTGCTGCCTGCCTGCAAACAATAAGCTCACTTCATGTCTTGTATGTGAGTGTTTTGTCTCACTGGACACAGACAAGTAGGTAACCAGTGCCCAGTGAACCCGCTTCACAAAAACCATCCCAGTGCTTAACTTGCAGGGAGTCAAAATTCAAGTAGCCTGTCAGGACTATGCTTACAAATGTTATGACCAACCATCTCAACCACTAGCTCATTCATTTGATCCATGCCAATGGCTCCATTGAGCCTCTCAGTCATAGTTAGAGATATATGGATTTGAAAATATTAAAGTTACTGCTTGGGAAATGCCTCTCTCCTCCCCTCCTTTATGCCATCTGCACCCATGGCAAATGGCTTCCAAGAGCCCCTCTCCTACCAGCCATACACAGTCCTCTCCTCTCTGAGCTTTGCCCATGAATTATCCATCTAGGTGCTTCAGGACCATGAGCAGATGCTTGCAGACAGGTGAGTCAAGGTGGGGCTGGGATGACCTATTGGAGCCAGAGAGGATCCAGTGAGAGAGGGAGAACTAATGGTGCCTGGGTCCCTGCTGCACCACATGCACAATGCCAGTGCCTCAGGGCTTTTGTCTCTTTGAGACCTTCTAATAGCCAGTTCTGTGAGGCAGGGGTCATTATACCTACTCACAGATGAGTAACCTGAAAGTCAGAGCAGTTAAGGAATTTACACAAGGTCACAACTATCCAAGTTTTGTTTTAAAAATTTTTTGAGGAATGAAAATGTAGTTATTCAAATACTACTTATAAGTATGTCTCTATGTCTGAATGTATTCATAGCTCCTAAGTTCAGACAAGGAGCAACCGGAGAGTGAGGGACATGTGCGAGTGAGTGTCTGTGTGTGTGAGTGTGTATATGATATTTGAGATTAGGTTAGCATTGGACTCAGATGGAGAAATATCAAATTTATCAAGTGGTTATCCTTGGGTTATAGAATAAGC
Source organism: Homo sapiens (assembly GCF_000001405.40). Taxonomy (NCBI): domain Eukaryota; kingdom Metazoa; phylum Chordata; class Mammalia; order Primates; family Hominidae; genus Homo; species Homo sapiens. The sequence continues at coordinate 132,509,345 of NC_000002.12, read as the reverse complement.
AGTATTTAGAGATTTTGTCCTGCTCTGTGCATCTCTCTATTTTCTCTCTAATGCTCATATATTATTTTGAACAATCAGAAATGTGTTTGTTTCCCTAAAACCCAGGCAACATACATTGAGCTGGTTACTATCCACTCCCTATAGGTAGAGTGAGAGACTGATTGCATACTGATCTGTCAGGCTAAGGCCTGCAGGTGAGAGGGAATAAGTCATGCTGGGGAGAAGGAATGATTAGTAAAGCTTCCAGAAACACTTTTCTCTGGTTTCCCAGCTCTTGGACCCACCCCAGCAGTTTCTGATGCCCGTCTCCCTTCAGCACAGCCTGGCCTCTCTGGATTTCCATGGGGCCCCATCCCTTGTATCTGCTTCCTTCTTCTGGGAGACCAAAGAGCTTGCAAATTTAATGAGTACTCCAAGCACCCAGAGTTCTGTACCCTAGAAGTTCTGAGTCTCCTAGTCCAACAGGTATGGACTGGTGGACAACTGGGAACATAAGGTTGGAGCAGACATTTCTCAGTCCCAGGCCATCTGTGACCCATACTCCTTCACCAATGTCTCTGTCTGTGAAATGGTGAACCAGGAACCTCTCTGAGGCTCCCTGGGGCTGATGGCAGGTGTAGCCCAGCATATGCTTATTGCCCATGGTGGTAAGTGACTGCTAACTGCTTTAAACGGCAGCTGATTTACAGATATGGTTTTTAGTACACTTAACAAGATGCTGTCCTCCACCTCTAGGAAAGGCTCCTCTGGCTTGTTAGTCATTTCAATGCATGGAGGTGTTTGCTGTCCAAATATGTGGCTTCCAGTCTTTGCAGAGCAAATCTGCACCCTCTTGTTAGGAAACTTCTGAGGACCCTGAGCATTTAGTCTCCAATTCTCGGAGGGCAGCCCTTCTACTAACCCACCCAGCTAGAGCTCAGGCACGACCTCAGAAACAGAAGTCTATGTTCCTTCAGGAGCCTTACTGTGGAGCTTAGTGTTTAATGTTGGGCCTCAGGAGAGAAGGGGGTTGAGAGTCTTCTGAAGTCCTTTGATGAGACTCAAGTTCCCTTACCACCAGGATGACTGTGTTGTATAATAGAGAATTTGTGTGGCCTTTGTCCCTGGCTCCTGGGAGGGAGCCTTTAAACCCTTGGAATTTCCCAAGTAGTAGGAGTGTCTTCATTATTCCAAGTGGACCCTCAGACCGCATCTGAGTTTATGCTAATGAGGTGACTCAGGTAAGTCCCTAGAGAGTTTATAGATTGGGGCCTGCCCTGCTGGAAAGACCAGCCATGTGACTATAGGGTTGGGGCTTTGAACCATATGTTATCAGAGAAGGATTTTGGGGCTAGAGATTGAATTCAGTCACATGGCCAACGATTCAACCAACCATGCCTACATAATGAAATCACAATAAAGACTGTGAACACTGAAGCTCACTGGAGATTCTTTGTTAATTGTGCTGGGAGGGCGACACGTTCCAAAGATAACCATGTTTGGGACTCTCCTCTGCCCTGTGCTTCTCTTCTTTTGTCTGGTCCTGATTTGCATCACTCACAGTAAAAACTGTAATAATAAGTATAGTGCTTTCCTAAGTTCTCTGAGTTGTTCTAGTGAATTGCCAAAGCTGAGGAGGTCATGGGAACACTCAAATTCAGTTTGTCAGAGGTATGGGCGGTCTGTGACCTTCTTGAGCTTGCAGCTGATATCTGGGATGAGGTCAGTTTTGTGGGGGACCATGCCTTTAACCTGTGAAATTTGACCTAACCCCAGGTAGTGATCAGAATTGCAATGTAGACTCCTGAGGTTCAAACCCTAGTCTTGGGACTTTTTAGCTGTGCTACCTAATGGGGCAAATTCTTATCCTTTTCAATCTTTAGTAAGTATACTTAAAACAAGGAAGAAAACACAAGTGAAATGCTCAGAGCAGTACTGATGTCAGTAAGCACTCATAAATGTTACCCATCACTAATGAAACCTATGCCCCACCACGTAGCAGGACAGGGGCTTACCTACTTATTTTTAAGACTTCTTCTATCTCTTTTAAGGCTTTACCAAATATAGAATACTATAGTTTGCCCCACCTTTTTATATTTCACTGAGCACTACCTGGTATTATTCCTTATTCATTATATCTCATGTCTATATATAAATAAAATTATTTCCTAATTATATGCTGCTATGGTTTGAATGTTGTCCCCTCCAAAATTCATGTTGAAATTGAATTCCCAATGTGATAGTATTGAGAGGTGGGGCCTTAAGAGGTGATTGGATCATAACGGCTCTGCCCTCATAAATGGATTAATCCATTTGTGGATTCATGAATTAATGAGTTATCATGGAAGTGGGACTGGTGGCTTTATCAGAAGAGAAAAAAATCAACTCAAGATAGATTAAAGGCTTAAATGCAAGACCTGAAACTATCAAGTGGTTATCTTTGGGTTATAGAATAAGCAGTATTTAGGGATTTTTCTCCTGCTAGAAAAAAAAAAATAGGAGAAACACTTTAGGACATTGGTCTGGGCAAATAATTTAGGGCTGATATGGTTTGGCTGTGTCCCTACCCAAGTCTCATCTTGAATTGTAGTTCCCCTAATCCTCGCATGTCATGGGAGGGATCTGGTGGGAGGTAATTAGATAATGGGAGTGGTTACCTCCATGCTGTTCTTGTGATAGTGAGTGAATTCTCACAAGATCTGATGGTTTTATAAGGGCCTTCCCCCTTCGCTGAACACTCATTCTCTCTCCTGCTGCCCTGTGAAGAGGTGCCTTCTGCCATGATTGTACATTTCCTGAGGCCTCCCCAGCTATGCAGAATGGTGAGTCAATTAAACCTCTTTTCTTTATCAATTACCCAGTCTTGGGTATTTCTTCATAGCAGCATGAGAATGGACTAATACAATGGCTAAGACCTCAAGATCACAGGCAACAAAAATAAAAATAGACAAATAGGAGCATATTAGATTAAAAAGGTCCTGCACAGCAAAGGAAACAACAGAGTGAAGAGACAACCTGTTGAATGGAAAAAATAATATTTGCCAACTGTTCATCTAACAAGGGACTAATATTCAGAATATAAAAAGAACTCAAACAACTCAACAGCAAAGGAACAAACAACCCCATTAAAAAGGGGGCAAAGGACATGCATAGACATTTCTCCAAAGAAAACATAGAAATGGCTGATAAGTATATGAAAAAAAAATGCTCAGCATTACTAATCATCAGGGAAATGAAAATCAAGACCACAATAAGATATCATCTTACTCTAGTTAAAATGGCTATTATTAAAAAGACAAAAAATAACAGAGTTGGCAAGGATACAGAGAAAAGGGAGCTGATACACTGTTGCTAGGAATGTAAATTAGTACAACCATTGTAGAATACAGTATGGAGATTTCTCAAAAAACTAAAATTAGAACTACCATATGATCCATCAATCCCACTCCTTGGTATTTATCCAAAGGAACAGAAGTTGGTGTATCAAAAATATACTTGACCCCCATGTTTATTGCAGCGCAATTCGCGATAGCCAAGATACGGAATTAGCCTAAGTGTCCACCAATGGATGAATGGATTTTTAAAAATGTGACATATATACACAATGGATTACTATATGGCCATAAAAAGAATGAGATAATGTAATTTTCAGCAACATGGATAGAACTGGAGTTCATTATACTAAGTGAAATAAGTCAGGCACAGAAAGACAAATATTACATAATCCCACTCATTTGCAGGAGCTATCAAGGTGAATCCTATGAATGTAGAGAGTAGAATGATAGATACCAGGAGCTGGGAAGGGTGTGTGGGGTGGGTAAAGGGGATAAAAGAGGTTGGTTAATGAGTACAAACATAGAGTTAGATAGGTGGACTAAGTTCTAACGGTGGAAAGTAGAGTAGGGTGAATACAGTTAACAATGTGTTGTATATTTTTAAATAGCTAGAAGAGAGAATTTGAAATGTTTGCAATACATAGAAGTGATAACTTCCCCAGGTGGTGGGCACCCTAAATATCCTGACTTGATCACTACACATTCTATGCATGCAACAAAATATCACATGTACCCCATAAGTATGTACACATATTATGTATTAATAATTTTTTTAATTAAGAAAAAAAGAAGATGAAGAGAGAACTAAGCTAGCAGACTCGGCCTCTCACCATTGTGATGCCCTGTCCTACTGCAGAACTCAGCAGAGTCCCTACTAACAAGAAGGTGCTCACCAGATGCAGCCCCTCTACCTTGAATTTCTCAGCCTCCATAACTGTAAGAAATGAATTCCTTTTCTTTCTTAATTATCCAGTTTTAGGTATTTTGTTATAGGCAACAGAAGACAGACTAAGGCACATGCCTATTTATTAGCATATCACATGAAAGCAGCTGGACAGATTTCCACCAACTGTGAACAGATTTCCAACAAATGTGGAAAGATGTGCTGAAGAAATCTAACTCCAAATATAGAATAGGTCGTGTACACAATTCACTTTGGAGCATTTTTAGGCACCCCATTGTTGTTCTTTTATACCAAGAAAACATTATTTAAATATTTCAACAAATGAATTCAAAAACTATATATATTTTTAAATTATACTAGGATTTTATGGGTGTGACAGAGAGTCACCAGATGGTTATTAATTCTTTCAAGTCTTTGCTTGAATTCTATTTTATGTGCAAACACAAAATATGCCACACAAAATGCCACTAGTAGGAGCTAAAATCGAGAAGTGTGAGAGAATCATAAGTCAGTCTGAGGAAAGTCTCTCTGTGGGACAGTTGGGAGAGACAGGCTCTTCCCTGAAGAGGTGATTGAAGGGTGTCCACAGGAAGAGCAGCTCAGAACTAGCTAGGATATATGTTCTCTCTGAGAACTTCAAGCACAAAGAGATTTTGAGCACCCCAACGACAGGCAGTCACTATCCAGAGCTTCTAGAACTGGGGCCCAAGAGGCTGAGTGACCACCTTTTGGCAGTGGCTTGCTCCTTCTTTCACAGGTGATGGAAACTAAAATTCCACTGAGGGGCATCTCTTGCCAGTTAGGAGACATGTGAAATACATATTTATATTTAGATATCATGGCAAGAGGAGATGAATGATGGCTTTAGACTTTCAATTGCTAAAGAATCATAGATATGATAGGAAGAAAGACTAGCTTGCAGCTCCTGCTTGGACAGACAGAGTAGCATGTGGAGACTCACAATGTGAACATTTGCTCCAAAAACGACTGCAGGAACATACCAGGAAAGCTGAGAGAATCCACAGATGCTTTGAAGAAACTGGATTACCCCTGCAGGCTCCCTGAGATGCCAAAAACTGAGTCAACTTGCTTTCTCAATAGGGAAGCTCATGGTCTGGTGCAAGTTCTCAGCCCTGGTCATCAGCTGCCTGGAAATAGACTCAGTGCTGTTGGGGGAGCATGGAGGGAATGAGGCCATTAGGACTACAGGCTGCTTGGAGCAGGGTGAGGCCTATGACAGCTAGCTTTCCCCCAGTTCCTTGGTGACCTGTATGACTCAGCAGAGGCAGCCATAATCTGCCTGGGAGTATAACTCCACTGGAATGGGAACCACACCCCCATCCCCCACAGCAGCCACAGAAAGCCCTGCCCTGGGAGGGGCTAAGCTCAGAAATGCCTATCCGTTCCCCCAGCTGGTGGTCTTTCTCTACCAACTCTGGTAGCCAAAGACAAAGGTCATAATCTCTTGGGAGTTCTATGGCCCTGCCCACCACCTGAGAAACCTGTTCCTAGGGCGAGTTTGCATCCTCCCTATAGAACTGCAGTTGATGAACTCTTAAAAGTGCCACCTCCTGGCTGGAGGCCAACCAACACAAAACCAGTGCACTAAATAAAACAACCAAGGACTCACACAGAGTCCACTTCATTCCCCTGCTACCTCCATCAAAGCAGGTGCTGGTATCCACGACTGGAAGATCTGAAGACGGGTCATATCACAGGACTCTTTGCTGACATTCCCCAGTACCAGCCAGGAGCCCAGTAGCTCTACTAGGTGGCTAGACCCAGAAGAGCAAAAGTAATCACTAGAGTTCAGCTCTCAGGAAGCCCCATTCCTAGAGGAAGGGGGAGAACACCACATCAAAATAGCACTCCTTGGGACAAAAGAATCTGAACAGCAGCCCTTGAATCCAAGATCTTCCTTCTGATATAGGCTACCCAAAAAAGAAGGAACCAGAAAAACAATTCTGGTAATATGACAAAACAACCTTCTTTAACACCCCCAAAAGATCAAACCAGCTCACCAGCAATGGATCCAAACCAAGACAAAATCTCTGATTTGCCAGAAGAATAATTCAGAAAGTCAAGTATTAATCTAATCAAGGAGGCACCAGAGAAGGATGAAGTACAACTTAAATAAATCAAAAACATGATACAGGATGTGAAAGAAAAATTCTTCAGTGAAACAGAGATCATAAATAAAAAACAATCACAACTTCTGGAAATCAAGGACACACTTAGAGAAATAAAAAATGCACTAGAAAATCTCAGCAGCAGAACTGAACACGCAGAAGAAAGAACTTCAGAGCTCGAAGACAAGGCTTTTGAATTAACCCAATGCATCAAAGACAAAGAAAGAATTTTTTAAAATGAACAAAGCCTCCAAGAAGTTTGGGACTATGTTAAATGTCCAAACCTAAGAATAATTGGTGTTCCCAAAGAAGAAGAGAAATCTAAAAGTTCGGAAAACATATTTGAGGGAATAATTGAGAAAAACTTCCCCAGCCTTGCTAGAGATCCAGATATCCAAATATAAGACGCCCAAAGAACACTTGGGAAATTCATTGCAAAGAGATCATCGCCTACATACATAGTCATCAGGTTATCTAAAGTCAAGACAAGAAAAAGAATCTTAAGAGCTGTGAGGCAAAAGCATCAGGTAACCTATAAAGGAAAATCTATCAGATTAACAGCAGATTTCTCAGCCCCACAAGCTAGAAGCGATTGGGGTCCTATTTTTAGCCTCCAAAACAAAACAATTATCAGCTAAGTTTTGTATCCATCAAAACTAAGCTTCCTAAATGAAGGAAAGATCCAGTCTTTTCCAAACAAACAAACGCTGAGAGAATTTGCCACTACCAAGCCAACACTACAAGAACTGCTAAAAGGAGCTCTAAATCTTGAAGCATATCCTCAAAATACATCAAAATAGAACCTTCTTAAAGCATAATTCTCACAGGACCTATATAACAATAACACAATGAAAAAATAAGGTATTCAGGCAACAAATAGCACGATGAATAGAATAGTACCTCACATCTCAATATTAACATTGAATGTAAATGGCCTAAATGCTCCACTTAAAAGATACAAGATGGCAGAATGAATAAGAATTCACCAAGCAAGTTTCTGCTGTCTTCAGGAGATTCATCTAACACATAAGTACTCACATCAACTTAAGGTAAAGGTGTGGAAAAAGATACTCCATGCAAATGGACACCAAAAGTGAGCAGGAGTAGTGATCCTTATATTAGGCCAAACAAACTTTAAAGCAACAGGAGTTTAAAAAGACAAAGAGGGACATTATATAGTGGTAAAAGGACTAATCCAACAGGAAAATATCACAATTCTAAATACATATGCACCTAACACTGGTGATCCCAAATTTATAAAACAATTACTACTGGACCTAAGAAATGAGATAGATAGCAACACAATAACAGTAAGGGACTTTACTAGACAGGTCATCAAGACAGAAAGTCAACAAAGAAACAATGGACTTAAACAATGGACTTAAGTCTATAACCTACAACAAATGGACTTAACAGATGTTTACAGAACATTCCACCCAACAACTGCAGAATATATATTCTATTCATTAGCACATGGAACATTCTACAAGATAGACCATACGATAGCCCACAAAACAAGTCTCACTAAATTTTAAAAAATCAAAATTATATCAAGTACTCTCTCAGACCACAGTGAAATAAAATTGAAAATCAGCTCTAAAAGGAACTCTCAAAAGCATGCAAATACATGGAAATTAAATAACCTGCTCCTGAATGCTCATTGGGTCAACAATGAAATCAAGATGGAAAGTTAAAAATTCTTTGAACTGAACAATAATAATGACAAAACCTCTGGAATACAGCAAAAACCATGCTAGAGGAAAGTTCATAGCATTAAATGCCTACATCAAAAAGTCTGAAAGAGCACAAATAGACAATCTAAGTCACACCTCACAGAACTGGAGAAACAAGAACAATCCAAACCCAAACCCAGCAGAAGAAAAGAAATAACAAAGATCAGAGTAGAACTAAATGAAACTGAAACCAAAAAAAAAAAAAAAAAAACACAAAAGATAAATGAAACAAAAACTTGGTTCTTTAAAAAGATAAGTAAAATTAATAGACCATTAGCAAGAATAGCCAAGAAAGGAAGAGAGAAGATCCAAATAAGCTCAATTAGAAATAAAACAAGAGATATTACAACTGATACCACAGAAATACAGAAGATTATTCAAGGCTACTATGAACACATTTATGCACATAAACTAGAAGACCTAGAGGAGATGGATAAATTTCTAGAAGTATACAACCCTCCTAGATTTAACTAGGAAGATATAGAATCTCTGAACAGAGCAATGACAAGCAGTGAGACTGAAAGGGTTATTAAAAAATTGCCAACAAAAAAAGTCCAGGACTAGATAGAATCACAGCTGAATTCTATCAGACATTCAAAGAAGAATTGGTACCAATCCTGTTGACACTATTTCAAAAGATAGAGGAAAAAGGGAATCCTCCCTAAGTCATTCTACAAAGCCAGTATCACCCTAATACCAAATCAGGAAAGGACATAACAAAAAGAGAAAAATACAGACCAATATCCCTGATGAACACAGATGCAAAAATCCTCAACAAAATACTAGCAAACCAAACCCAACAGCATATTAAAAAGATAATCCACCATGATCAGGTAGGTTTCATACCAGGGATGCAGGAATGTTTCAACATATATAAGTCAATAAGTGTGATACACCACATAAACAGAATTAAAAACAAATATCATGTGATCATCTCCATACAGAAAAAGCATTTGACAAAATCCAGCATCCCTTTATGATTAAAACCTGCAGCAAAATCGGCATAGAAGGGACATACCTTAAGGTAATAAAAGCCATCTATGACAAACCCACAGCCAACATTATACTGAACAGGGAAGAGTTGAAAACATTCCCCCTAAGAACAGGAACAAGGCAAGGATGCCCACTTTCACCACTTCTACTCAGCATAGTACTGGAAGTCCTAGCCAGAGCAATCAGACAAGAGAAAGAACTAAAGGGCATCCAAATCAGAAAAGAGGAAGTCAAACTGTTGCTGTTTGCTGATGATATGATCGTATACATAGAAAACCCTAAAGACTCATCCAAAAAGCTCCTAAAACTTGTAAATGAGTTCAGCAAAGTTTCAGGATACAAAATTAATGTACACAAATCAGTAGCTCTGCTGTACACCAACAGTGACCAAGATGAGAATCAAATCAAGAACTCAACTCCTTTCACAGTAGCTGCAAATAAATAAATAAATAAATACAATACAATACTTAGGAATATATCTAATCAAGAACATCAAAGTCTTCTACAAGGAAAAACTACAAAACACTGCTGAAAGAAATCATAGACAACACAAACAAACGGAAACATATCCCATGCTCATGGATGGGTAGAATCAATATTGTGAAAATGACCATTCTGCCAAAAGCAGTCTACAAATTCAATGCAATTCTTATCAAAATACCACCATCATTCTTAACTAGGAAAAACAATCCTAAAATTCATATGGAATCAAAAAAGAGCCCGCATAGTCAAAGCAAGACTAAGCAAAAAACAAACAACAACAACAAAAAAAACCACAAATCTAGAGGTATCACACCCCCCAACTTCACACTATAAGGCCATAGTCACCAAAACAGCATGGAACTGGTATAAAAATAGGCACCTAGACCAAGGGAACAGAACCCAGAAATCAAGCCAAATGCTTACAGCCGACTGATTTTTGGCAAAGCAAACAGAAACATAAAGTGGGGAAAAGACACCCTATTCAACAAATGGTGCTGGGATAATTGGCAAGCCACACGTAGAAGAATGAAACTGGATCCTCATCTCTCACTTCATATAAAAATCCACTCAAGATGGATCAAAGACTTAAATCTAAGACCCTGAAACCATAAAGATTCTAAAAGATAACTTAGGAAAAACACTTCTAGACATTGGCTTAGGCAAAGCCTTCATGACCAAGAACCCAAAAGCAAATACAACAAAAACAAAGATAAATAGATGGAATTTAATTAAACTAAAAAGTTCTGCTCAGCAAAAGAAATAAGCAGCAGAGTTAACAGACAACCCACAGAGTGGGAAATCTTCACAATCCATACATCCGACAAAGGACTAATATCCAGAATCTATAGAGAACTCAAATCAGTAAGAAAAAAAAGAACAATCCCATCAAAAAGTGGGCTAAAGACATGAACACACAATTCTCAAAAGAAGATACACAAATGGCCATTAAGTATGTGGAAAAATGCTCAGCATCACTAATTATCAGGGAAATGCAAATCAAAACACAATGTGATACACCTTGCTCCTGCAAGAATGGCCATAATCAAAAAATAATAGGTATTGGTGGGGATGCAGTGAAAAGGGAATACTTTCACATTGCTCGTGGGAATGTAAACTAGCACAACCACTATGGAAAACAGTGTGAAGATTCCTCAAAGAACTAAAAGTAGGTCAACCGTTTGATCCAGCAATCCCACCACTATGTATCTCCCCAGAGGAAAAGAAGTCATTATATGAAAAAGATACTAGCACACGCATGTTTATAGCAGCACAATTCACAATTGCAAAAAAATGGAACCAGCCCAAATGCCCATCAATGAGTGGATAAAGAAAATGTGGTATATAAATACATGAATACTACTCGTCCATAAAAAGGAATGAATTAATGGCATATGCAGCAACCTGAATGGAACTGGAGACTCCATCCAGTGAAGCGGCTCAGGAATGGAAAACCAAACATCATATGTTCTCACTCATAAGTGGAAGCTAAGCTATGAGGATGCAAAGGCATAAGAATGATAAGCTTTGGGGACTCAGGGTAAAGGGTGGGGGGCAGCAAGGTATAAAAGACTACACAGTGGGTACAGTGTACACTGGTTGGGTGATGAGTGCACCAAAATCTCAGAAAGCACCACTAAAAAACCTATTCATGTAATCAAGCATTATCTGTTCCCCAAAAACCTACTGAAATAATAAAATTTAAAAATTAAAAAAATATACATCAGTTAAATATCAAAAATATGACAGAATTGTCAAGCCCCATATTGTCGTCATAACTGAAGTGTAAGCCTAAGATGATGCAGATTCAATGATAAATGCAGATTGGAGCCTTTTACAGGGACCCAGAATCCAGGTTGTTTTTCCATACATTTTAATAGGGCACAGTCATAGAGGAATCTTTGGTAATATATTCTCTGGAGACTGCTGAGCCCTTGAAACCATTCCCTTCTCTTTCAGACATCCACAGAGATAATCTGTTTCTCAATAACTATCAGTGAGTCATTAGGGCAGCCTCTCCAAATGCATGGGCTAAGATTTGTTTGAGCTGCTTCTTCCTTGGGCAGCTTCAGGGTGAGTAGCAGCAGGAATTTATTCATATGCACTCCAGGTGATGGCATAATAAGTAGGGTGTTAGAAAGGGCTTTGTTCCAAAGTGGGAAATAATTATGACTCTTAATTAGTTATAACAATTACATAAAAGTCCTATGTGAGTCCAACATTCACCTTTTTACTGTTTGCATGGTGATATATGGGCAAGAGAGGTAACAGAATGGAATCTAGCAAAGAATCCTCTGCTCTCAATTGAAGAGTTGTATTTGAAGGTGGTGGTAGTCACGTAAGTTCTTAAAATTCTCTTCCAGTTACCCATACCTTTTCCTTTCGGATTCTCCCACCCACCCAGAACCCACTCTTCCTCTCTCATTGGGCCCTACAAACAGGCCAATGAGGGTGAGTGAAGATAGGAAAAACCTTAAAGGAAAGGATGGGAGGACCCAAAACAATCTCAAGAAAATCAAGACAATTTTCCCGTTGCTTGAGGATGCCCATGTTAGGAGTCACATGTTGGTTATTTGGAATTAATATGCAAATGTAGTGTTGACCCTTGTGTGGCTCACACTCTGCACGTGTTTATACACAGAGAGCCACACGCCTGCCCACACACACATCAGGATGTGCTCCTCTGGAAAATCTCAGCAGCAATCAACTTAAAAGACCGGCACTAAAAGATATGCATGTATAAGGACATCATCAGATAATCACTGCTGTCATGATAGCCAATTTCTACTGTGGCTGCATATATATGAAAGTAAAATTGGGAAACCAAGTGGATATTTTAAAAATCAGTGGAAATCAGCATCTTTCCCTCTGCCTTTGACATTGCTTTGTGCTGTTCCACAGCCTAGAAGCCCGGGTACCACTCACTGACACCATGGAGCCATCAGAGCTCCCTAATCCGATGCATCAAGGCTGCTAATGGCTCCTGGCACAGGGTGCATAGGCCATATTGCTGCGATTCCAGGAGGCCAGCAGCCCAGCACTGCACAGGCAGCCCAGCCACATGGGGGAAAGTGGAGTTGATGACAACTCACAATGAATTTGCATATATTTGCACAGCATGTCAGAAATACTTCTAATCTCCAACAGACTCAGAGCCGAGGAGAACTGGAGAGAAAACAAAAAGGTTTGGTAAAAGGGATGGTGGAGCTTAGCCAAGGTCTGAAATCTCTTCTCCAGATGACATCTACACTTCTGTTTTATTTGCCTTGTTGGGGATCACTAATAAAGTTATCACCACGTTATTTTTCAGGCTGTTGCCTTTGTTTTAAGGTGACTGATTATTATTTTGGGAGGGGACCAGGCACTTCCTGTAGCAGCAAAGGGAGTTGTGATTAACACAGTTTCCTGCTGGAGGCTAACAGGTGTCTTCAAATGCCTAGGTAAATAACAAGAAATTATAGGTTCCATATAGGAAATTTATGATACTGTACTCTGATATTCACCCAAATACACTGAGCCAGGCCTTACCTTTGTTTTCTGAAATGAAGGGACATAAACCAAAATGTTTCAGGAAGGGTGAAAAAAAGGCAAGCAAAACAGCATCAGGACTTTGTACACCATCTGCACTTTCATAGAGCACTAATGGGGAATAATTATATTGCTCCTGCAGCCCAATAGCTACAAGTCTCTGGAAGGGAGACTGGTTTCCCAAACCTTCCCAGCGGCTGTTTTCTGGCAGGGGTGAAAATTGGAAGTCCGATGCTGAAATGGCTCATTAAGAGAAGCCTTGAAAAAAGAGGGTTTGCTCTTTGAATCTTAAAGACAGTAATGAGTAACTCAGAAGGCTGTGTAGAGAAGGCCTTCTCTTGTCCCTAAATTAATTTTCAGTGGCTAAGGACTAAAGAAGTGCAAAGTCTTTACAGGTAAGACTAAGAAGAAGAGAGCAATGATAAAAGGGGAGGGGTGAGAAGGGGAAGAGAAGAGAGGGGGTGAGAAGAGAGGGATGAAAGAGAGGAAAGGAGAGGAGAGGTAGAAAATACTTTCTCTAGCCAGATACTGATAAAATTTCTCCAAGACTGCTTCTCCAGAGGAACACTCACCAGCTGCTCCCTGGCAGGAAATTTGAAACTGTCAAGAAGTTCCATTTATTGCTGGCTGATGAGTTCGGCAAGGAAGGGATGCTCTGTGCACCTTAAGTGAAATTTCAATCAAACCTGGCCTCTCTGCTGCCGAGGTCAGTGAAGAAAGCAGATCTGAATGGGCAGGAATGAATGCACTTGTCTGAAAAGCCCGGCCAGTAAGGGCAAGTCGAGCAGCCAAGCAAGAGAGGAGTCCAACCTGTTATGACCTTGGCAAAGACACCCCCACAGTTTGGGGCTTCCAAACTGAAATCTACAAAGCGACCTCAACATCCCACTACCGTCCAAACTCCAGCTAGTGCCTCCTTCCCAGCAAAGGTGGACCTAGATTTCTGGCCACCTGCCCCAAAAGCCACTGCCACACTCAAATCTTTCTTGACAAATGTAAGGTTCACTTGCTCTATTTAGATCTTATTCCCTCTTTGAGGCTGAAGTTGCCCAAAATCCTCCATGGAGCCTTCTAGAACATGCCAGCATATATGCTATGATGCTCTCTTCCTCTTTGGTACCCCTATACAACCCCCTGAACCATTCATGACAGCACATGCTCTTCTATGGCCTTGTTATGTTACTCTCTTCCTAGTGTCTTTGATGTGTCTCCAACAAAGCTGAAATCTCCTAGAAACCCGCTAGGGCTGGGGATCACATCCCCACTTCCCCTATCCCCTCAGGGTGCTCCCTTTACGTGTAAAGTCAGCCTCATCCCTTTTTCATTTCTTTTGTCTCAAAACCCAGTTCCACACAAGTCCTATTTACCATCCTATTTTTCCCATTATTGACATATAACCTCAGTTTTTTCCAAAAAATATTTGAAGAAACCTGGGAAACTGCACTCTGGATAAGAAAAACAAACATCAAATATAAAGAAAGGAGGAAATCAGATAAATGGAAAATAAGATGAGGATAAAAAAAGCTCAAAGTTAGTGGTGTGTTGAATGAATTCACACAAAAACCCATGCCTGGATGTTATATGATCTGCTAGAAATAGGATGGAAATTTGACTCCATTTCTGTGACCACAGCATAGAGAAAAGCATAATCAGAGGGAAACATAAAACAGGGCATAGTGTCCGTGTGATGAAAACAATTCGGCTGCTCAGGGAAGGCCTAATCATGCCTGGTATAAGGCCTGAGCGAAAATTCTCCTGTGGGTCCCATAATAGAAGCCTTGTGTGATAAAGTGACACAGCGAGTGACAGGAATTGATGCCAAATAATACCAGGCATTACTGAATGATGAGAAAACAGAAGGAACAAGGCAGCAAAGATGCCTGCCTTCATGGACCCTGGATTTTACTGGCGAAGAGATGGGCAATAAACACGTTCATGTCATTAGTTGAAAGGAGAGGCTAGGAGAGGTAGGGTGTTCTGGAGAAGGTCTTTCTCAGGAGGATGTGGAGGCATCAGCCATATTACGCCTTGGACCATTTTTATAAGGTCCCCCTGGTTTAGCCAGTGAAACCAAACCCTGATTTAGGGAAGGCAACTCAATGAGAAACCTGTATCTTGTCTCCCATCTCTTAACAATCAAGGTTCCTTAAAGACCTGCCTATACATGCTTTCCCTACTCCCTCACGTCCTAGCTGCTCCTCATCCCCCATAACCTGCCTTCTGCTCTCCTCCCTCTGGAGAAACCCCACTAGCTATGGAGTCAATGAAGCCATATCACCACTGGAAATACTTTCAGTCTTTAGTTGATCGGAAGTTTTTGGTGTATTTATTACTATTGATCATTCCCTACTTGGAATTCCCACCTTCTCTGATGGTCCCTCTGCTCCGCTCACTTGACATTCTCTCCTGGTGATTTCAACACACCCTAGGTCTCTGCAAATGACTCTCATGTCTGTATCTAGCTATAGCCTGTGGTGCTCTGTTAAAAACCAGACCTATGCAGTCCACCATCTGCTGGAGAACCCTAAGTGGATGAGTTGCAGGCACCTTCCACTCAACATGTTTAAAATTTTCCTTTCCAACCTGATTCCTCTCCCAAATGGCCTACATTCATGTGGTCACCATCTACCTAACTGCACATATCAGAAATGGCAGACTCATCATGAACTTCTCCTTCTCTCTCCTCCCCCATATCCAATCCTGTTGCTGCTACCATATATATATATATGGTGTGTGTATATATATATATATATATATATGGTGTATATATATATATGGTGTATATATATATATGGTGTATATATATATGGTGTGTATATATATGGTGTGTGTATATATGGCGTGTGTATATATAGTGTATATATATGGTGTGTATATATACGGTGTGTATATATATAGTGTATATATGTGGTATGTGTATATATATGGTATATATGGTATGTGTATATATATGGTATATATATGGTGTATATATATGGTATATATGGTATACATATATGGTATATATATGGTGTATATATGGTGTATATATATGGTGTATATATGGTGTACATATATGGTGTATATATGGTGTATATATATGGTGTATATATGGTGTATATATGGTATATATATGGAATGTATATATATGGTATATATATGGAATGTGTATATATGGTATATATATGGTGTATATATATGGTATATATGTGGTATATATATGGTGTATATATGGTATATATGGTATATATATGGTATATATATAGTATATATAGTGTATATATGGTATATCTATGGTGTATATATGGTGTATATATGGTGTATATATATGGTGTATATATGGTGTGTATATATGGTGTATATATATGGTATATGGTGTATATATATGGTATATATATGGTGTATATATATGGTGTACATATATGGTATATATATGGTGTATATATGGTGTGTATATGGTATATATATGGTATGTATATATATGGTATATATGGTATATATATGGTATATATATGGAATGTATATATATGGTATATACATGGTGTGTATATATATATGGTATATATATGGTGTGTATATATATTATATATATATGGTGTGTATATATATTATATATATATGGTGTGTATATATATTATATATAGATGGTGTGTATATATATTGTATATATAGATGGTGTGTATATATGGTATATATATGGTGTGTATATATATGGTATATATCGTATATATGGTGTATATATATGGTGTATATATATGGTGTATATATATGGTATATATGGTGTGTATATATGGTGTATATATATGGTGTATATATATGGTATATATGGTGTGTATATATGGTGTATATATATGGTGTATATATGGTATATATATGGTATGTATATATATGGTGTATATATATGGTATGTATATATATGGTGTATATATATGGTATGTATATATATGGTATATATATGGTATGTATATATATGGTATATATATGGTATGTATATATATGGTGTATATATATGGTATGTATATATATGGTGTATATATGGTATGTATATATATGGTATATATATGGTATGTATATATATGGTATATATATGGTATGTATATATATGGTGTATATATGGTGTGTATATATTTATGTGGTGTATATATATGGTATGTATATATATGTGGTGTGTATATATATGGTATGTATATATATATGTGGTGTGTATATATATGTGGTGTATACATATATATGTGGTGTATATATATGTGGTGTATATATATGTGCTGTGTATATATATATAATTACTTTATCAATGAAAATTAATAATGAATTTTTTTGAGCACTTACTATGTGCTAGGTACTATTCTGAGTGCTCTACATTTCACACACAATGTATCACATAAACCTCAAAAGCACAGGATGGAGTAAGCATCATTAGCATCTACCTTCCACAGGGGAGGGGAGTGAGGCACAAAGAAGTTGTGTGGCTTGCCTGAGGTCACACAGCAAGGACATGTGAAGCTAGGACTGGAATCTAGGCAGTTTCTGCCTCTGGGGCTCACACAATACCACTGCTTTTTACTGATTCACACCCGGATTACTATAATACACACTTCGAACCAATCTCCATTCCTAACCCCTTCCCCACAGTGCCATCTAAAACTCAAATCTGATCTTGCCACTTTCTGCTTGAATCCCTTCCACAGTTTCCTCTGGCCTGCAGAATAAATTTCAAGCCTTTGGTCATTGCATGCCACCAATCACTCCTACACCCCTATTCCCCTATATATACCCACACTTCTATTGTATCCCAGGAATTGTGCTAACATTTCCAGGCAATACAAAATGTGGTTCCTATCATCAAGAACATTTGAATAAGTAGGCAAATGAAATGTACAAATGAAAAGTTAAATATTAGAATTAGGCCCAAGATTAAAATTTTAAAAAGAGGTCACAAGGCAGTGTAATTTTTTGGTAGGGAATGACTCTCAAGGCAGACATTTAATATACACAGAATTGTCTCTCCAAAAAGAATTTCTTCTCTTCTCAAGCTGGGCACTTGTGAATGATCAGTTCAATCCTGGTTTAGTTCGAAAGATACTTTAATATTCCTATATTGTTCCAGTTCAATACTTTTAGAAAATGAATAGGCTTGGTTCTGGTTCAAACTGGCTTACTAGCTGTTGCTGTTTTGAAAAAATCCTTGGTTCAGTGCTCAGTTCAGTGAGAAAAAAAAGAGATTAATTTAGGGCTCAGCTTGGTTCAAGGTTCGCAAATTAGAGCAGTTCCTTCCAGGGTGGTTCACACTTGAGCTGGTGCCCAGTTATGAATTCAGCTCGCGGGCCTGGTATTTGTGGCCTTTGCCCTCCACAGAGCCTTCGCAGCCCCTTTAGCCCTCACACGTTTATCATCATCTCCCTCCAACCAGGGTGGATATTTGGGGAGTTAGAGAGGCTCTTGCTGCTGCACAGCAGTACCTCCTGTCTAGCCTGGATTAGGGGTCCCTGGAGGCTCCTCTTTGGCTGAGGAGGGGCTACTAGAAGCAAACCCACTCAGTCCCTTGAAACCCTACCTCCCTCACCCTGTTCAGGCCTGTGCCCACATCATCTGGCCTCTGAGGCCTCCCTGATCATTCTTAGAATAGCCATCATCCTCCCCCTCCTGCCTCACATTCCCAGGTCACTTAATGCTTGTTCTTTGTAGCATTCACCAGCGATCGGCATGCTCTAGGTACTGGTTCTTCCTGTCTCTCCGACTAGATGTTAACTCCACAAGGTCAAAGAGTTTTGTCTCTTTTTCACTATCAAACCCTCCGTTGTGTAGAAGTGTCTGGAATACAGCAGATGACCATTAAGTATACGTTAAATATCGAATAAACCTCCTCGGTCTAAATCTACAGCTGATGGTTAAAGAATTCCGAGGACAAGCAGGATTTGACCTGAAAAAAAGAAAACTGGATTTCTTTAGATTATTAAGAATATCTCATTCTTAGTGGGTTTTTCCCTCATAATATCCCTTTCCATTTCTTTCTTTTCATCTCTCGCTATCTCCAAACTCTAGAGTGAAGCAAAGAAAAGTATATGTGCATTAATAGGCTGCATCCTGCCCCTCCAAACTTCTATTTCTCTCTCTCCTCTCCTTCCTTAAGGGAGATGAATTTCTCTGGCTCTTTCAACTAGTAGGGAAGACCTTTGTGTCCCCAGTGAGCCAGGCTTTGGCAGAAGAGAGTGGCTTGCTGACTGCAGGACAGAAAGCAGGTGAGCACAGGAGCAAGCACGGTGCCACATGCCAGGTGCCTGGGGACTACCTGGTGAGGATTCTGCTCACCATAAACTCTCTCTGGGGCCTCCCAGAGCTGATCCTCTGCCTGCAAGCTCCTGGGCCTGTGTCCAAAGGGAATCTAGGCTGAGCCTCCTCTCCTCTCTGAAGTAGCTTTTCAGCTGTCAGTAACTGACTAAATTGATCATAAATTTAATACAAATACATTTTTAATACAGAAAAGTAATTTTTGTACTAAAAATTAAAAATACAGCACTCCTAATATGGCATTTTTTAGGGCACTGCAGTGCATATATAAAAGGAAAATATGTAAAAAGAATTAGAATAAAGGTTTGATCCACCCAGTATCAACACTCTTATTTAACTGATCATACAAATGTGTCTTGCCCCCTACTCTGGTCCCCAC